>NC_000002.12:129989618-132489618 GCF_000001405.40 Homo sapiens | reverse complement strand
CCCAGCCATGCATACCCAAGGTTTTCCTTACCCGGTACCTGCAGCCACACTGATGAGTCAAAATGAAGTTCACAGAGTACTCTAAAGGCTCATCAAAAAGTCCTCCGGGAAAATTAAGAATATAGTCACACAGTCAAGAAAGTCCAGGAGGGAGCGGCCCGCAGGGAACCCTGAGCAGCCCCACGGCCTGCCGCCAGCCCCAGTCACAGTCACCAGAGCTAGGAGCAGCAAGTCCCCGGCCCAGGAGCCGCCAGCGGCCCCCACCGCCCTCGTCCCTGCCCTCGGTGCTGCCGGCACCAAGCCCAGCACCACGGACAGCGCCGGCGCCTGCCAATGGGGAAAAGGTCATTGCAAGGAAGGTTTTGGAGACAATAAAATATTTCAGCGTAAGAAACAGATATGGTTTCACCAAGAGGAATGATACCGAGGAAGATGCATTTGTGTACCAGACTGCTGTAAAGAAGAATAACCCCAGGAAGTACCTTCGCAGGGTAGGATATGGAATGACTGTGGAGTTCGATGTCATCTAAGGAGAGGAGGACCCTGGCAGCAAGTGTCACAGGCCCTGGTGGAATTCCAGGTCAAAGAGGTAAACGTGGAGCAGGCTGCAACCATGATAGACTCCGCGTCATAGGGGTCCTCAATAGTGAGAGAGAGAAAAAGAACAGGATGGGACAGTGGTCCCACAGGGTGCACACCTCACTACACTCAGATAACCTGCGGGCAATCACAGTATTCCCACCCTCCCTTGCAGGGAGAAGAAGTGGAGGTGCTGACAGCCAGGGCGCAGGGGCACAAGGTAAACCAGTGAGGCGGGATGTGGATGGGGCTAGAGACCACGGTTCCACAGGAGCTCTCCTTGCCAAAGATGACCGAGAGAGGACAGCAATGACATGGGTAAGGAAAACCAAGGCAATGAACCCAGGGTCAGCAGACACTTCAGCCTCGGGGCAGCCACAACTTCAAGTACCAGCCCTGATGCTCAGAACACCCCAAACGACAAGATGGTAGAGACAAAAGCTGAGAATTCATCCACTCCTGAGGCTGAGCAGAATGTGGCTGAGTAAATGTGGGCTTACCATCTCCACCACCACTCCATTTAGTCATCCAACAGGAAGAAAAGGATATGAAATTCCAGCAATAAGAAATGAGCAAGATATTGGAGCTGAAGACCTTAAGTCCTTGCTTTTTACCCACTGACCAGATAACTAGAACTATTTGCAATATCTATGCAGCAAGGGTTTTTTTTTGTTATTTTTACCTAAATATGCCTCTTTTTGATAATGACAGGCATGTTGTTTTTGAAAAGCTCGGTTTTTCTCAATACGCTTTTAAAGGTTTTAAAATTGTTTTATATCTGGTCAAGTTGAGATGTTGAAGAACTTCATTTTTAATTTGGAGAAAAAGTTTACAACTTGATTTTTCCAAAAGGCAAGTACCTATTAACAAAGGTCTTAAATAATTGTCAGAAAGAAAGTAAGTCCAGGAGAAAGAAGTAAGCAAATTTGTCTACTTACCATTTAGTTTCCCCACTGGTCAAAATGGAAGGCAAATAGGACCTAAAAATGGGCTGTTTTCTTTGAAAGCTATATACACTGTTTTTCTTTTACTATTTTACATTTGTCTTTGGCATTACAATTTCATTATGATATGTTGAGTTGTGGACTTTTTGATGTGACCTTCTTGAGATTAAATATGTTTCCTGAAACTGTTTAATTTCATTAGTTTTAGATAAGTACATTATCTCTTTAAATATTGCCTCTTTTCCAATATTCTCCCTTTCTCCTTCTGAAATTCTCATTAGATATCTGTAAACTTTCTCATTCTACCCTCTACGACTCTTATCCTCTCATTTTTCCATCTCTTTACCTCTCTGGATTGCATTATGTATACTTTCCTTAGATTTATTTCAGGTCACTAATCTTCTTTAAAGCTAGGTCTAATTGGCTGTTAAATCTGTTAAATATAATCATTAAATTTTGACTATTATAATTTTCATTTCTAAAATTTTAACTTGGTTCTTTGTCAACTCTGCTTAATCATTTAAAGCATCATATTCCTTTGTTATTTCCTAAGTTCCTTTGTTAATTACTTTAAGCATATTAAACCTAGTTATAATCTGTGTCTATTAATACTGACACAGGAATGCTTTGGTTTATTATGCTTCGCTTCAATGCACTTTGCAGACATTGTATTTTTAAAAAAATAAATTGAAGACATGTGGCAACACTGCATCAAGCAAATCTATCAGCACCATTTTTTCCAAAAGCATGTGCTCACTTCAGCTGTGTGTCACATTTTTGGTTATTCTCACTGTACTATAATCCAGTGAAATACAGTAAGAATAACCAAAATTTATTGCATTTATCATTACTATATCTGTTATGGTGATCTGTGATCAGTGATATATGCTGTTACTATTGTAATTGTTTTGGAGCACCACAAACCATACCCATATAAGATGGTGAACTTAATGAATGTTGTGTGTGTTCTGACTCCTCCACTGACCGGCCATTCCCCCATCTCTCTCCCTATCCTCAGGCCTCCGTATTCCCTGAGACACAATGATACTAAAATTAGGCCAATCAATAATGCTACAATGACCTCTAATTGATCAAATGAAAGGAAAAGTCACACATCTCCCACTTTAAATCAAAAGCTAAAAATGATTAAGCTTAGTAAGAAAGGCTTGTCGAAAGCCGAGTTAGGCTGAAAGTTAGGCCTTTGCACTAAAAAGTTAGCCAAGCTGTGAATGCAAAGGAAACGTTCTTGAAGAAAATTAAAACTGCCTTTCCAGTGAACATATCAATAAGAAAGTAAAACAGCCTTATTGCTGACATATAGAAAGTCTGAGTGGTTTTGATAGAAGATCAAACCAGCCACTACATTCCCTTAACCCAAAGCCTAATCCAGAGCAAGACTCTAACTCTCTTTAATTCTATGAAGGCTGAGGGAAGTAAGGAAACTACAGAAGAAAAGTTTAAAGCCAGCAGAAGCTGGTTCATGAGGTTTAAGAAAGGAAGCCATCTGGATAACATAAATGTGCAAAGTGAAGCAGCAAGTGCTGATGTAGAAGTTGCAGCAAGTTATCCAGAAGATCTAGCTAAGACAGTAGATGAAGGTGGCTACACTAAACAACAAATTTTCAGTGTAGGTGAAACAGCCTTCTACTGGAAGAAGATGCCATCTAGGACTTTCATAGCTAAAGAGGAGAAGTCAATGCCAGGATTTAAAGCTTCAAAGGACTTGCTGACTGTCTTGTTACGGGCTAATGCAGCTGCAGCTGGTAATTTTAAGTTAAAACCAATACACATTTTCCATTCTCAGAATCCTAGGGTCCTTCAGAATTATGCCAAATCTACTTTGTCTGTGTTCTATGAATGGAACAACAAAGCTTGGAAGGCAGCACATCTGTTTATAGCATGGTTTACTAAATATTTTAAGCCCACTGTTGATACTACTGCTCAGAAAACAAGATTCCTTTCAAAATATTACCACTTATTGACAAGACACCTGGTCACCTGAAAGCTCCGATGGAGATGTACAAGGAGATTAATGTTCATACCTATTAACACAACATTCATTCTTCAGCCCATGGATCAAAGAGTAATTTCAACTTTTGAGTCTAATTATTTAAGAAATACTTCTCATAAGTCTATAGCTGTCAGCGATCCTTCTGATAAGTCTGGGGAAAGTAAATTGAACACCTTCTGGAAAGAATTCCCCATTCTAGATACCGTTAAAAATATTTATGATTCATGGGAGGAGGTCAAAATATCAACATTAACAGAAGCTTGAAGGAAGTTAATCCCAACGTTCACGGATGACTTTGAGGGTTCAAAATTTCAGTGAAGAAATAATAGCATATATGGTGGAAATAGTAAGGGAACTAGAATTAGAAGTGGAGCCTGAAGATGTGATTGAATTGCCACAATCTCATTCAAACTTGAATGGACGAGAAGTTACTTCTTATGGATAAGCAAAGAAAGTGGTTTACTGAGATGAAATCTACTCCTGCTGAGGAAGTTATAAGCATTGTTGAAATGACAATGAAGGCTTTAGAATATTACTTAGACTTAGTTGATAAAGCAGCAGCAGGGATTTTAGAGGATTGACTTCAATTTTGAAAGAAGTCTTAATCTGGATAAAATGCTATAAAACAGTATTGCTTGCTATAGAGAAATCTTTTGTTGAAGAAGAGTCAGTCGAAGTGGCAAACTTCATTGTTGTCTTATTTTAAGAAATTGTCACAACTACCCTAACTGTCAGCAACCACTATCCTGACTGGTCAGCAGTCAACAACATTGGGGCATGACAGTTCACTAGCAAAAAGACTCACAGATGGCTCAGATGATCATTAGCAATTTTTAGCAATGAAGCTTTTTAAAATTAAGGTATGCATATTGTGTTTTTAGACACAATGCTTAGACTACAGATTGTGTAAACAAAAATTTTATATGCACTGGGAAACCAAAAATTTTATGCGACTTGTTTAATTTCAACATTTGCTTTCTTGCAGGGGTCTGGAATTGAACCTGCGATGTCTCCAAGGTATGCCTGTATCTGAAATCACTGTCTTTTCAGGCTCTCCACTCTTAGTACAGTTTCCATAAGTGGTTTCACAATTTTGCCCCCAAAATATGAGCTCATTTTCCCCCACTTCTGACATTATCTGTGAGACTTCTCTGAGGTCTTGGATACAAGTGAGTTCCTCCAGAGAGGATTTGTTTCCTCTTGCCAGGTGCCTCTGGCACAACCAACCTGAACTTAATACTCGATTTTCTATCTGAGGTTTTCCAGACCATCTAAACAGTGTGAGCTCAGGCTACAAAATATGTCAGAGCATATAAACTGTGTGAGGGTGTGTGAATTCTTATAAAAAGATTTTAAATTCTTATAGGAGAATTTTTGTCTTCCACTCAGAATCAAGGATTGAGACAAGCAATTTTCCTTGTCATCCCCTGAGGCTTATTCCTACTTTATTCTTACCCTGAAGGTGCAATTATTTGGGGTTTTAACTTAACATGGATTGGGATAGTGGGAGTCTCCGATTATAGTTCCCATTTTGGATGGACCAATTGGATTTCCCATCTGAGGCTTGTCCATCTGTCTCCCAGGGCTGTATGAACTAATGGCCAAGTTCACCTAATCTGGCAAATGCCTGCATGGGGTCACAACATCTCTCTGATGCCCATTGTGGCCTATTAGGTTCTTTATTTTTTGCTAACCCATTAATGCCTTTGAAAACATATTTAAATGATTTAGTCAGCATTTTAAACTTATTTTAAGCAAGAAAGTCATTATCAGGATTTCTAGTCTGCTGAACAGCTGGACACAAAGGACACAGAATTCTCTTTACCAGGCAGCTCCAGGGATATGTTAACATCTTGCAATGGCCATAGGCATGCTCATTAGAACACTGGCCCTTGGTGCCAGCCACATGCCTGTAACTAGCGCAACACATCAGTGATCATGAGTGAAGGTGATACTACACTAAAAAGTAGACTTAGCTTTAGAGAGTTGCCTAAGGAACTGAAGATGGGTCATTAACACAGGCATGATCCAGGACCTGTGTTTTGAACTCAGTTCCTTGGGTTTAAATGTATGGGTGGAGTGGAGACATTCCCATCAAGGTCAAGAAAAACTCCTACACTTTGATCCACCAACTAACAGAAGAAAAGCTGACATACTATCTGGATTCCTGGGATAGCATATTTCTAGCCACATCCAATTTGAGTATTTTGCAGTATCCTCTATCTAAAGTACCCAGGAATATTGTCATTTTTTTTTAGTAGGACCTGCTCCAGGAAGCAGGTCTCCAGATGCCACAAACATTCTTGAGGCTTGAACCCTAGGCCCTGGCTGAGAATGCAGTTCTGGATTTCTCAGCATGAATGTGAATGCATTTTGGAGATTTTGTGATGTCCCATAGGTGAACAAACTGAAAAGCAACTGTGTCCTGGACTAAAACAACTCCAGCAAGGGCTAAGGTTAGATATTCTTTTGAGAGACAAGACCAGCCTGTTACCAGGCTCTGGTATAACACCAAAAGACTGACATTAGCCATATAACTCTGAGACCAGAACGGCCAATCACGGCCTGAATGATAGAGAGAGTCTTTGTCTTTCACAACATGGAAGGCATACAAAAGCACTCCATCATTACATGGAAGTGAAGGCAACACACAGGGCTGCCCAGCCTGCCCAACATTCGTGCCATGCACCCACTAGAGCTGGATGAAGCAAGATGGATTGGGCATAAGTGTGGGCCAGAAGTCATGGCATTCCATGGGTGAGAGGTGACCTTGTACCTTGGCTGTTCCAACTGTCCCACTCACATTACTTGCCCTAAACATTCAGTGCTGATCGCTCTGTCATAACAATGACAACAACAACAACAATAGTAGTTGAACCATCCTGTATGCTACTATATGTCTAGTACTGTTCTGAGCACATTTAACCTTCATTACAACCCTATATGGTGGTATTATTAGGTCTCTCATTTTATAGATAAGAAAACTGACTCACAAAGGGCTTAAGAAACTTGCTGAAGGTTATACAGTTAGTACGTGGCAGAGTTCATATCAGAACTCAGGCAATCTGGCTCTCAGGTCCGTGCACTCCATTGCTACACTATATTGCCGTGCACAGTGCAGGGATATTATTGTGGTACTTAACATTGAGTGGAAGATAATTCTGTAGGTCAGTTTAAATAGTCACTAAGTACTTACACTGTAAGAATTTCTTTTTATAGAACACATGGGTAAGGTTCAATTTATTAATACAAGGTAAAGCATTGGTGGAGAAACAGACATTGTTATAAACTATTTTGGCTTTATCTGATTTGCAAACTACTACTAATAAGGAATCTAGAGTAAGAAAATATAGGTTCACTGGCACCCAAAAGATGTCAACAGTTTGGTATCAAAATATTTGTGTTTCCAAAGATTTTGTGAGGGAATGTAAATTAATGCCTAGTGTAGGAGTCTCCAAAGTTGGCTGCCACAATTCCTCCCCTCCAGGACATCCACATCCCAACCTAGAGCTTGTTTCCCCTTCTCTTGAATCTGAACTGCTCGTCCACTTGCTTTGATCCACGTAATGTGGTAGAAGTGATGCCCCCAGTAGCCACCATGTACCTGTGCCAGCCCAGCTCGAGCTCCAGGCCTTTTACTATCTCTCACTCGAGAAAACTCCATGACTTCTACAAAAAAAGGATGAACAATTCTGGATTTGGGGGAGGAAAAGGCATCTCACTAAAGGAGGCATTTAGGGGCACCTAACAGAGAAACATGAGTGTAAAAATCTGTGAACACTGGGTCAAAAATGAATGAATAAAAAATCCTCAGGTCCATCAGGCTGAAAAGGGAAAATGTCCTAAAACAGGAAGTGAATTCCCATGACACAGAGAAAAAGAAACAAGTCAAATACTAAGGTCTGGATCTAATCAGTTAATTGCTTGTCTACAAAGAGAGGCAGACAGGCAGGCAAAGGAGCTGAGCATGGAACCACTCTTGGGACAGTGGCACCAGTCAATGCAGAGCCATTATTTAGGGGACGTCAACAATGTTGAGAGAAGGACTTGCAAGTGATGGTCCAGATGGTCCAGTCTACAGAGATGTTCAGCTCCCGTCTGCTGTGGCCTTATTGCTGTGAGTTAAAATCATGGGTTTAAATAAGGTACTCTTCTTTGACTTAGATTCTGAATTATAGCTTTAATCTTCAAGGAAGTATTTCCTGACAAAATCAGGAGGCCTGGGAGGGCATGCTGAGGCTGGAGCATTGCTGTGAATTTCATCTTCTTCTCCAAGGTTGAGCAGTGGCATTAAGGAACTGCCTCCAAGATCATCTGATTTTCAGAAAAGTATTTATAATTTCTTACAGAGTCACATATTGTTCTATAAAAATCTTGTCTCAAAATGTAACCTGTTCTCCAAAGCCTAAGGAAAATTTTCTAAGTATCTGAGTCTTTCAGGGCTGAAATATGTATGCAATGTGTTAAACAAAGCTCAACTTCATGTCAGCACTTGCAATCATTTGCTCACAAATATCAGTAACAAAAATTCTTTCTGACATAAGTGACAGAATAATGACCTTAAAATTGCATCCCATTCCAATCCCAGATCCTGGCCTTTGAAAATGTCCCCAAATGTTTCTTTTACCTCCTGGTATAGCAAACACTAAAAAGACACTTCTCAATACTCAAATGGGTGATTATCTTTGTAGACCAATCCATGCCAAGGTGAAACCAGTCTATTTCGTTACCCTCCTTTTCCATTTTCAGCAGAATTCTCTCAACTGTGGAAACATAGATTTGGAATTACAAATCTACTACTGCCACCACTCTGGGAATCTTGAGGTGATGACCTTATAGAGCACCGACACGAATACATTTGTAAACCTCTGGTCCCTGTGAAATGCCTAAAGTAAAGAAATAAGCTCACACCTCTGAGGCTGCTTCCAGCTTAGACGAATAAGATGCCACACTAAAAAGGTAAGGGCATTGTGTTCACTTGACCAGGTTGGAAATTAAATTTCTAATGAAAAAGGATAAAAAATTTTTAAACGGTGTTTTTCAGTAAAGAAAGCCTCATAGCTCCCTAATTTTTACAACCAATCCTGTAGATATTCAACCCCAGATTGAAGGATTCAGTGAACGAACTCTTGAGAGACCCACATTTGAAAATGTGCAACTCGCCCTTAATTTGAAAAGTTAGGGATAAACCATTGAGCAAGGCCAACTAAGAAGTTGAAGGTCAAACACATAGAAACATGAGAGAAAACGCAAAACAAACAAAAAAGAGCTTCCAACAGCTCTTAGCACACAGTATAATTAGACCAGCTCCAGCACAATTGGCCACAACCTGCAGTCAGAATTAATCCAAAACCAAACTCCTTATCTCCCCACATAAGTCACTATTTCTGGGAAAGCCTCCATCATTTTCTCGTTAGCATTGGTTGGGAACCTCCAAGCCATCTCTGACACTCTCCTTCAATCGAGTTTCCTGCAGGTGCCAAATCCTACTAATTCTATCTTGAGAACTCCTCTTCCTTCCTCCTGTCCCTGCCCTAGTTACATCTCATCAAGCCTAGGGCAACAGCCTCTAAACTGATTTCCCACTTTCTCTCTCTTTCAACCCCAATACAATTCATACCATGCCGCTGTATCTATATTCTTTTTATTATTATTATGGTTTTGAAAGCCCACATAATAAAAAATTTACCATCTTAACCATTTTTAAGTTTACAATTCAGTAGTGTTATGTACATTCACACTGTTGTGAAACAGAGCTCCAGAAATTTTTCTTCTTGCAAATCTGAAACTCTTTACCCACTGAACAACAATTTGCCATTTCCTCCTCCTCCTAGTCCCTGGCAACCACCATCCTACTTTCTGTTTCTATGAATTTTTCAACTTTAGATACCTCATATAAGTCAAATCATATAGTATTTATCTTTTCGTGATTGACTTATTTCACTTAGCATAATGCCTTTAAGGTTCATCCACATTATAGTATCTGATGGTATTTCCTTCCATTTTAAGACTGAATAATATTCCACTACACGTATATACCATCTGTTGATGGACATTTGGGTTGCTTCCATCTCTTGGCTATGGCAAACGGTGTTTTCCACAGTGGCTGTACCATTTTACATTCCTGCCAACAGTGCCCAAGGGTTCTCTTGGCTATGGCAAACGGTGCTGCTATGAATGTGGGTCTACAAATATTTCTTTGAGACCTGGATTTCAACTTTTTTGGATATATATCCAGAAGTGGGATTGCTAGATAATACAGTAATTTTATTTTTAATTTTGAGAAGAATCTCCATACTGTTTTCCACAGTGGCTGTACCATTTTACATTCCTGCCAACAGTGCCCAAGGGTTCCAATTTCTCCATATGCTCTCCAACACTTGCTATTTTCTGGTTTTTTGATAGTAGCCATCCTAACAGGTATGAGGTGGTATCACATTGTGGTTTGGATTTGAATTTTTCTGATAGTGAGCATTACATCTAGATTCTTCTTTCCTGTTTCTGATCAAACCCCTTCCCTGCTGAGAGGCCGTGTACTGAATAAAGTACAGACCCACTTAAGGATCTTTATAACCACACCAGCTATTTTATTTCGTACTGTCTCATTCCACAAATCCTCCATACCAGCCCAATTAAATGCTTCATCATCCTCCAAGTAGGTCCCATGCTTTCTTTTCCTTCTGCAAATATTTACAGCTCAAATACCACCTCCCCTGAGAGGAGTGCTTTGTTTTCACAGCCAGAAGTCTACCTTCTTTCAGCACTTGGTGCTTGCTCTTACCATATGCGTCACATTTTCCTCTTCTATACCACTTAATTCGCAGGTCTCATCTCACTACGGAACAAAAAGTTCCTTAAGGCCATAGACTAAGTCCTGTTCAATCGTCTATCCTCCGCAGTGCCTGGAATACCACGGGCCTTTAATAAATAGTCATTAAATAAAGGGTTCAACACTTTAATGTGTAATCAGTTGATTAAGCCCATCAAAATGCCTGCAATTTTAAATCAGCAGCACTGCTGTCCTTTTTGTGTGCTGGGAAGGGGGAGAAGTGGGGAAAGAAGGTTTTGGTTTTTGTGCTTTAGTCGTCCAAACTCATCTTAATTCCCTTGAACACATTATTGAACTTCCAACTTGAAAAAAAAAAAGCTTTGAATGCCAAGTAGAGCTCACATCTAGTAACTGAACAGCCGGCTATTGTA
The DNA here is from genome assembly GCF_000001405.40 of Homo sapiens. Taxonomy (NCBI): domain Eukaryota; kingdom Metazoa; phylum Chordata; class Mammalia; order Primates; family Hominidae; genus Homo; species Homo sapiens. The sequence continues at coordinate 132,478,884 of NC_000002.12, read as the reverse complement.
TTTACCCTTCTAGTGGCTACAAGCTGACATTTAAATACTCCTCTTCCCTTTCCAAATATTAACCATGTGCAGCTGGTCACTTGGGTTCTGAAACAACATTTGATGGAGCACATTTCAAATACAATTCTGGAAAAATATTCAATTACTTCATTTTCATTTTACTCACTAAGTGGTAGCTTCCCTCCCAAGTTCAATTAAACTCACTTGAAATTAGAATTCACAAGAATACATTTAATTTAGATTTACTGGAAGATGTCAGACACCAGTTAATTAGCCTTAAAGCAGCACAGCCATGAGGTCCCTCCTGACTGAGCTTTCTGTCTTTGACAGGTAGCTTTTCTTGTTACGTAGTATTGATTGGGAAGCTCATCCAGTATCTGGGGCCAACCAATGGTTATACAACATTCTGACAAATAAATTAGATGTAGATTTTAAATTACTTGTGTGCAACCTATGGAGATCATTAGCTTGGGTCTAACAATGATCTGTGTTCTGTGGCCTGAAAATTCTCATTCATTTGAATCAATGGATTATTTTGCCAGATAATTCAACAAACATTTACCAAGAACCTATCCTGTGCCCGGCACTATTCTGGACACTTTATTTATTCAGCAATTCTTTATTAATCCCTTCTATGCCAAGTCACATAAGACATAACTCCTCCCCTCAAGGAATCTAGAAAATGTTTCAGACTTTTTCTTTGCTGCCTGTGGAAACGCAGTCAGTGTTCAGCAGTTTGTGGTTTTTAAAGAGTCATTGTAATGCCAAGTCCCAATTAATTCCAGATTTTCTAGAACAGCCAGATTTCAAATAGTTGGTGATTATGTGTGGGACAGTGTCTCAATTATTAATATGATTCATGTAAAGGGGATAGAATAAAATGCCTCAAATTCTTTGTAGGTTATGGTATTGATTTTAAATTAGTAAATTTCTAGGATTAACTCTGTTTAGTAAGCAATGGTATTAAATATATTTCCAAAGACTAAGTTCACTAATCAGTGTTTACTATGTAGCCATTATGTGATCAATTCTTTGTGAGACAAAGGAGGAAGATGAAAAGAGAAAGGCAATTTATATTCATTAATTACCAACTTTGTAATATACTTAATATTTCCTTTTGCATCAGGGGTCTGTAACATGCCACAGAGTAAATAATTTAGGTTTTAAAGGCCATATGGTCTCTGTTGAAACTACAGAAAAACAGCCCACAATGACACATAAGTGAATGGATGTGGCCATGTTTCAATAACTTATTACAAAATGAGTTGGCGGGCTGGATTTGGCTCTTTGATTGAGACAGAGCCTTGGCTCTTTTTTTTTAGACAAGGTCTTGCTCTGTGGCCCAGGCTGGAGTGCATTGGCACATTCACAGCTCACTGCAGCCTCGACCTCATGGACTCACGTGAGCCTCTCACCTCAGCCTCCCGAGTAGCTGGGACCACAGGCATGCGCTACCATGCCCAGCTGATATTTCCTCTTTTGTAGAGATGGGATATCACTATGTTGCTCAGGCTGGCCCTGTTGTATGCTGTCTCCCACCCCTGTCCTCCACGCCTCTGAATGCTCCACCTGAGAAGCCCTTCCTTGTGTCCTCATCTATGTATCTTCTACTCGTCCTTCAAAGTCCTGTTCAGGCGCCTCCTCTTCCTCTTCTGACTCAAGTTTGAGAAATCTGATAAATAGCAACTAGTTTTTCTACAGCACATACAATTTTTCAAAATGTTTACTCTCTTACAACATTCTTTTAAAATAATCACTGCAGCAATTATTATTCCCACTGGGTCCATGTAAAAACAGATGGGATAGCATCTCGAGAATCATGGATGGTTAGTGTCAGAGGCAGAAGAGCAGGCAGAGGGGGACCATAGCCCACCACAGCCAGAGGCAAATACTGTGGGGCCTTGAATCTCACTTCCCCAGAGGCTGCCTGGAGAGGCCATCAGCAACAACTGGGAAGGGTAGGATGGAGTGTCTACACAGAGGAGTGCCTCTGTGGGAAGGAATTGGCAGAGCCAACCTTTCCCTTCCTTCCCACGAATGACTGTTCTAAGGAATAACAGCCTGTCCTACAGAGCCGAGAAATGGACTCCTTTACATTTGTCTTTGTCTGTGATACTGTGGCCAGCTTGATAAAGCATCATATGCTTTTCCTCCATCCCTACCTCACTTCCTTTTCCCGCCATGTTATCAGTGCCCTGGGAACATATCTTTACATATCTATCTTTTTTTTTTTTTTTTTTTTTTTTTTTGAGATGGAGTCTTGCTCTGTTACCCAGGCTGGAGTGCAGTGGCATGATCTCGGCTCACTGCAACCTCCACCTCCCGGGTTCAAGTGATTCTCCTGCCTCAGCCTCCTGAGTAGCTGGGATTACAGGCACCCACCACCACGCCCAGCTAATTTTTGTATTTTTAGTGGAGACAGGGTTTCACCATGTTGCCCAGGCTGGTCTTGAACTCCTGACCTCAAGTAATCCACCCACCTCGGCCTCCCAAAGTGCTGGGATTACAGGCGTGAGCCACCGTGCCCAGCCTGGGAATATATCTTTCAATATACATGAAGAAATACATTTTGCCTCAGGTTTTGTTTTCTAGGGACTTCGAACCAGAAACTTTGGAACCAGGACATCCTCGGTATAAGATTTTGGAGTTGGAATACTGACTGTTGGGATACAATTCACCTTTGGTCTTTTATAAATGACATGACACTACTAGGCCCGAGTTAAAGGACTTTGTCTTCCTTCAGTATCCATGAATGTGGAAAGGTAAGGTGTTGGCTTGAAACTAGAGTGTAATCTCAGACTCTTCACAGTTCTTGATACTCATTTGTCTAAAAAGAGAAAAAAAAAAAGAATCCCTCTGCTGCTGCTAAGTGGCATGTGGTGACATCACAATTAGTCAAGCTTTCACCTGCAGTTGATTGAGATGAGGTGCAGGTAAAGTGCAAGACACTGGAAGGTCAAATGGCTGCATCATTTGATTGGCAGAAGATAATGACAACTATGAGGATGGGAGTGTGAAATGGCTATTTGTGAAAGCATTTGAGGTCTTGCAAAAAGAAAATGAAACCAAGCCAGCTAATTGCTGGCTTCAGGCATATTCTAAAAGTGCAAAGATTCTGTATCCATAGAAAAAGAGACTCTTGTCTCCTGCAGCTTCAGGGCCAACTGCACTGAAAATCAGACCCAGATCATGACTTTTCCATGTGGTAAATTTTCAAAGTAGGTCAAATGTGCAGCCTCGACCTGTCTCGTATGTCACAATCAGAGCCCTAACGAGTAAGGGTGGGACTACGAAACCTGGTGTGGGGGTATTCGTGTAGTTAAGCTGGAGAATCTTGAACCCTCTGGGCCAGCCAAAGAAGCTTCTCCCCATTGCCAGAGGAAAACAGTTCCCCCACCTCCCTCAATCAACTTGTCGAAAGATCACGTACTGATATTATTGGAAATAGGTGCATGGCAGAATGGTATTTATTCTTCCCAAGATCTGCCCCCAACTACCCCTCATGACCTCCAGACCAATAGCCAGTGCCAGCATGCATGCACAGTGATATACAGGCCCTATTCTATGAAGTAGTAGACTATATACTAGATGAACTGTAGAACTTTGCTAACACATACTAGCAGTGTTCATGAACAAGCATGCAGGAGTGACTCTTGAGGGTGAAGAGACTACTCAGCAAAGGAAAGGGACAGATGGGGATGGTGATTGACATGAGAACATTAACCTGAGACTTGGGATTCAATTAGCTGATAAGGATACCTGGAACCAGTCCTGATACCATACTGGGAGGGCTCCTTGAACCATGAGCAGAATGATGGCCTACAGTAAATTGGGTGAAGATATTGAAACTTCCTCAGCATAGTTCTGAAGAAGGGGTCAGAAGGCACAGAGGGATGGAACTGTTAGAGTGGATTTACTCTGTAAAACCTGAGACCCCATCACATGATAAATTCTCTGAGAGGACTCAAAGGGCACTTCCTTCAACAAGGCAATAAGAAATGTACTGATCAAGGGGGCACAAGAATCATTGAGATTCTTTATGGCGGCTGTCCACTGCAGGCAGGAATTGCCATGAATATGCTGCCATGGAACCGAGATCCTTAATCTAAAGGCAATAATGGGTTCCCAAAATGGCAAAGGCCAGGAAGCAGCCCTTAACATCGTTAGCATAATGTGCAGCAAGGCTGGAGTAGCAACTGGGCTGCCTCGATCAATAGAAATCTATGGTGATGGTGTTTCAAGGGGCAAGATAGATGGGCAGTTGACTAGGGTGTTGCTTGATTTGTACAATCAAAAATAAACACACACACACAAACACTCCACGCATGCATGCACAAGCTGGTGAGCTGAAGGTTGTCATCAGTTTCCACAGCAGAAAATCACAGTCCCCTCACCCAGTTTCCAGACGTAAGTCAGCTCACAGACCCAAAGCTCCATATCCAAAGCATATATTAGCCACGTCCTACAGTCCCTTCCAGGTACCATCTATTACTTCCTAGAACAGGGCTTGTGCACCCCTACTCAAGCTGTGCTAAGTCCTGGCACTGGTTATTGGTCTAGAGGCCATGAGAGGTAGTAGACAGCAGACTGAAGAAAAGATTAGGTTTCCTTGAGGAAGAATTGTGTAACACCAGTGCAGAGATATGCAGAAAATATGCCTCTAATTATCACCCCAAAGAAAACATTTGCTGGGTAACTTCGCCTTTGAGAAAAGAGAAAACCCAGAAATTTCATTAACTGTTAAATAGAGGGTCTGAGCTGACACTAATACCAAAGGACCTCAAAAACTCACCATGCTCCTCTGACTGAAGTGAGGACACACTGATGTCATGTCGTAGTGCTTTAGCCTGAGTCACATGTGCCTGTCCACTGACCCACACTGGATTATTTCCCAGTCACTAAGTGTGTAGTTGGTATAGAGATACTTAGTAACTAGCAAGACCCTCACGTTTCTTCCCTGACTGTGGAGGAAGAGCCGTTATGGTAATAAAGGCTAAATGCAGCCCCCTGAAACTACCCCTCTTTTCTGCCTGGATAAATTGGATGCAATACTGCATTCCTGTAACAACTGAAGAGATTAGTGCCACAACCAAAAATCTGAAAGAGGCAGAGATAGTGGTCTACATCATGTCTCTCAATTCATCTGTGGCCTCTGCAGAAACCAGATGGAGCATAGCAGATGGCCATAAGCTACCGTACAATTAGCCAAGTGGTAGTCGCAATGCTAACTGATAAGTTAGATAAAATAACATACTTCCTGAAGCAGATTAGCATGGACTCTGGTACTGAATATATTGCTACTGAGTTGATAAATGCTTTTTTTTTCAATATCCATTAGTGATGGCATCAAAGTACTGTAGTCTTTCCATGGCAAGGACTACAGTACACCTTCAACATAATAGCTTTAGGGCTATGTTAATTTTCTTGTCATAATCTAGTCCTCAAGGAACTTGATTGCCTTGACATTCTGCAGAACATCACATGGGTCCATTATCTTGATGTTATAATAATTGCATGGGGGAGCAGGAAGTGGCTTAGATAATTTACTAAGAGAACACATACATGGTGGAAGGTGGGAGATAAATGCCACAAATACTTAGGACCTGCCAAATCAGTGACATTTTTAGAGCTTCCAGTGACTTGGAGCATGCTGGGACACTGCTCTAAAGGAGAAATCCTTGCTCCTAGAACACCTGCTACTACAAAAGAAGAACAGCACTCATTGAAATTCATTGAATTTTAAGGCAGTGTTTACCACACTTTGGAAAACTGCTCAAATTTATTTACCCGGTGATTCAGGAAGATACCAGGGGAACAGAGAACTCTGTAGCAGGTTCAGGCAGTGGCACAAGCTGCCCAGCTACTTGACCTGTATGTTGCAGCAAATCTGGTGGTGCAGGGGGGTTCACGGTGGATAAGGATGCTGGGCAAGCTCAAATATGAGACTCTCAGGGCAGACCTAGAGAGTTCTTAATCAAGGCCACGTCCTCTACTTGAAAAAATAGCTCCCTTGTGTTACTGAGTTCTAGCTGAAACTAACATTTGACCTTGAAACACTAGACTGTATGACCTCCATTACAAGCTAAGTAATACTATATCCACCAAGTCATAAGGCCAAGTGCGTGTAGTCACAATCCATTATATGATTAAAGTGGTATATTTGGTACTAGACTCAAGCAGATGCAGAGTATAAGTTGCGTGAAAAAGTAAGTTCATGGTCAGGTCACTACCATGTCACTTACCTCTGTAGTACCAACACCATTTTTTTCATTCCATATATGTGGGTTTCCATTCCCTATGACCAACGGATGGAGGAGAATGGACCTGGGCCTGGTTCACAGGTGAGTTGCAGGAAATGTTGGCATTGAAGATGGACTGTGGCTGAACTATAGCCTCACTCAAGAGTGGCCTCCCAGGAAGCAAAGCTTCTGGCAGACACTCAGTCATCCACTTTGTATTCAGGGAAACATGGCCTGTGGTGCAGATATCAACTTCTGGGAGTGGCAAGTGGATTTGCTGATAGGTCAGGAGCTGGATGGAATACACCTGGAAGGCCAGCAGCAAGGAGGCCTGGAGGGACCTACAGAAGGGCTCACAATGCTTGAAAATCTTTGTATCTCACATGAATTTCCATGGCAGAGAATCTACTCCAGATAAAGTTCTCAGGAGCCAAGTTAGACAAGATGATGTTAATGAATGTCAGCTGGCATCTCTCTTCCACTCCCTACTACTTGCCCAGGAATGGAGGCTGTGCATGGACCAAACATCATGGGCTCCTGCTCACCAGTGCTGATCTATCTGTTATCATTGCTGAATGCCCAATTTGTCAACAGCACAGACTGATGTTGAGTCCTCAATATGGCACCATTCCTTGAGAAGACCAACCTGGTGGCAGGTGGATTATATTGAGCCCCTTCCACATGGGAAAGAACATTGGTCTATCCCTGCTGAAGTTGATACACATTGCGGACTTGGGTATTCTGCCTGGCTTGCAGAGCTTTTGTTGGAAATCCTGAGCAAAGGCTTATAAAATGCCTGATCTACTGAAAGTTAACCGAAAACATTGTCTCACACCAAGCGACCCATTTTATTGCAAAGGAAGTACGACAATGACCTGGGGCTAACTAATCTTTGCCATCCCCAGAGTCAATCTGACTGACAGAATGGCATAGCAGCCTATTGAAAGTGAAGTTAAGGCAACGAGTTATGGGGAAGAAAAAAAAAAAAAAAAACTCCTTGCTGGGCTGGGCCCTACCTTTCAAGATGTGGTGTAGGTGATAAACCAGTGGCTGACATGTGACACTGTGTTCCCAACAGCTACAATAAACTGACCCAGGAACCAAGTGATGGAAGTAGGAGAGGTCATTCTAACCACCACCCCTATGAAATATTTGTGGAGGCTGTGCATCCTAACCCCACATACTTTGACTCTACCAGGTTCCTAGAGAGGTTGCACCGACTAGTGGATACAGTAAAGCTTCCACTGAGCTTGAAGCTCTATCTACCATGTGGCCACTTTAGGCACTCATGCCAGTAGAACAGGTCTATATCCTCATGGACTAGAGCTTTATCAATGAGTATGAGGAGACAGGCAGGTGCCAACAAATAAATTGTTCTCTCTTCCTCTAACTGGATGGACTATTCTCATCTCATTTCCTGGTCACATCTCATGTGACCAGAAAACTGGCTATATTTTCTTGTGAGGCTGTGGCTAGCTTGCAACAGACCCCCTTGCTTCTACTTTGCCTACTTCCCTGGCCTCACTTTCTTTGCCCCACACTCCCACTGCCCTGGGATTGCAGTGCTCAGTAACACATTAGCATGTAAGGAAATCCTGCTAGGCAAGATATCCACATGGGTACTGATTTGCCAAGGGTCAGTGGATAGAAAGTGGATTCCAAGCAAAGGTTATGCCCAAAGGATGAGGCATAGATTGATTCCCACACACAGAGGTTGCAAACAGGACCACACAAATTGCCCAAGAATCCACAGGAGAGAAACTAGTCCCTTGCTGCCTTGGTTACAGAAACAGTGTCAGGTGGGGGTTGGGAGGTCACAGGCTGGCCCATCATTTAAGACCCTGGACAAATGCAGCTGACACCCTCCCCCGCCCACCCAGGAAGCCTTTCCGTGCCCTCCCTGTCTCCCCTGCCCAGGCTGGGATAGACAGCCCCTCTCCCTGCCCCCCAACAAATGCTTCCTTTGTACAACTGGATCTATACATTTTCCTCATTTTACTGGATCGTCTATTTTCATTTCTGTTTCATATCACTCCACAGCTCAACAACCACAATGGCTCACCCTTTACTCAGAATAGAAGCCAGCATCCTTACAGCGGCCAACAGAGCACTTTATAATCCATCTCCAACCCCACCTCTCGGCACCCTACTTGCCCCGTTCATTTTGTAGTCCTGGATCACCCAGGCCTACAGCTGCTTTAGGAAGTGCCAACACCACCATGGTCCCTCAGCCTGGAACAGTCTTTCCCCAGACGTCTTCATCACTAACTGCCTCACCTCCTCAAGACTTGTTGCAATGTCACCTCATCGAGGCCCACCCTAACTACCCTACTGAAAATGAACACCTGTCTACCTTCATCTCCTCCCTCCATAGCACTCCCATCCCTCACAAATGGCAGTCTCACACCTCTGCTCTGCAGAAATGCTGGTGCCACCACTAACTGGAAGGATGTTATGGGGCACAAAGGTATTAACACCCAGTCCCTCAAATTCAGGGACAAACACTTCTTAGACTAGAGGTGGCCATATCCACCTGTGATCACAGCTCTTGCCCAGTTGGGGGTCAGTGCTGAGTGTCCTAAGACATCACACCGTCTCATGTAATCACTGCTTGCCTTTAATCCCCTGCTGCATCCCACCCTTTCACCTCCCCACACTTAAAGACCTTGCATTCTCTGAACTTCACAGACTTTTGCCAACTCCTCTGAGAGTGGGCAACTTTGCCGTAACAGTTTCCCCCTGTTGGTGTTTTCCTCATGCACAGAACTTCGGGCACAGCAGCCTCCTCTGGGGAGGGAGATGAGAACGGGAAAGTTGCATGGGGCCACCTCAACCCCACCAGCCAGCATGTAAGTGAGGTAGTCTCTAGCAGGTGCTCGGGAGAGGCTCCTATTAACAGTAATGGGCCCTCTGGATGTTTCAAAGGCAGAGCCAGCCACTGGATTGAGACCCTCCCTGCGGGAGTGAAGGCTGCTGATTGCACTGTCTGGGGCAGGTGGAGAAAAATCACTCCCATTAGTTATACGACTACCTCTTCCACCTGGCCCGCATAACCAGAGGGTCGTTTACACACACACGCTCACTGTCTCATTAAAGCCAAAGGACGCTCAGGCCTCAGTCTCTCTGCCTGTTTCTAAAGTGTGTTATTTGCGATTCAATTACACATGGCCTGCAGAGGCAATAAAGGGCAAAGGGAATTACCCTGTAATGTATTCCAAAAGCACTCCCTGCACACCCACACTCCCAAGGATAACAATTTGCCAATATAACCTTTCATTAAATGAACAGAAATCATGCAGACCCCATGGTGCAGGAAGTCACTACATAGAAGGAAATTATGTATGAGTTGCCCCCAGCCACTCATTTTAGCTTGAATAGGATCTGTCAGCAGGGGCTTTAAAGAGCTCTAAACTGAACACAGGAAGCAGCCCTTTTCTGATGCCTACAGGGGGATGGAACTGGGCCTCTGGCCCCACTCAGAGGGCAAGAGGAGGCTCCACCCAAGGGAAAGACACAACGGAATGAAGCAACTTGCAGGAATTGCCACCTACAGTCTCAGAGACATGTCCCAAGCCCTTTGAATCAACTGAACAACTTCCCAGCAAGGCTGACTCCTGCCCTTGATTCAGAATCGCTGCCAAGGAGGCAACAGTCATTGTCAAATCTCAAGGGCAACATTCTCTGGTTGGAAGCCAGCAACATTGTGGGGAAAAATCATTAGCTTCCTGCAATCCTGAAATGACTGCCTACGTGACAATGTATCTCACCTGGGGAGGAGGAAAGACAAGCAAAGGTCACCCTGCCTCCTCTCTCTCATCTGTCCCCTTTTTCCAGGCCCATCGCCACTACCCTACTTTCAGCCTTCATAACGACCTGCACCAGTGACTGCCAGACAGAGACCTGCCCTGCCCCACCTTCCATCTGTAACCACCTCCTGCTTCCACTGCACACGTAAGCTATGGCCAGAGCAGCAGCCTAAAATTCACCTCTGTTTTCTGTTTAAAACCCTTTGGGCAAAGGTTGGGTTGACCCAAAGTATAGGGCCCAACCTCTCAGTCTCACGTTCCAAACTCAATTCATCATTCCAGTCTTCACTGCCATGACACTCATTCACATCCCTAGCCTCAGCCAAACCTGGACCATTTCTGCACTGGTCACCTCTGTGTGCCTGTCCACAATGTACCCTCTGACTAGCATGTCCCTCTCTCCCACCCTGCCACTTCCATATAGGTAAATTTCAGGTGCTCATTATGGACTAGCCCCAGTCCTATCCCCTCCACAAAAGCTTCCCCTATTGCAGTTAATCTCATCCTTCTTTGTTGTAGCTTCTCTCACATTCTATCTGCAGTATAGTTGTTTCTTTTCCTGGTCTAGAAGGTAAACTCTTTTTGAGGACAGGAAACTGTTCACTGTTGCATCTGCATTTATATACACATAGTGAAACCACAGGTACTTGAAATATGTTGGTTGGGTCAAGTTCAATTTTGGAGATTGTTTATTTTCATGGGACCTGCACAAATATTAGCAGAAAAAAAAAGAATTTCCCATCATGCCAAGTATCAGGCAGAGTGTTGGGAGGTGCTGGGAGGCAGGACTTCTAAGAAAATGGTACCAGGAGCTGAGATTTGAGAAATGCAAATTATATTACAAGACCCTTGAGGGAGAATGAGAAAAGGGTGGAATTTAACAACCAGATTTTATTAGCTCAGGGCTACTGGGTACATGATCTAATTCCTCCTGGAAAATTCTCTGAGGCTTCTGAAAAGTGGAAGCAGACTCCCTCTAAAGGGGTATGAAGAGTAAATAAATATAGATACCAACTGACCCTTGTATCCCAGTTTCATTCTGGCTTCCTCCAGAAAACCTTCCTAACTGTTCTGGGCCACTATGTTCCCTGCCTTCACTGACTTTAGTACCATACAGCTTAGGGTAAAAGTATACATCATCTTTATTATTCATTAAAGTTTCATGAGCAGTAACTGTAGCTCACCAACTTGACTATGGAGAGATTGTGTCTGCAGCATTTTTTCATTTTCATTCATTGATGTATTCATTCAAAAATACTTTTCTTTTTTCAACTTTTATTTTAGATTCAGAGGGTACATGCACAAGTTTGTTTCCTGGCTATACTGTGTGATACTGAGGTTTGGGGTATGAATGATCTCATCATTCAGATACTGAGCATAGTACCCAATAGTTACTTTTTCAACCCTTTCCCTGCTCTGACCCTCCCTCTCTAGTAGTCCTCAGTTTCTGCTGTTGCCATCTTTACGTCCATGAGTACCCAAAGTTTAGTTCTCACTTATAAGCGAGAACATGCAGTATTTGGTTTTCTGTTCTTGCATTAGTCCATTTAGGATAATGGCCTTCTGCTGCAACCACAGTGCTTGTCTGCAGCTTTTGATTGCCCCACAGGAGCCAGTGCTCTGCTAGGTCCATGAATCTATGCTCAACACCTGCCTGTAGACTGACACACTCCTCTTGGCCCTCCCATAAGACTAAGACATTGTAATGGTTCTCTTTGACTCCAAAAGGGGTCCAAGAAAATTTCTTATAATATTGGCTGTTGCTTAATATTTCTTCACTGCCTACAACTCCTACTAGGGTATTACTGTCAATTAGCAAACACATATAAGCACCATTTTTTGGCAGGTACTTTAAAAATGTTAAAAAAATATAAAACATGAAGTTATGGGGTGACCTTGTCACGCAGGAGAAATCAGTTCACACTCTAGTGTGGGAGGGAGAGCTCCTGCATACTGAAGAGTAATCATAATGCAAGTCAGAATGTACTAGCTCAAGTTGTTGAGAGGCCAAGTGCTCTCTGGGCACAGATGCCACTCTTGGTCCTCTACACATTTGCAATAAAAAAAACAGCCCTGAAATTTTCTACCTGTCATTCTCCATCTAAAATGTTATAGACTTAAAGAAAAGACCAGAGGACACCCAGCAACTAATTTGCACACAGTAGGAGTTCTCACTCAGCTCACTCTGCCTATGTGTTTAGTTTCCTCAAAAGGGTCCAGGCCTGTTAGCCTGGGGGTTATGCTGCCCTCTTTGTACTTACCCTGCAGGAGAGGAGCAGCCCAGAAGCCTGACTTGCCAGAGATTTTCTCAACAGACACCACAGAACTCAGTCAACCCTGGCCCTGGGAATGTTCCCCAGAGCTACAAAGTTTGCTGGAGCCTACCCTGACCTTTCCTGAAAAATGCATTTCATTCCTAGCTGGAAAGGAAACAAAAGATAAATCGCAAGGAAACTCAAATTTGAAAAAAAGGACAATCATCCAGAAAGTATAGGTTTTATCTTTCTCTCTTTCTTTTTAAATGTTGTGATAGCGACTCTGCTAAGAGAAAATGATTCTGGATGAAAAATTAATTCAAATTATAATTACTGAAATATTGAGAAAATATTTGAGGTACTTTACCTATGTCAGTGACAAACAGTTCTTCAGTCATTCAGTTAAGACATGAACCCTTCCAAACCCCTGTGGATGTTACTGTACAATGACTGCTCAGAGACAGCCAAGCTCAAGAGTATGCTAAGCATGAATGACTCAGAAAGGCTCAGCCAAGACACAGCCTGCAAGGCTGGCAAGGAAAGAAAATAGGCTTTAAGCTTTTAAAAAAAATCCTCTTTTTTCTCATTATAAAACAAATATTTGTTCATTACAGAAAATTTCATCAATACTATACATATAAGCAAAAATAAAAATATATCATATTTTCATCACCCAAGTTTAAGAAGCAGTTATTTTATGCTAAGCAACAGTTCAGATACATTATATACACCACCTCATTTTACTTGCACAACCACTCTGAGTTTGTGATGTTAAGGATCAGAGAGGTTAATTAACCTTCCTGAGGTCATATAAGCTATTAAGTGGTAGGCAAAAAAAGAAACCCACCTCTGTTAAATTCTAAATCCTATACTTTTTGTTTTATGCAACCCTCTTCCCATTCCAAAGCAGTAAGTAGTTCTCCTTCAAACGCTGTGACAACCTTAGCATGTTTGACAACTCCACTGTAAACCTGCCAAGGGAGATGTGTATGCCTCCTCCTAGGCTACCATGCTCTTTGCCTCCTTATTGGCTACCATGCTCTTTGCCATCCAGGGACTCCCCAGGAAACAGTAATGGCTGTGATTACTTACTGTACAACAGTGCCAATGCACTCACAGACAGTTTCATTGCCAATACCAGCAGCATGATAGTTTGGAGAGGGGGTACAGGGAGACTAGGGGAAGTTGCATTCCATGGCTAACTTTCCCTCCACTGTAGTTACAGGCCCCAGAGTTCCTGGGCTCCAGAGGACTGGTTGATGGACGACACCTGGTTTAGAAGCAAGGAAAAGGGGAACTCCTCTGTAGAGACAATCCTGGTAATCTATCCTTACAGATTTGTCCAGGCGACTGCCCAGATCTGATCAGGACAAAGGGACTTCTTTCTTTTTTTTTTGCTTTTGTTTTAACCTTCTCATTGAGTGAAAGATGCTGTTCCTTGAGGTTTCAGAGAGAACCAATCACTTTCACATATTCCAAATTACCACCTGTTTGCTACTAATTAAATGAATTATGTCTCAAATCCAAACAAATTTTGTGAATAAGCAAGTCAAATCATCATTTTGAAACATTGGCTTACAGCCACCAGGCCTGCTAGGACCTCTTGGTTTAAGGGACACAGGACATCATTTCCTTCTTAGCATAAAATCCCTCAAGGTAATTTTCTGGTATTGCCCCATGCCCCCTGGGAATTGGCTCCCATCTTCATAGAAGACAAAACGTGTAAGAGAACAAGACTAATATGCTAGAGTCTCCAAGAGCACCTCTACATTTGGAGGTTTGCTAGAAGGACTAGTGGGACTCAGTATGTAGTTGTACTCTTGACTACAATTTATTGCAGCAATGTTGGAAGGATATACTGCCGGGTCATAGGAGGGAAGGACACAGGCTGGGTCTGGGGAAATCCATGCACAAGCTTGCTTATTCTCTCTCCTTCCCCTGAGAGCTCACATACAGCCCACTTTTCCCTGAGCAACAAACTGCAGCAGCATGAGTGAGATGTTTCTGCCCTGAGAAGCTAGTGAGAGACTTAGTGCTGAAGGTTTTTAATGTGGGCTTCTCTCATGGATACCATTTGTCTAAAATGCACCAATGGTCCAGATTCCTAGCTAGAAATGAGTGATCAGAATAAACTAGGTTGTTTGTACAAATAGTCTAGGCATACTGCACTATCCTTAGGGAATACTGGGATCCTCCTGAGATTCAAGTTCCCAGATGCCCGTCATAGGCCAATCCTGCACACGAGCTTCTCTAAGGACACCAGCTTCAAGGCTGCTATGTTAAACTTTTACCACACAACTGAACACCAACAGCCATGTCTGTATATGCATGATCCCAAGCAAGGGGAAGTAAATCAATCCAGATGATGGCTCAGTGTTGGGCATGTCGTTCGTCATGGATAAGCTCATGTGATACTTCTTCTTCAGCTCCCTTTCACAGCTTCAAAAATAAGAACTACGTGATTTTTAATTTAACATCTATCTCACCAGCTGGAATCTGGGCTGGCTTTGTGACTTCCTGTGACCAATAGAATGTGGCAGAAGTGACACTGTGTGAGTTTCAGAACCTAGGACTGAAGACGTCTTGCAATTTCTGCCTTCATCATCTTGGAATGCTGCCCTGAGGCTGCTTACAGGAAGTTGGTCTGGCCTCCTAGAGGATGAAGACATCAAAATGTCCAAGCCTGCAGCCTGCACCAACTTGCAAACAAGTGAATGAGCCCATCTCGGATATTCCAGTCCTGCCCATCCCGTGGTTGAACGAGTGAGCCCAAGCAAAACCAGCAGAGACATTAACTGTCAATTCACAGGATTGTGAGAAATAATAAATCACTGTTGTTTCAAGCTACCAAATTTTGGAGTGGTTTGTTATATAGCAATACATAACTAATAAATAACACTGGGGCTTGTTTTCCTTGAACCTCTCTCTGCACTCCTGTAAAGCTTCTTATTTTATAAACTGAGTTTAACTTCACACAGCAGGTCCTTCTCCTTTTTCTTGCCTCTCTTCTCCTGTCTTTCCCTATTAATTTCCCTGACTCTAGACCAAAATCGATGCATAAACTGGGCTAACAAGATAGGACCTTTCTTGACAGGAGGAAAGAGATGGCCAGGGAAGTGGGGAGGGAAGAGCCTTAAAGAAGACCAAAAAAAAAAAAAAAGACCCGACTCTTAGGAAGACAATCTTAATGAATCTTGTATCTTTCACCAAGCAAGAGAACAGAGGTTGTTGCCCTCCAAAGACCTCACACCACCCCTGTAATACCAGAGAACCCTAGCCCTGCTTTCTCTCAGTGCCTTGTATAAGGAAACCAAGCTGTCTCTCTGATGGCTTCCTTTTCATTTTATTTTCTTCCTTCAGAGCACTCTTTGCCAGTCATAACTACCTTTCAGTTTATATACTTGCCTATCTTCTGTCTACCCACTTTCACACTAAGCCCCAGCTCCTAAGGTGCTTGTCAGTTTCATTGTCTGATGGATTCTGCCACCTAGAACAGTGCCTGGTGCACGACAGAGGATCTTAAATATTTGTTGACTGAATGGATGAACAAATGAAGAAATACATGAATGAATGAACAGAGTACATTTTCTGGAAACATGCTTGTGGTAAGTTTACCTTGGAGAAAGGGAGTAGAAAGGCTGAAAAGAGCAGAATCACATTATTATTATAAACTTATAAGTAAAAATAGGAATATTTGTACCTACATAGCATATATAGATGCTATTCTAAATGCTTTATCTGTATTATTTAGTTCTCACAAAAACTGTGTGAGGTAAGGACTTTTAGTACCATCATCTCCATTTCACAAATGAGGAAACCAAGGCAGAGAGAGGTGAAGTGATTTGTCTAATGCCATCAGGCTAGTGTGTGGCTGAGCCTGGACTGCCTGGTTGGCTGACTTTAAACTCTATACTATTAGACAGCTGCACAAAGAAAAGTCAGCAAAGGCCAGAGTGTTTAAAAAAAATGTAGGAGGAAAGAGCTGTAGAAAATGGAGGCAGGAAAAGCAGTTCTTGTCATTGTGGTGTAAGATGTAACATTAAGCCTCATTATTAGGTGCTGCCTTGACATCTGGTAAAATCAGGAGGGCCTTGAATGGCCTAACAGCCACTTCCCCTCCCTACTCTGCCCCCTTAGATAAGGTCCCCTAGCCCAACAACCCTTCTTATCAAAGGGACCAGGCACAGTTACAGTTTACCCCTGAGAAGTAGGTTTCAGTTCTGTGCCAGCCTGCAAAATTATTCAAACAAGCCAATCATATCCTTTCACAAGAAACAGGGAGCACCACAACCTCTTGATACTACAAGGCCTGCTGTCCGTGGCCTCTGGTGGTCTACTCTGTTCCTGAGTGCAACCTTTGTGAGGCCCTGCATGCAACATGGTGTCCTCCCTGGGCTGTGAGCAAATGTGACTTAATAAACTGCTGTACATCTCATCTGTCCAGTGTTGGGTATTATATATTTGGCTATCTCCAGAAACCTAGGCCAGGAGTCCCTCCCTCATGAGCAGGGCTAATAAGAGGTGATTAAAACAGTCATGGAGATGAATTTATAAAGAAAATGTTAGACGGGCCCATGGTAATCTTACTGCGTTGCATCTTGGCCTCAGCCAGCCTGAATATGGCCCACTGATGGAAGAAGAGCCAGAATGAAAGTCTGGGGCTTCCATTAACATATGGGGGGTTCTCACTAATGTGTGTGGGGCTCTGACTCATGTGGTTCTGAGTATTCCAAATCCCTCGGCACAGCAAGGTGACTGTCACTGGGGCAATGGCTGCCAGGAGAGCCTGGGCACAAGGTGCTTGACAGATACTTATTGAACTAATATAATCAAATGCTTTAATACTATGATTAGTAAATGCTTCATGATTAAGCTCCTCACAAATATTCTCCTGCCATTAAAGTTGTGATGGGGGATTTACGACAAAAAGCTATATGAAAACAGCAAGAAATGAAATTGTATGTGCAATATGGTTTTCAACAGATTTTTCCAAATGCTAAATGTATGAGGAAAATGACCAAAAACCCACAGACCAAAATGATTACAGCTGTTGTGTTAGCAGCCTGAGATTATTTTAAATGTTTCTTGATCTTATGGTTTTCTAAATGTTCTGAATTTTGGTATATTACTTTCAAAATTGAAAATACATTCAATAATATTTTAAAATAAGCTCCTCTTCAGCTGGAATTAATGTTGTAACTACTGTATACATGGCAGTACCTTGAGCACGATACTAGGCAGCTAGCAAGTCTAGGAAAAAACTGCCGGTGGTAACACAGAGAAAAAGCCAGCTCTGTGATAGAGTAGAGAGAGTTGTGAGGTAAGAGCCCAGAGTCGAGGGCTGTAGACTGAGACTTGTTTAGAGTGACTTTTGTAACACAAGGATGTCATTTCATTTATTAGCATCCCATTTTCCTTATCTGCAGAATGAGAATACTACCCACAAGGGTCTTATACGATTATTCTAGGGCAAGCATTACCAAGGGAGCCAGATGGCTTTGGAATTTCCTTGGAAGGGTCAGTCCACATCCTCCAAGTTACTCATACATCCCAGTTCCCTATCTCCAAACCCAGCACAGGTTACACCCCTCTATCCTTCTCAGTCCACTCCCTTGCCAAGTATGTAAAATCCTGGGCTGTGCCAACGAGTTCCAGGATGTCCCTGGCAGCCTGCTCTCGGCTTTGCTGACCCATACACCCAAAGCCCAACCCCGAGCAAGCCCCTGCCCAGAGCTGGCTGTGCTCTGGGGTTATGCATCTCTTTCCCATCTGGGGTTACCATGTAGGCACCTTATTGATACTGAATGAAATAAAAATGACTAGAATTTCAGAAACAGGAAAGTTAAAGGTAAGGAAAAAAAAAAGACAGAGACAGAGAAATTGTTGGCAGAGTCTTCAAATCCATCATGTTTTAAGCACACCTTCCCAGAAACTGGAAATTAACCTCTGCCACCTTTTTTTCTTTTTTAATTTGGAAAAGCAACCATTTGTTCCACTGAGTCTCCTACTGACTGGGGTCAAGGAGGCTGCTATGGTTTGAATTACTATTTTATCTTTTCCACCCCTTTATCATGTTTGGAAATCTCAGTTTAAGCATTGGCTTATTGATTGGTGTCAAATGTACATTTTCCATTCTACTCCAATGACTCCTTTTTTTCTACAACAGCATCTTCTCCCCTCTCCCCCAGCCCAGACATCAAGCCTAACTTTAGCATAAGCCAACTTTCAGACACATCAGATTCATCTATCAAGAAATTGTCCATCTGTGGACTACATGAAGGGCAAAAATGGTACAGCCATTCAGGAAAAATGCATAGGATGTATGACCTTAAATGAGTTACTGTGCCCCTCTGTGCCAGCTTTCTACAGCTAAAACACAGGCATCGGACTAAACCAGGGATCTTTAGGAGTCTGGGAGCAAGGGTAGAGATGAGGAGACATATTGCTAGGAAGTTATACTAGAATCCTATGCAGGTTTTTCATTTGTTTGTTTTTCAAACCATTTACCCTAAAATCCCAAATTTTAAAATGCTTCTACTTAGGAAGCAGTGGGAAACCCTGTGAGAGTCACTGGCCTCATTAGCTCCTTTTACTTTTAGGTCTGATACTCTGGAACATGACTAAAGTATGCAGGATGCAGGCTACCAGGAACATTGTGATTTGATCCCAAAGGCTGTAACTAGCAGGTATCGTTTTGGAAGGATCACTGATCTACGTAATCCTGGAGACAACTAAAAGCTGAAGTTATTTCTAATGACATTGCTCAGTGTCATATAAGTTCAAGAGGGCACTTACCCACAGTTCTTTATCAGAAGCAGTCTATGCATTATCAAGTCTTCGTGACTGAGTATGTGTCAAATATAATGCATGCCAAGTACACAGCTATCTAATTCAATAAGAATTCCCTAGAAGGGAATAATTCATGATCATGTATGCAGCACCTACAACATGGAGTGACATGCTAGTAGCAGAGAGGATACAGAGTGTTTCTGCCCCAGACCATGTCCCTAAATGCCCTATTATTTAGACAAAAAGGAATATACACATACAAAAAGGTGGTGCAATCAAAGCAGTAGAAGCTACACCCAGTGTGGAATCTGAGCACAATGAGGATTCAGGCATGGGTGGTCAGGGTAAAGCCTTTTGAGGAACAAGGAATCTGGCCTCACTTGGAAACCTGGAGAGGGAGAGAACGAGAAAAGAAAACAGCTGCTTCCTGGAGAATCAGGAGAGTTGGAAAACAGGCTTTCTATTAATGAAGAAAGAGATTTCTCAAAAAGGGCTGAGGTTTTCCCACCTGGATATGGTAGCACATGACTAACATTCAATCTTCCCTTTTTAACAATAACTCTAAACAAGAGACACAAACACAAATTCTACCTGTGATGAACCTAGGAGACATGGAACTGTAAAACATGAAGTAAATAGAGAGGACACCAAAAATAGCAGAGCCCAGAAACAGAGAGAGGATATTCTTTGGTTGCTGTTTTAGGAAGGAGTGAAAAAGGTACACTGTAAAGTGAGGAGCAACCCAGAGGTGTAGAATCAGAATCCCTTACTTTCAACAATGGAAATGGGCTCTAAAATGCAGTCAACAATGTCTCTTTGGAACCAGCTGTATTCTGAGAAACAGGTGAAAATGGGTTGAATAAGGAGACACACAGATATGTCATATATGCAGAAAAAAAGTCTTCCCACATGAGTTGGGGAGGAGAGAGATTTGGCATTGTGAACAGCTCTATAATTGCTCATCTTTATTGACTGGACAGAGGTGAAGGCTAAAAGGATTCATACAAAACACTGCAGTGAAGAAAAATTTTTCCTTGAATGCAATGTGGTTCTCTTCTCTTCCCTACACAAATTTCCTACAAATGGCCTGGGGGGAAAATTCAAAGAATTCAAAACTTTGTCATCAAGAAGGAAAAACTACAGGCTCTATAAAGCAATATTATAGGAAAAATAAGCAAAGAAATATGAAAAGTAATGGCAAACAAAAAAACATTCAGCAGAGAACTATTGCCATGGAGCAGATACAAAAAATGTGACTAAATACTTTGTCATGATTTTTGAAAAACTTAATGAAGCACTTACACACACACACACACACACACACACACACACACACAAACACACCGAGAGAGAGAGAGAGAGAGGTAAAGTAGATATATATGAGCTCATGGAAAATGTGATAAGATAGAAGAATTTGAAATATGAGCTAAGAAAAATCTGGAAATAAGTGAATTTTTTTTAAAAAATAAAAACATTATAGAAATAAAGGCAAAATTGAAGCAACACAAGTAAAACAAGACTGGTAAGAATACAGAAGATGGCCAAATAGGAACAGCTCCAGTCTGCAGCTCCCAGCATGACTGATGCAGAAGACAGGTGATTTCTGCACTTCCAACTGAGGTACCTGGTTCATCTCATTGGGACTGGTTGGACAGTGGGTGCAGCCCACAGAGGGTGAGCTGAAGCAGGGCAGGGCATCGTCTCACCCAGGATGTGCAAGGGGTCAGGAGATTTCCCTTTCCTAGCCAAGGGAAGCCGTGACAGACTACCTGGAAAAACAGGACACTTCCACCCAAATACTGTGCTTTTCCCAAGGTCTTAGCAACTGGCAGACAAGGAGATTCTTTCCCATGCCTGGCTCAGCAGGTCCCACACCCACGGAGCCTTGCTCACTGCTAGCGCAGCAGTCCAAGATCGAACTGTGAGGTGGCAGCCTGGCTAGGGGAGGGGTGTCCACCACTGCTGGGGCTTGAGTAACTAAACAAAGTGGCTGGGAAGCTCAAACTGGGCGGAGCCCACCACAGCTCAACAAGGCCTACTGCCTCTAGACTCCACCTCTGTGGGCAAAACATAGCTGAAGAAAAGGCAGCAGACAACTTCTGCAGACTTAAACGTCCCTGTCTGACAGCTCTGAAGAGAGCAGTGGTTCTCCCAGCACGACGTTTGAGCTCTGAGAACAGACAGACTGCCTCCTCAAGTGGGTCCCTGAACCCCGTGTAGCCTAACTGGGAGACACCTCCCAGTAGGGGCTGACTGACACCACATATGGACAGCAATGGAACAAAGCTGGACAGAGAATGACTTTGATGAGTTAACAGAAGTAGGCTTCAGAAGGTCGGTAATAACAAACTTCTCCAAGCTAAAGGAGGACATTCGAACCCATCGCAAGGAAGCTAAAAACCTTAAAAAAAGATTAGACGATGGTTAACTCGAATAAACAGTGTAGAGAAGACCTTAAATGAACTGATGGAGCTGAAAATCATAGCACGAGAACTTCATGATGCACGCATAAGCTTCAATAGCTGATTCCATCAAGTGGAAGTAAGGGTTTCAGTGATTGAAGATCAAATTAATGAAATAAAGTGAGAAGACAAGGTTAGAGAAAAAAGAGTAAGAAGAAATGAACAAAACCTCCAAGAAATATGGGACTATGTGAAAAGATCAAATCTACATTTGATTTGTGTCCCTTAAAGTGATGGGAAGAATGGAACCAAGTTGGAAAACACTCTTCAGGATATTATCCAGGAGAACTTCTCCAACCTAGCAAGGCAGGCCAGCATTCCAATTCAGGAAATATAAAGAATACAACAAAGATACTCCTCGAGGAGAGCCACCCCAAGACACATAATTGTCAGATTCACTAAGGTTGAAATGAAAGAAAAAGTGTTAAGGGCAGCCAGAGAGAAACGTCAAGTTATCCACAAAGGGAAGCCCATCAGACTAACAGCGGATCTCTCGGCAGAAACCCTACAAGCCAGAAGAGAGTAGGAGCCAATATTCAACATGCTTAAAGAAAAGAATTTTCAACCCAGAATTTCATATCCAGCCAAACTAAGCTTCATAAGTGAAGGAGAAATAAAATCCTTTACAGACAAGCAAATGCTGAGAGATGTTGTCACCACAAGGCCTGACTTACAAGAGCTCCTGAAGGAAGCACTAAACATGGAAAGAAACAACTGGTACCAGCCACTGCAAAAACATGCCAAATTGAAAAGACCATCGATGCTATGAAGAAACTGCATCAATGAACGGGCAAAATAAACAGCAAACATCATAATGACATGATCAGATTCACACATAACAGTATTACCCTTAAATGTAAATGGGCCAAATGCCCCAATTAAAAGACACACACTGGTAAATTGGATAAAGAGTCAAGACCCATCAGTGTGCTGTATTCAGGAGACCCATCTCATGTGCAAAGATGCACATAGTCTCAAAATAAAGGGATGGAGGAAGATCTACCAAGCAAATGGAAAAAAAAAAAAAAAGCAGGGGTTGCAATCCTAATCTCTGATAAAACAGACTTTAAACCAACAAAGATCAAAAGAGACAAAGAAGGCCATTACATAATGGTAAAGGGATCAATTCAACAAGAAGAGATAACTATCCTAAATATATATCCACCCAATACAGGAGCACCCAGATCCATAAAGCAAGGCCTTAGAGACCTACAAAGAGACTTAGACTCCCATACAATAATTGGAGACTTTAACACCCCACTGTCAATATTAGACAGATCAATGAGACAGAAGGTTAACAAGGATATCCAGGACTTGAACTCAGATCTGCAACAAGCAGACCTCATAGACATCTACAGAATTCTCCACCCCAAATAAACAGAATATACATTCTTCTCAGCACCACATCACACTTATCCTAAAACTGACAACATAATTGTAAGTAAAGCACTCCTCAGCAAATGTAAAACAAGAGAAATCACAACAAACTGTCTCAGACCCCAGTGCAATCAAATTAGAACCCAGGATTAAGAAACTCACTCAAAACCGCACAACTACATGGAAACTGAACAACCTGCTCCTGAATGACTACTGGGTACATAACAAAATGAACGCAGAAATAAAGATGCTCTTCGAAACCAATGAGAACAAAGACACAACATACCAGAATCTCTGGGACACATTTAAAGCAGTGTGTAGAGGGAAATTTATAGCACTAAATGCCCACAAGAGAAAGCAGGAAAGATCGAAAATTGACACCCTAACATCACAATTAAAAGAACTAGAGAAGCAAGAGCAAACACATTCAAAAGTTAGCAGAAGGCAAGAAATAACTAAGATCAGAGCAGAACTGAAAGAGATAGAGAAACAAAAAACCCTTCAAAATTCAATGACTCCAGGAGCTGGTGTTTTGAAAAGATCAACAAAATTGATAGACCACTAGCAAGACTAATAAAGAAGAAAAGAGAGAAGAATCAAATAGACACAATAAAAAATCATAAAGGGGCTATCACCACCAATCCCACAGAAATACAAACTACCATCAGAGAATACTATAAACACCTCTATGCAAATAAACTAGAAAATCTAGAAGAAATGGATAAATTCCTGGACACATACACCCTCCCAAGACTAAACCAGGAAGAAGTCGAATCTCTGAAAAGACCAATTACAGGTTCTGAAATTGAGGCAATAATTAATAGCCTACCAACACAAAAAAGTCCAGGACCAGACAGGTTCACAGCCGAATTCTACCAGAGGTACAAGGAGGAACTGGTACCATTCCTTCTGAAACTATTCCAATCAATAGAAAAAGAGAGAATCCTCCCTAATTCATTTTATGAGGCCAACATCATCCTGATACCAAAGGCTGGCAGAGACACAACAAAAAAAGAGAATTTTAGACCAATATCCCTGATGAACATCAACGCAAAAATCCTCAATATAATACTGGCAAACCAAATCCAGCAGCACATCAAAAATCTTATCTACCATGATCAAGTCGGCTTCATCCCTGGGATGCAAGGCTGGTTCGACACATGCAAATCAATAAACATAATCCATACATAAACAGAACCAATGACAAAAACCACATGATTATCTCAATAGATGCAGAAAAGGCCTTTGACAAAATTCAACAACCCATCATGCTAAAAACTCTCAATAAACTAGGTATTGATGGAACGTATCTCAAAATAATAAGAGCTATTTATGACAAACCCACAACCAATATCATACTGAATGGGTAAAAACTGGAAGTATTCCCTTTGAAAACTGGCACAAGACAAGGATGCCCTCTCTCACCACTCCTATTCAACATAGTGTTGGACGTTCTGGCCAGGGCAATCAGGCAAGAGAAAGAAATAAAGGGTATTCAATTAGGAAATGAGGAAGTCAAATTGTTCCTGTTTGCAGATTACCTGATTGTATATTTAGAAAACCCCATCATCTCAGCCCAAAATCTCCTTAATCTGATAAGCAACTTAAGCAAAGTCTCAGGATACAAAATCAATGTGCAAAAATCACAAGCATTCCTATACACCATTAACAGACAAACAGAGAGCCAAATAATGAGTGAACTCCCATTCACAATTGCTACAAAGAGAATAAAATACCTAGGAATTCAATTTACAAGGGATGTGAAGGACCTCTTCAAGGAGAACTACAAAGCACAGCTCAACAAAATAAAAGAGGACACAAACAAATGGAAGAACATTCCATGATCATGGATAGGAAGAATCAATATCATGAAAATGGCCATACTGCCCAAAGTAATTTATAGATTCAATGCCATCTGCATCAAGCTACCTATTACTTTCTTCACAGAATTGGAAAAAACTACTTTAAAGTTCATATGGAACCAAAAAAGAGCCCACATTGCCAGGACAATCCTAAGCCAAAGGAACAAAGCTGGAGGCATCACACTACCTGACTTTAAACTATACTACGAGGCTACAGTAACCAAAACAGCATGGTGCTGATACCAAAACAGACATATAGACCAATGAAACAGAAGAGAGGCCTCAGAAATAACACCAAATATCTACAACCATCTGATCTTTGACCAACCTGACAAAAACAAGAAATGGGGAAAGGGCATCCCTATTTAATAAATGGTGCTGGGAAAACTGACTAGCCATATGCAGAAAGCTGAAACTGGATCCCTTCATTACACCTTATACAAAAATTAATTCAAGATGGATTAAAGACTTAAATGTTAGACCTAAAACCTAAAAGCACTAGAAGAAAACCTAGGGAATATCATTCAGGACATAGGCATGGGCAAGGACCTCATGACTAAAACACCAAAAGCAATGGCAACAAAAGCCAAAATAGATAAATGGGATCTAATTAAACTAAAGAGCTTCTGCACAGCAAAAGAAACTACTGTCAGAGTGAACAGGCAACCTACAGAATGGGAAAAAATTTTTGCAATCTACTCATCTGACAAAAGGCTAATATCCAAACACTACAAAAAACTCAAACAAATTTACAAGTAAAAAACAAACAACCCCAACAAAATTAGGCAAAGGATATGAACAGACACTTCTCAAAAGAAGACATCTATGCCACCAACAGACACATGAAAAAATGCTCATCATCACTGGTCATCAGAGAAATGCAAATCAAAACCACAATGAGATACCATCTCACATCAGTTAGAATGTCAATCATTAAAAAGTCAGGAAACAACAGATGCTGGAGAGGATGTAGAGAAATAGGAACACTTTTACACTGTTGGTGGGAGTGTAAATTACTTCAACCATTGTAGAAGACAGTGTGGTGATTCCTCAAGGATGTAGAACTAGAATTACCATTTGACCCAGCAATCCCATTACTGGGTATAAGCCCAAAGGATTATAAAGCATGCTACCATAAAGACACATGCACATGTATGTTTATTGCAGCACTATTTACAATAGCAAAGACTTAGAACCAACACAAATATCCATCAATGAATAGAACTGGATTAAGAAAATGTGGCATATATACAGCGTGGAATACTATGCAGCCATAAAAAAAGAATGAGTTCATGTCCTTTTCAGGGACATGAATGAAGCTGGAAACCGTCATTCTCCGCTAACTATCACAAGGACAGAAAAACAAACACCGCATGTTCTCACTCATAGGTGGGAATTGAACAAAGAGATCACTTGGACACAGGACAGGGAACATCAAACACTGGGGCCTATTGGGGGGTGGGGGACTGGGGGAGGGATAGCATTAGGAGAAACACCTAATGTAAATGATGAGTTGATTGGTGCAGCAAACCAACATGGCACATGTATACCTATGTATCAAACCTGCATGCTGTGCACATGTACCCTAGAACTTAAAGTATAATTTAAAAAAATACAGAAAGAAACAGAAAGGAAAGAACAGTGATTGAAAAAAGTAAGAACAGAATGAAATGGAAATAAGAAATTTAAAGGGATTAGAAAGAAAATGATAGGTAAGGAAGATTAGCAAAAGACATAAAAGAATATTTAAAGGTGTAACTCAATACATTTTCCAGAAATAAAAGAAGACTTGAATACATTGTACTTGACTACATCTTGAAAGTCACAGAGTATCCTGGAAAAAAGTGACAACCATAATCTAGTACATTTATGAGACTCCAAAGATAAAGAAAGAATATTTGGGCAGGCAGTCACTCCTTCCTTATGATGGGGAAAAATGAGATTGGCCTCAGACTTTACCATTGTATCATTTACCATTAGAAGATAGTGGAGTGATACCTTTGGTACTAGTCCTCCAAAAAACAGTGTGACTCAAAAATTTTATACCCAGCAAAAACTATCATTCATTATAAAAGAAATGAACCATATTTGAACTTACAACAATTCAAGACATTTTGTTATGTCTTGAAGAAACTATTAGGGGAAGAAGTTTTCAGCCACCCAAGAGTTGAATGGAAAACAACAGCAAAGGCCTAGTGAAGAAGACTGAATCTATTTAAATGTAGGACTAAGACTAAAGCAAGTTGGGATTTATGATTAAAAACAGGTAAATATTATAAACCCTGAAAATGTAGATCTAATATAACTAACAGAAGGGGAAGGAAGAAGCTACTGTATTATCTTCTATAGCTAAGAAGTCAAAAGATATCATTAGAAACTGGTAAATAAATTTATTTAACAGCCCAAAGGTAAATCCTAAGAATATAGTAAAACAAGTGAAATAGAGTAGAGGATGAGAGGCAAGGGAAGGAAAGAAAGAAAAGACTAAAAGAACATTAATCTGCCAGGTTTCCTCCCTATGTAGCCTGTTGTCAAGCCCATGTCATATAATAACCTCTCACCTTGCTGCTTGGTGTCCCAAACACCAAAGACATTTACCTATCCACTCATCCATTCATTCAATGAATATTTATTGAGTGCCTAATATGCACTGGGTATGGCTCAAGGCACTGAGAATAGAGCAATGAGCAACATGGGCAAGACTCTGCCTTCAAAGAGCTTACATTTAATTGGAAAGACACGTTATAAACAAATAACTGTACAACATAATGCCAAGTAGAGGTGAGTACTATGATGAACAATAAAGCAGAGTGGAAATAGAGAGTAATGGGAGAGTGGCGGTGAGAAGGTATCAGAGGACAGAATGAAAGAATGGGTGACCCTTGTGACTATCAAAGGGCAAAGCATTTCACGCGCGTGCACACACACACACACACACACACACACAGCCTCAAAGATAGCAATGGCTCTCAGCTAGCCTCCAGAGCTTCCCACAGCCCCATGCTAAAAAATAGCATCCCCTCTACCTCTTCCCAGAGCATTTCTGTTCAAGCACCTGGGGCAGGTTGATCCCACCAGCCCTTTTCCTCTGGCATCCACCTTTGAGCACTGGACATAGCTGGAATTTGGGCTGAAAATCAGCAAAAGTCAAGCACATAAGGCAAACAGAATTAGGTTGCTAAGGAAAACTCAGGCACCTTTCACCAAATTGGTTCCAGACCATAATTGGTTCTAAATAAAGGAAAAACAAAACCCTGCTGTCTGCTGGAGCTATTTGAAGACTGAGAATTGGAGACACCGATTCAAAGGAAATGGTGAGCTGTTGCTGAACTTCTGTTAGCTCAGTTGGCTGGCAGAGTAGAGGGAAGAAGTTCAAACCCCACTCAGAAAGCTTTCTTGTCTCTTCTCTGAGGGCACTCACTTCAGCACCATTCCCTTGGCACCTACTAGCAACCAGCAGCCTGGCTGAGGTGTCAGAGGGTATAGGTGAAGGAAGCAGGAAAGAAAGGAATAAACAGCTATAGAGAGGCTGCCCTGTGCCTGGCACTGTTTCTGGTACCTTACATGTGCTTTCCTGATGAACTTTTACGAATCCCAGGTGTAGGTAACAACCATATGCAGATAAGAAATGAAAAGTCAGAAGGTAAATATGTTAAAAAATGTACAGGCCTCTCAGCCAAGTGCCTATAATCAAATGTCCATTACAAAGTAGGTGCCAGTGGAAAGCCCACTTACCTTTGCATTCTATGAAGCACAGCCAGGAGAGGAGCTGAGCAGAAAGCTCAATGTTGGTGGCCATCTGCTTTGCATCAATTCTATGCTGATCAGCAGTGGTGGCCCTAGCAGGTACAGTTACAACCTAGGGACCTATGAGCTCCATGCAGACATCAGTCAGGTAGTTTTGATTCCAGCACTTTCATGCAAATCTCAGCCCTAGAAGCTGCCACGTCAGGTCTTCCTTGACCTGCCAGAGCCTGGGTGATAAGCAAAGTATATTGGAACAGACAAAGGGCAAGGGAAACCCTGATGGTTCCACATGGTACAGACACTGGCAGCAAGCTGACATTCCACCATCAATCTTTCTGCCTGGCCTGCCTTTTTGCATTTCCAAGCTGTCTGACTCAGCCCAGCCACTTGTGCCCAAAAGATTTTGAAGGGCCTGTAGGAGATTGTACCAGGGGATGCTAGAAGGTGTAGGAGATGTAAAATTTTAAAAAGCAAGGAAGGGGGAGAGAAGTGAGACCCCTTTGGGCCTATAAGAGAAGAGAGAAAATAATTCCAAGATTCCTTTATATTCTGAGCAGAAGGCAGACACAAAATGATAATAAATGCCAATCATCTAGGCCTGCTGAAAAGCTCTTAAAAAAAAGGATCAGTGCTTCATTAAAATCACACTTGCTCTCAGTTCAACTGAGGAACAAAGATGATGAGAAGCAAAGTGGAATGTTTTTGAAAAGTGAAACAATAAAAAAGGGCTGATGAGAAGCCCTCAAACCCAAGACAACCAAATGAAAATTCAAACAGCTTCCATTAATAAAGTAAGCACTAGGCCAGGCACGGTGGCTCATGTCTGTAATCCCAGCACTTTGGGAGGCTGAGGCAGGCGGATCACGAGGTCAGGAGTTCAAGACTAGCCTGACCACAACACGGTGAAACCCTGTCTCTACTAAAAATACAAAAATTAGCCAGGCATGGTGGCGCATGCCTGTACTCCCAGCTATTCAGGAGGCTGAGGCTGGAGAATCCCTTGAACCTTGAGGCGGAGGTTGCAGTGAGCCAAGATCGCGCCATTGTACTCCAGCCTGCGTGACAGAGCGAGACTCTGTCTCAAAACAAAACAAAACAAACAAACAAACAAAAAAACACGAAGGAAAGGAAAAAGAAAAGAAAGCACCAGAGTCAAATTCTCTGTTGGGGAGGAAGGCGATTTGCAGAAACCTTGCCGTGTGGCAATGGCAGCTCTGGCTTCAGTTTCTGCCCACCTGCTATCACCCAGAACTCAATAGCTTATTTTGACTATTCTCCAATGCTCAGCTCAAGAGGGTTTAATACCATGCAAGGTGGTATTTGAAAAACTGCAGTTTGCAAACAGCCTGCAGGGGGTTGCGGAGAGCTGGCTGTAAGAGACAAAATTATTTATTGCTGAAATCTGCATCACACCATTGTCCTCCCATTTTACTCAGAAAGGTACCAAAAAGATGTCTGGGGCTGCAGTGTCTGGACAGAAGGGGAGAAAAACCAATTTCAGATTCCTTGGGTGAGATTTTGCCGCATGATTAAAGAAAGGCATGATTCTTACAGTATACTTAGAAGTGAGTTGGTGGCAGTCAGCATGAAATGGAAGAGACATTGCAGTTTTCTGACCCAATAAAATATGAAATAAAGTATCATGATGTTATTGGACATTTTCATCTGGTGGGTCTCTGCATTAGTAAACATCTCATAGAAGGATAAATGTCAAGAGAAAGATGTGACACAGAAACAAGGGAACATGGAAACTCACTGCATCATTGCAGGCAGCACTCGGCATCAGCTGTTAAGAAAGCCGTTAAGGAAGCCAGCCGCTGACGTGTGTTTGACAAATCCCAGGGGTCAGCACCCAGTAACCTGACGACTGACCTCTTCTTATCCATGAAACACATTTCCATGGACAGGAGACCTCTTTGCCTCTGCATGTGCCTAAGTGAAAATTCAAACTCCCAAACAAAACGTTAGAGAAAGCCTTTTGTGTTTTGTTTTCTAGCCATCAATTACTTCCTGCTTGGCTAGCAAGTGAGAACCAAAACTATCCACACCCCACACAGCTTACTGTCTACATACATGACTTTACTATTTCATTGTCATCACTAGCACCATCTTAGTATGCCAGGAGAGTCTTGTCCAGGCAGATAATTTGACTGTTCATTATAGGAACTTCTCAAAGGACCCAAAGAACTCTCATAAAAAGAATTCATCAAGAGCAGTTTATTCCCTAAAATTCTTTAAGTCTTCTGCCTCAAAAATCCTTACCTTGCTATTTCCACCAATTCTAAACTTTTCTATCATGATCCTTACCCATTCTAATCAAGTCCTCCCCATTGAAAGATCTAGGTCTGCCTTAAATCAAACTTCCACTTCTCAACAAATTCCAACCATGCTTTGCCCTGTTCCAAGACACCACCAAAGCTGTCAAGGTGGTTTTCTTCCTTACTGCAGCAAACAATAAATTCAGTTTTCTCTCCTCAACTGGTTGTGTGCTGGTGATATTTGGAGAGTCAGAATTTGACAAAAGGAATCCAAAGGTCAATAGCTTTATCAAAAAGCCAAGCCATACACTTTAACTCTGATATTCTAAAGTTTTTAAAAATGAATTATTCTCTAATTGCTTCAGTTGCTAAACTTAATGGATTCTTTTCTAATTGCTCCAATTTTGCTAAAAAACAAATATTTTTGGAACACCTGTAATGTTCTTAGTTAAGGCTCCAAAAGAAGTCTCCTGTCCTTAAGCAGTTTTCAGTCTGAGCAGGCACCCAATACACATGTTCAGTTAATTGTTATAATAGTTATAATACAAATTTGAGAGATTTGTGGACCTGGACCACGGTGAGCCTAGCAGCTGAAGATATCTCTAAGCAAGAGGGTGAGAAGCAAGCTTCAGCAAAAATGTCAGTTAAGAATGAAGGAAAATACATGAAGCATTCAGAAAATTGTAACGAAATGTCAGCAACAAAGCGCCCCTGATAATATTAGCCAGCTCCTCTTTACATTCCACTTAGATTTGGTTTCTATTCCTGAGAAAGCTCTTAACTCCTTGGGATTGTACAAACTTATCTAATAGCTCCTAGGCTCTGGAGACAGACTTTGTCTTTAAATTAACTATATATGAACAGAATCTACTGGGCCCAGGACTTAGGAGGTGTTAGTAAATATTTAATGAATGACAGAAGGGATAGGACAGGGATGAAGACCGAGGTACAGAGACCAGGCTGGCGGTTACTGCAACAGGCCCGCTACTCAGATTCTGCTAATGAGCAATTTACAACCAAAGGTGCAAAATTCAGCAGCTCTCTTGACCAGGTGGGGCATTGCTTTGCCCGTTTCATGCATTCACCTTGTCTGCCCAACACTATTACATGCCCCTTGGGACCTGGCTGGGTCATCTGGATCTTTACATATGGGGCATATATTCAGGCCCTAACCATGTTGCTTCACTTTTCTGTGCCATTGCACACTTGTCTCTGCATACTAGAAAAAGATCTGCCTGTCCACCTCACCTTCATCCCTGTCCCCACAATCTACCCTATCTCCACCCTACCCTCATTGCAGCCCCATCCCTGCTCTCTACTCCACTCCATTCCATTTCTGCTCCCATCTCATCTCCATTACTGCCCCTGCTCCACCTCTATCTCTCCCATACTCCTTTGCTGCCCCTATCCCACCTTCATTTCCACTTCCTCATTCCTACTGCCCTGTAAACTTAGCCTTGCCAGCATCTCCAGGAAGCTTTCCAAGACACAGGCAGAGGCACAAAATTCTTTCTCTAAGAGGAATTCTAGCGTCACCAAGCTGTCAATTCCACAATGCTAGGAGTTTTACCCTCTTTGTTCTCTCCTACATGTCCAGCACCTAGCACAATGCCTGGTGCACAACAGAAACTCAATAAACGCTTACTGAATAAATGAATGCTTCCAAGGCACTTGGCCCTAACACTGTTTTAAGACTTTTTGCTCTGAATTGCAACATCTGGTTTATGTGCGTGTCTGTCTTTCTCATTACACCAGAAGAAAATGGAAGGTGGAGACCATTTCTTCATGGCTTTGTGTCTCTGAGGCCCAGCACATGCCTGGCACATAGTGGGTGCTCACTATTAATGGGTGAATAAAAGGGTGAGTGCAGTACGCTATTGCCATGCTGGGCACTCAGTATAGAGTCTCAATAAAAATGTAGATTGCCCTGGTCTAGAGATCTCTATGCCAATTAAGAGAATTTTTTAAATGTAATTTGAAAATCTGCTTTAATCTACTAACTAGTTCTTTCTCTGTTATTTCAAGACTTGCCCACATGCTTCTCTGAGGAGTCACATCTCTGCACTTCACCCCCTTCCTCAAAACACACCCCCGCTTCTGGCTTGCCATTTCTCCTGCGAGGTCTCCTGTGCTGATCTCTGTGACTGACGAAATGCCCATGATAGTGGGCTATGCCAGACAAGCCCCTGTCTCCTCCTGAGCCCGCTGGTGACCACTGACCTTCGCCTCTTATTCATACAGGGGCCTGCCCTTGACTGGTACTTGGTGCAAATACCAGCAGTGTCTACTGTTTACCCTAATGTGTTTCTAGAAGGCAGATCATCATTTCCTCATAGGGTCAGCATTGTATTGGAGAGCTACATTTCAAGGTTGTTCTCTGGGAACAAATTAGTGAAAAATAAATCACAGGTATGGCAAACAATTTGTCATAGAAGCGAAGACACAACAATAAATCCCTGTATACATTTTTAAAGCCTTATAAAGCAATGAAAGAAAAGACCTAGAAAACAGGCATAAATGTCCTATATACATCAATTACATGGGGGTGCCATATATCAAGGTTAAGTCTATTACATTTTAAAATTTGGCCTAAAATAAATATGTAACTCTAGTATGTGTGTTAATTAAACTTTTGATTAACAAATTATCTTGCTTGCATCATGGAAATAAGTCAGTAGGGGTTTTAAAGAGTGATAAGACTAATAAAAACTCAAAGGATCTAGGGATATGAATCAGTTTCTTCTTTTGTTCTCAAATTTCCATGTTACAAAAAAAGGCATGTAAAATCATGTCATCATATTATATAGACTCTAAAATGGGAATTATAAGGACTATGGGAACATAGAAAAATATACAATGTAACATTTAAAACAAAAAATCAGAATAACATATGGATGCTGATTGGAACAATGCAGTAGTTTACATGTACGAGTAAGTTAACATGTAACAATAAAAACAGGTGTGTTAGGATGATGAGTCATGAATGATTTTTAAATGATTATTCTATAATTTTTTAAAAACTATCACATTGACACCCAATTTAAATAAAGGGAATGGATGGGCGGTAGGGGAGCTGAAGCCATTTGATAAACCTAAGATCTGTACACAGATCTTATCTGTGTTCTTATCTTATCTGGCTCTTAGGAAACTGGTACCTTTTGGGATATGTCGCCCACTCAAAAATTTCTTTTCTTTAATAAGGACTGACTCAATATTTGTCCACTGCATCCTCTCTGATGTTTTCAGCTTTTTCAAACCTTGAAGGGCCACTGCTACTCTGAACTAAAAGTACAGCAAACCCAAAGGAAATGGAAGATAGCCATTCTCTCCTTCACAGCATTTGTGGCTGATAGATCTGGACACTTCATCAATGGTGATCTTTGAAACAATTACCTGGCCATTAGCATCAAGTTTTTAAATGAAGCGGCCAAACACTGCCAGACTCCAGCAGATGCATGAGTTCAGAAGCCTAATTAAATCACAGTGTTAGAATAAAATCTCATAGCCGGTGTGGTAGCTCACGCCTGTAATCTTAACACTGTGGGAGGCTGAGGCAGGAAGACTGCTTGAGGTCAGGAGTTCAAAATCAGCCTACACAACATAGTGAGAACCCCATCTCTACAAAAAATAAAAGTCAACTGGGTATGGGCGTGTGCCTGCATTCCCAGCTACTTGGGAGACTGAGGTGGGAAGACGGCTTGAGCCCAAGAGTTGAGGCGACTATGAGCTATGATTGTACCACTGCACAGCCTAAGGTGACAAGAGTGAGACCCTGTCTTTAAAAAAAAAAATTCCCATAATGCCATAGACTAGTAATTTATAGAATTCAACTATATGCTAGTGAGACTAGGTAACAGTTCAATAGTTCGGGTAATTCTGACTTGTAGTCAGTATGAGAATACAAATGGAAGGCCACATAAATATTTTAAAGTTACAAACCAAGCTGATGAATTGTTCAATAAAGTGTTCTATCCTCCTTCCCTGACAAATACACCTTCATAATGACCATTTTTTTGAGAGAGGGTCTCACTCTATTGCCTAGGCTGGAGTGCAGTGGGGCAATCATGGCTCACTGCAACCTCCACCTCCCAGGCTCAAGCGATCCTCCCACCTCAGCCTCCCAAGTAGCTAGGACTACAGGTGCATGCCACCACCAAACCTAGATAGGTTTTGTATTTTTGTGATAGAGACAGGGTTTCCCTATGTTGCCCAGGTTGGTCTCGAACACCTGGGCTCAAGAGATTCACCCTCCTTGGCCTCTCAAAGTGCTGGGATTACAGGCTTGAGCCACTGTGCCTGGCTGACAAAATTTTAAAAATATGTTTAAAGTTAGGGTTTTATATGACTGAAAGTCACAAAATACCAAAGATCAGCAAATTGACTAATCATTGTACATGTCTGGGTGTTCTGTTAATTCAGATATTCCTCAACTTACTGTGGGCCTACATCCCGATAAATTCATCATACATTGAAAATAACATAAGTTGAAAACACATTTAATACACCTAACCCACATCATAGCTCAGCCTAGCTTACCTTAAATGTGCTCAGAACGCTTATATTAGCCTACGGTTGGGCAAAATCATCTAACACAAAGCCTATTTTCTAGGAAAGTGTTGAATATCTCATGTAATTTATTGAATACTGAACTGAAAGTGAAAAAAAGAATGGTTGTATGGGTACTCACAGAGTGCTTTCTCCCGAATGTGTATCGCTTTTATGTCATCCTAACATCAAAATATCATAAGTCACTCCATCGTAAGTCAGGTACCATCTGTACTTTAGTAATATTGGATGAGTTACGCAATAAAAGCATAAATAATTCATAAGTTATTATATATTTGTTTCACAAAACTAACTTTCCTTGCTTTCATTTCAGCAAAATTGCTAATGTTATTCAAATCAATAGTTTTAATATAATGTTTATTCTAAAATAAAATGTGATTGTATTCAATGTATAAAATTTGAACATTTGTAATAAAAAATTCAAATTACATTAAATTTTAAAATGTAAATGAAAATTAAAACATAAAATATTAACTATACTGAATATATTCCAACTATTTATATCAGAGATATTTAAAGCTAATTTTTATTCATTTTAATGTAAATTAAATCTTATTAACCATTTAAAAAATAAGAGTATTCCTAATTATAGCAGTCCATGCCTCTCCAGTTGCCAATGCAAAGAATCAATATTGCCTAAATATGCAGAGTGAAGAGCGATATAAATTTTTTAATGTTGAAAAAATGTTCCTCAGTCACCATGTGCAAGTGTTGGGAATCTGTGAATATCTCCGAAACCACAAATTGTAAGAAAAAAAAGCAGCAAGGAAATGGGCACTCAGTACTGCTGTGAAACCACAGTTCATTATACATGAATCTATTGCATCGCTGATATGTGAGAGGAAGCCTCCGACAAGGTAATTCATTTGTTTTCTCTTCTTACCTAAGCAGTTTTGCTGCTTAAATCTTCTCTGAAGTCCAAAGCTGTGTCTGACTCTGCCTTTCACAGGGGCATGAGCCAAAAGCCTTCCTGGCAATCAGACAGGCCCACCTTCTGTTTCAAGGACGCAGGACCAGAGATGAAGGAAAGCATTTCCCTGGGGCCTGAGCGGTGTTAATGGCGGTCAGGGAGCGGACATTTAGAGCATCTGTGTGCTCTTTACAGGAAAGGAGCCCCCCTCCACCCCCACGCCCAGCCATAAGGACTCAACTGCAGAATCCCATGTCTCTAAGGCAGGCAGCAAATTTGAGATGAGACCTGGGCATCTACAGTTGTCTACATGGGTTTGTTGCAACGACCTCATGCTTCTAAGGGAGTGATCAGTCACCACTCTGAGTGAAATGTTTGTTTCACGATTTGTGTTTTTCTATTTCTTGGACCCAACTACCTCTCCTGCTTTCCAACTGAACAATCACGTCCCTTTTTCTAAGAGGGAAGGAAAAAGTGGTTGGGTGGTACTCACTGAGACAGGGTAAAATTGGGTCTCCAATGTAATCCCTTGCTAAGTGATTTTCAAGGACAATTGTGACTCTACAGGCTTTTTTGCCTTGACACTGACTTTAGAACCTGAAGTCCCAAAGCAAAGAATGAAGAAAAAAAACTGCATTTTCAAGGAGAAACACCCTGGGAACACACACCATAGGAACTGGAGCAAAATCATCTCCAGAAGCAGGTGAAATTCATGGGTGTGAGTGCAAGCACACGGCAAGATCTCCCCTCTGCGTGAAGAGCGGATTAAGGTATTTTGTGACTTTCAGTCATATAAAACCCCAAGCCTGAGTCTTAGATCATTAAGACACAGAAAGTTTCCCCTCAGAGGTTATTGACAATCTCCCATCAGTTCTAGTCACATCTAAACTTAAATTAGTTTAAACTATTGCTTTCCTCCTAGCACCTAGCATAACAGCTAAATGGAAGAAATGGAAGCTTCGGTGTGATAGAGAAGGGGAAGAAAAAGAAAAAGAAGTCAAGTGTATTAATCACTCCATTCATTAGGGCCCTGCCTGGGGCCCTTCCATTGCCACTTCCCACACACAGCACCAAGCCCAGCATTTCATTTTGCTGGTTTGTTAAGTATAGATGACTCCCTGACTTGAAGGGGATTCAAAGTTTTATCTTCCTGGTATTTTCAGTTCTTTCCATGGTAGGCATTCAATAAACATTTGCTATCTGCAACAACAACAACAACAAAAAAAAAAGCATATATGCATGAAAAGAAAGTCTGTACTGGAAAATGAATCCAGATTCTTAACCAAGAGTTTGAAAGCTAACTTTTGAAATGCAGCGTATCTGTAAACAGGGAACTGTCTGCCCTGACCATGATCCCTCCCAGGGCTCTGCATCCCACTTGTTTGTATATGCATCTCATTTCCTGTTCTGGGAGCACACAGGGGTTGAAGATGTTACCCTCACTTTGGGCCCAGAACAGAGGCTGGCATATAACAGGCATGTAACTATACTTATTTGTGAAAAAAATCAAGGAATAAAGAAAATAAACAGTCACTTGAGGCAGGCTTCTTATGAGCATGGCTATGGATCAGCCTGCTTGAGTTTTTAATTTACTTAAAAATTTCTCTTGGCTGAGACCTTTACCCACATAGACAAACAGCAGAGAAGAGCGTGTCCTTCAGGCAGACAAAGGCAAGTAGGCTGGAGGGAATGTGGGGCAGGACTGCTCTGAGCACCCCCACCACACACACCGGTTGTGGAAAGTCACGCCCTGCAAGGGCACATGTGCCTCTCATATCCTTCCTGGGTCTTGTTGCAACTGAGCCACTTTAGCCTCTTTTGACTTTTTTTCATGACAATTTTGCCATTATTATTATTATTATTTTAAATCTCAGTGACTGAAAAAGTTTCAAACTAGGACATTCTCTAAAGTACTTTGGCTGAGCACGCCATGAGTTCCTTCCTTCCACACTGACCCTGATGTCAGTGGTTGTTAAACTTTGTTAACTAGTGGATCCCTTTCCATTTCCACCCTCTCATTAATCCAAGCACCGCGTTGGTATTTACTTGCCCACTTTTGGAATTCAAACTAATGTCAAAGCCATTTCCAATTGTTCTTCCTCTTTCCTGCATCAATCTGTCACCCAACTTATACATCCTTCCCCTAAAAAGCTGCCCCTGCATCTCAGTTCACACCCCTAGGAAGGAGCAAAAAGGGAACTGGGATTGGAACCCAGCAGTCCAGCTCCAGGGTTCGTGTTCTCATGTCACCACCCCTTTGCCCTAGTCTAACCAAGAACCACAATTCAGGTTATTGTGAGGGCAGGCGAGAGATGGTTTTCAAACCTTTCTGCCACAATAGAACTCACTGCAATTAACCACTGCTAGAAAACGGCCACTGGCCCTTTGTTCAACATTTCTATCAGTAGGGGCACTAGCAAGAAAAGGACTCTGTCCTTTGGAGATGGCTAGGGTCCGTGACCTACCATCAGCACAGGGGGACTCTGTAATATTTCTCTAGGACTAGGGCTGAGCTTCAGGGAGTCACCTACCATCCACAAACCTTTGTTAGGAGGGTTCTGTGGTCACAAGATACAAAGTAGGATGGGAATAACTAGGTGTCATGTTTCGATGGAACCCACAAGCTGTAACAATGCACCTTGGACTCCAATCCCTTTGTAGACAAATATGGGAGGCAGCCTGGAGCAGCCCCATAGGAAGTGGGCATGCTGTGAGAAACTGGAGACAGCACAAGCAGTCCAGCGGTGTTCAAATTCTTTAAAAAACAAGCAGCAAACACTGAGCCAAACAAACAAAACATATCCTGGCCACCACTAGCTCCTAGGCTGCCTTGTTGTGAAAACTGGTTGGTGACTCAGGTTAATGGATAAATGCTTTGTATTCCCTAAGATTTTTAAAAATCACTTCTCTCTTCAGAGCCAGCTAAACCTGTGCTGAAATGGAACCACTTCAGCAATAAGCCTCCACAGAATCATCTGAAGCAAATTAAAGTGTTTCTCTCAAAACAATCCTTTTTCTGGAAGGCATTCAATCAGGGTACTCCTTCAACTCTCTGTTTTCTTTCTGAGTGGTAGCTTTTTGCTATATGGAAAAGATAAGAACAATCTCAGACCTATCCAAAGGCATCTAATTTTCCTGTGACAAAAGTCCCACCATTGTCAAGTGGAGCCGCATCTCAGCAGCCTTTCAACAGGATAATCTGTCCTCCTTCACAGCCATTTACCAAGCGCCTCTTGGCATATTGCCTCAATGATGTTTGAGGGGTTATTTCTACCCAGGTACCTTTATTTTGAGCTGCACATTAGCCTGTCATCAAGACACTGTTACCACAAAAAAATAAAATAAAATAAAGAATTAGTTGCTCACCTTTGGTTTTCTCTTGATCTTTAAAATAAACAATGGGCTTGACACCATTGTGATTTTCCGAGTTTAACTGCTGCTTTAAATCAAATTTCACATCTAATGCTTGTTACGAATGGCCAGGTGGAGCATGAAGAGAAATCGTGTTTGTGATTTGGCCTCCCAAGCTATTTATGTTGGAGAAACAGAAAGCTGCATCCTGGGGGAATACTCTTATGAATGTTATTATGAATAGCATCAGGGCTCCAGCCTAGCATTTTGGCATTTGCCACTAATCACTTATGCGCCACATGTCATCAGAATTAAACATACACATGCTCGCTGCGACATATTAATATGCTGCCATGGCAGAGCAGGGGAATTCCGACAGCCATGGAAGCCAGGAAATGACTAATGGAGGCCTACTTTCCCCTTCTCTCCAGGGCTTGGGCCCTGTGTACCCTCAGGGTATGACAGAAGGGCCTGGAGAATGACTAAAGGATGATGCAGAACTAAGGAAGACCTTCAACTTGAAACAAGGATTGTATACTTTGAGACTTAAGGCATCAGTTGGTAAATTTTTTTCTTTAAAGGGCCAGATAGTAAATATTTTAGGTTTTATGGGACCACATAGTACTGTCGCATATTTTTTTTTCTACAACACTCAAAAAAATGTAAAAAAAAAAAAAAAAAAAAAAAAAGCTTGCTGACATTACAGGTATCATGAGCTATATAGAAACAGGGATTGCCCATACGTAATTTGCTAACCCCTGACCTAAGGGAATCAAGTGGTTGTCTGCCAGTGACCTCAAGCCAGCAGGGCATGTCAAACTTAGGAAAGCAGTGTACTGAGTGACTTGAGCCTGCAGTCTCAGCTACTTGGGAAGCTAAGACAGGAGGATCACTTGAGCCCAGGAGTTCAAGGCCAGCCTGGGCAACATAGCAAGATCTTGTCTCTAAAAACAAACAACAACAACAACAAAACCCCAACAACTTATGAAAGCACTCAGGATCCTCCTATTGGAGTCAGAGCTATGACCTAATTATATATAAGCATGGTTTCTACATGAATGGTTGGACCTTGCGTATCTGTTTCCATCTCTAAGTGACCCATGATCCTTCCAGTCAGGAACTGAAAATACCTGCTTCAGATTAAATGCTGCCTCCTCCAGGAAGGCTTCCAGGATTGCTGCAACACTCCGTCCCTTCCCTGAAACCCCAATGTTTATGGCTGTTGCCAGACTTTTGGCAATACTGTTATGACAACATGACCTCTAAATACTAACCTCTTAGTAACACTTCATGGTTCACCAAACAGTTTCACTAGCCAGGATAATATCACTCAGGCTGCAGGTGCAGCCCCAGAGTTAGGCTCTCAGAGGTCAAGTATGTTGCCCGAGGTCACATTACTAGGAGGAGCCATCTAGCTCCAAAATCTATGCTCCCTACATACAGCACTGGGGGACCTGCCCCTAATTCTCCCTTGACATGTCAGCCTTCCTTCCCTGGTGTCTTGCAATTTCCTTGCAGTCAAGGAACATGTCTAATGCCTCTCTGTAGCCTCCCAGTCAGAGCTGGATACCTACGAGGCCCAGTACATAATGTCTATTCAGTAAATACCTGGGGTTAACTCAGAGCTGAAGCCCATGGAGGCTGGCAGAGAAGACCCCCAAAGACTATTATGACACAAAGTAGAAGAGGAGAGTGGGGCAGCCTCTGCCCGCCAACCCACAGGCCCAGACATGACACGGAGCAGCTGCCTCAGGAGGTAGCACCGTGGGAGCAGAGCCAGGGCCTACACTTCACACATTCTGGTCTCCACGACCCTCCCCAGCCAATCACACACACTCCCTGCATGTCTCTTCTCAAATGCTTCCCCAGGAGCATCTATGAAGGAGTATGGTGTAGTGCTAAGGCTTTCAAAATGTATGTCAGACTTACTCATGATCATAAACTCAGTTTACTGGCTTCAGATTGGCATTTTCGTTAATGAAATGAATAGAAGAGAAAAGATCAAAATGCACTTCACATTCAAAGGTAAGGATGGGTGAATATCGTTCAGTGAAACTTTTGTTTGCTCTGCCTGTGCGGGTGTGTGCACTTGTGCATGTGTGTGTATTGTCTTGCTATATCAAAGTTTAAGCAACTCTAACACAGTGGTTAATACTGCAAGCTCTGTAGCCAACCTGCCTGGGTCAGATACACCTCAGGTTCTTAATTGCTGTGTTACCTGAGGCAAGTTCCTTAAACTCTCCGTGTTTCAATTTGCTTATCTCTAAAATAGGATAATTAACTGCACCTGCCTCATAGGGCCTTGGGAGAATTCAATGAATGAGCATACAAAAAGATCTTAGAACACCTGGCACATAGCAAGTAAATTTTTTAAAACGTTAGTTAATATGATTAATACAATGATCCACATAACCACGCTGCGGGATGAGGAGACACACTGCTGTTATCTGATTTGATTGATGGAAACTGAGGCAGAGAGAGATGGACCGAGCAGAAGCACCAAGCCAGCACCAGCCTCTTCTGTCCCCACAAGTCGGCAAGCACCATGCCACATCACTGAAATTCCTTCAAGCCGGGGGGCTCTTTACTAAGCTGAATATAATCACAAATACTACCCACCTCTGATATTTCCCATCTCTGTGATGAGGATGGATGATACATTGTAAAGTGCTGAGAGCACCTCACAGACAAGTGTGATATAAATTCCAAATGTCATTTTAACGTTCTCATTATTATTATTAAAATGGCCAAAATGCGGAGAACATGACTCCAGCAGCCTCGAGTTTTAATGGGCCTCAAAAATATGAATTCTGGGGACAATTGGTTACCATGGTGCCTACATCTCAGATGGACTAGCATGACATAAGTAATGTCTAAACAATCAACTGTTTACTTCACAGTGAAAGTCATTTTTCCCTCCCTGGGGCAGAGTTTGTTTTGGAAATAAAGCTGAGCTTGATGACACTCTTCCAAAAATTCATTTTGATATATCGATTGCCTTGGCCAATAATGCCTTGGCCTTACAGGTGCGTGAAGAAGGCATCAACGTGGTAATTTGTCAAAAGCTCCCGCCTAGAATGGGCTGCCAGGGCCTGGAGCTGCTGCTCTTGCTCTTCCAGTA
Organism: Homo sapiens; assembly: GCF_000001405.40. Lineage (NCBI taxonomy): Eukaryota > Metazoa > Chordata > Mammalia > Primates > Hominidae > Homo > Homo sapiens. Next base: position 132,436,141 of record NC_000002.12, on the reverse strand, counting down.
ACTTCTCACAGGACAAAGGTCAAAGGCAAACAATTTCAAAAGCTTAGGGACTCGGGGGGCCTCAGGGCCTAAAGCTCTCTTTCTGGAATGAGCACACAGCTGGGGCCACCTGAGAGTCTTTCAGAGGCTCCTTATAGCCATCAGGAATTGCCCTTCCTGGGCTGACACTTTTGCTTTCTGAAAACGAACTTAAAACATTTTTCTATTGTATCAGACATTGACATACAATGGAATGAAAAGCAAATGTCCATGCATCTTTACTATATAATCTTCACACTCTTTCTATTCCTTGGAGTGCTTAAGTCTGGAACCCATATCCCCTTCATGTCTTATGTCTATGGGGACTTTTGAGACAAACTCCTCAAGTTTACCACTTCAAGCTTTACACGAGAAAATATGTGGAGATTTGCTCAAAATGTTACAAGTCTGTGGCCTGGCAATGACTAGAACCAAGTTCTCTTGAGTCCTCAACCAAAATTCTTTCTGTAATATCACAAGGTCACTATAGGCAACTACAGTTGACCCTTGAACAGTGCAGGCATTCAGGGTCTAACACACCCTTCCCTGCACAGTCAAAAATCTGTATGTAACCTTGGACTCCCCAAAGACTTAACTACTAATTACCTACTGTTGACTGGAAGCCTTACCAATAACAAACAGTCGATTAACACATATTTTGTGTATGTATTGTATACATACCATAAAGTAAGCTAGAGAAAGAGAAAGTTATTAGACAATCATAGAGAAGAGAAAGTATATTTCTGTTTACTAAGTGAAAGTGGATCATCATAAAGGTCTTCATCCTCATCATCTTCATGTTGAATAGGCTGAGGAGAACGAGGAAGGAGGGGTTGGTTTTACTGTCTCAGGGGTGGCAGAGGCAGAAGGGGTGAAGGAGGTGTGCGGGGAGCAGGAGAGGCAGGCACACTCGGGTCAACTTTACAGAAATACACCATAATTTCTGTCTTTTTTGCCTTTGTATTTCTCTAAAGATGTTTCCATATGGTACCAGCCCTTCTTTCACCGTTTGCTTTACTTTCAGTGTCTGTGTCTGTATCATAGAATGATCCATGTAGTAAAAGAAGCCAAAAAGAGTCTCGAATAATTAGAAGCTTTGGCCAGATTGTCTAATATTGTCCATTTGTTTCTGGCACTGCTTCTTTTATGTCATCTTCCTCGTCATCTGGCGTTGATTTGGAAGCACTCATCTCCGTCAAGTCATCTTCTGTTATTTCCTCTGGTGTGGTGTCTTAGCTCTTGTATGTCTCTAAGACCCATATCTTGAAACCCTTCACCCCCACCTGATGTTTTGCCATATCCACAATCTCTTTTATAATTTTCTGAATCGGCTCTATTGTAAATCCTGTGAAGTCATGCATATCTGGACAGTTTTCTCCACCAGGAATTTATTGTTTTGGGCTTGGTGGCTTTCATGACTTTTTCTGTAACAATGATGGCATCTTCAATAGTGTCATCCTTCCAGACTTGGGGTTTTCTTCCATAATGCTGACAATCCTTTCCATAGAGTACCACGTGTAATGAGACTTAAAGGTCTTTATGGCCCCAATCTAGAGGCTGAATTAGAGATGTTCTGTTTGGGGGCAAGTAGACCACTTCAACACCTTCAGTGTTGACCTCATGGGGCTCTGAGTGGCCAAGGGCACTGTCCAATATTAAAAGAATTTTAAAAGGCAGTTCCTTACTGGTAAGGTACCTCCTGACTTCAAGGACAAAGCATCAACATAACCAATCCAGAAAAAGTGTTCTTATTGTCCAGGCCTTCTTGCTGTACAACCAAAAGACTTAGCAACTGGTGTTTATCTTTTCCCTTCAAGACTCAGGAGTTAGCAGCTTTATAAATAAAGGAGTTCCTGATTATAAACCCAACAGCATTTGAACAAAACAGTAGAGTTAGCCTATCCCTTCCTGCCTTAAATCTTGATGCTCACTTCTCTTTCTTACTAATAAACGTCCTTCATGGCATTTTTTTTCAGAATAGAGCACTCTCATCTGCATTAAATACCTCTCCAGGCAGATATCCTTTCTCCTCAATGATTTTCTTAATGGTGTACAGGAACTCATCTGCTGCCTCTTGATCATCAGAAGCTGCTTCTCCTGTTATCTTGTCATTTCTTAAGCCAAATGTCTAAAATTATTAAACCATCCTTTGCTGACATTAAAGTCTCCAGCTTTAGGCCCTTCACCTTCATTGTGCTTTAAGTTGTCATATAATGACTTCGCTTTTTCTTGAATCATATTAGAGTCTATAGCAATTGCTATTTCTAATAGCAATCCTGCACCAACATAAAAGCTGCATTTCCAATACAATATAAAAAACTATTCTGCAAAAAGTATGAGGTTGTCATGCCTGCTGGCATAGCTGTAGTAATAGCAGGCATGACAACCTCACACTTTTTGCAAAATACTTCTTGCAAGTGACGGCTTCATGAATTTTTTTTTTTAATGGTCCTTACACTGGAGTCATTTATCTTGAAATGGAGGGCAACTGCAGTTGCAGACTTCAATGTATAGTACATGTCAAAATTCAGCTTTTTCTTGTGATATCATGACTTTACTTCTTGGCAGCACTTCCAGCACCACTAGTGGCACTTTGTATGAGTCCCATGATGTTAGTCAAGGTTTATGGTATTTGCACTAAACATGATGAAATTTATGTGAGAAGCCCACGAGATCACTTTTTTACTGCAATATTTTACTGGAGAGACAAACTGCTCATGCTGAGATGATTAGCGTCACACAGAGTTGCAAGTGGACACTAGGAACACTTAAGCTTACCTCGATAGCAACAGGAGGTAGCTACAAAAAATTACTGTAGCTAATTTTTATGCAGTTATGATTTAATACTGCATGTTTACATTTGTTTATATTTCTCAACTGCAAATGGCACCATGTACAATCTGTATTTGTGTGTATGTAAGTTTTGATAAATTTTAAGGTTTTATAAAAGATTTGTGTATATTTTATGATAGTAAATAATAAAATAGGCAAGAATCTACATATATTTTATGCATTCATGACATATCTTTTTCTTAACTTTTTTCTACTTCTAAGCTTTACCATTTGTTTGTTCAAATTGTCACAAATCTCCAAAAAGTATTATAATACGTTTATTGGGAAAAAATCATGTATAAGAAGACCCAAGTAGTTCAAATCCATGTTGTTCAAGGGTCAAATGTAGTTTTCAATGACGACCTACCATATGCTAGGCACTGCACAGGTGGCCTCCATATACTTCTCACTGCATGCTCAAATCAACCTTAGACCAGTTTATGTCTAATGCAGAGATGATAAAACTGAGGTCCTGAGTAATTTGTCAAGTCACACACACTAGTAGGTGATGGAAAGGAGATTGGGACATATACCTATGCACAGCAGTGTCTCTCTGTAGGTGGGAAGGCTATGCTCATGTACCACATTAAATTTTTGTACTTTCTGGTATCCCTTTGCTCCCTGCAGTAGGCTGAAAAATGTCCTCCGAGAATACCAGGTCCTAATCTCTGGATACAGTAAATGTCACTTTATAAGAAAAAGAATCTTGGCAGATGTGATTAAGCGAAGGATTTTGAGGTAGAGAGATGATCCTGCATTATCAGAGTAGGCCCTAGATTTCATCAGATGCATTCTCAGAAGAGGGAGGCAGAGGGAGATTTGACACACACAGAGGATGCTATGGTCTGAATTTTTGTGTCCTTCAAATCTGTATGTTGGAAACCTAGTCACCAATGTGATGGTATTAGGTGTGGCCTTTGGGAAGTGATTGCATCATGATAGTACATCCCTCATGGGGTTTGTGTCCTTATAAATGAGGTCCCAGAGAGCTGCCTTGCCCCTTCCACCATGTGAGGACACAGCGAGAAGTCAGCAGTTTGCAACCTGAAAGCAGGCCATCACCAGACACCAAATCTGCTAATACCTTGATCTTGGACTTCCCAGCCTCTAGAACCCTGAGAAAATAATGTCTGTTGCTTACAAACCACCCAGTTTATGGTATTTCGATATAACAGCCCAAATGGAGCAAGACAAACAAGAAGATGACTTGAAGACAGAGCAGGGAGAAATCTGAAGATGTTGGCCTTGGAGACTGGGGTAACACAACCACAAGCCAAGGAACACCAGCAGTCACCAGCAACTGGAAGGTTGAAAGAGTGAATTCTCTCCTAAAGCCTAAGCTCTAAGGTCCTGCTGACACCTTGATTTTGGCCCAGAGAAACTTATTTTGGACTTCTGGCCTCCAGAACTGTGAGAAAATAAATGTCTACTGTTTTAAGCCGTCAAATGTGTAGTAACTTGTTACAGCAGCCACAGGAAACTAATATACTCCCCATTTGCCATCATCCCCACCACTTAAGATACAGTAGTCACATACTTAGGCCCTACCCACTGAATGTGAAGTCCACACACACCACACTCCCTCCACATATTCTCAATGCACACAGCTCACTGCCAAGTTCCACGGGGAAGGCTCACCTGGCGTATGGTGACTCTCGTTCAAAAAAACATCACCAAGAGAAGTGAAGACTCTGAGAAGCTGCCTTGGAGAGCAGCCTCCTGGCCTCTCAATTTGCAGGGAGAGAAAACAGTAACTGCCCTAGAGACAGAATGTGACTGACATCAAAATCAAAGATCAATCAGCATTCCAATGTGAAACTAAAACATTTTATGAACAAAACTTTAATAAATTTTACTAGTTTTTCTTTCTTAAATAACTTTTTAGATTTCCAGAAGGCAATGAATGCAACTCATATGTTTCCTATTTTCCATGGTCAATATGCTTGACATCAAAGGTAGGATCTTACATCTGAAATAAGGAGTCCTGGCTTAAGGCCAATATCATATTAAGACATAACTAGAAAATGCCCAATTCTAGAAATAGGTGTTGCATCTGATGCTGAAGCACAGCCAGAGATCTTTGTTTTCCAGGCCAAGTTTCAAATACAACCTGATTTCATGGTAATGAGCAGCCACAACCTGATACTTGGTCAGTGAGTGACCTAGGTGAGTGAGTGAGTCAGCTTACAAGGCAGGAGACATGCCCTGGGGATTTGGCACCAACCAGCTTCTGGCAGCAGCATTTCAGAAGCAGGAGGCTCTGCTGCTGACCCCTCCTCCCCACCCCTCTAAACTGCTCATGCACTAAGATGACCAGATCCCTGGGAAATATCACCCAGGACTCAGCCAGGGGGAAGGGGAAGTCCAGGGATATAAGAGAGAATAGAATCTGGGGAAAGTCTGCATGGAACAAAGAAGGAACTCAACAATGTCAGAGCACATCACTAAGCTTACGAAGGTCCCCACAGGGGGTGTCTGTTGTTTCTGCTCCCTGGCTCTGTAACCCGCTCTCCTGGGTAGAACATGGGTCTCCTTTGGGGACCACGCCTCTCACTGCATGCAGTCTTGACGGCACTGTCCATCACCTGCCCTCATCTCAGCCTCACAGGGGCTGGATGAGCAGCCCTAGCCAGTCCAACAAGGTTCTCATCCCTGGATGGAGTGGCAACAAAGATGGGATGATGCCTGAAGCTGATACCTTCTTGATGGTAGAGCCCAAGCTGGTGGTCCATGAATTTCTACTCCCTAGGTCCCTGATAAATCTGGTTCTTTATTTAGCCTTCCCTTTGACTCAGTGAGCTACCTCCCATACTTCCAATAAATTCCTTCTTACTTGCTAAATAAGAAGAATCCGGTTTGGTGGCCTCTAGTCAAAGAACCTTGGCACAGTTACTAAAGTCAAGGTCTCCCCAGCCACCCCCAGCCTGCCTTTCCAGCTCCTTCTTCTCCCATTCTCAACCCTGGCTACACATTGGAGTCACCTGAAGGCTTAAATAATGCCAATGTCCAGGGCTCCACCCACAAAGGTTTTGATATAAATAGACTGGAGTAGGGCATTTTTAATAGTTCCACAGGTGATTGTAATGTTTAGCAGGGTTGATAACTACCACCCCTTCATGACTAAACCTAACCACAAACCGTCATCAGAACCCATGATCACTTCCACACCTGTGCCCCTCACACTGCCTCTCTCTGCCAGCAACACACACCTTGGCCACATGGCCACATCAGTGTTTTTGCACTCCTTCCTGCCACTCCTCTTCTCAAAAGCTTTCCATGGCTCCCATGGCCTCCAATACATAGTCTGAATCCATTAGCCTAGCTATCAACTTCCTCCATATTTAACTCAGTCTACTTTTCAGTCTAAATTCATCACTGCTACCTTCTAGATTTCCCTACTCCAGTCCAATCATTCTATTACCTACTTTCTGGACATGCAGAGTTCTTAGGACAAACAGCAGAGCCCATTCCAGTTTCATCCAGAAATGAGGCTATTAGTTATTTCATATAACCCCTAGGAGGGCCAGAGAATCACATAAGGTTATCCCATCAGAATGCACCAATGTAGAGGTGCTGCAAACATCTGGCTTAGGATGCTGTCTTTAGCTTTTCTGTCTTTGCTCTCTCTAAAGGCTCCTTTACACTCTTTTAACCCCATTTGTCACACACTGGCTTTAACCCCAAAGAGAGTCCATGTGGCTACTGCTCTTTCCCATCCTTCTCTTCCAAATGAGACTCTCATGCCAGTGCACGTGACTGGCGCAGCCCAGGCCACATGCTGCACTCTGGCTGTGAGGGATGCTGGGAAAGCAAGCTTCTGACCACTATCTTGAGGAAGCAGGACTCAAAAAGATGGAAATTTCCCAGAGATAAAAAGCAGCCAAAAGCTGCTGGGTAGCCTAAAAGCAAGATAAACATCCACCAGACTTGGCATCATAATTTCTTGCCTCCCTGACACTGACCATCCAAAACAAGTTCCCCCACTGAAGAGTATTCTCTTTTGAGAGACTACAGAGCGTTTTCTTTTGAGAGACTCACCCTCTGCTCATGTAAAGAACGTGGACTGCAAAACATGCCAGATCCCAGCTCCAATCTCAATGTTTGATGACCTCAGGCAGTTCTGCAAAGTGAGGATAACGATACCTTCATGCTAATGATACTATGAGGATTGAAGATAAAATATAAAGGCCAGCCCTTTGGCTGGCTGGCCCTAGTGCTCTGGTCAGCCCTGGCAGCAAAATCATAGAGCAGAATTGGCAATAGGAAGAACTTTGAACAACAGACCCAATGCCTCATTTTCTGGGCATCTCATAAGCCCCTTGAATTTTGACACAACATGAGAAAGGGGAAACCCCGACCCCCAATGTTACTAAGATTAACATTTTCACCACCTTCCAAATGAGAGCTTGGAGCCAGATTTAAGTTTCTTTTTAGAAATAATGCAACTTTTTTATGTCTAAGTGTCATGGAGCAAATTCCCACCTGTTACAACTACACAACAAGTGATTGACAGTTCTTATCACAACTAGTGAGTTTAGTCCTTCCCAATTCACCCTTTTCTAGTATTGACATTAAAGAATCCCCAAGTGTTGTAGATCAGTGCTTCTCATACCCTGATGTTAGGACATAGGTATTCCAGGGATCTGCTTACAATGCAGATTACAATTCAACTGGTAGGGGTGTGGCCCAATACTCTGCCTTTTACAATTTCCCAGGTGATGCTGATGCTGCGGGTCCCTGGACCATACTGTGAATATCGAGACTAACAACATCTCTGGAGTGAAGCCCAGTTAGCCAGTCTATTAAAAGTTCTGGCAGAACATTTACTAGAACTAGCTTACTTCATAAACAGCCACAACCCAGACCCTGCATCAAGTGGTACATTTAGGCTTCTACAAGGCTCTGCCCTTATACTTTGATGTCCCAATGAGACAAGTATTAAGCTCCTTGAAAGGAGGAACCAGCATTTTGATCTCTATGGTACAAACGATGTTAAGCACAACTTAAGTTTCATAAATACTTGATGAATGAACAAACAAATGAAATGTGAAGATCTGCTGGAATAATGAGAGAAGGGTAAAGCCAGTCCAGGCAGGCTTCTTGGAGGAAGTCAGCTTGTAAGAGATTCAATAATGAGGAAAACCCCAGGTCTAACAAGGAGAACAGCTAGTTCCTACAGAAGTTTTTTTCATCTTCTCTAGAGGATATCTACAGCAAGCTTCAATCACCAAGGTGACTCATTTGTCACCCCTATCAAGGGTAAACTTGAACTTGAAAAACAGTGAAAACCCATCAGCTGTCTTTTAAATATATATATATTTAAATATAAATATAACTATATATAATATATATAACTATATATAATATATATATTTAAATATAATTTTATATTATATATATATTATATATATATATGAAGTACAGCTTAAAAGCCAAGTATGGTAGTGCACACCTGTAGTCCTAGCTACCAAGAGGCTAAGGCAGAAGGATTGCTTGAGCCCAGGAGTTCGAGGCCTCAGGACACTATGATCATGTCTGTGAATAGTCACTATACTCCAGCCTAGGCAACTTACTGAGACTCCTTCCCATCCTTCTCTTCCAAATGTAACTGAAAAAACAAAAAGATGTAGCTGTCATTTCAATGTGATATTTAATCCTTCAGAATGGCAGCACATAGAAAGTAGACTCAAAAATATGCCAGAAATTTTATTTCTGCTGAGTATATGTCTCCAAAGAATTATATGTATAAGATATTATGTTATATTACATACTCATACAATATATAACATATATAATATATAAAACCAAATAGAATAGAATATGTAAAGTCAGGCCAGGCGCAGTGGCTCACGCCTGTAATCCCAGCACTTTGGGAGGTGGGTGGATCACGAGGTCAGGAGATCGAGACATCCTGGCTAACACAGTGAAACACCATCTCTACTAAAAATAAAAAAAAATATATTAGCCAGGTGTGGTGGCAGGCGCCTGTAGTCTCAGCCACTCGGGGGCTGAGGCAGGAGTATGGCATGAACCTGGGAGGCAGAGCTTGCAGTGAGCTGAGATTGTGCCACTGCACTCCAGCCTGGGCGACGGAGCAAGACTCCGTCTCAAAAAAAAAAAAATTTCATATATATATATATATATATATATATATATATATGTACCTATATATGTATATTATATATATATGTACCTATATATGTATATTATATATATAGGTACATATATATATATATTCAAATGACTTCATCTCTGGCTCAAGCACCCTGTGTAAAGTGTTTTATTTCTAAAGCAGAGTTGATCTTTTTCCTCTTCACTAAAGAAAGAGAGTGGCTTCTCTCTGCAAGTTTAATGAGCGTCATCACTCCCAGCTGGGCCTGCCCCCATTTCTGCATGCCGTTAGTTTCATGGACAGTTAGACACTGAACAAGTACAATGGCAACTTTGATGCTGCAGCCTTGCCTCCCGATCTGTCTGTTAGGTACCAGTAACACCACTGCTCTCCAACTACCTAGCCACCTTTGCGGTGTGCAAAGCAGTGGCCTGAGTGTTAAACCCTCTGCTTGCCAGAATGGCTCTTACACTCAGTAAGTACAAACAAGACTTTTTGTCAAGTTTCTAAATCGGGAAAGGCTCTAAAATCAGAAAATGATAAAGTCTGTTAGCCCAAGACATTTCTGTTATTCAGACTTGCTTCAGCACCAGGGTTGGCTTCCTCCCTGACACACTTTTTCCATCTGAAGCCAAATGATGAGGGGTACAGGCATCTCCCTTCTGGTGAGGAGGACTCTGGAAAGCAGCAGAGCTGCCTAGGCATCAGCTTATCCACCAAACCTTTATGCAGCGCCTAGTCATTGCCAGGCTATGACGAAATAGAGCTACCAAAAGGATGATAATTATAAGATCAATTCAATACTGTTTTCCTTTCTGACTATCAAGGCATCAGCATTCTGAAAATCCAGCCAGTGGGACTCAAACCCACAAATTTTGTAATTCTCCAAACGAGAGTTTAAAAGTCCAGTGAACATTCCATGGTGCCCTGGATCTTGTTAAACTTCCAGATCACTGAGCACTGAGCAGGTGACCAACAAGTGGTTGGTGGATCTGTGAATGGCTGGGCCAAAGGCAATTCTTGGAAGGTGAGACTTTTCAAAGAGAAGCTTCTGGAGATTGAACCTGTCTTGGAAGTTATAACTAAGGTAGGCCATGTGTTTACCTGGGAGCTCCTTTCAGCAGAGTTCAGTGAATCCATTCGTTTTCTATTGGTACATAGTGAATTATCAAAAATTTAGTGGCTTAAAATAACACCTATTTATTAGCACACAAATCTGTAGATCAGAGATCCAGGCAAGGTATGCCTGGGTTCTCAACATGTAGGCCAGGCTGAATTCTTTTCTAGAAGTTCTGGGGGGGAATTTTACCTCTAAGCTTATTCAGGGCCCATTTTCTTGCTGGTGCTCAGCTCCTAGAACCTACCTATATTCTCTGCCAGCTCCCTCCATCTCCAAAGCCAGCAACAGAGAATTTCTCCCTGGTCAAATGCCTCTCATGCTTTGACTCTTAGTTCTCCTGCCTCTGACCTCTAGACCCAGATTTAAAGGCTCATGTGACTTGGTTAAATCCACACAGAAAATCTCCCTATTTTAAGGTCAACAGATTTGGGAACTTAATTACTTTCCTTCCTTGCAGCACTAGATTAGTGTTTGATTGAATAACTGGGAGAAGATACGTATACCTTATGGACCAGGCATTTTGGAGGCCATTTCAGAATTCTGCCTAGCACAGGGAAAGAAGGAAAGGAAGGTAGAGCCAAGAGAGCTGCCTGAGGATCACAGTGAGGGTGCTTTTCCTCCATTTCAGGAGCAGCAGCCACTGTCAGAGAACTTCAATCCATCAATCTCTCAAGCAATGCATGGCTACTCTGCCCCCAACCCAGTAAGGAAGGTTGAAGATGTACAACAGTGAAGGGTCCCTGATCTTAGGGAGTTCCAATATAGTCGAGAGACATCATCTGTGCCCCCTTCTGAGAAATGTCTAAGATGGCTCACCATGCATAGGAACATCAGTATAGGCTGTCGTAGTCCAGGAAGGCTTCATGGAAGAAGTGGGAGGCACTGAGATATATCATATGCAGAATGCTAGTGTAAGTGGTAGGAAGTTTTGTCATGGGAGATATATGAGTTGGTCGTAGCTGGAGATTGTCGTTGAAGAACGAATAGACCATTGAGCAATAGAGATGACAGGTGAGAGCTACTGTGACCTAGTTTAGCTCCCTAGGGCCACCTCCTAATCAGGGCCTGAGCAACATGGGGGCGGTTTGGGCCTCCGTGCTGGGAAAGTGGGAGTTGCTGAATGGAAGCAGTCACTGTCTGGCCATGGAGGACAGTGGCAGCAGCAAGACTTGGAGAAACCAAGGGCCAGAGGTCTGCCTAATGGAAAGGAGAACTCACCAGTGTCAGCTGCTCTGCCAGAACTGTGTTCCAATGAAGGGTTGTCTGTTTTTTTATTCTATAAACACAGCCAGGCCTGTACTTTGACCCAAATTGGAATGCAACAAATGCTGTCACTCTAGGGGCAGCACTAGAAATCCAACTGTGCTGTTTAACTTCTTAAAACCCTGCAATGGCTTCCAAGGATAAATTCCAAACCCCTTAGCTATGGTTTCATCTGGAACTGGCTGATCCAGTCCACTAGGCTGGGCTCATGATACATTAAAGGGAGAGATATGAAGTTAGGCAATCCTTTTTCATCCTTCACAAAGTCTGGCTTTTAAGATAATTGCCCAGCTAAAGAGGTCAGTAATTCCATCCTCTGGACCCAGGATGGATCCACAACACCTTTGTCCCAGGCAGTAGCTGCTTATTCCTACCCTGGGGTGATAAGTGTGGCTCACTCTTGAGAGAGATGGCTGCAAGTGGATGCAATTTAAGGTGGAGACATAAACACATGGTTTAATATTTTCAAAATGTCACCCCCACTGTATCCTCATTACCTTGAGGACCCCTTGTTAAAAAGTGGTGAAAGAGCCTGCTAAGAAATAATGTGTAGAGTTGTATCATTGCATTTAACATCTTGTTCAATAGATTTTAACAAGGACCATTCACCACCCTAGTCACTTTCATCTCACGGTTACTTCTGGCAGATATACATGGTTAAAGCTAACATTCAGGGTCTGATTAGCACATAGTGTTCATTTGCTCAGGGGCAAGCAAATCTTAAATGTTTTGCATGTTGGTTTGACTTCAGAGGCCTCAGAGGAATCATAACCCTTTCAAAGATAGCATCTTTGGTTCAGATGAACCAGAACACTTTTGAGGAATGATAAACCTCTATACGAATGCATGCCCAAGGGAAAACAGAACATTGCTTCTCAATTCCAAGCTGAGGCTCATTCATTCATTTGTTCAGTCAACAAATATTCATTACCTACTATGTCTAGACACTATGCTGGAATGAGGTACAGTGTTGAGGGAAATTAGGGCATGCACCTATCCACAAGGAATTAGAAGGAAGACAGACATCAGTCGAGTAATTGCACAATTAAATGTAAAATGACAACAGTGAGTCTTGTTTTGTGGGAGGTTTAATGAAGTCAGGGAGGATGGGCCAGTTTCCCTGGGGAGATCTGAGAGAGGAGAAAGATATTAACCTGGGGAAGGGGATGGAAGTGGGGAGCAGGTAGAGAATAGAGTAAGATAGAAAAGCATGCCAGGCAGAGGAAACAACCCATACACAGGCAGCATGGGGGAAGAGAGCCAGTCATGGTCACTTGAAGAACTTGAAGGGGAGCCAGTGGAATAAGGCAGTTAAGGGGTGTTATAAACTGAACTGTGTCCCCTGCAAATTCACATGTTGAAGGCCTAAGCCCCGGTGTGATTGTATTTGGAGATTGGGCCTTTGGGAGGTAATTCGGGTAAAATAAAGTTGTAAGGGTGGGGCCCTAATCTGATAAGACCAGCATCCTTATAAGAAGAGCAAGAGACACCAGGAGAACACATGTGCAGAGAAGGCCAGGTCAGGACACAATGAGAAGACAGCTATTCATCTACAAGAATGTGCAGCAGAAAGGATGACCAATCATGTCTCCAGTCCTCAGTAAATAGCCAAGAGTAGAGGTGGAGAGTCAGTTGAGTGGTCCCAGGGCTGCAGCCTGGCAGGGGACATGTGCAGAGGGAAAAGGGATAGGAGTCGACAGTGTCCTCCAAATGGTAGACCAGCGGACCTTGCCTTGTACAGCCAGAGGGGCTCCTTGACTCCCAATTCAATATTCTTCCACGGCGCTGTCTCAACTCGTAAATGGCTTTTATTCTGAATGGTTTTAGCACTAATAAGCCAAATGCTTTGTGCAACTGAGGCCTCTCTTATTACACTTCAGCAGCCCCCAGGAGGCTGACAGATGAACAGGCTTGCTAATAAATGGGGACTGGGATTTCAATCTCCCCTTCCTCGGAAACTATGCATCTCTCCAACAGAGAAATGAAATCTTTGAGACAGCCTGATTATAAAAATAATGCAGCATTATTATATTTGTCTGCCAGGCTGATCACAGGACACTTGCAATTTATGAAAGCTATCACAAATAGGGTAATAAACATAAAATATTTGAGGCAAAACTTTTTTCTGAAATATTGAAACATTGGAGTCAAAATAATATCTTACACTAAAAAAGTCACTAATTTAATGTTGATGGTATTTCCCTCAAAGACTGTGTTGACATATCCTTTCATATCAAATAAAAAGCCTTTGCTAAGAAAACTAATGATGAAAACATGATTGTAAGATAAGCATTTAACCTAGTGAAGAAAACAACTACTAAAAATTCTTATGGGCACTGTCAAAGCATTTCAAGGCATCCACTTCTGTGTAATACGAAATATACAGTAGAGTATAGGGATTGGTTTTTAAATTAATTATATTTTTGGTTATGGCCTGCACACAGGGTACAGAATTTCATGAAGTCAATGAAAAGGAAGCTGAAGAAACAGATGATTCAAATGCCACGCCACTGACAAGCAAAGATTTGCTCGAATTAGACCAGATAATTATGAAAGAATGGAAAACTGATAAGGATAATGCAAGGATAGGTGCTTCCATGAGGGTGATTTAAATAACAAAGAATGAAGAGAGGCCCTTTTTATAATCTTACTGAGAAAATAAAACACAAAGGTTATCAGATGGTTTTGTTAGAAAAATTGTGCCCTCAAGCCACATTGGATTCATTCTGAATAATCATTATAAGAATTAATATATAGTTGTAACTATAACTTATATTTGTAACATACAAATAAATTTCTTTTCATAATTTTCACTTTCAAGTCCCAATGAGACCTCTTTTCAAATGTTTTCAACCCCACTTTAAAGGAACCAACTTTATGAGTTCTTTTCAGGTAACGATTGTCCTCAGGTAAAGAGGACCCACTGTCAATATCTCATTCCCCTCTACCCTCTACCCTCTCTTCTCTCTCTTCTTCTTCCCTGGCCCTGCTTGGTTTGACCTAATTCTGTGGTCTAAAAACCCAGAGGATGTGATTCTGAGCTCCTTCTCTTTGCTTCTCCCTGAACCATGCCACAAATATCTAAATGTATATCAACCTTATTTTTAGAGTAGTTCATTTCAGCAGCAACTGCTAACCTTTGTTCCATCCAAATACACGTGATGAATAATGTCTATATTCAATATGAGCAAACCAAGTTGATGTGTAATCCCTGCCACTAGATGTAACTTCTTCCCTTTCCTTCTGACTCAGGAGAGCAAATCAGAATGCAAAAGAGTGTAATTATTCTAGAGTTATGAATCTTCTATGATGTTTCTTTTATTTAATAACCTCATGACTGTCTGTAAAATCTTTTTTCATAACTATAGTTGAAAGCCAATCACTGCCCTCTAGTTCTCTAGGAGGTAGTTGCAGCTGAGTCCCAATCACTTGAAAGTTATTATACAAATTAAAACTATGCTTTTTTTAAAATTACTTTGTCATTCCACTTTGAGTGGGTGACACTTGATAGCAAGCCATGTGTGCAATAGACACACACAAGTGTCCACAGACCTGGATGCTATCTGCATTGAGAACAACTCCAAAGGAGACTTCAGAAAGAGAAGATGGGAGGTCTGGGGAAAGACTTGCTTGAAAGGAAGTCTCATTTTACACATCCTCATCATTGAAGGGACAGGACAGATAATCAAATTATCAGTTCCTTTCCTCCAGAAGAGGCAGAAATCCAGACCAGCAACCTCTGTTCTGACATCGGACAAATATTACCATGCCACACTGGCTGAAACCTTGAAACAGAAACCAAGTCTAGTACTGATTTGTCACTGGGCTGACAAGAGGCAAGACAAGACACTCCTATTTCCAGGAATGTGCACTTTTGCATCACTATTGTGTTCTCCTGTAAATTGCTTGAGAGCTAGTAGGTATCCCAGCCTCTCTTTCTCTCCCAGAGTTCCCAATGTGTTTTCCTTATTCACCAGCCCAGCACATCGACTAGACTGAGGCACAATAGTGAAAGATGAAGGAAAATTAATATTTTTTACATGGGCTTCCTCATCTTGCGTAGATTTATGAATTTTGTTTCTGTCATGCAGAAGTTAGCATTTTTAACAACGAGCGGCGAACAATCTTAATTGTTTTCTTTATTGCCTTAAGAGCTCCAAGAACTACTTGTGATATGTCGCCATTTACATTTCACATTAAATTTAAAATGTTTGAAATAAGCAAATATTTATTTTAATTTGACCCATCTGTGAAATGAAATACTAAAAAGACAACTAAATTACTATATTAAATTCAGCGATTTGTAAACAATTTATATGTTCATTTGTTCTGGGTTAAAAATGCCCCAAAGCACAAGTTTTATGAAACTTACAAAGTAAATTGCATTGAATTAATCTGATGAATGCAGGCCATGATTTCTTCCTCTTCACTCCATTAATTTATTTCCTAACTTGAGTTAATTAGTGAGGTTCCTATTTTTAAAAGCTCTTTGAAATTCATTGGGAGAGGAGGACATTTGCGAGAACTGCTTTGAAAACCTACCGCAGAGAAAATGGGCTAAATACAAACGGTAAATTCCCCCAGGACATTATCGCACATTGAGCACCTGATTGCCATTCAACAATCTTTATGCTGAGAACACAGTGGGCGATTAACATACAGTTGGTATAGGAAAGAAGGAAAGAGCCAGAAGAAAAGAACGAGAGCAGCAGCAAGAACAAACTCATTCCAGACAATTACTAATGGGATCTGATGATCTCCAAGGTCCTATCCATCTCTAAATAAAAGTCTGTGGCATTCTGATTTTATGCTGCAAATGGAGACTGGCTTTAACTTGGAGCACCTGCTGTGGGGAGAACAGACATCTACTCAGAGAAATACAGGAAACACAGAGATTGGTCAAATAGAGTAACGATAAATCAATGATTTTCCCTTTGGTCAAAGGCAGCCTTAATTCCTAAGTTAGACTGGGAGATACTTGAAGACCACTTGCTAATGCTTATCTACCCCCTAATTCTTATCCACTCATGCCAGTCTCCTCCGATCAAAAAAAAAGGAAATTTAATTAACTCACACTAAAGTATAAATTACACCTTACAGTTTAAGATATGCCTAAGGGAATATTTATGGAGGAAGGGAGAACTAGTATTTCAACAAACACTCAAGCTTTAAGCAAATACAATGTCCATTCCTCTCTGTAATATTTGAGTAGTAGCAACCAGTGGGTGATAGACTGAGTTGGGTACGCTTCCCAAGTCCCAAGATAACGTTACCTACTACAACTTCCAGAAAGGCTGGCCCTAAGAGGCAGCAACACCACCAGGCTTACCTATGCTTGTCAAAGTCCTGCCTTGTTTCATTTTCCTTTCACCACACGCCTGTGAAAGTCACAAACAGACATGCATTTCTCTGCCCTGAAAAGCACAGTGGGACTCTTTGAGCTGCACTGAGGTGATTCTGAACTAGGTCTTCTCTAAGTCTCAAATTCCTCCTCTAGAAGATGGAAATATCAGTCACCTGGCACAGCCCCTAATGCAGAGTAGCATCCAAATATTCTCATTTTGTGCAGACACAGAGTAAAGTCAAGTCAGCTGGTCACCTGCCACAGCTCTCAAAGCCCAGCTCCCTGGGGGCAATCCATGGCTGCCTCTGAGTACTTTGAAATTCATTAGGGCAATTATTTCAAATCGAATAAAGAGTAAAATTAGACCCTAAGCTTTTAACAATTAATGACACACTGGAAGCCAGGGGCTGGTCTGAGGCAAGACCCAGGTCTTTCCATCATTCTCCAAGTGCCTTCCAACTCTCTCTCATGTCTACCTCCTGTCCCTGGAACCTGCTGCCCAGTTGCCCACACCAAAACAAACAGCACCATGATTTATTCCTTTTCCTGATGCCACAGGGGAGAGGGAAGAAGGGAAATGTTTGTTATATCTATTCCTTTTTGATTCACACACGCACAATACATCCTTTTTATTGTTTCTGCTAAAAAAATATATTTTAAAACCCTTTGTTCACACACATTTCATGTGTCTCCATTAAAGCCTTGTCTCCCAGCCACTAGGTCCCTCTTCTGAAGGCTCTGGGGTCAACAGACCTGTGGGCTCTTTTTAAATAGACGAGGCCTCAACTTTAAATACTTGTATCACAACAAAAGTTTGGAAAACAAGCATAAGAATTGGGTCTGTGAGGTGATTATTCAAATCCTAGGAATCGGTGAAGCCAGATTTTCTGGATCAGATAAACAGGCCGTCCTGCCAGGTTGCTCTGGTCTGGTAAGGAACAGACCCACAGTGGCAGAAACCCAAGCCCTGGGGAGTGCTGAGAGCTCCCATGTCTTAAGATTGGGTCGAAGAGGCTCCAAGGAATAAAATAGCAGCCCGAGAGTGTGTGTCGCTCACAGCCTGCTTTCTCCAAAGGAGGAGAAAAATGGGAACAAAATCTAATTGCACAAGAAAGTCTTCCCCGGGTAAAAGAGCTAGATAAGACGGTTCCCTGTATCTCTGCAGAACTTGGTCTTTTGCAAAGGACTTTCACCTGTCCTGCATTACCTAATTTGTCCGTCATATTCTCTAGTATTATTGTCCCCATTTTACCAAAGATTTTTGTGACTTCCCAAAGGTCACAGCAGTGATGTTCTGGAATATACCCAAACCTTCTGGGTTCTGGTCTCGTGCTCTTTTCACCATAATCTACCATGAATCCCCGAAACACAGAGAAGAAACATTCAGAGACCCAGAGCAATGCCCTCATACTGCTACAAGACTCTTCCACCTTAGTAAACTTAAGTGTGCAATTCTAGGGCAAGACTTGCCCTGGAGAGGGCCACAGGCAGTGGCACGGGTCGTGGGGGAAGGTTGGGAAGCTGCTCACGTGTTGCCCCCGACTTAGGACTCACTCAGGAAGATGATGGTCTGCCTCCTGGCGGTCCTGCTCTCTTCGCTCTCGGACTTCCTCAGCTGCGGAGGCCGCGTGCCCCCGGCCAGCGAGCCCTTCTGGCTTTTCATGAGCACCTGCATCATGTTCCAGCACATGAAGGCTACGGAGAGCAGGACCACGAGGTAGACCACGAAGGCGCCGAAGATGCTGGACTGGAACACGGTCCAGCGGCTGGAGAGGTTGGTACAGATGGACATATTGGAGGTCTCGGGCTGCTCGTGGTGGCGGGTGCTGGAGCGGTTGCAAGTGAGACCCCGGTGGCTGGGCACGTTCACCAGGGGGTACTCAGTACCCATGGCAAACAGCAAGGGCAGTGCCACCAGGGCGGAGGTGACCCAGACGAAGCCAATCAGCAGCTTCACCTGGCAAGGTCCCGACACAGCCTTGTACCTGAAGGGGTGACAGATGGCGATGTAGCGCTCAAAGCTGAGTGTCAGCACGTGCAGCAGCGTAGCGTAGCTGCAGGCCTCGAAGAGGAAAGTGTGCAGCTTGCAGGACAGGGTGTAGCTGGACGTGGTCAGGGGATTCCAGATGATGCTGTAGAACTCCATGGGCATGCCGATGAGGAACACCAAGATGTCCGAGCAAGCCAAACTCACCATGTGGTCTGTCACCTCCTTCTGCAAGTATCCTTTCTTCTGCAGCACCTGGGTGACCCGAATGGTGGCGCTGTTCCCCAGAAGGCCCATCACGAAGATGATCAGGTACACCAGAATAAGGGTGATTTTGATCCAGGTGGCCACCTCAAACTCGGGGACATGACTGTGATCAATGATTTGGGAGCAGTCACTGCCCGGGAGGCTGGGTGAAGCCATGAGAAAGAGCACCAGGCTACCAGGTCCAAAGACTTTCTCAACTTCCCTTTCTCCTCCCAGCAGCGTCCAAAATTCTTGGCTGCAAACTCACCTGCGTGGGCGCACGATTTTATCTCACTCGAGTTCTCCTCGCGAAGGTAACTTAGTATTTCAGGTGCTTTCATGGAAACTTGCTGGAGCAGCCCAACCTAGGAGAGGCCCAGGAGGCGCCTGGGTGTTGAGGTTTGGGAGTGTATGTGGCTGGGGCGAGGCGGGGAGAGGGCGGAGGAAGAACGTTCTAAACTCCTGGCTGGCTGGGAGTGAGACCGCAGCACCTGGCGCTCCGCCTCTGCCCCTCTTCGCCGAGGGCGCACTCCGCCTCGCAGCACTCCTCTTCCTTTCCAGCTGCCGGCACTTGAGAGCCCCGGTCCACATTCCCAGAGCACCCTCTCCCGAGCTGCGGGAGGCGGGGTGGTCAGCGATTAATCATTAACCACAGCGGATTGTGCTCAGCGGCCCGGCTGCAGACCCAGCCCAGCGGCGGGGTTTGACTCAGCACATAGGCACGGTCCCTGAAATCAGATCGTGGCTCTCGAGCTACGAGCGACCCACCCCCGCCCCACCCTCCGTCACCCAGGCGGCAGCCGCAGAGGCAGCTGCGGCGCTCCAACCCGACAAGCGTCCCAAGGAGGTGCAGCCCCGGGGAAGCTGGCGACCCTCCCGAGCTGGGAGAAAGACAAACTTCCTCTCGCCCGCACTGCCCCCACGTCCACCGCTGCCCTGGGGGCCCCCTTCGAAGGCGAGGTCACGGCCCGTTTGGTGGTGGCTTGACCGGGGCGTCCCAGAGGAGCCAGCAAGCCCTCGCCTCCTCTGTGGGGTGTTTGCCAAGGACAGCTGGGCTCTGCGCTGCTTGCAGCCGCTGCTCCAGGAAGTCGGCCCCAAGCAGGCTTGCAGGATTCACTATAGAATCCCTGCCTTTCCCCAGAGCCTGCCGGTGTTCTGCGCAGGGCCCTGCCTCGCCTTCCCACGGAGGGACGCGAAGACCCCGGGGTCTCTTCTTTCAGTTTCGCTCCAAGGTGCAGCCGCTTTCCCGGCAGCGGGACGTCTTTTAATTGGGGACATGTATATGGATGAGGATGGCACTCCGCCAGCAAGCCCCAGGTGGGAAGCATGCCCTCCGGAGGGAGCTGTGCCTAGAACGTCGAAGACAGCAGGAGGAGCTGAAGGCTCTGACAAGGCCGTCATGTAAAAACAGCATTAAGGATCATGACCTTTTCCCTCGAATGGACCCATTTTCGTCTTTTAATTCCACAATCAGAGGGAATGAGCAATGAAGGGGGAGGAAGGCTGCCTTATGCGTTCTAGGATGTTTAGCACCTGCATACACACATCCATAGGGACAGCCAAATGTCTCCAGACATTGCTAAATGCCCCTTGCCAGGGAGTGGCAAAGTCA
Organism: Homo sapiens; assembly: GCF_000001405.40. NCBI lineage: Eukaryota > Metazoa > Chordata > Mammalia > Primates > Hominidae > Homo > Homo sapiens. The sequence continues at coordinate 132,415,607 of NC_000002.12, read as the reverse complement.
AAGTCAGAACCTCTGCCTCAAAGGAAGAACATGGATCCCCTTTATCTGTACATTCTAGGGGCCTAGCACAAGCCCTCTGTGCTGAAAACATCTCTGAATTATCCCAATCGCCACATCGATGCAATCATTTTAAAGATGAAGCAATTCTGCTGTCTGGAGGACCTATGCTTCCCCAAGGCCATAAAAGAGTGAGTGAGAGCAAGGTCTTACTCAGATGTGGAATATAAAATAAAGTTAAATACATAGAAACAAAGAGTAGAAAGGTGGTTACCAAGGCCTGGGAGGGAGAGGAAATGGGGACATGTAGGTCAAAGGACAAAATGAATAAGTCTACAGATTTATCATACAGCCACAGGACAACAGTTAATAATGTTGCAATGTAGATTGAAAATTTGCAGAGAGAGTCCATTTTAGGTGCAACACACACAAAAAGTCACTGTGGAAGATGACAGACACCTTACTTTGCTTGACTGTGGTAATCATTTCACTTTGTATATCAAAACATCATGCTGCACACCTTAAATATATATGATTTTTAAAAAATGGTTAGTGACAGACTTGGAAATTAATCCAGATCAGTCTGACCCCTGAGTTTGTACTCCTAATTCTGGGAATGCAGTAGGTGCTTAGGAAATTCATCCTGAATGGTGCACATAGAAACATGGGACTGTACTTTTTTGGGGGGGGGAGGGGACGGAGTTTTGCTCTTTTTGCCCAGGCTGGAGTGCAATGGCGCCATCTCGGCTCACTGGCAACCTCTGCCTCCCGGGTTCAAGTGATTCTCCTGCCTCAGCCTCCTGCGTAGCTGGGATTACAGGTGCGTGCCACTACACCCGGCTAATTTTTTGTATTTTTAGTAGAGACAGGGTTTCACCATGTTGGCCAGGCTGCTCTTGAACTCCTGACCTCAGGTGATCTGCCCACCTCGGCTTCCCAAAGTGCTGGGATTACAGGTGTGAGCCACTGCGCCCGGCCAGGACTGTACTTTCTGCACAGTGCACTGGAGCTATTGTCTGATGACCTCAAGGATTATTTGATTTTAATGCTGTCTAGGAGAAAAAAAAAATGCTGTATGGCCACTGGATCTTTAAAATTAGCTTCATATGTGCCTTTCATGTTTTCTCTTTCTTTGTTCTGTTAAATCACAAGCTCCAAAGCCAAGAAGTGTATCTTTTCCCTCTCTGACAGGTTGGCATAGCACCCTAAATAATGTGTTTTGTGGGCGGCCTCTCCACCCCCGATGTGTGCTACTTGACCTGCTTGTTGGCACTGGTGGAGAAACTCCTAACTCGTTTCCTCATTAGTGCACTGCATTCAGCTGAAGGACCTAGCTGACCTTTCATCTGTCCCACAACACTCACAGGAGTAGCGTAATGGGGGTAAGCATGGACTCCTGGGGCTTTTCTACTTGCAGATGAGGACTCTGAATCGACTTCTCTACGGCAGAGCCTGGTTGTTTGCTATCCCACAGGAAATTCATCCTGAATGGCACACACAGAAACACTGGACTGTACTAGGATGTACCCACAGATTCCCCTGCCCTGAACACACATACACACACACACACACACACACACTCTCACTTACACGTAAATGCCTGCCCCTGCTCACTTCTTTCTTTTCAAAGCTGTAAACAAACTAGGAACCTCACCCTCAGCCCAGCCATAGAGCTTTCCTTGGAAATTCTCCTCTTACTCATTATCTGAGCCCCTATAACATGTCAGGCACTTTCACATAATTCATTTCTCTCAATCCTCACAATAGTGCAAAGTGGAGATTATTACCCCCATTTTACAGGCGGGGAAATTGAGGATGGGGGATTGTGATGCACCAGAAAGGCCCAGACGCACCAAAAGCACATTCCATGCTATTGCACTGTCTCCCTGTGCCAGGACAAGACTGTGCTAGGCAGAACAGTGGTGTTTTGGGGAGAGGTGTTTTTTTTTTTTCAGTCACCAGCCTCAATGCTTCTCACATCCCTATCATATTGGATAATTCCAATTTGTTCTGCTCAGACAAGATTTCCATTATTATCAGGTTCCTTTCATCAAATTCTTCTTTCCCAAAGAGTGAACACAGATTACAAATGCATGGCCAAACAGTGAGAATCAACCTAATTAAAATGCACTCTTTACAGTAGAGATGGAAAAATACATTTTGAAAAAAGGTCCAGGAGAATTAAATTTTCATTTCACCTCTGCTTTTCCTAAGGCCAATTAAAAACGGTTTCATGTGCTCTCACTTGTTGATAACAGACTGGTATAGCACCTGGCCTCGGTCTGTGTAATCTAGATGTTTTATTAGCATATTGTGTAGAGGAAAGAAAGAAAATGAATGAAAAATGAAAGAAAAAAATACTCTGGGTATCCTTTGATCTCAACACAACTCAAGGCTCACTCTACTCTAGAGCCTGCACAAATTTATATTCCCATTCTACACATTCTAGATGACTTTTGAAGTCACATTGCCTAGTGGTTTTCACATTTTTTTAGAAAAAAAATCTCATTTTTGAAATATAATCTTACACTGGCACCCAGAGTAAACACACACACACACACACACACACACGCATTATATTTTTGTAAATTTAAATTTATTTTATATACTAACATTGATAACAGACTCATTTAAAGTCGATAAACAATTTACAGTAAAAAGTGAATAACATCTTGTTTACAAAGGTTTGTCATGATTATTAAGCTACAACGAAAACTTAAAACATCTTCAAAAATTATAAATAGTGTAGATAACTTTATTTGTAATACAATATAACTAAAATTAATAACAAAACCAGAAAACTGAAACATAAAACTCTACCATCTCAAAATACACTTTTTTTAAGTCTCTGGAACAATTCTTTGTCAAAGAGAAAAGCAAAACCCAAATTGCAGATTATCTAGAGAATAATGACCACAAAAATATTGCATGTCAGAACCTGTGGAAATAGCTAAAGGAATCCCTGAAAGAAAAACTCATAGCCCTAATTATTTCTAATAAGAAAGAATAAAAATACATCAAGTTATAAAAAGAATAATATTAAAGAAGACTGTAAGAAGCGATTAATAAAGATCAAAGTAATTACGAAATAACTAGATAGTAAAACTAATAAGTAAGCTCAAAACCTTATTTGTTTTGTGTTCTTTTGTAGATGGTGGGTCTTGCTATTTTGTCCAGGTTGGGCTGAACTTGTGATCCTTCTGCCTCAGCCTCCTGAGTAGCTGGGACTACAGACATTTACCACTGCAGCCAGCTAAGACTTTTTTTTTAAGTAGGACCTCTGCTTCTGGCCTTAAGAATAATGAGTATTAGGCTGGCAGCCTGTGCACAACCCCAGACCCACACCACAGCATGGATTGTGATCTCTCAGGGAAGATAAGCTAATAAGGTAAGCCCTGGGATCACCCAGGCCTGCTGTGTGGAGGCACTTTGCAGACCATGGGGCAGAGAAGGAACCCCAAGGAGAGCACAGTCATCTCACTGAGTTGGGGAGTCAGAGACTGGAATTCAGGAGGAGGCTACTGGACTCTACGAAGAAGAGTACTGAAAAGGAGGAAACTACACAGAGAAAGAGTTCCAGAGAGCTATGCAGAAGTCTTCTTGAGCCTTTTGCCAAATACTAAATGGGCATGTGCAGATGAAACTCCAAGAGCTAGGCAAAATATGCTGAAGAAAGAGCAACTTGCAGGGCTAGGGGGTAATTCAGGGGCTGTAAGACAAACAATTCCCAAAGTCACACAGAGCTGTGAAACATTAAAGTTTCAACCAACAATAGTGAAGAGACCTCACTGAACCAACCCTGGAAGGGCCAGATCTTGGTAGCACTAAACTAGCCACAGACCTAAGACTGCTGTAGACCTGCCTTAACAAAGAAACTGACCTGAGCTATCTAACATGGCAGCCATTAGCCACGTGTGACTAATAAACACTTGAAATATGGCTAGTCCAAACTGAAATGTCCCTGAAATATAAAATGCAGACCAGATTTCTAAGAATTTGTATGAAAAAAAGAATGTAAATTATCTCGTGAATAGTTTTTATATATTGATTTCATGTTGAAATGATCATATTTTGCTATAATGGATTAAATAAAATATATTATTAAAAATAATTTTACCTTTTTTTACTTTTTTTTTTTTTGAGACGGAGTCTCACTACGTCACCCAGGCTGGAATGCAATGGCACGATCTCGGCTCACTGCAACCTCCACCTCCTGGGTTCAAGTGATTCTCCTGTCTCAGCCTCCCAAGTAGTTAGGATTACAGGCACCCACCACCACGCCGGATAATTTTTATATTTTTAGTAGAGAGGGGTTTCGCCATGTTGGTCAGGCTGGTCTCGAAATCCTGACCTTGGGTGATTCACCTGCCTCAGCCTCCCAAAATGCTGGGATTACAGGTGTGAGCCACTGCGCCCAGCCTTTTACTTTTTTAATGTGGCTACTATTACATTTTAAGTTTTGTGTGGCTTGCCTTTGTGGCTACTAGGAGCGATATCCTAGAAGCTATAAAGGAAAAGTTTGATGAACTTTATTTAACAAAAATGTAAAAGTTCTGCAAGGCAAGTGATATGGTTTGGCTGTGTCCCCACCCAAACCTCATCTTGATTGGTAGCTCGCATAATTCCTCTGTGTCATGGGTGAGACCCAGTGGGAGGTAATTGAATCATGGGGTGGGTTTTTCCCAGGCTGTTCACATGATAGTGAATAAGTTTCATGAGATCTGATGGTTTTATAAAGGGCAGTTCCCCTGCACATGCGCTCTTGCCTGCCACCATGTAAGATATGCCTTTGCTCCTCCTTCACCTTCTGCTATGATTATGAGGCCTCCTCAGCCATGTGGAACTATGAGTCAATTAAACCTCTTTTTCTTTGTAAATTACCCAGTCTCGGGTATTTCTTCATAGCAGTAAGAAAATGGACCAATAGAGCAAGAAAGACTGTGGATAAAGATAAATAACAAATGACAGCTTATAGAATATATATGCAATTGATTTTACACAGTAATGAGTAACTTCCATAATGAACTCAAAGCAGATAAAAACATACATTTCTTCCCAAAATTGATCTATAGATTCAATGTAATTAAAATTTCAACAGATTTTTCTGTAAACACTTGGCAAGCTCATTCTAAATTTACAGAGAAATGTCAAGAGCCAAGAATGAGCAAGATACTCTTAGGAGATGAGAGGACCCACTCTACCAGATACCAAGACTTATTATAAACCTGTAGTTTACAAGGCAGTGTGGTTTTGACATGGGGATAGACAAAGAGAGGAATGAAACAGAAGAGATAGCAGTGAAATAAATCCATATGTGTATGACCAGGATTTATGACAGCGATGGCCTCGTGAGCCAGGGCAGAAAAGATGGGCTTTTCCATTGGTGTAGTAATCAACCAACTCTCTAGCGGAAAATGCCCTGATTTATATCGCATTTGCCAGTTTCCATGGTATCAACACTGTGGCTGACTTTGAGCTACCAGCAATTTCACAACCTACTCAGAAAACTCCTGAAATTTTAACAATCAACTCTCATGGACTTCAGGACACCACTCTTTTCAATAGATGCCTCTTGAGACAATCAAGAATCTATCTGGATAAAATTCATTAAGGAAAAGGTGAACAACCCCATTTTCTAAATGGGCCAAAGAAATAAACAGGCCCTTCATAAAAGAGAAAATCCAGATGGACAAAAAACAATGAAAAGTTACCCAACCTCTTTAGTAATCAGAGAAATGCAAATTAAAATCACAATTAAGTACAACCACACACCAACCAGACTGGCTAACATTTAGACAACCAGTACCATCTGTCCATGAAGCTGTGAAATGATGGTGACTCTTGTACCTTGAGGATAAAGAGCAAATTTATGCAACCACTTCGGAAGAGTTTGGCAGGGTCTACTAGAGTTATTCATAGACACACATATATCCTGTGACCCAGCAATTCCTCTCCTAGGTATATACCCCAGAATGCATATAAAAGAATGTTCATAGCAACATTGTCAGTAATTACACCAACCTGAAAAACACCCAAATGGCCATCTAAAGGAGAATAGATAAACAAAGTGTTGCATATCCATATAAAGAGCTACTAGAAAGCCATGAAAACTAATAAACTGTTACTTCCAAAACAATACGGTTAAATCTTACAACCATAATGATGCCTGAAAGAAGTGAGACACAAAAGATCATGTTGGAGTGCATTTATATAAGATTCAAAAACAGACAAAATCATAATATTTAGAAATATATAGATTTTATATGTGGATATATAGGTCATATGAAGAGAGTACATATATACAATTCATACATATATTTACTTAAAAGCAAATGTGTCGTTTCCATGAAAGGATCAAGGTCAGCTTTTGTGGGTTGGGGAAGGTGCATGACTGGTAAGGACCCATGGGGTGGGGTGTCAGCTTCTGAGTGTTGACAATATTCTATTTCTTAACCAGGGAAGTAGTTCCATGGTAGCAATTACATGATACTTTGCTTTATTATTTTTCCTTATGCAGTTGCTTATGGTTTATGGGTTTCTGTGTGTCATATTTCATAATACTTTAAAACAAAACTTTCTTAAAAAAGGAAGAACACCCGTGTTGCCAGATGGCTCAGCTGAATCAACCCCGCTTTTCACTCAGTGGGATGACAGTTGCAGCCACTCATTCTCACATTGTCAATAGCAGTATCAACTCCCATTAGTAAACACCTACTGTGTACCAGACACTTGCTGGTTCAATTTGCAAATTCCTACCTACATGTCTGTAAAACACCCACCATGTGTCTCTTCTCGTCTACCCAAGAGGTGGTCCATGGCCAGCAGCCTGTAGCTTGACTGTCCACATTCCTTGCAGGGCTCACTGGCAAGATGAGTGTAGGAGCAAAGACAAGTCAGACCCTGAGAAGCCATTAATATGTAACTGGGAGACTTCCTTCCTCCCCCTCTCCCTCCCTTCCTCCTTTCCTCCCTTCCTCCTTTCCTCCCTTCCTTCCTTTCTCCCTCCCTCCCCACTGGAATGCCATCTGGTAGACAGCCTAAGGATCCAGCCTTCTGGATATCAAGGAAAAGGCTGAAGGAGGTCCTGTGACAAATGGCAGGTCTTTACGAAAACTTCCAGCTTCACAACCTTAATAAGTTGATGGTCATTCCTGGGCCCTGATGGAATGCTGTGCCACTTTGATTCTTAGGTGAGCCCTAGCTGAGAGGCTTCAGATTTCTTCTTAAGAAATCATGTTCTTTTTCAAATCAACATTTTATGTGTTGCTTTCCCTTTCTTTCCTCATCTAATAAAAGGGATCAAAAAAAAAGGAAAGTGTCCCATTGGCTAGGTAAGGCACAGCTGATAAATTATGGTTTCTGCTCAGCACATACCTTTTTTTTTCCTATAAGTTGGCTATAAGCTGCAAAGCAGGGAGTCTCCCTGGTACCTATTAGGCATTCCATTTCTTAGCCTCTGGGAGCAGAGTGGCCATTCAGTCTAGGGAAAGACAAACACCAGTGTATTCATCCCCGTTTCCCCCCATCTTATGCTAGGAACCATCTTCTACCTGGGCTGCTCCCAATCTCATGCCCTGCACATTGCAAGCTCAAAGCACAGGGAAACAGCAGGGCCAACTTGTCGTCTCTCCTTGCTTCTCCCTTATCTTTACCCTTATGAAAAAACAAATACCCCTGGACCTTGGTCTCCTTATCTTAATACTCCAAGCAAAATACAAACTCTTTTTTTTTCTCACCTGGCACTATTTTCCCAGCCTATTTGGGAAGAAACCATGCATATCCCCAGGCACAACTGTCCCTAAATATAGTGATGTTCAGCCTTGATGGAAAATGGGAGGGTCTTCTTATAAAGTAGCCTATGATCCACCATCTCTTGCTATGTAAATCTACATAAATCAATTCAGGATTGGCATTCTATTTGCCTCTGACTCTTCTGAGAGTGCTGTGGCATGATGATTGAGAGGACAGACTTGGAAATCAGATCTTCTGGGTTTGAAATGGGGCTCTACCACTCACTTAGCTTATTTGTGCCTTAGTTTTTTTATCTGTAAAATACAGATAACAGTAGTACTCATCTCTTGGGCTTGTGGTGAGATTAAACGAGTTTACATTAAAAAGTGCCTGGTATATAGTATTTCCTTATATGTAGGTTAGCTCTTTGAAAAAAGAGCATTATAACTCAGTAAGTAGAACACATTTTCTGGAGCTAAACTGCTTGTGTTTGAGTCTGCTCCTCCCTAGAGATGTAACCTTGGGCACATTTCTTAATCTCTCTATGCTTTAGGTTCCTCATCTGTAAACTTAAAAATAAGTAACAAGACCCCTCCCTCAAAGGATTGTTTGCAGGACCAGATGACATCTTATAGCTAAAACACTTAAAACAATGCTAGGCACACACAAAGTTCTAGGCAAGCTTTAATTGTCATTGATGTCATGCTCACAGTCGATGAGCTGCTGTGGTCATACTGTTGAAAATAAGGCACATTCTAAACATTCCAGGTACCACTAGAGTTGAGCTAGTATTGTTTGAATGCTCTGTCTTACTGTATTCCACTGAATTTAAAGCAACTGATACCAGATAAGCATATTCTTTCTAGAAAGTACTGTAGAGATTATAAGGTAGTAAGACACTTACTCCTCTGAAGGAGCTTATCTGCAATTCAAGCCAGAAGCATGTAAATTGTTGGATGGCAACAATTGCCAGTCAAGAAAACAATCCCATTTATAGTAGCATCAAAAAGAATATAATACTGTGCTCACTTTGGCAGCACATATACTAAAATTGAAAAGATACAAAGAAGATTAGCATGACCTCTGTGCAAGGATGACATGCAAATTTGTGAAGTGTTGCATTTAAAATGTTTAAAAATTTTAATTAAAAAAGAATACAGTACTTATGAATAAATTTAACCAAGGAAGTAAAAGATCCGAACCTTATATGAAAACCATAAAACATTGGTGAAAGAAATAGAAAACTACACAAATTAATGGAAAGATATCTCATATTCATGAGTTGAAAGAATTAATATTGTTAAAATGGCCATGCTACCCAAAGCAATATACAGATTTAACATAATCTCTATCAAAATTCCAGTGGCATTTTTCACAGAAATATGAAAAACAATTCTAAAACTCATGTGGAACTACAGAACACCCTAAATAGCCAAAACAATCTTGAAAAAGAAAAACAAAGCTGGAGGCATCACACTTCCTGATTTCAAATTATATTACAAAGTTAGAGTAATCAAAGCACTATGGTACTGGCATAAAAACCGACATGTAGACCAACGGACCAGAACAGAGCACCCAGAAATAAACCCATGCATATATGGTCAACTAATTTTAGACAAGGCCACCAAAAATATACAATGGGGAAAGAACAATCTTTTCAATCAATGGCATTGGGAAAAGTGGATAGCTACGTGCAAAAGAATAAAACTGGACCCTTATTTTACACTACACACAAAATTCAACCTAAAATGAATAAAAGACGTGAACGTAAGACCTGAAACCATAAAATTGTAGAAGAAAATATAGTGAAAAGCTCCTTGATATTGGCCTCGGCAGTGAATGTTTTTAGATATCACACTGAAAGCTCAGGCAATAAAAGCAAAAGAAAACAAGTGGATCTCATCAAACAAAAGTTTCTGCATACCAAACAAAACAATTAATAAAATGAAAAGGCATCCTACAGACTGAGAGAAAATATTTGTAAACCATATATCTGATAAGGGGTTAATATCCAAAATATATAAGGAATTTAAACAACTCAACAGCAAACAAACAAACAGATAACCTGAATTTAAAATAGACAAAGGACTTGTATAAACATTTTTCCAAAGAAGATGTAAAAATGGCCAACAGGTATAGGAAAAGGTGTTCAATACCATTAATCTTCAGGGAAATGCAAATCAAAACCACGATGAAATATCACCTCACACCTGTTAGAATGGCTTTTATCAAAAAGACAAAGATAAAAATTGTTGGTGAGGATGTGGAGAAAAGGGAAGCCTCCTACACTGTTGGTGGGAGTCTAAACTGGTACAGCCATTATGGAAAACTATGAAAGTTCCTCAGAAAATAAAAATAGAACTACCATATGATCCAGCAACCCCTATGCTGGGTATGAACCAAAAGGAAATGAAATCAGCACCTTGTAAAGGCATCTGTCTCCCATGTTCACTGCAGCATTATTCACAAGAGCCAAGACATGGAAACAACCTACATGTCAGTTGATGAATGACTGGAAAACAAATTGTGGTGTATATACAATGGAATATTATTCAGCATAAAAAAGGAGATACTGATATTGACAACAACATGGATGAATCTGGATGATAATATGCTAAGTGGAATAAGCTGGATACAGAAAGAAAAATACCTCATGATCTCACTCATATGTGGAATCTAAAATAAAGTCAAAAATATAGAGAGAGTAGAACAGTAGTTACCAGTGGGGAGTAAATGGGGAGAAGTAGATCAAATGATACAAAGTTATAGTTATATAGGGATGAATAGGTCTAGGGATCTAATGTACAGCATGAGGACTATAGTTGACAATATTGTATTATATGCTGAAAATTTGCTAAGATAGATTTTAGGTGCTCTTAACCACCCACAAAAAATGAGGCAACCACATAGGGTGATAGGTATGTTAATCTGCTTGACTAGTAATCAACTCACTGTGGATATATAGATATATATATCTATATATCCAAACTTTAAGTTGTGCACATGAAAGAAAAGAAGGAAGGAAGGAAGGAAGGAAGGAAGGAAGGAAGGAAGGAAGGAAGGAAGGAAGGAAGGAAGGAAAGAAAGAAAAGAAAGAAAGAAAGAAAGAAAGAAAGAAAGAAAGAAAGAAAGAAAGAAAGAAAGAAAAGAAAAAGAAAGGAAGAAGGAAGGAAGGAAAGAAGGAAGGGAGGAAGGGAGGAAGGAAGCAAGGAAGGAAGGAAATTGCCAAATTAATATCTTTGTATGTTAATTGTAGAAAGTGCTAGATACAAGAGAAACAAAATTCCTGATCTCTGACAATGAGAATGGGTGTATGACACACAGGGAATCTTACAGTTAAGATGTTTCATTCAGCAAAATTCCCTGTTTCCAAACAGAGCACTTAACACAGAATTCACTGAACAACAGGGACTCTGTATTCTCCAACTTTATCTTCACTCAGTATAAGCTTCAGGTTGTTTGCAGAGCTGTGGCAAACAAGTGGCAAGAGGCCTGCTTAAATACATAGTTTGTGGCCTTATGATACTTTTTCTAAGCGCAAAACGAAATGGCCACTCTAAGGGGGATTGCAAGCGTGAGCTTAATTGCGTTAGCACTGGGCGTGTGCCGACGGAGTTAATCAGCTTATTGGACAGGCCTCAGAAGGAGCAGCATCATCCCTGCCACTCCCACCCCCCCATCTCAGTGGTTTCATTGTGAAAACTTTCTAGTGCATTGAGAAACCGAACAAACAAACAAACAAATTAAAAACACATCAATTTCCTGAAGTCAGCTACCTGAAGCCACAGTTCATTATTTTTTAAAGTGCAAGCAGATCCTGTCCTACAAATGAATATACTTAGCACTAGCCACTCCAGTGTTCAGACCCTCATTGCCTTTGCCATTAGAGCTTGCAGCTTTTAAGAAATCTCTGGTGGGGCTCCAAATTTCAGAAATGGAAAAAAACTGTGAACGGCAGAACCAGCTTAGGTAGCTGCATCAAGCACTTAGGCTGAGCCAACCTGTCTGCTGGTTGATGTCTGCCTTTCTCTCTCAGCTCACATTATAGATGAAATGTGCATTTGTGGGCCTGGCCTGGCACTGTTATTCTATGGGAAAATGTGTGTTCTTAGTTCCAGACTTTTGAACGCAGACCATTTCAAGTCGGGAGCAAGAGGAAGGATTGTGTATTAATTACAATGTCTTCCCTGTATTCCTGCAACCATCTTCTCTCCATTGGGGAACATCTGTGGTTTGACAAATATGGGAAAGAGCACACTGTCTCAGGATTCCTCCCAACAACTGCCTTATGGCCAGAAACAAATTTCTCACTGTTGCAAGGAGAGAAGTCATCAAAGAATGGAGGACAGAGACGAAGGACACTCATCCAAAACTCAGTGGCAGCTTCTCCCCATCTGTGTCTCAGAAAAACAGTCAAAGCCAATTAGTGTGTCCTCACCTCGAATTCTTCAAACAGGCTAGATAGAGACCCTGCAGAGAAAGGCCACAATTTTGAATGGAAGTGACTAGCACCTTGGGGTCTGTGAATGCAAATTGCATTCTGTCTGGATCCAGCATCCCTTGGCAGATGGAATCAGCATTAGGTGTGACGTGTTCAGCAAGAATCAACACGGTGGATTTGGCCTCTTCTTTGAGCTGTTGGGCAATAAGCCCAGAGTCAATCTAGATGTGCTCTGACAATTTTGATACTCAGTGCTGTCACCAGTGTAGCCCATCACAGGCCACCCCATTATCACCTGCCCAAGTGAGATGCAGGTTTGTGCCAGCTGGGAGACAGGCAAGAAGCATGTCCAGTGTGGTCTGATTTGCCATCATTATTTGCTTGGGCAAATAGACACTTGGATTTCAAGTACTGAGGTGCTATCAAATGCAGAGCCCTGACATTTGAGGAAGGTTTTTTTTTTCTTTTTTTTGGAAATGGAGTCTTGCTCTGTCACCAGGCTGGTGTGCAGGGGCGTGATCTCGGCTCACTGTAACCTCCGCCTCCCAGGTTCACGCCATTCTCCTGCCTCAGCCTCCCAAGTAGCGGGGACTACAGGTGCATGCCACCACACCCAGGTAATTTTTGTATTTTTTTCAGTAGAGATGGGGTTTCACCATGTTGGCCAGGATGGCCTCAATCTCTTGACCTCGTGATCCTCCCACCTTGGCCTACCAAAGTGCTGGGATTACAGGCATGAGCCACCGTGCCCAGCCAGAGGGAGGTTTCTTTTTTCAAAAGATCTCTAAGGGCTGGATGCAGTGGGTCACACCTGTAATCCCAACACTTTGGGAGGCTGAGGCGAGAGGATGACTTAAACCCAGGAGTTTGAGACCAGGCTGGGACACATAGTGAGACCACATCAAATAAAATAAAATATAAAATAAAATAAAAAGACATGATGATGCTACCTGTTAGTCTTGCAGACCTGCTGGGGATGATGAACCTACATATGTGGAACCCTGGGGGAGGATCAGCAACTAGTATGCCAATTGCTTCTAGAGGAAAAATAGAGCAAACCCTTTTCTTAAAAAAAAAATTTTACTTTAAGCTCGGAGATACATATGCAGAAGGTGCAGGTTTGTTACATAGATATACGTGTACCGTGGTGGTTTGCTGCACCTATTGACCCATCATCTAGGTTCCCTCCACTCACGCCCCCTACCCCCTAACAGGCCCCAGTGAGTGATGTTTCCCTCCTTGTGTTCGTGTGTTCTCACGGTTCAACTCCCATTTAGGAGTGAGAACATGTGGTGTTTGGTTTTCTGTTCCTGTGTTAGTTTGCTGAGAATGATGGCTTCCAGCTTCATCCATGTCCCTGCAAAGGACATGATCTCATTCCTTTTTATGGCTGCATAGTATCCCATGGTGTATTCGTGCCACATTTTCTTTATCCAGTCTATCATTGATGGGCATTTGGGTTGGTTCCATGTCTTAGAGCAAACTCTTTACTAAGACATTCAAGACCCCTTCCAATTTGGCCTCATCCAACTTTTCAACCTTCCATCTACTATGTGTGGCAGATTATATTTTCCAATGGTGGCCGCTCCAATGTATTTACACACACACACACTATACATGGAAAATATATAGCATATGTATATATCGCATATATAAAAAATGTGTTTCATCCCAAATGGTCTTATTACAATGTTCCTCACACTCTTCTCACTGAGAAGTGGATTCTGGGTTTCCGCTCCTTGAATCTGAGTAGGGGCTATGGTGTAGTGATGCTGTGTAACTTCCAAGGGTATGTCAGCCAAAGGGTACAGCTTCTTCCTGGTTTGCTCTTTTTAGGATATACATCTCAGGAGCCCTGAGCTGGTACAAAAAACTGCAGTTGCCCTGAGGCTGCCATACTGGAGACACCATGCAGGGAGCCCTCATAGAGTCAGATATTCAAGGTGCCTCAGCTATTCAAATCCCTAGCTCTTTGAGTCTTCCCAGCTCATGAGTGAGCAAGCCTTCATATGATTATAGCCTCAGTCTTCAGGCCACCCCAGTCGATGCCATATGAACCAGAATGAGCTGATCCTGTTGAGCCCTGTTTAAATTCCAGATTTATGAGCAAAACAAATGTGTTAATGTTTTAAGGCATTAAATTTTTGATGGCTTGTTACACAGCCATAAATAACTGAAATACCACATGTCCCAACACTATACTCCAAGTATGGACCACTCACTGAACCCAAAACCTCCTGTTCATTTATTCCTTCCCACTCTGTCCTACCCACACCGTGAATGTCCCCTCTGCCTAAAATTCCTTTGCCCTCTCTATTTATTCATTTTCCATTCCTGCATTCAACAAATACTTGTGAAACACCTACTGTAGGGTTACTATGATGAATAAAACACGTTCTCTGCCCTCAGGAATCTCATAGTTTAGTCTTAGTAGGACAGAAGCAAATTGCCAAACTGATGTGGCTGGCTGTGTAATGCTAGAGATACCACCAAATGATAGCCACCCTTCAAAGTCCATTTCAAATCCTACTTCCTCCAGAATGTCTTCCCTGTACATCTCAAATCATACTCCTTTCTCTCTATATTGAGATATTCAGTGATGTGCTGAAGTTGCTTCATATCAGCTCATGAAAGCTAACTGTACATATCTCTTCTCAATTCTGTGTTCAGTACTTCACATTAGTAGTTTGAAATTAATCATTGTGGGAGTGTTTACACCATGGAAATTGGCAAAGACTATATCAGCACATCCCCCCCACCCCAGCTTTTCTTTTTGGAGTGCTGGTTTTTAAACACTGACCATTATGCCTCTGGAGATACCTCTCACTTGGTAACCATCAGGGGTTAACTTTTGGGATAGATGCCATTACACCAAAAAATAAACGCATCCTCTGGGAATAAAGCTGCTTTAGAAAATAATTGGATGTGTTGGTGGAAAGATGATAAGGACTTCCTAAAACATGTAGAGCAGTGCTGGCAGTGAGTCATTTGGCTCTGTTATGGACAGTTTGCTGGCTGCTGGATTTTCTTTCTTTTTTAAGAATGATGTTGCAAAATTTTTACAAGCCTGTCAAGGTGGTTAGTAGATAAGCTTAAGCAACTCCCAGGGCTTCAGTAGTCAGAGGCGGTGGAGAAATCTACTTGCTGCCTCCTGGTGTCTGGCCACTCAAGTAATAGACAAGGGAATCACTTGTGCAACTCCTGCCTGCTCAGCTCTCACACCTGCTTCACCATCACACCTGCAACAGGGATATGGGGTTTTTCCTTACAGAAGTTTCCTTAAATGGCAAATGAAAACATTTTCTGGCTCCCATGGATTTAATTGTGGTTCCCTCCCCCAAAATATAAGTTGAAGTCCTAACCCCCGGTACCTGTAAATATGACCTTATTTGGAAATAGGGACTCTGCAAATATAATCAAGATGAAATCATTAGGATGGGTTCTAATCCAATACAACTGGTGCCTTTATAAGAAGAGGGGAGACGTTAAAGACAAACATGAACAGAGGAAAGGCTATGTGAAGACAGACACGCCAAGTAAGCTTTTATTTATTTATTTATTTATTTAATTTTTTTAACAAAAACAGGCTGTGGGCTGGGTTTGGCACATGGGCTGTTGTTAGCCAACTCCGACCCAGATTCTTCCCCTTAAGTAATGAAGTGCTCATTTCCTCAATACTCCCTCAATGGGAGGACTGGTGACTGCCAACTCTCAGTTGAGTCCCTCTCCAGTTTAGATGAAGAGAGCTGCTTCATCCAAAATCAGACACCCTCCTGAGGGCAGCCTGGATCCAATGACTGGTAGAGCCTTAACTGAGAACAATTCAAAGAGGCCATCCCTACTCCCAGTGAGATCGACAGACCTTGGCTGTGATGTGGCAAATTCTGCCACTGCCCCTGCCTAATTCTTTCTTCATTCCTTACCAAGTGTTGTTCCAAAGACACTCCCCCAACAAACTTCATGCATGGCACCCAGTGCCTAAAATAAAAATTTCAGAAGGAGAGGGAAAACAGAAGGCAGCTAATATTTGAAGAAATAATTAATAAAGACATCCCAGAAAAAAAAGGTGGAAAAAACTGGAATGAAAGAGTCAGATAAATATTGCAAAGGATAATGAAGAAAACCTCACTATTTTGACATCAGCTGAGTGTATTACACCTCTATTTCAGCATGAACCACCTGGAATTAGTACAGGTTCCACAAGGTAAGGGGTTCAGTCCTCTCTAAGACTGTCCTGATTTCAGACACAAGCAGCAAGTTCAGGGGTCCCCAGGTTATCCACACTTCTGATTGACTGGCTACAAATTTCGAAGTTCCACAATGCCCTCAGGTTCAATCATTTGTTAAAATGACTCACAGACCTAGAAAAGTGCTATACTTATGATTACAATTTTATTAAGCATACATATCAGGAAGAGACAAATGAAAAGATGCATAGGATGAGGTCTGGGAGGGTCCTAAACACAAAACTTACGTGACCTTTCCCTGTAGAATCAGGACACATCATCCTTCCAGCACAATAATGTGTTCACCAACTGGTGAAGCTCCACTGAGTTTGGTGTCTAGTTTTTACTAAGGTTTCCTTGTATAGGTATGATTGATTAAACCACTAGGCACATGATTGAACTGAATCTCCAGCCACCACGCCCCTTCCTGGAGGTCAGGCTGGCTCAAAATCCTACCTTGTGGCTGGTCTTTCTGGTGACCAGCCCCTACCTTGAAGCTATGTATGGGCCTACCAGGAGTCACCTCATTACCATAACAAACCCACTGCTATCACCCAGGAAACTCCATGGGTTTTAGAAGCTCCATGCCAAGAACCCAGGACAAAGACCAGACAAATTATTTATTATCTTTGAGGCAGGCAAAGCACTTGAGGTCAGGAGTTCCAGATCAGCCTGGTCAATATGGTGAAACCTCATCTCTATTAAAAATACAAAAATTAGCCAGGCACGGTGGCATGTGCCTGTATTCCCAGCTATTTGGGAGGCTGAGGCAGGAGAATTGCTTGAACCTGGGAGGCAGAGGTTGCAGTGAGCCAAGACCATACCACTGCACTCCAGCCTGCGTGAGAAAGCAAGACTCTGTCTCCAAAAAAAAAAAAAAAAAAAAAAAAAAAAAAAATATATATATATATATATATATATATTTTGAAATCCAGCTCCGCCACCTTACCTCAGGGTCATAACCTCGGTGATCCTCAATTTCCTCGTATGTAAACTAGGAGTAATGCCTACCTCAGAGAGAGGAGGTGAGGATTCTTTGAGATAAGGTATATAATGCATAATAGCAGATGCAATGCATAATCCTTACTAAATAATGGTTTCTTTATTTTCCAAAAAGTGACAATGACTTCCCAAGGACAGGGAGAGGAGTTGGGTCACAATTAGGGGACCTCAAAGCAGACACAGATGAGACATGGTGTCTGCCACACCCAAAAGCCCTTTCTAATCAAGGTGTTCAGGAAAACAGCTCTATGTGATTCTTTGGGCATGGGTAGGTGGTCATTGAATAAACTGTGTGTGCACAAGGCTCATTCCTTAGCCTAGCCAAAGATCCTTGAGGCTTTCTACCCAACAAACGATTAGTAATGAACCAAATCAAAATCCAAGCCAGGTTGCCGGAGCAGGAAATCAGCCAAAGCAGGAGAGAAGTAGTGATGCCAAGTTACAGAGCCCATGTGAGCCACGAGAAAAAGACCAAATCCATCCTGAAAGACAGAAACCATTGCGAAAGCCACCCTGTTTCTTGACTAGCTTTCCAGATCCAGGAGCAGCTCAAGTGTTTCCTAGCCATAAGTCCTTTTTCTCTCAGTTGGCTAGAATCAGTCTGTTTCTTGGAACCAAGGAAACTTGTGTATACATTCTGTAATATACCTTAATAAAAAGGAATGTGGCCGGCCCTCCATATCCATGGGTTCCACATCTGTGGGTTCAATGAAGCAGACCAAAAATACTCAAAAAAATAAAAACGAAAAACTAACAATACAACAATAAAAAAATACAGACTTTAAAAATACAGTATAAGAACTATTTACATAGCATTTACATTGTTTTAGTCATTAGAAGTAATCTAGAAATGGTTTAAAGCAGGGGTCCCCAGCCCCAAGGCCACAGCCAGGGACTGGTCTGTGGCCTGTTAGGAACTGGGCTGCACAGCAGAAGGCGAGCCGAGGGCAAGCAAGCAAGAAAGGGAAGCTTCATCTGCATTTACAGCTGCCCCCCTTCACCCACATTACTGCCTGAGCTCTGCCTCCTGTCAGATCAGCAGCAGCGTTAGATTCTCATAGGAGCATGAACTCTATTGTGAACTGCTCATGTGAGGGATCCAGGTTGTGTGCTCCTTATGAGAATCTAATGCCTGATGGTCTGTCACTGTCTCCCATCACCCCCAGATGGAACAGAACATCTAGTTGCTGGAAAACAAGCTCAGAGCTCCTACTGATTCTACTTTAGGATGAGTTGTATAATTATTTCCTTATATATTACAATGTAATAATAATAGAAAATAAGTGCACTGTAAATGTAATACACTTGAATCATTTCAAAACCATCTCCCCACCCCGGTGCATGGAAACATTGTCTTTCATGAACCCAGTCCCTGGTGTCAAAAAAATTGGGGATCACTGATTTAAAGTATACAGAATGATGTGCTTAGGTTAGAGACAAATATTACACCATTTTATATGAGGGACTTGAGCATCCTCAGATCTTGGTGTCTGAAGGAGGTCCTGAAACCAATCTCCCACAGATACCAAGGAACGACTATATAGACTTTGCTCTCCTCTTTGAGAAAAATATGTGTACATTTTGGACTGGGCCATCACTAACTATCCACAGAGGTACATGAGAAAAATGACCTGAGACCACCTCAAACATCACCCAACAGAAAACATATATCCAAAGAGCAATAATATGATTCACTTTATGCAGAAACACTGAGTGTTTACCAGGTTCTTTCTCTTCTACGCAGCATGTGAATCTCCTTCCTAGTTCCTGGACTCCACCATGGAGTCTTGGTGGTGGGAGAGGCACAGCTAGTCACAACACACAGATCTTCTCTCTTCCTACCTTCTGGCATTGAGGGTGTGCACATATGACTTCAGCTTAGCCAACTGAAGGCTTCTACAGGGACTCTAAACCATAAATGAGTGACAGATATACAAAAGCACATATCAATGATTAGCAGTGACAGCCATGCATAGCAATGGTAACTGCACTGACTGCCAGGGGGAGATTATGATGGGGGAGGGGCCTCAGAAGCAATGAGTGGTACAGTGAGGGGTGTACAGAAGTACATGAGTGATATAGATGGGGATGTTCAACAGTGATATAGATGGGGCATATAGTGGGGGGTACTCAAGAGTAATGAGGGGTGTGACTCACGCCTGTAATCTCAACACTTTGGGAGGCCGAGGTGGGTGGATCACAGGGTGAGGAGTTCGAGATCAGCCTAACCAATATGGTGAAATCCTGCCTCTACTAAAAATACAAAATTTAGCCAGGGGTGGTGGCGTGCACCTGTAATCCCAGCTACTCAGGAGGCTTAGGCAGGAAAATCACTTGAATCCGGGAAGTGGGGGTTGCGGAGAGCTAAGATCATGCCACTGTACTCCAGCCTGGGCAATAGAGTGAAACTCTGTCACCAAAAAAAAAAAAAAAAAAAAGTAGTGAGGGGTACAGTGGGGGGTGTTCAGGAATAGTGAGTGTGTTCAAGGGCAGTAAGGAGTACAGTGGGGTGTTCAGGAGCAGGGGGTACAGTGGGGGTGTCTAGGAGCAGCAGGAGGTATAGTGGGGCTGTTCAGGAGTAGTGGGGGATGTTCAGGAGCACTAGTGGGTACAGTGGGAAGTGTTCAGGAGCACTACGGGTACAGAGGGAGTGTTCAGGAGCAGTGGAGTGTTCAGGAGTACTGGGGTGTTCAGGAGCACTTAATGATATAGTGGGTAGGTGTTCAGGAGCAGAGGGGATGTTCAGGAGTAGTCGGGGATAGAGTGAGGGGTGTTCAAGAGCAGCGGATGGTACAGTAGGCCTGTTTAGGAGTAGTGAGGCAATATTCAGGAACAATGGTGATTACAGTGTGGGGTGTTCAGAAGCAGTTGGGGGTAGGGCGAATGGTGTTCAGGAGCAGTGGGGGGATATTTGGGGATAGTGGTTACAGTGGGGGATATTCCGGAGCACTGAGAGGTACAGTGAGGGTGTTCAGGAGCAATGGGGGATATAGTGTGGGGGTGTTCGTGAGCAGTAGAGGGTACAGTTGAGGTGTTCAGAAGCAGCAGGTGGTACAGTTAGAGGTTTTCAGGAACAGTCGGGGGAAGAGTAGAAATGTTGAGGAGCAGTGAGTATATAGTGGGGAGTGTTCAGAAGCAGTGGGGGTGCAGTGAAGGGGTGACCAGAAACAGTAGGGGGTACAGTGGGGGTGTTCAGGAACAGTGACTGATCCAGTGGGGTGCTCAGGAGCAGTGAGTATACAGCGGGGGTGCTCAGGAGCAGTGGGGGAAATAGTAGGAGGATGTTCAGGAGCAGTAAAGGGTACAGTGAGGTGTTTTTAGGAGTAGTCAGGGTACAATGGAGAGTGTTCAAGAGCAGTGCAGGGTACAGTGGCCGTGTTCAGAAGCAGTGAGGGAGGGGTGAGTTCAAGAGAAATGGGGGGTGTTCAGGAACAGTGGGGGATATAGCAGGGGTGTTCAGGAGCAGTGGGAAGTACAGTGGGGTGTTCAGGAGCAGTGGGAAGTACAGTGGGGTGTTCAGGAGCAGTGGGAAGTACAGTGGGGTGTTCAGGAGCAGTGGGAAGTACAGTGGGGTGTTCAGGAGCAGTGGGAAGTACAGTGGGGTGTTCAGGAGCAGTGGGAAGTACAGTGGGGTGTTCAGGAGCAGTGGGAAGTACAGTGGGGTGTTCAGGAGCAGTGGGAAGTACAGTGGGGTGTTCAGGAGCAGTGGGAAGTACAGTGGGGTGTTCAGGAGCAGTGGGAAGTACAGTGGGGTGTTCAGGAGCAGTGGGAAGTACAGTGGGGTGTTCAGGAGCAGTGGGAAGTACAGTGGGGTGTTCAGGAGCAGTGGGAAGTACAGTGGGGTGTTCAGGAGCAGTGGGAAGTACAGTGGGGGTGTTCAGGAGCAGTGGGAAGTACAGTGGGGTGTTCAGGAGCAGTGGGAAGTACAGTGGGTTGTTCAGGAGCAGTGGGAAGTACAGTGGGGGTGTTCAGGAGCAGTGGGAAGTACAGTGGGGTGTTCAGGAGCAGTGGGAAGTACAGTGGGGGTGTTCAGGAGCAGTGGGAAGTACAGTGGGGTTGTTCAGGAGCAGTGGGAAGTACAGTGGGGGTGTTCAGGAGCAGTGGGAAGTACAGTGGGGTGTTCAGGAGCAGTGGGAAGTACAGTGGGGTGTTCAGGAGCAGTGGGAAGTACAGTGGGGTGTTCAGGAGCAGTGGGAAGTACAGTGGGGTGTTCAGGAGCAGTGGGAAGTACAGTGGGGTTGTTCAGGAGCAGTGGGAAGTACAGTGGGGTGTTCAGGAGCAGTGGGAAGTACAGTAGGGTGTTCAGGAGCAGTGGGAAGTACAGTGGGGTGTTCAGGAGCAGTGGGAAGTACAGTGGGGGTGTTCAGGAGGAGTAGGAGATACACTGAAGTGTTTTCAGGAGTAGTCAGGGTACAGTGGAGGTGTTCGGGAGCAGTGGGGGTGTTCAGGAACAGTGGTGGTTATGGCAGTGGGGGTGTTCAGTAATAGTATGGGGTTGCAGTGGAGGGTGCTCAGGAGAAGTGGGAAGTACTCTGGGGGTTGTTTAGGAGCAGCTGGAAGTACAGTGGGAGGTGATCAGGAGCATGAGGTGGGACACAGTGGGAGGTGATTGGGGCAGAGGTGGGACACAGTGGAAGGTGATCAGGAGCAGAGGGGAGCACAGTGGGATGTGATCAGGAGCAGAGGGGGGACACAGTGGAAGGTGATCAGGAGCCAGGGATCCAATGGGGGTCTCTGGAGCAGTGGGGAGTACAATGGGATTGTTCAGGAGCAGTGGGGTGTAATGGGGGTATTCAGAAGCTATAGGAGGTATGGTGGTACAGTGGGGGAGGTTCTCAGGAGCAAGGGGGGAATGCAGTAAATTCTATTTGCTATAGCAAGCCCATTAACAGAGGCCTTAGACATATCTCTAATGCTTTCAATGGTTCTGCACGATTTTCCAGCGGTGTGCTGGTAAACTGACTCCTAAAAAAGCCCCAATTTGTAGCGTTGCTGATTTTTGTCATCTAAATATTCCCACCACAGTGAATTTCCACATCCACATGACTTCACTGGAGCTTCCTATGTGATGCCACTGAATGAAGAGTTAAGAGGAGATTCTAGCAATTGGCTGGTATGAGCCGGCTCCAGCTCTCCACTGTTTATTTCCCTTTAACAGATGATGTGTCAGAATCTCAAAGAATCTCCTTGGGATGGCTTCATTGGCAGAATATAAAATGCTGACTGCACTTCCTTTAAAAAAATAAGGAAAACTTAATGTTGCACATAAAAAGAAGGCTGGAAGCGTCTCGCTTCCAAGACTCTTTCATGTCACTCCCAATATTCATCTTCGAAACCTTAGTTCCTTCCCTCTTTTCTTCTGCCATCCCAGGGTGCCAGCTTAGCACTCCTAATAGAGACAGCTGTCTCACTTCCAGGTACCTAGCCTAGAAAAGACAATATCCAATAATAAGAAGAAAAGAAATAGTTTCTTCCTGGGTATCTTTTTAACAAAAAGAAAATCAGATTTTAATACAGTTTTACCATCTCTGCATATTTCACTGGGCTCAGGGAGCCCACATACCATGGCTTACACACAGAGAAAGTGGGATTTTCTTTCTCTGCACAGGAAGAAAAACATTCTTTGCTTGCATAGTTGTTTTCACCAATGTCCCCTGACCTTTCAGCAGTATTTTAAATGTCCCTGGATCTCAGACACATGGAGACATGAGGGGTAAGGAGAACTGCCACCTGTTCTTTTTATCACTAGCCACCACGTGACTTCTTTCTCAGTTGTAGAATGGAAAGAGGATTGCATTCTTTTTTTTTTTTTTTTAGAGGAAGTCTCACTGTGTCTCCCCAGGCTGGAATGCAGTGGTGCATTCTCAGCTAATTGTAGCCTCCTCCTCCTGGGTTAATGTGATTCTCCTGCATCAGCCTCCTGGGTAGCTGGGATTACAGGCATGTGCCACCACACCTCGCTAATTTGTTTGTGTTTTTAGTAGAGATGGGGTTTTACCATGTTGACCAGGCTGGTGTCCGACTCCTGACCTCAAGTGATCCACCCGCCTCAGTCTCTCAAAGTGCTGGGATCACAGATGTGAGCCACCACACCCAGCCAGGTATTACATTCTATGACTTCATATTTCTACACTTAAACCTAGCCTAGGATCTTAAAAAGTTAAGTCTGGATCATGGAAAGTGAAATAATTAATGCAATGCACCAAGCCCAGTGTTAGAAGTGGACCAAATCTTACTTCCTTTCCTCTCCCTTCCCCTCCCTAACCTTCCCCAGTTCTGTGAAATATCTGCATTTTCTTTTCTTTTTTTTTCTTTTAAAGTACAAGAGTATAACAAAACAAAAAGTAAGCCTCTCCTGAAAATGTAACCCATTATTAAGGAGAAAATGGTGCTTGTGGAAGCTGTGGAGGAAACCTCCGATCACCATTGACACTCTGCTTTCCTGCCTTTGTTTAGTTGCTGGTTGTGATTGTTAATAAGGAAGCTCCAGAGAGTTGAGTTGCTTCCTTTGCTGCTAATGATAGAAATAACAGCTCCAATTTGATGTGACAGGATTGCAGAGTGCCACCAGGCACATGCCCCATTCTTGTCACTTCCAGACTCCTAAAAAACTCCGTGACAATCTGCCTTGTCAGCAGATTCTACCTTGTCCCGTTTGTCAGGGTGGCCTGCCTGTGCATCCATCCATTGCCAACTCCCTGGCAGGCCTCGTCCTGGGCACTGCAAGGGAGACAACACTGACAACTCATTGTAAAAAGTCATGTTTGAAGACAAGGCTTCTGGGATTGAGGCAGTACAATAGTGTGGAAACTACAAGGCTTTGACACCCAGTGACCTTGGGCTTAGGAAGCAGCTGCCATTGCCAAGCACCCACTACAAATGACCTTAAATATCCTCAATCACCATAAGTAATGCTACAACCATCACACAGGTGTGAAGGCCCAGGGATGTTCCATGTGTGCCCACAGCCACCCTGCCAACCCAGGATTTGATTCAGAGCTGCCCCACAGTAAAGTCAAGTCTCCATTGCTCTCTGAGTTTAATCCTAGCATGAGACCTTGAGGGGAAAGATGAGGGTACCAAGAGCTTTGTGGGGGTCATCAGCCAACAGTCAATTGGGGGACCACAGGAATGCAAGAAGCATCTCAGGGAGAAGGTCCAGAGAGAAAAGCAGAAGGCCAAAGCCTAAAGATGGGATTTATTGGTCACAGGAGAAAGGATCTGGGGAATACAGATGAACTAGAAGAGAGGTGAGAAAGGCTCGGAGAAGAGAGTTATGGTCCACCCTTGTTTTGAGATTTCAAATGAGGAGTGGGGGATGATGGAATGATTTGTCCGCTACAGTCAAGTAGTTTCAGCTAAGTGCTAATTTCATGAACTTACAAACTGACATGCCTCCAGGGCCCAGGCAGGTGAGCATCACCAAAGGATGTAGCTGGCAAAAAACAATAGGGAGGGGTGGGGACTGCAGAGAACCTATATCTGTCCAAAAGGAGCATCCAGCACTCAAGTCCAGCTGACTGCAGCCAAATCTCACAATTGTTTCAGAGGGAGCTGGAACTCTCCGTCTTTCTTTTCTTTTTTTTGAGATGGAGTCTTGCTCTGTCGCCTAGGCTTGAGTGCAGTGACGTGATCTTGGCTCACTGCAACCTCCGCCTCCCAGGTTCAAGTGATTCTCCTGCCTCAGCTTCCCGAGTAGCTGGGATTACAAGCACCCATCACTGCGCTCAGCTAATTTTTTTAGTAGAGATGGGGTTTCACCATGTTGGGCAGGCCGGTCTCGAACTCCTGCCCTCAGGTGATCTGCCTCCCTCGGCCTCCCAAAGTACTGGGATTACAGGCATGAGCCCCACTGCACCTGGCCTCCAAGTTTTTCATGTTCTGCCAACAAGACAGTTCAATAGCTTGGAAGCAGCCTGCAGGCCACAAGTTTGCTGGCTCTGCCTTACCTGAAACCTTTGGACCCTCAGGAAATGTAAACACCAGCCCCAACATTTCACAGGTGCTGAGGAGTCCCAAGCCTAAGGCTAAATACTAGTTTTCCTTATACACCTTTTAAATTAGAGGAAAGTATGCATGTGCTACTTCTGTATTGTGATCTGATTTGGCAAAGCAGAACTTTGTGTTGGAAGTAATGAGTGTTAAATCATGACTCTACCAGAGAAAAATGGCACTAATGAGGGTGGATGTTAGGATGAAGGTCAAAAGCAACACTGCAATTGCAGGTTGGTGCCAAAGGCTGGAAATAGGGCATTTTGAACAACTTTGTGATCAAGGGGTTTACTAGAAAGGATAAAACATGGGTAACAATCAGTATCATGTAGAGTGGGACTTTCATTTTTTTTTTCCTCTCACCTTTCTCTCTTAATAGGTGCATATTGGGGTAGAATAACCACCCAGTGCTTTTTGAACTAGTCAAAATGTTTTAAAAAAACAAAAACCCACAACCTAATCTAAAGACAGTCATCACTTAGTAAGCCATGGGAGCATGATTAAAGCCCTCAGGAAAATCGGCATAGAAGGGACATACTTCAGTGTAATAACATACTTCAAGCCATCTATGACAAACCCACAGCCAACATAATACTGAATGGCAAAAAGTTGAAAGCATTCCCTCTGAGAACTGGAACAAGACAAGGATGCCCACACTCACCACTTCTATTCAACATAGTACTGGAAGTCCTAGCCAGAGTGATCAGACAAGAGAAAGAAATAAAGGGCATCCAAATCAGTAAAGAGGAAGTCAAACTGTTGCTGTTTGCTGATGATATGATTGTATACCTAGAAAACCCTAATGACACCTCCAGAAAGCTCCAAGAACTGGTAAATGAATTCAGTAAAGTTTCAGGATACAAAATTAATGTACATGAATCAGCAGCTCTGCTATATACCAACAGAGACCAACCCGAGAATCAAATCAAGAACTCAATCCCTTTTCCAATAGGTGCAAAAAATAAAATAAAATAAAATAAAATACTTAGGAGTATACCGAGACAAGGAGATGAAAGACCTCTACAAGGAAAACAACAAAACACTGCTGAAAGAAATCACAGACAAAACAAACAAATGGAAACACATACCATGCTCATGGATGGGTAGAACCAATACTGTGAAAATGACCATACTGCCAAAAGCAATCTACAAATTAATGCATTCCCATCAAAATGCCACCAGCATTCTTCAAAGAAGTAGAAAAAACAACTAAGATTCATATGGAACCAAAAAAGAGCCTGCATAGCCAAAGCAAGACTAACCAAAAAGAACAAATCTGGAGATATCACATTACCTGATTTGAAAGTATACTATAAGGCCATAGTCACCAAAACAGCATGGTATAAGAATAGGCACATAGACCAATGGAACAGAATAGGGAACCCAGAAATAAACCCAAATACTTACAGCCAACTGATCCTTGACAAAGCAAACAAAAGCATGAAGTGGGGGAAAGGACACCCTATTCAACAAATGGTGCTGTGATAATTGGCTAGCCACATGTAGGAGAATGAAACTGGATCCTCATCTCTCACCTGACACAAAAATCAACTCAAGATGGTTCAAGGACTTAAATCTAAGACCTGAAACTAAAAATTCTAGAAGATAACATTGGAAAGACCCTTCTAGACATTGGCTTAGGCAAAGACTTCATGACCAAGAACCCAAAAGCAAATGCAACAAAAACAAAGATAAAAAGATAAATCAGTGGGACTTAATTAAACTAAAGAGCTTCTGCGCTGTAAAAGGAACAGTCGGGAGGGTAAATAGACAACCCAAAGAACGAGAGAAAATATTCACAATCTATACATTCTACAATCTATACATTCAACAGAGGGCTACTATCTAGAATGTACAAGGAACTCAAACAAATTAGCAAGAAAAAACAAATAATCCCATCAAAAAGTGGGCTAAGGATATGAATAGACAATTTTCAAAAGAAGAGATAAAAATGGCCAAGAAACATGAAAAAATGCTCAACATCACTAATAATCAGGAAAATGCAAATCAAAACCACAATACGATACCACCTCATTCCTGCAAGAATGGCATAAAAAAAAAATAGTACATGCTGGTATAGATGTGGTGAAAAGGGAACACTTCTACACTGCTGATGGGAATGTAAACTAGTATAACAACTATGGAAAACAGTGTGGAGTTTTTTTAAAGAACTAAAAGTAGAACTACCATTTGATCCAGCAATCCCACTACTGTGTATCTACCCAGAGGAAAAGAAGTCATTATACGAAAAAGATTCTCAAACATGCATGTTTATAGCAGCACAATTTGTAAATGCAAAAATATGGAAGCAGCCCAAATGCCCATTAATCAACAAGTGAATAAAGGAAATGTGGTATGATGTGTACACACACACACACACATACACAATGGAATACTACTAGGCCATAAAAAGGAATAAATTAATGGCATTTGCAGCAACCTAGATGGAATTGGAGACTATTATTCTAAATGAAGTAACTTAGGAATGGAAAACCAAACATTGTGTGTTCTCACTCATAAGTGGGAGCTAAACTATGAGGATGCAAAGGCATAACAATGATACAATGGACTTTGGGGACTTGGGGGAAAGGGTCGGTGGGGTGAGAGATAAAAGACTACAAATTGGGTTCAGTGTATACTACCATGGTGATGGGTGCACCAAAATCTCACAAATCACCACTAAAGAACTTACTCATGTAATCAAATACCACTTGTTCCCCAAAAACCTATGGAAATAAAAAATTTAAAAATAAAAAAATAGAGACAAAAAAGACAGTATAAATATAATTCTAATAATAATAACAATAAGCCATGGGAGAACTGGCTGTCTTATCTGAGGTTATCTGAGGGAACTTTCATTTGGTATCTGGTATGTTTACAGGATACCATTGACCCCCATGAGTCAACAGGTGCAAGCAAAACAAATTAAAGGCAAATCTCCTCCCTGCGTGTGTGCATGAGTTTCTGTGTGCTTATAGCACATTTCTCAAACTCATACTTATACTCTCTGTTTAGGGGGAAGGAAGATCCACTGCATGGCATCAGCTGCATCATTGGTTTGCAAGGACAGCTCCACCCTCTCATTTAAATGGATCATCTGTGCCAAGTTCTTCTTGGTCACAGTTTCTGCCCACCTGCCTCCCCAACTAGCATCCCTTGGTCATTGGAGCCCCATCGTCTGGGTCTTCTAATTCCATACCCTTGGATTTGACGTCACATTGCCTATGTTGCCCCAATCTTTTTACCTTTAACTCAGTTCTGAAACCTTGTGCCTAGAGTATTCCAGCACTCCATCTCTCTGGATCTGGAACCCTGCCTTACTTCTGGCAGTAGCACCCTCGCTTTACCCACCTATCCCCATACTGGCATGCAACCTATGGTCAAGATTGATGACAGTCTTCCCTGATATTAAGACTTTCCAGAACTGCCTTCCTGCCAGGAAGCCTGCCTGCCTCCTGGCACATCCTTTCCCCCAGGCCACAGGCCTCACTGCATGAGCTGTACCACTCATTGCCTGTTGCCCATTGGCTTGGCTTGGCCTTTGGAGCATGTTTACAACACATTTTGAAAAGCAGCACTTCAGAACCCAGGAAAAGAGACAGATTGTGACAGCTCCACCCGCAAGCTCCTCAGAAAATGACACCTAAGAAATATGAACACATCAGGAAAAGAGACTCATTCGGCCTTAAGAAAGGAATAGCAAAGAGATGGACAACAGGATATTCTCTTATCTGAGACCTCTGTTCCTGTTTGTTCTTTGGAACAGACACCAGGCTTCCTTCAGCTGGGGCTTATCGAGCACCAGGCAAGGTAATAGGAACCAAGAGCAGAGATGACTGAGACACAGTCCCTGCCTACAGAGATGGCAGAGGGACAAGGAAGATGAACTTAGAGATGGTGCTGGGTGGATCACTGTGTTAGGAGAGGTTTCACAGGAGGCAGCTTCTAGGGGTGGGAAGGAAAGATGAAAGAGGTACTCTTGAATTGGAAGTTAGATGACCGGCCTTTAGTGGGTGAGTGAGGCACACTGACCAGACTGATGGTGTGTAAAAATGACTATACGCATGCAGGAAAGAGTCTGGACTTGGAATCACAAGGGTGAGGCTCGACTTCCAGCCCTGTCACTTATTTCCCCTACAACCTTAGGCAGACCTCTCAGCCTGTTAGAGCCTCAGTTCCTTGTGAATAAACAAGAATTAAGTAAAACCTGCCCTGGCAGCTACTTCACAAGGTGGTAGTAAGAGCATTGTGAATGAGAAATAGCCCTGTTAAATGGGAGGTTGCCTGCCTTCGCTGTCATCCTTGAACAGTGCCCCAGCACACACTAGGGTGACTGAATCATCCTGCTTTGTCACTGGTTTCAGCAGTGACAGTCTCAGACCCCAGGAACCTCTTTAGTCCCAGACAAATGAAGACAGTTGGTTAGTCTGGCACATGTCCTGACCAGAGGAGCTGTGAGGTCCCTGCTGGCCAAAACATTTTTTTACCATTTTCTAAGGTGTACAATGCAGTGGTTTTTAGCATATTTACAAGGTTGTGTAACCATCACAAGTATCTGGTCCCATACATTCTCATCACCCCAAAAATAAATTATTAGCAGTCAATCCCAACTCTCCTTTTGCCACTCTCTGGCAACCACTAATCCAATTTCTATCCCTATGGATTTACTTACGCTGAATTCTTACTCTAGTTTGGAAAGAAATTGACATCTGAAAGCCTTGAATTGTGCCTCTTCTTTATCTCTGAGTTTGCTGATAAGTGAGGGTATTTTTTATGAACACCTTTCCCAAGCATCTCCAGCCTCAATCCATCTCTTCACCTCCCTCAGGAATGGGTATGGCCACAGATGTGCCAATGCACTTCTTCCCACATGCCCTGGTGTGAGGACGCCAACAAGTGGTTCTACACTGTAGCCAGCCAGGTCCAATTCATTTATTAGGATACTTCATTTCTTTGTGTTACATTCACAACAAGGGACATGAATCAATTGTTAATAGGGAAAGTTTAATATTATTGCATAAGAAATATGGCTGTGCCATATTGATTGATTCAGTAGGGAATCAATTTTCCAATCATGATGGAGAAGTTGAGAGATGAGATAAGACTGTAAATGATGCCTCTTTGATTACCACTGTGAATAATACTGATCTTTCCAAAGGAGCTGAAGAATGTGGTAGCTGGAGGGAGTAGAGATGCCAAGCACTCAGGCCAAAGAAAGTGAGAGATTTCTAGGTCAGAAGCCAACTTTGTGAATGACTAAAGCTTTCAGCCAGCATTCTCAAAAGTAAATTAGGGGAAAGCAAAATGGAATGAACCAAAGCCTTTTGTGGGATCCATTGATAAAGGTTTGGTAATTAAAGTCGGCACTATGAGCAATGCTCAGGCCAGGACTAACAGCAAAGCTGTTTCTCCTCCACCCTTGCCAGCACAATAGATGCCGATGCCCATGCTGCCGGGTGCACAAGTGGCATCAAGTCAAGGCTGCAGAAAACAGAGGAAGCCAAACAGACTAGAGTGGCCACAGACCTGTGCTGAAGCAGCTTCCACATTTTTTCTAAACAAGACCTATCTTTCACTTCCTGAAAGGTTTAGGGATGAAAGAGGAAGTAGAGAGAAGGCCAGAGTGTTGCATAGTTCCTCAGCAGAAAGAAGAGTTCGTCTTTACCAGAAGAAACCCAAGCCAGAGGTTTAGAGAGCTATGAATAAATATCACTTGATTTCAGAGATGCAGGACAGGCACAGAAAAACTGGAGGCCCAGGGGAAAGAACAGTGATCAACACAGCCAGGAGCTTAAAACCACTTGTGTAGTCTGGAGCATATCTCTCTGAAAGTCAATGCCAAGCCAGCAGACAGGACCAGGTAGGCAAGCTAAAGGCAGAACATACTGGAAGGAAAACGATCAAGGCAGTTAAACTTTTCCCCACAACTGCACGTGGGTCTCCACTGGTGGATTTAGGGAGCCCAGAGCTGCCCCTGAGCTGCTGGAGCTGCAGCTGCTGCTCTTAATTCCTCCCTGCTGCTGCGGCAGGCAACAGATGGCTGCAAGATAAGGGAGGTACCCTTGAATTCGGAAGTTAGATGGCCAGTCTTTAGTGGGTGAGTGAGGCGCACTGACCAGCACTGATGGTGTGTACAGATGACTATCGACATGTAGGAAAGAGTCTGGTCTTGGAATCACAACGGTGAGGCTCGACTTCCAGCCCTGTCACTTTTTTCCCCTACAACCTTAGGCAGACCTCTCAGCCTGTCAGAGCCTCAGTTCCTTGTGAATAAACAAGAATTAAGTAAAACCTGCCTGGCAGCTACTTCAGCTGCAAGCCTTCTTCAGGGTGTCCACCAATTGTAAATGAGACCATGATGCAGGTAAGTTAAATATGAACTGACAGTAGGTCCACTGTAAATGTGTGTGTTTAATATGATCCTTAACATATGGATAATACATCACAACACCATCACATGACAGTAGAGTCACCGATCTCACAACTAGCTCTCAGTCTCAGGTTACTGAGAACCTAGTTAAACTTTGTGAGGCCGAGGCGGGCGGATCACGAGGTCAAGAGATCGAGACCATTCTGGCCAACATGGTGAAACCCCGTCTCTACTAAAAATACAAAAAATTAGCCGGGCGTAGTGGCGGGCGCCTGTAGTCCCAGCTACTTGGGAGGCTGAGGCAGGAGAATGGCGTGAACCCGGGAGGCGGAGCTTGCAGTGAGCCGACATCCCGCCACTGCACTCCAGCCTGGGCGACAGAGCGAGACTCTGTCTCAAAAAAAAAAAAAAAAAAAAAAAAAAAAATTAGCTGGGCATGGTGGTGTGCGCCTGTAGTCCCAGCTACTCGGGAGGCTGAGGCAGGAGAATCACTTGAACCCAGGAGGTGGAGGTTGCAGTGAGCCGAGATCATGCCACTGTACTCCAGCCTGGCGACAGAGGGAGACTCTGTTTAAAAAAAAAAAAAAAAAAAAGTGACATTCACTTTGCTTCCAGTTGTCTCTACATGGCCTGTCTTCTGTAGCATCTCTCCATGCCAGGATTTAATTTTGGCATGCCCTTCATGCACCTTATTGATGAAGAGATTGTAGGAACAGGGCATAAGATCTTTTGTGGGCTTGTGCAAGTGAACATATTGTATTTTTAGAGTTTATGGGCTTCAGGCTACATAAATGTATTATCAATTCAATACTGACTTGACCAGCAACAGCATACTGGACACACCAGATCCCAGAAGGAAGAACTAGTAGTTGGATAGATGATAGAGAAACCGGATGTAAAAGATTTGTGGAAACTAAAGAGGTAGGACGGGGCCAGCCATGCAGGAGCACTGCTGTGTAATGTTGGCAATAGGAAAACCTTGGGTCAGGATGGGCCCTCACCTCACCTGGGAGTTTTTCTATGCCTGCTGCTGGGGTGGGAGCCAATGGCACCTCAGCCAGCCTCCCCTTGTGATGAGCAACTAACTGGAGGTGCAGCTTCTGGCAGGCAACACCAGCAATAACTCACCCGGGGCTCCCACAGGAGCCTTGTTGCGATGCTGAGATTGTACATGTTCTTAGGCAGGGCCACACCAACTCACAGGTAATACACCAATGACTCTGGACTTTGAAGGGTTGCCCAGGAGGTAAAGCCTCTGTGGTCTTCATTAGTTCCCTTTCTCCCACAGATAACCATCTTCACTGAATTCTGCCCAGTGCCTAATGTTTAACCCTGTGATTTCCTCATGAGCCCACGTTCTACTATTTTATCACAAAATAGCTGAAGATCAGTGACAAAGACGGCCCTCCTTAACCAAACTTTAGTTAGACTCCCCTGAGCCCTTTTCTCTACCAGGCCTCACCTTGGTTTTCTGTGTGCCCTTGGTGAGCTCCATGTTAGCAAGAATCCTTCTAAGTCATCTCCCACCCTTGATATCTGATCAGTTCCTCCCCGCCCCCATCCTTGATATCTGAGTTCTCTGCCTGTTTTTAGCAAGAATCTTCCTACCCTTGGTGTCACCTCTTAGTAATTTTCCATCCACTGACCTCTCATTCTGCCCATTGGCCCTAAGTCCCAAGCTGTCTGCTGTATTAGGAGTTTAGCTCAATCTCTCTCTCCTATTGCAATAGAGTTGACTGGTATTATAATAGTCTTGAACAAAGTCTTTCTTACTGTTTTTTTTTTTCTTACTGTTTTAACAAGTGTCCAGTGAATAATTTTTCTTCTACAGTAGGTCCCATCATATTCTTTCCTAAAATTGCTCCTTCTTTATGAAAGGCAGGAGGTAGCCCTGTAGCCACTTGTCTACCATTTATTTAGATAGCTTAATGACCACCACACTTCACACAGATAATCTAATGACCACCACACTTCAAGAAGATCTTCTTCCCCAAGATTTTCAGTTTCTCTCTTCTGCCTAAGGATTTGATGGTTGTGCTGATTAATGCAAATGGTACTAAATACCATGAGCATTTCATTTGGAAGTTAAGTGGAAAAGCTAATTGTGCATTATGTATCTGAAATTACTTTCATTGGAATGCCTCGGAATGGAATTATCAGGCTTTTCTTTAATTAATTTGGTACAGAAGTTTATTGTGAGGAGCTTCAGGAATAATGCCAAGGCTCTGATAAAAGAGTTGAACTGTTGGCATTCAAGTGTTTGAAAGCCTGGGTTTTACAGTTGGGAGAATTCCCTCCCACCCGCCCATTGCCTGGAAACTCACAAATGGTCTTCACAGCAGAAGAAAGTCAGAAGGACAGCCCAGCAACGCTCCTTCAGCGTACCCACAAATTGCAAATGAGACCATTATGCAGGTAAGTTGAATATGAATGGCAGTGGGCTTTGTCAGCCTAATAAAGGAGTCCAAAATTTCAGGAAGGAAAATGAATAAATAAAATTAAATACACTCAACAAAGTGAAAGTTTCATTCTTAAGGGAAAAAAACATACTTGAGATCTGATAATACATTTTCTTTTTAAAAGTAAAATTTTTTTCACCTCTTAGCAGTGAAAAACTGAATCACTCCTACAACCCTAATGCTGCTTTCCTGAACTCAGCCAGCCCCTATTCCTAGAGGACAGCACATGGAAGTGGCACCTGGCCAGGATGGTGGGATGGGGCATGGGTGTCTGCCACAACTTTAGCCCAGGGTTTAACTCTCTTTAAAAATGCTTTGCAATTTTCAAGATTTTCCTCAAAATATATTTTCCATTCCAGGGAATTTTTTATAATACCTCCAAGAAAGGTATTTTGTTATGTACTATGCTTTAAAAATATTTTTTCTATGTTTTACAAAGTTAGTGTTTGTTCCATTTTGTAAATCACTTCCAATTGACATTGAATTACTAAAGTCTTCAAATAAAGTTTGACTCTAACTCTCTGAGCTGAATTTGCTGGAAATGAAGAACTTTGGAATGTTGGATCTGTGAGAAACTTTAGAAAACATCTACTTTAGTCCTCCAGTATCCAAGGGGGGTACATTCTAAGGCCCCCAGTGGATACCTGAAACCACAACCAAACTCTTTATATATACTATTATATATCTATGATGAAGTTTAATTTATAATTTAGGCACAGTAAGAGACTAACCATAATAACTAATAATAAAATAGAACAATCATAACAGTATGCCAACATCACTACTTTTGTGCTTTGGGGCCACTATTAAGTAAAATAAGGGTTCCTTGAAGAGAAATCCCCCAATTTTAGTCAGTTGGAGAGATGGATTTGAGACTTATTTTCTGTTCTCCTCAGCTGCAGCATCTGATTAAAGCCTTCTTCCCTGGCAATACTTGTTGTCTCAGCGATTGGCTTTCTGTGCAGTGAGCTGCAGGACCTAGACCAAACCCCTGGCATTTTGCTAACAGATCTTGGTTCCCTGATCAGGAGTGCATTGCTCGTGACTTGGCTGTCGAGGGACAGGAGAGTCTCAGAAGCCCTCCTAAGCAGCTAGCCATCTGTCTCTTTTTAGCCAGAGGTAGATTTTTGTGTCTCTCTCTCTGCTCGCACTGTTGCCAGCCCCAACTGTATTCCTGATTGCCTAGGAAGACAGCCTTTGAAATATGACATCTGCCTCCACATCAGTGAGTGTCTTGTGTGGGCCCAGTCAGTGGAATCTGCTCTTCTCAATTTGGGAAATTTTAAAGGAATTTTTGTTTGCAGGTTGAACAAGCCCAACCAATTGAAAAAGGGAAGCACTCTGACCATTTCGGTCTGGACACTCCTGGGGGCTTGTTAGTAATTGTGTGTGTAACCAGATAAATGAGCATCTTTTGTGGATATCAGAGAGCAGGATCAGTTCCTCTTGATATGGGGAATTTTGAAGGAATTTCTGTTTGCAGGTTGAACAAGCCCAACCAACTATAAAAGGGAAGCACCTCAACTACAGTTCAGATACTGTTGGGGCTTGTTAGTCACTACTGCAGTTAGACTGTATTTTTGATTATTTTTTTTCTGTGTGTTGATATAGTCATGGGAAATTGGAATTTGATTCTAGAATGCAGTTGACTTGGGTGTGTTCTTCAAAATTGGTCTGCATATAGTTATAAACGAAAAGAACAAAGAAAAATACTATTCTTTTGTAATGCTATTTGTCCCAACATTCTTTGGAGTTTGGGGAGGCTTGGACTCCATGAGTCTTTCAATTGTAGTACTGTCTTACAAATGGATTCATTTTGCTGTTGAATGGGAAAATAGGATGGAGCTCCATGTATGCAGGCTTTTATGCTTCTGTTCTAACCCTAGTCGGGCACAGTTAGTATGTGACATTCTTCTGTAGTATGCTTGGCCCCCAGTGTTCTTTGGAGTTTTGGGAGGTTTGTCCTTTAGAATTAAACTACCATTGCTTTACCCAAAATTTTGGTCACAGCCCTCATTGGATTATCTATTGAGGTAAACAAAGTTTAGCCATGTGAACATGTTTGTAAACTGATAAATTTATGTTTTTATCTCATGGCTAGAGTTTCAAGGTAAAAGCTATTGGATCTTTTTGTGTGTGTGTGCATATATGTCTAGATGTGTTTATGTGAATGTACATTTATTATATATTGTGTCTACAGAGTACCAAATTGGCTTGTAAACAAAAGAGCACCCATAAGTTAATAAGTCTAAGCATTTTTCAAGTTCACATGACTTTAGTAAATATTTAATAAACAAGCTGGCTTTAAGATTATGGGTAAAATAAAAATAGAAATGTCTTTGGAATATTCAGCATACATTTTTGGTCCAGGTTTTATATTTGCCTGTGCTACATATTTAAAGATGTCAGGGTTTGGCACAAAAGATTATAAGACTATAAACCCAACCAAAAACAAAATGATCTTTGAGTGATTTTTTTGATAAATAAGACTAATTTCATGTTTTTGGTTTTATGAAAACAGCTGAATCTTCTGAGTTATTGATGAAAATACCCAGGTATTTAACCTTAAGCTTCTTACTTAGGTGAACACCTAATATGCACAGGTTATAAAAATTAGTTGACAAAGAAATAATGACTAGTTTTGTCTAATATCTCAGTTCTCCTAAGTAATCTAGATAAATTGCTAAAAGTGAATAAAATATAAATGGGGTAAATACTGTGGGTGAAATTTTTGTGTAATTTAAAATCTTGAAATCATTTGAATGGTCATTAAATGTCTTGGTAATTTCTAATTAAGAAGGGATTATAAAATGGGGAAACATGTTTTTAAAAATTATGGAATGTTCTTATCTAAAAGATGCTGATATCTGATAGATAGTTCAATATTTCTTGCTTCCTAGGTTTTTCATTAAAATGTAAGGTTGCTAAAGAATAAGAATTCTAATTAATATATAATTCTGTATATAAAATGTGACAAAGAAAATGTATCCCTACTGAGAAAAAAATTCTCTAAATTCAAAAGTTATCTAAAGGTTGATTCACATTATGGACTTGAAAAGGTGATTTATAAAATAAAGAAGAAAGGAAACAGTAAGCAGGGGAGAGGAATATGAAAAAGTTAAGATACCATAGGAGAGACAACCATACTACATATGATCTTTCTTTGCTTTTTGGTAACTGGCCTAAGAAACAGATTCTATGTTTTATTGAGATAATTCCTATGTCATTGTTATTAGGTTTTTGATGGCTTAAGAAAACTGGAATTAAAAGGAATGAAGGGCCAGGCATGGTGGCTCATGCCTGTAACCCCAACACTTTGGGAAACAGAGATGGGAGGATCACTTGAGCCCAGGAGTTTAAGACCAGCCTAGGCAACGTAGGGAGGTCCCATCTCTACCAAAAAAAAAAAAAAAAATAGCAAGGTGTGTGGCACTTTCCTGTAGTCCTAGTTATTTGGGAGGCTGAGATGGGAGGATTGCTTGAGCTCAGGAGGTGGAGGCTTACAGCAGGCCATGATTGCACCACTGCACTCTGACCTGGGGAACAGAGCAAAAGCCTGTCTCAATAAAATAAATAAAATTAAAATATAAATAAATTAAGGTTTTTACATCCGTGTAACTTTCTGTATTGCTTTTAAAGTCCTTGGCTGTCAAGTTACAGGCCTTTAACTCCTGGGTCTGAAAAAGGCACCGACTCCTGCTAAATCTTAAACATTGACACCAGTCAAAGCCTTGTCTTCAGACCTGGGAGAAGGCAACAATCAAAATGAGTTGCTTTCATGAGACACAGAGCTATATATTAAAACTATTCAATCCTTCCAGGCCTAGGGACTATCAAGGAAGAGGTGAGTGCATGAGATTTTAAGGGCCGATTTTGAGAGATAAGATTAGTTCAGAATTTTTCTACAAATTAAACATTAATATCAAAAGCACACCAATGC
Source organism: Homo sapiens (assembly GCF_000001405.40). NCBI lineage: Eukaryota > Metazoa > Chordata > Mammalia > Primates > Hominidae > Homo > Homo sapiens. The sequence goes on along the minus strand of NC_000002.12, from coordinate 132,377,449 downwards.
AAGGCCAGCATCTGGGACCCTGTGTCAGAATAACGAGGTTTTCTTGGAGCACTGATCTACATTTTAGTAGAAAATTGTAAAAGGTTATAAAGGATTTATGGAAATATTATCTTTTGGTCAAACTGATTAAAATTAAATAGATACATTCATAAGGTTCCATTAAAATTAGCTTTAACATTAATAGTACACTATACAAATGTTAGAATTTGGTTTTATCTTTTGAACAAAATTTTCATGTAATATTAATAAGAGATAATAAAAGATTGTTGTCTACCTTTTGAGTAAACTGCAGAAAAAAGAGAAAGAAAGAAAGAGAAAGATTTAGTTGGCTTCATGCTGCCTTTATTAGGTTTTATTGTTTGGGAAACTGAGTCTCCTCTCTATCAAAGAATAAATGTTATCATTTTTTTGAAATCTTTGAATTGTCATTTTGGCTAGATGAATGACCTGTGATCCTATTTGGGAATATCAAGTGCTTTAGATCTTTGATATTTGACAAACTTGCAAAGCAAAAATCTCAAGTTCTAATTCAGTTTTTTTTTTTTTTACCTCAAACTAACTTTTGAGATATTAAGTTCCCCCAAAGTCCAAGAGAGACATGTAAGCTTATTTGATATGTCAAAATTATACAGAAAACATTATCAAATATGAAGTTGTATTTAACTTTCTTTGGGTTATATTTATATAAATATGTTATTAATGTGTTCCAAAGTTGTATGAGATTCCTAAAATTCTTATATGTCTTAGTATATGTTATCAGTGATAGTAATAATGATTACTATGTTAAATTGTTGTATGACACAGAAATAACCAAATTTCTTTGTCAACTGTGTTTTTAACTATGGCTGTCCTAAGACTTTTGTCATCCACAATTATTGCTTCATTTTGATTCTTCTCAAAAAGCAGCTTATAATCAGCTACAGTCCAAAACTTACTTCTTAGTCTTAGAAATTTTCTTACACATATACAGAGTAAAGCTGATCTAGATTTCTGAATATCCACACCATTTCTGGATTAGGAAATTACCAAAGAATTTGCTATAGTCACTGTATCTCTACGGACAAAAGAAGAATGTGTAAACATTGGTAGTTTAATTATAGTAGGGTCATTGATAGTTCCTGGATGACTATTGTAATGGGTTGAATAGTGTCCCTCCAAAATTTGTGTCCATCCAAAACGTCAAGATGTGACCTTATTTGGAAATAGGATCATTTTAGGTGGGCCCTAAATCTGATAACTGACCCCTTATGAGAAGAAGAAGGACATGCAGAGATGCAGAGAGTGGAATGCCATGGGCAGCTGAGGGAGGAAATTGCAGTGATACAGCTACAAGCCGAGCCACGCCAAGCATTGCCAGCAACCACTGAAAGTGGTGTGAAAGGCACAGAATTCTCTATCAGAACCTGCAAAAAGGACCAGCTCAGCTAATGCTTTGATTCTGGACTTCTAGCCTCAAAAACCATGAGAGAATAAATGTCTTGGTTTTTTGTTTTTGATTTTGTTTTGAGATGGAGTCTCGCTCTGTTGCCCAGGCTGGATTGCAGTGGCACAATCTCAGCTCACTGCAACCTCTACCCCCCGGGTTCAAGTGATTCTCTCTCCTGCCTCAGCCTCCCAGGTAGCTGGGTTAACAGATGCCTGCCACCATGCTCAGCTAATTTTTGTATTTTTAGTGGAGACGGGGTTTCACCATGTTGGCCAGGCTGGTCTCGAAATCCTGACCTCAGGTGATCCACCCGCCTCGGCCTCCCAAAGTGCTGGGATTACAGACGTGAGCCACTGCACCCGGCCTGTTTTTGTTTTTTTAAAAAACAACTTACTTCTTTAGGAGATTCCATGAAAAAGACTCTTGAATATAGATTTCTGATAACTTTGGTGATTATGCCATTGGACTAAAAAAAGAAATGGCCAGGACTAAAATTACAGAGCTGTTTTTGTTCATGAAGATTGTTAACCCAATATGAAGCAAATACAAGAGTCAATTGCATGCACTGAACTATTAGAGAACTGAAATAATTTTTGTGGCTTTTTTCTTTCAAACATTGCTAATTCTTTTTGTTTTGTTTTTCAGAGTCAAGAAAAATTCTTTTTTTAAGCTATTTTAGCCTTGTAAACAAAACCTGATGCATATTTCTCTATCTCTACTTGAATTCTCCAGAATTCAGAAACTATTTCTGAATATTCTTAATCTGTGGCAATATAGCTATTTCCCTAATTTCAGTAAGAATCTGTTTTCTTTTATTATAACAAGACACAATTGGAGTCACATGGTGTTTCAACAAGCTGGATGCCAGCCAGGTACTCATGAGTACTTCCATTTACAGGGGTAATGTTTTCATTCCTCATGATCATCCCACAATGCCCCCTCTTCCGCAGGAAGCAGCCAAAAGAAATGACCAGCAGATTCCCCATGACTGAGGAATTGATACATAGAAAGTGAAGATTGAAACTGCCTCAATTGTCTCATGGAACTAATATTTACAGTTTTTTGAATAAACATAGAAGCTGATTCTCCTTGGTCTTAACACTTCAAACTTACATTTGTCTCATCTGAGTTCCTTCCTCAGGAGATGAACTGAAACTCATCAGATCACTGCATCTAGGCAGTGAGTCATCAGACCCTTAATCCATCATAACTGCTTCCTTACTCCTCCCTAATTCCTGTTTTCCCTCCTTCTCCACTATACAAACCTCCCAATTTTAGTCATCAGAGAGATGGATGTGAGACTCATTCCCACTCTTCTTGGCTGCAGCACCCGATTAAAGCCTTCTTTCCTGACGACACTCATTTCAGTGGCTGGTTTTCTGTGTGGTGAGCAACAGGACCTAGAACAAATCTCTGGTGTTTTGTAACAAGATTTCAGAACAGCATGCAATTTAAAACTTATGAAATGTTTATTTCTAAGACAGGAAATATTTTAGGCTGTGAAATTAAATAGTTCAAACTTAAAGCTGTTGGGACTTTAAATTATACTGAGTCTTGAATGTGCCTATAAAACCTGAGTCACATGACATCCAGCTGCAAATTCTTCCTTTTGTTTCTGTAAATAATTAAAAAGACCAAGCAGTGCTGGAAATAAGACACCCTCAGATTACTGCCCCTCCTCAAAGAGTAATAAAGTAATCTCTATTGGAATGTGGCAATCTGTAAACAATCAAATTGCTATGGCATGTATACCTGATCTTATATGGAAAATGTTGTAATCCTGCTAGAATTTCTCTGTCTTTGCCTATATAATTGAAACTTTAGCTTCCCCACTTATCAAATGCTGACCCTATTTGTCTGGAGTCAGTGCTTTTGTGGGTGGCCATTCCCAAGCTTTGTGCTCAAATAAACTCTATACTTAATCATCTTTTCTGAATCTCATTATTTAAGATTAACATTCTGACAACCTCTGACTATGGTAGTCTGCCTTTATCTGTGGTTTCTCTTTCTATGGTTTCAGTTACCCACAGTCAATCATAGTCAGAAAACAGTAAATGAAAAATTCCAGGAATGAACAATGCATACATTTTAAATTACATGCAGTTCTGAGTAGCGTGATGAACTCTTGTCACCAAAACACTAAGAGTGTGGTCTAGATCCTGTTGCTTGCCACACAGAATGCCAGTCACTGAGATGAATGTTGCCAGGGAAGAAGGCTTTAATCAGGTGCTGCAGCTGAGAAATTCTCTTGTGGACCTTCAGTGATCCCTGTCACTTCACCGACAGATGGGGCACTGGTACTATCAGAGGCATTCAAACTAGAGCAACTCTACCAGGAATAGGAGTGGGGTAAAACGAGGCTGAGACGTGCTAGGCTGCATTCCCAGGAGGTTAGGGATTCTTAGTCACAGGATGAAATAGGAGGTTGGCACAAAATACAGGTCACGAAGACCTTGCTGATAAAACAGGATGCAGTAAAGAAGCCAACCAAAACCTGTCAAAACCAAGATGGTGACTAAAGTGACCTCTGGTCAGCCTCACTGCTCATTATACAATAATCATAATACATTAGCATGCTAAAGAACTCCCACCAGTGCCACAGACAGTTTACAAATGCCATGGCCATGTCTGCAAGTTACCCTTTACGGTCTAAGAAGGGGAAGAACCCTCAGTTCCAGGAACTCCAGGTTCTTTGCCTGGAAAACTCATGAATAATCCACCCTTTGTTTAGCATATAATCAAGAAATAACCATAAAAATAGCCAACCAGCAGCCCTCAGGGCTGCTCTGTCTATGGAGTAGCCATTCTTTTGTTTCTTTACTTCTCTAATAAACTTGCTTTCACTTTACTCTGTGGATTCACCCCGAATTCTTTCTTGCATGAGATGTAAGAACCCTCTCTTGGGGTCTGGATCAGGACCCCTTTCTGGTAACAGCACCAACGCAAAGGATTTTCATTCACCCAGTTTCACAAGAGTCAATGGAGATCTCTGGTAAGGCCCCTCTTGGTCCAAATCATCCCAGGCTCGCTTGCGGATTCAGACTATTTGAGCTACACACATTCCTAACTCAACGGAGTTGGAATTGAAGCTCTACCTCAAGCTAGGAGTTTCATTTGTTACTCTCTAGAGATTCTGCTAATCATGAATTTGTGAGTTTTACTTTTCTCTGAGATTAAGGGGTTGTTTTGGAATTATTCATTAGAGATTTTGATTTTCAACCTTTTCTCTCATTCAGAATTTTAGTCAGTGGGGAAACAGTTTCTCTCTGGAAAGAGGAAGTGGATCTTTGTGGCTTAAGCAAAAATATAAAAATAAATAAAAAGTGTAATTTTAAAAGCTGGCCAGATTCTGAAGCTTGGCTCAACTGATAAATCTACACTTTCTTCTTGAGTGACCAAAATAAGAAGAGGACAAAATAAGACACTGTTCCTCCTAACCAAAAGGCACCTTAGGTGGCTAAGGTCTTGTGGGAATGTTGGAGCTAATCACTTACAGTGTGAACAGTCTCACGGAAGTCTTTTAAGAAGAACATGCAGGGAGCATTGCTTAACCCAGCGGACACACATAAAGGCTGGTCATCTAATGCCTTAAGCACCAAGTTTCTTGGAACCACCAAGACATGTAAAAGGGAAGAACCCACTCAAGGCTGACACCTTGAGGAGCTATTCCTATAAGCTGCACACTTGATCCAAAACAAAATCCCATTAGATATTTTTGCTCTTGCGAAAGGAAGATCTAAATTGTGGGCAATTATACTTCTAAAACTGAGTCTTCCTCCTTACAGAGAGAATCACCTTTAGAAACACTAACTGGACTTATGTGTAATACTTACAGCATTTCTTCATGCAAATATTTAGAAAAATGGTCTCACATAACTCCCAGAGACCCCAAATTACAATGGTCCACATGGAGTACCTTTGAAATACCTAGCCTAGTTTATCAGTACAGTCAATTACAAAAAGCAAGCCCTAAAATAAAATAACTGGGGATGGTACCTATTTTCAATGGTACTTAGAAGTTTCTAGACAGGTTCTAATAGTCATTTCTTTGCAAGTGGAAAACAAAAGATTGTCTAAAACACTTTCTGATTTGAAAATGACTGCCCAAAATTTTCCCCCTTCTTCATCTTCTTTTCTTTTGCCAGAACTTCCTTGTCCAAACTTACTTCTCTTTCCTCCTCTACCTTCTGCTGTTCTGGCTCCATTCTGGGAATACTCTGTGTCTGATAGAGGAGAATCTGCCTTGGTTATTGATTATGGTCAAAAGTGGAACTTAAAGATGTAAAGAATTCCTGTATCCTCTTCAGAACTCGATTGAATTTGCTAAAGAATTTGAACTAAATATTTGAACTTATGACTCTGGCTGGATTTTCTGACATATACCAATTGGTTCACATGTTAATATCAGAAAGAAAAGCCAAGACTGGGTAGCAAAGGTAAACTGCAGGAATATTGTGAAAAACTTGCATAAATTTTCTGAAGCAGATCATGAATGGGCCTGCAGTACTGCCAAGTCTTTACTAGATACTATTCCCTTAGTTTTCAAAACAGTAGTTGATTGGAGTAAAATACAGCAATGCCAACAAAATTTTGATGAGCCTATAATATCATACTATGAGAGATTTGAAAAAGTATTTCAACAATATTCAGGCCCATCAGAAGAAAGTTATTCTAATCACCAAAATTATATTCTCCTTAACTCAAAATTTATAAATGGACTAGATGAAAAACTGGCAATTATAATAAAGAGACAATACCTTGGTTGAGCTACCTCTCAAACTCATGATCTAGTTAATTTTGCTGACCAAATGTCTTACACTCTAACTGACATGGACAGAAGACAGGGAAATACAGTGTAGAAGAGGGACGTTCTCTGGCAAAGATCCCACCCTCAAACTTGGAAACCCACAGCCCGAATTGAGAACAGGCATTCCTATTTTTGCACCCAAAAGTTGCCTTTTGGCCTGCCACACCCCTTACCCTGTACCCACATAAGCCCTCAAACCTCAGGCTCTATGGACAGATGAGCAGACGAGGAGATGAACAGAAAAACAGATGGATGGCAGAACCGTGCAGCAGACAGAAGAGAAGGAGTATCTGAACACTGACAGGAGTTCGACTGGGGACAGTCGGAGAGGAGATCGGCCTCTGGACATCCAAACTCCAGAGGAAGATCATCTTTCCACTCCATCTCCCTTCCAGCACCCCATCCATCCTGCTGAGAGCCACTTCCACCTCTCAATAAAACCCCTGCATTCATCCTTCAAGTCTGTGTGTGACCTGATTCTTCCTGGATTCTGGACCAGGACCCGGGTACCAAGAGGGTACTAAGCTGGTTAACACTGTCCATGGACGGCAAAGCTAAGAGAGCACACTGTAACACATGCCCACTTGGGCTTCAGGAGCCTTAGGTACCCACCCCTGGATGCTGCTGTGGGGCCAGAGCCCAGGGGCACTCGCCCAGGCTCCTGCACCTGCCCATCTGCATGCACTCCCTCCCTTAAGGGGGTTTGAGTGCACATGAAGGCTGAACAGATAAGCCACACATCCTGCAAGGGGGTTCAGAGAACTCTCCCATTTTCATAACCAAGGAAGAAAGAGAAAAGGAAATTAAACAGAGAGGAAAAAGAAATAAGATCATGAATTTACAATTTAAACAATTGTCCAAAACATTTGTAACCCATAAGCAGACTAATAAAGTCCAAAACCAACTCAATTCCCTGCTTTGCAATTACAGCAAAAAGCCTGGATGTTTCTTAAAAATTAAAATGAAAAGAACAGCAACACGCCAGAGAAAAAGAATAGGGATGCTTCGAGGAAGTCAAAGTGGCCTTATCTTTTCTTCTCATTAATACTTCAGGGGAAATTATACCTTGATTCTGATAGTATGAGGTGTCAGCAATCACGAAAATCAAGTTATGCTACAATTTAAGGCACTAATGACAATCTTAAGGAAAACCTTAGAGACGTTTTAAAGAAGAATTGCAGGATTTCTAATTATGCACCTACTTTGGGAATGAAGACATAGAGAGGTGCCCTTTGGAGGCAGACAGCTCTGTTTCCGCCACCTTCTACCAGGAAGCCCATCTGGGCTTTTATAATAAAAAAAACCCACAGTGAATGATTTATCCCTGCTTTAGCTCAAGGCTGCGAACACTTCTGCCATTCAAGCTTCTGAGGAGAGGAAGCACTGGGTTCCTTTCATCAATACACAGAGCCCAGCTCCTCCGGGCCCCTACAGGACTCTCATAAAAGGTTACTTAATTGCCAGGACCCACAGGTAAAGCTGACATCCTGGATGAAGACTCAAAGGAGTTGAGTGTACCTTGGGCTGGTTAAGCTCAAGGGATATTCTTTCAAAAACTGTCTAGAAATATTCTAAGCCAAGAAGAAGCCACAGAGTATGTTAAATCATATCTTAACCTGAACGACCGCAGCTGCATAGCTGATAGGTGGGAAATCTTTTCCTTGCAAGGAAAGAGAAACGGCTTAAACTAGCTGAAGTCGAAATGTTTGTTTTGCTTTTTAAAATTAGGATCCTTTGTATGCCACAGAACCCAGCAGCAGAATGTCCAGCTGCATTTCAAAGCACTGGAAAACCATAAGGAGCCAAAAAATCACAATAACTTACCGTTAGCTACTGCTGCAATAATGCTGCATGACAAACAACAAAAAAATCTCACTGGTACAGGCCAAAAAGCCTTCCCTTCTCACACAGCTGCAGGTTGGCTGGGTAGCTCTGATCCCGGCTCACTTGTCTTCTGGTTGACCTCCACCTACGTGCCTACAAAATCCCTTCAGCAGTGTCTCACAGCTTCTCCATGCTTGGCTCCTAATGGCCAGCACGTGTTCCCTTCTTCAGTGATTGCCCGTGCACTAACTACTAAGGGTGTGGGAGTGTGAAAGTCCCACTCCTTTGTCTTGAGATGGGATAAACTGTGGGGTAATTCCCACTCCAGAGCGCCCCATGGCATCAAGCTGAGGAGCGGACTTCACTCCTTTGTAGGGACATGGATGAAGCTGGAAACCATCATTCTCAGCCAACTATCTCAAGGACAAAAAACCAAACACCGCATGTTCTCACTCATAGGTGGGAATTGAACAATGAGAACACTTGGAAACAGGAAGGGGAACATCGCACCCCTGGGCCTGTCATAGGGTTGGGGGAGGGGGGAGGGATAACATTAGGAGATATACCTAATGTAAATGACGACTTAATGGGTGCAGCACACCAACATGGCATGTGTATACATATGTAACAAACCTGCACGTTGTGCACATGTACCCTAGAACTTAAAGTATAATAAAATAAATAAATATCACAGCCCTGTCTCGTTTCTTCCTCCTCTCCATGCCCTCCAGGGAACACTTCCTTAACAGACAATTTACACATGAGTCTCGAACTCCAGGTCTACTTTAGGAGAACCCAGCAGAAGACATATGGCAGAGGATGAGGATTGTAAACAAAAAAGCCTCATGGAGGAAGGAAAGGAGAAAACTTTATTTTCAGAGGGAGAAATAATCTGCATATTGGGGAATGCCACCTCCAAGGAAAACAAAGTATGTGCTCCATGGAAGGGAAAGGAAAGCTGGTATATTCATGCCTTGCAAGGTTAGCCTTACATACATATTCATCAGGTTTGGAGGAAATCTATGAATATTCATAAGGGAAGTCAGGAGTGTGTGTAGTGAGTAAACATATATGAAACGTACATTCCATGTTCAGTTTGGGGTGAAGTTTTAGCGTGAAAGTGAGGTGAAAATTGACTCTTTAAGTCAAAAGGTAAACTATAGAGCACAAAGATAATTTGTGCACAGACTCTGTAAGCAGGGCTGAGGTCTGTGACTATCAGGAAAGAAAGGCCAGTTCGCTGTTGTCCAATCTGGAAAAGGACCCCCCCTGAAACACTCTTAAGGTTTTGCTTCTCACTAACTTTGACTCCCCTGTAGCTCTGCCTTGCCATGTGTAAAGCTAGAAAAAGCCCAATTTTCTGGCCAGGTCACCTTGAACCCCCCACCCTCACCAAACCACTTCATAATAGTAAATTACTTATAAGGGAACATTCTGCTTTCCCCTAATAAGGTGTTGGTGATATTTTGTTAGCTTTAAGAATTCTGTGTTAAAAATCTGTATGTAGAACCTTGGCTCCCAGGCCTGGTACAATGGCTCAACCCTGTAATCCCAGTACTTTGGGAGGCCGAGGTGGGTGGACTGCTTGAGCTCAGGAGTTCAAGACTAGCCTGGGCAACATGGCAAAACCCCATCTCAACAAAAAATACAAAAATTAGCCAGGTGTGGCAGCATGTGCCTGTGTAGTCCCAGCTAATTGGGAGGCTAGGTGGGAGGATCACCTGAGCCTGGGAGGTGGAGGTTTTAGTAAGCCAAGATCACACCACTGCATTCCAGTCTAGGTGACAGAGTGAGACCCCGCTTCCAAACAAACAAACAAAAAAAAACAGAAAACAAAACCTTGGCTTTCCCACACAGAGTAAGCTCAGGACTTCCTACCTGTGCACCTGTACACCTAGGGGGCTGACCAGGATGGTGAGGGACAGTCATCTGGACACTGCCCTCACCTTTCTGTACCCTTCTCAGCTATACGGGCATCACTGGCTGGACTCTGTGGACTCCTCTTTTCCTTTGCTGAGCTATGACTCTATGAATTCCAGCGCTTCTCAAGGCTCACCTGGTGATCCTGGCATAGCAGCAATAGATTTCTCCTACTTTCATCTGACCCTGGGATCCCTGAGCATCTATCTTAAAAGTCTGATAAGGATGAATTTAAGAAAAAGTAAAAGCTTTAGCTGAGGATGCTTCTCTACCAAAACCCCAAGTGCTGATTCCAGCCTTGACACTGACCTTGCAACGTGGCCTCACAGCAACTGAATCCTTTACTTAATGTCTTTAGTCCACAGTCCTAGGAGAGAGTTCTGATTCACTCCCTTTGTGTTAAATACTCGACTTTAATCCAGTCAACTGTGAGTGGGGGTGAGACTACCAGATTCACATATGACTCCCTGGATTCACCCATAGGGACTGGAAGTGAAACTCAGCCTTTCAGCAGGGGTGTGGGTGGGGAGAATGGCTGGTGTTGCTAGAACAACCAGTGCCAGCTACTGAGGAAGAAATCGTGGCTCCTTTTCAATAGACCCTATTCTCCCCTCACACCAACCCCATCCATTTATCCTTTGATACTCAGCTCTGTGCTCCGTCCTGCAGACTGCCTAGGTTCAAGTCTCAACTCCCTCACATACGAGCCAGGTGTCTTCAAGGAAGGTACTTAACAAATTGGGCACCAGTTTCCTTACCTGGAGAACAGCTAGTGAGAGTTCCTGCCTCAGAGGCTGCCTGTGAAGTTTACTTCCTGATACACAGTAACACTGGCAGCAGTTGGAGGTGGTGGGAGTAAAGGAAAGTCCCAAGTTTGACTCCACCATCCAGATATGTATTGAGGATGTAAGTGCTTTCCTTCTTCCACTCAGGAGCTTGACTTTCTTTTTTGTGGCTGTTTTTTAATTTTACTTTAAGTTCTGGGATACATGAGCAGAATGTGCAGGTTTGTTACCTAAGTATACATGTGCCATGGTGGTTTGCTGCACCTATCAACCCATCATCTAGGTTTTAAGCCCTGCGTGCGTTAGGTATTTGTCCTGATGCTCTCCCTCACCTCTCCCCCGACCCCAGACAGACCCCAGTGTTTTGTTCCCCTCCCTGTGTCCATGTGTTCGCATTGTTCAACTTCCACTTATGAGTGAGAACATACGATGTTTGGTTTTCTGTTCCTGTGTTAGTTTGCTGAGGATGATGGCTTCCAGCTTCATCCATGTCTGTGCAAAGGACATGATTTCATTCCTTTTCATGGCTGCATAGTATTCCATGGTGCATATGTACCACACTTGCATTATCCAATCTATCATTGATGGGCATTTGGGTTGGTTCTAAGTCTTTGCTGTTGTAAATAGTGCTGCAATAAGCATATGTGTGCATGTGTCTTTATACTAGAATGATATATAATCCTTTGGGTATATACCCAGTAATGGGGTTGCTGGGTCAAATGGTATTTCTGGTTCTAGATCCTTGAGGAATTGCCACACTGCCTTCCACAATGGTTGAACTAATTTTCACTCCCACGTATAGTACAAAAGCATTCCAATTTCTCCACAACCTCACCAGCATCTATTGTTTCTTGACTTTTTAATAATCGCCATTCTGACTGGTGTGAGATGGCATCTCATTGTGGTTTTGATTTGCATTTCTTTAATGATGAGTGACATTGAGCTTTTTTCATATGTTTTTGGCCACAGAACTTCTTGATTTCTGCCTTAATTTCATTATTTACCCAGGAGTCATTCAGGAGCAGGCTGTTCATTTTCCATGTAGTTGTGTGGTTTTGAGGGAGCTTCTTAATTCTGGGTTCTAATTCGATTGCACTGTGATCTGAGAGACTGTTTGTTATGATTTGTTCTTTTGCATTTGCTGAGGAGTGTTTTACTTCCAATTATGTGGTCAATTTTAGAATAAGTGCCATGTGACACTGAAAAGAATGTATATTCTGTTGATTTGGGGTGAAGAGTTCTGTAGATGTCTATTAGGTCTGCTTGATCCAGAACTGTGTTCAAGTCCCGAATATCCTTGTTAATTTTCTGTCTCGTTCATCTAACGTTGACAGTTGGGTGTTAAAGTCTCCCACTATTATTGTGTGGGAGTCTAAGTCTCTTTGTAGGTCTCTAAAAACTTGTCTTATGAATCTGGGTACTCCTGTATTGGATGCATATATATTTAAGATAGTTAGCTCTTCTTGTTGAATTGATCCCCTTACCATTATGTAATGCCCTTCTTTGTCTTTTTGGATCTTTGTTGGTTTGAAGTCTGTTTTGTCAGAGACTAGGATAGCAGCCCATGCCTTTTTTTTTTCTTTCCATTTGCTTGGTAAATTTTCCTCCATCCCTTTATTTTGAGCCTATGTGTGTCTTTGCATGTGAGCTGCATCTCCCAAATACAGCACACCACTGGGTCTTGACTCTATCCAATTTGCCAGGCTGTGTCTTTCAATTGGGGCATTTAGTCCATTTACATTTAAGGTTAGTATTGTTATGTGTGGATTAGATCCTGTCATCATGATGCTATCTGGTTATTTTGCATGCTAATTGATGCAATTTCTTCATAGTGTCATTGGTTTCTGTATTTTGGTGTGTTTTTGCAGTGGCTGGTACTGGTTTTGACTTTCCATATTTAGTGCTTCCTTCAGGAGCTCTTGTAAGGCAGGCCTAGTGATGACGAAATCCCTCAGCATTTGCTTGTCTGGAAAGGATTTTATTTCTCCTTTGCTTATGAAGGTTAGTTTGGCTGGATATGAAATTCTGGGTTAAAAATTATGTTCTTTAAAAATGTTGAATATTGGCCCCCACTCTCTTCTGGCTTGTAGGGTTTCTGCAGAGAGATCTGCTGTTAGTCTGATGAAACTATTGTAGGTAACCTGACCTTTCTCTCTGGCTGCCCTTAATATTTTTTTCTTTATTTTGACCTTGGAGAATCTGATGATTATGTGTCTTGGGGGTGATCTTCTCGAGGAGTATCTTAGTGGTGTTCTCTGTATTTCCTGAATTTGCATGTTGGCCTGTCTTGCTAGGTTGGGGAAGTTCTCCTGTATATAAAACCTTGGCTGTGTAGTCCCAGCCTGAAGAGTGTTTTCCAGCTCATTTCCATTTGCTCGATCTCCTTCAGGTACTCCAATCAATAGTAGGTTCGGTCTTTTTACATAGTCCCATATTTCTTGGAGGCTTTGTTCATTCTTTTTCATTCTTTTTTCTCTAATCTTGTCTGCATGCTTTATTTCAGCAAGGTGGTCTTCAAACTCTGATATCCTTTCTTCCGCTTGGTCACTTTGGCTATTGAGACTTGTGTATGCTTCATGAAGTTCTCGAGCTGTGTTTTTTCAGCTCCATCAGGTCATTTATGTCCATTTGGGCAAGAGTGTCCTGTTTTTCCAGGTACAGTCTGTCATGCCTTCCTTTGGCTAGGAAAGGAAAATCCCCCAACCCCTTGCACTTCCTGGGTGAGTTGATGCCCTGCCCTGCTTCAGCTCACCCTCCGTGGGATGAACTCACTGTCCAATCAGTCCCAATGAGATGAATCAGGTAGCTCAGTTGGAAATGCAGAAATCACCCATCTTGCATTGATCACACTGGGAGCTGCAGACCAGAGCTCTTCCTATTTGGCTATATTGGAATGAGAGTTTAAATCAATCAATTTAATATATCATATTAACAGAGTAAAAGATATAAACCACACAATCATCTCAAATAATGCAGAAAAGTCAACTGACAGTATTAATCATCTTTTCAAGATAAAAAAAACACTCAATAAACTAGAAATAAAAGGAAACTAACATAGCAAAAGATATGTAAATAACTCATCACCAACTGGGTTCAACAGCTCATGCCTATAGTCCCAGCAGTTTGGGTAGCTGAGGTGGGTGGATGATTTTAGGTCAGGAGTTCCAGACCAGCCTGACCAACATGGTGAATCCCTGTCTCTACAAAAAATATTAACATTAGCTTGACGTTGTGGTGTGTGCCTGTAGTCCCAGCTACCAGGGATGCTGAGGCAGGAGAATAGCTTGAACTCGGGAGGTGGAGGTTGCAGTGAGCCCAGATCATGCCACTGCACTCCAGCCTGGTTGACAGAGCAAGATCCTATCTCAGAAAAGCGAAAACAACAACAAAAACAAAAAAACGAAAACAATCATCACTAATATTATACTGAATTCTGAACTGTGGAAAGTTTATCCTCTAAGATTAATAATAAGGCAAGATATTCACTGTTGCCACATCTATTCAAAAATAGCAGTGAAAGTCCTGGCAAAACAACTAGGCAATGAAAAAAAGAAAAGATCCACATTCTAAAGGAAGAAGTAAAAGTACCTGTTACTTATGATATGATGTTATATACAAAAAAATCCTATACGCTGAAAACAATACCTGTTAGAACTAATAGTTGCATTTAGCAAAATTGCAGAATACAAAATTAAGTGTATTTCTCTTCATTACACGGTACAATCCAAGTTTTTAAAATTCCATTGAAAATAGCATTAAGAAGAATATACTTTGGAATAAACAAGCAAAGAGATGTAAGACTAGTATACTAGAAGTTACAAGATGTTGCTGAAGAAAAGTCACAAACAATGGGGAAGATATTCTATATTTATAGATTAGACAATTGAAAAGATATCCCATATTCATAAATTAGAAAACAATATTCTTAAGTCTATACTAATGAAATCAACAACAGATTAAATGCAATAGCTATATAAATCATAACAATATTTACTTGCAGAAATACAAAATTCTAAAACATATGAAATCTCAAGATTGAAAATAGCCAATTAAACTTGTAAAATAATGTCAATTGTGGAGCCCTCACAATTTTTAAATCAAAAACTAATTGCAGTGCTGTTGAACTCTTTTCAAATGTGGTATTTTGAGGCCAGGTTCTATGGCTTACATGTGTAACCTCAGCACTTTGTGAGGCTGAGGTAGGAGGATTGCTTGAACCCAGGAGTTCAAACCACACTGGACATCCTAGTGAGAACATCCATCGCTAAAAAAAAAATTAAAATTAAAATTAACCTGGCAATGTGACGTGAACCTGTAGTCTCAGCTATTCCAGAGGCTGAAGTGAGAGGATTTTTTAAGCCTGGGAGAGCAAGGCTGCAGTGAGCCATGGTCGCACCAGTGCACCCCAGCCTAGATGACAGAGAACCTGTCTCAAAAAGTAAAAAGGAGAAAATCTAAAAAGAAATGTATTAAATCAAGACGTGTAGACATAGAAAATAATAGAGACCCCTCTCTCCACAAAACCTTGTATATATGGTCAAAATGATCTTCAACAAGGGTGCAAAGGCCAAACTATGGAGAGGGAATAGCCCCCTTTAACAAAAAACGGTATGAAGACTTGCTATCAACATGTAAAATACAGAAGTCAGAATTGTAGTTTATACTATTTTTTTTTAAAACTCAAAATGTGTAAGTCTGAAAGCCTTACACAAAAATATAAGGGAAAAATATCCAAAATTATGCCATGGAATTTGGCAATGGGTTCTTGACTGCCAGCAGCCCCACATCCCTGGAGCATCCATCCGCTCACCGCTGCCTGGTGCTGGGTCCTTCCACACCTGTCACACTGCTTTGTGCGGGGCTCTGAGGGGCACGAGCCAGGACACCAGGCCGAGCACAGGGCACAGGCCGGGCGTTCTCCGGCTATTCGAAGGCAGGCTGTCCCCGTGACAGCCTCAGGCGCAGGAGGGAGGACGGCCTGATTCGAGTCTGTGGAAGGAGGAAGAAGCTCGTTTCCTGAGCCAGCAGGGACACAGAGGCGGATGCGGGACACAGGGACACAGGGTGGTATGGCATATATTTTGAAACATGGCCACAATTTGAATAATTAGAGTGTTATGCTGAAACTGCACCAAAATTTATCATTCCAGTGACTACAGGGAATTTTTAATAGTTGTTATTTTTATAATAAAATTAAACTTTAATGAAATAACTGACTTTCAAACTTCAGCAAGAGGACAAATATTCAGCCAGAGGTATCAGTTCCCGGTTTCTGCTTCGGGTCCTCTCTGGTCTCCCACAGCCCCTCCTGCATCACCCAGGTCTAAGGGGCAACCTGCCCTGGCCTGTGTTCCCTCGTCCCTCCCCTTCCCCACCCAGATCCTGCAGTGCCTTCCTGGGGCAGGGGCAGCGAACCATCCAGAGCGGGAGGCTCCCTCGCCCAGGGCAGCACCGCTCCGCCCCTCTCCCCTCCTGCCCAGCCCCTGGCAAAGGAGTCACCTGGGCCTGGCCCGCTGCCCGCCCCCCAATGCCTGCCCTGTGCCTGCAACGGCGACGCTGCCAACAAGAGGTGCCAGAGACCGCGGCGCAAACCGCCCAGAGAGCAGGGTCCCACTCACCTGGGAGCGGGGGCACGTCCCTTCCGGTAGGCGATGGAGTTAAGATTGTTTCCTTATTTATTTTACTTAAAACTGGTAGAATGTTACTATTATATGAAGTACCCATGACTCTCTCAGTAAATTTGAGCAAACGTTTATTAGTTTTTGTCAGTTTAACTAGTTCTTTTATTTCTATTATTAAGGTGAAATTTAACTTCTATCTGAAATCAGTAAGATACAGAGAGATTTTAATGACAAGTGAATATTTTTTTCTCAGGGGGAACTGAATTATGAATTGAATGAATGAATTATGAATTAAATGAATGAATTTATTACCAAGGTAGAGAGGACACTAACCAATCGGTAGTTTTAATCAATATGTATTCCCTCCCCCCTCCCTCTTTGTTTTTTGTTTGTTTGTTTGTTTGTTTTTGAGACAGAGTTTTGCTCTGTCGCCCAGGCTGGAGTGATGTGGCGCGATCTTGGCTCACTACAACCTCCGCCCCCCGGGTTCAAGCGACTCTCCGCCTCAGACCCCGGAGTAGCTGGGATTACAGGCGCCAGCCACCATGCCCAGTTAATTTTTGTGTTTTCATTAGAGGCGGGGTTTCACCGTGTTGGCCAGGCTGGTCTCAAACTCCTGACCTCGGGTGATCCGCTCACCTTGGCCTCTCAAAGTGTTGGGATTATAGGCGTGAGCCACCAGTCCCAGCCCCTCCCACCCCTCTGTATTATGACCATGTGTACCCAGCTTTTAGCTCCCACTTATGAAAGAGAACATGCGGTATTTTGTTTATTGCTTTTGCATTAGTTTGCTGGAAACAATGCATCCATGTTGCTTCAAATGGCATAATTTTGAGTTTTTTCTGGCTGTATAGTATTCCATGAGTCTTTATCCAGACCACAACTGATGGACGCCTGGGTTAAGTCTATGTCTTTGTGATTGTGAATACTGCTGTGCTAAAAATATGGCTACATGTGTCTTTTTGGTAGGATATTTATTTTCTTTCAGGTATATACCCAGTAATGGGGTTACTGGGTTGAATGGTAGTTCAACTCTCAGTTCTTTAAGAAATCCCCAATCTGCTTTCCACAGTGGCTGAACTAATTTACATTCCTTCAGAAAGTGTGTAAGTGTTCTCTATTCTCTAAATCTTCACCAATATGTGTTTTTCTTTTGACTTTTCAAAAAAAGCCATTCTGACTGGTGTGAAATGGTATTTCATTTCGGTTTTGATTTGCATTTCTCTAATAAATAATGATGATGAGCACTTTTACATATGTTTGTTGGGTGCTTGTGTGTATGTCTTCTTTTGAGAAGTGTCTGTTCATGTCCTGTTGCCCACTTTTTAATGGAGTTACTTGCTGCTGCTTGTTGATTTGTTTGAGTTCCTTATAGGTTCTGAATAATAGACCTCTGTTAGATGCGTAGTTTGTGAATATTTTCTTTCATACTGTGGGTTATCTCTTTACTACCTTGATAGTTTCTCTTGTTGTGCAAAAGTTTCTCAGTTTAATTAACTACCACTTGTCAATTTTTGTTTTAGTTGCAATTGCTTTTGAGGACTTAGCCATAAATTATTTGCCATATGGAGAAATAGGAACACTTTTACACTGTTGGTGGGACTGTAAACTAGTTCAACCATTGTGGAAGTCAGTGTGGCGATTCCTCAGGGATCTAGAACTAGAAATACCATTTGACCCAGCCATCCCATTACTGGGTATATACCCAAAGGACTATAAATCATGCTGCTATAAAGACACATGCACACGTATGTTTACTGCAGCACTATCCACAATAGCAAAGACGTGGAACCAACCCAAATATCCAACAATGATAGACTGGATTAAGAAAATGTGGCACATATACACCATGGAATACTATGCAGCCATAAAAAATGATGAGTTCATGTCCTTTGTAGGGACGTGGATGAAATTGGAAATCATCATTCTCAGTAAACTATCGCAAGAACAAAAAACCAAACACCACATATTCTCACTCATAGGTGGGAATTGAACAATGAGAACACATGGACACAGGAAGGGGAACATCACACTCTGGGGACTGTTATGGGGTCAGGGGAGGGGAGAGGGATAGCTTTAGGAGATATACCTAATGCTAAATGATGAGTTAATGGGTGCAGCACACCAGCATGGCACGTATATACATATGTAACTAACCTGCACATTGTGCACATGTACTCTAAAACTTAAAGTATAATAATAATAAAATAAAATAAAAAAACAAGAAAAGTATTTCCTAGGATTTTTCTAGGCGTCTTATAGCTTGAGATTTTACATTTAACTCTTTAATCCATCTTAAGTTAATTTTTGTATTTGGTGAAATATGGGGGTCTAGTTTTATTCTTCTGCATATGACTAGCCAGTTATCCCTGCATTATTTATTAAATAAAAGTCTTTTTCCCATTGCTTACTTTTGTCAACTTTGTTAAAGATGTGATGGTTGCAGGCATGTGGCCTTAGTTTCTAGTACTCTAGTCTGTTCCATTGGTCTATGTGTCTGTTTTTCTACCAGTACCATGTTGTTTTGATTACTATAGTCTTCTAGGATAGTTTGAAGTCATGTAATATGATGTCTCTAGCCTATGTCTCTAGCCTTAGTATTGCTTTGGCTTGGCTATTCAGACTCCTTTTAGGTTCCATATAAATTTTAGATGTTTTCTATTTTGTGCAAAATGACATTAGTAGTTTGATAGGAAAAGCATTGAATCTGTAAATCGCTTTGAGCAGTATACTCATCTGCACGCAGATGATACTACAGTGTATGTTCTGTGGTTGATGAATGAAGTGTATTGTAATTCCAAATGGTCAAGCATTGAATTTAAATGCAGAATTTCTTTTTTTTTTTTTTTTTGAGACGGAGTCTCGCTCTGTCGCCCAGGCTGGAGTGCAGTGGCGCGATCTCGGCTCACTGCAAGCTCCGCCTCCCAGGTTCACGCCATTCTCCTGCCTCAGCCTCCCGAGTAGCTGGGACTACAGGCGCCCGCTACCACGCCCGGCTAATTTTTTGTATTTTTAGTGAGACGGGGTTTCACCGTGTTAGCCAGGATGGTCTCGATCTCCTGACCTCGTGATCCGCCCGCCTCGGCCTCCCAAAGAATTTCTTTATTAGTTTTCTGCCTCAATGATCTGTCTAACACTGTCATTGGGGTGTGTTCCAATCTGTGTGTTCCAATGTTGGCTGCATATATATTTAGAATAGACATATATTGCATATATATTTAGAATATATTTAAAATACATTTCACTTACTGGTACTTCACTCACTTTTATTAGCTGGATGCCATCATGGGGGCAGTTTGCCTCCATTCTCCTTCCCGGAATCTGGTGTGTCCTTCAAGATTCTGGTGGATTCCTTTTCTTCTTCTTAAATTAAAGCTCAGAGAGTTGACATTTATGCACTATTGTGCTATGTCCATGTGGCTGAAGCATGCTTAAAGTCTCTAATCCATCATCTTGAAAAAAAATTTAATCTAAATTTGAGTTTATAAAAGCAAAATTGTATATTTTATTAAGTGGTTGTTATTCTCGAGCTAAAAGATTAATCTCATAAATACACATATTTATCTTCAGTGCCAGAACCAAAAAATTAATAGGTGCCACCAACACGTATCAGCACAGTCATATTGTTTGTGTTTTACTGTCATTTTGGACACAAGAATAATAAGAAAAAAACTGACTTTAAGACACAATGGTATCTACATTATAAGAATTGTAGTAGTTGGCTCAAAAACTGGTGTCTTTCTCCAATGGGTCTCCGGAGGTAGTTGGAGCTAAGCTTGGACAGAAGAACACCAAGGTTCCCATGCATTGGAGTTGAGAGATAACAAAAGACACAGTTAAATTTGAACTTCAGATAAATAATAGATAAAAGTTAGTGTATTTATAAAGTATTGCATATACATATTGCATGCAAGTATGCAGATATCATAATAGAAAAGTATTATTTTTTTCAGAATCTTGAACTTAAGTATATTCTATATGACTATTTGCTGAATCTTGTAGCTCCACCATGAAAATAATCATGGGTCTTGGAAAATATGATATGTACCTGGAGAAGTGATATAGAATTAAAAATTATAGAATTCATATTGTTTGGTCAGAGCGTAAGAGAGTGTAATCAGGTCCTAATAAATACATTCAAAATGTAAAATCTTAATACAAACCTCAGCACTCCCTGTAAGAAGTGACAATTAAGCTAGAGTGAATCCCCTGACCACTCTCAGAAGACACATAATGCATTTGAGACCAGCCTGGCCAACATGGCAAAACCACGTCTCTACTAAAAATATAAAAATTAGCCAGGTATGGTGGTGTGCACCTGCAATCCCAGCTACTTGAAAGGCTGAGGCAGGAGAATCACTTGAACACCAGAGGCAGAGGTTGCAGTGAACTGAGATCACACCATTGCACTCCAGCCTGGGCAACAAGAGCAAGACTGTGTCTCAAAAAAAAAAAAAAAAAAGAAGAAGAAGAAGATAGATAATGCATAACAATGTATCATTATTATGAATTCACTTTAGGCTATTCTCCATAGAATAAGTTCCAAAGTATGTGATCATCATGGATAATGGTGGAGACGATGACATAATTAATGAATCTTTATGTTATAGGTTATCTCTTAGGTATTAAATCTATGTTGGATAAAGAACATCTGAAGTGAAATTGCTATTATTTTGAAGATAATATCCAATTGTTTTCTGCAAGTTGCATTTGGTCACTGTGAGACAACTTACTGATGCGTGGAAAAATGCCAACTACCATGATTTACATATAATTTACATTACAAAATTTTAGAAGAAAAACCAAACTCTTTGAGGGATTTTAAAAAGGCTTATTTTGAGCTTATATGAATGACTGTGGCCCAGTGAATCACAGGTTTAAGGAGTCCTGAGAAACTGCATGCAAAGCAGCTGAATTACAGTTGATTTTCCATTTTAGAGAGGGAGAAATTACAGGGGAATACATAAATCAATACACAGAAGGTATACATTTGTTGGACCCAAAAAAGATTCTTTGAAAGATCAAGCCTTTCACTATATTGACTGAGCAAAAGATGGAAGACTAATTATTAAAATAATAAATGAAAGCAGAGCCATTACAACCAACTTTACAGAACTACAAAAGGATTACAGGAGTATACTATGAACAACTGTCTAACAACAAATTAGGTGCCCTGGATGAAATGGATGAATCACTAGAAAGACACAAACTACCAAAGTGGCTCAAGAAGAAAGAGAAAATCTGAATAGATCTATAACCTAGGAGATTGAATTAGTAATCAAAAGCGATTAACAAAGAAACATTTATGACCAAATGGCTGCATTAACTGCTGAGTCAACCTAACATTTAAAGAAGAATTAATACCATTTCTTCTCAAACTCTTCTGACAAAATATATGAAGAAGGAATACTTGCTAATTCATTTTTTGATAACAGCATTATCCTTATACCAAAGACAAAGAGAGCACAAAAGAGAGAACTACAGAACAATATCCCTTATGAATATATAAGCAAAAATCTCAGCACAATACTAGCAATACTAGCAAAATACTAGCAGCAATACTGCATAATCAAAGGATTGTAAACTATCACCCTTTGAGATTTATCCCCAAAATGCAAGGGTGGCTCAACATATAAAAAATCAATCAGTGTAATATACTGTAACACTGAAATGAATAAGCATGTTATTATTTCAATTGATGCAGAAAAAACATTGATGAAATATAACGCCCTGCTATAATAAAAATACTCAATAAACTAGGCATAGAAGGGATCTTCTGCAACATGACAATGGGATGTACAAAAACCCAACAGTTAATATCATGATCAATGATGAAACACTGAAAGCTGTTTTCCTAACATCTAGAACAAGACAAGGATGGTGCATTTGCCACTTGTATTCAACGTAGCACTGGCAGTTCTAGCCAGAGCAATTAGGCAAGACAAAGAAATAAAAGGCATCTACATTAGAAATAAAAAATAGGTGTAAAATTATATCTACACATGATCTTATGGGTATAAAGCTCCAAACAAAACACAAAACCATTTATAACTAATAAAAGAGGCAGGATGCAAAACAAACATAGGCAAATGAGCTATATTTCTATTTAGTTGTAAATAACTATGAAAACATTTTAAAAATTCCATTTATAATAGCATCAAAGAATAAGTTATTCAGGCATAAATGTAACCATGGTGGAACACAAAACTTTGCTGAAAAAAACTAAAGAGAGTGGAAATAACTGGAAAGACATTCTGTGTTCACGGGTTGTAAGACAATATTGTTAAGATGACAATACCATCTAAAGTAATCTACAGATTCAATGCAATACCATCAAAATCCCAAAGGCATTTTTGCAGAAACAAAGAAACTCATTCTAAAATCATACAAAAATTCAAAGGATCTGACAGACAAAACAGTCTTGAAAAAGAACATTGGAAAACTCACATTTTTCAGTTTCACAGCCTACTACAAATCTACAGTCATCAAGAGAGTGTGGTACTGGCATAAGACCAACAGACTTTTAGACCAATACAATAGAACAGATTTGAGATCCTACAAATTAGTCCTCACATATATGGTCAATGACTGTTCAACAAGGTGGCCAAGTCTAGTCAAGGGAGGAAAGAACAGTCTCTTCAACAGCTGGATGTCAGTGCACAGGAGAGAAATTAGACCCCTACCTTGCAGTATATACAAAAATTAATTCTAAATTAATAAAAGACTTAAATGTAAGGACTAAAAGTATGTAACTCTTAGAAGAAAACACACGGTAAACCTTTATGACCTTTGAGTTTTAAGTGTATTTTGAAATATGACAGAAAAGCACAGATAACAAAAGAAAATACATGTAAATTAGATTCAATCAAAATAAAAACCCTTTATGCATCAAAGGATACTATCAAGGGAGTGAAAAGACAACCCATAGTATGTGAGAAAATATGTATCTGCTAAAATCAAAGTGTGTATCTGATAAAAGCTTAATATCCCACAACTCAACAGAATTTCTAAGATCCCAATTAAAAAAGAGGCAAAGGACTTGAATAGACATTTCTCCAAAAAAGATACACAAATGTCTAAGAAGGACAAGAAAAGATGCTAAACACCGTTATTCATTAATAAAATGCAAGACAAAACCCAAATGAGATGCCACTTTGCATCCACTAGTAAGGCTTTCATAACAACGATACAGAAAATCAGTGTTGCTAAGGAGGTGGAGAAATTGGAGCCCTCATGAACTGGCTGCTAGGAACAGAAAATGATGCACTTGCTGTGGAAAACAGTTTGGTGGTTCCTCAAAGAATCACACAGAGAAACAGGCGCCGCGGGCTTGCGGGTTCTCCTGGGCTGGCGCGGGACTTCCCGGAATCGCAGGCGCTCATCCCTTCCCTCCTGAGGGCCCGCCTGGCCGTGACTCCGCCCCTCTTCTCCTCCGAAGAGAGATCGGGGCCGCTCCAGGGGCCGCCTGCAGCCACCGGGGATGCGGCTGAGGGTCGGTTCCTGCCCTGGTGCAGCCGCCTCCGGGCAGACCGCCTGACTTGGCCTCAGTCACGGCGACATCTAGCCCTGGTTCTGCGAGGCTGGGCGCGCCAGCCAGCTTGGAAGTTGCCCGGCGCCTGTAGCTGGGCGCCCAGGTGGTGGAGCATGGCCTGGGCGGCCTCTGGATCACGAGTGCCCCTGGCCTGAGAGCCCGCCAGACCCTGCCCCCGCCCGGGTCCTCCTCTGCCAGAGCTCGAGACCTCTAGCTAGGGGTCCTCTACAGCCACCGGGGATGGGGCTGAGGGCCGGTTCCCGCCCCCGTGCAGCTGCTGCAGGGCAGACCGCCTGGCTTCGCCGCAGCCACAGGGACATCTGGCCCTGGTTCCGAGATGTGGGGAGTGCGGGCGGGCTCGGGAGTTGCCTGGAGGCTGCTGCCTGCACACAGAAGGCGGCTGCAGCTTAGGTGCCCAGGCGGGCTGGAGGTGCATGGCCTGGTCGGCCTTGGGATCGCCAGCGCGCCCAGCCTGAGGGCCCCCAGGCCGTGCCTCTCGCCCACTCCTCCACCTGAGGGAGATCTGGGCCGCTGGCACGGGCACTCGGCAGTCACCCCGTGTGGGGCTGAGCGGCGGGTTCTCAGTTCTGGCTCCTGTGCAGCCGCCGCCGCCGGGCAGAATGACTGGCTTGATCGCAGCCACTGGGATACCTGGCCCTGGTTCTGCGATGCTGGGAGCGCGAGCGGGCTCGGGGGTTGCCAGGCAGCTGCTGCCTGCACACAGAGGGCGACTGCAGCTTGGGCGCCCAGGCGGCGGAGCATGGTCTGGGTGTCGTCTGGAATGCGTGCGCGCCAGGCTTGAGGGCCCCCCTGGTGGTGCCACCTGCCTCGCTGCTGGGCTCCTTCCTGCCCCTGCGCCTGCGCGGGCGCTGGGCCTTTGCGAAGGCTGAGCTGAGTTCTCCTCAGCACAGACCCGGAGAGCATCGCGAGGGCGGAGCTGAGTTCTCCTCTGCACAGACTTCGGAGATACAGCGAAGGCGGAGCAGTGTTCTCAGCACAGACCCGGGCGGGCGGGCCGGGGGCACCGCGAGGGCGGAGCTGCGTTCTGCTCAGCACAGACCTTGGGGGCACTGCCTCGCTTTGGTACAACTCGGGGCCGCATCGACGGTGAATAGAATCCTTCCTGTTTGCAGCCCTGAATAATCAGGGTCAGAGACCAGTTAGAGGGGTTCAATGTGGAAAACGGGAAACCAAAATCCCCTCTGAATCCTGCCCACCGAGGTTCTCCCCAGCCAAGGCGAGGCGGCCGCAGTGCGAGATCCACACCGCAGCCTCGGAAGACAAATGCAGCATTCCTAATGCAGACATGACACCCAAAATATGACACCTCCATTGCTCATGTAACAAGCACCTGTAATGCTAATGCACTGCCTCAATACAAAAATATTAATATAAGATCCGCAATCCCCTCGCTGCCGTGCAGTCCTAAGACAGAGATCATAATAATCAACATTGACATAGTCAATACCAACGTAGCAACGAACCTAGGGTTAAGGTTGGTGTTAGGGTTAGGGGTTAAGTTTAGGGTTAGGGTTTGGAGATAGCGGTTGGGGTCAGAGTTAGGGGTTAGGAGTCAACGTTTAGAGTTAGGGGTTAAGAGATGTTAGGGGTTAGGTATTAGGGGTTAGGGTTGGGTTAGGGTGAGGGTGAGGGTTGTGGTTAGGGGTTAGGGGTTAGGGTTAAGGGTTAGGGTTAGGGGTTAGGGTTAGGGTCAGGGGTTAGGGGTCAAGGTTAGGGTTCAGGGTCAAGGTCAGGGGTCCCACTCTGTGGGTTGTGTATTTACTCTGCTGACTGTTCCCTTTGCCATGCAAAAGCTCTTTAGTTTAATTAAGTCCCAGATATTTATCTTTGTTTTTATTGCATTTGCATTTGGGTCCTTGGTCATGAAATCCTTGCCTTTGCCAATGTCTAGAAGGGTTTATCCAGTGTTATCTTCTAGAATTTTTATAGTTCAGAAATTAGGTTTAAGTTCTTAATCCATCTTGAGTAGATTTTTGTATAAGGTGAGAGATGAGAATGCAGTTTTATTCCCCTACATGTGGCTAGCCAATTATCCCAACATCATGTGTTGAAAAGGGTGTCCTTTCCCCACTTTATGTTTTTGTTTACTTTGTCGAAGACCAGTTGGCTGATTATACTTGGGCATATGTCTAAACAAAACACGTATAGATCTGTATGCAGAAAATCATGAAACACTAAAGCAAGAAATTAAAGAACACTTAAATGAAGGGACTTGTTATATTAATGAACTGGAAAACTCAATGTGAGAAAGACAGATCTTCTGATTTAACATAATGTCAATGAAAATACCAGCTGAATTTTTGGGTAGATATAAATAAGCTGATTCTAAAATGCATGGAAAGGCATGCATTCCATTTATATGGAAAGGCAAAGGAACCAGAATAGCTAAAAACAATTTTGGAAAAAAAGAATAAATTTGGAGGAATCAAACTATCCTAAGATTTACTATCAAGCTACAGTAAATATGACATCTTGCTACTGGTGAAGAGATACACACATAGATCAATTTAGCAGAACATAGTACAGAAATAAACCCAAACAAGTGGTGTTGGGATGGTTGGTCATTCATATGTAAAGAAATAAACCCCAACTTAACCATCGCATATTATTAAGAAGTTAACTCACAATGGATCACAGATTTAAGTGTAAAACCATAAAACGTCTAGAACAAGAGAAAATCTTCATGACCTGGGGCTAGGCAGACTTCTTAGATATGACATCAAAAGCACAATCCAAAAAAGATAACATCGATAAATCAGATGTCATTAAAATTAGAAATTTTGTTCTGCAAAAGACACTATTAAGAGAATGAAAAGACAAGCTACAGGCTGAGAAGAAATATTTGCAAATCACACATCTAAAAAAAGACTTATATCCAGAATATATAAATAGCTCTCAAAAATCAACAATAGGAAAAATATAACCCAATGTGAAACTGGGCAAAGCATGCATACAGACACTTCTGCAAAGAAGATATAAGGATGGCAAAGAAACAACAACAAAAAAGTAATATCTGCTGAACACCATTAGCCATTAGGGAAATGTAAATTAAACTCACAATGCTTAGAATGGCTAAAATAAAAAAATAAGGAAAATACTAAGTGCTGATGAAGATGTAAATAAACTGGAACTTTCTACATCATTAGTGAGAATGCAAAATGGTACAGATACTACAATTTGGCAGTTTCTTATAAAGTTAAACATGCATTTCCCATATGACCCAGTAAACATACTCCTGGCTTCGTATGCTACAGAAATAAGCACAAAAAAACTATACATGAATGTTTATATCAGCTCTATTGATAAATGCCAAAAAGTGGGGGAAAAAGTCTATCAACCAGTGAATAGATGAACTGTGATATATCCATGAAGTGGATACTTCCGTTAACCAGAAGTAAACAGAAATGAAGTATTGATACGTATAACAACTTGGGTGAATGTCAAGACCAATTTGCTGAGTAAAAGAATCCGGTCTCAAATGTTACATATAGCGTCGGTCCATTTATATGACATTCTCAAAAAGACAAAGCTGTAGAGTTTTAGTGCTTATGGTAGTTGCCAGTGGTTACAGGTATGGTGAGGGGTAATTATGAGGGAAGACATTTGGGGTGATGGAAATGTTCTTTTTCTGACTACGGTAGTCGTTACACAAACTATGCCTGTGTTGTAATAGAATTGTACACCAAAAATAACAAAATAGTCAATTTTACTGTAGAAACATTTTTTAAAAACCTGTTTTAAAAACCTGGAAACACAATCTCAGTTATAAGGTATGGTCTATAAATGTTGTTATCATTTCTAACAATTTGTTTCCAGGGATTTTTTTTTAGATTATCGAAACATAACCAATCATTGCTCTTCAACTCTTCAATACTCTGAAATAGTTGGTGGATTATATAACCTACCAATATTAAGTGAGATTAAGGAATATATCCAGGGGTTATTTCTATTCTATTTTGATACCTATTCCAATTCTACACTGCAAATCCTTGATGCCAGCTGTCTGTTGAGTAGCTACTCTAACCATAAACACTTAACAACTTTGTACGATGTGCTGGACACATAGAGAAAAATATGACATGGTCCCAGAAATAGAAGAACTTCCAGTGTATGGACTTAGATAAAGAGAAATAAGAAACAAAGAGCTATAAGACTTAGGCAAGGCAAACTCTATACTGGAACACAAAATTCAGCACCATTCTTCTCCAAGGTACAACTCTCTTGCGTCCCCTAGCGTCCTCAATAAGGACCA
This sequence comes from Homo sapiens, assembly GCF_000001405.40. Lineage (NCBI taxonomy): Eukaryota > Metazoa > Chordata > Mammalia > Primates > Hominidae > Homo > Homo sapiens. The sequence goes on along the minus strand of NC_000002.12, from coordinate 132,349,262 downwards.
TTCTGTAAGCTGCAACGAATGAAAACCTTAGAGTAGCTGCCGGCATTTCCCTTTCACGGTCTTGGATATAAGCAATTTATGATCATCAATGTTTGACAATTATGACAATCAATCAAACAATATTATACTAAGTCGATGTTAGAGATTTGGTTTAAAATACTGAAACCAAAAAAAAGGGGCATGGAGTTGATCCGAGACTGGCAAATGTTAACAAAGTTTGAAGCTGGGTGATGCTTCCACAGAATTATTTTAGTCATATTACATTTGACTATGCTTATAAATTTCCATAGTAAAAACTTAAGGGAAAAATAAAAGCTATGAAGCCTATTTGGTTAAACATGGGTAAAAATCCAAAAAGAAGTCTACTGGAAGAGGAAAACATTGAATTAATATTGTTATTGTTATATCTTGTGGTTAGCATAATTAGTTTCTTTTACTCTTTCTATACTTTCTTAATCTTTTACAATATGCAATCATTTATATAATCAGAATATGAATGTAAATATTTCAAATAAAATTAAATTACAGATAACTAAAAAAAATAAAAAATTCAAAGCTCATTAACCTCGCTTTTACGGTCCTCTAGAAAAATCCAAACATGTCTTCTGAAGCTGACACTAAACACATCAAGAACTAAGGCAATCGATGGAAACTATCTGAATTCAAATCTCAGCTCAGACTCTTACCACCTGGGTGACCTAAAGGTAAACCACCTATGCTGTGTGTCTCTTTGCTTTTCTTTAAGATGGGAATGGTGGCACCCAACCCAGCCTCAAAGGGCTCTTGTGAGGATTAAATATGTTAATTCATATCAAACTCTAAGAATGATCAGCACTCAATGTTTAAATACTATCTTTATTACTCATGCCCAAGTTCTCCCTCATCCGTTTCTGCATTTATTGAACAAATATCAGGGCATCTTCGAGCAGAATTTGCCAATGAATGAAGGAAATATTGTCTCCCTGGGAAAAAAGGATGATAAGTACTACTCAGGTGAGACTCCGCTGCCAAGTGCCAAAGGGTTATTCCCTCCTTCTCCCTGCAGCCTTTTTCAAGAAGTCAAGGCTAAAGAAGGAAAGGAGGATGGGAGAAATCAGAACTCCTGCATGAATTACAGTGGACTGCCCAGACAGCCCGGAGTGATCCTCTCCTAAAGAAAAATCTCTCAGTGATCAGAAAAGGGCCAGGGATACTCTGCAGCTGGAGCTCTGACCCCATCCTGGGCTCACAGAAGCTTTCAGGGAACTGAGTCCTTCTCAGAAAATTAAAACGTGCTAATAACAAGAGACCCATCTTCTACCACCTGTCAGGCTCTGTTCCAAGCCTTTTTATTTAACTCTCAAAAGAACTCCATTAGATAGATACTAGTACCATTTTAAAGAAAAAGAAACATAGGCAGAGAGATTAAGATACTCGCCTTTTATTATACTGCTAGGAAATGGCAGAGCTGGCTGATGGTCAGGGGAAAGGGCTGGGGGAGTACAGAACCCAGGAGATCCCCAGTCCCTGCGATGTAGGATCCCGGACCCCCGGCGCTAAGTGGAGATGCGCCAGCTGCCCCACACTGGAGAAGGCTCAAAGAAAACAAATCCCACCCTTCGCCGCAGGTGGATTCTCCTCCCCTAGAGCTACTGTCCAGTTGCTACTGGCCTCCAGCAAAACAAACATCAGTATGGACGGAAGGAGCAGGACGCAGGGCGGGGAGGGTCACCTTTCTGGGAGAAAAGAAGGCCGCGGCCTAGCGTACCTTGGGCGGAAGTGGCTCTCCCTACGGAGACCTCCTGGACTACGCTTCCCAGAATTCTCGACGGGATCAGGGAGACGGCCTCAGCCTCCTAGAGCGGAAGTTACCCGACTACACGGGGCTCCCAAACTACACTTCCCAGAATTCCTAGAAAAACTCTCCACTCTCTGCCTGCCTAGGACGCAAGTGCAGGGTGCCAAGCGGAGAGCCTGGATCATATTTCACATGTGCCGGTCCCAAAGGAATTCCTTAACTCTCCCTTCCTGGAACCGAAATGCTTCCAAAGGCAGAGAGCTCCTATATATATTTCTCTGTTTTCCCCGGAGGACCGTGCATGAAAGGCGCCTTTTTGGCGCGTGTGTCTCTGACCCTGTGGATCTTCTGGACAATTCCCGGAATTTCTTGCAGGGCAGCACTTCCCCTTAAGTCGTCTCTTTCTCGTTTGGATAGTCAGTATTTGTATAGTCACTATTCTCTTTTGGTTAGCCGTCTAATTTTATACTGCCAGTCAAGCTCTACTCCCTTCCCCCTAGAGTTTGAATTTATTTTTTTTCAAACGCTACACAAACCCAAATAAACTCAACCAAAGCGGACTTTACCTACCTTCCTACCTACCTACCAAGAAAATATCCCACAAAGGAGAGAACGGAGAAGCTTGCAATACAGGAAGAAAAAAAAAGAATTACAGAATGGAAGGGATGTGTGCTCTAAAAATGCAGGTACTCAAAGGAAATTGGGCTGATTTGTACTGGACACCGAATTTGAGGAATACAGGATCTCAACCTTTCTTTGACTGGATTACTTTTTTATTCCATTTTGGTGTGGACGCGTCTGAAACTGATAGTGCTGCTGCTACCTACCATAATGTGTTTGTTGCAAGATCCACAAGAACGTGGATGCCAAGAATCCACAAAAAAAAACAGATGCAACCGTTGATGAGGCCATAAACAGAAACAGCAAGCGGTTCCCACGTTTCCTCTGCTTTAACTACTGATGATGAAATGCAAGTCATAAGGCAAATAGAAGGGCTGTACTGATACAGACAAAATGTTATTATTATGAGAAGGGATAAGTCCCTTGTAAAACCTTGAAATTTTTTTCTTCTTTGAGAAAAATCTATCACCTATTTTCACCCTGCTCTTGATATAGCAAATATTGTAAGTTGTCTTATGGAGGATGACTCAGGGAGGACGGTGAATGGGTTGACTCAATCCAGAAAAGGAAGAGGAAAATAAAAAGACATAACGACCAATCTGTGAAAACGCTCAGTGGCTTAAAAGACACTATTAAGAGATGAGACTATTTGATTCTTTATTTAACTCCTTTCCAAGGAAATGTTTTTGAAAATCCATACGGTTTACATATTAAAGAGGATCAATCTGATAATAGGTGATTTTTTTGAAAAAAATGAAAGGAAAATTTAAAAATAAAAGGGACAGAATAATACTTTGTATACTTCCACTTCTAGTAATAATAAAATGAGTGATTTGGAACAAACATGTAGCAGAGGAAAGGTGAGCAAACTTTTTAAATGTCAAAAGACATCAAAAGACAAGATAATGGAGAAATGGTGGGCCAAAATTCAGAAACAGTTGGGAGAGTCATGCATTTGGGGCTAATTTTCTCCTGGGGATGATGGTCTAGTCTAGGATCTGAAAAGCCTAGAATCTCTGCAGCACTTTTGACACCTATATGAAGCTGGGGGAAAGAAAGATTCTAGCAAAAATTAAAATGCACATCTTTTCAAGAGCACATAAGATTTGTACAAATGAGTAAAATGATATGGGATTTCAAAATACTGAAATACTATGTTTTCGAATACAGTGAAATTTGGCTAGAAATCAATAAAAATACAACTAAATGATTCATGTGTGCATTTAATAAATATTGTCTCATCTCCAAACCCACCATTCTTCACGCCGCTTTATGGGGCTGGAATGGGGGAGTCTGCAGCCAATCTTTCCCGACCTCTACACCCCCAATCTGGTTCTGTGTTCGGCAACTATTAGCAGAAGAGTATAGGGGTGGTGGGGGCAGGGAGATATACTGTATCCTGTGCCTGCCAGCCAGCAGTACTTTTTCTTGTAGCAACTGCCTAATTTTCAGTTTTTCTAACACTTGAATACCTATTTCATCATGGCTCTTTATAAACATTATTAAACAACTTCCCAAAGACTGATCCTTAGATGTCTAAGTGCTAAAACTGCAGGGCCCTGTTTCTGAGCTCAGAGACAGCAGAGCCAGCTGAACACTGGCCTCTCCTTAGAGGTCTGAGTTTCAGGTGAGCATGACCTTCCTCCAAGCTTCTAAGTTTTAGTAATTCCTGTCTCTTCACTTTGTTTCCTCAGACCTCAGGTGGTTGCTGCTTGCTGCAGTTGCTACTTCCTGCAGTTGCTACTTCCATCATATATTAGAGTTTTTTTTTTTTTTTTTTTTTTTTTGACAGAGTCTCGCTCAGTTCCCCGGGCTGAAGTGCAGTGGTGCCATCTCGGCTCACTGCAACCCCTGCGTCTCGGCTCCAAGCAATTCTCCTGCCTCAGCCTCCCAAATAGCTGGAATTACAGGCATGCACCACCACTCCCAGCTAATTTTTGTGTTATCAGTAGAGATGGGGTTTCACCATGTTGGCCAGGCTGGTCTTGAACTCCTGACCTCGTGATCCACCCGCCTCAGCCTCCCAAAGTGCTGGGATTACAGGCGTGAGCCACAGCATCTGGCCCAGAGTTCTTTTTCTGCTCTTTCAGAAATCTAGCTACCAACTCTACAATATGCTAATTTTTCTTTTCAAATAATTCGTAAGGTTTCTATCTTCTAGGTGAACCCTAAATTATAAACTTGTTTAGAAATTAATCAAACCACTTTTAAGTAATCCATAGATAAAAGAGTATGGCATTGAAATCTGGTGTCATCAGTGAATTCCACCAAATATTTAAAGAAGAAACCATGTTCATCTCAAAATTATTCCTCAGAATAACAAAATAGGAAACACTTTCCAACTAACTTTATGAGGCCACTATAATAACACTGACAAAATTTGTGAGAGGCTTCATTAGAATAGAAAATGACAGGTCTGGCCAGGCATGGTGGCTCATGCCTGTAATCCCAGCACTTTAGGGGGCTAAGGCAAGCAGATCATGAGATCAGGAGATCCAGACCATTCTGGCAAACACTAACACAGTGAAACCCCGTTTCTACTAAAAATACAAAAAAAAAAAAAAAAGCCAGGTATGGAGGCACGCGCCTGTATTCCCAGCTACTTGGGAGGCTGAGGCAAGAGAATCACTTGAACCTGGGAGGTGGAGATTGCAGTGAGCTGAGATCGTGCCACTGCACTCCAGCCTGGGTGACAGAGTGAGACTCCATCTCAAGAAAAAAAAAAAAAGAAAAGAAAAAAGAAAGAAAAAGAAAATGACAGGTCTATCTCGTCATAAATATACTTTCAAAAATCCTAAACAAAATGTTGCCAATCATATATGAGGGTAACACATCATGACCTAGGTATCAGAAACAGAAAAAAAAAGTTTGATTAATCACCCATTTGTCATAAGAAAATTTAGGCAACTAAGCAATAGTAAAGATCTACAAAAATGGCAACAAATACCAAAAGGAATAGTGAAATATTGAAAACATTTCCTCTACGATGGGGAACGAAATAATGATGTCCACTCCAACCATTTCTACTAAATACCACATTTGCTCCTTTATCCTGCAATCTTGCCAAATAATCTAATTAATTTTAATATTTTATGTGTAGATCTTTTGAATTTTATATGCATGCTCATGTTGACTTCAGATCTGCAACAAATGTGGCACTGCAGCACCATGGGAACAGGACAAATATTCAACACATGTTGCTGTTAAATTGAATATTGTGAAATAAAACTGAAATTGACCTATACCTCCCACTACATGCAACAATCTAAGGCTGGTGGATTGTAGAGCCCAATTTGAAAAGCATTTCTTATGACACTTAAATCTACTCAGTGTATAAACCCATAAGAAATGTGTACCAAAATACACATATAAGAATGTTCATAGCAGGATCATTCATCACAATGACAAGCTGAGAATACTTCAGATGTCCATCGATGATAGTATGGATAAATATTTTTTGTTATTTACACAAGGTAAGAGCAAGGACACTGAACAAACTTTAGCTGTACATGCAATACCATGATGACTCCCATAAATATGTTGAGCAAAATAACTAGACAAACCCCGTAGATGCAGCGTGATTCCACTTGTTCATTAGACATGCAAAATTCATCAGTAGGATGATTTTGGACACTTAAATAGTAAAAATATAAAGAAAAGCAAGGGAACCTTAAAACTTAGGGTAGTGGTTTCTTTTCCTGGGGAAGAAAGCATCATGATGCTGTGAGAGTGGGGTGTTTGCAATTCTACCATGCTCCATTTTTGGCTGTGAGTGGTGATTATACAGCTGTTCATTTTATGTTCATACTTTCACATGTGTATTTATGATTTGGACACTTTTCTGAATGTAAGTGATATTTCAATCTGTAAAAATCAATGATATATGACCAACAAACTGTGGTACATCAATACAATAGAGTATTATTCAGCCATAAAAAGAAATGAGATATGAAGTTATGAAAACACATAGAATAACCTTAAATTCATATTGTTAATGGAAAGAAGCCAGTCTGTCAAAGCTACATACTGTAATTCAACTATATGATAATCTGGAAAAGGCAAAACTAAAGGTCAGTAAAGTGATCAGTGGTTGTTAGAGGTTCAGAGAGATTAATTGGTAGAGTACAGGGTATTTTTAAGCAGTGACACTATTCTGTATGATATGGTATGGTGGATATAGGATGTTATGCTTTGTCAAAACCCATGGAATGTACAACACAAAGAGTAAGCCCTAATGTCAACCACAGACTTTAGTTAATAATAATGTGTCGATATTCGTTCATTAGTTGTAACAAATATGCCACACACATGCAAGATGCAAACAATAGGAGAAACTGGGCAGGGGAAAGGAGAGCACATGGGAAATATTAATACTTTCTCTGTAATTTTTCTGTAACCCTAAAACTGCTCTTAAAATAAAGTCTTTTTTAAAAAATCAATGATATGTTTCAAAGGAAACTGAATATATGGCATAGAACTTTTTTCAGAACTTGGAAGGGCTAAAAATAATGAGAAACTCTATAATGAATATGAACATATTGATCAGGTGTATCTTATAAGCTAATGAGAAAAAATGTGGACTAGAGAAGGAAGCAGATTGTAATAAATAAATCATTAAAAGAGAATAAACAATTTATCCAAATGGGCAAAATCACATATTGGAAGGAGGAGAAGAAGATGGAGGAGAAGTGGGTGGAAGGCCAGGGTGTGTAGGAGGAGAAGTAGGAGAGGAAGAGTAAGAGAAAAAGGAGGAAGAGACTCCTAGAGATGCACTTGTAGACACTGAAAATTTTTTTTAATGGCAAGGCTGAAGACTAAAGAATTGAGTCAATTTCAAAGGAATGAAAAAATAAGCTTTTCATTTTAATTATTGTCTGCAACATTAAAAGTAGTAATAAAATATAAAAATAATCTATGGGGTTTTGAGATGAAAAGATTGATCCTTCTATGGTCAGAGAATGTTTTGTTCATGTGCACTATTCTTGGCATACAAGATTCAGTTGTGAATCACTTCTAAATTCTTTCTGGAAAATATTCTTCAAGACATATTACAGGCCTTTGGCAACAACACAGATAAAGCTTCCACAGACCGTCTTCCTAGTTTATTTACACAGAAATACTGAATAAAATGTGAACATAAAAATATCATTTATTTGAATAGGGGAATGTTTGAGGGCTTACATATTAAACATAGAAAGAAAAAAACAAACAGATATTATTTATTTGTTCCATTATATCCCCCACTACCCACTCTCATTTTCTCCCCTGTAGCATCAGTAGCCAGGTCGATCTGTTTAATGTGTGCCTGTTGCTGGTATGTCTTTTTGGCAAATGTATGGAATTTCAGATGCATATATATATATCTTGTGTTATAAAACTCTGTTAAAATTTTTCACTCAAAACTAGGTTTTTCTCAATATTTTACTAAAAATTTTTTTTTTGAGACAGGATCTTACCTTGTCACCTAGGCTAGAGTGCAGTGGCATGATCACAGTTCACTGCAGCCTTGACCACCTGGGCTGAAGCCATCTTCCCACCTCAGGCTCCAAAGTAGGTGGGACTATAGGTGTGCCCAACCACACCTGGCTATTTTTTTTTTTTTTTGCTAAGATGGGGTCCCACTATGTTGCCCAGGCTGGTCTCAAACTCCTGGCTTCAAGTGATCCTCCCACCTCGGCCTCCCAAAGTGCTGGCATTATAGGCAGGAGCCACTGTGCCTAGCTCTGAAATTTTATACCATAAAGAAGAGTTGGAAGAATTATACAGTAGTCACCCATATATTCTCAGCTTAGATTCTAAAATTAGCAACATTTATGTCTTAGTCATCCATCTAGCTATCTTACTTATTACTTATCCATCAGAACATTAGCATTACCTGACAGATTCCCCCATGACACTTACCAGTCAATCTCTAACCCCTTCCCCCAGTGGCAACCACTGTTCCACTTTTTCACCATAAATTTTACTAATTTTAGAATATGAAATATATGGAACCATATGGTAAGAACTCTTCTGCATTACAATACTTTGAATATAGTGTTTTTCAGATCCATCCATGTTGATGCACATATCAGTCATTTGATCCTTTTTATTACTGAGTGATGTTCTATTGCATGAATATATGTCTTTGGAAACTTGCTTACATTTTAATTGTCTAAATATTTTTATGAATAAAGATCCTGCAGCATACTTATAAAAGTATTTTTGTGGTCATATGCTTTCTTTTCTCTGGAATAAATATCTGTGATTAGAATTGCTTGGTGTGTTTAACTGCTTAAGAAAACACCAGATCATCTCCCAAAAGATTAATTTTACACTGTCTCCCAAAATATATGCAATTTCTGATTGTTTTGAATCCTAATAAGCATTTGCTGTTATTAATATTTCCTTTTTGAGACGGAGTTTCACTCTTGTCATGCAGGCTGGAGTGCAGTGGCATGATCTTGGCTCACTGCAACCTCTGCCTCCTGGGTTCAAGCAATCCTTCTGCCTCAGCCTCCCGAGTAGCTGGGATTACAGGCACCTGCCACCATGCCTGGCTAATTTTTGTATTTTTAGTAGAGATGGGGTTTCTCCATGTTGGCCAGGCTGGTCTCGAACTCCTGACCTTGGATGATCCGCCCACCTCGGCCTCCCAAAGTACTGGGATTACAGGTGTGAGCCACCGCGCCTGGCCTGCTATCAGTATTTTTAATATCTGCCATTCTGGTGGTTGTGTAGTTGCATCTCTCTGCAGTTTTCATTTGCTTTTTCCTGATGACCAATAATGTCACACTTCTTCACAGGCTATATTAACAATTTTTATGTCTTCCTTTGTAAAGTAACTGTTCAAATTTTGCCCATTATAATTGAGATGTTGGGCTCTTTAATATTGAATTGTACAAGTCTTTATACATTCTGGGTGTCAGTCAGTCTGAAATTTGGGCAGAGTTTAATGTAGAATAAGGAGCAATTCTTTGCTTGACATCTTTTTCCCAGGATTTCTTCCCTCACTTTCCAGGTCCTGTGGTCACCTCAATCTCTGTCATCTAGATCTTCATGCCAGTGGATACTACAGAAGCATCCACAGATTCAATGAAACAGGGATCAAAAATATTCAGAGAAAAATACAAATTAGCAACACAACAATAAAAATAACACAAATAAAAAATGCAATATAGTATGACAACTATTTACAGGGCATTTTTATTGTATAGGGATAGAAATAATTTGAAGTATGCAGGATGATATGAAAAGGTTACATGAGAATATTATGGCCATTTTACATAACAGACTTGAGCATCCACGGATTTTGATTTCCATAAGGGTCCCTGAAACAATTCCCCACCGATACCAAGGGACTACTGTATTCAGGATTTTTTCACTTAGTTCATGAAGGATATTCATCTGTAGTTTTCTTTCCTTGTAATTTCTTTGTCTTGTTTGGTATTATCAGATTAATGCTGGCCTCATGAGACAAGCTGGGGGTGGGTGGGTGTTCCCTTCTCTTTTTGTTTCTGGGTTTATTTAAAATTCACATCTTTACTCTTTAAATGTTTAGTAGAATCCACCAATGAATTCATCTCAATATTGTTTTTTTTATTGTTGTTGTTGGAAGGCTTTATCTATTAAATCAGTTTTGAAATATATATCAGGCCAGGCAGGTGCAGTGTTTCAAGCCTGTAATCCCAGCACTTTGGGAGGCCAAGGTGGGCAGAGCGCTTGAGCCCAGGAGTTCAAGACCAGCCCAGGCAACATGGTAAAAACCCATCTCTACAAAAGATAGAAAAAATTAACTGTGCATATATATATATATATGTGTGTGTGTGTGTGTGTGTGTAAAAATTGTATGTATGCACACACATACATACACGCAAGTATCTAGGTTATCCATTCTTCCTGAGTGAGCTTTGGTAGTTTGTGCCTTTCAAGTAATATTCCATGTCATGTAAATTGATCAATTTATGGACAAGGAGTTGTTTGTAATGTTCCCTTATAATCCTTTTAATATCCGCAAAATTTGTAATAACATTCCCTCCCTCCTGATTTTTGTTTTCTTCTTTTTCCCTGTGGGTGAGTCAGTTGAAAGGTTTATAAACTATATTGATCTTCTCAAAGAATAAGTTTATGATTTTATTGATTTTTAAAGATTGTTTTTCTGTTTCCAATTTCATTGACTTACGTAGCTGCCACAAAATTTCACTCTATCCTCTCCAGGACCCAGCTGGGCTCAAGAATTAAATTAGCATAACACAGATTAACAGAACAGCAGGCAAATTTATTTAATACAAGTCTTACATGTGACCAGAGCCTTCATTACAAAATGAAGATCCAAATAAAAAGTCAGTTATGTATACACTGTAGTGAACAAAGAATAGTAAGTTGTTAAGAAGCAATTGGGCCAGGCCTGGTGGCTCACGCTTGTAATCCCAGCGCTTTGGGAGACAGAGGCAGGAGGATAGCCTGTAGCCAGGAGTTTGAGACCATCCTGGTCAATGCAGTAAGATCGCGTCTCTACAAAATAAAAATAAATTAAATTTTTTTTAAAAAAGAAGCAACTAAATCATGCAGACAGGCTTGAAAGATGTTATTTTAAGGTGGTCTGTACAGAATTCTTTTGGGCTTGACTTCTCATTTTGAGGAAAAGTATATTGCTCCTTTTTTTCCAGTATAAGGAGTGGATCTTCTTTCCTCCTTCCCACCCTCCCTCCTTCCTTCCTACCTTTTCCCACAGATGTGCTAGCAGAATGTGCTAATTAGTAAATATCTTCTGCCCTGAGAAGAGAGATGACACAGCAAGAAGAAGGATGCTAAGTCATACTCAGTTAAGATTCTGCTGCTAGGAGCCAGAGTCATTCTTTCCTCATTCCTGTGACCATCTGCGAGAAACCAGAACTGTGTCTCCCTCCTGCACGAATCACAGAGGGCATCCCCATACAGTAGCCTGGAGTGATTCCCGCCCCACCCCCCACCCCCATCCCCACACCGCCACCCTCACTTTTTTAAAAAGGGAATCCAGGAATCGTCCTGCTTCCTGTAAGGATCAGAAAGAAGGGGCAAAATAGCACTGCAGGTGGAACTCTGATCCCTTCCCAGGCTCACAGAAGCTTTCAGGTAACTGGGGCTTCTCGGGAAATTAAAAGAAAATTAATAAAATGAACCACACTTACCACCTTTTACTTGTGACTATCTCATTTAATTCTCCACTGAACTGCATCGGTTTGGTACTTCTATTCCCCTCATGTTACATAAAAGGAATGCTAGGCACATACATTTTGAATTACTTCCCAATTTCACACTCCTAGAAGGTGGCAGAACTGCCTGGTCAGTCCTGGAGCAGGAACAGAGCGCACAAAATACAAGAGATCCTCAACCCGCCAAGACCAAATTCTGCAAACTCGACAAAGGGTCACTCACCTGGGGCCCAACCCCATCTTCCACTGCTAGCCACGGATGCTCTTCTTGAAGACAAGGAGGGCCACCGCCAGGCTAAACGAAACATTGCTGTCTCAGGCCTCACTCAACTTCCTGAAACGAATGATGACCTCACTTTCATGGAGCAGAAGTGACTGTACTTACCCACAATTCCTGTATTATAACCCCAGAATCCCCAATGAGATAATCGTCACAGCCACGCCCTCCTGTAGCGGAAGCCTGGCCGCCTACACAGAGCTCCAAGGTTACTGCTCCCAGAATCCTCGCAAAGAATTGGCAATGTCGTTGCCTTTCTCTGGCGGAGGGCTGGCTACTACCGTTTGAATTTGGAATGTATGTCACACAATTCTAGAGCAGAATGCAAACTCAGCACTGTCTTCTTTGAACCAAAATGTCTCCAAAAACAGGATTCTAATTTATACTTAATATTTCCCCCAGAAGCCCAATCATTAAAGCCACCTTTCCTGGAACAGAAGTGTTTTTGACGCCGTGAATCCTTTGGACCAGTTTCCAGAATCCTCTTCAGGTAGCGCTTCTCACCAGCGTTTCCCTTTTTATTTTGGATAACTAGGTTCAGTCCGAATCATTCTATCTCACTGGTCAAGCTCAGCCTTCTTTTTCGTTATTCTCATTTTTTTTCTTTCACATGTGACAAAACAAGTGTATTTGAACACCGCTCCCACCCTGTCCCCCACCCACTTCCCTTTAGTAGAGAACACAGTTTGAAATGAAAAGGAGGCATAAATTATAAAGGGGAAGATATGTGTGAGCTAAAAATGCAGAACTTAGAAACTGGGCACGAATGTAAGGAACACAAGATCTCAAACCTACTTTGACTGGATTTTCTACTTTAATCCATGTGTGTTGGATGCATCTAGAACTCTTGGCGGTGTTATCAGATATTAGCTATTCATTCCATGATACAAGAACCCACAAGAAGGTCATGCAAAGTTTATTAAAGTATAAAGCAGAAGCAGCAAAAGCTTTTGGGTGTTCCTTGACTTTAATTGTTCATTGTAAAACATGGCTCATGAGGCAAATGAAAGGAGGTGTGTTCATGTGGAGGAATTATTATAATATGAAAAGAGATAAATATATAAAAATTTGGAATTTCTTTTTGTTCAAGTTCAAATATCACATCACCCACTTCCACCCTATTCTTATTATCATAAATACAATAATAACTGTATTTCATTCAGGTGAGTCAATTGACAGTTGGACGCAAATCCAGAAAATCCAACAAATAAAAATACACGAAGGTTCTGCTTACCACTTTTCTTCTGGACAAGAACTAAACACTTTCATACCTTTATATTATGAAAAATTTCAAACATTAATAGAAGTAAAGAGTGAAGTATTCCATCACCTCATCACCCAGATTCAGCAATTTTCAACATGTGCCACACTTCCTTTATCTATCAATATTGTCTTTCTGCCCTTTTTGTTATTGTAATTTTAAAACAAAATCATAACACTGTATTATTTTCCCCCTAAACACTCCCATGCATACTTCAAAGAATTACATTTTCTAATATAACAAAAATACAACTATCACACTGAAGAAAGTTAATAATTCCTTAATATTATTTTATACCCTACAAAACAAAACTTCAAAATTTCCAGTCATCTCAAAAATACCCATTCTTTGCATGTGATTGTTTTCTCTCTTGAGTCTCTTTCAATCTGGAAGAGTATCCCCCCTTTGATCCACTTTAAATTCATGCTTTTGGCCTATAGAAGACATCAGGTCAGTTGTCAAGTAAGATGTCCCACATTATGGATTTTTAAAAATGTTTCATTATGCTGCCATTTAACATTTTCTTGAATATCTTTTGTGGCTCTGGTAAACTACAATTTAGATTTAGAGAGCAGATAAGATTAAGGTTCATCGTTTTCGGCAAGAATACTTCTCCATAGGTAGGTTTATTTTGGCCTTGTTCAATAGCATCACCTCCTTAGTGCAGATCACAGCACATTCTTGAATATTACTGTTTCCTACAGCACCTAAGATACTACACCTCAATCATGCACACAAATGTCCATTAGAAGAACAAGGTTCACAGAGTTTGAGGGAAAGGGTGAAGATTTTAAGAATCAAAATTTTTTCTCTTTCAATTGCTAATCTCATCCTATTAAGCATCCATAGTCTTGCAAAATGTGAAAGAAAAATAAATCTCGGGACCCCCAAATCACTAAGCCAGAGGGAAAAGTCAAGCTGGGAACTGTGTCAGGCAAACCTCCCATTTTATTACTTAATATGATAGCTATAAAGAAGAAAAAGCTACATACCTCCTTCACAATTTGTCAACAAGGAAATTCCCTGTGGGCCTGAACATCTTTATCCAAAAGCATTTCTGTTGAATTTCACCCTGGTAATGTAAATTGATAGCTTATCTTCACAGGTGTGGGACAAAGGACAGACAGAACTCAAAGTCATTCCTCTGTTCACCTGAAACAAATGCATATCTGATTGCTTCCTCTTCCCTATTGTTTCTGTAATAATGCATATTCACTAAGCAACATTAAGACCTAAGTCACTATTCGTCTACCCACCTCTCACGTGTGAGTTTTGTATTCAGTAAAAGCCTAATCAGACCTCAAAATAATGCCACTGTTTGTCTCTTATCTACCTATGATGTAGAAGCTCCCACTCCCATTTGAGATTGTCCTGCCTTTCTGGACTTAAGCAATGTATAACTTAAACATACTGTTTGATGCCTGATTTCTCCTAAAATGTATAAAATCGAGCTGTGCCCTGACCACTTTGGGCACATGTCGTCAGGACCTCCTAAGGCTGTGTCACAGGTGCGTACTTAACCTTGGCAAACTAAATGTTCTAAATGGATTGAGACCTGTCTCACATACTTTTGGGTTCACAAAAGTATGCTTTAGTGAACACCCATGTCCATTTGTTCTTGATCTTTAAGTGAGTGCTACCATAATATAAATTCCTTGAATGGGGACCCTTGAATCTAAGAGTATGCACAGTGCATAGAGTCATATTACCAACCCTATCTCCAAACAAGTGATCTGACTGACTGAGCCAATACTATTTGGGAGCCTTTTCCCCAAAAATAGATGCTATGAATTGAAATATCCCCTTTCATGGCATGTTTAAAATACTTCTACCATTGCACATACCGACTTATCAAAGTTATCTGATCTCTGATCTCTGCACCTCTAAAGCAATGCTTCCCAGCCAAGGTCACATACACTGAGAAAGTGTCTCACAAATAACTTTTAAGTGATAACTGATACCAAATCTGATGTTATTTAAAAACAAAAACAGAGGCAAGTCAATATTCCTCACGTAATAGCATCACTGGTGCCTGAACTGAAGTTTGCTGTCTAGAGTAGGAGACCAAAAGATGATTTTAAAGCTGCTGGGCCAGGTAATATACTTAACCTGTAGCCTTTGGGACATATGCTATTGACTGGCTCACAGAGCATCCATTCATAATCCCTTTGACCCTGCATGTCTCTTCTATAAAATCATGGGGGACAATCAAAATACTTTCTTAATGTTCCTTAAGTCTACGGTTGTCATAGGACAATATTTTGAACAATTAGATGTAAGTGTAAGTCTTCTGTTTATACTAGAGAGAAGAGAAAAGATATGGTTGGTATTGAGGATATGAGATGAATAAGGGATATTGAAAATGCAATAGGATCAATGAATTGTAGAAATTGATGAAGTCAATATCACAGTAAACCACAGGAAGATCTGGCAAGAGAATATGTAGAGCAGAGTGTAATGCCTTAAATGGAGACTATGGAGGGATTGCAGCTATTGCTAATTTAAGGCCTATAGTATGACCATGGAAATGAGTACCCCAAGTAGGATAGACAAAAAAGATGAACAGAGGCATGGAAGTCAGCATATATCTCTTAAATTGTAAAACATTTCATATATACATAAAATTATGAGAATAATTTTTAAACACATCCCAGATGCCCAGGTTTAACAAGTGCACATTCACTCAATTCAATACAACACAATCATTAAAGATGAACTTTATGAAGAATGTGGGAAACAGCAAAATTAACTTATGGTATATTACTAACTGAAATACTAATTTAAAATTTACACATTATTTAATAAAAAGCAAATATCTATATACGTATAAAATAAACCAAAATGAAAATGTTTACATGAGGGTGGTGCTAGCAGGATTATAGTAGTCCTAACTTAGTTCTGAACTTACTTGTAATGAGGTCCTGCCACTTAAAAAAAATAAAGTTCCAGACACTTTTAAAAAGTCACATTTATTGAAGTGCAATGTACATACATTATAAAGTCTACTATTGTTAAGTGTATAGTTCAATGAGTTTTAACAAATATGTACAAACATGTAACTACCAACACGATCAAGTTACACAATATTTCCAACGCCACAGAAACTTCCCTAGGAAGCGGCAATGCTGATTGGTGGGTCCAACAGAAGGGCTACGGGAGTACAAGACCCAAGAAACCATCAAACCCAATGATGCAAGACCCTGCCTCATTCCCCAACCTGGGACTCAGGAACCTCCCCTAACACTAGAAAGCTCTACTGAGTCGAGGGAAACGCAAACACTTCCAATCCTAATCCTCCGCCGGCTGCCACTTTTCCTCCTCAAGACAGAGGGCCTTGACCATCTTTGGTCCCTCACCCAGGCTGAGGAGGCGCAGAAGCGTCGCTGGGGCTCAAGTCTCACATGCAGCATGATGGCCGCAACTTTCCCTGGAGCGGAAGTTCCTGCGACTCACTTCCCAGAGTCTGGAGTCACACGAGAGGGCCACACCCTGTACTCCCGAAGAGGAAGTGTTGTCGACTATATGAAACGTCTGACCCACACTTCCCAGAATGTTTAAGCGGAACGACGACAAGGACTCCACCAGCCTGGGTGAAAATACTTCCGACTACAGTTCCCAGAATGCCCAGCACGCTAGTGCTTCCGCCTTCCTGCAGCTCATTCTGTTGGTTCAGCGCGTTCAAACTGAAGGTCACTTCTCTAGCGCGATGAGCGCTTGGGCTTTTTATTTTTGTAATTTTTTTCCTCAAGAAAAAACGAGCATGTGGAAATATAAAGAAAATATAACTATTTGAGGATAAAAGCGAAGGTTTTAGTATGAAAAGAAACACACTTTAGCAGAAAAGTGATGAGTATGAGAAGAAACAAGATTCTAAAAGGGAGTTGGGCTGTCCACTGGACATAACCATAAGGAATATGGAATCTCAGACGTGGTTTAACTCCGTTGCCTCTTTATATGTGCCTATACTCATCTAGACCTCTGCTTATGCTATCTGGCACGGACAATTGATTTCAAGATGCCAAGAATCCACAAGGAATTCCAAGGACAAATCAGTCTTGAAATCAAGCACAGAAAGAGCAAGTTGTATCTGAAAAATGAAGGAAGCTGTACTGGCAGGAAATTTAGAAAACATGATATGGAAAATGGCTCCTGTCTTGAAATTTTTTGCGTTCAAATCAGGCTTGGAATTGGCTATTCCTCTGTTGCCCGTTGACCTCACATATTTAACATGAACGTATCTTTTCTACAAACCTGTTTAAGCCGTGTGAATTTATGGTTATTCAGGAAGAGGTGGGTAGGTTGAGATGGGAGACGGACTCCAGATAACTATAACAAGTCAAACTACGGGAAGTATGTACTTACCACTTTCCTTCTGGGCAGGAAAAAAATTTTTTAATGAAACTTACGATATTAACACAAAAAGGCGGAGCTTGCAGTGAGCTGAGATCACGCCACTGCTCTCCAGCCTGGGTGACAGAGGAGACTCCATCTCAAAAACAAAAAAGAAAAATAAAAAAAGAAAATGATAACATGAAACACCAAATGCGCCTACCCTAAATTCAACACTTCCCAACATTTTGCCATACAGGCAATATCTATGACTATTGAATTTTGTTACTGAAATATTTTAAAGTAGATCCCTGGCCTTATCCCTTCCCAATACTATTTGTATCACTTAAAAATAATGATGTTTTAACATAACCACAAAATCGTTACCTCATGAAATAAAATTAACAATTCTTAGTATTATCTAATATGCGTCCCAATTTGAATCCTGTTTTTTTGGGGAAAAGTACTTTTACAGCTGGTTTATTCCAGTCATTATCCGAATATTTTGATCCATTTTATTTGATTGTTATCTCACCAAGAAGTCATTTACTCTAAAACTATGCCCCCACCCCGACCCTCCCACACACAGCACTACCACCACCATTTTTTATTTCCTTGAACTGCTGGGGAAATAAAAATGTCAAATTAGGTGTCTAAATTCTGGATTTGTCTAAAGGCATCGCCATATTTTCTCCTCTGCTCTTTTAAATGTTCTGTAAAGTAGAAATTTGATGTAAAGTCTAGATTAAATACAAGTTATTGGTTTTTGCAATACTTCATAGAAGGGACTGGAAATATTGGAAACAAAAACCATATTCTCTTCAACTAAAGTCAATGCAAATCCTCAGCAAGTTTCCCTCTGAAGAGAAAGACAAAAATAAATAACAGCATATATGCAAAAAGAGACAGATTAAAATATGGAAACCATCATAACAAATCAGATTCTAGACTGAGTACAATGGCTCATACCTGTAATCTCCAGCACTTTGGGAGGCTGAGGTGAGAGGATTGCTTGAGTCAAGGAGTTTGAGACCAGCCTGGGCAATGCTGTGAGACCTTGTCTCTGCAAAAAATCCATTAAGGTAAGCTAGGTATTTGAGACCACTTTTATCTCAAAAAAAATTTGAGGTGGAATTTGCCAATTCCTTAAGGTAAAAACCTGAGAAGCTGATAGTTGGAGTCTAGGACCTGCCAAAGATGGGGTGGATAACCATGGTTTAAAAAATCACTTGGGGCACGGTGTCTCATGCCTGTAATCCCAGCACTTTGGGAGGCCAAGGTGGGCAGATCACGAGGTCAGGAGATTGAGACCATGCTGGCTAACATGGTGAAACCCTGTCTCTACTAAAAATACAAAAATTAGCCGGTTGTGTTGGCGCACACCTGTAGTCCCAGCTACTCAGGAGGCTGAGGCAGGAGAACCACTTGAACCCGGGAAGCAGAGCTTGCAGTGAGCTGAGATCGTACTACTGCACTCCAGACTGGGCTACAGAGGGAGACTCCGTCTCAAAAAAAAGAAAAAAAAATCACGTGGGTTTTGTGTATGGAACACCAAAGGGCTGCATCCTAGGTGTAAAGTTGAATGGGAAGTAGGCCCAACTTGGCAGGTATTCAAACCCAAATCCAAGTCAACTCAATCCCTGACCCTGTATTGCTTGTAAATCTGGCAGAAATAAATAAAATCCTCTATAGAGATCCTAAGCATCCAATTATTTTTTAAACATTTTATTTTAAAATAATCACAGATTCATATGAAATTGAAAAGATAGTAGAAAGAGGTCCCACGTACCCTTCACCCAGTTTCACCCAATGATTATACTGTCCTTAATTAAAATACAACATCAAAACCAGGGAATTATATTGATACCATGAATATGTGTAGTTGTATGTTATCACTTGTAGACGGATATAGCTACTACCACAATCAAGATAAATAACTATTCCATCACTGCAAAGCCCTCCTTCTTGCTACATCTTGATAGTCACACCCAGTCCCCTCCCTTCCACCATTCCTGATATCTAGAAACAACTAATCTGCTTTCCATCTCTATAATTTGGTCATTTCAAGAATGTTATACAACTAGAACCATAAAATAGATTCACATTTTTCACTTAGCATAATTATCTTAAGATCCCTCTAAGTTGTGTGTGTATCAATAGTCCATTCCTTTTTATTGCTGAGTAGTATTCCACGGTATGGATGTACCACGATTTGTTTAACATTTACCTATTAGGGAACATTTTGGTTGTTTCCAGTTTTTTGCCGTTATGAATAAAGCTACTATGAACATTCATGTACAGGTTTGTGTGCATTTGTTCGTGTATGTAAGTTTTCATTTCTCTGGAGTACATGTCCAGGATTGAAGTTATGGGGTTGTATGGTAAGGATATGTTTAATTTTTTAAGGAACTGTCAAACTGTTTTCTGGAGTGGCTCTACTACTTTACATTCCCAACAGAAATTTGTGAGACTTCCAGTCTCTTTACATTCTTGTCAGAGTTTGACATTGTTGCTATTTTTTTTTTAGCTGTTCTAATAGATGTGTAGTTATATTTCACTGTGGTCTTGATTTATATTTCCCTAATGACTAATGATGTTGATTATCTTTGCATGTGCCCCTTTGTCATACGTATATCTTTTTCAGTGAAGTGCTTGTTTAAATCTTTTAGCTTAAAAAATTGGATTGTTTTCCTATTGAGTTTTGAGAGTTTTTATATGTTCTCTATACAAGACTTTTACACATACATGATTTGCAAATAGTTTATCATTCCCTAGCTGGTCTTTTCATACCTGTGTAAGAGTTATGATTTTATTTTTTGAAAATTATTTTTTTAACAGTTTTGGGGGTCCCACAGAGATGCCAAATAGATTCATGTAACAAATCCAGGTAATGTTTGTCACCAGAAAAGTACACCTCAGTGATGGTCTTAAGCCCAGTTGCATTGTTTCTTGGCTCCCAGAGGTAAATACAAAGTGACAATAGAAATTTGTTGATCCTCTGTTTTTCTCATTTTAATTTTCTTATAATTTTGTCTTTCAGTTTTGTTTGTTTTGTGTTCACTTATGGCTGATAAATTTTCACTATCACTGGCAACAATAATTGGGAATTTTTTATTATCTTGTTTTTAAAGTGACTATCAGTGCTGCTCCCAATGTTCTCAACTTTTTAAGAAACTGTCCTTGTCAAAAGGCTTATAGTCTTAGACAAATTTATATGATACATTTCTTCAGCTGCTGCAAAATATGATTCAACCAACTCATCATCAGTAAATAACTTTTCTTGCTTGACTAACAGATTAGCCACTCTAAAACTTACTTTGGTTATAGCCTCATTTTCATTTGTTATTTCATAAAAGTAATTCTGCTTTGATAAGATATTCCATTTTAAATTTTTTATTTTTGGCCATAATTATCTGTGATTTGGAAATATTGGGATAAGTTTTTAATCTGGCAGTATTAATGTTATAATTTTTCTTCTTGTACAGCTGTCACTGCATAACAAACACAATAGTCAGCCGTCAGATTCTATAACAAAATAATCCACACTTTACTATACCTTAAAAGCATGACATTCAAAATTTGATTTTCTCTTCTTGTTTTGACATGACGAATATGCATAATAAATAAAATATCATAGTAGAGTGATACATATGACACTCAAAAATCTGTTAACTTGTAATAACTGTGTTACTGTGATTTATGATACACTGAGTAGAAGTATGAAGTGATGAGAGCATTATATATGGTCTCTATCATAAGTACACAACTGTACCAATATAACAGGAAAACAGCCATAGACAATATGTAAACAAATAAGCATAACTGTGTTTCAACCAAAAGTTATGAATGCTGAAATTTGAATTTTACATACTTATCATATGTCATAAAATATTCTTCTTTTGATTTTTTTGACTATTTAAAAATGTAGGCTGGGTGTGATAGCTCACACCTGTAATCCCAGCACTTTGTCAGGCCAAGGAGGGCAGAATGCTTGAGCTCAGGAGTTTGAGACCAGCCTGAGCAACATGGTAAAACCCCATCTCTACAAAAATGCAAAAAATTAGCTGGACATGGTGGTGCATGCTTATAGTCCCAGCTACTCAGGAAGTTAAGGTAAGAGGATTTTTTGATCCCAGGAGGTTGATGCTGCAGTGAGCCAAGATCATGCCACTGCACTCCAGCCTGGGCGATGGAGTGAGACCCTGTCTCAATAAAAAATGTAAAAGCCATTATTACTTCATGGGGGCCTACAAAAACAGTCAATACACCATATTTAACCATTAGGCCAGAATTTCCCAGCCACTGGCTTACTCCATCTTACCCAGAACCGGAATTCCAAATTGATCTATAAAGTCAACACAGTATCAATCAAATTTAGAGCAGGCTTTTTGCAGAAACTAATATTAAGATTTACATTGATATGCAAAAAACAGCCAACTAAAAAAACTAGAATAGTCAAAATTGTTTTGAAAAGGAAGAACATCATTAGAGGAATAACAGTATCAGATTTCAAAACTTATTCTAAAGCTCCTGTAGTCAAGACATAGTGAAAGCTTAACAATATTTATATAAATCAGTGGAACAGAAGTGATTCCAGAAAATACAGCCAAGTATATATGATCAGTTTATTTTCGGTGCAGCCACAAAGGTAATTCAATGGGAGAAAGTTGTTTCAAAAAATAGCACTAGAACAACTGGACACCTATTCGAAAATTATGAACCTCAACACTTACCTCACGTCATACACAAAAAGAACTCAAAATAGGTAACAGACCTAAATGAAAAGCTAAAACTACAAATGTTATACAAGAAAATATAGGAGAACATTTTCAAAACCTTGGGATAGGCAAAAAAAGATTTCATAGGCAAAAAAGAGCACAAAATCTAATTTAAAAAGATAAACCAGAACTTCATCAAATTAACTTACTCTCTTAAAAACATTAACAAAATGAAGAGGCAAGCTAAGACTAGGAAAAAATATTAATAATGTATTTATCTGAGAAAGGATTTGTATCTAGGCTATATTAAGAAATCTTACAACTCAACAGTAAGGAAGCAAAACTTTCAAAAGTTCTTTTCCAAAGAAGATATAAAATGACCAATCAGCACATGATAAAATGACTGATAACCACATCATTACTTATCAGGGAAATGCTAATTAAACCACAGTGAGATAACACTACAAATAATCCCAATGACTAAAAATCCCAAGTATTGGTTAGCATGTAGAACAAGTGATCTTGCATTGACTGCTAATGGAAGTATGAAGTGGTATAGTCATTTTTAGAAATAGTAAAGTTAAACATACACTTAGCATATTCACTGTTACTTGCCTTGTACCAAAAGTATCATTCTTAAAGATGTGAGATAGTGGTTTGAGAATAAACAAAAATGGGCTGGGTATGGTGGCTCATACCTGTAATCCCAACACTTTGGGAGGCTGAGGTGGGTGGATCATGAGATCAGGAGACCATCTTGACCAACATGATGAGACCTCCTCTCTACTAAAAATACAAAAATTAGCTGGGCACGGTGGCAGGCTCCTGTAATGCCAGCTACTCAGGAGGCTGAGGCAGGAGAATCACTTGAACCCAGGAAGCAGAAGTTGCAGTGAACCAAGATCATGCCACTGCATTCCAGCCTGGTGACAGAGCAAGACTCTATCTCAAAAAAAAAAAAAAAAATGGTCAGAGATTTCAGTGATAAACATAAAAGATAGGAGACTCCAGGAATGGATATACCTAGTGTAGTATAAATGTGACCTTTAAGATCAGTAAATAAAAAAGGGACTCATCAATAAATGTTGAAAGCCTTGACTATCCAATTAGAAAAAATTAAAATTAGATTTGTGCCTGATACCACTTAAAACATATTCTTCATGTTTTGAAAATAATTAGTTCCTGGGAGTATGGGAAAGTTTTCTTTTAAAAAATCGTTATACAAAAATTTCATAAACACATTGAAATTTTAACCACATAAATTTTTTTAGCTAAGTTGCCCAGGCTAGAGTGCAGTGGCTATTCACAGGCACAACTGTAGCACCCAATAGCCTCAAACTCCTGCCCTCAAGTGATCCTTCTGCCTCCCCAGTAGCTGAGACTACAGGTATGTTACTGGTATGTGCCACCCCACAGAGCCCAACCACATAAAGATTTTAAGTGAACAATAAAGTACCTCATTCTTTATGTTAATAGACAAGGACAGCCAATTCTTCATAAAGATAACATACACTTAGCTTATGACAGCAATTCAACTCCTAGGTATTTACCCAAGAGAAATCAAAGCATATGTCTGCAAAAACACTAATACAAGAATATTCTTAGTAGCTTTATTCAAAATTTCCAAAACCTGGAAACAAATGTTCACCAACGTGAGAATGGGCAAACTGTGGTAATTTCCTGATTACTCTGAACATAAAAAGAAGACTGACAAGCATAATAATATAAATGAACTTAAAAACATTATGTTAAATGGTGGCAGCTTCTATAGAAAACAGAATGGCAGATCCTGAAAAAATTGAAAATACAATTACCATGTGATCCAGCAATTCCACTTCTGGGTATGTGTCCAAAAGAATTGAAAGCAAGGTCTTGAAGAGATATTTGTACTCCTATGTTCGTAACAGCATTATTCACAATAGCCGAAAAGTGGAAGAAACCCAAGTGTACAAAGGAAGAAAATTCTGACACATTCTACAACACAAATAAACTTTAAGGACATTATGGAAAGTTAATAAGCCAGTCACAAAAAGGCAAATACTGGGCTGGGCGTGGTGGCTCACGCCTGCAATCCCAGCACTTTAGGGGGCCGAGGTGGGCGGATCACAAGGTCAGGAGATCGAGACCATCCTGGCTAACATGGGGAAACCCCGTCTCTACTAAAAATGGAAAAAATTAGCCGGGCGTGGCGGAATGTGCCTGTAGTCCCAGATACTCAGGAGGCTGAGGCAGGAAGATGGCGTGCGTGAAGCCTGGAGGCGGAACTTGCAGTGAGCATAAATGGAACCACTGCACTCCAGCCTGGGCAACAGAGGGAGACTCCGTCTCAAAAAAAAAAAAAAAAAAAAAAAAAAGTCAAATACTGTATGATTCCATTTATGTGACCCAGAGAAGTCAAATGCATAGAGACACAAAGTATAGTGGTTGCCAGTGGCTGGGAGCAGGGGAAAATTGAGGGTTGCTGTTGAATGGGATAGAGTTTTAGTTTTGCAAGATAAAACGAGTTTTGGAGATTGGTTTTACAACAATATAAATGTACTTAACACTACTAAGCTATACACTTAAAAATGGTTGAGATGGTAAATTTCATGTTATGTATATTTCACCAGTAAAAAATTGTAAAAAGCTGAAAGCATTCCAGGTAGCTCTAGTTTGCCTATGAGATTAAGAGACATTTATTTCCATCAAAAACCAAGGATCTGAAAGTAACCAATTTATGAGCTCACAAGTTAGCCTGACAGTCTCACAGATGCTGGCACAAGACAAAAGACTCCTGGCTCTGAGACAAAGGACTTTATTAGCCACAACCACAGCAGTAGCCAGAGTGTCATTCTTTGCAATGGTTTTTGGCATTCTAATCCCATAGAGTGACATGAAAGGCCAGGTGCCACAGGCCTAGCAGGCTGCATTGTAAGAATAGAACCTTAAGCTTAGGAAACCTGAATCTTTTATGATAGCCCGTGGGAATAAAACCACTGCCCTTCACCCTAGAGGGAGACACTGTCTTCACTAGAGTGGGCCATAAACAAATCTACTGCTCCAGAGGGAGACACTATATTTTTGTTCCCTAACATGCACCTTTGAAAAGACAGTGGGAAACAAAGATGACCAGTGTCTCCACTCAAAGACATGCAGAAAAAGAGAAGTAGATACTTAAGTAACCATAGTGTCTGCAGAAAAATAAAAGAAAAAAAATAAGGGAAGTAGATACAGAGAATGAGTGGGGAATGAGGAATAATAACTAATGTTACATTCTAATTCAAAGCCAGTTGACTTCAGAAGAAAAAGGCCAATTCTGGGGTTACATCTCCTCTGTGAGTGGTATGCTAATAAATGTTTAATAAATGGCTCTCCAGAAAGAAAAGTATGTACATTATAGAAGTTTACTATAAATTTTACTAACATAGAATGTTTTTAGAACACAATTTATAAACAATAATAAAATATGCAGTACTCTTTATTATAAATTACTAATTTAGAAAACCATGTTGAATGAAAAAAAGCCAAATACAAGAGTATCTTACAGTATGATTTCATTTATATAAAGTTCAAGAATAGGCAAAACCAACATATGGTGATAGAAACCAAAACAGTGATTATATCCTTTTTTGGAAAGAAATGAAGGGAAAGGGCACAAGGGAAATTTTGGGGGTAAATAAAATGTTTAACATGTTGAATGGGCATTATTTACAAGGATATGTACATTTGTTAAAACAAATGTAGTTAAAGTCTGCACTTTATGTAAATGATACCTGAACAAAATGAGTTAAAAAAAAGACAAGACAGATCAGACATCTTTGGTAGCTGTTACTATGTGCTTCTATGGGCAGTCTAGTGGAGGCATAGCCACTGATCCCAGTCTGCCGGCTGCATGCTATTTGTATTTATTGCCTGCAATTGTATGAAGAACTAGTGTTAAGTAGCCAGTGAACCCAGCATCAGTTATTAAAATGACTATTATTTCTCCAACATATTTCAAGGCTGATAAACTGACTCACTGTATACATGTGGATCTGTTTTTAGACTCCCTATTCTTTTCCATTGATCTATTTTTTCTCTCCTGAGCTAATACTACACTGTATTAATTATAGAACATTTATAATAAATGTTGATCTCTGGTAGTGTAAGTCCACCAATGTTGCTCTTCATCAAATTTTATCATCACACATAAGGGACTTCTTTTTTTTCTTTTTTTTTTTTTTTTTTTTTTTTTTTGAGACAGAGTCTCTCACTGCCGCCTGGGCTGGAGTGCTGTGGTGCGATCTCGGCTCATTGCAACCTCCACCTCCTGGGCTCAAGCCTCAGCCTCCTGAGTAGCTGGGATTACAGGTGCCTGCCACTATGCCCAGCTAATTTTTTGTATTTTTAGTAGAGACGGAGTTTCACTATGTTGGCCAGGCTGTTCTCAAACTCCTGATCTCATGATTCACCCTCCTCGGCCTCCCAAAGTGCTGGGATTAGGACTAAGTTTTATAGGGAAAACATATAAGCTAAGGGTCTGGAAGAGAACGCACAGGACCACAATTTCTCACGCTACTTGAAGAAGCACCAGGGCCTGGGTGAAGCAGGAGATAGACCACACCTCACCCCTATCTTTTTATCCTTCTTAAAGAGCAATTGTGAAGGCATCCATGTTGGTGAGGGAACAAATTGACTATGCAGGTAATCTGGACTACTTAACTAAAGCAGACAATCTGGCTTTAGTTGTCAGATCAAATGACTAATTGATCTAACAGATTGACTAAAGCAGACAATCTGGCTTTAGTTGTCAGAGCTTCACAGAAGTTGCATGAGAAAGCCAGGTTCTAACACCTCCCATCAGAAAGAGAAAGCCGCTGGGAAGTTGAGCTCATGTAAAGCTTTTCCCACTGAAGAATGTGGGAGTCTGAGGCTCCAGATAGCTCCCCACCTAGGCATCCCAAAGGGAACTCCCAGAATTACCTTTGGACAATTCTGGTCTTTGCACACAATTGTTATTGTGAATGAAACACTTTGGCTACATTTTATAAAAGACTCGTACATAGTAATGCTATGAGTTTTCATGTGCCAATTTTGTATGAAACCAATTTTTTGACGTGATAATTTTAAAACAGACTTCAATTGGTCAAATTTTACAGGCGGATTTGAATTTTATAAGTAAATAACATTATTCTCTAACATAAAAATAGTACCTTCTTTTTCCTTCCAATGATTACATCTCAAAATTTTTTATCTTGTCTTAATCCCACCGCATGAATCTGGGCCAGTGTTGTGACTTGCTTTAATCATTAGAATGTGGTGGAAGTATCATTGAGCCTGTTCTCTGACAAGGCCTTAAGAGATCACAGCTTTTGCTCTTGAAACCCTGGCACTATGGGACCAACCCTAGATTGGTCTTCTGGACGATGAGAGACCATGGTGACAGAGAGAACTTCGTTGTCTCATCTATGACCATCATAAAACAGCCAGGCCCAGATGAGCCATCAGCTGAATGCAGATGCATGTACAAAGCCCAGTTAAGATAATCTAGCATGTCCCACACCAGAACTGCCCAGCTAAGCCCAACTGAACTTGCCAGCTCACACATCATGAGCTAAATAAATTTGTATTTAGAGCTACTCAGTTCTTGTGTGTGTTATGAGGCAGAAGCTGATAAGCATATTTAGGATAAATTATATATGAGCAGAGTCTGTTACGCTTTTATCAAATCATTGGATTTGACATGCTCATATTTATTTAGGATCTCTGCATCTATATTTGTAAATGAGTTGGCTCCCACTGATTGGGAGCTAGACTAATTTCTGCTTTTTCCATGCTACTTTGTTACAAGAGGAAAAGCAAACAATTTTATGAAGTAGGGAGACAATCCTGTTAGCATCATATATTTAAAAAGCTTAATGTGATATGCAAGGGCTGCTCCTGGCCATACTGGAGGATTGCCTGGGACACCTCCACTAAGGCTGAGGGCCGATTCTGTCATGAGGGAATGTTGCACCCATTCTAAACCCCAAAAGCTTCCTGGGATAATGTGTATCCCAGATTTTTTCTCTAACCTACTGTTTGCAAGTAGGAGGACTGGAGTATGTGGTGGACATGGACAATAATATGTGGACATTTTTATAGGTCTAGATCATTGTTGATGGAGCCATGTTATTCCATTATATGGGATGCCCTAATTTACTTAATCTCTTATACATGAAGCTTCAGGTCATTTACGATCTTCTCATTGCAAAATTCTTAGAACATATTTCTTTCTGAAACCATTTTTTTCCACTCATGTAATTACATCCTAAAAATACATTCTGAGAAGCAGGATCATTGGCTCAAAGACAATGCACATTGTACATCTGATACATATAGACAAGATCCTCTCCAGCAACTTTGTACCTGTTTTTTTTCCCCACCAACTTATGTAAGAACACTCATTTCCTCATTTCTACTGACACAGAATTTTTAAAATATTTCACTCTTATCCACCTGCTCAGTAAGAAAATGACACTTCAGGGATGGTTTTATTTGCACTTGAATGGCTGTTCTGTTTACAAACTATAACTGGCAGGAAAATATAATGCAAGAAAAACTAGGAATAAACCATGATCCAAATGAAGAAACTTATAAGTCAATTAAAACAGAAAAGGACATTGTTTTTGAAGAAAAAATAAAAGACATTGTGGGCTGAGTGCAGTGGCCCACACTTGTAATCCCTGCACTTTGGGAAGCTGAGGTAGGAGGATTGCTTGAAACCAGAATAAGACTAACCTGGGCAACAAAGCAAGACCCCATCTCTACAAGTAAATTTTTAAAAGAAAACATTAGCTGAAAGTGGTGGTATATGCCTGTAGTCCCAACTACTCAGGAGGCTGAGGCAGGAGGATCACTTGAGCCCAGCAGTTCAAGGCTTCAGCAGCGAGCCATGATCAGGCCACTGTACTCCAGCCACCTGGGTGACAGAGCAAGACCCTGTTTCCAAAAGAAAAAAAAAAAAGCAATGAGATCTCCTCTCGAATTCATCTATTATCCCCAATTAAATGACAATTTTGGGAGGAAGCTGCTGAGAAGAAGACTGCATCAGTCTGCAATTAACACTGTTGGTTTTTTACATGTTGTTGCTCACTTTCGTAAATGTTAGTTTTATTCAATTAATTTTATTAAGACTAACCACAGAACACCTATTCTAGTTAATTTTTAATCACATTTAAGGTGTGAGCTGACAAACTTATTCAGCTCCCACACTACAGAGTTTCTCTATTGTATGAGATTTCTTACGTCTGTGGGTTGTACTTTTCAGTAAAGTTTTACCACAGCTATATCATCTTGAACATTTCTCTTTGGTGTACACACAAATGAATGAAGGTTATCACTGGAGAAGTCCCATCCATACCATTTTAGATGGTTGCACTGCCACATCAAGCCTTAAAGACTTAAAAGGTTTGAACTCTGAATTACAATGTTGCTTCTGTATGTGGACTCCAATGACAATGAAACATATTGCTATAAAATCCCTCCATGCTAGTCAGGATGGCCTAGGCAATGCTGCAGTAACAAATAAACCACCAAAAATCTCAGTGGTGAGACACAGTGAATTTTTATTTCTTACTCTAAAAAGAAATCCAACACAGATCAGATAGCGACCTTCTATCAATGCAGTCTGGAATAAGCAGCCTCCAAGGTCACCTTGGCAGGAATAGAGAAGCCTGAGGATGTTTATAAAGGCTAGACCTGAAAGTGGCTTATATCACTTTTGCTCATATTCCATTGGCTAGAGCTCAAACATGGGCACACTCTTAACTGCAAGTGTTACTGGGAAATAGAGTCTTCTTATTTGCAAGGAAATGGAACCAGTGTGATAAACACAGCACTGCCTCTGCCACACCCTTCAAATGCCACTTCTGTAGAGCTTCTCGCCTGTGCAGAGAATCTCATGGAAAACTTGAGTACTAATGTTCTTTCATAGTAAGAGCATCAGTTTCATTTCTGAGCACACTTTTGAATGTTCTTCATACAGAGAGTATTTTTCTGTTGGGGACTAAAAAAATCTAAGGACTTTGGCTAAACTGAAGACCTTACCATAATCATCCCAATTAGAATTTCCTTCCTGGACACACCCTTTAATGGAAATTTGACCTCTAACTACAAACACTACCACAAACCACCCATTTGTCAAGAGTAACCTACTTTGCCATTGTAGCATACAGCAGTTGATGGGAGCTTCACAGAAGTTCTTGAAATCCGCAACCCTTGCCTGGCACACTCCAGTGCTGCAGGCTGACATTATCGATGGCAGTGTCCCTGTCTTTTGCTCCCCCAGCCCTCCCACAGGCTGAGTAAGCCTCTATTATCTGGAATACAGTGTGGCTTCTGTTTTCCTAATTTAACCCTGACTTACTACATTTATAATGTTTCTCTCTGCTCATGTAGTCTTTGATGAGTCAGAAGGTCTTTGCCATGCTCACAATGTGTGTACTGTGTCTTATCTATACGCACTCTCTGTTGGGCAAGGAGGTGCGAATTACGACTGAAGCCCTTACCACATGCCTTACACTTACAGGGCCTCTGTCCTCTGTGGACTCTGAGATGAACATTGAAGATCTGAATTCCAACTGAAGCCTTTACCACACTCATCACATTTATATGGTTTCTCTCTTGTGTGATTGCTTTGATGGAAGTGAAAATATGAACTGTAACTAAAGCACTTTCCACACACTTCGCATTTATATGGTTTTTCTGCAGTGTGAACTCTCTGATGAGTGTGAAGAACAGAACTATACCCAAAATCCTTTCCACACACATTGCATTGTATTGTTTCTCCCCTGTGTGGACTCTCTGGTGAATGTGAAGGTGTGTACTTTGGCTGAAGCCCTTTCCACACTCACCACACCTATAAGGTTTCTCCCCTGTGTGAAACCTCCAGTGGACTTGAAGAACGGAGCTTGAACTAAAGCACTTGCCACACTCACTGGATTTGTAGGGCTTCTCTCCAGTGTGGACTCTCTGATGGATAAGAAGGTTGGAGCTCTGTTCAAAGCCCTTCCCACAATCTTCACATTTGTAGGGCTTTTTCCCTGTGTGTACTCCCTGATGAATACAAGGAAGTGACCTAAATCCAAACGCTTTCCCACATACGTGGCATTTGTAGGGCATCTCCCCTGTGTGGACTCGATGATGGTTGTGAAGGGAGGAGTTGCACCTGAAGCCCTTGCCACATTCTTTACATTTGTAGGGATTGTCTCCTGAGGGGACTTTCTGACATCTGGGAAGGTCTGAGCTCTGTTTGCAGCCTGTAGGCCATTCATGGAATTCATAGGGAGTCTCTCCTGAGTGGGTTTTACAATGAACAATAAGATATTGGCTCTGACTTAAGTTCTTTCCATACTGGTCACATTTATAAGATTTTTCTCCTAGATGAGTGCTGTGATGGACACGAGGATCTGTATCATCTGCAAAGGCCACCCCACAGTTATTACATGTGAAAGGCTGTGGTAAAACATGGACCGCATGATGTTGTTCAACTGTTGATTTCATACCCAAGTTTTTCCCACAGTTGGGGTGTCTACCAGGGTCCTCTCCTTTACATTCTTGGGACTCATGATGATCACGTGAGGTCCAATTGAGGCTCTCATCATGCCGAGCATGTCTGTACAATTTCTCTTCCACGTAAATTCCCTTATATCTTCCCTGAGATTTCTGGGGCTCGGTCATTATGTTGGCTTTCCTCCAAGATTCTGGAGTAAGAACCTGTGTCAGGCTTTGCCATGCTGTGATATCTTGATTTTTGATAATGGCATTTACTACATAGTTTTCATTTTCAGAAATCTGAAGAGACATGCCTGCCCACTCTTCACAGAGGGATACATCTTCTAAATGTGGGGAACACTGTTCTTGAAGGTTCATGATATAATCCTGACTCACACTTAAATCCCGGATCCTTTGTTTCCAAATCTTCCAGCAATGAAGCTCTTCTTGAGAAAGGTAAATTAACCCCTTTCCCTGAAGATTCAAAATGTTGTTTTTAATCCCATCTCCCATGAGAAGAAAGAGAATTTGTGAATCACCTGTCCAGAGGTTTTGAGAAAATGAAATATGATGGGGTGGGAAGTTGTCCCTGGCTTCTATTGGCATGGGAAACAGTTAAAGCCACAGTAATTCTAACCTGTGAGCTGCCAATTAGAAATCAAGTATTGTAGGGAAATTAAGAGAAATCTTGGCCAGGTGCAGTGGCTTATGCCTGTCACAGCAACACTTTCAGAGGCTGAGGTGGGAGGATCACTCAAGCTCAGGAGATCAAGACCAGGCTGGGCAGTATGGTGAGATCGCATCTCTACAAAAAAATTGAAAATTGGTTCTGTTTTGCCTATGATCCCAGCTACCTGGAAATCTGAAGTTGGAAGATTGCTTAATCCTGGGACACAGAGGCTGCAGTGATCCAAGATTGTGTCACTGCATTCCAGCCTGGGTGACAGAGCAAGACATTTCCACCCCCACACAGCAAAAAAGAATAAAAGGAAATCTTAGGAAAAATTTATGAAGGAAGAAATTCACCTCCCCCTTATAAGAGTGGTCAATAAAAAGACTTTAATAATCTTGCTACAAAAGGTATGGGAAAGACTCCCATTTTACGTAGTATATGTGTGTATAGAAATAATACATATTGATGGAGTGTTTTTTATATGTTGGGCAGAGTAAGGGACACAAGGGTCACAAGAGGTTTCAGAAACAAGCAAGTCCTATCTCCTGATGGCTTCCCTTCCTTCACATCACTGTCATATGGAGGACTATCATGTATGTTTGTGTACAACCTGCACAACTGTACATGGTGAGCCTTAAGGGGATGGGGATAAAAAGGCAATGGGGATTGAAATAGGGATAAACATTGTGAAACTTGGTCCTGGCGTTGTGCGGGGATGCATATGTAAACCTCTGAGACAAGCTTTAAGAGACATCCTTTTTATTTTCCCCAAGATTCTTTGTCTTCATGAAAAGATAGAGACCACTCAGATACTATAATCCATTTCCTTAAGTTCTGACCTTTTAAGTTATTGCAGAATCTCAAACAGCCATGAATGAGAATGGGGAACAGATACTGTGGCACTGTCAATGGCCTGGCACCCAGGGAAGCAAGACTGTGGTATATAACAAACAGGGGGCTGAGGCAGAAGAGGATGATCATATTTTTGGGACCCTAAGATGGGTTTCAAAATGGCATGAATATCATGGTCAAGTCCCACTGGATACTGCTTCTGGTTCAAGGTCCTTTCTGGGTTGTTTTATTGAAAGTGACTTTAGTTTATAAGATAGTATCAGGGAAAGGGAGACCATGAGCTGCCCCAGATGGGTTTTAAGCAGTGGTTTCCCAATTGTTTTGATTGTAACCCACAATAAAATCAGCATTGTGACTCAGTAGGAATAGGCACGGACATCAACACAGACTGCTCACTAAAACAGAAGTTTTATCAGCTGATACTTACATACGATGTGCAATGCATTTTGATAAATTCTTCTGTTTTCTGCTCTATTAATCTATTTTGCTTTTTAAAAATTGCTAGTTATGACACAGTAATTTGATTTCAGGACTCACCAAGAGGGTTTTATCCTGCAGTTTGAGAAACAACTGCAGGGATATGCAGATTTATGTAGAAGGTCCTGTGTCTACAGATTACACTTTGGTTTAACGAGGTTATTTATTAAAAGCACAGGACCTAGGGCCAGATTAGGAAGGCTCAAATCCTAGTTCTTCTTATAAGCTGTGTAATCATGGGCAAGTTATTAATTCTGTGACTCAGTTGTTTCATCCATTGGTATGGTTTGGCTGTGTCCCCACCCAAATCTCTTCTTGAATTGTAACTCCCATAATTCCCAAGTGTCATGTCCCATAATTCCCACATGTCACAGCCCCCACACAGAGTCCCTAGCAGGGCACTACCTAGTGGAGCTGTGAGAAGAGGGCCACTGTCCTTCAGACAGCAGAATGCTAGATCCGACAGCTTGCACCGTGTGCCTGGAAAAGCCACAAACACTCAACACCAGCCCACAAAAGCAGCCGGAAGGGAGACTATACTCTGCAGAGCCACAGGGGTGGAGCTGCCCAAGACCATGGAAACTCATCTCTTACATCAGCGTGACCAGGATGCAAGACATGGAGTCAAAGGAGATCACTTTCGAGCTTTAAGATTTGACTGCCCCGTTGGATTTCAGACTTGCATGGGGCCTGTAGCCCCTTTGTTTTGGCCAATTTCTCCCATTTGGAACAGCAGCATTTACACAATGCCTGTACCTGCACTGTATCTAGGAAGTAAATAAATTGTTTTTTTATTTTACAGGCTCATAGATGGAAGATACTTGGCTTGTCTCAGATGAGACACTGGACTGTGGACTTTTGAGTTAATGCTGAAATGAGTTAAGACTTTGTGGGACTGTTGGGAGGCATGATTGGTTTTGAAATGTAAGGACATAAGACTTGGGAGGGGCCGGGGTGGGATAATATGGTTTGGCTGTGTCCCCACCCAAATCTCATCTTGAATTGTAACTCCCACAATTCCCATGTGTCATGGGAGGAACCCTGTAGGAGGCGATTGAATTATGGGGCGGGTCTTTCCTGTGTTGTTCTCATGATAGTGAATGAGTCTCATGAGATCTGATAGTTTTTAAAAGGGAGATTCTGAATGGGTACAGTGGCTCACACCTGTAATCCCAGCACTTTGGGAGGCCAAAGTGGGTTGATCACGAGGTCAAGAGATTGAGACAATCCTGGCCAACATGGTGAAACCCTGTCTGTACTAAAAAATACAAAAATTTGCTGGGCATGGTGGTGCATGCCTGTAGTCCCAGATACTGGGTTGGCTAAGGCAGGAGAATTGCCTGAACTTGGTAGTTGGAGGTTGCAGTGAGCCAAGATAGCACCACTGTACTTTAGCCTGGCTACAGAGCCAGACTCTTAAAAAAAAAAAAAAAGGTGGGGGGGTTTCCTGCACAAGCTCTCTTCTCTTGTCTGCCACCATGTAAGACGTGCCTTTCACCTTCCACCATGACTATGAGGCCTCCCCAGGGATGTGGAA
Source organism: Homo sapiens (assembly GCF_000001405.40). Lineage (NCBI taxonomy): Eukaryota > Metazoa > Chordata > Mammalia > Primates > Hominidae > Homo > Homo sapiens. The sequence goes on along the minus strand of NC_000002.12, from coordinate 132,314,075 downwards.
CTGTAAGTCCAATACATCTCTATCTTTTGTAAATTGCCCAGTCTCAGGTATGTCTTTATCAGCAGTGTGAAAACAGAGTAATACGTCCATAAAAGGGGGATAATAACAATAACTATCTGTATTAGTCCATTCTCATGTTTCTAATAAAGACATACCCAAGACTGGGTAATTTATAAAGGAAAGAGGTTTAATTGACTCATATTTCCATATGGCTGTGGAGGCCTCAAAATCATGGCAGAAGGTGAAGGAAGAGCAAAGGTACATCCTACATGGTGTCAGTCAAAGAGAAAGCCTGTGCAGGAGAACACCAATTTATAAAACCATCAAATCTCATGAGACTTGTCACTCTCATAAGAACAGCATGAGAAAGACCCCTGCCCCATGATTCAGTTACCTCCTACCGGGCCCCACCTACAACATGTGGGAATTATGGAAACTACAATTCAAGATGAGACTTGGGTAGGGATATAGCCAAACCATATCTCTATCTCATAAACCTAGGTAGCACATAACTGTATATGAACCTCTGAGAAATGAAAATGAGGTTAGATATTTATCAAAAAGTAATCAAATAAGCCAACACTTAGATTACACTTACTACATACCAGTAAGTGTTGGCTATTGTAACTGCCAACCAAATCAAAGTTCTCCCTTTGTTCCTTTAACACTGATTTATCCAAAACATTGGATAAACATTGATTTTTCTCCAGAAGCATCCAATAGATCAGGGCTCTTGGTGATGTGTGAATTTTATGTCTCATTCTGAGAAATATGAGGAAAGAATGAGAGCCTAAATGTGTGATTAGGGGAGGGAGGGATTACTGCCTGCATTGAATGCCCACAGGCCAGGGGTATGAGATTTGGGGAGAGCTCCCTCACAAATCCATCACAAGGGGCCAGATCCTCACATTGATCTGTAAAAGCTCATTAACTGCAGGGTTCTAACCTGCACATGCATCTCTTGGGTGTTTTCTTTCCAGTGGTCAAAGTTTATCTTTGTGATCTAACTGGAGTTTTCTATGTGGTTTGAAATGATGATTTCAGGACACAGGTCCAGTGGTCTGATGCTCAGTTACTCACCCACTGAGATGAAGTTCCTGAAGTTTTCCAGCATCACGTCTTGGTACAGGTTTATCTGGGCTTTATCCAATACTGCCAGCTCTTCCTTGGTGAAGATAACAGCTATGTCCTTGAATGTCACCCTTTCCTAAAACATCAACCACATGCCACGTCAATCATCCACACAAATGACTGGTCTTAGTCTGTTTGGGCTGCCTTAATAAAATACCACAGTCTGATTAGGTTAAACAAAATAAACTAACTTCTTACTTTTCTGGAGGTTGGAAAGTCTAAGATCAAGTACCACCAAGATAGGTTTCATTCAGGTTTCTTCTCTTGGCTTGTAGACAGCTGTCCTCTCACTGTGTCCTTACATGGCAGAGGGAGAATGAGAGCAAGCTCTGTTGAGGCTGTCTCATAAGGACATTAATCCTATTGGATCAGGGATTCCCAAAGGACAATATTAATCAAATTATAAAATATGGCCCAGGAAATAGGCACAGATAAATCTATACTAAGGTGTTGTGCTGATACACAAGTCTAGTACTGTTCCATGAGTTCATTTCTCATCACACACCAAGATTTGGTATTTTCACTTTTTCATGGCAGATTAATCTATTTGTATCATGTTAAAAGGAACTAAGAAGACAGGGTAACAAAAGCCTGACTCCCAGATTCAAAAAACACAGTAGAGAAAAGGGAGATTATTATCATAATTAAGAACACTTGGATATCAACTAGGTATTAAAAAATAGTGGTATCAACGTGAAATTTCTTGAGTATGTTAGCAGTAACGTGGAAATGTAGGAAAATGCTCTTACTCTTAGGAGATACAAGCTGAAATATTTAGGGATGAATTATAATCATGCCTGCAATATATCCCCAACTGGGTCATCAAAATAAAATATAGATATGTGTGTGTATATATGTATATTATGCATATGTTTATGGGTGATTGTTAACAATTGGTGAATCTATGTGAAGATTACACATTATGCTATTCTTTCATTTTCCTGATAAATTGAAATTTCTCAAAATAAAATGATGTGGGGATTAATCTCATATTAATAACCATCTCCTAATCAAGAAAACAATTTTTACATAAAATATTTCTATTGCTGCATATATCACACTGCTCAGAGTTAAGTATTTACAGATATGTTCTCTCAATAGACTCTGCATCTCTAAATAATGCAGAGCTTTCAAATGAAAGTTGTAAGCAGTTACAAAGGACTTCACAAAGAATATGTTCCTAACAATTGTCCAATTACCAAAATCTGACAATGATTAAAAACAAAATCTAGGGGAGTCAGCACGGTTGTCCTAATAGCATCACTCTCTCAGTAACACTACTGTATGCCTTCTTCTGTGGGAGGCAACAAAATTGAATTGGAGTTAATCATTCAGGAAATACAGATACCCTGAAGTCTGCTTGGGGTGTTCCAATGTAGGGAGAAGGGGTTAGGAATAGAGGTTCACCCAGCCTACACCCCATTCTCCCTTCTCTGCCTCAACTATAGAGCCTGGGAAAACAAAACACTCATTTCTCCACCACCCTTGTAGCTGGATGGATGCCTTGTAGGAATCCTAGGCAGCGATTGTCATAGGATGCAGATACAAGGACAGCCCCAAAATATTAAGAAACCAAATTTTTCAACGAATAAACACTTGCAAAAACCTATAAATATTTTCCTCTCTGAAGTATTCTTGTATAACCATCTATGAAGTATTCTTGTAAAACCTTGAACCTGAATCTATTCAAGCATCTGGTGCTTCCACTTACAAGAAATACTATGGATAGAGTAACACATTGAAAGACACCAAAAGGAAGCAAACAAATGCATTCCAAATGTAGGAAAGAACACAGGACACCAAACTTGGTTTCTACAAGTCAATAGCAGGAGAGAATAAAGTAGAGGGGCAGATTTCTCTAGATTAAAAGAGATTATGAGACACAACCACCAACTATATGATAGTATAGACCTTTGGTAAGATCCCATTTGAACAAACCAACTGTCAAAAATTTTTTGAGATAATCAGGGAAACTTGGTTATTGTCTGGGTATTAGATAATACCAAATAATTATTGATTATCTCATTAGTCAGTTTTTAAGGAAATATATACTGAAATACATAGAGAATGTAGTAAATTAGATTGCTGTTTAGAAATATCCTCTTCCATGCTCACCAATCCCACTAAAGGACCAGAGTGTGTTTTCTTACCCCTTTAGTTTTGACTTGGCAATGTAACTTTCTCTGGCTACCAAAATGAAGCAGAAGTGAGAATGTGCCATTTCTAACCTGGGCCTTGACAGATCTCACGTGTTCACTTGCTCTCTTGTCCCTCTGTCTTCACTATGAGGACACACCCAAGCTAACCAAAACCAGCAGAGTGCTACCAAATACTCATGGTATTGGCTTTAGGTCCAGGCCATAACAATTGAGGACACTGTTATAGGAGGCTGGAAAAATGGTGACCTGGGTGATGTAGTGGTGAACACTTGGTAAATTGTTGCTGTAATTTGGAAGATAGAAAATGTACCTAATGAATCTTGGACTTGGGCAAGATGGTTTCCAGGCAGAAGGATAAAAGTGTGAGCTCATTCATTTTAGCTGCATATATAATAAGGTACTATACAAAAGTGATGTGCTCAGAGAAAAACCAATACAGTGTAAATACCATGCCTCTTTCAAATACTCTGGGAAAGAAAAAACTGAAAAAGAGAGTAAGCAAATCCCTTCGGCAATAAGTTAATTGTTGAAACTGCATGATGGGTACTGCAAATGGAGCCTCATAATACCATTTGTTCTTTTTGTGTATTTTCATAATTAATTTTTTTCATGATTAAAAGAAAATCCTTCCTCCACACTGTGACGGTCTTTTTAATATGGCAACTTGGCTAAGCTATGGTCCTCAGTTATTGAATCAAACACTAATCTAGGTATTGCTATGAAGATAATTTGTAGATGTGATTAAAGTCCATAATCAGTTGACTTTAAGGGAGATTATTCTAACTAATCTGAGTATGTCTGACTCAAAAAACTGAACGGTCTTATGAGCAGAGCTGAGGCTTCCCTGGGAGGGGGAGAAATTCCACCCATAGACAGCAGCTTCAGTCTGTGTCTAAGAGTTCTGGCCCACCCTTCCTGAGGGACTGCCCTGTGGATTTTGGACTTGCCTAGTTAGCCCCCATAATCATATAAATCAATTCCTTATGATAAATCTCTTAATATATATCTCTTACTGGTTCTACCTTGCTGGTTGAACTCTGACCAAATACATACCCATTCAAATCTTGTTACTTATCAAACGAGACCAGTGACATTTAGAGTATGGTCATGTATATGCTGCCCATGCACTCAGATGCTGCGGCAACACCAAATTGCTATAAAAGCTTCTGAACTTAGTCTTGATTCTTTTTCCCTCATGGGGCAGTGATAAGCAGTTCATGGACTGGTACTGGTACATGAACCACACTTAGAGTAGCACCAAAGTAGACATCTTGAAATCTGTGAGTTTGTTTCTTCACTTCTATAAAGGAAGTCAAACCACCTGCCTCACAAAGTCATTATGAGCAAGATGAAGTACCTAATACATAGTAGTCACTCAAAAAATGCTGACCTTTCAGAAAACAGAAGTGCTGGTTCCTCAGAATGAACAGTATATTTAAAGAGAAAGAAACCCTTAACTTACCTGGAACTTAATCATACCGTCTTCCTTTTGGAAAGGGCAGGATTCTGGAAAAGCAGAACTGCAAAGAAGAAAGAATCCATGAGATCATGGATTCAACAAGTTATAAATGAACATTGGTTCCTTCCTTATCTGTACAAATTTCTCACAATTTCTTCTCTCCCTAGATATCATCTCTTCTCATTCTGAACAGACTGAACTCCCACCTCCTCAAGACTTCCCTAGATTTGTCCCCAGTCCCTCAATCTCAGACCACTATGTAACTCCTATCTCTCTCCTCAAGCTTTTGGGTCAAAACCTGCACATTCTTTTCCTTTTCTCAGACTTGTGAATGAACTGACATAATCTACATCTGAATTATGCTGGAAAAGAGGCCCCAGAATTGCTGAGTAAGGGAGCAATCTCAGGGCTGGGCACAGTGGCTCACGCCTGTAATCCCCAGCACTTTGGGAACCCGAGACAGGTGGATCACTTGAGGCCAGGAGTTCGAGACCAGCCTGGCCAACATGGTGAAACCCTGTCTCTACTAAAAATACAAAATTAGCTGGGCTTGGTGGCGGGCACCTGTAATCCCAGCTACTCAGGAGGCTGAGGCAGGACAATCACTTGAACCTGGGAGGCAGAGGCTGCAGTGAGCTGTGCTTGCACCACTGCACTCCAGCCTGGGCAACAGAGACAGACTGTCTCAAAAAAAAAAAAAAAGGAAAAAAAAGAGAGAGCAATCTCAGGATGACAGGGACCTTCTGCTATTTCCACTTTCACATGCAAGACTTGATCTTGTATGGCCAGGCCTGTGGTCTAAAGAACTTGCGATTAGCCAAGATATACAAATTAAATCCCAATTTTTATTATTATGTTAATCAATAATACAAATTTTTAAACATCTACACCTTGACTCTTGGCTTCCTAAACTGTCTCTCCAGCACCCATTTTATCCCTTGCTTTTGCAAATATTGATGACACACTTATGACATGTAAGACACATCCTCTGCTCTGGAAATGCTCACAGTATACTGAACTATACATGTTCTCAGACTGCACGTAGACCAAAGTAGATAGATAGACCTTCTAAGCTTGCCACTTCATATACACTAAAGTCCCTTCCTGTTCTGCTTATATCAGTGGATGCCCTTGCCAATTAGCTTCCAGTTGGGTTCAGCCAATGGGGAAAGCCAGCAAGAGATCCAGGGAAGGGACAAGAGTGAAGTCAGAATATTTATTCCCCCAGGTTTTTCCCTAGAGGTTGCTGTGGAATGGCTATGCTCCATATTCATTGACCAAAGGTCATGGCCACCATCAGGCAGCTGTCATCCCATAAATCTTTCTTCACATTTTAGTGACTGCCTCCTCCCTTAGCCCTTCAGTCCTAAAGGCAGTAAGTTACCCTGCTATCACTAGCTCTGAAATATTGCAATACCCTTTGTTGATTACCACAGCCTGCCTACAACTTTATAGATTGTCCCTTTATTAAGCTCTTCTCAAATTACCCAATTTGAGTGTTCTGTTTATTTTTTATTGGGATTCCATCTGGTAAACCCTGTAAGCACAATTGCCTCTCGCCTTTGTGGGGAAACTTACTGTATAAAATTGCCACTTTAAGCACTGTGTAAACTCCAAAGATTAAAAAATAAAAGCCAAAAACCACGTTTCTGCCTTCTCAGATAGTGCTTCTCACACTATCTGTGATAAAGGACTAGTTTTTATATTATTATTACCGTTACTTTCAGTCTGTCACAGACTGATATTTTGGTAAGATACAGTAAAAAGAAATTACTGGAAAAAGGAAATAAAGAAGGTATGCAAATTAAAGCCCAATTGTTATTATTATATTAATCAATAAGACAAAATTTTAAACATCTACAATCAAGTTCTCAAATTATCTGGTCACAGACCAATATCATTTATTGGCACTGGTCTGTTGGTTACCCTTTGAATTGCAGCTTACAGGGTTATAGAATCAGGTTAATAGAATATGAAATGTCTTTTTGGTAAATCCTCGGACTCTTTTTCTCTCCTTTAATACCTTTAAGAGACATCATTAATCACTTCTTATTTTGGGCTCCAACAAAGGCCAAAATAAGGAATGTTCAACTTATTAATACAGCATGAATTACATCATTTTACAATAGTTAAAACCTACCAAGGAAACACTCCTCCTTTCCCCTGTCAAAAAACTACAAATCCTAAAAACAAAACAAAAAAAAAAAAAACAAGCTGTAGTCTTTTATCCACTGTACTTGCTAAGGATCTTATCATTTAACAAGCACTCAATCAATGTTTCTTAATATTAACAAATGAACAAATAGAATTGGCTTGGATATTATACATTATACGCACGCGCAAAGACATAAACTCGCCCTCTACTTCTAGTACCTGTTCTCACTTAAGAGCCAATGATGGGACAGGTTTATTTTCAAGCACACATCTACACACATGCAGTCACACATATATGGTTGAGGGTTTGGTTTCCTGAATTTCTGGCTTCAGACACTCCCTGCCTGTATCAACTATGGGCCATGGCAGGAACCAGATGGCACATTCAAATTTGAGGGGAGTTTAATAAACAGACGGCTTACGATGGTGTTGGCTGGGGGTAAGGAAATCAGAGTGGATAAGGCTCTATCCTGGGAAGTGACAGGAGGTGCCATTATAATACCTGGGCCTTAAGAGGTAAGGGGAGGGAGCAGTCCCTGGAGCCTGGAACTGAGAGGACTGTGTGGCCAGGGCCACCCAAACCATGACCTGTTGTTTAGAAGGGCAGCTAATCTGTGACAATCCTGCAGAGAGAGAACTGGGGGACAAGATCCTCCAACTCACACTTCTTCCTCTCTCCAAACTTTCCTGTTGAGACTTCCCACTGGCCAAAGACAAGCAAGGCCAGAAGGCAATGGTGGCCTTTCAGGGCAGACAGCAGGGTGGAAAAGGTGGGGAGCCAAAGGCATGGGACACATAGCACCTCAGGACTCTTGTTTTTTCCCTATCTGCCAAAGTCCACACAGCTCTCTCACACAAATGCCTTTCTCATCCCTCAAACTGACAACTACTCTGATCTGAGGAATACATCAGGAATGAGACCAGATGCCCATATCAACCTCTTCAGGGAATGAAGACCTAGAGGAAAAGTGCAGCTGAATCTGGAACTGCAATTGTCCAGAAACACGATCAGAAATGTAATAAATGCTGCTATTACACCTAAAATAATTAACACTAAATCTCTAACTTTATCAAATATACAGAGAGCATTCAAACTTCAAATTTGGTGAGTGTAATTTAACAACTTACATTTGCTCGTGTGCTTTATAATACTCAAATTCCGTACTCCCTGGCTCACAGCATGTGAGGTGAGAATGGAGTTAATAATTTGGGGCAGTTCTTTTATTTTCTTTCTTTCTTTCTTTTTTTTTTTTTTTTTTTGAGACAGAGTCTCGCTCTGTCGCCCAGGCTGGAGTGCAGTGGCGCGATCTCGGCTCACTGCAAGCTCTGCCTCCCGGGTTCACACCATTCTCCTGCCTCAGCCTCCCGAGTAGCTGGGACTACAGGTGCCTGCCACCATGCCCGGCTAATATTTTGTTATTATTATTATTTTTTTTTTAATTAGAAACGGGGTTTCACCGTGTTATCCAGGATGGTCTCGATCTCCTGACAATAGGTGCCTGCCACCATGCCCGGGTGGAACTACAGGTGCCTGCCACCATGCCCGGCTAATTTTTTGTAATTTTTTTTTTTTTTTAGTAGAGACGGGGTTTCACCGTGTTAGCCAGGATGGTCTCGATCTCCTGACCTCGTGATCCACCCAAAGTGCTGGGATTACAGGAGTGAGACACCGCGCCAGTCCTGGGGCAGTTCTTTTCAAAATGTGTTCGGTGACATTAAACTCCAGAGTTTTTACAGTCTGAGTTGTTTCTTTATTGCCAGAAGCCGGAACCTCTGCCCTGAAGTCAGAAATGCCCCAGTGGAGTCAGAGCTGCCAAAATCCAGAGTTCAGACCCAAGACAACTCCCCATCCAAGAACCTAGGGGTGCTGAGCCAGAATCGCCCCCACCAAACTGAGCGAGAATAGCCCAAGCCATCCTCTATCTCCAGAGACAAGCTGCTTAAGCAAATCCCTCATCCCATTCAGGGAGGCACAGCCCCAGCCATTACTCCCAAACCCTGAGCCAGCGCCCCTCTGCCCTCATCCAGGGATGCACATTCCAAGACTGACCCTAAGCCTCGACCCAAGGTGGCACAGCGCAAGTCGCTGTCACGAAACGTGAAGATGCACGTTTTGTCAAACCCAGGGCTGCTCCCCAAACTGAGCCCAAGCGCTTCCCATTCCATCCCGGGTAGATAGGGGCTGCTGAACTTCCCCAGCCTACCCCACCCACGAGGCCTTTTCATTGGTCACCAGTCCCCTCCTCCACTCCTCCTACTTCAGTCCACAGGGACGGGTCACAGCTGCACATCCTACACCCCTACTCCTGGCTACACTTCCGAGAGGGGCGCGGTCCAGCCGGGACTCAACCCAGCATTCCAAACAATGTCGCCCCTAGCTTGCGTCTGGTACCACGCGCTTGCGCAAGGAGGCCTATGGACTACAATCCCCAGAAAGCCCCACTCGCAGCAGTGGCCATTCGCAAGGCTACCCGGGTGAAGGTAGCCTTTGACGTCCGTGCATTTGGAAGTCCTTTGACTTCGTGCATTCGTCTAAAATAATGACAATCATAATAACGATAAAGTAATGAAATGTTAAATCACTATCAACGATGAAAAGAAAAAGTTTCAATATTTTACTACTTGGAAATGAGCACTTTACCATTTTAGTGAAGACTTTTACAGGTTCTTATTTTATAGGCATGTCTTTTAATGTTAAAACCACGAAACTTTTCAATTAAAATTCACTTAAATAGTTCCATCCCCGCCCCACACCATGTTTTGTTTCTGTTGATGAAGACACTGCATAATCTACACTTGCGATATAACATAGCCCTGTAATTTTTTTCCTAGTCTCAGAAGAAGCAGAATGAATTAACAACCATTGACTGAATCCTTAATAGGGGAATTGCAGGAGTACTCATTACAACATAACAAGAAAACGCGGGAAGTTTTCAGATTATTTTTGAAAATTTCCCCTTGTTGGGACTTAGGCTTTATTTTACTTTATGTTATTGCATTTAAGATTTAAGATCATTAAAAAGTCAGGAAACAACAGGTGCTGGAGAGGATGTGGAGAAATAGGAACACTTTTACACTGTTGGTGGGACTGTAAACTAGTTCAACCATTTTGGAAGTCAGTGTGGCGATTCCTCAGGGATCTAGAACTAGAAATACCATTTAACCCAGCAATCCCATTACTGGGTATATACCCAAAGGATTTTAAATCATGCTGCTATAAAGACACATGCACATGTATGTTTATTGTGGCTCTATTCACAATAGCAAAGACTTGGAACCAACCCAAATGTCCAACAACGATAGACTGGATTAAGAAAATGTGGCACATATACACCATGGAATACTATGCAGCCATAAAAATGATGAGTTCATGTCCTTTGTAGGGACAGAGATGAAACTGGAAACCATCATTCTCAGCAAACTATAGCAAGGACAAAAAACCAAACACCGCATGTTCTCACTCATAGGTGGGAATTGAACAATGAGAACACATGGACACATGAGGGAGAACATCACACACCAGGGCCTGTTGTGGGGTGGGGGGAGGGGGGAGGGATAGCATTAGGAGATATACCTAATGCTAAATGCGTGCAGCACACCAACATGGTACATGTATACATATGTAACGAACCTGCACGTTGTGCACATGTACCCTACAACTTAAAGTATAATAATAATAAAATTAAAAAAAATTAAGATTTCTATTAAAGACAATTTTGTGTACTCTAATGGGGTGGGAAAATTGAATAAGAATTCCATTAGAGACCCACAGTTTTAGCCTGGAGGAAAGCCCTGATAATGGGTGAGAACAATCTCTCTCCTAGGAATGGTCACCTGGTCCTGCTGGTAGAGGCTCTGTTTGGAATATCTGGCTGGCATTCCGTTTTCCATGCACCCTCAAGCTGTAGGGGTCGTGAGGCAGTTCCAGTCCTAGATTAGACAGAGAAGTGAAGACCCCTACCTCTAGGCAATGGGCAGGAAATGGTTGAATAATATCCAACTATAGCTTGACATTGCAACTTAGGGCACATAAAGGGACAGTGCAATTCTTTTGGCTTATTTCTGTCTTTTGATGTTTACATGTTTGATGTTCTTATATATTGCTCTAAGTTGAAGGATTACTTGATTTAATTTGACATACTTGAATTTTAAAAAGCGAGTTCAGGAACATTTTTATTTTTGATCTAATACAATGTTAATTTTTGTGACATCTGTGTCTATTGGAAAACAATGCGTTTTCTCTATCAGAGGGATATGCATACATTTATATTTTCACCAGACTTGTTAATTGTGCTATTTAAATTTCCTACATGCTTATTTATGCTTACTTAGATTTTTTCATTATGCATCTGTCAATGATTGAAAAGTTCATGTCAAAAAGGCTCGCAGGCTGGGCGTGGTGGCTCAAGCCTGTAATCCCAGTACTTTGGGAGGCCGAAGTGGGCAGATCACGCGGTAAGGAGTTCAAGACTAGACTGGCCAGGATGGTGAAACCCCGTCTCTACTAAAAGTACAAAAATTAGCCAGGCATGGCGGCAAACACATGTAGTCCCAGCTACTTGGGAGGCTGAGGCAAGAGAATCGCTCGAACCCGGGAGGCGGAGGTTGCAGTGAGCGAGATCGTGCCACTGCACTCCAGCCTGGGTGACAGAGCGAGACTCTGTCTCAAAAAAAAAAAAAAAAAAAAAGAAAGAAAGAAAGAAAGAAAAATTAAAAAAAAGTCTATAATGGTATATTTGTCATTTTCCTCTCTATAGCATTTGCTTTATTTATTTATTTATTTATTTATTTATTTATTTATTTATTTATTTTTGAGACTGAGTCTCGCTCTGTTGCCCAGGCTGGAGGGCAGTGGCGCCATCTCAACTCACTGCAAGCTCCCCCTCTCAGGTTCATGCCATTCTCCTTCCTCAGCCTCCCGAGTAGCTGGGACTACAGGCGCCCGCCACCACGCCCAGCTGATTTTTTTGTATTTTTAGTAGAGACAGGGTTTCACCGTGTTAGTCAGGATGGTCTCCATCTCCTGACCTTGTGATCTGCCCGCCTCGGCCTCCCAAAGTGCTGGGATTACAGGCATGAGCCACCGCGCCCAGCCTACTTCATTTTTCAAAAGTCGTGTTATTAGGTATACAAGCGGCTTTACATTTTAAAAGTTGTGTTATTAGGTATGGAAGTGGTCTGTTCCTTATCTGAAACACTTGGGACCAGAAGTGTTTCAGATTTTTTATTTTTTTCAGATTTTGCAATATTTGCATATGCATAATGAGATATCTTGAGGATGAGACCCAAGTCTAAACGCAAAATTCATTTGCGTTTCCTATACACCTTATACATGTACCCTGAAATTAATTTTATAGAATTATTTGATTAATTTTGTTCACAAGGTTTGTATACAATGTTTGTGTGCATTGAACCATCAGAAGCAAAGATTGCCTTCGTCAGATGACCAAAGAAAAATCAATTAATGAAAAGAAGAGAAAGAAAGCAAATATTTCAGGTGTGGAAATTTTCTTTTGTGGTGTCATGTTCACATTCCAAAAGTTTCGGATTGTGGAACATTTTGGATTTTAAAATTTAGTGATGCTGACCCTGTGTAAGTTTCATAATGGTCATATCTTCTTGATGGACCAAAAATGTCATTAACATTTTAAGTACTTTGTATTTTCACCTTGAGTTTACTTTTCAGTGCCGACTGTACCTGCTTTCTTTTCATTAGATTTCCTCTAGTATTTATTTTTTCACTTTCTCGTAAAATTAGCATTTTTTATCTTATTATTTATATACTCTTTATTATTATAGTTATTTTTAAATGTTACTTTTACCTAATCTAAGAGCTTGTCTTTAGTCTGAAAATACACACTTAAATGGGTGTGTTAGGAACAAAAGACAAAGTGCTGGAATAATTGATCTAGGAGCTGCTTCTAATTCCCAACTATAGAACAGTGACTCTGGCCTGTAATCCTAGTTGATCAAGCAGCTGTGGTGGGAGGATGGCTTGAGCCTGGAAGGTTCAGGGTGCAGTGGACAATGATGGTGCCACTGTACTCCAGCTTGGGTGACAGCATGAGATTTTATGTCTAAAAAAAGAAAAAGAAAATGAAAAAGTAGAACAGGGACCCTCAAAGAGGAAGGAAATAGCCCCCCTAAGACTCTTTTGAATTGTGTGGGTGATCTTTGCTTGCTCCAGTGACTGGGGTATGAGTTTAGTATGCAGAGGTAAGGAATGCTAAACATATTGCATCTGTAAATTAATTATCTCAACAAAGAAGTCATCCATTCAAAACACCCAACAGTAACACCTTGAAAATCACTGCTCTAAAGGAAAGAAAATGAACAACAACAACCTCAATCAAACAAAAGGAGGGAAAGAAACGATCGAATCAGTAAAGAGAAAGTGAAACTGCTGCTGTTTGCTGATGATATGATCATATACATAGAAAACCCTAAAGACTCCTTCAAAAAGCTTCTAGAACTCATAAATGAATTCAGCAAAGTTTCAGGATACAAAATTAATGTACACAAATCATAACTCTGCTGTACACCAACAGCAACCAAGCTAAGAATGAAATTAAGAACTGCAAAAAAAAAAAAAAATACTTAAGAATATTTCTAACCAAGGAGGTGAAAGACCTCTACAAGGAAAACTATAAAACACTGTTGAAAGAAATCATAGATGACACAAACAAATGGAAACACATCCCATGTTCATGAATGGGTAAATCAATATTGTAAAAATGACCATACTGCCAAAAGTTGTTTACAAATTCAATGCAAGTTCCATCAAAATACCACCATCATTTTTCCCAGAACTAGAAAAGACAATTCTAAAATTCATATGGAACCAAAGAAGAGCCCGCAGAACCAAAGCAAGGCTAAGCAAAAAGAACAAATCTGGAGGCATCACATTACCTGACTTCAAACTATACCATAAGGCTGTAGTCACCTGAACAGCATGGTACTGGTATAAAAATAGGCACAAAGACCAATGGAACAGAATACAGAACCAAGAAATAAATCCAAATACCTACAGCCAACTGATATTTGACAAAACAAACAAAAACATAAAGTAAGGAAAAGACCCCCTATTCAAGTCGGGTGCAGTAGCTCACGCCTGTAATCTCAGCACGTTGGGAGGCTGAGGCAGGTGGATCACAAGGTCAGGAGATGGAGACCATCCTGGCTAACATGGTGAAACCCCGTCTCTACTAAAAATACAAAAAATTAGACTGGTGCGGTGGCGGGGGCCTGTAGTCTCAGCTACTCGGGAGGCTGAGGCAGGAGAATGGATTGAACCAAGGAGGTGGAGCCTGCAGTGAGCCGAGATCCCGCCACTGCACTCCAGCCTGGGTGACAGAGCAAGACTCCGTCTCAAAAAGAAAAAAAAAAAAAAGACACCCTATTCAAACAAATGGTGCTGGTGTAATTGGCAAGCCACATGTAGAAGAATGTGAATGGATCCTCATCTCTCACCTTATACAAAAATCAACTCAAGATGGATCAAAAACTTAAAACTTGAAACCATAAAAATTCTAGATGATAATTCAGAAAAACCCTTCAAAACATTAGCTTAGGCAAAGACTTGATGACCAAGATCCTAAAAGCAAATTCAATAGAAAAAATGATAAATAGGTGAGACTTAATTTAAGTAAAAAGTTTCTGCACAGCAAAAGAAACACTGAGCAGATTAAACAGACAACCCACAAAGGGGGAGAAAATCTTCACAATCCATACATCTGAAAAAGGATGAATATCCAGAATCTAGAAGGAACTCAAACAAATTAGCAAGAAAAATACGAAGAATCCCATCAAAAAATGGGCTAAGGACATGAATAGACAATTCTACAAAGAAGATATACAAATAGCCAACAAACATATGAAAAAATGCTCAACATCACGAATGATCAGGGAAATGCAAATCAGAAACACAATGCAATACCACCTTTCAGCTGCAAGAATGGCCATAATAAAAAATTTAAAAAATAATAGATGTTGGTGGGGATGGGCTGAAAAGGGAACACTTTTACACTGCTGCTGGGAATGTAAACTACTGCAACCACTATGGAAAACAGTGTGGTAATTCCTTAAAGAACTAAAAGTAGAACTACCATTTGATTCAACAATCCCACTACTGGGTACCTACCCAGAGGAAAAGAAGTCATTATATGAAAAAGATAGTTGCATACACATGTTTATAGCAACATAATAAGATGTTTTATAAATATAAGTTATAAAATTCCTCTATTAAAAGTTTATTAGAGTTCATCAGTGTTGATATCATCTTTCCAAATTAAAAAAATGTTTTCTGTTCGTTGTTTTGGTTTTCGTTTGTTTGTTTTGATGCATGGTCTTGCTCTGTTGCTTACTGTAGCCTCAGCTTCCTGGGCATGAGTAATCCTCCCACTTCAGTGTCCCAAGTAACTGGAACTACAGGTATGCACCACCATGCCTAATTGATTTTTAGAAATTTTCTTATAGAGTCTCACTGTGTTGCCTAGGCTGGTCTGATACATCTGTGTTCAAACAATCCTCCCACCTTGGACTGAAAAAATGTTGAGATTACAGGCACAAGCCATCATGTCTGGTCAGAAATGTTTTTTTCTTATTTTTTTCTTTCCTTTTTTTTTTTTTTTTTTTTTTGAGACGGAGTCTCTTACTTTTTTGCCCAGGCTGGAGTGCAATGGCACAATCTTGGCTCACTGCAAGCTCTGACTCCCAGGATCACACCATTCTCCTGTCTCAGCCTCCCGAGTAGCTGGGACTACAGGTGCCCGCCACCACGCCCGGCTAATTTTTTTGTATTTTTAGTAGAGACGGGGTTTCACCGTGTTAGCCAGGATGGTTTCGATCTCCTGACCTTGTGATCTGCCCGCCTTGACCTCCCAAAGTCCTGCGATTACAGGCGTGAGCCACCAGGCCCGGCCCACAAGAATGTTTTTAACAAGCTTTCTTCCTTTCTTCTCCTCTCATCTCCCATATTTATGTCTTCTAGAATCTGAACACTAAATTTTCTTTTTTCCTCACATATAAACAATTATTTAGATTTAACCTTAAGATTTACTGTATATTCTTGCTTGTTGTACATACTGTACATCTTCCTCTATCTTGAATTTATTTATTTTGCTGGACTGTATTCTTAAGAAGTTTTTTCAGACAGTCTGAAGTTGGTAAGTTCCTTGTGTCCTTTTGTCTTATGTCTTCATTCTTCTCTCACAGCAAATGTTGGCTTGCCTGGGCATATAATACTTAGACACAAGTTACAGTTCTTCATAACTTTGAAACATTATCTCTCTCTCTTTTAGTTTTTATTACTGAAGAATACTATGATACCAAATTAATTCTTCAATCTCTAATAGGTAATATTTGGGTTTTACTTTTTTTCTTGAGGCATTTAGGATTTTTTTCTTTATCAGCTGAAAGTTTACCATAATTTAATTTGACGAGATTTTTGCTTCTTCCTGTTAAGCACTCAGCAGGACCTTTCAATTAGAATCTCAAATCTCTCCTCCAGCTCTGGGATATTTTATTTTATTTTTTTCTTTTGAGGTTTTCCTCCCCATTATTGTATATTCCCTCCCTTTGTGATACTCTTATTATCCATATGTTGGTTCCTTCTTTCATGTCTCCTAATATCCATCATATACCCATCACATATCCTAATGTGCCATCTGCTTGCATTACTCTCTGGAATAATCCCTTGCCTAATCTTCCAGCTCACTAATTTGCACCTTCAGCAATTGCATCCATTATTCTGCCCATCAATTCATATTTTTGTTTAAAATTCTGAAATAAAATGATTGTCAACTTAGACCCAGTAATAGTTATGCAAACTATAAATTGCCTAAATGGAAAAATACTGGGATTCAGAAAATGTACTTCCTATGTACTCTTTATGTACTCTTAAGTGCAGGAGAAGTAACCCTCATGCTGTTACTTGATTACGTGCTGCAGCAAATGAGGTAATAATTTAAGAAAGAGGAAGATTAGCATCTAGGGAGTAGGAAATTCAACCCTGGATTTTTTGCTGGATCACAGCGAAAGGAAGTCCCAGGAGACTGAACCAGACTGTAATCAGGCCAAGATGGTAATCAGCCCTCAAGGAAGGATAAAGATGGGGGGATCCAGGAAGGTGGAATCTGGAAAAAGTAGACTCCATACATTATAGAACATATTTGAGACACTGAAAACTTGGAGAAATAATAACTACATATAATGTACCAAAAAAGCACTTAGAAACACCAGGAAAACAAAAACTGTATGAGTGGTAGTAGAATCATAACCTCCCACATGGCTTTATAGTGAATAATATTAATAGAATTTATATTAATGCATATTAATATAATTATACTAATTGAGACAATGCTGCATTATACTAATGGAAACAATCATCCACACTAATGATACAAGTGGTGTCATATGCTATTGGTAGGTCAAGTAAGATGAGAGAGGCTGAAAACTGACTGCTGGATTTGGCGATGTAATCTTAACTAGAGCAGCTATGGGGAAATGTGTGTGCCAGACAGGATGATGTGGAGGTTGTGGGAAGCATGAATGGAGTGAGTTTTAAAAGAATTGGAGAAACTGAGGCAGTGTCTCTTGACAACTTGTGGTCAAGAACAGCAGTGAAAGGAGGGAGGGTAGCTAGGAAGGCTAATGGAATCAAATACCATCCCATGCCTACCAAGACTGGAGATGTTAACCAAGTTCCTAAGTTGATGGAAATGCACTGAAAGAGAGTGATGCTGGTGGTGCTGGAGAATTGAAGGGGCAGCAGCAGGAACAGAGTACTTGACTAGTCAAGAAGAGATGGGATCTTGGGCACAAGCTGAGGGGATTACAGTTAGAAGCAGGCACAGCCCAGCCATGGTGACATGAAGGCATATGGGGATTCAGTGCAAGAAATTTGCTAGATATCATAGTAGAAGGTGGCATATTTTTCCTGATTGATTTTATTTTCTCAGTGAAAGGAGAAGCAAGGTCATGAGCTAGAAGGGAAGAAGGAGGAAGAGGGCAGGGAGTGATGTTTGGGAAGAGATGGAAAAGTGGGAAATGGTCATTCTGGCAAATGGGAGGCTGAATAGTCTAGAGAAATAGAGTAGGATTGCCTGGAAGCAGTGAGCACTGGCTCATTGTCTGTGGCCTGAAATTTAGAGGAAGACCTGGTAGCACAATTGTGTGTTTTTTTCTCCAGCCACTGCTCAGGTAAGTTTGTGATACATTTTCTTGCTGTTGTTGTTTATTTTGATTTTTTGAGACAGAGTTTTGCTCTTCTTGCCCATGCTGGAGTGCAATGATGCGATCTCGGCTCACTGCAAGCTCTGCCTCCTGGGTTCAAGCGATTCTCCTGTCTCAGCCTCCTGAGGAGCTGGGGTTACAGGTTCCCACCACCATGCCCTGCTAATTTTGTATTTTTAGTAGAGATGGGATTTCACCATGTTGGCCAGGCTGTTCTCGAACTCCTGATCTCAGGAGATCCACCCACCTCAGCCTCCCGAAGTGCTGGGATTACAGGCATGAGCCAACATGCCCAACAAGTTTGTGATAAAAATTTGCATTTAATAAGGGTAAGAGTTTTGCCACAAAAGCAAGAGAGATAATGGAATGGGAACTCAGGATATATAAAAGGTTGTGGTCATAATGCACTATGGATTGGGTATGGAGAAAAAAATGGGAACATGAGATGTGTGATAAAGTCATAGA
Source organism: Homo sapiens (assembly GCF_000001405.40). Lineage (NCBI taxonomy): Eukaryota > Metazoa > Chordata > Mammalia > Primates > Hominidae > Homo > Homo sapiens. The sequence goes on along the minus strand of NC_000002.12, from coordinate 132,295,475 downwards.
AATTCATGGGTTTATGAATTGAAGTTTCCCTCAGGACAAGGTATTGCTGGAGTTGGGATACTAGAGGGAAGGATGCATAAACTTCAGGGATGGGGTTGCAGATTGATCATGGAAACTGAGGTTTTGATTTTTTTTAAATAAGGACTAGTGAATAGTCATGGAGGAGGATGAATGAGATAGGATGAAGAACATCATTTGCTTTCCAAAAGTGACAGAGACATTGACATAAAATGAAAAGATACAAAGGTTTTGAAGTACAAAATGCTGTAAATATTCATGTATACATAATTTTTATATCACAAAGACCAGAAAAAAATGCATGGCTTTTGTTGTGGGTTGAATCGTGTGCCCCCCCATCCCAAAAATATGTTCAAGTCCTAACACCCAGTACCTATGAACATAACTTTATTGACCAACAGGATCTTTGCAGATATAACCAAGTTAAAATGAGACCACATTAGATTAGGGTGGGCCTTAATGCAATGATTTCTGTCCTAAAAAACAGAAGAAACTTTGGACACAGACACACCCAGAGGGAAAATGCCATGTTAAGATGGAGGCAAAAAGTGGAATGATACAAGCCAGGGGATGCCAAAGATTGCTGGAAACTGAGTCTAGGAAGAGACAAGGAAGAATTCTTCTCTAGAGCTTTTAGGGAGAGCATGGCCCTGCTGACACCTTGATTTCAGATTTCTATTCTCCAGAAGTGTGAGAGAATTAATCTCTGTTGTTTGAAGCTACCCAGTTTCTGGTACTTTGTTACAGCAGCCTGAGGAAACTAATATAGTTTTGAAACATGCATTAAAAAGCACTGAGAAACTAAGATGAAGAACAAAATATAGACTACATATGACAGCTCAAGAATTATTTTCTGTGGGAGATGGCAGAAGTGACCAAATCCTTCACTCTTGACAATGTGACATTGTAGCCCCTTATTTCTTCAAGAGCTGAAGTCTATTCCCCCATCCCTGGAATGCTGGCATTGTGACTTATTTTATCTGACAGAATGCACAACTCTGTTCAGTCTCTGGGGCCATTGTGACTGCTATGACTTCGTGAGTGTGTGACCTGCTGAAGTATAAGACCAAGTGGGGCAGAGATCCCAGTTGAGGGCCCCACCCCACCCCAGGACCCAGCTGGTGCAGTTGACAAGGATGCGTGAGTTCTATTATATGCAGTGTGAACTTAGAAGTTGACTCAGATGCAAGCGTGAGCCTGGCTGAGGCACACTCAAACTACTGATTTATAGAATCATGAGTTAAACACATAGTAGGTTTTGTTTTGTTTTGTTTTTTTGTTTGTTTTTGAGACAAGGAATCTCCTGTCTCAGCCTCCTAAGTGGCTGGGATTACAGGTGCATGCCACCATATGCAGCTAATTTTTTAATCTTTTGTACAGACAGGGTTTTGCCATGTTTCCCAGACCGGTCTCGAACTTCACTGCCTAAGCTTCCCAAAGTGCTGGGATTAAAGGCCTGAGCCAACTCGCCTGGCTCAAATGGTAGTTTTTGAATGCAACAGATAACATATGTCCCAGAACAGAAACCATGTAGGTCACATTCATTGACCATAATGCAATTAAATTCACAAAAGGACATAAAGAGTGTTCTGTAAGTTATTTATTCACCTCAAGATTGAAAGGAACCCGAGGACACTCTTTAAATGCAGGCTTGGATTAAAGAGGAAATCAAAATAATAGTCACATACCATTTGAAAATAAATAAAAACAAAAGAAGTACATATCCAAAACAGAGGAAAATAGCTTAAAATCATACTCAGAGGAAAACTTGTAACATTCGTTAAATTTATGAAACACAAGAGTGAAAATAAATTAACTTAACTTCCATTTCAAGAAAGTGGTAATAACAGTGGTAGCTGATATGCATTTAGGGTTTGTGTGTTCTAAGTCTTTCATGTGTATTACTTCATTTAATTCTCATGTCACACTACAAAATGGGCACTATTATATTGCTATGTTATGGATGAGGACACTGAGGTACAGAGAACAGCATGTCTAGTAAAAGGCAGACCAACTACTAAACAATCTAGTACAACAAACTGAGAGGAAGTTTCCAGAGCTCAAGCTTTTTTTATTTGGACAGAGTTTTGATCTTGTTGCCCAGGCTGGAGTGCAATGGCACTATCTCAGCTCACTGCAACCTTTGCCTCCTGGGTTCAAGCGATTCTCCTTCCTCAGCCTCCCAATTAGCTGCGATTATAGGCATGAGCCACCACGCCCCGCTGATTTTTTGTTTTTAGTAGTCATGGGGTTTCACCAAGGTCGTCAGGCTGGTCTTGAACTACTGACCTGACGTGATCCACCCACCTCGGCCTCCCAAAGTGCTGGGATTAGAGGCATGAGCCACTGAGCCTGGCCCCATGCTCTTAACACTGAACTATCTATGTCTCAGATATACAGCAGCAAAACAAAACCAGAGAAAGTGGAAAGCAGGTAATACAGAAGAAACAGAGGTGAAATGAAGAATATAATTCTCAGGGAATATATAGAGAACGCAAATATATTTAACAAGCAGTATAAATGCTAAATAAAACAACAACCTCAGAAGAAACCTAAGGTTCATCCCCAAATAGGAAATCTATTCTGAATGCTCTAAGAGAGAAATAATACAAACCTACAATGAGGTGATTATTAGAATAAACTTTTCCAGAGAGCAGAACGTGTTAGGAGCTTCTTAACTTATTATATTACTACCCCAAATCCTAGTATAATCTTGATAACCAAATTATACCCTAACAGAGCAACAACAAAAACAACAACGACAACAACAACAACAAAAAAAAAACAGCCAGAAAACTAAAGGAAAATGTCTCAATGAATAGAACTGCAAAATTTTATGGAAAGCAGCAAACAAAATCCATCAACATATTAAAATTATTACAGTACAACAGTAATGCATGGAAATTCATCATTACTACATTTAGCAATATAATTCCTCTTATTAAGAAATATTACTTTCTAAAACATATCACCATGAAAACAAATGTCAATCAACAGGTTGAAAGTAAATTTCTTGTTAATACATATAACAGAAGAAAAAAGATCAAAACCTAGAAAAAAACACACAAAGAGTTCATAAATAAGATGCATACCTAAACAGAAAGAAACAAGGAGTAAATAGCAAGGGGAATACAAAAGAATAAGCTTATAAGAGGATGAAGAGGCAGGGAGAGATGGCTCACACCTGTAATCCCAGCACTTTGGAAGGCCAAGGCAGGAGGATAGCTTGAGCCCAGGAGTTTGAGACAAGCCTGGGCAACATAGTGAGACCTCGACTCTACAAAAAATTTAAAAGAAAATTATCAGGTGCAGTGGTTCACACCTGTAGTTCTAGTTGCTCAAGAGACTGAGGATCTCCTGAGGCTCTAATTGCACCATTGCAGTAAAGCCTGGGAGACAGGATGAGATCTTGTCTCAAAAAATAAGAGGATGGCCAATATCTCCTACCTGGAAAAATTAACATAATGTAATGCCATAATTGTTCTCCTGATGGAAAAAGACTAAAAGGATTAATAAGAGCCAGCTTTTTTTGTTTGTTTGTTTTTGTTTTGAGATGGAGTCTTGCTCTGTCACCCAGGCTGGAGTGCAGTGGCATGTGATGTCGGTTCACTGCAACTTCCACCTCCCAGGTTGAGGCAATTCTCCTGCCTCAGTCTCCTGAGTAACTGGGATGACAGGCGTCCACCACTTAAGCAAAAACAAACACACAAACCCCAAACTCTATTCCTAACTATACACAAATATCTGTGTAAATATATAGAAACCGATCTGAAACAACTAAGGTGAAATTTTTAATAACGGTAATTTTGGGAGGGAAATGAAAGTAACAAGAGAGAGGAGGTTGATATAGCAATGGGGACTTTCATTTTAACTTAAAAAAATTAAAACATAAGCAAATATTATCTTAAACATGCATGTAATTTGCATTAGCAAAAAGAGAAATGAAGTCCCAGAAATATGCTGACATTTAAGAAAACACTAGCGATGTGAAGTCATTATCCTCAGCAAACTAATCCAGGAAGAGAAAACCAAACACCACGTTCTCCCTTATAGTGGAAGCTGAAAAATGAGAACACATGGACACAGGAAGAGGAACAACACACATTGGGGCCTGTCATGGGGTGGGGTTAGGGGAGGGAGAGCATTAAGAAAAATAGCTAATGCATGCTGGGCTTAATACCTAGGTGATGAGTTGACAGGTGCAGCAAACCACCATGGCACACGTTTACCTATGTAACAAATCTGCACATCCTGCCCATATACCCCAGAACTTAAAAACAAAACAAAACAAAAACAAAACGCTAGCGGCAAAATAAAGTCTCAAACTGAAAAAGTGACAGACCAATTTTTGGTTCAAATAATGGTTCTCAACCCAGGTGTTATAAAGTAAAGACAAAGAATTTGATCACATATTGCAATTAAGACATACAGCAAATGACTAGAAAAATTATTCTCAACACATATGACGGTTAGTAGCTAATTTCCTTAAGAGGAAATGGTCACAAAACAATGAAGGGGGGAAAATGAACACTTGAAAAATGGGTGAACAGCTAGGCCTGGTGGTGTGTGCCTGTGGTCCCAGCTACTCAAGAGGCTGTTGCAGCGGAATTGTTTGAGCCCAGGGATTGGAGGCTATAGTGAGCTGTGATTGGGCCACTACAGTTCAGCGTGGGTGACACAGCAAGACCTTGTCTCTAGTTTTTTTTTTTTTTTTTTTTTTGAGACGGAGTCTAGCTCTGTCGCCAGGCTGGAGTGCAATGGGGCCATCTCGGCTCCCTCCAACCTCTGCCTCCCGGGTTCAAGCGGTTCTTCTGCCTCAGCCTCTTGAGTAGCTGGGACTACAGGCGCCAGCCACCACGCGGCTAATTTTTGTATTTTTAGTAGAGACGGGGTTTCGCCACGTTGGCCAGGATGATCTCGATATCTTGACCTCGTGATCCGCCCGTCTCGGCCTCCCAAAGTGCTGAGATTGCAGGTGTGAGCCAGTGCGCCCGGCCTAAAAATTTTTTTCAGTTAAAAATTAAATAATTAAAAAGTGGGTGAAAGACATGACAAGGCAGTGAAAAGAAAAATGACAAAAAGACATCAACTATGACCACCTTGATTGTTAGCAATAAAATGAAAACCAACATCCTTTTTATATATCAAAGACTAAACATTTTTATTGTAAATCAAGTGATCCTCAATAGTGTGAGAAAATAGACCCGTTTACATTTTAGGCTGAGTGAAAAAAACAAAAACTGTTTTTCCTCCGCTCTCATATCACAACAATTAACACAGAAGATTTCTGTGACAGCATGTCTGGGGATTTCTCTCGGTCAGTCAAGCACACAATGCATTCTGCTCTGGAAATCAGTTGGGTGTCTTCTAATTCAATTATGAGGCTATCTACATGGACATAGCGTTAGATTACACAGGGCTGACTTCCACAAGACTGGCCTCCCACTCTAATACCAATGGCAAGCCCTAGGTTGTTTTACCTGTGCTTCTGACCAACTGGCTATAAATCAGGTTTTCACCACCCCTGATTTAGTTGCATTAATTTGCTCGAACAGCTCACAGCACGCAGGGAAACACTTACATTTACCATTTTATTATAGCGGATATTGCAAAAAATTCAGAAAAAAGATTGATGGGGCCCTGCATGGGGGGAGGGGCACACTACCTTCCAGGAAGTTTTATCTAGAAGCTCTCTAAACCCAGTCCTTTTCAGTTTTTATGGAGATCTCATTCTATAGGCATCATGGGTAAAACCATAGGCTATTGGTGATCAACTCAACCTGAGGCTCTCAACCCTCCCTGGAAATTGGGGTTGAGGCATTGCCATTCTCAGTCTGAGTAAAAGAATTTACACAAACTGAATTTTAAAACAGATTAGCATAACTGCAAACTTAATTAGATGATTGAATTATCTGGAGCCACACCTTGATATTACTAACCCAAGCACCCTCATCCAATAAATGTTCCACCCAACTGGCCCCGGAGTCTCTACATTGTTCCAGAGCAGAAGAATATTTACACAACGTATATCACCACTTTTTCTTAAAAGTCTTTTCACTTATACGGGTAATTCTTAAGCTGCCATGCATCAGGGTCAGTGGGAGGGCTTGTTACCACACAGATCTGTGGATCTCCGGGGTCTGTGTGTTGCAAGGATGCTGCTGGTGTCAAAACCACAATGTGAGAACCACAGAACCACTACATGGTTTTCAGTGTTTAAGTGCATTTAATTCATAATGTAGTTGAGCAACAAAGCTTGTAAGTTCTCAGATTGTCCCAAATATGTCACAAGACATCAAATCAGGGGAACAGTTTCCTACGAGGTGTAGCCTGGGAAAGTTGGGGGTGACTCATGGAAAGGAGGAGTGAAGCTCCGCCCTTTCCGCTGCCAGGCTGCGCCCAAGGCTATTTAAACCCGCCCTGTTGGGGGGCCTCGAGCTCAGATCTTCGCAGAGCAGAGCAGCGGCTGGAGCGTTCTGCCGGCTCAGCGTGGACCTGGAGCTTACAGCGTCTTACGACTTGGAAGTAGATTCAGAGGATAGGACAGTACACTTGGGTAAGTAAATCTCTGTCTGTCACATTGGTTTGTTCATTTCCATTTTCTTAAGGAGCACATATGTCACAACAGACAAAAACACACACACACATAAACACACACACAAACTCCTTCATTCTGGGGGTTAGAAAATTGGTAGGGGTCCCTGGGAGCTGCAGGTTTCCTAATCATGTCTGCGTCTAAGAACAGTGGGGTCTTGTCTGGCTCTTCTTATGAACGGTCCCCTAGCCCGGACTCCCCAAAATCCATGCTAGCTTCACCCAGCTTCTCCTTCTCCCCTCCCAGAAACTCAGACTTAAGAGGAAGCTCCTCACCAGGGACCTGGAGCTACCATTCACCATCCTCTAGGGCTTCACCACACTCACCTCTGTCATCAGCAGAATCCCACAAGCTCCCATTTCCCTTTCCTCACCGTGATGGGCAACCAATGAAGCCATTGGGCTCTCCCGTGTCCTCCTCTGGGGATTCTTTAGAGTCACCACGTTCATCAATAATATACCACATGTTCTTACTGCCATCACCCAGCAGCTCACCCCCAGCTCTCGGGGAGTCTCCCGTGTCTCCCAGCTACTCTCCAAAAAACTCCAGATTTCATCTGGAGTCAGCCCCCAACACCCAGGAATCACCTACAAACTCACGAGCCTCACGGTGCTCCTCGCCTATGTCTTTCCTCTCTTCACCCCCAGCCGTCATGGACTCTCCTGTGTCTCCCAGTTACTCTCCAACCATCCCCAGGTTTCTGCGGGAGTCAGCCCCATGTACCTATGAGTCTCCCAGAGACTCACAGGTCTCGGGAGATTATGAGCGGTCCCTCAGCCCTGACTCCTCAAGATTCATGCCTGCCTCACCCAGCTTCTCCCTCTCCCCTCCCAGAAATTCAGACCCAAGGGGCAGCTCCTCACCAGGGATGTGGAAGTACTCTACATCATCCCGCAGGACTTCACCACTCTCACATCCCTCATCAACAGAATTTCACAACTTTACATTTCCCTTTCCTAACCAAGCAGGACAATCACTCATGTCATTATGCTCTCCCTTGTCCTCCTCTGGAGATTCTTCACAGTCACCTCATTCATCAATAATATATCATGTGTTCTTACTGCCATCATCCAGCAGCTCACCCCCAGCCATCAATGACTCTCCTGTCTGTCCCAGCTACTCTCCAACTACGCCCAGATTTCAGCGGGAGTCGGTCTCCCACACCCCAGAAACACCTACAAACTCACAGACCTCAGTGAGATCCTGGCCAGTCTCTCTCACGTCCTCACCCCCAGCCCTTACGGACCCTCCTGTCTGTCCCAGCTACTCTCCAAACATGCCCACATTTCAGCGGGAGTCAGTTCCAGGAACCAAGGGATCACCACCAAGCTCACCACTTTCACTGAATTACTCCTCAGTCTCTAGCACGCCTTTATCCCCAACCCTCAGGGACTCTCCTGTCTGTCCCAGCTACTCTCCAACCACGCCCGCGTTTCAGCGGGAGTCAGTTGCAGGCACCCAGAAATCACCACCGAACTCACCAATTTCACTGCGTTACTCCCCAGTCTCTCTCATGTCTTCACCAGCCCTCATGGACTCTCCTGTCTGTCCCAGCTACTCTCCAACCACGCCCAGATTTCAGCTGGTGTCAGTTCCAGGCACCCAGAAATCACCACCAAACTCACCAATTCCACTCAATTACTCTCCAGTCTCTGTCATGTCTTCACCATCCCTCAGGGACTCTCCTGTCTGTCCCAGCTACTCTCCAACCATGCCCAGATTTCAGCGGGAGTCAGTTCCAGGCACCCCGGAGTCACCATCAAACTCACCAGTTTCACTGAGTTACTCCCCAGTCTCTCTCACGTCTTCACCCCCAGCCCCCTGGGACTCTCCTGTCTGTCCCAGCTACTCTCCCGCCACGCCCAGATTTCAGCCGGAGTCAGCCTCCTACACTCCGGAATCACCTACAGACTCACAGACCTCACTGAGATCCTCCCTGGTCTCTCTCAGTTCTTTGCCCTCAGCCCACAGGGACTCTTGTGTCTCTTTCAGCTACTCTCAAAACTTCTCTAGATTCCAGCTGGAGTCAGTTCCAGGCACCCAGGGCACACCACCAAACTCACCAATTTCACTGACTTACTCCCCAGTCTCGCTCATGTTGTCACCCCCAGCCCTCAGGGACTCTTCTGTCTCTCTCACCTACTCTCCAACCATCTCCAGATTTCACCTGGGGTCAGCTTCCCACACCCAGGAATCACCTACAAACTCACGGACCTTACTGCACCCCTCCCCCATTTCTTTCACCTCTTCACCCCCAGCCTTCAGGGACTCTCCTGTGTCTCCCAGCTTCTCTCCAGCCTTCCCCAGATTTCTGCCGCAGTCAGCCCCAGGCACCCAGGAGAACCCTAGACACTCACAGGCCTCATGAGACTATCTCCCTATGACCTGTATCTATACAGGGATGGCTCCCACGTATCCCTCAGTGACCCCAAACCCATCTCCACTTACACTCAGACACTCCCAGGGCCTGACAGCTACTCCCCGTTATTGTCCTTCAGTTCGAAGCCCTGGCCAATCTACTAGCCAACATGACACAGTTACCTGGCCATTTCTCCACATTTCTGGTGAGGGCCCCACACCCAGCCGCAGAAGAGCCCCTCCTGCATTCCATCCTCACACACAGGCCTGTCCATCTACTTGCTACTGTCACACTGTTGCCAGCAGAAGAGGCCCCTGTAATGGCTGATATCACCACCCAGGCTATCCTCACCCCACAGCTGTGCAGCGGGACCCTCCTGCTGGCCCACATGGCTGCCAGAGCCCATGCTGACACGAACCTCCAGCATGTCAGCGTCCCTGCGGGTGACACTACCGGTGACATGGCTAGCATGCCCCTCCTCCCTGGCAGTGACACTGTTGATGTGAGCCCCAGTTTCAGATCTGTCATTTGTAAATAGGACCATTTTCCCTTTTCTCTCTCTCTTCCATTCACAGGGCTTTTCATTCTTTCTGTTTCTGCCTCCCTTTCAGATATTTACTCACCTTTTTCTCATTCACTATGTCTGCCGTGGTCTCGATGAGAGTGTGCCACGTAAGTTTCCCCCATTAAAAGTCATGAATTCAGTGGATTTTAGTATATTTGTGGTTGTGCATATTCAGTTTTAATTCGCAATCCATTTTAGAACATTTTATCACCCCCGACCAGAGAAAAACCCTGTAAACATTATTCACTCCTCATTCTGTCTCAAACCCTCTCCCTGACCCTCAGCCCTAGGTAACAACTACATAGAGCGATCAACCCCATATCCATAGATTTCCATATTGTGGACATTTCCTATAAACAGAATTGCACAGTATGTGAGACTTTATGACTGACTTTACACTTAGCACAATATTTTCAAGATTCATCCACATTATAGTCTTACCCACAGTGGGAAACCATTTTTTTTTTTTTTTGGTTTTAGTATCCACCGGGTGTTTTCTCCTTCCTTCCGTCCTTCCTTCCTTCCTTCCTTGCTTCCTATTTCTCTCTTACTCCTTCTGCCTTCTCCCATTCATATGCCTTAGGTGCATCCTACATTCTGTGAATTTTGGGGAAATCCTCGACAGTTGCAGGAAAATTGTGTTATTGTTATTATTTACCGCTATCTCTCTTTCTTGGTTCTCCATCAGTTGTAAACATCTATTGGTTTCTCCCAAGTCACTCAGTATATTTTAATTAGGTACACTTCTTTTTCTTTATACAGCTATTTCTGGAGTATACGGTCACATACTCATAAACCCAGTGTAACTCAAAAACGCATCTAATATCCCAATAAACCCATCATAAAGTTGAAAATCATAAATCAAACCATCATAAGTCACGGTTTGTCCGTGGATATCGGCTTCATCAATTCCATTGTATTCCATAATGCTGTATACCATTAACAATGGCAGACTGACAGGGAGTGGATATTGATAGCATTTTAAAAATCAGTTATCAGAGGGATACTTTAACTTGACTGAGTAACTGATCTAATTGTTTTAGCACAATGAATGATTATGGGAAATGTTTTGAGACAGAGTAGTTCATTTGTGAATGAAATTTTATGGCTTTTTTCACTTAGTAGGAACCTTTGTGTGTGGAAAACTGAGAAAATTGCTTTCTGCGGTAGAGTCTGGCATTCATTGTAGATTAAAGCTTATTTTTCTGTGAATAAATCTTATTCAATAAAATACTGTTCTTTAAAAAAAAAAAAAACACTGGTGATGTGAAGTCATTATCTTCAGCAAACTAATCCAGGAAAAGAAAACCAAACACCACATTCTCACTTATAATGGGAGCTGAAAAAGGAGATCACATGGACACAGGAAGGGGAATAACACACACTGGGGCCTTTCGGGAGGCAGAGCACTAAGAAAAACAGCTAATGCATGCTGGGCTTAATACCTAGGTGATGGGTTGACAGGTTCAGCAAACTACCGTGACACACGTTTACCTTTGTAACAAATCTGCACATCCTGCACATATACCCCAGAACTTAGAAACAAAAGGAAACAAAACAAAACGAAAAAACTATAACAAAACGCTAGTGGCAAAATAAAGTTTCAAACTGAGAAAGTGACAGACCAATTTTTTGTTCAAATCATGGTTCTCAACCCAGGTGCCATAAGGTCAGGATGAAGAATTTGATTACATATTGTAAATAAGACATACAGCAAATGACTGGAAAAATTATTCTCAACATATGTGTGTCTTCTAATTCAATGATGACGCTATCTACTGGGACATAGCATGAGATTCCAAAGGGCTCAGTCCCGCAAGACTGGCCTCCCACTCTAACAACAATGGGAAGCCCTACGTTATTTTACCTGTGCTTCTTAGCAACTGGCTATAAATCAGGTTTCCACCACTCCCAGTTTTAGTTGCATTAATTTGCTGGAAGAGCTCACGGCACTCAGGGAAAGACTTCCATTTACCATTTTATTATAGTGGATATTGCAAAAAATTCAGAAAAAAGATTTTGGGCCCACCATGTGGGGAGGGGAGCACTACCATCCAGGAAGTGTTATCCAGAAGCTCTCTAAACCCAGTCCTTTTGGGTTTTTATGGAGACCTCATTCTATAGGCATGATGGGTTAAACCATAGGCTATTGGTGATCAACTCAACCTGAGGCTCTCAACCCTCCCTGGAAATTGGGGTTGAGGATTTGCCATTCTCAGTCTGAGTAAAAGAATTTACACAAACTGAATTTTAAAACAGATTAGCATAACTGGAAACTTAATGAGATGATTGAATTATCTGGAGCCACACCTTGATATTCCTAACCCAAGCACCCTCATCCAACGAATGCTCCACCCAACTGGCTCCCAAGTCTCTATGTGGTTCCAGAGCAAAAAAAAGTTTATACAACGCATATCTCCACTTTTTCTTCAAAGTCTTTTCGCTTACACGGGTAATTCTTAAACTGCCATGCATCAGGGTCAGTGGGAGGGCTTGTTACAACACAAATCTGTGGATCTCCGGGGTTTGAGGGTTGCAAGGATGCTGCTGGTGTCAGAACCACAGCGTGAGAACCACAGAACCACTAGATGGTTTTCAGTGTTTCAGTGCATTTAATTCATAATGTATTTGGCCAAGAAAACTTGTAAATTCTTAGATTGTCCCAAATGTGGCACATGAAATCAAATCAGGAGAACAGTTTCCTACTAGGTGTAGCCTGGGAAAGTTGGGGGTGACTGATAGGAAGGAAGAGTGAAGCTCTGCCCTTTCCGCTGCTAGGCTGTGCCCGAGGCTATTTAAACCCACCCTGGCAGGGCTGTACTCAGATCTTCGCCCAGCGTAGCAGCGGCCGGAGCGTTTTGCGGGCTCTGCGTGGACTTGGAGCTTACAGCATCTTGTGACTTGGAAGTGGATTCAGAGGACAGGACAGAACACTTGGCTAAGTGAATCTGTGTCTGTCTGTCTGTCTCATTGGTTGGTTTATTTCCATTTTCTTAAGGAGCACATACCTCACACCACACACACACATACACACACATACACACAGACTCCTTCATTCTGCGGGTTAGAAAATTTGTAGGGGTCCCCGGGAGCTGCAGGTTTCCTAATCATGTCTGCACCTAAGAAAAGTAGGATCTTGTCTGGCTCTTCTTATGAATGGTCCCCTAGCCCGGACTCCCCAAGAGCCATGCTAGCTTCACCCAGCTTTTCCCTCTCCCCTCTCAGAAACTCAGACTTAAGAGGAAGCTCCTCACCAGGGATCCGGAGCTACCATTCACCATCCCCTAGGGCTTCACCACACTCACCTCTGTCATCAGCAGAATCCCACAAGCTCCCATTTCCCTTTCTTCACCGTGATGGGCAATCAGTGAAGCCATTGGGTTCTCCAGTGTCCTCCTCTGGGGATTCTTTAGAGTCACCACGTTCATCAATAATATACCACATGTTCTTACTGCCATCACCCAGCAGCTCACCCCCAGCTCTCGGGGAGTCTCCCGTGTCTCCCAGCTACTCTCCAAACAACCCCAGATTTCATCTGGCATCAGCCCCCCACACCCAGGAATCGCCTACAAACTCACGAGCCTTGTGGTGCTCCTCCCCTATGTCTTTCATCTCTTCCCCCCCAGGCCTCAGGGACTCTCCTGTGTCTCCCAGTTACTCTCCAGCCATCCAGAGGTTTCTGCGGGAGTCAGCCCCATGCACCCAGGAGTCCCCCAGAGACTCACAAGTCTCGGGAGAATATGAGCAGTCCCCCAGCCCTGACTCCTCAAGATTCATACCTGTCTCACCCAGCTTCTCCCTCTCCCCTCCCAGAAACTCAGACCCAAGAGGCAGCTCCTCACCAGGGATGTGGAAGTACTCTACATCATCCCGCAGGGCTTCACCACTCTCACATCCCTCATCAACAGAATTTCATAACTTTACATTTCCCTTTCCTAGCCAAGCAGGACAATCACTCATGTCATTGTGCTCTCCCGTGTCCTCCTCTGGAGATTCTTCACAGTCACCTCATTCATGAATAATATACCATATGTTCTTACTGCCATCATCCAGCAGCTCACCCCCAGCCATCAATGACTCTCCTGTCTGTCCCAGCTACTCTCCAACTATGCCCAGATTTCAGCGGGAGTCGGTCTCTCACACCCCAGAAACACCTACAAACTCACAGACCTCAGTGAGACCCTCACCAGTCTCTCTCACCTCTTCACCCCCACCACTTACGGACCCTCCTGTCTGTCCCAGCTACTCTCCAACTACACCCACATTTCAGCGGGAAGAGGTCTTGGGGCCGAAACGATCTCAGTCTATTCTGTAACTTTAAATGGGTAAGAAGCCTGGCTGGCTGACGTGGAGCCAGGCGTGGAATGCGAGTGCTTCGTAGGCTACTTTTGGTAAGCAGAACTGGCACTGTGGGATGAACCAAATGCCGGGTTAAGATGCCCGATGCCAATGCTCATCAGACCTCAGAAAAGGTGTTGGTTGATATAGACAGCAGGATGGTGGCCATGGAAGTTGGAATCCGCTAAGGAGTGTAACAACTCAGCTGCCAAATCAACTACTCCTGAGAATGGATGGAGCTGGAGCGTTGGGCCCATACCCGGCCGTTGACAGCAGTTGAGAGTGGATGGGAGCGGCAGGGGCAGTACACCCGTGTGAGTGCAGTGGGGGTCCTCCCGTCCCCTCCTCCCCCCCCTCCCCTGCAGCCCCACGGAGTCTACGCCGGGAGGAGTAGGAGGGCCGCTGCGGTAAGCTTTGAAGCCTAGGGTATGGGCCCAGGTGGATAGGCCACAGGTGCAGATCTTGGTGGTAGTAGCAAATTTTCAAATGAGAACTTTGAAGGCCGAAGTGGAGAAGGGTTCCATGTGAACAGCAGTTGAACATGGGTCCCAGGTGAACAGCAGTTGAACATGGTTCATTTGGTCCTGAGAGATGGGTGAGTGCCATTCCGAAGGGATGGGTGATGTCCTCTGTTGCCCTCAGCTGATTGAAAGGGAGTTGGGTTCAGATCCCCGAATCCAGAATGGCGGAGATGGGCACCATGAGGCGTCCAGTGCGGTAATGTGACTGACCCTGGAGAAGCATGTGGGAGCCCTGGGGAGGGTTCTCTTTTTCTTTGTGAAGGGCAGGGCGCCCTGGAATGGGTTCGCCCCGAGAGAGGGGACTGTACCTTGGAAAGCATCGTGGTTCTGGTGGCATCTGGTGAGCTCTGGCTGGCCCTTGAAAATCCAGGGTAGACGGTGTAAGTCTCACGCAGGGCCATACCCATGTCTGCAGCAGGTCTCCGAGATGAGCAGACTCTGGCATGTTGGAACAATGTAGGTAAAGGAAGTCCTCAAGCCGGATCCATAACTTCGGGATAAGTATTGGCTGTAAGGGCTGGGTCGGTTGGGCTGGGTGCGTGCCGCCGCTCGACGAGGCCCCGCTGCCCCCCCCAAGCCCCAGGAATGCCTGTTGTGGCCCTCCCCTGCCCCAACCCGTGTGCTGCTCACTCCCTCCCCCGCCCCCTCTCTCTCTGTCCTCCCCCTCTATGGAGGTGGTGTGTGGGGGCGGAGGGGTGGCAGTGGCCATACAGCCCCAGTGGCAGGGCATGATCTCCCGTGAGGGGGTGCTGGTGGTGGTGGTGACTCTGGACACAAGCTGGGCCCTTCCCATGGATTGCCCCAGTTGTGGCCACCCATGGGGAGCCCAGTGGGTGCTGGTGTGTCCTGTCTCGCTCTGCGCTGTCATGCGTGTCAGCGTGGGCAGGGAGTGATTGGGTCAGTGGGTGGCAGGCGGGGTGGTTCATTCCCCCACCTCCCCCGCAGCCCCATCTGTCTCCTGTCCCCCCCTCCGTGGAGGTGGCGGGCCGCGGGCTGGTCCCCGCCACAGGGGCCACGGTTCCATGCAGCACCTCCGCCGGTGCTTAGCAGCCGACTTATAGAACTGTGTGCACCAGGGGAATCCAACTGTTTAAACAAAGCATCGCGAAGGCCCTCGGGGGGTGTTGCAAAGTGATTTCTGCCCAGTGCTCTGAATGTCAAAATGAAGAAATTCAATGAAGTATGGGTAAATGGCGGAAGTAACTATGGCTCTCTTAAGGTAGCCAAATGCCTCGTCATCTAACTAGTGACGTGCGTGAATGGATGAATGAGATTCCCACTGTCCCTACCTACTTACTATCCAGTGAAACCACAGCCAAGGGAATGGGGTTGGTGGAATCAGTGGGGAAAGAAGAACCTGTTGAGCTTGACTGTAGTCTGGCATGGTGAAGAGACATGAGAGGTGTAGAATAAGTGGGAGGTCCCCAGTGCCCCCCTATCCCCGTGAGGGGGTGGGGTGGGGTCCTGTGGGCTGCCCATGGAATACTACTACTCTGATCGTTTTTTCACTGACCTGGTGAGGCAGGGGGTGAGCCCCTAGGGGCCCTCCCTTCTGGCGCCAAGTGCCCAGCTGCACGCCGGCCGGGTGTTGACCCGTCCCGAGGACAGTGCCAGGTGGGGAGTTTGGGATAGTACACCTGTCAAACGGTAATGCAGGTGTCCTAAGGAGAGCTCAGGGAGGACAGAAACCTCTTGTGGAGCAGAAGGGCAAAAGCTCGCTTGATCGTGATTTTCAGTGCGAATACAGACTGAAAGCTGGGCTTTGACGATCATTCTGACGTTTTTAAGCAGGAGGTATCAGAAGTTACCACAGGGGATAACTGGTTCGTTGCGGCCAAGCATTCATAGGGATGTTTTTTGATCCTGTAATGTTGGTTCTTCCTATCATTGTGAAGTAGAATTCACCAAGCATTGGATTGTTCACCCACTAATAGGGCATGTGAGCTGGATTTAGATCGTAGTGAGACAGGTTAGTTTTACCCTCCGTGATGTGTGTTGTTGCAATGGTAATCCTGCTCAGCATGAGAGGAATGGCAAGTTCAGACATGTGCTTGGTTGAGGAGCCAATGGGGTGAAGCTACGGTCTGTTGGATTGTGACTGAACGCCTCTAAGTCAGAATCCTGCCCAGGCGGAAGGATACAGCAGCACCGTGGAGCCTTGGTTGGCCTTGGCTGGCCTTGGCTGGCCTTGGCTAGCCGGTTCCCCACCCCCGCTGGTGGGCTGCCTCACCCTTGGTGGGGTGTGCCCCACCATGTGCTAGGACTGGGTCCGGTGCAGAGTGCCCTTCCTCCTGGGAAGGGTGTGGCTGGAAAGGTGGCCTCCTTGCCCGTCATGCAACACACGTTCGTGGGGAACCTGGTGCTAAACCATTTGTAGACGACCTGCTTCTGGGTCAGAATTTGGCCACACATGGCCAACCTCCACTTGTGGCTGCTCCTCGGTCGGGCCTCTGGGGTCGACCAGCTGCTGCCTGAGGGTGTGAAACAGCTGGCAGCTAGCCATGTCCCAGGTCGACCGGCAGGCCCTCTGGACCGAGAGGTGTGCAGGGGTGCCTGTTGGGATGAGCCGGATCTGGAGCGTCCGCATCTCAGTCGGAACCTCCAGGGTCGATCAGCTGCTGCCAGCGAGCTCCGGACTTAGCCGGCGGCTTCCTGTGTCCCAGATTGACCAGCAGGCGGCCAGTGGCGGTCCCACTGGATGGTGCAGCGCACCCATGTGAGGGCACCTATCCCCGTTCACGCGCGGGTGGCCCTCACCAGCCTCAGCCTTTGGTGGAGCTGGGACCACGTGGAACTCCCTCTCCTACATTTTTTTCAGGCCCACTTTGTTTGCTTCCGCCGTACTTTTCAGAGGGAGTCACTGTTGCTGTCAGTCAGTAATACTTCCTCCTTTGGTTTTTTTGGTTTTGTCTTGTGTGTGTTTTTTTTTTTTCCTTTCTTTCTTTCCTTTTTCTGGGGATGGAGTCTCGCTCTGACGCCCAGGCTGAAGCTGGAGCTGGAGTGCAGTGGTGCCTTCTCTTCTCACTGCTGCCGCTGCCTCTGCCTCCAGGGTTCAAGCGAACAGCAATTTTTGTATTTTGAGTAAAGATGGAATTTCACCATATTGGCCAGGCTGGTCTCGAACTCTTGACCTTCCACCCGCCTCGGCCTCCCAAATAGTGCTGGGAGTAGTACAGGCGTGAGCCACCAAGCTCGGCCAATTCCTTTTTTTCTTCAATCTTATTTTCTGCACGCTGTTGTGTATAAACATACATTTATATATATATATACACACACACATACACACATACATACATACACACACATAAATATGTAGTGATAAAACTATATAGATATTTCCATAATTAATACTTGTTTATATTATAAATGTTAATTTTAATGTATGAATATGTATTAAATGAAAACCCATTTCATTTACATATACATGTGTATGTATATCCTTCCTTCCTTCCTTCCTTCCTTCTTTCATTTATTATTTTTTATTTTCGCTTATTTTCTTTCCTTTTTGGGCCTGCCTGGTCTTCTCACTCTGGGCCCTGGTGACAGCCTCCCAAGTAGCTGGGACTACAGGGATCTCTTAAGCCCGGGAGGCAGAGGCTAACGTGGGCTGTGATCGCGCACCTCCACTCCAGCTTACGTGAGGTGGGGTGAGGTGGGGTGAGGAGGAGTGGGGTGGGGTGGGGAGAAAACAATTGATTGTGATCTTAATTACCTTTTAGCTTTATTCATACCCTCTTATTTGCTTGTTTATTGTCATGGGTTATTCTATGTCATTGTCATGTTCATCATTTGCTTGCTTGCTTGCTTATTTCCTTCCTTCCTTCCTTCCTTCCTTCCTTCCTTCCTTCCTTCCTTCCTTCTTTCCTTCTTTCCTTCCTTACTGGCAGGGTCTTCCTCTGTCTCTGTCGCCCAGGATCACCCCAGCCTCAACGCTTTGGACCGACCAAGCAGTTGTCCTGCCTCTGATCTCTCCCATCCCCATTACTTGGGACTACAGGCATGCACCACAACACCGGTTGACTTTTATGTTGTTTCTCATGTTTTCCGTAGGTAGGTAGGTATGTAGGTATGTATGTATGTATATATGTGAGTGAGATGGGGTTCGGGGTTCTATCATCTTGCCCAGGCTGGTCTCTATCTCCTGTTCTCAAGCAATCCACCTGCCTGCCTCAGCCGCCCACACTGCTGCTATTACAGGCGTGAGACACTGCACCTGGCTCATTCTATATTTGCCTGCCTGCCTGCCTGTCTATCAATCATCTTGTTTTTAGTACGGATGCACTCTCGCTTTGTTTTCCATGCTCTGTCACACATAATCTATTTTTAAACTTCTATGATTATTATTATTGCAGGTGTCATCTCACATGTCGAGGTGATGTCAAACTTTAAGGCTCCAGCGATCCTCCCACATCGGCCTCCCAGAGTGCTGTGATGACACTCTTGGGCACAGTATGCTCTGGTCATATTTCTCATGTGTCGGTTCTTTCCGTTTTTAGTATAGGGACTGGAAAGGAAATTTTGAAACGCATCTCACCAATCTGCCTTTTCTTTCTTTCTTTCTTTCTTTTTTTTCTTTAGACGGAGTTTCACTCTTGACGCCCAGGGTGGAGTACAATGGCACGATCTCAGCTCACTGCAACCTCCGCCTCCCAGGTTCAAGTGATTCTCCAGCCTCAGCCTTCCCAAGTAGCTGGAATGACAACAATGTGCCATCATGCCTGGCTAATTTTTCTATTTTTAGTACAGATGGGGTTTCTCCATCTTGGTCAGGCTGGTCTTGAACTTCTGACCATTGGAGAATTTTAACTTTCTTGGTGGTTGTTTTTCTTTTTTTTTCTTTTCTTTTCTTTTTTTTCTTTCCTTCTCCTCCCCCCCACCCCCACCCCCAGCCTCCCAGGTCCTCCTCCTCCTCCTTTTTCATTTCCTTCAGCTGGGCTCTCTTACTTGTATTGCTCGGTTGCTCACGCTGGTCTCAAACTCCTGGCCTTGACACTTCTCCTGTCACATCCACTGTCTGGTTGTTGAAATGAGCATCTCTTGTAAAATGGAAAAGATGAAAAAAATAAAGAGAGAAAAAGCACGGAGTGAACGTTTCTCTTGCCGTCTCCCAGGGTGTACCTTGGACCCAAAAAGACAGCGGGAGCTTGGCTGAGTGGGTTTTCAGGGCTAAATCCTCCTGAGGGCCTCCTTCCCTCTCCCCCTTGTCCTCGCTTCTCCCCCAGCCAAGGCTCCCACCACGGCCATGGCATTTTCCATAGGAGAGGTATGGGAGAGGACTGACGCGGCTTCCAGATCTATATCCTTCCAGACGTCTCTGCCTCAGCGTCCCCCACTGGCCACCTGCCACCTTTCAGGGAGCTCTGAGGCGGAAGCCCCCATCACGTCCCGCTACCCTCCCACAGCTGGCCTTTGCCAGGCAACGGCAGGGGAAGCGCGTTGACGCTGCTTTCGAATCCTCCGGCAAAGACTTCCACCAGATGCCCCGCGTGGGCCGGATGGGATGAGACTGGACCACCCCGGACCGTGCTGTTCTTGGGGGTGGGTTGAGGTACAGGGTGAGCTGGCAGCCCCAGCATTGTAAAGGGTGCGCAGGTATGGAAATGTCACATAGGATGCCCTCCTTCCCATCAGGCTGACTTCAGCTTCCTCAGGCCTGAAGACAACTTCACATCAGAACCTCTTTTCTTCCCTTTCTCCACCACACACATGAGACGCATGAGAGGGAGAAACAGCTCAATAGATACTGCTGACCTTCATTTGTGGAATCCTCAGTCATCTACAGACAGACAGGTGACTAGACAAGGACCCAAATCAAACACCATTTCCAGGTCCTCATGGTGGGATTGGTCTCTCTCTCTCTCTCTCCTACACACACACACACACACACACACACACACACACACACACACACAATTTCCACATCTAGTTCACAAACCACACTCACTCACTCTTTTCACAGTACGCAGGCTGAGTAAAACCCACCCCACCCTCCACCCGTCGGCTGACGAAACCCCTTCTCTACAATTTATTAAAAAGATTATCTGGGCTGGGCACTGTAGCTCATGCCTGTCATTCCAGCACTTTGGGAGGCCGAGGCGGGTGGATCACTTGAGGCCAGGAGTTCAAGACCAGGCTGGCCAACATGGCAAAACCCCGTCTCTCTGAAAAATAAAACAATTAGCCAGGCCTGGTGGCGTGGGCTTGTAATCCCAACTGCTCAGGAGACTGGGATGGGCGAGTTGCTCCAACCAGGGAGGCTGAGGTTGCAATGAGCTGAGATCATGCCAGGGCAATCCAGCCTGGATGACAGAGCGAGACCCTGTCCCAATAGAATCTTAATATCATTATAAGATGAGTTGCGTGTGGTGATGGCCGCCTGTAGTCACAGCTACTCGGGAGGTTGAGATAAGGAGAAGATCACTTGTGGTCCCACAGGTCGAGGCTTCAGTAAGCCGTGACCCACTGTATCCTGGGCCATCACCAGTCAAGGAGATATGCCCCCTCCCCGTTTTCTTTTTTTCTCTTCCCTTCTCTTTTCTTTTTTTTTCTTCTCTTTTCTTCTTTCTTTCTTTCTTTCTTTGTTTTTCTTCTTTCTTTCTCTCTTTCTTCTTTCTTTCTTTCTTTCTTTCTTTCTTTCTTTCTTTCTTTCTTTCCTTCTTTCCTTCTTTCCTTCTTTCTTCTTTCCTGCCTTACTGCCGTTCTGCTTTTCTTCTTTCCTCACTTCCTCCCTTCCTTCTTTCCTCCTGCCTTGGCCTGCCAAATTGCTGGGATGACTGGCGTGAGGCACCGTGCCTGCTTGGCCTAAAGAGACACCCTTTGAAAGTAAGACACAGAGAGCGACTTCCAGTGATCTGATTGACTGATTTAGACACAACATCTCACTCTGTCACCCCGGCAGTGGTGCCATCGTAACTCACTCACTGCAGCGTGGACGTTCCTGGACTCCAGGGATCCTTCCACCTCAGCCTCCAGAGTACAGTACCTGGAACAACAGGCATGCGCCACTGTGCCCAGACCATTTTTATTTTATTTTATTTTCCTGAGACAGAGTTTCTCTCTCGTTGCCTAGACTGCAGTGCAGTGGCGCGATCTTGGCTCACCGCAACCTCAGCCTCCCGGGTTCAAGCGATTCTCCTGCATCAGCCTCCCGAGTAGCTGGGATTGCAGGCATGCGCCACCACGTCTGGCTGATTTTGTATTTTTAGTGGAGACCGGGCTTCTCCATGTTGGTCAGGCTGGTCTCTAACTCCCGACCTCAGATGATTCGCCCTCCCCGGCCTCCCGAAGTGCTGGGATGGCAGGCGTGAGCCACTGCGCCCGGCCTTCATTTTTAAATGTTTTTCCACAGACAGGGTCTCATCATTTTGTTGCAACCCTCCTGACCCGGCGTCTCAAAGTGCTGGCGTGACGGGCGTGAGCCACTACGCCTGGACTCCAGAGAATGATTCACGACCACTACCGCTGTACTGATTCGTTCTTTCTTATTTATTGATGAATTATTTTCTTATTTATATTTGTTTATTTATTTTCAGACCGAGTCTTGCTCTGGGCGAGGCGAGGAGGGGCGTCGCTTTGGAAGCCACGGCACCGCCTTGTAAAGCCCCATTCATAAGCACAAAGCCCTATTCCCTTCCTGGAGTTGGAGCTGATGCCTTCCATAGCCTTGGGCTTCTCTCCATTCAGAAGCTTTGACAGGGGCAACCCCACCCAGAGGCTGGCTGAGGCTGAGGATTACGGGGTGTGATGGGGCTGGAAAGTGGGTCCCCTATTTTTGATAGCTCAGCCAAGACATCCCCCGACCCCCATCGCTTGCTCACCCTTTGAGATCCCCCGCCTCCACCGCCTTGGAGGCTCACCTGTTACTTTAATTTCTGTCTTTCTCCCTTTCTTGCGTTTGAGGAGGGGGTGCAGGAATGAGGGTGTGTGTGGGAAGGGGGTGAGGGGTGGGGACGGAGGGGAGCGTCCTAAGGGTCGATTTAGTGTCATGCCTCTTTCACCGCCACTACCGAAGATGAAAGCAACAATCAGCTAAATACCGCGTGTTCTCATCTACAAGTGGGAACTTATAGATGAGAGTTCTTGCATGGGCAGAACGAGGGGGACCAGAGACGCGGGAGCCTACTTGAGGGAGGAGTGGAAGGAGAGACAGCTTCAGGGAAAAACAAAACACGAAAACTGTCGGACACAGCGCTGAGTATCCGCGTGATGAAATCATCTGCACACTGAACCCCCCCGTCAGAAGTTTACTTATGTAACAATCTTGCACATGTATGCTTGGACAAGAAATAAAAGTTGGGGGGAGGGGGGGAGGAGGGGAGAGAGAGAGAGAGAAGTAAAATGAAACACCACCTCCTTGACCTGAGTCAGGGGGTTTCTGGCCTTTCGGGGGAAAGTTCAGCGACAATGCAATATTTGGGTCTGTTTTGTTTTTTTTTTTCTTCTTTTCTTTTTTTTGGACTGAGTCTCTCTCGCTCTGTCACCCAGGCTGCAGTGCAGTGGCGCTCTCTCGACTCACTGAAACCACTGCTTCCTGGGTTCCAGTGATTCTTCTTCAGTAGCTGGGATTACGGGCGCACACCACCACAGCCGGCTAATATTTCTATTTTTAGTAGAGACGGGGTTTCTCCATGTTGGCCACACTGGTATCATACCCTTGACCTCAAGTGACCCGCCCTCCTGGGCCTCCCAAAGTGCTGGGACGACAGGCCTGAACCACCGGGATTTCAGCCTTTAAAAGCACGGGCCCTGCCACCTTTCCCTGTGGCCCTTACACTCAGAATGACGTGTCCTCCCTGCCATAGGTTGACTCCTTGAGTCCCCTATGCCATTGCACTCTAGCCTGGGCAGCAAGAGCGAAACTCCGTCCCCCCACCTTCCCGCGCAAAAAATAAATAAATAAATAAATAAAATCTCTAGGTGTGTTCCCAAGAGTGATGTCTAAGAAATGGCACTGTACACTGAACGCAGTGGCTCACGTCTGTCATCCCGAGGTCAGGAGTTGGAGACCAGCCTCGCCAACATTGTGAAACCCTGTCTCTACTGAAAATACGAAACTGAGTCAGGCACGGTGGGGCAGGCACCTGAAATCCCAGCTACATGGGAGGCTGTGGCAGAAGAATCGCTTGAACTTGGCAGGCGGAGGTTGCAGTGACCCAAGGTTGCGCCACTGCACTACAGCCTGGGCGACAGAGCGAGACTCAGTCTCCAAATAAATAAATAAATAAATAAATGAAAGAAAGAAAAAAAGAAAAGAAAAGAAAGAGAAAATAAAAGAAAAGGCACTGTATCGCTACTGGGCTAGGACCTTCTCTCTTTCTATCTGTTTCTCTCTGTCTCTCTCTGTTCGTCTCTGTCTTTCTCTCTGTGTCTCTTTCTCTGTCTGTCTGTCTCTTTCTTTCTCTCTGTCTCTGTCTCTCTGTCTCTCTGTCTCTCTCTCTCTCTGCCTCTCTCACTGTGTCTGTCTTCTGCCTTACTCACTTTCTCTGCCCGTCTGTCTCTCTCTCTCCCTCGCTGTCTGTTTCTCTGTGTCTCTCTCTGTCTCTGTTTTTCTCTGTCTGTCTCTTTCTCTGTCTGTCTGCTTCTCTCTTTATTTCTCTGTGTCTCTGTCTGTCTCTCTCTCTCTGTCTCTTGCTCTCTGTGCCTATCTTCTGTCTTACTTTCTCTGCCTGTCTCTGTCTCTCCCTCCCTTTCTGTTTCTCTCTCTCTCTCTCTCACTTTCTCTCTGTCTGTTTCTCTCTGTCTCTCTCTCTTTCTGTTTCTCAGTGTCTCTCTCTGTCCATCCCTGTCTTTCTCTGTCTCTTTCTGTCTCTGTCTCTCTGTCTCTCTGCCTGTCTCTCTCACTATGTCTGTCTTCTGTCTTACTCTCCTCTGCCTGTCCATCTGTCTGTCTCTCTCTCTCCCTCCCTTTCTGTTTCTCTCTGTTTCTCTGTTTCCTGTTTCTCTCTGTTTCTCTGTTTCCTGTTTCTCTCTCTCTCTGTCTGTCTCTCTCTGTCTCTTTGTCTGTCTGTCTCTCTCTCTCTCTCTGCCTGTCTCACTGTGTCTGACTTCTGTCTTTCTCTCTCTCTCTGCCTGTCTCACTGTGTCTGTCTTCTGTCTTACTCTCTTTCTCTGCCCATCTGTCTGTCTCTCTCTGTCTGTTTCTCTCTGTCTCTCTCTGTCCATCTCTGTTTTTCTCTGTCTGTGTCTTTCTCTGTCTGCCTCTCTCTTTCTTTTTCTGTGTCTCTCTGTCTGTCTCTCTCTCTCTCTCTGTGCCTATCTTCTGTCTTACTCTCTTTCTCTGCCTGTCTGTCTGTCTCTCTTTCTCTGTCTGTCTCCCTCCCTCCCTCTCTGTTTCTCTCTGTCTGTCTCTCTCTCTTTCTGTTTCTGTCTGTCTCTCTTTGTCCATCTCTGTCTTTCTCTCTCTGTCTCTTTCTCTGTCCCTCCCTTTCTTTCTCTGTCTGTCTCTCTGTCTCTGTCTCTCTCACTGTGTCTGTCTTCTGTCTTACTCTCTTTCTCTGCCTATCTGTCAGTCTCTCTCTCTCTGTCTGTCTGTCCCCCTCCCTTTCTGTTTCTCTCTCTGTCTCTCTTTCTCTTTGTCTCTCTCTGTCCGTCTCTTTCTCTCTCTTTGTCTTTCTCTCTGTCTCTGTCTCTCTCTCTCTGCCTGTCTCTCTCACTGTGTCTCTCTTCTGTGTTACTCTCTTTCTTTGTTTATCTGTCTCTCTCTCCCTCCCTGCCTTTCTGTTTCTCTCTCTCTGTCTCTCTCAATTTCTGTCTGTTTCTCTCTGTCTCTCTCTATCTCTGTTTCTCTCTGTCTCTCTCTGTCTGTCTCTGTCTTCCTCTGTCTGTCTGTCTCTCTCTTTCTTTTTCTGTGGCACGATCTCGGCTCACTGCAACCTCCACCTCCCAGATTCATGCCATTCTCCTGCCTCAGCCTCCCGAGTAGCTGGGACTACAGGCACCCGCCACCACACCTGGCTATATTTTTTGTATTTTTAGTATAGACGGGGTTTCACCGTGTTAGCCAGGATGGTCTTGATCTCCTGACCTCGTGATCCACCCACCTCGGCCTCCCAAAGTGCTGGGATGACAAGCATGAGCCATCGTGCCCGGCTTGTCTCTTTCTTTTTCTCTATCTGTCTGTCTCTCTCTCTGTGCCTGTCTCTCTGTCTGTGCCTATCTTCTGTCTTACTCTCTTTCTCTGCCTGTCTGTCTGTCTCCCATTCTCTGTCTGTCTCCCTCTCTCTGTCTGTCTCCCTCCCTCCCTGTCTGTCTGCTTCTCTCTGTCTCTGTCTCTCTCTCTTTCTGTTTCTGTCTGTCTCTCTCTCTCCATCTCTGCTTTCTCTCTCTGTCTCTTTCTCTGTCTGTCTCTCCCTCTGTCTCTCTCTGCCTGTCTCTCTCACTGTATCTGTCTTCTGTCTTACTCTCTTTCTCTGCCTATCTGTCTGTCAGTCTCTCTGTCTCTGTCTCTCTCCCTCCCTTTCTGTTTCTCTCTCTCTCTCTTTCTGTTTCTGTCTCTCTCTGTCCGTCTCTTTCTCTCTCTTTCTTTGTCTTTGTCTCTGTCTCTCTCTCTCTCTGCCTGTCTCTCTCACTGTGTCTTCTGTCTTACTCTTTTTCTCTGCCTTTCTGTCTCTCTCCCTCCATGTCTCTCTCTCTCTCACTCACTCTCCATCTCTCTCTCTTTCTGTCTGTTTCTCTCTATCTCTCTCTGTCCGTCTCTGTCTTTCTATGTCTGTCTCTTTCTGTGTCAGTCTGTCAGACACCTCATGACGGGGAGGGCTCTGCCCCTTCCACGAAAGTGAGAAGTGCATGCTTAGGTGCTTAGAGAGGCTGAGAAGAATCTAGACAGACGGGCCTTGCTGGGCTTCCCCACTCGGTGTATGATTTCGGGAGGTCGAGGCCGGGTCCCCACTTGGATGCAAGGGGCATTTTCAGACTTTTCTGTCTGTCACGTGTGGCGTCTGTACTTCTCATATTTCCCTGATAAGTTCCTCAACTTAAAAGTAAACGGTTAAGGCCGGGCGTGGTGGCTCACATCTGTCATCCCAGCACTTTGGGACGCCGAGGCGGGTGGATCACCTGAGGTTGGGAGTTCGAGACCAACCTTGCCAACACAGCGAAACCCCGTCTCTACTAAAAATACAAAACTGAGTCAGGAGCGGTGGGGCAGGTGCCTGTAATGCCAGCTACTTGGGAGGCTGAGGCTGGAGAATCGCTTGAACCTGGGAGGCGGAGGCTGCAGTGAGCTGAGATCGCACCACTGCACTACAGCCCAGGCTGTAGAGTGAGTGAGACTCTGTCTATAAATAAATACATACATACATACATACATACATACATACATACATACATACATACATACATTCTTTTCCGTGCTGACTGACATTTGCAGGCATCGGTTGTCTTCGGGCATCACCTAGCGGCCACTGTTATTGAAAGTCGAGGTGACACAGAGGGAGGTCTCCCAGACTTCACCGAACCTGGGGCAACCGGTTTCTCTCTCTCCCTTCTGGAGGCCCCTCCCTCTCTCCCTCGTTGCCTAGGGAACCTCTGCCCTGGCTGGGGCCCTATTGTTCTTTGATCAGAGCTTTAGTTTTCTTTGTGTGTTGGTTTCTTTCGTGTGCATAGACTCTTCTACTTGGGATTTAGGAGGGGTCAGTTTAATTTTCAAGTCGCCCCTCGGCTCCCCCCACTACCCACGTCCCTTTACCTTCATTTAGTGAGTCAGTTAGGTGGGTTCCCCCCAAACCCCCACCCCCCGCCTCCCAACACCCTGCTTGGAAACCTTCCGGAGCCACCCCGGTGTGCCTCCGTCTTCTCTCCCCTTCCCCCACCCCTTGCCGGCGATCTCATTCTTGCCAGGCTGACATTTGCATCGGTGGGCGTCAGGCCTCACTCAGTGGTCACCGTTTTTGAAGATGGGGGTGGCACGGTCCCACTTCCCCAGAGGCAGCTTGGGCCGATGGCATAGCCCTTGACCCGCGTGGGCAAGCGGGCGGGTCTGCAGTTGTGGGTTTCTTCCCCCGCTTCCCTCCTCAGGCCTCCCTCCCTAGGAAAGCTTCACTCTGGCTGGGTCTCAATCACCTTTTATCATGATGTTTTAGTTTCTCCTCCCTCCGGCCAACATAGTTTCACAATGGGAAGGGCGTCACAGCTCTAATCTGGGCCTTCTTAGCATTTGCCCAAAATAGAAACGGTTTCTGAAAACTAATACTTTGCTCACTTAAGATTTCCAGGGACGGTGCATTGGCCCGTGTTCGTTGGCTTGTTTTGTTTTGTTCGTGTTTTTCCTTTTTCGTATGTATTTCTTTTCAGGTGAAGTAGAAATCCGCAATTTTCAGGAAGACGTATATTTTCCCCAAGACACATTAGCTGCTGTTTTCTCCTGTTAACTAGAGCTTTTGTGAATCTCTCAACGTGTAGTGAGAGCCCGTTGATGTTTACTAGACTTCAGAACATCTTATGTTCTAGAAACCCGTAAGCGAATGCTGCTGCTGCTCTTGTTGCTGTTGTTGTTGTTTTCAAAGCACACCTCGGCCACCGTTTACGGGATCAAAAGCGTTATAAAATATGTGTAATTATTTCCTGAGCACGCCCTTCCTGCTCCTCTCTCTGTCTCTCTGTCTGTCTCTGTCTCTCTCTTTCTCTGTTTTCTCTCTCACTCTCTCTGTCTCTCTCTCTCTGCCTATTTCTCTCTCTCTCTGCCTGTCTTTCTCACTGTGTGTGTCTTCTGTCTTACTCCCTTTCTCTGCCTGCCTGTCTCTCTCTCTATGCCTGTCTGTCTCTCTCTCTCTCTCCCTGTTTGTCTGTCTGTTTCTGTCTGTCTCTGTCTCTGTCTCTCTCTCTGTTTCTCGCTGTCCCTCTCTCTGTTTCTCTCTGTCCATCTCTCTCTGTCTCTTTCTTTCTCTCTGTCTCTCTCTCTCTGTGTCTCTCTCTCTCTCTGCCTGTCTCACTGTGTCTGTCTTCTGTCTTTCTCTGCCTGCCTGTCTCTCTCTTTCTCTCTCTGTCTCTCTCTCTTTGTTTCTCTCTGTCCGTCTCTGTCTTTCTCTGTCTCTTTGTCTGTCTGTCTGTATCTCTCTTTCTTTCTCTGTCTCGCTGTCTCTGTCTATCTCTCTCTCTGTCTCTCTCACAGTGTCTGTCTTCTGTCTTATTCTCTTTCTCTGCCTGTCTGTCTGTCTGTCGGCCTCTCTCTCTCTCTCTCCCTGTCTGTCTGTCTGTCTCTCCCTGTTTTTTTCTCTCTCTCTTTGCCTGTGTGTTTCTCTGTCTCTGTCTCTCTGTCTCTCTCTCTCTCTGCCTGTCTCTCTCTCTCTTTGTCTGTCTTCTGTCTTACTGTCTTTCTCTGCCTGTCTGTCTATCTCTCTCTCTCTCCTTGTCTGTTTCTCTCTCTGTCTCTGTCTGTCTCTCTCTTTCTGTCTGGTTCTCTCTCTCCCTCTGTCTGTCTCTTTCTCTGTCTCTTTCCCTCTGTCTGTCTCTTTCTTTCTCTCTGTCTCTCCATCTGTCTCTGTCTCTCTCTGTGTGTGTCTGCCATCTGTCTTACTCTCTTTCTCTGCCTGTCTGTCTGCCTGTCTGTCTGTCTCTCTCTGTCTGTCTCTCTCTCTCTCTTTCTGTTTCTCTCTGTCTCTGTCCATCTCTCTCTTTCTCTGTGTCTTTATCTGTCTGTCTGTCTCTCTCTTTCTGTCTTTCTCTCTTTGTGTATCTTTGTGTCTCTGTCTCTCTCTCTCTCGCTCGCTCTCTGGCTCTCGCTGTCTCCCACCCTCTCTTTCTTTGCAAAATAAGTTCAAGTGCATCTAATCTAATCCATTACCACAGCCTGAATTCTTAACTTTAGACATCCCAGATTTGATCTCCCTACCGAACGCTGTACAGAACTGGTGAGTCAATTTCTGGACTTGGATACCTCATAGATACTACATATTAATAAAGATCCAGCCCTAAAATCTGGGGTTGCATCTCCCTCGACTGTCTCAAAAAATCATACCTCTGTTCACCTAGGATGCTGGGAGGGTTTTCTCAATGTGCATCTGCTCGTGTCCTTCATGACCTGTGACCGAGCCCTGTCTGTTCTGTCTCAAATATGTATCTGCAAACACTTCTCTCCATTTCCACAACTACCCACGGCCCATTGTGGAACCACTGGCTCTTTGAAAAAAAATCCCAGAAGTGGCTTTGGCTTTTTGACTAGGAGGTCTAAACCTGCTGAGAACGTTTCTGCCCAGTATTCTGTGTGAACAAAAGTGCCTCTGCTGGGAGCTGGGATCCTCCAGACCATGCTTGCTAGCGCTGGATGAGTCTCTGGAAGGACGCGCGGGACTCCGCAAAGCTGACTTGTCCCACCGAGATCAAATGGATACCTCTGCATTGGCCAGAGGCCTCCAACTTACATCACTGTGACCATCACCGTCAGCATCCTTGTGAGCCTGCCCAAGGCCCCAACTCCGGGGAGACTCTTGGGAGCCCGGCCTTCCTCGGCTAAAGTCCAAAGGGATGGTGACTTCCACCCACAAGGTCCCCAGTGAACTGTGAAGATGTGGAGCATAGGTCAGAGAGGGGACCAGGAGGGGAGACGTCTTGACAGGCGATGAGTTCCCTAGGCTCTGGCCACCCCACTCACGTCCCACGTCCCGGACACCAGCAGGGCACCGCCGCTTTATCCCCTTCTCTGTCCATAGCCGCCCCCACCCCACCCCACCCCACCCCGAAACCCACGCACACACGCTGGAGGTTACAAAACCACACGGCGTGAATAGAGCCCGACGGAGCGAGAGCTCATTTCACGAGGCAGGGGGGTGGGTTCGGGTGGGGTGGGGATTGGGGGTCTGTAGAGAGCCCGATTCTCCCTCGTGGGTGGCTACAGGATACAAATGAATATCGCTTCTTGGGCGGAGGGGCTTCCTTAGGCCGTCACATTTGCGGGACTATCTTTCAAACCCTTCCTTGAGGCCACAAAATAGATTCCACCCCACCCCTCGACGTTTCCCCGGGTGCTGGATGTATCCTGTCAAGAGACCTGAGCCTGACACGTTGAGTTAAACACCTTAACATCTTTATTGGCTTTGTGTGTTTGTTTCTGAGAGGGAGTCTTGCTCTGTCCCTCGCCCTGGCTGGAGTGCAGTGGTGTGATCTCAGCTCACTGCAACCTCTACCTCCTGGGTTCGAGCGATTCTCCTGCCTCAGCGCCACCAAGCCTGGCTCATTTTTTTATTTTTAGTAGACACGGGGTTTGACCCTGTTTCATTGGTTTTCACTGGAGATTCTAGATTCGAGTCACACCTCATTGTGTGCCACATAATGACTTCTTTTTTTTTTCTTTTTTTTTTTTAAAGCACAATATATCTGCTTTATTTGAGTGGCTTTGTATATCGTTATAATTGTGTTATAGATGAAGAAAAGGTATTAAACACGGTGCTAATGATAGTGAAAGTGAAAACAAAGAAAGGCTATCTATTTTATAGTTAGAATAAAGTTGCTCAGTATTTAGAGTTACCGAAATACATCAGCATTTAAACTCCTCCTAGTAAAAGCTTGCTAATCTGAATAATCCTCCTTTAAACACAATTTTTGATATGGTTAAGGTTTTTAAGAATGTGACTCCTGCAGAATAGCTGAACAGACAATACACAATTGAAAAAGAACAACACAAGGATCAACCAGACTTGGGAAAAAATCAAAAACAACACAAGTCTTATGAAGAACTGAGTTCTTAAAATATTACGGATAACATAGCTATCAGAAGAGAAGGCAGTATTGGTAAGTTGATTGTTACATTTGTCAGCAGAAGCTAGCACTATTTTTTTGTCAATCTTTCAGGCACTGCAACTACTACTGCAAAATGAGATATAATCCATTGAACAACATATTCACAAATCAAAAAATGTTTTAGTAATATAATGCTTCAGATTTAGAAGCAAATCAAGGGTTAAAACTCAGCTGCTATAATAATTAAACCCAAAGATAACCGTATCTGACAAAAAAGCTTCCACAGAGTTATGACTTCAGAATTGTAGTTTCTCTTGATATTCATTTATTTATTTATTTTTTTCTTGAGACGGCGTCTTGCTCTGTCGCCCAGGCTGGAGTGCAATGGCGTAGTCTTGGCTCACTGCAACCTCCACTTCCCAGGTTCCAGCGATTCTCCTGCCTCAGTCTCCTGAGTAGCTGGGACTACAGGCACCCGCCACCATGCCCAGCTACTTTTTATACTTTTAATAGAGACGGGGTTTCACCATGTTGGCCAGGATGGTCTCGATCTCTTGACCTTGTGACCCGCCCGCCTCAGCCTCCCAAAGAGCTGGGATGACAGGCATGAGCCACCGTGCCTGGCCTTCTCTTGATATTTAAACGTTTAAGTCAGTCCAGAAAAATACAATACATGTCAACAGTAAGTATGGTGTTGAGGCGGAAGTAGGACCAAACATTTTCATATGTTATTCAGTTGATAACAATGTGACCTGGGTAGTAATTTCCTATGTGTCTACTTATACACAAGTACAAAAAAGTAAAACAGAGATACTGCTAAGTAAAAGGGTACACTAACTTCTTAATAGTAACTCAATAAACTAGAACACTGTCAAAAAGCAGCAACTAGTGAATTTTTTCAGTGTTTTTTTCTATTATCCAATAAGTGAATTATGCTATTCCTTTCCAATTTCCCAAGCACTTTTTGTCCCAATCACCATTTCTGTGTTCAAAGAAAAAGTAACAAATGAAGTAACAAAACTAAACAAGCAAACAAACAAACAAAACACAACTACAGTATCTGCAAAAGTTTGGTAGAAGACTGAAACTCTTGAGTATAAGGATCTGGTATTCTATTATCATTAGTTAACTTAAGAGTTTGTTAAAGACACACATTTCATAAGAAAACATGTTAGTTTGAAGTTATTGACCAGTATGTACCATCCCTAAGTATTAGTAACCAAATTCATGACAATAAAGAGCTATCTAACAAGAAAAGTTAGTGACTACCAGCACCATCAACAAGACTTTGTCTTTACATATCATTGCCACTTACCATGCATTATAATGTCTAGGATTGACTCTGACAGCATTTCAAAAACTAGCTAATGCTTTGTCCAATTCTCAGTTAAGACAAACTCTCGCCCTAATAGAGTATAGGCATAAGCATAATTTGGATCCACTTGGATAGCTCTCTGGAAGAATTTAATTGCAAT
This sequence comes from Homo sapiens, assembly GCF_000001405.40. Taxonomy (NCBI): domain Eukaryota; kingdom Metazoa; phylum Chordata; class Mammalia; order Primates; family Hominidae; genus Homo; species Homo sapiens. The sequence continues at coordinate 132,262,933 of NC_000002.12, read as the reverse complement.
ATCGTGTTCCTGTTGCAGACTGAAACGTTCCCTGCAGCACACCAGGCCTCTGGGAAATTTTTATCCATGTCTGTTAAGTCTTTTGACAGAACTGAAAGAGCAACATCTTTTTGAAGATGCCAAAGTGTTGTAGAGTAGATTTCCATGCCTTCGACTCTATAATTCTCAATCCTTCTAACCTCTGAGAATATTCTTTCAGCTTGCATGTACTCTGAAAGTTCAAAATAGACCCTTCCAATTTGGCATAGTACCCAACCAGTATTGTAGTGGTGAGAAGGTAGATGGCTCAAAATATTTATAGCTTCTTTGCAGTGGTATGAACACAAAGCTAAATAACCTTTCCCCCTTTCACGAAAAAGGCTCATCAAGCCTTCTGCTGCTGCTTTTTGTAGATTAAAAGCCTGAATCTGAGGTGTGATTGTGGATATTTTCCCTTCTGAAATGATGGAAGAGTCCAATTTTGTAATTTCCAGGCTATCATTTATGTTAGGTTGAGTTATTCCTCCTTTATTAGTTTTACTTTTTGTTTTTCTGTTTGGGATTTTAGGTGGAAACTTCATTTTTAATTTCTTCCTATTCTCCTTGGTTGTGGAACTGTCACTAGTAGAGTCGTGAACTTCAATGCAGCACATTTGGGGGAGATGCCATAGTGGGGCTCAATACCTGAGGTGTTGAACTTATTTATGGACCAGAACTTTGTGTTTGTGCAAGAATTGGAGTTACCTCTCGGCTATTTCCACCCTGTGAGAAGACAGACTTTGCTCCAGTTTGGCCGATTCTGGCAACAGACTTTTTTTAAGGGGATCCGGTGGATGGCACATCAATTTCAGAAGGTGTATTAGTGTAGTTTTGTAAATAGGATCCATCTCCAGGACTTGGGGTTTCTAATGGCAAAATCCCAAAACTTGGGGTTAATGGACTAAGAGCTGCTGGTCCTCCTAATAAACTTCAACCAGTTTTTGGTTTATTTTGAACCTGTTTAGAAAATATGGAAGTTCCTGTTCCCAGTGGGAGAGTATCAGGTGAAATTACAGCTGAATCAATAGAAGACACTGGGGAATCTGTATTCAAGGAGTACTTTGAATTGGAAGATTCTAAATTCAATCTGTTTAATTCAGTTGTGTCCTGTGGTGTTTCCGTGAGAACAGTCTCAGGCTGTCTGTGACATAAACTATGATTAGGTACTTGTGCTGTGCAAGAGTTGGGCAGACAGTTGCTAAAGTTCTGTGAAGATGTGAATTTAAATGTTTGGTCAGGATCTGGCTTTTCACCTATTTCACATAATGATTCGAAGGGATACCAGAGGAAAGGATTTAAACTAAGGCTCTTTTGGTAACATTCTGATCCTTTGGCAAGCCAATCTGTCTTGCAATATACATGTACCAACAATGGAAGGGGAAAGCAAGCTCAATCACCAAACTCAGTAACAATATCATCATGGCTTTTCTGCTTATGAAACACTCCACCAGATAAGATTTGTTCCCCTTCTGAAAGCTTGCTAAGATCAACACAACATTTTGCAAGCAGGTATTTGCATTGTGGTGTAGGACAACTGTGTCCTTTCAAGAGTCTATATGTTTTATAGGCCTTTCCTGGGCGGTAAGAACAGGTCGCCTGTAAAAACAAGGCTTCTTCTGAGTGTACTTCTGCATAAAGGCGTTCTGCGAGGAAAACCCCATCTCAGTAAGCATAGTGGTTTAGTGCTTGCCATATAGCAGCCTAGACGGGTTCCTGCAACACCGTCATCCTCGAGGCTCAGACCCACTTTCTGCAGTGCCTCAGGCACCCCCCACCACCCCGCCCACCCCCCTCCCCGCCAATAGCGGCTCCGGCCTTGCCAGCCTCAGCTCATTTAAACTCACGAGTTTTGTAGGTTGCCTGTTCACTCTGATGGTAGTTTCTTTTGTTGTGCAGAAGCTCTTTAATTAGATCCCATTTGTCAATTTTGGCTTTTGTTGCCATTGCTTTTGGTGTTTTAGACATGAAGTCCTTGCCCATGCCTATGTCCTGAATGGTAATGCCTAGGTTTTCTTCTAGGGTTTTTATGGTTTTAGGTCTAACGTGTAAGTCTTTAATCCATCTTGAATTGATTTTTGTATAAGGTGTAAGGAAGGGATCCAGTTTCAGCTTTCTACATATGGCTAGCAAGTTTTCCCAGCACCATGTATTAAATAGGGAATCCTTTCCCTATTGCTTGTTTTTCTCAGGTTTGTCAAAGATCAGATAGCTGTAGATATGTGGCATTATTTCTGAGGGCTCTGTTCTGTTCCATTGATCTATATCTCTGTTTTGGTACCAGTACCATGCTGTTTTGGTTACTGTAGCCTTGTAGTATAGTTTGAAGTCAGGTAGTGTGATGCCTCCAGCTTTGTTCTTTTGGCTTAGGATTGACTTGGCAATGCAGGCTCTTTTTTGGTTCCATATGAACTTTAAAGTAGTTTTTTCCAATTCTGTGAAGAAAGTCATTGGTAGCTTGATGGGGATGGCAAAGGAATCTAGAACTAGAAATACGATTTGACCCAGCCATCCCATTACTGGGTATATACCCAAAGGACTATAAATCGTGCTGCTATAAAGACTTATGCACACGTATGTTTATTGCAGCACTATTCACAATCGCAAAGACTTGGAACCAACCCAAATGTCCAACAATGATAGACTGGATTAAGAAACTGTGGCACATATACACTATGGAATACTATGCAGCCATAAAAAATGATGAGTTCATGTACTTTGTAGGGACATGGATGAAATTGGAAATCATCATTCTCAGTAAACTATCGCAAGAATAAAAAACCAAACATCGCATATTCTCACTCATAGGTGGGAATTGAACAATGAGAACACACGGACACAGGAAGGGGAACATCACACTCTGGGGACTGTTGTGGGGTGGGGGAAGGTGGGAGGGATAGCATTAGGAGATATACCTAATGCTAGATGAGGAGTTAGTGGGTGCAGCACACCAGCATGGCACATGTATACATATGTAACTAACCTGCACATTGTGCACATGTACCCTAAAATTTAAAGTATAATAATAATAAAAATAAAAATAAAAAAAAAACTCACCAGTTACCAGGGGATGGGGGAGGCTGAGCCAGAATGACTTCTTTAGCCTGCCGACTCTGGAAAGCCCAGCCCCTTGTGATCCATTGCAAAGCGAGAGTCACCTCATGTTTGGAAAACAGATCCGCTCCCAAGTTCAGTGGAGGGATGTGGCATATAGGACGAAGGACTCTCTTCATTCTGATTCGGTCTGCACAGTGGGTCCTAAGGCTGGAGCTCTCTCTGTGTGGACCGCTGACTCCCTCTACCTTGGGTTCCATCGGCCCCACCCTGGGACACGGGCCTTGGCAGATTCTGGCCCTTCCTGGCCCTTAAGTCACTGTCAGAAACCCCATCTCACACTCGGATGCCCCGAAAGACTGTGGCTCGCGCATCTCTGGAAACATTGGAAATCTCTCCTCTATGCGTGGCCACCTAAAACCACAGGAGCTCGGGACACACAGCCGCCATCCACCTCACTGCTTTCGGGAGAGAATGCTGAGAGCCTCTCTCAGACTCTCTCTTGACTTGAGTTCTTCATGGGTGTGTGGTTAAGACGTAGTGAGACCAGATGTATTAACTCAGGTCGGGTGCTGGTGTCTCACACCTGTAACCCCAACACTTTGGGAGGCTGAGGCCATAGGATCCCTTGAGGAATCGCCTAACCCTGGGGAGGTTGAGGCTACAGTGAGTGAGCCATAATGGTGTCACTGCACTCCAGTCTGGGAGAAAGACAGAGTGAGGCCCTGTCACAGGCAGGCAGGCAGGCAGGCAGGCAGACAACAGTTGTATTATATTCTTCTCTGGGTAGGAAGTAAAAATAACAGAATACAGTGCTTAATTTTTTTTTTTTTTTTTTTTGAGACGGAGTTTCACTGTTGTTGCCCATGCTGGAGTGCAATGGCACCATCTCGGCTCACCGCAACCTCCACCTCCCGTGTTCAAGCGATTCTCCTGCCTCAGACTCCTGAGTAGCTGGGATTACAGGCATGTGTCACCACACCCGGCTGATTTTGTATTGTTAGTAGAGACGGCATTTCTCCATGTGGGTCAGGCGGGTCTCGAACTGGCCACCTCAGGTGATCTGCCCACCTCGGCCTCCCAAAGTGCTGGGATGACAGGCATGAGCATTTGAGACCCGCCAGCTATGTTTTTTATAAATTTTCAATTTTAATCTATTTATTATTATTTTTTTTTTGAGATGGAGTCTCACTGTGTTGCCCAGACTGGAGTGCAGTGGCATGATGTCGGCTCACTGCAAGCTCTGCCTCCCGGGTTCACGCCATCCTCCTGTCTCAGCCTCCCAAGTAGCGGGGACTACTGGCACCCGCCACGGCGCCTGGCTAATTTTTGGTATTTTGAGTAGAGACGGGGTTTCACTGTGGTAGCCAGGATGGTCTCGATCTCCTGACCGTCGTGATCCGCCCGCCTCGGCCTCCCAAAGTGCTGGGATTACAGGAGTAAGCCACCGCTCCCGGCCTACTTATCTATTTATTAACTTTGAGTCCAGTTTATGAAAACAGTTAGTTTTTGTATTTTTTTAGAGACGAGGTTTCACCATGTTGCCAAGGCCTGGATCGAGGGATCCACCTTCCCTCGCCTCCCAAAGTGCGGGGATGACAGGCGTGAGCCTACCACGCCCGGCTCCTCCCCTTCACCCCCCAGCTTATCCCTCAGGTGCCCGAGGTCGAGTGGTGGTGTGTGGTTCCCACCCCCAGCGCCCCCTCCTCCGGTCACCGCCGCGATGTCCACCAGTGGGTCCTGAGGGAGCTCGTTGGTGTGGGGGTCGAGGCGGTTGAGTGAGACGCGCCCCTCCCACGCGGGGAAGGGTGCCGCCTGATCTGGCGAGCGCAGGTCCCGTGCTCCCCTCTGGCGGCTGCGCACGGGCCGTGTGAGCTATTGCGGTGGGCTGGGGCAGATGACGCGTGCGCCGGCCGGCCGCCGAGGGGCTACCGTTCTGCCTCCGACAGGTTGTGTGTGGGTTTACTTGGAGGTGCTTTGCCTGGGAGAAAGGAGGCTGGTGGACTAGGGGGCCCTTCGGGGATTGCGCGCACGCGCAGCGGCCAGGCCCCCTGCCCAGACCGCGAAGGCTCAAGGTTGCCGCACGCAGATTTTTCCTGGTACCGCAGGCCCCCTCCCTTCCCCAGGCGTCCCTGAGCGCCTCTGCGGGCCCGACGAGGGGCGACTGGCGTGTGGGGAGTGTGACCCACCCTCGGTGAGAAAGCCTTCTCTAGCGATCTGAGAGGTGTGCCTTTGGGGTACCGGATCCCCCGGCCTGCCGCCTCTCTTTGCGTTATGGTAGCGCTGCCGTGGCGACTGGCTTGCAGAGGACCCTCCTCCACTTCCCCCTTGATGAGGTGAGTGGGGGAAAGCAAGGGTTCCGCCAGCCTCCGCGGTGGGGACCCAGGGAAGCTCGTCGCCTACTGTGTGGCCCGCGCCTTCCCCTTCCGAGTCAGGGGAGAATCCCGCCGGGCCGGGCCGGCGTCCTAGCGGTTGGGAGGCTGCGTGAGCGGTGGCTGTGCCTGGCGTTCAGTCCGGCTTGTGACCCGTTCCGCTGTGAGCCGGCTCTCTGCCCGCTCCCCTGCAGAGCAGCGACCGGTGCCGACGACCGTGTTTGCGTGGCACGGGGTTGGGCCGCCTGGCCCTGGGAAGCGTCCCAAGTGGGGGGCATGCCGGTCTCCTGGAGCTTGACCGGGTTGGAGGATGGATGAGAAACGAGCAACGTGGCCCTGGCGTTAGGTTTGTGGCTGAGGTCACCTCGGGGTCCTGATGGCGGGACCTGGGGCTCATGAGGCGGGTCTCGGTGGTGCCGAGGGCCGTCCGGCATCCTAGGCGGGTCGCTGCGGTACCTCCCTCCTGTCTGTGGCGGTGGGATCCCGTGGCCGTGTTTTCCTGGTGGCCCGGCCGTGCCTGAGGTTTCTCCCCGAGCCGCCCCTCTGCGGGCTCCCAGGTGCCCTTGCCCTCGCGGTCCCTGGCCTTGCCTGTCTGTGCCCCCCACCCTGCCCGCGGATCCTCTCTCCCCGAGCGGCTCACCGCCTTAGGCTGTGGTGGCCCCGTCTGGGACCAAACCCGGCTCTGCCTGGTGGGGCGCCGCCGCTAGCCACTGGTTGGCCCGTTGTCCGTGTCCCCGGGCGTGCGCCTTCGGGACCAGGTCGGCGGCACCCCGAGTGGGCCTGGTGGACACCCGGAGGGTTTGGGGTCGGCCAGCAGTGTGTGCAGGGAAGAGGGTTCAGGGGGCTGGCCGCGACAGTGGCGGCGGTGGGGAAGCCGCAGGCCCGCCGAAGGCCAGTCGGCCGCTCCAGGTGCCGCGAGGGGCCGCCTTCATGCCCCGAGGCCACTGGCGGTGAGACCCCAGGCACCGCGGTCCGCCTCTCCTTCGCTGCCCAAACGTCGGGGCCGCCCCGCGCCCTCCGCGCATGAGTGGCCGCCGGTCCCTCGCGGCTGCCGCACACGGGTCGGGCGGTCGGCCTCCTCGCACATGGGCACGAAGGGTCGGGAGTGGTGAGCCCGTCGGGGGGTTTTGTGTCCTGTGGGTGGATGGGATGTCCGGTTCGCCGCCCCACCACCCCCCTCCCACCACCCCAAGCTGCTCCCTCCCTCCCCCACGCCCCATCGCCCGCCCTGCCGCGCCCAATCTCGCAACTGGGACGCCGGGCTCATCCTCGCGAGTCCCAGAGGCCGCTTTCTACCTACCTGGTTGATCCTATCAGAACCATATGCTTGTCTCAAAGATTAAGCCATACATGTCTAAGTACGCAGGGCTGGTACAGTAAAACTGCGAATGGCTCATTAAATCAGTTATGGTTCTTTTGGTCGCTGGCTCCTCTCCTACTTGGAAAACTGTGGTAATTCTAGAGCTATTACATGCTGAAGGGCACTGACCCCCTTCACAGGGAAGATGCGTGCATTTATCAGATCAAAACCAACCCAGTCAGCCCCTCTCCGTCCCCGGCCGGGGGGTCGGGTGCCGCCAGCTTTGGTGCTTCTGGATAACCTCGGGCCAATCGCACGCCCCCCGTGGCAGCGATGACCCATTCGAATGTCTGCCCTATCAACTTTCTATGGTAGTCGCTGTGCCTATCATGGTGACCACGGGTGACAGGGAATCAGGGTTCAATTCTGGAGAAGGAGCCTGAGAAATGGCTACCACATTCAAGGAAGGCAGCAGACACTCAAATTACCCACTCCTGACACGGGGAGGTAGTGACGAAAAATAACAATACAGGACTCTTTCTAGGCCCTGTAATTGGAATGAGTGCACTTTAAATCTTTTAATGAGGATCAATTGGAGGGCAAGTCTGGTGCCAGCAGCCGTGGTAATTCCAGCTCCAATAGCGTATATTAAAGTTGTTGCAGTTAAAAAGCTCGTAGTTGAATCTTGGGAGCGGGTGGGCTAGCGAGCCACAGCCCGTCCCTGCTTCTTGCCTCTCGGTGCCCCCTGGATGCTCTTAGCTGAGTGTCCTGTGGCCCGAAGCACTTACTTTGAAAAAATTAGAGTGTTCAAAGCAGGCCCAAGCCGCCTGGATACTGCAGCTTGGAATAATGGAATAGGACCACAGTTCTATTTTGTTGGTTTTCGGAACTGAGGCCATGATTAAGAGGGACGGCCGGGGGCATTCATATTGCACCGCTAGAGGTGAAATTCTTGGACTGGCAGTTTAGACCAGAGCGAAAGCATTTGCCAAGAATGTTTTCATTAATCAAGAACGAAAGTCGGAGGTTCGAAGACGATCAGATACCGTTGTAATTCCGACCATAAACGATGCCAACTGGCGATGTGGCGGTGTTATTCCCATGACCCGCTGGGCAGCTTCCAAGAAACCAGTCTTTGGGTTTTTGGGTTCCGAGGGGAGTATGGTTGCAAAGCTGAAACTTAAAGGAATTGACAGAAGGGCACCACCAGGAGTGGAGCCTGCAGCTTAATTTGACTCAACATGGGAAAACTCACCCAGCCTGGACACGGACAGGATTGACAGATTGATAGCTCTTTCTCGATTCCACGGGTGGTGGTGCATGGCCTTAGTTGCTGGAGTGATTTGTCTGGCTAATTCCAATAACGAACGAGACTCTGGCATGCCAACTAGTTATGTGACCCTGGAGCGGTCGGCATCCCCCAACTTCTTAGAGGGACAAGTGGCGTTCAGCCACCTGAGATTGAGCAATAACAGGTCTGTGATGCCCTTAAATGTCCAGGGCTGCACGCGCGCTACACTGACTGGCTCAGCGTGTGCCTACCCTATGTGGCAGATGTGGGTAACCTGTTGAACCTCATTGGCGATGGTGATCAGGGATTGCAATTTTTCCCCATGAATGAGGAATTCCCAGTAAGTGCTGGTCATAAGCTTGCATGAAGTCCCTGCCCTTTGTACACACTGCAGTCGCTACTCCTGATTGGATGGTTTAGTGAGGCCCTCGGATCAGCCCGCTGGGTCAGCCCACTGCCCTGGCGGAACGCTGAGAAGACAGTCGAACTTGACTATCTAGAGGAAGTAAAAGTCGTAACAAAGTTTCGGTAGGTGAACCTGCGGAGGGATCATTAACAGAGAAGAGCGAAGCCACGGAGACGCCGCCATGTCCTTCCTCCTTGGCTGACCGTGTTCCCCTGTGGCGCATGCATGGGCGGAGTCGTGCCCTTTGTTCGTTGCATGGCCCCACCTGCCCCGAGAGCCAGAGAACTCGGGAGGGAGAGAGGGGGTAGAAAGAGACATGCGTGTGGGGATGAAACCGTGTGTGCGTGTCGTGGGGCGGGCTGGATGGCTCGCAGCCTGGTGAGCAGTGGGGAGCAGTCCCCTGCTGTGGCCCCCATGTGTGTGTCGGTGGGCGCGGGGGTGGTTCTCGGCGTCACGGTGGGGTGGGGGTCTCAGTGCCCTCCCCACTGGGGCTGTCATCGTGCCCTGTCCCACTGTCCCAGCCCCATCCTGCCCACTCCCTTTGGGGCTGGCCAGGTTCCCATCGCTGCCGCTGCCACCATCGTCACCTCTGCCAAACCATGCCACTGGCCCGGCCCGGCCCGCTTGCTCTCCCCAGCCTTCCCGCTAGGGGGTCTCGAGGGTAGGGGGCCGGATGCCGGTCCCACCCCCCTCATCCGCCCCCGCCATCCAGGTACCTAGCGCATTCTGGTGCAGAGGTTTAAGGACCCCTTGAGGGGTCGCCGGTCTGCCTGTGGGTCAGGTGCAGTGGGCCCACAGTGGAGTCCGTTCAGGAGGGGCCCGCCCCTCCCTCGCCTCCCCTGCCGACTCCGTCCCCCCGGCCAGCTGGGGCCACGCCACACTTGCGTGTCGCCACTGATGTCGGTGGGGGCTTTACCCAGTGGCCATCGTGCTGTCGTGCATGCTGCACGTGTGGCCTGTACCCCGCTCTGTGGGGGCGGGAACCCCTGGGCTCCCATGGGGTGGTGTCAGCGTTTGCCCCCCACTGTGGTCGGCACCACCTCTCTGTGTTGTGAAACCTTCCAACCCCTCTCTGGAGTCTGGTCCAGTTGCTGTCTGACTGGCCAGCCTGAGGTAACCCCTCTGGGTGACGTGCTGTGCCAGGAGGGCCTCCCGTTGTTGGGAGTGCCCTCGCCAAATCAACCTTGTATGACTTTTAGTGGTGGATCACTCAGCTCCTGTGTCAATGAACAACACAGCTAGCTGGGAGAATTAATGTGAACTGCAAGACACGTTGATCATCGACTCTTCGAATGCACTTGCGGCCCGGGTTCCTCCCAGGGCTATGCCTGTCTGAGCGTCACTTGCCAATCAAAATCCCCCAGGGTTGCCTCTGGGCTCCTCGGGGTGCATGACTGTTCCCTGGCAGGGCCCACGGGGCCCTCTGTCCCCCCAAGTGTAGACCGGTGACATTCGCCCTCCTATCCTGCTGTGCCCGCCCCTTCCCCCTCCCCCTGCGGCCCTGTGTAGTCACGCGTTGGGTGGCGTGGGGAAGGGGGGCTCCCGGCTGTGAGGAAGAGAGAGAGGGCAGCACCGCCACCCATGAAAATAGAAAGGGAAGATAGCCGGCTGCAGCCGAGTTCCTGTGGCCACCATCACGGTCTGGGTTCCTCCCTTGGGGGCTCCCTCATGCCTCATGCAGCTCATGGTGTGGGGTTCATTGGCCCTGGCGGGGTGGAAGGTCCCATGCCGTCGTCGTCTCACGTCGTCGGTGGTGGGGGCTTGTTGGGGGTTGGGAGGAAGGCAAATAGGAAGGGTCCACCGGGGAGAGGGTGGGGGAGCACGTCACAGTCGCCGCAGTTCGCCGTCCACCCCTGGAGGCGGCCCAGCGACTGGCTGACCACAGCTCCAGTGCCCCTCCTCCCCAACACTCCTCTGAGGCACCGTCCTCCTCGCCCACCCACCCCCTGCCTGCCCCCCACCCGCCCGGCACGTCACGGTGTGTCTGGGGCTGGAAGCCTGCCACACGGCCCATCTGGCAGTGCTCATGGCCATGGTCCCGTGGTTCGCTTGCCCCTGGTGGTGATCCACTGGATGCTGTGGTGTCGTCCACCATCGTGTGCCCACCGCCAGCTCTGGGCTGTGCCTGGGGCCCCATCCGGAGCTTCCATGTCGGGGCAGGGCAGCACCGCTGCATCCTCGGACCCGTCCCCCACCTCCGTTTAGTATGTAGGCAATCTCATGTAACTTAGCAAAGCTAGCATGTCCCTAGACTTGGCGCAGCCACTGTAGGGGTGGCCTCCCAGTAGCATCGTTAACATCAATTGTAACTGGTAGGCAATCACTTAGTTTCACATTTCATTACCCGAGTTACACAAAAGTGTAAAAAAAAATACAGTTTTAATAAAAGGGAGTAAAAGATAATATGAGTAATATTCACAATATCTAGTTGGAAAAGGTAGTGTTTTCTCAGAAATGATGCATTCCTGGAACAAGGTCATTTTGTGTTTGGTTTGTTAAATATCTATTTCCATTTTGACAAACCACTGGAAAAGCCCAGCTTCACAAGGTCTCTCCATGAGAACGATCACACAAAAGAACACCCATAACACAAAATCAAAACAAGGGTGGTCCAGGCGTCACATTAAAGGCTCATTACCAAGTTTTCTTAGAAGAGATAAAGAACACAAAGTTACTTTTAGGTGATGGAAAACAGAGAGAAAGAGTGAATGCAACAATAAATGTTAGGCAACAACAGTGAAAACCAAGCTGTGGAAAAAAATGAATGGAATTGTTTTGTTTGGTATTGATTTCCTATCCTGATATCAGAAAGTATGGGAAAGAACAAAGCACATTTTTTGAGACAAATAGAACATAAAACAGATGAATGTTAAAGACTGTTTTACAGTGCTAACAAAACTATCTGTGGCTTGTTTTTTCCCTTTAAAAATACGATGTTGTATAATTACATTTATATAAATTATTGAAATAAAATTGTAAAGATGGAGAACAGACTATGGGGTTGCCAAGGGGAAGGGGTGGAGGAAAACGTGTCAGAGTGTCAGCAAAGATCCCAAGTTGGAGCCTGGTGGTGAGGCTACAGTTCTGCATCTTGACTGTCGAAGTGGTAGTTACAGAGATCTACACCACATAAAAATGAACAGAACACATGGACACACATACACACGTACAAAAATGAATGCATGCAAAACAGTTGCAATCTGAGTAAGCTTTCTGAATTGTACCTATGTCAGTTTCCAGGTTTTGATAATGCTCTATGGCTATGCGAGATGTCACCACTGGAATTAGTGAAGAGTACCTAAGACATCCCTGTACCTTTTGCAACTTCCTGTGAATCTATAATTATTTCAAAAGAAAGTTGAAAGTCATAGCAGACTTTCACTTCAAAGAGGAAAAAAACTGAAGATTAATGAAATTGTTGAAGAACATCAAATATTCAATAGTCTGTATGAGAGCTGTATTCTGTCCACTCGCAGCACAGCTGTCATTTAGCCTTTTCCTGACGTGCCCTGGAGGACTTGAGCTCCTCTTGGATTGCCAAGGCCAATAGTGTTTATTTGTTACTAACTTTGTACTGGACCCCCAAAAATGAAAAGTGATTGAATAATCATTTATAATAACAACTAGTAATTTTACTTATAAAGAGACAATAGTGGTAACCAATTTAAATATTTAGGGTAAAGAATAGGATCTTTGTAAGACAATACTGGCAAAATTTAAAAAGAAAAAATAAGGAATCAGAAACATAAGTAGTTCAGTATTGTGAAAAAATTCTGGATCTGAGGAGCAAAAGAACAGAGATTGTATTGCATTTCTGCTCCAAACCTGATGAATCACCTTAGCTGTGTTTTGTTTCTGCACCAAAGCTGCAGAATCACCTTAGGCAATGCATGCCCTTTCCCTGAATCTGTTTTCTTTTCTACAAAATAAAGTGAGCTAGATCATCTCCGAGGTCCCCAAATATTCACATTTTCGGCTCTACATGGACTTCTGTTGAATTCCTAATTTCAGTGTGGATAACACATGTGTGCTGCACCACAAGCAGTGTTTCTAAATGCTCATGTTGGTCCTAAAAACTAATTATGAGCACTTTGGAAATTCTGTTGTTGTACAATCTGCAAAGGGATATTTATGAGCGCTTTGAGGCCATGGTGAAAAAGGAAATACCTTCACATAAAAACTATAATGAATGTTTCCGAGAAACTGCTTTGTGATGTCTGCATTCATCTCACAGAGTTAAACGTTTCATTCCCTTGATCAGTCTGGAAACTCTGTTCTTGTACAATCTGCAAAGTGATATTTGTGAGTGCTTTGAGGTCTATGGTGAAAAAGGAAATAGCTTCACATAAAAACTAGATAGAAGCTTTCTGAGAAACTACTTTGTGATGTGTGGATTCATCTCACAGAGTTAAACCATTCTTTTGATTGAAAAGCTTGGAAATGGTGTTTTTGTAGAATGTGCAGAGGGATATTTGTGAGCGCTTTGAGGCCTATGGTGAAAAAGGAAATATCTTCACATAAAAACTAGAAAGAAGATTTATGATAAACTGCTTTGTGATGTGTGTGTTCATCTCACAGAGGTAAATGTTTCTTTTCATTGAGCAGATTGGAAACTCTGTTCTTGTAGGATCTGCAAAGGGATATTTGTGAGCAGTTTGAGGCCTGTGGTGAAAATGGAAATATCATCACATAAAAACTTGACAGAAGTTTCTGAGAAAATTCCTGGTTGTGTGTGCATTCATCTCACAGAGTTGAACCATTCTTTTGATTGAGCAGTTTGGAAACAGTATTTTTGTAGAATCGGCAAAGGGATATTTGCAAGCACTTGGAGGCCAATGGTGAAAAAGGAAATATCTTCACATAAAAACTAGACAGAAGCTTTCTGAGAAACTTTTTTTTTGATGTGTACATTCATCTCACAGAGTTGAACCATTCTTCTGATTGAGCACTTTGGTAACAGTCTTCTTGTAGAATCTGCAAAGGGATATTTGTGAGCACTTTGAAGCCTATGTTGAAAAAGGAAATGTCTTCACATAAAAACTAGAAAGAAGGTTTCTGAGAAACTGATTTGTGATGTGTGACTTCATTTCACAGAGTTGAACCTTTCTATTGATTGAGCATTTTGGAAACAGTATTTTGTAGAATCTGCAAATGGATATTTGTGAACACTTTCAGGCTTATGGTGAAAAAGGAAATATCTTCACATGAAAACTAGACAGAAGCTTTCTGAGAGACATCTGTGTGGTGTGTGCACTCATCTCACAGAGTTGAGCCATTCCTTTGATTGAGCAATTTGGAAACAGTCTTTTTGTAGAATATGCAAAGGGATATTTGTGAACACTTTGAGGCCTATGGTGAAAAAGGAAATATCTTCACATAAAAACTAGACAGAAGGTTTCTGAGAAACTGCTTTGTAATGTGTGCATTCATCTCACAGAGGTAAACGTTTCTTTTCATTGAGCAGATGGGAAACTCTTTTCTTGTGCAATCTGCAAAGGGATATTTGTGAGCAGTTTGAGGCCTATGGTGAAAAAGGAAATATCATCACATAAAACCTTGACAGAAGTTTCTGAGAAAGTTCATGGCTATGTGTGCATTCATCTCACAGAGTTGAACCATTCTTTTGATTGAGCAGTTTGGAAACAGTATTTTTGTAGAATTGGCAAAGGTATATTTGTCAGCTCTCTGAGGCCTATGGTGAAAAAGGAAATATCTTCAATAAAAACTATAAAGAATGTTTCTGAGAAGCTGTTTTGCAAGGTGTGCATTCATCTCACAGAGATAAAAGTTTCTATTCTTTGACGAGTCTGGAAACTCTGTTCTTGTAAAATCTGCAAAGGGATATTTGTGAGCGGCTTGAGGTCTGTGGTGAAAAAGGAAATATCTTCACATAAAAACTAGACAGAAGATTTCAGAGAAACTTCTTTGTGATATGTGCATCCATCTCACATAGTTGAACCATTCTTTTGATTGAGAAGTTTGGAAAGAGTCTTTTCAGAGAATCTGCAAAGGGATATTTTGAGCGCTTTGATAGGTATGGTGAAAAAGGAAATATCTTCACATAAAAACTAGACAGAAGCATTCTGAGAAACTACTTTATGATGTTTGCATTCATCTCACAGAGTTGAATCTTTCTTTCGATTGAGCAGTTTAGAAACTCTCTTTTTGTAGAATCTGCAAATGGATGTTTGGAGTGCTTTGAGGCCTATGGTGAAAAAGGAAATATCTTCACATAAAAACTAAACAGAAGCATTCTGAGAAACGTCTTTGTGATGAGTGTATTCATCTCACAGTGTCGAACCTTTGTTTTGATTGAGCAGTTTGGAAACTGTCTTTTTGTACAATCTGCAACGGGATATTTCTGAGCTGTTTGAGGCCTATGGTGAAAAACAAATGTCTTCACATAATAACTAGACAGATGCACTCTGAGAAACTTCTTTGTGTGATGTCCATTCCTTGATCAGAGTTGAACCTTTCTTTTTGTTGATCAGTTTGGAAAAAGTCTTATTGTAGAATCTGTAAAGGGATATTTGTCAGCCCTTTGAGGACTAAGGTGAAATAGGAAATATCTTCACATAAAAACTAGACAGAACATTCTGAGAAACTTCTTTCTGACATGTGTATTACTCTCACAGTGTAGAAACTTTCTTATGAATGCACAATTCAGAAACAGTCTTTTTGTACTATCTGCATAGGGATATTTGTGAGTGGTTTGTGGCCTATGGTGAAAAAGGAAATATCTTCACAGAAAACTATACAGAAGCATTCTGGGAAACTTCCTTATGATGTGTGCTTTCATCTCACAGAGTAGAACTTTTCTTTTGATTTAGCAGATTGGAAACAGTCTTTTTGTAGTATCTGCAGTGGTATATATCTGAGCATTTTGAGGCCTATGGAGATAAAGAAATATCATCACATAAAAACTAGACATAAGCATTCTGAAAACTTTGTAATGTGTGCATTCATCACACGGATTTGAACCTTTCTTTTCATTGAGCTGTTTGGAAACAATCCTTTTGTAGAACCTGCAAAAGGATATTTCTGAACCCAATGATGCCTCTGTTGAAATAGGAAATTTCAAAACTGCTGTAGCAAAGGAAAGGCTCAACTCCATCAGTTGATTACACACATCACAAAGAAGTTTCTGAGAATGCTTCTCTCTAGTTTTTATGTGAAGATATTTCCTTTTTGACCATAGGCCTCAAAGCGCTCCAAATATCCACTTCCAGATACTACAAAAAGAGAGTTTCAAAACTGCTCCATGAAAGGGAATGTTCAACTCTGTGAGTTGAATGCAGACATCACAAAGAAGTTTCTTAGAATGCTTCTGTCTAGTTTTTATGTGAAAATATTTCCTTTTTCACCATAGGCCTCAAAGAGCTCCAAATGTCCACTTGCAGATTCTACAAAAAGAGAGTTTCAAAACTGCTCCATGAAAGGGAATGTTCAACTCTGTGAGATGAATGCAAACATCACAAAGAAGTTTCTGAGAATGCTTCTGTCTAATTTTTATGTGAAGATGTTCCCGTTTCCAATGAAATCCTGAAAGCTATCCAAATATCCACTTGCAGATACTACAAAAAGAGTGTTTCAAAACTCCTCTATCAAAAGAAAGTTTCAACTCTGTGAGATGAATACACACATCACTAAGAAGTTTCTGAGAATTCTTCTGCCTAGTTTTATTGGAAGATATTTCCTTTTTCACCATAGCCCTCAAAGAGCTCAAAATTTCCAATTACAGATTCCACAAAAGGAGTGTTTCACAACTATTCTATGAAAAAGAATGTTCAAGTCAGTGAGTTGAATGCAAGCATCACAAAAAAGTTTCTGAGAATGTTTCTTTCTAGTTTTTATGTGAAGATATACCCGTTTCCAGTGAAGGCCTCAAAGCTGTCCAAATATCCACTTGCAAATTCTACAAAAAGAGTGTTTCCAATCTGCTCTATCAAAAGAAACTTTCAACTCTGTGAGTTGAATGCACACATCACAAAGAAGTTCCTGAAAATTGTTCTGTCTAGTTTCATGTGAAGATATTCCCATTTCCAACGAAATACTCAATGGTGTCCAATATCCACTTGTAAATTCTACAAAAAGCATGCCTCAAAACTGCTCATCAAAAGAAAAGTTCAACTCTGTGAGTTGAGTACACAAATCACAATGAAGTTTCTGAGAATTCTTCTGTCTAGTTTTTATGGGAAGATATTTCCTTTTTCACCGTACACCTCAAAGCGCTCCAAGTTTCCATTTATAGATTCTACAAAAAGAGTGTTGCAAAACTGCTCTATGAAAAGGAATGTTCAACTCAGTGAGTTGAATGAAAGCATCACAAAGAAGTTTCGGAGAATGCTTCTGTGTAGTTTTTATGTGAAGATATTCCCGTTTCCAAGGAAAGCGTCAATCTATCCAAATATCAACTTGCAGATTCTATAAAAAGAGTGTTTCAAAACTGCTGTATCAAAAGAAAGGTTCAACTCTGTGAGTTGGAGTACGCACATCACAAAAGGTTTCTGAGAATGCTTCTGTCTAGTTTTGCTGTGAAGATATTTCCTTTTTCACCATAGGCCTCAAAGTGCTCCAAATGTCCAATTTCAAATACTCCAAAAAGAGTGTTTCCAATTGCTCTATAAAAGAGAATGTTGAATTCTAGGAGATGAATGCAAACATCACAAAGAAGTTTCTGAGAATGCTTCTGTCTAGTTTTTATGTGAAGATATTCCCCTTTCCAACGAAATCTTCAAAGCTATCCAAATATCCACTTGCAGATTCTACAAAAAAAGAGTGTTTCAAAACTGCTCTATTAAAAGAAAAGTTCAACTCTGTGAGTTGAGTACACACATCAGAAATCAGTTTCTTAGAATTCTTGTGTCTAGTTTTCATGGGAAGATACCTCCTTTTTCACCATACGCCTCAAAGTGTTTCAAGTTTCAACTTACAGATTCAACAAAAAGAGTGTTTCAAAACTGCTCTATGAAAAGGAATGTTCAACTCTGTGAGTTGATTGCAAGCATCACAAAGCAGTTTCTGAGAATGCTTCTGTCTAGTTTTTCTGTGAAGATATTTCCTTTTTTCTCCATAGGCCTCAAAGCGCTCCAAATGTCCAATTCCAAATACTCCAAAAAGAGTGTTTCCAATCTGCTGTATAAAAGCTAATGTTCAACTCTAGGAGATGAATGCAAACATCACAAAGAAGTTTCTGAGAATGCTTCTGTCTAGTTTTTATGTGAAGATATTCCCGTTTACAGCAAAGGCCTCAAAGTTATCCAAACATCCGCTTGCAAATTGTACAAAAAGACTGTTTCCAATCTGCTCTATCGAAAGAAAGATTCAACTCTTTGAGTTGAAAACACACATCAAAAAGCAGCTTCTGAGAATGCTTCTGTCTAGTTTTATGTGAAGATATTCCCGTTTCCCATGAAATCCTCAATGCTGCCCTAATATCCAGTTGTAAATTCTACAAGAACAGTGTTTAAAAACTGCTGTATCAAAAGAAAGTTTTAGCTCTGTGAGTTGAGTTCACACATCACAAAGAAGTTTCTGAGAATGCTTCTGTGTAGTTTTTATGGGAAGATATTTCCTTTTTCACCATAGGCCTCAAAGCGCTCCAAATGTCCACTTGCAGATACTACAAAAAGAGTTTTCCAAAACTGCTCTAGGAAAGGGAAAGTTCAACTCTGTGAGATGAATGCAAACATCACAAAGAAGTTTCTGAGAATGCTTCTGTCTAGTTTTTATGTGAAGGTATTCACGTCTGCAACAAAATCCTCAAAGCTATCCAAATATCCACTTGCGGATCCTACAAAAAGAGTGTTTAAAAACTTCTCTATCAAAAGAGAAGTTCAATTCTGTGATTTGAGTGCACACATCACAACGAAGTGTCTGAGAATTCTTCTGTCTAGTTATTATGGGAAGATATTTCCTTTTTCACCATAGGCCTCAAAGCACTCAAAGTTTCCATTTACAGATTCTACAAAAACTGTTTTTCAAAACTGCTCTATGAAAAGGAATGTTCAACTCTGTGAGTTGAATGCAAGCATCACAAAGAAGTTTCTGAGAATGCTTCTGTCTAGTTTTTATGTGAAGATATATCCGTTTCCAGTGAAGTCCTTAAAGCTGTCCAAATATCCACTTGGAAATTCGACAAAAAGAGTCTTTCCAATCTGCTCTATCAAAGGAAAATTTCAACTCTGTGAGTTGAATGCACACATCACAAAGAAGTTCCTGAGAATGCTTCTGTCTAGTTTTATGTGAAGATATTCCCTTTTCCAACGAAAACATCAATGCTGTCTAAATATCGACATGTAAATTCTACAAGAAGTGTGTTTCAAAAGTGCTCCAACAAAGGAAAGGTTTAAATCCGTGAGTTGAGTACACAAATCACAAATTAGTTTCTGAGAATGCTTCTGTCTACTTTTTAGGTGAAGATATTTCCTTTTTCACCATAGGTCTCAAATCGCACCAAATGTTGACTTGGAGATTCTACAAAAAGAGTTTCTCAAAACTGCTCTATCAAAAGAAAAGTTCAACTCTGTGAGTTGAGTATGCACATCACAAAGAAGTTTCTTAGAATTCTTGTGTCTAGCTTTTATGGGAAGATATCTCCTTTTTCATCATAGGCCTCAAAGCGCTCCAAGTTTCAACTTACAGATCCTACAAAAAGAGTGTTTCAAAACTGCTCAATGTAAAGGAATGTTCAACTCTGTGAGTTGAATGCAAGCATCACATAGAAGTTTCTGAGAATGCTTCTGTCTTGTTTTTATGTGAAGATCAACCCGTTTCCAGTAAAAACGTCAAAGCAGTCAAAATATCCACTTGCACATTCTACAAAAAGAGTGTTTCCAGTCTGCTTCATCAAAAGAATGTTTCAGCTCTGTGAGCTGAATGCACACATCACAAAGAAGTTTCTGAGAATGCTTCTGTCTAGTTGTATGAGACGATATTCCTGTTTCCAATGAAATCCTCAGTGCTGTGTTAATATCCACTTGTAAATTCCACTAGAAGAGTGTTTCAAAACTGCTGTATCAAAGGAAAGGTTTAACTCTGTCACTTGAGTACACACATCACAATGTAATTTGTAAGAATTCTTCTGTCTACTTTTTATGTGAAGATATTTACTTTTCAACCATAGGTCTCATATCACTCCAAATGTCCACTTGCAGATTCTACATGAAGAATTTTTCAAAACTGCTGTATCAAAGGAAAGGTTTAACTCTGTGAGTTGAGTACACACATCACAAAGAAATTTCTAAGAATTTTTCTGCCTATTTGTTATGTGAGGATAATTCCTTTTCCACCAAGGATCTCAAATCGTTCCAAATGTCCACTTACAGATACAACAAAAGAGTTTTTCCAATCTGCTTTATCAAAAGAAAGTTTCAAGACTGTGATTTGAATGCACACACCAGAAATAAGTTTCTGAGAATGCCTCTGTCTAGTTTTATGTGAAGATATTCCCGTTTCCAACGAAATCCTCAAAGCTGTCCTAATATCCACTTGTAAATACTACAAGAAGAGTGTTTCAAAACTGCTGTACCAAAGGAAAGATTTAACTCTGCGAGTTGAGTACACACATCACAAAGTAGTTTCTGAGAATGCTTCTGTCTACTTTTTTTGTGAAGATATTTCCTTTTTCACCACAGGTCTCAAATCGCACAAAATGGCCACTTGCAGATTCTACAAAAAGAGTGTTTCAAAAGTTGTGTATCAAAAGAAAGGTTCACGTCTGTGAGTTGAGTACACACATCAAAAAGAAGTTTCTCAGAATGCTTCTGTGTAGCTTTTATGTGAAGCTATTCCCGTTTCCAACAAAACCAGAAACCTATCCAAATATCCACTTGCAGATTCTACAAAAAGAGTGTTTCAAAACTGCTGTATCAAAAGAAAGCTTCAACTCGGTGAGTTGAGTACACACATCATGAAGATATTTCTGAGAATTCTTCTGTCTAGTTTTTAATGGAAAGATATTTCCTTTTTCACCATAGGCCACAAAGCGCTCCAAATGTCTAGTTCCAGATATTACAAAATCAGTGTTTCAACCCTGCTCTATGAAAGGGAATGTTCAACTCTGTGACTTGAATGCAAACATCATAGAGATGTTTCTGAGAATGCTTCTGTCTAGATTTTATTTGAAGATATTCCCGTTTCCAACGATATCCTCAAAGCTATCCAAATATCCACTTGCAGATTCTAAAAAAAGAGTGTTTGAAAACTTCTCCATGAAAGGGAATTTTCAAATCTGAGAGTTGAATGCAAACCTCACAAAGTAGTTTCTGAGAATGCTTCAGTCTGGTTTTTATCTGAAGGTATTCCCGTTTCCAACGAAATCCTCAATGCTGTCCTAACATCCACTTGTAAATTCTACAAGAAGAGTGGTTAAAAACTGCTGTATCTAAGAAAAATGTTTAACTCTGTGAATTGAGTACACACATCACAAAGTAGTTTCTGAGAATGCTTCTGTCTACTTTTTACGTGAAGATATTTCCTTTTTCACCATAGGTCTCAAATCACACCAAATGGCCACTTGCAGATTCTACAAAAAGTGTGTTTAAAAACTGTTCTATGAAAAGGAATGTTCAACTCTGTGAGTTGAATGCAATCATCACAAAGAAGTTTCTGAGAATGCTTTTGTCTAGTTTTTATGTGAAGATATTCCCGTTTCCAACGAAAGCCTCAAAGCTATCCAAATATCCACTTGCAGATTCTACAAAAAGAGTGTTTCAAAACTTGCGTATCAAAAGAAAAATTCAACTCTGTGAGTTGAGTACACACATCAGAAAGAAGTTTCTCAGAATGCTTCTGTGAAGTTTTTGTGTGAAGCTATTCCCGTTTCCAACAAAACCACAAAGCTATCAAAATATCCACTTGCAGATTCTACAAAAAGAGTGATTCAAAACTGCTGTATCAAAAGAAAGCTTCAACTGGGTGAGTTCAGTACACATACCACAAAGGTGTTTCTGAGAATGCTTCTAACTAGTTATTATGTGAAGATAATTCTTTTTACCACAGGCCTCAAAGTGCTCCAAATGTCCACTTCCAGATAATACAAAAAGAGTGCTTCAAAACTGCTCTATGAAAGGGAAGGTTCAACTCTGTGAGTTGAATAGAAACATCACAAAGAAGTTTCTGATAATGCTTCTTTCTAGTTTTTATGTGAAGATATACCCGTTTCCAACAAAATCCTCAAAGCTACCCAAATATCCACTTGCAGATTGTACAAAAAGAGTGTCTCAAAACTGCTCTATCAAAAGAAAAGTTCAAATCTGTGAGTTGAGTACACACATCACAAAGAAGTTTCTGAGAATTCTTCTGTCTAGTTTTTATGGGAAGATATTTCTTTTTTCACCATAGACTTCTAAGTTCACCAAGTTTCCACTTGCAGATATACAAAAAGAGTGTTACAAAACTGCTCTATGAAAAGGAATGTTCAGCTCCGTGAGTTGAATGAAAGCATCACAAAGAAGTTTCTGAGAATGCTTCTGTCTAGTTTTTATGTGAAGATATTCCCATTTCCAAAGAAAGCCTCAAAGCTATCCAAATATCCACTTGCAGATTCTACAAAAAGAGTGTTTCAAAAGTGCTGTATCAAAAGAAAGGTTCAATTCTGACAGTTGAGTAAACACATCATAAAGAAGTTTCTGAGA
The DNA here is from genome assembly GCF_000001405.40 of Homo sapiens. Lineage (NCBI taxonomy): Eukaryota > Metazoa > Chordata > Mammalia > Primates > Hominidae > Homo > Homo sapiens. The sequence goes on along the minus strand of NC_000002.12, from coordinate 132,240,858 downwards.
ATGCTTCTGTCTAATTTTTATGAGAAGGTGTTTCTTTTTTCATGATAGGCCTCAAAGCGCTCCAAATGTCCACTTCCAGAAACTACAAAAAGAGGGTTTCAAATCTGCTAACTGAAAGGTAATGTTCAACTCTGTGAGATTAATGCAAACATCACAAAGAAGTTTCTGAGAATGCTTCTGTCTAGTTTTTATGTGAAGATAATCCAGTTTCCAATGAAATTCTCAAAGGTATCCCTATATCCACTTGCCGATTTTGACAAAAAGAATGTTTCAACTCTGCTCTATCAAAAGAAAAGTTCAATTCTGTGAGTTGAGTACACCCATCAAAAGGAAGTTTCTGAGAATTCTTCTGTCTAGTTTTTATGGGAAGATATTTCCTGTTTCACCATGGGCCTCAAAGCGTTCCAACTTTCCCCTTATAGATTCTACAAAAAGAGTGTTTCAAAACTGCTCTATGAAAAGTAACGTTCCACTTTGTGAGTTGAATGCAAACATCACAAGAAGTTTCTGGGAATGCTTCTGTCTAGTTTTATGCGAAGATATTCCCCTTTTCAACGAAATCCTCAATGCTGTCCAAATATCCTCTTGTAAATTCTACAAGAAGAGTGTTTCAAATCTGCTCTATATAAGGAAAGGTGTAACTCTGTGATTTGAGTACACACATCAAAAAGTAGTTTCTGAGAATGCTTCTATCTAGTTTTTATGTGAAGATATTACCTTTTTCACCATAGGTCTCATATCGCACAAAATGTCCACTTGTAGATTCTACTAAAAGAGTGTTTCATAACTGCTCTATGAAAAGGAATGTTCAACTCTGTGAGTTGAATGCAAACATCACAAGAAGTTTCTGAGAATGCTTCTGTCTAGTTTTATGTGAAGATATTCCCGTTTCCAACGAAATCCTCAAAGCTATCCAAATGTCCACTTGCAGATTCTACAAAAAGAGTGTTTCAAAATTGCTATATCAAAAGAAAGGTTCAACTCTGTGAGTTGAGTACACATATCACAAAGAAGTTTCTGAGAATGCTTCTGTATAGTTTTTATGTGAAGATATTTCCTTTTTCACCCTAGGCCTCAAAGCGCTCCAAATGTCCACTTAGTGAAACTACAAAAAGAGTGTTTCAAAACTGCTCACTGAAAGGGAATGTTCAACTCTGTGAGAAGAATGCAAACATCACAAAGATGTTTCTGAGAATCCTTCTGTCTAGTTTTTATGTGAAGATAATCCCGTTTCTAACGAAATTCTCAAAGCTATCCACATATCCACTTGCAGATTTTAACAAAAAGGGTGTATCAAAACTGCTCTATCAAAAGAATAGCTCAACTCTGTGAGTTGAGTACACACATCACAGAGAAGTTTCTGAGAATTCTTCTGTGTACTTTTCATGGGAAGATATTTCCTTTTCTACCTAGACCTCAAAGCGATTCAAGATTCCACTTACAGATCCTACAAAAAGAGTGTTTCAAAACTGCTCTATGAAAAGGAATGTTGAACCCTGTGAGTTGAATTCAAGCATCACAAAGAAGTTTCTGAGTATGCTTCAGTCTAGTTTTTTGTGAAGATATTCCCGTTTCCAACGAAATCCTCAAAGCTATCCAAATATCCACTTGCAAATTCTACAAAGAGTGTTTCAAAATTGCTGTATCAAAAGAAAAGTTCAACCCTATGAGTTGAGTACACACATCACAAAGTAGTTTCTGAGAATGCTTCTCTCTAGTTTTTATGTGACTATATTTCCTTTTTTACCACAGGCGCTAAAGCGCTCCAAATGTCCACTTCCAGATACTACAAAAGGAGTGTTTCAAAACTGCTCTATGAAAATCCATGTTCAACAGTGTGAGTTGAATGCAAGTCTCACAAAGAAGTTTCTGAGAATGCTTCTGTGTAGTGTTTATGTGAAGATATTTCCTTTTTCACCTTAGGCCTCAAGGCACTCCAAATGTCCACTTCCAGAATCTACAAAAAGAGTGTTTCAAAAATGCTCAATGAAGGGGAATGTTCAACTGCGAGATGAATGCAAACATCACAAAGAAATTTCTGAGAATGCTTCTGTCTAGTTTTTATATGAAAATATTCCCGTTTCCAATGAAATCTTCAAAGCTATCCACATATCCACTTGCAGATTTTTAAAAAATGAGTGTTTCAAAACTGCTCTATCAAAAGAAAGGTTCAAATCTGTGAGTTGAGTACACACATCAGAAAGATGTTTCTGAGAATGCTTCTGTCTAGTTTTTATGGGAAGAGATTTCCTTTTTCACCATAGGCTTCAAAGAGCACCAAGTTTCCACTTACAGATTCTACAAAAAGAGTGTTTCATAACAGCTCCATGAAAACGAATGTTCAAGTCTGTCAGTTGAACGTAAGCATCACAAAGAAGTTTCTGAGAATGCTTCTGTCTTGTTTTTATGTGAATATATACCCGTTCCCAGAGAAGGCATCAAAGCTGTCCAAATATCCACTTGCAAATTCTACGATCAAAAGAAAATTTCAACTCTGTGAGTTGAATGCACACGTCACAAAGAAGTTTCTGAGAATCCTTCTGTCAATTTTATGTGAAGACATTCCTGTTTCCAAAGAAATCCAAATGCTGTCCTAATATCCACTTGTAAATTCTATAAGAAGAGTCTTTCATAACTGCTGTATCAAACGATAGGTTTAACTCTGTGAGTTGAGTACGCACATCGCAAAGAAGTTTCTGAGAATTCTTCTGTCTTCTTTTTATGTGAAGATATTTCCTTTTTCAACATAGGTCTCAAATCGCACTAAATGTCCACTTGCAGATTCTACAAAAAAAGTGTTTCAAAACTGTTCTATGAAACGGAATGTTCGAATCTGTGATTTGAATGCAAGCAGCACAAAGAGGTTTCTGAGAATGCTTCTGTCTGGTTTTTATGTGAAGATATTTCCTTTTCCAAACAAAGCCTTAAAGCTATCCAAATATCTTCTTGCAGACTCTGCAAAAAGAGTGTTTCAAAAATTCTCTATCAAAAGAAAAGTTCAACTCTGTGAGTTAAGTACACACATCATGAGGAAGTTTCTGAGAATTCTTCTGTCTAGTTTTTATGGAAAGATATTTCCTGTTTCACCATAGGCTTTCAAAGCGCTCCAAGTTTCCACTTACAGATTCTACAAAAAGAGTGTTTCAAAACTGCTCTATGAAAAGGAATGTTCAACTCTGTGAGTTGATTGCAAGCATCACAAAGCAGTTTCTGAGAATGCTCCTGTCTAGTTTTTATGTGAAGACATACCCGTTTCCAGCGAAGGCCTCAAAGCTGTCCGAATATCCACTTGCAAATTCTACAAAAAGAGTGTTTCCAATCTGCTCTATCAAAAGAAAATTTCAACTCTGTGAGCTGAATGCACACATCACAAATAAGTTTCTGAGAATGCTTCTGTCTAGTTTTATGTGAAGATATTCCCGTTTCCAACGAAATCCTCAATGCTGCCCTAATATCCACTTGTAAATTCAACAAGAAGAGTGTTTCAAAACTGCTGTATCAAAGGAAAGTTTTAACTGTGAGTTGAGTACACCCATCACAAAGTAGTTTGTGAGAATGCTTCTGTCTACTTTTTATTATTATTATTATTCTTTAAGTTTTAGGGTTCATGTGCACATTGTGCAGGTTAGTTACATATGTATACTTGCGCCATGCTGGTTGGCTGCACCCACTAACTCGTCTTCTAGCATTAGGTATATCTCCCAATGGTATCCCTCACCCCTCCCCCCACCTCACAACATTCCCCAGAGTATGATGTTCCCCTTCCTGTGTCCATGTGATCTCATTGCTCAATTCCCACCTATGAGTGAGAATATGCAGTGTTTGGTTTTTTGTTCTTGCGATAGTTTACTGAGAATGATGATTTCCAATTTCATCCATGTCCCTACAAAGGACATGAACTCATCATTTTTTATGGCTGCATAGTATTCCATGGTGTATATGTGCCACATTTTCTTAATCCAGTCTATCATTGTTGGACATTTGGGTTGGTTCCAAGTCTTTGCTATTGTGAATAGTGCCACAATAAACATACGTGTGCATGTGTCTTTATAGCAGCATGATTTATAGTCCTTTGGGTATATACCCAGTAATGGGATGGCTGGGTCAAATGGTATTTCTAGTCCTAGATCCCTGAGGGATCACCACACTGACTTCCCTAATGGTTGAACTAGTTTACAGTCCCACCAACAGTGTAAAAGGGTTCCTATTTCTCCACATCGTCTCCAGCATGTGTTGTTTCCTCTCTTTTTAATGATTGCCATTCTAACTGGTGTGAGATGGTATCTCATTGTGGTTTTGATTTGCATTTCTCTGATGGCCAGTGATGATGAGCATTTTTTCATGTGTTTTTTGGCTGCATAAATGTCTTCTTTTGAGAAGTATGTGTTCATGTCCTTTGCCCACTTTTTGATGGGGTTGTTTGTTTTTTTCTTGTAAATTTGTTTGAGTTCATTGTAGATTCTGGATATTAGCCCTTTGTCAGATGAGTAGGTTGCAAAAATGTTCTCCCATTAGATCCCATTTGTCAATTTTGTCTTTTGTTGCCATTGTTTTTGGTGTTTTAGACATGAAGTCCTTGCCCATGCCTATGTCCTGAATGGTAATGCCTATGTTTTCTTCTAGGGTTTTTATGGTTTTAGGTTGAACGTTTAAGTCTTTAATCCATCTTGAATTGATTTTTGTGTAAGGTGTAAGGAAGGGATCCAGTTTCAGCTTTCTACATATGGCTAGCCAGTTTTCCCAGCACCATTTATTAAATAGGGAATCCTTTCCCCATTGCTTGTTTTTCTCAGGTTTGTCAAAGATCAGATAGTTGTGGATATGTGGCATTATTTCTGAGGGCTCTGTTCTGTTCCATTGATCTATATCTCTGTTTTGGTACCAGTACCATGCTGTTTTGGTTACTGTAGCTTTGCAGTATAGTTTGAAGTCAGGTAGTGTGATGCCTCCAGCTTTGTTCTTTTGGCTTAGGATTGACTTGGTGATGCGGGCTCTTTTTTGGTTCCATATGAACTTTAAAGTAGATTTTTCCAATTGTGTGAAGAAAGGCATTGGTAGCTTGATGGGGAAGGCATTGAATCTGTAAATTACCTTGGGCAGTATGGCCATTTTCATGATATTGATTCTTCCTACCCATGAGCATGGAATGTTCTTCCATTCGTTTGTATCCTCTTTTATTTCCTTGGGCAGTGGTTTGTAGTTCTCCTTGAAGAGTTCCTTCACATCCCTTGTAAGTTGGATTCCTAGGTATTTTATTCTCTTTGAAGCAATTGTGAATGGGAATTCACTCATGATTTGGCTCTCTGTTTGTCTGTTGTTGGTGTATAAGAATGCTTGTGATTTTTGTACATTGATTTTGTATCCTGAGACTTTGCTGAAATTGCTTATCAGCTGAAGGAGATTTTGGGCTGAGACAATGGGGTTTTCTAGATATACAATCATGTCATCTGCAAACAGGGACAATTTGACTTCCTCTTTTCATAATTGAATACTCTTTATTTCCTTCTCCTGCCTAGTTGCCCTGGTCAGAACTTCCAACCCTATGTTGAATAGGAGTGGTGAGAGAGGGCATCCCTGTCTTGTGCCAGTTTTCAAAGGAAATGCTTCCAGTTTTTGCCCATTCAGTATGATATTGGCTGTGGGTTTGTCATAGATAGCTCTTATTATTTTGAAATATGTCCCATCAATACCTAATTTATTGAGAGATTTTAGCATGAAGTGTTGTTGAATTTTGTCAAAGGCTTTTTCTGCATCTATTGAGATAATCATGTGGTTTTTTGTCTTTGGCTCTGTTTATATGCTGGATTACATTTATTGATTTGCGTATATTGAACCAGCCTTGCATCCCAGGGATGAAGCCCACTTGATCATGGTGGATAAGCTTTTTGATGTTCTGCTGGATTCGTTTTGCCAGTATTTTATTGAGGATTTTTGCATCAATGTTCATTAAGGATATTGGTCTAAAATTCTCTTTTTTGGTTGTGTCTCTGCCTGGCTTTGGTATCAGAATGATGCTGGCCTCATAAAATGAGTTAGGGAGGATTCCCTCTTTTTCAATTGATTGGAATAGTTTCAGAAGGAATGGTACCAGTTCCTCCTTGTACCTCTGGTAGAATTCGGCTGTGAATCCATCTGGTCCTGGACTCTTTTTGTTGGTAAGCTATTGATTATTGCCACAATTTCAGAGCCTGTTATTGGTCTATTCCGAGATTCAACTCCTTCCTGTTTTAGTCTTGGGAGAGTGTATGTGTCAAGGGATTTATCCATTTCTTCTGGATTTTCTAGTTTATTTGCATAGAGGTGTTTGTAGTATTCTCTGATGGTAGTTTGTATTTCTGTGAGATCGGTGGTGATATCCCCTTTATCATTTTTTATTGTGTCTATTTGATTCTTCTCTCTTTTTTTCTTTATTAGTCTTGCTAGCTGTCTATCAATTTTGTTGATCCTTTCAAAAAACCAGCTCCTGGATTCATTAATTTTTTGAAGGGTTTTTTGTGTCTCTATTTCCTTCAGTTCTGCTCTGATTTTAGTTATTTCTTGCCTTCTGCTAGCTTTTGAATGTGTTTGCTCTTGCTTTTCTAGTTATTTTAATTGTGATGTTAGGGTGTCAATTTTTTATCTTTTCTTCTTTCTCTTGTGGGCATTTAGTGCTATAAATTTCCCTCTACACCCTGCTTTGAATGTGTCCCAGAGATTCTGGTATGTTGTGTCTTTGTTCATGTTGGTTTCAAAGAACATCTTTATTTCTGCCTTCATAGCGTTAAATATCCAGTAGTCATTCAGGAGCAGGTTGTTCAGTTTCCATGTAGTTGAGTGGTTTTGAGTGAGATTCTTAATCCTGAGTTCTAGTTTGATTGCACTGTGGTCTGAGAGATAGTTGGTTATAATTTCTGTTCTTTTACATTTGCTGAGGAGAGCTTTACTTCCAACTGTGTGGTCAATTTTGGAATAGGTGTGGTGTGGTGTTGAAAAAAATGTATATTCTGTTGATTTGGGGTGGAGAGTTCTGTAGATGTCTATTAGGTCCACTTGGTGCAGAGCTGAGTTCAATTCCTGGGTATCCTTGTTGACTTTCTGTCTCGTTGATCTGTCTAATGTTGACAGTGGGGTGTTAAAGTCTCCCATTATTAATGTGTGGGAGTCTAAGTCTCTTTGTAGGTCACTCAGGACTTGCTTTATGAATCTGGGTGCTCCTGTATTGGGTGCATATAGATTTAGGATAGTTAGCTCTTCTTGTTGAATTGATCCCTTTACCATTATGTAATGGCCTTCTTTGTCTCTTTGGATCTTTGTTGGTTTAAAGTCTGTTTTATCAGAGACTAGGATTGCAACCCCTGCCTTTTTTTGTTTTCCATTTGCTTGGTAGATCTTCCTCCATCCTTTTATTTTGAGCCTATGTGTGTCTCTGCACATGAGATGGGTTTCCTGAATACAGCACACTGATGGGTCTTGACTCTTTATCCAATTTGCCAGTCTGTGTCTTTTAATTGGAGCATTTAGTCCATTTACATTTAAAGTTAATATTGTTATGTGTGAATTTGATCCTGTCATTATGATGTTAGCTGGTTATTTTGCTCATTAGTTGATGCAGTTTCTTCCTAGTCTCGATGGTCTTTACATTTTGGCATGATTTTGCAGTGGCTGGTACTGGTTGTTCCTTTCCATGTTTAGTGCTTCCTTCAGGAGCTCTTTTAGGGCAGGCCTGGTGGTGACAAAATCTCTCAGCATTTGCTTGTCTGTAAAGTATTTTATTTCTCCTTCACTTATGAAGCTTTGTTTGGCTGGATATGAAATTCTGGGTTGAAAATTCTTTTCTTTAAGAATGTTGAATATCGGCCCCCACTCTCTTCTGGCTTGTAGGGTTTCTGCCAAGAGATCCGCTGTTAGTCTGGTGGGCTTCCTTTTGAGGGTAACCCGACCTTTCTCTCTGGCTGCCCTTAACATTTTTTCCTTCATTTCAACTTTGATGAATCTGACAATTATGTGTCTTGGAGTTGCTCTTCTCGAGGAGTATCTTTGTGGCATTCTCTGTATTTCCTGAATCTGAATGTTGGCCTGCCTTGCTAGATTGGGGAAGTTCTCCTGGGTAATATCCTGCAGAGTGTTTTCCAACTTGGGTCCCTTCTCCCCATCACTTTCAGGTACACCAATCAGAAGTAGATTTGGTCTTTTCACATAGTCCCATATTTCTTGGAGGCTTTGCTCATTTCTTTTTATTCTTTTTTCTCTAAACTTCCCTTCTCGCTTCATTTCATTCATTTCATCTTCCATTGCTGATACCCTTTTTTCCAGTTGATTGCATCAGCTCCTGAGGCTTCTGCATTCTTCACGTAGTTCTCGAGCCTTGGTTTTCAGCTCCATCAGCTCCTTTAAGCACTTCTCTCTATTGGTTATTCTAGTTATACGTGCTTCTAAATTTTTTTCAAAGTTTTCAACTTCTTTGCCTTTGGCTTGAATGTCCTCCCATAGCTCAGAGTAATTTGATCGTCTGAAGCCTTCTTCTCTCAGCTCGTCAAAGTCATTCTCCATCCAGCTTTGTTCCGTTGCTGGTGAGGAACTGCGTTCCTTTGGAGGAGGAGACGTGTTCTGCATTTTAGAGTTTCCAGTTTTTCTGTTCTGTTTTTTCCCCATCTTTGTGATTTTGTCTACTGTTGGTCTTTGATGATGGTGATGTACAGATGGGTTTTTGTTGTGGATGTCCTTTCTGTTTGTTAGTTTTCCTTCTAACAGACAGGACCCTTAGCTGCAGGTCTGTTGGAATACCCTGCCGTGTGAGGTGTCAGTGTGCCCCTGCTGGGGAGTGCCTCCCAGTTAGGCTGCTCGGGGGTCAGGGGTCAGGGACCCACTTGATGAGGCAGTCTGCCAGTTCTCAGATCTCCAGCTGCATGCTGGGAGAACCACTGCTCTCTTCAAAGCTGTCAGACAGGGACATTTAAGTCTGCAGAGGTTACTGCTTTTTGTTTGTCTGTGCCCTTCCCCCAGAGGTGGAGCCTACAGAGGCAGGCAGGCCTCCTTGAGCTGTGGTGGGCTCCACCCAGTTCGAGCTTCCTGGCTGCTTTGTTTACCTAAGCAAGCCTGGGTAATGGCGGGTGCCCCTCCCCCAGCCTCGCTGCCACCTTGCAGTTTGATCTCAGACTGCTGTGCTAGCAATCAGCGAGACTCCGTGGGTGTAGGACCCTCCGAGCCAGGTGCGGGATATAATCTCGTGGTGTGCCGTTTTTTAAGCCGGTCCGAAAAGCGCTATATTCGGGTGGGAGTGACCCGATTTTCCAGGTGCATCTGTCACCCCTTTCTTTGACTCGGAAAGGGAACTCCCTGACCCCTTGTGCTTCCCAAGTGAGGCAATGCATCGCCCTGCTTCAGCTCGTGCACGGTGCGTGCACCCACTGACCTGCGCCCACTGTCTAGCACTCCCTAGTGAGATGAACCTGGCACCTCAGATGGAAAGGCAGAAATCACCTGTCTTCTGCGTCGCTCACGCTGGGAGCTGTAGACCAGAGCTGTTCCTATTCGGCCATCTTGGCTCCTCCCCCTTCGACATTCCCGTTTTCAATGAAGGCCTCAAAGCGGTCCAAATATCCATTTGCATTTCTTCAAAAAGACAGGTTCAAAACTGCTCTATCAAAGAAAGTTCAACTCTGTGAGTTGAATACAACCATCACAAAGAAGTTTCTGAGAATGCTTCTATGTAGTTTTTATGTGAAGATATTTCCTTTTCCACCATAGGCCTCAAATCTCTCCAAATGTTCACTTGCAGACTCCACAAAAAGTGTTTCAAACCTGCTCTTTCAAAATAAAGGTTCAACTCCCTTACTTGAATGCCACAGCACAAAAAAGTTTCTGAGAAATCTTCTGTCTAGTGATTATGTGAAGATATTCCCGTTTCCAATGAAGGCTGCAAAGCATTCCATCTATCCACTTGCAGATTTTACAAAAAGAGTGTTTCAAAACTGCTCTATCAAAAGAAATGTTCAACTCTCTGAGGTGAATGCACACATCACGAAGAAGTTTCTGAGAATGCTTCTGTGTAGTTTTTGTGTGAAGATATTTCCTTTTCCACCATAGGCCTCAAAGTGCTCCAAATGTCCACGTGCAGATTCTAAAAAAAGAGTGTTTCAAATCTGCTCTATCAAAAGCAAGGTTCAAATCTGTGAGTTTAATGCACAAATCACAAAGAAGTTTGTGAGAATGCTTCTGTCTAGTTTTTATGTGAAGTTATTCCCGTTTCCAATGAAGGCCTCAATGCGGTCCAAATATCCACTTGCAGATTGTCCAAAAACAGTGCTTCAAAACTGCTCCATGAAAAGCTATGTTCAACTCTGTGAGCTGAATGCAAACATCATAAATAAGTTTCTGAGAATGCTTCTGTCTAGTATTTATGGGAAGATATTTCCTTTTCAACCATAGCCCTCAAAGCGCTCCATTTGTCCACTTGCATATAATACAAAAAGAGTGTTTCAAAACTGCTCTATCAAAGGAAAGTTCAACTCTGTGAGTTGAATGTACACATCACAAATACACTTCTGAGAATGCTTCTATCTACTTTTTATGTGAAGATATTCCCGTTTCCAATGAAGGCCTCAAAGCGGTCCATAAATTCACTTGCAGATTCTACTAAAAGACTGCTTCAAAACTGCTCTATGAAAACGTATATTCAACTCTGTGAGTTGAAGACAAACATCACAAAGAAGTTTCTGAGAATGCTTCTGTCTATTTTTTATGGGAAGATATTTCCTTTTCCACCACAGGCCTCAAAGTGCTTTAAATGTCCACGTGCAGATTCTACAAAAAGCGTGTTTGAAACGTGCTCTATCAAAAGAAAGTTTCAACGCTGTGAGTTGAATGCACACATCAGAAAAATTTTCTGAGAATTCTTCTGTCTAGTTTTTATGTGAAGATATTCACGTTTATAAAGAAGGCCTCCAAGCGTTCCAAATATCCACTTGCAGATACTGCGAACAGAGTGTTTCAAAACTGCTCTATGGAAAGGAAGTTTCAACTCTGTGAGTTGAATGCACAAATCACAAAGAAATTTCTGAGAATGCTTCTGTCTAGTTTTTATGTGAAGATATTTCCTTTCCCACCATAGTCCTCAAATTTCTCCAAATGTCCACTTGCAGTTTCTACCAAATGAGTTTTTCAAACCCGCTCTATCAAAAGAAAGGTTCAACTCTGTGAGTTGAATGCACACATCACTAAGAAGTTTCTGAGAATGCTTCTGTCTAGTGTTTATGTGAAGATATTCCCGTTTCCAACGAAGGCCTCACAGAGTTCCAAATAACAACTTGCACATTCTACAAAAAGAGAGTTTCTAAATTGTGCTATGAAGAGGTATGTTCAACTCTATGAGTTGAATGCAAACATCACAAAGAAGTTTCTGAGAAAGCTACAGTCTAGTCTTTATGTGATGATATTACCTTTTCCATGATAGGAATCAAAGTGCTCCAAATGTCCACTTGCAGATTCTACAAAAAGAGTGTTTCCAAACTGCTCAATCAAAGAAATGTTCAACTTTCTAGATGAATGCACACATTATAAAGAAGTTTCTCAGAATTCTTCTTTCTAGTTTTTATGTGAAGATATTTCCTTTTGTACGGTAGACCCGAAGGCACTCGAAAGGTCCACTTGCAGATTCTACAAAAAGAGTATTTCAAAACTGGTCCTTCAAAGGAATGGTCAAATCTGGGGGTTGAATGCACACATCACAAAGTAGTTTCTCAGAATTCTTCTATGTACTTTTTACATGAAGATATTTCATTTTTCACCATAGGCCTGAACGCCCTTCAAATGTCCACTTAGAGATTATACAAAAAGGGAGCTTTAAAACTGCTCTATCAAAAGAAAGGTTTCAATCCGTTAGATGAATGCACACATCACAAAGATGTTTCTAAAAATGCTTCTATCTATTTTTTATGTGAAGATAATTCCTTTTCCACCATAGGCCTCAAAGCCTTCAAAATGTCCACTTGCAGATTCTACAAAAAGAGAGTTTCCAAAGTGCTCAGTCAAAAGAAAGGTTTACTCTGTGAGATGAATCCACACACCACAAAGAAGTTTTTCAGATTGCTTTTATCTAGATTTTATGTGAAGATATTTCCTTTTCTACCATAGGCCACAAAGCACTCCAAATGTCCGCTTGCAGATTCTACAAAAAGAGTGCTTCCAAACTCTCAATCAAAAGAAAGGTTCAGCTCTGTGAGATGTAAGCACACATCACAAAGAAATTTCTCAGAATTTTTCTGTCTAGTTTCTATGTGAAAATATTTACTTTTCCACCATAGGCCTCAAAGCGCTCCAAATGTCCACTTGCAGATTTTACGATAAGAGAGTTTCAAGACAGCTCAATCAAAAGAAAGTTTTAACTCTGTGAGATGAATGCACACATCACAAAGAAGTTTCTCAGATTCATTCTATCTAGATTTTATGGTAATATATTTCCTTTTCTAACATAGGTTGCAAAGCGCTCCAAATGTCCACTTGCAGATTCCACAAAAAGAGTGTTTCCAAACTGCTTAATCAAAAGAAAGGTTCAACTCTGTGAGATAAACGCATGCATCCAAAGAAGCTTCTCCGAATTCTTCTGTGTCGTTTTGATGTGAAAATATTTCCTTTTCCTCCACAGGCCTCAAAGCGCTCCAAATGTTAACTTGCAGATTCTACAAAAAGAGAGATTCAAAACTGCTCAATCAAAACAAAGGCTTAACTCTGTGAGATCAGTGCACACATCACAAAGTTTCTAAGAATGCTTCTGTCTAGTTTCTATGTGAAGATATTTCCTTTTCCACCATAAGCCTAAAAGTGCTCCAAATGTCCACTTCCCCATTCAACAAAAAGACAGTTTCAAAACTGCTCAATCAAAAGTAAGAGTTAACCCTGTGAGATGAATGCACACATCCCAAGGAAGTTTCTCACATTGCTTCTGTCTAGATTTTATGTGAGGATATTTCCTTTTCTAACTTAGGCTGCAAAGCGCTTCAAATGCCCACTTACAGAATCTACAAAAAGAGTGCTTCCACTTGCAGAATCTCCAAAAAGAGTGTTTCCAAACTGCTGAATCAAAAGAAAGTTTCAGCTATTTGAGTTGAAGGCACACATCACAAAGAAGATTCTGAGAATACTTCTGTCTAGTTTTTATGTGAAGATATTTCCTTTTCCACTATAGGCCCAAAAGCGCTACAAATGTCCACTAGCGGATTCTACAAAAAGAGTGTTTCAGAACTTCCCAATCAAAAGAAAGTTTTAACTCTGTGAGTTGAATGTACACATCAAAAAGAAGTTTCTGAGAATGCTGCTGTCTAGATTTTATGTGAAGGTATTCCCGTTTCCAAGGAGGGTCTCAAGGGGTACCTAATATCCACTTGCAGATTCTACTAAAGGAGTGTTTCAAAACGACTCTATGATAAGGTATGTCCCACTGTGTGAGTTGAAGGCAAACATCAAAAAGAAGTTTCTGAGAATGCTTCTCTCTAGTTTAGATGGGAAGATATTTCCTTTTCCACTATAGGCCTCAAAGTGTTCCAAGTGTCCACTTGCAGATTCTACAAAAAGAATGTTTCAAAACTGTTCTATCAAAAGAAAGTTTCAACTCTGTGAAGTGAATGCACACATTACAAGCAAGTTTCTGAGAATGCTTCTGTCTAGTATTTATGTGAAGATATTCCCGTTTCCAACGAAGGCCTCAAAGCAGTCAAATATCCACTAGCATATTCTACAAAAAGAGTGTTTCAAAACTGCCCCATGAAAATGAATATTCAACTCTGTGAGTAGAATGCAAACATCACAAAGAATTTTCTGAGAATGCTTCTGCCTAGTTTTTATATGAAGATATTTCCTTTCCCACCATAGGCCTCAAAGCACTCCAAATGTCCACTTACAGATTCTACAAAAAGAGTGTTTCAAACCTGCTCTATCAAAACAAAGGTTTAACTCTGTGAGTTGAATGCAAACATCACAAAGAAGTTTCTGAGAATGCTTCTGTCTAGATTTTATGTGAAGATATTTCCTTTTCTAACTTAGGCTGCAAAGCGCTTTACATGTCCACTTACAGAATCTACAAAAAGAGTTTTTCCATAATTCTCAATCAAAAGAAAGGTTCAACTCTGTGAGATGAACGCACACATCACAAAGAAGTTTCTCAGGATTCTTCTGTCTAGTTTTTATGTGAAGATATTTCCTTTTCCACCATAGGCCTCAAAGCACACCAAATGTCCACTTGCAGATTCTACAAAAAAAGAGGTTCAAAACTGCTCAATCAAAAGAAAGGTTTAACTCTGTGAGATGAAAACACACATCACAAAGAGGTTTCTCACATTGGTTCTGTCTAGATTTTATGTGAAGATATTTCCTTTTATAACATAGGTCGCAAAGTGCTCCTAATGCCCACTTGCAGATTCTACAAAAAGAGTGTCTGTAAACTGCTCAATCAAAAGGAAGTTTCAACTCTGTGAGAAGAATGCACACATCACAAAGAAGTTTCTCAGAATTCCTCTGTCTAGTTTTTATGTGAAGATATTTCCTTTTCCACCATAGGCCTCAAAGCGCTCCAAGAATCCACTTGCAGATTCTACAAAAAGAGTGTGTCAAACCTGTTCTATCAAAAGAAAGGTTCAACTCTGTGAATTGAATGCACACATCACCAAGAAGTTTCAGAAAATGCTTCTGTCTAGTTTTTATGAGAAGATATTCCCGTTTCCAACGAAGGCCTCTAAGCGGTCAAAATATCCCCTTGCAGATTCCACTAAAAGAGTGTTTCATAACTGCTCTATGATAAAGTATGTCCAACCCTGTGAGTTGAATGCAGACATCACAAATAAGTTTTTGAAAATGCTTCTGTCTAGTTTTTATGTGAAGATACTTCCTTTTCCAACATAGGCCTCAAAGGGCTCCAAATGTCCACTTGCAGATTCTGCAAAAAGAGTGTTTCAAACCTTCTCTATCAAAAGAAAGGTTCAACTCTGTGAGTTGAATGCACACATCACTATCACAAAGAAGTTTCTGAGAATGCTACTGTCTAGTTTTTATGTGAAGATATTTCCTTTTCCACCGTACGCCTCAAAGCACTCCAACTGTCCACTTGCAGATTCTACAAAAAGAGTGTTTGAAACCTGCTCTATCAAAAGAAAGGTTCAATTCTGTGAGGTGAATGCACACAGCCAAAGAAGTTTCGGAAAAAACTTCTATCTAGTGTTTATGTGAAGATATTCCCATTTCCAACGAATGCCTCAACGCGTTCCAAATATCCACTTGTAGACTCTACAAAAAGAGTGTTTCAAAACTGTTCTATCAAAAGAAAGTTTCAACTCTGTGAGTTGAATGTACACATCACAAGAAGTTTCTGAGGATGCTGCTGTCTAGTTTTTATGTGAAGATATTCCCATTTCCAATGAAGCCTTCAAAGCAATCCAAATATTCACTTGCAGATTCCACTAAAAGAGTGTTTCAAAACTGCTCTATCATAAGGTATGTTCAACTCCGTGAGTTTAAGGCAAACATCACAAAGAAGTTTCTGAGAATGCTTCTCTCTAGTTTTTATGGGAAGATATTTGTTTTTCCACCATAGGCCTCAAAGCTCTCCAAATGTCCACTTGCAGATTCTACAAAAAAAGTGTTTCAAACCTGCTCTATCAAAAGAAAGGATCAACTCTGTGAGCTGAATGCACACAGAACAAAGAAGTTTCGGAGAAAGCTTCTGTCTAGTGATTATGTGAAGATATTCCCGTTTCCAACGAAGGCCTCAAAGCGGTCCAAATATCCACTTGCAGATTCTACTAAAAGAGTGTTTCAAAACTGCTCTATTATTAAGAATGTTCAAGTCTCTGAGTTGAATGCAAACAGCACACAGAAGTTTCTAAGAATGCTTCTGTCTAGTTTTTATGTGAAGATATTTCCTTTTCCACCATAGGCCTCAAAACACTCCAAATGTCCACTTCCAGATTCTGCAAAGAGTGTTTCAAACCTGCTCTATGAAAAGCAAGGTTCAACTCTGTGATTTTAATTCACACAGCACAAAGAAGTTTCAGAGAACCCTTGTCTAGTGATTATGTGAAGATATTCCCATTTCCATCGAATGCCTCAAAGCGGTCAAAATATCCCCTTCAGATTCTACTAAAGGAGTGTATCAAAAGTGATCTATGAAAAGGAAGTTTCTACTCTGTGAATTGAATGCAAATACCAAAAAGAAGTTTCTGAGAGTGCTTCTGTCTAGTTTTTAAGTGAAGATACTTCCTTTTCCACCATAGGCCACAAAGCTCTCAAAATGTCCATTTGGAGATTCTACAAAATGAGTGTTTCAAACCTGCTCTATCAAAAGAAAGTTCAGCTCTGTGAGTTGAATGCACACATCACAAAGAAGTTTCTGAGAATGCCTCTGTCCAGTACTTATGTGAAGATATTCCCGTTTCCAACAAAGGCCTCAAAGCGGTCCAAATATCCACTTGCAGATTCTACAAAGAGTGTTTCAAAAGGCTCTATGAAATGGTATGTTCAACTCTGTGAGTGGAATGCGAACATCACAAAGAAGATTCTGAGAATTCTTCTGTCTCATTTTTATATAAAGATATTTCCTTTTCCACAATAGGCCTCAAAGATCTCCAAATGTCCACTTGCAGATTCTACAAAAAGAGTATTTCAATCCTGCTCTATCAAAAGAAAGGTTCATCTCTGTGAGTTGAATGCACACATCACAAAGAAGTTTCTGAGAATGCTTCTATCTAGTGTTTATGTGAATATCTTCCCGCTTCCAACGAAGGCCTCAAAACAGCACAAATATCCTCTTGCCGATTCTAAAAAAAGAGAGTTTCAACCCTGCCCTATCAAAAGAAAGGTTCAACTCTGTGCGTTGAATGTACACATCACAAAGAAGTTTCTGAGAATGCTCCTGTCTAGTTTTTATGTGAAGATATTCTCGTTTCCAACGAAGGCCTCAAAGCGTTCCAAATATCCACTTGCAGATTCTACTAAAGAGTGTTTCAAAACTGCTCTATGATAAAGTATTTTCAACTCTGTGAGTTGAAGGCAAACATAGCAAATGACTTTCTGAGAATGCTTCTGTCTAGTTTTTATGGGAAGATATTTCCTTTTCCACTGTAGGCCTGAAAGCCCTCCAAATGTCCACTTGCAGATTCTGCAAAAAGAGTGTTTCAAACCTGCTCTATCAAAAGAAAGCTTCAAGTCTGTGAGTTGAATGTACACATCACAAGGAAGTTTCTGAGAATGCTTCTGTCTAGTGTTTATGTGAAGATATAACCGATTCCAACGAAGGCCTCAAAGCTCTCCAAATTTCCACTTGCAGTTTCTGCAAAAAGAGTGTTTCAAAACTGCTCAATGAAATGTTATGTTCAACTCTGTGAGTTGAATACAAATATCACAAAGAAGTTTCTGAGAATCCTTCTGTCTAGTTTCTATGGGAAGATATTTCCTTTTCCACCTTGGGCCTCAAAGCGCTCCAAATGTCCACTTGCAGATTCTACAAAAAGAGTGTTTCAAACCTGCTCTCTCAAAAGAAAGTTTCAACTCTGTGAGTTGAAGGCACACATCACAAAGAAGTTTGTGAGAATGCTTCTGTCTAGTGTTTATGTGAATATATTTCCGTTTCAAACGAAGGCCTCAAAGCAGTAAAAATATCCACTTGAAAATTCTCCAAAAGACTGTTTCAAAACTGCTCTATCAAAAGAAAGGTTCAACTCTGTGAGTTGAATGTACACATCGCAAAGAAGTTAATGAGAATGCTGCTGTCTAATTTTTATGTAAATATATTCCCGTTTCCAACGAAGGCCTCAAAGCGGTCCAAATATCCACTTACAGTTTCTACTAAAAGAGTGTTTCAAAACTGCTTTATCATAAGGTATGTTCAACTCTGTGAGTTGAATGCAAACATCAGAAAGAAGTTTCTGAGAATACTTCTGTCTAGTTTTTATGTGAACATATTTCCTTTTCCACCATAGGCCTCAAAGTGCTCCAAAAGTTCACTTACGGATTCTACAAAAACAGTGTTTCTTTTTTTTTTTTTTTTTTTTTTTTTTTTTTTTATTGATCATTCTTGGCTGTTTCTCACAGAAGGGGATTTGGCAGGGTCATAGGACAATAGTGGAGGGAAGGTCAGCAGATAAACAAGTGAACAAAGGTCTCTGGTTTTCCTAGGCAGAGGACCCTGCGGCCTTCCGCAATGTTTGTGTCCCTGGGTACTTAAGATTAGGGAGTGGTGATGACTCTTAATGAGCATGCTGCCTTCAAGCATCTGTTTAACAAAGCACATCTTGGACCGCCCTTAATCCATTTAACACTGAGTGGACACAGCACATGTTTCAGAGAGCACAGGGTTGGGGGTAAGGTCACAGATCAACAGGATCCCAAGGCAGAAGAATTTTTCCCAGTACAGAACAAAATGAAAAGTCTCCCATGTCTACTTCTATCCACACAGACCCGGCAACCATCCGATTTCTCAATTTTTTCCCCAACCTTCCCGCCTTTCTATTCCACAAAACCGCCATTGTCATCATGGCCCATCCCCAGTGAGCCGCTGGGCACACCTCCCAGACGGGGTCATGGCCGGGCAGAGGGGCTCCTCACTTCCCAGTAGGGGCGGCCGGGCAGAAGCGCCCCTCACCTCCCGGATGGGGCGGCTGGCCGGGCGGGGGGCTGACCCCCCCACCACCCTCCCGGACGGGGCGGCTGGCCAGGCAGAGGGGCTCCTCACTTCCCAGTAGGGGTGGCCGGGCAGAGGCGCCCCTCACCTCCCAGATAGGGCGGCTGGCCGGGTGGGGGGCTGACCCCCCGACCTCCCTCCCGGACGGGGCGGCTGGCCGACCCCCCCCCCCGCCTCCCTCCCGGACAGGGTGGCTGGCCGGGCAGAGGGGCTCCTCACTTCCCAGTAGGGGCGGCCAGGCAGAGGCGCCCCTCACCTCCCGGACGGGGCGGCTGGCCAGGCGGGGGGCTGATCCCCCCACCTCCCTCCCAGACGGGGCGGCTGGCTGGGCAGGGGGCTGACTCCCCCTCCCCCCTCCCGGACGGGGCGGCTGGCCGGGCGGGGGGCTGACCCCCCCACCTCCCTCCCGGACGGGGCGGCTGGCCGGGCAGAGGGGCTCCTCACTTCCCAGTAGGGGCGGCCGGGCAGAGGCGCCCCTCACCTCCCGGACGGGGCGGCTGGCCAGGCAGGGGGCTGATCCCCCCACCTCCCTCCCGGACGGGGCGGCTGGCCGGGCGGGGGGCTGAACCCCCCACCTCCCTCCCGGACTGGGCGGCTGGCCGGGCGGGGGGCTGATCCCCCCACCTCCCTCCCAGACTGGGCGGCTGGCCGGGCGGGGGGCTGACCCCCCCACCTCCCTCCCGGACGGGGTGGCTGGCCAGGCAGAGGGGCTCCTCACTTCCCAGTAGGGGCGGCCAGGCAGAGGCGCCCCTCACCTCCCGGACGGGGTGGCTGGCCAGGCGGGGGGCTGATCCCCCCACCTCCCTCCCGGACGGGGCGGCTGGCCGGGCAGGGGGCTGACCCCCCCTCCCCCCTCCCGGACTGGGCGGCTGGCCGGGCGGGGGGCTGACCCCCCCACCTCCCTCCTGGACGGGGCGACTGGCCGGGCAGAGGGGCTCCTCACTTCCCAGTAGGGGCGGCCGGGCAGAGGAGCCCCTCACCTCCCGGACGGGGCGGCTGGCCGGGCGGGGGGCTGACCCCCCCCCACCTCCCTCGCGGATGGGGTGGCTGCCGGGCGGAGATGCTCCTCACTTCCCAGACGGGGTGGCTGCTGGACGGAGGGGCTCCTCACTTCTCAGACGGGGCGGTTGCCAGGCAGAGGGTTTCCTCACTTCTCAGACGGGGCGGCCGGGCAGAGGCGCTCCTCACATCCCAGACAGGGCGGCGGGGCAGAGGTGCTCCCCACCTCTCAGACGATGGGCGGCCGGGCAGAGACGCTCCTCACTTCCTAGATGGGATGGCGGCCGGGAAGAGGAGCTCCTCGCTTCCTAGATGGGATGGCGGCCGGGCAGAGGCTCCTGACTTTCCAGACTGGGCAGCCAGGCAGAGGAGCTCCTCATATCCCAGACGATGGGCGGCCAGGCAGAGACGCTCCTCACTTCCCAGACGGGGTGGCGGCCGGGCAGAGGCTGCAATCTCGGCTCTTTGGGAGGTCAAGGCAGGCGGCTGGGAGGTGGAGGTTGTAGCGAGCCGAGATCACGCCACTGCACTCCAGCCTTGGCCCCATTGAGCACTGAGTGAACGAGACTCCGTCTGCAATCCCGGCACCTCGGGAGGCCGAGGCTGGCGGATCACTCGCGGTTAGGAGCTGGAGACCGGCCTGGCCAACACAGCGAAACCCCGTCTCCACCAAAAAAAAACGAAAACCAGTCAGGCGTGGCGACGCGCGCCTGCAATCACAGGCACTCGGCAGGCTGAGGCAGGAGAATCAGGCAGGGAGGTTGCAGTGAGCCGAGATCGCAGCAGTACAGTCCAGCTTTGGCTCGGCATCAGAGGGAGACCGTGGAAGGAGACCGTGGGGAGAGGGAGAGGGAGAGGGAGAGGGACAGGGAGAGGGAGAGGGAGAGGGACAGGGAGAGGGAGAGGGAGAGGGACAGGGAGAGGGAGAGGGAGAGGCCAAAAACAGTGTTTCAAACCTGCTCTGTCAAAAGAAAGGTTCAACACTGTGAGTTGAATGCACACAACACAAAGAAGTTTCTGAGAATGCTTCTACCTAATTTTTATATAAGGATATTCCCATTTCCAACGAAGGCCACTAAATGGTCAAAATATCCACTTGTAGATTCTACTAAAAGAGTGTATCAAAACTGCTCTATGATAAAGTATGTCCAACTCTGTGAGTTGAATGCAAACATCACAAAGAAGTTTCTGAGAATGCTTCTGTCTAGTTTTTATCTGAAGATGTTTCCTTTTCCACCATAGGCCTCAAGGCGCTCCAAATGTCCACTTGCAGATTCTGCAAAAAGAGTGTTTCAAACCTTCTCTATCAAAAGAAAGGTTCAACTCTGTGAGTTGAATGCACACATCACAAAGAAGTTTCTGAGAATAATTCTGTCTAGTGTTTATGTGACGATATTCCAGTTTCCAATGAAGTCCTCAAAGCGCTTCAAATATCCACATGCAGATTCTACAGAAAGAGTGTTTCAAAACTGCTCTATCAAAAAAAAGGTTCAACTCTGTCAGTTGAATACAAACATCAAAAAGAAGCCTCTGAGAATGCTTCTGCCTAGTTTTTATGTGAAGATATTTCCTTTCCCACCTTAGGCCTCAAAGCTCTCCAAATTTCCACTTGAAGATTCTACAAAATGATGGTTTCAAAACTGCTCTATGATAAGGTATGTTCAACTCTGTCAGTTGAAGGCAAACATCACAAGATGTTTCTGAGAATTATTCTCTCTAGTTTTTATTGGAAGATATTTCCTTTTCCACCGTAGGGCTTAAAGCCCTCCAAATGTCCACTTGCAGATTATACAAAAAGAGTGTTTCAAACCTGCTCTATCTAAAGAAAGCTTCAAATCTGTGAGTTGAATGCACACAGCACAAAGAAGTTTCTGAGAAAGCTTCTGTCTAGTGATTACGTGAAGATATTCCTGTTTCCAGCGAAGGCTGGTAAGCAGTCCAAATATCCACTTGCAGATCCTGTGAAAAGAGTGTCTCAAAACTGCTCTATGATACAGTATGTCCAAATCTGTGAGTTGAAAGCAAACATCACAAAGAAGTTTCTGAGAATGCTTCTGTCTAGTTTTTATGTGAAGATACTCCCCTTTCCACCATAGGCCTCAAGGCACTCCAAATGTCCACTTGCAGATTCTGCAACAAGAGTGTTTCAACCTACTCTATCAAAAGAAAGGTTCAACTCTGTGAGTTGAATGCACACAGCACAAAGAAGTTTCTGAGAATGCTTCTGTCTGGTGTTTATGTGAAGATATTCCCGTTTCCAACGAAGGCCTCAAAGCGGTCCAAATGTCCATTTGCAGATTCCACAAAAAGAGTGTTTAAAATCAGCTCTATCAAAAGAAAGGTTTAACTCTGTTAGTTGAATGTACGCATCACAAAGAAGTTTTTGAGAATGCTGCTGTCTAATTTTTATGTGAAGATATTCCCATTTCCAATGAAGGCCTGAAAGCGTTCAAAATATCCACTTCCAGATTTTACTAAAAGAGTGTTTCAAAACTGCTCTATGATAAGGTATGTTCAACTCTGTGAGTTGAAGGCAAACATCACAAAGAAGTTTCTGAGAATGCTTCTGTCTAGTTTTTATGTGAATATAATTCCTTTTCTACCATAGGCCCCAAGGCGCTCCAAATGTCCACTTGGAGATTCTGCAAAAAGAGTGTTTCAAACCTGCTCTATCAAAAGAAATTATCAACTCTGTGAGTTGAATGCACACATCACAAAGAAGTTTCTGAGAATTTTTCTGTCTGGTTTTTATATAAAGATATTACCTTTTCCACCATAGGCCTCAAAGCTCTCTAAATATCTGCTCTCAGATTCTACAAAAAGAGTGTTTGAAAGCTGCTCTATGATAAGGTATGTTCAACTCTGTGAGTTGAATGCACACCTCAAAAAGAAGTTTCTGGGAATGCTTCTGTCTAGTGTTTATGTGAAGATATTCCCATTTCCAAAGAAGGCCTCAAAGCAGACCAAATATCCAATTGCAAATTCTACAAAAAGAGTGTTTCAAAGCTGCTGTATCAAAAGAAACGTTCAACTCTGTGAGTTGAATGCACACATCACAAAAAAGTTTCTGAGAATGCTTCTGTCTAGAGTTTATGTGAAGATATACCCGTTTCCAATGAAGACCTCAAACTGGTCCAAATATCCACATGCAGATTCTACAAAAAGAGGGTTTCTAAACTGCTCTATCAAAAGAAAGTTTCAACACTGTGAGTTGAATGCACACATCATAAAAAAGTTTCTGAGAATGCTTCTGTCTAGAGTTTATGTGAAGATATACCCGTTTCCAACGAAGACCTCAAACTGGTCCAAATATCCACATGCAGATTCTACAAAAAGAGGGTTTCTAAACTGCTTTATCAAAAGAAAGGTTCAACTCTGTGAGTTGAATGCACACATCACAAAAAAGTTTCTGAGAATGCTTCTGTCTAGAGTTTATGTGAAGATATACCCGTTTCCAATGAAGACCTCAAACTGGTTGAAATATCCACATGCAGATTCTACAAAAAGGGGGTTCTTAAACTGCTCTATAAAAAGAAAGGTTCAACTCTGTGACATGAATGTACACATCACAAAGTAGTTTCTGAGAAAACTTCTATCTAGTGATTATCTGAAGATATTCCGACTTCCAACGAATGCCTCAAAGCGGTCCGAATATCCACTTGCAGATTCTACTAAAAGAGTGTGTCAAAACTGCTCTATGATAAAGTATCTTCAACTCTGTGAGTTGAATGCGAACATCACAAAGAAGTTTCTGAAAATGATTCTGTCTATATTTTATGTGAGGACATTTCCTTTTCAACCATAGGTCTCAAATCTCTCCAAATGTCCACTTGCAGATTCTACAAAAACAGTGTTTCAAAACTGCTCTATCAAAAGAAAGGTTCAATTCTGTGAGGTGAATGCACACAGCACAAAGAAGTTTCTGAGAAAACTTCTCTCTAGAGATTATGTGAAGATATTCCCTTTTCCAACAAAAGCCTCAAAGTGGTCCAAATATCCACTCACAGATTCTACTAAAAGAGTGTTTCAAAACTGCTCTATGATAAAGTGTGTCCAACTCTGTGAGTGGAATGCTGACATCACAAAGAAGTTTCTGAGAATGCTTCTGTCTAGTTTTTATGTGAAGATATTTCCTTTTCCACCATAGGTCTCAAAGAGCTTCAAATGTCCACTTGCAGATTCGTCAAAAAGAGTGTTTCAAACCTGCCCTATCAAAAGAAAGGTTCAACTCTGTGAGTTGAATTCACACATCACAAAGAAGTTTCTGAGAATGCTTCTGTCTAGTGATTATGTGAAGATATCCCATTTCCAACGAATGCCTCGAAGCAGTCCAAATATGCAGTTGCAGATTCTACAAGAAGAGTGTTTCAAAACTGCTCTATCAAAAGAAAGGTTCAACTCTGTGAGTTGAATGTACACATCACAAAGAAGTTTCTGAGAATGCTTCTCTCTAGTTTTTATGTGAAGATGTACCCGATTCCAATGAAGGCCTCAATGCTTCTGTATAGGTTTTATGTGAAGATATTTCCTTTTCTACCACAGGCCTCAAGGCGCTCCAAAGGTCCACATGCAGATCCTACAAAAATAATGTTTCAAAGGTGCTCAATCAAAAGAAATGTTCAACTCTGTGAGATGACTGCACACATCACGAAGAAGTTTCTCAGAATGCTTCTGTATAGATCTTAAGTGAAGATATTTCCTTTTCCACCATAGGCCTCAAAGCGAACAAAATGTCCACTTGCAGATTCTACAAAAAGAGTGTTTCCAAACTGCTCAACCAAAAGTAAGATTCAACTCTGTGGGTTGAATGAAAACATCACAAAGAAGTTTCTCAGGATGCTTCTGTCTAGCTCTTATGTGAAGATATTTCCTTTTCCACCGTAGGCCTAAAAGTGCTCCAAATATCAACTTGCAGATTCTACAAAAAGAGAGTTTCAAGACTGCTCAATCAAAAGTAAGTTTCAATTCCCTGAGATGAATGCACACATCACAAAGAAGTTTGTCAGAATTCTTCTGTCTACTATTTAAGTGAAGATACTTCCTTTTCCACCATATGCCACAAAGTGCTCCAAATATCCACTTGCAGATTCTACAAAAAGAGTGTTTCAAAACTGCTCAATCAAAAGAAAGTTCAACTCTGTGAGATGAATGCCCACATCACAAAGAAATTTCTCTATGAAGATATTTCCTTTTCCACCATAGGCCTCAAAGTGTTCCAAATGTCCACTTGCAGATTCTACAAAAAGAGTGTTTCAAAGCTGCTCAATCAAAAGAAAGGTTCAACTCTGTGAGATTAATGCATACATCACAAAAAACTTTCTCAGAATGCTTCTGTCTAGTTATTATGTGAAGATATTTCATTTTTCACCTTAGGCCTCAAATCACTCCAAATGTCCACTTGCAGATGTTACAGAAAGAGTGTTTGAAAACTACACAATCGAAGGAAAGGTTCAACTCTCTGAGATGAATGCACACATCACAAAGAATTTGTCAGAATGCTTCTGTCTAATATTTATGTGAAGATATTTCCTTTTCCACCATAGGCCTCAAAGCACTCAAAATGTCCACTTGCAGATGCTACAAAAGGAGAGCTTCCAAACTGCTCACTCAAAAGAATTGATCAACTCTGTGAGATGAATGCATACATCACAAAGTAATTTGTCAGAATGCTTCTGTCTAATTTTTATGTGAACATATTTCCTTTTCCACTGTAGGCCTCAAACCACACAAAATGTCCATTTGCAGATAGCACCAAAAGGGTTTTTCAGAACTGCTTAATCAAAAGTAAGGTTCAACTCTGTGAGATGAATGCACATATCACAAATAGGTTTGTCAGAATGCTTCTACCTAGTTTTTTTTGTGAAGATATATCCTTTTCCACCTCAGGCCTCAAAGAGCTCCGCATGTCCCCTTACAGATTCTACAAAAAGAGTGTTTCCAAACTGCTCAATCAAAAGAAATGTTCAACTCTGTGAGATGAATGCACACATCACAAAGATGTTTCTCAGAATGCTTCTGTCTAGTGCTTATGTGAAGATGTTTCCTTTTCCACCATAGGCCTCAAAGCGCTCCAAATGTCCACTTGCAGATTCTGCAAAAAGAGTGTCTCAAAACTGCTCAATGAAAACAAAGGTTCAACTCTCTGTGATGAATACATACATCACAAAGAATTTTCTCAGGATGATTATATCTAGTTTTTATGGGAAGATATTTCTTTTTCCACCATAGGCCACACAGCTCTCCAAATGTCCACTTGCAGATTCTACAAAAAGAGTGATTCAAACCTGCTCAATACAAAGAAATGTTCAACTCTGTGAGATGAATGCACACATCACAAAGAAGTTGCTCAGAAAGCTTCTGTCTAGTTTTTATGTGAAGATATTTCCTTTTCACCATAGGCCTCAAAGCACTCCAAATGTCCACTTGCAGATCAACAAAAAGAGAGTTTCCAAACTATTCAATCAAAAGAAAGGTTCAGCTCTGTGAGATGAATGCACACATCGCAAAGAAAGTTGTCAGAATGTTTCTGTCTAGTTTTTATGTGAAGATATTTCCTTTTCCACCATATGCCTCAAAGCACTCCAAATGTCCACTTGCAGATAGTACAAAAAGGGTGTTTCAAAAATGCTTAATCAAAAGGAAGGTTCAACTCCATGATATGAATGCACATATCACAAAGTAGTTTGACAGAATGCTTCTGTCTTTTTTTTGTGTGAAGATATTTCCTTTTTGACCATAGACCTCAAAGAGCTCCAAATGTTCACTTGCAGAATCTACAAAAAGAGTGTTTCCAAACTTCTGAATCAAAAGAAAGGTTCAACTCTGTGAGACGAATGCACAGATCACAAACAAGTTTCTCAGAATGCCTCTGTCTAGTTTTTATGTAAAGATATTTCCTTTTCCAACATAGGCCTCAAAGCTCTCTAAATATCCACTTGCCGATTCTACAAAAAGAGTGTTTCAAAACTGCTCAATTAAAAGGAAGGTTCAATTCTGTGACATGAATACACCAATCGCAAAGAAATTTGTCAGAATGTTTCTGTATAGTTTTTATGTGAAGATATTTCCTTTTCCACCATAGGTCTCAAAGTGCTCCAAATATCCACTTGCAGATTCTACAAAAAGAGTGTTTCAAAGCTGCTCAATCAAAAGAAATGTTCAACTCTATGAGATGAATGCACACATCACAAAGTAGTTTCACAGAATGCTTCTGTCTAGTTTTTAAGTGAATATATTTCGTTATTGACCATCACCCTCAAAGTACTCCAAATGTCCATTTACAGATTCTACAAAAAGAGTGTTTCAAAGCTGCTTAATCAAAAGAAATGTTCAACTATGTGAGATGAATGCACACATCAGAAAGAATTTTCTAAGAAAGATTCTGTCTAGTTTTTATGGGAAGTTACTTCCTTTTCCACCATAGGCTTCAAAGCCCTCCAAATGTCCATTGCAGATTCTACAAAAACAGTGTTTCAAAACTGCTCAATGAAAAGAAATGTTCAACTCTGTGAGATGAATGCACACATCACAAAGAAGTTTCACAGAATGCTTCTGTCTAGTTTTTATGTGAAGGTATTTCCTTTTCCACCGTAGGACAGAAAGAGCTCAAAATGTTCACTTGCAGAGTCTAAAAAAGAGTTTTTCAAAGCTGCTCAATCAAAAGTATGGTTCAACTCTGTAAGATAAATGCACACAACACAAAGAAGTTTCTCAGAATGCTTCCGCCTAGTTGTTAAGTGAAGATATTTCCTTCTCCACCATATGCCTCAAAGCACACCAAATGTCCCTTGCGGGTTCTACAAAAAGAGTGTTTCAAAATTGCTCAGTCAAAAGAAAGGTTCAACTCTGTGAGTTGAATGCACACATCACAAAGAAGCTTGTGAGAATGTTTCTGTATAGTATTTATGTGAAGATAATTCCTTTTCCACCATAGGCCTCAAATCGCTCCAAATGTCCACTTGCAGAGTGTTTCAAAGCTGCTCAATCTAAGGAGAAGTTCAACTCTGTGTGATGAATGCACGCATCACAAAGAAGTTTCTCAGAATGCTTTTGTCTAGTTATAATGAGAAGATTTTTTTTTCCACCATAGGCCTCAAAGACCTCCAAATGTCCACTTGCTGCTCCTATAAAAAGAGGGTTTCAAAACTGCTCAATTGAAAGTTATGTTAAACTCTGTGAGATGAATGCATACATCATGAAGAAGTTTCTCAGAATTCTTCTTTCTAGTTTTTATATGAAGATATTTCGTTTTCCACCACAGGCTGCAAATCGCTCCAAATGTCCAATTGCAGATTCTACAAAACGATTGTTTCAAAACTGTTCAATCAAAAGAAAGTTACAACTCTGTGAGATGAATTCACACATCACAAAGGAGTTTGTCAGAATGCTTCTGTCTAGTTTTTATGTGAGGACATTTCCTTTTCCACCATAGGCTACAAAGAGCTCCAAATGTCCACTTGCAGAGTCTACAAAAAGAGTTTTTCAAAGATGCTCAAAGAAAAGAAAGGTTCAACTCTGTGAAATGAATGCACCCATCACAAAGAAGTTTCTCAGAATTATTCTGTCTAGTACTTAAGTGAAGATTGTTTTCCCCCATAGGCCTCAAAGCACTCCAATTGTCCACTAGCAGATTCTACAAAAAGAGAGTTTCCAAGTTGCTCAATCAAAAGAAAGATTCAACACTGTCAGATGAATGGACACATCACAAAGAAGTTTCTCAGAATGTTTCTGAACAGTTTTTATGTGAAGAAATTTCCATTTCCACCATAGTCCACAAAGTGCTCCAAATGTCCACTTGGAGATTCTACAAAAAGAGTGTGTCAAAACTGCTCAATCAAAAGAAAGTTTCAACTCTGTGAGATGCATGCACATATCACAAAGAACTTTCTCAGAATGCTTCTGTCTAATTATAATAGGAAAATATTTTGTTTTCTGCCTTAGGCCTCAAAGCTCTCCAAATGTCCACTTGCAGACCCTTTTCCACCATAGGCCTCAAAGAGCTTCAAATATCCACCTGCAGATTCTGCAAAAAGAATATTTGAAAGCAGCTAAATAAAAAAAAAATGTTCAACACTGTGAGATGAATGCACACATCACAAAGGAGCTTCTCAAAATGCCTCTGTCTAGTTTTTATGTGAAGATATTTCCTTTTCCACCATAGGCTGCCAAGCGTTAAAAATATCCACTTGCAGATTCTACAAAAAGAGTGTTTCCAAACTGCTCAATCTAAAGCATGTTTGAACTCTGTGAGATGAATGCACACATCACAAAGAAGTTTGTCGGAATGATTCTGTCTAGTTTTTATGTGAAGATATTTCCTTTTCCACCTTAGGCCACAAAGCGCACTAAATGTCCACTTGCAGATTCTACAAAAAGAGTGTTTCAAAACTGCTCAATGAAAAGAAAGGTTCAACTCTGTGAGATGAATGCACACATCACAAAGAAGTTTCAGAGAATGCTTCTGTGTAGTTTTTATGTGAAGATATTTCCTTTTCCACCATAGGCCCCAAAGAGCTCCAAATGTCCACTTGCAGATTCTACAAGAAGAGGGTTTCAAAACTGCTCAATCAAAAGTAAAGTTCAACTCTGTGAGATGAATGCACACATCAAAAAGAAGTTTCTCACAATGCGTCTGTCTAGTTGTTATGTGAAGATATTTCTTTTTCCACCACTGGCCTCAGAGCACTCCAAATATCCTTTTGCAGATTCTACAAAAAGAGTGTTTAAAAACTGCTCAATCAAAGGTAAGGTTCAACTCTGTGAGATGAATGCATATATCACACAGAAGTTTCTCAGAATGCTTCTGTCTACTTTTTACGTGAAAATATTTCCTTTTCCACCAGAAGACTCAAAGCGCTCAAAATAACCACTGGCAGATTATACATAAAGAGTGTTTCAAAACTGCTCAATCAAAAGAAAGGTTCAACTCTGTGAGATGAATGCACACACCCCAAAGAAGTTTCTCAGAATGCTTCTGTCTAGTTTTTATGTGAAGGTATTTCCTTTTCCACCATAGGCCTCAAAGCGCTTCAAATATCCACTTGCAGATTCTGCAAAAAGAATATTTGAAAGCAGCTAAATCAAAAGAAATGTTAAGCACTGTGAGATGAATGCACACATCACAAAGGAGCTTCTCAAAATGCCTCTGTCTAGTTTTTATGTGAAGATATTTCCTTTTCCACCATAGGCTGTCAAGTGTTAAAAATATCCACTTGCAGATTCCACAAAAAGAGTGTTTCAAAACTTCTCAATCAAAAGAAAGGTTCAACTCTGTGAGATGAATGCACACATCACAAAGAAGTTTCTCAGAATGCTTCTGTGTAGTTTTTAGGTGAAGATATTTCCCTTTCCACCATAGGCCCCAAAGGGCTCCAAATATCCACTTGCAGATACTACAAAAAGTGTTTTTCAAAACTGCTGAATCCAAAGAAATGTTCAACTTTGTGAGATGAATGCACACATCAGAAAGAAATTACACAGACTGCTTCTGTGTTGTTTTTAGGTGAAGATATTTCAGTTTCCACCATAGGTCTTGAAGCCCTCCAAATATCCACTTGCTCATTCCACAAAAAGTGTGCTTCAAATCTGCTCAATCAAAAGAAAGTTTCAATTCTGTGAGATGAATGCACACATCACAAAGTAGTTTCTCAGAATGCTTCTGTCCAGTTTTTATGTGAAGATATTTCTTTCTCCACCATAGACCTTAAGGCGCTCCAAATATCCACTTGCAGATTTTACAAAAAGAGTGTTTCAAACTGCTCAATCAAAAGAAAGTTTCAACTCTGTGTGTTGAATGCACAAATCACAAAGAAGTTTCTCAGAATGCTTCCATCCAGTTTTTATGTGAAGATGTTTCCTTTTACCACCATTGGCCGCAAAGCGCTCCAAATATCCACTTGCAGATTCTACAAAAAGAGTGTTTCAAAACTGCTCAATCAAAAGAAAGGTTCATCTCTGAGACATGAATGCACACATCACAAAGGAGTTTCTCAGAAGGCTTCTGTCTAGTTTTTATGTGAAGATATTTCCGTTTCCACTATAGGCCGCAAAGCGCTCCAAATATCCACTTGCAGATTCTACAAAAAGAGATTTTCCAAACTCCTCAATCAAAAGAAAGTTTAAACTCTGTGAGTTGAATGCACACATCATGAAGAAGTTTCTCAGAATGTTTCTGTCTAGTTTTTAATTGAAGATACTTCCTTTTCCACCATTGAGCTCAAAGCACTCCAAGTATCCACTCGCAGATTCTACAAAAAGAGTGTTTCAAAACTGCTCAATCAAAACAAAGTTTCAACTCTGTGAGATGAATGCACACATCACAAAGAAGTTTCTCAGAATGCTTCTGTCTAGTATTTATGTGAAGATATTTCCTTTTCTACAATAGGCCTCAAAACGCTCCAAATATCCACTTGCAAATACTACACAAAGATTGTTTCAAAACTGCTCAATCAAAAGAAATCTTCAACTATGTGAGTTGAATGCACACATCACAAAGAACTTTCTCAGAACGCTTCTGTGTAGTTTTTATTTGAAGATATTTCCTTTTCTACCACAGGCCCCAAACTGATCCAAATATCCACATGCAGATCCTTCAAAAGAAGTGTTTCAAAACTGTTCAATCAAAAGAAAGGTTCAGTTCTGTGAGATGAATGCACACATCACAAAGAAGTTTCTCAGAAGGCATTTGTGTAGTTTTTATGTGCAGATGTTTCCTTTTCCTCCATAGGCCTCAAATCGCTCCGAATGTCCACTTGCAGATTCTACAAAAAGAGTGTTTCAAAGCTGCTCAATCAAAAGAAATGTTCAGCTCTGTGAGATGAATGCACACATCACAAAGAAGTTTCTCAGAATGCTTCTGTCTAGTTTTTAAGGGAAGATATTTCCCTTTCCTCTAGAGGTCCCAAAGCCCTCCAACTTTGCAGATACTACAAAAAGAGTGTTTCAAAACTGCTCAATTAAAAGAATATTTCAACTCTGTGAGTTGAATTCACACATCACAAAGAAGTTTCTCAGAATGCTTCTGTCTAGTTTTTATGTGAAGATATTTCCTTTTCCACCATAGGCCCCAAAGCACTCAAAATATCCACTTGCAGATTCTACAAAAAGAGTGTTTCAAAACTGCTCAATCAAGAGAACATTCAACTCTGTGAGATTAATGCACAGATCACAGAGGAGTTTCTCAGAATGCTTCTGTCTGGTTTTGATGTGAAGATATTTACTTTTCCACCATAGGCTGTAAAGCGCTCCAAATATCCACTTGCAGACACTACAAAAAGAGTATTTCAAAAGTGCTAAATCAAAAGAAAAGTTCAACTCTGTGAGGTGAATGCACACATCACAAAGAAGTTTCTCAGAATGCTTCTTTCTTGTCTTTATGTGAAGATATTTCCTTTTCCATTCAGAACCTCATAGCAGTGTTCTGTAATCCTGTGTGAGGGACAAACACTCAGAATCCAGCCACTGTGTACTGGAATCCTATCTGAGGGCACACATTTAAAATCCAGATGTAGTCTCCTTGCTTTAGTGAATACACTTATCTCCTTTTCCTGCTATACATTTAGGAAAATTATTTTTCTGTATCTTAAATAAATGGTAAATAGCTGAAATTTCTTACTTTTTCCAGGCAGAGTGTCTTCACTATTTAGCTGTAGAAGTATAACTATTTTTGTCTGTGTCATAATTTTGTACTCAGGAACCCTGGCCATGTCACTAGCCAAATGGACATAACTTATGGAATACATGGACAGCATCCGGTTGATATGCTCCAGAGAAAAATAGCAGCTACCATAGACTTCAGGAAAGACACATCGAGCAAATGACAAAAATGTGGGTTTCCTAACTTCAGGGAGTCTAAGAATGCAGTAGAAAGTGATGTGGAGCAAACATCTTTCAAATGGAAGGAAGGGATAGGGAAAGGAAAACTGTTAGAGGCTCTTTTGAATGTTAGAGGCAACATAAAACATATTTGGATGTGTATTCTAAATAAAATGCAAATGTTAAGAAGGATGTCAGCTGTGAGTGGGACTCAGAGAAAGAGAAACGTTTTGGACTACAGAGGCCTGCAGTACAAGTGGATCTACAATTCTGTTTAGGGAATCCAATGCCTCAGGTATCTATGAGAGGCAGAATTTTCCTATGGAGCCAGCGGCAAGGCTCCAGAGGAGAAATACAGTAGAAGCCACTTTATTTTGGAGTAAAAGCCTTTTGTACAAAAATTACCCGCCCCCTCCTTTTTTGAGAAACAATTTCACATTGGGATACTAATAAGAAGGAATGCTCAATCATGAATAAGGGTGACCCCGTTGTGATCTGAGCATTATAGTATCATACTAACTACAACCAGTCTTCCATCATTCCATGGAAATTGCATGTATGCCACGTTGCCTTCTCAGTTTCCAAGGGACCAATTAATGAACAGGCTACTCACATTTTCAGCATCCTACTCCTGACACACTCCCACCCTTCTTTCCATTTATCTGTGATTCATAGAGATTTGCCTATGACTGGATTCCTGAGGAGGAAAAAGTCTGGATTACAGATGGCATTCCTTGTTATGGAAGGCCCTTCCTTCTGAAAGTCTATTTCTATCATGTTCTTTCCCTGTGCTGTCAAAGGGTCACCCCTTTGTACAAAGGAGAAGAGAAATCCATCAAGTAAATAAAATTTCATTTACCTTTGTAAAAAATACTTCTACCAATTCACGTGGAGGACCTTATGGTTTGGTCCGATAATCAGAGATTTGAAAGAACCTGATATTGTTGGCCAGCAGATTAGAAAAGAGTTATTAGAGAGAGATGGCTCAAGTGATAATAACTGTGTGCCTTGTGAATGCTCACCTAAACCAAAGATCACTGAAGATAATGTATTTTACCATAATGTTTTAATCTCAGGTAAATGCCAATTAGGAGACAAACACTTGTTTATCTCCTGATTGGTATTGATTTGAATTAAGCTGTCTGCCATTTGGAGAAATTTAAATGCTATTTTAAACACACAGTCTTGTTACTTGAGTTATTTATGATCTTAAGCGGCTCCCCTCCTTTTGTGGGTTAGATTGTGTCTTCAAAAAGAAAATATATATATTAGAGTTCTAGCCCCTGATGTCTGTGAGGGTATGACTTAATTTGAAATCAAATTATTTGCAGATGCTGTATAATTATGATATGCTAGATGAGCTCATAATGCATTAGAGTGGGCCATAATTCAGTATGGTTGATATCCTCATAAGAAGGGAAGAGGAAACAGAGACGCAGGGAGGAGATGGCCATGTGAGGATGGAGGTAGAGAATAAAGTGAGGTATCCTCCAGCCAAGCAATGACAATGAAGCTCAGTGATCACCCGGTGCTAGAAGAAGCAAGAAAGGATTTTTTCCCAGGTCCTTCAGAGAAAAATGCAGCACTGCTAACTCCTTCATTTAAGATTTCTAGCTTCCTGAACCGTAAAAGAATAACTTTATCTCATTTTAAGCCACCTAATGTGAACCACTTTGTCACAGCAGATGTAGGAAATTACACCTCCTTAAAGAATGCAGAATCCTGGCCCGTGCTTGCCTCATACCTATTGAATGAGAATCTAAGGGCTCTAGAATCTGCATTTTGAAACTAATACATAATACACAAAGAGAACTCACTAAGTACTCTACATGCACTTCATCCTCACAAGCCATGAAGTAGTTTACTATTATAATTCTCATTTTACATATGGGAAACTGGAGCATTAAAAGATTAAGTAATTTGTCTACAGTCACTCATATAACCAGAAAGTGGAAGAGCTGGGATTAAATACCAGTTCCAGACATCCTGATATCCTGGGTTCAGACAACACACACTTAGCAACTATTACACACTTAGCATTATTATTATTATTATTTTAATCAACATCTCCACCTTCTTAAGCACTCAAAAGTTGAAATCCAGTGGTGTGTTGCTGTTTCCATTCGTAGCAAGTTATAGCCACAATCATAAATTACACTTCCTCCAAAAGAGTGTACTGACTTCTCATCTCTTTTTAAAATCCCTTCCGTCCTTCTTTTCTTTCTTCTCTTCTCTTTTCTTTTCTCTTTTCTTTCTCTTGCTCTGTCACCCATGCTGGAGTGCAGTGGCATCATCTCGGCTCACTGCGACCTCCACCTCCCGGGTTCAAGTGATTCTCCTGTCTCAGCCTCCCAAGTAGCTAGGATTACAGGCGCCCAACACCATGCCCGTTTAATTTTTGTATTTTTAGTAGAGATGGGGTTTCACATCTTGGCCAGGCTGGTCTTGAACTGCTGATGTTGTGATCCATCCACCTCAGCCTCCCAAAGTGCTGGGATTACAGGCATGAGCCACTGTGCCCAGCCTCTTTCACCCATTGAAATCTCATTTCAACAATTACCATCTTTTTTGAGTGGTATTTTTGAAGTTATAAATGAATTCCCTATAATACATAGTGAGAATATTTATGGGAGCTTCCTAATTGACCTTTCTAAACATTCTGCATTGCTTCTCATTTCCTTCTTTAAATTTCCTTCTACCTTGACTTCCTTAAGACCACTCAATGTTGGCCCCATGCTTTCATTTTTTCTTTTATTTTTTTCTTTCTTTTTTTTCTTTTTTTCTTTTTTCTTTTTTTTTTTTGAGACGAAGTTTCCCTCTTTTCACCCAGGCTGGAGTGCAACAGTGTGATCTCAGCTCACTGCAACCTCCGCCTCCCAGGTTCAAGAGACTCTCCTGCCTCAGCCTCCCGAGTAGCTGCGATTACAAGCATGTGCCACCATGCCCAGCTAATTTTGTATTTTTAGTAGAGGTGGGGTTTCTTCATGTTGGTCAGGCTGGTCTCACCTCAGGTGATCCGCCCGCCTCGGCCTCCCAAAGTGCTGGGATTATAGGCATGAGCCACAATGCCCAGCCCATGCTTTCTTTTTAATAACTCCTTGCTGCCTAGTTTTTTCACGTCCACTGTGTAAGTACTAGTCTTAATGGGTATTTCTTTTCTTACTATTCTGCACCAATGTTTCCCTGATTGACAATAGTTTTCCTGAAATGTATTCTTGGAATGGAATTCTATGATACGCTTAGAAAATTCTGCATACCTTATACTTCAGAATGTGTATGTAAAAGACTCCAGTAAATGATCCAGGGAAGCAAAAATATTTGTGTGTTTTGCGAGTTGTATTCATATGTGTATAAAATTCCCACAGCACTTTGGATAACAATGCTCTGCACACTTTTCCTGTGCTCCTTTTATCCATTCCCACACTTCCAGCATTTCCTTTGATGTTTGATTTTCTTTATTTTTTTTTACTCCAATATTTTCCTGTAGGTTTCAAACCTATATTTTAAAATGTCAACTGATTCTCCCCCTCTGTCTTCACCACCTGCATCTCAAATTTGACATAGCCATAAACACATTTTATATTTTGGCAAATAAATCTATTTCTTTTAAAGCATTGCCCATCTCATCTAACGATGATAATATCAAGCCAGTGGCCAAGAAAATTTAGAGTATATATACCTTGACTCTTCCTTCTAAATGAATTATTAAGTTCAGCTGTTTCTACCTTGAATTACCTTTCTATTCTGCCATTTCTCTTCTGTGTTGCTGCTAATGTTTTAATTTAGTCATTCATCACATCATGCCTGTACTGCTGGAATAATCTTGACTATTCTTTCTGACTTTTTCTTCTAACTGCATCTCAAAAACTTCTATCTAGAATGAAAATAAGTATATATATATACTATATATACATATATACATACTATATATACATACATACATACACACTATATGTATGTATATAGTATAAGTATAGACATGCTATATACTATATATATATGCTATATATTTATATACACACACACCCACTATGCTTTTAAAAATTGTTTACTTATGTCCCATCATTGAAGGGTAAAATACAAAATCACTGATATTGAGAGACATTCTCCTCAATCATTTAACATTTTCCTTCACAAACCTGTGCTGTAGCCACACCCAGAACAGGTTATGTTCCTTCAAAGATACACACACTTTTCTATTACTCTCCTTTTACTCCTTCTGTTCTGTCTGCTTAGACCATTTTTTACTTGTTTTCTGTCTATCTTCATTCATTTTTCAGGATCCAATTAAAATATTGATACAAAGGCTGAGATCTTTATATCTTCTCTTATTTAAATTCCTGGAGCACCAGATAACTTCCTCTATTATAATTCTTACTGTATACAACCATAACTCTCATTTGAAAACAATGAATACATAATTATAAAATCAGATATATCATAAAATGATTGGTATCAATATGTGAAAAAAATCTTCAATGTTGAAAGTACAAGATTACAAGCCATCTGAAAGTATCTAAACATCAATCAGAGAAAAATGCTCATCATTTTTTGATGAAACCAAAAGTAAGAGAATTTGGTATTAATCTACTACATCATTGGTAAATTACATATTAATTATTGTGAGAAAGAAATAATTGATGGAATTTAAAGAAAATCGGTTTTCCTTTATTTTTATTATTCTACCTAAAAGTATTATATCTAATTAAAATAATGATTTTAAAATTATCCCAAGTATGTCATCACACTAATATCCATTGTATTTAATTTCTCAACTGAGAAATTGTATTCAATTGTATTCAGTTTCTCTACTGAAAAATTAATATGAAAGCAATCACATAGCATTCAGAAATTAATAAATATTTAAAGAAATTAAACAGCATTAGATTTTCTTGTTGTAAAATTTTTTTCTTCTCTCAGTATGGCTTATGTCTCATTGTTTCTATTGAACATAGTGCAATTCAAGTATTAATACAGCACCTTTATAAAAGTTGTGAATCTCAGAAATGAACAAGCTTACCTCCCTAGTTATTTATTAAAAGTTACAAGTCACTTTTTTTTAACTTCCTAATAATCTTAGAGGGGTATATTTTGTGTTTTTGTTTGCTATATCTTTTATAAAGAAGATCCCTAATGATTTGAAAGTTAGAACCAATTTTCTGAAGGATTGAGCCAAGCTCCTTGAACTTGTGTGTTTGTGGGTGGCACACTATGTCTTTTGCAGACCCAGTACCTACCCCTTGGTCTAGAACATATTTTCCTCCACCTGCCTTTTAAGTTTTTATTTCAGCAGGGGTGGGTGGTTTGTGGTTGACCGAAAATAGAACGGGCTACAAAAGCCCTTCCTGTTTGATATTGAATCTGCTATTTGAGTCCCCCTTACATTATGAACTGACTGTTAATTAACACATTTGGTAAGAGAATATCCTGATCTGCTTTGCATGTGAGGCTCTCCCAGTAATAAACACCATAATCAAACAAGATTTTAATTTCTCTATGCCCTGTTAGAAATTCAGATACAATTCAAGTCATCATCATCTTGGAAATTTTAAGTTGCATTCCGATGTCGTCTCTGTTCTGGCCATTGTGCAATGGGCCTTCAAATGTTGTAGTAGAGGCCAACTGATATTCCATTGTCATTCATTTATACACAGGTATATATATGGTGTGTGTACGCAAATATATATATAAATATTCATATATGTGTACATGTGTACATACATACATATGGAGGTAATACAAGTTTGCATTGTTTTTAAAATTTTTTTACCCAAATTAACAATGACTCTATTGCATATCTTTATTGGTTATATCACATTTATATAAATAAATTTATATCAGTGAGAATTTTCAAGTAAGTGAAATTTGAATTGGATTCAGGGTTTTATTTTTTTGAAATTTCTGATTAAAATTACTTGATTTTTTAAATTTTATCTTAAAATATTCAAGTCCCATTTGTAAAAAAAAAGAGGATAAAAATGAAGTGTCTTTATGAGTCACAAATTTTTATTTTACTTTAATAATTGTTAAAATAATATTTTTTCCATGAGGCATTTTATAATGCCCTCTTTATTTATTTATTTTTTTGGTGATGTACTTTTTTATGTTTATTATTATACTTTAAGTTTTAGGGTACATGTGCACAATGTGCAGGTTAGTTACATATGTATACATGTGCCATGCTGGTGCACTGCACCCACTAACTCGTCATCTAGCATTAGGTATACTCCCAATGCTATCCCTCCCCCCTGCCTCCACCCCACAACAGGCCCCAGTGTGTGATGTTCCCCTTCCTGTGTCCATGTGTTCTCATTGTTCAATTCCCACCTATGAGTGAGAATATGCGGTGTTTGGTTTTTTGTTCTTGCGATAGTTTACTGAGAATGATGGTTTCCAATTTCATCCATGTCCCTACAAAGGACATGAACTCATCAATTTTTATGGCTGCATAGTATTCCGTGGTGTATATGTGCCACATTTTCTTAATCCAGTCTATCATTATTGGACATTTGGGTTGGTTCCAAGTCTTTGCTATTGTGAATAATGCCACAATAAACATACGTGTGCATGTGTCTTTGTAGCTGCATGATTTATAGTCCTTTGGGTATATACCCAGTAATGGGATGGCTGGGTCAAATGGTATTTCTAGTTCTAGATCTCTGAGGAATCACCACACTGACTTCCACAGTGGTTGAACTAGTTTACAGTCCCACCAACAGTGTAAAAGTGTTCCTATTTCTCCACATCCTCTCCAGCACCTGTTGTTTCCTGACTTTTTAATGATTGCCATTCTAACTGGTGTGAGAAGGTATCTCATTGTGGTTTTGATTTGCATTTCTCTGATGGCCAGTGATGATGAGCATTTTTTCATGTGTTTTTTGCCTGCATAAATGTCTTCTTTTGAGAAGTGTCTGTTCATGTCCTTTGCCCACTTTTTGATGGGGTTGTTTTTTTCTTGTAAATTTGTTTGAGTTCATTGTAGATTCTGGATATTAGTCCTTTGTCAGATGAGTAGGTTGCGAAAATTTTCTCCCATTTTGTAGGTTGCCTGTTCACTCTGATGGTAGTTTCTTTTGCTGTGCAGAAGCTCTTCAGTTTAATTAGATCCCATTTGTCAATGTTGGCTTTGGTTGCCATTGCTTTTGGTGTTTTAGACATGAAGTCCTTGCCCATGCCTATGTCCTGAATGGTAAAGCCTAGGTTTTCTTCTAGGGTTTTTATGGTTTTAGGTCTAACATTTAAGTCTTTAATACATCTTGAATTGATTTTTGTATAAGGTGTAAGGAAGGGATCCAGTTTCAGCTTTCTACATATGGCTAGCCAGTTTTCCCAGAACCATTTATTAAATAGGGAATCCTTTCCCCATTGCTTGTTTTTCTCAGGTTTGTCAAAGATCAGATAGTTGTAGATATGTGGCATCATTTCTGAGGACTCTGTTCTGTTCCATTGATCTATATCTCTGTTTTGGTACCAGTACCATGCTGTTTTGGTTACTGCAGCCTTCTAGCATAGTTTGAAGTCAGGTAGTGTGATGCCTCCAGCTTTGTTCTTTTGGCTTAGGATTGACTTGGCGATGCGGGCTCTTTTTTGGTTCCATATGAACTTTAAAGTAGTTTTTTCCAATTCTGTGAAGAAAGTCATTGGTAGCTTGATGGGGATGGCATTGAATGTGTAAATTACCTTGGGCAGTATGGCCATTTTCACGATATTGATTCTTCCTACCCATGAGCATGGAATGTTCTTCCATTTGTTTGTATCCCCTTTTATTTCCTTGAGCAGTGGTTTGTAGTTCTCCTTGAAGAGGTACTTCACATCCCTTGTAAGTCCGATTCCTAGGTATTTTATTCTCTTTGAAGCAATTGTGAATGGGAATTCACTCATGATTTGGCTCTCTGTTTGTTTGTTGTTGGTGTATAAGAATGCTTGTGATTTTTGTACATTGATTTTGTATCCTGAGACTTTGCTGAAGTTGCTTATCAGCTTAAGGAGATTTTGGGCTGAGACAATGGGATTTTCTAGACATACAATCATGTCATCTGCAAACAGGGACAATTTGACTTCCTCTTTTCCTAATTGAATACCCTTTATTTCCTTCTCCTGCCTGATTGCCCTGGCCAGAACTTCCATCACTATGTTGAATAGGAGTGGTGAGAGAGGGCATCCCTGTCTTGTGCCAGTTTTCAAAGGGAATGCTTCCAGTTTTTGCCCATTCAGTATGATATTGGCTGTGGGTTTGTCATAGATAGCTCTTATTATTTTGAAATACGTCCCATCAATACCTAATTTATTGAGAGTTTTTAGCATGAAGGGTTGTTGAATTTTGTCAAAGACCTTTTCACGTGGTTTTTGTCTTTGGTTCTGTTTATATGCTAGATTACAGTTATTGATTTGCGTATATTGAACCAGCCTTGCATCCCAGGGATGAAGCCCACTTGATCGTGTTGGATAAGCTTTTTGATGTGCTGCTGGATTCGTTTTGCCAGTATTTCATTGAGGATTTTTGCATCAATGTTCATCAAGGATATTGGCCTAAAATTCTCTTTTTTGGTTGTGTCTCTACCCGTATATTGCCCTCTTTAAAGGCTCAAAATCTCAAATGCAGAAAGAATGACTTTTAAATATCCTACATATTTAAACCATTTATTTTATACAACAATCCCATAGATGCAAAACTACTACTAATAAACAAGTAACCTAAGCCAAATTAAATAAAAGTATATAAAGAAAAAATTAACCGTCTGTGGTGGTGGATGCCTGTAATCCCAGCTACTCATGAGGCTGAGGCAGGAGATTTGCTTGAACTCGGCAGGTGGAGGTTGAAGTGAGCCGAGATCCCGCCACTGCACTCCAGCTTGGACCACAGAGCGAGACTGTCTCAAACAAAAAATAAAAAAAAAAGAAAAGAAAAGAAAGAAAGAAATTACTTATTTTACACTTGCTCTTCTGTGTTTAGTTTCAAAATTATCATCTTCATGCAAAGTATTTAGCACAGTGCCTGGCAGATAGAAAAAGTTAGTTATTATTTATTTATTTATTTATTTATTTGAGACGGA
This sequence comes from Homo sapiens, assembly GCF_000001405.40. Classification (NCBI taxonomy): domain Eukaryota; kingdom Metazoa; phylum Chordata; class Mammalia; order Primates; family Hominidae; genus Homo; species Homo sapiens. Next base: position 132,199,350 of record NC_000002.12, on the reverse strand, counting down.
GTCTTGCTGTGTCTCCAGGCTGCAGTGCAGTGGCGCATCCTTGGCTCATTGCAACCTATGCCTCCCAAGTTCAAGCGATTCTCTTGTCTCAGCCTCCTGAGTAGCTAGGATTACAGGCATACACCACCAAGCCAAGCTAATTTTTTTTAAATTTTATTTTTTGAGTAGAGATGGGGTTTCACCATCTTGGCCAAAATGGTCTATGTCTCTTGACCTTCTGATCTGCCCGCCTCGGCCTCCCAAGGTGCTGGGATTACAGGCGTGAGCCACTGCACCCAGCTGCTAGCTATTATTTCTAATCCTTTGCCATGCTCAGGTATAATCTTCCCAAATCCAGAAGTAATTTTATAACTTCAGCTAATTGCAGTGATAAATTATTGAAATATTTTCCTAAAGAAAATACACAAATGAAACCTTAAAAATACAAGGACTGGGCCGGGCACAGTGGCTCATGCCTGTAATTCCAGTACTTTGGGAGGCCTAGCTGGGTGGATCACCTGAGGTCAGGATTTCGAAACAAGCCTAGCCAACATGGCGAAACGTCGTCTCTACTAAAAATGCAAAAATTAGCTGTGCATGGTGGTGGGCGCCTGTAATCCCAGCTACTCGGGAGGCTGAGGCAGGAAAATCGCTTGAACCTGGAGGCGGAGGTTGAAGTGAGGCTAGATCTCACTGCTGGACTGCAGCCTGGGGCAACAGAGCAAAAACTGTCTAAAAAAAAAAAAAAAGGCTGGGCGCTGTGGCTCATGCCTGTGATCCCAGCACTTTGGGAGGCCAAGGCGGGCAGATCACGAGGTCAGGAGATGGAGACCATCCTAGCTAACACAGTGAAACCCCGTCTCTACTGAAGATGCAAAAAATTAGCGGGGCATGGTGGCGGATGCCTGTAGTACCAGCTACTCAGGAAGCTGAGGCAGGAGAATGGTGTGAACCCGGGAGGCAGAGCTTGCAGTGAGCCGAGATCGCTCCACTTCACTCCAGCCTGGGCGACAGAGGGAGACTCTGTCTAAAAAAAAAAAAAAAAAAGAAAGAAAGAAAGAAAGAAAGAAAGAAAGAAAGAAAGAAAGAAAGAAAGAAAGAAAAGAAAGAAAGAAGGTATAGTAAATTATGAAAGAGAAAAAGAGAGACTAAGCATCTTCAACAAGAAAAATGAAAATAATAAAAACTATACAATTGCAAAACAATAACTCTTGTTAAAATATTTTACATGTCATATTGTAAATAAGACACCCTCAGTGTATGCAGAAATGACTACATTAGTATAGGAAAGAGCTGTGATTGTAGATATATAAACTAGAGAAATGAGAATCAGAAATAAGTTTATCAACTAGAAGAGAGAAGAAATTTTTATTTGAGTAAATCTACTGTCTATAATTTAAAAATACACAATGGTATTTCTTTCATTAAATAGCTTTATTTAAATATAAAAATAAAAGCTTATACATAGGCCAGAAGAAACATTGCTGGTTTATAATAAGGTTCATAGGAACTAAAACAGGGTAATTAGATAAGACAGTGTGTAAATAATTATGTTATTTTAGTAAAAATATCCAACACTGTTCCTTTCAAATAAAAATATATTTTTTAAAGGTCAACAAAAAGTTATTGTGCTTCAAATTTTAACATTTATCCTGCAAGTAAAATTACTATAAGAAGAAACAACTAACCTATAAATAAATAATCTACTTTTTGGAAAAGTTAACAAACCTCTCTACACACAATATAATTAAGAAAGATAATAAGAAACATATATAATTTCAAGATTTTCAATTTTTTTTTACTAAGCCAGAGAAGATAAATGAGTTAATCATTCATGTCAGTAAGTAAATACAGGATCAAAAAACATACCTAATGGAAGGAAATTAATAACAGAAAAGTAAAAATTATAATCTAGAAAATGAAAAATATAAATCGATTCATAAATGGATAAGACTTTTAAGACTTTTTTTGAAGAAATCATTTCAAACTAGAATAAGCAAGAGGAATAGATCAAAACAAAAAGGAAAACAGTGAAGGTGATATACACATCCTCTTACTGAAAGTTAATTTTAAAGAACTGCTTTGTAAACACTAAAACTCAGAGTCCTCAATGTGTCTGGATATGGATTCATTTTTATTTCTTCTGCTCAGCACTTGTTTTATACTTTAAATTAGAGTCCTCAAGTCTTTCCTCTGCAATGGAAATTTTATGGCATCATGTAAAGTATACAAATAGTGAAGGCATTGCCAGTGTTTTCTTGTGTATAAGTATTCTCTACCATTAGAATGGAAACGTCATCAAAGTGGGCCCTTAGTGAGAGTTTGCTGAGTGGATGAATACTGTCCTTAAATATGACTTCTCCATTCTCTTTGGACTCCTTTTGAAACTCCTATCATACATGTGTTGGGGACTTTCTTGACTGGTCTTTCTGACTTTTAAATCCTTTTATCTGGATAAATTCATCATTATCTCCCAATTGACTAATTCTTTGTGTTTATTGCATTTACACTTCTTTTTTATATAATTTTCATTTCTAGAGCTTTTATTTTTTTTTTTCCTTTTTTGAGATGGAGTCTTGCTCTGTCACCCAGGCTGAAGTGCAGTGGCATGATCTCGGTTCACTGCAACCTCCTACTCCTGGGTTCAAGTGACTCTCCTCCTGCCTCAGCCTCCTCTCCTGCTTCAGCCTCCTGAGTGGCTGGAATTACAGGCATGCGCCACCACACTTGGCTAATTTTTGAATTTTTAGTAGAGACAGGGTTTCATTATGTTGGTCAGCCTGGTCTAGAACTCCTGATATCATGATCCACCCACCTCAGCCTACCAAAGTGCTGGGATTACAGATGTGAGCCACCACGCCTGGCTGCTTTTAATTTTTTATATCAATCTTTACTTTGTTCTTTTTTGCCTACTTTTTTTTTCCCCCAGAGTCTTACTCTGTTGCCCCGGTCAGAGTGCAATGGCGTGATCTCTGCTCACTGCAATCCCCCAGGGTTCTATCAATTCTCTTACCTCAGCCTCTGGAGTAGCTGGGATTGCAGGCACCTGCCACCATTCCCAGCTATGGTTTCGCCATGTTGGCCAGGTTGGTCTAGAAGTCCTGACCTCAGGTGATCCACCCACCTTGGCCTCCCAAAGTGTTAGGATTATAGGCGTAAGCCACTATGCCTGGCCTTTTGCCTGTTTTTATTTATATTTTTTTCTTTTTCTTTTTCTTTTTTTTTTTTTTGAGATGGACTCTAGCTCTGTCGCCCAGGCTGGCGTGCAGTGGCGCGATCTCAGCTCACTGCCAGCTCTGCCTCCCAGGTTCACGCTATTCTCCTGCCCCAGCCTCCCGAATAGCTGGGACTACAGGTGCCCACCACCATGCTGGGCTAATTTTTTTGTATTTTTAGTAGAGAGAGGGTTTCACTGTGTTAGCCAGGATGGTCTTCATCTCCTGACCTCGTGATCCACCCAACTGGTCCTCCCAAAGTGCTGGAATTACAGGAGTGAGCCACCACACTCGACGTCTGTTTTTATTTTTAAGTCTTCTATTCTTTTTGATGAATTTTATTCTTTTTTTTTTTTTTTTTTTTTTTTGGCAGAGGCTCACTCTGTTGCCCAGGTTGGAGTACAGTGATGCCATCTTGGCTCACTACAAAGTCTGCCTCCTGGGGTCAAGCAATTCTTCTGCCTCAGCTTCTTGAGTAGCTGGGATTACAAGCACCCACCACCGTGCCCTGCTAATTTTTGAATTTTTAGTAGAGATGGGGTTTCACGGTGTTTGCCAGGCTGGTCTTGAACTCCCGACCTCAGATGATTTACCCATCTCAGCCTCCCAAGGTGCTGGGATTACAGGCGTGAGCCACCATGCCTGGCCCTGGATGTTTTCTTCTTAAAAAGCCAGTTGAGAATTCTAAGTGTACTCACTTAAAAGGAAAATTTAGTTTGCTATAATATTTCTCATATTTGCTGTGGTGAATTCATCTCTAGGAGGTTTCTTTGTATAATTATTTCATTATCTCTCTAATAGTTAATTCTCCACATGTTTTGTAATATTTTTGCACACTCACCTTGAATGAGAAGTTCTCTACATGTCATAGTCATATAACAAACAAAATTCACCCTCCTTCACCACTAATCACACTTCTGTATATTCCATAAAATGTGCATTTCTTCATGGATACTCTTTGAATCATCTAAATGGAGACTCTTTATAGAAATATTGAATCATTAATTCTTCCAACTACTGTACTCCTTTCCAACATACTGTCTTACTGATTTTTCACTTTTTCCTATTTATATCCATTTTGTTCTACTAACCCATCTGTCATTGGCCTTCTTCTATAGCCTACCTCAAATTTCAGTTCACACTAGCTGTGAACAGCACTCAAATTGCTGCTGTATTCTTAAAATATAAATTTACTTCATAAAGCAAAAGTGAATCATATGCATGTTACAAAAAATATTCCTAGCAGAGATAAGATGGGATGGTATTTGCTGGGATGTGCAGCATTGTTTTTTCCAAATTAATTTCTCTCAGAATTCTCTCCTCCCTACTGCCAGGCAGAGCTCACCACTCACATGTCATGAATGACATTTTTAGTCATTTTTCATCTTATCTGATCATATGACTTGAATTAATGTTTAGATCTGCTAAAGGCAAACACCACCATGGAATTAAATTTGCAAGAGGGAAGAAGGAGGAAGCAGGAGAAGGTGGGTAGAATCTTCAGACTAAGGTGCAGATCTTACACCTGTAGAGGGAAAGAGAGAAGGAAGGCTGATTGGGGTAGAAAGAGACTACAGCATGGTTCCAAGAATGCTTTGGCTTAGGTCACTGTGGACTCCTTAAATTAAAGTTACTCATTGGAGACTCTCACAACTCACTGGAAACATCCTCACATACAATCCCCATGTAGCTCTATGACTGTTGGAAACATGACTGCTGCACAAGTGTAGAAGTGCTTCCAGAGACAGAAGGCTAAAGCCAGGCTGTCGCTGACTTATGCTGTCTGATTCAGGATACCTGCATTTCAAATTTCCTTGGTCATTAAAATCCATTACCCCCACCTCCTAACCCCACCACAGCACACACATATTTGTCCAAACAGGTTCTTCATACCAGCTCTTCCAAAATTCCCATGATCCTCTCTTTTCCAAGGGGAACCTTAGAAAAGGAAGGTTAATGAGACCAACTCTAGCCCATGCTATAGCAGTTGGTCTCAGAACTGCCTTTGAATGCCCAGTCGTGTGAGGGGGAGAGAAATAGAGAGAGAGAGTATCGGAGTGGGGAGTGTGTGTGTGTGTGTGAGTGTGTGTGTGTGTGTGTGAGAGAGAGAGAGAGAGAGAGAGAAATTATCTCTGCTTCTTTTGTAGAAAAGTAGCCCTACCTCCTCCTGCTAATCAGGGTGTATTCATCCTGCCCCAGTGGTGACGTATTTCTTGTCTTTTGGTTACTGGACCTAAGGAATCTAAAGCACCCAACAGATAACCTTCTTTAGAGAGCAGGACTTGCCTGCCTTCCAGATCCCAGAGCTGCAGTGATGAGAAGCACAGGAAAACCTGAGAAGATTATTGGGAGCATTTGTAATTAGGGACATTCCTGTTTCTACCTCTTGTTTTCTGAACCTGTAGATTCTTCCTATGGAAGAAGAACTACTATATAAAGATCTGTGATAGAATATGTATAAAAGATGGTGCCCCCTGCATTCAGAATGTCTCCTTTAGCATAGTGCCTCAGTTGCATCTTTAGAACGTTTCTCCAGGGCTCCATGAGTCTAGCTGCTTCTTGAAGAGTGTATGTAATACAAATAGTAGATTACATGGTCATGGACCCACTTCTGCCCATCCTTTGCTGTGAACAAGGAACCCTGGTCAGATGCTATACCATGTGGGATTTTATGCCTGTGGATCAGGAATTCTGGAAGCCTCAGAAAAGTGGTCCTGGCTCAGGATCTGTGAACAGAAGTGCCAAACCCAGCCCTGGAATAAGGATATGTCCCTCTGAGGATGAAAAGGTGGTCATTCAAGGTCAAAAGACTTGCCATATAAGAGTCTCATTATTGATTTACGCTGTTGAAAAGTAAGACAGTCAGAGGCAGCAGTAGTTACATAAACCTTGATACATAAAAGTCCAGGCTGTGGGGCCCATATGTATCGTCCATCTCTGCCAACATGGTCATATGAGTGACTGCATATGTGTGACTGTTGTGCTTGTTGTGGGAAAGCCAATCTCCAAGGCTGGCAGCTTGTCATGTCATTTTGTCTGATTGGTTATTGAGTGCCTCTTCTGTGGTGAGTGCTTTCTTGTGAGTGTTAACGTGCAATACAAGATTCTTTACACTCCGTGCCTGCTCCTGCATGTCCACTCATATGCTTCTAACCCAGCTTCCTCGTCTCAGATATTTCAGTTCTTTTCTATCTAAGCCTCTGACCAGATGATTCACCCACTGACTACGGCAAAGAAATCTGTTTATATTCCTGCCTTAGGCCATGTTTCTTCTATGTAAAGTAGATGGCCAGGGCCACTGTTCCCAGTGCTGCTAATAGGGAATATTTTAATTTCCTTCTGTCTTTCAGAGTCATTCTTGCATAGGGGTGCAATGCAACTACACCTTTAAACAGAGATTGCCCCTTTCTCCCTCCTTCAGATGGCCACAGGGACACAAATGCAGTCACAGGTGTGAGCTGAAGGAAGGTTGCTGGTGCAAACATGGTGGGTGACATGAGGATCTGGGTTACCTGCTATTCAACTTATCCACTTGCTCTCATCTTGCTTGGCCTTTGTCTCATATTTACTATTTCCACCTCATGATGAACTACTTCTTTTCCCTTCTGGTGTCATGACTTGGTGGTTCCAATAGAACTCAGCCTGGAAGAGGTAGCGCCAGAAGCATGGTAACTTATCAAGCACAGCATCTCTCCTAGGTCCAACATATAATTCTCTGCTATGGAGGGCATGGCTTTGTTTCAGAATCCCAGGAGCTGGTGTTGTAATTCTTTCACTGAGAATTGCCATGTGTGCCACACTGCGACCACCATTGACACCTGCAAGAATACAGGTCCTGCAAGATCATATGACCCAAGCTGCAGGGCTGTTCACAATGGAGCCTGGACATGCTGTGGAGCCCTGTCCTGCCCTGCACTCTTCAAACCCTGTGGTCTTCCTATCTCCCTGACTTGTCTTGTGGCTTACTTGTGTTATGTTGCTTAGGGTTTCTTGAGTTTTATGAGTTTGTATTTTTATAACTGTATAGATATAGATGGATAGATATAAATATGGTCAAAGAGGAAGAGTAAGAGAGAAAGAAAAAGAATTTTACAAAAGACTTTACTGGACTGTAGAAAAAAATATCAAACTCCACCTCTATTTCCAGCACTTTGGAAGGCCAAGGTGGGTGAATCACAAGGTCAGGAGATCGAGACAATCCTGGCTAACACGGTGAAACCCCGTCTCTACTAAAAATATACAAAAAAATTAGCCAGGCGTGGTGGTGAGAGCCTGTAGTCCCAGCTACTCAGGAGGCTGAGGCAGGATAATGGCATGAACCCAGGAGGCAGAGCTTGCAGTGAGCCGAGATCTTGCCACTGCACTCCAGTCTGGGTGACAGAGTGAGAATCCATCTCCAAAAAAAAAAAAAAAAAAAAATCAAACTCCATAGTGAGAAGTCAAACAACACAATAACAAAATGGGTAAGAGATTTGAGTAGATGACAATAACCAAAGATATATGAATGATGGATAAACACTGAAAAATGCATCATTAACCACCTGGGAATGGAACTTAAAAATCAAAATGCAATAACACTGCACAGAAACTATAATGGATCCAAAAAATGTCAATTCTGAATGTTTGAGAGGACATACAACACCCTGAATTATCATATTTAGGTGGGAGTATAAAGTGGATAATCAGTTTGGATTGCAGTTTGGCAGTTAAACATACACTTACAATTTGACCTAGAATATTCCATTCTTACTTACTCAAGAGAAATGAAAACATGTGCATACAAATGAACATAGCAGCTTTACTTGTAATAATCAAGGAATAGAAACATTTGTAAATGGTTCACCAACAGGCTAAAGGATAAACATATTGTAGTATTTCCATACAATAGAATAAAATAGAAAGGACCACTGATTTTGCAACATAGGTGATCCTAAAATATATTGAGAGAATGAAACAACAGTAGGTATATTATAAAAGTTTATTATTACAAAATTCTAGAAACTGAATTTATAGTGGTAGGTTGCAGATCAATGGCTGCTTGGAGCCAGAGGTTTTTGTAAGGAGTACAAAAGAACCTTTGAGGTGATAGACAGCTTCAATATCTTCATTGGTGGTAGCCACATAACTTTATATGTTTGTACTTAATTTGGATGTATTTTATTGTATTGAAAGTAAACCTCAGTTAAGTTGACTTTTAAAATTTATTAGATTCTAAAACATTAATTTGCTTCCATCCATTATATTTATTCACAAATCCTACAATAGTATGTTTTGGAAGACCTGTAATAGACACAGTAACTGGCATATTCATAAAGGAAATTTCCTTATGTAGGATAGTTTTTAGGGGAAATGTCTGAAACAAAAAAATCTGCATCTGCTTATCATAATTCGCTGCATAAAAGATCTAAATGTGTAACTGGCAATCAGCTTTAGCTTTGATTATCTTTTATAGCAGCATGGATCAATTATGTTTACCCAGTTGGCTATTTCTCCATGCTAAACTCATATTGCATACATGCCTCTGAAATTCCAGTCATGTATAGTCTATAATGTATACCTATATTACACAATTTGTATACTTTTCCACTTTAAAGGGGGGATTTATACCTGCAAAGGGACTTGACCTACAACTATCATCCAATTCTGTTCCAAATTTTGGATACTATGACTCTATCCTGGAAATGATTCAGTAGTTTTGTTTCATTTGACTCTTCCTACAGACATAATGTGTTGAAGTAAACCTGTTTTTTATGTTTGGAAAGTAGCCTTTTGATGGGTGTTTTCTAGCTTTTGGAAAACATGTACTCGAAGCAGAAGTAACTAGTTGTTGAGGGAATAGAACCACAGCATTTCTGACCTAGGCAAATTGAAACCTTGTCATCCTTGATGACAAACATGACATGACACATGATTGCCTTTTTCAAGGAGTTCTTATGTAAAATGTTTTATCCCCAACTAGTTGGTATCATTCAAATCAAATTTTATAATTTTACTCTGTATTAAGATGAAGTTTTATAATGTCCAAAGCATCTTTACGCATATTTTTTCTCAAATAAATCCTACAGCAACTGTGTGAGATACTCAAAGGTGAGAATATTATCCCCATTTTACAACTGAGCAAGCAGACTTCAAGATTTGTTAACTTTTTAGAGCTGAAGTTTAGTCCACTATTTTATGTTATCAACCTTTGATTTGCTGTGCTATACCCACCAATTTAGAAAAGAATTTACCCAAGATTGTAACATATAATACAATTAATTTATTTTTTTTTCTCTCCACTTGAAAACAGAAACAGTGGTGATTATGGAGTATCTACTGATTATTTTGCTGGGACAAGTTGATGTCACTAAATTTATAAATTGAACTGAACTGATAACCTCAGTTACTTTGCCAAAATTCCTTCTTTTAATATTACATAAGCTGTAGAATGCAGAAGAGGTACTTTTAATTTCTAATTATTTAAGTAGAGAAAGACTCAACACTTCCTTTTAGGCTCACACATAAAATTTCTGGTTGATACATCACCAGCGATTGTGTTTCAGCATGTATGTAAATGCAGCTTTCTGAATAGGCAAACTTACAGGAAATATGGAATATCATTGTATTTACATACAGCAGTATCTCAGACATCATTCCAAAAACTAAAGGACAATGAGGAAATATTTCCAAAAGCCATATTACAGTGCTTTGGGGGAGGTAAAAGAGAGAATGCTGCAATATGTTTTCCTGTTTGACTGACTCAAGCTACATTCTAGGAGATATTTTAAAAAGTGAATAAAATCTCTGTGTCATAGTCAAAAGATATAAGGCAAACCACAATTATCCAAGGAAATCTGAAATGAATATTACTAAATACAATCTTCTGGATTTGGTTTTACTTACCTAGTATGTTGACTATGTCTGCTTATGGTTTTCTTACTTATGCCTACCTACACCATCTTTTAATTAAATGTGCCGATAAAATTTCATCTAAGTGCAGAATTTCCTTTGCTTGACACAAACACTTTGTTCTACTGTGAATCAACTGCTGGGGCTTTCTATTGTATGGATGTCTACAAAGGGATGTGCTGTAACTCAAGTATAAGCAGATGGTTCTTTCATTGTTGTAAATCAAATTGGTATAACCTGTGACTGGGTTCGATGTGGCCCCAGTTTCCTGAGGCCTGTGAAAATTGCTAGGTTGCTCGTTTTCATTTTTTCTTATCACCTTAACTGGAGTTGGAGGCCCTTGCAAGTCCAGGACAATGACGTCTTAGGCAACCTCAGTTGTCTAGTGTGACTTAATAAGCCTGATGTATGTAGTAGAACCAATCTTTTCTTTTATGTATAATGCCATTTTAAGTGATGTGAACCTTATTCTCTAGGTTACAGGTATTGGATTACTTTAGTTATTTATTATAATAAGCAAGGTGTTAATTTGTTGTTGTTGTTGTTGTTGTTGTTTTCTGAGACAGAGGCTCGCTCTATCACCCAGGCTGGAGTGCAGTGGCGTGATCTTGGCTCACTACAAGCTCCACCTCCCGGGTTCACGCCATTCTCCTGCCTCAACCTCCTGAGTAGCTGGGATTACAGGCACCTGCCACCATGCCCGGCTAATTTTTTGTATTTTTAGTGGAGACAGGGTTTCACCCTGTTAGCCAGGATGATCTCCTGATCTCATGATCCGCCCGCCTCAGCCTCCCAAAGTGCTGGGATTATAGGCGTGAGCCACCGCGCCCTGCCCGCTAATTTGATTTTTTAACTCCTAAATTCTACCACTTTCCTTACTCGCTTTCTAATGAAAATTGATGGAGAAAATAAACTGAAAATAGCACAATTCTAAACATTCCACTATTTTGAGATTCGAAAATTATTGGCTTTTGGTGTTCACTGATTCATGTCGGATTTTTAGTAGCATAATCAAACCTTTTTTTGGCAATGGTATAGAGTGCAAAATGCAAAGCCATTTGCCATGGTGTAGATGCTCACAGTATGCCTCTGCGTCTAAAGAGATACTATTCTTCAACATAAATCAGACATATAGAAAATACTTACAGCACAGAAAATATGAACTATGGCATAAAAATACATTAAATTAGCTAAATGACATCCCTAATAAAAATCTGAATCTGGCCGGGCACAGTGGCTCACGACTGTAATCCCAGTACTTTGGGAGGCCAAGGCAGGCCAATCACCTGAGGTTAGTTCGAGACCAGCCAGGCCAACATGGTCTACTAAAAAAATTACAGAAATTAGCTGGGCATGGTGGCAGGTGCCTGTAATCCCAGCTACTTGGGAGGCTGAAGCAGGAGAATCACTTGAACCCAGGAGGCGGAGGTTGCAATGAGCTGAAATTGTGCCATTGCACTCCAGCCTGTGCGACAAGAGCAAAACTCCATCTCAAAAAAAAAAAAAAGAATCTATTCTAAAACTGGGAATTTTATGTTTAAGTAGATTCACTTAATTTTTTCCTATAATCTCCTGGGACAAATAAATGTTTTCAACAGTTGAGCTTAACAAACTGAAGAACTGGAAGGAGAAATAACATTATTAATAATTACTTCCAGAGTGGGGCGTGGCTCACATCTGTAATCCCAGCATTTTGGGAGGCCGAGGTGGGCTCATCACGAGGTTAAGAGATCGAGACCATCCTTGCTAACACGGTGAAAACCCGCCTCTACTAAAAATACAAAAAATTAGCCGGGCGTGGTGGCGGGCGCCTGTGGTCCCAGCTACTTGGGAGGCTGAGGCAAGAGAATCGCTTGAGGAAGCCCGGCCAACATGGCTAAACCCCATCTCTACTAAAACTACAAAAATTAGCTGGGCATGTCGGCGCATGTCTGTAATCCTAGCTACTCCCAGAGGCTGAGACAAGAGAATCGCTTCATCCCGGGAGGCAGAAGTTACAGCAAGCCGAGATCACGCCACTCCACTCCAGCCTGCTCTACAAAACAAGACTCTGTCTCTCAAAAAAAAAAAAAAAAAAAAACAAACAAAAAAAAAAACAAAAAACTTCCTACGATGCATGATTAGATTACAAAGTTTTCTATCCTTTTTTTAAAAAAATAAATATCTTAGCTGCCTGTTTTCATTCTGGCCATCAAAATTGCCTAAAGTCTTTGTGGGCAATATCATCAACCCTTGAGGGAAATTCAAGATATTCCCAACACAGAAATATTCTTAGCTGAAAAGAGTATGGGATGACAATTTTCAACCTGGCACATATAAAAAGAAGAAAAATGTTGGGTAAATGAACAGCAAAAGAAAGATGACATTCATATGTCCTATGCAATTCTGAATACTTATTTTATGTAGGTGAATATTTTAATGAAAGACATTTATTGATCCAAAATATTTTTTAACTTAACGAACTTTGGCAAAACAATGCCCTTCAGTCAGTGACTATATTATCAAGTTTCATCTACCTCTGATAAAGGAAACAAAAATAATAGTAATTCCATACTCAGTATGTGTGAGAAAATAAAAGCTGTGTTTAGTTCTAATTATTTTGAGTTATGCCACATAACACATAACAGTATACATTTATTTTGAGTTCATATGTAGAATTAGACTACTTTTTAATTTTGGGAACATGGAGAACAATATTATAGGATTATATTAGTAAGGCTATGGTAAACACTAACATTAAGCTTTCCTTATGTGCCACACACAGTTCCTTCACCAAAATGGGCAGAATTTTAGCTGAAGACTTATAATGAAGCCTAGACATTCATGCAGAAATTAAACAACTTGACAATTATTAGAATATAGTAAACATATACATGTTCAATACCAGCCTCTTTTTTTCTCACTTTATGCTTTTTGAATGTCATTAGATTTACATATCCTGCTAACATAACATAAAAACAAACCATAAGTTTCAAGAAATTAACAATTCTAGTTACGTACTATTTATATGTTTTTCTTATTAACTATTAGTTATTTCAAAATTTACCTTTTATGTTTTGAGATAAAAAATATCTAATAGAAAGGTAGTTTTTTGAGAAGAATTCCTTTTTTATTATTTTTATTTTTCTTTCTTTTTTTTTTTGAGACATCTTGCTCTGTCACCCAGGTTGGAGTGCAGTGGCTCACTGCAACCTCTGCCTCCCAGGTTCAGGTGGTTCTCCTGCTTCAGCCTCCCGAGCAGGTGGGATTAGAGTAGCATGCCACCACGCCTGGTTAATTTTTGTATTTTTAGTAAACATGGAGTTTTACCATGTTGGCTAGGCTGGTCTTGAACTTCTGACCTCAAGTGATCCGTCCTCCTCAGCCTCCTAAAGTACTGGGATTACAGGCATGAGCTACTGCACCTGGCTCTTTTTTAATTATTTTGAAAGGATAATTTAGTTTTCCTAGTAATCCATGTGAATGTATTCTCTATGAACTATAGTGTGTGTGTTTACTTTTTATATATAGAATACTACTGAGGAACAAGCTGTTTCTGTAAATGAAATGGGACTGAACCTCTTCCTTTGTTGTGTTCTACATGTTACAGAGACCTGGACAGAGACAGTATGATCACCTCATGAACATCACATAATCTCCTGTCACAGTCCCAAGATAAAACATTTCCTTAAAATCAAGACTTGCTTTAATAACCATCACATTTATTACAATAATACCTTCCCACTATAATCAATATGGATATAAACAGCCTTTGTTCTATTTTTCTCATACTTGGAAGACTTTTGCTTTCTTTCCATGAAAATCTTGTATTTCTCCTCAATTATTCTAATTAGAAAAATACTGGGGGAGAAAAAATAAAACAGCACAGAAAGGAAAGGGGCTCCTGCAATGCACTGTTTAGACAGATAAGGTAGCCAGGCCAGGCGATGGTCAGGTAGGGACTGCCTTCTTCTCTCTGGTGGTGAGAATTGAGAATTGCTGAGAGGTGTGCAAGTGGAGCCGATTGAGCCGGAGCACAGTCCAGCTTTCTTCCATGTTCTCTACATAAAATAATCCATAATATTCAGCATTAAGACCTCATGATCTCATGTTTTGAGAAGGAGAGTTGAGAAACACCTACTAGTCTTATGATAGGTTGAGTACTTTAAAGAGTTTTGGGCCAGGTGCAGTGGCTCACGCCTGTAATCCCAGCACTTTGGGAGGCTGAGGCACGTGGATCACGAGGTCAGGAGATCGAGTCCATCCTGGCCAACACAGTGAAACCCTGTCTCTACTAAAAATACAAAAAATTAGCCGAGCATGGTGGCATGCACCTGTAGTCCCAGCTACTCAGGAGGCTGAGGCAAGAAAATCCCTTGATCTGGGGAGGTGGAAATTGCATGAGCTGAGATTGCACCACTGCACTCCAGCCTGGGTGACAGAGTTAGACTCCATCTCAAAAAAAAAAAAAGAATTTTGAAGCTTCTTAATTCCATTTATTTAAGACATTATTCTCACTGGGATTAGGGGGGAATCCCTGAATTTTGGTAAAAACAAATCCAAGTCACAAAATCAGAAAAAAAAAAGGAAAGATATAGGATGATGCGTTTCATTCTTCATATGAATATGCATTTTACACATATATAACTAAGACCAAGTTTGGATTTATTTCCAGGCTTGGGGATAACTTATGGAAACTTTTAACATTAAAGTTAAATTTGCAGTTCAGAATTAATCCATACATTATTTCACTGTTTTCTTGTTGATATTAAATGCTGCTGACTCAGTAAAGTTTATTATTTGAATATAACAAGAATGTGTGAATTGTAAATTCCATGCTAAAGTCTGGAACATTTCTACAAAATTCAGTTTTTAGCAAATATTTGTTAAGACTTCAGTCAAAGCCTTTTACAACTGCACTGCTCTAGGTTTTGAGGACTCAAAATAATCTCTGCTCACAAACCAGACATGCAGACAAATAAGGTTCTATGTATTAAGGTCAATAATAGAATTTTGCTGAAGACAAAATATTATCGCAGACACAAAAA
Organism: Homo sapiens; assembly: GCF_000001405.40. Classification (NCBI taxonomy): domain Eukaryota; kingdom Metazoa; phylum Chordata; class Mammalia; order Primates; family Hominidae; genus Homo; species Homo sapiens. The sequence continues at coordinate 132,184,241 of NC_000002.12, read as the reverse complement.
AATTAGCCAGGCATGGTGGCAGGTGCCTGTAATCCAAGCTACTCAGGAGGCTAAGGAAGGAGAATAGCTTGAACCCAGAAGGTGGAGGTTGCAGTGAGCCAAGATCATATCACTGCACTCATCTTGGGCAACAGAGTGAGACTTCATCTCAAAAAAAAAAAATCTTGATTCCTTTATCCCCTGTGCTTCATAGCATTCAGAGTCTTCCATATTTTCTGGGAGTTTCTTGGTTAGTTGGGCTTGGCCTATCCTCACTTACTGTTGGTGCCTGCCCTCTTCTCTGTGCTCCAGAGCAGATCATGTTTTCTCTACTCAGTTCCCTCTAATGAGGAGACCCATCCCACTTTCACCCCCACCTTAGCACCAAGCACCATTAATTCAATACCACTATGTGGAGGAGATAAGGGAGAATTACATCCCACGAAGAGCAGCAAAATGCATAAACATGCATATATATACAAATATATGCATGTATATGCACATATACACACATATACATATATATGCATATATACATACACACATATATACACGTATACACATATATACACACACACATATATACATGCATATATTGCCACCACTATCCTGAATCTCCTCATTTATTCCCATCAGAAGGAATTTCTCCACCCCACCCTACCATTTTCTTGGAACTTCTAGTCTCTCTCACATTATTAATTCTACACCTGGGGCTGCCTTGCCCCCTCTTGCTAACTGCCTGGTGGTAACTTGGCACTCCTCTTAGTTACTACTTAACTTTACAGCTCACCCTTTTTTACGTCATATTTATGAAGCATTAAATATTCTAAAAGTGGCCGGGTGCAGTGATTCATGCCTGTAATCTCAGCACTTTGGGAGGCCAAAGCGGGCAGATCACAAGGTCAGGAGTTCAAAACCTCCTGACCAACATGGTGAAACCCTGTCTCTACTACAAATACAAAAATTAGCTGGGCATGATGGCACATGTCTGTAATCCCAGCTGCTCAAGAGGCTGAGGCAAGATAATCACTTGAACCTGGGAGGTAAAGGTCACAACGAGCCGAGATTTGTGCCACTGCACTCCAGCCTGGGTGACAGAGCAAGACTCTCAAAAAAAAAAAAAAAGCTACTTTGTCTAGGGTAACTTATTGTACCAAGGAATTTAGTGCCTCATGAAAAAAGACTCTCAAAGATGTTTTTCTAAACAATAGAACCTTCTACCTTAGAAATCATTTATGATATTATCCAACATCGTTATTTTTTATTTTATATATATTTTTCACTACAATAAAAATCTTTCAAATATATCAAAATACAATTTTATTAAAACAGAAAAGTTGTTTATTAGATAATCTTTTAATTTTAACATATTAATTTATCTGTCGGGGTTCTATGTCATTCACTCAGGAAGGGAATTCAATGAATAAATGTGGTACCTTCACATATCAGTAGAACTTTTTCACAAAAATGGGCAATTTTTCATTTTTCAGAGTGAACACTGAGCCACCACCTGAGGAAAAATAAATGATCATTTTTAACAATTAAAGTTACTATTTTTTTAATCATCTGGTCTTTTAAGATGTTTTTAGACTTATAGATCAAGATAAGAAGTTAGCATGCATTTATCCTTCTTTCAATTTGTATCCATCCCTAACTTATTTCTTCCTATTGTGCAATAACTCATTATTAAGCTGAGCTTCCATTTTACTCATTCATGTTTATTTATGGGTCAGGCAAGTGAACTGCATACAAATTCACAAATTTTCTTTTTTTTTTTTTTCTGAGATGGAGTCTTGCTCTGTCACCCAGGCTGGAGTCAGTGGTGCAGTCTTGGCTCACTGCAAGCTCTGTCTCCAGGGTTCATGCCATTCTCCTGCCTCAGCCTCCTGATTAGCTGGGACTACAGGCACCCACCACCACACCTGGCTAATTTTTTGTGTTTTTAGTAGAGACGGGGTTTCACCATGTTAGACAGGATGGTATGGATCTCCTGACCTCGTGATCTGCCCATCTCAGCCTCCAAAAGTCCTGGGATACAGGCTTGAGCAACTGCGCCCGGCCTACAAATTTTCTTTGTAACTTACCTTATTATTAAATTGGTCTTCCTAATTCTTATTTTTTTATTTTTTATTTATTTTTTATTTTTTTTGAGATGGAGTCTTGCTCTGTTGCCCAGGCTAGAGTGCAGTGGTGCAATCTCAGCTCACAGCAACCTCCTCCACCTCCCGGGTTAAAGCCATTCTCCTACCTCAGCCTCCAGAGTAGCTGGGATTACAGGCATGCACCACCACGCCCGGCTAATTTTGTATTTTTCGTAGAGATGGGGTTTCTCCATGTTGGTCAGGCTGGTCTCAAACTCCCAACCTCATGTGGTCTGCCTGCCTTGGCCTCCCAAAGTGTTGGAATTACAGGTGTGAGCCACCGCCCCCAGCCTGGTCTTTTAAAATTTGACCTAAACAGTTCATCCTGTCATGTTCTTCATGAGAGATAAAGGTCTACTATTTTTCCCTTGTTATTTTAATAGAAACAACTATTTACCTTGAATATACTGAATATACACAAAATACATATTCATTTACACACCATGGCTTTTTAAAAGGGTTGTCCTTAGATGTGGCCTCCAGGGATAGTTAAGCTGTAAATGGAAGGCTACATATGTAAAGACATTTTCCTTTTGACTTTGTCTCTTATAGTGAGTGTGTGTGTGTGTCTGCTTTTAGTGGTAGAAGTTAAGGGGAATCTCTATGATTGTTTTTCTTTCTCTCCATTTATCCCTCACTTTCTTTCTTTCTTTTTTTTTTGAAACAGAGTCTTCCTTTGTCAGTGCAGTGGCATGATCTCGACTCACTACGACCTCTCCCTCCTGGGTTCAAGTGATTCTCATGCTCAGCCTCTCAGGTAGCTGGGATTACAGGCACCCACCACCACGCCCAGCCAATTTTTGTATTTTTAATGGAGACGGGGTTTCGCCATGTTGCCCAGGCTGGTCTCAAACTCCTGAGCTCAGGCAATCCGCCCACGTCAGCCTCCCAAAGTGCTGAGATTACAGGCATCAGCCACCATGCCCGGCCCCATTTATCCCTCATTTTAATATTTTTTTAATTCTTTTTTCTTTTTTTGAGACGGAGTCTTGCTCTGTCACCCAGGCTGGAGTGCAGTGGCGGGATCTTGGCTCACTGCAACTTCGGCCTCTCAGGTTCAAGCAATTCTCCTGCCTCAGCCTCCCAAGTAGCTGGGACTACAGCCCGCCACCACGCCTGGCTAATTTTTTGTATGTTTAGTAGAGATGGAGTTTCACCATGTTAGCCAGGATGGTCTCAATGTCCTGACCTCATGATCCACCTGCCTCAGCCTCCCAAAGTGCTGGGATTACAGGCATAAGCCACCTCGCCTGGACTATCCCTCACTTTATAACGTTAATCAAGTTCTTTTATAATTTTATGTTAAAGATTTTTGAATTTTGTTAATCTATTTTATTTTCCTTCATAAAATGATCAAAGCTAGAAATAACATTACAGAGTATATCATAATCGTTAATAGAAAGAGCTCTATAATCAGCTTAAATTTCTTTTCTCTCTTTTCTTGTTATGTGATCTTAGGCAAGTTACATAAATTACCTGTGTTCAGTTTATTTATTTGTGAAATGGGGAAAATAATGGTGCCTGTCTCTGGGTAAGATTGTAGTGAGGGTGAATAACAGATTTATCAAGCATAAAGCAGTGCCTGGAACACAGGAATTGCCCTCTCTGCATGCCCCTGCATATGTGTGCATACAGGCATGAATCACTTGATGATGGAATAAATTTGGAGAAATATGTCTTTAAGCAGTTTTGTTATTGTGCAAATAGAGTGTACTTACACAAACATAGACGGGATAGCCTACTACTCTTAGAGTATATGGTAGAGTATATGCAGCCTGTTGCTCCTAGGCTACAAATCTGTACAGCATGTTACTGTACTAAATACTGCAGGCAACTGTAACACAGTGGTAGGTATTTTGCATCTTATCATAGAAAAGGTGCAGTAAAAAAAAAAAAAAAAAGGGTACACTTGTAGAGGGCACTTACCATGAATGGAGCTTGCACAGCTGGAAATTGCTCTGGGTAAGTGAGTGAGTGGTGAGTGAATATGAAGGCCTAGGACATTACGGGCACTGTTGTAGACTTTAGCAGTACTGGATGTACACTTAAGCTATGCCAAATTTATTTTTAAATTGTTTTCTTTTATCAATAATAAATTAGCTTTAGCTTACTGTAATTTTTTTATTTAATATACTTTTTTTGACCTTTTGGCTCCTTTGTCACAACTCTTAGCTTAAAAGATAAACATATTGTACAACTTCAAAAAATATCATTTCTTTATATCTAAGTCTATAAGCTTTTTCCAATTTTTAATTTTTGTGTTACTTTTTAACTCTTTTATAAAAACAAACACAAACATGCACATTAGTTTAGGCCTATACAGGGTCAGGATCATCAACATCATTGTCTTCCACCTTCATATTCTGTCTCAATGGAAGTTCCTTGGGGCAATAACACACATGAAGCTGTCATCTCCTATGATAACAATCCCTCCTTCTGGATACCTCCTGAAGGACCTGCCTGAAATTGCTCTACTGTTCAGTTTTCTTTTTCTTTTTTAATAAGTAGTACCCTCTCAAAACATGATAAAAAGGGCCAGGCATGGTGGCTCATACCTGTAATGCAAGCAATTTGGGAGGCTGAGGCGGGAGGATCACTTGAGGGCAGCAGTTCAAGAGCAGCCTGGCCAACATGGTGAAACCCTGTTTCTACTAAAAATACAAAAATTAGGCAGGTGCAGTTGTGGGCACCTGTAGTCCCAGGTACTTGGGAGGCTGAGGCAGAAAAATCACTTGAAACTGGGAGGTGGAGGTTGCAGTGAGCCGATATCACACCATGGCAACTCCAGCCTGGGCAACAGAGGGAGACTCCATCTCAAAAAAAAAAAAAAGATAAAAAGAATAGAGTAGTAAATATATAAACCAGTAATATTGTCACTTATTATCATTATCAGGTATTATGTTCTGTAAGTAATTATATGTGCTAGAGGCCTGGCAGCACAATAGGTCTGTTTTCACCAGCATCAGCACAGACATGTGAGTAATGAATTGTGCAATGATATTACATTGACAATGACATCACTAGGAAACAGGAATTTTTTACCTCCATTACAATCCTACAGGACCAATATGTGGTCCACCATTTACTGAAATGTATTTACATGGTGCATGACTGTAAAATTACTAGTCTTCAAAAATCAGTTGTATCTTCAACATTTCCTACCTCTGCAAAATGCATCACCATTCTCCCAGTTACCCAGGCTTAAAACCTCAGAATTCTATCAAATTATTTCATTTCCTTACATCTCATGTTTAATTAGTCACTGATTCCCATCAATTTTCCCCTATCATGTTTAATAGTACCAACACATTATTTCTCTTAGAAAAATATTTTTCTAGTTTAGGCTCTTAATTTAGCCTATTTTTAAAATATCTCAAAGTTTGCCATACAGTCTTTATTTCTTATTTCTTAAAATATTTTCTACATTTTGATACAACTAACCTTTCTAAAGCATAAATATCTCACTTTGTCACTTGTCTGCTCAAAAAAAAAACATAAAAATATCTTCTTGGTCTAGAAAGTAAAATTATAATGCTTGGCATGATGTAGACAGAAATTCCCATTTCTCCTTTTTCTCCTTTGCCCCCACAATTTTCTTCCATGTTCACATCAGTACCTAATGTCCCAGACATATGGAATTCATTGTTTCATGAATAGAGCCAACACATTCTAACTACCATGCATTTAGTCAAATCATCTGGCCACCTGGAATTTCCTACCATGCCCCATAACATTTAAATTAAAAAATTCCACTGTTCTGTCCTCTCTGAAGATGTCCCTGAACCTTTATTGGAACTCATTGACATATCCTTTGGTTCCCACAGACTTTATTGTATATGTCATAATTTAGCACATACATTACTCTGCCGTACATTTTAGTAAGTTAATGACTTGTCTCTTTTCACTGATAAAACAGTGTCAGGATTTTTTCATTTTTGTATTCCCTACTGGTCCACAGAGTGCTATGAACATATAATGTGCTAAGTTAATTTTTAATTGACTTAAACTTACTGGTGAATTCACCGATTAACTGTTCTTTTCCAGTATTACTCTTAGAAATGTCCTTGCCTTGATATATTTTAAGTTCTAAAAAAATTCATTTCATTTTAAGAATCACATCCTCCAAAACAAAAGAAACAAAAGCTCCCATACAATTCTAATGCTAGTTATAGGTAACATTAAAAATGGCATACCAACTGTAAAAAACAAACAAAAAAACCAAACAAAAACAAAAAAACAAACAAAAAAATTCCCATGAAAGCCAGAGGCAAACAATGCAAATTTTAATGTCAATATTGTCATTTTTTCCTAGGTTAGGGGTCAATATAACCACATTTATAAACTTGTTCTTTTTGTCTCTCCTCATGTTGACCTCACACATAGCATATTATGCCATTAAAACAACAAAAAAGGAGAAAATGCTATATTGAAATCCAGTATTTTCTTTCAACAATTCCTTACTGTGAATTGTGAATGAAAATTAAATTCTTTAATCACTAGGGAAGACTCTCTGAGTGTGCGAGTGTTTCTTTCAGCTGATATAAACATTGATAAGATCAAAGCTTGCTCTGAATTATCTGTCTTACCAGGTCTTGACTGAATCTCAGAACAAAATCCTGTAGTTTCTCTTTATTTCAGATAAACCTTTAATCTTTTAAAAATATAGGCACAACTGGGCACAGTGGCTCAGGCCTGTAATCTCAGCAGTTTGGGAGGCCGAGGTGGGCAGATAATGAGATCTAGATATCGAAGCCATCCTGTCCAACATGGTGAAACTCTGTCTCTACTAAAAATACAAAAATTAGCTGGGCATGGTGGTGCACACTTGTAGTCCAAGCTACTCAGGAGGCTGAGGCAGGAGAATCGCTTGAACCCAGGAGGCTCAGGTTGCAGTGAGACGAGGAAGTGCCATTGCACTCCACCTGGGTGACCAAGGGAAATTCCATCTCAAAAATAAAAAAAAAAAAATAGGCACATCTGGCTAAGGAAATGGCAAAAAGGCAAAAAGATATGCACCAAAAAAGTTAGCCACTACTTGCATTGAAAATGGGTTTAAGTTTAAGGTTTTGGCAAGTGTTTGAGAAAAATATGAATTAAGCTCATTTTCTGTAGAGACAAGTCTCTAGGCATTTAGTTTTGGTTAAGGTAAATACTTAAATCTATTTAAAATTTTAAAGACCTTAGTAATGTAAACAAATGTTGTTGAGTTTGGACTTCTCTACAATATCTATGTGGAATCTTAGGAAAGGAAGAGTGAAAGGATACCATTTTAAATGGTAGTTCAGCCTAAATCCTAAGCATAAGCATAATACGCTGCTGCATTTTTTGTTTTTTACAGAGCCTAACTCTGTCCCCCAGACTGAAATGCAGTGGTGCCATCTTGACTCACTGCAACCCCAGTCTCCTAGATTCAAGCTATTCTCCTGCCTCAGCCTCCCGAGTATCTGGGATCACAGGCAGGCACCAGCCACACACGGCTTTTTTTTTGTTTTTGTCTTTTTTCTTTTTTTGAATACAGAGTCTTGCTCTATCGCCCAGGCTGGAGTACAATGGCACAACCTCGGCTCACTGCAACCTCCACTTCCCAGGTCCAAGTGATTCTCCTGCCTCAGCCTCCTGAGTAGTTGGGATTGCAGGCATGTGCCACCATGCCCGGCTACCCACCTCCCAGGTTCAAGCGATTCTTCTGCCTCAGCCTCTTGAGTAGCTGAGATTACAGGCATGTGCCACCATGCCTGGCTAATTTTTGTATTTTTAGTAGAGACAGGGTTTCACCATGTTGATCAGGCTGGTCTTGAACTCCTGACCTCCTGATCTACTCGCCTCAGCCTCCCAAAGTGCTGGAATTATAGGCGTGAACCACCGTGCCCAGCCTGTTTTTTGTATTTTTAATAGAGGTGAGGTTTCACCATGTTGGCCAGGCTGATCTTGAACTCCTGACCTCAAGTGATCTGCCCGCCTCCACCTGCCAAAATGCTGGGATTACAGACATGAGCCACTATGCCTAGCCAATATGTTACTTTAAAAAAATAAGTTATTTGTTTTAGTTTTCTTCTGTTGCTAACGATCATTTCTATTTTGTAGGGAAAAGGAAGAGAGATCAGACTGTTACTGTGTCTATGTAGAAAGGAAAGACATAAGAAATTCCATTTTGACCTATACCTTGAACAATTGCTTTGCCCTGAGATGCTGTTAATCTGTAACTTTGCCCCAATCACTTTGCCCCAACCTCTTTGCCCCCACCTTGAGATCACAAAAACATGTGTTGTATGGAATCAAGGTTTAAGGGATCTAGGGCTGTGCAGGATGTGCCTTGTTAACAAAATGTTTACAAGTAGTATGCTTGGTAAAAGTCATCGCCATTCTCTAGTCTCGATAAACCAGGGGCACAATGCACTGCGGAAAGCCGCAGGGACCTCTGCCCTGGAAAGCCGGGTATTGTCCAAGGATTCTCCACATGTGATAGTCTGAAATATGGCCTCATGGGATGAGAAAGACCTGACCATCCCCAAGCCCAACACCCGTAAAGGGTCTGTGCTGAGGTGGATTAGTAAAACAGGAAAGCCTCTTGCAGTTGAGATAGAGGAAGGCCACTGTCTCCTGCCTGCCCCAGGGAACTGAATGTCTCAGTATAATACCCGATTTTACATTTGTTCAATTCTGAGATAGGAGAAAAACCACCTTATGGCAGGAGGCAAGACATGTTGGCAGCAATGCTGCTTTATTGTTCTTTACTCCACTGAGATGTTTGGGCAGAGAGAAACATAAATCTGGCCTACGTGCACATCCAGGCATAGTACCTCCCCTTGAACTTAATTATGACACAGATTCTTCTGCTCACATGTTTTTTTGCTGACCTTCTCCCTATTATCACCCTGCTCTCCTACTGCATTCCTCTTGCTGAGATAATGAAAATAATAATAAAAACTGAGGGAACTCAGAGTCCGGTGCTGGTGCACGTCCTTGGTATGCTGAGCGCCAGTCCCCTGGGCCCACTTTTCTTTCTCTATACTTTGACTCTGTGTCTTATTTCTTTTCTCAGTCTCTCATCCCACCTGACTAGAAATACCCACAAATGTGGAGGGGCTGGCCACCCCTTCATATTTTCACTTAATTTACTCTGAATCCATGCCACTTTTGCATTTGGGGCTAATGTTTGTATTGAAGGAAAGGATAGCAAGTCAATTTACAATTGGAGTTTTTCAATGTAGAGAGTTACATGTTTACTAAAAGGAGTAGCCCTTAATTCTCTTTAAAAAGCCCATAGCAAGCAAGATGATTAACAATTTTTATATGAACAGATGTCTTACAATATTTTAAACATCTAGAGAACACTGATACCATCTTCACTTATTGACAATGGCATATAATCAATTCACTTTTCCAAAGAGATAGAAGTTACTTCTTTTGACTTAGATCTGACTTCTTAAACTGTCAAATGAAGTAGCTGAGTATAACTCACCACCCACAACTTTGATATTTAGCCGCCTCTTGTAGCCCTTACTTTAATATTTCTATATCTTACACATCTTTCTTTCTTAAAAATGTGCTTTCATTTAGAGGAGAAATACAATTTTAAGGGAGAAGTTGACGCATGCCTAGTTCTGTATTTTTTTTTAATTGCTGATCTGTCCTGAGGAAATTAATGTCACCCTACTGGGTATGATGCTGTCCCTCTGGAGAGACTCCTGCAAGTTATGACCACTGGGGATTTTATAGATGTCCACATTAAGCCTTTCACTGAGAGTAGAGATTAACTTGCAGTTGCCTCTCTGACACAAATATATCTAAGAAATCAACATAATCTTTCAAAACCCTTCTGGCTAATACTAGTTTGTAGCCACTATTAATATAGTGGTTCTAAGTTTGTTCCAGGGTCTCAAAGCCTTAAATCATTTCATGAAAGCCTACTGCAAATGTCAACATACAATGCTTACAAGGACATAACTGGGTGTTTCACACTATTATTTTAGTTTTAACCCACTTGATCCATCAAGTTATCTGTCATAGAACAAATGAAAGGCCCCTTTAGAGAAGTCTCAGAATAAAAAATAGGCCTAGTTATGTTCGTTGGGAGAGAAGTAAATAAAGCACGGGTTTACATTCTCTGTCTATAAGAAATTGTCATTGTAGCTGTTGTTTGTTTCAAAATCTATGTACAGTTCTGACCCACCAACTCACAGTGGCTGCCTGACTCTAACACTCAGGTGTGTTATTGTAAATTCCCTGAGTCTTCTTTATAGCAAGAGAAAAAATTAGGACATTCTGAAAGTAATACACTGTGGATATTTACATGGCCAGAGTATAATTTTCTCTGCTTAATAATAAAACTTAATAATGAGCTTAATAATAAAACTCACATACAAATACAAAATAAACCTCTGTCAAAATTTATTTCACTTATTCCTGAGGAAATCAGTAGGTCGGAAAGCTGGTTCCAAGAACAAGTAAAAAAAAAATAATTACAGATTTTTTTCCCCAAAAACAAGAAATGTTAGAATAAGACAACTATGTTAGAAGCAAAACTGGGCCAGGAGCGATGCACACCTGTAATCCCAGCACTTTGGGAGGCTGAGGCGGGTGGATCACGAGGTGAGGAAATCGAGACCATCCTGACTAACACGGTGAAACCCAGTCTTTACTAAAAGTACAAAACCAAAATTAGCCGGGCGTGGTGGCCTGTAGTCCCAGCTACTTAGGATGCTGAGGTAGGAGAATGGCATGAACCCAGGAGGCAGAGCTTGCAGTGATCCAGGATTGAGCCACTGCACTCCAGCCTGGGTGACAGAGTGAAACTCCATCTCAAAAAAAAAAAAAAAAGAAGCAAAATTGATTAATAACAACAAATAGTACTGGGAAAACTGGATATCCACAGGCAAAATATAAAGTTTGGGCCCTTAACTTACATAATATACAAAAATAAACTATAATAGATCAAAGACTTAAAAGTAACAACTACAACCCTTAAACTCCTAGAAAAAAAAATAGGAGAAAATATTCTTTATGTTAGATTTAGCAATGATTTCTTAGATATGACATCAAAGGTACAGGGAATGAAAAAATAAAAAAATTAGTTTCATCAAAAGTAAAAGTTCTGTGCATTAAAAGTCACCGTTGACCAGGTGTGGTGGCTCACGCCTGTAATCCCAGCACTTTGGGAGGCTGAGGTGGGTGGATCACAAGATCAGGAATTTGAGACCAGCCTGGCCAATATGGTGAAACCCCATTTCTACTAAAAATACAAAAATTAGCTGGGCATGGTGGTGTGCACCTGTAATCCCAGCTACTTGGGAGGCTGAGGCAAAAGAATCACTTGAACCTGGGAGGCGGAGGTTTCAGTGAGCTGAGATTGTGCCACTGCACTCCAGCCTGGGCGACAGAGTAAGACTCCATCTCAAAAAAAAAAAAAAGTCACCCTCAAGACAGTGGAACAACAACTCAAAGAATGGGAGATGTCTGCAAATCACATATGTGATATGACATCAGTATATGTGGATATAATATGTATAATAGAATAAAGAACTCCAGCAACTCAACAACAATAATAAATGGTTCAATTTTTTAAATAGGCAAAGGACTTGAATAGATAATTATCTAAAGAAGATGTATGAATGGCCAACAAGCACATGAAAAGAGGCTTAATATCACTAGCATTAGAAAAACACAAATGAAAATAATGATGAGATATCATTTCACACCCATTAGGATTATTACAGAAAAGAAACCCCAGAAAATAACAAGTGTTAGTGAGGATTTAGAGTCAATGGGAACACTTGTGCATTGCTGGTGGGAATGTAAAATGGTGTAGCTTCTGTGGACAACAGTTAGGTGGCTCCTCAAAAGTTAGACATAGAACTACTATGTGATCCAGCAATTCTATGCCTATATACATGCCCAAAGTAATTGCAAATAGAGACTCCAACAGATATTGACCACCAATGTTCACAGTACCATGATTTACAGTAACCAAAAGCAGGAAGCAACTCAAATGTTCATCAATAAATGAATGAATAAACAAAATACACCATATTCACATAATGGAAACTTATTCAGCCTTATTAAGGAATGAAATTCTAATATACACTACAGAATTTCAATGACTACAACATACGTAAACTTTGAAAACACTATGCTTAGTGAAATAATCCAGATGCAAAAGGATAAATATTGCTTGAAGTACTTAGAATAAGCAAATCATAGAGACAGAAAGAATAATCATTACCAGGGACTAGTGTGGGTGAGAAGTTATTGTTTAATGGGTACAGAGTTTCTATATGGGATGATTAAAGAGTTCTGGAAATGAACGGTGGTAAAGGTTGTGCAATTTGGTGAATGTAATGTCCTCTGAACTGTTCATTTAAAATTCATTAAAGTGATAAATTGTACAGTATGTGTATTTTAGCACAATTTAAAGAAGAAAATTAAAAGAAAAAATACGTATTCCCAATTGCACTGTATTTTTTGTTATTAAGCATAAAATTTAAACTTTATTAAACTTATTAGAAAAAGGGAATTGGAAATGTGATATAATGCAGTAATTCACAAAAATGTTTACAGTAAATGCACTCCAGAGCAGTTTTTCTGATGTTTGATGAACTCCTATCAGTTGTGAATTAAAACTGATTAATGTCCTTCATGGAAACAGATCCATAAGGTCTGGCATTGTCTTTTTCTACTAGAGAGAAACCTAGAAGTTATCACATAATCGCATAGCATCTAGGATCAAATCAACTAATACATGGCCAAGTCAAAAGAAAATGAAGTAATCTTTGGGTTCGCCTTTGAGATGATAGCTTTTAATAATGTAATATTACACTAAAAATACATGTTTTATGTCAGAGTTTTAGATACTTTTCCTTAGCAGTCCCCTATCACAAATATGTCCTCTGTTAGTGCTAATCCATAACTAACTCAGTTCCTTATTTTCATGTCAATAATCTCCAAGTGTTATTCTTTTTTTTTTTTTTGAGACAGAGTCTGGCTCTGTCTCCCAGGCTGGAGTACAGTGGTGCGATCTCGGCTCACTGCAGGCTCCGCCTCCGGGTTCACGCCATTCTCCTGCCTCAGCCTCCGGAGTAGCTGGGACTACAGGCGCCCGCCACCACGCCCGGCTAATTTTTTGTATTTTTAGTAGAGACGAGGTTTCACCGTGTTAGCCAGGATGGTCTCGATCTCCTCACCACGTGATCCGCCCGCCTCGGCCTCCCAAAGTGCTGGGCTTACAGGCGTGAGCCACCGGCTCGGCCTCCAAGTGTTATTCTTAATCAAAAAAAAGAAAAAGTTTATCTGACTATATTCGACCCTGATTATTTATATAGCTTCAGAAAGAGGAGTTAAACACATAGGTGAAGTCTTCCCTCCACCAGGTTCTAAAATGTAAGATTCATGGCCTTCTGAAAACACTCCCTTACCAATGTGAGGCTGGAACCATAGAACAGGTGGAGGACTTAGTAGGTATTGGCTCAGCATTTAAAGTACAATCTTATTCCTTAATAGGTATTTTCATACCTTATAAACACATGTATGACCTTGGATGTCCAATTAAATCCCAAGAAAAAAGGACAGATTCTTGATGAAACTATGCAAATAATGAGACAGCAAGTAAAAAGGGCTCCCCAGCAGAACCTCCGACCAGCTTGCACACTGGCAGGAGTGCACACTGAGGTGGAGCCTCGGGAAGTTTGCAGCGGGGAGGAGCCTGGCCTCTTCTGTTCCAGGACGGAGGCTGGGATTCAATCTATGAGGCAGGAAGCTGGGTAGCAGGACTCACTTTACTGACAGTCTCTGTTTCCCTTTTTTTCCCTTTTGCCCAATAAATTCCATTTTTCTCACCCTTCAAAGCGTCGGTGAGCCTAATATTTCAAGGCTGTGTGACAAGAATGTAGCTTTTAGCTGAACTAAGGAGAAAGTCCTACAATAATAATATGTTGTCCTACAAGCATGGAGAGTCAGTACAAATATATTTTTCTGAATTCTCAGAGAAAAATAGAAATTAGACAGGGTTTGAAGGATGTATTTCACTTACAAGCTGTAGTATATAAAATTGAGGATCAGAGCTAGAAAAAGAAACTGTGTAATTAATACACAGTTCCTTCTACTGGATGTTGAGTCAGTTTTTTGCTTTGATAAAATTATCTACCAATGAGGCAAAAAATAAATCCTTAAAACAATGAGATTTAAAAGTAAGTTGTTATGCTCAGTACTTTATAGGAGAACATTCAAGTAAGTGTCAGAGGAAAACAAAAACCACCTAGAGATGCAACTAAATGGCTGTTTAATTTATATAGTAAACAATAATATAAAAATGGAGAAGAATAAAATTCTGCATTAGGTTCAATACTATCTCATAAAGACTTGACCAATGTTTCACCTGGGGGCATATACCTCTGCAATTTCCTATTACAGTCTCTAATCTGTGAGTTAAATGTCTACAGTTCCTAAACCATTCACCTCTTTTTTTTTTTTTTTTTTTTTTTTAGACAGAGTATCCCTGTGTCACCAGGCTGGAGTGCAGTGGTGCGATCTTGGCTCACTGCAACATCTGCCTCCTGGGTTCAAGTGATTCTCCTGCCTCAGCCTCCTGAATAGATGAGACTACAGGCATGCACCACGACGCCCAGCTAGTTTTTGTATTTTTAGTAGAGATGGGGTTTCACCATGGTGGCCATGATGGTCTCGATCTCTTGACCTCCTGATGTGCCCACCTCAGCCTCCCAAAGTGCTGGGATTACAGGCGTGGGCCACCGCACCCCGCCACCATTCATCTTAATATGTAAGATTATGTAAAATGAACTGAGAAGGCTGAGTCTTTTAGAATTGACCTCATGCAACTCACACAAATGTGTGGAACTAATGAAGAAATATGGGGCACACCAAAGAAACCCAATTTATTTTAGCCTCATCCATTTTATAAGGCAAAATTTGTCACAGTTTTTCTAGAGGTCACCTAGGAAATCTAAAAAATTCTTATTTTTCCCTAAAAATCAGAAAATATTTACTTTTTGGAATTTAAGATATAATTTCAGTTGGGCAAAAATTAAGTGTTATCAAAGGAGATTTGGTCACTGTGATAAAGATAGGAATACAGGTGCAGAGAAGAAAATGGTGGCAATAATCCCAATGACAATACAATATTCTAAAATAAGCATAGAAAAAGATATCATAATTGTTAGAAAATGTATCCCTTTCATAATTAATTATGCTGTACAAATGTTTTTTTTTCTTATTTTTCTTTCTAGCTTCATTGAAGTATGATTGATAAATAAAAATTGTACATATTTAAGTTATATAATATGATGTAATGTATGTATACATTGTGAAGTAATAGCCACAGTCAATTAACATTTTCATCAACTTACAAAGTTACACTTTCTCTGTGTGTGTCTATGTGTGCTTGTATGGAAATACGTAAGACCTACCCTGTTAGCAAAATTCAAGTATACAATACATTCTTATCAGCTGTAGCTACTATGCTATATATGTTAGGTATCCAGAATTTATTCATCTTTTAACTAAAAGCATCTCCCCATTTTTCCTACCTTCTAATCCCTAATATCTAATGAGTTTAAATTTTTTAGATTTCACAGATAAATAAGATTATGCAGTATATTTGTCTTTCTGTGTCTGGCTTATTTTACTTAGCATTATGTTCTCTCAGTCCATCAATGCTATCACAAATTTTAGGATTTCTTTCTTTTGTAAGGATGAATAATATTCCATTGTATGTATATGCCACATTTTCTTTATCCAGTAATCTGTAATAAAGGCCATTATTCAAAATACACAAGAAACCCTTCAAATTTCACAAGAAAGCAAACAATTCAGTTAAAAATGGGGAAGCAATATAAATGGATAAGTCACCAAAAGAAATATAAAAATGGCAAATAAGTATTTGAAAATATATTCAACAACATATGATTTTAGGGGGATAAAGCAATTCTATATATTGAAATTTCCTTTAACAAAGAAAGCAAATAGAAAACTTTCTCAGAAAAACAAAATTTAAGTGATACATCGTCAGCTGACCTGTCTTGCAAGAAATACTAAAGGAAGTTCTTCAAGTGGAGAGAAAATGATGCAAGTGAGAAATTCAGATACACAATAAAGAAGCAATAAATGAAAAAGAATAAATTAAAGTTAAAAAGTTTTTTTATTCTTATTGACCCATAAGATAACTGTTTAGTTACAAAAAATGGGTAATTATAGAATGTGGACAGATGAAATGAACAATAGCAATGTCATAAGGTACAGGAGGTACAATCTGGTAGTATTTTTATGAGATACCTACACTACGTGTGAAGTAACAATTTTATTTGAAGATAGACATAAAATATATATAATCGATTCTAATTAATTTAAAGATAGACTTAAAATGCATATAATCAATCCTAAGAAAACCACCGCAAATTTTTAAAAGAAGTGATGAGATCACATCTCATGAGGTGATGAGATACACCAAGAGCTGAGACAAAAATATAATCATAGAAGATGATCAATTAAAATAAGAGGAGGCAGGCCAGGCACAGTGGCTCCTGCCAGTAATTCCAGCACTTTGGGATGCCAAGGTGGGTGGACCACCTGAGGCTAGCCCGACCAACATGATGAAACACCGTCTCTATTAAAAATACAAAAGTTAGCTGGGTGTTGTGGCACACATCTGTAATCCCAGCTACTCTGGGCTGAGGTGGGAGGATCACTTTAACCTGAGATGTGGAGGTTGCATTGTGCCAAGACTACCACTGCACTCCAGCCTGTGTGACAGAGTGAGGCTCTATCTCAAAATAAAATAAAATAAAATAAAATAAAATAAAATAAAATAAAATAAAATAAAATAAAATAAAATAAAAATAAATGAATGTAATTAATGTTTATATTCTACTTCAACAAAAGTAGAATACACATTCTTCTCTAGCTTGTACAAGACACACTGCATTATGGGCCATAAACGTCTTAAAATTTTTCAAAGAATAAAGTTCATACAAAGTACACACTCAGACCACAATAAAAATTAAAGTAGAAATAAATAGCAGGAAGAATTGAAAAATTTTTCAAATATTTGAAGACTTAACAAAACATCTAAATGCATCCCAAAAGAAGACTAAACAGTAATTAAAATATTTGGAATTAAATGAAAATGAAATCACAACTTATTAAAATATATGAGATACAGTAGAACTAGTACCTAAATTTATAGTATTAAATGCATATTATTATGAAAAAAGAGATAAAATCAATAACCTAAGCTTCTGCCTTAAGAAACTAGAAAAAGAAAATCCAAAGTAAATAACAAGGGAAAAATATATAAAGTTTAGCAGATATCAGTAAAATAGAAAACAGGAAAACAATAGAGAAAATCAATGAAACAGAAAGCTGTTTCTTTGAAAAGATCCATAAACTTGCTAACATTTAGACAAACTAATAAAGAAAAAAAGAGAGAATGAACAACTTACAAATATTGGAAGTGAAACAGGGGTATGGGTTATGACTACTGATTTTGTGGACATTAAAAGGATAATATATTTACTATATTAAAAACTCTATACTCACAAGTTCAATAACCTATATAAAATGGACAAATACCTTGAAAGACACAATATGCCAATACTCACAAAAGAAAAAATAGATAACATGAGTACGCTTATATCTATAAAAGGAATTGAATAAATAGTTAATAACCCCCCCTCACCCCCCCAATGTTTCCAGGCCCAAATGGCTTTAGTGGTGAATTCTATCAAGCATTTAATGGAGAAATTATACCAATTTTCCACAGACTTTTCAAGAAAATGGAATTAGAGAGAACACATCCTAATTCATTCTGTGAGGTAAATATTACCCTCTTACCAAATCCAATAGACATAACATGAAATAAAATCAATATATCAATATCTCTCATGAACAAAGATTCAATAATCCTTCACAAAATACTAGACAATTGAATCTAACTATGTATTTATTTTAGGTAAGAAAGTATGCAAGACTGATTCAATATTAGAAAATTATCTGCAGAATTTCCTAAATCAACAGGTTAAGGAAGAAAAATCATGTGACTGTATCAACTGATGAAGAAAAAGCTTATGGCAAAATCTATCACCCATCTATAATTTGAGAAACTCTCAGAAAACTAGGAATTGAGGTGAATTTTCATAACTTGACAAAGAACATCTACAAAACCCCTAAAACTATCATACTTAATGATGAGAAATGGGATGCTTTTTCCCAAAAACCAGGAGCAAGAAGAATTTTGTTTTTTGTTTTTTTTTCTTTCACCACTTGCAAAATGAAACCACCACTTTGGAAGACAGATGGGCAATTTCTTATGCCCATAGTTGCTATACTATATGTAAAAAAAAAAAAAAAGTCTTACATATAATATAGCAATTGTGGTTTTTTTTGTTTGTTTTGAGATAGAGTCTTGCTCTGTCACCCAGGCTGGAGTGCAGTGGTGCAATAGAAGGATACTGCAACCTCCACCTCCTGGGTTCAAACAATTCTCCTGCCTCGCCTCCAGAGTAGCTGGGACTACAGGCTCCTACCACCATGTCCGGCTAATTTTTTTTTTTTTTTGTATTTTACTAGAGACAATATAACCTGTTGATTTGGGAAATTTTACCATGTGGCCCAGGCTGTTGTCCAACTCCTGAGCTCAGGCAATGCGACCGCCTCGGCCTCCCAAAGTGCTAGGATTACAGGTGTGAGCCACCGCGCCTGGCTGCAAATGTGTTTTTAGGTGTTTATCCACCTTATTTGAAAACTATGTCCACACCAAAACTGACACATGAATATATATATAGCAGCTTTGTTTATAATTCCCAAAACTGGAAGAAACCAAGAGGTCTCATAATTGATGAATGGAAAAAAAAAAAAAACTGATACGTCATATAAGGGAATATTACTTCCTAAAAAAATAAATGATTTGGCAAAAGATTCAGTGAGGAGGTTTAATAGGTGAAGCACGTGGGCATTATTTGGACCAAAGTATTCTGTATGATACCACAACTGTGGAATCACGATAGTATGCATTTGCGTTTTTTTTTGTTTGTTTTTTGTTTTGAGACGGAGTCTGCTCTGTCGCCCAGGCTGGAGTGCAGTGGCACGATCTCGGCTCACTGCAAGCTCCGCAACCCGGATTCACGCCATTCTCACGCCTCAGCCTCCCAAGTAGCTGGGACTACAGGTGCCTGCCACCACGCCTGGCTAATTTTGTTTTTGTATTTGTAGTAGAGACGGGGTTTCACCGTGTAGCCAGGATGGTCCCCATCTTCTGACCTCGTGATCTGCCCGCCTTGGCCTCCCAAAGTGCTGGGATTACAGGCGTGAGCCACTGCACCTGGCCTGCATTTGTTAAAAAACAAAGAATGTCACTTAATATATGCAAATTTTAAAACAACAACAACAACAAAGTAGGTGTTCTGGGGATCCTGAGATGGAATGCAGAATGTGATAGAAAATCTAAAGTACTACAAATGTATAAAGCCACTTCACTCTAGGGAGTGGGAAAAACGTGCTGACATAAGCATCTTAGAAAATGGATGGGCCTTCTGTGGTGGCTCACATCTGTAATCCCAGCACTTTGGGAGGCCAAGGTGGGCGGATCACCTGAGGCTGGGAGTTTGAGACCAGCCTGGCCAAAATGGTGAAACCCTATCTCTACTAAAAAGACAAAAATTAGCTGGGCATGATGGCGGGTGCCTGTAATCCCAGCTACTCAGGAGGCTGAGGCAGGAGAATCGCTTGAACCTGGGAAGTAGAGGTTGCAGTGAGCCGAGATCACGCCACTGCACTCCAGCCTCAGCCTGGGCAAGAAGGCAAGAAGAGCAGAACTCCATCTTAAAAAAAAAAAAAAAAAAAAAAAAGAAAAAGAAAAAGAAACAAAGAAAATGCATGAAGACTGAAAGGAAGAGAAACTGCAAACAACTCATGTGATCTGGTTGGTATAGCTGTCTCCTACAGGAAATGGGATAGCGATTCTGATATTGATAGAGAATGAATGTATATTGGAACTAGACAGTTAAGCAAACGGATGACAAATGACAGGAGCCTGGTTTCTCATTATTAAAGTGGGAGGTTACATGTAAGCAAGGGGAGAAGGCCGGAATGATCATGTGATAAAAGAATTGAGTCGTAGACATCAGTATGAACTAACACTTACACACATTACATTTAGAAATATTTATAGTTATGTGTATACACAGCTTTGTATACACACATTTATTTCTTTGCTCTGTAAACTAAGACGGTCTAGAAGCAATGATATCCCAGCAGAAATGAGCATATCTAACACTCAAGTCTTCAATTCTTGGGTTTTTGTTCATGATCCAGGATCCAGGAGTTGGGCCCTGGGGCTGGGCATTGTGTAGCCTCCGGGGTGGTGCTGAGCATCCATTCCCACCCTCCTGCAGCTGGGGACCCATCCCTTGACTTGGGCCCCCTGGAGGCAAGAACATGGTCACCCACTTTAATCACATGGTCCCTATCACATAATCAGAGGGCTCTGTGGGTTTTAATTCTTCAAGCTAGATGTGTAAACAATTCGACATAGATAAGATATAGTGACTAGAAGTCTTTCATTTATTTATTTTGAGAGAGAGTCTCTGTTGCCCAGGCTTGGAGTGCAGCGGCACAAACAATCAAACAATAACCAAAATCCAGAAGACTGAAAAGGTCAAATGCTGTCAAGGATGGGGAGCAACAGGACCTCTCATTCCTTGTTTGTGGCACAATCAGTTTACTGTACCCACGAACTCCCAGGCCCAAGTGATCCTGCCACAATCAATCTCCCAAGTAGCTGGGGCCACAGGCATGCACCACCATGCCTGGCTGATTGGTTTTATTTTTATAGAGATAAAGTTTCCCTGTGTTGTCTAAGCTGGTCTCAAACTCCTGGGATCAAGTGATCCTCCTATCTCGGTCTCCCAAAGTGCTGTAAGTACAGGCATGAGGTCCTGCACCCAGCCTGGAAGTCTTTATAGATAAGTTCAATTTAACTGTTTCTCCATCTGCTCCACTCAGCCGAGTTTCCCTCTCAGTCCAAGGGTGAGAACTGCAGCTCAGCCCCATCCAGGAGGGCTGCAGATGACCCAGCGCCACTGCCATACTCCAGATGCTGGTCAACGAGGAAGGGATCCTGAGGCCTGGCAGCGGGCGCTCTCAGGAACCTTGAAGCCCTCTAAACGGGACCCGCCATCCGTGCCTGTCAGAACTGTAGCCGCTACCTGCACTTGGCGCACAGGCAAATACGGCCAAGCAACCCCAAACTCCCCTCTTCCCCTCTGGGCCCAGGCGGCGCTGAACCTGCTGCTCAGCCGCATCCTGGCGACTGCACAGTGCCCAGAGCCTGCAAACCAGCGCTCAGGGCGCGAGCCAAGGAAGAGCAGGGCCTAGAGTGGGAGGGCGTGTGCCACACGGCTACCCTCAGGCCGTCGGGCCCAGCCCTGCAGCCTCTACCGTGGGCTCAGCTGCAGCTGGCATTTGAAGGTGGCAGCAGCGGTGGCAACCCCCGAACCTGTCCGCGCCACCAGCAGGCGAACCCCAGGGTCGGACACCGCCACTGCGCCTAAGTCAGGCAGTGGGACCTCAGTTGCAGGATCGTGGGAACCTGCCGCAAAGCCTCATCGCCGCAGCTGTACAGGGCCCAGTGGTGGCAAGCCTGCGCTGCCAGCGCGAGCCGAGGAAGAGCAGAGCCCCGGGTGGAAGGGCGATGTACTCGGCGATGCTCAGCGGTCTGGGCCCAACCCTGTAGCCTCTACCATGGGCTCAGCTGCAGCTGCCACCTGAACATGGCACGTGGCAGGAGAGGCTGCAACCCTGACCCTGCCAGCGCCACCAGCCGCGCGGATACTTGGGCCAGAAGCCTCCAGGCGCCTAAGTCAGGGATGGGTCCCTGGCTGCAAGAGGCCGGGAACCGACGCTCAGCGCCACCCTGGAGGCTGCACGATGCCCAGCGCCAGGGCCCAGCTCCTGGATCTCAGGTTGAGGAGGGGACAGGGGCAGCTCTGTCAAGCAGGCCATGTGGCAGGGAGCCCCCCACGTTCCGCTCCAGGGAGCCCCGCCAGCCCGATAGCGCCTCAGTAGCAGGTGCCACCTGCACGCCGTGCTGGGCGAAGCGCAGCCAGGGCGGTTTCCTGCCTCGCGTGTCTCCCAGGTCTGCTGAGTTGCGCATGCGCTGTTGCCTAACGGTTCTGCTCAGCTGCCTAAAGGTTCTGCTCAGGTGCCTAACGGTTCTGCTCAGCTGCCTAACGGTTTTGCGCAGCCATTTTCTCCCGGGAGAGGTTGGAGTGTCCAAAAGCTTGGCCCGACTGAGATTTCTAGTCTTGTCAGGGCGGATGCAGGGACTGAAGAAGGGCGAGGGCGAGCGGCGGGGACTGGGGAAGGGCGAGCAGCGGGAGGCACGGGCTCTCTCTAGCAGGTGGCTGCAGCCATGGAGAGGCTCTCTGCCGCCCCTGTCAAGGGCCAGACGGGCCCAGAGCGCCCGAGCCCCTTCAGTCAGCTGGTCTACACCAACAACGACTCTTACGTGATTCACCATGGGGATCTCAGGAAGATCCACAAAGCTGCCTCCCGGGGCCAAGCCTGGAAGCTGGAGAGGATGATGAAGAAGACGACAATGGACCTGAACATAAGAGATGCGAAGAAGAGGTACCAGGCCCTGCCTGAGCCGGGGCTGCAGGAGGAGGAGGAGGCTGTGGGAGGATCGCCCCTTCAGAGTGGGGCCTGGGGGTCCTGGGGACGAGGGGAGCAGGTGGAGGAGTGGCGGGCAGCGGGGCGGCCGTCCTGGGCCCCGAGGTCTTGGCCTTCTTCCCGGGCAGGTCCCCCAGGCCTTGGATGAGGGCGCCCTGCAGGGCGGAGGGCACAGGCCACCTTAAAATCAACCCCAAACTTTAGCTGCTTTCTCCTTCACTCCCACTTCCTCTCACAGAGCACTGTGTAGAGAATTTTAAAGTGATTTAACTTATAAAATTAAGTACATACAGGGTTTTACTTTTAATGTACAGGTTTTAAAAGATGTTAGATACATTATGAAATGGTGCATAATGAAATAATTCCCATAATATATTAACTTCTTGGCTAAAAATTTTTTGGATAAAGTCCAGTATCCATTTCAATATCAATGAATGTCTATGTAAATATATTCTTTGCTGAGGGACCTTAGAAGGTAACTTTGAGGTGGGAAGATGGTTTATGTTTTCGAATTTAAGAAGACTCATTTTTCTGAAGATGCAAGTTCTTTATCAGTTTTACATAAACCAAATAAAGTTATCAACGTTTTAACATTTTTAAAATTACACACGCTGTCTTTTACTATTGTGGTGACATTTAAAACATTTTGTAACGGAGTAGAAAAGTCTTGCCCTTCTAGATTTCAAAATGTGCTATTAATTTGCACAAAATGGGCCATGGCCAGGCGCGGTGGATCATGCCTGTAATCCCAGCACTTTGGGAGGCCGAGGTGGGTGGATCATGAGGTCAGGAGATCGAGACCATCCTGGCTAACACGGTCTCTACTAAAAATACAAAAAATTAGCCGGGCGTGGTGGTGGGCGCCTGTAGTCCCAGATACTTGGGAGGCTGAGTCAGGAGAATGGTGTGAACCTGGAAGGCAGAGCTTGGAGTGAGCCGAGATCGCACCACTGCACTCCAGCCTGGGTGACAGAGCAAGACTCCGTCTCAAAATAATAATAATAAATAAATAAATAAATAAAATTTGAAAAAAAAAAAAAAAAAGGGCCAGGCGTCGTGGCTCATGCCTGTAGTCCCAGCACTTCGGGCGGCCAAGGCGGGTGGATCACCTGAGGTCAGGATTTCAAGACTAGCCTGGCCAATATAGTGAAACCTCAAATCTACAAAAATACAAAAATTAGCCAGGCAGGATGTCGGGAGCCTGTAAGCCCATCTACTCGGGAGGCTGAGGAGGGAGAATCGCTTGAAACTGGGAGGCGGAGGTTGCAGTGAGCTGAGATCCCATCACTGCACTCTAGCCTGGGAGACAGTGAGACTCTGTCTCAAAAATAAATAAATAAATCACAAATTATTTGATAACAGCTGAAAAGACAGGTAAATGAATACAACAGAGTAGAAAATCCAGAAACACCCAAATATCTAAGAATTTAGAACTTGATAATGCTCACAGGTTATACTAGTAGGGAAAGAATTAGTTTCATAAGTGAAATGCCTGCTTTTTGGAGAAAACTAGATTTTTATGCCACAAAGTAAATTTCTGATGGAATATAGATTAAATTTTTTTAATATACAAAATGATAAAAGCACCAGAAGAAAACATAAATACCTATTTACACAGGTACATTTTTATGTTGACAACACCTTTCTAAGAAGCTCAGAAGCAAGCAGTCTGAAGGATAATTAAGCAAAACAAAATTAAATTAAACTGTAATGAGAAAAAATAAAAGGCAGCATACTTGTAAAATATTTACTACACATGTATGTGAGTGTGTGTATACATATTAGATTTTTAAATCGTCATTTTATAGATAATTCACTTAAATCAACAAAAAACCCGCTAATTATAATTGAGCAATTTAAGTTAGAGATATAAATTGCAGATCTAAAAATAGTACTTTGCTTCTAATTTAAAATTGGGAAAGTATTTTCTTAAGATCTGTAAGTGACCTATGCACACAGAAAACAATATTTAGTGTTCCTGGTTACAGAAGGCATTTAAGTTAAAAAAGGAATCAAATACTGCTTTCTATCTACAAAGTTTGTGAGGATAAAGAGCAGTGATATTTATACTGCTGTTTAAAGTTTAAGTTGCAGATAACTTTTCAAATAGACAATTTGGTGGTAAGTACCATATTATTAAGAAGAATTCATATAATGACTTTTATAAATACATTTCAGTGAATTTACAGCATGGGATAATATGTGACCACTGAAGGTAGAAATATGTAGAGAAATAGGTGACATTTGAAAATGTATTCTGGTGTATCAAGTGAGGGTAAAGTTCAGTTTGATTATACATACACACAGACTACAGTCTTGTGTTATCTGAAGTTGTGTATGAAATATGATAAAATTTGTTATTTGAGGGTGTTTAATATAAAATGTTTTTCCTTTTTATTATCTTTGATTTCCACATTGAGCATGTACAATGCTATTAGAAAAAGTTTATTATTAATGAAAAATTTTTGGGAAGAGCAGAAATATAATTTTGCACCAATAAAAATAATTTCTCACTTTCCGTAATTTAATTATTACTTTTTGTGGATTAGTATATTCTGTGAACTTTTAGCATCTTCAAAAGACAATCTTTTTACCTGTGCTTGTTGATTTACATATACATCTTATTAGACACATATTTTTATTATATATAGATTTATTACATATATGTCAATAATTATAGATTAATTAGTGTAGTTTTATTATTAAGAAAATAAAATAGAAAATATAAGTGCTTTATTTATAGCAGTTTTTTTAAGGTATTGAACTTCTCAACTGTATTTATCCTTTTAATCAATTTATCACATGTAAGCTGAATGCCTATTATGTAGAAGATACATTAACTCTCAAGATCCTTTCATCCTTAAAAATTTCACATTTACCTGCTCAGCCTTAGCAAAGTGAGAGATTTAAAGTTGGAGTACTAGGAATGAATCTCAATTGAAGATTTTCCTCTCATCTTTAAAACAAAAACACTTCTGAAGTAAGAAACTAGTAAAAGATAACTACCAACCACGATTTTGGAAATTTATAACAGCTTTAAATAGTAATATTAATCATTGGAAATACCTAATTTACATGCATTCTATAAATTTAAATATGAATTTACATACATTCTGTAAATCTAAACATGGAATAAAATAAGCCATACCTTCTTGAATCCCAAGTTTTCTTTGGCTTGAAGTTTTAAAAATATTAAAGAAGTACTTTGTTTTAACAGTTTGTTTTTATTTCAACTCTCCTTTTGTATAGCACTCTTAAAAGCTAAAATTTCTTTAAGTGTTAATCCTATGACTAAGACTGCCATCATCCTGTTGTATATACCATATTCCACTTCATGGAAGGCACGGTGAATTGTGTGATGCCTCCTTATTTATGTACCAATACAAGATTGTTTAAATTTCTGCAAAATATACTTGTAACAAATAATGACTTATAAGCGGCATTTCAATGTCAGAGATGTTAAAATACGAGAAATAGAGTATTTCAGAATTATTAAAATAGCTTTATCTCTAACCTTTAAAACATACCACAAATTAGGCATAATTGTACCATTTTACTTAAAATGTTTTCTTTGTTAAGTAGTAGAAATAATTACATTATCTATCAATTACTGAGCTGTTACATGTGCTAGGAATTCTTCCAAATACATTGCACATATTCTCATGAGGCATCACAGTGATGTCCTGTGAGATAACTACTGTATTCATCTTCACTTTATTGATGAGAAAATTGAGGCAGAGAAAGGTTAAGTGATAGTAGAAGGTGAAAGACTTTAAAGTAATATTCAAGCCCAAGTTGAACTGAATCCAAAGGCCAAGCTCTTTCTGTTCAAACAGGCACTCTTTCATTAATGTAGTGAGTAATAACAGTGAAGGAATATTGTAGTTTCTTCAGGAGAATATTAAATATTTGTTTTGAAGGCAGAGAAAGAGCATGGTATTTAATGTTGACAATTACATAAATCATTCTATGTTTTGAGACAGTGGACTAAACTTTCCTTAAAAGGCCTCTCATTCTTGTAGGACTGCTCTATACTGGGCCTGTGCCAATGGCCATGCAGAAGTAGTAACACTTCTGGTAGATAGAAAGTGTCAGCTTGACGTCCTTGATGGTGAAAACAGGACCATTCTGATGAAGGTAAATGGTAGCCAGTTCTTTCAGCAGGAGATGGATTTGGTTTAAATACATAGAATAAAAATGAATCTATCTCATTGAAATATAACTGGTTTGTGAAACCTGTGGAATATTTATTTATATTTCCTATAATTTATAATTTACTTTTTGCTTTAATACTGACAGGCTCTGCAATGCCAGAGGGAGGCTTGTGCAAATATTCTCATAGATTCTGGTGCTGATCCAAATATTGTAGATGTGTATGGCAACACAGCTGTCCATTATGCTGTTAACAGTGAGAATTTGTCAGTGGTGGCAAAATTGCTGTCCTGTGGTGCAGACATCGAAGTGAAGAACAAGGTAGACATTAACCAATGTTATTTTCAAAATATTTGAAATCCATTTGTTTTAACATTAACATATGTAAATTGTTTTATATTTGGAAGCTCAAACATTCCTATTTTTCTATGAAAATAGTTTGAGAAAACTTAATTGTCTAGGATTTTGCTTTAAATATTAATATTTTTACAAGAACTATTAGTATGGCTTTTCTGTGCATTATGATAAATATTTAAATTTGTTAAAGGTAAAACATTTTCAAATATTCTTTCCCACCCAAGTTTTTTTTTTCTTTCCAGTTAGTGTAAAACTACAGGAAAGTAAAATTTGCCTGCATAAATTGAGTCAACATGTAAAATTTAGGAGACATGCAGAAATCTGGATTTCCTCTTAAAGGATTGAATCTTGTGTCTTTTGAGCCCGTATGACTGTTTGGTATGCTATGAAGACATTCTAATTTTACATAAAGCATATGTTTCCAGTTTGCTACTGTGCCCACCTAGTTACATCACTTATTCAACTTACCTCTTTTGCCTCTGTAAATATTTCAGTTATCAATTCCTCTCTCATAGTACATTTGGGTAAAGATTTCAAGTTATTGAAGACAGTTTATAGGTGTTTATAATATATAGTTTATATTTTACATTAATTCATTAATAATGGGGTTGTCTTCTAAAATTTAGAATATTTTTTAAATGATGATTTTTCTTCATATAAACCATAAATAATCATCTTCTATTAGAAAGCCTTTAAGCCTTTTTAGATTAATCATGTTTGTATTTGAATAGGTTATGCATATTGCAGAAAAAATATTATATCTTTCTCCACAGAATTGTCCCTTAAAATTCAAGTGATTTATGGCTTCTATTTTGCTAAGCCACATACATGAGTTAGAACTTTCGTTAATAAGCCGTTTTATTCATACTTCTGATATTTTGCCAAAAAATAGTATCAATTACAATAGAAACCAGAATAAAAGTGGATTATTGCATTTTAAGAAGTAGATATGCATTAGGATCCTAGGAGTATCATTATAATAGAGAATAAACTTTTATACTGAATTTCTTTTCTTTTTTTCTTCTTTTTTTTTTTTTTTGAGACGGAGCCTCGCTCTGTCACCAGGCTGGAGTGCAGTGGTGTGATCTCGGCTCACTGCAATCTTTGCCTCCCTGGTTCAAGCGATTCTCCTGCCTCAGCCTCCTGAGTAGCTGGGACACAGGCATGTGCCACCACGCCCAGCTAAATTTTTTGTATTTTTAGCAGAGATGGGGTTTCACCATGTTGACCACGATGGTCTCGATCTCCTGACCTTGTGATCTGCCCGCCTTGGCCTCTCAAAGTGCTGGGATTACAGGCATGAACCACCTTGCCTGGCCTTGTATACTGAATTTTTAATAGCCGAGATAAAATCCTATTGTCTGGTAATAGGATAAACCCCATGGACCATTTAATAATAAGCAATCAAAGTTTATTTGAAGCCAATCTCTTTTAATTTAGAGCCACTTCCTTAGTGACCCATTTAGAGCAGGAGTGCCTGACATTGGCATTTGGAATCTTGGAATCATTGATAGAAGAGAATCAAGTGAGTTTGTATCAGCCAGAGGAAACCTCCATTTTTGGGGGGAAGCTTTCAAAACTGTATCCCTGAAATTCTAATTTGTCAAATGTTAATGTTTGCCACAAAAATATACTGTCAAATAAGGATTAGGTAAAGTTCAATTCATTTCTTGAATAATGAATATTTAATTCACAGTTTTATAACATTTCTTGAACATAGATAATGGTGGAATCTTTTGGGGTACAGTGCTTCTGGTAAGGTAATTATTCTTTGGAATATAGTTGAAGAAACACTGTTCTAGAGGTAATAATTTAGATTACTAATTTAGTAAAAAATAAAGTATTTACTACTATGTCTTAGGGTTTAAGGACATAGAGGTAAAAGATACAGCCCCTGCCCTCAAGAAGCTCTTGGTTTACATGGGAAACAATAAAATCATTACAATATAATGATTTTTGGAGATAACTAGAGTTAATGTGGTGATGCAGAGGCTGAATGTTTACAAGAGAAGGTGCAGTGCATGGGAAAGCACAGAAAAGTGAGAAAGAAGGGATTGCTATTGATTTACTTTCCATTGTTTAAGTTCATAGGATATTATATAAGGTATTCAATTCAGCTGAGAAATATGTAATTTCATGAATTATAAATTGTTTTTGCTGTTTTACAGGCTGGCCACACACCACTTTTACTGGCCATAAGGAAAAGAAGTGAGGAAATTGTGGAATTTTTACTGACAAAAAATGCAAATGCAAATGCAGTTGATAAGTTTAAATGGTATAGTAGTTTTTTTTATTAAAAAACACTTGAGTAGTGTGCTAGAGTAATAACTCTCAAGTCAGAAATATTAAATTAGTAACATTTACTTAAAATTATTAGATTATGCAGAAAAATACCAACACAAATTATCAGTTAGGAAGAAAAGCAATTATTTGGACTGGTCAACACAAAGAACAGTATACAGTAGGATTTTCTTCTTTTATTATATTGACTGATTCTTATTTTTAATCTGATGTTTTTGGTTGCATTATCTTCTATTAGCTAAAGTGGTTCTGTATTAGTTTTAAGAAGTATGAATTTTTAGTTTACTTTATAATTCAGTATTGAATGATTAACACCTTTATAGTATTTTTCTAACTTCTGTTTTTCATACACTTTTAAAAAATGCAATATTTGCTGGGCATGGTAGCTGTTGTCTGTTATCTCAGCACTTTGAGAGGCCAAGTGTGTAGATCACCTGAGGCCAGGAGTTTGAGACCAGCCTAGCCAACATGGTAAAACTCCATCTCAATGAAAAATATAAAAATTAGCCAACCATGGTGGCACAAGCCTGTAGTCCCAGGTACTCAGGACAATATTATTCCTAATATTGTTTTAAGTCTTCAGATTGCTCTCACTTGTCCGACTTCTAGCTAACTTTGAAGTACAAAATATTATATCAGACTAAGGAGGAAATAGATAATTCTTCACTTAAAACTTTGCCTCTTTTAGATTAGTGAACAGAACGTATTTTCTTGCCCCTCAGTGGACTTTATGTTAGCCAATTCTACTATGCCATATCCCAGTGAGACATGAGTCTTTTCACCCCTTCCTTTTAGCCTTGGTCGTGATTTACAAGGATAAACACTTGAGCACTCAAGATACTTAACGTTTGTTAATACATGTAAATGGTTAATTCTATACTGACAGGCACATATTAAATTCGTTCGTTCCTAATAATGAAGTTATCTCTTTGTTATTTTAGCACAGCCCTCATGCTTGCCATATGTCATGGATCATCAGAGATAGTTGGCAAGCTTCTTCAGCAAAATGTTGACATCTGTGCTGAAGCTACATGTGGAATGATTGCAGAACGTTATGCTGTTGCTTGTGGATTTAATCTCTAAGTGTTTACATTTAAAGGCTAGGTGAGATTTTATAGTTTGTTTCAGGTAGTTTTTGAATGACAGTGAGTTAGTTCACTTCATCAGCCAGAAACTAGGCAAAAAGCTGACTAGTTAGAAGGATTAATGGCTCCAGGATTCTTTATTTTAGGGCTTTAGGGACGCTAATGTTGTCTACTTGATTTGAAGTATAACCCCTATGCATGGGATAAATATAATGTCACAATTTTGGTTTTTCTAATTAGTTATTTGGGTCTCGAAAAGTCCACTTTAAGCAGAAAACCTGATAATGTCCCCAGGGGGCTGTCTTCCATACCTTTATTCTTGAATTTTTTAAAAGAATCTGAACCTAAGTCCAAGGAAGACATTCCTTTTGTACAAGTCAGAAGGATTGGCGGTGGGGGCAGAAATGGCCATTCTCTTCATTTTGTTGTTTCCATTGATTCTATTGCTGCATCGTTGCCATTGAAACTGCTCCTGCAGTCTGGTAATGATTGGCCTTTGTGACCAGGAAGCCCTTACTAACACAGGTTCTTCAGTCTTCATGGTGTAGACTTCGAAGTTACTGCATGTTTTTAAAGTTCACGTACATATTCTCAGCCATTGTTTCCAAAGTACCAGCACCCCACTCTGGCAGCTAGAACTTTTAGCTTTAGCCACACACATAGTGAGCAAATTGACTCTTCTCCTCACACTCAAAACCTGATGTGAAACCCACATCTTAGCCTGGACATGGCCTAGACCTTCATGGTAAGTTATCCTTTGAGTGGCTTTTTTCTATTTTCTCTAGCCAATATTAGTTGTGGTCGTTTGAAACTGTAAGTCAGGTTGAAATAATGTTACAGGAAGAAATTAGAGATCCATTTTGTCTTTGTTACCAGATCTATATCCCTGGCCCTTTATATCCTGTGTAGCACCATTTTGTAGGCAGTGGACGGTCTCATTCTGTAAAATCCCATGTCATCTTTCCCAAGTTGTAGTGGGTTCCAACTTGTGGTTGTCCCCTCAAGTGATTCTTTTTTCCTAAAAGTAAAAATCTCCCATGCTACTTACATCTCTACCTCGAGTTTCTAAAATATTTTCAAATGCTGCATCACCATGAAGCCATTCAATAGACTTCACTAAATCTCAAGTAAGTTGGTTAGATTTAACAGAGCTAAGCCTCATCCATCACTGATCAGTCTTCACGTATAAAAGTAAGGATTTGTGCTGGCTTCAGTGGTACATATAGTAAAATTAAAACAACGTTGAGAAGATCAGCATGGTCCCCGCACAAAGATGACATAGAAATCTGTAAGGTGTTGCATATTTCTTGGAGTCCCCAAAAGGACATTTTACTACTTTCTAACTAGCTCCAAGGAAATGGTGTGAGTCAAAGCAAAATGGGTGACACCCAGTATTGCAATTGTGATTTTCATACAAAAAATTATTTACGTAAGGTCATCTATGAAATGAGATGTGGTAACACATAGGATCTTGTGTGCAATATTTTGTTAGTAGGGATCTCAGAAATGAGAAAATACCAACTTGCATCTTCTTTGTGGAACTTACAAAAAATAAAGGTAGGGTTTTGTCTTCCACAGCAGCTGGAAATGAACATAGTGACTAAGCATCATTCTAACAAAGATTTGTTGGTTCAGAGTTTAAGGAGGTAGATAAAGACTAGTAGTAGTCCAAGCCAGATGCTGACATCTATTAGTTTTCTGCCCTTGGTGTGACTGATGAGCTCAGTAATAGAGTATAATTTGGTTATCTGATTTAATGATTTAATATATTTATAAATATATTTCATTACAAAATATAAAATAGCTTAGATGCTCTGAATTACAAGCCACAAAGAATAGAACATCTAATGTCCAAAAGTAGGAATTAATAACAGAAAATTGCAATATTTGAATATTATAACCTATGAAGAAAAACATTTTTTTTGTTTTTTTTTTGTAATTTAATTTTTGTTGAGACATGGTCTCCCTATGTTGCCCAGGCTGGTCTTGAACTTCTGGATTCAAGCAATCCTCCTGTCTCAGCATCCAAAAGTGCTTGCCTCACAAGCATGAGCCACTGCACCAGGCCAATATATTGGGTTTTATTGGGAATTTTAAATTGTTTCAGCAATAAGGTTCAAGAACAAATTTTTTTTGCTTCATTTTTTATTTTAAGCATTTTTAAAATGTTATCTTGTTAAATCTTTATAATAACCTAGTGAAATAAGGCCCTAAAATCCTCATTTTTAGAAGACATTGAGTCTAAGAGAAGCAACTTGTTCAAGAAAAAATACCTGTTGGTAGCCATGCTAGGACTTATTCCGAGTTAAGGACATTTTCCACATGTCAAGCTACCTCTAGTTAATTTACTGAGTTATACTGCCCTCACTTCATGAGTGTTTTATCTTTCTTTCTTCTTTAATTAGAAGCTTAATAAGTTCATAGAGCTTACAAACTTAAAGTCTATGGAAAAAGTAATGTTCTGATGTTAGCTCTAATATTGTCTGAAATACCCTAAGAATGTAATAAATTTGGTAAATATTTTTTATATCAATGTTAAAATAGTGATTTTATTTATTTCATTTTTATACATAGCGTTCATCAACAACTTTTGGAATATAAACAAAAGATATCTAAAAATTCTCAAAATAGTAATCCAGGTAAGACCTCTGATAGTAAACTACTCTTGGTGGTGCTACCATAAGATTATAGGAGTGTTAATCACAAAAGAGCTATTAGAAAAGCAATGTGTAAGTAGCATGTGTTTACATATAGACCTATATGTGTTTTTTTATATACAAAGCTTTGATTTAATTTTTTAGTTTATAATTCAGAATTCATTAAGAATTTAGTTGTAGGTAGTTTATAATCTCAAAAATATTATCTGAAAAAATGTTTGTTTAATTGTGGTCCCTAATATCCTATATAATACTTTTGTATAAATAAGTAAAACAATTTTTAAGTTTATCTATTTTATGTTTCCTCAACTGTCATAAAAATTTATGCTTGTTATAAAATGTATAATCCTTGGTGTGATTGATGAGCTCAGTAATAGGGGATTATCAGCTTATCCAATTTAATGAATTAATATATTTATAAATAAATTTTATTACAAATTATAAAATAGCTTAGGTGCCTTGAATTACAAGCCACAAATAATAGAACATCTAATAATGAAAAGTAGGAATTAATAACAGAAAACTGCAACATTTGAATATTATAACCTATAAAGAAACACAGTTAAATAAACTGTTAAATAAACAAATATTTGTTTGTTTATTAAACATAAACATATAAAATGTTTATTTGTTAATTTAACAAATAAATTATTTATTTGTTTGTTTCTTTATTGTAGAGACATGGTCTCCTTATGTTGCCCAGGCTGGTCTTGAACTTCTGGGCTTTATTTAATTTTTGTAATAAATGATTTGCATTCAGAAAATTAGAATTAATTACAGTCGAGTATTGAGCAACATGAGAGTTAGGGTGCTGATCCCCCCATGCAGCTGAAAATCTGCTTTATAGGAAAATCTGTTTCTTTTGACTCCTCCAAAACTCTACTAACATTCTACTGTTGACCTGGAGCCTGAAAAAAGTTGAAAGCATAAGCAGTCAATTAACCCATAGTTTCTATTTTATATGTACTATATACTGTATTCTTAGAATAAAGTGAGCTGGAGAAAAGAAACTTATAAAGAGGAAGAAATATATTCACTATTTATTAGATGGAAGTGAATTATTATACATAAAGGACTTCATTCTCATTGCCTTTATGTTGAGTAGGCTGATAAGGAGGAGGCAGAGGTGAGATTTGTCTTAGTATCTTGCAGTGGCAAAGGAAAAGAAAAATCTGTCTATTAGTGGGCTCCTAGAGTGAAAACCCTTATTCAAAGATCAACTGTGTGGCATAGTGACTTTTGTCACTAAAAAAGTAACTATCTTTAGAATTTGGATCTCAATAATACTTTTCTTGCACCCTAAATGAATGTCAATAAGAATTAACATAACTTAGTGAGGGTGCATCAGTACCAGTAGGAGATTATTTTTCAAAGATACCTACTGAGTGCAGAAGTCAGAAAAGCAATTCTTTGTTGAGAAGTACAGGTTATGTTACATAGTCTTGTACCAACAAGGTCTCACTATTATCAACTTCATTCCCTCTAAGTTGAAACCAAATAAGATATGTTTACTTCATTAGAACAAGATGTGTTGTTCTATCTGCTGAATAATTAGTGTGTTGATAGTAATTTTGTTACAACAAGTTACTCTGTTCCTACTAGCCAAAATATTATCATTATAAATATAAAACTAGCTCAACTCTAGGCTCAACGAATTATAATAAAAGTGGAAAAAATTTTCACAATAACAAAAGTGCTACTGTGATACCTAAATGTGACACAATACATTGTACAATATGAACTGTATGAGCACATCTTTAATTTATTACATATTTATCAAAGGACTTCTATAAGTTAGATTTTGCAAGTTGCAGGAGACCAACATGGAATACACATAGTCTGGGTCTTTAAGGTGCTCATAATACAATAGAGCTGTCTCTATTGAATTTCTTCATTTTTCCAACAGAATTTCCTAACTATGTTTTCTATTTGTTTATCCACTTGTCCACTTAACAAATAACTGTCAGGTATCATTAAGGTACTAAGCATCTTTCTTGCTATTATCATTGTCATTTTTTATTATTTACTAGTTTATTAAGGTACTTAGCATTTTTCTTGTTATTATCATCTTTTTTATTATTTACTACTTTATTTAGTGCTTACTCTGTGCGAGAACCCCTTTGGGAGCTTATAATTATCACTTATTATGTCATTACCATATTCAGTATGTGTCAGACATTTTATATCCAACGTGAAGAATTAAAGCTTTAAAAAGTTTGGTAGTGTCCAGGAGCGGTGGCTCACTCCTGTAATCCTAGCACTTTGGAAGGCCAAAGCGGGCGGATTGCTTGAGCACAGGAGTTTGGGACCACCCTGACTAACATGGTGAAATCCCATCTCTACTAAATACAAAAAATTAGCTGGGCCTGGGTGGCATGCATATGTAATACCAGCTACATGGGAGGCTGAGGTAGGAGAATTTCATGAACCTAGGAGGCGGAGGTTGCAGTGATCTGCTGAGATCGTGCCACTGCACTCC
Source organism: Homo sapiens (assembly GCF_000001405.40). NCBI lineage: Eukaryota > Metazoa > Chordata > Mammalia > Primates > Hominidae > Homo > Homo sapiens. Next base: position 132,148,414 of record NC_000002.12, on the reverse strand, counting down.
AGCCTGGGCAACAGAGCGAGGCTCTTGTCTCAAAAAAAAAAAAAAAAAAAAAAAAAAAAAAAGGAGAAAACAAAAGTTTGGTAGTATTTAAGGAAAGCAAGCTGAATGAGTAGAAGTTTTCCAGGTAAAGAGTCAGAAGGATGATATTTAGCGAAGGAAAATTTAACCAGACTCTGTGTTTGGCAGAAGGAACATCTGAAGGAACACCTGATGAGGCTGCACCCTTGGCGGAAAGAACACCTGACACGGCTGAAAGCTTGGTGGAAAGAACACCTGATGAATAGGATACAGTGAATTCCTCTTCAAAGATTTTAGCCTGTAAACATCCTTTAAAATTCAAGAGGGGGAAGATTAAGTACAATGAGTTCTGAGTTCCTCATCAAAGAACAAATATGTCAGTATGTTCAGCTTCTCTGTTCTTTGTTCTCCGTTTTAAAGTTTAACTTCCTCGTTCGTTATGCCTCCTTGCCCCTAGTTTCATTAAACAGCCCCCTTCTAGCCTCTAACACCTGCTTTGTCTTTAGTCATTCTTAGTAACCTGCTCTGTCCTTAGTCATCCTTAGACACCTGCTCTGTAACTGTCTTTCCCGCTGAAACTACTCACCCTGCCACTCCAGCTCATACCCCTGCCCTCTTTAAATAGCCAATCTGAATTGGCTTAGAGTGTGCAGTCCAACCCTATCCAATAGGGAAAAGACACAACAGTAGGGACTAGCTGCGTTAGAAATAAGAACACTTTCCCCTCCCTTGTCCGGTGTGATCTTGCCATTGCTCCATCTGCAAGACCACTCTTCCATAGAAGTAAATTTGCCTTGCTGTAAAAACTTGTTGCTGGAGTGCTGACGGTTCTTTGCGGCGCTGAAAATTTATTTTCCACAAATTTAAGGGCCCACCCAGCATTCCCATTCTCCTCTAGGGGAGGGTCCAGTCCTCTCCCTTGAGGAGGCGCACCCCGCTGCCTCGTTGCAGTGGCCATAAAGGTAAGGAATCAAGACTCAACTGGTGCGATTAATAAACCCGGGCTCTCAGCAACGTGGAAAGAAACAGGCCAGCAACTTTGGGGAAAGGATCTTCACATACCGTGGCGACCAGGTAACTGTGCACAGACCGAGGTAAGAAATGTCGCAGGGGTGACAAAGTATTTCCTTGGTGGTCGGGATATTCTGGAGGTTGAAAGTGTGTGTGAATGATCACAAGCACTACTGCTTGTGGTGCTGTTTGTGTGGATGATACTAAGCATTATTGCTGTGAGGAGTGAGTGGGTCCTATCTGCGGTTTTTTATTTGAATAAAAACCTTTGAAGAGGAATTTACTGTATCCTCATAGGGCTCAGGGCAGATCTTGCTGTGGAGTTTATACCATGATGCCAATGCTAAGAGGGACCTAAAATTCCTGGGAGGGAAGCAGCCAGAGTGGATGAAGCGAAAGAAGGATGCAAGGAGCCTCCAGCAGGTGGCGATAAAGGATAGGGAAGAAATCTCTAGCATGCGGGATTGAGCCTAACCAGGACCTAACATGGGAAAAGCCCCAAGTAAGATAGGGAGCAAAAAAGAAGAGGATAGTAACAAAGACATGCCCCCTGATAGTCCCCTGGGTCTCATGTTAAAATATTGGAAGAATAATGAGAGGACTAAACATAAGAAAAAGCATTAGAGGATAAAATATTGCTGTTTCATTTGGACCCAAGGTCCCATTTTCAAACCCTCAATCTTCTGGCCAAAGTTTGGGTCGATTGAGGATGTAATATGTCAACTTCTAATTCAATATGTTAATGATAAAAATCTGGTTTCTCAAGAAGAACTAGACTATGCTCTTTGTTGGAGACAGGGACCTGTCTTTATTCCCATAAAGACAACTAGGGAAGAACCCGATCCAGTATCTCAAATTGAAAAGTCAGACGAGCTGACTCCCACACCTAAAGCCAGCACATGGGATCCCCTATACCATTTTGCCCTGCTCAGTGCCTCTGACCCTTCCCCTCGGGCAGCTGCTGCCACCCCAGATCCCACCCCAGATCCTTCTCCTGCTCACGCTGTTACTCCTCCTTACAACTCTAATTCTTGGATGTCATCATCCCATGAGCCTGTCCCCTGTCAGCCTAAATACCTCTCCCTAAAGGGACTCCAGCATGAGGTACAGCAATGTAAAAAGGACGTTCAGAACTTCCCTTTTCCCTCCACACCTAAGGAGTCAGCCCCAGCTCTCTTCCCCTTAAAAGACATGTCACAAGGAGGAGGAGCCATTGTATTTGTGAATGCTCCCTTGACCAGTTCAGAAGTCTGAAGTTTGAAAAAGGAAATTAAGCCATCGTTAGACGACACTTATGAGGTGGCAGATCAGGTTGATCAATTCTTGGGACCTCAGTTATACACTTTGGTCGAGTTTATGTCCATCCTAGGCATCCTTTTTTCGGAGGAGGAAAGAAGCATGATCTGATCCGTAGGGCTGCTATGGCAATTTGGGAATATGAACACCCTCCTTGTCAAAACGTTCCTACCACGGACCAAAAATTCCCTGCCCAAGATCCCCGGTGGGATAATAATAATGCAGCTCACCAAGAAAACATGCAAGACATAAGGGAAATGATAATGAAAGAAACTAGGGAATCAGTACCCCAAACTCAAAATCTCTCTAAAGCATTTGATATACAACAACAGGAGAGAGATGAGTGGACTATGAAATTTTTAGACAGACTAAAGGAGCAAATGAGAAAATATGCAGGCCTAAATTTGGAAAATCCCCTGGGACAGGGAATGTTAAAGCTCCATTTTGTCACTAAAAGTTGTCCAGATATTTCTTTTTATTTTTTTGAGATGGAGTCTCTCTCTGTCACACAGGCTGGAGTGCAATGGTGCGATCTTGATTCACTGCAAGCTCCGCCTCCCAGGTTAACTCCATTCTCCTGCCTTAGCCTCCCGAGTAGCTGGAACTACAGGTGCCCACCACCACGCCCAGCAAATTTTTTGTATTTTTAGTAGAGATGGGGTTTCTCCGTGTTAACCAGGATGGTCTCAGTCTCCTGACCTCGTGATCCACCCACCTCGGCCTCTCAAAGTGCTGGGATTACAGGCATGAGCCACTGCACCTGGCCAACATTGTCCAGATATTTCAAAAAAGTTACAAAAATTAGAAGATTGGGAAAACTGACCTCAAGTGAACTTCAGTGAGAAGTGAACCTCAAGTGAAATGACCTCAAGTGAACCTCAGAGAGACTCAAAAAGTATCTGTGAAGAGAGACGAAGAAAAGCAAAAACAAAAGACAAAACTTATGTTATTCACCTTCCAACAGATGGCTCCAAACCCATGTACCCCTAAACAAAGCTTCCAGTGGGCCAGAAACTATAAAGGTTCCAAACCCTCCTTTAAAGGACCCAAGCCTCCACTGGGAAGATCAAGGCTCTCGTCTACCAGGCCATCTAAATAGCATGGGGGAGTAAAATCAAAGAATCCCAGAACTGAGAGTGGGGAAGGGCAAGGTAGGCACTACAAATGTGGAAGAACAGGCCACTTCAAGAGAGAATGTCCCAAATTAGAAAAGGAAAAAGAAGCCCTTCCACTCATGGCTTTTGAGGAAAATAATGGTGTCAGGGGTTCTGTCTCTTTTATCTTGAGTCCCACCAGGAGCCCTTGATAAGTCTAGAAGTGAGACCTAAGCATGAGTTTATAATCTTTTTAGTCAATTCAGGAGTGGCTCGATCCTCTGTTTGTTTCCCCCCCATCTAATATTGCCTGCTCTTCAGAGGAACTTTTGGTTTGTGGGGTAAAGGGAGAAGGATTTAAAGCAAAAATTTTAGAAAACACAGAAGTCAGATACCAGGCTCAATCAGCTCATATTCAGTTTTTGTTAATCCCTAAAGCAGGGACTAATTTACTAGGCAGGGATTTAATGTTGAAGTTAGGCATAGGCCTGCGACTCAGCCCAAGAGGATTCCTCACCTCATTAAAGCTACTTACCACTGCAGATGAAAAATATATTAATCCTAATGTCTGATCCAAAGAAGGAAACTGAGGGAAACTCTGAGTCCCTCTAAGCACATCAAGCTAAAAAACCCCAGGGAAGTAGTAAGGAGGAAACAATACCCCATTCCCCTAGAGGGCAGGATAGGGTTGAAACCTATAATTGAAGGTCTTATTAAAGATGGGCTTCTTGGGCCCTCTATGTCCCCTTATAACAGCCCAATATTGCCAGCCAAGAAATTAGATGGGTCATATCGGCTGGTACAGGACCTTAGGGCTATTAACCAAATAGTCCAAACTACCCACCCCATTGTCCTCAATCCTTACACCATTCTCAGCAAGATTCCATATAATAATCAATGGTTTACTGTAATAGATTTGAAGGATGCTTTTTGGGTATGTCTCCTGGCTGAAGATAGGCCAGATATATTTGCTTTTGAGTGGGTGGATCCCCATTCAGGGTAGAAACAACAATATCAATGGATAGTCTTACACCAAGGGTTCCCAAACTCCCCTAACCTTTTCAGTCAAATTTTAGAACAAGTATTAGAAAAAGTTATCATCCCAAACAAATATGCCTGCTCCAATACGTTGATGATATTCTTATATCTGGTGAAGATATAGAGAAGGTAGCTGGCTTCTCTACACATATTCTCAACCATCTGCAGTTCGAGGGGTTATGAGTCTCAAAGGGAAAGCTTCAGTATGTAGAACCTGAAATTAAATATTTAGACCACTTGATAAGTGCAGAGAAGTGAAGAATAGGGCCTGAATGAGTTGAGGGAATCGTGTCCCTACCCTTGCCTCAAACTTAAACAAGAACTCAGGAAATTTTTAGGATTAGTTGGATACTGCTGCTTATGGATTAACTCACATGCACTAAACAGTAAAATTCTATATCCAAAACTTGCCCAGGGGAATACTGACCATTTCCTGTGGACTTCTGAGGAAGTCGATCAGGTTGAAGAGCTGAAAAAAAGGCTTATAACAGCCCCTGTCTTAGCCTTACCTTCCCTGGAAAAGCCATTCCACCTTTTTGTCAATGTGGATAATGGGGTAGCTTTAGGAGTGCTCACTTAAGAACACGGAGGCCATCGGCAGCCCATGGTGGCCTTCCTGTCAAAAGTCTTAGATCCAGTTACTTGTGAGTGGCCTCAATACATCCAATCCATTGTGACTACAGCACTAATGGTCAAAGAAAGCAGGAAGTTAACCTTTGGAGGAAAATTGACAGTAATAACGCCCCATCAAGTTAGAACTATCTTAAACCAGAAAGCAGGGAGGTGGCTTACTGACTCAAGAATCTTAAAGTATGAGACTATTCTGTTAGAAAAAGATGATTTAACATTAACCACTGATAATTCCCTTAACCCAGCAGTTTTCCTAATAGGGGATCCAAGTCTAAAGAGATAGCACACATGTTTAGATTTAACTGATTACCATACAAAGGTCTGACCAGACTTAGGAGAAACTCCCTTCAGGATGGGACGACACTTATTTATAGATGGTTCCTCCCAGGTGATTGAGGCAAAAAGATGCAATGGGTATTCACTAATTGATAGGGAAACTCTTGAAGAAATTGAGGCAGGAAAATTGCCTAAGAATTGGTCTGCCCAAACTTGTGAGCTGTTTGCACTCAGCTGAGCCTTAAAGTACTTGCAGAACCAGGAAGTAGCCATCATACCAATTCTAAGTACACCTTTGGAGTGGCTCGTACATTTGGAAAAATTTGGACTGAACGAGGTCTCATTAATACTAAACGTCAAGATCTTGTTCATAAGGATCTAATCACCTAAGTATTGAATAACCTTCAGTTGCCAGAAGAAATAATGATTGTCCATGTCCCCAGACACCAGAAAAGTCTTTCTTTTGATAGTCTGGGAAATAGCCTAGCAGATTACATAGGCAAACAGGCTGCCATTTCTTTTAAAACATCTATTTTTCACTGAACTCTTTACCTTCCTCCTCCTACCATAATCTCCATTTTCTCTTCCACTGAAAAGAGAAACTAATAAAAATAGGTGCTAAAGAGGATTCAGAATAAAAATGAATATTGTCAGACCAGAGGGAAATGTTGTTCAAACCCTTTATGAGGGAAAACTTGTCCCAGCTGCATCAAGGGAACCACTGGGGGTCCCAAGCCATGTGTGACACAGTTCTGAAAGTTTTGGGGTGTATAGGAATTTATACTCTGGCCAAACAGGTTACAGACAGTTGCTTAGTATGTAAGAAAACTAATAAACAAACTATAAAAAGATTACCCCTTGGGAGAAGGAGTCCAGACTTAAAGTATCCTGATTGATTACACAGAGATGCCTCCAATAGGTCATCTAAAATATTTACTAGTGACAGTAGATCACCTTACTCACTGGGTCAAAGCTATTCCCTTTTCAAATGTGATGGCCAATAATGTAGTTATGGCCTTAATTGAAAATATAGTGCCCAGGTTTAGGCTAATAGAAAACATTGACTCAGACAATGGAACCCATTTTTCCTCAAACTATTACATTTGATGCATGCCTTGTTATACCTTGTGGAGACTTGTCAAGTTGAAGGCAGCTCTCCACTTCAGAAAGGTACCTCTGTACTTCCTGGTTCTCCTCAGACTGGACATTAGTGAATTTGGATCATTTAGTCTGAGAAAGTTTCAATGAAGACCCCAGTGTCAACTGGGAGTCTTGCCCCCTTGACACACAGCATTTATGACATAGTTGGTCCAACTGCTTGCAAGTGAGAGCAAGGATGGACTGCCCCAACCAGTAGTTGTAATTCCTAAAACCATACATTCATTTTACTAAAGATATAGCTCCCCCTAACTTTCAGGTAAACTACTGCAATCCAATACAGGTTATTATTTCAAACCCTCAAAGTTCTTCCCCTTCTCTAAGCCAATTCCCTTCTTTAAGCTGGTTTTATGATATGGGGGCTGAGTTTTCAGAAACAGACCCTATTGGATCTTTTGGAATATGCTTCATTGCTCCCCTACTGCCTACAGCTTCCCCTAAGTCTTCTTCCAAAAACTCTCACAATGAAACTGTTGTTCCTCCTCCATCTAAAGAGAAGACCAAGGTAGCTATTGTAGAAGTTAAAGACCTAAAACAAACTTTGGCAACTGAGACAGCATATCAAGATGTGAATGCCTGGTTGGAATGCGTCAAATACTGCGTTCGCACTTTAAACAAAAGCAATTGTTACGCTTGTGCACACAGCACACCAGAGGCCCAGATTGTCCCCTTTCCACTAGGATGGTCCTTCAGTCGACCAGGCATGGGCTGTATGGTAGCTCTTTTCCAGGGTTCCACAGTCTGGGGTAACAAGTCATGTCAATCTCCCTCTCTGCTATATCCCAAAGTTCAACACCCTGCAGGTCAGCCTCCAAGGGCCATCCAGCTTCCGTCTCCCGACACTAAGTTCACTTCATGTCTCTCACAAAAAGGAGGAAACTTAGCATTGTTTGGAGACCTAAAAGGATGCAGTAAGCTTAAGACTTTCCAAGAGCTTACCAATCAGTCATCCCTTATACATCCCTGAGCAGATGTATGGTGGTATTGTGGTGGACCTTTACTGGACACTCTGCCAAGTAACTGGAGCAGCCCTCATGCTCTAGTCCAGTTGGCTATACTTTTCACTCTGGCATTTCATCAACCAGAAAAAGGGAAAACACAACATCGTAAAGCAAGGGAAGTCCCTTACAGGTCTTTTGACTCCCACATTTATTTAGATGCTATTGGAATCCCATGAGGAGTACCAGATACATTTAAGCCTAAGATCAAATAGCTACAGGATTTGAATCAATATTTTGGTGGATGACAATAAAAATGTAGATTTGGTGAATTACATCTATAATAATCAACAGTGGTTTATTAATTCCACCAGGGATGTTGTCAAAGGAATAGCAGAACAATTGAGGCCAACTAGCCAGATGGCCTGGGAAAACAGAATGGCCCTGGATATGATATTAGCTGAAAAAGGTGGTGTTTGTGTTATGATTAAAACTCAGTGATATACCTTTATCCATTGGGGGCAAACAACACTGCCCCCAATGGGAGCATAACAAGGGCCCTACAAGGATTTACCACTTTATCCAATGAATTAGCTAAAAACTCTGGGGCCAATAACCCTTTCTTCAGATGGCTAGAAAGGTGTTTCAGTAAATGGAAAGAAATCATAGCCTCAATTCTTACTTCTCTTACAGCAGTAACGGCTGTACTCATTCTTGTTGGGTGTTGTGTCATACCGTGCATCCATGGGCTAGTGCAAAGGCTTATAGAAACAACACTTTCTAAAACCTCCCTTAGCTGTCCTCCACCTTATTCAGATAGGCTTTTCTTTTTAGAGGATCAAGTTGAAAAAAAAAAAAAAGCCAAGACATGTTAAAAAGGTTTGAAGAGGAAGGGCTATAAAAATTGAAAGAGGGAATTGTAGAATACAGTGAATTCCTCTTCAAAGGTTTTAGCCTGTTAACGTCCTTTAAAATTCAAGAGAGGGAAGATTGTTAAGTACAGTGAGTTCTGAGTTCCTCTTCAAAGAACTAATATGTCAGTATGTTCAGCTTCTCTGTTCTTTGTTCTCCATTTTAAAGTTTAACTTCCTCATTATTTATGCCTCCTTGCCCCTAGTTTCAGTAAACGACCCCCTCCTAGTCCCTATCACCTACTCTGTCCTTAGTCATTCTTAGTCACCTGCTCTGTCCTTAGTCATCCTTAGTCGCCTGCTCTGTAACTGTCCTTCCTGCAGAAACTACCCACCCCGCCACTCTGGCTTGCACCCCTGTCCTCTTTGAAGTAGCCAGTCAAAATTAGCTTATAGTGTGTGGTCCAACCCTAGCCAGTAGGGGAAAGACACAAAAGTAGGGACTAGCTGCATTAGGAATAAGAACCCTTTCCCCTCCCTTATCCAGTGTGCTCTTGCCATTGCTCCATCCGCAAGACTCAGCCTTCTATAGAAGTAAATTTGCCTTGCTGGAGTGTTAACCTGTGGCTGGAGTGCTAACTCTTCTTTGTGTCACCAAAAAGTTATTTCCAACATGAAGCTGCACCCTTGGTAGAGGGAACATCTGACGAAGTTCAATGTTTGGGGAAAGCAATATCTGGAAAGATTGAACAGTCAGCAGGAGAAACACCTAGGAAAATTACAAGGCCTGTGAACGAAACATCTGAGAAATTTGCATGGCCACGAGAAAGACCTACAAAGACCACATGGAAGGAAAAAGAAACATCTGTAAAGACTGAATGAGTGGCAGGAGTAACATCTAATAAAATTGAAGTTTTGGAAGAAGGAACATCTAAGATGATCACATGTCCTATAAAAAAAACAGCTACAAAAGCAAGTACAAATGGTAAGATGCTTGAGTGAACTTTGTAGAGTTTATTGGCACTTTGGGTTCCCTAATGGAAATAGTGTGGTATGGGAGTATTCGGGAATGGCTTGAGTGTCTAGATAAGGCAAGCTTAGGCAACACATTTTCATAGTGTAGAAATGAGTAGATCTTATTCTGTAAGCCCTGGAAAAATTCCCAAAATAGTTCTGGCTGTAAATATTAGATGAACTAACTAACAATTGCTAAAACCATAGAAACTAAAGTTGTTTTGGTGGTACAGAGATGTTATAGGATCTCACTCCCCGCCCCCCATTATTAGTTGTGCTATTGGCAGTGTTTTGTTCATGTCTCCTTTCTTGGTTGGCTAATTAGCAACAGCTCCAATCATCATGCTATCTCAAGACAATATCTGAAGGCTGGGAGGGCTGCTTTTGTTCACATTTTTTTTAAATAGGAAGAAAACTCGGAAGCTTTCAGTAATCTTCCTGTAACATTTTATTGTCTGGATTATACCACATGCTAATTTCTATACCAATCACTAGGAAAGCAAATGTAATTACTGTGATTAGCTTACAATACTGATTTTTCTTTTAAGATTGGATAGGGGTAATGGAATAATAAATATCTAAGTGAACATGTGTTTCTGCAGCAATAAAGAATAAATAATGACTATGCATAGGAAGCCAGCAATGTTTTCTGCAGGAATTCAGTGGAAAAGTTTGAGTAGGGGAGTCACAAGATTAGATTTGAGTATCAGGGCATTCTGGTCATGGTATAAAGCAGAGATTGGCAAACTTTTCCTGTAAAGTGCCAGATAGCGAATATGTTGGGCCATGTGGTCTCTATTACAGCTATTCAACTCTGCCATTGTAGAGTGAAAGGAGTCATAGATAATGTATGGGCAAAGAGGCATGATTGTACTCCAATAAAAGTTTGTATAAAAAACCATTTAGAAAGCTGAATTTGGCCTGTGGCCTATAGTTTCTGGCCCTTCATATAGAAGATAGATGGAGGATAATTACGTAAAAAGATTGAAAGATTAAGCTTTTGTAGTAGTTCACGTGATAGTCTTTTTTTTTTGTAACCAATCTGTGGCCTAGTATAAATCTATTATGAAAGTTTGATCCATCAAGGGTAAAATGAATCAAGTTCAGAAGCTCAATTTACACATTTAAACATGTAGGTCCTTCTTTGGCATTATTGTATTTTGATTAACTTTTTTAACTTAAAAAATAGGAACAGTAATTTGTAGGGTTTCTTTTTCCCTGTGAAAGCCATCAGTTAAGGGGCCACGTTTAACGAGGAAATATAAATATAAAATAAATAAGTTTGTATTTCCAGTGGCACTGGAAAGATAAAGCAAAGGCAGAAAAGAGGTGCAGTTAATATGGCTTAGTGATAATTGAGTTTAAAAAGCTAGGGGACAGATAAAATCTCAGGTCATTCATAAGTTTTCAGATTGCGCACAAGCATTTACAATGCTCATGGGGAAGGAGTAGGTATTTGTCAGGTTAACAGAGAAGTGCAAACAGTCATGGGACACACCAACAGTTTCTTTACATATTGAGTTCAATGAAACATTCATGAGGGATACTTTCAGTAGGTAATTTGATTATATGCATTTCTAGCTGGAGATAGAACTCTGGTTGAAGATGCAGGCTCAGAATACTTTTAGTATAATTATTAGGCAAAGCCATAGATCTCAATGAGCTTATCCATGAGGCAGAAGATGTAGAATAAAAAGAAAGCCATTGACAAAACCCTGGGAATATCAACATTTCACAAGAGTCAAAGGACTTGGTAAAGGAGACTGAGCAGTGGTTAAAGAAACGTAGGAGAGGAGTCTGAGAAAGTGATGTTGCAAATTTCTTTTAAATGTGAGAATTTCAAGCAGTAAAATTACTCAAAAGGCTACTGGATTTAACTTACAAGTTCTTCAGTGGTAATCTGCTCAAAAGAATTATTTTAGTTGTTAGGTATACTGTTGATGTGGTTGATAATTCTGGTATCCAAGAAGAAATCTCCCAAGATCCTACCTAACTTTTTGTAACTAAAGCAGCATACATACAGAGGTAGTGGGAAAATGTCTAGACTGGTGAGTACACATGCCAACATTCTCCCAGAATTTTCTGCCTCCTTATTATACCACTTGAGTAAGGGGTTTAGAAATTTTAGGCTATACTTGGGAATTTGTCCATTTCTTTTGCAGTTTATCAATTTTTGTATCATGTATTTTGAAGCATTTATGTTATGTTCATAAATATTTAAGACTGTTATGTTTTCTTGATTAATTGAACCATTTGTCACTATAAAGTGACCTTGTTTATTGCTGGTAATATTTTTGCTATGAAATGTACTTTGGTATTAATACAACCACTCTTCCTCAGCCTTCTTTTGTAAAGTGTTAGTGTGGTGTATCTTGTTTCATCTTTTAACCAATTTTTGTCTTTATATTTAAAGTTTATTTCTCATACTCATTATACAGATAAGACTTGCTCTTTTATCCATTCTGATAATCTGCCTTTGAGCAGAGGTTTTTAGACCAGTTTAATTTATAATGTAATTATTGATATGATTAGAGTTGTCTGATTTCTATTAGTCTCAGATCTTCTTTGCTTTGCTTTTTTCCTTTTTCTGCTTCCTTCAGACTAGTTTAGTAATTTTTATGATTTAGTTACATATCTGTATATGCATAACATTTTTAGTTATTAATCTAGTTTTACATTTCTTTATGATTTAGTCATATCTTTTTTGGTATAAGTTTATTTGGTATTAGGTATAACTCTTTGCTGTCTTAGCAGTTGCTTTAGGATTTATAATGTATGAATTTACCTCATCACAATCCACCTTCAAGTAATATTATATCATATCATAGATGGTATGAGAAATTACAATCATATTTTCATTTCTTTTCTATCAACCAGATCCCAGCTTAGATCTGTGGGATTATGGCTTTTGTTAAATTTAGAACATATTTAGCCAATTTTTCCTCAAATTTTTGATTCTGCCTCTCCTCCTACCTCTTTGGGGACTTCTATACTACCTGCTGGAAGTTTGCTCATAGTTCACTAGTGTCTCAAATTTGTGAATCTTTTCTTTCATGATGGCGAATTAATCTATGCTCATATCTACTCAGTGCAGCTTTCATCTCCAGCATTGTAATTTGTATCTCTACAAGTGCAATTTGGTTTTTAAAAGTATCTTCTGTTGCTTTATTTATCTTCTTGATTTTTATAGTAGAATAGAGTTGAGTTACTTATAAACAGCTTGATCCTTTTCATTTTTCTTTTTATGGTATGAGCTAACTCCCCATACCTGAGGCAAGGCCTTTCTGAGTATTCATTTTCCTGTGAAGTCTGAGTTTTCCCAGGCAAATCTATAAAAACAGACACTCTTCTTGGCACTGTGTGAACACCAGGTGTGATTTCCTCTAATTTTATAAGCCACCCCCCACCCCCACCCTGTTTGTTCTTAGGTAGTTTTCTAGCTCACATGCAATTTTCAAAATTTTGCTAAATACTGACAGGGGGTTTCTTGCCGTTGCTTCTGTATCTCTCTCTCCTCCTCAGTGTTTGTTCTGTAATATCTGCCTGCTTTGGTTTTACCAGACTCTAAGCTTCATCAATGTAACCAAGAGAGTCTGGTAGATCCCACCTCAGTTTTTTCTTCCTGTGTCATGTCTCGGAGTCTCTGCCAAGACAGGAAGCTGAAACATTCATAAGGTTTGCTTTCTTCCCTTTTTTTATTTTCTGTTTTTCAGGGATTATTATCTTCTTTGCCTAATGTCCAGTGTCTGAAAAGTTGTTTAATGTATTTTGTGTGTTTTGATTTTAGTTATTTTAGCTAAGAAGAAAAATCATACCTGTTGCTCTCCCTTGGCTAGAGGAGGACTACACTAGAGTTTCAGCACATGCCACAGACTGGCTAAAATGTTTTCCTTCCCTGTTCGCTCAACTGCTTCCTTTTCATTCTTCATTCCTTAGTGTAGCTATACATTCCTCGGGGGAATTTTCCATGAGCCTAGTATAGATCTAAATCTTAGCAATCTGTTTTCTTACAGTATCTATCTGAATTTATAACTGTCACTTTTCTGGGGCTTTGTCTTTTAGCACATTTTAAGTTAAACAAAGGCAGAGGTTTTTGTTTTTTTCTGTTTAATCTGCAGAGCTTAGTATAATGCCTTCCACGTGGCAGGCAATCAATATATATTTGATCAGTGTATGAATTAGTGATCGTTAAAATATGCAGTTCTTTATATCCCAAAAGTACTAATATATTTTATTTCTATCTCCTCCTTGAGACAGATTCAACTAGCCTATCAAAAATCTTGGATGCAGTTCTTTCTTGTGAAAGAGCAAGGGAACTTAAAAAATATCCCTGTGGGCCAGGCGCCATGGCTCATGCCTGTAATCTCATCACTTTGGGAGGCCAAGGCGGGCAGATCATGAGGTCAGGAGATCAAGACCATCCTGGCTAACACAGTGAAACCCCGTCTCTACTAAAAATACAAAAAAAAATTAGCTGGCCGTAGTGGCAGGTGACAGTAGTCCCAGCTACTCGGGAAGCTGAGTCAGGAGAATGGCATGAACCCGGGAGGCGGAGCTTGCAGTGAGTGGAGATCGCGCCACTGCACTCCAGCCTAGGCAACAGAGCGAGACTCCGTCGAAAAAAAGAAAAAAAAAAAAGAAAAAAAATCCCTGTGAACAACTTACAGCAAAAATGAAACAAATGAAAAATAAGCTTCGTGTACTACAAAAGGAACTAACAGAAGCAAAAGAAATAAAATCATAGAGAATCAAAAAGTTAAAAGAGAACAAGAGCTCTGCACTGTGAGGTATGACATACTAGTATATAGGATACTTTTTGTACTAGCTGACATACCTTCTGAGGTTTAACTGGAGAAAGAAATCTCTGTCTTGTAGAGTGTCAAATTCATTTAAATAATACAAGTTCTTAACTGTGAATACATCTCCTGATAATTAAATGCATATTTATTTAAATCACAATTTTAATGGCTGCATAGAAGGCCATTATTTGGAAACCCAATTATTTACTTAACAAATTAATTTTTTTATATTTAATTTTTTTGTGTTATAATAAGTGCTGCAAGGCATAACTGCATGTAAATCTTTTTCTATCATTCTAATTATTGACTTGGAATAAATTCTTCACTATAAAAATATTTGGTTAAATTATAGGAAGTTTTTAAGAAGTTCTTTGTTCATTATTTCTAAATTGTTCTCAAGAAAATTTATATTTATTTATAGTTCAACAAAGAGAGAGTGAAACGGCCATTCCTCTACCCCCAATAATCATTTTCCTTTAATTATACACTTGTAATCTTAATATGCATGGAGTAAAAAGAAAAATATAGAGTAATTTATGACTAGTATATTCAACATCTCTCTCTCTCCTACATAAATAAAATTAATTCAGAGTTCTATGTTAAAAATACTTGTTATTTTTATATTTTAATTAAATATATTCTGTGTTATTCTAAAAGAGATTTAAAATTTGTTGATAAAATATATAATAATCAACAAGATACATTTAAAGTATTACTAAAAAAAGAAACAAAACATATATGGGATAACAGATATTAGATTTTTCAGCCTAGTCTCAGATTTTAATATTATAATTATTTTTAAGGATACTTGCCTTATTTTATAAAGATGAATATTTATGTCTAATGAATATGTAAACTTGCTTATAAAAAGTAATGTCATTTTAATTAGTTAACTCTTAATGATCTGTCCTTATTGAGGAGTAATTTTGACTGTTATATTTTTAAAATAGTAATTTTCATCTTATAATTTTACTGGATAACTTCCAGTATTCTTTTCCATAACTGTTGTTGAAGTTACTAGTAACAGAATCTTTCTAACTAGAAGATGTTCTTTCTCATTATTTTTCAAGTATGTGTATCATTTGGAAGAGAGTTCAGTAATAAATTAAATACCTCAGAACTAGAAAGAAAAAACATATTCAAGAATATAGGAATTTTATTGGAATAATAAACCAATATGGGAAGAAGTAGATCTCAAAGTGAATTCTATTTTCTAACAAAATGAATTTTAAGATAAGTATATTTAATGGTAGATTGACTTTAAACCAAGAAGAAGAGAAGAGAAGAAATGCCAATATATTAAATGAAAAAATTAGGGAAGAATTAGGAAAAATCGAAGAGCAACAAAAGAAAAAGTTAGAAGTGAAGCAACTTGAACTCACTCTCCGAATATACAAAATATGGAATTGAAGACTGTAAGAAGTAATTTGAATCAGCTCAATCAATCGCTGGTAAAAATTTTATATTTCTAACAACAACTTTATTTCATCAATATTACTTTTAATATCCCTTCGATTTAGTATGTATTATTCAGAATTATGATAATGCCT
The DNA here is from genome assembly GCF_000001405.40 of Homo sapiens. Taxonomy (NCBI): domain Eukaryota; kingdom Metazoa; phylum Chordata; class Mammalia; order Primates; family Hominidae; genus Homo; species Homo sapiens. The sequence goes on along the minus strand of NC_000002.12, from coordinate 132,132,741 downwards.
CTATAATATTTAGGTACAAACTTTTGTATATTTCATTCATAAGTTTTCTTTTCTTTCGGGTATGTACCTAGGAATGGAATTGCTGGGTCATAAGGTACCTATGCATAACCTTTTCAGCAATCACCTCACAGTTTTCCAATGTGTGCACTATTTTACTTTCCCACCAGCGATGTATGAAAGATCTAATTTCTCTACGGCCTCACCAGGCTGGAGTGCAGTGGTGCACTCTCAGCTCACTGCAAGCTCCACCTACCGGGTTCACGCCATCCTCCTGCCTCAGCCTCCCGAGAAGCTGGGACTACGGACACCTGCCACCACGCCCGGCTAATTTTTTGTATTTTTTAGTAGAGATGGGGTTTCACCATGTTAGCCAGGATGATCTTGATCTCCTGACCTCGTGATCCACCCGCCTCAGCCTCCCAAAGTACTGGGATTACAGGCGTGAGCCACCGTGCCCAACCATTTGTCATTTTTTATTGTGGGTACACTAGTGGGTGTTAAGTCATATCTGCTTGTGGTTTTGATTTTGCATTTTCTTGATGGCTTGTGATGTTAGGCTTTTCTTCAAGCACTTATTGGATGCTCTTATATCTTCTTCACAAAAATGTCTATTTAAATATTTTGCCTATTTTTATGTATTTTTTCTTTTTGTTGTTGAGTTGTAAAAGTTATTTGTGCATTTTGGATACAGATTTCTAATCAAATATATAAGTTGCAAACATTTTCTCCACTTTTCTGGTTGTCGTTTTATTTTCTTTGTTACGTCCTTTGAAACACAAATGTTTCTAATTTTGATGAAGCCCAGTACATTTTCTTTTATCACTGTGCTTTTAGTGCCATATCTAAGAAACTACTGCCAAATCAAAGGCCATAAAGATTTATTGTTATTTTTTATTCTAAGAGTTTTATAGTTTTGCAATTCAGAAACATAAAATCAAATACTGCATGTTCTTACTTAAAAATGGGAAATAAATAATGTGTACACATGAACAAAGAGTGTAAAATGATAAGACACTGTAGACTCAGAAGGGTGAGGGGTGGGAGAGGGAAGGGTGATGAGAAATTACTTAGTGGATACAATGTACATTGTTCCAGTGGTAAACACACTAAAAGCTCAGACTTCACTCCTACCCAATATACCCATGTAACAAAATTGCACTTGCACTCCTTAAATTTATACAATTTTAAGAAATGGTTTCAGAGTTTTGGTTCTGTGATTAATTTTATAATGTTTTATTGTGGTAAAGCACATATAATAAGCTTTGCCATTTTAAACATAAAAGTCAGAGACATTAATTACATTCAGAATGTTGTGCGATCATCAAAACTATGTATTTCCAAAAATTTTTTTCACCCCAAACTGAAACTCTGTACTCATTAAGCAACAACTCCTCATTCTCCCTTTCCTCCCAAGTCCCTGGTAGGAATAAATTTTATGGTATTTTAATTAATTTAAATGTAAAAAACTAAATGCAGCTGGTGGCTATCATACTGGACCTCACAGTTCTAACACCACCAGTATCAACCCCTGGACAGATATAATCATTCCTAAGCTGCCTTTACATTTATTATTATTCTATTTATGGTAATCTGTAACCTATTCTCCCACAAAGCTGGACTATTCCTGTAAGAACATATCGTATACCATTTCATTCCCAGCTCCGAATCCTCCAGTGGTTACCTATCACAATTAACAAAGAAATCCAAGCTCTTTACTATGGTCTGTGTTTATCTGCTCCTCAGACTGTGCATTCTCCTTTCCTCCTCCCAGTGCCTGCAGCCTGACTGGACTTTGTAGTGATCCTTGAGCTCATCAAGTGCTGTCTGTATTCAGACTCTGCACAGTGTCTCTTCTCTCTGTCCTCTAGACATTCGCTTAACTTACTCTGTCATACCATTCTGACCTGCTCAAGTGTCATCTCCTCAAAAAGATTGTTCCAGAGCTCCCTATCTAAAGTTGCAGTCACTGACACCCTGAATGTGATTACCCCACCTTATTTTCTTTGTATTATTATACTTTTTATTTAGACAGGGCTGCAATCTGTCACCAAGGCTGGGGTGCAGTGGCACAATCATGGATCACTGCAGCCTCAAACTCTGGGGCTCAAGCAGACCTCCTGTCTCAGCCTCACAAGTAGCTGGGACCACAGGTGAGCACCACCACACTTGGCTAATGTATTTCTTCATAGGGTTTAGTACATCCATCACTTTAGTGTGCAACTGTTTACGCATTTATGTTCTATCTCTGTCACTGTACTGCAAGCTCAATAAAGACAGACCTTCTCTCTCCAGTTCCCATAATACTACCCAGCATAAAATAGGCTGTAAGTAAACATTTATTGAGTACATAAAAGAAGAATCTTATTCATGTCAAGGCTGTAATCTATGTTAGACTCAAAGAGATAGTCTCCTGACTAAATGGAAGTGTTTCCTTATTGAAGCATGCCTTTAAAAAAAGTGTTGCACATGGTGGATAAGCTTTTGTATGTGCTGCTGGATTCACTTTGCCAGTCTTTTATTGAGGATTTTCACATCAATGTTCGTAAGGGATATTGGCCTGAAATTTTCTGTATTTGTTGAGTCTCTGCCAGGTTTTGGTATCGGGATGATGCTGGCCTCATAAAATGAGTTAGGGAGGAGTCCCTCTTTTACCATTGTTTGGAATAGTTTCAGAAGGAATGGTACCAGCTCTTCTTTATATCTCCAGTATAATTCAGCTATGAATCCATCTGGTCCCGGGCTTTTTTTGGTTGGTAGGCTATTAATTACTGCTTCAATTTCAGAACTTGTTATGGGTCTATTCAGGGATTCTACTTCTTCCTGATTTTGTTGCGGGAGGGGGTATGTGCCAGGAATGTATCCATATTTTCTAGATTTTCAAGTTTATTTGCAGAGAGGCATTTATAGTATTCTCTGAGGGTAATTTGTATTTCTGTGGGATCAATAGTGATACCTCCTTTATCATTCTTTTTTTTTTTTTGAGATGGAGTCTCACTCTATCACCCAAGCTGGAGTGCAGTGGTGTAATCTTGGCTCGCTGCAACCTCCACCTCCGGGGTTCAAGCAATTCTTCTGCCTCAGTCTCCCCAGTAGCTAGGACTACAGGCACACACCACCACACATAGCAATTTTTTGTATTTTTAGTAGAGATGGGGTTTCACCATATTGGCCAGGCTGGTCTCGAACTCCTGACCTCGTGATCAACCTGCCTCGGCCTCCCAAAGTGCTGGGATAACAGGCATGAGCCACTGCACCCAGCCCCCTTTATTATTTTTTATTATGTCTACTTGATTCTTCTCTTTTTCCTCTGTTAGTCTAGCTAGTGGTCCATTTATTTTATTAATCTCCTGGATTCACTGATATTTCGAAGGGTTTTTCATGTCTCTATCTCTTTCAGTTCTACTCTGATCTTAGTTATTGCTTGTCTTCTGGTAGCTTCTGAATTTGTTTACTCTTCTCTAGGTTTTTTAATTGTGATATTAGGGGGTCGATTTTAGATCTTTCCAGCTTTCTGTTGTGGGCATTTAGTGCTATAAATTTCCCTCTTAACACTACTTCAGCTGTGTCTCAGAGATTCTGGTATGTTGTCTCTTTGTTCTCACTGGTTTCAAATAACTTTGTTATTTCTGCCTTAATTTCGTTACTTACCCAGTAGTCATTCAGGGGCAGGTTGTTCAATTTCCATGTAATTGTGTGGTTTTGAGTGAGTTTCTTAATCCTGAGTTCTAATTTGTACATGTACAAATTAGAGTACACCATAGAATATTATGCAGCCATAAAAAAGCATGAGTTCATGTTCTTTGCAGGGACATGGATGAAACTAGAAGCCATCATTCTAAGCAAACTAACACAGGAACAGAAAACCAAACAGTGCATGTTCTCACTCATAAATGGGAGTTGAATAATGAGAACACATGGACACATGAAGGGGAACCTCACACACAGAGACCTGTCAGGGGTTGGAGGAGAAGAGGAGGGAGAGCATTAGGACAAATACCTCATGCATGTGGGGCTTAAAACTTAGATTACAGGTTGATAGATGGAGTGAACCACCACAGCACATGTATACCTATGTAACAAACCTGTACATTCTGCACATGTATCCCAGAACTTAAAGTAAAATTTTTAAAACAGATATAAATATTGTATACATAAAAAAGACACACAATGTTTGTGAATAGAAAGATTTTATATTGTGAATAAGTCATTTCTACTCATTAAATTATGGTTGAATGCAATCCTACTCAAAATCCTATCAGGTAATTTGAAAATTGACAAGCTAATTTAAATTTTTTTTGAAAATTTAAAAGGACAAGAAGAACCAAGAAAGTTCTGAAGAAGAACAGAGCTCAAGAATGTATACCATCAGATGTTTCCAACTTTATTACAATTAAAATAAGATGGTATTAGCAGGACATACAAATAGAGAAACCAAAAACAAATTCATACTTATACCATCACCTGATTTATGACAAAGGTGAAAATGCAGTGCAGTGAGGAAATAATAATCTTCTCAATAAATGGTGGTAGATAATTTGGATATCAAAATGGGGGAATAAAAGAATTTAGCCCTTATCTTACTTCACAAACAAAAGTCAATCGTAGGTGGGTTATAAAGCTCAATCTGAAAGGTTAAAAATTCAAAAAGAAAAGCTTCTGTAACATAGAAGAATACCTTTATGACAATGGGGAAGACAAAAATTTCTTAAGCAAGACTAAATAAGCATTAACTACACAGAAAAAGTCTGATAACTTGAACTACATTAAAATTAGAAATTGGTATTAACAAATTCACCATTAAGAGAAAGAAAAGACAAGTTAAAGTGGGAGAAGATATCTGCAATGTTTATGTCCAATCAAAAATTTATATCCAGAATATATAAAAATCTCCTACAAATCTTCATATATTCTGGATAAAAATTTTTGATTGGACATAAACCAAAAAAAGTCCAGGACCAGATGGATTCACAGCTGAATTCTACCAGAAGTACAAAGAGGAGCTGGTACCATTCCTTCTGAAACTATTCCAATCAATAGAAAAAGAGGGAATCCTTCCTAACTCATTTTATGAGGCCAGCATCATCCTGATACCAAAGCCTGGCAGAGACACAACAAAAAAAAGAGATTTTTAAGCCAATATCCCTGATGAATATCGATGAAAAAATCCTCAATAAAATACTGGCAAACCGAATCCAGCATCACCTCAAAAAGCTTATCCAAAATGATCAAGTGGGCCTCATCCCTGGGATCCAAGGCTGGTTCAACATATGCAAATCAATAAATGTAATCCAGCATATAAACAGAAACAATGACAAAAACCACATGATTATCTCAATAGATGCAGAGAAGGTCTTTGACAAAATTCAACAACCCTTCATGCTAAAAACTCTCAATAAATTAGGTATTGATGGGATGTATCTCAAAATAATAAGAGCTATTTATGACAAACACACAGCCAATATCATACTGAATGAGCAAAAACTGGAAGCATTCCCTTTGAAATCTGGCACAAGACAGGGATGCCCTCTCTCACCACTCCTATTCAACATAGTGTTGGAAGTTCTGGCCAGGGCAATCAGGCAGGAGAAAGAAATAAAAATTATTCAATTAGGAAAAGAGGAAGTCGAATTGTCCCTGTTTGAAGATGACATGATTGTATATTTAAAAAACCCTATCGTCTCAGCCCAAAATCTTCTTAAGCTGATAAGCAACTTCAGCAAAGTCTCAGGATACAAAATCAATGTGCAAAAATCACAAGCATTCTTACACACCAACAACAGACAAACAGAGAGCAAAGTCATGAGTGAACTCCCATTCACAATTGCTTCAAAGAGAATAAAATACCTAGGAATCCAACCTACAAGGGATGTGAAGGACCTCTTCAAGGAGAACTACAAACCACTGCTCAATGAAATAAAAGAGGATAAAACAAATGGAAGAACATTCCATGCTCATGGATAGGAAGAATCAATATCGTGAAAATGGCCTTATTGCCCAAGGTAATTTATAGATTCAATGCCATCCCCATCAAGCTACCAATGACATTCTTCACAGAATTGGGAAAAAACTACTTTAAAGTTCATATGGAACCAAAAAAGAGCCCACATTTCCAAGACAATCCTAAGCCAAAAGAACAAAGCTGGAGGCATCACGCTACCTGAGTTCAAACTATACTACAAGTCTACAGTAACCGAAAGAGCATGGTACTGGTACCAAAACAGAGATATAGACCAATGGAACAGAAAAGAGCCCTCAGAAATAATACCACACATCTACAACCATCTGATCTTTGAAAAACCTGACAACAACAAGAAATGGGGAAAGGATTCCCTATTTAATAAATGGTGCTGGGAAAACTGGCTAGCCATATGTAGAAAGCTGAAACTGAATCACTTTCTTACACCTTATACAAAAATTAATTCAAGATGGATTAAAGACGTAAATGTTAGACCTAAAACCATAAAAACCCTAGAAGAAAACCTAGGCAGTACCATTCAGGATATAGGCATGGGCGAGGACTTCATGTCTAAAATACCAAAAGCAATGGCAACAAAAGCCAAAATTGACAAATGGGATCTAATTAAACTAAGGAGCTTCTGCACAGCAAAAGAAACTACCATCAGAGTGAACAGGCAACCTACAGAATGGGAGAAGATTTTTGCAATCTACTCATCTGCCAAAGGGCTAATATCCAGAATCTACAAATGACTCAAACAAATTTACAAGAAAAAAACAAACAACCCCATCACAAAGTGGGCGAACAATATGAACAGACACTTTTCAAAAGAAGACATTTATGCAGCCAACAGACACATGAAAAAATGCTCATCATCACTGGTCATCAGAGAAATGCGAATCAAAACCACAATGAGATACCATCTCACACCAGTTAGAATGGCGGTCATTAAAAAGTCAGGAAACAACAGGCGCTGGAGAGGATGTGGATAAATAGGAACTCTTACACTGTTGGTGGGACTGTAAACTAGTTCAACCATTGTGGAAGAGAGTGTGGTGATTCCTCAAGGATCTAGAACTAGAAATACCATTTGACCCAGCCATCCCATTACTGGGTATATACCCAAAGGATTACAAATCATGCTGCTATAAAGGCACATGCACACGTATGTTTACTGGGGCACTATTACACAATAGCAAAGACTTGGAACCAACAAAAATGTCCATCTGTGATAGACTGGATTAAGAAAATGTGGCACATATACACCATGGAATGCTATGCAGCCATGAAAAAGGATGAGTTCATGTCCTTTGTAGGGACACAGATGAAGCTGGAAACCATCGTTCTCAGCAAACTATCGCAAGAACAAAAAAACAAACACTGTATGTTCTCACTCATAGGTGGGAATTGAACAATGAGAACACTTGGACACAGGAAGGGGAACATCACACACCAGGCCCTGTTGTGGGGTGGGGGAAGGGGGGAGGGATAGCAATAGGAGATATACCTAATGTAAATGACGAGTTAACAGGTGCAGCACACAAACATGGCCTATGTATACATATGTAACAAACATGCACGTCGTGCACATGTACCCTAGAACTTAAAGTATAAAAAAATTATTAAAAATCATTGAAATGTACACTTTAAAAAACAAAAAAAGAGTTTATTCTATCAGGATTCTGACTAGAGCGCTCTAGAGTATGACATAGGATAGGGAATGTCTTAATAAGCTTCAAAATTCTAGGAATAATGAAACTAGGAAACAAAGCTTTGAAAAATGCCAGGAATTCAACTGCCTCCCTGGCCTTTCCCTGCCAATCAATGTGCCCCAGCAGCCAACTTACATAGCACTGTGTGTAGGCTTGTAAATAGACCTTCCAGTTCTGCTATAATCAAGACCTTATTGTCCATAACTCAATTTGGAGAAGGTTTAGCTGTCTACCAACTCTTGTGGAGAGTTTCTGTGAAGTTTTGTTTTGGGTTGCAAGAATCTGGAAAACAAATGCAGATGTTTTTGAGGAAGATTTTGAAATTTCTACTTATAAGGTACCCAAAATGGGATCCAAACTCTTGAATTTGGTTGATCTTCTGAAATACATACCTGTGTTTTAAGATTTGCTTGAGCAAACCTTTAACCATGGAAATTTTAACCAATGATTTCCGGGTTGAAACAATTCCAGTTTTGTCATTTAAATACCACAAATGAATCTGTTTTAGCACAGAGTACAAATATCTTTTTTCCTTTTGCGCATTTGGAATAGTGTGTTTTGGTAATAAAACATAGCTCTGCATATTAATGAAACATAGCTCTGCATATTTTGTGTGGGGAAAATTAGCATTCTGTGAACAAAGTCAATAATTTCTGGCCTTGCATTAGTTTCCCTATTATAATTAAAACTTAGTTTTGTCCGGGCGCGGTGGCTCAAGTCTGTAATCCCAGCACTGTGGGAGGCCAAGGCGGGCAGACCACAGGGCCAGGAGATCGAGACCATCCTGGCTAACATGTTGAAACCCCATCTCTACTAAAAGTACAAAAAAAAAAAATTAGCCAGGTGTGGTGGCGTTCACCTGTAGTCCCAGCTACTCAGGAGGCTGAGGCAGGAGAATGGTATGAACCTGGGAGGCAGAGATTGCAGCAAGCCGAGATCACGCCACTGCACTCTAGCCTGGGTGACAGAGTGAGACTCTGTCAAAAAAAACAAAAACAAAAAAACAAACAAAAAAAGCACTTAGTTTTGAAAGTATCTTAGTGTTAAATTTCCAATGCTTCAATATTACAATTAAAACCTTGCTTTACTGAGAGCAGAAACATAATGCAGAAAAGAAAAAAGACCAACAGTCTCTAAATTGCTGGATTTATGTGGATATGATGGGGTTGGTGTTTAACGATTTCTCCCTTGAATCATAGCAAAGATGCTTTTGTGAAGCATAGCCCCTTCGTAAATATACTCTCCAACCATTCAGCATTACCTATCTTTTGGTTTCTTTTGCTTTGTGTTTCCGCTCCGATATCATTTCTGAAAAAAAATTACAGTAACAAATTTATTGAGAGCTGGCATTGTGAATTGTGCCTAGGACTTAATTCATAAAGAGAAGGTGAATTCTGCTGAAAGGTGCTTAAAACACTGCCCTCAAATCAAGAGAAACAGGCCATTCTGGGACACACATAGCCTGTCTCACACAGGGGTCAGGAAGCAGGGATATCAGGGAATTGGGACTATGTCTTTATGATAGATATGGTTAGGCTTTGTGTACCCCCATCTCATCTTGAATTGTAATCCCCAGGTGTTAAGGGAGACACCTGGTGGGAAGTGATTGGGTCATGGGGGGTGTTTTCCCCCATGCTGTTCTTGTGATACTGAGTAAATTCTCATGAATTCTGATGGTTTTATAAATGGTAGTTTTTTCTGCACACACACACATGTTCTTTCTCCTGCTGTCATGTAAGAAGGTCCAGTTTGCTTCTCCTTTGCCTTTTGCCATGATTGTAAGTTTCCTGAGGCCTCCCGAGCTATGAGTAACTGTGAGTCAATTTAACCTTTTTGCTTTATAAGTTACCCAGTCTTGGGAAGATTTTTATTGCAGTGTGAGAATGGACTAATACAGTAAATTCGTACTGGTAGAGTTGGGTACTGCTATAAAGATACCCAGCAATGTAAAAGCGACTTTGGGTCTGGAGATGGAGATGAGAAACCTGTTAGGAACTAGAGCAAAAGTCACTCTTGCTATGCTTAAGCAGAGACTGGCAGCATTTTCCCCCTGCCCTAAAGAGCTGTGGAACTTTGAATTTAGATGATCTGAAATTGAAACTTACATTTAAAAGGGAAGCAGAGCATAAAAGTTTGGAAAAATTTGCAGCATGATAATGCTATAGAAAAGAAAAACCCATTATTTGGGGAAAAATTCAAGCCAGCTGCAAAAATTTGCATAAGCAACAGGGAGCCTAATGTTAATCACCAAGACAATGGGGAAAATCTCTCCAGGGCATGTCAGAGACCTTCACAGAAGCCTTTCACATCACAGACCAGGAGGCCTAAGAGGAAAAAATGGCTTTGTGTGCGGGGTCCAGGCCTTGCTGCTTTGTGCAGCCTTGGTACTTGGTGCCCTGTGTCCCAGCCACTACATCTGTGGCTAAATGGGGCCAAGGTACACTTCAGACCATTGCTTCTGTAGGTACAAGCCCCAAGCTTTGTTGGCTTCCATGTGGCATTGAGCCTGTGAGTGCACAGAAGTCAAGAATTGGGGTTTGGGAACCTCCACCTAGATTTCAGAAGATGTAAGGAAAAGCCTGGATATACAGGCAGAAGTTTGCTGCAGGGGTGGAGCCCTCATGGAGCACCTCTGTTAGGGCAGTGCAGAAAAGAAATGTGAGGTCAGAGCCTTCACACACAGTCCCCAATGGGACACTGCCTAGTGGAGCTGTGAGAAGAGAGCCACTGTTCTCCAGATCCCAGAATGGCAGATTAACCAACAGCTTGCACTGTACATCTGGAAAAGCTGCAGACATTCAACGCCAGCCCATGAAAGCAGCTTGGAATGGGGCTGTACCCTGCAAAGGCACAGGGGCAGAACTGCCCAAGACTATGGGAGCCTACTTCTTGCACCAGTGTGACCTGAATGTGAGACATAGAGTCAAAGGAGATTATTTTGGAGCTTTAAAATTCAATGACTACCCTGCTGGATTCCAGACTTGCATGGGGCCTTTAGCCCCTTTGTTTTGTCCAATTCTCCTATTTGGAAAAGGAGCATCCTCATCCAATGCCTGTACCCTCATTGTATCTTAGAAGTAATTAACTTGCTTATGATTTTGTAGGCCATGCTAATCAGCGTTCAGTTCCAGATTCCAATTTATTCTCAGTGTGCCTGTATAAATTTTCTTTCCATATATATAGAATTAAATTTCTATTACTTATTTGAATGTTATAGAATACTGTTCATATATTTAAAATAAAACCACCAGGTATAATGATTTCTGGCTTAGTATAAAAAATATTTTACCCAGTTAGTGTTATTTGCACAGGTGGATGTGGCTCCACAACATTTAGACAAGAAGAATAAATTCAGCTGTCATATGTTGCCATGACTCAGCCTCTGAAGAAATTATGAAAAAATCCAAATTTCAGCAAAATTATGTAGTTGTTTTCAGTACCTCTGAAGGTGTTATGTCAAGAATTCTCATGCTACTGTTTGAGAAAACAGATTCCATTGTTACCTAGAAAATCAACTGCATGGCATTTTTATAACCTTACCCCATGTAAAAAACATATATTGAAATGTACTAATAAATGCAGACTACATTACTTGAAAAATGGTAATACAGAATGCCACTTTTAATATTTGAGGATATGAATTTTTGGTAGAAATAATGTAAAATAAAGCTTCTGGTAAGCCTTGGGTAGTTAGATTTACATCAGTGTAAAGTAGGATGAAAATCTGTAAAAAATAAAAACAAAGAAACAAACAAAAACCTACACCAAAAAAACCCTAACATCCACCAATGCATACATATTGATCTTTGTGCTGGGAAAATCTAAAGCAGAACATTTTGGTTAACTTGATAGTTATTTATTTTGACTATATTGGCATGTTGCTAAAACTGCTTATATTTAATTTGAGTGAAACATGTCCACATTATTTAAAGTGTTGCTTTGTACTATGAATGATGGATGTAAAGTCTTGATCCTCACCCAGATAAATATGGCAACACTTTCTTCTGCTTCTTTCGAACTGAGGCATTATGAAAGCTCAAATTTGAAGTGGGAGGGACTTAACATCAGAGCCTGAAAAACCAAGAGGAATGAGATAGGATGGTCAGCTCTGAAGCTCAGGGTGGCCTAGGGAAACTCAATATAATGATGTCAACTATGAAGCTTACTAGGTAAAACTACAAATAGACTGATCTCATTTCACAGAGGTAAGCCCACACTCCCCTTTCCAAAAAAGTAAAAAACAAAACAAGCAAATAAAACTAAAAATACAAACTTGAAAACACCATGGCTTAAATTTGGTGGGAAGAAGCCTGTGGGACAAAAAATATTTGTGCCAAAAGAATTGAGCCAGCTGGGTGTGGTGGCTCACGCCTGTAATCCCAGGAGTTTGGGAGGCTGAGGTGGGCAGATCACCTGAGATCAGGAGTTCGAGAACAGCCTGGCCAATATAGTGAAGCCCCACCTCTACTAAAAATACAAAAAATTAGCCGGGTGTGGTGGCAGATGCTGTAATCCCAGCTACTTGGGAAGCTGAGAAGGGAGAATAGTTTCAACCCAAGAGGTGAAGGTTGCAGTGAGCCGAGGTCGTGCCATTGCACTCAAGCCTGGGCAACAAGAGCGAAACTCCGTCAATTAAAAAAAAAAAAGAATTGAGCCAGAATAAAACATATTTAAGGGTTATTAAGGAGAATGTTTCTAGCATATAAGTATTTGTTCCACTTCTTATTATATTATATTAGTAATATCCTTTCATGTAATATCAGCTTCTCCAAGATAGGGATGTCAAAGACAAACTAAGACAAGTGCCTAATATGTCATAGGCATTTTGTTCTCAAATTTAACAAACTTGTAATGATTATATAAATTTTACTGAATTGTGTTTTATGTATAAGCCTCACCTAAAGGCATTATCCAGTACATACAACCTTCAGTCTTTTCTGGGATTTTCTATTGCCTGATTTCAAATCAACCTTATTGAAATTCTAGCAATTTCTCCAGTCCCAGATGTAAAAATAAAAAAGCAGAAATAAAGCCAAATTACCCCCAAAAGGATATACATTATACCTATAGAACAAATGAACCCAAAACCACATAAGGTAAACAAAAAATCTACTGGTTCAAAATTCAGCCTAACTTCAACAGTACCAGGCAAAAACCATTTGTAAAAATTACCAAAGTCACAATACAGAAACCCTTAGTCTATTATGCCAATAAATATGGGGGAACCTGCCCCGATAGTCATGTAGGCTGTTTTCTATTTTCCCTAAGTGTCAGCCGGTTTGAGAAATAAAGGGAGAGAGTACAAAAGAGAGAAATTTTAAAGCTGGGCATCCAGGGGAGACATCACATGTCGGTAGGTTCCGTGATGCCCCCCAAGCCACAAAACCAGCAAGTTTTTATTAGGGACTTTCAAAAGGGGAGGGAGTGTACGAATAGGGTGTGGGTCACAAAGATCACGTACTTCACAAGGTAATAGAATATCACAAGGCAAACGGAGACAGGGCAAGATCACAGGACCACAGGACCGGGGCAAAATTAAAATTGCTAATGTAGTTTCGGGCACCATTGTTACTGATAACATCTTATCAGGAGACAGGGTTTGAGGGCAACCGGTCTGACCAAAACTTATTAGGCAGGAATTTCATCTCCCTAACAAGCCTGGGAACACTACAGGAGACTGGGGTTTATTTCATCCCTACAGTTTTGACCATAGAAGATGGCCACACCCAAAGAGGCCATTTATAGGCCCACCCTCAGGGGTGCATTCTCTTTCTCAGGGATGTTCCTTGCTGAGAAAAAGAATTCAGTGATATTTCTCCCATTTGCTTTTGAAAGAAGAGAAATATGGCTCTGTTCTCCCCAGCTCACCAGTGGTCAGAATTTAAGGTTATCTCTCTTATTCCCTAAACAACTGCTGTTATCCTGTTCTTTTTTCAAGGAGCCCAGATTTCATATTGTTCAAACACACATGCTCTGCAATCTGTGCAGTTAATGCAATTATCACAGGGTCCTGAGGTGACATACATCCTCCTCAGCTGACAGGATTAAGAGATTAAAGTAAAGACAGGCATAGGAAATCACAAGGGTATTGACTGGGGAATTGATAAGTGTCCATGAAATCTTCACAATTTGTGTTTAAAGATTGCAGTAAAGACAGGCATAGGAAATTATAAAAGTATTAATTCGGGGAACTAATACATGTCCATGAAATCTTCACAATCCACATTCTTCTGCCATGGCTTCAGCCAGTCCCTCCGTTTGGGGTCCCTGACATCCCTCAACAAATAAAAAATTAGCATTTAAAAATACATTAAATATAACAGAACATATACAATTACAATAAAATATTTTTAAATGATAATCTTATTTTCAAATATTTACCATATTTAGACAAGACTTTTAATGAAAAATACTTATAGCTACAATGTATGAATTAAAATAGCCCTGGAAGAAATAGTAATTCTATTAATAATAAAGATTAAGGCAGGGCACAGTGGCTCACACCTATTATCCCAGCACTTTGGGAGGCCAAGGTGGGCAGATCACCTGAGGTCAGAAGTTCACTACCAGCCTGGCCAACATGGTGAAACCCCATCTCTACTAAAAATACAAAAATTAGCCAGGCATGGTGGCAGGCATCTGTAATCCCAGCCACTTGGGAGGCTGAGGCAGGAGAATTGCTTGAACCTGGGAGGTGGAGGTTGCAGTGAGCTGAGATTGCACCATTGCACTCCAGCCTGGGTGACAAGAGTGAGAATTCATCTAAAAAAAAAGTAAAGCTTCAAGCTTGTGGAATAATTTACCCTGGACACACAGCTAATGTCCCAAATCAAGCTCAGATGTGTTTGATTTTAAAATTCTGGTTTTTCCACTGTGGACAATGTTGATATAACAGTTAAATCTTGGTCTCAGAGTTGGTGGTTGGGAATAAATCAAGGCAAGTACTTTTATGCTTTGTTTTATATTCTTTATCACCAACATTTTATTCTCTAATATGTCAGTATTTACATTTGGACCACAGCTGACTTTTACTGAAGTCTACTATAAAACATGGCTAAATTGAAAATTAATGTGATCATAAAATGATTTGTCATGAAAGCAGGTATATTTTTCAAGTTTCAGCTCAGTCACAAATTTGTATCTATTTGAATTTTTTGAAAATTTCTGACATATACTCAAGTAAATATCAAATGTATTGTTTTATTCAATTTTTTGGATTCAATTAAAAAATAATTTATATTCAAGTTTGTTGTTATATTTACTTTTGACCAAATTTGACTTTCCAAACAGGAAAAGCTAAAGCATTTTTTTGAAAGGTTCAAGGGACTTAAGCTTACTGGCATCAAATGTTCTGTAGTAAAACAAACAGGCAAATAAAACCTAATATTTTTATCAATAATAATTTAATAGTTTTATGTCTGAGAACCTAAGAATCAAAGACATCAACTCCAGATGATGTCAATTGCATAATTACACTGGTAAGATAGAAAATGATTATCAGAGTCTAACAAATGATGGATATAGCAACCTAACACTTGACAAAACCATTCAGGATGTGTTAGACAAGAAGGTACTACTAATGTAAAGGTTTTTCTTTCTCTAACTTTACTTTTTTTTTTTTTTTTTTTTGAGATGGAGTCTCACTCTGTTGCCCAGGCTGGAGTGCAGTGGTGCAATCTCGGCTCACTGCAAGCTCCGCCTCCCAGGTTCACGCCATTCTCCTGCCTTAGCCTCCCGAGTAGCTGGGACTGCAGGTGCCCGCCATGACGCCTGGCTAATTTTTTATATTTTTTAGTAGAGACTGGCTTTCACCATGTTAGCCAGGATGGTCTCGATCTCCTGACCTTGTGATCCACCTGCCTCAGCCTCCCAAAGTGCTGGGATTACAGGCCTGAGCCACCGAGCCTGGCCCAACTTTACTCTTTATTCTCAACCTTACAACCATCAGATACTCATGTACACAGAATAAGAAAAATCAACTATTTTTCCTTGAAGGCAATGTTTCGTCTTGTATGTTATAATATGTGTTCCACATTGCTGTGAAAATGCTGTTGAAGTGCACCTTCCTTCCTTCACCAGAGATCGCCTGTGTGAATTTGAATAGATGGTCACTGGAGGGGACCAGCT
Organism: Homo sapiens; assembly: GCF_000001405.40. Lineage (NCBI taxonomy): Eukaryota > Metazoa > Chordata > Mammalia > Primates > Hominidae > Homo > Homo sapiens. The sequence goes on along the minus strand of NC_000002.12, from coordinate 132,116,946 downwards.
TGGCACACTGGATTGAATTGTCTCTTTGCTTTTCAGGCAAAGTGGCTTTGAAAAGACGACTGAAAATAAAGTGACTGCTGATTAAGCAGATGGCTTGCCATGTAAATAGGACAATTGTTTGAAAATCACATCACATGAACTACAACTATTAAAATGTGAAATGCATGATGCAAATAGTGCACAAAAAATAGAATGAAAATGATGAATACAGCCAAAAAAGACAGCCAAACTCAATTTTAGCAATAAAGTAAAATATAATCTACTGTCAGGGGAAGGTAACTTGAAGTACTTGAGATGTTCTTTAATTTAAAAATCCAAAAATATTTTTAGCTTTAGTTATGATAAAACATGTTTAAGCATTTTCCATTTGAAATAAAAATTTAATTTCATGCTTTGTCAGTTTAGTTTCCCTAAATAAATAGAAAATAGTAAAATATCACATACTAAAAATATCAACTTGTTTGGTAATAAATCAGTTCAACTGTCAGACCAAAACATAGTTACATTTTACCCAATATTGTGCTGACCAATTTGATCAAACGCCACTTCCTTATAACTAAGAGAGATGCAAAGATGTAGACTTTATGTTGAGTGCGACAGGTAAGGATTACTAGGAGCTAGATAATTGTTTTACTAATCAAGGTCGATTTTCATTACTATTTTGTCTCTATGTTGATTAATGGTCTTGATTCAAGAAAATTTTTTTAAAAACTCATCTTTTCAGTCAGGCAAAATATTAACAAAAAGGCATAGAAATGAAGGCATTTAACACAGTCATAGTTGTACATTTTAAAATTAAAATACTTCTAGAAATAACAAAAAAAGAAAAAAGACACATATAAAAACAAATGAACTTAATTTTTGGTGCAAAGCACTCATTACTAAGCCTAACACAAATATTTTGGTAAAGGCTTTCTAACACTGACATTCTTCTCATGACTTAAAAGAGCCACTAATTTTACTTTTGACATATATTTAGTTTTAATGTTAAAAGCTAAAAGGAGCCTATTATTTTATTTATAATTTGTGGTCTGCATGTACATCATCATCCACTGAGTCAACTAAAGTTTCTGAAAGTTTCAGAAATAGTAACATAAGAATACTTTTTCCGGCCACGCATGTTGTCTCACACCTGTAATCCCAGCACTTTGAGAGGCCGAGGTGGGGGGATCACCTGAAGTCAGGCATTCGAGATCAGCCTGATGAACCTGGTGAAACCCCATCTCTACTAAAAATACAAAATTAGCTGGGCATGGTGGCACATGCCTGTAACCCCAGCTACTCCTTTAATGACCACATGTGAAGTTTCTTTTGAACTAATTTTAACTACCTATTTTTATTGCTTTTTTGCTCCTATTAGAAAAAATATTAAAGTTTCTGTTACTACAAACACAATCTATTCAAATCTAAGCATAGTGCTTATCTTAAAAGATCTGTATGCTTGGAATTATGGAAATTCTATTCTCCATTTAAAATACTGCTTTTCAGTAAGCCAAATGGGGCAATTGTGGCTCACAATCATAAGTTATTAAATATTAATACCTTCATCTAGATGGAACTTTTAGTTATCTGCATGTTCAAATTGTTTTAACTTGTAATAAGTCAGAAACAATAAATTTTTATAAACTATAAAAATAAACTAAAACTATATTTATCAATGCATTTTTTTTTCCGTTTTAGAATACTTAGCCCCAGGATTATTTCTAGTTGACATAACACTAGATTTCAGATGATGTGGATGTAGAAACTAGAAACGTCCTGGTTGACTCTGCTTCACTTTCTGCCTTCATTTAGCACACAAACATAGCAGCACAATAAAAGCCAGCAATGCTAACCCTTTTGAAAAACACACCAGTGCCCTTCTACAGAGAATATATGTGTGAAAAGATTCATCTGAAAGTCATGCCATCTTCTTTTTGATTTACAGACTTATATATGACAGATAATACAAATAAAAATTTAACACTGCAATATAATCAGAAAATTATTCTAAAAATTCCTTCTGACACATTATTCTTTGTCACCAAAATGGTTGTGATGAAATGATTGCCTTGGAAGGACTGCTGTCTTAAATAACCAATACTCCCATTTCATTGTTCTTGAACTTTAACCACAAGGCTTTCATGCTTTTTCTAGAAATTTTATTTCCTAATTATGTCACTTAGGTATGATTACCATAGCTTCATATTTTCAAAAATGGTTCTAAAAAAACTAAACCACTGACCATCTTTGTTTCCCAAAGAGTAATAAGTTAACATTATCATCTAGCATACTGTAAATAGATGAAAAATAAAAATTAAAGCAGGGGTGTCCAATCTTCTGGCTTCTCTAGGACACACTAGAAGAATTGTCTTGAGCCATACATAAAATACACCAATGATGATAAAAAAATCACAAAAAACTCATAATGCCTTTAGAAAGTTTATGAATTTGTTTAGGGCTGCACTGAAAGCCATACTGGGCCACATGAAGCCTGTAGGCCATGAGTTGGACAAGCTTGATGTACAGTCATTTATTTTAGCTGCACACTCAAGACTAAGGCCAAGAGCTTTCGGAGAAAATAGCTTATAGGATGTCAGGAGACCTGTTATAGAAACATTCACCCCTATGTCTAAAGGGGACAAAATTCTATGTCTTCCACCCTTAATTCCAACCATTAAACAAAACTGGAGAAATCTAACATGGCATTATATCACAAAGTATTTTATTATTTTTATTTTGGATTCAAGGATACACGTGCAGATTTGTAACATAGGTATACTGCATGATGTTGAGGTTTGGGCAATTAATAATCCCATTGCCCAAGTAGCGTACATGATACATGACAGTACTTTTAAACACTTGTACCCTTTCTCCCTCCATTTTGGAATCCTTAGTGTTTATTGTTCTCATCTTTGCTTCCATGTGAACCCAATGTTTAGCTTCCACTTATAAGTGAGAAAATGTAGTATTTGGTTTTCTGTTCTGCATCAATTTGCTTAGGATCATGACCTTGAGCTGCATCCATGTTGCTGCAAAGAGTATTACATGATTCTTCTTCAGTGGCTGCATAGTATTGGATGGTGTGTAATTACATAATTTTTAAAATCCATCTTAAAATTTATGAGCACATGGTTTCGTTCCATGTCTTTGCTAGTGTGACTAGTGCTGCAATAAACATACGAGTGCAGGTGTAATTCATTTGTATTTGGGTATATGCCCAGTAGTGAGGCTGCTGTGTCAAATGGTAACTTTAGTTTTAGTCCTTTGAGAAATCCCCAAAATGCATTCTACAGGAGCTGAACTAATTTGCATTCCCACTAAGAGTATATCAGGGTTCTCTTTTCTACACAATTTTAACATCTGTTTTTTTTTTTTTTTACTTTTTCATAATAGCCATTTAGACTGGGGTGAAATGGTATCACATTGTGGTTTGGATTTACATCTCTCTAATTAGAAATGTTGATCAATTTTTCATGTTTGTTGGCTGCTTTTTTTGTCTTTCTTTTAAAAGTATATGTTCACATTTTTTGTCAACATTTTTTCTTAAATTCCTTATAAAACATATATATTAGTTATTTATTGTATGCAGTTTACACATATTTTAGCCCATACTATAGGTTGTCTATTTTGTTAATAGTTTCTCTTGCTGTGCAGGTCACAATTTTTAATTTTTATTTTTGTTGCTTTCACTTTTGAGGATGTAGTCATTAATTCTTTACAGAGACCAATGCCAAGGAGAGAATTTTCTAGGTGTTCTTCTAGGATTTTTATAGGTTGAACTCTTACAGATAAGTCTTTAATGTATCTTGAGTTAATTTTCTATATCATGAGAAGTAGCGGTCGAGTTTTCCTCTTCTGCATATGACTAACCAGTTTTTCCAGCACCTTTTATTGGGTAGGGAGTTCTTTCCATTTGTTTCTGTTGATGCTGTCAAAAATCAATTAATTGTAAGAGTTCAGCTTCATTTCAGGGCTCTCTCTTCTGTTCAATAGGGGTGTATGTGTGTGTGTGTGTATCTGCATTCATATTATATTGGTTACCGTAGCTTGTGGTAAAGTTTGAAGTTTGGTAACATAATGTCTCCAGGTTTATTCTTTTTATTTAGTATAGCCTTGGCTATTTGAGCTTTTTTGTTTTCATATAAATTTTAGAATAGTTTTTTTGTCTAATTTTATAAAAAATGGCATTGGTAGAGTAATAGAAATAGAAATAAACTGTCAATTGCTTTGGGCAGTATGAACTTTTTAATACTTCTAATCCATTAGCATGAAATACTATTCCATTTATTTGCACTGTGTCTGATTTCTTTCAGTAGTGGTTTGCAGTTCTTCTAGTAGAGATATTTAACCTCCTTTGTTTAATGGATCACTATTTTATTTTTTGTTTCTGGCTATTGTAAACTGGATTGTGTTCTTAATTTTGCTCTGCTTAAGTGTTACTGGTGTATAGAAATGTTCCTCATTTTTGAATGTTGTTTTGCTTTTTGTTGTTGTTGCTGATATTTGGCTGAAGTCTTTTATTAGGCTTAGGAGTCTTTTGGAGGAGTCTTTGAAGTAGGTAGAAAATTATATCATCAGTAAAGACAGATAAGTTGATTTCCTCTTTTCTTATTTGAGTGCTTTTTCTTTCTTTATCTTGCCTGATTGTTCTGGCTAAAACTTTCAGAACTATGTTGAATAGGAGTGGTAAAAGTGCATATTCTTTTCTTATTTCAATTTTTAGGAAGGATGCATTAATCTTTCACCTGTTCAGTATGATGTTGGCTGAGGATTTGTCTTATATGGCTGTTGTTATTTTGAGGTATGTTCCTTCAATGCCTAGTTTTTTGAGAATTTTTTTCATAAATAGATATTACATTTTATTAATTGCTATTTCCACATCTGTTGAGGTAATGTGGTTTTGTTTTTTAATTATTTTTATATGTTGAATCACATTTATAGATTGCACATGTTAAAACATTCCTGCATTCACAGAATAATGTCCACATAGTTGCAGTGAAATAACTTTGATTTCCTGACTCAGTTTGCAAGCATTTCATGAATAATGTTTGTGTCTGTATTCATCAGGGATATTGGCCTGTAATTTTTTTTGTTGTGTCTTTACCTGATTAATATATCAAGATGAGACTGATATTATATGATAGAATTAATTAGGAAGGAGTCCCACTTTGATTTTTTGGAATACTTTCTGTAGAAATACAGCCAACTCATTTTTGTATATGTGATAAAATCATGCTGTGAATGCATCTCGTTTAGCACTTTTTATAATTGGTAGATTTTTTTTATCACCAATTCAATTTGCTTACACATTTTTGGTTTCTTCAAGACTTCTGTTTATTCCTGATTCAATCTTGGGAGGTTGTATATTTCTAAGAGTTTATTCATTTCCTCTAGACTTTCTAGTTGGTGTGCACAGAGATATTTATAGTAGTCTGCAAGTATCTTTCGTATTTTTGTGGGATTGGTTGTCACAAATGTAACATTCAAATAGATGCATAATGAAAGTGTAACAATATCTCCTCATAATAAATCTCTTGAACTAGTTATAAAATAAATGCAATTCAAGTTAATGTCATGTGTAACAACAATGCACACCTAACATACTAAATAAGGGAAAACTGTAAGCCTTTCCTCTAAGAGCTAGAACAAGACAAGGATGTCCAATTCCTCCAATCCTTTTTTTTTTTTTTTTGAGACGGAGTCTCACTCTGTTGCCTAGGCTGGAGTGCAGTGGTGCAATTTTGGCTCACTGCAAGCTCTGCCTCCCAGGTTTACACCATTCTCCTGCCTCAGCCTCCTGAGTAGCTGGGACTACAGGTGCCCACCACCACGCCTGGCTAATTTTTGTATTTTTAGTAGAGACGGGGTTTCACCTTGTTAGCCAGGATGGTCTTGGTCTCCTGACCTCGTGATGCATCCACCTCTGCCTCCCACAGTGCTGGGATTACAGGTGTGAGCCACCACGCCCAGCCCAATTTCTTTGATCTTACTGAACATAATACAAAATGACCAAGACAGAAAAATTATTCAATAAAATCAAAGCAATCTTAAATAAAATGAAGAAGATAAATTATATTTTCCTTGCAGATGATATAATCTTAAGTATAGAAAAACCTAGGACTTCACAAAAAATTATTAGAATAAACAAATTTATTAAACTTGCAGGATACAAAATCAACCTAAAAAATTCAGTAACATTTCTATACACTAACAATAAAGTATCTGAAAATAAAACCAAAAACAATCCCATCTACAGTAATTGCAGCAGTATCTATACTTAGAAATGAATGTAACCAAAAAGGTGAAAGATCTGTACATTATAATCTAAAAAAAAGTTAGAAAATAAATAATATTCAAACAAAAAGATATTTCTAATTCATAAATGGGCATGATTAATATTGTTAAATATCTGCATTACACAAACTGATATACAGATATAATAAAACTTCTATTAAAATACCAGTTAAATTCTCCACAGAAATATTTTTAAAAATCTAAAATGTATATTGCCCCACAAAAGGCCTTAATAGCTAAGAAAATCAAGCAAAAAATGGAAAATAAAAGGCTGAAGGAATCACTCTACCTGACTTTTAAATGTCCAACAAAGCTACAGTAATCAAAACAGAGTGTTACTTACATAAAAATGGACACAAAGGCCAACAGAGCAAAAGAGAAAGACCAGAAATAAATTCTGTAATTACAGACAACTGATTGTAAATAAAGATGACAATTTTTTTTAAAAAAGAACAGTCTCTTTTATAAATGACATTGAGAAAATATATATCCACGTGCAAAATAATAAAATCAGACCTTCATCTCACACCATATACAAAAATTAACTCAAATTAAATACTTAAATATGAGACCTGAAAATCTAAAACTAAGATGAGGAAATATAGAATGAATGCCCCATAACATTGGTCTGGGCAGTGACTCTTGGGTTTAACCTCAAAATTTTAGGGGGAAATAGACAAATCAGATTCCTTAAAATTAAGAAACTGCTGCACACCAACAGATACAATCAGCAGAATGACATAACTGAAAAATGGAAGAAAATGTTTGCAAATTACACATGTGAAAAGCAGTTAATATAAAAAATATACAAGAAACTCAAAGGACTATACAACAAAAAAACAAATAACCATGAAAAATAAGCAAAAGATCTATATAAATAATTTTCAAAGAAAGACATACATATAGCTTGGCAGACAGATGAATATGGCTCAAAGTCAATTATCATCAAGGAAAGGCAAACCAAAACAACTCTAAGATATAAACTCACTCCTGTTAAAATGTTTAAAAAAATTGTTGGTAAACTTGAAAAAAGAGAAAGAGGGGAGCTTTCACACTGTTTGTGTCAATGTAAATAAAAACAGCCATTATGAAAAATAGAAATTTTGCAAAACAATTAAACTCTAACATGTAATTGAACTACTGGATATCTATCACAACACAAATGAAACTAGATTGATGAACAGACATCTGCAATTGTGTTAGTTGCAGCACACTTTACAGAAGCCAAAACATAGAATCAACATATGTGTCCATCATCCAATGATGAAATACAGACACTATGGTATATATATACAATCGAATACTGTATTTTCAACAGAAAATCTTATTTTTAATCATAAAGATAAACCTAAAGGACACTATAGTTGTTGAAATAAGGCACAGAAAGGTTAATATCTCATGATTTCACTCACATGTGGATTCTACAAAATGTATCTTGATTACATAATTACAGTTGGATAAGAAAAATAAGTTCAAGAGATTATAATGCATGTATTGCATTTCTGAAAAAATATTAAGACAGTAAATGTTGTCTTCTCACCACAACAATAATAACTATGTGAGGCAAAGCATTTTACAATTAGCTAAAATTAGGCATTGACAATGTATATTTACTTCAAAATACTATTTCACAAAATACATATTTCATCAGTGAATTTAAAAATATATTTATAAAAACTATTAAAAATGACAACATTTCAAATTCTGACCTGTGTTTTTGTCATAAACCTGTCTGAATAGTATGAAAGATACATAGTTTCTGTGCTGTTTTGTCACCTAGTCAGTCATGACCATATGAACTCTAATATTTACCACCATGTTCGGGACCCAGCACAGAGCATGGGAGAAGCCAATGTACCTTAGGGCTTTTATTTTGAGCTTGGGACAACTGGAGTTTCTGGTGCTGGTGGTAATGATAGGGAAGACACAAAAAGGGCAGCTCTTGCTGTGTTTCACATGATTAAACCACTCTGAAGAGAGTAAATAAGTTTGCATCCCAGATCACTGAAGAAATTTTTTAATTCAAAAGATGCCATGATCTTTAAAATTTTTCCAGATAAAATGACCAAGGAGTTGACTAGTTAGGTGACAAAGACTGAAACCCCTAAACTGTAAACTGCACCGAATAAAAAAGTACATTATACAAGTGTGAGAAATTCCTCAAGATTTTAACATTAATATGAAAAAGATTATTTCACATGTGAAATCCACAGGTGTCATTATATTATTTTTGAATATTTAACATTCACACCAAAATAAAAGATTCTGAATGAAAACTTAAGTTAAGCTGTAAGTATGTAATAAAAAATTAAATTTAACATTCTCCACTTACCATTAATTCTTCTAAAAGTTTAATTTCTAAGACATATCTTCTAACTAATTTTATATTTTCCACACATTGTGTTAATTTTTTTTTTTTTTTTGAGATGAAGTCTCGCTCTGTCATCAGGCTGGAATGCAGTTGTGCAATCTCAGCTCACTGCAACCTCTGCCTTCTGGGTTCAAGTGATTCTCCTGCCTCAGCCTCCTGAATGGCTAGGTCAACAGGTGCATGCCACCATGCCCAGCTAATTTTTGTATTTTTAGTAGAGATGGGGTTTCACCATATTGGCCAGGAAGGTCTCAACTTCTTGACCGAGTGATTCTCCCACCTCAGCCTCCCAAAGTGCTGGCATTATAGATGTGAGCCACCACACACAGACTGTGTTAAAATTTAATAAAAGTTTGGTTTTACAAAGACAAGAAATTCTGACTGATTTATTCCTCTCACTTGTGAACACTGCATGCCTTTTATCTCAATTAACAGATCTGAAAGTTACATTGACACACTTTCATCAGAACCTACAAAGTATTGTGTGAAGTGACATGGCACAAAACAAACAGCAATAAAGATGTAGCCATAACACAAAGAATAAAAAGAAGGGCTGTGATGCATACACAGTTGGGATAAACATAAGTAGACACACAAACAAAACTAAAGATAATCAGAAAATAAGCAGAATGTCTCTTTAAATTCAGAAAGAGTCAATTTTGCAGCATAAGAACAATGTCCTCTCCATATACAGAATCGATTTTCTTTCTTCACCATGCGTATTTCTTTATTTTTACTTGGAGCTACAAACTAACTCCAGCAGAAATATTTGTGGCCAATAATGGTGCATCCATTACACAGCAAGCATTGTGTTTGCTACACTTACATATCAAAATATCTTTATGACTTATGAAGCCTCCCCAGTATTTACTTAAACAAATTGGCTGAATGAATAAATTCACCTATGTCAATTATAAAGAGTAAAAGGAACAATAATAAAGGAAACAGCTTACACAGGTTTCTCCAATTAAAATAACAAAATGGGATGTTCTAACTAAATGAAATATAAGTTGGTTGGATGCAGTGGCTGATGCCTGTAATCCCAGCACCTTGGGAGGCCAAGGTGGGTGGACCACCAGGTCAGGAGTTCAATGCCACTCTGGCCATTATAGTGAAACACAGTCTCTACTAAAAATACAAAAACGTTAGCTGGGCATGGTGGCACATGCCTGTAGTCCCAGCTACTTAGGAGGCTGAGGCAATAGAATTGCTTGAGCCCAGCAGGTGGGGGTTGTAGTGAGCTGAGATCCCACCACTGCATTCTAGCCTGGGCGACAGAGTGAGACACCATCTGAAAAAAAAAAAAAGAAAAAAGAAAGCAACAAAAGAAATATAAGTTAATACACTCATTGTGAAATAACATTGAAAAATTATTTTGCGTGAATTAGTAAATTTTATAAAAATTCTTAGAATACCTGAGCAACTCACATAATGAATACTTAATAAATTATAAACACAAAAAATATGAAAAAAAATATCAGTCTACCATGAGTATCAGGCACATGAAAGAAAGAATTTGCATGGAAAGATTCGGAAACGCAATCCATAAGACTTCACAGTAATTAATTAAATAAAATGCAGAGAATACAGATATTATTCAAAATCACTGAGGTTTCTAGTCTTCTAGTAAATGATTTGTCCACTATATTAAAGTGATATTTTGTTCCAATATTTCTTGTTTTCTGAAAACAGGTACACTCACACTCACACAATTACATCCCCCACAATTTTCTTACACCTAATGTTTATCTTAAGAGTAATATATTTGTATATTTAGCATCATGTCAGTAAAAACTAACAGTCTGTATGAGTTTACAGGCAGAGAGGCCACTTGTTCAAAATACATATGACCAATTTTTAAAAATATTTATTCAGGACTTAGAAATGTGGGATTTCTTATTATACTACTATGTAATTATTATTATGACCATAAAAAACCTCTGTAGCAAGTAATAATTTACTTGTACATTTTTAAATAACTAAAAATGCTTAATTGGATTGTCTGTAACACAAAAAAATAAATGCATTATGTAATGAATACCTCATTTACTCTAATGTGATTACAAGTTGTATGCCTGTATGAAAATATTCTATATATGCCATAAATAGGTAAACAATACTATGTTCCTACAAAAATTTAAAACGTTAAACAAATGTACATTTTACCCATTGAAACAATACTCTTAAACCTTTCAGTTTAATGCCACAGGCAAAAGAGATTGTTAGAGAGGTCATTCTACTATGTTACCATCTTTTATCTACATCTTTAATAAGGTGGGACACGTTAAAGTTGGTGACATAACTCTTTACTAAATGCAGGTCTTAAAAAGTTTAAAACTATTCCATTTAATTTAAAAGCTAAGTTATCACAGTCTTATAAAAGATTTTTAAAATTCCCTACATTTTATTACATAAAAGTACAATTGGTAAAATAATTTACTACCAAAACTCAAAGTTTTCCTCTCACTATAATGCAGAATATTACTCTAAACACATAATTCATGTATCACATGAACAATGTTAAAAGTCAGCCATAAAGAGCCTCTCCAATTAGATTTTCAATATTCATCTTACATTTTAATATCCTTACTCTTCCACGGAAAAGTTAATGAATGATGCCTACCTAATAAGAAAGGAATCTCTCAGATTTCTGATGCAACAGAAATTGATGACATGCTTTTACACAAACAACAGGAGAAAAGGAACAGAATGAAGCAATTTTACAGTTGAATTACCTCACTATTTGCTTTTCAAAAAATCTACATTTTTTTTCAAGGAAAAATGTATACCTTGAATGTAATTGTAACTCTCCAAAAAATAATCTTCCACTCCTCTTAAACTTATATACAAATAAATTATCCAACAGTTTTAGCTTTGGATTACTTTCTATACAGAACATTCTGATTTAGTGTAACGTCTTAAGTGCCAGTGCCTTAATTCTTCCTTCTGTGAATTTTCTAAAGTTTACAAAGGCTTAATTTTGGCTAAATATTTTTACACATGTTTTCCATCTGCAAAAATATCTTTTATTATAAACTGCGTGGTGTTTTTTAAGCTGTAGTTTCTGAATAAATGTTTTTCCACATTTATTACATTTGTATGGTTTCCTTCAACATAAGTTCTCTGATGCTGAACAAATTTCAGTAATTCCTTTATAGTTTTCTTCTAGCATAAAATCTGTACATTATATAGGGCAAGTAAAGGTATTACAACCCTCTTTATATTTGTAATGTTTGTCTCCAGAGTACTCTTTTTTACTTTAAGGGTTTAAATTTTCCAAGGTCTTTCAAAAGTAATTACATTTATGATAATTTTATTAAGTATGAACTTCCTGATGTTGACTATGATGTGAGCAAATAGAAATGGCTTTTCCACACTCTGTATAATTTTTCAAGTATAAATGCTTTTATGTGCCATAAGGTATGAGCATGTTAGAAGTTTTAACACATTCTTTGTTTGTAGAGATTTTCTCCACTATCAATTATTTTACCTACAGTAAGATGTGACAACCATTTAAAGGCCTTGCCACATTGTTCAGTTTTCTGAGGTTTCTCACTGATATTTCTCCAATGCTTAGGAAAGTTTGAGGTGTATTCATAAGCTTTGCCAAACTTTTTTAGGTTCATAGGCATAATCTTTAGTATGAATTATGGCTGGATATATTTGAGCAAAACTTAAAAGATTTTGCCACAGTCTTCTGATTTGTATGATTTTTTTCCAGTATGAGTTCTCATAAGTTTAGTAAGGCTAAAGGATTTGTTAAAGGCTTCCAGCATTCTTTACATTTGTGGGATTCTCTTCAGTATGAACTCTCTTATGTCGAGTAAACTTGAGCAACAAGAAAAAGTTTTGCCACTTTCTTGACATTTGTAGGGTATCTCTCCAGTATGAACTCTCTTATGTTTAGTAAAGCTTAAGGACCAGTAAAAGGCTTTGCAACATTCTTCACATTTCTGGATTCCTCTCCAGTATGAATTCTCTTATGTATAGTGAGGCCTGAAGACTGCTTAAAAAGCTTTGCCACGTGCTTCACATTTGTAGGGTTTCTCTCCAGTATGATTTCTCTTATGTTCATTCAGTTTTGAGGAGTGTTTAAAGACTCTGACACATTCTTTGCATTTATAGGGTTTCTCTTCAGTACGAATTCTCTGATGTATAGTAAGCTCAGAGGACCACTTAAAAGCTTTGCCACATTCTTCACATTTGTACAGTTTCTCTTCAGTATGAACTATCATATGCTTAGTAAGGCTTGAGGAATAGTAAAAGCCTTTGCCACATTCTTCACATTTGTAGGATTCCTCTCCACTATGAGTTATCTTATGTTCATTCAGTTTTGAGGATAGTTTAAAGACTTTGCCACATTCTTCATATCTGTAGGGTTTCTCTCCACTATGAATTATCTTATGTACATTAAGGTCTAAAGACTTCTTAAAAGCTTTGCCACATTCTTGACATTTGTAGTGTTTCTCTTCAGCATGAACTATGTTATTTTGAATAAGCTTTGAGGAACAGTAAAATGCTTTGCCACATTTTTCACAATTGTATGGTTTCTCTCCAGTATGAATTTTCTTATATATAGTAAGATTTGAAGACCCTTAAAAGCTTTGATGCATTCTTGACATTTGTAGTGCTTCTCTCCAGTATGAACTATCATGTTTAGTAAAGCTTAAGGACAAGTAAAAGGCTTTACCACATTCTTCACATTTGTAGGGTTTCTCTTCAGTATGAATTCTCTTTTGTATAGTAAGCCCCAAAGACTGCTTACAAGCTTTGCCACATTCTTCACATTTGCAGGGTTTCTCTCCCGTATGAATTCTCTTATGTATAGTAAGGTTTGAAGACCACTTAAAAGCTTTGCCACATTCTTGACATTTGTAGGGTTTCTCTCCCCTATGAATTATCATATGTTTAGTAAAGCTTAAAAACCAATAAAAGGCTTTACCACATTCTTCGAATTTGTAAGGGTTCTCTCCAGTATGAATTCTCTTATGTAGAGTAAGGCCTGAAGGTTGCTTAAAAGCTTTGCCACATTCTTCACATTTGTAGAATTTCTCTCCAGTATGAGCTCTCATATGTTCATTCAGTTTTGAGGATTGTTTAAAGGCTTTGCCACATTCTTCACATTTGTAGGGTTTCTCTCCACTATGAATTCTCTGATGTATAGTAAGGTTCGAAGACCACTTAAAAATTTTGCCACAATCTTTACATTTGTAGGGTTTGTCTCCGGTATGAACTATGTTATGTTGAGTAAGGCCTGAGGAAGAGTAAAAAGCTTTGCCACATTCTGCACATTTATAGGGTTTCTCTCAAGTATGAATTCTTTTATGTTCTTTCAGTTTTGAGGATTTTCTAAAGGCTTTGCCACAATCATCACATTTGTAGGGTTTCTCTCCCATATGAATAATCTTATGTATAGTCAGGTTTGAAGACTACTTCAAAGCTTTGCCACTTTCTTCACATTTGCAGGTTGTATCTCCAGTATAAAATTTCTTATGTTTATTCAGTCTTGAAGATTGTTTAAAGGCTTTGTCACATTCTTCACACTTGTAGGGTCTCTCTTTAGTATGAATTCTCTCATGCATAGTAAGACCTGAAGACTGCTTAAAATCTTTGCCATATTCTTCACATTGGTAGGGTTTCTCTTCAGTATGAATTATCTGATGTTGTCTGAGGTGTGAGAACCTGTGAAAGAATTGGCCACATTCTTTACATTTGAAAGGTTTCTCTCCAGTATGTCTTCTCCTAAGTCTATTTGAATTTGAAAATTTCCTTAAGACTTTCACACATGTATTACATTGAAGTATTTTGCTCTGAGTAATCGACAAACATTGGTTAAGTCCATTATAACCTCCTTCCTGCACCTTAGATGCATTCAAACTTTTACAGCCTTTTCTTATTTGTAAATTCTCATGTCTGTATTTCCCATATCTTCTCAGCATCACTTTTTGAAATGAATTTTTTATGTTCTGATCTAGCCAAAGGTCTTGGGTGAAATGAGAACACAGCTGAAAGAAATAAAAATAACAAATTATCTCACTAGGGCCATGTAAATATACAAATCTATTGTTTACAAATCTAATACATAAAATTATACAAAGTACATTAGCAACATGGCATAACAAAAATACCACAGGTCTTAATTCTTTTATAGACTTATAACAAAACTGTACTGACCAAAATGTCTTTATGGAAAATCTAGAAATGAGTTAAGAGTGTTCAGTGTACCAGGTGAGCAAAATGCCACAAGCCATACTGAATGGATAGAAAAGTTTTTACATTTGCCCAACACCTTTATTCCTCCATAATGCAGCATGGCACTTTTAGAAGTAAACTGCAATGCCTGGCATCTTCCTCAATATAGAAAAGGAAAAACTGGCTCATGTATTTTTACTTCTGGCTTCTGGGCACTTTTACAGAGACTTGTTTCTGTCTCCAATGACAAAATGTGCTGAAAGAAATGATGGTATACTTTGAAATAACAGCTTGAGTCTGCTGAGACCAAAGGTAAATGTTACAGCAACAAACTACAGTACCACAGACATGCAATATGTATAGGAAGTAATTACAGACTGTTAAGAAACACAGACAAACCTCTTTAACTGAATAATCAACAGAAAATTCCACACAAGACACATCATAACATATTTGATAGGCTCCTAGAATCTCTAGTTGAGACAACTGGCTTCAGATTATGTTAGGACAACACTGCATTATAAAGATTGTGAGAGGTAGCTGTTTGTTAATGTCCAAATCTCAACCAAAGAGTACAATACATACAAAATATTAGAGTGACATGGCCTAAGTAAAAAAAAAAAAACTTAAAACTGTCAGAAAACAACCATGAAAATAAAGATGTACACATTAATTTTAAAAATTTAACCTAAATGGGAACACAGGTAACTAAATAAAATCAGAAAAAAATAGAATATCAAGGAAAAGATGAAAAATATAATAGAAATTATGGAAGTAGAAAATAGAAATAGAAATAATGACTGAGGCCAGGTGTAGTGGCTCATGTCTGTAGTCCCAGCACTTTGGGAGTTTGAGGGAGGCAGATCACTTGAACCTAGGGAGTTCAAGTTTAAACTGGGAAACATGGCAATACTTCTCCTCTATAAAAATTAAAATTAGTCAGGTGTATTGGCACACACCTGTGGTCCCAGTAAACAGGAGGCTGACGTAGGAGGATCACATAAGCCTAGGGAACCCAAGGCTGCACTAAGCTACAATCATGCCACTGTACTCAAACCTGGGTGACAGAGCAAGACACTGTCTCAAAAAATTAAGAATACCTGAGAAATTCTCAAAAGTAAGAAAATAAGGTTGTAAAAATGAAGAAGCTCAACATACTAAAACTAGGAAACACACAGATCCATAACAAAACATGCAAAGCAAAGTTCCCAAAGTCACAGACAAGAAGAGAATCTCAAATGCTGGAAAATACATAATTATGGTTCTATGATATAACCAGTGACTCTTTCAACAAAAACCTTGCAGGCCAGAAGGAAATTGTGTGCTATAGTCGAGGTGCCAAGTGAAAAATAGCTTCTATGTAAGAATAATATAACCAGCAAAACTGTGCTACAAAAATGAAGAAAAAGGAAAGACCTCTAAAGATAACCAAATGTGGAAAAATTATAGCAACACTACATGAGCCCTACAAAAAATGCTGAGGAGAGTCCTCCTACTAAAACTATATGATGCTAAAAGACAAAACTATCATATAAAAATAGGTAGCTTTCTAGGAAAGATATAAAGATATGCAAATATTATAGAAAAAATATCCTGTAGCATTATTATAATACCAAAAAATGTTTTATTTAATTATTCTCTAAAATTTAAAGATAAAAGCTAAAAATAATAATGAACATCTGTTAATAAATATATAACATAAATAGATATGTTCAGTGACATCAATAACTAAGTTGAGGACAGATGTAATAAGAAATAATTTGTGCATGGACCCGAATTTAAATTTCACCACTTCAAAATACATTGTTGAAATTTTAAGAGGTTTTTATATAATCCTGAAGGCATCCACAAAGAAAATGTCTGTACAGGTACAAAAAAGGAAATAAGAAAGAAGTGACAGCCTATCCATACAAAAATAAAAAAGACACAAAGGAAGATAGAATGAGAAAGAGACCTATAAGAATCATTAAACAATAAAATAACAATAATCTTTGTCTTCAGAAAATAAATATTTTAAAAATAGACTTGCCAATCAATACACATACATTGAATAGAGGGATTATATAAAATTTTATATACCAAGATCCAACTTGCCTTTCTTCAAGAGTCACTTGAGATCTAGTAGTGAAATCAGCCTGAAAGTGGCAAGTGGAAGAAGACATTTTAGGCAAACATTAACCAAATGAGAGCAGAAGAGATCAAAATTGTATTATACAAAATACATCGTAAGTCAACAACTCTCTTATTTTATAAAATATACTCTATGTCAAAATTCACAAGAGAAAAAAGGTCATTAAACAATAATAAAGATATCATTTATTGAAAATGTATGACAAATATGTGCATACATATATTTATATGTTTGTGTGTGTATGTGTATTTCTCACATTAGGTTTCCAAAAATACAAAGCAAAAATTGACAGAATTAAAGCAACAAATAAAGAGCAATATAATTATAATAAGATATTTTAATACTTCAATTTCTGCAATGAACAATAAAACAAAACAATATTAATAATGGAAAAGAGGGCCAGGTACAGTGGCTCACGCCTGTAATCCCAGCACTTTGGGAGGCCAAGGCAGGCGATCACGGGGTCAGGAGATGGAGACCATCCTGGCTAACACGATGAAACCCGGTCTCTACTAAAAATACAAAAAATTAGCAGGGCATGGTGGCAGGTGCCTGTAATCCCAGGCACTCAGGAGGCTGAGGCAGGAGAATGGCATGAACCCAGGAGGTGGAGCTTACAGTGAGACGAGATCGCACCACTGTACTCCAGCCTGGGTGAGAGCAAGACTCTGTCTCAAAAAAAAAAAAAAAAAAGGAAAAGAGAAACTGAAAGCAGTACAGATGGGAACAAGTGGCTCATGCTTGTAATTCCAGCACTTTGGGAGGCCAAGGAAGACAGATTACCTGAGGTAAGGAGTTTGAGACCAGCCTGGCCAACATGGCAAAACCCCATCTCTACTAAAAATAGCCAGGTGCGGTAGCAGGCGCCTGTAATCCCAGCTACTCAGGAGGCTAAGGCAGGAGAATTGCTTGAACCAGGGAGGCGGGGTTTGCAGTGAGTCGAGATTGCGGCACTGCAATCCAGCCTCGGTGACTGAGCAAGACTCCATCTCAAAAAGAAAAAATATACAAAGAAAGAAGTATAAAACAATATTATGCCTAACAAAGAATACCTCTTAACAATAGCAGGGTATAACCATTCTCAATAGCTCACATACATTCTCTTTGATAAACTGCCTGTTAGGCCATGATAAAAATAAAAACTTACTAAATCTTTAAAAATTGAAATTGATAGATTACTTTTTATGACCAAAATGGAATGAGAGTAGAAATCAACAAAAACAAAACTAAAAAATTTACAAATACATGAAAATTAAACAACACACTCTTCAGCATGCTCAAAGGGTAAAATAATTAATATTCAGCATGATCAAAGGGTAAAATAATTAATATTGTGAAGATGCCCATACTGCTGAGTGTAATCTACAGATTTAATGCAATCCCTTTCAAATATCTAATTTTATTTTAGCAGAAATAGAAAAAGCAACCCCCAAATTATATGAAATTTTAAGAAACAATGAAACACCCAATAATCTTCAAAGAGAGGAACAACGTTGGAGGCATCACAACTCCCTGATTTCAAAACACATTATATAGACTTAAAACAATTTGGTTTGGTTATAAAAAGTGAACTAGACCAAATAAAGAGAATGTAGCATAAATATAAACTCTCACACATATAATCACAGGAAGAGATATTTGCACGTCCATAATTTTTTTTTATTAGATGGAGACTCGCTCTGTTGCCCAGGCTGGAGTGCAGTGGCACAATCTAGGCTCACTGCAACCTCTGCCTCCCAGGTTCATGCCATTCTCCTGCCTCAGCCTCCCAAGTAGCTGGG
This sequence comes from Homo sapiens, assembly GCF_000001405.40. NCBI lineage: Eukaryota > Metazoa > Chordata > Mammalia > Primates > Hominidae > Homo > Homo sapiens. Next base: position 132,098,195 of record NC_000002.12, on the reverse strand, counting down.
ACTCTAGGTGCCCGCCACCACGCTCGGCTAATTTTTTGGTATTTTTAGTGGAGATGGGGTTTCACCGTGTTAGCCAGGATGGTCTCGATCTCCTGACTTTATGATCCACCCACCTTGGCCTCCCATAGTGCTGTGATTACAGGCATGAGCCACCACGCCCGGCTGCACATCCATAATTTTTACAGCATTGTTATTGAAAGGCAATAAAAAAAGGAAATATTCTAACAATCATAACAAACTTTCATGAAATTATGCAGAATAACATATGTCAGCCACAAAAATATGGTATGAATCCACTTACATGAGATATTTAAAGCAGTTAGACTCAAAAACAGGAAAACAGAATTGTTTGTAAAGGGCCAGAAAATGGGAGAATTGAGTAGTTGTTTAATGTGTATTCAGTTTTAGTTTTGCAAGACAAAAACATTCTACAGATATATTGTATAATAATGTCAATATAATTAATATAAACTACATATTTTTAAATTAAGATTCTAAATTTTATGTTCTTGATAATTAAAAGTAAACAGTAATAATACCTTAAAAAAGGGACAAAATTGACAGTTTTTAAAATTACCTTCAAATCAAAAAAGTGTTTCTCCCACACAAAAATAGATCCCCAAATAGATATAGAAGTAGGAGAATTTTTATGACTACTCAGATAAAACGACCATTGATCACTCACAAACATACAAGTCATAAACAATACAGAAATAATATGTGTATACACAAACACAGAAATTATTATATTGGGAATAGAGATATGACTGATTCATATGTAACTTTGGCTCCGCGCTGTCTTAAAGTGTACAGAGTTGAATATTGTCATTCACAATTGTCATACAAAATAAAAACTAAAAACACAATTAACTGATGTGACGTGGCATACTCTAAAATATGAAACAAAAAAGAAATAAAATTGGCTGGGAGTGGTGGCTCATGCCTGTAATCCCAGCACTTTGGGAGGCTGAGGAGGGCGGATCACGAGGTCAGGAGATTGAGACCATCCTGACTAACACGGTGAAACCCCATCTCTACTAAAAAATACAAAAAATTAGCTGGGCATGGTGGCGGGCGCCTGTAGCCCCAGCTGCTAGGGAGGCTAAGGCAGGAGAATGGCGTGAACCTGGGAGGCAGAGCTTGCAGTGAGCCGAGATCGTGCCACTGCACTCCAGTCTGGGTGACAGAGCAAGGCTGTGTCTCAAAAAAAATAAAATAAAATGAAATAAAATAAAATTGCAAAACAAAATGAAAACATGGAATGTTAAACTTACTGAACACCATTAAGTAGATTACTACATTTGGAAAAGAAATCTTAGAAGACGAATGTAGGGAAAAAGTAGTTACAGGGGTTATTTGAAGATAAAAGAGGATGAGAACTTTCCAAATTTTTATGTGATAAAAGAAAAACTAATACCAATCAATACTGTTTGCTTTGAAATTATTTGGAATTATTCTGGAATTAAAAATAAGGAAACAATAAAGAACTTACAAAATAAACAAAAGGTGAAGGTATTTATCACCACAGGCATGGTCCCACAAGAAATGCTACATGGTGGCCAGGCACCAGTGGCTCATGTCTGTAATCCCAGAGTCTTGGGAGGCCAAGGCAGGCAGATTAGTTGAGGCTAAGAGTTCAAGATGATCCTGAGTAACATAATGAGATGCTGTTTATTTTTTTATTGCCAAAAAGAGTCCATATGTTGAAAAATGTAATGATGCTGAACAACCTTAAAAAACTACATGAAACTATAAACTTTGTTAAATGTAAATATATAAACACATATACAATTGTTTACTACCATAATCATTAAGCAAAATCTCTTAAAATTCTGCTATAGAATTTCAACAAAAAAATCTGCATAAATCTGTTAATAGATACACAATATAAAATAATATTTGTAATAATAAAAAACTACAGGATGTAAGCCTGAGCACAATGGCTCATGCCTGTAATCCCAGCACTTTGGAAGGACGAGATGGGTGAATCACGAAGTCAGGAGTTCAAGACCAGCTTGGCTAAGATGGTGAAACCCCATCTCTACTAAAAATATGAAAAATTAGCCGGTCGTGGGGGTGGGTGCCTGTAATCTCAGCTACTCGAGAGGCTGAGGCAGAGCATTGCTTGAACCTGGGAGGCGGAGGTTGCAGTGAGCCAAGATTACACCACTGCTCTCCAGCCTGGGTGACAGAGCGAGACTCCATCTCAAAAACAAAACAAAACAAACAAACAAAAAACCCACTACAGGATGTAAAGAGGTATAGTTTTTGTATTCAACTGAAGTTATGACATACTAATATTGTTATAACTTTAAAATGTTTTACATAATCTCCAATTACCTAGATAATTACAAGTTTATAGAAAGTATGCAATACAAAATGAGAAAGGAAACAAAGCATAACACTAGAAACTCAAAAAAGCAAAAATTAAGACAGTAAAATAGGAAATTATGGAAAACATCTCTACAAGAAACACAGAAAATAATAACAATCAAAATGGTAATAATAACTTCATTTCTCTATGGAATCATTTTAAATATAAATTGATTAAACTAATAATAAGAAATTAAATGGCCCAATGGAATAAGAACAAACCAAATCACACAATATGCAACAAATCACACAATATTCTTGTTCGAACTTGGTGTACTCTGTTAGGACACATAACAAGCCTTATTAAGTTTAAGAAGACTAATCAGGTGTGGTGGCTCATGCCTGTAGCCCCAGCACTTTGGGAGGCCAGGAGTGGAAGATTGCTTGAGACCAGGATTTCAAGAGACTCACTTTAACTTTGAGTCAAATAGGTTGAAAGAAACAGAATGAAAAAACATATTCCATGCAAACAGTATCCACAATTAAGTGAGGTGGTCATAAATTATATTTGACAAAATACGCTGTAAATCAAAAACTAGCATGAGGTAAAGATTGTTACTATGTAATGGTAACATTGGTCATTTACCAGGAATCTATAACTATTATATCTATTTAAAAGATCAGGGTTCCAAAATATATAAAGCTAATATTGACAGAAGTGAAGCAAAAAATACATAGCAACATAATAATTACAGACATTAAGACCCCACTTTAATAATGAGTGAAAGTTTAGATAAAACATCAATAAGAGAACAAAACCTGGATGACATTATAAATTGTATTAATTCATTTTGTATTGCAATAAGTACCTAAGACTGTGTAATTTATAAAGAAAAAAGATTTATTTTCTTCATAGTTATGCAAAATGTACAATAAGTGTGGTGCCAGCATCTGCATCTGGTGAGGGTCTAAGTAAGCTTACAATCATAGTGAAGGCAAAGAGAAACCAGACATATTGCATGGGGAGAGAGGGAGCAAGCATGAAAGGAAAGTGCCAGGTTCTTTAAACACGCAGCTCTCATGTGAATTAACAGAGTGAGAACTTATTGATCACCAAGGGGATGGTGCGAAGTCATTTACAAGAGATTTGCTCCCATGACCCAAACACATCACACAAGGATCCACATCCTACATTGGGAATCCCATTTCAACATGAGATTTGAAGGGTACAAACATCCAAATCATATCATAGGCCAACTACACATTAAAAATATGTACAGGACTCTCCAGTAAAAAGGAACAGATTACACAATATTCTTGTTTGAACTTGGTGCATTCTGTTAGGACACATAACAAGTCTTATTAAGTTTAAGAAGCCTGGCCATGTGTGGTTGCACAGGCCTGTAGCCCCCAGCACTTTGGGAGGAAAGACCACTTGAAACCAGGATTTCAAAACCAGCCTGGGCAATACAGTGAGAACCCGCATTTCTACAAAAAATCAAAAAACTAGCCAGGTGTGAAAGCACACGTATGTAGTCCCAACTACTTGCGATGCTGAGGTGGGAGGATTATTTGAGCCTCGGAGGCTGAGGCTGCAGTGAGCCAAGATTGTACCACTGCACTCCAGCGTGAGTGGCACAGTGAGAATCTGTCTCTCAATAGCAACAAAAATAAATAAATAAATTTAAGATGACAAAAATTATACAGTTATGTTTTCTGACTAAAATAAAATGAAACTAGACATCAAAATCAAGAGATATACTGGCAAATTCAAAAATATATGGAAATAAAACACACTCTTTAATATATTCTTGCTCAAGGTCCAGATAATTTAATCTAAATGTGAAAACAACTCACGGTGGTGAAGAAATTCCAATGGTACATTGTTGACCAGAAATATTGTTTAAAACTTTTTAAATTGATTATGAGCTAAAACTAGCCAAACACCCATGAGAAAGAACAAAGAGGCATTATATTTCCTGATTTCAAAATATATTAAAAAGCTATAATAAACAAAAGCAATGTGGTACTAACAGAGACAAATAAACAGATGATAGAACAAAATAGCCCAGAAATGAACCTTTCTTTATATAATCAAATAATCTTCCGCAAAGTTGCCATGACTACACAATAGAGAAAAGAAAATATCTTCAACAAATGATGTTGAAAACTGAGTATCTACACTGAAAAAAATAAAGTTGGATTATTTTCTTGCACATTTTAAATAAAATAATGAAACTAAAAAACATATAACTAATACAACTCTTAGAAGAAAAAAATAGGGAAAATACAGAACACTGGTTTTGGCACTTTTTTGTAGATATGACATCATACTTATGAAAAACATAAAAACCCCCAAAATTTAACTGTGCTAAACTTCAAATTTTCTGCACACCGAAGAAAATATTTAGTAGAATGACACTGCCACCGAAGAAATGGGTGAAAATATTCGCAAATTACATGTGATGAGTTAATATTCAGAATTATAAACAACTAAAACTGAAAAAGTAACAATGAATAAATTGATTTAGAAATGGACAAAGAATTGAACTGTTTAATCAAAAATATATATGGAAGTAGAAAAAAGCACTTAAAATAATGCAAAAAAAGTACCAATTGTAGAGAAATACAAAACAAAATTACAATCCAAAACAAAACCACCTCATACCCATTAGAATGGCCATGATAAATTTTTAAAATGCCGAATCTGTTGAGGATGTAAAGAAATTAAAACTCATGTGAATTGTTGGTGGGGAAAAAGGATGCAACCATCATATTATGAATGTTTCTTAAAATTTAAATTATAGAATTCCACTTATAAACCTAGATTCAATTATAAATCATATTATTTGACTGGAATATAAAATACATTTTTATATACTAATATATATATAAATGGAATCCAAGAATTCCACTTATAAATCTATATTCAAACATAAATATAAATGTATACTCCAAATATAAATCTATATTCAAACAAAGAACGTGGAAGATATATTTGAATATATATTTCAAATATTGGTATAATAAATATACCAATATTTATATATTTTATATATATTAATATAATATATATTAAATAAATATATATAATATAAATAAATATATATTATATATATTAAATATATAAATATTGGTATAATATATTTATTATACCAATATATTATATATAAATATATACACATATATTTATATATATACTATATATATAAATATATTATACCAATATTTACAAAAGCCAAAAGACAGAAGTAACCCAGATATCCCTTGACTGATAAACAAATTAAAAATGTGACATATACATACAGTGGAATATTATTCAGCCTTAAAATAGTAAATCTGTCACATTCTTACATAAACGTTGAGAATATTATGTCAACTGAAATAAGATAGTAATAAAGTGACAGATACTATATGATTCCGTGATATGAGTCATTATAAATAGTCAAATAGAAACAGAAAGGAGAATGGTGTTGCTCAAGGTCTAAAGAGAGGGTAAAATGGGCAGTTGTTACTTAATGGGTATTGTCTTAATTTTAGAAGACGTAAAAGTTCTAGAGGTCTTTACATAACAATGTAAATACTCTTAATGACTAAAATGTATACCTTTTTTGAGGTAGGTTCTCACTCTGTCCTGCAGGCTGGAATGAAGTCATATAATCCATACTCACTGCAGCCTCAACCTCCCATGCACAAGTGATTCTCCTGCCATGGCCTCACAAAGAGCTAGGACCACAGGTGGACAACCCAACACCTGGATAATTTTAAATTTTTGTGGGGAAGGGCTCTCTATATGCTGCACAGGCTGGTCTCAAGTTCCTCAGCTTAAGCAATACTTCTGCCTCAGTTTCCCAAAGTACGGGCATTATAGGCATGAGCCTCCACCACACTCAGCACTGAAATATAGACTTAAAAAGCTTTAAGATGGTAAATTTTATGTTATGTGTTTTCACATTTTTTTTTGAAAACAACTAAAAGTGATATAGGTCTTTCTATAAATCATAAAATATATAAATATATAAATATAAATCACCTTCAAATCACTAAAGTGTTTCTCTCACACAAAGAAAATATATATATTTATCATTAAACACCTAGTGAATATACCACTGTTTCTATGACTACTCACCTTCACATAATAAGACAACTGTTGAAAATCAGCCAAGAAGGCTGGGCGTGGTGGCTCACTCCTGCAATCCCAGAACTTTGGGAGGCCAAGGCAGGAGGATCACCTGCAGTCAGGAGGTAGAGATCAGCCTGGCCAATATGGTGAAACCCCATCTCTACTAAAAACACAAAAAAATTAGCTGGGCATGGTAGCAGGCACCTGTAATCCCAGCTACTTGGGAGGCCGAGGCAGGAGAATTGCTTGAACCTGAGAGGCGGAGGTTGCAGTGAGCAAAGATTGTGCCACTGCACTCCAGCTGGGCCTCTACTGTGGCCTGCAGACCTTGGCCTCTACTGTGGCCGCTGAAGGAGTTCAGTGACTCAGTTTCAGCTGTCTTTGCCACAGTTCAAACCCACACAGTGATGTGGAAAAAAACTTCCAAATACTCAGTGGTAGCCACACTTACCACATCCCGATATAAGGTCCACCATATGCACACCCAATTGCAGAAATCTGTCCTAGTTTCTGCACTATAAATAAAAGTCCTGAAGGAAATCCAGCCTGCCCAGACATTAGATGGGAATCACAACAACCAAAGCCCCTGGTAAAAAGCCACTTGAAGGTTGAATCCACTGCATACCCAGCAGCCTTGTGACACAGTTATAAACTCTTCCCTACTACAAGCTCATAGGGAATACCATTACCCTGGGGACCCAACAAAAGAAGATCTGTACCTCCTGAAACCAGTTTATAAAAAATTAAAGAGCTGTTTGCTTCTTCAAATTTATAGACACCGGGGTAAGGCTACATGGTTCCATTGTCAATGTTTCTATTTTAACATAGCAGTGAAAGTACTTTGCAGAAGAATTAGTCAAGAAAATGACCCTAAAAATGACATTCAAATTGAGGAAAAAAATTAAAATGTTGCTGTTTGTAGGTGACATGATCTTATATATAGAAAACCATAAACAATACATCAAAAAATAACAAATGCCCTCAGAAAATTAGCAATATATAACATTAACATATAATTATCAGTTATGATTCCATATGCTAACAACAAACCATCTGATAAAAAAGGAAGAAAACAATCTCATTTCCAATAGAATTAAAATAATAAATTTCTGAAAAATAAATTTAACAAAGAAGGCAAAAGATCTTTTCACTGAAACATATATTGATGAAAGAAATGGAAGAAGTCACAAACAAATGCAAAAAGATTTCAAGCTTATGAACTGGAAGAATAAATATTATAAAGTACCATATGATTCAAAGTGATCTACAGCTTCAATGAACTCTCTATTAAAAATCCAGTGACATTTTTCACAGTAATGGAAATTACAATTCTAAAATTTACATGAAACTATGATAGGCTTTGAAAAACCAAAGCAATCTAGAGGAAAAGGGACAAAGCAACCAAACTTCATACTTTATGATTTCAAACTATATTTTAAGATTGTAGTAAAAAAACAGGATGATACATGCAAAATATGGACACAATAAACCAATGGAACAGAATAGAGCCCAGAAATAAACCCAGGCATATAAAGTTTACTAATCTTTGACAAGTGCACCAAAAATACACAATGAACGAAGTATAGTCTTTTTAATATTTGGTTCTGAAAAAACTGGATACCTTCAGGCAAAAGAATAAAATTAGCTTATTTTTCTTACACCATGCTAAAAGTTAAATTACAGACTTAAATATGAATCCTTAAAAAACCTGAAAAAGAATACATGGAAAACCCTCATGATATGGTCTTAACAATAATTTGTTAGACATAATACCAAAAGTACAGCAACAAAAGCAAATATAAACAAGCTGGACTGCATCAAACTAAAAACCTTCTGCACAGAAAAGGGAACAATAAAATAAAAAAATTTGTAGAATGGGAAAAAATATTTGCAAACCATACATCTGATAAAAGATTGATATACAAAATATATAAGAAATGCAAGCAGATTGAAAGCAAGAACAACAGTAACCCAGTTCAAAATAGGCAAAAATCTAAACTGATATTTGTCCAATGAAGACATACAAATGGCCATACATATGGCCATAAGCCATAAAGTACTCAATATCACCAAATATCAGGCAATTGCAAATCAAAACCATGATGAGTATCATTTCAAACATGTTAGAATGGATAATGTAAAAAGAAGAAACATAACAAGTGTTGACAACACTTTGAAGAAAAAAAATTCTGTACATTCTTGGAGAGTTATAAATTGATGGAGTCATTACAAAAACCAATAGAGGTTATCTGAAATACAGAACTACTACACAATCTAGCAATAGTAGTATTGTGCATATAATACTGTGTATATAACAAAAGGAAATGAAATAAGTAACTTGAAGACATATCTGTACTACCATATTTGTTGCAGCATTATTCACAATTGCCAAGATATAAAAAACCTAAATGTTTGTGGATGCTGAATAAAGAAAAGCTGGTATAAATAAACAATAGAATATTATTTAGCCTGAAAAATAACAAAATCTTGCCATTTCAACAACATGGGTAAAACTGGAAGACCTTATGCCAAGGGAAATAAGCCAGACATAGAAAGAGAAATACTGCTCATTCTCACTTATATGGGGAATCTAAGAAAGCTGAACTCACAGAAGCAGAGACTACAATGGAAGTTGTCAGGGACTAGATATGGGAGAAAATGAAAAGATATTGAAAAGACACAAATTTTCTGTTATGAGTAAGTTTTTCAAATGTAATGTATATCTTCATGATACAGTTAACACTAAATTTTTGTATGCTTAAAATTTGGTGTCAGCAGATCTTAGAGGTTTTCATTACAAAAAAGGTACCTATGTGAGGAAAGGTGATAAAAATGCTCATAAACATAATTGTGCTAATCATTTTATAATATACACATGCAGTAAGTCATTACATTGTACACAATAAATATATATACAATTTTTATTTGTAAAAAAATCCACAATACACACCTACATATATATACACACATATAAATTACAGTTCTGGTAAACTTTATCCTGAACAAGATAAAATTACAAAATAGTAATTTAAAAAACAAGGAAAGAAGTGGGAGCTTAACGTATGCTCAGTTATGTTCTAAGTTCCCTGACATAGTGAATTGTAGAAATGTAGGAAATATCTACGTTATATTACAGTTGAGAAATTAAGACAGAATTGAAATTACCAACCTCAGTTAGTACTAAAAGAATAAAAATTTCAATTCAAATAACATTAGATATTCTTAAAGAGATACTTAATATTCTGATTAAATTACCGAGTATGAATTTCTGTAGAAACACATTTGAAACCTCCATAAAATAAGAAACTATAAAGCAGAAAACATACAACATATGTGTGTTGTATTTCTGGGATTTCTGAACCAAATCTCAATATCACTACTTTTACATATTTCAGACACAATGCAGAAAGAGAACTTAAAAATGGTTAAACACAGGTTTTCTAAAACATATGCAGCTATTTGTATATCCCCAAAAGCAATAAAAGTAGTTAGATTGTGCACTGTTTTATAAGCCATAAAGAGAACTTTGGCTCTCACTGCAAATCTGAAGAAAAATTATTGAAGAAAATGTAGAGTCGTTAGAGCGCATGGGACAGAGGATGCCCCTATGTGAGAACAAGTGAAAAAACCCAGGCTTCTCAGAAAGGATTTCCACTGGAGCACAGCTTCCCAAATTACATGTTAAAGTCCGGGTTCCTCTTGGCCTTTGGATGCCTCATCTATGTCATCCTCTTCTTCATTCGCTTTCACCTACCTGGGTGCTTCATACTCCATGGCTTTTTCCTTTGCTCCAGACAGGTGACCAGGTCTGGCTTAGAGAAGACAATACCTGTTTTATTTTAAAAAGCAGCATGAGCATGACTTTTCCTGGGATTCTCCATTTACCAACCTAATACTGTGCTAAGTAGAGAAAAGAGGTCATAATAGAAGATTCTAGAAAATTAATTCCAAAATACTTTTTACTGACAGAACCTTTAGTGTATTCAGAAAGTACATTAAATATGAGGGTCCTCTGTTTCACTCCCCAGTATTACTGAATCAAAAATTGATGGTGGCAATTGAATTTTAAGGTGTGGACAACATTATTTTATGTCACTAAATTTCTGAAATTACCACTTATCTAGAGTGAATAATATAGATAAACTCAGGAAAGGGGAAAATTCAGGTCAAAATGAAACAACCTAAAGAATTTATTTTCCACACCAAAAAATCCGCAAGATTGTCTTGAAAACAGGGATCTGAAATTCACTCATGCAAAGCAGAAATTACCAAAACACATCCTACAAAGGAAGAAAATGAAACTTTTAGGGTAAATTAGGAATTCTATATTGAAGTTATCCTCAACCAAGAAGACCGGGTTTCTGTAGTTCTCTAACATCACATCCATATACAAATTCTGCTGAGCAGCATCCAGGTATTGACACTCCTCCAGACAGAATTCTATGGCTACATCCCTGAATGTCAACAGTCCCTGAAAACACACACACACCCACTTCAAGTGGCCATGGGCAGAATTCTTAAATTGACTCAAGATAAAATGAGTGAAGAGAACTGATTCTGACTTATACAACTGAAATTGTCCTATAAAATAATTCCCAACAAAGAAATATTCTCTGTTGTATTCTCTATCTCTGAGAAAAGAGAGCATAAGATTTACAATACCAGTGTAGTGTATTGATGATATTTTTTGAATGATAAAGTACAAAATTAACAACAGGAACATAGACATGTACATTTTTGAGTGCTCCATTTAATCATACAGTATAAGTTCTGTATATTTCTCAGATTAAAAAGTCAGGCTTAGTTATAAAGTACCTCTCAAATTTTAATGTGTACAACAATAAACTGGAGATCTTTTTATGCAGATTTTGTTTCAAGAAACCTGAGGTAAAACCTGAGTTTCTGAATTTCTAACAAGCTCACAAGTGACACCAATCTTTCTGGCCCAAGATAAATATTTTGTCAAACATTCATTAACTGACAGAGCCTGGGTTTTTATGACCAGTAAACAAAGATGAGAGACTTCACTTTTTAAAGAAAGACATATGCAAAGACAATCTAAGAAGAAAAGAGAACTTCCAGATTACATGGGATGCTTTATTCACATCAGCTGGTAAATGTCCCCAAGGTACTCAATAATGAAGAGAAAAATAACTCTACAGTGGAAAAAAATTCTCAGAGAACTATTTAACTAAACGAATCAAATTAACACCAATTATAACAGAACAAATTTTCATCATGCGCTGATGCTCACAGAAGGACACAATATCACTGCTGTGATACTGGCCCCCGCCAAAGAAGCAAATTATAATTCAAATCTAATCATAAAGAAACAAGTTTTATGCAAAATGCGAACTACAGTAATTGCTCATGTTGTGTAATCTCTATTAAAGTATTTACGCAGACTTTCTTCAGCATTCTAGAAAGCGAGTATCTTCTAATTATTTTTTTCAAAACTTTCTGAATTATTCTGGGTAATAAATACCATCCTGTTCAAATGTGCATATTTTAATACTGTTCCACATGGAGTTGATGGAGCACACAGACAGAACTTCAACATTACATATTCCCCTTTTTCATGAATATCTAAGAACCCCACCTCTTCCCCAGTAGGAATCTTGTGTATCCATACCTTCCCATGTGCACCAGCACCAGCAACAAAGGGTATTTTTCTTTTTTTTTTTTCTTTGGAGATGGAGTCTCCCTCTGTTGCCCAGGCTGGAGTGCAGTAGCACGATGTAGGCTCACTGCAACCTCCAGAACCTCCACCTCCTGGGTTCAAGTGATTCTCTTGCCTCAGCCTCCCAAGTAGCTGGGATTACAGGCACCCGCCACCATGCCCAGCTATTTTTTGTATTTTTAGTAGTGACAGGGTTTCACCATGTTGGCCAGGCTGGTCTCGAACTCCTGACCTCAGGTCATCCACCCACATCGGCCTCTCAAAGTGCTGGGATAATAGGCATGAGCCACCGCGCCCAGCCAAAGGGAATATTTTTAATATTACGAGTCATAATTAATGATGAGAATTCCGCATGGCAGAGAAGAAGCCAAGATGAAGAGAATGTCGAGAAGACTCTAGTATATAGAAAATAATATATTTCAGAGTTGCTTGACTATCATGAGAAGAAAAAATGTTTAAACAAACTTATAGGGAGAAACAGCATAAAGTCAAGAAGTACAGGTTTGTAAGTTCTAAACATATGGCATTCCAGGAGGCAGAGTGAACACTGCTCCTAATCTGAGACACAGTCACCTGAGAAAAAGCCATTTTTCTCTTCATCATCCTTCTCTAGGATTTCTTCTCAGGTGATATTTTCTGGACAAGTCACACCTGCATCTTGGGAATATGCCTTTAAAGGAATCAGCACAATCTCTTCACCTGCTACCACCACAAACACAGGTAGAAAGATCCAGGCATGCAGAAAATGTCCACCCATTTATGTTCTTTATAACAGGTGAGATTCAAGGACAGTGAGCTCCTCCACAAAGTTCAAAATTTATCTTTCTCTTTTCCTGCCACAGACGCCACAATTTCTGCTACAGCAATGGGGATATGGGCCACACTAACTTGTACCTACCAAATCCAACCATAGGAGACCCTGTGACCTCCCTTTGGAATAAAGTTTGAACTCAACTCTCATGAATGTATTTTGAATTCCTCGTGGTTGACCCTGGCCTCAACCTGGAGTCACATGAGGCACTTAATTATATCAACAAGGATGCTTCCACCCAGAACAATATACAGAGCCTGCGGGAAGGGCACAAGTGAAAAGATTTCTGCAACCTGGCCATGGAATCTTAATTAGAAGCCTGGGCCAAGAACCACTTAGCTAAGCATTGCCTCTCAAACTTCAATGTGCATATAAATCATTTGGTAACCCTGGCCCCACACTATGTAATGTGATTCTGCAGGTTTTAAAAGCATCCATGAAAGTGCATTTTAAACACATCTCCTGTCAATGCTGATGTAGCTTCCCCAGACCCATCATTAGTAGCATTTAGCTAGAAAAAGCAGGCATGGAACAGACTCTCACACTCATCACTCATCACAACACAAATACTTCTGATCAAATAAACAATCAATCTCTATCCTGAAAAACCACATTCTTTGCTAGCTCTTTAAAGTTTACAGAGACAGGAGAAGGCAACAATGTCTGAGTAAGTCTGCACTGAAAAGCAACATGTACACATATACTTATGCAATGCTTATTAAGCAGGTACTATGTGCTCAGGAGTGTGTTACAGAGCACTGTGCTGGGAACATCACATTATGTGATTTAATCTTCAAAACAGCTTGAGAGTTGGGCACTAAGTGTTCAATAATTCTCAGAATTTAGATGAAGGGGCCAGCATTGTTTTCTTCCCTGTTTATCTCTTATTGATTTTTTTGGGGGGGGGGGACAGAGTTTCACTCATGTTGCCCAGGCTGGAAGTGGAATGGCACGATCTCAGCTCACCACAACCTCCGCTTCCTGGGTTCAAATGATTCTCCTGCCTCAGCCTCCCGAGTAGTTGGGATTACAGGCATGCACCACGACACTGAGCTAAGTTTGTATTTTTAGTAGAGACGGGGTTTCTCCATATTGGTCAGGCTGATCTCAAACTCCCGACCTCAAGTGATCCACACACCTCGACCTCCCAAATTGCTAGTATTATGGGCATGAGCCACAGAGTCCGGCCTCTCACTGATTTTTTAAAAAATGTATAGCATAAGAGATAAATATAGACAGATGGGAGGGATACAGAAAGGAAAGGGTTAAGTGTAGTTTAGAGGGATTTTTTAGTGTGTTTCTATTTACTTTCTTGTGACTTTTGGAGTAACTACTGGGATAGAATGTCTCTACAAGCACTGGTTTTAATTAGAAAGAAAGAAGTTAAGACCTCAAAATATATAGTTTATTGCTCTAATTTATCTGCTTTTGGGTTTCAGAATATTGTGAGCATAAGCTCTGGAGAGGCAGCAGGAGCCACCTCCCAAATCTCTGGTCTCCTCTAATGAGTTCTGTGAGGAGAGACTCCAGGGTGGGACCAGACCTGAATGAGTCTCAGAAAAGGGTGAATCTGGACAGAGCTGGGGTGGAGAAACTGTCCTATGTTGAATTATGATCTCTATACTGCTGGAGTACTTGTTCTGTCTTTCCTAAGCCTGTCCAAGAGAAACTTAAGAGTTTGTATAATTTTAATCCATTTAGCCACTACCCTATTTTATAATGTATAATAACAAGCAATTTAACCAAAATTTTTAGGGCTTTCTAGGATAATTTTATTAGAAAATATGTATTCTTAGCAAGGTAAAAGCAATAGAAATACAAATAACTCTCCCGTTTGAGAATAGCTCTTCAGGTGGTGACATCAGAAGTCACAACAACATCAGAGCCATTGCCCAAGTCCCCTTAACACTCCCACTTTATTGTATTGACTATATGATGCTTAATTAAACTATTTATCCAGTTGCTCTAGACTGAAAGTTTTTGAGTGACAGGGACCATGACTGCTTCATCTATTTTTCTAAAGGCCATATGAAATGGAGGCAATTTGTTTATCAGTCTGAGTCTCCAGAACTCCTGAATTTTTTGCCAAGGAAACTGGAGAAACTCTCGTCCAGGTACCAACCAAGGAGATTATTTCTACAAAAGAAGGAACAGACACTGAATGACTCATTTCCCTTCCTCTAACATGGAAGCAGAATTAGACACTCCTGCCAGCCTGACCCAAGTGTGTACAGGACATCCTGAAATGTCTTAAAGATTCCCGGGTGATTGTGAGAGGATTCCTAGTGACCATGGACTGATGACCACATGTTGATCCAGGTAGGAAAGACTCAAGCTGATTCTACATAGAAAATGGAACTGCCCTGGTACAGCTCCAGAACCTGGATCTATGTGTGATATCACCTGTTCTGATTAGCTAGGTCTTAGGTAAGAGAAAGGACAAGAATACTCTACTCCAGTATCACATTTTACAAATAAGTAAACTTATGTCATTTCTCTGGGTATTTTGTGGCTTTGATCTCTCCCTGCTGACATGCATGTTTACACTTACAGATTGTGCAACCAGATTCTATTTACACCAGCAGCCTCTCACATAAACATAGCAGGTCACTGGAAAAGATCTGGAAAGCTCAAAGGGATACACTCTGAAAGGAGGGCTTTAAGATTTCTATGCTGACATCTCACAGATCAGAAAATGTCTCCTATGGGTTTTCTGTACATTCTCAATCCAAAATCTGGCTCTCTGCTGTGAATCCCAGGAGAGCTCAGCTCTTATGTACAGATTACAGGTAAGATCAACCTGACTCTTCATTCTTTGGTGTTACAGCAAGGAGAGTAAAAAAAAAAAAAAGTTCCCATCATAAAGTCTGCTCTAGGACATGATATGTCAACCTAAAAAGAAAAGGTTAAGACAACACTCATTTAAGTAGAGAGTTTATTTGGGCCAAGCCTGAGGATTGAAATCTGGGAGCATAGATTTAAGTTGCCTTGAATGTACACTTTAATTAGCAGCAGTTACAAGTGGATTTACAAGGCAAAAGAGAGGGACAGGGAGTGGACTGAAACAAAGTTGTTTGTCAGAAATTCTTCTCGATCTACAAAGATAACATTGATGACTAATTGGCTATATGTTTTTAAGCTGTGAGGTATTGCTTATAACATCTAGTGTGGCATTATTAGGTTAATTTATATCTACTTGTAGGAATAGCAAACAGTTTCAAGAGGTAAACATGTAGCTCAAAGGAGGCAGTAGAACATAATTATGTTCTCATTTTTATGTCTCTCCGAGCCTGATAAAACTAAAAGGACTTGCAATCCTCAGATCAAAGTTATTCTTTTTCCTCTAATCTCAAGACCGAGATTCAGAATTTGGTATTGTAGATTTAGGTCCTGGATGGATGGAGAAATGGCAGGTGTTAACTGCACATTTATGGGAATTTGGGGAGGAGGAGAAAGAGGAACTTTGAGATACTCATGTTTACTCAGTGCACACATGTCACCCTAATTGTTCTTCTGGGCCTAATAGTCTCCAACTCAGTTTCAGGCCTGAAGACACTATGGTCACTGAAAGAGGTGAAATGGCTGATTACTGTCCTGTGAATTTTGTCAACCACTTGTAGAAAGGCTTAACCTCTCTACGAGTGGTTGTAGAGGACTATAGATGTGAAACAGGCAGAGACACAAGTCTGCCTGCATACTCTGGGGGCAGTGTGCACTTTGAAGCACAACTGACTGAGTTGACTGGAAGCCTGAGGGGGAAAGCCTTCTCTAAAATGAAGCTTGGTGGGCAATTTATACATATATACAATGTCTGGTAATTGTGAACAGGGCTTGAGAAATATAATTAAAAGGAAAATTATCTCCAATCCTAGAAAAACCCCACAATAACAGAACAGAAAGAAAGGTGTTTTATTGCACAATAAAACCAGAATGTGATGTGACAAGAATCACAATCTGCTCAAGAGATTGCAAAGACAGAAAGGTCTCTATAATTAGTCCTCAAGTAGAAGACTTGACAGCACCATTTGTCATACACAGTTTATCCTAAGTTCACCTGGTAATTGGGGAGGCCATCTGTGTATGTTAATTGGTTATATTGAAAGGAAAAATAAACTTCTGACATC
The DNA here is from genome assembly GCF_000001405.40 of Homo sapiens. Lineage (NCBI taxonomy): Eukaryota > Metazoa > Chordata > Mammalia > Primates > Hominidae > Homo > Homo sapiens. Next base: position 132,081,144 of record NC_000002.12, on the reverse strand, counting down.
TTCATGATAGGAGGTAGTTTTGCAACTTACAGCCAGGTGCCTGCTGAAAGTAGGCTCTGGTTCTTTTACAGACACTGTGAAATAGGATACTATTTTTTGGCTATTTACATTTCTAAGCAAAGGGTCCCTACTCCCTAGGCCACGGGCTGCAATAATCCTGCTTGCCCTGTCCTGGTGGCCTGTGTCCCATCTCTTCCCCTACCATCTACCACTGAGGCACACCTCACAGCACACAGCTGGCAGCCCACATTCCACATGGACTCCAACCACCACAGCTGCACTCCAGTGTCACATTATGGAGCAGGGTCCCTGAACTGCAGGAGGAGAACCTGCAGGACTCCTGGGTAGGATTGCACTTTTGCAATAATGGAAATGGGAGCAATATTTCAGCTACGTTTCTATTTATAATGGTGACAAAAAAATACTGCTGGATTCCCAGCATGGGTCTGGATAGAGTGCCAAAGAGTTCTCATTGTGACAGCCCAGCTCACTCAGAAACACCATGAGACACTTCCGGGTATCCCTTCTGAAGACAGACACCAAACGCATTGAAGAGAAAAACAGCTCTCAGTCTGAATAAAATTGTATTAAGAGGTTAAAAATAACTGAAAGAAAAATTCAGATTACATATAATATTAGCCAAGTCGACCAGAAAATACTCCCCTGAGACAGTTTCTCTCTAAACACCCAAAATGCACAGCCACTCTCAACACAAGAAACACAGTGTTATGAAGAAAGGGGGCATATTCTCAGCAGAATTTCTTAAGATTTTTCTTCCATCTCTGCTGCTCTCTCATCTGCTGGCCATTGGATTGAGGATCTACACTGGAACACATCAGGCAACCTTCACCAGCACTTTTTGATAAAGAATTGGAATTTGACTCTGTTTACATAGTAGAACTATATCTGAGATTGCAACATATCTAACTGAAGACTATTATGATTCATGATTTTTGGGTAGTCACATCACTTGCATTGATTTGTTCTGTAAGAGTGGCATTCCAAATATAGTAAAACATAAGAATAGACTGTGAGGCAGGATGCGGTGGCTCACGCCTGTAATCCCAGAACTTTGGGAGGCTGAGGCAGGCAGATCACCTGGGTCGGGAGTTGAAGACCAGCCTGGCCAACACAGTGAAACACCATCTCTACTAAAATACAAAAACTAGCCAGGGGTGGTGGCAGACACCTGTAATCCCAGCTACTTAGGGGTTGAGGCAAGAGAATCGCTTGAACCCAGGAGGCAGAGATTGCAGTGAGCTGAGATCATGCCACTGAACACCAGCCTGGGTGACAGAGCCAGACTCGATCTCAAAAACAACAAAAAAAAATAGAATGTAAAATTTTGCTAACCTACTACTCTATCTTTTTGTTTTGTTTTGTTTTTTGAGACAGAGTTGTGCTCTTGTTGCCCAGACTGGAGTGCAATGGTGCAATCTCAGCTCACTGCAGCCTCCACCTCCCAGGTTCAAGTGATCCTCCTGCTTCAGTCTCCCGAGCAGCTAGGATTACAGGCATGCACCACCATCCCCGGCTAATTGTGTATTTTTTTTAGTAGAGACGGGGTTTCTCCATGTTGGTCAGGGTGGTCTCAAACTTCTGACCTCAGGTGATCCGCCTGCCTCGGCCTCCCAAAGTGCTGTGATTATAGGCATGAGCCACCACGCCCAGATGACCTATTATTATATCTATGGGATGAATTAATAAGCATGTCAGATTAATATCTACTGTAACAATTAGATAGTAAATTTTCTTTGGATATTAGATATAAATATCTAAGTATAAATAATCTTAATATACTAGTAATGGCATACATTTTTTAAATTATCTGTAACCTTAACTCAGTTATAATACTTTCTATTTCAAAAGAATAAATAACGATATTAAAATTACTATTTAAGGGATTTATTCATAGTAAATAGTGTGGCCTTATATTCACATGATTGTAGAAAATACTGTTTAATTTGCATGGATGAATGTTGTCTACTGAAGACTACATAAAACTATGCTAATTCTTTTTTTAATTTTTTTATTTAATTTTTAAAATTTATTATTATACTTTAAGTTTTAGGGTACATGTGCAAAATGTGCAGGTTTGTTACATATGTATACATGTGCCATGTTGGTGTGCTGCACCCATTAACTCGTCATTTAGCATTTGGTATATCTCCTAATGCTGTCCCTCACCCATCCCCCCACACTGACCTCACATAGGATTCCAGAACACTGCTGGGTTCTGAGTGTTTGTCCCTCACATAGGATTCCAGAACTGTTCTGTAATCCTTTGTAAGGGATAAACATTCAGACCCTCATAGCAGTGTTCCGGAATCCTATGTGAGGGACAAAATCTCAGAACCCAGCAGCAGTGTTCTGGAATCCTGTGTGAGCGACAAACATTCACAACTTCGCAGCAGTGTTCTGGAATTCTATGTGAGGGACAAACACTCAAAACCCAGCAGCAGTGTTCTGGAATCCAATGTGAGGGACAAACACTCAGAACCCAGCAGCAGTGTTCTGGAATCCTATGTGAGGGAAAAACACTCTGAACTCAGCAGCAGGTTTCCGGAATCCCATGAGAGGGACAAATACTCAGAACCCAGCAACAGTGTTCTGGGATCCTATGTGAGGGACAAACACTCAGAAGCAGTGTTCTGGAACCTTATGTGAGGGACAAACACTCAGAACCCAGCAGCAGTGTTCTGGAATCCTATGTGATGGACAAACACCCAGAACCCATCCACTGTCTTCTGGAATCCTATCTGAGGGACAAACATTCAGACACTCGTAGAAGTGTTCTGGAATCCTATGTGAGGGACAAACACTCAGCAACCAGGAGCAGTGCTCTGAAATCCTTTGTGAGGGACAAACACTCAGCAACCAGGAGCAGTGCTCTGAAATCCTTTGTAAGAGACAAACAAACAGAATCCAGTAGCAGGGTTCCAGAATCCTTTCTGAGGGAAAAACATTCAGACCATCTTAGCAGTGTTCTGGAATCCTATGTGCGAGATTTTCAGACCCTCGTAGCAGTGTTCTGGAAACCAATGTGAGTGCCAAACACTCAGAACCCAGCAGCAGTGTTCTGGAATACTTGGTAAGGAACAAACATTCAGACAATCGTAGCATTGTTCTGGAATCCTAAGTGAGGGACAAACACTCAGAAATGAGCTGCAGTGTTCTAGAATTCTATGTAAGGGACAAACCCTCAGTACCGAGCGGCAGTGTTCTGGAATCCTATGTGAGGGACAAACACTCAGAACAAAGCAGCAGTGTTCTGGAATCCTCTGTGAAAGACAAACGCTCAGATCCCAGCAGCAGTGTTCTGATACCCTATGTGAGGGACAAACACTCAGAACCCAGCCACTGTGTTCTGAAATCCTATCTGAAGGACAAACATTCGGAGCCTCGTAGAATTGTTCTGGAATCCTATGTGAGGGACAAACACTCAGAAACCTATAGCAGTGTTCTGGAATCCTTTGTGATGGACAAACAAACAGAGCCCAGCAGCAGTGTTCTGGAATCCTATTTGACAGACAAACACTCAGAACTCAGAAGCAGTGTTCTGGAATCCTTTGTGAGGGACAAACATTCAGAACCTCATAGCAGTGTTCTGGAATCGTATGTGAGGGACAAACACTCAGAACCCAGCAGCAGTGTTCTGGAATCCTATGTGAGTGACAAACACTAAGAAACCAGCAGCAGTGTTCTAGAATCCTTTGTGAGGGACAAACATTCAGACCATCGAAGCAGTGTTCTGGAATCCTGTGTGAGGGACAAACACTCAGATCCAGCAGCAGTGTTCTAAAATCCTTTGTGATGGACAAAAATTCAGACCGTCGTAGACGTTTTCTGGAATCCAAAGTGAGGGACAAACACTCAGAACCCAGCTGCAGTGTTCTGGAATCCTATGTGAGGGACAAACATTCAGAACCCAGCAGCAGTGTTCTGGAATACTCTGTGAGGGAAAAACATTCAGACCCTCGTAGCAATGTTCTGGAATCCTATGTGAGGGAAAAACATTCAGATACTCGTAGCATTGTTCTGGAATCCTATATGAGGGGCAAACACTCAGAACCCAGCAACAGTGTTCTGGAGTCCTTTGTGAGGGAAAAACATTCAGACCCTCGAAGCAGTGTTCTGGAATCCTATGTGAGGGACAAACACTCAGAACCCAGCAGCAGTGTTCTGGAATCCTGTGTGAGTGTCAAACATTCAGAACCCAGCAGCATTGTTCTGGAATCCTACTTGAGCTACAAACATTCAGAACTTCGTACCTGTGTTCTGGAATGCTATGTGAGGGACAAACACTCAGAACCGAGCAGCAGTGTTCTGGAATCCTATGTGAGGGAGAAACACTCGAAACCCAGCAGCAGTGTTCTGGAATCCTATGTGAGGGACAAACATTCAGAACCTTGTAGTAGTGTTCTGGAATTTTATGTGAGGGAAAACACTCTGAACCCAGCAGGAGTGTTTTTGAATCCCATGTGAGGGACAAACACACAGAACCCCGCAGCAGTGCTCTGGAATACTTTGTGAGGGACAAACATTGAGACTCTCAAAGCAGTTTTCTGGAATCCATTGTGAGGGACAAACAGTCAGAACCCATAGCAGTGTTATGAATCCTTTGTGACGGACAAACATTCAGACCATCGTAGCAGTGTTCTGGTATCCTGAGTGAGGGACAAACACTCAGAAACCAGCAACAGTGCTGTGGATTCCTTTGTGAGGGGTAAACAAACAGAACCCAGCAGGAGAGTTCTGGAATCCTATGTGAGGGACAAACACTCAGAACCCAGCAGCAGTATTCTGGAATCCTATGTGGGGGGAAAACACAACCCAGCCGCAGAGTTCTAGAATCCTCTGTGAGCGACAAACATTCAGAAATTCATAGCAGTGTTCTGAAATCCTATATGAGGGACAAACACTCAGAACCCAGCCACTGTGTTCTGGAATCCTATGTGAGGGACAATCATTCAGAACCTCGTAGCTGTGTTCTGTAATCCTATCTGAGGGACAAACATTCAGACCTTCGTATCAGTGTTCTGGAATCCTATGTGAGGGACAAACACTCAGAACCCAGCAGCAGTACTCTGGAATAATTTGTGAGGGACAAACATTCAGATCCTCGTAGCAGTGTTCTGGAATCCTATGTGAGGGACAAACACTTAGAACCCAGCAGCACTGTTCTGGAATCCTATGTGAAGGGCAAACACTCTTAACCCAGGAGGAGTGCTCTGGAATACTTTGTGAGGGACAAACATTCAGACAATCATAGCAGTGTTCTGGAATCGTATGTTAGGGACAAACACTCAGAACCCAGCAACAGTGTTTTGGAATCCTATGTGAGGGACAAACCCTCAAACCTAGCAGCAGTGTTCTGTAATCCAATGTGAGGGGCAAACAGAGAGAACCCAGCAGCAGTGCTCTGTAATACTTTGTGAGGGACAACATTCAGATAATCGTAGCAGTGTTCTGCAATCCTATGTGAGAGACAAACCCAAGAAACCAGCAGCAGTGTTCTGGAATCCTATGTGAGGGACAAACCCTCAGAACCTAGCAGCAGTGTTCTGGAATCCAATGAGAGGGACAAACACTCAGAACTCAGCAGCAGTGTTCTCTAATCCTTTGTGAGGGACAACATTCAGATCCTCGCAGCAGTGTTCTGGAATCCTATGTGAGAGACAAACACTAAGAAAGCAGCAGCAGTGTTCTGGAATCCTATGTGTGGGACAAACACTCAGAACCCAGCAGCAGTGTTCTGGAATCCTTTGTGAGGGTCAAACACTCAGACTCTCAGAGCAGTGTTCTGGAGTCCTGTGTGAGGGACAAACACTCAGAACCCTGCCTATGTGAGGGACAAGCATTCAGACCCTCATAGCACCATTCTGGAATGCTCTGTGAGGAACAAATATTCAGACCCTCATAGCAGTGTTCTGGAATCATATGTGAGGTACAAAATCTCAGAACTCAGCAGCAGTATTCTTTAATTCTATGTGAGAGACAAACCCTCAGAACCCAGCAGCAGTACTCTGGAATAATTTGTGAGGGACAAACATTCAGACAATCACAGCAGTGTTCTGGAAACCAATGTGAGGGCCAAACACTCAGAACCCAGCAGCACTGTTCTGGAATATTTGGTAAGGGACGAACATTCAGACAATCTTAGCAGTGTTCTGGAATCCAAAGTGACGGAGAAACACTCAGAAACGAGCTGCAGTGTTCTAGAATTCTATGTGAGGGACAAACACTCAGAACCCAGAAGTAGTGTTTTAGACTGGTTTGTGAGATACAAACATTCAGACCCTCAAAGCAGTGTTGTGGAATCCTATTTGAGGGACAAACACTCATCACACATCCACTGTGTTCTGGAATCCTATCTGAAGGACAAACATTCGGAGCCTCGTAGAAGTGTTCTGGAATCCTATGTGAGGGACAAACATTCAGAAACCAGCAGCAGTGCTCTGGAATCCTTTGTGAGGGACAAACAAACAGAGCCCATCAGCCGTGTTCTGGAATCCTATTTGATGGACAAACACTCAGAACCCAGCAGCAGTGTTCTGGAATGTTTTGTGAGGGACAAACATTCAGATCCTCAGAGAAGTGTTCTGGAATCCTATGTGAGAGACAAACACTCAGAACCCAGCAGCAGTGTTCTAGAATCCTATGTAAGGGACAAACACTCAGAGCCCAGCAGCAGTGTTCTGCAATCCTTTGTGAGGGTCAAACACTCAGATGCTCAGAACAGTGCTCTGTAATCCTATGTGTGGGATAAACACTCTGAACCCTGCAGCAGTGTTCTGGATTCATATGTGAGGGACAAGCATTCAGATCCCCATAGCCCTGTTCTGCAATGCTCTGTGAGGGTCAAACATTCAGAACCTCATAGCAGTGTTCTGAAATACTATGTGAGATACAAAGCCTCAGAACTCAGCAGTAGTGTTCTGGAATCCTATGTGAGTGACAAACACTCAGAAACCAGCAGCAATGTTCTAGAATCCTTTGTGAGGGACAAACATTTAGACTCTCGAAGCAGTGTTCTGTTATCCTATGTGAGGGACACTCAGATCCAGCAGCATTGTTCTAGAATCTTTTGTGATGGACAAACATTAAGGTCCTCATAGCAGTTTTCTGGAATCCTATGTGAGGGGCAAACACTCAGAACCCAGCAGCAGTGTTCTGGAATCCAGTGTGTGGTACAAACACTCAGAACCGAGCCAGTGTGTACTGGAATCCTATCTCAGGGCTAAACATTCAGACCTTCGCAGAAGTGATCTGGAATCCTATGTGGGCAACAAACACTAAATAACCAGCAGCAGTGCTCTGGAATCCTTTGTGAGGGACAAACAAACAGAAACCAGCAGCAGTGTTCTGGAAGCCTTTGTGAGGGAAGAACATTCAGACCCTCGTAACAGTGTTCTGGAATCCTACGTGCGGGACAATCACTCAGAAGCCAGCAGCACTGTTCTGGAATCCTATGTGAAGGACAAATATTCAGAACCCAGAATCAGTGGATTCCTAAGTGAAGGACAAACTCTCAGAACTCAGCAGCAGTTGTCTGCAATCTTTTGTGAGGGACAAATATTGAGACTCTCAAAACAGTGTTCTGGAATCCTATGTAAGGGACAAGCATTCAGAGTCTTGTAGCAGTGCTCTGGAATCCTATATGAGGTACAAACACGAAGAACCCAGCAGCAGTGTTCTGGAATCCTATGTGAGGGACAAACACTCAGAACCCAGCAACAGTGATCTGGAATCCTATATGAGGGACAAACATTCAGACCCTCGTAGCAGTGTTTTGTAATCTTTTGTGAGGGGCAAACAATCAGGACCCAGCAGCTTTGTTCTGGAATCCTATGTGATAGACGAACACTCAGAACCCAGCATCAGTGTTCTGGAATCCTTTGTGAGAGACAAGCAATCAGGACACAGCAGCTCTGTTCTGGAATCCTATGTGAGGGACAAACATTCAGACCCTCGTATTAGTGTTCTGGAATCCTATGGGAGGGACCTACAAACAGAACCCAGTGACAGTGTTCTACAATCCTTTGTTAGGGAAAAACATTCAGACCCTCGTAACAGTCTTTTGAATCCTATGTGAGGGAAAAACATTCAGACCCTCATAGCAGTGTTCTGGAATCTTATTTGAGGGGCAAACACTCAGAACCCAGCAGCAGTGTTCTGGAATCCTTTGGGAGGGATAAACATTCAGACCCTTGTAGCAGTGTTCTGGAATCCTATGTGAGGGACAAACACTCAGAACCCAGCAGCAGTGTTCTGGAATCCTATGTCAGCGACAAACCTTCAGAACTTCGTAGCAGTGTTCTGGAATTGTATGTGAGGGACAAACACTCAGAAGCCAGCAGCAGTGTTCTGGAATGCTATGTGAGGGACAAACACTCAGAACCCAGCATCAGTGTTTTGGCATCCTATGTGAGGGACAAACACACAGAACCCAGAAGCCATGTTCTAGAATCCTTTGTGAGGGACAAACACTCAGAAACCAGTAGCAGTGTTCTAGAATCCTTTGTGAGGGACAAACATTCAGAACCTGTAGCAGTGATCTGGAATCCTATGTGAGGGACAAACACTCAGAATCCAGCCAGTGTACTGGAATCCTATCTGAGGGCAAACATTCAGAACCTTGGAGAAGTGTTCTGGAATCCTATGTGAGGGGCAAACACTAAGAAATATGCAGCAGTGCTCTGGAATCCTTTGTGAGGGGCAAATAAACAGAACCCAGTAGCAGTGTTCTACAATCCTTTGTAAGGGAAAACATTCAGATCCTCGTAGCAGTGTTCTGGAATCCTATATGAGGGACAAACATTCAGAGCCCAGCAGCAGTGTTCTGGATTCCTTTGGGAGGGAAAAACATTCACACCCTCGTAAGAGTGTTTTCGAATCCTATGTGAGGGAAAAATATTCAGACCCTCGTAGCATTGTTCTGGAATCCAATATGAGGGACAAACACTCAGAATCCAGTAACAGTGTTCTGGAACCCTTTGTGAGGGATAAACATTCAGACCCTTGTAGCAGTGTTCTGGAATCCTATGTGAGGGACAAACACTCAGAACCCAGCAGCAGTGTTCTGGAATCCTATGTGAGGGACAATCACTCAGAACCCAGCAGCAGTGTTCTAGAATCCTTTGTGAGGGACAAACATTCAGACCCTCGTAGCAGTGTTCTGGAATCCTATGTGAGAGACAAACATACAGACCACAGCAGGAGAGTTCTGGAATCCTACGTGATCATCAAAATTTCAGACACTAGCAGCAGTGTTCTTTGATCCTCTCTGAGGGAAAAACATTCAGAACTTCGTAGCAGTGTTCTATAATGCTACGTGATGGACAAAGATTCAGAACCTCGTAGCAGTGTTCTGCAATCCTAGGTGAGGGACAAACATTCAGACCCCGGCATTAGTGTTCTGGAATCCTATGTGAGAGACTCACATTCAGACCCTAGTACCAGTGTTCTGGAATCCTCTGTGGGGGACAACAATTCAGAGGCTAGTAGCAGTGTTCTGGAATCCTCTGTGAAGGACACACGTTCAGAAGACAGCAGGAGTGTTCTTGAATCCTATGTGGGGGACAAACACGCAGAACACAGCAGCAGCGTCCTGGAATCATATGTGAGGGACAAACATTCAGACCACAGCAGGAATATTCTGGAATTCTATGTGAGGGACAAACATTGAGACACTTGTAGCAGTGTTCTGGAATTCTATGTGAGTGATAAACACACACAACCCAGCAGCAGTGTCCTGGAATCCTATCTGAGGAACAAACATTCAGACCCTCTTAGCAGTGTTCTGGAATCCTATGTGAGGGACAAACTCTCAGAACCCAGCAGCAGTGTTCTGGAATCCTATCTGAAGGAAAACATTCGGAACCTCTTAGAAGTTTTCTGGAATCCTATGTGAGGGACAAACACTCTGAAGCCAATAGCAGTGTTCTGGTATCCTATATGAGGGACAAACAGAACCCAGCAGAAGTGTTCTGGAATCCCATATGAGGGACAAACACTCACAAACCAGCAGCAAATGTTCTGGAATCCTATGTGAGGGACAAACATTCAGACCCTCGGAGCAGTGTTCTGGAATCCTATGTGAAGGACCAACAGTCAGAACCCAGTAGCAGTGTTCTGGAATCCTATGTGAGGGACAAGCATTCAGACACTCGTAGCAGTGATACAGAATGCTTTCTGAGGGAAAAACATGCAGACCCTCATAGCAGTGTTCTGAAATCCTATGTGAGGGACAAACACTCAGAAGCCAGCAGCAGTGTTCTGGAATCCTTTGTGTCGGACAAACACTCAGAACTCAAAAGCAGTGTTCTGGAATCCCTTTGAGGGACAAACATTCAGAGCCTCATAGCAGTGTTCTGGAATCGTATGTGAGGGACAAACTTTCAGAACCCAGCAGCAGTGTTCTGGAATCCTTGGTGAGGAAGAAACTTTCAGACCCTCTGAGCGGTGTTTTGGAATCCTATGTTTGGGAGAAACACTCAGAACCTAGCAGCTGTGTTCTGCAATCCTATGTGAGGGACAAACACTCAGAACCCACAAGCGGTGCTCTGGACTCTTTGTGAGGGACAAACATTCCTACATTTTAGCAGTGTTCCAGAATCTCATGTGATAGAGAAATGCTCAGAACCCAGCAGCAGAGTTCTAGAATTCTACATGAGGGACAAACCCTCATAACCTAGCAGCAGTATTCTGCAATTCTAAGTGAAGGACAAACCTTCAGAACCCAGCAGCAGTGTTCTCGTACTCAATGACAGGGACAATCCCTCAGATCCCAGCAGCAGTTTTCTGGAAACCTATGTGAGGAACAAACACTCAGAACCCAGCAGCATTTTTCTGAAATCCTTTGTGAGAGACAAACTTTCATAGCCTTGTAGCTGTGTTCTGGAATCCTATATGTGGAACAAACACTCAGAACCCAGAAGCAGTGGTCTGGAATCCTGTGTGAGGGACAAACACTCAGACCCTCGAAGCAGTGTCCTGGAATCCTGTGTGAGGGACAAACATTCAGATCCAGCAGCATTGTTCTGGAATCCTTTGTTATGGACAAACCTTCAGACACTCATAGCAGTTTTCTGGAATCCTATGTGAGGGACAAACACTCAGAACCCAGCAGCAGTGTTCTGGAAGCAGCAGTGTTCTGGAATCCTCTGTGAGTGACAAACACTCAGAAACCAGCAGCAGTGTTCCAGCATCCTTTGTGAGGGACAAACACTCAGACCCTCGAAGCAGTGTTCTGGAATCCTATGTGAGTGACAAACACTCAGAACCCAGAAGCAGTGTTCTGGAATCCTATGTGAGGGACCAACACTCAGAACCCAGCCACTGTGTACTGGAATCCTATCTGAGGGAGAAATATTCAAACCATCGCAGAAGTGTTCTGGAATCATGTGTGGAACAAACACTAAGAAACCAGCAGCAGTGCTCTGGAATCCTTTGTGGGGGACAAACAAACAGAACCCAGCAGCGTTCTGGAATCCTTTGTGAGGGAAAAACATTCAGACCCTCATAGCAGTGTTCTGGAATCCTATATCAGGGACAAACACTCAGAACCCAGCAGCAGAGTTCTGCAATCCTTTGTGAGGGAAAAACATTGAGACCCTCTTAGCAGTGTTCTTGAATCCTACATGAGGGAAAAACATTCAGACCCTCATAACATTGTTCTGGAATCCAATATAAGGGACAAGCACTCAGAACCCAGCAGCATTGTTCCGGAATCCTATGTGAGGGACAAACACTCAGAACCCAGCAGCAGTGTTCTGGAATCCTATGTGAGCCACAAACATTCAGAACTTCATAGCAGAGTTCTGGAATCTTATGTGAGGGACAAACACTCAGAACCCAGCAGCAGTGTTCTGGAATCCTATATGAGGGACAAACACTCAGAACCCAGCAGCAGTGTTCTGGAATCCTTTGTGAAGGACAAACATTCAGAACCTCATAGCAGTGTTCTGGAATCGTATGTGAGGGATAACACTCTGAACCCAGCAGGAGTGTTTTTGAATCCCATGTGAGCAACAATCACTCAGAACCCTGCAGCAGTGTTCTGGAATCCTATGTTAGTGACAAACTCTCAGAACCCAGAAGCAGAGGGAAAAGAAACTACCAAGTGTAGCCAAGATGGCCGAATAGGAACAGCTCCGGTCTACAGCTCCCAGTGTCAGCAATGCAGAAGATGGGTGATTTCTGCATTTCCATCTCAGGTACCAGGTTCATCTCACTAGGGAGTGCCAGAGAGCAGATGCAGGACAGTGGGTGCAGTGCACAGTTCATGAGCCGAAGCAGGGTGAGGCACTGCCTCACTCGGCAAGTGCAAGGGGTCAGGGAGTTCCCTTTCCTAGTCAAAGAAAGGGGTGACAGACGGCACCTGGAAAATCGGGTAACTCCCACCCTAATACTGTGCTTTTCCGATGGTCTTAACAAACGGCGCACCAGGAGATTATATCCTGCACCTGGCTCAGAGGGTGACACGCCCACGGAGTCTCGCTGATTGCTATCACAGCAGTCTGAGATCAAACTGCAAGGCGGCAGCAAGGCTTGGGGAGGGTCGCTCGCCATTTCCCAGGCTTGCGTAGGTAAACAAAGCAGCCAGGAACTCGAACTGGGTGGAGCCCACCACAGCTCAAGGAGGCCTGCCTGCCTCTTTAGGCTCCACCTCTGGGGGCAGGGCAGAGACAAACAAAAAGACAGCAGTAACCTCTGCAGATTTAAATGTCCCTGTCTGACAGCTTTGAAGAGAGCAGTGGTTCTCCCAGCACACAGCTGGAGATCTGAGAACAGGCAGACTGCCTTCTCAAGTGGGTCCCTGACCCCTGACCCCCAAGCAGCCTAACTGGGAGGCACCCCCCAGTACGGGCAGACTGACACCTCACATGGCCGGGTTCTCCTCTGAGACAAAACTTCCAGAGGAACGATCAGACAGCAGCATTCGCGGTTCATGAAAATCTGCTGTTCTGCAGCCACCGCTGCTAATACCCAGGTAAACAGGGTCTGGAGTGGACCTCTAGAAAACTCCAAAAGACCTGCAGCTGAGGGTCCTGTCTGTTAGAAGGAAAACTTACAAACAGAAAGGACATAAACACCAAAAACCCATCTGTACATCACCATCATCAAAGACCAAAAGTAGATACAACCACAAAGATGGGGAAAAAACACAGCAGAAAAATTGGAAATTCTAAAAAGCAGAGCACCTCTCCTCCTCCAAAGGAACGCAGTTCCTCACCAGCAATGGAAAAAAGCTGGGTGGAGAATGACTTTGATGAGTTGAGAGAAGAAGGCTTCAGACGATCAAACTACTCTGAGCTACAGGAGGAAATTCAAACCAAGGGCAAAGAAGTTAAAAACTTTGAAAAAAATTTAGACGAATGTATATCTAGAATAACCAATGCAGAGAAGTGCTTAAAGGAGCTGATGGAGCTGAAAGCCAAGGCTTGAGATCTACGTAAAGAATGCAGAAGCTTCAGGAGCCGATGTGATCAACTGGAAGAAAGGGTATAAGTGATGGAAGAAGAAATGAATGAAATGAAGCAAGAAGGGAAGTTTAGATAAAAAAGAATAAAAAGAAACGAACAAACCTCCAAGAAATATGGGACTACGTGAAAAGACCAAATGTACGTCTGATAGGTGTACCTGAAACTGACGGGGAGAATGGAACCAAGTTGGAAAACACTCTGCAGGATATTATCCAGGAGAACTTCCCCAATCTAGCAAGGCAGGCCAACATTCAGATTCAGGAAATACAGAGAATGCCACAAAGATACTCCTCGAGAAGAGCAACTCCAAGACACATAATTGTCAGATTCACCATAGGTGAAAGGAAGGAAAAAATGTTAAGGGCAGCCAGAGAGAAAGGTCGGGTTACCCACAAAGGGAAGCCCATCAGACTAACAGCGGATCTCTTGGCAGAAACTCTAGAAGCCAGAAGAGAGAGGGGGCCGATATTCAACATTCTTAAAGAAAAGAATTTTCAACCCAGAATTTCATATCCAGCCAAACTAAGCTTCATAAGTGAAGGAGAAATAAAATACTTTACAGACAAGCAAATGCTGAGAGATTTTGTCACCACCAGGCCTGACCTAAAAGAGCTCCTGAAGGAAGCGCTAAACATGGAAAGGAACAACCAGTACCAGCCACTGCAAAATCATGCCAAAATGTAAAGATCATTGAGACAAGGAAGAAACTGCATCAACTAACGAGCAAAATAACCAGCTAGCATCATAATGACAGGATCAAATTCACACATAACAATATTAACTTTAAATGTAAATGGACTAAATGCTCCAATTAAAAGACACAGACTGGCAAATTGGATAAAGAGTCAAGACCCATCAATGTGCTGTGTTCAGGAACCCATCTCACGTGTAGAGACACACATATGCTCAAAATAAAAGGATGGAGGAAGATCTACCAAGCAAATGGAAAACAAAAAAAGGCAGGGGTTGCAATCCTAGTCTCTGATAAAACACACCTTAAACCAACAAAGATCAAAACAGACAAAGAAGGCCACTACATAATGGTAAAGGGATCAATTCAATGAGAAGAGCTAACTATCCTAAATATATATGCACCCAATACAGGAGCACCCAGATTCATAAAGCAAGTCCTGAGTGACCTACAAAGAGACTTAGACTCCCACACAATAATAATGAGAGATTTTCACAACCCACTGTCAACATTAGACAGATCAATGAAACAGAAAGTTAACAAGGGTACACAGGAATTGAACTCAGCTCTGCACCAAGCAGATCTAATAGACATCTACAGAACTCTCCACCCCAAATCAACAGAATATACATTCTTCTCAGCACCACACCACACCTATTCCAAAATTGACCACATACTTGGAAGTAAAGCTCTCCTCAGCAAATGTAAAAGAAAAGAAATCATAACAAACTGTCTCTCAGACCACAGTGCAATCAAACTAGAACTCAGGATTAAGAAACTCACTCAAGACTGCTCAACTACATGGAAACTGAACAACCTGTTCTGGAATAACTACTGGGTACATAATGAAATGAAGGCAGAAATAAAGATGTTCTTTGAAACCAATGAAAAAAAAGACACAACATACCTGAATCTCTGGGACACACTCAAAGCAGTGTGTAGAGGGAAATTTATAGCACTAAATGACCACAAGAGAAAGCAGGAAAGATCTAAAATTGACACCCTAACATCACAATTAAAAGAACTAGAAAAGCAAGAGCAAACACATTCAAAAGCTAGCAGAAGGCAAGAAATAACTAAAATCAGAGCAGAACTGAAGGAAATAGAGACACAAAAAACCCTTCAAAAAATTAATGAATCCAGGAGCTGATTTTTTGAAAAGATCAACAAAATTGATAGACCACTAGCAAGACTAATAAAGAAGATAAGAGAGAAGAATCAAATACATGCAATAAAAAATGATAAAGGGGTTATCACCACCAATCCCACAGAAATACAATCAGCCATCAGAGAATATTACAAACACCTCTACACAAATAAACTAGAAAATCTAGAAGAAATGGATAAATTCCTCAAGACGTACACTCTCCCAAGACTAAACCAGGAAGAAGTTGAATCTTGGAATAGACCAATAACAGGCTCTGAAATTGTGGCAATAATCAATAGCTTACCAACCAAAAAGAGTCCAGGACCAGATGGATTCACAGCCGAATTCTACCAGAGGTACAAGGAGGAACTGGTACCATTCCTTCTGAAACTATTCCAATCAATAGAAAAAGAGGGAATCCTCCCTAACTCATTTTATGAGGCCAGCATCATCCTGATACCAAAGCCTGGCAGAGACACAACCAAAAAAAGAGAATTTTAGACCAATATCCTTGATGAACATTGATGCAAAAATCCTCAATAAAATACTGGCAAACCAAATCCAGCAGCACATCAAAAAGCTTATCCACCATGATCAAGTGGGCTTCATCCCTGTCATGCAAGGCTGGTTCAACATATGCAAATCAATAAATGTAATCTAGCATATCAACCTAACCAAAGACAAAAACGAGATGATTATCTCAATAGATGCAGAAAAGGCCTTTGACAAAATTCAACAATTCTTCATGCTAAAAACTCTCAATAAATTAGGTATTGATGGGACGTATCTCAAAATAATAAGAGCTATCTAAAACAAACCCACAGTCAATAGAAAACTGAATGGGCAAAAACTGGAAGCATTCACTTTGAAAACTGGCACAAGACAGGGTTGCCCTCTCTCACCACTCCTATTCCACATACTGTTGGAAGTTCTGGCCAGGGCAATCAGGCAGGAGAAGGAAACAAAGGCTATTCAATTATGAAAAGAGGAAGTCAAATTGTCCCTGTTTGCAGATGACATGATTGTATATCTAGAAAAACCCATTTTCTCAGCCCAAAATCTCCTTAAGCTGATAAGCAAATTCAGAAAAGTCTCAGGATACAAAATCAATTTACAAAAATCACAAGCATTCTTGAACAACAATAATAGACAAACAGAGTGCCAAATCATGAGAGAACTCCCATTCACAATTGCTTCAAAGAGAATAAAATACCTAGGAATCCACCTTACAAGGGACGTGAAGGACCTCTTCATGGAGAACTACAAAACACTGCTCAATGAAATAAAAGAGGATACAAACAAATAGAAGAACATTCCATGCTCATGGGTTGGAAGAATCAATATCATGAAAATGGCCATACTGCCCAAGGTAATTTATAGATTCAGTGCCATCCCCATCAAGCTACCAATGACTTTGTTCACAGAATTGGAAAAAGCTACTTTAAAGTTCATATGGAACCAAAAAAGAGCCTGCATCGCCAAGTCAATCCTAAGCCAAAAGAACAAAGCTGGAGGCATCACGCTACCTGACTTCAAACTATAGTACAAGACTACAGTAACCAAAACAACATGGTACTGGTACCAAACAGAGACATAGATCAATGGAACAGAACAGAGCCCTCAGAAATAATGCCACATAACTACAACTATCTGATCTTTTACAAACCTGACAAAAACAAGCAATGGGGAAAGATTCCCTATTTAATAAATGGTGTCAGGAAAACTGGCTAGCCTTATGTAGAAAGCTGAAACTGGATCCCTTCCTTACACCTTATACAAAAATTAATTCAAGATGGATTAAAGACTTACATGTTAGACCTAAAACTATAAAAACCCTAGAAGAAAACCTAGGCAATACCATTCAGGACATAGGCATGGGAAAGGACTTCAGGTCTAAAACACCAAAAGCAATGGCAACAAAAGCCAAAATTGACAAATGGGATCTAATTAAACAAAAGAGCTTCTGCACAGCAAAAGAAACTACCACCAGAGTGAACAGGCAACCTACAAAATGGGAGAAAATTTTCGCAACCTTCTCTTCTGACAAAGGGCCGATATTCAGAAACTACAATGAACTCAAATTTACAAGAAAAAAACAAACAATCCCATCAAAAAGTGGGTGAAGGACACGAACAGACACTTCTCGAAAGAAGACATTTATGCAGCCAAAAAATATGAAAAAATGTTCATCATCACTGGCCATCAGAGAAATGCAAATCAAAACCACAATGAGATACCATCTCACACCAGTTAGAATGGCAATCATTAAAAAGTCAGGAAACAACAGGTGCTGGAGAGGATGTGGAGAAATAGGAACACTTTTACACTGTTGGTGGGACTGTAAACTAGTTCAACCATTGTGGAAGTCAGTGTGGCGATTCCTAGGGATCTAGAACTAGAAATACCATTTGACCCAGCCATCCCATTACTGGGTATATACCCAAAGGACTATAAATCATGCTGCTATAAAGACACATGCACACGTATGTTTATTGTGGCATTATTCGCAATAGCAAAGACTTGGAGCCAACCCAAATGTCCAACAACGATAGACTGGATTAAGAAAATGTGGCACATATACACCATGGAATACTATGCAGCCATAAAAAAGGATGAGTTCATGTGCTTTGTAGGGACATGGATGAAACTGGAAATCATCATTCTCAGTAAACTATTGCAAGGACAAAAAAGCAAACACAGCATGTTCTCATTCATAGGTGGGAATTGAACAATGAGAACACACGGACACCGGAAGGGGAACATCACACTTCGGGGACTGTTGGTGGTGGGGGGAGGGGGGAGGGATAGCATTAGGAGATATTCCTAATGCTAAATGACGAGTTAATGGGTGCAGCACACCAATATGGCACATGAATACTTATGTTGCAATCCTGCACATTGTGCACATGTATCCTAAAACTTAAAGTATAATAATAAAATAAAATAAAATAAAAAAGCAAAAGATACACTAATACAGATTAACCAACTAAAAAAAAAGTAGAGAAAGGTTATTTAAAAAATATAAAGCATACAGTAATAATCTAACACGTTGAAATCTAAGAAGGACAAAACAGCTGGTCTGAACAGCATTTTAAGTGGCAATGTTAGAGGTTTTATCAAAATTGACCAATAATATTAATCCACAGGTTCAGGAGGCTTTGCAAACCAAATGAAAACACACAGAGAGGACACACCTAGAAACATGATGGGACAATTTCTGAAAAGTAAAAGAAAAATGTCAAAAGCACTTGATAAAAAAATTGGGCTAACTATAAAGAGAAAGAGTTGACTGATAACAACCTTCTCAAATGAACAATGAAAGCCAACAAGTGAGGTATTGATACCTTTCAAGTCCTGAAATAAAATAAGTGCCGACCTAGAACTGTCTACTTGGTGGACATATCCATCAAAAGCAAAGATACAATAAAGAATTTATCCCAAGCAGACCCACAGGATAAGAAATACTAAAGATTATTCTTCAGGTAGAAGAGCTATGATCCCTGATGAAAGTTTGCAGTTAGAAGAACGCTTTTTTTAATGAAAGAAATAAACATAGAGAGAAATTTAATTGGACATCGACTGTATAACAGAATGCTAGCTCATAAAGTTTAAAATGCATCTTCCATACAACAGCAGAAGCATATAAGTTGTGAGTTGGATAAATTAATTTTAAAATATTGTCAAGTTTTTTTTGCAAATAGACAAATGTACCAATTATATTAGACCCTGAATTCAAGAATGCATGTTGTAATAAACCAGTTAAAACATAATCAGACCAGATTTTTTAAATGTACTCTCTTAAAGTTTTTATAATTTATATTTATATTTCACATATTTTGAAACTAAATAATGGAAAAGCATGCAATGCAAATATTAAACAAAATATAGCTTTAGTTGTACTTATATTCACATTTAAAAAGTTGGACACAGTTAAGTCTCAGTGATTTTTTTACACAACGGAGGCAAGCTGTGCAGTTATAACTAGTATTATGTTATGCTCTTGGCCTGATTACAGAAGGGAAAGGGGCAATCATACCAGACAATGGCAGAATGAAGCAACAAGGAGTAGAGTTACAGAACATGATGCTGTAACTGGGACTGGAGTTACTCTTTTAGAGTTAAAGAATAGTAAACTGGACAAAATATATGAAACTTTTTTTGAAATACTGAACATCAGGCAGCACAGGACTGTGCTCCGCAAGAGAAAAGAAGGAGCCAGAATGAGTCCTGCTTTATTCCCAGGTTCTCCGTGACAGCAGTAGAGAGGAATCCCAGAGAGAGCAGACATTGTCATTGCACTGAGGAACCAGATAAAAACCAAAATGTTAAGCAGCTGGAATGTGTAGTAGAAGAGAACGTTTACAGAAAAAGGAACCAATAATCAGCCTAAGGTTTCTCCCAAGTCCCTAAGCCAAATGTACATAGGATGAAATTCTAAGGAGCTCAGCAAAGGACTCTACCAGGGAGTTGGAAGAACACTTCCCTGGCGTCACATGACAGGAAGACATGTTAGCTCTGACCAGCCAGAGAAGGGAATCCCCTCTGTACCTCCAGGATATTCAGTAAAGACCACTGGAGGTTATGCCCTAGTGACAGTGCTCATTTAGCTCCAAATTACAGATGGCTCTAGACTAACTCAACAAAGTTTAAAGAGAAGATTTAAAACAACAACAGAAAAATACTCATCCTGAAGTTACTGAACTGCCTGCCACAACATTGTTCAAAGGTAGCCAATAAAATCTAGATATTCAATAGCATAACATCAAAATACCCCCCCAAAAAAAACTCTGACATGCAAAGAAGCCAGAAGATATATATTATTAAGATATATATTAACAGGATAAAAATAAGCCATTTATAAATGACAGAAGAAGGAATTTTCAAGGTCCTTAAAGTAAATATATTTTATAAATACATATAGATAAATACATATATATGTCAAAGTACTTAAATGAAAATTGAACATAGGAGAAAAATGGAAGTTATAAAATGAAAAATGTGACACGTATAGATGAAAAATAAATATTTTAAATAAAAATTCCATGAGATAGAATAAGTCATGTATTTTACCCTAACATCAGAAAATATATAGAAAAATTAGAAGCTTTACAAACTAAAGGACAAAGGGTAAACTAAAATAAGAAAGCCAGAAACTCACTGATACGTGAGACAATATGCAGCAGTGTAACATACATTTAATTAATATCTCAAAAGGGATGGGTGGGGGAATTATAGTTGAATAAAGAATGGTACATTCATTCCTGAGGGCACCGAGGAGGGAGGATAGCTTGAGATTCCTAAGGGAGGGTATTATCCATTCATGAAGTTCCATCCCCATGACCAAACACCTCCCAGTAAGCCCCACCTGCAACATTGGGGATCAAATTTTAACAGGAGATTTGGAAGGGGCAAGCATTCAAACCATAGCAAGAGTTAAAATTCCTTTAAAAAAATCACTGATATGATTCCATTTCACCATAGATAAAAACTATCATTTCAGCCTACCATTGAGTGTACTTATAGCTAACGGAAAGGGCACTCTGTCTCGGGAATACAGATTTGCCTAGAGGTATCCTATTGCAGTCAAAGAAACAGCAATGAGGGATAGAAAAGGTTAGTGATGGAGACACCAACGCTGCATTTTACAACAAACAATGTAAAAACTTTACGGATTGCTTCTGCTAACTTACTAAAGTTTACTTTCCTCTCAGGTGGGAGAATTGTTGAGTTTTTTCTTAAGATAGAAAAGCAATTCAGATAATCTGAAATCTCCATAAGAAGGATAAGAAGCACAGCAGAAACTATTCTAGGCAGGAAGTCAATCCATTCAACTGTCTGTGCTCCATAGAAACAATTGTCTGCACTGGGAGTCATACGAGGTACAGACAACAGCCAGACCTCTGATCCTCTCATTAGTGATTTCAGAAGAAATTACCAGTCAGCTGAGTAATTCACTGAGTAAAGTAAACATTTGGCACTGACAGAGGTTAGACGGATAACTATTTGTATCACCATATTCATGAAGCTGGAATATTTTCCATTACTGGTATCACATCCGAATGGAAGATGTTAAAAGGTCTCTCATCTTGTAAGATGGATATGAAAGAACATTTTCTGAGAAATGAAATTATTCACACACCAGCGAGGTGGATGGAAGAGAAAAAAAAAGAATAATCAGCTTGAGTTCTTCTCCTTGATAAGACAACTCACTAAAAACATAAAGAGAAAAATACAAGTTTAAAAAAATTAACCAGAAGAAGACGACTCTAGACTTTTTAAATTGCTGATAAGATTTTAATTTGCTCCAAGTTGAAAATAACCATATCGCTTGTGTTTTAAGGCACATAATGAGCAATTATATCACACATGATAGATTCAGCAGTAAAATATTATCCGTTAACAGCTGGAACTCATAAAAGCATAGCACAATGTGAAGATGGAATTTGCTAAAATAAACCATCTGCTGAAAAATACTATTCTGCAAATTTAAAAATAAAGTTTAAATGTTATTTGTCTTATTTAATAGGTCTGTGAAAAAATGCGATATTTGAAAAGTAGGTACTACCTTAATTAGTTCTTTATATTAGACAGCTGGTTACAGTAATGCACAGTAAGGTGCTACATACAAATATTGCTAAATTTTCTGCATATACTATGTATTTAGCTTAAATTATTTGAAATTTTATAAAGTAACAAATGTATATTTAAATGTTTTGACACAAATTGCAAATATACCTTTAAAAAGCGTCTTACACTCTAAATATTATTTGTCACATATATGTCTTTTCTCTATAGGAAAGTTTAAATTTTTCCCTTGAAGCTTTAATTATTTGAGTCTATCAAACAAACTGATAATGTACAAATTAACAGGAAAAAAGGTTTACAGATATAATTACGTGCACAAGTATGCACTTGGAGTTTACATAATATACATAAATATGTATATACAAATATTTGTATATTATAAATTGATATACAAATATATACTGTATATGTATAAAAACTCCAGGAAAGGCAAGGTAGTCAACACGCCTATGCTGTCTTGAGGTTACAGAAAACACAGAGCTGTACTTTGCTAAATCAGGCTTTGCAGAAGGCAGGTGACGACAAGGAAGAAAGAGGAGCCTGGCAGCAGAGGTGGTCTTGTTACATGGATGAAACCTCACAGGGAGCAGCCCTCCTCTTGGGAAGTAAAGATAGGAAATGGTTTTTAGAAATGTAAACGTGCCAGACTCAGTTAATCTTTCCTAAACCCAGACAAGGGAGTATCTCAGGGAAAGCCTGTCTATATCAATGCAGATTTTCTCTACAAATGCAAATCTCCCCAACAAACACAGCTTTTCAGCTATTCTTGTAGAAGAAGCTATTTCCAGTCTTCCGAGTAGCCATCTTGAAATATGTCAAAAAGTTGGCCGGGCGCATGCCTGTAATCCCAGCACTTTGGGAGGCTGAAGTGGGTAGATCACCTGAAGTCAGGAGTTCGAGACCAGCCTGACCAACATGGTGAAACCCCGTCTCTACTAAATATAAAAAATTAGCCGAGTGTGGTGGTGCATGCTTGTAATCTCAGCTACTTGGGAGGCTGAGCTAGGAGAATAACTTGACCCTGGGAGGCTGAGGTTGCAGTGAGCCAAGATTGTGCCATTGCACTCCAGCCTGGGCAATAAAAGCAAGACTCCATCTCAAAAAAAAAAGTATTTTAGGGTAATATTTTGAGTATCTTTACCTCCATATGTACAATAAATATTATTGTGATTTTTAATCTTTACTTTTCTGTGGAGAAAACATAGGTGTGATTTGTAGTGTAGCTGAACATCACGTTTACTGAAAATATTGCACTTGTGTGTGTGTGTGTGTGTGTGTGTAGCTACTCTTTACCTTTGTTCTCATGTAATGATTAGATATTAACAATTAATTCAGTAAAATGTATGTTTTGCAATATTTCTCCATGTTACTATGCTTTAAATTAGTTTAATCATGCCCCTATAATGTGTACATTTTAACCTTTGACTATAGGTCTCAATCTTACTTTGGTTCCTGTATTTGAATTTATGCTAATAAAGTTCTACAGCTAAAAAGGATTATATAAACTTATCTACATTTTTACTAGTATTCTGGTGTCATTTTAAATTATGTAATTAAATCAAATTTTAATTTGGATTATTGTTATCTGAGTTAAGGATCTAAATTTTTAATTTTCTTATAAATATTACATAATTATTTCTGAACCATATATTGACTAATCTGCCCTTTATATGATGTGCATTATAAGAGCTTGGGATTGATTCCTTTGCAAAGATGAATGCTTGAGAAGTAGATATTTAATCATAACATTTCAAAATCTACTGGATAACCTAGAATTGAAAAATAGCCTATAGGTTGAAAAACTCCTGTAGTGAAGAAAGAAATAACTAATATACAGTGACAATATAAATATTATAAGTATTTATTTTATTATCACCCTGAAATTTGATAATACAAACATGTAATATCTACATATCATCCATATATCAGGCCATAAAAAATCAATACATTCTTCAAAAATTTAGCATAACACAAAATGCACTCTCTCTCCTTGATGGAATTAAGTTATAAATAAAAGTAAAAATAAGTAGATAAGTAGATGGAAGTAGATGTTTAAAAACAAAGAAAAATATTTGTTTTGGATAACATAAAAACTCAATTGACGATTCCAATATTTCAAGAACTTTGGCTGTCAACTGGTGGAGTTTTCCCCAGGAGACATTTGTCAATGTCTAGGGTTATTGTGGGGATGTCAAGACTGGTGGAGGTGTGAAATTTAGAGGTCAAACGAAACACCTAGCATTGCTAGGGCAGCCTCCCACAACAAAGAATCCTCTGGTCCTAAAGGTAAGTAGCACCAAGGTTGAGAAACCATATTCTAGAAAGTAAACACTAAGTAGCTATTCCAAGTGCTCAGGAAAACACATCAGTGCCCTCGAGGGGAAAAGTGTAAACATTTTAATTGCTGTACATGGTGACACAAATCCATGTTGTTAATCTAAGTGGAAGGGGCTGAAGCACAAAACGTAATTCAAAGAGTTTACTTGAGCCACAATGAGGACAGCTGCCTGGAAGGAACAGACCCAAGTATCCTTGGATATGAACTCCCTTTGGAGCTTTGCAACAAGCAGTTTCTTAAAGGCAAAAAAGGGACAAGAAGTGGGATGATGCAAAGAGGTTTGTCACAAATTCTCATTGGCTTATGGAAATAACATTTATTAGTGACTGGCTATACACTGTTACACTATTATTGGGTGTGGATTATAGTGTCTGGTGTGGCGTTATTGGTTAATTTATAGCTACTGTGGCAACAGCGGCAGCCTAGATGAACACACAGCTCAAAGAGGAGCAGAACAGAACTGCTGTCTCATCTGAATATCTCTCTGGGCCTGATTATTTAAAAGGACTTGCGTTTCTCACATGAAAGTTATTTTCTTTTCTCAATGTCAATAAATGAGAATAAATAGACATAAAATAGGTCTTTCGAGGATGAAGTAAATGGAATAAAAAACAAAACCCAAGCTGAACAGAAATCATAGAGGGAAGAAAAGTTATAAATATGTGGAGTTTTCAAAGTGATTTTAAGCTATTAGGAATCAGTTAAATGTTGGGGGATTTTGTCTGAGTATGGGCTAAAGGAGAATGTCCCTTTTGCCTTCTGAAGTTTCCCTGAAAATCACTAACAGGAGGCAGATAAATAGTAGAAAAGGCATACAGGTTTCTGCAATGTGTGTACACTGGAGCCCTTAGAATGAAGACCCAGACACACGATGGGTGCAGAAGTTTAACTACCACATGAAGTTTACAGAAAGAATGGGGTCTTGGATCACAGAGGAAAAAAAAAAAAGTTATGTGAGAAAAGGACCCTGGCTAGCAACAGTGGACTTATTACGTAGGTGAAACCTCACTGGGAGCAGTCCTCAGAGATAATAGACAGAAAATGTTTCTTTCAGACCTTTGCAGACCTCAGACCCTCAGTTAATCTTTCCTAGATCCAGACAAGGGAACAGATCTCAGAGAAAGCCTGGCTGCATCAAGGCAGATTCTCTACTGATGCAAATCTCCCCAAGACAGCTTTGCAGCTATGTTTGCATTTCCAGCCCTTCTCAATAGCCATTTTGAAATATATCAAGGAAATATATTTTGGGGTAAAATATATTAGTTTCCTTCATACAGCTATAAAACATGCAGGAATAATTTTTCTCAATGTCTACTACAAATCCAATATAGCAGTAATTATAAAACCCACCAGATATTGAAGAAAAAATATGTAGAGTACATCACTTACAAATATTGATACTAAAATGCCAAATAAAATAAAAATAATATCCAACAGTATTTGAAACAGTAAGACAAGAAATTGGCAAAAAAATAAAACAAATATCCACCTTGGGGATGAAAGTGTGATTCCAAATTTGGTAATCCAATAATATTAATAATCATATTGATTAGCCCAAATAAAAAATAAATAGGGGATTCTCAGTACACGCTAAAATATATTTGTTAAAAGGTCATATTCACGTCTTTAAAGATTTTAAATACTATAAAGAGTCTGATATTCTATATGCAAACATGTGTATGTCCATTAGAAGAACAGAGGCCTGATTTTCATATGTTACTACATAAAGGTAGAGAAGTGAATAGATTAATTTCATATGCATAGAGAAAGCATAAAATAGAAATTTACTGTCATACTTAAAGGAATTTAAATTCAACAATAAAATAATTCAAAGGTAAAATTTTAAATATTTTTAAGTTACATTATTAATATTAGATAATATTTATAATTGTGAAAATATTCAATGCTAATATAAGATAGAATGTCTAAACCTCAGTATTAAAACTAGTATAAATATTTGCTTGTTTGTACAAAGAAAATTCAAGCTCAACCTAAAATTATATAGGAAATAAAAGAAAAATTTTAAGGGAGCTCTTTAATAACACAAACATATATATATATACACACACATATAACATGCATATATGTTATATGGGATAGATATAGATTTAACATGTTATATCTATATTTGTATCTATCTATAGCTACAGCTGTATGTATCTACATTTCTATATATTTACTCAGTGATATAAATATAGACTGGAATAAATATAAAGGCACATATGATTCTTGGATAAAAAGGATTTAGTATCACAAAGACAAATTCTTTCCAAATTCACCTATGAATCCACAACAATATACAGTTTCATTAGTATAATTTAAAATTTTTAAATAAATTCCAAGATTTATTTAAAGGAATATACATGTATACCAGCAGTAAAGAAAGAAGCAAGAGTGAACTAAACTAACTTGTTATTAAAATACATTTTTAAACTTAGTAACTAAAACTGAGCAGTACTGATTTGGAGTACTGGAATTTAGGTATATGGGATCTCAAAAGCATAGAGCTCAAAGGAGACCCCTGTATGCACGAGAGCTTAGGATGTGCTTTAGAAGGCATTACGAAACCACGGGCAAAGTTACTTTGGTGTCTTAGTCTTACTAGGTTTGAAAAGCCAGAGAAAAGACTCAAGGCCACCATATAAGAGCAAAACAAAAGGACAGGGTGAGAACGTGAAGATACTCAAACATTTTACATAAAGTTGTATAAAACATACTTTAAAGAAATATAAAGTTTAGGCTATACATCAAAATCAACAGAACCACTAAATAAATAAATAGGAATTGTAAAAAAGCAAGAGAAAATTTAAATGGATTTCTAAAAAATATTGACAGCTATGATTTTTAAAATATGTTTAAGAAATCCTGTATTTCACAGGGCAGCCTTTCACAACATAGACATATTAGGACATAAAGGTCCTTCTGTTTTTAATTTACTAGTGTTTGTAGGGTTAAAAATGTCTTCTACCCTTGTCTTTTGTCTGATGGTGCAAAAAGTTTTCATAAGCAAGTACTTCTGAATGCCTGATGGATTGACATATATAATATGCTGCTAGTATTAAAATATGTGACGGAAAACGCATCCAATCTTCTCACTGTTTACATAAATTCTAGGTTTCTCCTATTTACCTCAAACACGTATGGAGCGAATTCTTACCTTTTAATATTGCCATGGCATTCACATTGAACGTAAGTTGAACTCTCTCATATGGTAGCTGGGTTCAGATTCCCTTGATGATTTCCAGTTCTAACCCTCACAGTTCCTCAGTGTGGCTGGCCCAGATATTGACCCTACACAGCTGCCTCCTCCTGGTGACTAGCCGTTGTGGAACTGTTGGATACAACCTACCTGACTCACCCCACAGACCTCACAGCCCACATGGACAGCCCCCACACGCCAGAGTGACCTGCTCAGTTGCAGCTGCAGCCAAGAAATGTGCCTACTGGCTCTCACCCCACTGACCAGAGCCCCGTGGAAAACTTATTTGGGTAATGTTCTGGGCTCAATAAAGGCTGGAGTCCCACAGACCACTTTTTTCTCTCTTGCTCCCCACTTATCTTCCTCATTTTGTTCAGCCCTATGAGGTGTGCTACTGTATTAGTCCATTTTCACACTGCCGGTAAATACATGCCCAAGACTGGGTGATTTCCAGAAGAAAGAGGTTTAATAGGTGCACAGTTCCACATGGCTGGGTAGGCCTCACAATCATGGTGGAAGGTGAAAGGCAGGTCTCACGTGGCAGCAGACAAGACAAGAGAGCTTGTGCAGGGAAACTCCCCTTTATAAAACCATCAGATCTTGTGAGACTTATTCACTATCAGAAGAACAGCATGGGAAAGACCTGTCCCCATGATTCAATTTCCTCCCACCTGTTCCCTCCCACAACATGTGGGAATTCAAGATGAGATTTGGCTGGGGACACAGCTAAACCCTCTTCTCAGCTACCCTCTTCTCTCTGGATCTGTGAGTAATAAAACTACTTCTGTGATTTCCCATGTTTGGTCCTGTGGCCTCCATGTGTCTGAGCTGACCTACACTGGAACCTAACTCTCCTCCTGGCCAGGGTCTCTGAGAGTGGCTCTTGTCAGAAATACACAGGACACAGGTCACGCAACAGCCACCAGGCATCTCCTAGTCTCAACAGATTTTCTGTGAGAGGGAGGCCTGCTCGTGGGATGCACACCTGGCCACTGCTGGGGTAAGGAAGTGTCCTGTGAAAGGCACATGTTAAGCATCCACAACCCCCTGCCCAGAACCCCAGAAAGGCAGGGCTCCAATTGACAGTCTCTCTCCAGAGACAAACCTCAAGCCCTAACTGGAGGAAAATAAAACAATGTAAAAAATTGAATTTATCTTACTATTTCAATGATCCAGGAAAGACATTCTATGCCTGTACAACACATATTTTCTTCAATTTTGGATATATTTTAGATTGAATTTTATGTCTGGCTTTCACTTTAGCCTGGTCCCTACCTCAAGCATAAGGTAAAGATTTTCCATGGGTTCTTTTCTGGTACTACTACCTGCCAGTGTGGAGTCATGTCCTAGTCTTTCTTGAGGGAACCCCCCCCATTCATTATTGTCAGAGTGAGACTCTTAAGTCTTGATTTCCCTGGACAACTTCATTGCATGACTTTTAATATGATTTTTAAATATACCCTTTACTGGACAATAAATTATATAGTTATCTGAGTAAGAGATATGGTCAGAAAGAGGCATTGCCTCATTCAGCTTTTCTGTTTGGTGAACTCGCATATGTTCTCCTCACCCACCAGTCACCTCTAAACCGTATTGTTCCAAGACAACAAACAGAACTCGAGTGTGTATCTTTCACCACTGGATTTGTCTTTGCTCCATAAAGCTTAATGCTTAATAGGGTTTCTGTTAGCATTTTCTCTATTTATTTTCCCATAAAATATCACAGGCCTTCTTCATATGGAATTATGGGTGATTTCCTTCAATCTGCATCATATCAAGTTGAGGTTCACGTTGATGGAAAGTAAAACATATGTTTAAAATATCAGTAATGATGTTTTCCTCTCCTTTTTAGCACATGTGCTTGTGAGAGTCATTGTAATACAATTCTAGTCTCATGCTGTGATCATTCCTAAGATGAAAATAACATTTTTAGATAAAATATCTGAGTTGTATGAGGGCTTTATTATATGATGTGATATAATATCAGAAGACCATACTTTTTTCTAGTTTTCCATGCAATTCTATCATTGTTTCATCTTTACTCCTACCAGAGTAATTTTCCAAAATAGATATCTTGTCATTCTTCCTGTTGTTATCAGTAAATGAGTGAAAGGAAAAGCTAGATTATATAATTTATCTAGAACAAGAAAGTAGAATTGAATCTATATTCATTAATGAGACTAACCAGTCAATTACACAGATAGGCATTTTACATTTTGAAGATCATATGGACCATTGTCAGATATATTATTATTTATGTCTATATGGACATCACCTGTTCACATTTATGTAGAAATCAATGAGAGCTGATTTTTATTTTTATTATATATATTTTTTGAGATAGGGTCTTGCTTTGTTGCCCAGGCTGCAGTGCAGTGGTGCAATCACTGCTCACTGCAGCCTCAACCTCCCAAGCTCAAGCAATCCTTCCACCTTGGCCTCCCAAATAGCTACGACAACAGGTGCACCTCACCATGGCCACCTTTTTTTTTTTTAACTTTTGATGAAGACTGGGTCTTGTTATGTTGCCCAGGTTGCTCTTGAACTCCTGGGCTCAAAGAATCCTCTCATTTCAGCCTCTTCAACTGCTGGTATTACAAGCATGAGCCACCATATGGGCTGGAAGCTGATTTTTAAAATACTGAGATCATATAGATGACAGCACGTGAAAAATAGACAACACCAAGCTTTATGTTAAAGGGTGTGAGGGTATCAATATTGTTGTGGCTAATGGGGAGGAAAACATTAGTAAAACCAGTGAGTTAAAGCTGTTGCTTTAAACTTTGGCTTTAATTCAACAAATGTTCTCTGGGGCGACAGTATGTAGGTAACCATGCTATGCCCATTCACAGATGCAGTAGAGGGAAGAATTTCTCAAAGACAACTGTTCTAAGATTGAAATTAATCCATACTGGGTTTGAAAAGAGAAAGTCCAGGAATTACCAAATATTTTAGATATCAGATAAAAGAGAATGCCAGGTATGCGATGATAATCAGCAATGATTGTTCACACAATACATCAAATCAGTATTTGAATTAGCTTTTGAATTACAAGGACAAATGGATCAATTCTTGACTCTTTAGTAGATAAATCTTATTAGGCTGAGATGTGTTTTCCCCTGTTTTTCCACAAGCAGATTACAAATTTGCAAACCTCAGCTGCTCTCATTTTATGCTCTCATCAAGCCAAAAGCTGAAGTTCATCAATCAGTGTGTCTAAGTGTTCACTAGTTATACACCATTTTGTATTTTAAGCTATCTTTCCAACTTCCTAAATCATCACCTTCATTTGACCTTGTTTTTTTCCACTATCACTTCATTATTGACCATATAAGGAATATATGTAAGTTCTTATTTTGTTATTGTTCATTTTAGTCTAATTTCATCAAAATATCATAATCCTTTAATTTCATTTTAATTTCAAAGATTAAATGAAACCTACATAGAAATGAGTGTAAGATTTGCATTTGCGTTATTTTGGCATCAATTTGCTATCTTCCCTCATACACATACTGATCATTTCCATGTACGTGATTTCAAACATCCAAGTGCAGTATTAAAAGCAGTTGTAAATTATGGTTCTCATTTTCGTGATACAATTACTATATAAACTTCCTCTTGCTGTTGTAAGCAATTACCACAAACTTCATATCTTACAGTAAAGTGACTGGTAATCTTACAGTACTGGAGCTCAGAAGGCTTAAATGAGACTCACAGGGCTAACATCAAGTTTTGGGCAGGGCTGCAGTCTTTCTGAGGGCTCTGTGGCAGAATCTATGTACTTGATTTTTTTCAGCATGCAGAAGCCACCTTTATTCCTTGGAACATGACCTCATTCTTATATCTTTTTTTTTTTTTTGAGATGGAGTCACCTTCTGTCGCCCAGGCTGGAGTGCAGTGGCACGATCTCAGCTCACTGCAACCTCTGCCTCCTGGGTTCAAGCGATTCTCCTGCCTCAGCTTCCTGAGTAGCTTGGACTACAGGCACGTGCCACCATGCCCAGTTAATTTTTTGGACTTTTAGTAGGGATGGGGTTTCACCATGTTAGCCAGCATGGTCTCGATCTCCTGACCTCGTGATCCACGCACGCCGGCCTCCCAAAGTGCTGGGATTAGGCGTGAGCCACCGCGCTGGGTCCTCATTCTTGTATCTTAAAAGTCAGTGATGTTGAGTAATTTCTCATGCCACCACCTCCATGGTTGCCTTTCTTCTGCCTTCTTCTTTCACTTATAAGGAAGCTTGTGATTTCATTGATCCCACCCATTTAAGATAATCTCTCCATCATTTTATTGCAACCTTAATTTCACTTGAAATCTAATTTCCCACTGCCATGCAACCTAACATATTTGTATGTTAGACTTTGGGAATTAGGACATGAACATTTTTGGGAGGCCATTCTTTTGTATACAGCAGACATAATCTATTTACCTGCAGATTAAAGTGTTCTTTATTTTTCTGCCTCCCTCTCTTAAATTTTTTAAATAATATGAATTGTAGTAAAGAGAAAGAAAGAAAAGAAAAGAAGAAAGAAAAAAGAAGAAAGGAAAGAACAAAGGAAGGAAAGAAAGAAAGAAGAAAGAA
The DNA here is from genome assembly GCF_000001405.40 of Homo sapiens. Classification (NCBI taxonomy): domain Eukaryota; kingdom Metazoa; phylum Chordata; class Mammalia; order Primates; family Hominidae; genus Homo; species Homo sapiens. The sequence continues at coordinate 132,049,115 of NC_000002.12, read as the reverse complement.
AAGAAGGAGGAAATCAGAGAAGGAAGGGAGGGAGGGAGGAAGGGAGAAAGGCAGGAAGGGAGAAAAAAGAAAGCAAGAACACAAGAAGGAAAGAGAGACAGAGAAAGAAAGAAAGAAAGAAAGAAAGAAAGAAAGAAAGAAAGAAAGAAAGAAAGAAAGAAAGAAACAAGAAAGAAAGAATAAAGAAAGGAAGGAGGAAGGGAGGAAGGAAAGGAGGAAGAGAGAATGTTAAAAGAGAAAAAGGCAAGAAACAAAGAAAATAAAGAGGAGAAGGAAGGAAGTAAAGAAGGAAGTAAGGAAGGAAAAAGGAGGAAAGAAAGGGAGGGATGAAGGAAGAAAAGGTGGGATGAAGGAAGGGAGAAAAAAGGAAAGAAAGCAAGAAAGTGAGAAAGAAAGAATAAGAGAAAAGGAAGAAAAGAAGGGAGGGAGAAAGGAAGGGAGGATGGAGGGAAGAAAGAATGAGGAAAGAAAGAAGGAGAGAAGGAAGGAAGGAGAAAAAAGAAAGAAAAGAAAGAAAACCAGAGAGAAAAGAAAGAGGAAAAGAAGAAAGGAAGGAAGAAGGCAAGGGAAGGGAAGAGAAGAGAAAGGAAGATGGAAAGAAGGAAGGAAGACCGCAAATATTAGAAATTCTGGGTTTGTTAGAGAATATGCCATACTGTTGTTGTTTTTTTTTTTTTTTTCACTTGAAAGGAAAGAGTATCTGCCATTGAAGATTGGATGTCTTGTTGGTGATATTGTTGTTCTTATCTTCCATATGATTACTGAGTTTTTGCCTAGTCTGTCCATTACTAAGACAAAAGTGTTGAAGTCTGCAAATATAATTTTGGATTTTTCTAGTTCACCTTTGATTTCTTTCCTGTTTTACCTCATGTATTTGGAGGTTCTGTTGTTAGCTGCATACCCTAATTAGTAGGATGTTCACATCTTCTTAAGAATTGATTATTATATTACTTATTACTTCTCAACTCTGATACTATTTCTTGTTCTGAACTCTGTTGTGTCTAATATCAATGTAGCCCTTCCACAGCTTTATTTTATTGTTTCCATGACATGGCTTTCTCCATATCTCGATGATAACCTATTTATATCTCTATATATTTGGAGCAAGATATAAAATTTAGAGTTGATTTTTTAAAGATTTTTCAAGATGTAATTCTTATTTTTGTTCTATTTGACATTCTCTGAGTTTCCTATATCTGAAGTTTGATTTTCTGTCACTTCTTTTAGAATATTTTTGGCAGTTATTTTGAAAAATATTTCTTTTGCTCCATTATTTTTTCCTCTTTTCTTTTTGGGATTTCAATTATAACTAGGGTAGGTAATTTCATCTCAGTCTTATGCAGGTACTTTTTCTCAGGGTCTCATGAATGTAGCCTTCTCACTGTTCTTTTCCTGCTGTGTTGGTGAGCTCAGTGATATTCCTCCTTCACCTTCAAGAGCAGTTTTGTTTTGTTTTTCCTGTTTTCATACTCCCAGCATCAGGAGTATTCTAAGTGTGGCAGTTTTTGTTGTCTTCCCCTACATATTAAGTGGAATGGAATATCTTGGTCTATTTGGACTCTTATAACAAAATAACATAAACCAGGTGACTAAAAAGCAACAGATATTTCTTTTTTCGCACTTCTTGAGGCTGTAAGTTCTCAGGTCAAGATGCTCACAAATTCAGTGTTGATGAGAGCCCATTTCATGGTTCATAGATGGTGCCTTCTTTCTATGTCCTCACATAGTGGAAGGCACACAAGAACTCCATTGAGCTTCTTTTATAAAGGCACTAATCCCATTCATAAGGGCTCGGCCCCCAAGACCTGGTCACCTCCCAAGTGTTCTGCTCTCCCTGATCTGTATCATATACAGACTGTCTTGGATTCCTTACCAATTGCTTGAGAGATCACAGTGGGTTTGTGGGGAAAAAGTTTTCAAGATGATGGATCTTTCCCAACTTCTGCAGCTGTCAGCGGTCTCCCAATCTGACCAGCCCCACTTTGTCTTTAGGAATTTATTGATTATTCCAGCTTTACTTGTCATAGTGGTGTCTATTTGCATCTGTCCTATGTAAGTGCATCTGTCCTCTTTCTCCTTGCAGTTGCTTGTTTTCCCTCACATTTTTACTCAGTTCTTCGCAACCTGGTTACTATAAAAATAAAGTCATGACTTTGAAGTTAGTTTGGTTCTTTCATTGTTGTAAGGTTAGCAGCCCTATTCCATCCCAGCTCTCCAAAACCCAGAATTTTTGGGGGGTTGAAATTTTAGGCTTTCTCTTTGAATTGTAGTTTTATCTTATTTCAGTTACAATTTGCATTTTCATACTGATTAATGAGACTAAGGTTTTTTTGTGTAGTTGACTGTACCTTTGGATTTTTTTCCCCAATCCCTTTTCATTTCTTATTTTCTTTATGGTTTTAGAAAATGCAGTTTACATATTGCAGCTTGATATTTTACTCAGTTAATGGCATGCTTAATGGAGAGAAAAAATATTAACTATATTTCCCTTTTTAATTACTGTGCTTTTTTCTTTTTTAAGGAAATATTTCATTATGTTAAATTTTAGTGTTATTCTACTCAGCTATTCCTTAAATATTATACTATTTTGGATTTCACATATAAATTTGTAACACATCTTGAATTTATTGTATATAGAGTAAGGCTATTTTCTCTTTTTTGTTTTTTAAGGTAAAAAATCACATAATATAAAATTAATAACAACCATTTTAAAGCATACAATGCACAATGCACTTGCTTTTAGTATATTCACAATGTTCCAGGAAAATTTCGTCATGTCCCTTCTAAAAACCCATTATGCATAAAGTTGTTACACCCTATTCTGCTTCCCTGAGCCCTAATGACCACTAATCTGATTTATATCCCAATTAATTTGCCAATTCCTGGTGTTTCATGTGAATAAAATCAAGTAATATTTGTCCTCTTGTGCACTTAACATAATGCTTTCAAATTTCGCCCATATTATACCATGTATAAGTACTTCATTCTTTGTTATAGCTGAAAATTGGGTGTCTATTTATGAGTAAACAAGCATATGGATTGTTTCCACTTTTTGACGGTATGAATATTACTGCTATAAATATTCATGCACATGTTTATTTTTTGAACACCTAGGTTTTGTAAGATTAACAGCTGACTTAACAGAAACAATGGAAGGCAAGAGGCAGTAGAATAATATATTCAAAAGATGCAAAGGAAAAAAAACTGTCAGCCACCAATTCCTTATCCAGCAATTATTTTTCAAAAATGAAGATAACACAAAGTCTTACCCAGATAAACAGAAATATTAACTGAAGGTGTTGCTGGCAGACCTACCATACAAAAAAAAAAAAAAAAAAAAAAAAAAAAAAAAAAAACACTAAAATAAATTCCTAAGGCTAAAAGCAAGTTACACAAGCCAGTCGTTTGAATCCACATTTTTAAAAAAGCACTGGTATAGGTAATATTAACATTATAAAAGACAGTAGAAATCCATGTTTTCTCTTTATCATAAATTGTTTATAAAATAATATGCGTATAATGGCCAGGCAGGATGGCTCACACCTGTAATCTCAGCACTTTGGGAGGCCGACGTGGGCGTATTACGAGGCCAGGAGATAGAGACCATCCTGGCTGACACAGTGAAACCCTGTCTCTACTAAAAATACAAAAAATTAGCTGGACGTGATGGCAGGTGCCTGTAGTCCCAGCTACTCCGGAGGCTAAAGCAGAAGAATGTCATGAAGCCAGGAGATGGAGCTTGCAGTGAGCAGAGATTGTGCCACTGCACTCCAGCCTGGGTGACAGAGGGAGACTCCGTCTTAATGATAATAATAATAATAATAATATGCTCATAATGTATTGCTGAGTATTTGACATGTAGAAATGTAATATATCTATAACATATTTTCCAGTAACATCAAAGAGGAGGTAGTTGGAAGAAAAATGTATTGTGATAAGGTAATCACTCTAGATGGTAAAGTAGTAATTACTAAAATGTATTGTTGGCTTTGTAACTTTAATAGATATAATGTGTAAAGTGATAATACTTTAAAATGGAGGAAATATAAGAGATTTGTATAAGAATGATGTTTCTATGTATTACTAAAAGTTTACTAGTATAAATTGGAAGATGATTTGAATAATTAATTTTCCATATACCTATATGGTAAACTTACAACAACAACAAAAATTCCCAAAAATATATACTAAAATAATTCATTAGTAATCTAAAGTTCCATATTTTAGAAAATATTCATTCATTGCAAAATAAAGCAATAAAGAAAAATATTTGAGAAATACACAAAACAAACGGTAAAATGGCAGACATAAATAGAATTATACCAATTATAATATTAAATGTGAGCAGATTAAAATCCATTCAAGAGGCAGAGATTCTCAGACTGGATTAAAACAAGTGATCCCAATATACGCTGAGACGCAAGGATACTAATGGATTGAAAGTAAAAAGATGACAAAAAATATCATGCAAAGAGCAATCATAAGAACACTGAACTCATTATACTCATAACACACGATATAGACTATTAAAAATGTGAATAGGATTTTAAAAATTTATATTGTAGTAATAAGGGGGTCAGCACTTTTGGAAGACATAGCTATTACAATCATGTATGCACAAATATGAGCTAAATTGTTTCATCTATATAGACGCTGAAATCCTAACCACTGAATATGACCTCATTAGGAAATAGGTTCTTTGCAGGTGATTAAGTTAAGATAAAATCAGATGAGCCTGAATTCAATATGACTGATGTCCTTATAAAAAGAAGAAAATTGAGTAGAGGGAGACATACATACAGGGAGAGTACCATGTGATTATGAGGGCAGAGATTAGCCAAGAAATGCCAAAGACTGCCACTAAACCACCAGAAGCTAGAAACAAGGCACAGAACAGACTTTCTCTCATAGCCCTTGAAGGGACCATCCCTGCTGACACCTCAGTCTCAGACTTTTAGCTTCCAGGACTATAAGACTATAAATTTGTGTTGTTCAAGGCACCCAGTTTGTGTTACTTGGTTATGGCAGCCCTAGAAAACTAATACATGAACTAATAACAAAGCATAAGAACATGAAGCAAAAATTGACAAAAGAGGAGCATCAGCAAAATGGCAGTGGAGACAACTGCAATCTTTCACTTCCCCACAGAAACATCACACAACTAAGAGAAACTGTCCGAATAAACTTTGCCAAAACTCTGGAAAATGGTCAAAAGATTACAACAACCAAGTGAAAGCAGACTCAAGAACAAGACAACTTGAAAACTTTATGACGTTTTTAACTTGCCTTTGCCCCAGCAAATTGGCTGTTTTGAAGTGTCAGAAGCCCACGTTCCCAGTGAGGAAACCTGGTCCATCGTCCAAAGGAACAAGAGAAGATCTTACCCTCAAATTATTATGTGTCTGTTCTGACTGGTCTGGGGGATACCTAAAGGACTAATGAAAGGCTTTTTTGTGTGTGTTGCTAGGATACAGAACAGATAAGGAATGGACATTATTAAGAAACTCTACAAGGAGACCTAACAAGCCACAGATGCTTAGGGCAAAAATTAGAGTTTACACATATAGTAGATCACCTTCAGCACAGGAAGAAAAGTTGGAGTAGAGTATATGGAAAACTAAGACATTCAAAATCATTCACGTACATGGGAGAGTCTAGAAAGTCACATGTATGCATACGTTAAGCCACATGCTGACAAATGTCATAAGAAGACCCTACACTTTTACCTTCGCTGATCCCTCCCCTCAGTGCAGGCTCTGTGCAAGAGTGAACTTGAACTTCACTCAGTGCAAGAGTGAACACACACTTTGTCCCGGCTTTAAAGAACCCAGCACAAAGCCAGTCTGCATGGCCTAGAGACCTATTTTGCTGGATAATGATTACTTGTTTTTCTTTTTGTTTTTGTTGTATTTGCCTGTTTGCTTAGTTCCTGACATACAAGAAAATCAGTCAAAACATTATCTTAACATTTGTTAAGGAAACAAAAAGACTTGGGTGACCACACCTTATAAAGCAAACAGTTTTGTTAATCACTTTGGAAAATTTCACTAAAAAAAAATCCTTAACAATATAATAAGTAAATAAAATTTAAAACCACAGAACGTTAGTATGTTTGTAGGGGGGGGTCTGATTTACAGAGTAACCACATAGTAATTATAATTATTATAATGTCCAGTTTTCAAAAAAAGTTACAAGGCATACAAAGAACGGGAAAGTATGGGTCATTCAAAGGGACAAAATAAATTGACAGAAAATATCTCTAAGGAAACCCAGACATCAAACTTACTAGACAAAGACTTTAAAACAACTCTCTTAATTATACTCAAATGTCAAATGTCAAAAGGAAAACATAAACAAAGAAATGAAGGAATCAGAAAAAAATATTAAAAAGTAGGAATATCAACAAAGAGATAACAGAAATTCTGGAGTGGAAAACTACAATGATAAAAATTTAAAAATCACCAGAGGGATTTAAGAGTATATTTGCACACACAGAAAAAGTCATGAGCTTGAAGATAAGAAAATGGAAAATATTGATTCTGAGAAACAGATAAAAAATGAGCAGAGACTAAGGAATCTGTGGGACATCATCAAATAGACCAACATTCATATTCTACAAGGATAAATTATGCTGTTAAAAACTTTACCTTTCTTTCCTTTCACCTTTCTTTCTTCCTCCCTCCCCCTCCTCCTCCTTTTTACTTTTCTTCCTCTTCCTTTCTCTTCTTCTTTCTCTCCTTCATTATCCCTTTTGCTCTGTTTCTCTTTCTCCCTTTCTTTTTTCTTTTCTTTCAATTTTCTCAATTACTAAGAGATGTTTAAATACCCTTACCATGTTAGTAGATATGGTTATTTCTCCCTTTAGTTCTCTTTTGAGATTTATAGTCACTCTAAGTAAAGAGATAACCCAAACATAAGCCTCACAAACAGGCTTCCATACCGTTCTTAATTTGGTCCTGTAATTCTTCATGTCTGTATTAACCTTCTGATGCTTTTAAGGATGTTTTATAACAAATTGTTTAGTTTTTTCCAATGGAATGTTTATTCTGAATTATCTAATTCATACTGTAAGTATATAGGGAGTTTAATATAAAATTATTAAATATTTGTGAAAGAATGTATTTGTGCATTTAACAAATATGTTAATCCTCAAACTGTTATTGGGCAGCTGAGCATACAGCAATAAAAATAACATAATTTTTATGTGTACAATATTTATGGAATACGTTACTGGAACAAATAAATAATTTAGTTAATAACAGGACAAAGAACAGAAATTGTATACACTATAGAGCATAGTAATGGAATAATGAATGATTAAAGTTATTAATATTAGGTAGAACATGAAGGGTATCTTTGAGAGCAGAACTCAAGGAAGCAAGCAATTCGCCTTATGAGGAAAGAGTTACCTGTGGATAAAGGAGAAACTGAAAAATTTACAAGTCAAGACTTTTTAAGCAAAAACAAAAATATGACTTTTAGTCACCAATTCAGTACAGTGAAAAAAAAGTTGAAGAAGAGATATCTTGGAAGTAAATCATGTTGTGGAAGAGCACATAGGGTTTTGATAATCATGGGATTATTCTGAATTAATTTTAAATGCGATAGGAATATATGAGATAATTTCACCAGAGAATAATATGATTCCGTTTGCATTTCAAAGGGGTGTATCTGGTGCACTGTGTAGAATAAATAGGTTATGTGAGCAAATAAATTGGGAGGCTATTGTAATCCAGAGAAAAAAGGTAGTGACTTAGGTGAGAATGCTGTAAGTATGAGTGGTATTAGTGGTGAGAAGTCGTTAGGCCATGGATGTATTTCATAGGACTGGCCAAGAGAACTGCAGCTAAATTGGAGTGTAGGGAGTGAAATGGAGAACTCAAAGATGACTCTCAGCACTGGAAGGTGACAGCTGTCACTGAAGCATGCTGATGCCTCTTATTAAGAGAGTTACTTGGGAATGGCAAGATCAAAACTTCTCACATTCAAATTTATGAAAAATATTGTTTTCAGAACGAATGACTTTGGGATCAGAAAGCCATCACTCTAATTGACGGTTCCACGACTACACAGGCTCACACTCCCAAGAGCAAAAGTAAATCATCACAAAGGTGCTTCCTGATAATTCTAGAGAATGGAGAATTACTGTAACATCTTTCTGATTTTAGGAGAGGTAGCAGTTCCCTTTTTAGCCTAAACGCTATTTTTTTTAAAGCTCAGCCAAGAGACTCCATTATAATTTTCAAATGTGTGTAACTTAAATTCTCATATTAAATACCACTATGCTTAAATTAGTCAAAACATTTTCCCCATCTACAACTCTATCTTTTCATCGCAATCATTTTCACAAAAGTGACTGCAGCTAACAGACCCTAAAGGGGAAAATCTAGGGTAGGTTATCTGATCTAGTTAGTTTTGAAGACAGGATCTAGAGATTATTTAATATGAAATAGGTCACCTGAAATGAAGTGTTTACTGAAAACAGCTTGGATCAGCCCAGTTTTCTACCACTGAACCATGCATTTGGTTTAAAAAACACAACAACACTGGGGAATATTGGCTGCTTCCAACTGTGTTGAAGGTGTTAAAGAAAAGAGCATAAAATTATAAATGATCATCTGAGGCCTTTATAGTCTCTGCTCAAGAGACTAGAGTCTTCCATTCTTAACGAAACACCCAAATATCTTAATAATTGGGCAAAATCTAAATATCAGAGAAATAATTTTATCTTGAAGATTGTTAAATTATAATGGTGATTCACTACCTTGCCACGTCTCTGAGTCAAAAATTAGATCGTTGTTTAGGAATCAATTGTACTCTGCAACTTGGAAATAGGAAGATTTTAGAAGACTCAAACATTGACTTTCTTGTGTGCAAAAAAAAGACGTATTGACATAAGACAAGTCTTCCCTTGCAAGGATACCTCTAGTGCTCATACACCACCTCTCCTAACGTTAATATAGCTTCCAGATCACTAACCAGTGTCAGAGAGCAGCCTATGCAACTACAAATTAAAAAGATGTCGAACACAGGGTCAAGCCTAGAATAAGAAGTCTTAGCTAATTAAGTATGCTTTTCCCCCCAAATTCATATTAACAAAAACTTGGATATGTCAGAGAATGCATGCTAAGTTCACTCCACCTGGGAGGGAGAAACATAATTTTAAATTAAGAGCTGAAGCATTCTTGTCCTAACAAAAAGCAAGGAAAACGAAATATCACACCACAGGAGGGATTTCACAAATTAGTGTCAACATCAAAACCTTAAAATAGGCAAGGAAAATGCAGATTCACTATTAACTCTTCTACTTGTTTTGTTCAGAGAAGAGATGGTTCTGAGAGAACGACAGTGATTGGTGCTTTAAATTGGTGCTTCTGATCAACTCCTTTAGCTAGAATAAATTGATGAGGATTTTGGCATGTGGTATTAGGGATGGTTATTAATTTTTTCCTCTTGTTTGCATTTTTCAATGTAGTAAATACTAGCTGTATATGGCTACTTAAATTCAAATTAATTGCAATGAAATATACTTAAATATTGAATTTTTTAGTCACTGTTGGTTCATTATTGAATATCTTCAGCTAAGATTTCCTATCTAAATACACTAAGAGGTGGCTTAGTTAACTGGTCGTCCACAAATACTGACGCTGTTGTTAACTCCTGATATATTCTCTGCAAATAGAATATTCATGAGCCTCCTCCTGAAACCAGCAGCCTAGAGATAGTTTTATAAATTGGATACAAGTTGGAAATCTATACTCTTTAAGTTTTTGAAATACTAGCTTCCCAGGGAAGAAAATCAAATTCATAAAATATGTTAGGACAATTTAACTCAAGATGTTCAAAACTGAAATGACATATTCTACAATATGTGATAAAACCACCCCCTAACAACTTAAAGCAAAACAGGGATTGACCTTAAAGACGTGCCTTTTCCTCATCCCCCAGCCAATCAGTTTTCAAATCTTGCATTTTCTTTTGAAAGGTCCTTATCCCCCTAGTCTCTTGTTTCTAGACTTGGCACATATTTAAGTTTGTTACCTCTATCTACTGACTTTACTCTCTTCAAACAGTATCTATGCCTGCCAAATGTGAATATAAAAAACAAATCAGAATGTGCCATTCTGATTTAAACTGCTTATTAGTTAATACCCTCAAGATAACATCTGGGTTCTTAGCTGCACTGAGTCAAGCCAACTTACATCTTTCTTTGTCTTTGGCTGCACTTTTCCTATCACATCACACTCCAGCAATGCCAAGTTGTGCTGGCCTCCTACCTCATTTCTCCTATTTTGCCCCTGCCCCGCCGCGGCTTTTTGCGGCTTTCCGCCCCGGCCGCCGCGGCTTTTTGCCTCCGCCGCCGCTGCTTTTTGCGGCTTTTCGCCCCCGCCGCCGCGGCTTTTTGCGCCTTTTCGCGCCCGCCGCCGCCGCTGGTTTTTGCCGCCGAGGCTCTTTGCCCCCGCCGCCGCGGCTTTTTGCAGCTTTTTGCCCCCGCCGCCGTGGCTTTTTGTGTTTTGCCCCCGCTCCCGCTGCTTTTTGCCCCCTCTCAGCGGCTTTTTGTCGCCGCGGCTTTTTACCCCCGTTAGCGCGGCTTTTTGCCGCCCTAGCTTTTTGTCCCCGCCGCCGCGGCTTTTTGCAGCTTTTTGCCCCCGCCGCCGCCGCGGCTTTTTGCCTCCCGCCGCCGCGGTTTTTTTGCCCCCGCCGCCGCGGCTTTTTGCCGCCGCTGCTTTTTGCAGCTTTTTGCCCCCTGCCGCCGCGGCTCTTTCCCCTCGCCGCCTCGGCTTTCTGTGGTTTTTTGCCCCCGCTCCCGCTGCTTTTTGCCCCCGCGGCTTTTTCCCCCCGCCGCCGCGGCTTTTTGCTGCTTTTTGCCCCCGCAGCCGTGCTTTTTGCAGCTTTTTGCCCCAGCCACCGTGCCTTTTTGCCCCCGCCGCCGCGGCTTTTTGTCCCCGCCGCCGCGGTTCTGAGGGCGGGAGCGGCAGACTCGGCTGCCAGCTCTACTGGCGTCCTGGTAAGGGCACCGCCGAGGGGCGCTCCTGGTCCAGCTCTCCCGTCTCCGGGGTTCCTTGCCTAGGCGCCCGCGCCCCGGGCTCCCCGCCTTGGCCACTGTGGCCTGCATAGAGCGGCGCTGCGCGGGGAGGCTATGGGAGAGAAGAAGGAGGGCGGGGGCGGGGGTGATGGGGTGGCGCAGGGGCCGCGGCCAGCCGGACGCTGCAGCAGTGCGGGCAGCTACAGAAGCTCATCGGCATCTCCATCGGCAGCCTGCACGGGCTGCGCACCAAGTGCGCTGTGTCCAACGGCCTCACCCAGCAGGAGATACGGACCCTGGAGGTAAGGGGTTCGGGGACCCGGGCTGGGCTCGAGGAGCAGCCCGGATACCTCCCTCGGGTCCCCAGTTCACTCCTGGCCGAGTTGCATCCTTGAGCCTGCGTCGCGCCCTTGGAGGCTTCCCCTCCCTCCTTCCCTCGCTGTTGCGGCACCCGGAGGACCCGGGACCAGCCCTCACCTTGGGCAGGATTTGTGGGGCGGGTGCATGGTGGGAACTGGGATGGAGGCTCCAGGGTCCCTTGGGGGAGGTGGGCTGCGTGCCGACATTCCCTTACTCCCCGAATTTCCATCTGATCCAGCCCTCTCATCTTCTAGGTGAGGCCACTGAAGGTCTGAGGGAGAACTGACTTGTCAGGAACTCCTGTTAAGGAGAATTAACAAAGTGTGGTTATTAAAGGAGAACTGAGTTGGGAGTCAGACCTGGAGGACTGCACCCTTGGTTAAGACATTATACCACCTTGAGTCTGGCCTGTTGACTGAAGGTGAGCCACTCCATCCTTGTCTGATTGTGGGGTCTTGACCTCAAGGGGTTTCCTGCAGGGAGAAGCAAATGGGTTTGCTTTCCTAGCTCTGTCCAGTGCCTTAGGGACCCTGAGGACTGAAGAGATTCTTGGAGAGCCATCTGGTGTGTGTCATGGGTGGGCCTTTTTTGAAGGTCAGTCTGCCCAGTGGGCTGGCTCACCCCGAATGAACTCTCTTGAATCTTTGGAGTTGTCTGTGTACTTTTAAGGGCTTCTCAGCTTTGCACCAAAAGATCCCCTGGAAATTAGGTGGGAAAACCTTAACTTTTGTGGGGCCTTGTGTTTGTCTTAAAAGTTCATGCACATGGCCAGGTGTGGTGGCTCCTCACACCTGTTATCCTGTCCTGGATCCCTTGAGTCAAGGAGTTTGAGACCAACCTGGACTATATAGTGAGACCCCATCTCTACAAAAAATAAAATATTAGCCAGGGGTGGTTGTGCGCATCTGTAGTCCCAGCTACTACTGTGGCTGAGGTGGGAGGAGCACTTGAGTCTGCACTGAGCTGTGATCTCACCAGTGTACTCCAGCCTGGGCCACAGAGAAAGACCTTGACTCAAAAAAAAAAAAAAAAAAAAACCAACAAGAAAAATTCTTGAAGATTTTGCATTCTGTCCCACTATCCATTGGTTTTCATGTCAAGATAATGTCAGAAATTCTTTATAATTGCTTCCAGAAGGAGTAGCCTTTTGATCTAGTGCACAGGTGTCCAGTCTTTTGGCTTCTCGGGGTCATATTGGAAGAAGAATGCTCCTGGGCCACACATAAAATACACTAATGCTAACGACAGCTGATGAGCTTAAAAAAAAAAAAAAAAGGTTTGTGCATAATTTTCATGATACCCACCACCACAGATAGGCGGAAAAGTCCTTGTACTAAAAGGGTTGGACACGGCTGATCTAGTATCTTGTCATCCGTTTTGGCTTTCTCCCTGATTCCAGAATATAGGTAGAGATGTAGAGATGTGCTCTCAGGACAGCTGTTGAGATAAAAAAAATTCCTTGTCATTTATTCCCAAGCACAGCTGTTTGTCATTTGCATTGAAAAAGTCTCCATTGAAACTGCTGTCACATATAAAATCTATTTATATGTCTGTATTTTTCTGTTGTCTTGGCCTTTGTGGGCAGTAGTGTGTTTTAACTGAGCAAACTGTCCTTTCAAATAATGAAGCCGAAGTCAACCTACCTGCTTGCCATTTTTCTTCCCCTTCCATTTTTCTAACCTCAGGATAACTGTAAGAATGAATTAAGATTTGTGTTTAAGGCCGGGCACAGTGTCTTAGGCCTGTAATCTCAGCACTTTGGGAGGCGGAGACGGATGTATCGCTTGAGCTCAGGAGTGCAAGACCAGCCTGGGCAACATACTGAGACTCTGTCTTGTATAATTAAATTAAAATTTAAAAAAAGAAGAGAAAAAGACCTGTGTTTAAAATTTAAAACAAGGGGGGAAAGTGTAATGCAAAATGTGGACTATGCCAGCTACGATTGGGAAAACTAATTTTTCATGCAGCGTTATCTGTAGACTTGTATTAGCAGCACACTGGTCATAAGTGTTTTGCTTTCGTCAAATATGAGGTAAGCTACTTTAAAGTGTGGTGGGGCTTTCTTCTGCGTAGCTCCTGGAGGTGTTGATTCCCAATTTAGCCAATTAATTTGGGTTTAGTTTTGATATGGATAAGGGAGATCAGCTTCATTCATGGTGTGCACACAGGTTTGCCAATAAGGAAAAAAAAAAGCAACCTGAATGTTCCTACTCATTAGATGCTATCTGGAGAGCTCCTACCCCACCCCCACCAAGGCCCGGGCCATTAAAAAGACTCATTGCAGCCTTTCTGCATCTCATACTGTATTCTGCAGGATGCTCCTGTGAAAGAAAGTTGTGCTGCATCAGACATCTCCCTCCTGAAGATCCCTCCGGATGAGGATTTGTGTTTTAAAGGTTCTGAGAAGTCCTGCAACAACAGTTCTCAAACTTATTTGTCCAGGGGATCTTTTCTTCCACTGAACGTAGTTGGGGAAACACGGCCTTAAGCCTTGGGCAGAGAAAGAGACAAACTGTTGGCTCACTTACAACCAAGTGTTGTGTTTTATGTTTTAGGTTTTTATGAAACTGAGGTGCTGTTTGAGGTTCTAAATCAAATTGGGTGGTTGAAGAGAGGCTGGTATCCCTGTAGACTTAGCCAGCCATGAGAGGTTGCCTTTTGTTGAAGGAGGTGTTTTACAAAGGGAAATAGGGTGTCTCCTGGGCATCACATTAGCACTTGAATACATGTATCACTGAAATTAAATGAAATGATGAAATAAAATGATGAAATGAAGAAATGATGAAATGAGATGAAAGAAAATGATGAAATGATGAAATGGAGTGATGAAATGAAATGATGAACTGAAATGGTGAAATGAAATGGTGAAATGAAATGAGGAAATGAAATGATGAAGTGAAATGGTGAAATGAAAAGATGAAATGATGAAATGAAGAAATGATATGCAATGATGAAATGAAATGATGAAGTGTAATGATGAAATAATGAAATGAAATGATGAATTGATGAAATGAAATGAAATGACGAGATGAAATGGTGAAATGAAACGAAATGATTAAATGAAATGAGATGAAAAGATGAAATGATGAGATGAAATCATGAGATGAAATGAAGAGATGAAGTGAAATGATGAAATGAAATGAGATGAAATGATTAAATGAATTGATGAAATGGTGAAATGAAATGAGGAAATGAAATGATGAAGTGAAATGATGAAATGATATGAAATGAAGAAATGTGAAATGATGGAATGAAATGATGAAGTGAAATGATGAAATGATGAAATGAAATGAAATGATGAAATATGAAATGAAATGATGAATTGATAAAATGAAATGATGAATGATGAGATGAAAGGATGAAATAATGAAATGAGATGAAAAGATGAATTGATGAGATGAAATGTGATGAAATGATGAGATGAAATGAAATCGTGAGATGAAATGATGAAATGATGAGATGAAGTGAAATAATGAAATTATGAGATGAAATGATGCAATGAAATAATGAAAGGATGAAATGAAATGATGAAATGAAATGGTGAAATGAAATGATGGAATGATGAAATGGTGAAATGAAATGAAATGATGAAGTGAAATGAAATGAAATCATGAAATGGTGAAATGAAATGAAAAGATCAAATGATGAAATGAAGAAATGATATGAAATGATGAAATGATGAAATGAAGTGAAATGATTAAATGATGAAATAATGAAACGATGAAATGATGAATTGATGAAATGATCAAATGAAATGAGATGAAAAGATGAAATGATGAAATGAGATGAAAAGACGAAATGAAATGATGAGATGAAATGAAATCATGAGATGAAATGATAAGATGAAGTGAAATGTTGAAATGAAATGAAATGACAAAATGCAATGATGAGATGAAATGATGAAATAATGAAATGAAAGGATGAAATGAGATAAAATGATGAAAGGATGAAATTAAATGATAAATGAGGAAATGAAATGACAAAATGAAATGACAAAGTGAAATGATGAAAAGAAAAGATGAAATTATGAAATGAAATGTTATGAAATGATGAAGTCAAATGATGAAATGATGAAATAATTGAAATGTTGAATTGATGAAATGATGAAATGGGATGAAAAGATGAAATGACGAAATGAAATGACGAGATGAAAAGATGAAATGAGATGAGATGAAATGATGAGATGAAATGAGATGAAATGATGAAAAGATGAGATGAAGTGAAATGATGAAATGAAATGTTCAGATGAAATGAAATGAAGAAATGAAGTGATGAAATGAGATGAAATCATGAAATGAAATGATGAAATGATGAGATGAAGTGAAATGATGAAATGAAATGTTGAGATGAAATGATGAAATGAAATGATGAAATGATGAAATGATGAAATGAAATGATGAAATGAAATGATGAAATGAGGAAATGAAATGATGAAATAGATGTACCAAAAATACTTATTCATTTTTTTCTTGGCATCTTTCTAAGAATATTTTAGTGAGGTTAATTTCTAGAAATAAATTGCTATTCAGTGGCTATACAGTTGGCCTTTGCACCACAGGGGTTTGAATTGTGCGGGTCCACTTAGCAAAACCAAAAATTCTACATCCTTTTCCACACCCTGCCCATGAAAAGGATGAGGATGAAGACCTGTTTGATCATCTACTTCCATTTAATAACTAGTAAATATATTTTCCTTATGATTTTCTTTTTCTTTTCTCTGGCGTGTTTGTTAAGAATACAGTATATAAGACATATAACATTAAATATGTGTTAATTGACTGCTTGTGTTATTTGTAAGGCTTACAGTAGGCTATTAGTAGTTAAGTTTTGGAGGAGTCAAAGTTTTAGTGGATTTTCTACTGTGCAGGGGGGCCAGCACCCCAACCTCGGTGTTGCTTAAGGGTCAACTGTACATGTTATTTCCTTTCCTGTAAGAGAAAAATGATGAGAAGGTCTTTTCTCCAATAAGTGTATTCAAAATGTAGCAGACTTGAAATGTGTTGGCGCCACCATTTTGCGTCTCACTTTGAAAACTTGTTATTAAAAATCGTACTAAAGCCTACCTTACTTTTCCAACCTTAGGAAAAATGTTACAAAGGAAAGGGGTGAAACCATGCTAGTTTGCCCTGAAATTTGAAATTATCTTTTAAAAATATATTTTTACATTAATTACTTCCAAAATAGAGATCGGTTGCATACAAATGGCAGGTCACCCTAATCCACCCTATGACAGCACTTAGATTCATGAGGAATTGTGCCATCTAGAAAGGGCAGAGAAGAGGAATAGAGTGCTCTGCGTCTTGAAATATAAACATGCACATAGCCACATGCTTTGATTCTGTTGTCACTCTGTACTTACCGCTAGGAAGAGGGCATGTTTGTGTATTTTTATGCTAATTATTATCCAAGTTGTTAATGATTTAGGCTTTCAGAACCATATAAAGATTTTTTTTCCTTTCAGATATAAACTATCGTGCATTGTTCTTCTGATCGTATGAGGGATAAATTTGCCTAAATATTCTTCAGACCATAATAGTATGTCCATATAAATGCCAGTAGCAAGAGTAGAATCAACCACAGCTGCCTTTGTAATTATTTAAAGCACGTGTGCCTATAAGTAATTGGCATTTTATATAATCAAGAATCTTTGATATAATCTCTCAACTATTTGAAACATGGCTCACATATATTAATTTTATATGCAAATATATATATAATATCATTGTATATGAAACTAAATTTTGGACTTTAGAACAGTTTCTTAGAATCTTGACTTAAATGTCTACAGTAATATTTGACTTAAAAAAATTTAGCGCACTGTCACTATGATTCAAAAATTACTACAAAATTATTTTAAAAATTTTTCCACCCGAACATTTACAATATTCTCACATTTGTGGTTGAAACCTATTGTGATCGTTCTTAGAATTTAGATTAAAAAATGTTACAGAAAGTTTGAAGAGAAGCACTTTAGTCAAATTTTAGTTGTTGAAGCATGAAGAAATGGCATTTCATTGACATTTTAAAAACTATTCAGATTCTCTATTTGAATTCAAGAGTTTCAAAGATATCTTATTTTAAAATACCAAAATAGGAATAGAATATGAAGGGCTGGTTATGAGTAATATGATACACTTTTATGAGAGGATGAGATTAAAATAACAATACCTCCTCTCATAGAATAGCCAGCAAGTCTCCACTAAATAACAGTGCCTTGATTTT
The DNA here is from genome assembly GCF_000001405.40 of Homo sapiens. NCBI lineage: Eukaryota > Metazoa > Chordata > Mammalia > Primates > Hominidae > Homo > Homo sapiens. The sequence continues at coordinate 132,031,507 of NC_000002.12, read as the reverse complement.
ATAGATGTTTAATCATGGATATTGAGTTAATGTGAACCATTTGTAGACAAAGGAGTTTATTAAGGAATTATATATCTTTCAAGTATTTAGAATAGTGTTGAAATTAAGCCTGCATCCCCACGATTTTCAGAGGTGCTGATGCCTAATAAACTCAACCCCTTGCATGCCAAAATCGGCTTAAAGCCCACCTGTTACCCAAGCTACACTTCAAGCATCAAGGTTCAAAAATGTAATTTTAAATATGCAAGAGTTTGAGGAATTCAGTACTCACACTTTCTTGAACAGTCTATCCAAGTGCATCAAGCAAAATGTGAGAAAAGAAATTTTGACCAAAGGATTGATAGTAGTTGAATACATTTAATAGTAGATCTAAGATTAAAAGGTGAGAGTGAGGGTGAGAAGAGTGTATGAATGCTTTGTGTTCTGACAAAGAGAAAGTAGCACCCATGTCCTACCTGCTTGGTTGCATTGCCAGTGCCCACGGTAGGCCATTTTATCCAGGTTTTTAGGTTTTGTTTTGTTTTTTTTCTTTTCAGGAGAGTTAGTCCAAGACCAATAACTCCATAACTGGTAGAATTGGAAGACTTTAATAGTGCTTAACATTTTCTACATAGCTTTATAACAGTTTTTCTTTTTTTCTGAGAGATTCTTTTCAATATACCCCATCATGGTTGAACTCAAAGTCATTGCTTATTTAAAACCTACAACTGCTTACGTTTTGTAACCTTTGAATTCCAGGTAATTGGTTTTTTGTGCATTTTCTGTATTTTTCTCCATCAGTCTACCTAGATATTTGTTAGATTTAATATTTTAATATTTTTCTGAAAAAGTGAGCTGTTGCATTTTTAAATATATACTCAGTTGCTTTAATTCTGCTTTTTCATGTACTATTTCCTCCTTTTTTTTTTTTTTTTTTTTTTGACACGGACTCTTGCTCTGTCGCCCAAGCTGGAGTGCAGTCGCGTGATCTCTACTCACTGCAACCTCCACCCCCCACGTTCAAACAATTCTCCCACCTCAGCCTCTGAGTAGCTGGGATTACAGGTGCATGCCACCATGCCAGGCTAATTTTTGTATATTTAGTAGAGAGTGGGTTTCACCATGTTGGACCAGGCTGGTCTCGAACTCCTGACCTCAGGTGATCCACCTGCCTTGGCCTCCCAAAGTGCTGGGATTACAGGCATGAGCCATGGCGCCCGGCTATCTCCTTCATTCTTTATGTTTATTTTACTGGTTTTATCTCTCTCTCTCTCTCACTGTTTCTCTCCTTCTCACATTCACTTTGCAGTTGTCAAATAGCCCAGGTGATGTTACAGATTTACTCCTTATAAAAGGAGGCATTACACATTACACATGCATCTTAGTGGCCTTACAAAAGTGTTTGGTTCATTTGTGTTGACTATTCACCTTTAAAATATTTCAATATTAATTAAAACAGCTTCCAACCAATATTATTAGACTTATGTTTCTAGCTTTCTTTTTTGTATTGATATCTACCTTCATTGCTGTTTGTTTAGGAAATATATTCTGTGTCACGTTATTTCCGTGAAAATTGTTTGAATTTGTGGTATGGTCTAGAAAATGTTAATTTTTGTAAGTATTCTGTATGAACATGAAAATAACATGAATTATAATATTCATGTTCCTTATATAACATTTGCCCTTTTTAAAATCCACTAGCTTCTTTTAAAACTTACTCTTTTAATTTTTTCTTTTATCTATTACTGAAAGATGTGTGTTTGAAATGTCTAATGATTTGGGGGCTTATCCATTTCTACTTACTTTCTGATATTTTTGCTTTATATAATTTGACTATCTAAATACGTGTGTGTGTGTGTGTGTGTGTGTGGTGTGTGTGTATATATGTATATATGTATCAGGCTAATGCACATTTAAGTCATCACATCTTCTTAATAACTTAAAACTTTTATCACACTGGTTAGACTAACTTATTTTAATAAATGTTTCTAACTTACATTCTATTTTGTCTACATAGCAACTTTTTAAAAAATTATATTCATGTAGTATGTTTGTATGTATATCATATATACACAGTATCTGTATTGTTTGAACTTCAAAGTTTCTGTAAATTTATATATTAGTTGCCTGTCTTGTAACTATGATAGAGACGGATTTTTTTAATTTTGCCAATCTTTGTATTTTAACAAAAACATTGTCTACTTAGGTTTAAGTTAATCTTTGATCATTTATACGTAATTTGTTTTATTAATTTGTTGTATATATATATGTATATAATGTGTCATTTTCTCCTATCAGTTTCTGTCTTCTTGTTTTTAAATTATGACTTTTATTTTTATTGTTTTCATAGATACAACAGAGAAATGCATAATGTCCACTGAATTTATTAAAGTTCCAAAATCGGTCGCGCGCAGTGGCTCACGCCTGTAATCTCAATACTTCGGCAGGCCGAGGCGTGTGGATCACGAGGTCAGGAGTTGGAAACTAGCCTGACCAACATGGTGAAACCCCGTCTCTACTAAAAATACGAAAATTAGCCAGGCATGGTGGCACGCGGCTGTAATCCCCGCTACTCAGGAGGCCGAGGCAGGAGAATTGCTGGAACCTGGGAGGCAGAGGTTGCAGTGAGCGGAGATGGCACCACCGCATTCCAGCCTGGGTGAAAGAGTGAGACTCCTCCTCAAAAAAAAAAAAAAAAAAAAAAAAGTTGCAAAGTCATACTCACCTTTCTGCTCTTGTCAGACAATTAAGGGGTCATTGAATACTTCAGCCCTAATAATTTGCTTCCTAACATACATATTGCAGTGCTTATCTAATTTTAAATATCTTTTTGTTTCAACACCTAATTTTTTATTTAGATCTACCTGTATGTTTATTTTGCTCTGTATTCATTCTTTGATTTCAGAACTTCAACCTTTCTGAAGCATGTTTTCAGAGTTTCTTTTTAGTTTCTTTAGTGGAATTCTGCTGGTGGTGCTTTGTTTTTTCTCTCTAAATATGTTATTTAGCCATAGGTTGATGAATATTTTTCTTGGTTGAGAATTTCAGAATGGCATTATTATTATTAACAAATAATATTTTTTATTTTACCTTTCATTCTTTCCGATTTCAATATGATTAAAGGTAATTTGATTTTTCTAGTGCTAATTGAAATATTTTTCCCTTCCTGATTCTTTGCTATTTCTCTAGGAGATACGTAGGTGTAGGTTTATCTCCATTGTAGCTTGCTTAGCATGCATGGAATTTTTCAATATGCGGATTAGTGTCTTACAAAAGTCTAGAGAACTTTCAGCCAAAATACCATCACATATTGTCCCTTCCCAGTTCCCTTCTTCTATGAGAACACTCACTAAACACATGCTACACTTTCTCACGGTATCTTCCTTGTCTCTTCATGATTCTGTCCACATTTTGCATTTTTTTAAATTTTCTGTGATGCATTGTGAAATATTTATTAACTCTCACCATGGCCATGTCTAATCTGATGAGTTCATTTTTGAGTTTTTAATTTAAAATACTATATTTTTATACAAGCTACTTTACAAATTTTCTACATCAATTTTTTAGTCTCCTAAAATATATTCTTTTTTAAAAAAAATTTTTTAAAGCAAATGTGCTTTATAATCTAACAGTGATATTTCTACTAATGAACCTTTGTGGATCTGTTTGTACTCTTTTTCTGCTTTCCTTTCAAACGGTGGTATACCATTTCCTTGTGTACTTAGATGCCTCTGAATGACAAATATTTATTTTTCTCTGAAAATTATTTTTGTGCACTTTTGCGGATTAGTAAGAAGAAAATTTGCCAAAGAGAATTTGAATTTTTTTGTGAGTCTACTAAACGCACCACCATTCTGGGACCACATTATATTAATTCTTGGCCTAAAGGTGTTTGGACATATGTTTGGACTGCACATTTAAACAATTTTTAAATTAATTGCTGTAAATCATTAATGATTGAATTTCTTTAAATCTGTCCAATCTCAATCATTTTTATTTGCCATTTCCAGGGAATGTGAAATGGGACTAATTTACCTCTGATTCTTCTTTATACTGAGGATAGAAACTTTGGTCCTAGCTTTAGGGAGGAGCTCCTGTGTGATGCCCTATCTTAGGAAAAACTATGTATTTCTTTACTGTCCTATGTGATGTATGACAGTAGGAATCTGCACTCATTCATTTTGGTACATGTCCGTAGGGCAAAATCAGTTTCGGTGTTTAGGTATATTTTGTCTGCTCCCTGCATTCCCATGGTTTTGACCTTATATTTTACTTTTTTTTGTGAACATACCAATGCTTCAATTTTTTTCCAGTAATATAATCCACTAGACTATAAGAAAGAGAAAAATTTTGATTAAACACAAATTTCATGTTTTCCTACTCTAATTGGCTTTTATGTAAAAATACAGGTAAAATTTATTTGTGCTTTTTTGCTATTTCTATTTTGCTATTCTCTGTTTGTCTATGTCTTCTCCACGTTGACACAATTAGGGAATTTTGTACACTCTTGTGCCAACTGCTTTGATAGTAACAAAATGTATTTCTCAAACTCCTAGGTATAAAACTCAAGTATCCACAATTTAAGTTCTTTTTCCCTCATTTCTATTATGTTTCCAGTCTCAATAGAAATCGATGCCAATCCAGAAATACAAGCATTATTCTAATACTTCTCACACATTACAGATATAGATTAAATTTTCTAGATCTCCTTAAATACTATCATTTTTCACTACTTGTATCTTAACTGTTAAGTTCAACATTTTCTATAATATTAATATATTGTGAAAATTTCCTTACTTTCTTATTTGTCCCAGGTTCAATGTTTTGCAGTCTCTACCTCACCCTGTGAAGCATAAACATTGTACATGCTGTACAAATAATACATAGTTCATGTGCTTAGAGATTGCACAATTTTTATTTGGTTGACAATAGCTAATGTTTTCTTCTTCATTTTCTATTTCCTGATTTTTCTTTATTTAGCATATACTACATTATCATAAAAATAAGAACGTGTTACAAACTAAAGCAAAAGCAACCCTAGGAATAAAATACACAAATGAAATATATAAACATACAATTAGATGTACCACGTACCCTTCTAATTTATTTAGACATTTAATTTTAGTACAATTTTAATTAAAGTGTGTGTATTATCTGTCATCGTCTTAGTATTTTTTATATAACAAACTTTGTAAATCAAAAAGTCTCAATGTCATTATAAACTATCTTGGCAGAGGTTGATCTCCAAGGAATAATTTCTCTCCCAAATTATGCCAATCAGAATTTCACTCTAATTCTTTTAATCATTTTCAGAGGAATAATAAATGTGAAAATTGTTCAAGGTACTTGTAGTTCAAGTACATTTTGACAGGTGTAAAACTGTAGACAGACTGATACAAACATATTCTAATTGACTCAAAAGAATATGGGACCTGTTTTAAAATCTTATGTAATATTTTGTTTTTAACAGTAAATTGAAGATTTAAAGATTAAATTATTCTCTGGATAGAATAATTTAATCTTTAAATCTTCAACTTACTGTTAAAAACAAAATATTACATAAGGATATGCTTATAAAAATAATTCGCAACTAGCTTTTCAATTCAGAAGTATATGTGAAAAATCATCAGCATCTAATGGATTTCAAGGAGAAATGGGTTAGTAATTTATTCCGTATGTCTCAATTTTCTCTAAACCCAAGGCTTCCTTTAAAATAATTGTAGGCATTTAAGAAACCATGTAAACTAAAAAGAAGAAATTGTGACACTGCCGCTTAGGTTTTTTAAATCTTTGGACATGAATCAATATATTTTTTAAATTTTATCTTAATTAGACATGGTGAGTTCACCATCTTCCTTTCAGTATAGCATCCAAGCTGATTATCATAGGTTACAAGTTCAACTATCAACTGTGTTCTGAGAGTCTAAAAAAATAAATGAATGTATTTGTTTGGGTATTCTTAAAGCAGGAGTGAGGACACAGCGAAAGTGAGACAAGGAAGAGAGAATAAAATAAAACAGGAAAGATAGAAAAGCCAGTACCACACGTGTTAACAGGCAAGTTCCTGTGTTAGATATCTGGGCTTAATTCTATGGGAAGCTATGTGGAACATGCCTCAGAATTACATCACTGAATCCAGGGAGATTCTTCTTAGTAACCCTCACCTTTTCTTCCCACTTCATGCCCAGTATCAAGCTCCCGTGCTGCTAGAGAAAGTCCTCAGCTAGAAACAGGTGCAAATTCTGGAGATGAGACCTTGTAGAGTGTTAAGAATGGTTTTCTTCCCAGCAGCTACAGGTAAGGAATAGGGGCTCGGCTATTAATACATCAGCTACAAATCAATATACCCCTTATGCTCCTTTTGGTGATCGACAATGTATTTAAAAATATTAGATGATCAAGAAGGGCTGCAGAAAGGAGGAAGCAGAAACAAACAGCACACCTCTTGGTTTATTTTTATTCATTTCATCAGTTTCAAGGAAAATGTGTTGGGAGTTCCTGGCATAGAGAATGTCACAAAGACATGTTTTCAATAGTGGTGCTATCCCTAGGGCAGAGAAAACCCAGAGAAACCCAAGTGGCTGCTGGAACTAAGTCAGACACCGTGCCACCTGTCCACACTCCTTGGCTCTGCCATCATGCTGAAGATTGCTTTAAAGGACTGGCTTCCCTCCCCCCAAGATTAAAAGAGCACAAACTGAGAAACTGAATGTGGGAGACAGCAGTGGATTATGCTGTTCTCAGGGGTCACCTCAGGTTTGGAAACATTCTTTCAAATTAACCCATCTCAGGCCATCTGCAGAGAAGAAAGGTGGTACATAACTTTTTCTTGTTAGCATTTGGTAGGGGTGTTTTATTGACCAAATATGTTCCCACAACCTAGTTTTTTGTAACTGACTAAATATAGTAGATTTTTAAATTTTATCATCAAAATCTATAGACAATTTTTGATTAAAATAGACTCCACATCTATGTCCTGCTTTTCTTCTTATTATTAATTACATTGTTGTATAAAAGAACAAGACTTCAGAATCAAGAATATCTTGTCTCTTGGCATTGAATTTATACAAGGTGCTCTTTCTTTAATGCTGTCTCAAAGGACATATTTTTTACTCATTAAAAAGGAAGATCAGAATCTAGTTGTATGCATTGCTCCAACATATTAGTAATTAAAATTAGGAGGTAAATGTGGTCAAAGCGATAGAAAGACTTGAGATGTCATTTATATTGATTATAGCACTCTACAAACAGAAATTGTTAAATAATAGTTTATATAAATATTTTGTATCATTTCAAATATTTGAGTGCCTGAAGTTTCTCCTCTTGTATAGTTCAGATTATCAATTTGAAGACTTACTCCGTTAGTTAAAATGTTTCTAGTCTCGTTTATTATATAAAAGCAATTTTCAGTTAAATGTGTTCCGCTTACATAAAACATTACAAATTAGTGAGTATTTAATTACATTTTCATGTTCCTGTAATGTCTTTAGAAGATTTTCATATTATTACCTATCAATATATGTATGCTTTGTCAAAGAAAAATCAAACATATATATCATTGAGATTGAAACTTTTTAAAAGTACTTAATTCTATTGAAAAACCACATCCATAGGAACAATTGCAATATAATATTGGGAACATTAAATATATATCCTATGTCTATTTTATATATAAGCATATATGATTAAAAATATAAAGATTTTTAAACGTAGTATTATAAAGTAAAAATTAGTTAACTTCTGATGATTATGTTAATTAAGATAAAATTATTCTGATTTTGGTGATTTTTAAATAAAAATATTAAATTACATGACAAAAATTCTTTATAAATTGTTTATGATTTTTACATTGGTTTTATCACTTTATTCCACTATTTTATTTTAAGATGACCTGTCTTGTTTAAAACACTGTATTCATCTTAAATTAAATTCCATTTTTAAAAAAATTAACAAGTGATTTGCTCTATTATACAGTGCGGTTATAAACTGAGTCAGTATCTCAAGATTTGATCCCCATTATTGTCATCTGTGGTCCTATTTGTTTTATAAATGTATTGTCTTTTTCCATGCCTGTCACGTCTCTATTGCTCTTTCATTTTTCTCTTTGTCCCTTATAGAGAGCATTGCCTATCTCTAGATTAAGCAAAAGTTGCATCTTAACAAAGCACAATAACCTGCTCAATCTTTCTCACACAGAGAAATGTTTGTTAAGTAATTAAAGTGTAGATGATGATACAAAGAGCTTGATTAAATTAGATGCCAAAGCACCCTTGTGATTCAGAATATGAATGGTATTTAATTTCTTTGAAATCAATAATTGCTGAGTGACATTAATTAATGCCAATATTCCAGAAGTTGTTCTAGTTAGTGAAATGTATACAACATGCAAAAGATTCAGAACTCTGAAAGGCAACATTATTCTATAATTAAGAATTAAGAATTAATTCACAATAATTATCAGAGAGAAATAATTATTAAGAATTAATGACTGAGAAAATGTTTTTATTTTTTATTTAGAAAATTATTTTGTGCATGAGCATTACTGCAAGTTGTGCAAGAAACATAAATGTAGAGAAACAATTACGTGCACAAGATGAATTTAATAACATCTTGATATTTTCCACGGTTACAGTTTTATTTGGCAAATCTTTAAGTGCACATCATCTAAAGATAATAAATGAATCTTGGAAATCTTGTAGGTAAGGCTAAATATTAGGATGCATCCAGTTACATTTACACACACATACAATTACATTTACACACACATACATGCACACACACTGATACACGTGTGTGTATATATATATGAATTTACTAATTGATTTTAACTAATATTTATAAAAGCCAGTTGGATTGATATACATTGTTGAACCTGAAAAATATTTATTATATACATGTTTAAAATACACAAATAAATAGTAATTGCACTAGGCATTTGAAACTGTACTAAAATATAAGCTGTGAACATTTTGTGATCATTACAAATTCTTACACTGAATATTTTTATTTTTATATTAATATGTTTGATACATATGTAATTTTTTACAGTGTGTTATTTTATTTTTGTCATAGAGTCATGTCATGCATAATAACATTTCAGTCAAAGATGGATTACATATACAAAAGTGGGCCTATGAGATTATAATACATATTTTTACATGCTTTTCTATGTTTTAAGTATGTTTAGATACATAAACTCTTACCGCTGTGTTCTTATTGCCTGCAGTATTCAGTACAGTAATGTAGTACACAGGTTTGTAGCCTAGGAGAGAGAGGCTATACCGTATAACCCAGACGTGGTAGGCTGTACAATCTAGGTGTTTGTAATATTCTCTCTGACGTTTGCAAAATGATGAAATTGCCTATGGATGCATCTGTTAGAACGTATCCCTATCATTCAGTGATGTGTGACTGTACTAAAATGCTCAATCTAAGTTTCAATGCCCTCCATAAAATTGTTGTACTGTGAAATACAAATCTCTCACCTATGGCCTGAATATGTTTGCAAACTAAGCAGATTATGGGAAGGAGAATGTGCTGGCATCGCTGGGATGATTTTCTCACACTACATGAATAATATCTCCAGACTTCGTGAATATGAGCCACTTGCATAGAGTTAAAGTAGACATCTCTTTGCTGGGAAATTTATCAAATGGGAGTATGAAGTGTTTTTAAAAGATACTTGTTTGTTTGTAGCCGGTAGGCCTACAGTGGCTCATGGCAATGGTTGAGGTTGCTAAGATGTGGTGGAAGGAGGCAAAATGGCCACTTACATGGTATATGGTATATGGATCACTTGTTTCTGTTGAGTTACAGATTCAGCTGGCTATTTCTCCCAATGTTAGTTATTTGGAGAAAAAAAACATGATGGTAATTTTGCGGTAACAAATACAATATTTGATGAAAGCAAATTTATTGAGGGTTAGACAAACTACAAGGTACTTTAGGCTGCAAAGTCAACACGAGACTTCTGGCCCAAATTATGCAGAGTTTGGGTCCAGCTGCAAAGTTCAAAGGAAGAGGCCATATAAGACGATTCTCACTTCTGACACCAACTGCCATTTCAGGGGTTTCCCCTGAACACCCTCAGATTCAAGAATTTACTAGAAAGACTCACAGAACTCATTGAATGCCATTGTACTCATGGTTTATAATAGAGAAAGGGTAGAAATTAGGACCAATTAAAGGAAGAGACATATCATATAAGGTGGAATCTAGGAGGATTTTGAATGTTAAGTTTCCATTGTCTTCAGGACATATTACCTGTCATTGTTGTACAGCAATAAACATGGAGTACTACCAACCTGGGGAGCTCACCTGATGCTAAAAAGACACTATTTAGAAAATGAAAAGACAAATGAAAGGATGAGATAAGATGACCTTCCACATTAAGGCACTGGAAAAAATAGCAAAACTAAAGCAAGCAGAAGGAAGAAAATAAAAATTAGAGAAATTAATAATTTATAACAATATTTGTTAGTATTGAATAATTGATATTAATTCTTGACTAGCTTTTTTAAAAAAGAGAAATATTCACTTCCCAATTTATTCTGTGGGGCCAGTGTTACCTTGATACAAAAATTAGTCCAAATAGCATAGAAAAATAAAACTACTATAAGTATAAATGCAAAATTCCTTAAAAAATACTAACAAATCATATCTAGCAACATATAAAAGAATTATAAACTATGACAAAGTGAAATTTATACAAGTAATCCCAGGTTGGTTAAACAGCCCAAAATCCATTAAGGTAATATATCTTATCCATAGAATAAGAAACGAGAATTGCATGATCATCTCGATAGATTCAGAAAAGACATTTAACAAAATCCAAATTCTTTAATGATTAAAAATAAAAATAAAAACTCAATGAACCAGGAATAGAGAACTTTCTACGCCAGATACATGGCACCTGTGAAAAGCCAACAGCAAACATGCAACTTAATGGTAAAAGAAAGGATACTTTCCCGCTATGGTCAGAGATAAGAATAGGATATATACTTTGACCTCTTCTAGTCAACATTATACTAAAGATTTTATGCATGGCAAATCGGCAACTAAAGAAATGAGTCACCCATATTGAATAGAAAGAAATAAAACTTTATTTGCAAATAACATTCTTGTATATAGAAAATTTTAAGGAATCCACTGAACGACAGAACTAGTAAATTATTTCAGCAATATTACAGCATACAAGATAAATATAGAAAAATCAATTGCACACATCTACAATGAAAACCCCAAAATGAAACTAAGAAAACATTTCAATTTACAATAGCGTCAAAAAAGAAATAATAATTAATTTGGAAAATGTGATACAATATTTTACTCTGAAAATTAAAAATTATTGTTTAAAGAAGATCTAAATAATTAGCAAATGTCTTATAGCCATGAATTGGAAGATTTAATATTGTAGTACTTTACAATTTGAACTACAGATTTGATGAAATCCCTAAAAGTATCCCAACAGACTTCTGTCTAGAAACTGACAAGCTGATTCTAAAATACACATGGAATCGCAAGGGACTCAAAATAGCCAAAATAACCTTGAAAAAAGAAAACATAATAGGATAATTCACACCCCCGTGCTGCACACCTTACTGCAAAGCATCAGTAATCAAGACAACACAATACTGATGAAGGAAAAATAGATTGATGGAAGAGAATGGAGAGTCCATATATAAAACTATGTATCTATAGTCAATGGATTCTTACAGTGGTGCCATGTGCAATTCAATGAGGAAGAGACAGTCTTGAACAAGCTGGGTCAACAACGTACACATGGATCACCACTTGCAAAATAATAAATTCGAACCCTTACCCCAAAGCATACAAAAATATTAACTCAAATGAATTAAAGACATACATGCAAGAGCTAGAATAAAGCATATGGGAAAATCTTCAGGATTTTGGATCTAGCAAAGAAATAGCTGTAACACCAAAAACATGAGCAACAAAATAAAAATTAGATATTTAAAATTTCTTAAAAATTAAAGACATTGGTGTTTCAAAGGACAACCAAGCAAGTCAAAAGGCAGCTCAAAAATTGTGAGAAGATATTTGAAAAACACGTGTCTATATGTCTGTATATATATATATGTATCTTGAATATAGAAAAATTGTTTTAACTCAGTAACAAATATCCCAACTCAAAACTGATAAATGATAGGAATAGATGTGTTTCCCAAGAAGTTACACGAACGGCCAATAATCCCATAAAAATATACTCAATAGCATCACTCATCAGGCAACTACAAATCAAAACCACAGTTAGATACTCTATGGCTAGAACTGGCCACTTTGGAAAACAGTTTGATGGCTTCTAAATATATTAAACATAGAATTGTCATATGACCCAGAAATGTATTCCTAGGTATACACCCAGATTATTGGAAAGAGGTGTTCAAACACAAATTGTACACAAGTATTTTTAGCAGCAGTATTTAAAATAGCCAAAGGCTGAACACAACTCAAATGTCAATAAAAATATTATTGGATAAACAAAATTTTATATCCATGAAATTGAATGTTCTACAGTTATAAAAAGAAATAAAGTACCAATACATATATGAACCTTGATAGCATTATGCCAACTGAAAGAAGCCAGGCACAAAAGGCCACCTATTGTATGATTCTATTTAGATGAAAATAGAATAGGAAAATCTATAGAGACAAAACAGATTTGTGGTTGCTTAGGATTGAGTAGGGGATGGGTGCATAGGAGGTTAACAGCTAGAGAAGGTGGGGTTTCTTTTTGAAGTGAAGAAAATGCTCTAAAATTCATTGTGATGATGGCTCCACTTACCTGTGCATATACTAAAAGCCACTGACTTGTAGACATTAATGTGTGCACTCTACACTATGTAAATTATATCTCAATAAATCCTTTCAAAAATACACAGAAGAGTACGGGGTTTGGGAATGTTGCAGCTGGGAGGCAGTTTGAAATACCGAATAGGTCTCATCGAGAATGTGAGGTTTCAGTAAAGACTTGAGGAAGTTGAGTGAGCTGATCAATGGATATATGGAGGGCTATCTTTCCAAGCCAAGAAATTAACTAGAGTCTTGGTCATAAGACAGCAGCAAACATGCATGTCCAGAGGACAGTGAGGTGGCCAGGACCACTGGTAAGATCAAGGGTGAAGAAATAAAAGAATTTTCGTGGTTAACCTGCAGCGGATCATGATGGGCTTGCAGACCATTGTAAGAATTGTGGCTTTTAGCGTACATGAAATGGAGAGACAAATCATTATCCCATTACCAATATTTTAATAAATTGGATCCATGAACCAAATCCAATGAGATTAAATCAATTAGTAATAATATGCAAATTTGTATTAAAATTACAAGAATTACTTGCACATTTGAGAACAGGAGATTCATGATTGTTTATCAGCAATAATAAACATTAATTTTAATTGTGATCAGCTAATTGAGATTAATTGCAATACATCATGCTTTATAATGTGACTGTCAAAAGGAAAATATGATTGTAATCTTATACTACATCTATCAATGTCTTTGATTCATAAGACTATAGAGTAAGCCCCTAGTTTTCAAAGCCAACTTATGAGGCAGTGACATCTTATGCAAGTTTGCTGCTTTCTGCCACAGTGGTCCTTGGTCAGCTGGCACAAATTGTTTTACAAATGCCCCTAGGTCTAAAAATAGTTTGGATCACAATGAACACAGAAACACCTTCATCCCTTCAGAAATACCTATCAATTACTTCCAATACAGAATGAAAAATTGACAAAGGAAATACGTTGATTGTAAAAATGCCAGTTAGCTTGCATCTACATGAAAGAAAAATGCCATTTTTATTACATTAGATCATTGTTTTACATGAGTTTTGGTATAGCACAATGTTGAACCAAGGGCAAAGAGAGATGAAATAATGAAGTCTTAAGATATCAAGAATTTGAAAGAAAAGGCAGGTCATCTTTGAAGGTTAGTGACATAGCATTCATCTTCTGTTGTCACCTTTTCCGTCATTCCCTGTATGCCTGATGGACAGCTTTCACTCAGGTTCAGAGAACAGCATGCAAAGATTAGCTACCAATTAATCTTTATGAAGTGAGCTTCATTTCTAGCCAGACTGAGCTTACGTTTTAGCAGAAAGCATTTTTGGGAAATGTTTATGTTAGAGTTTGCCCTTCTTGACAAGGTGAGACATAAATGTCTACTTCATAGACATGAATTAAGATGGGAAGATATTTGGGGGAAACATTTACTCAAACGCCAAATAATAAAGGTACAAAAAGGGCAAATTATACTAGATTTCTTTCCCACTTGTTTTCTATGTCTCGTGCAATTCACCTTGATTCCCTTCAGTTTCTGTTTAATGTAGAAAGTGGCATTTTCATTATTTTAAGCTTCTAGCACAATGAAAGAATTTCTCTTTTTCATGAACTGGATCATAAATGAAAGGGAGGAAGAGTGTCCTATATCATATTTATTGTTCAACAAAACACTGCTCCACGGCTTAAATTCAGTTTAAAAAAGAGAATTTATTGAACATCTAACACATACATAAAAGGCAGTAAAGACAAATGAGAAGAGGGCAGGATATTGAAGTATACAGACTTTAATGCTGAGTTTTGTATCTTAGTAAGTTACTCCACCTTACAGAGGCTCAATTTCCCCTGATTTAGGAAGGCGATGCTAATGGGTATTGCCTAGGTGTAAGTATAAAAATGTTGTATTTAAGAGAATCCCACAAGCTTGGTATAAGGCAGAAAATAAATAGATGTGACATGAATAAGTAGTTTATTACATTTGTATGCTACCTGCAGACTAGACGAAGCAAGAAACACAGCCACTATGCTTGATTAGCATTATATTCTAATTTGGAATATAAATAGAAAAGAGAAAAATAGAAAGCTATGCATAAACACATGCATTAAAATGAATTTTATGTGGACTCTTTCAGGAAAATGTTCCTAAGGTATTTTATTTTTTTATTGTGGTAAAATACACATAAAATAAAATGTACTCTGTTAACGATTTTAAGTGTACAGTTCAGTGGTACTAAATATAGTCATAACATTGTGCAGCCATCCCTACCATCCATCTCCATAACTCATTTCATCTTGTAGAACTGAAACTCTATACCCATTAAACAATACTTCCCCATTTCTTCCTCCCCACAGCTTCTGGCAACCATCATTGTACTATCTCTATGATTCTGTCCACTTTAATACAAATGGAATTATACTGTATTTGTCCTTCACTGACTAACTTATTTCACTTGGCATAATATCCTCAAGTTTCATCCAAGTTGCAACATATGTCAGAATATTTCCCTCATGTTTAAGGCTGAATAATATTCCATTGTGTGTATATATCATATTGTGCTTATCCATTCATCTGTTGTTGGACACTTCAATTTCTTCTACGTTTTAGCTATTGCCAATAACGCTGCTGCAAGCATGGATGTGCAAATATTTTTTCAAGACTCTGCTTTCAATTCTTTTGCTATCCTGAGATGTGGCGCTGCTGAATCATATGGCAATACCATTTTGATGTTTTGAGGAACTACCATACTCTTTTCCACAGCAAACATAGCGTTTGGCATTCCCTCCAATACTGCAAAAGGAATCGCCACATCCTTGCCTGTGGATTGTATTCACAAGTCCTGTGGCTCTCTCTACATCCCGGCCACCATGTGTTATTTCCTGTTTATGTATATGACATCAAAGGTGCAGAAAGTAATGAACTAAATTGGAAGGATAAACATGTAGAAAAACAGAGGTAAATACTGACTACATAAAACAATAAGAATTTTGGATGATCTATTATATACCTATTTATCTAACATCTATCTGTTCCTCCATCTGTAATTAAAATATATTACAGTTAGAGAACAGAGGAAAAAGTAGGAATACATGAATTTAAATTTTAATTCTTCTTATATTGTCTCACAGCATTATTATATGAAAGAAAATTTATAGGTCAATATCTGTTAACTATAAATGTAACATTCTTAAAGAATTCAAATACATTGAATTACAGCATGAATAATATATCACAATCCATTCAAGTTTATTTTATTCCAGGAACACAAAAATACAAATTTCATTTGCAATTCAAAAAAAACAGAAATCGATACATATGATTGATGTATATACACATTTAATGTATTTTTAAATATACATTTTTAAAAAATAGAAATTTTTCTAGGACAAATACTTAAAATACCACTGAAAATAGTGTTATTAGCTAATATCTTCCTAATAACTCTGGTATTACATAAGAAACCAAAATTAAAATTTCAGGTAAACTTAGAAACTAAAAATTTTAAAAATATTGTTCTGTTCTCCATATGTTCATATTTAATATTATTTCTTGTTTTCATTCGTCTTCAGTGTTGCTCTACTAAAACATACAATACTAACTTTTGATTTCTGTTCTTATTACTCAGAATTGTATACATTTTCTCATGCTCTTAATTTAGTTATGCTACTTTTCTGTACTCTTGGAATTTTCACATTTGTGTTCACTCTCTTTTGAGTTCCCATAGTATCAAATGAGCTTTTTTCCCTCTTTCTGATTTGAAGATTCATCTTCTCATAATTATTTTGTCCACTCAGTTTTTTTTCATTCTCAGTTAAGTGCCTCTCATCTGGCTTCTTTTCATTTATAAGGTTTCCTTTCATCTTAAGCCAGTCTTTCATTTATATTTTGATTCTGTTTTGTGGAGGACATGCTTCCCTGAATTTTATGGAAGAGGCCAAAACGTTTGTTCAAGTTTTTACCTGATACATTGGATTAAATTATCTAATGTACACACTCTTAATTTAAGTCTAGGGGTGACTGTCTACTCTTGATTTTGTATAGTATTATTTTTCTTAACATCCAAGTCCATCTTCATCTATTTGTATATGATCAATAAAAATATATTTGTCCAGAACCCTGCTTTAGCGGAGTTACTTCTTTCTAAGTAGTAGAGGTAGCAGTTGAGACATGAGCTGGGTTCTGGGTCAGTTTAGAGGGCTGGGCGACATTCCTCCTTTTGGTCTGTATGACTGAATGAATGCAGTTCTTGCTGTCTCACTCCTCTCCTTAACACATTGAGCCATTGCAGCAGATGAGAAGGAATAATCTTGATCTGCCATTCAGGTGGAACACATGTTCTCTCCAACCACACCCATAGGTTGTACTCACGCTCGGCCAGAAAGTATCCTGTCAATGATATGGAGATGTATCTGTCTATCTAGATAGATACCTACTTTGGTGTATGCTCTCTGGTTGCCCGTAAATTATCTCCTTAAATTGAATATCAAAAGAGAGCTTGGTGATGGCAGTGTTATAAAATCCTCAAAATGCAGCACCCACACCCAGAGGAATTTGTAGATTCTGGGATTCTAATTCAGATACCAAACTATATAAAAGGGGAATTGGTCATTGAGGGTTGCTAGGCTCTTTGTTGAGCATATTTGCTCTTTTCATGACTCTGAAATTATTTTAAAAATCTAACCTTTTTCTCAGTGTGCTGCAAGATGATTTGATTTTAATGCATAAGCACTAATTCTCCCCTAAGATTTGTACAATATATTCGCTCTGACAAGCCATAGCCAGCAACTCACTTCACAGCAATTTATAGCATTTCCACAATAAGTTGAATTATTTTTAACTAGACTCTCTTTGCCTTAATAAAAATATGAAGAAGCAATATACTTGTACTAATTAGGTTCAAAAGTTGGCAGTCTCTCTCCTGGAAAGAATAGTCAAACTTTTCAGCAGCCTAATATGCATCTATAAACACACACACACACACACACACACACACACACGCAAGCACTATTCATAATATTTAAAGCACATTCTGTTCTATGACTTCATTTGTCTAGCACAAAATAAAACGATCTCAGTATATGTCAAGTACCAATTTTTTTCATATGGCCAATTATAGATATTTTATTTTTAAAAGATTAGAGTGTTCTTGAAGTTCTTTATATTTGTCAATGAACTAAACACTGGCAAATATGTAGGGTTTCCCACATAAGAACACTATTAACATCAAAATAGAAAGCTGGTGGTAGAAATAATGATTGGGAACAGAGTCTCTACTCAACTTTCTAGTTCTGCCATACCATAACTTTGTGATCTCAGGAAATATCTCTCCATGTTGTCATCTCTATGTATAGTTCTGTCATTTTTCAATAAGAGCTTTTTGCTTAATTATGAAGTACTAGTTACTATAACCATTATTTTGAGCTTCATGTAAATCAAGAACACATGGACTCCACTTGCAAAACATCGAAAATGTAGTTAGGGATTGGGGGCATAAAGCAACATTTTAAAATGTGTAAAGACAATGAATAAGCAACGAAGTGTCCAGTTTTTTAGGGGAAAGTTGCATACGTTAGAAAAAGGCAGGATTAAGTAACAGGGAATTTGAATGATAACTGGCCAATTCGTGTCATTTACAATTGCAAGTCATACAAATGAAGTTTTCTGTTTTAAAGAGAAAAGGAGTTATTTAGAATGGGTCAACCTATTGGGGAAGCAATGTAGTTAGAGACAATGCCCAAAACCATGTGAGCAAATGCTCTGTAGAACGCACCCCTGCAATGCTGCCATTGTGAGGCCAAGTCTCTCCTTGTCTTGGTACTGAGCCCTCCGTTCTGCCTCCATCATTGCCACTGTAGCTGCCACAAAATGATCCCTCAACCACGGCTGCCCAGGAACAAAGAAAGAATTCTGTCCTTCCGTGCTCTCAGATCAATATCCAACATCAGGTGAGCCTTTGATGGGCACTATTCAGTTCCCATATCCAAGAAATAGATGCAGTAAAAACATAGAAATTGCCAATGTGTTTCCCAAAAAGACACATATGGAAGCCTGTTTTCCCACAACAGGAAGGAGTTTGCACAATGGGTGTTCAAAGGAACAATATTCCCTGTAAACCATACTTTGCCCCTATGAAGAAAAGCAATAAGGATTATTTAGTAAATAGACATGGAAACTCACCCAGGGTTGGCTGATGAGAAGCTGGTTAGCAAGGGGGTCTGCCTTTAGTTAGGACAAGGTCTGTGCTTCCCACGGGTTCTCTCCACAGCAGGAGGGATGCAAACTTCCCTTTCCTTCCCTGCACCTACCCTCAAATGGCCCAGAGGTCTTCAGGTGCTAGAATTTCTCAATTAATGCTGCACAAAATAACAGACAGCCTTGACTGTCACAGTCTGTTCTCATGAAGCTAGTCTCTGCTCACTACATAAAACAGGAGAGTGAGAAGAAGGGTGTTTAACGCTATCCTAGCTCAAACATGTTTCTCTCTGTAGGATGCCAAGAACCTGGGAACCAGTGCATCTGCTGCTTTCCCTTCTTGGATTCTAGCCCAGACAAAAGAGGCAAGGGGCATTTCTTCAGAGGCCTTGAGCTTCACTACACAATGACCCAGGCTCTACATGCACCCTCTTTATATATTTCTACCTTGAAAAAAAATTTTTATATAATATTAATAATATATATTTTTATATAATAAACACGTTTATTTTATAGATAGATATAGATATACATAGATAAAGATCTCTAGTCAGCCTTTTTTAAGGCTGGGCTGATCGCGGTGCCTCAAAACTATAATCCCAGCACTTTGGGAGGCCAAGGTGGCCAGATCTCTTGAGTCCAGGAGTTGGAGATCAGCCAGGGCAACATGGTGAAACCCCATCTTTACAAAAATTAGCTAGTATGGTGTCATGCACCTGCAGTCCCTGCTACTCAGGAGGCTGAGGTGGGAGAATCGCTTGAGCACAGTATGTAAAGGCTTCAGTGAGCTCTAATCACATGACTGCACTCCATCTTGGGTGACAAATTGAGACCCTCTCTCAAAAATAAAATAAAAAGGCTACCACCATACTCACAGATAAGTGTGTCAGGTATATTTGCAGCTATCCTTCCTATATTCTATTTGGTAAAAAAAAAAAAAAAAAAAAAATTGCAAAGAACTCTTCTCATTCTAGATTTTTGTATTAATTAGACATTTGAAGTTTATAGCAGAAGAGCTATAATCATGTTTGGTATGTGTATTCTATAGACCAGATAGTGCAAACAGATATCAATGCTTTTTAAAAGTATATAAGGTTATTAGAAATATTTTAAACTACCTATAGGTATATATGTATGTAATTGAACTATCAAATGCAAGTAAGATCATTTCCTTAGCGTGTGAAATCCACTCAATGTATTAAAATATTTTCTAATATCTATTACAATAATTTCTTAATTAGCTAACATAAGAGTTTTAAGACATTTATTTATATGTACTTACTAGATTCAAACTTGATTCCACTATTTTCAGAAATCATACTCTGAGACAAGTCCTTTTTTAATCTATGTTTCTGCCTATATTAAAAGACAGATATGTCAATTTTGCTAATCATGCTGTTCCAAACCTCTCCATCCTGATTATTTTTTGGTTTGTTCTAGCAGTCATTCAGAGACTTACTTATATTCAAATTTCTCTCTAGGTTTAACATTCATGTATGTCTTCTTGTGGTTTTGTCTATTTTTGCTGTATATAATTTAAGACATTTTATTGACATATATCATACATGCAGAAAAGTACAATGATTAAATATGGATACCTTGATTAATGAAACACATATATTTGCTTATAGCCATGTATGAAAATAGAACATTACTAAAAATAGTGATACTTCTCCTGCCCCTTTCCAAACACTAACCCTCATCCTCAATAGTAACAGAGTTTTTTTAATCGTAATTTGGTCTACTTTCAAATTTTTATTAAATCAGAGTATCTACTCTAAGTCTATGTTTATTTCATTGTTGTTATTTTGCTTGTAGTATTTATCTGCTAATGGACATGGTAGATTGAAGACGGCTACATACACTTTTTTAATTAATAGATTTTTTGAGCACTTTGTGGCTCATGCCTCTAATCCCATCACTTTGGGAGGCTGAGGTGTGTGGATCATGAGCTCAGGAGATCCAGACAATCCTGGCCAATGTGGTAAAACCCCTTCTCTACTAAAATACAAAAAATCAGCTGATAGTTAACATCAAGATAACATCTGAGTTCTTAGCTGCACTGAGTCAAGCCTACTTACATCTTTGTCTTGCGCTGCACTTTTCCTTCCACATCACAGTCCAGGAATGCCAAGCTGTGCTGGCCTTCTACCCCATTTCCACTATTTTGCCCCCGCCGCCCCGGCTTTTTGCCGCCGCTGCTTTTTGCAGCCACCGCCGCGGGTTTTTGCCTCCGCTGCTTTTTGCCCCGGCAGCCGCGGCTTTTTGCCCCCGACGCTGGGGCTTTTTGCGGCTCTTTGACCCGCCGTCGGGGCTTTTTGCGGCTTTTTGCCCCCGCCCCTGTGGCTTTTCGTCACCGCTGCGGCAGCTTTTTGCCCCCGCCGCTGCGGTTTTTTCCCGCCGCGGCTTTTTGCCCCCGCCACCGCGGCATTTTGCCCCGTCACCGCGGCTTTTTGCCCTTGGCGCCGCGGTTTTTTGCCCCCGCCGCCGCGGCTTTTTACAGCTTTTTGCCCCCGCCGCTGAGGGTTTTTGCTGCTGTGGCTTTTTGCCCCCGAAGCCACGGCTTTTTGCCCCTGCCGCCACGGGTTTTTTCCACCGCAGCTTTTTATCCCCACTGCGGCGGCTTTTTGCTCCTGCCGCTGAGGCTTTTTGCCGCCGCGGTTTTTTCCCCCCGTCGCCGCGGGTTTTTGTGGGGTTTTTGCCCCCGCTCCTTTTTGCCCCCGCCGCCGCGGCTTTTTGCCCCCTCCGCCTAGGCTTTTTGCCCCCGCTGCCTTTGGAACCTTAATTTCACTTGAAATCTAATTTCCCACTGCCATGCAACATAACATATTTGTATGTTAGACTCCGGGAATTAGGACATGAACATTTTTGGGAGGCCATTATTTTGTCTACAGCAGACATAATCTATTTACCTGCAGATTAAAGTGTTCTTTATTTTTCTGCCTGTCTTAATTTTTTTTAAATAATATGAGTTGTAAAGAGAAAGAAAAAAGAAGGAAAGAAAGAAGAAAGAAAAGGAGGAAATGAGAGAAGGGAGGGAGGAAGGGAGAAAAAAGAAAGCAAGAACTCAAGAAAGAAAGAGAAAAAGTGAGGAAGGAAGGAGGAAGGAAAGGAAGAGAGAATGGTAAAAGGGAGGAAGGCAAACAAAATAGGGAGGAAGGAAGGAAAAAGGAAGGGAGGGAGGAAGAAAAGGAGGGAGGAAGGGAGGAAAAAAGGAAAGAAAGAATAAGAAAAGAAGGAAAAAAAGGGAGGGAGGAGGGAAGGAAGAATAAGGGGAAGGAAGGAGAAAAAAGGAAAAGAAAGGAAAAGAAGAAGAGAAGAGAAAGGAAGATGGAAGGAAGACCGCAAATATTAGAAATTCTGGGTTTGTTAGAAAATATGCCATACTGTTTTTTTTTTCACTTGAAAGCGTGTCTGCCATTGAAGATTGCGTGTCTTGTTGGTGATATTGTTGTTCTTATCTTCCATAGGATTACTGAGTTTGTGCCTAGTCTGTCCATTACTAAGACAAAAGTGTTGAAGTCTGCAAATATAATTTTGGATTTTTCTAGTTCACCTTTGATTTCTTTCCTGTTTTACCTCATGTATTTGGAGGTTCTGTTGTTAGCTGCATACCCTAATTAGTAGGATGTTCACATCTTGAGAATTATTATATTATCTATTATCTCTCATTTCTGATACTATTTCTTGTTCTGAACTTTGTTGTGTCTAATATCAATGTCCTTCCACAGCTTTATTTTAGTGTTTCCATGATATGGCTTTCTCCATATCTTCATGCTAACCTATTTATATCTCTATATATTTGGAGCAAGATATAAAATTTAGAGTTGATTTCTTAAAGATTTTTCAAGATGTATTTCTTATTTATTTTTGTTCTATTTGACATTCTCTGAGTTTCCTATATCTGAAGTTTGATTTTCTGTCACTTCTTTTAGAATATTTTTGGCAGTTATTTTGAAAAATATTTCTTTTGCTCCATTATTTTTTCCTCTTTTTGGGATTTCAATTATAACTAGGGTAGGTAATTTCATCTCAGTCTTATGCAGGTACTTTTTCTCAGGGTCTCAGGAATGTAGCCTTCTCACACTTCTGTTCTTTTCCTGGCTGTGTTGGTGAGCTCAGTGATATTCCTCCTTCACCTTCAAGAGCAGTTTTGTTTTGTTTTTCCTGTTTTCATACTTCCAGTATCAGGAGTATTCTAAGTGTGGCAGTTTTTGTTGTCTTCCCCTACATATTAAGTGGAATGGAATATCTTGGTCTATTTGGACTCTTATAACAAAATAACATAAACCGGGTGACTAAAAAGCAACAGATATTTCTTTTTTCACACTTCTTGAGGCTGAAAGATCTCAGGTAAAGATGCTCACAAATTCAGTGTTGATGAGAGCCCATTTCTTGGTTCATAGATGGTGCCTTCTTTCTATGTCCTCACATAGTGGAAGGCACACAAGAACTCCATTGAGCTTCTTTTATAAAGGCACTAATCCCATTCATAAGGGCTCAGCCCCCAAGACCTGGTCACCTCCCAAGTGTTCTGCTCTCCCTGATCTGTGTCATATACAGACTCTCTTGGATTCCTTACCAATTGCTTGAGAGATCGCAGTGGGTTTGTGGGGAAAAAGTTTTCAAGATGATGGATCTTTCCCAACTTCTGCAGCTGTCAGCGGTCTCCCAATCTGACCAGCCCCACTTTGTCTTTAGGAATTTATTGATTATTCCAGCTTTACTTGTCATAGTGGTGTCTATTTGCATCTGTCCTATGTAAGTGCATCTGTCCTTTTTCTCCTTGCAGGTGCAAGTACTCAGGAGTACACTGCTGTTACTAATTACTCAGTCTTGGTTGGTACATTGTCAAAGATCAAAAAACATTTTTAAAGAGAAAAAAAATTCTTGGAAGGTGTGTAATGGTTAATTCTGCAGACATGGCTTTCCAAAACCTTGCGCATTCCAAAGGTCTTCAGCACTGGCCCTTGACAACCTCCTGGGAGATGACAACCTATGAGCCCTTGGTATATGCTGCCTGATGAGAGTCTTTGTATACTTGAAAACGTAGGTCATACCAAATAGCTGATGCTAACAACGTTATTTCTTGTGAGCACCTGTTTCTGTATGCCTATGACTTTGTGTAATGCCATATTAATATGACCTCTCAGGGCATAGGGAGGTTGGGAACTAAGTAGCTAAGTTCAGTCACAGGATGCTCGATGCATATGTGGTGGAATCCTAATAAAAACCCTGGACTCAAGACTGACTGAGCTTCCCTAGTTGGCAACAAGTTCACACATGTTGTCTCACATGATTGTAAAGAAAATTAGTCAGTGTGAAGTCCCCACTATGAAAGGACACCTGTAAGCTCATATCTGGTTTGTCCTGGACTCAACTTTATGTGCTTTTATGCTTCTGATTATTTTAATCTGGTTTCTTTCACTGTTAGAAACTATAACCACAAAAAAAATCAGCTTTCTTGAGTTATGTGAATCATTAAACCAAAGGGGGACTTGGGGACCCCCAATAAAAAGTATATGTGTTATAGAAAAAGAAAACTGGCTATAGCAGATATTGTTGATGACTTGTCTTCTATGTCCTGGACTCAATGTGTTCACCTGAAATTCACCTGTTTCCAGCTAACTGAGAGCTCCCCACATCATGCCTGTCTTTCTGATTTGTGGACCTGCCTGCAAGCTTCTTGAGGCTAACCAGTGCTTCTCAACCACACATAGGAACAAAGAAGGAGTTAGGGGTGGAGAGTTAATGATTCTAAGGTAATCCTTAAGCAATAAGAGATGGGGATTCCAGCATCCCCATCTCTTTGTAAAGTTATTTTGAGACAATCTCCATACCTCCGTCATTACTGAGCACATAGCAGTAACTACTCATTCACACTGGCTTCGTGTTCTGTTTCATTTTCTCCACTTCTGTGCTTTCTCACTCAATTTCTGATTAAAGTATCTGACCCCAGATATTTGTTTCATAGTCTATTTTTGAGGGAATCCAGAGCCAAGACAATAACAACGGGAGCTTTGCAATGAGGGAGGGTGAGTATAATCATCAGAAGGGTACCTACCTCACTGGGAACATGAAGGCCTGGAGAGCTTGCTGTTTCAATGAGAGAAACATGTTGAATCTCAGTTGAATACCTATATATATATGTGCAATAAGTCGTGCCCTTTACTTATATCAAAGGAAAGTGCTCTTTACCTCTCTTTGTTGTTGTGTTTTTATCACTATTGCCTACACAAGCAGGATATCATACCCAGGATTTAAAGCCCTCTCTGCAGGATTTTCAAGCTCATGTTTTTATCATAAGTCACTCTGCTTCCATGTGTTTTAAATCTAATCCTCATTCCTCTGCTTTTACACCAGAGAATTCATCACTGACTTACTTTTGACTGACCTCCTTCTAGAGCTGTCAGGTACACAATTTCTGCTGTGACCTTTCTCTTAGAGTTCAGTCATACAGCCTCTCACTAGATATCATCTCCTCTTATCTTTCCTAATAATGAATTTTCAGTTAAAACTCAACATTTTTAAGATTGAGCTTACCATCTGCACACACACACACACACACACACACACACACACACAATTATTGGTGTATTCTCATAGCCTTGAAACAGTAATGTCACATTGATGTCTGCCTTTTCTTTCTCTGCTACCTCATCCCTCATCCTTAGATTATTCTAAAAGATTCAGTTAGATCAAGTTGGCTAATTGTATTTTTAAGATCCTCTCTACCCTTACCAATTTTTTGTTTAACAAATTTTAAAAATTTCTGGCAGGAGACTGTTGAAATCCCCATGGATGACTGTGGTTTTACTATTTTACCTTTCAGTTTTAATAGGTTTTATATTATGTATTTTGAAGTAATGCTATTGTGTGCATACATATTTATTATTTACATGTCTTCTTGGTGTATTTTCCCCTTTGTCATTATGAAATGTTATTCTTCATCCCCAGTGATATTTCCTGTTCTGATGCCTACTTTGCTCTTCACAGTTTTAGTGGGTTTTGGTTTGTTTGTTTTTCTTTTTTTTGGTTCAGGTAAGTTTCTTATAAAGAGCATATAGTTGAGTCAGGGTTTTTAATCCTGTCTTATGATCTCTGCCTTTTAATAAGAATATTTTGTCAATTTATATTTAATGCAATTATCAATATGATTGGGTGTATAACTACTCTCTTGCTATATGTTTTCTAAATGTCTCATCATTTTTGTTCATTTTCCCCCTTTTTCTGCCTTCTTTTGAATTGAAAATTTAGTTTTTAAGATCCGCTTTTATCTCCACTATTAGCTTTTAACCATTCCATTGTTTTAATTTTAATGATTGATATAGGGCTCATAAAATAGACAGTTCTTGTTTTCCTTAGTTTTGATATGCAAAGGCTTTAGTTATCATGCTTTAGTTACATAGCACAAGCCCCAAAACAAAACAGTGTAGGTACAGCAGTGTATTAATTGGGACTAATGGCTTGAAGTACAATTTTTTTCTGTTAACTCTTCAGTCCATAAAACTATTAGGTAAATGTCAGATTTGCATCAAGATCCATGATTAGTCATGTCACTTTTCTCAATATCTATCAATAATCAATTACTATGTATCTGTTTTGTATTCATACAGAGATAGGAAAGCATACAGTAGTGTTGCTTCTTTGTCTTTCAGTGATAAAGACGTGACATTACACAAAAATTGATAAACGACAGAAAATCAGCCAACAAAAATGAAAGTGTGGCAAATAAATGAAAGTGTCAACACCGAAAGTGAATTCAGATCGGATCTTGATGGATTTATAGAAGAAATAGTTAATTGCGAGAATGCTGACACAACTACCATCCAAGAGATTTCATATGTGCAGTCAGGGGAACTTATGGAATACATATTTACAACTTAAATGAAGAAGCTGATTGCAGGGAAAAGACGAAAGTTTTCCCAGAAGATGTGATGCTGAGAAAAAAAATTACATTGAAGAAACTCTCCAAGATGTTTAAAGACAATGAACGCACAAACAATAAAATGTTGGACAAATAATCAAATTTATAAAGAAGTATGGCAATTCACCAAAGCATAAAAAATATTGAGAGTCACATGATGAGAAGTTGTACAAATACTGTACAAACTAATCTGAATACATTTCAAAGAAATATATAAAACATGTATTTTAATTATCAATGTTTTAAATTATAGTGTACTATGTAAATACTAGTTTTAGGGTTGTTTTTTGGTTTTTACTTTTCTATGCATATATAACCAACAGTAAGACATTTTTAATATTTTGACAAATGTGTTTATTTATTTATTCTTTTATTTAGAGACAAGACCTCACTCTGTTGTCCAGGCTGGAGTGCAGTGGTATCAAAAAGGCTCACTGTAGCCTCGACCACCAGGCTGAGGTGATCCTCGCACCTCAGCTTCCTGGATAGCTGGGACTATAGGTACGTATCACCACTCCTGGCTAATTTGTTGTAGTTTTTGTAGAGACAGGGTTCTGTCATGTTGCCCAAACTGGTCTCAAACTCCTGGGCTCAAGTGATCTGCCCACCTTGGCCTCCCAAAGTGCTGGAATTACCAGTGCGAGCCACTGCACCTGACTGACAAGTGTTTTTAATGATTGCAGGAACAAGTTTATGTTTTTCCAGTAATTATTAAGATAACTTTGCCCAGTTTCAACTTGCACAGTGGTTACTAAGGCCCCGCACTGATGTGCATAAAGAGTACCATCTGTACATTTTTTTTAACTTAAAACACTCAACCTTCAAATAATATTTATAATACCTGCTATATAGTTTTAAAATATTGCAATTCTGAAGCCAGCATTACCATGATACTAAAACCCAGCAACCTATAATCCTGCAATGTAAGACCTCAAACTATAAGAATCCTAGAAGTAATGCTAGGAAACACCATTCTGAAAATCAGCCTTGGGAAAGAATTTATGACTAAGTCCTCGAAAGCAATTTCAACAAAACAAAAATTGACAAGTGGGACCTAATTCAACTAAAGAGCTTCTGCACAGTAAAAGAAACTATCAACAGCATAAGCAAACACCCCACAGCATGGGCGAAAATATTCACAAACAACGTGTTCAATAAAAGTCTCTTATCTGGAATCTATAAGGAACTTAAATAATTAAGCAAGCAAAAAACAAATAATTTTAAAAATGAGCAAAACCATGAACAGATACTTCTCAAAAGAAGGCACACAAGTGGCTAACAAACATGAAAAAAATGCTCGTAATCACTAATCTCAGAGAAATGTAAATCAAAACCAAAATGAGATATCATCTCACACTAGCCAGAATGGCTATTAATAAAAGCTCCAAAAATGTTTAATAATATATTTTATTGAAAAGTTCCTGCCAAGGCTATAGAAGAAGGGGAATGTTTATACACTGTTGGTGGGAATGTAAATTAGTTCAGCCCATGGGGAAAGTAGTTTGGAGATTTCTCAAAGAGCTTAAAACAGAACTACCATTTGACTTAATAATCCCATTTCTGGTTATATATCCATAAGAAAATATACCAAAAAGACACATGCACTTGTATGTTCATTGTAGCACTATTCCCAATAGCAAAGATATGGAATCAACCTAAGTGCCCATCAGCAGTGGATTGGATAAAGAGAATATGGTACATATACACTATGGAATACTACACAGCCATAATAAAGAACAAAACCATCTATTTGCAGCAACATGGATGCAACTTGCAGCCATTATCTTAAGTGAATTAATGCAGAAACAGAAAATCAAATACCACGTGTTCTCACGTGTAAATGGGAGTTAAACACAGGGTACTCATGGATATGAAAACGGCAACAATAGAAACTGGACACTGCTAGAGGGAGAGGAAGGGAGGGAGGGAGACCGGGGTTGAAAAACTATCTGTTAGGTACTATGCTCAGTACCTGGGCGACGGGCTTAACCGTACCACCAACCTCAGCATCACGCAATATATCCATGTAACAAACCTGTACATGTGTTCCATAAATTTAAAATAAATGTTCAAATAAAAAAACAAATATTATAACTGTCTATCCATTTTCTCTCTACAGTTCTTTGCCCTACTGTCATAGGGTTTTCCTCCTTTCTTTATAAATATTTTGAATACCACAGAAATAATTATTATTTTGGTTTTAAATAATCCATTACCTTTAACATTACTTAAAACATGAAAAAATGTCTTTTGTATGTATTGTTTCTTTTTCCTTTTTTTTTTTTTTTTTTTTTTTGAGATGGAGTCTTGCTCTGTTGCCCGGGCTGGAGTGCAGTGGTGCAATCATGGCTCACTGTAACCTCCACTTCGTGGGTTCGAGAGACTCTCCTGCCTCAGCCTCCTGAGTAGGTGGGATTAGAGGCACGTGCCACCACACCCAGCTAATTTTTGTATTTTTAGTAGAGACAGGGTTTGACCATGTTGGTCAGGCTGGTCTCCAACTCCTGACCTTGTGATCCGCCCACCTCAACCTCCCAAAGTGCTGAAATTACAGGCGTGAGCCACCATGCACTGCCCTATGTATTATTTCTAACATGAATCATTTCTTTTTAAAAATGTAAATTATCCCAGCACCATTTATTAAATAGGAATCCTTTACCCCATATCCAACAATGATAGACTGGATTAAGAAAATGTGGCACATAGACACCATGGAATACTATGCAGCCATAAAAAACGATGAGTTCATGTCCTTTATAGGGACATGGATGAAGCTGGAAACCATCATTCTCAGCAAACTATCGCAGGGACAAAAAAACAAACACCGCATGTTCTCACTCATAGGTGGGAATTGAACAATGAGAACACAGGAAGGGGAACATCACACACCAAGGCCTGTTGTGGGGTGGGGGGAGGGGGGAGGGATAGCATTAGGAGATATACCTAATGTTAAATGACGAGTTAATGGGTGCAGCACACCAACATGGCACATATATACATATGTAACAAACTTGCACGTTGTGCACATGTACCCTAAAACTTAAAGTATAATAATAAAAAAAGTACATTATCATCCTGTTACTTTCTTTTTGTCTACCATTTCTTTCAGTCCCAGTATGTTGTTGATAAAATCTATCAGCTACTTATTGTCAAAATAGCTTTATTTGCTTTCATTTTTGTAAATTTCTTGATTTTTTTAGAATTTTCACTTGAATGAATTTCCAGGTTGACTTGTTTCTCTTGCTTTAAGTAATAGAATGTTGCGCTACTGTCTTCTGATATACATGCTTATCATAAAAAGTAGTTATTACATTGGTTCCATTGTCAGTAATACATCTCTTTTTCTCCAACTGTTTTTAAGTTTTCTTTTTAAAAACAACTTTCTTCAACTTAATCCTTTTATTCATTTTGCTTTGAGTCCACTGCACTTCTTTTACCTGTTGGTTTATAGTTTTACCAAGTTTTAAAAATATCTCAACCACTACCTTTACAAGTAGTTTTTGCCCTGCCCCCATTTCCTGGGATTTCAATTATGTGTGTTGTTAAGCTGCTTAATATTTTCTAATCCCATAATTTCTATCTTTTCTTGGTCTGTTTTGATTAATTTTTGTCTTGTTTTGGATCAATTTTTTTGTTTATATGCATTTCTGTTATTTTTTTAATGTCTAAGGGAAATTCTGAATTCTACATTGTTAGGATCTGGATTTTGTTTTATTTCTTTAAAGAGAGATGAACTTTGTTTTCAAATGCAGTTAAGTTATCTGAGATCAATGGTGATATTGTTTGCTTTTAAATGTGATTATAATGGCTTCAGAGCCTTGACTCTAGAACTGATTCACCCCGCTACTAAGGTGTGATTATTCTGAGAACTCTATCTGCTATTATAAGTTTCTCACTCTGGCTGGAGCACATACGGGTTCTTCTAAGGCCCATATGACCTCCAGGAATTTCTCTGGCCCATTGCTAATGAAGACTCATTTTTCTATCTCATGGAGTTTTACTTTATGTAGGCACAGTTCAGTTCTCACTCAAGGACTCCAGAGAACCTCTATGTAAATCTCCACAGTTCTCTCTCTGTGCAGCCCTCTTCTCTCTGTCAGTCTGCCTTGATGATTCTAGTCACCTTGGCCTACATAAACTTTGATATCTTGCTCTTAAATTCAGCAAATCATGATATTCTCTCTCGGATTGTCTCATACCATGCTGGAGGCTGGAAATCACTTTCAGTAAGTATGCTGGCACAATAAAGGGTATATATTGTTTTCTTTCTCTCAGAAATGACAGTTTTGGGCTGCCTATTTTTTTCATGCAATAAAAACAGTTTATATACTTGTTCTGGATTTCTAGACGTTTACAAAAGTTGCATAATTCTGGTAATCATTAATTCTTTATCGGCAACAGTTGAATTCTCAGAGACTTGTTTAACTGCCCAGATGACAATTATCCTATTGCTTTATTCTTCAAATCTAGTAAGTGAATCAAAGTCAGTCTTAGTGATGATCAGTATCTCTATATTTTTGTCTAAAAAACAGAATGCTATTTTAATCTATAGATTCAAGTGTCATTTTATCTCTTTGAAGTTTTCAACAAGTAATGTTTCCAGTATTAATGTTCTTTCTTATTCTTCAAAACATCAAGTAGGCAGAGGTTGAGTCTCCATTGTCATGCATCTATATTTACCAATGCCATATTAAGGATTTTTATTATGCCTTTGTCTTTTCATATAATTTACTTTTGTGTGGTTTCTTCTAGATATTCACTATTTTTCTGGATGTAATTGCTGATGTATAGTGCCTATGTATTTCTTTTTTATATAATTCCTTAGTTGTTCACTTCAATTTCTAAATTGAGATTAAGTTAACTTCAATTTGTTCTCTGATTACTTTGGTAATTCTACTTGTGATTTAGTTTTAGCAACTGCATCTTGTTTATGCTTTTTGTTCATTTTCATATTTAGAAAATAGAACACCAGGCATATATATTTTACTGATTTTTTTCTCTCTGCATTCCTCATAGAACAGATCCAGGTATTAGCTAAGGGATCCTCTGGGGCAGGAGCGGTGTGGCATTGCAGTTTGTACCTTTTTTTAAATCCATGTTTTTGTAATGGAATACTGTCACACTAATTTCCTTACTCCCTAAGTACTGGACACTTGTTTCTCCTCCTATCAGCATTCACTTTTCTAAAGGTAATGTGGCTCATATTTAGATTCCTAGGTTTCTAAATCTACATTTCTAATCTCTATATTATCACATGCTGGTTAATGCTTTTCTCTTTTGCTCCTCTCCACTTCTGTGAGCTTCATTCTGTTTGGAACTCAGAGTATATGAAATGAATAGAGTACATCAGCCTGAATTCTCTTACAACTTCAAATTCTTTCCATTTTATGGTTAGACAACACTGAGTTACTCTATAGTGACTTTCCTACTTTTATTAATATCATGGTCACATTATTCCATAAAATCTAACAATTTTAAGAAAAATAGTTTTTGAGTTACATCTCCCAGAGTAGTGGCAATGATAGCTGGAAAAAATGACCATCCTGAACATGTACTGATTATACATGTGAAAGCATTCACTCTGATCACTCCTTGTTTTAGTTGAAATATAACAGTATTTGGAAGGTTTGCTTCTCAGTTCATGGTTTCGGGCTGTAGTTGTTTCTCTGAAGATGCTTATCTTCTTATTTTTTCTTGTTTTCTTTTTGTTCTCAATGAAATGAATTTTAATAGAAGAATGAAATGTAAAATATTCAAATTCAGTGTCTTACAGTGTCTATAGTTTTGGGCACTCATTTTGAAACTGAATAATAATTTTCAATGCATATGACTCATTCTCTACCCTCCTTTCTTCCATTCTTCTGAATGTGTGACAAACAAGTATAGATGCTCTGAATGGTAATAAATTAAAAAATCATTTCATGATGGTCCTATTCCTATAATTATATTTTCCAATTGACCTCCACTTCCTATCCTAACTGCATAAAAGTGAAATAAATCAGTGACTATATAATTTTAAAAATAAGTGGTCTGAATGATTTTGCTGGGATAAGTAATAAAAAATATTGAAATCTTTGAGGTTTTCAATTTGCTTAAAAAGAAAAAAGTTTCAGGCTTTGGCAAAGCAAACATGCATTTTGGTAAGTAATATTCCCCCTTAATTTTGAGATTTATTTTGGCTTCATACATTTCTTTCTTATATGAATACCATTAAAGTAAAAGTTATTTCAGAGTTATCAGGTTGAAGACTTTTATAGATGTATGTTCATGCATTTTTTTTTTCTTAAAAATATAGTTGTTTTAGTTTGTGCTGCCAGAGCAAAGTACCATAGACTAGGCACTTTGTAAACTGGATGGGTTTATAAACAACAGAAATTTATTTCTCACAGATCTTGAGTTCAGAAATATGAGATTAGAGTGCCAGCATGGATTAATTCTTGTGAGGACCCTCTTCTGACTTGTAGACTGCCGTCTTTTCTTTATATCCTCACACAATAGAAAAAGAGCAAGAGAGTTCTCTGGGGTCTTTTTTATAAGGGTGCTAATCTCATTCACATGGGCTCCAGTCTCATGATGTAATTTGCTCCCAAAGACCCCACCTCCTAGTACCATACATTGTGGGTTAGGATTTTGACATATGAATTTGGGTGGGGGGAGAAAAACAACCATTTAATCCATTGCAATAGTGAAGGTGGAGGAGATACAAAAAAATCTTCCGTAAGTCTTTCATAAATTATAGTATAAGAAAATATCATGAATGGTTCAGACTTGTGATTTTTATCACTACAAAAGAGATTATGGGACTGTGATATGGTCTGGCTCTGTCCCCACCCAAATCTCACCTTGAATTGTAATAATCTCAATATGTCAAGGGCAGGGCCAGGTGGAGATAATTGAATCATGGGGGCGGTCTCCCCCATACTGTTCTCATGGTAATGAATAAGTCCCTGTTGGTTTCATAATGGGAGTTCACCTGCACAAGCTCTTTTGCCTGCTGCCATCTAAGACATGCCTTTGCTCCTCCTTTGCTTTCTGCCATGATTGTGAGGCCTTCCCAGCCATGTGAAACTGTGAGGCCTCCCCAGCCATGTGAAACTGTGAGTCCACTAAATCACTTGTTCTTTATAAATGACCCGTCAAGTATGTCTTTATTTGCATGAAAACAGACTAACACAGACTGATTCATCTGGCTCAGAAATATTTGAATAGGACTTCTAAAAAGGGCCTTGCAAGGTATGTATTATGTGTATTGATGAAGATGGATGGAGTTTTCATGAAAGTTACATGTAAATACACAGACCAGCCAAGGTGAATAAAGAAAGAAAGAAAATTAGCAGAGATGGACAGAATAGAAGCCAAACACGAATCATTTATTTACTTCTCTTTAAAGTGCCAAAGCACATATTTAATTTTTTTTTTTTTTTTGAACTGGAGTCTCACTCTGTCACCCAGGCTGCAGTGCAGTGGTGCAATCTAGGCTCACTGCAACCTCCACCTCCCCGGTTCAAGCAATTCTCCTGCCTCAGCCTCCCAAGTAGCTGGCACCAGCCACCACACCTGGTTACATTTTTTTGTATTTTTAGTAAAGACGGGGTTTTACCATATTGGCCATGCTGGTCTTGAACTCCTGACCTTGTGATCTGCCTGCCTTGGCCTCCCAAAGTGTTGGGATTACAGGCATGAGCCACCATGCCCAGCCACATAATTAATTTTTATCACAGATTTCACAGATTTTAAACTCCTCAAGTTACATTTCTCAAGTAGTAAAATCACTTATTTCTGAGTGCATTTAAGATGGACCTTGAGTTTATTTAAAATGCAGATTCCCAGGTCCTGTTCTATGCCTGTTAAATCAGAATCTCTGGACTTGGAACTAACTGAGAAATTTGCACTTTAAGCAAAAATCCTGGTGAATTCTACTAAGGTTTTAAAGCCATTCATCTGACATGTGGAGTACAATCTCTTTAATTATCTTTAGTGAATATCCTCTATAATATTCCCAAAGATTGTAAGTAAATAGTTAAATGTATCAATGTTAAGACTTCAACAATTTAAGAAATGTTCCCTAATGCAGGTGGTTTTCTTACAAAACGGGAGGTATAGTTGAGTGTATGTATTGGAAAATAAGGACTAAAACTCTCTTTAAGGATAATACCAAAGGTAATTTTCTTAATCCCTACTTTTAAAAATATTACATTGGCTTTGGTCTTCTTGTTGAACGGTTAATAATTTGACCGATAAATCTATAAATTCTTGTTAACAACTTACTATAATCTTAGCTACATAAAGGTGATACAAAAGGAAGGGAACTATATAGTGCATGAAATTTGACCTAAGAGTTATGAAGAGTTTGAGAAAACAAGAGAAAATATGAAAGATTATCATAGAACAGAAGGTAATTGCATGGTATTAATTTTAAATGCTGCCACTATTCACAGGCTAAGGAAGAACAAAGAAGGTTTTTGTTGTAAGTCAGGTTTCAGGAAGTGATTTGGCTAAGATGTGGACCTAAAAGCTGGGTAATATCACTTACAGAAAATACCATTACAGAAAATACCGAAATAGTCACTATCCACAATTTAGAAGAAAAAAACCTAAAGTTATCTTTGTCCCATGATAATCAAGCAGTTGTCATTTAGCTCCTTTCAAGGTAACAAGGGATTTCATAGAATATTATACTTCAATAGCACTTCATCAAAATTTCATTTGCGGTAAATCTAATTATCTCATTTCTTTTTTTTTTGAGACGGAGTCTCGCTCTTTCACCCAGGCCGGAATGCAGTGGTGCGATCTCCGCTCACTGCAAGCTCCGCCTCCCGGGTTCTGGCCATTCTCCTGCCTCAGCCCCCCAAGTAGCTGGGACTACAGGATTATCTCATTTCTTACAAAAGTTACCCATGGTGCTGAGAAAACTAGAAACTGGCCTTTAGATGATGCTTGGTTTTGTTCCTATTTATTTTTAAAACTTGATATTTCTTCAGAGAGTAAACTTTGTTATATTATGACAACATGTCGGGTATCATCAATTTGAATTTTGTTAGATTCATTTTTATTTTTTAGAATCCCAAGATAAATTGCTCAGTTTTTATGCTTAGTTTAAATTTGAGAGCCTTAATATAAACTTGTACAATTTTGTTTCACTGTATGTTTTGTTATTATTTGGGAGGTGAGGAGAGTTCATTTGCAGTACAATTTTAGCATATTTTATAATATAGTCAGTCAAAAAAAAGCTTCACATGTATATATTTCTTCTTTATTTTAGACTGTAGGTTATGTATTTTAAAACCAATTGTTAGATGTCCCGTTATACAGATTTACTTCTTCCTATTTGGTGATTTTTTGATGCATTAAAAAGAGAAAATTGTATAAACCTAATGACTGTTGACAAGTGTTCAGAGAGAGAAAAAAGATCGATAATTAGCACAATGGAAGGACTTCCAAATCCACACTCTTTTGACGTTTTCTCACCTAAAAAGTATTTATTGCCGTTTTACTGGTTGATTGGTTGTCATTTTTCTTTCAGTTGTGTTTCTATGCAGAAATTGCATGGAACTGAACAGCAATTGCATTACAATTGAAATTGTTTCTAATATTATTCACTAATGGGCAAATCCATTACTTTAGGTCCATTTCATATACAAGGAAATGCAGTTACTCCGAGGACAATTCAGGTAAGTAACTACCGCAGCATGGACCCAAGGGTAGCGGCAGAAAGTGGTGCTGCTCTAAGTTTCTCCTCTAGTGGATGCCAAAAGAAAACATTCTTATCACTGTGTACATGCTAGGCATAATTGTTTTGATATGTGTTCAGCACAGGCTTTGGCAAAAGTCTTTCTATGTAAATCCAAACAGTAACTGTTGAATTACTCATTTAAACTTATGTGTTTCACAGCACAAGTTGTTAGTGAAAGGTTTCAACTTCTTATTTTAGACATTAAACAGATACCTCAAATGTTTGGGAATTCTTCGTTTACATCTCAGCAATGGAAATATTTAGCTTTTTTTTTTTTTTTTTTTTTTTTTTTTTTTAGCTAGCCAAGAGTCCCTGTACAGTGAGCAATCTTTTGGGTCTTCTCATCACTGAAGAATTTCTATGTGGACACTAAAGTAATATTAAAACCACTCACTCTCACTGGTAATTTACAGAATACAGTTTTAATAAACAGCAATATTGACAACAATAGCAATGATGAAACCTCTGAGGTGAGAGAGAATGTTAATTTTAGCAAAGAGTGTCTTGTCATCTGGACAAGGCTTACCAGTTCCTAGCCTCTAGTTTGTATACATTTATGCAATCATTTTGAATATTTACTCCCTGTATGCTGGTAGAAACATCAGTGTCAGGACATTACATGTGAAGGAATAATTCAACATTTAAGT
The DNA here is from genome assembly GCF_000001405.40 of Homo sapiens. NCBI lineage: Eukaryota > Metazoa > Chordata > Mammalia > Primates > Hominidae > Homo > Homo sapiens. The sequence continues at coordinate 131,994,231 of NC_000002.12, read as the reverse complement.
TTTTAAGAGTATATTTTTTTCAGATCTTGTTCCCCAAAGTTAAACATTGTGGTAGATTGAGACATTCATTATTAAATATCTTACAGAAAACAAAGGAAATCGTAACATCTTATTTACCATCATTAAGAGAAACCTGAAGGCCAATTACTCATTGAATGGCAGGCAACACAATTACATTATTGTATAGAATCCTCAGGACTGTATTAAAAAATTATGAGAAGGAGTTTACACAGGTCAGCCTATAAAACTACTCTATAATTTCTATCTGTAAATTGAAATAGAAAAGAAATAAGATTGAATTAAATATGATAATAGTAAATTTCATGTCTAAGTGTGCTAAACTAGCTGGCCTTTCCTATTCTTGAATAAAATTATTCTGGTTGCCATAATGCATCCCGAAGCTTACCTAGATGAGGAGAAATTCGAAGTATTCCAACGTCTGCCCTCATGAATAGATCAAGCCTTGGGGGAAACCAGTGATCTCTTGGCAACAGGACCAGAAGGTACGTAATCTCTTGTTTTAATTATATTTCATCTGCTGAAAAATTGCTTATCTCTCTGAGATTTATCTTAGAGATGACTGAAAGTAATTTTGTGACCTTCACATTGTCCGTATTTAAGTTAGATAACTGAAAATTTGGTGAGCATCCGAAAACCTCAAGTATGTATGGAGATTAAGATTTCCAACTCTGAAGAAAAACTGTCAGGTTCAAATCTTGGTCCTGTTCACCTCTGATGATGAACTCTGTGGTTACAAAACCCTCCTGCCTCCCTTTATCCATCTGAAAAAAAAATTGGTATGACTACATAGTTTGGCAAGTGGGGGCTAACTGAGCTACTAGACAACTTACACCGTAAGTCGACACAAAGCACATGCACAATAAGCATAATTAATATTACATTATTTTATTTTGTATGAGGTGGCAACAAATAGTTATCACATGCTTAATTTTAAATAAGCATTAATAGTGGTAGAAATTAAGGAAATATATTTATTAGAGAAAACTTAGAAATATGAAGGCTCTATCTAGTTATATTTATTTCTTATGTATCACATCCTCAATTTTAAATAAAAAGCATTAATAATAGTAGAAATTAAGAAAATACATTTATTAGAGAAGTCTATTAGAAATATCAAGGCTTAATCTAATTATATTTGTTTGTTAACTGAACTTGAGACATATGAATATTCACATACTTTAAGATATTTTATCACCTATTTGAAGAGGGACTCTGGCCACTATAAGAACAACTCGCACATAGCAAAAATTAGTGATTGAATACATTCTAAAGAGTAACATACATTTTGAAAGTGAGCTGTTGTTGGCTGGGCACGGTGGCTCACACCTATAATCCCAGCACTTTGGGAGGCCGAGGCGGGCAGATCACGAGGTCAGGAGATCGAGACCATCCTGGCTGACATGATGAAACCCCGTCTCGACTAAAAAAAATACAAAAAATTAGCCGGGCATGGTGGCGGATGCCTGTAGTCCCAGCTACTCAGGAGGCTGAGGCAGGAGAATGGTGTGAACCTGGAAGGTGGAGCTTGCAGTGAGCTGAGATCTCGCCAGTGCACTCCAGCCTGGGGGACAGAGCGAGACTCTGTCTCAAAAAAAAAAAAAAAAAAGTGAGCTGTTGTTATTGAACTTTTTATTATTACTTAATTACAAGAAAAAAAACAAAGTAAACAACCAAAAAAATTATAGTGTTGAGAAAATGCCAAGGCTGCTCACCCACTTCTTTAACCATTCTTCAAAAAAGTGAGCTGTTGTTATTGAACTTTTTATTATTAGTTAATTACAAGAAAAAACAAAGTAAACAACCAAAAAAATTATAGTGTTGAGAAAATGCCAAGGCTGTTCACCCACTTCTTTAACCATTCTTCAAATTTACCATATATATTTTTTTTTGACTAAGTGAGATAAATCACATTGAAATGCATGAAATAATGTCTGGCATCCAGTAGATGCTCAGTGACATTTGTCCCCTTTAATGGTTTCAACTGGCTAGGATTTCACACGAAGAACAGTAGCATTTTGGTATCACTAGGCTAATGTCCATTTTCTGTATTGGAGAGTAGAGAAACCCCTTGGGTGATAGCTTATTTTACCTACTATGGAATTTTTACAGAACAAAGTTAAGGGTCATCTGCTGTGTGGATTCCCACTGGTATGTGAGACGTGGCAGAACATAATGGTAAGAAGAAGGATTCAGGAGCTGAACCATCTGGGTTCTTCAGGCTGTATCACCTACTGCCTATGAGAGGTTTAGCCAGTTAGTTACCTTTGTGAGCTTCCTCTGGTGAGGATCAGAAGAATTAATACATAAGGCACCAATTATAATACTAACCCTGGGATGTAAAAAGGCTCAGTTATTATTACTGGTTACCATTATTATTAAGAGTGTTAATAATAATTACTACAGCAATCTTTTCTAGACAAGGGAAAGTGAAGCAACTAATTAACCCTCAAGGAAAAAAAGGTTTTTTTCACTGCTAAAGACTATTAACTCTGACATGAGTTTTAGAATATTTTTGCTTTCTCTCTCTTTGCCTGTATTTTCTTTATTTTTTATTCTAACATTTTCGATTTACCCAAGGATTTTGTTGCTAGATGGTGGTTCTGGTAGGCTGATCAAAGTTCATACCACAGGCAGTTAATTTTACCGAGATGGCTCCTGGTTTCTTTCTTTTTTAAATAAATCATAACCACTGCCGAGGTTGATATGAGGACTTCTCTCCATTGGCAAGTAGCATTGTAGCCACAACCTCTTATTAAAGCTTGAAACAAAATGGTGATTACTAGTGTTTATGGCCAAATTTTGTTCATGCCTGCCCACTGAATTTGTTTGGATACCAGGAAATTATGGACTGTGTGATTCGAATTAGGATAAGAGATTAAACCCTGGGAGCCATTCTTTAGCAAAGACTGTGCTGTTAAAAAAAATGGAAAATATCCTTTTAACCAAGTCAGTGAAATTAGCTTAGTCATGAGGATTGCAAGTGATCTTTCTGAACCTGAGATGTAAACACAGTGCCAAAAAATTTCATCAGGAGACTGAGGAGAGATGCTGATTCTTATTTTGTGAGAGATTTGTAATGCTAACTTAATCTTCTGACTGAACCCCTTAATTTCCCATTTTTAACTATTCTAGATGCTTGTCTCAGGAAATGGAAGAAATCTCTTCAATAATGTTACCAGAGACATGCCATGTCATTTCTATCTTCTCAATACAACTACTTAGTTCCTTTTTTCTTTCATTTTTGCATAATTTCCATAGCAACGTGTACATGGTGACTACATTACATCAATCAGCACCTCCACTCCTGGTCCCAGTTTTTTCTTTGCTAATCCTCACTGCTGACTTTTGTTGTTGTGGTTTCATTATCATTTCACAAGGTAACTACTGTCACCTTGGAAATGAAGTGCATGGTCAAAGCCCTTTAATACACAAAATATGTAAAATCTCCTCTTATGCATATTATACATGAAAGAAGGATAAGACCATCAGTTAGTTTTGTCTCCCCTGTAGAAAAAGCCAGAGCATCAGGACAGCTGCATCCTCTTTCACAGAAGTAGGAGAGCAGATGCTGAGGCAGGACACAATAGTACTTCAGCCTGTGTTGCCTCCACTTGCATCCTAGAGCACTTGTTGAACTCTCTCTTAGGTAAATGGTAATATTTTCTGAAGGCACTAAGGGAATTTTTACCATGAGGGTAAATACCAATTAGCTATTATCTCCTCTTAGTAGGAGTGTAGCACAAAGAACTTCTGATTGACTGCTTTTCAGGGGCAGGGATAATTTGTTTGTCTGCTTGTTTATGTATTTATTTATGATTTTAGTCAGATTGCATTCTAAGACTTTAGCAAGATTTCAACGAACATTTTCCTATTTTTTCTTTTTCTTTCTTTTTTTTTTTTTTTTTTTTTTGAGACGGAGTCTGGCTCTGTCACCCAGGCTGGAGTGCAGTGGTGCGACCTCGGCTCACTGCAAGCTCCACCTCCCAGGTTCATGCCATTCTCCTGCCTCAGCCTCTCGAGTAGCTGGGACTACAGGTGCCCACCACCACCACGCCCAGCTAATTTTTTGTATTTTTTTTTTTTAAGTAGAGATGGGGTTTCACCTTGTTGGCCAGGATGGTCTCAATCTCCTGACCTTGTGATCTGCCCACCTCGGCCTCCCAAACATTTTCCTATTTAAGCCTTGCCACTGAAAATTTTCTGTCTTTAAGTCCCACATAACAACTGCAGCCTGTAACATCTTGCTGACTGGCTTGACAGAGGATGGCCAATTTTTGTGTTTAGGCTCAGATGTGCAGTGCTGGGTTCTCAAATTGTGTCCCAGCCTGGGGCAGTGTGGCTTTAATAACATCCTCATTATCCATCCTTTATATAAAAAACCTTATACCTGTATGCAAAGCCATGGACTCTTAAGATTTTGAGTGCATCATACATGCTACAGGCAGCAGAAGATATATGAAGGATGTGCTTTCAGGCCAATCCCTGCCTAGTGTAGGCCCAGGTGGTATAATGCCTCATAACAGACCCCATTCCCTGGGCAAAGACATTGTGAATGGTGGGATTAGTATCCTCCTGTGACATGTGACATCCTCCTGTGACCTACTCACTATGATTTGGATGGTTCCCCTCAAGTTTGGGCTAGAGTGTCAGTGAGTGGATTAACTCAGGACAATTCCAGTTCTTTCTATGTACCTTCCTTTCGTCATGAGGGATATGAAGAAAACATTAGATCATGTTGGATGCTGTTTGTCTGTTGGTTGGTTGGTTGGTTGGGTTTAACAATAAGAGCACGTATCTAGTCTTCTAGTTTTGTAAGGCTGCCATAATAATTTACATCCAAGCTGGTGGCTTAAAACAACAGATATTTATTCTCTCACAGTTGTAGAAACCAGAAGTTTGGAATCAAAGTGTCAGAGGACCATGTTCCTTCCAAAAGCCCTAGGGAAAAATTTTAATTCTTCCTTGCCTCTTCCAGCTTTTGGTGGCCCCAGGCATTGCTTGGCTGATGGCAGCATAACTCCAGTCTCTACTTTTGTCTTCATATGTCATTATTCCCTATGTTTCTTTGTATTCTCCTTTTCTGTCTCTTATAAGGACACTCATTGGTGGATTTCATGCTTATCTCAATCCAGCATGACCTCAAATTGAGATGCTAACCTTAATTACATCTACAAAGATTCTTATGCCAAATAAAGTTACATTCTGAGATTCCAGTTGAACATATCTTTGGAGATCCACTGTTGAACCTACTATGCTTAAAAACTCAGGCCTGTCCCAAGGGCAGATTTAAAAAGAAAGAGAAATTCATTTTGCTTTCTGATTTTGAGATTGTTCCTCTTACCCCTACTCCATTTTCAACACCTGAACTTTATCAAGAAAACTCAAAGACAAAATGTGGCCAAGGTTGGCAATAAATACATTTTTGCCAATAATCTGATGGGAAATGTATGTTACTTCTTGTAAATCAAAATAAACTGGATCTGCTGGCAATCTGGTTAACCTGCAATTTGGATTATGACAATGGTGTTCTTATTTTATGCATTTTCACATGCTCCAAATCTCCTTCTGTATCTTTTTCTAAAATTTTGCTGAGAGTCCATCTTTTCTGACCAAAGGTGATTTCATTCTCCACTAAAGTAGTTATTAAAAATATCTTCTGGTAGATAAGGAAAAAGTGGCTCATGTATACCACTGGAATTCTACACAGTCATAAAAAAGAACCAAATTAGGTTATTTGCAGCAAAATGGATGCATATGGAGGCCATTATCCTAAGCAAGATAACAAGGAAACAGAACCAAATACTGCATGTTCTCACTTATAAGCAGGAGCTAACTATTGTGTATTCATGGTCATAATGGTGGAAAGGATAGTCACTGGGACTACTAGAGGATGGAAAGAGGGTGAGAGGCAGGGCTAAAAAACTATTTTTTGGATCTTATGCCCACTACCTCGGTGAAAGATTGATTCATACTCTAAACCTCAACATCACTCAATATACCTTTGCAGCTAACCTGCATGCATACCCCCAATTCTAAAATAAAAGTTGAAAAAAAAAGCTTAGAAAAGAATTGAAGGAAATACAAAAATAAATTACCACGACTACCTCTTGATGGTGAGTATGGGTAATTTTTGTTGGTTTATATTGACCCCCTATTTAGCAAAATTCCTGAAATGATCACATTAATGAGAAAATATAGTTTTCAGTTCCTAGAAAGGTTTGCTTGGTTTATGTTTAAAAACAAATGATTCAACGGCTCTTTTCACAGACTTGATGGTGATTTGGGAGAAAATCCAGAAATTGGTGACCTATCATGAGTTCATAATTAGCCCCATTATTTCTGATAAAACATTTCAGTAGCATTAAAATGCTAAGCTGAACTAAGATGTTCATGAAATGTATTCAAATAAACAAACCCAAATTAAACATGATTGTATAAAAATATCTTACTTGAATTGGTAATATAAATGCAGAATTTGTGAATGTTTATTTATAGTTCCTGTAATTTGGGGAAATTAAAGTCACTTGGGAACAATGTTTACTTCACTAGCAACCAAAGGAGTACAATTGAAAAATAATGACTTGAAAATAAAATAAAAGTAAAAAAGGACTTCATTTCTTTTCACACAGTCTGAAAGAGTGAGTGCACAAGCTTTTCTCTGCCCAACTCCTCTTTGTCCACAAGGAATTTTCAGAATTCCTCCGTGTCTGTCTTATAATTTCATTCCTTGCTCATATAAGCAAGTTGGTTCAGAAACCCTAAGACTGTTATACCGTCAGTTGGGTTAGTTTAAAATAACCCCTATGAGCAGTTGAACACCGAATTGGCAATGCTTTGGAAAGCAGAGACCCTGTCAGCTAACCAGCCATCCTTTAAAATCAATTCATATTCTCACAGTCCCTGGGGATTGTTTCACAGGGCTAAAATTTCGCTGTTGGAACAGGGTTGCTTGAAGATAACAGGGATACTTGAAGGTAAGCATGTCAATATTTTGCTGTTTCTGAATGTCATTCATTCAGAGATGGCTTAAGACATTTGCAATTCATTCAAAGATGGCATAAGAAATTTGGATTTTCAAACTTTAGTTTTCTCATCTTAGAGTTTGAGGTAATTTTATTTGTCAGCTGCCAGAAAATAAAAAGTACACATAAGGTAGCAGACTAATATCTACATTGACCTATTGTAGAACCAGAAGGACCCATTTATTTAGCAAGAGACTTCTTTACTGTGTCTAGTTCAGGTTCCTGGAAAGATGGGACAATTCGTAGTAACACCCATTCCTTCTGCTAAGGGTCATGAGATAGGTTTAGACATATGGTCCCATTTTGATGATGTTTTAAACTTTGTTTATTTTACATACCCTGTGATAGGGCCAATCAATGTAGGGGCCTAAACGTCGGTATAGCCTGTAATTTTGACAGATGCCCAGATTGTGGTATTGACAAATAGGACAGATGTCCCGAGGGGCATATGTGTAGAAATAGATGACATTTCACAGAGAATTTACTAATTCAATATAATGCTGAAACAACATGTGATAGTAGTTGAACCCATATATAGAATACATTTGGGGAAATTTTTCTCACATATTTGATGTGGTGCCCAGAACTATATGATGTGAAGAGTAATTGTGTGTTTTGTATGGGAACACATTAGTAAAACCTCATGTAAATCAAAATCAATCCAGATGAAAAATAATTAATAACGGTGTTTACAAACTCGAATAATACCTGCACAAGGCAATGGCATAAACAAAGTTTACAATGCCTCCAGATGGCAATATTTGAAAGATGATTTCGAGTTTTACACACAAATCGAGAATTTATTCATATAACATATGGAGCTAACTAAAATCCATATAATTCAAATTAGCTTACATTGTAACTAAATGGAATGGAAAAGGAGTTCCTGTTCATTTTACCACTTTCAGAATAGAAAATTCTGGATCTGGTGAAAATTGATCATTTTCCTTTTGTTTTAATTCAAGGTATAGACTCGTGTCTAAAGACATGGTTAACTGTTTAAGGAGAATAGAAGATGAAGAAGGGTTAAATGACAAGCAAGTTTTAAAAGTCTGATATCAACTAATTTTTAGGCAAGGAAGATTTAAAAATTTCACTGTGATTTGAGTGAGAGGCCCCTTACTTTTTATATCACATTGTAAGTTTAAAGAAGAAGAGAATAAAAACATCATGGCTAAATCACCTGAAATGACTTCAAATTTTCTACAAATGATAAACATATCCAATGTGATAATTATAATTCAAGGCCCATTTTAATCTGACCCTAAATTTTCTTTCCCATTCTAATAATCAATAAGCTAATCAATAAGCTCATAACATCCTACAGATTCAGCACACACACATGCACACACACACAGAGAAACACAGTCACTTCTTCAAACACATTGTTTTTTCATTTTTCTTCACCTTTCTTCTATTTATTTATGAGAGTGCCCACCTCCAAGGTAAGAGGGTTATTGAGATAATTTTATAAATGTCATGGGGCTTGCCCTCATAAAGTCTACATTCCAGAAAGGAAGTTGACAAGAAACAACCAATGGTTCAATTACTTATTAAAATTAGTTTTGATCATTATCTCTCTATCCACTATTAATCTACCTATAATCTTCTTTGCTCTTTTCCATGTTTAATGAACTCTTAGACTTTTCTTTTAACTTTTATTTTAAGTTCACGAGTACAAGTGCAGGTTTGATACATTGGTAAATTTGTGTCTTGGGGGTTTATTGTACAGATTATTTCATCACCCTGGTATTAAGCCTAATACCCATTAGTTATTTTTCCTGATCCTCTCCCTCTACCCTCTAGCCTGTGAAAAGCCCCATGGGTGTTGTTACCCTCTGTGTCCATATGTGCTCATCATTTAGCTCCCACTTATAAGTGAGAACATGTGGTATTTGGTTTTCTGTCTCTACATTAGTTGGCTAAGGATAATGGCCTCCAGCTCCATAATGTCCCTAAAAAGGACATGATCTCATTCTTTTTACGGCATAGCATTCCATGATGAATATGTACCATATTTTCTTTATCCAGTCTATCACTGATGGGCATTTAGATTGATTCCATGTCGTTGCTTTGTGAATAGTACTGCAATGAAGATATGCATGCATGTGTCTTTATAATAGAGTAATTTATATTCCTTTGGGTATTGATAAGGTTTGGCTGTTACCCCACCCAAATCTCATCTTGAATTATAGCTCCCGTAATTCCCATGTTTCATGAGAGGGACCCAGTGGGAGATAATTGAATCATGGGGGCAGGTCTTTCCCATGCTGTTCTCCTGATAGTGAATAGATCTCATGAGATCCGATGGTTTTATAAATGGGAGTTGCCCTGCACAAGTTAACAAGTTCTCTCTTGCCTGCCTCCATGTAAGATGTGACTTTGATCCTCATTCTCTTTCTGCCATGATTGTGAGGCCTCCCCAGCCATGTGGAACTGTGAGTCCATTAAACCTCTTTTCTTTATAATTTACCCAGTCTCAGATACATCTTTATTAACAGCATAAGAACAGACTAGTACAGGTAATGGGATTACTGGGTTGAGTGGTACTCCTTTCTTTAGGTCTTTGAAGAATCACCACCCTGTCTTCCACAATGGATGAACTAATTTACACTCCCACCAACTGTGTATAAGCATCTCTTTTTCTCTACAACCTTGCCAGCATCTTTCATTTTTTTATTTTGATAATAGCCATTCTGACTGGTGTTAGTATCTCATTGCAGTTTTGATTTGCATTTCTCAGAGTCTAAAATCTAGAATTAAAACTTTTAACTTGGTGAGCCTATGTTGAATGACTACAGAGAACCTAGATAAGCAATTTTCGTTTGCATTTTATCCAAAACAGGTGGCAAGAAGAAAAGTTTAAGAATTTCAAGTGGCTTGATTGGACTCTTCTTCATGGTCGCTGAGTCAAGGACCTTCTCTTCTAGTGAATTTAAGGGTTTTGTGGAACACTAGTCTTTCTTTATGAACTCTGTCCTCTTTCTCATACAATTTATCTTTTCCACATATGGATGGAATAAAACTGCAGAAAATATAATGAAATGGATAACCATATATTTTTTAAAATAGAAATTTTTGAGTACTGACATTCAAGGTTTTAATTCTAGATTTAAAAATACATTTTATTTACACACTCATCAGTTAATGGATGCTTGAATTATTTTCACTTTCAGTCTATTATGAATAATGCTGCTATGAACGTTAATGTATAAGTATTTGTGTGAACAAATAGAACAGACATGGTCAGTTCTCTTGTGTATATTCCTACAAGTAGAATTTCTGGGTCTTATGGCAGCTCTATGTTTGATTTTATGCAGAATTTCTAAACTGTTTTTCAAAGAAACTGTTTTACATTCTGAGAAGCAATGTATGAGAGTTCTAATTCTTTTACATCCTCAACAACACTTGTTATTATCTGTCTTTTTTATTATAGTTATTCTGGTATTTGTGAAGTTTCATCTCATTATGATTGTGATTTGCATTTCCCTAATGGCTAATAACAGTCAGCATATTTTCATGTGCCTATTGGCCATTTGTATATCTTCCTTGGCATAAAGTCTTTCAAATTACTTGCTCATTTTTTAATTGAGTTATTTGTCTTTTGATTTTTTAGTTGTAACAGTTCTTTATATAGTATGCATAAGTCCTTATCAGATACACAATGTGAAAATATTTTGGTTCCTGCTATACATTGGTTTTCCCCTTTATAAGTGGTGTATTTTGTAGATCAAAAGCCTTTAATTTTAATGAAGTCCAGTTTAACAATATTTTTCTCGTGTTGCTTGTGTTTTAAGTGTCTTATTGTTTGTTAAGTGTCATAGGTTTTTTAATATGAATGAGTGTTGGATTTTCTCCAAAGATTTTTCCACAACTATTGTCATGATAATCCTTTTTGATCCTTTATTTTATTAATATACATATGTTATTAATTGATTTTCCATTGTTGAAGCATATTTGTGTATCTGGGATAAATCCTACTTGGTCATGTTTTGTAATCCTATTTAAAGTTATTGGGTTTAGTTTGCTAGTATTTGACTGAGGATTTTTTTTTTCTTTTCTTTGTATTTGTAAGGAATATCAGAGTTTTTTTCAATATTTATTTTAGATTCATGGGGCATATGTGCTGCTTTGTTACTTGGATATATTGTCTGATGCTAAGGTTTGGGGTATAAGTGATCCCATTTACCAAGGTACTAAACATAGTACACAAAAGCAGGTTTTTCAACCCTTGCCTCTACTCCTCCTTCACTCCACCTGCTAGCTGCACCCAGTGTCTATTGTTGCCATCTTTATGTTTATGAGTACCTAATATTTAGCTCCAATTTATAATTGAGAAAAGACTGTATTTAGTTTTCTGTTACTGCATTAATCTGCTTAGGATGATGGCCTCCAGCTACATCTGTGTTGCTGCAAAGGACATGATTTTGTTCTTTTTATGGCTGTGTAGTGTTCCATCATGTATATTTGCCATGTTTTCTTTATCCATTCCACCATTAATGGGCACCTAGGTTGATTTCATGGCTGCTATTGTGAATAGGACTGCGAGGCACATATGAGAGCCTATGTATTCTTGCTAAAACAATTTGTTTTCTTTTAGATACATAACCAGTAATGGGATTGCTGGGTCAAATTGTAGTTCCCTTTTAAAGTCTTTAAAAAATCTCCAAACCACTTTCCATAGTGGCTGAACTAATTTAGATTTCCATTGAAAGTGTGCAAGCATTCCCTTTTCTCCATAGCCTTGCCAGCATCTGTTATTTTTTGATGTTTTAATAATATCCATTCTGACTGATGTGAGATGGAACCTCATTGCAGTGATTTGCATTTCTCTGATGATTAGTGATGTGGAGAATTTTTTATATGTTTGTAAACCACTTTTATGTCTTCTTCTGAGAGGTGTCTATTCATGTCTTTTGTTCATTTGTATTCATGTTATTTGTTTTATGCTTATTAATTTGTTTAATTTTCTTATAGATTTGGGGTATTGGGACCTTTGTTGGAAGTGTAGTTTGTGAGTATTTTATCTCATTCTGTAGGTTGCCTGTTTTCTCTGTTGATAATTTCTTTTGCTGTGTAGAGCTCTTTAATTTAATTAGACCCCACTTGTCAATTTTTGTTTTGGTTGCAATTGCTTTTGAGGACTTAGTCATAAATTATTTCCCAAGGCCAATGTCCAGAATGGAGTTTCCTAGGATTCTTGTAGTTTGAGGTCTTGTGTTTCAATCTTTAATCCAACCTCAGTTAATTTTTTTATATGGTGAAAGGTGGGGTTGAGTTTCATTCTTCTACATACAGCTACCCAACTAGCCCACACCATTTATTGAATACAGAGTAGTCTTTTCCCTGTTGGTTATTTTTCTTAACTTTGTTAAAGATCAGATATCTGTAGGTGTGCAGCTTTATTTCTGGGTTTTCTGTTCCATTCCATTGGTCTATGTGTCTGTTTTTGTACCAGTACCATGCTGTTCTGGCACCAGTACCATGCTATTTTGGTTACCATCACCTGATAGTATATTTGGAAGTCAGCAAACATGATGCCTCTGGCTTTGTTCTTTGTGATTAAGATTACTTTGGCTATTTTGGCTGTTTGGAGTTTCATATGAATTATTTAATAGTTTTTTTCTGGTTTTATAGAAAAAAAATGACATGGTAGTTTGGAACTTCCTAGAGACTTATTGAATGGCTCTGACCAAAATACTGATAGTGATATGGACAATAAAGTCCAGGCTGAAGTGGTCTCAGATGGAGATGAGGAACTTGTTGGGAACTGAAGCAAAGGTGACTCTTGTTATACTTTAGCAAAGAGACTGGCAGCATTTTTCCCCTGCCCTAAAGATTTGTGGAACTTTGAACTTGAGAGAGATGATTTAGGGCGTCTGATGCAATAAATTTCTAAGGAGCAAAGCATTCAAGAAGTGACTTGGGTACTGTTAAAAACATTCAGTTTTATTTATTCAGAAAGGTATGGTTTGGAGTTGAAATTTATGTTTAAAAGGGAAGCAGATCATAGAAGTTTGGTAAATTTGTAGCCTGATGATGTGATAGAAAAGAAAAACTCATTTTCTGAGGAGAAATTCAAGCTGGCTGTAGAAATTTGCATAAGTAATAAGGAGTCAAATGTTAATCATGAAGACAATGGGGAAAATATCTCCAGGGCATGTCAGAGGTCTTTATGGCAGCCCCTCCCATCACAGGCCCAGAGGCCTAGGAGGAAAAATGGCTTCATAGGTTGGGTCCAGGGCCTTGCTGCTTTGAGCACTCTCCCAACTTGCTCCCCTGCATCCCAGCTGTGGCTAAGAGGAGCCAGTGTATAGATCAGGTCATTGCTTCAGAGGGTGAAAGTCTCAAGCCTTGGCAGCTTACATGTGGCATTGGGCCTCCAGGTACACAGAAATCAAGAATTGAGGTTTGAGAACCTCCACATAGATTTCAGAGAATTTGTGGAAATGTCTGGATGTCCAGGCAGAGGTGTGCTGCAGGGGCAGAGTCCTCATGGAAAACTTCTGTTAGTGCAGAGTGGAAGGGAAATGTGGAGTCAAGCACTGTCTGGGGCACTGCCTGGTGGAGCTGTGAGAAGAGGGCCACCATCGTCCAGACTCCAGAATGGTAGATCCACTGACAACATGCACCATGCACCTGGTAAAGCTGCAGAAACTCAATGCCAGCTCATGAAAGCAGCCAGAAAGGGAGCTGTACCCTGTAAAGACACAGGGGCAGAGCTGCCCAAGGTCATGGGTGCCTACCTCTTGCATCCGTGAGACCTCGATGTGAGACATGAAGACAAAGGAGATCATTTTGGAGCTTTAAGATTTGACTGCTCTGCTGGATTTTGGATTTCTATGGGGCCTGTAGCCTCTTCATTTTGCCAATTTTTCCCATCTGGAATGGCTGTATTTACACAATGCCTGTATCTCCACTGTATCTAGGAAGTAACTAACTTGCTTTTGATTTTACAGGCTCATAGGCAGAAGGGACTTGCCTTGTCTTAGATGAGACTTTGGACTGTGGACTTTTGAGTTAATGCTGAAATGAGTTAAGATTTTGGAGGACTGTTGGGAAAGCATGATTGGTTTTGAAATGTGAGGATATGAGATTTGGGAGGGGCCATGGGTGGAATGATATGATTTGCCTGTGTCCCCACTCAGATCTCATCCAGAATTTTAGCTCTCACAATCCCCATGTGTTGTGGGAGGAACCCAGTGGGAGGTAATTGAATCATGGAGGTGGGTCTTTCCCATGCTGTTCTTGTGATAGTAAATAAGTCTCATGACTCATGAGATCTGATGGTTTGATAAAGGGGAGTTCCCCTGCATACACTCTTTCTTGCCTGCTGCCATGTAAGACGTGTTTGCTTCTCCTTTGCTTTCCACCATGATTGTGAGGCCTCCCCAGCCATGTGGATCTGTGAGTCAATTAAACCTCTTTCCTTTATAAATTACCCAGTCCCAAGTATGTCTTTATTAGCAGTCTGAGAACAGACTAATACAACAGGATTGTGGGAAGTTCTCCAGGCATTCAGAGCACCCACCTTCCTGAATTAGGAGTAGGGAAACCAACTGCACCAAGATCTCTGCACAGAAGAGGTGGGGTGATTCAGGCTGCTGAACCAGGCAGGCAGAAGCTTGGAATGCCTGGAGATCTACCTGAACATGTAGCAGCAAAGGCCCCTGCACCAAGACCTCTAACCAGGAAGAGTGGGGCATATCAAGCTGCTGATCCAGGCAAGTTGGTGCTCTGAATGTCTGGAGGTCTGCCTGAGTGTGGAGTAGAGAGGGCCATTCTGTACCATGATCTATGTCCAGGAAGGTTGGGTGGCTCCGGCTGCTGAACCAGAAGAACAGGTGCTTTAACTGCCTGGAGATCTGCCCAGGCATGAAGCAGAGAAGGCCTCCCTGCACCAGTAGCTCTGAACAGAAAGAATAGTGGTGAGTCAGGCTGCTGATTCAAGTGAGTAAATGTCTGGAGGCCTGCCTGGGTATGGAGCAGAGAAAGCCCCACTGCACCAGGATCTCTGTACAGGAAGGGTGGAGCAGGTTAGGCTCTGAACCCAGTGAACAGATGCTCCTAATGCCTGGAGATCTGCCTTGGCATAAAGTGTAGGGGGCTGCTCTGCACCACAATCTATGTTCATGAAGAGTTGAGTGGCTAAGGCTGCTAGTCCAGGAAAGCGGCTGCGCCAAATGCCTGAATTTTTGCCTGAGGTTTGAGCAGAGGAACTCACTGCACTATTATCTTGGTAGAGCAGATGGAGACATCTAGAAATGGCACACACAGACCAATTCCAGGTCACTAGGCTGGCCTTGGCTGCAAATCTCACTACCCGGAAGAAACTGCAGCTGTAGCAGCACTCCTCCTGCCCCAGGCTTGTGACAAGGGAAAGCACAATTTCAGTGTCCTCTCTGGATGTGCTTTCCATAGCTCTGGTTGTGGAGGCCCTTATCCCACTCTAGAGCAGGCCCCCCCAATCTCTGCCTCAAGAATAAAATTCCTGAGTGGTCATGCTGCCAAGTTGCCAAAGAATGCCTGACTTTGTATGCCTGGATTAAAAATGGTATGCTGTTCTTGGTCCCAGGTCTGGGAAAATGTCTGCAGTTTTTCCCAGTGTCTTTCCCTCACAACATCTTCAAGCCTCTCCCCATGCTGGCTCTAGGGCTTGGGAGAAAGACAGTGCTGTTTCTCGACCTGGGTCGCTTGAGTTCCCACTGGAAAAATGAGTCACATGGGGAGGCTCTCTGCTTCTCTCATATCCTCCTGGAGCTTCAATCACATTTACCAGACAGATACCATCATGGGGACTGTCTGTCAGTGTTCTTTCTCCACAGGATCTGGAGTGCCCTTCACAATTCTGATGGTTTCCCATTTTCTTCTTGAATTAAAGCTCACAGAGTTGATCTTTATGCACTATTTTACTACTTCCAAGTGGCTGAGGCATCATAAAAGCCTCTAATCTGCCACCTTGGGAAAAAAAATAGGGATTCTTAATTTGTTTTACTTGTGATGTATTTGTCTGGTTTTACTAGTCTTATAAAAAGAGTTGGAAAATAATCCCTCCTTTTCTATTTTTTGAGTGTGTTTGTGAAGAATTAGTGTAAACTCTTCTAAACATTTGGTAGAATGTATCAGTAAAGCCATCTATTCTAGGGATTATGTGCGTATTGGTGGAGGGAAGTTTTATATTGCCTACTTTATTTCTTCCTTCATGTATTTTGGGATTATCTTGACAGATGCATATGTGCTTATTGTTATGTTTTCTTGATGTATTAATCCTTTCTATAATTGTAAAATACTCTTTCTCACTAATCACAATTTATCTCTTGAAGTTTGTTTTGTGTGTTATTATGACCAGGTCTCTTTTGATTACTGTTTGAATGATTTATCTTATTCAGTCATTTGTATTCAAACTGTTTGTGTCTTTGAATATAAAGTGTGTCTGCTGAATAAAACAGATAGTTGGATTATGTTTTTTCTAAACCCATCTGCAAACTCTATTTTAAATGGAGTTTGTAATCTATATACATTTAATGTAATTACTGATATATAGAATTTATGTTTGCCAGTTTACCAGTTGTTTTCTATATGTCTTCTGCTTTTTTATTTCTCTATTTTTCTAAGATTGCCTTTTCTTTAGTCAATAGATATTTTTAATGCACTGTATTAATCCCCTTATCACTGATTTTATTATAGTTTGTAAGTTATTTTCTTAGGGTTGCCTGATGGGCTACAAGTAGTATCTTAATTTTTGAAAATCTAGTTAGATTTACTATCAACTTAATTTTAATAGCATACAAAAATTTTGATTCTAAATAGCATTGTTCTCTCCTTCCTTTGTTGTATTACTATACATATTACATATTTATTCAATGTATGAATTCACTGTATTCATCTTTATTCATTACATCTTTATTCATTGTATTACTTATAACCATTGCTTTATGCAGTTTATTTTTGAATCAGGTAGGAGAAAAGAAAATAGTTACAAAAAATAAATTTACATTCTCTTTCATATATTTCTAATTTTTGCTTTTTCTATTGTTCTGCATTTGTTTATATGGACTCTAGATATTGTCAAGTGTAATTTTATTTCATATTGAAATACCTCTTTTAATATTTCTTGCATGGAAACTTTGCTAGTAAGAGATTCTGTCAGTTTTGGTTTCAGAGAATAAGTGAGAATATTTTCACTTCTTTTTCATTTTTGAAGTATAGTTTTGTTGGTTATGAAATTATTCGTTGATAGTCATTTACTTTCAAAACTTTAAAAATGTCATCTCTCTGCCTCTGGTTTCCATGGTTTCTAATGAAAAATCAGTGAAAAATTATTCAGACTCTTTTGCACATGAAGAGTTGCTCCTCTTTTTTTGTTTTCAGATTCTTTCTTTGTCATTTTCTTTTGATTGTTTAATTATAATTTTTTAAAAATGTGAATCTCTTGAGTTTATCCTACTTGGGAGTCATAGATCTTTTGGATGTGCAAGTTAATATTCTTTGTCAAATTTTGGAAGTTTTTAAGTATGTTTTGTATTGTTCTTCACATATTTTTATGCCCCATTTCTCTTCTGTTCCCTCTTCCTTTGGGACTTCCATTATACATATTTTGCTATGCTTGATGATATCTCTGAGTCTGTCCATTTGTCTTTATTTCTTTTTCCTTCTGTTTCTTGCATTAGATAATCTCATTGACCTATATTTAAGTTGGCTAACTCTTTTCCCTGCTTTCTAAAATCTGCTGTTAAGTCACTCTAGTACATTTTTATACAGTTATTATACATTTTAATTCTGTAATTAATATATATTATTTATAGAATTGCTTATTAGTATTATTTATTTGGTGAGACATTTATTCTCAAATGTTCCTTTAGCTTTTTAGAAATAGCTTATTTTAGTTATTAAACAAATTTTTATCATGGTGGATTTAAAAACCTTTGTCTACTAAGCCAAACACCTGAGCTTTCTCATGGACGGTTTTATTGATTGCGTGTTGTTCCTGTGTGTGAGCCATACATATTGTCTTACTTTTTGTATGCCTTATAAATTTTTGTTGAAAACTGAACATTTTAAATAATAAAAATGTGACAACTCTGAAAATTATATTTTACTCCCTTCAAATTTTGTTGATTTTGCTATTTGTTTTTGTCATTTGTTTCTTTAGTGACTTTTCTGAACTAATTGTCTAAAGTTTTTGTTTGTCATCATGTTTGAACACTGAAGTCTCTGTTTGCTTAACTTAGTAGTCAGTGAAAGAATAGACAGAAATTTCATTAAAGACCTGGAACCCGTAACTCTTCCGGTCTCTGCTGAGTGGCTCTGTGTGCATTTCAGGGCACACTTTTAACACCCAGCCGGTTGGTTGACAACTCTGCCTTAGTCTTCACATTCTGCTTTCCCATAGCTTCATGGTCATCTGGAGGTGAAAGCTTAGGGCCTTCTCATATTTTTCTTGAGAATAAGCATTGTGCTTAGAATGTGCACAATCATACGTGTGTGAGTGACCTTTTATAGTGCCAGTAATATGTCAGAAGTCTTCAAAACTCCTATTTATATTTCCTAGCTTTTTAAGTTTTCCAGCTACCATATTATTTGCCCTAACTGTTATCTACCACTTTAGTCTACCATGATTTAAAAAAGTTGCCTTTCAATGTTTTCAATAAGTATGCTAGTTAAAAAGACTTTCATGGGCCAGTTACAAATGAGGTCAAATAAAGACAGTTTTATAAGTGGTATCTTGCAGTAAGCCATGTTCCAGGTCAAACAATAATTCTCAGGGAACTAAGCTGAAGGCTGCCAGATTGCTAGTAGTCAGCGATTGAGAGATATTTATTTTCAAGGTGACTGTGTAACTTGAGAGAGGGTGATGAGAATAAGCAGCCTAAAATACCACAAAGCTTACAGCTCTTACCATAATTTAACCTTTCTTTCTCTTTTGGTTCTTTGTTTATTAAATAAATTATTTAAGAGTTTTAAAAGAGCTGATTCTGATTATTTTTGCACATTTTTAATTGTTTATGTGGGGGAGATAATTTGCATATGCCCTCACATCATCATTTGTATTGCTATCACTCTTCTTCTTCATATTATGGTCAAATGTAATATCACTAGAAATAAAAATATTTTCATGAGCACTTGCTAAGATCAAGATTCAGCCTTAAACTTGACCTTTTCAGAAATGCTTTTCAATATTCAGAAGGTAGTGGTTCCTTCCTAAATAACACAATGTAGCTGTAAACAATTGGATCCATTTCCTTTCCTTACCCATTTCATTCAACAAATGTCTTTTCCCTCAACTCCCTTATGTTTTAGAATTATCTGACTCCTGTGGTCATCTTCTTTCTGAGGGTTAGCAATCATGAAATAACTTCTAAGCATATAAGTTTTTAGAAATTCATTTACATGATGTATAGTAGACACACCATCTCTCATGGAATTGAAACAGGATTCCTTTTTATCTCAAACCTGCAGGTTGTTGGTAAGCATGTAAGTGATACTTTTCACTTTGGCTACATCACACCATTCTAAATTCGTATCTTTTCAAATGCTATTATTTCTGACATTTCAAGCTGTAAACCTAGAAAGGCAGTACTCAGATGTCCACTTTGTGGATTTTGTATTTTTCTACGTGATAGGCCTATGTAATAATATAGTTTTCCCTTTCAGGCACTTGGAATAATTTAAAGCAAATTATTTTCATGGAAAACTGATCCATGTTTGAGTCCTCAAATGCTTACACTAGGAGGGAAGTAACCTTTTCAGATGAGTGTCTGTTTTACTACATTTCCGCAAGAAACATCAAATTTCATATTTCACTATTTTTAAACTAGAGAAACCTAGGAAATTGTTATTTTCCAAGAACAATGTGATGCTGACTTTCCCCTTCTCCCTTTGCCAAACAGTGTGATAGAATTTTCCGTCATTCTCACAAGAATTAACAATTAATTATTCTATTACTGTTTCAAAATAAAAATTCTCTGCCACTATCTCCACAAAATTTGTCACTTTGCCACCACCAGCACTATGATGACTGAGAATAATCAGAGCATAATTTGATTCCTATAATGTTAATAGAAGCCAACTAAATGGACATCATTTATTTGGTAAGTGTTAGAGTGTAAGCTCCACGTAGTCAGTTTTTTTATCTGTTTTTTTCAGTGTCAGATACCAAGATTTGAGCACAGTTTCTGATGTATACTCAGTGCTAAATAGCATGTTGAATGAAGGGGTGAATGACTCCTGTGCTCAAATTCTATTTGATTAATTCAAACATAATCTGCCTCTTGTGCACAGGATGAAATTATCCTGACTCTGTATTTTTAATTATAATAATAGCAATATGAAATATATCTGCATAATTTTATAAAATTCACAAAATCATTTACAGTCCGCATTTTCTCACCTAAGACTCTAAACAGAGCAAGGCCTTATTATCATAATTTTATTGATAATCACATTTAGACTAGGAGAAATTGAGTGTGATTTATCCAAGAGTCACAGAGTGAGAAAATATCAAGAGGAGGTTTCAAACTCAGGGCTTATGACTTCTGAGTCTCTATGTATTTCACTACATCCATGCATTGTATATAGTATTTTTCAAAGTTTGCAAAGCAATGCCCCTTATTTACCTTATGTGATTCTTTTGTTTCTCCCCTTCCCCAACTTTGGAGATAAGCAGGGTTTTGTTTATCTAATGCTACACAAAAAGTCACCCCCAAACTTGGAATCCAAAATAATTATTTATGGTAATGTGTGTTGACTGAGCTCAACTGGTTATTTCTCACTTGAGATATCTCCTGGAGTGTCGGTCAGATGGTAGCAGAATCTAGAGTCATCTGAAAGTTCAACTAGACTGGACAACCAAGAAAGTATCTTCATTCACATGTCTGACACCTCAGGTGGGATTGCTAAAAGAGCAGACACTATAGCTCTTTTTCTTTTTGTGGACTCTCCATATGGCTAGCTTGGGCTTCCTCAAACTTAGAGTCCTCAGAGTGCTTGAACTTCATGTTCAGAAAGTTGGCTTCCTACAGACTACACATTCCTAGAGAAAAAGAAAAACGCCACATTCTATTGTTTACATAGGGCAAGCCCTCATTTATTTTGGTTAAAAACTATACAAAATGTGAATACTGGACAGCATGTTTCACTCAGGGCCATTTTTCAAAAGACAGCAGCACTCTACAATGGTGAACATACATATTGTAGAACTGAGTGGCCAATTTCTTTGCCTATAGCCTGGGTTTGACTCGCTTATGGGATTACCTTGGAAATCCAAGGTAAATCTCACTTAATTTCTCTTAGTTTCCATTCCTTATTAAAGTATAGCAATTGCTACCTCATAAGAT
Organism: Homo sapiens; assembly: GCF_000001405.40. Lineage (NCBI taxonomy): Eukaryota > Metazoa > Chordata > Mammalia > Primates > Hominidae > Homo > Homo sapiens. The sequence continues at coordinate 131,972,852 of NC_000002.12, read as the reverse complement.
TGTGTCACTTTTGAATTAGATAATCAAAATAAATGAACTTTGCAAACTCTAAAGTGTTATCTATTTTTTTTTATTAATGGTGTCATGGGACATTGGCTGCTTCTCTTTGAAAATCAAACCTTTCTTCACTGGTACCTTCTTAATCCTCAGAGACGAGAAATTTGAAGTCAAAATGTATCATATGAACTGATCTTTCACCTCCACCACCATTTAATTCCACTGTTATATGTACTCAACAGACTTCTTACAGTTAAATTCATTTTCCAAAGCAGCCATTCTGACTAACCACTCCCTAATACTCTCTGTACCAAATATGTCTCAAGCCTGGTAAAAAATGGACCCTATAATTTTCCTGGACAACATTTCCTTATAAATTCAAATTTACCTAAAATTATCTCCTCCATAATTATTCCTTAAGCTTCTTTGAGATCAGTAGCTTCAAAGTAGGTGAAGTCTCAGTAACTCGAGCAGAAGATGTTACCTATTAAGCATCTAGCACTATCGCAGGAATTGGTTTTCACTCAATTGTTTAATTATCATCACTGTTCTCTCTCAATTAGGAAAAAAATAAGGATACAAGAGAATAGAAAGTAGGGCAGTACCAGGTATTGTGTTGGAGAAAGGCAGAAAAATTGAGGAGCAATGAAGTGCATGTATGGAGAGTTACGCTGTGAAGATAGTACTTCAATAGTTTCCAACACGGTGCAAAAAGAACTTTTATGTCCTGAACCAATCTTAATGTTAAATGTAACCTTTATCTCTCACTCATTGCACTAAAAGAAATACTTGAATTATAATTCTTCATTTGAAACAAATGATAATCGGAATGATTCAGTATAGGGGAAAACATAAGGGGGAATGCAGAAATGGTCATTTTCAGGAAAATGCTCTCTGGTAAGAGGATAGGATGTGGTGTGGTCTTTGCTAGAAATACTGACAGACCAGCCACTCTCAAAGGAAGGAAAGCAAAGAATGTGATTTCAGATGCAGGTATGCTGGTGGATTTGATGGTGGGAGCATCAGGAAATTCTCTTTTGGCTGCTTTCATTTTCCCTGTAAAATGAAAAACAAGAATATTAGCTGAGAGAGGAAGGGCAGAAAAATTTGGAGGTTTAAGAAGAGAGGTCAAAGTGTACCTCAGAAAGGTACATGTCCCAGGTAGGACCCAAAAACTCTTTTAAGGGATTAGTATGAATGGTGGAAAAGACAGAATTTTGCTTTTCTCAGATCTGGAATTGCATGCTATATTGGCCTGGAGCTGCTAACAGCCATCTTTCCAAATGTGTAGAAAAGTCAGACTGAAAACAAAGTTAACAAGGAAAATAATAGAACAAATATGGAATGAGAGAGGCAAAATTCTTACATTACCATTGCAGGGCATGAGAGCAGCCAGGCTTGTACACAGAGCACCCCCTGAGGTTTTCTACTACATGAGTGAATAAATTTCTTTGTTGATTAAGCTTGTCTGAATGTGTGTGTTTTTGTCAATTATAATCAAAAGAGTACTCAATACATCAGATAGTTAAGGAGTAGTGTTTTGAGTTTCAAATAATAAATTCTTAAAATGACCAGAAAAATAGTGTAACAAATTGATAGATTATCAAGATGGTTTTTAGAATTAGAAAACTGAGTTTGAGTTTTGACTGCTCCATGTAATGAGATGTGTGAACTTTGGGCTTACTTAATCTCTCTGAGCTTCATATCATCTATAAATTGAGTATAATGATAACATCTCCCATTTAAGTCCTGGGCAATATATCAACGTTTTATACATATTATCTTCCCAATATTCCAATTCTCCAGTAGAGCTGGTATTATTATCTTGCATTTACAAATGAGAAGAGTGAGACTTAGCAAGGTTAATAATCAGCCCAACATTCCACAACTAGTAAGGTGGTATTGAACCCATGTTTCTATTACCTGAAACCTGGAGTGACCACAAAATCTCAATTCACCTGGGACTATTGTAGTCTGTGCCTATTGCACCTGCATTGCATCCAATTAGCACACTCTTTCACTTACAAAAAAAAAAAAAATCTCGGATTTGACAATAGATTAGATGGTCACCGTTGAAGGTTGGGTTTTACAAGAAGCTGACTCTGAAGTCACAGATGAGCTTGCCAGAAGTTAATTGGGGAACACTTTCTGGATCTACACCTTAGGGGGTAAAAAAAAATCAAGATTGGCCAGGGGAAGAACAAAAGCCTCAGCAAACCCCACAGGGACCTTGGAAGCTGGAATGACACTTTGGAGTTGTTCCATTTGGAACAAGAATTTCTGAGCCATGATACCACTGTATCATCCCACTCACCATATGAGGTCCGGCCCTAAGAAAGGGAGTGCTCTTTGACAAGATTGCACTCTTCAGCTGAGGACAATTTCTGGAGAAAGCTGACAGCTGAGAGTTTTATGCTGGCAGCACTCCCAGTAGCTGGAGAAAGAAGTTCTTCAGAAGGACCGGGCCACGTACATCTCTACCACAGCTGTGAACTTTCATTTCTCATGATTGACTTACTGCCTCTGGACAATAGTTTCTTTACAAAGTTGCTCTGAGTATTTTTTTTTTTTTTTTTGAGACGGAGTCTCACTCTGTTGCCCAGGCTGGAGTGCAGTGGCACGGTCTTGGCTCACTGCAAGCTCCACCTCCCGGGTTCACACCATTCTCCTGCCTCAGCCTCCCAAGTAGCTGGGACTACAGGCATCTGCCACCACGCCTGGCTAATTTTTTGTATATTTAGTAGAGATGGGGTTTCACCGTGTTAGCCAGGATGGTCTCGATCTCCTGACCTCGTGATCCGCCTGCCTCAGCCTCCCAAAGTGCTAGGATTACAGGCATGAGCCACCACGCCCGGCCGCTCTGAGTATTAATAAAAGCATGCCTATACTATGTTTAATAGTACCTGGTATATATTAATATATACTTACATGTTTATACACACACCATACCTACTCCTATACATATAGATTCAATAAATGGCAACAATTATTTTGTTAAATGTTATTATGTATTATGTGTGATATATATTATAATAACATAAATATTATTGTAAAGTTACCACTTCAAAACGAGGAGTCTGAAATCATTGAAAAATAAGATTTATAAAATTTTGTTTGGAGTTTGTCTAACTTGAAAGATCGCCAAGAGCAGCCCAGCACAATGTCCTGATACATAAACTGTTAAAAATCCTGAAGCTTCCTGAGAGCCACATAGGCAGAAAGAATCTAGATATAGGTCAGTGAAAGGAATCCCATATGAGAAGTGGTGGTGGAGGAAGTGTGGATTGGTGGGAGAGATGTATGGCTATTAATGTGCTATTTAAATCCACCAATTCTCATACTCAAAAGCCTTTGGGAAGAATAGACGAAAATGTTTTTCCCCTATTTGCAATCTTCTTTAAGTACTAAGCCCATAATTGGGGTGGTTGTGGAAAAGGTGGATCTAGAACTCCATCAAACAACTTCTCTCTGGCCATTTCTGCATCCTCACTGTATTATTTGTTAATTCTACTCCTAAAATTGTGTGGAGGTTAACCAGGGCTTCAAACTAAACATATTAGTAGTAAAAGAGAGATTCCCTATTGAATTAATCTGACGTGATTACAGAAAAGACAACTCATTCCTCCAGGACTTGGAGACTTTGAAGTGTGCACATGCATAGAAAATGTGGTGGTTAATTTTTCTAAGGTCAGCTTGGCTGGGCTAAGAGATGCCCAAATAGCGGGTAAAACATTATTTCTGGCTGCGTCTGTGAAGGTGTCATTTTGATAGACTGAGTAAAGATTGCTCTCACCAATGTGGGTGGAGCTCATCCAATGCATTGAGGACCCAAACAGAACAAAAAGGCAGAGGAAGGGAGAACTGGCTGTCTCTGCTTGAGTTGGGACATCATCTTTTTCTTTCTTTGGACATCAGTTATTTGGTTCTCTGGACTTTGGACTCAAAATGGAATTTCTGCCATTGATTCCCCTGGTTCTCAGACCGTGAGGTTTGGACTGGCACTACACTACTTGCCTTCCTGGGCCTCTGGCTTGCAAACAGCAGTTGATGGGATTTCTCAGCCTCCAAAATCACATGACCCAATCCCTCATAATAATTATCTTTCTATATATTTTTATATAGTTATAGATTCTGTTTCTCTGGAGAACTCTGTCTAAAATAGATATTTGGAAATAGCAAGCAAAAATTTCGGAAACTCTTCCTAGTCAAAATATAAAGTAGATAATTAATTACCCTCATGGAGTAGTAGCATCCTGGGCAATATATATTTTGCTAATGCAGCAAAATACAATTGTTAGTTCACTCACTCTAGCTCTATCTATCTATCTATATAATATATATAATTTTTTTTGTCTCTTTCAATTTTCTTAGCTGATCAAGATGATCAGAAGACTGGTTTTTAGACTATTGGTAACTACTACAAGTTTGAAATATTTAATTTGAGTTAATTCATATACCATTATGAGAAAGTTTGAGAGAAACCTAATGCTCAATTAACAAATAATTTAAATATTATTTCCCTTTTATTACTTGATTCCCCAAGTCTTTCAGTGGCTGCCTTGGATAAGAGGTATGCTTTGGAATGTACATGTGAGCTTTCAAAAGCAAAACAAAATGAATTATGACATTCTTTTATGAAGTAGAATTTGAGAGTAATTCAGTGTAAATAAAATCAATATAAACATCTATATTATCCCTGATTGATGGGAAAAGGATAATATACTATCAAAACTACCTTGAAAGTAATCGTAAAGTGGATTTTCCACTCAGGATACCTTTTCACAGTTTTATTCCCTAGGAGAGAATGTTATGTGCTATTAAACCTCATGAACCCTTGACCTCGGTTCATATAAAGACAGTGAGAACTGGTCCCAGTTATTAAAGAAATTAGGCATAGACACATTCTTGCTTTTATAGTAAGAAATAAATAAGGTTTTCTTTCACTCTGGGGAGAGGCTATTAAAGCTAAATATTACAATGTTTTTTATGGGAGAAAGTTCGTTTTGACAATCCAAGAGAAGTGTATGTTTCGCATAAATACATAATGTAGAGATTTGTGATTTTATAAAGATGACAAAGAGTAAAAACAAAGTAAGTCTGTTAAGAACATATGGAAGAATAAGAAACATTCCTGTTAGACCAGCTTGTAAAAACAATTTAAATTATTAGACGGAGATTACATTTCATTTTATAATGAGCAAAAATTAGATAGGTAATTGTCCTGTTACGAGTTATTCGACAATGTTTTATATATTTAAATAATTCACTACCAATGATGGCATGAACAGAAATACAGATTACATTTACTGTCAATCTCTATTTGAGGAGGTTTAATTTTGTGATTGTGTCCAGAATTGGTGGGTTCTTGGTCTCGCTGAATTCAAGAATGATGCCGCGGACCTTCGCAGTGAGTGTTACAGTTCTTAAAGATAGTGTGTCTGGAGTCTGTTCCTTCATATTTTCAGATGTGTCCTGGGTTTCTTCTTTCTGGTGGGCTCATGGTCTCGCTGACTTCAGGAGTGAAGCTGCAGGCCTTAACGGTGAGTGTTACAGCTCTTAAAGGTGGCACATCTGGAGTTGTTCGTTCCTTCCGGTGAGTTCCTGGTCCCGCTGGCCTCAGGACTGAAACTGCAGACCTTCCAGGGGAATGTTACAGTTCATAAAGGTGGTGTCCACAGTTATTCATTCCTCCCATCCAGAGTTGTTCGACCCTCCCCGTGGGTTCATGGTCTCGCTGGCTTCAGGAGTGAAGCTGTAGACCTTCATTGTGAGGGTTACAGCTCATAAAGGCGGCACAGACCCAAAGAGCGAGCAACATTAAGATTTATTGCAAAGAGCAAAAGAACAAAGCCACCACAACCTAGAAAGGTACCTGAGAGGGTTACCGCTGCTGGCTCCGGTGCCCTGCTTTTATTCCCTTATCTGGTCCCACCCACGTCCTGCTTATTGGTCCATTTTGCAGAGAGCTAATTGGTCCATTTTACAGAGAGCTGATTGGTCCATTTTGACAGAGTGCTGATTGGTCTGTTTACAAACCTTTAGCTAGACACAGAGTGCTAATTGGTGCGTTTACAATCTTTTAGCTAGATGGAAAAGTTCTCCAAGTCCCTACCCGGCCCAGAAGCCCAGCTGGCTTCACCTCTCACTGGCACTGGCTGCAGGACTTCGCCGCACCTAGCCCGGGCACTCCCGCAGCCTAGAGGAAGCTCCTCCCAGACAATCAAGAGGAAAAGAGGGGAAGCGAGAAAGAGACGGAGAGCCGCCAGCGTGGCCAAAGACCCCACTAAGAGGGAAGGGCGGTCCACGCACGGGACCCAGCCTCCGATCAAGCCCAGCAGGTGTCGAGATCGCGCCCACCCGGACCCCACGCCGGCCGGCCAGCGCTGCGCGCAGCCCCAGCTCCTGCCCGCGCCTCTCTCTTCACACTTCCCGGAGAGCAGAGGGAGCCGGCTCAGGCCTCAGCCAGCCCCAGAGAAGGGCCCTCACAGCGCAGCGGGGGGCTGAAGGGCTCCTGGAGCGCGGCCAGAGCAGACATGGAGAACGAGGAGGCGCGGAGAGCGAGCGAGGGCTGCTAGCACGTTGTCACCTGTCATGATGTTGTAAAATAAGAAAGAGTAAATGTTATTTTAGAATTCCTTCCTGGCCAGGCACGGTGGCTCACGCCTGTAATCCCAGCACTTTCAGAGGCTGAGGCGGGCGGATCGTGAGGTCAGGAGATCCAGACAGGAGATAGAGACCATCCTGGCTAACACGGTGAAACCCCGTCTCTACTAAAACTCCAAAAAATTAGCCAGGCGTGGTGGCGGGTGCCTGTAGTCCCAGCTACTCCAGAGGCAGAGGCAGGAGAATGGCGTGAACACCGGACGCGGAGCTTGCAGTGAGCCAAGATGGCGCCACTGCACTCCAGACTGGGCGACAGAGCGAGACTCCGTCTCAAAAAAAAAAAAAAAAAAAAAAAAAGAAAAGAAAAGAATTCCTTCCTTGTTTCCTGCTGTAGTTATTTGTCAAAAGATACAAAAAATCTGTAAGAGTTAAGCAAAGCTATATTTATTTTGCTGCAACACTACTATGCACAGTGACATGGTCAAGTTGCTTTTTATAATGATTTCTAGTGATATTAATTTGCATCAGTCGTTTTCATGACCCCAAAGCCAACTCAATAATACCAGAAAATACTTGTTTGCTTGCCTACATTTTGTAATAATCCAATGTCCTGAAATAAAAATGAATATTTTCTTCCTGGAAATAAAGTGAGATAATTTTCTTCTTCCGAGAGACTCATGAAACAAGAACAGAATGACATTATACTAAACTATTTCACAAATATTGGTCAACAGTGGAGGCTTTTTTGTTCATTTATGTAAATTTCATTTGGCTCTATTTTCCTAAGTTGCATTTTATGCTTCTTTCACCTGCCTTGCCAAATGAAAAGAAAAATCATTTATTTATTAAAACATACACTAACAGAAGAAAATAATTTCACTCTTCACAAACTTTGGCATTATGAAGTCACTGGTTACTGGAGATTTAATTTCTGTAACATATCTGAAGTGGTTATTTTTTTCTTTCCATGAAGGAAACCTTTTGGAATTAAGATATGGTACATTGAACTAAACGGGGATTGCATTTGCTGTTTCTGTGATAACATTTTACATCTGAAATTCCAATAAATATTTCTCTTCTTGCTTTGAGGTGGTTTAGTTAATCATTCAGGTGGTTGGCTTTCATAAGAAGTAAAGGCGTGCCAGCATTTATAGTTTCCCAGAGTTCGTTTATTGCCTCAAGCTTGTATTTATTCTTATTACACTCACTAGCTTAGATACCAGGTGAATACCTGGGAGAAAGAAACAATTAATTTCAAAAGTAATAAAAATAAAAGAACAAAAAAATACAAAACTATTCAACATGCCAGCAATCCTGTTCTCTTAAGAAACCTACCTGTTTTTTTCAATGTGTGTAAGTTTTAGCATTTTATAGCAATTAGATGAGTCTGTATATCATTAGAACTTCTGTCCTTGGAATTAGGACAAAACTATTTTCTGCAATAAATATTTGGCTCTAGAAATCTATTTTGACCTGTACCATAATGCATAGCAGCAGAATTAAAATATTGTGTGTTATCATCAAAAGTTTCAGCCTTATTTTTTCACATTTGAATATAAATATTAAAATGATGAAGGCCCGTTTCTTTTAGTCTTTTTATTCTTAGAGAAGGCTGAATAAATGTTACAAAACGAGAAAAAGACTGTAAAATAATAATTGCTAATTATAAAAAAAAATTTAAAAATATGTCATCAAGCCACAATAGCTGTTCTCTATTTCTTTTTTTAATTTAAAATGGACATGAACAAACTTTCATAATACTTTTGTGGAATCTAGTTAGAGCTTTACTCCATTACAGAATAGAAACTTTTCACTGTGAAGAGATCAAAAGCACTGCTTTCCTTTGTGGCAAATGAATATTTTATTATCTAATGCTAAATAAAATTTGCTGGCAAAAAAAATGATATGCTAGTAAAAAAACAACAAAAGACTTTTTCTGACAGTATGATTTACATAGCTACATTTTCATTACTTTTATTTTTCTACATAACTAGTGTCTTTTCAGTTGCAAATGTTTGACATTCTGACAAGTAGTGTGGCAGAGTCTTAGATTATAGGTTGCATTTAGCCAAAAGAAAGACTTCGAATGGAATTTTTTTCTATTGACACACTTTCTAACAACATACTTATTTTCTAAAAAGGTTTTTGTAACTTAGTGTTGATAATATCAAATATCTAAGCAATTTTGCTTAAAAAGCATAGGACACCAATATTTAATGAAGATTAATTAAATAGCACACATTGATTACTTGTTTAAAAATATTCGGAAAAGTTTTGACACATGCTAAAGTGCTGAAGTATGGTTTTGGCCTTCCATAAAAATAATATATTGTGCATAAATGGAAGCAGAATGAAGAAAGCAATGAGAAAACATCTAGAAAATTGCTAGTGTGGTAAACATATTAAAATAATTTGGCATGGGAACTGTTTTTTCTCTTTTAAATTTAATTATGGTAAGAAAGAAGAGCATTTTAAAGAAGATGTTAATTTACATCAACAATATGCAAGAGAAAATAATGTAGAGTATGTATATTAGAGAAACACATAACTGCATATATGTATGGTTAAAACTTAATGCCTTCTGGCTTTGTCATTTATAAGAATTATTACCTACACAAGGAGTACTGTGCTGAACCCTTTCCATTTCCTTAGTTTTATCACATAAAAGCAAACGCGTCTCCATTTTCTTTCTTTTTTTTTTTTTTTTTTTTTTGGTGTTCACCTGGTATTTACCTCTACATTTCTAAATAACTGTGCAAAGGAGGGTTAACCCAATAGATGAGATTGCTCAAACCTTCCACATTCCCAAGAAATATCTATTTTCCGGACTAGTCCCTGGCTGGCTCATGGAAGCTTAAGCACTGGGCTTCTCAGAGTCATGAAAATAAGGTCACTCCACTTTTTACTCTTTGGTTCTTGGACTCATACAGTCTATCTTAATGGTTAAATGACCGTCAGGTCAACACACATTCTGCATCTCAAAGGACAACACTACAATCCCATGCATATTATTTCCAAGTTTATGCTTAGCTTCACTTTAAATTTTCTCAGGCCTCACCTCTTTGGGTGATATGGGGTTTAGTATGCAATCGTCTTGTGTCCATTAACACACCTCTTTCACCATAAAACAGGTTTCTTTGCCTGTGAGTATATAATACAGGGTCCCATGTCAATATATCTGTGAACAATACTATCCTTAAGTAGTAGTGTGGTCCTAGCCATTGTTAGCAAGAAAAGCAAATTTTACATGAGCCTTACTCAAAACCAACTGCTCCCCTTTTTGGAATGATCCTAAATGCTCAACTTGCAACCAAGTGGCTGGTTGGCCTCCCCATAGAACAGTGTCCTGTTGAGGTCATGGTTTCTGATGATGACAGGATGGATATTCTGCAGCCACAATAGAAACCTGGATGAGAGGGAGCCTATGCTGTTGGGTTGCCAGCAGCCACCTTGGCTACATCCACTATGAGCGCCTCCACTATGAGCAGCTAAGGAGAGATACTAGCTGGCATTTGCTGGATAAAAGACATCCCATCCACTTTGTTGTTTAGTGTCTGCTCTTCAGTAGGTGTTCTCTGATGGGCATTGATGTAAGATAACAATACATCTTCTTTCCACCTGATTCCACGTGTTCATCTACACTACTTTTTCCCAAATCGAGGTCAGTGTTAGGGCTCTGAACACAATACCCTAAAATTTGGTACCTGGTGTGCTGAGTACTTTGAACTACAGGAGATTGGAAGGACCTCAGAAGCAAGGTCTTTCTGACTTCTTATTCTCCTGTTTCCTTCTTCTCTTTCTTTGCTGAAGTCAGTCATGGAACTCAGAATTCCTCTTCTCCAAGGTGGATCATAGAAAGTAAAATTCTTCTTTCCCAAGGCACATCATGGAAACAAAAATTCTTCTCCAAAGCAAGCCATAAAACCTAGAAGGCTCGTTCTAACTTTTTTCCCTTCTCCCTTGAAGACACTTATTCTAGGAAGGTCCTGCCCATACCTAGGAGGAAGAAACCCTACACAAAGAGGCTAATAAATATTTGAATAGAAAGGCATTATTGTGTTTCCCCCTTCAGTCTGTTACCAACGGATTATACACTTTTGTCCAGTCAACATTCTACGTGGATACCCATTCTTCAGGAGCCTAAGCATCAAAATAGACAGTTCCCCCTGGGTCATTGGGTCTTCATTTCTGAAGGCTCCTGTGTCATGTAAAAAATTGATTAAATAAATTGCTATCCTTTTCTCTTGTTAATCTCTGTCTTTTGTTACAGGAGTGACAGCCATGACCTATGATGTGTGAAGAAAGATATCTCACACCTTTCTACCCCTTCACCACTGTCTATTCCGCTCTTAATCTGCACTCAACTACTGTGACTCTCCCCTTGGTCTCTCATCCCAGAGTACTGTGACTCTACCTCTAAGCCTTGCTTCCTGCTCTTGTGCCACTTTTTACATCTTTCTCTAATCTTATGGATTAAATTATATCCATTTGAATGTCTGGGATGAAATCTGTTTTCTGATGCATCCCTTACAAATATAAGGACATTTAAACAAATATTTAAGGGAGGATATCTCAGAGGAGACTGTTTTGGACAGAAGTAACACCAAGATCTATTAAAGAAATCATATCTTGCCTGGATCTTTGAAAAACAGTACAACCAGTGTGAATGAATGGAGCAACCAAGAGGTTAGGCAGTAGGAGATGAGGCCAGAGAAGAAAGAGGGTGTGGTAGCCCCCAATCCTGGCACTTACTTCCACTGGATCTAAAATCGAGCACAGAATTATGCTGACCACATCAGTCTAACTAATATTGATCTAAGTCATCATATGACTAGTAAAATTTATGTTCTAGCACCTAAATCAGGAGTCTGCAAAGGATAGCCCACTGCCAAAACCTGGTCCATTCTCCAGTTTTTGTAACTAAAATGTTATCAGAACTCAGCCAAGTCCATTCATTTACAAACTGTCTATGGTGGCAGAGACAATATGGCTCACAAAATCTAAAATATTTACTCTCTGGCTCTTTATAGAAAAAATTTGCTGACCCCTTGTCTAAATTATAGCAAATATGAAATCCTCTATCATCAGCAATGGCATAGAAGGCAGCATATCAATTTTTAAATTTGCCCTTGAATTATATTGTAAGCCTTATGTTTGAGGTCCTATTTTTGCAAAGTGCTGAGCACCCCTGTCCTATAATGAGGAGGGACAACTTTCCTTTCTCAATTGGTCTGTCTTATAACATTTACGAAGAGACTCATAGTCTCTCTGTGGCCTTGTATTCTTGGCTAATATCCTTTTTTTTCTTCCTAGAGTACTCTCTACTCTGTCTTAGAGTTTCCAACTGTTTATCTGAAGTAGTGGTGTCTCTGCAATGTTTTCTGTTCTACAGGGTGTAGGGTCTTTTTTTTTTTTTTTTTTTTTGAGACAGAGTTTCACTTCCTTGCCCATGCTGGAACACAGTGGCATGATAATGGCTCACTGCAGCCTTGACCTCCTAGTCCCAAACTAATCATCCCAACAGCCTCCCAAGTAGCTGGGACTACAGGTACACACCATCAGGCCTGGCTAACTTTTGAACTGTTTTGTAGAGAAGTTTACCCCATTTTGCCTAGGCTGGTCATGAACTCCCAGCCTCAAGCCATCCAACCCACCTTAGCCTTCCAAAGCACTGAGATCACAGGCATGAGCCACAGTGCCCAGCCGAGTGTAGGGTCTTGATCCTCTGGTCTGTCCCACCTTGTCTTCTTTTGCTACAAGTAATTAGACAAAGTTCTAAGGTACAACAGGGATGCTGAGTCTAGTTTGTTTAAAGATACTATTCAGTTCCTATGAAAAGATCCATGAGTGTGTAGGTTGGTTTTTAGTACAGCCTTGACAAGTTAATCCAGTAGAGAAACCTGCATGCAAATGTGATTTCTGATTATAGCCTTGGCTACTTATGCAGTTTTTGGTGTTACTGAATTTTTTTAAACAACTTTCCAATTTCACAGGCTTACCCAAGGGTAGGATCAATGAAAACCACAGCTTCTTTGTTAGTTGTAAAGGACTCAGAAGTCAGTGATGGCTGTTATTGACTCACTCATAAACAGCACATTAAGGAAAAGGAAGTTGAACAGTTGTCTACAGTTGTAAAAGGAGCACAAATAGTCTCTGTTTAATTTTTTTTTCTTTTTATATGTGGCCCATCTAACAATTCTATCATGATCATCATCAATCACTATCATCCTCAACAAAGCTCTAATTTTATTTAGTTTCAGAAAAATTTAAGCTGATGGCAGTTCAATCCCTTTGAACCTGTGATTGAGATCATATTGTTCTTTAATTGTGAAGCCTCCTTTAGATTAATATTAATAAAATATTTATATAAATTTTGATGATTTTATAAATGTAGTCTTGACAGAATGATATGCACTCAATCACAGAATAGTATTTGTGAGAAACCAGTGCTACCTCATTCGGTAACTTGAACTTATATAGTTATTGGCTGTTTAGTTTTTCTTCTTCATGATAAAACAAAACATAGTAATCAGATTTATAAACCTAGTAATCAGATTATGAGATTATTCAACTCAACTATATACAATATAATTGTACTACAAGAGCTGTTTGTACAAACATTTTCACTAACATCACCAGAATTGAGAAATATGTATAGTAATGTATATTTTTTATTAGATAGTTTAATTCCAGCCAAGTATCAAGCCATTTCCATAATCTGACATACTAGCTAAGGGAAAATAATGAGGCCACTCAAAAGTTTCTTTTTCTAGTTGTCTCAGTAGCTTGGATGTGATAAGCATGAAAAAACATGAATTGCTAAACCAAATTTAAAAAAAATTTCTGAAACTATATAACACTCCTGAGAGGGCTGCAGATTTGTTAGTAGGTTGTTTTTCAGTCTGAAAAAAAATGATTAAATATTTCTGCTGGAATGGAACATTTCAGTCATAACAAAATATAAACTCTAAGGAAGCTAATACTAATATTGTTTGTTAAAATCCTTTTGTATTCTTTGCTTTTCATGGAGGGAGAGAGTTAAGTTACAAGGGAATGGTGAACCACAACAAATGAAAAGTTGTTTTGTGAGTAGTGTACCTTTGCATTGCTGTATTTCGAAAGGTTTGCCAAAAAAAAAAAGAATGTCAATTATTTTTCTCTAAAATTGTGCCTAATTATGTTATATGATATTAAATTAACTAAAGTTTAAAGAGAATACATAGTATGCAAAATACTTCACACTTCACACATATCATTTTTAATTGAATTGTTAAAAAAATAAGCACAATTGCCTCTGTTTCACCAATGATTAAATTAAGATGACCATAATCTATGGAAGCTGCCCAAAGAAAAACAGTAATGGAGTCAGATATAAATGAGTCAGACTCCAAATCCCAATCACTTTTTCATAAAGTGTTTAGTAAGTATTTTTATCTAAAATGTAAGTGTGTGGCTATAAAAACGCCAACTATATAATAATTTGATTCTTGTTTCTATTTATTTGAAACCTAATTAGTGTATTTCCACAATATATAACATAATGCTAAAAAATAAATTTGGTATTTTCAGTTTCCTTTAAATTTTCTGACCTGATTTTATTTTATAAACGATTTGCATTTACCAGAATGTTATAAACTCGGTAATTATGTTTTGGTTCAGTGTTTTTTACCTGCCATTTACATTACATAAAAATCATTTCTGTAAAAGGAAGCAGATGTTAATGAGCAAGCTACACAGAAATTTTCATCTCACACTTAACAATGGATATTATTGTTCTTATAATTTTCACTTCTCAGTCATAAGACATCCCTCTGTGGTTGTCATAATTGGTCTAATGAATTTCTTAAAATAAATGAAAGTCTAATTTGATCCGGTGCCCATGAACAATCCACTCATTCAAATCTAAATCACTGACCTGATTTGAAGATGAATCATGCCAAAATAAAGTCATGCTTTCCTATTAAGTGTGTTGCCTCAGTGCAAGCTTTTGAATGGCTTGTTCTTAAGGTTTGAAGTGGGGATTTCCAGTGACAAAGAAACACAATTTGATCTCATAACCCTAGACGCCCAGACTTATTTTAAATGATAGAGACTTAAGATTGAGAGAAAATCTGAGTCATCATCCAGTTCAGTATTTTTCACTTAGTGGAAAATGTACTGGTCACCTTGGGTTTGAACAGTTTAGCAACATTGCAGGATCTTCTACAGATGCATACATAAGCATTTGAACAAATTCTCTAGGTAGGCAAAGATCATTGCAGCCGAATGTCTAATGATCTTTATCGCAGAGTTATCTATCCAATGTTCCAGGGTAAATGTTCTATTATTAACATTCCTGAGGAAATACATTCATGGATATATATGTTTAGTGTATTATTTAACTACTATTTCAAATCTATATCAAGACTGGTCTTAACATTTCTAAAATAGGTAACTATATCAACATCATAAAAAATGCTGCCACATTTTTTTCGAGAAAGAAATACTCTCTATACATAGTGTTAAATCTTTCTGCATTAGAACTAAAGACCGTGAAAAGAAGAACAGTTTTTATTGTGTTAAGACACTGATTGCTGGTTAGGAAAGAATGTGTGTGTGTGTGTGTGTGTCAGAGAGACAGAGAGAGAGAAAAGCAGGGGAAGCTTGTAATACATAATCAAATAGTAACGTTATGAGAGATTTATCCCAGATTATCTATAATTTTCATTGGTCCCTGAATGGTGGAGGAAAGGTAAAAATATCTTTAATTCCAGATTTCATCTTTGGCCACCAACAAAGGGGCATCACTTAATCCTATTGGTTTTAAATACCAATGAACTAGTGTAAAAGATGAGGATTCGTAAATTATTTCACTCAGAACAAAGCTTTCAAATGTCTGAAACTAGCCAGAATCTTGTCAACAATTTCCAAAATCAGATTCTGAAATTTAATGTTGTTTGCAAAACTCCTTCACCAAGATTCCCAAGAAAGGAAAATGATAGGAGTGAAGTTCGGGAGAGAGGACATAATAAAAACATAAAATTGAAGAATTTGTTCTTGATCATTGTGGAAACAGGAGAATACCATATTTTATATTTATTAATTATACTTGTCTCTAACGACAGAAAGAAATGTAAAGAAATACTGTGAACACCCCAAAATTAGACAGCCTAGGTGAAATGGACTGTACACCTCAAAATTAGATAACCTAGATGAAATGGACAAAGTTTTAGCCACACACAAATTACCTAATGTGATTCAAGAAGAAGAAGAAATTCTTAACAGACCTACAACAAGTACGGAGAATAGACCGGTAATCAAAACTCCTCCTCAACAACAACAAAAGCCCAGTATCAGATGTTTCACTGGTGAATTCTGTCAAACATGTAAAAAAGAATAAATACCAATTCATCTTAAATTCTTCCAAAAAATAGAAGAAGGAGCATTTCTCAAGTCATTACATGAGACAAGCATTATCCTTATACCAAAGTCAGCTGAAGAAATCCAAAGAACGGAAAGTTACAGAACAATATTTCCTATGAATACAAGCAGAAAAAAAGTAATTAATAAAGCATTCCAATGTATAATATTATCTCAAAGAATAAAATACCTAGGAACAAATTTGAACAAGGAAGTGAAAGACTTGTACACTGAAAACTACAAAACATTGCTAAAAAAGTTAAAGAAGACCTACATAAAT
The DNA here is from genome assembly GCF_000001405.40 of Homo sapiens. Classification (NCBI taxonomy): domain Eukaryota; kingdom Metazoa; phylum Chordata; class Mammalia; order Primates; family Hominidae; genus Homo; species Homo sapiens. The sequence goes on along the minus strand of NC_000002.12, from coordinate 131,956,573 downwards.
GAAAATATTGAGAGACTTAGTATTGTTATGTTTCCAATTCTACCCAAAGTGATCTACAAGTTCAAAGCAATTCTTATCAAAATTCCAACAGCCCCTTTGCAGAAATGAAAAAGCCAGTCCTCAAACTCATATGGAGTTGCAAAGGGATCTGAATACTCCAAACAATGCTGAAAAAGAAAATAACAAAATGAAAGGACTCACACTTCCCAATTACTGCAAAACTAGATGGTCAAATCAGTATGGCCCTGGCAAACAGTTAAACATACAAGCCAATAGAATTAAACAGAGAGTCCAGAAATAAACCCATACATCTATGGAACACTGATTTTTAATAAAAGCACCAAGTGTATTTTATGGGGAAAAGAATAGTCTTAGCAACAATGGTGTGGGACAACTGTATTTCTACATTTAAAAGAATAAAATTGGGTCTGCGTTTTATGCCATATAGCAAATTACTTCAACGTGATTCATTGACCCAATATAAGAGCTAAACTTATAGCATGCTTAGAAGAAAACATGAGTAAATCTACATGATTTTTAAATTTGGCATTTAATCTATTTTTGTGTAAAACTAAAATAATGAGCAACAAAAGAAAAGTTAGACAAATTGAAATTCATCAAAATTTAAATATATTGTTTATCAAAGGACATTATAAAGTGAAATAACGTATAGAAGTGGATAAAAATATTTGCAAATTATATATCTAATAGGGGTTTAATAATCAGAATCTACAAGGAAGACCTACAACTCAACAACAGAAATGCACACAACCATCCGGGCGCGGTGGGTCAAGCCTGGAATCCCAGCACTTTGAGAGGCCGAGGCGAGTGAATCACTTGAGGTCAGGAGATTGAGACGAGCCTGGCAAAAGTGGTGAAACTCCGTCTCTACTAAAAGTACAAAAATTTGTCGGGTGAAGTGGTGGGTGTCAGTAATCCCAGCTACTTGGGAGGCTGAGGCAGGAGAATCGCTTAAACCTGGAAGGCGGAGGTTACAGTGAGCCAAGATCGCACTATTGCACTCCAGCCTGGGCGACAAGAGCAAAACTCCGTCCGAATAGATGTTTCTCAAATAAGTTATACAAACGACCAATAAGCACACAAAAAAGACGTCCAACATTTTTAGCCATTAGGGAAATTCAAATAAAAGCCACAATGAGTTGTTACTTCGTATCTACCAGGATAATTATATAATTTTTTTAAAAAAGAAAAATAATAAATCTTGGTGAGAATGTGGAGATATTGTAACCCTCAGACACTGATGATGGGAATGTAAAATAGTGCAGATGCTGTAGAAAAGTTTGGCAGTTTTCCAAGATGTTAATAATAGAACTCCCATATGACCCAGCAACTTCTCTCTTAGGTATATGACTAAAAGAATGGAAAACAAAGTCTCATGCAGGTACTTGTATACCAATATTTATTATTCATAATTGTCAAACGGTGAAAGCAACCCAAGTAACTATCCACAGATGAATGGGTAAACAAAATATTCTATATAACTGCAATAAAATATTATTCAGCAATAGAAAGAAATGAAGTTCTGATGCATGCTAAAACATGGATTAACCTTGAAAACATTATGCTGAGTGAAATAAGCCAGACACAAAAGTATTAATATTGTATGATTCCACCTATATAAAATATATATTATAGGGACATAAAATAGAGGAGAGGCTACCATAGGCTGGGGTGAAGGCAAATGAAGGGAAACGTTGAAAAATAAAAGAAAAAATTGAAAGAACTCACACTACCCAATTGCTACAAAGCCAGTTAATCAAATCAGTATGGTCCTGGTACATGGATAAACATACAGGCCAATGGAATAAAATTGAGAGTTCAGAAATAAACCTATACATCTATGGAAAACCGATTTTTAACAAGAGCACTCACCTTGCTTAATGAGTTTCTATCTGAGTTGAGAATTTCTCCCTAGGATGATAAAAAGTTTTGCAAATAATGATGATGGTTGCATAGCATTGCAAATGTAATCGGCACCACTAAATGATATATGTAAAATAATTAAGATATCAAATTTTATTTTATGTGCATTATACCCCAAGGAAAAAAAACAAAAAGGAAATAAAACAGAATTATGAAATATTGATTTTAATTGATCAATATGCCATTCCAAGTAGTTTTGATTTTATCCCATTGAATTTATCCTGGTTATTTTTAATTATATCATCATAATTACATTTAATAAAAATATTACAAAAATTAAAAATTTAGAGATTGGCAGAATGGTTAAAAGTATGGTTAACTATATGCTCTCTAAAAGAGATACTTTATATTCAAAGACACAATACGTTGAAATTAAAGTGAAGGAAGGGGATATACCATGAGTGGCCAAAATAGAGCTAGATATACTAATACAGACACATATATTTTAAGACAAAATTTGTTACTGAAGTCAAAGACATTATAAAATGATGAGTGATTCAACTCATCAGGAAGTTATAACAATTATAAATGTATATATGCCTAGCTACAGAAATCAGAAACAAAATAAACAATCTAACAATGCACCTTAAGGAACTAGAAAAGCAAGAATAAACAAAACCCAAAGTGAGTAAATGAAAACAAATGATAAAAATCTTAGCAGAAATGAATAAAAATTAGACTAAAAATAATACAGAAGATCAATTAAAAAAAGTTGTTTTTTGAAAAGACAAACAAATTCAACAAATCTTTAGCCAGAATAAGAGAGAAGACCTAAATAAAATCAGAAACCAAAAAAGGAGTCATAAAAACTGAGACCACAGAAATACAAATAATCATTAGAGACTATTACAAACATCTATAAATTAATAAATTGAAAACTTAGAAGAAATGAATAAATTCCTGAACCCATGCAACCTACAAGTTTGAACCATGAAGAAATAGAAAACCTCAACAAACCAATAGTGAATAATATTATTATGAGTACCTTTATTATGACTGAAGTCATAATAAAAATTTTCCCATCAAAGGAAGACCTTATGGCTTTATTGTTGAATTCTATGAAATATTTAAAAAAGAGATTATACCAATTCTTCTCAAACTCTTTTAAAAAATTGCAGTAGAGTGAGTACTTCCCAACCTCTTCTACCAGGCCAACATTATTCTGATACCCAAACCAGACAAGGACACACAAAAAGAGAATACTACAGAGCAGTATCACTGATAAACATAGACGCAAAAATCTTCAACGAAATACTAGCAAACCAATTTCAACAACACATTAAAAAGATCTTACACCATAATCAACTGGGATTCATTCCAGGGATGCAAGGATGGCTCAACATATATAAATCAATAATTACATTACTAAGCAAGAGCAAAAAACGTACGATCATTTAAATAAATGCTAAAAAAACCACTCAGTGAAATTCCACATCTCTTTAAGATAAAATCCCTCCACAAACTGGGTATAGAATGAGCATACTTAAGAATAATAAGAGCCAAATATGGCAAATGACAACTAGCGTCTTACTCAATGGAGAAAAATGGAAAGCCTTTCCTCTGGGATCTGGATCAAGACTAGGATGCCTACTTTCACCACTTTTATTCAACATAGTACTGAAAGTCTTAGCAAGAGCAATTAAGCAAGAGAATTAAAGAATATTCCAAATTGGAAAGGAAGAAGCTGAATTATCCTTGTTTGCAGATGACATAATGTTATACTTAAAAAAGACCCTGAAGATGCCATGAAAAAACTCTTAGAACAGATAAATGAATGCAGTAAAGTTGCAAGATGGAAAATAAACATACAAAAATCAGTAGCATTTATATATGCCAACAGAGAATGATCTGAAAAAGAAATAAAAAAATTACCATTTACAACAGCTACAGAGAATATGAAACACCTAGGAATCAATTTAACCAAAGAAGTAAAAGATTTATACAAGAAAAACTGTAAAACATTGATGAAAGAAATTGAAGAGGACAGAAAAAAGGAAAACTATTCCATACTCATTAATTAGAAAAATTAATTTGATTCATATGACAATATTACCCAAAACAATTTATAAATCAATTTCACTCCCTATCAAAATACTCATGTTTCTCACATAAATAGAAAGCAAATCCTGAAATTGATATAGAACCACAAAAAACCCAGTAGCCAAAGCAATCCTGAGCAAAATGAACAAAGCTTGGAGACATCACACTATATGACTTCAAAATTTACTACAATGCTATAGTAACCAAATCAACATGTTCCTGGCATAAAAACAGAAACATTGGCTGGGTGCGGTGGCTCATGCCTGTAATCCCAGCACTTTGGGAGGCTGAAGTGGGTGGATCATGAGGTCAGGAGTTTGAGACCAGCCTGGCCAACATGGTGAAACCCTGTCTCTACTAAAGATAAAAAAAATTAGTGTGGTGGCACACACCTGTAATCGCAGCTACTAGGGATTCTGAGGCAGGAGAATCTCTTGAACCTGGGAGGTGGAGGTTGCAGTGAGCTAAGATCACACCATTGCACTCCAACCTGGGCGACAGGGCGAGACTCCATCTCAAAAACAAACAAACAAACAAACAAACAAAACCAGAAACACAGACTAATGAAACATCATAGAGAACCCAGATGTAAATCACGCATTTACAACATTTACGCAAATGAGCCAATTCATTTTTGACAAGGATGCTGGAAATACACAATGGGAAAAGGACAGTCTCTATAATGAATGGTGCTAGGAAACCAGATAACCATATGCAGAAGAATGAAACTAACCCCTTATTTCTTACCATATACAAAAATCAAATCAAAATGACTTAAAGACTTAAATCTAAGATATAAAACTATGACACTAGAAGTATACTTTTGGGAAGCACTCCAGGACATTGGTCTGGGCAAAGATTATTTTTAAGACCTCAAAATCACAGGCAAAAGCAAAAGCAGATAAATGGGATTACATTAAGCTAAAAAGCTTCTGTCTAGCAAACAAGACCATCAACAAACTGAAGATAAAGGCCATGGAGTTGAATAATGTATTTGCAAACTGTCAATCTGACAAGTAATTAGTAACCAGAGTATATGAGATGCTTAAACAGTCCAATAGAAAAGAAATCTGATTAAGAACTGGGCAAAAGATTAAATAGACATTTCTCACTAGGAAACATGCAAATGGCAAATAGGTGTATGAAAAAGGTTTAACATGACTGATCATCAGAAAAATGCAGATCAAAACAATGAGATATTCTCTAACCCTAGTTAGAGAATTTCTTTTTTTCAAAAAGAAAAAATAAGAGATACTGCTGAGGATGTAGATAAAGAAGGATGCTCATTTACTGTTTGTGGGACTATAAATTAGTACAGCCACTTACAGTTCTTACCAAACTTCCACCTTTTTTGTTTGTTTTTTGAATAAACACTTTGTGGATTCCTCAAAGCATTTGGCTAATTTTTCAAGTTCTAAAAATGTTGACCCTGATTATTTTTGCCAGTTTTTAAAATTGCCTTTATGGAGGACGTAATTTGCTGATGCCCTCACTCCGTCATTTTCATTGATACCATTCCTTTATCTTTTGCATTAGAGTAGAATTTAATATCACCTGAAATGAAAATATTTTTATCAGCACTTGATAATAAGTGCCAATTATAAGATAAAAATAAGATTTCTTTTACATTATTTAAATCCAAGTTAGGGTCAAGAACCAGCAATTTCACTGCTGACTATGTATCTAAATTAAAGGAAATCAATACATCAGAGAAGTATCTGTGCTCTCATGTCTATTGCAGTACTATTTGCAATAGTCAAGATATGGAATCAATCTAATCACCCATAAAAAGATGAAAGAATGAAGACAATGTGGTATATACACTCAATAAAATATTATTCAATCTTAAAAAAGAATAAAATCCTGCCATTTGCAGCAACATGGACAGAAATGGAGGTCATTACGTTAAGTGAAATCAGCCAGACACGGAGAGACAAATGTCATATGTTCGCACTTATAAATGGGAGCTAAAAAAGTGGATCTCATGAAGGTAGAGAGTAGATTGGTGGTTTACCAGAGGCCAGGAAAGATAGAGGGTGAGGAGTAACAAAGAGAGGTTGATTAGTGGGTACAAATACTTAGTTTGGTAGAAGAAATAAGATCTACTCTTTGAGAGATAAGGAGAGTGACTATCGTTTACTCTAAATGTACTTCTATTGTGTATCAAAAAATCAAAAAATAAAAAATAAGTTGAAAACATAAAGCAAAAATACACAGAAATGATAGAGAAGTAAACAATTTGACAACAATAGTTGGAGGTTTCAGTACCTCACTCTCAGTTGTAGATGGAACAACTAAGCAGAAGATTACAAGGATCAATCTTAAAAACAAACCAGAACTGAAAGACACCCATGGAACAACCATACCTGGAACATTCTTAAACTATCCATTGGCTTACAAAACAAGACACAATAAATGTAAATGACTGAGATCATACAATGTATGTTCTTTGGCCCAAATGGGATGAAATTTGAAATCAATTACAGAAGAAAATTTGGAAAAATCCCAAATATGTGAAAATTAATAAACTCCCTAAATAACAAATGAATTGAAGAATAAGTTAAAGAAAAATGAGAAAATATTGTGAGATTAAAAAAATAGAAACAAAGCATACCAAAACTTAGAGGATAAAGATAAAATAGCACTTAGAGGAAAAAGTATAGCTGCCAATGTCCATATTTTTAAAAATCCAAATCAATAATATGACTATCTTCAGAAACTAGAAAAAGAAGAGCAAATTCTAGTCAAAAAAGCAGAAGGAAGGAGATAATAAAAATTAGAGTAGAAATAAATAAAATAAAGATTAGAAAAGTTATAGAGAAAACCAGGAAATAAAAGATGTGTAATTCTTCAAGAGGGTCAACAAATAGTGACAAACCTTTAGATAGATGAAATAGGAAAACAAAGAACAAAGACTCAAATTACTAAAATTGGAATGAAAAGGAATAGCAGCACTAACAAATTTTCAGGTACCTAAAAATGGTGTATGTCCACAAATTATATAACCTAGATGAAATTAACTCCTCAAAGACATAATCTAATTTAAATGACTCAAGAATTAATACAAAATCTAAATAAACCAATAACAATTAAAGAAATTGTATTTGTAATAAAATTATTTTCACAAAGGGTAGTCCAAGCCCAGATGGCTTCATTGGTGAGTTCTACCAAATGTTTATGAAATGGTAATATCAATCCTTCACAAACTATTCAAAAATAAAATTAAATTAAAAGGTAGAGCAAGCACTTCCCAACTTATTCTGTGAGGCCAAAATTACCTTAATACCAAAACCAAACAATGCCATCATAGGAAAATAAACTGCACACTAAAATACTTTATGAATATAAATGCAAGATTTCTAAACAAAATATTAGCAAACTACATCCAGCAATATATAGAAAAGAACTGATTATTTTCCATGACCAACGATTTGTCCCGGGAATACAAGCTTGTTTTAACATTCAAAAATAAGTCAGGGTAAAATACCATCTCGATACAATAAAGGACAAAAAAATACATGATAGATACAGAAAAAGCATTTGACAAAATCACACACTATTTAAAACAAAAAAGTAAAAAAAAAAAAAAAAAAAAAAAAGACCCAGGAAGCTAGTTATAGAAGGAAACTAGCTCAACCAAATAAAGGTTATTTACAAAAGGCCCAAGCCAACATTATACTTAATAGTGAAGACTGAATGATTTACCCCTAAGTTCAGGACAGATGGGTATTCTCACAGTGACTGTGCAACATTGTACTGAAGGATCTGGCCCAGACAATTTGGCAAGAAAAAGAAATAAAAGTCATCCAGATTGGAAAAAAAGAAATACAACTATCTCTATTAGCAGATGACATAATCTTGGACATAGAAAATTCTAATGAATCTGCATAAAACCCTCTTAAATCTAAGAAATGAATTCAGTAAGACTGCCAGATATGAGATGACTACCCCAAAAGCAGCTGTATTTCTATACACTTTCAATGAAAAATTCAAACATTAAGAAAACACTTCCATTTAAAATAACATCTAAAATTTAAAATCACTTAGGAATAAATTTAACAAAAGAATCAAAGTCATGTACACTGAAAACTAAAAACTGTTGTTGAAAGAAACTAAATAAAAGGTAAGCCACCTCACCTGATGGTTATGTGTAAGAAAATTAATATTATTAAAATGGTAAAATTTTCAAAATAATCTACAGATTCAGTACATTCTCTATCAAAATCCAAGTTTCCTTTTTCAAAATTGACAAGGTGATATTTAAATTCATAAGGAATGTAAAGGACCAAGAATGGCCAAAATCATCTTGAAAAAGATTGAAGTTGGAAGATCCTGACTTCCTGATTTTAAATTTACTGTAAAACTACATTAATCAAGGCATTGTAGGATTAGTACAAAGATAAATAAATATATACATATATATATATATAAAAGGTTGCCCAGACAATGCACTGGAGAAAGAAGTCTTTTCAACAGAAGACCCTTCTAAAATTTGGGGATAATGTGGTCCTTCTTAGAGGCACTTGATACCTCAACCATATCCCATGATGGTGAACAAAGTTTCCCTGGCCTTGTGAAGGGTGGACAGAAACAAGCCGTGAAGCAGGCCTAGAATGGTATCCAAGAATCCTTCGGCATAGGCAGTCTTCCTTTCTTTGTCACTTACATCCAGGTTACAGATACTTTTCTTGTGTTTCTGTAAACTATGAGAACATGTATCACACTGTCTAGATTCCTACCTATATACTCGATTTATATTGATGTATTTCTGAATTTACCACCCTCCTATGGGAATGTAATCTCTCGAAGGAAGGGACCAAGGGCATCTTGCTCAACATTTTGTACGATTCACCTAATATGCTTAGCATGTCACAGTTGATAGCAAAGTATTTACTTATTGACTAATCAATGAATTTTAAAAATCCATACATCAACTCATATTTCTCTAAAAATGAATTATTGATCAGCCATTATAAGAAAAAAAAGAAAGAGAAAGCAAGCAAGCAAGCAAGCAAGCAAGCAAGCAAGAAAGAAAGAAAGAAAGAAAGAAAGAAAGGAAGAAAGGAAGGAAGGAAAGAAGGAAGGAAAGAAGAAATAAATAAATAATAAAGGAAAGAAAGAAAGAAAAAGAAAGAAAAAGGAAAAGAAAGAAAGAGAGAGAGAAAGAAAGGAAGGAAGGGGGAGGGTGGGAGGGAAGGAAAGAAGAAAGAGAGAGTCAGACAAGGACATGTGAGCTAGCTTTGTAAATATCCATAATCCATTTTTAACTATAACTAAGAAATCACGTTGCCCAAGGACTTGGGAGTCCACTCCTTGTACCAGTATGACTTGGATGTCGGACACGAAATCAAAAGAGATTATTTTGGAGCTTTAAGTTTTAATGACTGCCTTGCTGGGATTCAAACTTGCTTGGGGCCTGTATCTTCTTTCTTTTGGTCAGTTTCTCCCTTTTTGAACAGGAATGCTTACCCAATTCCTATACCTCCATTGTATCTTGGAAGTAAATAACCTGTTTTTTATTTTACAGGATCATAGATGGAAGGGACTTGCCTTGTCTCAGACAGGACTTGGGACTTTTGAATCAATGCTGGAATCAGTTAAGAATTTAGGGGACTGTTGGGAAGGCATGATACCATTTCGAAATGTCAAAAGGGCATGAGATTTGCGAAGGGCCAGAGCAGAATGATATACTTTTCAGAATGATATCCCCCAAATATCATGTTGAATTGTAATCCCCAGTGCTGGGGTGAGGTCTTGTGGGAGGTGTTTGGATCATGGAGGCAGATCTCTCATGACTTGGTACTTACTTCATGATAGTGAGTTCTCATGGGATCTAGTCCTTTAAAAGTGTGTGGCACCTCCTCTGCTCACTCTCTTTCTTGCTCCTGCTTTTACCATGTGACGTGCCAGCTCTCCCTTTACCTTCTGCCATGATTGGAAGCTTCCTGAGGCCTTCCCAGAAGCAGATGCCAGTATGCTGCCTGTACAACCTGCAGAACTGTGAGTCAATGCAACCTCCTTTCTTATAAACTACCCATTCTCAGATGTTTCTTTACAGCATGCAAGAATGGCCTGATACACAGTTTAATGAGGATGCTGTATTTTGCAAATATATTTGTCTCCCCACAAATCACCTGATGTGTTTTGATCAGATAGCTCTTCTAATTAATATTAGAGGATATAATTTATAGAAATTAATATATTTTTGTAATTTTTGTTCTGTAAAACTATTAATAATATGTAGTTAGCTATAATTATAAAATATAAGCTAAGCTTTTGAAAATTTATTCACAATTTTGACAGTGAAATAAACACAAGTATGTTGGTAGCAACATTATTAAAATTTAATCTATTTGTTAAAAATGGTAATATGTGCATTGAGAAGAAAAGTAAAAGACCATAAGAGAATACAAAGTAAAAATCAAAATTCTTTTACCTTTCTCCTCCAGCCAACCAAGGAATCAACCGATAGAAACAACTCTGTGTTTGTAGGTTTGAATATGTGTTATATGCACTTATAAATTCTTCCAGAGAAACTCTATACATGTAACAGAAGCTTTTTACACAAATGTTTGCACTTAGCACACATTGTTCTGAAATTTGCTTCCCCTCACCTCCCCACACCCCAATGAGTTGAATGCTATATATTAGAAAACCTTATGTTTTTATATAACACTATAGTATAATGTTATTTCATTATTATTTGAAATTATACATAAATTATAATTTTCATTGAATGGATATTATAGAGCTAATTAACACAAATTACTTTTAATTTTCTTATTTGGTGTTGTCATCTATAGCAAAATTCTCGTAATACTATTTTAATAGTCTTCTGAAAATGTACTTCCCAAACAGGTATTAACGTAATGTCTTGCTAGTGCGTTGAAAATGTCTCTAAATAACTTGCATTGTTATTGTCTCTAAATAATTGCAGTTATTGTCTCTAAATAACTTGAAATTCTGTATATTGTGCTTTCCTTATCTTGAAATGTTCAAAAATAAATTGGTCTTTATTTACTTGCATAAATATATTAGATTTTTCTAAATACTATTTTTATATTTTACCTACTTTCACTGAAATATGTAAACACTCTCAAAGAAGTGTCTGGGAATTTTTATTTGCTGATTTATTTATTATTTTTATGTTCTCCTACTTCTCTTCTTGATTTTGAAATCCTAAAATCCCTTAATTAAACTCATTTATTTCCTTTAATTATACCTTCCTGTCTCATCAAAACATATTCCTTAATTTTGCCTTAAAAAGTTATGCACAAAATGAGTTTCCTTGAAAATCAAAAAGCCTCAAACAGTAAAACAAATACAAATAAGCATACTGTTCACCATTTATAGTTCTGATGGAAGGGAAAAGGTCAGAGGAAATGGAAAACATGAAACTAGCACATTTCCAGGCTAAAATGTGTATAAGGATTGTGTCAGGTCTCCTATTCCATTTGTAAGTGGAAAGTATGTTTTAGTTCCACACAACACTGAGTAGAAGCTTCAAAGTACAGATGTGCTCAGGAACAAATGCATGCTTGTTACTTTTAAATCACTTGTATATATTCTAATGTTCTTTGTCCTCTTGGAGTCTCCAACTCAGATTAATATTTTATTACAGCAGTTACTGTTTTTAAAATGGACAGCCTGACTTAATCTCAATTTGTTAACAGTGATTTAAATGAAATATCTTTGAATAATTAATATTAAGTATTCACGGTATGTAAAAGACTAGTTAGCTAGGTTAACTTTGCTTCATAAAAATGAAGTGATTGAAGTCAATGTACATGATGAGCTATATTTCTTGAATGCCTTTATACTTGTATTTGTTGATTTGTTGGAAAGAAACCTGAACATTTATTAAGGTTTCACTATATGGCTAAAGAATTGTATATTTTTCAACCACAGTGCACTCTTTTTTTTGTTATTAAAGAAGAAGCCTCAATTTAACTAAAAATGGAGATTTGCTTGTTAGATGATTGTTTTTAAGAATAATTGTGTTTTGGCCGGGTGCGGTGGCTCAAGCCTGTAATCCCAGCACTTTGGGAGGCCGAGGCGGGCGGATAACGAGGTCAGAAGATTGAGACCATCCTGGCTAACACTGTGAAAACCCATCTCTACTAAAAATACAAAAAAATTAGCCAGGCGTGGTGGTGGGCGCCTGTAGTCCCAGCTACCCGGGAGGCTGAGGCAGGAGAATGGTGTGAACCCGGGAGGTGGAGCTTGCAGTGAGCCGAGATCACGCCACTGCACTCCAGCCTGGGCAACAGAGCCAGACTCCATCTCAAAAAAAAAAAAAAAAGAAAGTTTTTTGACACAAAGCACTTAATAAAATATTTGAAATTAAGATATTTCAATTAAAATCAAATAATAAAATGTGAATCTGCCAAAGAAAATATTTTGTTTGTCTATGTTGTGTTAAGACATACTGTCAACTTTTCAAATGCATAGTATAGTATTGTTAACTATAGGCATGATGTTATGCAGTAGATCTCTAGGTCTTATTTATCTTGCATAATTGAAACTTTGTACACATTAAGTAGCAACCTCTCATTTCCTTTCTCCACAGTCCTTGATAAACACTATTCTGCTCTGTTTCTGAGTTTGACGGTTTTAGATATTTCGTATAAATGGAGTCAAGCAGCATTTGTCCTTCTGTGACTGGCTTGTTTCACATAGCATAATGTCCTTCAGGTTAATCCATTTTGTCACCTATAACAGGATTTCTTTCTTTTGTAAGTCTGTATAATATTCCATTGCACATGCAGACACATTTTCTTTATCCATTTATCTATTGATGGAGATTCAGGTTGTTTTTATATCTTGGCTCATGTGAATAATGCTACAGTGAACAGGGGAGTGCAGATACTTATTCAAGATCTTGGTTTTAATTATTATATATACCCCAAACTGCGAATGCTGGATCACATGGTAGTTCTATTTTTATTTTTTTGAGAGACCTTCTTAATGTTTTCTGTAGCAGTTGCACCATTTTATATTCCCACCAACAGTACAGAAAAGTTTCAACTTCTCTATATCCTTATCAATGAATTTTTTAAAAATAATAGCCATCTTAACAGGTTTGAGGTGAAAAGATTGTGGTTTTGATTTTCATTGCCCTGCTGATTAGTGATGATGATTATCATATTTTTCATATAGCTGTTGGCTATTTGTATTTTTTTTTTTTGGCTAAATGTCTATTCAAGTCCTTTGCCTATGGCTTGATCTGCTTTTTTTAATTATTGCATTGTAGTTCATATATTTTACATATTAACATCTAACAGATACATGGTTTGGAAAAACATACATTTTCCCTGAGTTCATATGTTTCCTTGTCACTCTGTTGATTGGTTCCTTTGCTGTGCACAAGCTTTTTAGTTTAATGTAGTTCTGCTTGTCTATGTTTGTTTTGGTTGCCTGTGCTTTTGCTATTACATTCAAGAAATCATTGCCAACACCAATATCATAAAGCATTTTTTCTATATTTTTTCTAGGAGTTTTACAGTTTCAGGTCTTACATTACAAAATTTAATCCATGTGGAGTTGATGTTTTTTGTATAGTGTAAGATAAGGATCCAATTTCATTGTTTGCATGAGGTTATTCAGTTTTTCCAATACCATGTGTCGAAGACATTATCCCTTTCCCATTTTGTATTTTTGTCGCACTTGTCAAAATTCAAGTATATGTGACAGTACATAACAATATATGTATGGATTTATTTCTGTACTCTCTATTCTATTTCATTGGTGTATCTGTCTGCTTTATGCTACTATTATGCTGTTTTAATTATTGTAGCTTTGTAATGTATTTTGAAACCTGGTAGTGTTATGCCTTCATCTTTGTTCTTCTTTCACAAGATTGCTTTGGTTACTCAGGGTCTTTTGTGGTTCCATATGAATTTTATAATTGTTTTCAATTTTTGTAAAAACTTGCCATTGGGATTTTCATAGGGATGTTATTGAATCTATACCCTGTTTTGGATAGTATGGACATTTTAACATGAAGTTTTATTCAATGTTTACTCTCATCTCAGTGAATGAGAACTGGAAAAGAAAACTTAAAACAGAGCAACATTTATTCTACTGGTTTTGATGATTTCTGTTTTTCTGATTCATTTGGAAGTGGGTGAGTGGGTGACTGAAAAATCTCAGTGGAATTTTTAAGCCTACCAAAAAAAAAACAGCTTTACTGTGTCAAAAATTACTCAGGGTAAGTCAGAGATATGACTTTAAACTTATTTAAAGATCCCACTGTAATTTCCAGCCACCTACTACAAAATCAGCCAGTGAAGCAGAAATCATCAAAACTATTTGAGTAAGTGCCGTTCTGCATTCTCTTTTCAATTTTCTTTTCTAGTTTTCATTCATTGAAGTAAAGAATAAGCATTGAATATAACTTCGTGTGATTTTAAGGTTCTTAAGTGGTGTCCAATTTCAGAAAAGAAAAAATAAGTCTCTTTCCTGATGTACTTCATGCTGCTCTGATGACCACTGCCTTGGTTTATGCATTTTTCTTCATATGAATTTCAGCAGTGACCTTTTTATGGGTATGTTATTATTAGTAGTAGTAGTATCATCATTTAAGACGGAGTTTTGATCTTGTTTCCCAGGCTGGAGTGCAATGGTGTGATCTCGGCTCACTGCAACCTCCACCTCCCAGGTTCAAGTGATTCTCCTGCCTCAGCCTCCATAGCAGTTGGGATTACAGGTGCCCACCACCACGCCCAGCTAAATTTTTGTAGTTTTAATAGAGACTGGGTTTCACTATGTTGGCCAGGCTGGTCTCAAACTCCTAACCTCAGGTGATCCACCCACCTCATCCTCCCAAAGTGCTGGGATTACAGGCGTAGGCCACCACCCCTGGCTTATGGGTCCATTATTAACAGTTGCTTTATATTTCCATTTTTCAGTCAAATAAGGACTTACTATTCAACAAGCATTGTTTACATATGTAAATATATATATAAATTAAAATTCTAAGCAATATTCACACACATGCATACACACATAAACACACACATACACACACACATACACACTGAGAATGTGCTATCCACCAGGAATGGTCCTAATTGACATACCAAAGATATATAAAAATTAAGTTGATCTTCACAACAATAAAATGGGTGGGTACCATTATTATCCTATTATGTGGATGAGTAAAGAAACTGGACTCAGAGAGATAATTTGCTCAAGTTTGCACAGCTATTGAAAGAGATTTGCCTGATTTCAAACCCAGTTAGGCTTATTCTTCATCTTAGGCACTACATAGGTAAGTTTTGTGTACAAATATTGTCATGGTTTTAAATTGCAAATAATTAGCAAATTGATCTGAAATTAGCCAAACGGTTTGAAAATTAATACAGGATAAGTATCCTTAATCTGAAATGCTAAGGAACAGAAGTGTTTTGGATTTTAGGGATTTTTGGATTTTGAAATATTTGCATTATTCTGTTTGAGCATCCCAAATCTGAAATACTTTAAGCATTTTACTCAGCATTTTGTTTGAGCATCACTTCAATACTCAAAAGTTTTAAACTGAGCATTCAGAATTACAAATTTTCAAATCTAGCATGTTCAACCTGTATCTCAGTATGATATATTCAAATTTTACAATATTTGCTGGCTACAAATACAATACAAAACATTATGTTCAATCCAAAACATTCTGTGTTGAAAAATATTTAATATTCTAGAGAGTATTAAAAATAATGTTATAACAATCAGTAAAAAAATTACACTATATATGAATGCTGAATGAGTCTAAAATACCAATGATAAAACAAAATATTTAAATTGGTTAACTCCCATTAAAACTGTGGTTGTGGCTGGGCGCAGTGGCTCATGCCTGTAATCCTAGCACTTTGGGAGGCCAAGTTGGGTGGATCACCTGAGGTCAGGAGTTTATGACCATCCTGGCCAACATGGCAAAACCCCGTCTCTACTAAAAATATAAAAATTAGTCAGGCATGGTAGCATGCACCTGTAGTCCCACCTACCCAGGAGGCTGAGGCAGGAGGATCACTTGATCCTTGGAGGTGGAGGTTGCAGTGAGCTGAGACCACACCACTGCATTCCACATTCCAGCCTGGGCAACAAGGTGAGACTCCATCTAAAACAAAAACAAAAACAAAAACAAACAAACAAAAAAACTGTGGGTGACTTATTTTTTCACTTTCCTTTTGGATAGGACACACTAGAAATACTGAGGTCGGTAATGAAAAGAGAAACTTTTTTACAGCGTTTTTTCTTGGGAAGACAGCTCAGAGTAGGGAACTCTGAGCAACACATATGTAAAACCATAGACTTGATAAAATTTTCATCATGCTCTTCACCATTTCACCTGTCATCCACCTAATATTGTTCTAGAAGGAATACATAATGAATGATTGAACTTTCCTTTGCATATTTGTACCCACCATTGTTTCTAAGAAATAAAGCCACGTTGCAGCAACTAACTAATTAAAGAGAATGAATGACAAGGATTTCTAGAAAGGATGTTTCCAAATCTCTGCATATAAGCGAAGTGCCTGCCTAGGTTTCTTTGTGATTCTCTTGGTATACATGAATTCAGAAGGTGGTAAGTCTTTTATTATCTAGTTATATCATAAAAATGGTAGAATACTTCATAAGATTTAAATGTCTAAATGCACAGAATATGCTTTTAAATTAATTATCCTCACATGACAGTTGGGGGAATATCCAGTAAAATTCTTGGAAACCAGAATTCTTACACAGCAGTTCGAGAAATGAAATAGAAAAGTGCTGTGAAAGAGAGTAGCAAATGGAACATGTGCCAAGTGGGCAAAATGAGGGTCTAAGTCAACATATTTTACGCCAGAATTTTCTCCTCACCACATTTCTTCTCATTCTGGTCATTGGCAGTCTGTGACAACAATACTTCCTGAAAATGTGTTGCAGCTGTAGAGTAATTCCATAGCAGATTTATTTTCCTTTGGCACTTTTTGTAATTGGCATTGAGGAAACATACAAGAATTATTCCTTATCTTTTTTATGTTGGCAAGTTTTATATTGTTGAAACGATTTTTTTAGTTGTGTAAAATATCATTTGGTAGAATATTAGAAGACGTTTGGGCTTTCAAGTTTGTTGATTTGAGTCAGAGGTATATTGACCAGTTTTAGCACAAGATAGAATTTAATTATCTTGGCTACTTAGGAAAAAATACACACAGAGATACATACACACAGACAAGCAAATATCTTCAATAGTATAATATCTAATGTATATGTTTTCCTTAGAGCCTTAACTGAAACATACGTGCTAAATTGTATACAGATATTTTATCTCAATATACACAAGTTACATATGTGGATATAATATGAAGTTGAAAATCCTGAAGATAACCATATGTGATGAGTTTACTGTTAAGATCAGAAAATATGAATGTTCTGAACTCCACAAAAACTTGGCAAATATAATTACAAAAAACGCAAAAATATTCAAAAGTGTATTTACTAAACTTGTTAGTATTACTGTTGTTTTTATTCTTTTTATTGGTATATATCATAGTTGTATATATTTTGGGGCTACATGGGATAGTTTGATACATGTATGTAATATGAAATGATCAAATCAGGGTTACTGGGTAATCTATTTTTCCTTGTATTGGGAACACTATAGTTCTTTTCTAGCTATTTTGAAATGTACAATAAAATATTAACAATAAATTAGAACTTATTATTTCTGTCCAACTGTATTATTTACCATTAACTAATTCTTTTTCATCCTCCCTACCCCTCTCACACTTTGATAACCACCATTCTACTCTCTACCTAAGGAAATCCACTTTCTTTGCTCCCCCATATGAGTGAGAACATGGAATGTTTGTCTTTCTGTGCTTGGGTTATTTCACTTAACATAATGACCTCCAGTTCTGTTTACGTTGCTGCAAATGACAAGATTTCATTTTTTTATGGCTAAATAGTGGCCAGCAAGAATACAAAAACAGTGCTCACTATGACTATTCATCAGGCAAATGCAAATCAAAACCACAATGAGATATCAACTCATCCCAGTTAGAATGGCTATTGTTAAAAAGAAATAAATAGAAAATGTTAGCTAGGTTGCAAAGAAAGGGGAACGTTCATACACTGTTATGGGAATGTAAAGTAGTACAGCCATACGGAAGACAGTATAGAAATTCCTCAAAAACAAAACAAAACAAAACAAAACAAAAAAAGCCTGTAATCCCAGCACTTTGGGAGGTGAAGGCTGGCAGATCACTTGAGGTTAGGAGTTCAAGACCAGCCTGGTCAACATGATGAAACACTATCTCTACTAAAAATACAAAAATTAGCTTGGCGTGGTAGTGCATGCCTGTAATCCCAGCTACTTGGAAAGCTGAGGCAGGAGAATTGCTTGAACCCGGGAGGTGGAGGTTACAGTGAGCCGAAATCATGCTAATGCACTCCAGCCTGAGCGACAGAGCGAGACTCTGTCTCAAAAAAAAAAAAAAAAAAGAACTACGATGTAATCCATCAATCCCATTACTGGCTATATATCCAAAGAGGGGAAATTAGTATATTAAAGAGATATCTGCACTCCCATGTTCATTGCAGCAATATTCACATAGTGAAGCTATGGAATCAACCTAAGTGTCCATCAACAGATAAATGGATAAAGAGTATCTACATGTATATGAGTACATATATGAAAAAATATATATGCATACTAAACTTTGTAAGAAATTAGTATAGTTTTAGGCTTACAGGAAAACTGTGAGGGTGACAGAGTTTTCATGTGCACCACCACACCGAGTTTTTATTGTTGCAAACATTATACATTAGTATGGTAACTTTTTTTTACAATTAATAAACAAATACAAGTATATTATTTTAACAGCAGTCTACACTTTATTCAGGTTTCCTTGGCTTTAGATTTCTGTCCCAGGATCCCATCAAGAATATAATTACATTTTTCTGTCATGTCTCCTTAGGCTACTGTGGGCCATGACAATTTCTTAGAGGTTTCCTGTTTTTGATGACTGATATGGTTTGACTGTGTCCCCACCCAAATCGCAACTTGAATTGTATCAGTAGAGTGGAGTGTTGCTGAAAAGATACCCAAAATATGTAAACTACTTTGGAACTGCATAACAGGCAGAGGTTGGAACAGCTTGGAGGGCTCAGAAGAAGACAGGAAAATGTGGGAAAGTTTGGAAAGGCATGATTGGTTCTGAAATGTGAGGACATGAGATTTCTAGGGGTCGGGGTGGAATGATATGGTTTGGCTGTGTTCCCATCCAAATCACTTGTTGAATGGCTTTGATAAAATGCTGATAGTGATATGAACAATAAGGTCCAGGCTGAGGTGGTCTAAGATGGAGATGAAGAACTTGTAGGGAACTGGAGCAAAGATGATTCTTGTTATGTTTTAGCAAAGAGACTAGCAGCACTTTGTCCGTGCTCTAGAGATCTGTGGAACATTGAACTTGAGATCATTTAAGATACCTGGCAGAAGAAATTTCTAAGCAGCAAAGCATTCAAAAGGTGACTTGGGTGCTGCTAAAAGCATTTTGTTTGGAAAGGGAAACAGCATAAAAGTTCAGAAAGTTTGCAGCCTGATGATGCAGTAGAAAAGAAAAACCCATTTTTTTTGTGGAGAAATTCAAGCCAGCTGCAGAAATTTGCGTAAGTAGCAAGGAGGCTAATGTTAATCCCCAAGACCATGGGGAAGATGTTTCCAGGCCATGTCAGAGACCTTCAGGGCAGCCCCTCCCATCATAAGCCCAGAGGCCCAGGAGGAAAAAGTGGTTTTGTGGGCCAGGCCCAGGATCCGCATGCTGTGTGCAGCCTAGGGACTTGGTACCTTGTGTCCCAGCTGCTTCAGATGTGGCTCCAAAGGGCAAATGTAGAGCTTGGGCTGTGACTTCAGTGGGTGGAAGCCCTAAGCCTTTGCAGTTTGCACGTGGTGTTGAGCCTGTAGGTGCACAGAAGTCAAGAATTGAGGTTTGGGAGCCTCCATCTAGATTTCAGAAGATGTATGGAAACTCCTGGATGCCCAGGCAAGTTTGCTGCAGAGGTGGGGCCCTTAGGGAGAACCTCTGCTAGGGCACTGTGGAAGGGAAATGTGGGGTTGGAGCCCCCACACAGAGTCCCTACTTGGGCTCTGCCTAGTGGAGCTGTGAGAAGAGGGCCACCATCCTCCAGACCCCAGAATGGTAGATCCACCAACAGCTTGCACCATGCTCCTGGAAAAGCCACAGACACTCAACGCCAGCCCATGAAAGTAGCTGGGAGGGAGGCTGTACCCTGCAAAGCCACAAAGGTGGAACAGCCCAAGACCATGAGAACCCACCTCTTACATCAGCATAACCTGGATGTGAGAACTAGAGTCAAAGGAGATCATTTTGAAGCTTTAAAATTTGACTTCCCCACTGGATTTTGGACTTGCATGGGGCCTGTAACCCCTTTGTTTTGGCCAATTTCTCCTATTTAAACAGCTATATTTACCCAATACCTGTACCCCCATTGTATCTAGGAAGTAACTAGTTTGATTTTGATTTTACAGGCTCATAGGTGGAAGGGACTTGCCTTGTCTCAGATGAGACTTTGGACTGTGCACTTTTGAGTTAATGCTGGAATGAGTTAAGGCTTTGAAGGACTGTTGGGAAGGCATGGTTGGTTTGAAATGTGAGGACATGAGATCTTGAGGGGTCGGGGTGGAATGATATGGTTTGGCTGTGTCCCTATCCAAATCACAACTTGAATTGTATCTCTCAGAATTCCCACATGTTGTTGGGGGGGGTACTCAGGGGGAGGTAATTGAATCACGGGAGAACCGTCGTTTCCATGCTATTCTCATGACAGTGAATAAGTCTCACACTATCCAATGGTTTTATCGGGATTTCCCCTTTGCTTGCTCCTCATTTTCTCTTGCTGCTGCCATGTAAGAAGTGCCTTTTGCCTCCTGCCATGATTCTGAGGCCTCCCTAGCCATGTGGAGTTGTAAGTTCAATTAAACCGCTTTTTCTTCCTTGGGATATGTCTTTATCAGCAGGGAGTAAACAGACTAATGCAATGACCTGAGAGTTTTGAGGGGGTACTCATCGTGTACTTTGCAGAATCAGTCAGGTTTTCTCTAATGCTTTTCTCATCATAAGACATAGGTTATTGGTTTTTAAAAGGAAGACCACAAGGTAAAGTGCAATTCTCATCACATTATGTTAAAAGTAGATACTATAAGCATAATCTACCACTGATTTTATTGTGTATGTTTAAACTGTACAACATGTCTTGATATACTTACACATACTGAAATAATTAGCATAATCAAGCAAATTCACGTATCTATCACTTTACATTGTTTTTGCGTGTGAGGTAAGAGCACCTAAAATGTATTACTGTTGATGTTAATCTTGATCACGTAGCTGATAGAGTTTGTCATTTTCCTTGACCATAAACTTACTTTTTTCCCCCTTTCTACACTGTAGTCTTTGGGAGGAAGTCACTGCACAGCCTACATTTAAAGAATGAGGGCTTATTCTCTACCTCCTTGAGGGCAGAGTGTAATGTAGATACTCATCTATGTTACTTTTACTCTTTATGTAAATTGCTTCGAAATTTTCTGCATCAGAGATTTGTCTCTTCTCTCCTATTTGTTTATTCATTTATTTATATGGCAACATATTTGTATGGACTCACAAATATATTTTTTAAGCTGGGGTTTATATTCAGTATTTAACACTATTTTGTTTTTCAAAGTGTTCTAGCTTTCACCACTGGGAGCTATTTTAGTTGGCTCCTGTGTCTCTTGCGTGTCTTTGACACAATTCTATCATCATGAGTATTTTTGTTTGTTTGTTTGTTTTGGTTTTTTGCACTTGCTTGCCTTCTGCCCCTACAAGATATTCCAAGCACATGTCCTATATTTCTTGACTCACTCCTAGAACCAGCCATTTCTCCAAAGATTCATGGTTCCTTTTAACAGAGAATAATATTAGGAACCAAGATCTAAGTGCTAAGTGGGCTTATTGCTACTTCAGTGTTGACGCTTCCAGACTATCTCAACTGACAGAGAAAAAATATATGTGTGAGTATATTAACCCATGTATATACACATATTTATAAATGTATCTATATTTCTATATCCAGGAATATCTATATTAAGCAAAATGTAAGTTCATACTGGTGTATTGAAGTCTTCTGTAATAACACATGGATAATTCTAGCCGTATCTCCTTGGTCACTGCAATCTCTCATTCCAAAAGTAAGAAAACTGCCTGTCAGCCACTGTCAGCCAATCATTTATATACTTGTTCAAATCCATTATGTTTGTATAGTGGTATGAGGATTGTTAATCCATACCCCTATGTAAACCGGGTTTTCAACTAGAATATAGTGCTTATGTACAGTGTCTTTTGCCTTTTCTATTACAGACTCATCTCCATTTATTTTTAAAGTTACTTATGTCACCACTGTTATTGTCCACTCCCTTCAGATAAGATTTTTCCTACATTTGTAATACAGTTAGATATTTTTTGTCTCAGCCTGAATTCCATCTTGGAGTCTCCTGACCTCTAAATGACTTTTTAAAAAATCTGCGTAAGGTTAGGTTTACTTTTTGTTTTGTAAAGTTCTGTGGATCGCAACAGACTCATAGTGTATGTACTCAATATTTCAGCATCACACAGAATAATCTTAGCTCCCTAAAAAAACCTCTGTGTTCCATCTCTTCACTACCGTCACCCATCCCACAAACCCCCACTGAATGTCTGGCAACCACTGGTATGTTAAGCATATCTATAGTTTAGCCTTTTTTAAAAATAGCATATGAATATAATCATATGGTAAGTAGCATTTTCCAGCTGGATAGTTTTCCTTAGCAATATGCATTTAAGATTCACCCATATCTTTGCATGGCTTGACACCTCATCCTTTTTTATTATTTAATAGTATTTCATTGAATGGATTTCTCGTATTATGCTATCTATTTACTTATTGAAGGACATTCTGGTTGCTTACAGTTTTTGGTGATTATGAATAAAAATACAATAAACATAGCTTTGTTAAGAAATTATCAAACTGTCTTTCAGGGTGGCTGTATCATTTGCAGTTCCACTAGCAAGAATGGTTGCTCAGTCTCCTTTCTTGTGATTGATGTTATCAGGTTTATTTGGGAGACAGGAGGGAGCTCTTAGCCGCAGTCCAACAGTTGTGTAGTGGTATATCATCATTGTTTTCATTTGAAGCAAATTTTCAAGCAAATGATGTATCATTTCCTTAGGTGCTATCTGTTACATTTAGTAATGGAACAGTTTATATATTTTGCTCATTTTTAATTGGGTCTTTTGGTTTAATATTGCTGACTTTTAGTGTTCCTAGCATACTTTGTATACTACTCATTTATCAGATATATTTTGCAAATGCTTTCCCCACGTTCATGGCTTCGCTTTTTATTCTATCAACAGTCACTTTCATAAAATATTTCATTTTTAATGAAATAGAAGATCAATATTTTATTTCATTAATCATCCTTTTGTTGTTTTATCTAAAAACTTGTCATCAAATTCAAGGGCATGTAGATTTTGCCCACGTTTTCTTCTAAAGCTTTTATAGTTTGTCATTTTACATTTAGGTCTATGATGCATTTTAACTTAATTTTTCAGTAAAGTGTAAAGTCTGTGTTTAGGATTATTTTATCATATGGCCATCCAAATAAGTCTATATTTACTCCATTGAACTGAATTTTTGCCTTTGTCAAAAATCAATTGACAATATTTGTGTGGGTCTAGTATGCTTTATTCTATTGATTCACATGTTTTGTTTTGTTTTGTTTTGTTTTGTTTTGTTTTGTTTTCCTTTGGCAAACTACACTGTCTCAATTATAGTTGCCTTATAGTAAATTTTAAAATTGGGTAGTATGAGTCCTCCAACTTTGTTATTCTTTTTCAGTACTGTGTGGGATAGTCTAGAGCCTTTGCTTTTCCATATGAACTTCAGAAAATTATTATATCTACAAAATAGTTTTCTGGGTTTTGACTGAGTTTGCATTGAATCTATAGATCAAATTGGCAAGAATTAACATCAAATATAAATATATATGTATATTTTTTATTTAATTGCAAATTTAATTGTTTATTATTGGTATTTAGGAAAGCAATTGACTTTGTACATTTAAATTGTACCTTGCAATGTGCTATACTACTTATTAGTGACAGGAGTTTTTTGGTGGATTCTTTGAGGTTACTTACATAGACAGTTACATCATTTGTAATGAAAGACAGTTTTATTTCTTTCCTTTTTATAGTTTATAAATAGAATTTATTTTAATGTCATATTGCACAAACGAGGACTTTCAGTTTGTTGTTTAATAGCATAGGAAAACATCTTTGCCTTCTTCCAAATCTTAGGAGAAAAGTGTTCAGTGTTGTATGTTAAGTATGATGTTAACTGCAGGTTTTGTGTAAATGTATTTTATTGAGGTGAGAAAATTCCCCTTTTATCCTAGGTTTTCTGAGATTCATTATCATAAATGAGTGTTGAGTTTTGTCAAATGCATTTTTGATATCAACTCATATAATCATATACTTTTTTCTTTAACATGTTGATATGGTGGATTACATTTATTGAATTTTTTAATGGTGAATCAGTCTTGTGTACCTCAATCCCTCATTTGTGTTCCAATGAAAAAGGGAGGTATTGTTATTGGTCTGTTTCACTTTGTTACGATATATGGTTGTCCATGGTGTCTACTCATGCCCCAATATCTTGTAGATATTTAAAAAATAAAACAGCTCTTTCAATTTTTCCTATACCCTTCATTTGTTAAGAGTTTAATGAAGAAACAGAACACACTTTGAATATTTTAAGCAAGAAAGAATTCATTAAAGTAATTAGATGCTTACAAATTTATTGACAGAGGTAAAGGAGCAAAAGTCAGGGACGGCCAATGAAGGCTAGATCTCTCACAGCAGTTTCCATAGAAGGACGTTAATTAGTATAGTGACTAATAATAATAAAAATAGCTAATCTTTTTCAAGAATTTACCATGTGACAGAAACATAGATCTAGGGGACACATTCCCCTTTTCCCTAGTGGAAATCAAGGTAGACCAAGACCAGTAGATTAAAACAGAAATCACAGATGTGGTATGGTTTGGCTCTGTGTCCCCACCCAAATCTCATCTAGAATTGTAATCCCCAACTGTTGAGAGAGGAACCTGGTGGGAGGTGATTGTATCATGGGAGCCATTTCCCCTGTGCTGTTCTTGTTATAGTGAATGAGTTCTCATGAGATCTGATGTTTTTAAAGTAGCAGTTTCCCCTGTGCACACACACTCTCTCTCCTGCCACCTTGTAAAGAAGGTACTTGGTTCTCCTTCACCTTCCACCATAATTGTAAGTTCCCTGAGGCCTGCCCAGCCATGCAGAACAGTGAGTCACTTAAACATCTTTCCTTTATAAATTACACAGTCTCAGGCAGTTCTTTATAGTAGTGTGAAAATGAATTAATACAGAACTTCAATTTAACAATTAAATCATGTGGTATATACAGTCCTCTCGTTGTGTTGCTTAAAATTAGGGATCAGAATCTCAACTAGAGGAATAGAAATATTGCCTGATTTCAGATGAACACCCCCTTGTATTAATTTCCAGAAGTCAGAAACTATAGTCTATAAGCCAAAATTGGGCTCACCATGTGTTTTTATATGGCCAGCAAGCCAAGCATAGTTTCTTTATTTTTAAGTGATTGCATTTTAATGTATTATAAATGCTTACATCATATCCTCAATTTTGTCTCTTGGACCACAAAGGCTAAAATATTTACTACATGAATCTTTAAGAAAATAGTTTGCTGATCTCCTGATTTAGTCTACCAAACTACAATTAGTGTTGTTTTCATTTTTGTACTCTATATGCATGTTGCCATTTTTACACTTCTTCAGAAAAACATTGAGAATTTTTGTACACTTACTATTTCCATTTGTGCCTAAGGACAACTTTTTCTTTTTCTTCTTTTTTTTTTTGGAAGAAATTTGTTTATGAACTTAGATAAAATTTATAGCTTTGCTTGAAAATTTGGTACTTACTAGCTTTGCAATTCTCTTTATTATTATTACTTTTATTTTTCCATAAGTTATTGGGGTACAGGAGGTATTTAGTTACGTAAGTTCTTTAGTGGTGATTTGTGTGATTTTGGTGCACCCATTACCCAAGGAGTATACACTGCACCATACTCGGTCTTTTATCCCTCGCCCCCCTCCCACTTTTCCCCTCAAGTCCCAAAAGTCCATTGTATCATTCTTATGCCTTTTAATGTTTGTTTTTCCATTCCAGAGTTACTTCACTTAGAATTAAATAGTCTCCAAACTCATCCAGGTCACTGCAAATGCTGTTAATTTATTACTTTTTATGGCTGCATAGTATTTCATAGTATATATACCACAGTATCTTTATTCACTCATTGATTGATGGGCAGTTGGTTCCATGATTTTGCAAGTGTGAATTGTGCTGCTATAAACATGCGTGTACAAGTATCTTTTTTGAATAATGACTTATTTTCCTCTGGAGAGATACCCAATAGTGGGATTGCTGGATTAAATGGTAGTTCTACTTTTAATTCTTCAAGGAATCTCTACACTGTTTTTCACAGTGGCTGTACTAGTTTACATTCCCACTAGCAGTGTAGAAGTGTTCCCTGTTCACCGCATCCACGTCAACATCTACTGTTTTTTGATTTTTTGTTTATGGCCATTCTTGCAGGAGTAAGGTGATATCACATTGTGGTTCTGATTTGCACTTCTCTGATCATTAGTGATGTTGAGCATTTTTTCATATGTTTGTTGGCCATTTGTATACCTTCTTTTGAGAATTGTTTATTCATGTCCTTAGTCCACTTTTTGATGGGATTGTTTTTTACTTACTAATTTGTTTGAGTTCGTTGCAGATTCTGGATATTAGTCCTTCGTCAGATGTATACATCATGAAGATTTTCTCCCACTCTGCGGGTTGTCTGTTTACTCTGCTGACTGTTCCTTTTACCATGCAAAAGAGTTTTAGTTTAATTAGGCCCCAGCTATTTATCTTTGTTTTTATTGCATTTGCTTTTGGGTTCTTTGTCATGAAATCTTTGCCTAACCCAATGTCTAGAAGGATTTTTCCAACATTATCTTCTAGAATTTTTATAGTTTAGGTTCTTAGGTTTAAGTCCTTAATTCATTTGGCATTGATTTTTGTATAAGGTGAGAGATGAGGATCCAGTTTCATTCTCCCACATGTGGCTTTCCAATTATCCCAGCAACATTTGCTGAAAGTGATGTCCTTTCCCCACTTTATGTTTTTGTTTGCTTTGTTGAAGATCAGTTGGCTGTAAGTTTTGGGGTTTATTTCTGGCTTCTCTCTTCTGTTCCATTGGTCTATAGGCCTGTTTTTGAACAAGTACCATGTTGTTTTGGTGACTATGGCCTTATAGTATAGTTTGAAATCAGGTAGTGCATGCCTCCAGATTTGCTCTTTTTGCTTAGTCTTGCTTTCGCTATGTGGATCTTTTTTGGCTCCATATGATTGTAGAATTGTTTTTTCAAATTCTGTGAAGAACAATGGTGGTATTTTGATGGGGATTGCCTTGAATTTGTAGATAGCTTTTGGCAGTATGGTCATTTTCACAATATTGATTCTACCTATCCATGAGCATGAGGTGTGTTTCCATTTGTTTGTGTCATCTATGATTTCTTTCAGCCATGTTTTGTAGTTTTCCTCGTAGAGGTCTTTTGGCTCCTGGTTATGTATATTCCTAAGTTTTTCGTTTGTTTGTTTTTTGCAGCTATTGTGAAAGGGGTTGAGTTCTTGATTTCAACCTCCACTTGGTCACTGTTGGTATACAGAAGAGCTACTGACGTGTGTACATTAATCTTTTATCCAGAAACTTTGCTGAATTCTTTTGTCAGTTCTAGGAGCTTTCTGGTCCTTAGGGTTTTCAAGGTAAATGATCATATCATCAGCAAAGAGTGACAGTTTGACTTCCTCTTTACTGATTTGGGTGAACTTTATTTCTTTCTCTTGCCTGACTGCTGTGGTTAGGACTTCCAGTACTATGTTGAAGAGGAGTGGTGACAGTGGTCATCCTTATCTTGTTCCATTTCTCAGAGGGAATGCTTTCAACTTTTCCCCATTCAGTATTATACTGGCTGTGGGTTTGTCATAGTTGACTTTTATTACATTAAGCTATGTCCCTTGTATGCCGTTTTTGCTGAGAGTTTTAATCATAAAGTGATGCTGGATTTTGTCGAAGGCTTTTTCTGTGTCTATTGAGATGATCATAGTGATTTTTGTTTTAAATTCTGTTTATGTGTTGTATCATATGTTAAACCATCCCTGCATCCCTGGTATGAAACTCACTTGATCATGGATTACTTTTTTGATATGTTGTTGGATTCAGTTAGCTAGTATTTTGTTAAGGATTTTAGCATCTATGTTCATTGAGGATATTGGTCTGTAGTTTTCTTTTCTGGTTATGTCCTTTCCTGGTTTTGGTATTAGGGTGATGCTGGCTTCATAGAATGAATTAGGGAGGGTTCCTTCTTTCTCTATCTTGTGGAATAGTGTCAAAAGGATTGGTACCAATTCTTCTTTGAATGTCTGGTAGAATTTTGCTGTGAATCTGTCTGGTCCTGGACATTTTTTGTTAGTAATTTTTAGATTACCATTTCAATATTGCTGCTTGTTATTGGTCGGTTCAGGGTATCTAATTCTTCCTGATTTAAGCTAGGAGGCTTGTTTTTTCCAGGAATTTATCCATCTCTTCTAGGTTTTCTAGTTTACATGCATAAAGGTGTTAATAGTAGCCCTGACTTATCTTTTCCATTTCAGTGGTGTCAGTTCTGATATCTCCTGTTTCATTTCTTAGTGAGGTTTTTTGGATTTTCTCTCCTCTTTTCTTGGTTAATCTTGCTAATAGTCTGTCAATTTTATTTATCTTTTCAAAGAACCAGCTTTTTATGTTGTTTATCTTTTGTATATTTTTTGTTTCAGTTTCATTTAGTTGTGCTCTGATCTTGGTTATTTCCTTTCTTCTATTTGGTTTGGGTTTGGTTTGTTCTTGTTTCTCTAGTTCTTTGAGATGTGACCTTAGGTTGTCTGTTTGTGCTCTTTCAAACTTTTTGATGTAGGTGTTTATGGCTATGAGCTTTCTTCTTAGCATTACCTTTGCTGTATCCCAGAGGTTTTGATAAATTGTGTCATTCTTGTCATTCAGTTGGAAGAATTTTTTAATTTCCATCCTGATTTTGTTTTTGATCCGATGCTCATTCAGGAGCAGGTTATTTAATTTTCATTTATTTGCATGGTTTTGAAGGTTCCTTTTGGAGTCGATTTCCAGTTTTATTCCACTGTGGTCTGACAGAGTGCTTAATATAATATCACTTTTCTTAAATGTAATGAGGCTCGTTTTATGGCCTATAATATAGTCAATACGGGAGAAAGTTCCACACGCTGTTTAATAGAATGTGTATTCTGTGGTTGTTGGATGAAATGTTCTGTGTATATCTGTTAAGTCCATTTGTTGCGAGGTATAGTTTAAACCCTTTGTTTCTTTGTTGACTTTCTGTCTTGATGACCTACCTAGTGCTGTCAGTGGAGTATTGACATCCCCTACTATTGTTGTGTTGCTGTATATCTCATCTCATTTCTTAGGTCTATTAGTAATTGTTTTATTAATTTCAGAACTCCAGTGTTAGGTGCATATGTTTAGGACTGTGATATTTTCCTGCTGGACAAGGCCTTATAGCATTCTTTTTTTTTTTTTTTTTTTTTTTTTTTTTTGAGACAGAGTCTCGCTCTGTTACCCAGGCTGGTGTGCAGTGGCGTGATCGCGGCTCACTGCAAGCTCCACCTCCCGGGTTCACGCCATTCTCCTGCCTCAGCCTCCTGAGTAGCTGGGACTACAGGTGCCCACAAACACGCCCAGCATGCTCCCCTTCCCTTAAGGGTTTGAGTATCTGTGGTGGCCAAACAGACAAGCCAATCCCTGTCACATGTCCTGCAAGGGAGGTCGGGGAACTCTCCCATTTCACTATCAAAAGAATTTACTGTTTGTTCCAGTCAATACCTAACTATAGGGCGCTGACTCCCTTATTTATTTTTGACAGCTTACAATTTTCAATTATTTCTCTGATCCTTTAAAAGGTAGTCTTCCCTTAAGAGAAGGGGAGCATGCAAACGGACAGGTGCAGGAGCCAGAATGAGTGCCCCTGGTCTCCAGCCCCAGAGCAGCGTCCAGGAGTGGGTACCTGCAGCTCTGAAATCACAATGGGGTGAGTGTTACAGTACACTCTCTTAGATTTACCATCTATGGATGGCTTAAGTGTTAACCAGCTCAATGCCCTCTTGGTATCCAGGTCCTTGTCTGACATCCAGGAAGAATCAGGTCACACAAGGACTTGAAGGATGAATGCAGGAATGCAGGGGTTTTTATTAAGTTTATTAAGGAATGCAGGATGAATGGGGAACTGAAAAAGGGATGGAGTGGGAAGATGATATTCCCCTGGAGTTGACAATCCAGCAGCTGATCTCCTCTCTGACTGCCCCCAGCCGATTCCTATTGGCGTTCAGGTGCTCCTTCTCTTCTCTCTGCCCCATTTTCCTGCCATCCGTCTGCTCTTCTGTTAGTCCTCTCGTCTGCTTGTCTGCTTCTAGAGCCTGGGGTCTGGGATTTATATGGGTACAGAATAGGGGGGTGTGGCAGGCCAAAAGACAACTTTTGGGTGCCAAAACTGGAATGTCTGTTCCCATTTGGGGCCACAGGTTTCCAGGCTTGAGGGCAGGGTCTTTGCCAGGGAACCACCCTCTTCTACCCAGTATTTCCCTGTCTCCTGTCCATATCAGTAGCACTGAGATTTCTAAGGCTGGTATTTTAAAGAGGTTGAGGTAACCCTAGGGACATGGTCCAGGATTACCATGGCTAGAGTGTGATCAAGTTTTGGTGTGCTGGGTTGAACAGAGACTTTTGCAGTTCTCACCCAGTTCCCATTATACTAAAGTTTACTGTACTTATCTACCAACTTGTTGACTTTCTTGTCCAACTTAACACTTGGAGTGTTAAGTTTGCAGAAGCATCTGGAACCCCAAATATTCTTTGAGGAATTTTCTTTCTACTGATACAGTCTGTATATCTGGTGTACCCACCTACTATAGGTTGTGTTTCACAGGGATCATGTGGGTTTTTAGGGGCATATAGCTGAAAGTGGACTCAAGTACAGAGAGTCACTATTTATAGCCTCAAACCATTGTTTCCTTGTTAGATGTAAGATTTTTCCTTATGTGTTTATTTACAGACTCCTTCCTCATTTTTTTTTCCTTAGGAAATTTCTAACTTTTTTTTACCTTCCATGCTTTCTATTGGATGCATTCCTTTATTTATTTTTATTTTAGTTTAGTTTAGTTTTTTGAGACTGGGTCTCACTCTGTTGCCCAGGCTGGGATGCAGTGGCGCAATTTTGGCTCACTGCAAGCTCTACCTCCCAGTTCATGCCATTCTCCTGTCTCAGCCTCCTGAGTAGCTGGGACTACAGGCGCCCACCACTATGCTTAATTTTTTGTATTTTTAGTAGAAATGGGGTTTCACCATCTTGGCCAGGATGGTTTCAATCTCCTGACCTTGTGATCCACCCTCCTGGGCCTCCCAAAGTGCGGGGATTACAGGCGTGAGCCACTGTGCCCAGCCACATTCCTTTATTTCTATCAGACAGATCACTGTATGTTAGAAAGAACCTTAATTTTGGAGAAGATTTCTACCTTTCATGGGCTAAAAGTCTCCATTAAAGAAAATTAATAGATAAATATATTAACATCTTGGTATTAGTTTATTTGAACCTGAGCTCATACTCGATCAGTGTTTTCAGCAATATTTAATTCTGCTTTTGTAGGTTTCACATTCTACTTGCAAAATAATGGATGATTATTACCTTATTATTATGATGATGTTTGTGAGTGAATTTTCAGGCATTTTTATTGGAATTTGTGATCACATTGAGAGCCATAAAACATTTTACATTTTTCAGATAGAAATAATAGTACGGGGCTGGGTGCCGTGGCTCACGCCTGTAATCCCAGCTCTTTGGGAGGCCAAGATGGGTGGATCACCTGAGGTCAGGAGTTCAAGACCAGCCTCCCCAACATGGTGAAGCCCTATCTCTACTAAAAATACAAAAATTAACCAGGCATGATGGCGCACGCTTGTAGTCCCAGCTACTAGCAAGGCTGAAGCTAGATGATATCTTGAACCCGGGAGGCAGAGGATAGAGTGAGCCGAGACTGTGCCACTGCGCTCCAGCCTAGGAGACAGATGGAGACCCTGTATCAAAAAAAAAAAAAAAAAGAGAAAAAAAAAACAGTGAAGTGATAGTGGGACCCACTTCTGAAAGAGATCCTGTTGGCATCCTTATCCCTCTCTTAGTTCTTTCATATATGCAATGGGGAGTCTCTGTTAAGTTTTTTGATTTATGAAATGATACACAATGCCAGGAATGACACTAATTAAAATCTGTATATTTACTCATTTGAATCTTGACAATCATTCTTATTTAGATGAACCTCATTCAAATAGTTAATATTTAACATGTTTTCTTCAGGAATTTTTATTAGCAATGAGAATGTTAATTGAGGATGGCTGGGCTTATATTCTGTAAGAATTGTACCCTTTTATTGAATATATTTAAACTAAGTTTAACTATATATAAAAGATCAGATATTGCAACATGTTTCTGGTATTAATTTCCAAAAAACTTTTTATACGTGATATTATGAAATGGTACTTCCTATAGTCTAGTACTAAAAATTTAAAAAAGTCTTTTATCATTCTTACTGCATAAAAATGCTTTAGTGAGTATTGTTAAGAAGAATAAACCAATCCACTTTAGTTTTCTTATCCCTGTGACTCATTTATGCACTTGATATTTCTCAGTGTAGCCCTACAACAATGTCTTTAAATTATGTAATTTTCTATGAATTCAACAAAAGAAACCTAAAAGTTGACTCTGAGCATTTTCTTGGCCTTCCTCATTTTGCGGTTGATTGTGGCCTACATAATTTCCCTGAAATGAGTCAGCTTCCTTCCAAACTGTTTAGGATTCCAAGCCCTCTATATAGGCTGCTGCTCAATACTTGTTCTTTGCTCATTTCTACTGCCAATGTATTTTGTTATAAAAATGAACCACATTTTTTGGTCAATAATAATGTATTTGCTATAAAGGTTATACTGCAAATTTCACTAGGTTCCATAAAAAACCTTATCATCACCATTGCTGTTTCTCTAAATAAATATATGCATGAAAATTGTGTAGAAGGAAAAAGTTTTAAAACATTAATTATGTATATAGAAAGTTCCAACTGATATCTAGCAGAAACATGAATAATTTTTCAGTTTCATTCACCTAGTGTGCAAACTAGGATCAATCATAATGAAAAAAAAACCCTCCCCCAAAACAGCTACAGCTTCATTTTTCTCATCTTCTCTGTAATGAAGGCTCCAAGTTGACACAGATGGTAATAACAAAGAGGCCAGTTCTGAGAGCTGCCATCTGCGTCATCCTGACCCCTTTCAACACACCTCATCTGAAACGATAACTATAATTCCTGTCCTAGATTACACTCTGCTGTAGTGCCACACATCTTTTAAAAGTATTAAGGAAACCATTCAGAGAGCATTATTGGAAAATAAGAGAGGGCAACTATTCTGGTCAACCAAGTAATGAGTTTTAATACTTCCCAGCAGTTACCTAAAATCCCAGCTGATTTCAAAGACTAAGAGGTAAAAGGGCAAAGGCTCAATGGCAGAGTGGGGATGGGCTGGGGAGAAATCCTTTAGAGCTAATATGTTATCTGGCAGTGTTATCTTCCTCCACTTTTATCTGCAGTATTTCAACATACGTAAATCTATTATAGTGTTGGAGAAAGGGCCCACTGTCTGAACTTTTATTCTTTTAGGAGAAACATCCATGTAAAGCTCTTTGTAGATTAAGCAATTCAATTTTATACATAGAGAATACCTAATTGGCCAAAAAAAATTCTATTCTACTTAAAGCTATACCATAATTTAAAAATAGTAAATAACAATAGCACTTTAAAATAAATTTAATCAATGAATATTCCTTGTCCATTTGTATAAAATACTTAAATAAAAAGTTTTGTAAAATGTTATGATATTTATCTGCTTTAAAATATTTTACTATTAACTCAAACTTTTACCCTAGGACTGATTCATATTTACACAACTTCAATGTTGAAGTAAAATCCTACAGCCTATCATGTGAATTTATACAAATCATGTATGTAGTATGTAGGGTTTTTTTCTTTTTCAAATTAAGAATATCAGAAAATACAAAACAAAATTTTATTTATTATTAATTATTTCAGATCTGCAGTAAACAGAATCCTGCTCAGATAATTTGAGAAATTTTTCAAGTAAGAGTATGAATGAACGAATGTCGAGAAATCTAGAGATTAGCAGCTGTGGGAAGTCATTGCCAGCTCTAAGCTGAAGAGCAAAGGAGGTAATAGCACTACAGGATCTGAAGAGTAATAGAGCCTTAAGGTAGTGGTCTTCCTCATTGGAACTGCAGTCATTGAAGGTATCGACCACTGACAGACAATGCTGCCAAATATGATAGGGAGTGGGGAAAAAATACCCCAACCTTCCCTCTTGCCTTGTAATTGGCATGCCATTGCTCCCCATTTCCTGAACCCAGCAATCTGAAGCCAAATGGAAAGAAAGTCAGTAACACAATCCAAGGGAGTCAGACTCTCAGAACAGAGAAAAGAACATGAAAAGACAAAGACTTGATTGAGGTCAGAAGGCAAAATAAGAAACCCAACACATCCATATTCCCAACACAAAGGCTTGACCACAAAGAATTAATAGCTGGTAAATTTTGCCTACAGCTATTTAACAAAAACTAAATATCACTCTATTTGGATATGCATGGTAAATTCCTGCATATGCCATGCATATGGATTTTCAAAGATGTAAAAAAATGCATAAAATCACAAATAGGAAGAAACAATTATTCCAAATATTTACACATGAAAGTAAGCATCACTGTGATGGTTAATATTGAGTGTCAACTTGATTGGATTGAAGGATACGAAGTATTATTCCTGGGTGTGTCTGTGAGGGGGTTACCAAAGGAGATTAACACTTGAGTCAATGGACTAGGAGAGACAGACCCACCCTCAATCTGGGTGGGCACCGTCTAACCAGCTGCCAGCACAGCTAGGATAAAAGCAGGCACAGAACGTGAAAGGACTAGTCTGGCTAAGTTATCTGGGCTCCATCTTTCTCCTGTGCTGGATGCTTCCTGCCCTTGAACATCAGACTCCAAGTTATTCAGCTTTTGGACTTGTGAACATACACCAGCGATTTGCCAGGGGTTCTCAGACCTTCAGCCACAGACTGAAGGCTGCACTGCCGGCCTCTCTACTTTTGAGGTTTTGGGATTTTGACTTGCTTCCTGGCTCCTCAACTTGCAGATGTCCTATTATGGGACCTCACCTTGTGATTGTGTGGGTCAATTTCCCTTAAAAACTCCCCTTCATATATTCATCTATCCTATTAGTTCCATTTCTTTAGAGAACCCTGACTAATGTAATCATTAACTATGAGTGAACCTCATTTCAGATATTTTTCTATGGATATACACATATGGAAAAACAGAAAGACAAAGATAAACTTTTTGTTAATAAAAATGAGACTGTACTATATAAAGCTATTATAGTAAAATCAATGGATTTATTTTACTTTAATTTATAAGAATAAAATATCTGAAATAAAACAAAATAAAGGAGTTCAAATAAATGTTTCCTTACCACAGTGCTGTTTTATATTTTTAAATAACCTAAAGTTTAGAAAATATTTTACTCAGATTAAAAGACATGCATTGTTAATGTAATCATAGTTTTCCATTTAAAAAATCTATTAACTTTCTGCTACAAACAAGGAAGATATTAGAATGTAGTGTATTTCCATCCGTCTTCTGCTTATATCCCAACGTTTGTAAAATATATTATTCTATTTACATTATTTGGATTTACTTTTTATATTGTTACATTCTGAAAAAATGTTTAGTTCTATTTTCAAAGGGAATAGGTTTTTATTAGTGTAGGTGTTATAAGACTGTCTTTACTTGAATTCTTTGAGTCTTATATTCCATAAATTATTAGGGTCTTTCATGTTTTCAAATGTCTCCATGCCTTGTTGATACTTGAACTCTAACTTAGCTGGCTATACAATGATTGGGTCACATTTCTTTACCTTTTGAACTTTTAGAAGTTGCTTCGTTGTCTTTAGCCACAACATACTGATGACTGTGGAGAAAATATGGGACTCATCTGATTTGTCTTCTCTGTTTGTATTTTCTTTCTCTGCTCTAGATGCCTGATGAATGATACCTTTACCTTGAAATTTAATAGCCTGAAAAGGTTGTCTTGATGTTAGGTAACATGAATTAAAATTTTATGGTACACCATCTGCAGTTTAAGTTTTTTACATTCTTTCTTTTTACATCTCAATTTTAAGAGGTGTTGCAAAGAAATCACTGTAAATACAGAAGTAGCCCTCATGTTCCACCAAAGTCAATTAGAGTGTTTCATGGATGTGCATGAACCTGTAAATGTCAAGAAAGTTAAAAAACTGAACCCAGGCCAGGCACAGTGGCTCACGCCTGTAATCCCAGCACTTTGGGAGGCCGAGGTGGGCGGATCATGAGGTCAGGAGATCCAGACCATCCTGGCTAACACGGTGAAACCCCGTCTCTACTAAAAATACAAAAAATTAGCCGGGCGTGGTGGTGGGCGCCTGTAGTCCCAGCTACTCGGGAAGCTGAGGCAGGAGAATGGCATGAACCCGGGAGGCAGAGCTTGCAGTGAGCCGAGATCGCACCACTGCACTCTAGCCTGGGCGACTGAGTAAGAGTCTGTCAAGAACAAACAAACAAACAAACAAAAAAAAACCTGACCCCAACAAAGGGGTCTTACAAAAAACAAGGAACAAACAAAAATGTTACAACCAAACATCAGACTTTTGAGTCATGTTTCAGGCCAAGAGGTGATGAGTTACTGTAGTTGCCTGAGCTGGGTGGTGAACTATTACCTGGCAACAAAACTGAAATAGAAGGTGGCTTAGTAAAATACAGATTCAGAATGAGTGCCTTAAGGTTAAGGCATATAAGTCCAAACTGATTTTCTTTTTCACGAGGTCTTCAGGTAAGGCCATTGTAGAAGATACTTTGTTTGGGAACTTCAGTAAGTTGCTTCACTTGTCTCATATTTTCATCTTCAGGATGGAGACTTGAGATTGAATTGTAGTGCAATTAGGTAAATTTTTACCGATTTTAAATATAATATTAAAATATTAATTATAAATTACCTTATTTAGATCTGGAATAATATTTATTGCAGGGCATATAATCTAAGCTATAAACGTCCTGTTAGAAGAGAACATATTCATCTTGCTAAGGTATATGCTATATGACTGGCACTGTGCTCAACTCAGAGTCACTGAATGAACAGTATTTATTTAATATATGAATGAGAGCACTTCAAGTATATAGAAAGATATCTCAAAAGATTCAGCCTTACATTGCTCATAACTTCAATGACTTAGATGAAAACCTCCTGAACATTTTTATCAATTTTATGGATACCCCAAATCATAAGGGAATGTATATATCAATTAGATGATGAAATGGGGATGCAACTACGTCATGGCAGGCTAAAGAAATAGAATGACTTTGACAAGAGGAAATTACATAGAGGCACCTGAGTCTCCTAAACCAATTTCAAAGGTATGAGAGGGGGGTGATATAAATAGTTGATAGATGAAAAATCTCAGAAGTTATAGTTAACAGCAATTTTAATATAATATGAAAAATGTGGTTGCACTTCTGGGAAAAAAACCTAATAACATCTAATGGAAACTGGTGGTCCACTCATTTGTCCACCTATGATGTTAAAAATATTTCTTCTGGGTACGACATCCCAAAAGAAGTGTAGGCCTTCGAAATCATGCTCAGAAGGAAGATATCAGAGGGGTTAAAGGAAATTTGATGCCAGGTGTAAAATGTGTTTCAAAGAACTGAACATGTGACACTAAGTAAAATTCTATTGGATAAAGGCCAAATATCTCCAAACATATGAAGAGGTGTCATGTAAAAAGATATTACATGTGATCTCTGTAGCCCCAGGGGTTCCTGCTGATCTAGGACATATGTACTGAAGTTATGAACAGAAATTTAAAAATCAGAGAAACCTAAACATGAGAAGCATCACGTGGATGGCTCTGATGTGTAAATCCTCATCACTGGAAGTGTTCGAACGGGGCAGAATAACCCCTTTAAAAGGCTTTTAATAAAGTTATCAAAAATTGTATAAATAATAAAATTATTTTGAAGTCCTTTCTAAACTAATATTATATAACTATTAATACATCATTTCTTCCATTTTTTTAAGAATGTGAAAAATAATTTAACCTAGGCTACCTAGGTGTAAATCACGTTTCTACCAGTCCTTAGTTGTACAATATTGGACAAAGTATGTAAATTGTTAGCATTTATGTTTCTTCACCTGTAAAATGACAATAAATGGGTTATTGAGGCTATCACATGAATTAATATCTGGAAGGTACAGTGACTGTCAGAGTAAAAAT
Organism: Homo sapiens; assembly: GCF_000001405.40. Classification (NCBI taxonomy): domain Eukaryota; kingdom Metazoa; phylum Chordata; class Mammalia; order Primates; family Hominidae; genus Homo; species Homo sapiens. The sequence goes on along the minus strand of NC_000002.12, from coordinate 131,917,933 downwards.
GCACATGCAACAAAACTAGTTTTTAATATTTTGTGGAAAACATTGAAAAATTTGACTCAGCACTAGTGTTCAATCCCTGCAGAAAACTAGATTGCCAGTGGAAGAGTCTTGAGAGGGACAAAATGCCAAAGGACAAAGATGAGCAAACTCAGTCACCTGACAATAACCACAGCACCTCAATTTGAGCTATGCCTGTTATATAGTGTCTCATAGTCACTGGTCCATAGTAAGTATTAAAAAATTGTGATCAAGTGAATATATACATTACTCAATTAATATCAGGCTTCTCTATAAAATTTAATTCTTATGAAATGTGTCTGGTGCTGAAATACATTATAAAAATATCCCACTAATCTTAGTTCAATAGTTTGTTCATCAGAAATATCATTAAGATATCCGTTGGTAATAATTAATAATAAGACTTGATGCAGACTTAGTGCAGAACCAGGGCCATGAACCCTTATGATGAATGAAGAAAGGTATCACATCTTTCCACCCCTACATCCCATTGATGACAGTTGACAAAGTAAAGAGTAAAACTGAATATACGGTGGTCCTCTAGCTAGTGTCCCTGGGGTCAGGTCCCTGGAGTATCTGGATCCTTCTCGATTTCACCCCTGATTTTACACTTCTCACCATTTTGCATTCGTTGAAATTCTTGTCTTTTAGTGTTTATGTCAAAGATCTCTCTCTCTCTCTCTTTCTGTTTATGTCAAAGATCTTTCCCTCTGTCCATCCCTCTCTCTCTCACACACACACAGAAACACTCACACCACTCTTACTTTTCATTCTTACATTTAACTTTTATTTTCATCAAAATATGTACATAGTTTTGAGTTAGATTTAGATTTTTTCCATAAAACAGGATTATCCCAATTCAATCCCATCTTTTTTTTCCCCACTTTCAATCATGTTAACTATTTTGATATTTACCTTCAGAAGTCAAACAACATAACTTAACATCATATGTTTCCTCCCATTTTGGAAAGTGAAGATTTCTCTATCAACTCTCTATTCAGTTCTCATTTTGGGATTTTCTGTAAGCATGATTCTAGCATTATTTTAATGTATGTTTAAACAAGGTAGAATATTTTCGTGTTTGTTCACTGATGTATCTAAAGCATTCCCAGCAGTAAAGATAGGCATAAGAAAGATATTTAATAAATAATTTTTGAACTGATGAATGAATCCTGACTTTTCTTGTCTTTTACTTCTTTTATTTGACTATCTTGTTCATTTAGCCTATGTCTTCCTCTTCCTTGTTTTATTCCCTTCATTGGCCGAACACAACCCCCAAAAGCTTTAAAAGAAAGAGTGTATACATGGTTTTTAATTTTGTTTTTGTGTTTAAAACATTAAATGTATCAAAATGCTTTTATTCTATATTTAAACTTGAATAATTCTTTATCTAGGTATAGGATTCTAGGTTGGAAATCATATTCCCTTAGAATTTTGAAGTTATTGATCTATTGTTTTTAAATATCTTCACTGTACTCTCACTTTTGGTGAGAGCTTGGCAGGGTTTGGAAATACAGATTGAAAGTAAATTTCCCCTATGATAGAAGTATTTGCTTTATTGTATTCTAGTTTTATCATTTAGGTAAAAATGCCAATGGCAGTCATCATTAACCTTGTATGTGTTTGTTCTTTTTCTCTGGAAGCTATGGACTCTTCTATTTTCTCCAGTGTTCCCAGGCCTTAAAAACCTTTGTCTTAGTCTGCATTTATTTTTTAACCATTGTACTGGTTAAAATGGACCCTTTTAATCTGAACAGTTCTATGTGCCCAATTCTCAGAAAGTTTCTTCAATTGACTGGATGATTTTCTCTCTTCATTTTTCTCTATCAAATTATTTGGATATTGAATGTACTACACTGAGTCGTTCCAACATTACAATTCTTTACCTTTGATTTTTAAGTCCTTCCAGTTTGTACTGCATGTTGTATGAGGTTTTCTCAAGTTTACCTTCCAATCTTTGTATTAATTGTTTCATTTCTACCTGTCCAATTCTCAGGAACTTTCTTCAATTGACTGAATGATTTCCTCTCTTCATTTTTCTCTATCAAATTACTTGGATATTGAATCTACTGGATTGATTGATTCTAACATTATAATTCTTTACCTTTGATTTTTAAATCCTTCCAGTCTATACTGTATGTTGTTTATCTTCTAATCTTTTTATTGATTGTTTCCTTTCTATTATAGATGCCATTTCTGAGACCTTTTCTATTCTCTGGTGTTTGTAACATCCTCTTCTTGTTTTATGGATGCATTATCTTCTCTTCTCTCTCTGAGGTGATTAAATGGCTAAAATGCAAAACTTTGGGGAAGACTCTCATGAGTCTTTCAGGTAGACTAGTTGCTTTCTCTGATGTGTATCCAAAGATATGTGATTATATCTATCTGTTTTATGTATGTTCTATTATAATTTTCCCATTATTTAATGTTATCTATAAATTCCCAAGTTGTAAATCTTAGTAGAACTCACATTATATTTATATGTGTTCCTCACCATACTCTAAAATGCTCAAGTCATAAGCTTTCTTAATCTTTTTTGAATAAGGAATGGAAAAATTCACACAAAATACACACTTGCTTTTACCTTGTTTATAATTCTATCTTTAGCAGTCAGCAAAGTGCATGTTATGCTTTATATTCTCAGGATACAACTTACCAATAAATTGATGGAATTTGAAAGATTTTTTTTTTGCATATAAAACATTTTGGTGGCCCTAAATTTTCAAGCATGTGCTTTGTATTTGGGAAGCAATTCACCCATTTATTTGGCAACAGTATTTCTTTCATATCTACTTGGTGCTATGGAGAAGTAAATTAAAACAAAGTTTACAAAATCTTCTGAATTTAATTATCCAATTACTTAGTTCATTATGAATATGTGCAAATCCGAATTGAATAAATAAACAATTCCATGAGGACAGAGGCTCTGTTATTTTACTTGTAATTACACTTATAGCTCTCATGGCATCTATTTATTGTCAGACATTGTTTTTCTATGTAGATACAGTCTAGAGTAGATAATTATTAGATGCAGCCAAAATTTAAAAAGAAATTAAATGAAAGAAACCTTGTTTTAAGCTGAAGATTGCACAAACTACTTCTTCTCTAAATACTGTCTGATACCCACCATTCTACATAAATAATTTTTACATAGTTGCTCATTGCCTAAAAAAAAAATGTTTGCCCCGTGAGACATCGATGCATCAATAGTGCTTCATTATAATGACAGCTTCAAGCCACAGTATTTTTCCGCATTTTTTTAGTTCTATGTTCTCTTAAAACTAGTCTACCTAGGCCGGGCGTGGTGGCTCACACCTGTAATCCCAGCACTTTAGGAAGCCAAGGGCAGGCAGATCACAAGGTCGGGAGATCGAGACCATCCTGGCTAACACTGTGAAACCCCGTCTCTACCAAAAATACAAAAAATTAGCCGGGCATAGTAGCCTGTAGTCCCAGCTACTCAGGAGGCTGAGCCGGGAGAATGGCCTGAACCCGGGAGGCAGAGCTTGCAGTGAGCTGAGATCGCACCATTGCACTCCAGCCTGGGTGACAGAGCAAGACTACATCTCAAAACAAAACAAACAAAACAAAACAAAACAAAACAAAAAAATCTAGTCTACCTCTTCCCTTAGAAACTTTGCATCATTTAACAACTTGTGTTAGAGAGAATAGCCTCCCAAAAATGCCTATGACTTAGTCACCAGAATCTATTCATCTGTTACCTTACATGGAAAGCAGGACTTTGTGGGTGCTATTAAATTCTTGAGATGGAACAATTATTCTGGATTATCTAGATAGATACAACCTAATGATATAATCTCTTTAGAGCAGGAAATCTTTCCTAGCTGGGCCAGAGAGCAAGATGAGACAGGAAAAAGAAAAGAGTTTCAAAGAGTGAGAGGGACAAGCTTTGATGTTGCTAGCTTTGCAGATGGAAGAATAGGGTGAAAGGTGAGGAATATAGGTGGTTCCAGGAGGTGGAAATGGCCCTCACTTGAGAGACAGCCAAAAGATGGGAGCCTTTACCCTACACCACTATGGATATGTACTCAGCCAGCAGCCTAAATGAGGAAAGAGGCTTTTTCTAGAGCCTCCTGAGAAGAATACAGCCTGCTTGAAACCTTTGCTGGATTTTGGATAATACATTTGTGTTGTTCAAGTCATTAAATTGACTGTAATTTGTTATTGCACAATAGAAACCTAATAAACAGTCTGGGCGTGGTACCTCACGCCTGTAATCCCAGCACTTTGGGAGGCCGAAACGGGCGGATCACCTGAGGTCAGGAGTTTGAGACCAGCCTGGCCAACATGGTGAAACGCCGTCTCTGCTAAAAATACAAAAATTAGCTGGGCATGGTGGCGGGTGCCTGTAATCCCAACTACTCAGGAGGCTGAGGCTGGAGATTGGTGTGAACCTGGGAGGTGGAGGTTGCAGTGAGCCGAGGTCATGCCATTGTACTACAGCCTGAGTGATAGGAGCAAAACTCCATCTCAAAAAAAAGAAAGAAAGAGGAAGAAAGAAAGAAAGAAAGAGAGAGAGAAAGAAAGAAAGAAAGAAAGAAAGAAAGAAAGAAAGAAAGCAAGCAAGCTAATAAACACCATAACAATGTTTCTTTCTCTGAATTCATTTAGAACTTGCTAAGCATCCTAATGAAGTTATCAATGAGGAATCGTATACTGCATTGTAAGAAGATGTGCAAATGTTTTAAAAAATATATTTTTACAAGTCTCTAGTGTTTGAGTTTATTCGGGTCTATTGGTTCAAGGGTTCTAGTATTAAAGTCACAAGTGATTAAGCGCCACACTACACAATTATGTATCCATTATTTAGCGCAGAGATTTGGAACAGAGGAGGCAAGTCAGTAGAAAATTCCATAAATTTGAGTACTTTTTATGATTTCCTTAAAAAACAGAAAAGAAATGAAAATAAAATATGCATTAACTTTAAGTAAAAAGAGGTATAAATGTAATGTTACTATATATTTCATTTCTTGAATAACATATGAAAGATTTTTTTAAAGTCACATTTAAGCTAAGACAATTGTCTTTAAAATAGCTCTGTTAAATTTTGGACAAAGTGTCTTTGGCTTTCCCTCATTCTTCATTTTCTCTTTCATTTTCTTTTTTCATCTATCCTAAGTACAGAAGTCACAAAATAGATAGCATAAAATATTTATTGAGCTCTTCAAATATCCATTCAAAAATTCTCTGATAAAGACACTTTTCAAAGCACCACCAAACAGAGATGACTCAAAGGACCAGCAAACAATTTAAATATCTCATGTAATACTTAATTTTAAGTATCTCTATGCATATCTATTGGTCTCATTATTTTCCGAAAGTCTGACCCCGGAGCTCTGATACCCAAGCTCATTTGAATCTTTGTGAATGTATGGATTTTTCCTTCCTCATTAGAGTAGAATGTACAGATTTTTCTTTCCTCATTATGGTTCAGCTCACTTATACCTATTAAATAACTGGTGAGAATGTTTTGACTTCATCTTTACCCTTAAATTTAACATTTAAATATAAATATCAGTTGCACTTTAAAAATTATCTTATCCACTAAGCATTCAGTTTAGAAAGTGTTGTGTACATCATGAGAAATAGAACTGTATGATGTAAGATTTGTGCCTTATTTAGCATGGGGGATAAAAGTATTTATATTACAGCATATATGTTTGATTTTCACAATTTTTGTTTTGTCCAAATTTTCACAATAAGGCCCAAAATATTCACTTTTATGTTCTCTTCAATCCTCTATCTTGATTCTACTTTGCATCCAAGTATCTGGGATGAAAAGAAAATTAGTTGAAAGTTTTAGGACTTTAAGTGAGTAGATTTTTATTACTGCCCTGAAAAAAAAATTAAAAAGGACATGTCATGAAAACAATGGGTTCTAGAAAAAAAAAAAGGCTGATATTTCTAATACAGTAAGAAAATAGATGTAATTGTCAACTCCGAAGGAGGTCATTGTACTAGCACATCCTATGGAGTGGCTGAGCTGTTAGCAGCAGAAGGCAATCCTAATGACAAACATACAACCAAAAGCCCCAGACAAGCAAACTGTTGCACACAGGGCAATGTGTGTGTGTGTGTGTGTGTGTGTGTGTGTGTGTGTGTGTGTATGCTTGCATATATGTTTCAACTGAAATCCACTTATGTTTGAGCCTTTGATAATATTCGGACTGGACTTCGTGTTATTAAAATCTTGATTTCAAAGTGTGCTTTCAGAAACAGGGAACCCTGAGATGCTCCCTGGCTAGACACTCTTTTGATGGATTCATGATTGCTGAGCTAGCCTTTCAATGGGCCACAATAACTTTACTTCCAGGAAATAGCATCAGGTCAACAAATTACTTGTTTGTGGTCTGTTTGTTTTCTCAGGTCTGGATTTTCTTTGATCTTGGGTAAGCTCAAACTAATTTGGAATAAAATGAAAACAGTTCTCTGCTTCCCCACCTTTAATCAGTAATGCCCCTGACTGTTTTAATTAGAAGCAAAAGAACAGTTCTCTGTCAACTCAAGGCAAAGGACACACAGTCCTGTCATGGCAGAGGGAGTTGGATCCCAGGGTGGAAAGCAAGGCAATATGAAATAATGTTTGGCCCTATTTTCTTAGGGAAAAAGAGTAAGGTTTTGCTTCACTCTAGTTTAAGTTACAGCACACCCTTTCCTCTTTATTTTTTGTTACTTCTCTTCTACTGTCCAGTAATTCTTCCAACCCTGCCTCTGTTCCCAATTGGTACTGTAAGGCACTGGCATTTTCCACAGGAGAATCTTGATTATAATCCTTCAATCAACTTGCTGAGTTAAGCATATGCTTTCATCAAAAACTATATAAAACCTGTGTGGAAAAGACTGATACCTTTTGTTCTTTGGTTGGAATCAAAGTGTATACAACTTTAAACCATCTTTTATGAAACCAGCACTTTTATTTCTCCTTATCATTTCTCTTCAGTAGGACTGCTATAAATTAGACATAGCAGCTCTTGTTTTTATTAAACAGCACATTACTGAGACAATTTATTCAAACTGCAAGATTTCATAAGCTGGACCAGTAGCTTCAAAAGGGTGAATACAGGTTTTAGAATTTGGTACCCTTACACAACACAAATCTATAATGTTTTCATGTAACTATATAGAAGTGTGTTTTTGCTAATATCATTTCCTCATTTTGGTTAGTGTTTCTTCTTCACTTCCTTATGAATTATGCCTAAGTGAGAAAACAAGCCTTTTTTCATGTACAATGATCCTATTTTCCTGAACAGAACCCTGGCTGAACAGTATTACAATTCAGGTTCCAAAATGAGCCAGTGGTAGAGAAGAAATAGAGTGGAAATTTAACACATCCATTTATTATACACTGCAAAATGCAACAGGGACAGATGCCGCATGATGTTTCTCCTCAGCTGTGATCACTTTCTCTACAATGTTGACCTCGTGGCTCTTGCTCTAGGGACTATCTGGACAATTACCTGCAGCTTGGAGTCATTACGGAGATGATCGTCAAGGAACTGGCTCACGGGTTACACTCACTGCTCTGTTCCTAACTTCCTGTGTAAACAACTCTGGAGCTTCAATTTTTCTTATCTATATTATAAAAATATGTAAATAATTTCTAAAATTTAGAAAAGTTATATAATTTTAATTCTAAATGTAACTGACAGATGGTGGAATTTCTCCCTTTTTTGGCAACACTTTAAAGTTTGGAATAGAGATTTTGGTCATCTCAATCACTGCATCTCTCTATCCCTGGTATCAGCATGTTTAAGTCATCCGAACACTGTACACACCATGAAATTCTACAAGAAGATATTATGTAAATGAGCCAAATTTACAACTTTGGATAGAGAAACTAATTTTAAAAATATAGTTAATAATCCATAAATGATGAAGAGGTATGTTTTCTGCTAGCTTATAGTTATGGTGATGGAGTGAGGGGCAGTTGTGCTTCTCCTCTTTGTATTTCCTCTGGACAGTAATGTACTTATTCTCTAATGCAGCACCTTTTAATAAATGTTTAGTTTCTAAGCTCTTGTGATTTTGTTAGTCTCAGCATTTTCTTATTTTTCAGCAGAATTGGCTGTGAATTAGAATCTTTTCTATAAAGTTGCTATAAAATTGCCACCAACAACCAAAACTCAGCCAGCTGACACACTACCAAAAGTGGTGTGATTATTACAAAGTGCCCCCACATATTTTTGTGTGACCCTACATGAACAACAACAACAAAATTTGGGATGCTCTCCTTTCAATTTTAAGGACAGGAATTAGTACAACTAAGCAAATGGTCAAGGATAATAAGATTCCTGAGAGAGTAGAGAAAAACAGGGACAATTGTATTTATCTTTTGTAAAATCAAGTTTATAAGAATATGTCTCAGGGCCACAGTTAATAAAATATCTATTTTGTTTTCTTGAGAACCACAATGAAGATATTAGTGTAAAAGGTCATCCATAGATGCCCTACGGAGTTAACAGCCCAATTGAGCTCTTGCTGCTTCTGTTACAAGAGTGCTTCAAACACACCATTCAACTGATAGAATCTATTGGACCTTGTTAGAGTCCCTCACCCCATTCTTGCAACAGTTCCCAGAAAAGAAGAGGAATGTGGTTTTCAGAGACTTATGTCTCTACTGGAGCCCCCTTGATGGCAGGGTAAGGTGGGAGAGCATGGAGGAAGCCTCTCAAGAAGTGAGACACATGCACTTTCTAGATTATTATTATTATTATTACTATTATTTTTGATGGAGTCTTGCTCTGTTGCCCAGGCTGGACTACAGCTGGTTGATCTTTTGGCTCACTGCAACCTCCACCTCTTGGGTTCAAGCGATTCTCCCACCTCAGCCTCCCGAGTAGCTGGGACTACAGGCACCTGTCATCATGCCCAGCTAATTTTTGTATTTTTTTGGAGACAGGTTTTCACCATGTTGGCCAGGCTGGTCTTGAACTTCTGACCTCAGGTGATCTGCCCGTCTCAGCCTCCCAGAGTGCTGGGGTTATAGGCGTGAGCCACCACACCCGGCCGACACATACAACTTCTAGATTGTTGTTTATTTATTTATTTATTTATTTGTTTTTGAGACAGAGTCTTGCTCTGTCACCCAGGCTGGAGTGCAGTGGCGCAATCTTGGCTCACTGCAACCTCTGCTGCCTGGGTTCAAGTAATTCTCCCACCTCAGCCACTTTCTAGATCTTGTAGGACAAGAAGTTGCCACATGGTGAGAAGGAAAAAGGACAGATTATGAGCAGGAACTGAGTAATTTTTACCTATGACCCTGGGACTCATTTAAACTCTAATCAAACAGAGAAAACTACAGTAACCAAAATTATTCTTAAGACAGATTATGCATGTATATATCATTGATTTTATTGCCTAATTCAGCAGAGGAATTACTAATAGATATTTTGCTAATTCTACAGGAAGATAGTGTGGAAACATAAGCTAACCAATGCCTCGTTTCTGATATTTCTTACCTAGTATGGTGATTAGCTTCAGTGTTTTTAAATCATTCTCTAAAAAGCACATCCTTGCCTGATTTTCCTTCCATGTGTTCTGTTGATTACTGAGAAAGAAATGTCAAAGTCTTCAACTGTAATAGTGGATCTATGTGTTTGTTTTATTTATTTATTTTTAAATATTTTATTTCCATAGGCTTTGGGGAACAGGTGGTATTTTGGTTACCCCAGTAAGTTCTTTCGTGGTGATTTGTGAGGTTTTGGTGCACCCATCATCCAAGCAGTACACACTGAATGCAATTTGTAGTCTTCTATCCCTCACTCCCCTCACACCCTTTCCCCTAGTCCCCAAAGTCCCTCCTATCATTCTTATGCCTTTGCATCCTCACAGCTTAGCTCCCACTTACGAGTGAGAATATACGATGTTTGGTTTTTCCATCCCTGAGTTACTTCTCTTAGAATAATAATCTCCAGTTCCATCCAACTTGCTGCAAGTGCCATTCATTCATTCCTTATGACTGAGTTTGTTTTAATTTTCCTTTCAGTTTATCCAGTTTTGGCTTTATTATTTTATTTTTGTTTGTTTTTGTTATTGTAGTAAAATACACATAATATAAAATTTATCATTTTAACTATTTTAAATGTAACGTTCAATAGTATTAAATACATCCAGTATGTCATGCATCCATCTCCACCATAACACTTTTTGTCTTGTAAAACGGAACTCCCCATTCCTCCCTCTCTCCAGCTCCTGGCACCAACCATTCTATTTCATATCTCTATGATTTTTGACCACTCTAATTACCTCATATAAGTAGAATCACAGGGTATTTGCCTTTTTATGACTGGCTTATTTCACTTAGCATAATGTCCTTAAGGTTCATCCATGTTGTAGCATTTATCATAATTTTCTTTCCTTTTAAGGCTAAATAATATTCTATCATATATATATATATATATATATATATATATACACACACACCACACTTTGCTTATCCATTTATCTGTTGATGGAAATGGGTTGCTTCCACATTTTGCTATCATGAGTAATGCTGAAATAAATTTGGTAAATATCTCTTCAAGACCCTGATTTTAGTTATTTTGGATATATACCCAGACACGTAAATGCTGTATTATATGGTAACTGTATTTTTAATTTTTTGAGACACCACCATACTTTCTTCCAGCTGTACAATCTTATACTCCTATCAATACTACACAAGGGTTTTAATTTCTCCACATGCTTGCTAACATTTGTTATTTTCTCTCTTTTTTTTTTAATAGTAGTCATCCTAATGGGTATTGAGTGCTATCTTCATGTTTTGATTTGAAGTTCTCTGATGATTAATGAACACGGAATAGAATAGAGAGCTCATAAGCAAATCCTCACCTGTATGGTCAAATGTTTTTTGAGAAGGGTGCCATGATTATTAAATGAGAAAAGAACAATCTTTTCAATAAATGATACTGAAAACTGTATATCCACATGCAAAATAAAGATTTTGGACCTTTACCTAACTCCATATACAAAAATTAACCCCAAATGGGTTAAAGACCTAAATATGAGACTTAAAATTATAAAACTCTTAGAAGGGAACACAGGGCAAAAGTTTCCCAAAGTTAGATTTGGCAGTAACTTCTGGGATATAACCAAAGGCACAGGCAACACAACAAAAAATACAAAGAAAAATTGGGCATCATAATTTTTTTTTTTTTTTTTTTTTTTTTTTTTGTGACAGAGTCTTGTCGTCCAGGCTAGAGTACAGTGGCAGGATCTTGGCTCACTGCAACCTCTGCCTCCCAGGTTCAAGAGATTCTCCTGCCTCAGCCTCCTGACCTCCTGAGTAGCTGTGATTACAGGCACGCACCACCATGCCTGGCTAATTTTTGTATTTTTAGTAGAGATAGGGTTTCACCATGTTGACCAGGATAAGTCTTGATCTCTTGACCTCGTGATCCGCCTGCCTCAGCCTCCCAAAGTGCTGGGATTACAGGTGTGATCCACTGCTCCTAGTCTTTTTTTTTTTTTTTTTTTTGAGACAGAGTCTTGCCCTGTCGCTCAGGCTGGAGTGCAGTGGTGCAATCTTGGCTCACTGCAACCTCCGCCTCCTGGATTCCAGTGATTCTCATCCCTCAGCCTCCCAAGTAGCTGGGATTACAGGCATGTGACACCATGCCCGGCTAATTTTCATATTTTTAGTAGAGACAGGGGGTCTCACCATGTTAGCCAGGCTGGTCTCGAACTCCTGATTTCAAGTAATCCACCCGCCTCGGCCTCTTGAAGTGCTGGGATTACAAGCATGAGCCACTGCACCCAGCCACCATAAAAAATTTTTTAAAATTATTTATCAAAATCACAAACAAAAGGCAATCCACAGGAGAAAATATTTGCAAATGAAATATCTGATAAGAGATTAATAACCAAAATACACCCAGACCTCCTAAAACTCAGCAACAACAAAAACAAACAAGTCTATTTAAAAATGGGCAAGAGAATAAATATACATTTCTCCAAAGAATATACAACTGGCTTTAGTATTGGCTTCAAAATAGTATTTTGAAGCTCTACTATTAGATACATATACAATTAGGATTTTTATCTCTTCTTGGCAAATTGACCCTTTGATTTTTATGTAATATCTCTCATTGTTCCTTTTAAATTTCTCTGCTCTGAAATATGCTTTGATATTCACATAGTCACTTCAGCTTTCTCTTCATTAGTGTTTCCATGGTATACCTTCCCTATCCTTTTATTTTTAACTTATTTATATCATTACATAAAGTAACATTTTATGGAAAGGATATATTTGATTTTTTTATTTATTTGGTCCATTCTGATAATGTCTGTATTTCTTTTTTTTTTTTTTTTTTTTTTTTTTTTTTTGAGCCGGAGTCTCGCTCTGTCACCCAGGCTGGAGTGCAGTGGTGCGATCTCGGCTCACTGCAAGATCCACCTCCCGGGTTCACGCCATTCTCCTGCCTCTGCCTCCGGAGTAGCTGGGACTACAGGCGCCCGCCACCACACCCAGGTGATTTTTTTGTATTTTTAGTAGAGACGGGGTTTCACTGTGTTAGCCAGGATGGTCTCGATCTCCTGACCTCGTGATCCGCCCGCCTCTGCCTCCCAAAGTGTTGGGATTACAGGCGTGAGCCACTGCGCCCAGCCGACAATGTCAGTATTTTACTTGGTTTGTGTAGCCATTTACATTTAATGTAAATATTGGTATTTCGAATTATGCCTACCACTCTAACATGTATGCTTACTTTTTCTTCCCTTTGCTTTATTTTTCTGTTTCCCCTTCCCTGCCTTGTTTTGTTATTTGAACATTTTCAGTTTAACCAAGTTTGAGTTTTGCTGCTGCTATTTCTTTTATTTACTGCAGGCTTTGTATTGTTTTACAGGACTGTTGCCTTGTGCTCAAAGGGGTGGCTGAAGTGCCAGAGATTTTTGGTTTTCTGTTCTTTGTTTTTTTGTTTTTTTTCTTAGTGTTTGTGATCTACCTTCAACTTTCATAATCTCTGCAAACTGCACTACAGCAGGGTTCTCACTCTATACTACTGTCCTCCTCCCATACTGGTAGCCTGCTCTTACCTTTTGGATTCTGGGCTAGTGGTGGTGGCTGGCAAGGATTCACTCTTGTCCACATTCAGCCTCAGCTTAGACAGACCTTGTGTGCCAGGCTTCCTGGGGAGGAGGGAACTTTCTCAGCATTCTTACTCCTTCACCTCATGTCAGCCAGCTATGTCCTTGATCTGTGGTTGGTTCTTACAAGGTATTCTCTGATCCTACCCCATGATAGCAGACCTCGAATTGGTGATAGATAATAGATTCTGGGCCCAGGATAGTTTTCACAGGAATTTTTCTTCTGCTTTTTCCACAGTGAAAATGGGTCTTTGCCAGTGTCCTTAAAGTGTGGGTTGTTGTCCCTCCTCCAAGTGCTGTAGGTTTTTGATTCATAGGAGAAAAGACTCTAAATATAATTGTAGGAATTTGTATCTCCCAGGCCCCAGTAGCTACAGATCTTTTTCTACAATCTTGCATCAGCAAGAAGAGCTCTTTTTGGTCTGTTCTGTTCCAGACTATCTCATAAATTACTGCAGGAGGTACTTTTAAAAGAGCTTGCAAGAGAGTATCTGGGCTGTCAATTATTTCAGCCATACCTGAAAGCTAGCTCACCCTTGGCATTTAATAATTTTATAAAATTTCAGCTGATTTTTAAATTTTCTTTCATGGAAGCTGTTGAGTAGCCCCTTATTTCCCTAATTCTTTGACTCAGATAAGACTATTCTTCTGTTTTATCTCTTATTATAGGGGTATGTTCCTCTTTGGAATTTAAGTAATTTGGTTGGACTGCAACCTCAGGTATCTAATGTGCTCAAAAAAGTTATAATTTTATGGGGTTTTTTTTTTGCCTTTATCTCATTGTTAGAATGGGAACAATCTTCTTTCCAGCTTTCTACATTTTAGCCAGAAACAGAAATCTCTTTCCTTTGGTATGGCTCCACCTATTTGATATCAAGATAATTTAATAGTATGTAGCCACAGTGCACTAGGAAAATTAATTGGCTTTTACCAGCTTTCTGCTGATAATGCCTTAACTTGAAGAAGTTAAATAATTTTGGAAAAGTCAGATATTAGGAACAATCAAATTTCAAATATACACATCCAATATAATCAGATAAGTAGTAAATAGTTAACATCAGCAATTAAATAAAGTCAGAAAATAGATCCAAGCTCTCATACATTTGTGTATCAAGATAAAAGCTTCAGGGGAATAGACAGCTTTTATCATAATAAACCATAAAGGTAAATCCCTCCTCCCTCATACACATTCTTTTTTTTTTTTGGTATTGTGAGATTTTTATTAGAAACGTTTTTCTGCCTGGCGCTGTGGCTCATGCCTGTAATCCCAGCACTTTGGGAGGCCGAGGAAGGCAGATCATGAGGTCAGGAGATCGAGACCATCCTGGCTAACACGGTGAAATCCCGTCTCTACTAAAAATACAAAAAATTAGCCAGGCGTGGTGGCGGGTGCCTGTAAACTTAGTACTCAATTGTTACTTTTTCTGATCCTCTCCCTCTTTCCACCCTCCACCCTCAAGTAGGCTCTAGTGTCTGTTGTTCCCTTCTTGTGTTTTCATCATTTAGCTCCCATTTATAAGTGAGGATATGCTGTATTTGGTTTTCTGTTCCTGTGTTAGTTTTCTAAGGATAATGGCCTCCAGCTCCATCCATGTTCCTACAAAGGACATGACCTCATTCTTTTTTTATGGATGCAGAGTATTCTATGGTGCATATGTGCTTATGTGTACCACATTTTCTTTATTCAGTCTACCATTGATAGGCACTTATATTGATTCCATGTCTTTGCTGTAGTGAATAGTGCTGCAATGAACATACATGCCCATGTGTCTTAATGGTAGAATTATTTACATTTCTTGGTATATACCAGTAATGGGATTCCTGAGTCTAATGGTATTTCTGGTTTTAGCTCTTTGAGGAATCATCATACTGCTTTCTGCAATGATTGAACTAATTTACACTCCCACCAACAGTATATAAGTATTCCCTTTTCTCTGCAACCTCTCCAGCATCTACTATTATTTTACTTTTTGACAACAGCCATTCTGACTGGTATGAGATAACATCTCGTTGTGGTTTTTATTTGCATTTTTCTGATGACAAATGATTTGAGCTTTTTTTTTTTCATACGCTTGTTGGCTTCAGGTATATCTTCTTTGAAAAGTGTCTGTTCATATCATTTGCCCACTTTTAAATGGGGCTGTTTGTTTTTTCCTTATAAATTTATTTACTTTCCTTAAACAAATTTAAAAATTAAAAAGCTGGATATTAGACCATTGTCAGATGCATAGTTTGCAAATATTTTATCCCATTCTGTAAGTTGTCTGTTTACTCATTGATAACTTCTTTTGCTGTGCAGAAGCTCTTTAATTTAATTAGATTCTATTTGTCAAGTTTTGTTTCTGTTGCAGTTGCTTTTGGCGTCTTTGTTGTGAATTTTTAGCCAATTCCTGTGTCCAGAATGGTATTTCCTAGGTTGTCTTCCAAGGTTTTTATAGTTTTGAGAACTACATTTAAGTGTTCATTCCATCTTGAGTTGATTTTTGTATATTGTACAAGTAAGGGGTCCAGTATTAATCTTCTACATATGGTTAGCCAGTTACCTTAGTGTTGCAGAAAGTCAGGGACCCCAAACGGAGGAACTGGCTGGAGCCGTGGCAGAGGAACATGAATTGTGAAAATTTCATGGAGATTTATCAGTTCCCAAATAATACTTTTATAATTTTTTATGCCTGTCTTTACTTTAAACTCTTAATCCTGTTATCTTCGTAAGCTGAGGATATATGTCACCTCAGGACCACTGTGATAATTGTGTTAACTGTACAAATTGATTGTAAAACATATGTGTTTTAACAATATGAAATCAGTGCACCTTGAAAAAGAACAGAATAACAGCAATTTTTAGGGAACAAGGGAAGACAACCATAAGGTCTGACTGCCTGTGGGATTGGGCAAAAAGAGCCATATTTTTCTTCTTGCAGAGAGCCTATAAACAGACATGCTAGTAGGAGAGATATTGCTAAATTCTTTTCCTAGCAAGGAATATTAATATTAATACCCTGGGAAAGGAATGCATTCCTGGGAGGAGGTCTATAAACGACCACTCTGAGAGTGTCTGTCTTATGTGGTTGAGATAAAGACTGAGATACGCCCTGGTCTCCTGCAGTACCCTCAGGCTTATTAGGGTGGGGAAAAAACTCCGCCCTGGTAAATTTGTGGTCAGAACAGTTCTCTGTTCTTGAACCCTGTTTTCTGTTGTTTAAGATGTTTATCAAGACAATACGTGCACAGCTGAACATAGACCTTTATCAGTAGTTCTGCTTTGTCTTTGTCCTGTTCCCTCAGAAGCATGTGATCTTTGTTCTGCTTTTTGCCCTTTGAAGCATGTGATCTTTGTACCTACTCCCTGTTTCACACCCCTTCTCCTTTTGAAACCCTTAATAAAAAACTTTCTGGTTTGAGCCTCAGGTGAGCATCATGGTCCTACCAATATGTGATGTCACCCCCAGCGGCCCAGCTGTAAAATCCCTCTATTGTACTCTTTCTCTTTATTTCTCAGCTGGCTGACACTTATGGAAAATAGAAAGAACCTACTTTGAAATATTGGGGTTGGGTTCCCCCAATACCCTAGTACCGTTTATTAAATAGGGAGTTCATTCCCCATTGCTCATTTTTGTCAACTTTCTTGAAAATCAGATAGATAGTTATAGGTGTATGGCTTATTTCTGGGCTCTCTAGTCTGTTCCATTGATCTATGTGTCTGCTTTTGTACCATGAGGTCTATGTTGTACTAATAGGACCAAGCTGTTTTAGTTACTACAGCCCTGTAGTATAGTTTGAAGTCCGGGAACGTGATGCCTCCTGCTTTGTTGATTTTGTTTAGGATTGCCTTGGATATTTAAGTTCTTTTCTGCTTCCATATAAATTTTAAAATAGTTTTTTCTAGTTCTGTAAAAAATATCATTGGTAGTTGGATAGGAATAGTATTGATTTTGTAAATTGCTTTGGACAGTATGACCATTTTAACCATATTAATTTCTTCCTATCCATGAGCATGAAATGTTTTCCCATTTGTTTCATCTCTGATTTTTTAAGCAATGTCTGGTAATTCTCATTGTACTGATCTTTCAACTCCCTGGTTAGCTGTTCCTAAGAATTTTATTATTTTTGTGAGTATTGTGAATTGAATTGTATTTTTGACTCTGCTCTCAGCTTGGCTGTTTTTGGTGTATAGGAATGCTAGTAAAATTTTTTTTGTTTTTGAGACAAGATCTTGCTCTGTTTCCCAGGCTGGAGTACAGTGGCAAGATCATGGCTCACTACAGCCTCTGCCTCCCAAGTTCAAGCAATCCTCCCACCTCAGCCACCCCAGTAGCTGGTAACACAGGTGCGTGCCACCACACCCACCTAATTTTTTATTTTTTGTAGAGACAAAGTATCACCATATTTTTCAGGGTGGTCTTGGGCTCCTGGGCTCAAGCAATCCACCCACCTCAGCCTCCCAAAGTGCTGGGATTACAGGCATGAGACACTACACCTGGCGGGAATGCTAGTGATTTTTGTACATTGATATATCCTGAAACTTTGCTGAAGTTGTTTATCAGCTGAAGGAGCTTTTAGGCTGTGACTCTGGGGTTTTCTAGGTATAGAATCATATCTTCTGCAAATAGGGATAGTTTGACTTCCTTTCTTCCTATTTGGGTGTCGTTTATTTCTTTCTCTTGCCTGATTACGCTGGCCAGGACCTCCAATACTTTGTTGAATAGGAGTGATGGAGAGGGTATTTTTGTCTCATGCCAGTTTTCCAGAGAAATGTTTCAAGCTTTTGCCCATTCAGTAAGATGTCGGCTATGGATTTGTCATAGATGGATCTTACTATTTTAAGGTCTGTTCCTTCAATAGCTAGTTTATTGAGAGTTTTTAACATGAATGAATGTTGAGTTTTATCAGAAGCTTTCTCTGCATCTATTGAGATAATCATGTAGTTTTTGTATTTTAGTTCTGTTTACGTGATGAATCACATTTATTTTTATTTTTATTTATTTATATGTTTTGAGACAGAGTCTTGATCTGTCACCAGTCTGGAGTACAGTGGCACAATCTCAGCTCACTGCAACCTCCACCTCCCAGGTTCAAGCAATTCCTCTGCCTCAGCCTCCCAAGTAGCTTGGACTTCAGGCACGCACCAACACACCCAGCTAATTTTTTGTATTTTAGTAGAGATGGGGTTTCACCATGTTGGACAAGACGGTCTCTATCTCCTGACCTTGTGATCTGCCCACCTCAGCCTCCCAAAGTGTTGGAATTACAGGCGTGAGCCACCGCGCTCTGCCAAATCACATTTATTAATTTGCGTATGTTGAACCAACTTTGCATCTCAGGGATAAAGCTAACTTGATCATGATGGACTAACTTTTTGTTGTGCTGCTGGATGTGTTTCACTAGTGTTTTTTTGTTGAAGATTTTTTCATCAATGTCCATCAAAGATATTGGCCTGAAGTTTTATTTTACTGCTGTGTTTCTGTCAGACTTTAATATCAGGATGATGCTGGCCTCAAAGAATAAGTTGGGGAGGAGTCCTTCCTTCTCATTTTTTTCAAATAGTTTCAGTAGAAATGTTACCAGCTCTTCTTTGTACGGCTGGTAGAATTTGTCTATGAATCTATCTGGTCCTGGGCTTTTATTTGGTTGGTAAGCTATTTATTACTAATTCAGTTTTAGAGATCATTGTAGGTGTGTTCAGGAATTTAGTTTCTTTCTAGTTCAGTCTTGGGAGGGTGTATGTGTCCTTTATCAGGACTTTCCATTAAGACTTCACTCACATGCCTGGTCTCTTAATGGGGCAGTTGAAGGCTGGCCTCTAATGAATGGGCTTCTGTCTCTCTAAATGTAGTCTTACAGCCTTTCCATAAAGTCCCCTTGGCAGAGGAGTCAGACTACCCTTTGAGTGTATAGAGACTGCATTGCAGCTTAGGTCTTCTATATATCAAAGCAGAAACTGCAAATCCTCTTTGAAGCTAGATCTGAAACTGGCATAACATCATTTTCTCTACATTCAACTGATTAAAGGCATCACAGGTCAGTCTAGTTCAAGAAGAGGAAATAGTTCAAATCTCTTACTGGAAGATTGTGAAGGAATTTACAGTTTTTTTTTTTTTTTTTTTTTGAGACAGAGTCTCGCTGTATCATCCAGGCTGGAGTGCAGTGGTGCAATCTCAGCTCATTGCAAGCTCCGCCTCCCGGGTTCATGCCATTCTCCTGCCTCAGCCTCCCAAGTAGCTGGGACTACAGGTGCCTGCCACCACGCCCAGCCAATTGTTTGTATTTTTAGTAGAGACAGGGTTTCACCGTGTTAGCCAGGATGGTCTCGATCTCCTGACCTCATGATCCACCCGCCTCGGCCTCCCAAAGTGCTGGGATTACAGGCGTGAGCCACCGTACCCAGCCAGAATTTACAGATATTTTAAAGCCACAGAATGTTCATAACAGTCTTGTTCATAACAATAACATGAGAACAACTTAAATGTCCATCTGTGAAAAAAATCTCATAGCTCACAAAATGCAACACTATATAACAGTGAAAATTCACTTGAAGGCATTATATGCTGTCAAACAGATGAATCCTAGGAAAAATTTTGTTGTTGTTTTTAATGTAAAAAGTTTTTTTCAATAATACAATACATTCTTATTAACTATAGTCACCATGTTGTACAATAGATCTCTTGAATGAATTCCTCATATGTAACTGAAATTTTGTATCCTTTGACTAATATCACCCCAACCCCTTTTCCACAAGCCCCTGATAGCCGTCATTCTAGTCTCTACTTTTATGAGTTCAACTTTTTAAAATTTGACATGTAAATAAGACTATGCAGTATTTGTCTTTCTTTCTTTGGCTTATTTCACTTAGCCTGATGTAGTCCAGGTTCATCTATATTGTTGCAAATGAAAGATTTCCCTTTCCTTTCATGAGAAAATAGTATTCCCTTGTGTATATACACCACAATTTCTTTATCCATTCATCTGTTGATGGACACTTACTTAGACTGGTTTCTTATCTTGGCTGTTGTGAATAATGCTGCAATAAACAATGATGTGAAGATATCTTTCTGATATGTTGATTTCACTTCCTTTAGATATACACTTAGTAAGTAAATAGCTGCAACATACAGTAATTCTATTTTTAATTTTTTGAGGATCCTCTATATTGTTTTTCACAGTGGGTGCACTAATTTACATTCCTACCAACAATGTGCAAAGATTACCTTTTCTCCACAGCCGCACCTATTGTTATCATTCATCTTGATAATAGCCATTTTAGCAGGTGCAATTTCTCATCAAGAATTGTTTCCTAATATCTCAGACTTAGAAATTTGCATTTATCTGATGATTAGTGATGTTGCACACTTATTTACATACCTGTTAACCATTTGTATATCTCCTTTTGAGTGATGTCTGTCCAGATCTTTTACCCATTTATTTATTTATTTATTTATTTATTTATTTATTTATTTTGAGATGAAGTTTCTCTTGTTACCCAGGCTGGAGTGCAATAGCGTGATTTCGGCTCAGTGCAACCTCCTCCTTCCAGGTTCAAGCAATTCTCCTTCCTCAACCTCCCAAGTAGCTGGGATTGTAGGCATGTGCCACCATGCCCAGCTAATTTTGCATTTTTAGTAGAGACGGGGTTTCGTCATGTTGACCAGGATGGTTTTGAACCCCTGACCTCAGGTGATCCACCCACCTCGGCCTCCCAAAGTGCTGGGATTACAGGGGTGAGCCACTGTGCACGGCCTTTTGCCCATTTTTAATTGTTTGTTTACTATTGAGTTGTTTGAGTCCCTTATGTATTTTGGGTAGTGGCTCCTTATCAGATAGGTGGTTTGCAAATATTTTCTGCCATTCCGTAGGTTTTCTCTTCACTCTGCTGATTGTTTCTTTGGCTGTGCAAAAGCTTTCTATTTGATGTGATCCTATTTGTCTATTTTTGCTTTCGTTGCTTAGGAATGTTATAAGTCCTTCAGTTAATCTTCAAGTTTTAGACCCTTTAAAAAAAAACATCTTTTTGATCCGTTAAGATATGCTTTGTGGAAGACTGGTACCAGCTGCTTGGAAATTTCCTCCTATATTCCTTCAGTCTTCGGTCATTTCTGCTCAGCTTCATTTATGTTCATGGTCTCATCATCAACCTCTAGAATGTTTTTAAAATCCTTCATACATTGATGATATTTCTTATTTCTCTTCTCATCTGCATTTTATTTCACAGGGCTCTGTGATGATTGTGTGTGTATAGCTAATTGTCCTGTGCAATAGGTTTTATGTATGCATTTTCTGAATTACAACCATGAGAATACTGGAGCCAAGATAATGGGATCTAAAATTGAGAAATCTCAATTCACATTGTTTTGGATTCCTTAAAAGGAAAGGACTTACTAAATGTTAGTAGTCTGTACACAATATTTATGCACGATTTGCTAGTTTTGAATTATAGAGAATGGCAGTCAAAAAAGGGGAACATAATCTGTTTGTTATTTTGGTTTCTTCAAATATATGTTAAAAATTTTAAATGAACATTCTAATGATAAAATATTTTAATTTTAGAAGAGTGTTTTCTTGGGACTTTTAGGCCCTATAATGTCTCTTGGAATTCAAAAGCTTTTGCATAATAATGTTTTGATGAGTTTAAGTATAAATGTAAATAAAAAAATAAGGATTAAATTTTCTTTGACACATGAAAATTTTGAGAAAAAACATGTTTGGCACATATGTTCTAGAGTCAGCAAAACAGGAACTATCAGCAACTTATCCCAAAGTAGTTCACAAAACACAAAATCCACAAGAAAAGGTATCCAATTCCCCCCGCAAAAAAGAGGCCAAACATGTGTACTGTTAAATTAACAGAGGTAGATCCATATATTTTATTTGTTTCCTTAGATGTCTTAAAAGTTGAATGTCTTAAAAGCTGAATCTCAATAAATCAGTTTTATGCAGTGTTCTGATATGTTATACTCATTTGGCTTCTAAAACCTTCTAGAATCCTGTATAAGACTAGTTAACCAATTGGGAACAATGTTAGCAAATATTTACACACACACACACACACACACACACACACACACACACAGAGAGAGAGATGGCCAGAGTTTTGCTTAAACATCTTTCTATTGCAGTCAAAACTATTCCTTCATAGAGAAACTAATGTGTATATTTTTAATAACAGGTTTATATTATTGAAATGACTGTCACACATGCTGACCCAGATGCTGTGGGGACAATAGCAGTCCTACAGTTGTACAGAATTTAGAAAGGAATGAAATATTTGATATCAAATATGAACTTGGTTGTACTTGTTGTTGCAATAGATGAACTTAATTTAAAGCCAAAAGTGTATTTCAATTCCCTTATTTCCTAACACAAAGGAAAAGAGACAGATGGATACTGTCATATAAGAAGAAGTTTGACCAAAATGGTCTTAACCAGAAGGTTAATGATAATAAATTAAATTAAATGTAAACAACCAAATGAAACTGAATGTTCTGCCAGAAGCAGCAAAAATATCTCTCAGAGCAATAAACCATAACATCTTCAGGAAAGTTCCCAGGGAATTAGTCTTAATTCTCTCAGCAGGTACTACCTATATTATAATAAAGGGTTATTTTCTAGCATGAAGTTTATAATTTGTAACTGCTAATGAATCAGATTATATTTGCCAGGTTCATCCAGTAAATTGCTGTTGTTGTTGCTGTCGCTGTTCTTGTTATTTTATGAACATAGCATTGGAGAGAGAAGTTAGAAAATGGGTGCTTATAACTAAAACACATTTTAAGGTCAGTTCACTTCAAGACAGCAAAATGGATTCAAGATCTTCTTTAAAATGAGGAATTGTTTTAGTCTGCTTTGCCGTTGCTATGACAGAATACCTGAGACTGAAAAGAAGAGAAATTTATTTGAGTTCTAAAAAAAAAAAAAAAAAAAATAGTCGAAGGTCCAGGGGCTCATATCTGGTGAGGGCCTTCTTGCTGCATCATCCAAGAAGGCAGAAGGGAAAGAAAGGATGTAAGAGTGAAAATGCAAAAGAGGGCCAAGCTTGCTTTTATAACAAGCCCACTCTTGCAATGATTAACCCATTCCTGTGAGACCAACATTAATCCATTGATGAGGTCTCTGCCCTCATGACTTAATCACTTCTTACTAGACCCTACTTTCCAATACTGTTGCATTAGGGGTTAAGCTTCTAACACATGAATTATGGGAGAGACATTCAAACCATAGCAGGAGTCTCTTTTTCTAATTATTGCTAATTTTCAAAAGTGAGGGCTATCTACCTTCTCTACAAACAGGAATTATAGACTTTAGACTGAACACGGTGTCACAAAATGTGGTGATGATCAAATGCTGCTCATATTAAAATCACTTGACAGAAATGTTAAATATACAGATTCCTGAGCATCAGTCCAGGTTCAGCCAGATACTGAATCAGAATCTGCTGTGTTGGGGCTCAGGAATCATTAATTTGTAGAGCCACGTTTGGAAGCTACTGCCTTCAAAGACATAGAAAGGAGGGACTTATCTCTTACTATTCCTCAGGATCTTTTCTGAATTTGCAGATATTTGGGGTAGGACAAACATCACATACCTTCAACAGAGAATTGTAGTATAAACATCAGTAACAGGTGCCTGCCCAAGATTGTCCTCTCCTGCCTAAATTTACTTGATGCTGCTTATAATCCTGATGCTTATGCAAAGATGCTTGTGGGTTTAGGAACCATTTGCAGAGAACAAAGAGAAAGAACTAATATATAGAGAATACATTATGCATCAGATACTTATTACTTTTATGTACCTTATATAAGTAAAGCCTCCATCACACATACTAGAATACACCATTAGTATTATTCACATTGTACAAAGGAGGATTTCAACGGAGAGAATGAGACATTCAAACTAGGCCATGAGGCATGCAAATGGCACAGCTGGGATTCAAACTTAGCTCCAACTCTTCCAAAAATAGCAGGAGAGACAGAATCTGTTTGATTTCTTTTACCTTTCAATATCTACAATATGAATATACTGGTCAAATATAATGAAACTTCATTTATTAGATACAGTTGGGGGAGAGACAGGCAGATCTTTTCTAATACACTGGGAAATCTGAAATACGTGATCACCGGAATAAGGGATCTGCATGATACCACAGTCTCCATCTGATGTAGTTTAATTTTAGGAAATGTATGATCAATGTGTCAATGTTCTGATTCTCTCTTATTATGAATTTATCATAGTATTAATAGTTGAGTCATTAAAATCCTAAGCCTTGATTTAGCATCTTGTATTTATTAATCACTTATAGCTTATTTTAAGAAAGCAAAGTGCTTCATTTATTGAAGAAAATCTACAAAACAGTTATTTTTTAAAATTGAAGATTGCAAAATTGTTAAATATATAATATAGTTGTTGCCTTTATTTGCTTCTTCCATAAATGTGATTTTTATGAGATGTTTCATAAAAATATTCTGGAATTTGAAGCAAAGCACTATATGTAGTTACAAGCAAGTGGAAGGCAAGATGTTTCAATAGTTTTGTACTCAGCCATTTATGACCAACTCCAACGGTCATTGCAATCTTGGCATTTCAGAGAAAAGGAAAAATGTTTCTGTCCATACTGGCCCTTTACTTTTTCTAGTCATTTATTCAACAACATCTGTTTGCTGCTGTTAATTAAACATTGAACAAGTAGCTATTGGCTTACTTGGAAAAAGCCTGGAGGTCAACTTTACACACTGGACTTCTATAAATTCTGTGAAAAGAAAAATCAGATCTCATTTATTTTAAGCTCAATTTCATCAATCACAGGGTCTGGCATGAAACTAAGGCGTTTCTAACACTCAGTAAATAAATGAGCAAGTGTGCTGGTGGGTCCTTCTGTGAATGGTATTTTTTTCTGTTCATTCTATATATTCCACTCTTCACAATTCCCAAACAAGAGACGTTACTTCCCCCTTTTGAATGAGTCAATGCAATGATATCACTTCATAAAATAACCTTGAAGACAAATTTAAATGTTCTTTCTTTTAAAATGTAGATATCGGCCAGGCACGGTGGCTCACGCCTGTAATCCCAGCACTTTGGGAGGCTGAGGTGGGCGGATCACGAGGTCAGGAGACCGAGACCATCCTGGCTAACACGATGAAACCTCGTCTCTACTGAAAATACAAAAAATTAGCCGGGCATAGTGGCGGGCGCCTGTAGTCCCAGCTACTCGGGAGGCTGAGTCAGGAGAATTGCGTGAACCCTGGAGGCGGAGCTTGCAGTGAGCCGAGATCACGCCACTGCGCTCCAGCCTGGGCGACACAGTAAGACTCCATCTCAAATTAATTAATTAATTAAAAAATTAAAATGTAGATATCACAGGGGGAAAAAGGGCAGCATGAAAAGTCCTAGGCCCTTCGGATGAAAATGAGGATAAGATAATATGAAATACCTGAACAACTTGCTTTTTCAATGGGGACATAATCACATCATAAGATGCAGATGTGTTTTCAGTTGTTGTTTTGGTTTTTGACATGTGCAAAGAACACACAGGCACCAGATAAAATAACCATAACTGCACTTTCTACAGACAGAACACCTGGCTTTGTGGAAAGTTAGAAGGCCACACAATGCCTCAGAAAATGCATAAAATAAACTAAAGCTAAGCACTAAATTCAATACTAAAACCCCTTCATCTGGGACTCAATTAAGTTACCATTTCGGTTAGTATGCAACTATAATAACATATGCCCAAACTTTCCAAAAACCCACAATCTTGAAAGAAAGTGGTCCCGTGACATGCAGGTATCTGAGTTAGCAGTTCTGCTTCAATGAAGAGAAAGCAAAAAGGAAAAGGGAGCTATCATCTATTGAGCACTTAATATATTCCAGGTGCTATGAAAGGTACTTTATTTAGGTCATCTCCCTCCCTTTAAACATGAAGGAACAAATGGCAAGGTAAGAACAAATAATATCATAGGTTTCAATAAACAATATTTTATTCATAATTATTACCTGTCTCTGGCATTCCCTATCCACCAGTCTAGAAAAACATGTGACAAAAATGAAACAAAAGAATAAAATACATTTTTTTCTAACTTGCTGATAGAAGGTTGATCATTGGAACTCTAATTGCATGAAAAGTCTTCCATCTAATTTAAAAGGTAGATTTCTTTTTTTTTTTTTTTTTTTTTTTTTTTTGAGACGGAGTCTCACTCTGTCGCCCAGGCTGGAGTGCAGTGGCACGATCTCGGCTCACTGCAAGCTCCGCCTCCCAGGTTCACGCCATTCTCCTGCCTCAGCTTCCCAAGTAGCTGGGACTACAGGCGCCCGCCACCACGCCAGGCTAATTTTTTTGTATTTTAGTAGAGACGGGGTTTCACCGTGTTAGCCAGGATGGCCTCGATCTCCTGACCTCGTGATCTGCCAGCCTTGGCCTCCCAAAGTGCTGGGATTACAGGCATGAGCCACTGCGCCCAGCCAAAAGGTAGATTTCTTTTGATAGTCTAACTGCCATCTCTTATACTCATGTTGAAATAAATTAGGAAGAACATATTAATTCTCATTTGTGTTGTCCCGTTTTTGTATAAAAAATAATATTGTCTCGTGTTCTCTCAATTTCATACTTGAAAATCAGAGGGCACAGATATGAGGATATATACGGATGCTAGTCCAACTATGCTGAATACCCATATCAAACTTGTATACCTTATATAATTTTACCCTATTAAAACATGATCATTGACCTTGGACAAGCTACTTAACAGCTCCAAGTTGAAATTTTCTCATCCGTGATATGGGTCTTTCTGTAATATGTACTGTATAGAGTTGTTGAAGATATTATATAATACATGTTAATTATTTAGCACATGGTAAATACTAATGAATATAGGCTATTTATCCTAGTTTGTACAGTATCTACCCAAATGGTGAGATCTGGGAAAGAAATTTAATGGTGGTTACAGCTTACCAAAGGGATTTTCTATCCTACCAAGCTGACAAGCTGCTATCCTATACTTGCTGAGAGATGTCTGATTACTGATGGTGCACAGTTTAGGCCTAGGGAATAACTCTCAGTATATACACAAACACATCCATATGCAGCTGCATTAGAAAATATTAAAATATCGGTACTTTGGATTGTTTTTCCAACTAAAATATAAGATTAAGTATATTTATTAACATATTTAAGTACAATATATAATAAAAATAACATGAATAATGACATAAACCTATTAAAAGATAATTTAATTATTTAGGCTACTGATTTGTATACCCCCATCAATTTATAGGAACTAAACATATACGAGAAGATATTATTCCTTGGGGCATGTCTAGATTTCAAAATGAGTCTAAAGATATCTTTTAATGTTTTTCCTGAGGAAATAAAATATTTTATTTTAATAAAATATTTATAAAACTGGCTGGATTATTATACATCAGGGAAGACAAATTAGTCTTATCTTGAATATCAATGGTGATTAATTAGCAATGGATATCTGCTCCCCAGAGTGCCATACCATAAGGAAGTGTCTGGAACAAACCCAGATAAGGTGGGAGGTCTGAGAGCTGTATATTTGCTATACTGGCTTTTGTTTTAATTTTAAATATATAGTGCCAGTCCATAGAAGCTCTAGATGAAACAAAAATGAAGTTTCCCATTTTAAATAAATACTTAAGAAAGTTTAAAAAGTCTAACTAAAGGGGAAATTTGACATAAAATTTTATGAAAATATCTTTTATATTTCTTTTTTGAGGACTGTATCATTTTGGTGCACACTTTTTTTTTTTTTTTTTTTTAAGATCCAGGGTACATGTGCAGGATGTGCAGGTTTGTTACATAGGTAAACGTCTGCCATGGTGATTTGCTGCACCTATCAACCTATCACCTAAGTATTAAGCCCAACATGCATTAGTTATTTTTCCTGGTGCTCTCTCTTCCCCCGCCACCTGCCTCTAGGCCCCATTGTGTGTTGTTCCCCTCCCTGTGTCCATGCGTTCACATTGTTCAGCTCCACTTATAATTGAGAACATGTGGTATCTGATTTTCTGTTCCTGTGTTAGTTTGCTGAGGATAATGGCTTCCAGCTCCATCCATGTCCTTGTTATCTCATTCCTTTTTACAGCTGCATAGTATTCCATGGTGTATATGTACCACATTTTCTTTATCCAGTCTGTCATTGATGGGCATTACATTTAAGTCCATGTCCTTGCTATTGTGAATATTGTCCCTGCTGCAATGAACATATGCATGCATTTATCTTTGTAATAGAAATGATTTATATTCCTTTGGGTATATACCCAGTAATGGGATTGCTGGGTCAAATGGTATTTCTGGTTCTAGGTCTTTGAGGAATCACCACACTGTCTTCCACAATGGTTGAACTAATTTACTTTCCCACCAACAGTATAAAATTTTTTGTATCTCTCTGCAGCTCCACCAGCATCTGTTGTTTCTTGACTTTGTCATAGTCATCATTCTGACTGGTGTGAGATGGTATCTCACTGTCGTTCTGATTTGTACTTCTCTAATGATCAGTGATGTTGAGGGTATTTTTTACATGTTTGTTGGCCACATAAATGTCTTCTTTTGAGAAGTGTCTGTTTATGTCCTTTGCCCACTTTTTTTTTTTCTTTGAGACAGAGTCTCACTCTGTTGCCCAGGCTGGAGTGCAGTGGCGCCACCTCGGCTCACTGCAAACTCTGACTCCTGGGTTCAAGCAATTCCCTGCCTCAGCCTCCCGAGTAGCTGGGATTACAGGCGCCTGCCACCTTGCCCAGCTAATTTTTGTATTTTTAGTAGAGACGGGGTTTCACCATCTTGGCCAGGCTAGTCTGAAACTCCTGACCTTGTGATCCACCTGCCTTGGCCTCCCAAAGCGCTGGGATTACAGGCATGAGCCACGAAACCCAGCCTCCTTTGCCCACTTTTTAATGCTATTTTTTTTCTTGTAAATTTGTTTAAGTTCCTTGTAGACTTTGGATGTTAAACCTTTGTCAGATGAATAGATTTCAAAAATGTTCTCCCATTCTGTAGGTTGTCTGTTCACTCTGATGATAGTTTCTTTTGCTGTGCAGAAGCTCTTCAGTTTAATCAGATACCATTTGTCAATTTTTGCTTTTGTTGCTATTGCTTTTGATTTTCTCGTCATGAAATCTGCCCATGCATATGTCCTGAATGCCATTGCCCAGGTTTTCTTCTAGGATTTTTGTAGTTTTGGGTTTTACATTTAAGTATTTAACCCATCTTGAATTCATTTTTGTATATGGTGTAACAAGGGGTCCAGTTTCAATTTTCTGCTTATGGCTAGCCAGTTCTCCCAGCACCATCTATTAAATAGGGAATCTTTTCCCCATTGCTTGCTTTTGTCAGGTTTTTTGGAGATCAGATGGTTGTAAATATCCAGTTTTATTTCTGAGTTCTTTATTCTGTTCCATTGGTCTATGTGTCTGTTTTTGTACTATGCTGTTTTGGTTACTGTAGCCTTGTAGTATAGTTTGAAGTCAGGTAGAGTGATGCCTCCAGCTTTGTTCTTTTTCCTTAGGATTGTCTTGGCTATACATGCTCTTTTTTGGTTCCATATGAATTTTAAAATAATTTTTATCTAATTCTGTGAAGAATGTCAACAGTAGTTTAATGGAAATAACATTGAATCTGTCCGTTACTTTGGGCAGCATGACCATTTTTATGATATTGATTCTGCCTATTCATGAGCATGGAATGTTTTTCCATTTGTTTGTGTTCTCTCTGATTTCCTTGAGCACCACTATTCAAGGAGAACTTGGTGTTTACTTTTGAAGTAGTTGTAAATTGGCTGGATTTTGCATTGGTGATTTCCACATTTCTGATGACAAATGAGCAAGTTGAATTAGAGTAGATGAGTTGATGACAGTTGGTGACACTGTTGCTTTGCACTTCTATATACTTGAATGAGCCATCTGATGTTTCAAATACTAAATGTAACCATTTATTAAATGAACTTAGCTAGACTTACATAACCTAAGGTTTGGATGGAACCTTATAAAGATCTTGTCACCCACATTTTTTCTTCACAGATTACTACAAAATGGGGGTGGGAGGGAGTGAGACAGAGAGAGAGACAGAGAGAGATCATAAAATCTCATGTTATTACGTACATAATTTTTCCCAGCAA
Source organism: Homo sapiens (assembly GCF_000001405.40). Lineage (NCBI taxonomy): Eukaryota > Metazoa > Chordata > Mammalia > Primates > Hominidae > Homo > Homo sapiens. The sequence continues at coordinate 131,887,688 of NC_000002.12, read as the reverse complement.
GTTATTATGGCTATCACTACAAGAAAGATTGCAGATTCATGTTACATTAGTATCCTTCTTTCTGCTTAAAATAGAAATAGCACATGATTTATTTATTTAAAGGAAGTTATGTGTCCTATATATAATTGATATGGTTTGGCTGTGTCCCCACCCAAAACTCATCTTGAATTGCAGCTCCCATAAATCCCACATGCCATGGAAGGGAACGAGTGAAAGGTGATTTAATCAGGAGGGCAGGTTTTTCCCATGCTGTTCTCGTGGTAGTGAATAAGTCTCACGAGATCTGATGGTTTTATAAAGGGCAGTTCCCCTACACATGCTCTCTTGCCTGCCACCATGTAAGACGTGCCTTGCTCCTCCTTCACCTTCCACCATGATTGGGAGGCCTCCTCAGCCATGTGGAACCATGAGTCCATTAAATCTCTTTTCTTTATAGATTGCCCAGTCTCAGGTATTACTTCATAGTAGCATGAAAATGGACTAATACAATAATGAATGACAAAAGCACATATTTTATAAACTTCTTTGCAATAAGATTAATGAGAGGTCTTTTGCAGGTAAAATAAAAAGTTTTATTATATCAAAACCTCATTTGTAACCTGGTTTTTAATTTAAAGGTAACTTTATTCACCTCAGTATTCTTTTATAAGAAGATGTAACACATGTTCTTTACACTGGGCATTGAAATATCTATAGTATTAGAGTCTTGAACTATCTCCTCTCTCCCTTTTTCTCATTCATAAATTCCTGATATATACAATGATTTGTTTCATTAAGTCTATAACCAGAAACTTATGCTTGACATGAAACCTTTTAGGAAGTGTTTGTCTGAAGCTGTCTACATAGCTTACTGCAATGATTAATTTTTGTGTCAATTTTACTGGGCCATGGGGTGCCCAGAAATTTGGTCAAATATTATTCTGAGCATTTGTGTGGGGGAGTTTTTGAATAAGTTTAATATTTAATTTGGTAGACTTTGAGTTAAGTAGATTGCCCTCGTTAATGTAGGTGGGCCTCATTCAATCAGTTGAAGGGCTGAAGGGAATGAAATCACTAGTTTCTTCAAAGCAAGAGAGAACTCTAAAGCAGACTACCTTCAGACTGGAACTGTACCACTGGCTTTCCTGAGTCTCCTCTGCCAGCTCACCTTGCAGATTTTGGACTTACTAGCCCTCATATGACATGAGCCAATTCCTTACTATAAATCTCTTTGCATGTGTGTGACCCAACCTCTTTCCCCTCCAACACACACCCTATTAGTTGTGTCTTACTGGAGAACTGTGACTATCATACTCTGTTTATATACAATGGAGAGGTAATTTTTACTGTCACTTTATAATAACTGATTAATGCTGTCAGCTGTGAATTTTAGTGAATTAAAACTCTTATATCAAGGGGGGCAAATACAAAAGCTTTGAGTATGAAATAGTTTTGGTACAAGTATAAAGGAAATACAAACTGTCAATGTCTGAGATATTTTTAACACACCAAAAATTGTACAGAAACAATTAATAAAGATTGAAACAAAGGAGGAAATTGAGTTTGTTTTGAGGTGATTGTGTAGGGAGTCAGTGGGAAACATGCAGTTTGTGACCCTAAAATTTTCTTTGGATCACGTTGGTGTGAGAACTTCTATGTCACTGATAGAGTTGGAGAAGGGTTTAGAGCCAAGTATGTATTTTTAATGATAGCGAGAAATCTGAGGAAATTGTTTAAAGGAAGTTTTAAGAATTAAGTCTGGAAATTCCTTGTAAAAAAAAATTGAGGACAGTCAGGAGAAAATACCAGCAAATAAAGGGGACATTGAAACCATTCATTCAGATTAAATTTGTGTGGAATAAATGTAGAGAAAAACAAAACTAAAAACTAATGCTTGAGGAATTACTCCAATCCAGTGGGAGGAGAAGAAAGAGAACGTAGTAAAAGAAATAAACATTCAGAAAGTAAGAAAAGCATTAGAGATAGTCTAATGTAGCCAGGAGTACATATTCCAGACCTTAGAAAATGGTTTTCACCTTCTCAGATTTTTCTGAAGTAAATATAAACAAATCCATTTTCTGTCTCTTCTTCCTTTAATTACATTATTATCCATTGGTCAAAGCAATATGAACCAATTCTAGTAGAAATTACATTGAAAGCTCCAATGAAATAGGATTTTCTTGGGAGTCACCCAAGAAATAGATTTTCTGAGCAGAGGTTTACACTTATGTATGGTACTAATAAAGATTATCTGCAATAAGATTGGCAATGACAAATTGCCTACTATAGTAATAGCTTCATTATATAGAATTATTACTTGGAAAATTAATTTTAATTGAAAACAATTTATCTGAGTTGTAGAAGTAAAAAGATTCTCCCAGCAGAGTTTATACCTGCTGTGTCTACTTAACAGTGATTATTTCCCTAACTTTCTATTGACTCAAGGCTTTCTGTGCTCTATATTTTCCTCATGCATATAAAATTATTGCCACAGATAGGAACACAGCATTTCTTTGCATTTAATCTTCTTTTATAACCAAATTACCATATGAAACTTATATATCTGCATCTCATTTGGGAAAAAACTGGTACTTGCAAGAAAGTTTATTGGCAATAAAAAGAATGTATTTAAATTTACACACACACACACACACACAAGCAAAAATTCAGAATAAAGTCATCTCCTGATAGCTTCTCCTATTTACAATATTTGTTCAAGGAATGAAAACTACATATTCCTTATTAAAAATACTTTTCCTCCATTATGATTTGAAATTGTCAAATAAGAGGAGTGGTCAAATCCCAAATCAAAAATTCTTTTTGAACTGCACCATTTCTCCCTGATTAAGTATTTAATCCTCACCTAAAGGTCTCTCTAAAGTTGAGGTCTTGAAAAATTCCTTCTTGGTGTATCTTCCAAATGGAAATGCACTGTTAAAGCTTTCATGCAATAAGAACACATTTGGAATTACATATCTGATTCATTGCTACAGTTTACAACTAGAGCCTAGGAGTTTCCACTGAAAACTGAGATAATCACTCATGGTAATTTAAGAATCGTAACTTTTCTAGATGTTTCCTACTACCATCATATTTGTAGAAAATAGGAAATACCTGTTTTAAGAAGATTCCACAGAAATGTGTTTAATATATATCACTATGCACAAATAGATGCACAAATTTATACTGTCTTTTGTCATTGATGTATTGTTTTTTTTTAGATGGATCCTGGCTCTGTCACCCAAGCTGGAGTGCAGTGGTGTAATCTCAGCTCACTGCAAACTCCACCTCCCAGGTTCAAGCGATTCTCCCGCCTCAACCTCCTGAGTAGCTGGGATTACAGGGGCCCACCATCGCGTCTGGCTAATTTTTGTAGTTTTGTAGAGATGGGGTTTCACCATGTTGGCCAGGCTGGTTTTGAACTCCTGATCTCAGGTGATTTTTTTTTATATATACTTTAAGTTCTGGGATACATGTCCAGAACGTGCAGGTTTGTTACATAGGTATACATGTGCCATGGTAGTTTGCTGCACCCATCACCCCATCATCTAGGTTTTAAGCCCTGCATGTATTAGGTATTTGTCCTAATGCTCTCCCTTCTCTTGCCCCACAACACCTGTTAGGCCTCAGTGTGTGATGTTCCCCTCCCTGTGTCCATGTGTTCTCATTGTTCACCTCCCACTTATGAGTGAGAATGTGCGGTGTTTGGTTTTCTGTTCTTGTGTTATTTGCTGAGAATGATGGTTTCCAGCTTCATTCCTGCCCTGGCAAAGGACATGAACTCATTCTTTTTTATGACTGCATAGTATTCCATGGTGTTTATGTGCCACATTTCTTTATCCAGTCTATCACTGATGGGCATTTGGTTTGGTTTGGCTTTGAAACTGCAATACCTCTTCCCAAAAATCCCCACTTTTCCCACTTTCTGAATGAAGCTCACACAGCAGGTTGGCATTTAAGACATGCTACTATCTGGAAAAAACCCCTCAATTTTACCACATATCTATAGCCTATAGATTAACTGGATTATTATTATTAATCAATTTTTAAGCCCACCTCATTGAATATATGAGACTCTCCAGATTAGAAGATGGGATGGCATTCTCTAGAAAAACTGTCCTCTGGTTCAAATGACACACCAATTTCAAGATCTTCCTGATTCCATCAGTTACTTCCTTTTTCCATCAACTGTCTTTGTGTGTTTTTTCTTTCCTTGCATTGAAGATATTTACATTTCTGATTTACATCAATATGTTATAATCATTTTTTTTTTCCGAGACAGGGTCTAACTCTGTTGCCCAGGCTGGAGTGCAGTGGTAAGATCTCGGCTCACTGCTACCTCCACCTCCTGGGTTCAAGCAATTCTCTTAGCCTCAGCCTCCCGAGTAGTGGGGACTATGGTGCATGCCACCATTTCTGGTCTGATATATGTATTTTAGTAGAGACAGAGAGATGGGGTTTTGCCATTTAGGCTAGGCTGGTCTCGAATTCCTGACCTCAGGTGATCTGCCTGCCTCAGCCTCCCAAAGTGCTGGGATTACAGGTGTGAGCCACCAAGGCTGCCCTCTTATAATCATTGTGATATGCCTATTTCCTTCAAAATTTATGTTAATGGAACTGAATTGCTTGTAAATCATGAATGAATGGCTTGTAAAATCATCCCACAATGAAATATTCATTGGAATTTTTATTCTGTACTGACTCACAGCTGGGTAAGAGAAGTAGAAACAGTCAATTACATGGATATTTTATGTGCATATTATCAAATAAAATTATATTTTTTAAAAATAGCATATTTGATATCACATATACATATATTCAGCCAGGATAACTTTAAGAAAACTTTATTTCAGTTTCTTTAGATGCCAGTTATCATTACTCTTTATCTCATTTATCTGAAGAAAATGCACATGAGGCATAGGAATCTCTCCTCCCTATTACAGGGGAAGCAAGCCAGAAACACATTTTGTTCTTATGAAAGACTTAATGGGAGGAAAAAACAGAGGATGGAAAGCCCTAATCTGACCTGCAAACAAAAAAGTCCTTTGAAAATAATGAAGTAAGTAATTTCCTCCCCTCTATTGGCAATGCCATCTCAATCTCTAAGAATTTCCTATTCACTCCTTGACCTTTCCAATGAGGTCATCACCAAAGGAAATGTCTTACTTCAAGAGTAACAACAGACTTTAAAGATCTTAAACAATTTCAGAGTATAGACCTTGTTAGATCATGTTCTCTTGAAGGGGGAAGAGTAAGCAAGAGTTTTTTGCCAAAGAATTTTCAATGAATGAATTTTTCAATGAATTTCAAAGCATTTGTGTGTGTTCTGAAAGTATAGAGCTGGACTCTATATAAATTCTAACATTTCAATATATTTTACATTGCCTGTATCTTGAAATAATACTTTAGCTACTGAGGATTGTCATTTATTGATAAGGCTATCTCTGATTTAGGAACTTAGACTATTAAAAAAAATAGAAGAAATGTTGAGCTGAAAAAACTATAAACTTTTCTCAAATAAAATATGTCCATTTGATTGACTACCTGGTTTCACTTTATTCAAAGGACAATTATTTTCTATAAATCTATATATGTTTGTAATTTATATGAAAGTTTTAGAAAATAATTTATATTGATCATATATAAGTAGCTACAGTGTTAAAATTTCTATTATATTATTTTACTTTTTAAAATAATTTGTATCTGATTTATGGTGTCCAAGACTTATAATGAGAATTTAGTGAATTATATTTATGTCATACAGAACAGCAAAAAAGATAAATATATAAATAAATGATAAGATATAAGATATTCTAGTCATGACTGGGCACGGTGGCTCATGCCTATAATACCAGCACTTCGGGAGGCCGAGGTGGGTGGATCACCTGAGGTCGGGAGTTCGAGACCAGCCTGACCAACATGGTGAAACTCCGTCTCTACTAAAAATACAAAAACTAGCCAGGCAGGGTGGTAGAGCCTGTAATCCCAGCTACTCAGGAGGCTGAGACAGGAGAATCGCTTGAACCCAGGAAGTGGAGGTTGCAGTGAGCTGAGATCATGCCAATGCACCCCAGCCTGGACGACAAGGGCAAAACTCCATTTCAAAAAAAAAAAAAAGATATTCCAGTCATGAAAAATAACAGTTATGAAAGTTTAAATTAAGAAACTGAGGAAATGATAATTTTTTTAATTGTATCAGCTTTCTTTGTGCTGATATTAAATCAGAACTGTTCTAAACATGATTCTTATATAATTGGTTACTATTTTAAAATGACAGATATTGAATGTGTTAATAAACCTTTCTGAAGCCATCTTAGTTAATGGCCCTTCAGAAGTAGAATCTGAACACAAGATTTGAGAGCAAGTGATGCAATAAAGAAGTTCTGCCAAAAGAAACCACTCAGAAAGTGTGGGAAACACAACTGGAAAAAACAAGTCAAGCAAGGCTATGATTTCAGGTGAGGCACCAGCCTCAGTCTGACTGGATGGGGAGCTCTGGAGAGTAAATTGTACTTTATAGTTGGTCCTATGGGGAATCAGGTGTGCTGAGCTGTTGTATTCCACTAACCATTCATTAGCTATGGGCCATAAGCTGTCCACAGACAACTCAGCTCTAAAAAGATAATCTGTCCTCTAAACTTTCCATGCCAGTCTTTAGCAGCAAAGCACAGAGAGCCTAAGGAGTGGTCACACAGTTCCTACGGGGGATCCACGGTTTTTACATGAGGCACCAACACTGTCTACTATAGGAAGCATGTTGAATTTTAATTAGCAATTCTAAGAATTGCTCATAATATTGTTGCAGATATCTCCAGCCACCTACCCCAGAACCATTCACCACTGCTACAACCACCACCATTACTGACACCACCACCTGTAGCTCTCTTACCCTTTGCTGATTTAGCCTGATATTATTAAAGTGTTTACCTTTACACTATGCACTTTTTACTATTAGAAGGATTATTGGTTTTAGCCAGCCATATAAATGGCATTTTCCTTCACAGTGGTTAGTTTAGAAGTTAGCAAGAAACTTAATCTTCTTGATTTTTCAAGGAAAATGTATCCACATTTTCCCTCCTAATAAAAAAAACTGCACAGAAGAAAATATTCTTCATGACAACATCATTATGCCTGCATGCATTGACAGAAATTACTAAGGCCATGTTGCCATCATAAGTGGCAACAAAATATACAGTCTATAGATAGCAAAGTAAATCATGGAAAGCCACAAAGGTTTGGATGAGACTTCTGGGCCACTGTAAACTCCGCAGAGCTGGATTTTTATTAAGCAAATAAAAAAACTAAATAATTGTCAGTTGGGTCTTCTGTGTTAGCAAATGCATTTTTATTAATATAATAATAGCTATCAAGCTATTGGCCTTTATAAAGAGCCTACAATGTGCCAGCTATATTTATAAGTACTTTACATATATCAATTCATTCTGGTGAAAGAGAACACATCCCATAGCTGCTAATAAATATCATAATTGTCACATATAATCATATTTGGCTCCTATTGAAAACGTTCAAATTATGTTGTGTTGCTCACTGAAGTTACTATACATTATCACTACTACTTCCAGCAAAAACTATAGGGAGGAAACAGCAGATTATGTTTAAGTAATGTAAATAGCCATCTTAGTAAAATACTTACATAATATGTGTTTTTGATTTTCTTAATAATAGTCTTGTGCAGAAAAACTTTTTATAATTTATAAGAATACTAAACTAACTATTGAAAACATTTGTATGTCTTTTTTCATCTCCTATATTTTTCCAGGCAATATTAGCAGAATACTGCCCACAAAGTTTCTAAGCCATATCAAACATATCAATGTTTGTGAAATCAAAGCACAAAAATTCAAATTTCTGATATTTAATATATAAAGTGTATCTATACAATTTATAATTTGATAAATTTTACATGCTTATTCTTTCTCTGAATGTATTACATAATTACATGAGATGTATTAACTCATATGCTATAATACTTCATTTAAGAATAGTGTCCTCTTCAAAATCGATTTGGGAATACTTACAGCTTGATTTGGCTCAACTGAATAAATGAAAATCTTAGAAGTTTCATTGTTGCTAGATCCAATGAGAAAAACTATCCAGTATGGTACCTTTGCCTGCTATTATTCTTCTCTATTTATCTTTATTAGTATTCTAGAGTTATTAAGAATAGATTATAATTGAAATACGAGAAGTCCTGGGAAAACTTCATGGGCAGCCACCTAACCACTTTTTTTATATTGTACCGGAACTGGCTTTAAGGAAGAACAATCAGAGTACATACTTTAATTACAAGCAGAAGAACAGAGTAACTTTAACTTTATGATATTCAATTTTTTTTAATTCTAATCTTTATGTGACCCTGCAAATTTGAATTCAGGCTGGGTGTGGTGGCTCATGCCTGTAATCCCAGCACTTTAGGAAGCCCAGGTGGGTGGATCCCCTGAGGTCAGGAATTCAAGACCAACCTGGTCAACATGGCGAAACCCTGTCTCTATTAAAAATGCAAAAATTAGCTGGGCATGGTGGCACGTGCCTGTAATCCCAGCTACTTGGGAGGCTGAGGCAGGAGGATCACTTGAACATGGGAGGCAGAGACTGCAGTGAGCTCAGATCATGCCACTGCACTCCAGCCTGGGAAACAGAGCGAGACTCCATCTCAAAAAAAAAAAAGTAAAATAAAATAAATAAATAAATAAAGTAAATTCATCTTTCTGAGAGTTAAAGCTAATGTCTATAAATTTTGATTGATAATTAATAATATTTATCTGTGACTTCATAAAGAGTTAAAGGATGAATATAAAAGAATATGATTGCCTTAGTGTGTGAATCTCATGTGGTAAGCACACTTGATAAATGTTAGATCCACTCAGTTATTTTTTTCTTTGTGACTCGGAGCCCACAGTAGGTGGAAATAACAATACCAAATTACCCTATGGAGACTAAAAACAAGACTAAAGGAGTTAAAGATATGAACTTCAGTATCTTGCAGGAGCTAAGATTTTAATTTATGCTGAGATGTAAAAAACTGACCTGATGTATTTTATTCCACAAGGGTATTTGAATTTTAAAAGATAAACGTTTAAATAAACGTTATTATATATGTTTATCCAAAATATTCGAGGACAGAGTAGAACTTTCACAGAGGAGAAATTTTCCCACGGTGGTGAAGGGCAGTGTGCCATGCAGAGGGCTGCAGGGACAGTAGCATAGAAGGGCTAAACAGTGGTGAGAGTGTTGAACATTCTCGTGTAGCTGACACATAAACTGTAAATGGGATGTGAGACAAGAAAAGCAGAGGCTAGGCTTTGAAAGTGAGGGCCAAACTTCAAAAATCTTGTATGAAATAAAATAATAATTAATAATAATGGTTGACATATGGATTTCAAATGGCACTCCAAGGCACTATGTCTTGGAGTATCAAATATAGTTCAAGATTGAGAGTAGGATTATATGAGTAGGAGATGCATCATATTCACATGAAAATAAAGAGATACATTGAGGAATAGAATGAGAAATTAACTTGAATAGTATGAAACTTCAGAGAGTGGTAAGTACCGCAGTTATAGAAGGTAATCATCACCCTTATTGATAAATGAAAAAACTAAATTTCGATGGTCAAGATAATTTTCCCAGGATTATGTAACTGACAAGTCAGAGAATGGGAAATTTACCTAACTAAGCTTTGTTTTTTCCAAAACGCTGCACTGTATGTTAAGAAAATAAATTTTTAGACAAAAGTAGCAAGTCATTTGAGCATTTAAAATAGCTAAAAGCTACAATCACACAGACACACATACACACACACACACATCCAACAACAAGGAAGGTAGAGGTATTTTGGCATTTGAAATTATCCTAGTAAGAAATGATAAAGGTCTGAAATAGTGTAGAATTATTTCCCTTTACTGTCAGAGGCTAAATTGATCTTGGAAACATTACTTTCTTTGATAATAAAGTATTGTCATTATTAAGTGTTTATAAGGTATATGTGAATAAATCACATAGTTACTTTTAAAGGTAACTCATGCTGGTGAAAAGATATGGAGAGGCAAAAAAGCCAATGTTTTAAAGTTTTAATATATTTTTAAGTGTATGAAGCAACCAATTTATTTTGATATAATCAGTGGTGAAAGTAATGCCATCAAGCATTCGTGGAGGCTTTTAATTAGAATCATGTGCTACGTAAAGCTGTTGGAAAGAGTTTAAAGGATCAGAATGTTGGAGGATATAAAAAAAAAATGGCAAATGCCCAGTTGCTTTTGTAAGGGATTTTAAATTAAAGCAGCAAACCTTTTAAAGCATCACACAGTGGGCAGAATGAAAATGAAAGCTGATCAACCTGAATTATTTTTCAGTTGTACAATTTTGCAATAATCTTCCATGGAGTTCATGACCAGAGGATGACTAGACCTTGAGAAGTATTTGAAGAAGGGGTTAATGAAGAAGGGGTTAATGTGGGAGCCAAGGCAACCATCTGAAACAGCTGGCCTGCCTGGGCATGTCTGAGCCAGATGTCCACTTCTGGTCCAGGGTTAGAATTATGTATAAAATGAGGTACTGGGAACAATTTGTCTATGTTAAAAAGATGTGTGTGTGTGCGTGTGAATGGATGTATATATGTGTGCTGTAAGAACAGAAAATAGTATCTTAATTGTAATAGAAGATACTTTGATAGCATGTTTCAAAAGCCTTAAAATTCATATCATTTTACACATTATTTCAATTCTTACTAATTTATATTAAAGATATCATTAGAGTGAATATGAGTATTTATTACCATACTGTTTATTGACATTTTATTTATAATAATAAAACATTCCAATAATTTTAATTGTTAGTAGTAAGGGAATGGTGAAACTCATGGAATATTCATGAAATAAAATGTGTGCAGCCATGAAAAGTCATGCAATAGAAGAAGATTTAATGACACAGGTGTAGAGTAAAACTAAAAATTATTATAAATAATCACATCTACGAATTGTTAGTTTAAAAGTATATTTAAGGAATTTATATCCAAATTATATATGTATTTATAAAAAGACAAGTAAGAAACACACAAAATATTTTAGATTATATTATCCAAATGGAGTTACATGTACTTTTTTTGTTTACATTATGCTATTAGAAATTTACTCATTTTTATAAAATAAAATTGTTTTTTATTTTACTAAAAATACTGTTCTGAGATATCAACAGTTGTAGAAAATGTGTTAGCAATGAACTCAAAGAAAAGTAGTATAAGCATAAGAAATATATTTTTACTTCAGCCTAAAACTAAGCCCTTAACATTCCTTAATTGAGGAATGTCAACCATCTCATTACATTTCCTTAGACTGCAAAATATGTAAGTATACCTCTCTTTTCCTATTGTGCTTTTATGCAAATATTCTCTTTGGTATTCTTTTATGACATATCAATTTTAAAAATTAAAGTTGTGTTTACACCAACACATTTTCATACATTGGCACATGGTATTTATAACTCTAAAGCCAAAGTGGGCACAGACTAGGACCTGATGAAGCAGGGAAACTGAGTCTCACAGGGCGGCTTCAACCTCTGTGACCATCTAAGAATCTTTTGGAATCATCCCCATCAGCAATGTATAATTGCACACATTTTACCATGCCCACTCTAACACCAGAAATTATCTTTAATAATATTTTAATGCATAAAAAGACTTATTAAAATAATTTTGAAGAATAAAAATATATTTTATAAAATAAGTATTCTATAATAGAAAGATATATCCTGCAATTGTGTTGTGGAAGAAAAATACAATAGGGAAAGAAACCTGAAATGGTGGCAATTTTGTTTTTAAGAGTGAATGAGTATATATGTGAAGGAAAAAAGAAGTGAGAGGGAGAGACAGAGAGAGAGAGAGCACGCACAGGTAGGAAGAGGAAGTGAAGGAACAGAGAAGAAAGAATTAGATCTCCCTTTTGTTGGTTGATAGTTTAATTAACTACCTTTCTTAGGAATATATTATACATTCAGTTGAATAAATAGAATGACAGACACTAAAAAATATTCAGTGTAACATAATGTCCAATATAGTCTAATTCCAGTTTTCTAGCTGATAGCCCAGGGAGTCCTAGAGAGAGAAGACTGAGAGAAAGAGAAACCCCTCCTCGTGACTGGTTTCCAGTGACTAATGAGTGAAGGTATTAAAGCCAAATAGGGTCTTTCTGTGTTTTCCATGTTCCACCTCTTTTCAAGCATTTGTGTGAGAACCAGGGACACCTTAAGGGAGAAGGGAATAGTGACATTGCCTTTCTGCTTTTTCCTCTAAAATTTCTGATTGTAGTAAATGGCTTCATTCAAAGTTAACCTTGCATTAAATATATTTTAAAATATATCAACTTGGTAATGCAAATATATATGAAAAGAAAACAGTTTACTCATGTAGTTTATGGCACAGTGATGCTAAAATGAGTTAATAGTTATTTTATGAAAGAATAATTGTACATATAGAATTTATTATTAATTGATACTAAACATTTACTGATTAATAATTCGAATGATTTTGATTTAATGAAGTGTTTCATACATGTGTATACGTGTGTGTCTGTGTATATATATATACACACATATAATTTATAGTTATGTACCTACCTGTACCAATACCTATGAAGGATACTTATATCATGACTTTGCACATAAAATAATAATCAAGCTGCTATTTCAATTTAAATATACAAGATAAACATTTCATTGAATGTTACAAAATTAGCCAGGCGTGGTGGCGCGTGCCTCTAATCCCAGCTCCTCGGGAGGCTGAGGCAGCAGAATCGCTAGAACCCAGGAGGCGGAAGTTGTGATAAGCCGAGATCGCGACATTGCACTCCAGCCTGGGCAACAAGAGTGAAACTCCGCCTACAATAATAATTAATTAATTAATTAATACTTCCTATACTTCTTTTTTTTTTCACTCTTACTGCCCAGGCTGGAGTGTAATGGCGCGACCTCAGCTCACCGCAACCTCTACCTCACGGGTTCAAGCGATTCTCCTGCATCAGTCTCCCGAGTAGCTGGGATTACAGGCACGCGCCACCACGCCCGGCTAATTTTGTAGTTTTAGTAGAGACGGGGTTTCTCCATGTTGGTCAGGCTGGTCTCGAATTCCTGACCTCAGGTGATCCACCTGCCTTGGTCTCCCAAAATGCTGGGATACAGGCATAAGCCATGGCGCCCGGCCTACTCATATGTCTATATTTGTTGCAGAAAATGATAAAGTGTTCAATAAAATAATTCTATGCAGTAGAATAAATTTTTTGTGGAAGTGAAATAGAACTATATGTTCAAAGAAAAAAAAGAACAGTCAAAGATTTCCAGATGCTACGAATGAACATGTTCATGAATATTTCTATATGGATGATGGCAGGGATCAAATTGCCAATATATTTTCAATTTCATCAAATATGTTGTTAAAATTGATAGATTTTATTTCAAAATATTTCTGTTTATAATGTACCAAAGATTATACACCATTTACAACTATTTCAATGAAAACATTTAAATGTCAACCTAAAACATTTACAAGTGAGTTCCTAGTTTTTGAAAATTATATAAAAGGCAATTGAAAAAAGAAAAAAAACACTGTCTTGGAACACACATATCCCTGTAACCATCCTCCTAGAATTTGGTGAGTCCGATGGGAAAGGCTTTCCAGTATTCATATTTGTGGACCCATGTTTTAGCTGAGTGGTAGGAATACAGTTATTTCATTTCTGAGTGTTGAATAAATATAGTGTCATATCTGAGTGAAGATTATAGGACTTAGAAGATCTAGATATCATAACATCCAAAACAAGCTATAGGCAGGATTTTCACTTCTATAATTCTTGGTCTTCATTCATAAAAATCGAGACCACATTAATGCTTACTTTAGAGGAGCTGAATGTCAGCAGAGGCTAAAAAATGTAGAGTTTACTGGATCATATTAAGAATTACAAGTTTTATTTGAAAGAATATTTCCATCTAAATTATCTTTCTAAACAGCTAAAGAATGGGTCAAGCATAAAGACTAGTCTATCTAGTTGAAGTACGGAGAAGGAATTGTAGAGAGTAGAGGTTAGTGAGGTGGCTAATTAATAGGTTGTCATGTCAGTAGAAGTGAGAGGATAAGTCTAGCTTGCACTAGGATGCTGACATCAGAGAAGGAGACAAATAGATTCAAGAGGAATTGGCAGATAAGTGTCTCAGAATATATTGATGACTGCAAATGAGGACAATTTATGGACAGCCAGAATTCTGGTCTGAACAGCTGGATAGGTGATGGTGCCACATAACAGGAGGGATCATTGAGGGATACAGGAGAATCAGGTTTAAGGGTGAAGATCCTGATTACAATATTGGTTAGGTTGAGTTGAACCAGTCTTCGGGACGCGGAAGTGAATGTGTGAAGGCAATTGGGTGTATCAAGCTGGAGATCAGGCAGGATGTTCTGATAATATAGATGCTGATGAGAAAGTCACTGTTAGTAGAATGCTCTCCCGCTTTCTACTAACAGAGATAAGAACTGAATTCATTTGCATGGAGTCGGTGGAGGGAGAGAACTTCAGGTGTAGACTCTGAGGATCATTAAGTTGAAACTACTTATTGTGTAGTGTGGATGAACACATTATCTAGAGTAACAGTGTGCTGAGAGTAATTGCAAACCCTCAACCTCAATCCAGAGGTTGAATGAACCTGAAAATAGTTTGTTGGAGGCTGGCCTCCATTACCAGGGAACATAGAGAGCTCACATTAATTAGTGTGCATTTTTGAAATTCTAATAGTCTTTTTTGGTTGAGCTGTTAAAACAAATCAAAGCAAAACAAAAAACCTCATTATTCACTGAAAGTTGCTAATAGAAGATATGGGCTTATATCTGAATAATCGTCATATGGATTTATACCTGAATTGTACCTTTCCTAAAAAATATAATGACCTTTGTGTTTGTGTGTGAAAGTAATGTATAAATTCCTGGAGTTAAAACAAACTAACAAAAAAAAAAAGTAATTCAATACGGGAAATCAAAAGCTGATGTATATGTGTGTGGATAAGTGTGGAGTGACAGGAGTTAGAAGTAGGGGAGGCATATCAGCATCTGTGGAAAGGGACTTCCAGTCATATCAATTGAAGGAAAGTTTGGAAGAAAGCTTTGGAGCTCTATTCCTGTCTTTTGATATTAACTTAAGAGGATTATTGCCCTTCCATTCATTACGGAAATCCTAAGCAAGAGGCCAGGTTGCTCAATGATACTGAGTAAAACTAGGACAGCATAATAACATTAATGTATTAATGTAGTAAGGAGCTGATACCAACCACACCAGAATAACAAGTTTTCCTTCTGTGAGTTTTCCTTTCCATCCCGTTATCCTTTCAATCTCAAACATAATGGAGTGGAAGGGGGGAAGCTAAGAAGATATTCTCCTCTCTCAGTCTGGTCCCAGGGAGGAAAAACTTTTGATATTTATATGTATGGGGTCTTCTCTGATACAGTATCTAGAAAAGAGCAAGAAAAGCTGAGGTAGGTATAAAGATTAAATGAACAGCATTGCAGTTGCCACAGTAATGTCAGCCACTCCCATAAGGAATTCTAGAGCCCTTTAGAGATATCACTAATTGAGACCAGGGAGCCAGGCCTTTGAATGCTGCAATGACCAATTATTGGACATCAATCACTGGACACAGGGAAAGAGATGGGATAGTTCCCTTAGGTTGAGAACAATTTCTGACAAGGGATGCAAGCAACACTGCCAGTAGGTAAGAAAATAAGGGCCCCCATCCCAAAGGATGACATAAACAGCACCTCATTATAACCACTACATTTTCTTTCAGGTTACTCTTTTCTTTCAAAGAAATGTAAGGTGAGTATTGTCCACTCTACCCAAAAGAATCTACACATTCAATGCAATGCCTTTCAAAATACAAATGACATTCCTCAAAGAAATATTTTTAAAAATCGTAAAATCTGTGTGGAACTACAAAAGGGCCCAAGTAGTCAAAGAAAGAAATTTTGAGCAAAACAGACAAACAAACAAAAAGCTGCAGACATCATGCCACCTGATTTCAAAATATACTGCAAAGCTATAGTAACCAAAATAAAATGGCATTGGTATAAAAACCAGACACGTAGATCAATGGAACAGAAGAGATAATCCAGAAATAAATCCACGGATTTAGAGCCAATTGATTTTTGACAAAGACATCAAGAACATACATTGAGGAAAAGACAGTATCTTCAATAAATGGTGCCAGGATATTTGGATATCAATACACAGAACAGCTAAATGAGGCCCTTTAAACAAAATTTAACTTAAAATTATTAAAGACTTAAATGTAAGATGCAAAACTATAAAAGTAATAGAAAACAAGTTAGGGAAAATTCATCAGGACATTGGTCTAGGAAAAGATTTCATTGATGAGACCTCAAATGCACAGGCAACAAAAGTTAAAACAGACAAACAAGAATATATCAAACTAAAACTCCCTGCATAAATAACAAAGGAAACAACAACGTGAGGAAACTATCTGTAGATTAGGAGAAAATATTTGCAAACTAACTATGCATCTGACAAGGGATTAATACCCAGAATATATGAGGAACTCAGACAACTCAACAACAACAGCAACAAAAAAAAATCCATTAAAACACAGGCATTTCTGAGTAGACATTTCTCAAAAGAAAGACATACAAATGATCAACAAGTATATAAAAAATCCATCACAAATCATCAGAGAAATGCAGATTAAAGCCACAATGAGATAACATCTCACCCCAGTTAGAATGGCTACTATCAAAAAGATCCCCCAAAAAATTTGTGCAGAGAAAAGGGAATTCTTGTATACTGTTAATGGGATATAAATTCATACAGCCATAATGGAAAACAGTAGAGTTTTCTCAAAACACTATGTATAAATTTTCCATATTATCCAGCAATCCTACTATTGAATATTTATCCAAAGAAAAGAAAATCAGCTTATCAAAGATATATCTGAACTCCCATGTTTATTGAAGTACCATTCACAATGGCCAAGATACAGAATCAACCTAAATGTCTATCAACAGATGAATGAAGAAAATGTGGTATATATATATATATATATATACACAATGGAATACTATTCAGCCATAAAAAGAATGAAATACTTTCATTTGTGGCAACAGGGATAAGCCTAAAGGACATTATGTTGAATAAAGTAACTCAGGCACAGAAAGATTTATACTGAATGTTCTCACTCATATGTAAGAACTGAAAGAAGTTGAACACATAGAAGTGGAGAGAATTGTGGTTATTAGAGGCTTGGAAGTATAGGGGGTATGGGTGGGTAGGGAGAAGTTGGCTAAGTCA
This sequence comes from Homo sapiens, assembly GCF_000001405.40. Taxonomy (NCBI): domain Eukaryota; kingdom Metazoa; phylum Chordata; class Mammalia; order Primates; family Hominidae; genus Homo; species Homo sapiens. Next base: position 131,870,355 of record NC_000002.12, on the reverse strand, counting down.
TACAAACTTACAGCTAGATATGAGGAATAAGTTCTAGTGCTCTATAGCACTGTAGGGAGAATATAGTTAAAAGTAGTTTCTTATATATTTTTGAAAAGCTAGAAGAGAGAATTTCGAATGTTCCCCAAACTGTTATGAGTATGCTAATTATCTTTATTTATCTTGATTACCTTAATTGGATCATTACACATTGTACCCATGTATTGAAATATCACTAGATGCCATAAATATGATTTAGGTTGGTGCAAAAGTAATTGTGGTTTTGGGCTGTGAATTTTAAATCATTATAACTAGGCTCAAACACATCTTTATTAATCAAAATAGGAGTCATTATAATCAACACATTTTTGCCAACAAAAATGCCAGCATTTTGGGGTCTAATCATATTAAACAGCCATTCTAGAAACGCTAAAAACAACAGAAGAACTCCATTATTAATATTCTGTTCCTCTAGAACCACTCCTGATACCAAAATCTGTGTTAGTCAAGGTTCTCTAGAGAGACAGAACTAATAGGATCTATATATAGAAAGGGAGGGAGTTTATTATGTTGTAGTAACTCACATGATCACAAGGTCCCACAATAGGCCATCTACAAGCTGAGGAGAAAGGAAGCTAGTCCAAGTCCCAAAGCTGAAGAACTTGGAATTTGATGTTCCAGGGAAGGAAGCATCCAGCACAGGGGAAAGATGTAGGCTAGGAGGCTAAGCCAGTCTAGGCTTTTTACGTTTTTCTGCCTGCTTCATATCCTGGCCACACTGGCAGTTGATCAGAATGTGTCCACCCAGATTAAGGGTGGGCTTGCCTTTCCCAGCCCACTGACTCAAATGTTAATCTCCTTTGGCAAGACCCTTACAGACCCACCCAAGATCAATACTTTGCATCCTTCAATCCAATCAAGTTGACACTTAATATTAACCGTTACACTGTAGCTTCTTTGTTTTGGCCAGTATCTTCCACTTAGAATGTGTATATTTACCCAAAGACTATACTCCATTGTATCTGGGAAGTAACTAACTTGCTTTTGATTTTACAGGTTCATAGGCAGAAGGGACTGCCTTTTCTCAAATGAGACTTTGTACTTGGACTTTTGAGTTAATGCTGGAATGAGTTAAAACTTTGTGGGACTGTTGGAAGGGCATAATTGTGTTTTGAAATGTGAGGACATTAGAATTGAGAGGGCCATGGGTGAAATTATATGGTTTGGCTCTGTGTCTCTAACCAAATCTCACCTTGAATTGTAATAATCCCATGTGTCAAGGGCGGAACCAAGTAGAGGTAATTGTAGCATGGAGGCAGTTCCCTCATGTTGTTCTCATGATAATGAGTGAGTCTCATGGGATCTGATGGTCTTATAACAATTTGACATTTCCTCTGCTTGCACTCATTCTGTCTCCCACAACCCTGTGAAGAGGTGCTTTTTGCCATGCTTGTGAATTTCCTGAGGCCTTTCCAGCCATGTGGAACTGTGAGTCAATTAAACCTCTTTTCTTTATAAATTACCTAGCCTCAGGTATTTCTCTACAGCAGCCTAAGAACAAACTAATTATCTATCTATCTATCTAGCTAGCTATCTATCTATGATCTGGCTATAGCTATATATATATAATATATATAATATATGATTTATATATATATAAAATATAATATATATTATGATTTATATATATATATGATTTATTATGAGGTATAGGCTTATGGAATTATAAAGTCTGAAAAATCCCATCTGTGCAAGATGGAGACACTGGACAGTCAGTGGTGTAGTTCAAAAGCCTGAAAGCCAGAGAGCCAATGGTACAGATTTCAGTCTGAGTTTGAAAGTTTGAGAAACAGAAGGACCAAGGGCAAGAAAAGATTGATGTCTCAGTTCAAGTAGGCAGAAAGAGAATGAATCCTCTCTCTTTCATCTTTTTGCTCTATTCAATTATCAAGGGACTAAATGTTACCCACACACAATGGGGAAGCCAACTCAGTTTATTCAGTCTACTGATTAAAATGCCAATCTCTTCTATAAACACTCTCATGGACACACCCAGAAATAACATTTAATCAGCTATCTGGGCATCCTGTGATCCAGTCAAGTTAACAAAATTAACTTTCACAAATACACTAATTGTCAATGTGGCACTTATATTCATCTCCTTACATACTTAAATACTATGATATAAAGCCAATATATCTTATGTTACATGATAAGAGAATAGGTGAAAGAAGAAAGCAAGGGTATTATATACACAATATATACACAACCAAAAATGCATTTATAACAAAATGGGGAGATCATATTTATGACAATCAAAATTATCATTGCTGTAACTGGTCATGTAGTCATAGCTAGTATTTATAACTACTTTATTCAACTATCCATTCTGTATTCCCTTTGTCTTCAGGAAGCACCTCAGCTGGTAGTGGTTTTTTGTCTTTTGTGGTTACCCAATTTTTTATTCCTGAAGGGCTGTGATCACTAACAACCTTGTCCTCATTGGGCTGTTGTTTCCTATTAACCTTAATCACAGGGCATGGTAATACTAAGCAAAACTATAAGGGATCACCCACACTCTAGATGTATTTTACCTTACCTACATTATGGACTAGCAGTCCAATTTCCCCTTGGTAGTCAGGATCAATCACCCCAGATAATACTTTAACTCCCTTCTTTGCCTATTGATTGAGAAGCATGAGGAGTTCAAAGTGGCCAGGTGAGTCTTAGCTTCCATTTCAATGGAATCATTATTGTGTCTCCTAATGGAAGGACTCCTCCCTTTGCAACTAAGACCTCCAGCCCAGCACAGCACAGGGTTTGGGAAAAGAAAATAAATATTTTGCTAGTGAGTTATTAGTGGTAGTAGTGAGGGTTTTCACTCCCATTTCTACTCCTTAATTCCTAGACCCACGAATACTGGCTGTAGGAGAAACAGGATCATATATCAGATGCTGATACAGAACATACACAGCCTTCTGGAAACCCTTTCCCCATTCTCTCTCAACAAATGTTCTTGCTTTAACAAGAACATGCTGAAAGACTTGGAGTTTAATTTCCGTTACAATTCAGCCATTCACAGGATGAGATTCTGCATTTCACTTTCTGCAATCTCAACTCTGTGGACACCAAAAATAAGAGTTATCTTCAGATGACAATAAGTCCTCAGGTCACTTATGCTTGTGGGAATTTAAATCCTAAGCTCATCCTTTTCTTTCACCACTTTGTCCAGTGACATTAGGAGCAAACAGCCAACCTTATTATATTTGTTAGTTTTCCAAAACTGTTCAAAAGCATCATCTACACAGCCATTCAGTTCCTTGCTTTTTATAAGTGGTATCCAAGGCAGATATTTTGTATATCTCTATTACAAGATTATGTCATGGATGTTAGTGCTCTCTTTACTACTGGAAATAGAGTCATCCAAACCTTTACATCTAATCAGATTAGACAATTTATTCCAAAATATACAGCATCAATTTGGGAAAGTTATTTATAAAATTATGTTTCTGTAAAACCACTCCCAGTACCAATATATGTCTTAGTCAGGGTTATCCAGAGAAATAAAATCAATAAAATCTGTCCTCTGAAACCTGGAGACCCAGCTGGTGTAGTCTGAAGGCCTGAAAGTCAAAGATTCAATGGTGTAATTTTAGTCCCAGTTTGTAGGCCTGGCATTTCAAAGAAAGGAGAGGAATAGATATTCCAGCTCAATCAAGCAGGCAGAGAAAGAGTGAATTCTCCTGTCCTTCACCGTTTTCTTCTATTCAGACGCTCACTGAATTAGTTGATATCACACATAGAGAAGGGCAATCAAGTTTACTATGTCTATTGATAAAAATGCTAATTTCTCCCATAAATACCATGACAGAGACACTGAGAAATGTTGTCTAAACAGATGTCTGGACCCCATGATCCAGGAAAGTCAACACATAAAACAAAATATGACAATCAATAACTAATAACTTTTCAAATAAGAAACCACAATATTTGAATGGTTTCACTGCTGAATTACACCAATTGTTTAAGAAGAAATTGTACAAATTTTCCACAACCTCTGTCAGGAAGTAGAAAAAAACAAGAATGTTTCCTAACATTTTTTATGAAGACAGTGTTACCCTAATACTAAATATAGATAAAACCCTTACAGAAAAGAAAACTAAAGATTATGAACACAGGTGAAAATTTCACATGAACACAGATTCAAAATTTTTCAATAAAATATTGACAAATCAAACAACAACATATAAAAATAATTCTACACCATGATCAAGAAGGAATTATTCCAGGTACGCAAGGCTGTTCTACATCCACATTAAAGACATCTACCACATTAAAGACAAATAAAGAAGAAAATTGAATAATTATATCAATAGATACAGAAAAAGCATTTGAAAATACATGAAACCTATTCATAATAAAAAGTATTAGCAAATTAGAAGTAGAGAGGATGGGAACTCCCTGTATTTGATGAAGACACCTACAAAAATCCTACAGGTGGAATCATATTTAATGTTGAGAGACTGGAAGCTTTTCTCCTAAGACTGGGAACAAGGCAAAGATAACTTCTCTCATCATTTCTACTCAACATCATACTAAAAGTCTTAACTAGTGCAATAAGACAAGAAAAGAAATAAAAAAAGATAGAAAAGGAAGAATTAGAACTATCTGTGCTGAGTTTATATTATTATCTATATAACAAATCTCAAGGAATTTGCAAAAACAAGAAGTTTTTAAAATCTAATTTAAGTATAAGATCTCAGAAAACAAGGTCAATATACAAAAGTTAGTTACTTACTATGAAATTCATCCTTTGCAGTGAGCAATGAGAAACAATATTAGTTTCTAAAAATGCCATTTACAATTGCACAGACATGAAAATAAATGCTGATATAAATCTGACAAAATTTTTTAATAATCTACATGTCTTTTACTACATGTGAAAAACTACAAAATTCTGATAAAAGAAATTACAGAAGATCTAAATAAAGTGTGATAAGTTCAACATTACTTCACTAAATATTGTTAAGATGTTAATTCTCTCCTATTTGATGAATATATTCAATGCAATCCCAATTTTTTAGAAAAATACTTTTTTAGATATCAACAAACAGATATATAAAGTTTATATGAAACGTCAAAAAACCTGAAATACTCAATACAAACTGAAAAACCATAAAGTTGGAGGATGCATACTACCCAATTTTAAGACTTACTATAAAGGCACAGTGTCAAGACAGTGTGGTATTGACTAAAGAATTCACACATAGTTCAATGGAACTAGTGGGTCCAGAAATAGGCCTCATACAAATGTAATCAACTGATCTTTGACAAAGGAGCAAAATGCAATTCAATAGCAAAGGAATAGTCTTTGCAATAAATGCAGTAAGTGGTGCTGCAACAATGGGATATCCTTCTGCACACACATAAAAAAAATGAACCTGGACACACGAACCTCAGAGCTTCACAAAAAATCAACTTAAAATAGAACATAGATTTAAATGCAAAACTACAAATATAGGAGCAAATTTAGGTGACCTTGAATTTGGCCATAAGATTTCAGATACAACCACAAAAAGATTCTGTGAAAGCTTAGATGTTACTAAAATTAAAAACTTCAGCCCTGTGAAAGTCACTGTTAGGATAATTTTTAAAAAGTAATAGACTGGGAAAAAATTTGCAAGACATGCATCTGATAAAAGGCTTGTATCCAAAATATACAATAAACATTTAAGACTCAACAATAAGAAAACAATCACATTTGAAAGTTGGCAAAAGATTTAAATAGACACCTCATCAAAGAAGATACACAGATAGAAAATAAAGATGGTCAACATCATTTGTTACTAGAACATTGCAAATTAAAACAATTAGGAACCACTACTTATTTATTAGAATTGCTAAAATCTAAAAATCTGATAATACTTAATACTGAGAAGGATGCAGAGTAACAGGAACTTTCATTCTTTTCTGGTGGAAATGAAAAACCGTACAGATTCCTTGGAAGGCAACTTTTCAATTTCTTTTTTTTTTTTTTTTTTTTCTGGGACAGAGTCTCACTCTGTCACCCAGTCTGGAGTGCAGTGGCACAATCTTGGCTCACTGCAAGCTCTGCCTCCCAGGTTCATGCCATTCTCCTGCCTCAGCCTCCCGAGCTTTTCAATTTCTTATCAAGCTAAACATATAATTCAGCAATCGTGCTCCTAGATTTTTACTAAACTGATTTGTTAATTTTTGCCCACAAAAATTCTATTTATATTTTTATAGATGGTTTATTCATAATTACCCTAAACTGGTAGCAATCAAGATGTTCCCCAAGAGGTGAACAGATAGTCTGTGATACATCCATATGGTGAGATAATATTCAATGATAAAAAGATATGAGCAATCAAACCATGAAAAAAATGAAAGAATCTTAAATGCAAATTTCTAAGTGAAATAAGCCAATCTGAAAAGGATACAGACTAATGATTCTGATTATGTGATATTCCACAAGAAAGAAACCTATCAGGGGTTGCCAAATGTTTGTGGGGTGTAAAGGAGGATGGAAGAATAATTGATGCACAAATGATTCTTCTGTCAATAAAACTATGCTGTATGATACTGTAATAGTGGATACATGGCATTATATATTTGTCAAAACCAACAGAACTTTACAGAAGAAATAGTAAACCTTAATGTATGCAAATTTAAAAAGGAAACATATAGTATGTCTGGAGATCCCTGACACCAACTAAGCCAAAAAAACTAACTGTATTTCACATGTGTGACACAACCTCACTGAAGTCAGTAGAGGAAGAAAATGTGCTAACCTAAGTTACTTTATATATGATATAAATGAATTTTATTTGCCTCATGAACACTGTACTTTAGTTGACAAAAATGTTTTTGTTAAGAGGTAACTTAGGTTACAAGTGCTCTGCTGAATGAATTGATTAATGCCATTATCCTCAGAGTAGGTTAGCTACCTAGGAAGTGAGTTCTTGATAAAAGGATTAGTTCAGCACTATTCCTATTTCTCTGTCACATGCATACATGCTGTCTTGCTCTTCTGCCTTCCACCATGGGATAACACAGGAGGAAGGTCCTTGTTACATGTAGGTTCCTCAACCTTGGATTTCCCAGTCTCAAGAACTGTAAGAAATAAGTCTCTGTTCTTTACAAATCACCCAGTCTAAGGTATGCTACATTAGCACAAAATGGACTAAGACGCTATCTATCCATCTACCTATATGTCTATGTATCTATCTAATCTATCTGGCTATTATCTATCTATCTATCTATCTATCTATCTATCTATCTATCTATCTATCTATCATCTATCTGTTCCCACCTAAGCAGGTGAAAGTAAGCTACCTTATAAAGCAGAAGATAATATACACATCAAAACACTCTCTTACCTAATAAAGACTGGTACATTAAAGGTAGTGGTATACTGCTTTTACAGCTCAATGTTTATTTGCTCATTTGTTTTTCCCAACTGTGAACAAAATGTTATGCAAAAGCTATTATAATAGCAACTAGTATGCAGCTCCACCATCTTTAACTTAATTGGAGAGAGACATAAAGAAAAACCTTTGTTCTTAACATTCTTGCAAGAAGAAACAATATGCAGAGAATGTTTTTTTCTCTCTCTCTCTTTCTCTGTGTTTATGTATACGTTCATTAATCTATACTTACATACATTAAAATTCAGTTTTTTAAAATGAGTAGGAAAATGGGTGTTTCAGTCAACTAAATATTCTAATTAATTCAATATTTTATCCTGTGAGATGTTCAAAAGATCAAATATTTTTAAAAGTCATAATAATCCCATAAAATTACTGAGATAGTCCCTCTTTCTTCCTCATGTTTTGTCTAGGTCACTCCTACCAGACTGAACATGAATTTGATAATTTTTTTTATCTTATTCATGCACAAGCTTAGATTTGATTCCTTATTTTATATTTATAAACTATTTTTGTCTTGCCTCTGACTTTTTTGTATCAGATTGAATTTTATTCTACTGTTTTATTTAAGCCCTTTCTTGCAATTACCATCATCCTGCACCAATATAGAAATTTCAGTGTGTTTACTTCTTCCTTGAGCTCACAATGAGATCTCCTGTTATAGGCTAATGGCTACAGGCATATTTTACTGTCATAATTTTCACAGAACCCATACATAAATAATCCAAACTAACCCTAAAATTATACCAAAAAATTAATGTGATTAGGATGGTAATTCACAGTCACATAGTGTTTTGGAATCTTTGTGGTGAAAATAAATTGTTTGTTTAAAACTATTGACTTAGAAGTTGGACTCTATTATTGTGTAATGACTGAAACAAGAAGTAACATTTTTCAATATATCTCTATATAAGGAATATTCTCTGATATGGCTTGGCTGTGTCCCCACCCAAATCTCATCTTAAATTGTAACTCCCACAATTCCCACATGTCCTGGGAGGAACCGGGTGGGAGGTGATTGAATTATGGGGGTGGATCTTTCCTACGCTGTTCTCAAGACAGTGAATGAGTCTCATGATATTTGATAGTTTAAAAATGTAAGTTTCTCTGCACAAGCTCTCTTTTTGCCTGCTGCCATCCACGTAAGATGTGACTTGCACCTCCTTGTCTTCTGCCATGATTGTGAGGCTTCCCCAGCCATGTGGAACTGTGAGTTCTCCATTATACCTCCTTCCTTTGTATATTGCCCAGTCTTCAGTATGTCTTTATCAGCAGCATGAGACTAGACTAACACATTCTCATTTTGTGCGTTTCAGAGAAAAAATAATAAGGCAAGAAATTCCATTTTTGAAAATTATTATTGCTTAAACTTTAGATAAATGGGAATTGACTGTGTTTGTTTACCCTAACATGGACTAGGTGCTGGCAAATTACAACTGCAGTTTTGTTTCTGCAGCCTCAAATTTAATCTTTTATTTTGTCAGATGTGGCTAAGTGAAAAATTTCCCCCCCTCCAAAAAAAAAGACTAAAATAGTGAGCCTTAAAAAATCCTATTTCTCTTCTAGACTTGGATCCCTAAGTACCAGTCAAGGAAAATATCTAATTTCTTCAAGGAAAAAGAGTTCATATTTCTTTTGAAACATATCATGTTGCCATAGTTACCAAATGCTCTCATTTTATTTCCTAACAATAATATCACCATCTAGATACACATAGCTTACAAAAGTAAATGTTTTATTGTGGAATTTTATAAGGACACAGGATCTGCTTCCAGTGACTTTTAAAAAATTAAAATGGAAGGATTCTTTCTAATAAATACACCTGAGTTGAAATTAAATGTTTTCTGAGCAAGAGCATAGGAGAAAAGGAGGAGCAGAGAGAAATTGAAAAAGACACATACAGTTTTAACATTTCAAAGGTGAAGGTGATTTAAATTAGCATTTGGGCATGGTTGTTCTTCTCCACCCCAGTGTATATAAACATTCTCATATGGGTTGCCATGTCTCCAGGAGTGATACCATCATCTGGACAGGCCATTAGAAATTAAAACATACTTACACATATACACATGCACATCTTAGAATAAGAAAAATTATAAACCAGCTTATTTCTATTTGTCTTGCCAAATATAAACTTTAGAGACAAAATTTTAAACAAAGCAGCAACTATGAAAATAAATAATGAGATCCCTGTGTACAGAATTACGTACACAGGGTTTACATATTTGAAATCAAGCTCCAAGTAGAAAGGAATCAGTTTTCTCTGTCTTTCTTTTCTCTTACTTTTTAAGAAGCTATCACAAGAATTTTATTTACAGGAATTTAAGGTGGAAACATACACCTTTTGGGGAGTAAATCATGACTAAAAACATAATTAATGTGGTCATTTTGAACAATATTATCAAATAGTTTCCTCAATGAATCATAAAAATCATCAAATATGTACATGATTTGAAAAATCTTGAAAACTAAGAAAGTTGAAATATGTAAAAAGTAAATTAATTTCATAGTCTACCTTTATAGATAAAACATCAATAGCTAATATTAAACTATAAGCATTATTAAAATATAAACATTAATAGAAAATTTAAAATTAAATTTAAAACTTAATTTCTTTATGTCTCCCTATTTCATACTTAAAAGGTTCCTTATTCTAGCCTAAATGGTGTATCACAAACTGCAAATTACAATACTTGATGTTTTAATGCACTATGTCGGTAGGTAGGGGGCAAGGGGAGAGAGGAAGAGCATTAGGACAAATACCTAACGCATGCGAGGCTTAAAACCTACATGACAGTTTGTTAGGTTCAGCAAACCACCACGGCACATGTATACCTATGTAACAAACCTGCATGTTCTGCACACATATCCCAGAACTTAAAGTAAAACTTAAAATAAGAAAATAATAATAATAAAGAATGTGTTATTTAAATGTCATCTTTAGCATTTCAGTTTTGTTTACTGGAGTCATAATCTCAATATTATTTTTAAATATAGATAATTCAAAATTATTTAACATAAAGTATACTTCATTTTATTCATAAAGTTTTACCCATCATTTTTAAAATGAATGATTTAGGCAGAGCATTATGGCATTTGAGAAGAACTGGCCTTCATTGTAAGTTGACTGTAGGATTTATTGATACAAGCAAAAATGCATAAAAAAGAAAAATTTTTCATAATTTTGTTTTTCAAAAACATATGCATATGTGTATGTGTGTATGTATATGTGTATATTTAAATATGTATCATGTACTTTAGAGAGATTTTTACATCCAGTATAGCTCTTAGGTTAAAGGCCATGATTCCCATTTTGTAAGTTTTCTCTTGATTAAAAAACTAGTTTTGTGTGATGGTGGGTGAGATGTTATATTATTTACTTCCTCAAACTCTATTGGCCTTCCTTAAACTTATTTTGGTGTATTATTGTTTGTATTTTTAATTGTATGCTTGGAGGGATCCTTTATCTTTCCAATCAGCCTTGTCCAGGTCTGAATCCCATCTCCTTTCACCTCCTTGAGAATTTTTATTCTCAAGAGGTCAATTTTTTTTTCTGTCTTCTGACTCTCATTTTCCACTAGTGGAGGCTTATCTAATTATAAACAATAAAGAAATGATTTTGAAATTATCTTTTTACGTATACACCCAAACTGGTATCTGTAGATTCTTTCTTATCTTTTGCTTACCCATTTCTGAAATGTTCCCATGCCTAAAGCCAGATGCTCTTTTTTTTTTTTTTTTAATCTGCTGCAGTCTTTTTGGACAACTTAGTCCTCTTCCAATTGCTTCACCTCTCACTCATAACTTGCTGACTCCAGAATCTATAACTCTTTAATTCTCTTCTGAGGTCCTGAGGTCCTGAGATATATATATATATATATATATATATATATATATATATATATATAAAATATAAAATATATATATATAAAATATAAAATATATATATATAAAATATAAAATATATATATATATATATACAATGTTTTATTGAAACTTCCCAATTATTGCATGTCAGGTATTCTCATTTCACAGCCCAGGAAACAGATACTTACAGAAGTTAAGTATTACAGCAGGTTTACTCAATTAGCACATGTCCAAGCTAGTATTTAATCCAAAACTTTTGATTTTTTTTCTATTATATACGCTTTCTTTCCATTTTCTTGAATTCCAGTTTTGTCTACCAGGGTAAAGTACATGATTGCTAAAGAAGGGAGGCTTTAGAATTTCTCTCTCTATCTATCTTTTTTATTTTTTATTTTTTTGGAACCCACTTGCATGAATTTTTCAGATTCCAGAAATAATGCTTTGCAATGAATGAGGTAGTACTTTTAATTCTATATATTTTTGCCATAATGTCTATGCACCCAGCCTGTGAAATAAATTGCACTGATCTGTGTCTTTAGTGCCTGTCACTTAAAATTTTTCCAAACCACCTTAAATGTTGAAGTTAATAAAATTGGTAATGCTCGACGTGGGGGAAAAAAAAAAACAATGAAAACCACTAAGATGTTCTACTTTGTGGTCTCTGCATGACATCTAGTGGTTGGAACTGGAAAATTTGAGGAAATTATGATTAGTATCAGGGAAAATACAGTCTGTGTTAGTCTGGAGTCCTCATTCCTAACATCAAAGGAAACATGATGTAGATATCCTCTACTTCCAAAGAGGTTGGCTACTGGCGGGTAGGCCTTTCTTAATCATTTCTGTTTCTCAGTCTGTGTATCAGGGAATAACAATTTCTCTCTGTGTTAAGCAATCGGTGCTCACTGGGGCTTGTGAAACATTGGTCTGTAATCAGTACCTACTTTTGATAGATATGAGTTGGATAATTATAAGATGCAAAAGTAAATAAATCCTTTGGTTTTCTTTCTTTATACGCAAGTATTAATGATAGTAAATCTATGACCCTATTATTCAAAACTGTATTTAGAAAAGCTTTTTATATACTCCAGTTTTGATTCTTCTAAAGAGCTTATAAAATCGAGTAACTGCTTAGCTTTGAGTCTTAGGGATGATATTGGGTGTAGGTCCTTGATAATCCAAGATTTAGGATCTGCCTACCAGAAATTTTAGTCAGCTTAGATAACTGACAATGGAAAATGGTACATGATATGTTCTAAATAAACGACACAGCCAATGTCGTAGGGATGCCGCAAAGGATTTGGAGTCCAAGAGGTCAGAGAAGGGATCACGAAGGAGGATGGATCTGAACTGAGCTGCAGTTGATAGATGGGCAGCTTAAGGTATTGTTAAGCAAACAGGCAACAGAGTGAGATTCCTGGGTGTTGGCTTTCCTTCAGTGTGACCTTGGACAAACTATCTAGTTGCTCCACATTTTACTTTCTTTGTTTGCATCACAGTATGTACACACACACATAGATACATAGCATCTATTTCTTGTGGTGAAGATCAGCACAATGTCTCGGCTGGCAAATTATCAGTTCTTTTTATTATAAATAAATTAAAAATGCAAATGTTTAGGTCAAGTGTTATTCTCTGAAAATGCACAAAGAGAAATGAGCCAAGAGAAAAATAATAATAAATAAATATTATATTTCTGACACCAAGACAAGTCCAAGAGAATTTAAAAAGTAATTATAAATATTTTATGGTAATGTATTTCAAATATACATGCTGCAGATTCCAGGATTTATGTCATGGGGATGGATCAGGAGTCCTTGAAACCTGGCACTTATTAATAAATGTTGTTTCTAATTTTCTATCACTGCAAGGTACTCTTATAGACACCATGTGAACAAATCAAATGTTACATCTCTGGGATTATAGGCTCATAAAAAATCAACACCTAGGGCATAACTTGAATCACAGTAACTTTATGCATTTCAAATGGGATAAAGTCAGCCAAGAAGTGTTTAGGTCTGCAGTCGATTGCTCAAGATTATTGTATCAACCAACTCTGGAATTAACTTCTGGGATGAAGAGTAAGAAAAAAGTAAAATCACTCCACATAGGCTCAAAGGAGACTTTTGTTGAAGTGGGTTTCCCCATGGTCTTTGAAGTGGGTGAGGCCTAGTGCTTGTTAAATCCAGGGGCCTTGTGATGAATGAAGTATAAGAGAGATTGATGACAGATTTGAAATCCCACAGTAGTTGTTTTGTGCTTTGCTTTGAGAAGGTTGGTGATAATTAAACTGCTTTTCCAGCAGAGTCTTTGTTCCTAACCCAAGTATCATATTTAAAGAAGAGCCAAGTAGTATAGGCATTTTTTGATGATGACACTAAGCTGACTCTGACCTATCTTCTTCCATGTTTATTTCCCAAAACATACACATTGGTAGTTGAAGTTATTTCCTATGAAGTGACCAAGTGACTTGGGGCCTGTGTGTGTGTGTGTGTGTGCATATGTTTATGGATGTGCTTCAAGAGGGCTCAACCTTCTTCACCTTCTCAGGATCATTTAGTTTCAATGTCATCTTTGCCTCTGTTATTTATCAGCAGGAGATAGCTGACCAAGCTCAGTGCTGAACTCAAGCAACGCTGGCATGTCTACCCTTGATGTTTAACAGACCTGAACTAAACAAAGCATATTCAGTTTGAGTCATTTTAAATATTTGGTCATCTTTTAACTCCATGTAAGCCTTCTGGTTAAACCTTATTTCAAATAGTAAAAGAATCATAGCTTGAATATAGTGCCTGACTTATGACAGTTTCTCAATAAATAGTTGTGATTTATAATCCTAAAAGTAGGAGTACATTTGCTGCTGGAGGACAAATAGACTTAAAAAGAACATGTAATATAACTTTACATCTGAAATAAATAATAACACTATCATAGAGTTTATCTCTTCGTTGCCTGCCTTTTTAGCTTCCTTATCCTTTTAATTTCTGCTTCTTTCTTTTTTTGTTTCTTATTTTTCTCATAAATAGGTAGGACCAGATATATAAATATCCAGCACGGGCTATGTGCTGGAGATGTAATCAGCATTTTGAGAGTCCTAACTACTCAAAACACGCTTTTAACACATCAGTAGAATTCGATATTTTAAACAGATTCAGTACTTTATTAAAATATTTTCATATCTTGATAACATGTAAAAAATCTATGTATTGCCAGTTTCTTTTTGTATCTGCTCCCCCTTTTTCTATTGTATTTGTATTGAAATATTAATTTTAACACATAATATGTATATAAAAGTTTAAATCCCTAACATTTTTAATAACGTGTACTTTTTGAACATACCACAACTAGAGTTTCACAGCAAAGTTCCCCGTTTTATTAAAATCCGCCAGGGGATGTTTTCAACTTGTGAAATAACCTAATTGCAATAAACCTGGGCTGAGCTAGTGCCTATGATTAGCATGTTGGCAATGATCAATTGATTAAGGTTATATTGATATGTCAAAAAATGTGATGAGGGAAGAAAGGAAATTGCTGCTCCACAGTGTTTGTAAGTGCCAAAACAGATATGTATTTTATATTGTGAGAAAAGGGTTGATGTGAATTTGTCTAAACAGCAGGATGTGAAAAGTATTGGTTCTATAAGAAAAAATCATCCTGGATTCACTAGTATGCAGGAGAAAGCAACTTTATTCTTTTTTTCTCTGTCTCACTAAATAAAATCTCTAGCAGAACATACCACTCCTGATAATTACATGCTCAGCAATTGATGTTTTGACATTTCAAATGGTCCTACTCATTCAGTACCAATACATAGTCCAATCCATCGTAAAAAGTCCAAATGACAAACATGTATCTGTTTAACGTTTCTTGTCTCCCCTAACTTGGGCTCACTCCAGTGTTAGGAGCCTGTAGTGGAGGGAGAAATGTGATGGCTTTGTTTCCTTCTCCTTACCTTACTTTCTCTTCTGCTACCTTGCCTAACAGATAGGGCCAAGGTAAGCTGATATTTGGAGTAGTGAACACAGGCTTATGCGTATGGTACACCAGAGATGGTGTTGGTACTCTCTGGACTTGGTGAATGAATGTTGAAAGTGCAATTGTCTTCCAGTAGGATGACAGTGAAGGTTACTCTTAGATTCTTTCTGGGGTCCTTTGGCCACTATTTTTTGAAGCGAGCCATTGGACTTCACCTTGTCTCTTGCTCTTGCTGCAGCTGCGTTTTCTCTCTTGATGGTAGTCTGGATCAAGATCCCTTTTACAATAACACAAGCCTAGCATGTTCTTAAATCTAGTCCTTGGGAAATTCATGCTTTTGCTTTGTCATTGTAAAACACATAGATCGCTGTATCCTTGTTCAGTAAGCTACAACATACTCGTATCTCCTGAAATCCTGCGCTTAAATCAATGTCTCAAAGGCTTTGTTTTGTTTCGTTGTATGGTTATATGGGTGAGTTTGTGTGTGTGTGTGTGTGTGTGTGTGTGTGTGTGTGTGTGTTCTCCTGAAACTCCCCTCCTCACTTGACTTAAGCTAAAAGATAAACGCCTTCTTCCTTTCAGCCACAGATGGTGATGGATAAATGGAATGCCATTCACACTGTTCCCTTAAAATAAACTCTCTCCCTCCCCTCTCCCCTCTCATCCTTGTCCCTTTTTTTATATAATGGGTAATGCATTAATGTCAGCAGAATAGTTCTGGGGCCATCATTTGGCAAGTACCACGTGGATGGTTTAGCAATTGTTTTTAGAATGCTGTGAATTTGGGTGTATGTGAGTTTTGGGGAAAGTTTTGCAACTATATGTTTGTTAATTAAATGAGGACTATAATGTAACATAAAATTATGTTTCTGGAACATATTTTGGAAGCTATAAAGTCATCTGTATTTATTATCCACAGACATAATGTCATTGTTCAGGTCCTGCAACCTTCTTATAATCAACATACATGGGCCCAGGGATTTTATGTGTCTTCGCCTTCCTAGTTTCCATGGACAATCATTCCTCATACAAAAAGAAGGAATTACCCATGATTTAAGATCTTTTCAAAGTGATCCCCAATAATGACATCTGCATTATTTTAGCTTGGAAATATCAAAGCAACAAAGATACAGACCTCTGCACAATTGGCTGCATGTTTTGAAAGATAATGTTCCACAGGCTAATAATACATCTCTACAGGCTGGATTATGGAGAGGAGGTGGGAAAACAAAATGAAACTGAGATGATAAGTAGAATAGTAAAAAAAAAAAAAAAAGTAGTAAATTTCATAAGGTAGGCACAAATCCTAAAGAGCTTGAGTTTCTTATAAGAAATAGCACTGGAGCAACAACAGGAGGGAAAATATGTACCTTATATGCAAAAATATCTTCTTCCTGGATTTGAGAAACTAATAAAATTTTAATAGATTTTAAATGCAAAATCTTATTTATTACCAAGTGTGTTTTTCATAATACCCATTATTATTAAAATTTTATATAAAAGTGAGAAATGCCAGCTATTGAAATGTAAGCGTAATGTTTTTCAATTAAAATCTGTAATTCTTCCACCTAAGGTGCTGTTTTACAATGCCTTTTTTCTTTCGAAATCTCTCTCACTCAGTAACTGGCTTATTTCTAAAACACTAAACACAATGATAAGGAGAGAATAATTGTTCTATGCCTGATTTTCTTTGAAAACTATGATGAATTTCAACAGAAGCTATTGTAAAATTGACTGATATGTTTGAGGATATTGAAGTATATGTAATACTTTAATATGAATTATTTTGACATGTCACTTATTGGTAGTTATTCAAGCCTGGCATTTTCTGCTCTCAAATAAAATTGAGGCATATGGATTAATTTGAACTGCAGCTAATATGTAATTCGTAAAAAAACTGTTCTGACTCAAAAGCCAATTAATGCATTTGCCTTACATATATCACTATTGAAAGACAAATGCAGCACTCTTCATGACGTTTTAATAGATTCTAAATTCCCAGCATACACTAAGGTTAGAAATTTCTCAAAATAGTGATTCTCAGTATAAATGCTACATATTGTTTCACTGTGCTTGCTTTGCATTAATATTTCTAAATCCTTAAAAGCAAAGGCAAATTAGCAGTAGCATAGGATTTAGGGCCTTAGATATTTAAGGTTTCCCATACTTAGATTGAAAGAAGTCATATATTTTTTAACAATGCAAATTATTTTTATCATTTTAGACTATGTCTTAGATTTTTATACATATTAGTATGTTAACATATAATTTAAAGATATTCTAAGGTAGGAAAATTGTATGGGCAAGGCTAGAAGAAATGTATAATAGTTAATGAGGTCCCTCAGGGCTAAAAAAATCAAAAAGCCATTGGCATCCATGGGCCTAAAGGGACAAAGAGAGAGACTGATTAGTAGCATACATAGAAAATAGCCATAGTCAGAGCTGCTTGACAGGGGCTGCAACATTCAGTGGATGGATGTGGAGAATAAGTGGTAACTCAGCAGAGAGAGCAAGGGGGAGAAATGTTCAAACTTATTGTCTATTTGCAGAAGACATTGTCTTATATATTGATATGGTTTGCCTGTGTCTCCACCAAAATCTCATCTTGAATTGTGGCTCCCATAATTCCCACATGTTGTGGGAGGAACCCCAGTGGGAGATAATTGAATCATGAGGGCAGTTTCCTCCACACTGTTTTCATGGTATTGAATAAATCTCACGAGATCTGATGGTTTTATAAGGGGAAACCCCTTTCCCTTGGCTCTCATTCCCTCTTTGCCTGTTGCCATGTGAGATGTGCCTTTCACCTTCTGCCATGATTGTGAGGCCTTCCAAACCACGTGGAACTGTGAGTCCACTGAATCTCTTTTTCTTTGTAAATTACCCAGTCTCAGGTATATCTTTATCAGCAGCATGAAAACGAACTAATATAGTAAATTGGTACCGAGGTAGTGGGGCACTGCTATAAAGATACCCTAAAACGTGGGAGCAACTTTGGAACTGGGTAACAGGCAGAAGCTGAAACAGTTTGAAGGGCTCGGGCTCAGAAGAAGACAGGAAGATGTGAGAAATTTTGGAACTTCCTAGAGACTTGTTGAATGGCTTTGACCTAAATGCTGACAATGATATGGACAATGAAATCCAGGTGGAAGTGGTCTCAGATGGAGATGAGGAACTTGTTGGAAACGGAATAAAGGTGACTCTTGCTATGTTTTGTTTGTTTGTTTGTTTTTGAGACGGAGTACTCAGGCTGGAGTGCAGTGGCACGATCTCAGCTCACTGCAAGCTCCGCCTCCCGGGTTCACGCCATTCTCCTGCCTCAGCCTCCCCAGTAGCTGGGATTACAGGCACCCGCCACCACGCCTGGCTAATTTTTTATATTTTTAGCAGAGACGGGTTTTCACCGTGTTAGCCAGGATGGTCTCGATCTCCTGACCTTGTGATCCGCCTGCCTTGGCATCCCAAAGTGCTGGGATTACAGGCTTGAGCCACGGCACCCGGCCGGACTCTTGCTATGTTTTAGCAAAGACACTGGTGGCATTTCCCCCTTGCCCTAGAGATTTGTGGAATTGTGAACTTGAGAGAGATGATTTAAGGTATGTAACAGAACAAATTTCTAAGCAGCAAAGCATTCAAGAGGTGACTGGGTGCTGTTAAAAGCATTCAGTTTTAAAAGGAAAACAGAGAAAAGTTCAGAAAATTTGCAGCCTGAGGTGATAGAAAAGAAAAACCCAGTTTCTGAGGAGAAATTCAAGCTGGCTGCCAAAATTTGCATAAGTAACAAAGAGCCAAATGTTAATAGCCAAAACAATGGGGAAAATATCTCCAGGGCAGTACATCAGAGACCTTTGTGGCAGCCCCTCCCATCACAGGCCCAGAGACTTAGGAGAAAAAAAAATGGTTTCATGGGCTGGACCCAGGGCCCCCTTGCTGTGTGCAGCCTAAGGACTTGGTGTCCTACATCCTAGCCACTCTAGCCATGGCTAAGAGGGGCCAAGGTACAGCTTGGGCCATGGCTTCAGAGGGTCCAAGCCCCAACCCTTGGCAGCTTCCATGTGGCATTGAGCCTGCAGGTATACAGAAGTGAAGAATTGAGGTGTGGGAAGCTCCGTCTAGATTTCAGAAGATGTATGGAAATGCCTGGATGTCCAGGTGGAAGTTTGCTACAGGGGCAGGGCCCTCATGGAGAATCTCTGCTACGGCAGTGTGGAAGGGAAATGTGGGGTTGGAGCCCCCACACAGTGTCCTCACCGGGGCATTGTCTAGCAGGGGAGCCTACTTCTTTCATCAGTGTAATCTGGATGTGAGACATGGAGTCAAAGGAGATCATTTTGGAGCTTTAAGATTTGACTACCCTGCTGGATTTTGGACTTGCATGGGTTTTTTTTATCCCCTTTTTTTTGGCCAGTTTCTCCCATTTGGAATGGCTGTATTTATCCAATGCCTGTACCCCCATTTTATCTAGGAAGTAACTAATTTGGTTTTGATTTTACAGGCTCATAGGCAGAAGGGACTTGCCTTGTCTCAGATGAGACTTTGAACTGTGGACTTTTAAGTTATTGCTGAAATGAGTTAAGACTTTGGGGGACTGTTGGGAAGGCATGATTGTTTTTGAAATGTAAGGATATGAGATTTGGGAGGGGCCAGGGCCCCTGCAATGATATGGTTTGTCTGGGTCCCCACCCAAATCTCATCTTGAACTGTAGCTCCCAAAATTCACACGTGTTGTGGGAGGGACCCATTGGGAGATAATTGAATCATGGGGGGCAGTTTCCTCCATATTGTTCTCGTGGTAGTGAGTAAGTCTCACAAGATCTGATGGTTTCATAAGGGAAACCCCTTCCACTTGGTTCTCATTCCCTCTTTGCCTGCCGCCATGTGGGATGTGTCTTTCACCTTCCACCATAATTATGAGGTCTTCCTAACCACGTGGAACTGTGAGTCCATTGAACCTCTTTTTCTTTGTAAATTACCCATTCGTAGGTATGTCTTTATCAGTAGCATGAAAACAGACTAATATGTGTATAGATTATACTAAAGAATCCACAAATGTTATTAAAACTAAGAAATTAGTTCAACAAGATTGCAGGACACAAGATCAATATGTCCATGAACTAAGGCATTTGCATTATTAAGAAAATATTAGTATTTAGAATGTATTAGTACTTTCCAATTTTATTTACATATTTGAAGTAATCCCTGTCAATCTCAGATGGTTTCTTTACAGAAATTGACAAGCTAATCCTTAATTTTATAAGAAAATTTGAGGGATCCAGCATAGCCAAAATGATCTGGAAAAAGAACAAATTTGGTAGAATCACTATTCCTGATTTCAAACCTTACCACAACACTACAATAATTAGACAATGCTGTACTTATATAATGGCATATATTTGAGAATCCAGATATAAAACTTCACATTTATGGTCAATTAATTTTCAACATAGGTGCTGCAACAATTCAACAGGGGAAAGAATAGTGTTTTCAGCAAGGCTGGGACAACTGAAAATCCACATGCAAAAGAATGAAATTGGACAACTGTTTTACACTGTACACAAAAATTAACTCAATATAGATCAGAGACTTAAATGTAACAGCTAATCCTATCGCATTACAAGAGGAAATGGGTGCACAATTTTTGTGGTCTAGAATTGGGCAGTTGCTACTATTCTCACCCCAGAATAACTTAACATCCACAAATTATTTAAAATGTGAGTATTTTTAACAACAAAAAGCACTACTTTGTTCTATCAACAAATATCACTTATGTTTGTAATTTGTGACACTTATTCATATAATCCTGTAGCTATATATTTTGAACATGTTTAATATTAGTACATTTAGTTATGATAATTCTGAAAACTATTTCAGATATAATAAGGATAGAGGTATTCATTGCTATTGTGTGGTTGACGTTCTTTTTGTCTTGTTTCAACAACTGCATATGTAAAGCCTTTAAAGAAATTTATAAATGAATGTTGTGGACTTAGTAAGAAATCAGAAAAGTGATCAAATTATCTATTAAAATGGTCCTGTTATCTAAGTTGGAATACATTCCTTCATTATGAATAGCATTAAGTGCTATCATTTTAAACTCATTTACATGACCTCTTCTTCCTTTTCAGTGATAGCTAAAATCCACTTAAATTTAATTTCCACTTGTGACTCTTTCTGAATCCATTGGAAGAGCTCCACATCATTTCCTGTACCAGCGAACAAGATGAACAAGCTGCATCTGATCCATGAATCTCAATTTCTGGGGCACATGCCCCGACCCAGTCTAAAGGCCCATGAGAAAAGACGGGGTCTTGAAATTGATCAATGACACTGGAAAGAGAAACATTCTCTTTCTCAGATTGGTTATGCTGTTTCTTTTTTCCCCTTCTATCAATGAATTATTCATTTTTCAGAGGTCATTTCTGCTAGTTCCTTTTCTACACTTTTGCATGCACACACACAAATTTATTATATAATTTTCTGCTTAAAGATTACTTAGGTTCTTGCTGTGTTTTGCTATCAGTGAATAATACTTTGATTCACACACGGAAGTTCATGTTTTTACACATGTTTAAGAATCCTTATAAAATAACATTCTAGAAGTATAAATTTGGGGGCAAAGAAAAAATCTGACATTAATTTTAATGAGTAATGCTGAATTATCCCTTTTCCAGGAGAAGCTTTAACAATCTACAATTCCACAATAACTTCAAAGAGTGTGAATTTTTCTATGGCCTAGGCAATACTGGGTATTAGGTCGTTCAGTGTTGTCAATCTAATGAATTAAAAAAAAGGTAAAATGTTGCATTAATTTTCATGAGTGTTTGATTTGGAATATTTTTACATATTTGATAGGTCATTCATTTGTTTTCTTCATACATTTTATCTCTATTTGTTTTGCGTTGAGAATTTTTTATATACTGGTGATGTTGATATATTATCTTACATATTTTACAAAGCTTTTAGCTCTGTATATCTTTCTGACATTTAGTAAGACATTAATACATGTATTTATAAAGCTATTTTTCTGGTGTATGTTATGGATTTTACGTTGTTCTAATATTTTTTCAGTTTATTATCTTTAATTATCTTGAAATGTATTAAAATTTCTTGAATTTTCTATATTAGTAGTTCTCATATTTTAGGGTGCATAGGAATTACCCAGGATGCTTATTACAGCAAAAATCACTGGGTACAGCAGGTCTGTGATAGAGCCTGAGACAATGCATTTCTTTCTTTTCTTTTCTTTTTTTTTTTTTTTTTTTGAGACAGAGTCTTGCTCTGTCGCCCAGGCAGGAGTGCAGTGGCGCGCTCTCGGCTCACTGCAAGCTCCGCCTCCCAGGTTCATGCCATTCTCCCGCCTCAGTCTCCCGAGTAGCTGGGATTACAGGCACCCGCCACCACAGCCGGCTAATATTTTTTTGAATTTTTAGTAGAGATGGGGTTTCACTGTGTTAGCTAGGATGGTCTCAATCTCCTGACCTTGTGATCCACCCACCTCGGCCTTTGGGATTACAGGCTTGAGCCACTGGACAATGCATTTCTAATAAGTCTAGAACCTGCAGCTGCTGCTGGTTTAGGGCCACACTTTGAAAACCATATTTTCGTATAGTAATTATTTAATCTACAAATATTGAGTGTCATCTTCAGAGTTAGCTAGGATTATAGTATTTTATAGAAAAATATAAAGGAATGATAGCAGGTATCCCTGTTTTATTATTCATTATAATAAAAATTTTTCCACTATTTTATTATGTATTATTGCAGTAGGGCTCCAATGGTGTGAATCTTTCTCCTTTGCTAAGTATATTAAAATGTTTGTTTTTGTCTAAGTATGTTTATAGTAGGTTTCTACCTGTGGCTTATAGTAATAGAGTTAAAATTTCTTATTTTTTAGTTTAAGGGGTTTTTTTTTTATTGGCAATGAATGCAACATTTTATCAAATTATTTTGAAATTTAATAATATGATTGCCTTATTTTTTCAATCTTTTCATGTGATGAAGTATATCAATGGATTTAATAATGTTGAGACATACTTGTATAATGGAAGTAATCTTACTCAGTTGTGATACTCAATGTTATTCTGGTGTTTAATTTATATTTGATTCTGTTTAGTTCAAAACTGCAAAGAATCTGAGATGTTACTTTGCAAGATCAAAAATTAGTATGCGAGAGCTATATAGCTATATACGTACATATATATATATAGCTCTCATTACTTGAGAATCCGTAATTTTAATATGTGTATTAAAATGTATGATTTAAATTCCCCACAGACACACTGCATCCTTGGCTTTTACAGAGATGTTAAAAATGAATTAATCTTATGACATTCACCATAGTGTTATTCAAGCCAGCATAAACAAAACTTCCCAAGAAAAATATCTTCCTGCTAGAAAAAGAGGTCTCTGTTTCCCTTTATCAAAATATTTGAGCCTTGTTGAATATAATACATGTTGTATATTGAAATGAACTTTATTGTATAGTTTTGTTCATCTTGGACATCTTGTACACGTAGTTTTTTATAGTTATAAATTCACGTAGTTATAAATTCAGCAAACTAATGCAAGAACAGAAAACAAAATATCACAAGTTCTCAGTTATAACTGGGAGCTAAATTATGAGAACACATGGACATATAGAGGGGAACAACAAACACTGGAGCTTATCAGAGGGTGGAGGGTTGGATGAGGGAGAGGATCAGGAAAAACAACTAATGGGTACAAAGCTAAATACCTGTATGACAAAATAATCTGTACAACAAACTCCCATAACATGAGTTTACCTATATAATAAATCTGCATATGTACCCCTGAACTTAAAATAAAAGTTAAAAAATAAAAATAAAGGACCAAAAACCATCTTAAAGCAGGCACAATATATAAGCATTCCATATGGAAAATCCCAATATACATTATAAATATTTTCCTTCTTCAATAATAATGAATAAAATACAAATTTAAACAACATTGTGATGCCATTTCTCATCTATAAAAATAGAATAAAAACCCTCAAAAGTTTAACAACATACCCTGTGGGTAAAATTATACCGAAATAGACATTTTTGCACATGGTTGGCGAGAATACAAAATAACAAAATCTTTGTGAAGGGGACTATGACATCATCTTGAAAAACTGCATATACATTTATGCCTTTACCTGACATTACCATGAAATATATCCCATATACAACCTGTTAATAATTCACAGTGACATATGATCAAGACTATTTATCATGATTTCATTTGTAAACATAAGATGTTGGAAATAATTCAAAGGTCCATCAGCAGTGGACTTGTTAAATATTCTCTGCTACATATACATGGAGGAATATAAAAACAAATGAGGCAGAATTTCTTGATACAAATATGCAGTAACCTCCAGGATATATTCTTAGGTAATATAAAAGAACCAAGATGGAAATATCATTTCTGTTATAATCAATCTCAATAATTTGAGACACAGGACCTTGTGGGCCCTAACTAAATAATCTGGTCTCCTATCTTTTACGTAAACGTCTGTTTATGTTTCTCAAGAGAAACATATTTTTTGAATTGAGTCCATGTACTGTAGAGCAGACACCTTGAAAATGCAATATATTGCAACATTATACTGGATTTCCCTCCATCACATTTTCCCTATTTCCATTTTCTAACTTTCTGTGTTTTCCTCATAAGTAACCAGCCCACACCTAAGACCTTATCTCAGCCTCTACTTTTGATGGCACCCAAGTGAAGACACCAAAGAATAACAAAAATCCCATAAGTTCTGGTACATTTCTCCATGGTAGCTACTATATTTAAGTGCACAGTAAATAATTCATTGATCAGGGATGCTTCTAACTCATTTCAAATCTGTGATAGTCCTCAATGGGACCAAAACATATGATTTGGTAAGATCAAAAGTGTCACTACTATAGATTTTTGCGTGAAACAAGTCTTAATATTCTTATTTTACATTCCAATTTTGTCTTACCTTCACAGAAGATTATTAAATGTTGTAATAGTAAAACTCCCAATGTACTAGCAGATATCATTTGCATTTTTTAAATGTAAATAATAATTGGCTGAAGATTTTGAATGACGTATGAGCAGATACATCTGGATGAAATTTAAACTAGTTATTTTTCAGCTTACTATTTGATTTTAGTGTGCTTCTTTTTTCAACGTTGGTTTACAACTTCATTTTGGCCCTCAGTAATTTATACAATAAACTCAGGCACAAGGAATTAGGCAATAATGCAAAGTATATACAATATGCAATAATG
The DNA here is from genome assembly GCF_000001405.40 of Homo sapiens. Lineage (NCBI taxonomy): Eukaryota > Metazoa > Chordata > Mammalia > Primates > Hominidae > Homo > Homo sapiens. Next base: position 131,844,824 of record NC_000002.12, on the reverse strand, counting down.
TACTGGGACATAATCTTAAAAAGAAATTAGCTTCCCCAATTTACAGATGAAAATCCATGATCTAGAACATATGTCATGCCTACAATCATGTAGTTGGTATCTGAATAAAGACTCAATTTATGTCTTTCGAAAAAACCCCACTCTTTTCATTATAATTAAATTTCCAAAAATGTTAACTACATAATAATTTGCATATAATATTGCCTGTTTATTGAAAAAAATATGAGCAGAGTTTAGCATAAGATGACTGCATTTGAGGATTTTTTTTTACAAATGATTATTTTTCTCCTGATTCATAAAGTTTGTTCTCATTTACCTCATTTCTTCTTAATCACCTTAACTACAGAAATGCTTCTTTTATTAAAGAAGTGTTTGATAATCTTTATTCACTTTTTCTGTGTTAGTGTTAGCAGGAATTAACTGTATATTTCTTACCTTGGAAATTAATCAAATTTTTAGTCTGGACTATTGGTAGATTTCATTTCTCATAATGAGATGTACCCAGAGTTTCAGTATTGTGTACCATCAAATAGGGATTTTATTTATTCATCATTTTCATTATGAGTCATCTTCATGCTCAATATTTTAGTCATCTGAATAAATAGCAAAATTATACTGTACAATGTCCTGAAAATGACGTTAGTCTTTGTACAAGTCAAGTGAAACGATTTTCTCTCATCACAACTGAATTTGTGAAATAATAAATAATGTAAGAGGGAAAAGATTGGCTGCTGAAAATCAATTCCACTATCTAAAGTATATCAATAAGTTGATAATATGGAGAAACTGTAATAAGGCAAGTCATCACAGACGTGGGAAAAAAATTGCAGTAAGTTGCAAGTTAGAATTTTATTTTATATAATATTACCACATCACATTTGGTCAAAAGATCATGATCCAAGTCAAACTTTCTAAAGTAAGTCGTGGATCTCCAGGAAGCATTGTTAAAAATGAACTTATCAAGTAAGATTTGAGGAGTCTTTAAAGATTCAGTATAAACCCTCTTTAATTTTGTGTCTGAGTAGCACCTCAAATTGTAATTTTATGACATATTTTTATTACAGTGACTCTCAAATAAAAAATAAAACACATCATAATATTCTCAATGAAAAAGTGCTTTCATTATGTGATATTATCAAAATAACTTAAGAGAAAAAAATCAGTATTTTGTCTCAAGGCAAAAATCTATGTTGTTTAACTTTTAAATTTCTATCTATGACAATGGCTTTTCTCAAGATTCAGTGTAAAAATAGATAAAAATGTCTCAACAGGATATCAAAATTACCTACATTTAGTAGAGTTAAAACTTTCAACGCCAAAGTCAAAGGCGGATTACATTCAGTTTATATCAAAATTCTTATGTTTGTTCTGGCAAGGGCATAGATGCTTTTGTTTTGTTTTGTTTTAAAACCATATGTATGAATTTGAACCTGAGTTCACCTGTTTATGGTAAATGAAACTGGCTGCGTAATTTGTGAGACACGGTGCAAAATGACCATGCAATGCCCCTTGTTGAAATATTGTTAAAAATTTCAAGATGACAACAGCAAAGCAGTAACCATTTGTGGAGCCCTTTTCAGCATGAAGCCCCATGAGACCACACAGGTTTCACACTTATGAATCAGTCCTAATTGTGTAATTTGTGGTACATTATTTAACTTTTGTAGATTTAGTTTAGTGTTGTATATTTAAGACAGTTGATAAGATGAATTTATTGAGATGCGATGAAGAAAAATGGATTCCATGTAAATCACCTGGGCCACATGTGGCCTATGTGCTATGGTTTGCACAAGCTTGATATAATACATGACTTTTGTGTCTGGCTTCTCTCACTTAGCATAATGTTTTTGTCCAAAGTGTTGTATGTATCAGTAGACCTTCCTTTTTTTTACTGGATTTACATGATTTATTAATAATCTGTGATATGATTCTTAATAATCTATGATATTATATCATCAGTACATTTTACTTCTACTAGGTTGATTCCAGTTTGTGGCTATTACAAATAGTATTCTGTTAACATTCACGTGTGTGTGTGTGTGTGTGTGTGTGTGTGTGTATGTGTGTGTATATATATATATATGTAAATGTGTGTATTGGTAAATATGTAATTCATTTCCCTTAGGTATATAGAGAATCTAAGAGTAGAACTGCTAGGGCAGAGTATATGCATCTATTGATAAACATATATTACCAAAGAATTTTCCAATGTAATAATATCAATTTACATTCCCGTCAACATTGTATGAGAGTTCAAGTTGCTCCAGATCGTCATCAGTTTTGTTATTATTTATCTTTTGAAAAATGAGTTAGTCATTCTAGCAAAAGCGCGGAGACATCTAATTGTGGTTTAAATTTGTATTCTCAGGATATCTCACAGAGTAGAACGTACTTTCATATGTTGATTAGCCAACTGAATATTCTTTTTTTGTGAGGTTTCCGATAAATTCTTTTTGACAATTTTTTTATATTGATGTCTTTGTCTTACTAATTTCAAAGTTTGGTACATATTCTAGATGTGAATTTCTCTTTTTTTTCAGCCTGAGAGCAAATTTTAAACAAAATTAATTAATTAATTTATTTATTTATTATTTTTTTTTTTTTTTTTGAGATGGAGTCTTGCTCTGTCGCCCAGGCTGGAGTGCAGTGGCGTGATCTTGGCTCACTGCAAGCTCGACCTCCCTGGTTCAGGCCATTCTCCTGCCTCAGCCTCCTGAGTAGCTGGGACTACAGGCGCCCGCCACCACACCCAGCTAATTTTTTTTGTATTTTTAATTGACACATTGTATATGCACTTATGTATGAAGTACAGTTTTAAATTTTGACGCATATCTATGTTGTATAATAATCTAATTAGAGTAGTTACTGTATCCATCACCTCACGCATGCATCATTTCTTTGTGGTAAAAACATTTAAAAACCCCTCTTCTAACTATTTTGTAATAAACAATATTTTACTGTTAACCATAGTTACCCTACTGTGCAAAAGATTATGAGAAATTATTCCTTCTATCTAATTGTAACTCTGTACCCACTGACCAACGTCTCCCCATCCTTACATCTCCACTCCCCTCTCCAGTATCTGGTAATCACTGTTCTACTCTCTACTTCTATGATATATATTTAGATTCCACCTGCGTGAAATCATGCAGGATTTGTCTTTCTGTTCCTGGCTTATTTCATTTAACAGACATTTCTCCAAGTTCCAAGTTCATCTATTTGTCACAAATGACAGGATTTCCTTCTTTTTTATAACTGAATAATATTCCATTATATGTGCGTGTGTTTGACTGTGTTTTTGTGTGTGTATACACACAATACGTTTATTTTTTATGAATTCATTAATTGTTGGTCACTTAGGTTGATTTTTAGCTTTGCTATTCTAAATTGTGCTGCAATAAACATGTGACTGCAGATATCTATTCAACATACTTATTTTACTTCCTCTAGATATACACCCATGGTAGAATTGCTTTTAATTTTTTGAGGAACCTTCATATTTCCAAAATGGTTGTGCTGGTTTAGAATCCCACCAGTAGTATGTAAATATTCCCTTTTCTCCTTATTCTTACCAACACTTGTTTTATTTTGTCTTTTTGGTAATAGCCATTCTAAAGAGAATAAGGTGGTAACTCATTGTGGTTTTGATTTGCATTTCTCTGATGACTAGAGATATTGAGCATTATTAAATATACCTGCTGGCTATTTATAATAGCCAGGTTCATTTGATAATGGCTATTAAAATCTATTGCTTATTTTTAATTGGTTTATTTTTTTCCGTTGAGTCAATTCCTTATATAGTCTGGATATTAATCACTTGTCAGATGTGGTTTACAAATATATTATCCAATTCTGTAGTTTGTGTATTCACTCTGTTAATAGTTTCCTTTGCTGTGTGAAATCTTTTTAGTTTGATTTAATCTTGTCTATTTTTGATTTTGCAACCTGTGCTTTTGAGGTATTATTTTTAAAATCTTTCCTCAGCCCAATGTCCTGAAGCATTTCCCCAGTTTTCCTGTAGTTTAATAGTTTCAGGTTTTACATTTAAATATTTAACATATTTTGAGTTGATTTTCATACATGGTGAAAGTTAGAGGTCTAGTGTCATTCTTTGACGTATGGATATCAAATTTTCCTAGCCACGGCTTTTTGCCCTCGCCCCCGCGGCTTTTTGCGGCTTTTTGCTCCCGCCGCCGCGGCTTTTTGCATCTTTTTACCCCCGCCGCCGCGGCTTTTTGCCCCCACCGCCGCGGGTTTTTGCTTTACTTGTGTATCTAAACATAGAAAAGGTACAGTAAAAATATAATATAAAAGGGAAAATAAGGCCAGGCATGGTGGCTCACACCAGTAATCCCAGCATTTCGGGAGGCTGAGGCGGGCAGATCATCTGAGGTCAGGAGTTCGAGACCAGCCTGGGTAACATGGCGAACCCCCATCTCTACTAAAAATACAAAAATTAGCCGGGATTGGTGGTGCGCCCCTGTAATCCCAGCTGCTTGGGAAGCTGAGGCAGGTTTGTGTATGTTTGATTAAAAACATGTTTACAGGAAAAAAATGTATGTATTATTTTAAATTGTTTTAATAATTTGAACTTTTATTTTAGATTTAGGGGATACATGTGCTGGTTTGTTACCTTGGTATATTGTGTGACGCTGAGGTTTCGGGTATGATTGATCCTGTCACCAAGGTAGTGAGCATAGTACCCAATAGGCAGTTTTTCCACCCCTGCCTCCTTCTCTTCCTCCCCCATCAAGTAGTTCCCAGTGTCTATTGGTCCCTTCTTTATATCCACGTGTAGCCAGTGTTTAGCTCCCATTTATACCTGAAAACATGTGGTATTTGATTTTCTGATCCTGCATTAATTCACTTAGGATAATGGCCTCCAGCTGTATCCATGGAAAGGGCATGATTTCCATATTTATGGCTGTGTAGTAGTCCATGGTGTATATGTACCATATTTTCTTTATCCAGTCTACCAATGATGGGCACATAAGTTGATTCCACATCTTTGCTATTGTGAATAGTGCTGCAATAAATATATGAGTGCATGTGTCTTTTTGATGGACAAATCCCAGTAATGGGAGAGCTGGGTGAAGTTGTAGATCTGTTCTAAGTCCTTTGAGAAATCTCCAGATTGCTTCGCAGAGTGGCTGAACTAATTTACATTCCCATCAACAGTGCATAAGTGTTCCCTTTTCTCTGCAGCCTTGCCAGCATCTGTTGCTTTTTGACTTTTTAGTAATAGCTTTGCTGACTGGTGTGAGATGGTATCTCATTGTGCTTTTTATTTGCATTTCTCTGGTTAGTGATGTTGAGTATTTTTTCATATGCTTCTTGGCCACTTGTATTTCTTTCTTTTGAGAAGGGTCTGTTCATGTGTTTTGCCCACTTTTTAATGGGGTTGTTTTTTGCTTATAGTATTATTTAAGTTTCTTATACATTCTGAATATTAGACCTTTGTTGGGTGCATAGTTTGCAAATAAGGAAAATGTCTTTTAAAACATGAGTTGTTCAAAAGAATACACAGTGAAAAATTCATCTTTCTTCCACTCCCGAACCGCCACCTTCCCAGTGGAAACCGCTGTTATCCATGATAGTGGGTTGAATGTGTCCCCCAAATACATGTGTTCAATCCTAACCCCTGGTACCTGTGAATCCTTCCTTATTTGGAAATCAGACCTTTATAGATGTAATTAACCTAAGGATCTCATGATGAGATTATGCTGGGTTTAGGGAGGGCCCTGCATCCAATGACTGGTATTTTAAGAGAAAGGTTTAAGAAAGAGAGCGATTTAAGACACTGAGAGACCTAGGGAAGAAAGCCACATAATGATGGAAGCACAGATTGCAGTTGTGCTGACACAAGCTAAGGAGTGCCAGGAGCCAACAGAAGCTGGAAAAGGAAAGGAAGGTTTCTCCTCTAGAGCCATGGCAAGAGTACAACCTGCGGACCCTAGATTTCAGAAGTCCTGCTTCCAGAATGGCAAGAGAATCAATTTTTCTCATTTGAAACCATCACATGTGTAGTAATTTGTTACAGCAGCCTTAGAATTCCAATATATCCATTTATTGCATATCTTTTCAGAGATAATCTACTTTAATAAAAATATTTTAAATGGACTTTTAAACCCATTTTTAAAAATTAATGAAGTACCTATGTTTTTTTAAATTATATATAATTTAAAAGGGTACCTTAATCTTTTTAGCTCCTGGGATCTCTAACATCCTAACCCAGCCCTAATCTTGGGATAAACACCACATCGGTGCACAAACGTCTACTCTGTTATTTTTCTGGGTTCAGATCATTTCATTCTATAGATGTTCCACAATGTTCTTAACTAATTTCCTATTGATTGGTTTGTAGGCTGTTCTCTGTCCTTTCCTATTGCAATCAAAGTTGCAATGACTCTCTTTATCCATGCTCTCTGCAAATGTGAGTGTGTCTGTTTCATAAATTCCTAAAAGTGGAATTTTGAGATAAAAAGCACACAAATGCTTTATGTTAATGCTGTCCACCCACCAGCAATGGTGGAGGAATCTGTCAGAATAGGCTAGGTTCTGCTTCTACCACATACACACCCCAAAACTCAACATGACAGAGGTTTATTTCTCTCAAACACAACATGTCCCCTGAAGACTTCGTTTCACTACATGATTGTCCTTACCCCAGAACCAGAGTGATGAAGCAACCAGGACTCACAGGCGGCTTCCCCCACTTCTGCTCACACTTTCTCCTCCAAAGCAAGATGCAGGACTGTACATAATTTCACAGGTGGGAAGACGCAGTTGCAACAAGTGCCAAGAGGAGAAAAAAGGGAATATCTGAATACCTCTAGTGACTACCCATTCATGGCCACACCCAGGGCCACACACAAAGTTGACAAACATTTTAATCTTGTCTTACATTAAGAAGTTATCTGCATTTGTTTGTCTTTGAACTGTCTCTTCATTTTTCCAGTCTGGCTGTGGGCTTTCTGTTGGGTGATTTGCAGTAGGTTTTAACATACAGTGCGAGCATTAGCCTGTCATCTCTTATGTATGTTGCAGAACTTTTTTGAGTTTGTTGACAGATCTTTGACTTTGTGGGTTTTTTTATAGAAAGTTTTAATTTTCATGGAGTCAAATTTATCAGCCATTGATGACTTCTGGGTTTGGGGCTGTGCTTAGAAACCTGCATGTGAGTCCCTGCTTGTGATTTCCTTCAGCCTCGGTGTCCAGCAATGTTCCGAGTGATGGTTGCTTCATCAGTCTGGTTCTGGGGTGCAATTTGTGTCAGTCTGGGGAGAGTGGATTTGGAGCCCAACCACCATTTATGTAAATCAATCTGATGGACATGGTGGGTTCCAGTGACAGTGAGCACAGACCCTGGGTGGTGGTGACAGTGGCTGTCATGGGAAGGAAAGGAATGGGAAGGGGTCCTCGTGGAATCAGGAAGACAGGCCTTGGCTGCAGATGGGCCAGCACCCTAGTGGGTATATAGAACACGCATCCTTATCCCCGCTCTGCTATAAATCCACAGTGGAACCCTGGGCAATGACTTTCCCCTTTCTGAGCCTCAGTTTACTCATCAGTAAAATAGTGACAATAACTCCAACTTCACCAAGGAAATGTGAGGCTCAATAAGATGATGGATCTGAAAATGTCTCATGGCACAAAGGAGAGGGATTCCTGACATGTGACAAGCATGGGAAGAGAGGAAGGATGGAGTCTGTGAATGGCCAGATGGCAGCCCCACCCCTCCACACACACAAACACCCACCATGTCACCCACACTGGCGATTTGCCCAGGAGGGCCCCAGGCCTGGAATCAGCACTGCCAGGTGGGCAGGCAGGACTGCTGTCCCATTACAGGGGTGAGGAAACTTAGGCTGCAGATGGTCCCACAGGGAATAAGGGGTAGGGTCTATCTCCCCACGGCAGGCAGGGAAGATTGAAGTTACTCCCTGGGAAGAGGAAGGGAGGCATTGACTGGAACTCTGTGATTTAGATGAGAATGTCAGGCTCAGGCAGGTGACTTGAGTTTCCTGTTGTAGAAGGTGAAGGAGGCAGAGGAGGCAGAGGGCAGGAGGAAGAAAGAAAGGAAGAGAGCAGCAAACTGGAGTCACTACAGGACACTAGCTGCTCCAGGCTGGTCTGTCCCATCCTAAGAGAAAGGGAAAAGGGGGAGAGGGCATCACAGATCACGTCCAGATTCCTCACTGGCATAGATGCTGCTATGGAAACATCCCTGATGGTCCAGGTTTGTGGTGGGAGAGATTGCAACGCTCTGCTTCCTGGAAATCTGTGTTCACAGCCAACACAGGTGCTGCCCTTGGAAGGGGATGGGGATGATGGCCCCGGTGGGGCGGGTGGCCCAGAACACAGCGGCTCTTCCCAGTCCCATCAGCAGCAGCAGAGAGCCCCCTGTCACCTGAGGGCCTCAGGGAGAGGCAGGGGAGCCAGGCTTCTCACCTGCCTTCTGCCTTCCAGCTTCCTGGATATGATGGAGGCTCACAGTCGTGGCCAGGCGTCCCCACTGGCGGCCAAGGGGCAGAGCCCATCCTCAGGCTCCCAGTCACCAGTGGTGCCTCCAGGAGCCGTGTCCACGGGGAGCTCCAGCCCCGGCACACCCTAGCCTGCCCCACAGCTGCCCCTCAATGCCGCCCCACCATCCTCTGTGCCCCCTGTACCACCCTCAGAGGCCCTGCCCCCACCTGCGTGCCCCTCAGCCCCCGCCCCATGGCGTAGCATCATCTCTAGGCTGTTTGGGACGTCACCTGCCGCCGAGGCAGCCCATCCACCTCCAGGTAGGCCCTGGAGCTGCCCCTCCCAAACTGGTCCCAGCCCCCCACGCCCTCACAGGTGGGGCCCTGGATTTCGGAGCGCTCCGCACTTCTTCTTGCTTGTCCCAGTCCCACGGGCACATCCCGGGTGGGCCTGGCTTGGGGTTGGGTGCAGTGAGGGTTCCGGTGCCGAGTGAAGAGGACCCAGCGTCACTGTTCACAGAGCCAGTCCCGGCCGCAGAGGCCCCAGCAACAGTCCAGAGTGTGGAGGACTTCGTTGCCAATGACCGCCTGGACCGCAGCTTCCTGGAAGACATGACCCCCGCCAGGGACGAGAAGAAGGTGGGGGCCAAGGCTGCCCAGCAGGACAGCGACACGGGGAGGGGTGCGCCTGGGCCTCCTCTCCCATTGCCCCCAGCCTCCAGGGCGCCCGAGCAGCAGGTGGGGCTGGCTTCCTGGGGGCGCAGAAGGGGCCCCCTGCCGGCTGGTCACTGTTGGCTGAGGACAGAGCAGATCTGTGGCTGGAGCAGATGAGGGAAGGGCTTTGACGAGGCTTCCAGACATCAGAAAGGCCTGGCCACCTGCTCTGCCCACACCCTGGAGAGGACAGGGGCACCTTGGGGTCTTCTGTGGGCAGATTCCACATGGAGGCCATTGGCGAGGCCACTCCAGGTCATATGAGCGGTTCAGGCCACCAGATATGGTCTCTGCAGGGCCAGGTCCCAGGTGCTGCAGAGACAGGGGCGGCTTCCTGCAGGTCCCAGAGCTGGGAGCTAGAGCCGCCTCCCCAGCCATCTGCCAGCCCCTCCCACCACTCTGTCTGCCAAGCTGCCACAAATTTTGCCTGCAGCAAAGCCCTGCATTTGGTCCCAGGCGTGGACTCCACTGGACAGGCTCCACGTGCAGTGGCCTCAGCACCTCAGCCTCACCCATTGCTGTGGGGCGGTGGCTTCCTCCAGAAATACACAAAGGATAGAAAGCCGGGTGGCCCTGAGCTGGGCCCGCCTCCTCCATGAGTGCCCACTTGCACAGCTCCACATCCTTCACCCACTGACTGGCTGCAGGGCAACACTGTGTCCAACCTTGTGCCCCCGACCCCCTCCTGCTCAGAAGCCCTGTGACGGCCATGAGGGGGCCTCTCCACTACAACACAGCACCTGGGGCGGGGTGGCCCCACGGCCAGGGTGTGCTGGGTACCAGGGTGCCTGGAACCAAGGCCTGTGAGCCCGGCCAGTCATCCCTACCCTGTGGCCTGACTGCTTTGCCCCCTGCTTCGCAGTGATGGGGAGGCCCTGGGCGGCAACCCGATTGTGGCAGGGTTCCAGGACGACGTGGACCTCGAAGACCAGCCACGTGGGAGTCCCCCGCCGCCCGCGGGCCCCGTCCCCAGTCAAGACATCACTCTTTCAAGTGAGGAGGAAGCAGAAGTGGCGGATCCCCCAAAAGGCCCTGCCCCAACTCCCCAGCAGTGCTCAGAGCCAGAGACCAAGTGGTAAGTGCAGGTGGCCCCATGGGTGCGGCCTGGAGACTGGGGTGGGGCAGTTCAGGACACCTCCGGAGGACCCTGACTGACCCTGTGCTTGTCCACAAAGGTCCTCCATACCAGCTTCGAAGCCACAGAGGGGGACAGCTCCCATGACGGCCGCAGCATCCCCCTGGCCAGGTGGTGCCTCTGTTCGCACAGGTCTGGAGAAGTGCAGCAGCACCAGGCCCCCTGCTGAGATTGAGCCAGGGAAGGGTGAGCAGGCCTCCTCGTCCGAGAGTGACCCCGAGGGGCCCATCGCTGCACAAATGCTGTCCTTCGTCATGGATGACCCCGACTTTGAGAGCGAGGCATCAGACACACAGTGCAGGGCAGTAAGACGAGTCCTCCCAGCGCAGAGGTCAGCCAGGAGGCCAGGTCCCTCCCGCAGGCCTGATCTGGGTGGGTGCAGTGGGAGGAGGCTTCTGGAAGAGACGTCTAATGTCTCCACACTTGGGCTTTGCCGGCCTGGTTTGAGATCCCACAACCCCTGGGGGTGTGCAGAGGCAAACGCCTCCCCAGGCAGTGACAGGCACGTCCCCCACCCCAGGGCCACTTCTGCCTGCCTTTGCCACGCTTGGCGGCTGCTGTGTGCACTTCTGAGCTGGAAGAGGCCGGGCATTGGTGGTCCCTGGACTGGGCCCTGCAGGTGCTGGGCCTCCAGGCCTGGCATGAGCCCGCTCTGCAAGAAGGGAGGGGACAGCTGGCTTCAGCCAGGCTCGGTGGACACCCTGGCCCTCTCGGGGCAAAGCCGCCAGTCCCCAGTGTTTCTCAGGGATGTGACTGAGGCCCAGGAGGGACCCATGAGGGTCTGTTTACAGAGGCTGGGCAGGGGCCACTTGGCTGTGGGGTGCACACTGCCCCAGCACCTGCTTGCCCTCCACGCTCACCCAGGGCCGCAGCATGCCTATGGCTCCGCTTCCAGCCAGGAGCCCTGAACACCGGTGTGCAGACCCACCCTAAAGGGCGGCCCAGGCCCCGTGCTAGGCAAGGCTGGCAAGAGACCGAGGGCAGCATGTGAGGCCTCTCCTGGGAGTGGGGGTTGTGTTTCCCACAGTGGCCTCAGCTGTGCCCCCGCTCAGGTGAGCCCACAGGCAGGATCTGGGAGGCACTCCTCCCAAACACTCCACTCAGACCATAAAGCACTCCTGTTTCACTCTGCGTGTCCGTTCTTCTCCCTGCACCTCTGCTCCCGCTTCCCCGGCCCAGGCTGCCATGGGTTGGCAGGGAAGTCCTCTGAGGCAGGAGGCTGCCCAGCAGTGGTGTGAGGACGTCCCACCAAGTCTGGCCACACCCTGGGTACATCCCAGCCCACCTATGCCAGGGCTCAGCAGCTGCACCCAGCACACTTGGGGACCTCAGCCCCAGGAGGTGGAAGTCAACTCTGCAAGGCTCCCAGGCAGCTGCCTGCAGCCCTGCCCCCCCAACCCCGCCTTCAGGCCCCTGCCCCCTCCAGCTGTCAGCAGCACCCAGCCTCCACCCCCACAGCTACTGTTGCCATGAGAACCCTGCAGGGCGGGCAGGAAGAGCGTGCCAGTGAAGGGGAGGAGGTGGCCAAGCTGGAGGCTCCTGTGCCTGGGAGCTTTGTGGCCCCAGGGTGTGGGGCAATCACTGCAGTCCCTGAGCAGGTGCTGTGGCCCACAGCAAGCTTAGGAGCCTGGCCCCTTAGCCCACAGCCCATGAGGTCAGGGCCAGGTTCAGGGGTTCTCCTGGTGTGGGGATGGGTCAACAGTACGTGAACTTGCCAGGATCGCACCATGGATGGCTATGTTGGGGTTTCAGTGGGCCCTGCTTTGAGCAGCGCAGAATGGGGTAGGTCCTGCCCTTCAGAGCCAAGGGCATTGGCTCCCCACCCCTCTGCCAAGCTAGAATGTTCCCAGGCCCAATGCCTTTGGGAGGGGCTGGCAGAGTGGGACGATGACATTACCAGGCAGGTATGATAGGTCACGTGCAGGCCTTCCCAGGCTGGCAGGGACACTGGATGCAGGAGTGGCCTCACCCAGAGAGGATGGCATCCTGGGGACACAAGAGACTGCAAGGGCCATCTGGCCCCAGGTACCCGCCAAGATTTTGGCATTGGCAGCCTTGAAGCCGATAGGGGCTGGGGAGAGGCCAGTGGGGCAGAGAGTAGCCCACCTGCTCCTGCCTCGCCCGACAGGAGATGCGAATTCCAAGATGCCCCTGACCAATCTCTGCAGCCCAGGCCAGGGCTTGGGCCCCTCCTCTCAGGCAAGTGTGTTGGGGTGACACTGGCGGGACTGGCAGGCTGCTCCGGGCCACAGGACTCCTGCTTAGACACTGAGGTCTGTGTCTTGGGGGTGCTGCAGGGACCCTGTGCTCTGCACATCCCCAAATTGGAGCCAGCGCAGCTCACGATCCCCAGCTCCACCATGCAGCCCCCACTGGGTGTGGCCCCTTTAAGTACAGCCCCTTCAGCTGCCATCGGGGGCAGCACTGAGCAGCCAGGTCAGGACCCGCGCTGCTGCCTGGAAACTTCTGCTGGTGCCGGGGAGACGCAGCAGTGCCAGGGACAAGGAGGAGTCGACCTGGGGGTAGCACAGCCCACCGGGGCACAGCTGGAGCAGCACCCAGGTAAGGGGCTAGGGGCCGAGTTGCTGAGTGTGTCACTGTCATGGGCAGGGGAGGCTGCCTTAGGGAGGCCGGAAGGATGAGGATTCCCCGTCCCCAGGCAACACCAGCTGTATCCCTTGAAGGGCCGCTCCCAGCCAGGGCAAGGCAAGGCAAGGCAGGGCTGGGAGGCAGGGAAGGCCGCCAGCCATCCCCGTGGGCTCCAGAAGGCCTTGGGCCCAGGAGAGTGCTGACCCCACCCCCATCCCCACGGGAGGGGGTGTCACCGACAGCTGCAGCCAGCAAGGCCGACTGTCACCTCCCTGGGGTGGAGCCTCACACCCTGTCATCCGGCCGGATTCCGGCCTGGCCTTGAGCTTAGCATGAAAGAGGGAGCAAGAGGGTAGACAGTCCTGCCACGGGTGGGATGGAGGGGGGAGATGGGGTGGGCGGGGGAGGCTGGGATGGGCACAAGGCCCGGGACTCGTGGCCCTGACCCAGAAAAACAGCCCTGCCAGCAGGAAGCCCCTGCACACCTGGGACACAGAGGGGGGACCCGGCCAGACCCTGAGAGGCCCATTCACCTGAGGTTCTGCCCTGCAAGGGGCCTGGCCAGGTACCCGCTTTCCCCAGCTCACTCTGGGGTAGACCCCCCCCCCAGACCAGGTGTTGGGCGTGCAGAGACCAGGCCTGTGGCCACTCTCTGACGCATCCCCCAGCTGGCTCTGGGACCACAGAGGGGTTGGCAACCCACATCTGAACCCTGGCCAGCCTGCAGCGTGGGGGCCTAAGAAACGCAGGTTTCCATGGAACCTTCTGAGTGAAATGGGGAGGGCCCTCTCCTGCAAAGCAGTGGGGCTTCCCCCACCCTCCGCCTTGCCCACCCCCAGTGGGCAGCTTCTGGGCCTGCTGCGCAGCTCAGAGGAGAGGGGCTGCCACGAGCTCGTGGCTCGATGGTTTGGGACTGCCGTGCAAACCCTAGGGGGGTGTCCTGTGCATTTACACAAAGCTGGGGCCTTGTTTCAACCACCCAAAAATACTTGGGGTCAGAAAAGGTGTCGGCAAAGGAAAGGGAGATTTAGGGCCCAGGTATGCTCTCTGGGGGCATTTTTCTGGCCTGGGGCTCACGGGAAGTTGAGGGCACCTAGGCGTGGGTCCTTGCAGTGCTGGGGGCGGGGCTCTGTGCTCGGCCCGGCCAGCAGGTGGGGTAGTTGGTGTCACCCACTTGGTGCAGAGCCGGCTAAGGCTGAGGCCCAGGGACTCGCCTTCGACTGTGCACGATCGGAGGGGTCGCTCTGCAGTGGGCCCTGTGACGGGGGCGCAGTCACTGACGTCTCCTGGGGCAACACCTATAAATAAGGCCCAAATGCGGTCCGTCCTTCCAGCTGCGGACACCAGAGGGTGCAGCCCCAGGACCACGCCCCCACTCCCCTACCCCACCCGGAAAGGGGTCCGCCCGAGCCGGCCCCGCGGTCACTAGTCGAGGGAGGGGAGGCCCTGGAGCTTCACGCGGGAACCACAGCCACCACTAAGCCTTTCTGGCCCGCCCGCCCCATCGCAGGGAGAGGATGGGGGAGGGGCAGGACGGGCGCCTGGACAGCTGGGTTCCTCCCGCAGGTGCTTCTGACTCCGGCATGGAGGAAGCGCCCGCTTTCTCGGCCCAGGCCCGCAGCCAGGGCTGCTCCGCCCGCTGCGCCCCAGGTAAGCCGGGCCAGCGTGGGGGAGAAGCGGGGCCTGGGCTGCGGATGGGGCCGCCCTGACCCGCATCTCCCCCCAGGGCAAAAGCCCCGCAAGGCAGTGTGAGCTGGAGCCGCCAGCCTGAGGACCTCTTTTAAGATGACCCGTACGGACGCTCCGGACCTGCTGGTGTCGACCGTGTACCAGGACATCAAGGTGGCGACCCCGGGACCCGCTTCCAAGCGCTCGCCATGTGAGCGATCCGTGGCCCGGCCTGCTGAGCCCGCGCCTTTCAACAAGCGCCACTGCCCCAGCTTCGACTTCCTGGAGGCGCTGGACCGGCCGACCACGGAGACCCTGCCGGAGCCACCGCCCCCGGAGCCCGCTGTGCCGCGCGCCCGGACCCGCGAGGCCGAGCCACGCCGCCGCGCCCGCTCCAAGAGCGCGCCCCCGGGCCTGACGCCCGCGCCCGCCTTGCCGCCCGTGTTGCCCCGCCGAGGGCGGGAGGCCCAGCGTGCGGCGCGGGCCGAGGCATCGCCGCGCCCTTGCCAACTAGCTGCGTCCCATCAAGTTGCAGCCGCAGCTGGGCGGCCCAGGCCACATCGCGCCCCTGTGCGCCGCCGCGGGCCGCCGCGCACCTCCCGAGCCACCCGCGGGTCCCTATCCCTACGTGCGCTCCTTCCGGACATCAAGCCAGACGACGCAGTGCTCCAGCACGCCGCCTGGGGCTCACGGTCCTGCGGGCCCGCCGAGGCCGCGCCCTGGGCCCGCCCCGCCCCGCAGTTCCACGGCCTCACGGTGCCCGGGCCCCTCCATATGGCGCTGTCGCACACCCCGACGCCAAGCGACTCATACTGTGCGGATCCCCGGGCGTTCTACTGCGACGGGCCCCTGCCTGGGCCCCGGGACTACGCCGAGCGCCGCAGTCTGCCCTTCATCACCCCTCCGGGCCCCACCCAGTTCTTCTATACAGAGGAGCCCCAAGGCTTCCGGGGCAGCTTTGCGGCCAGTCCCGGTCCAACCTTCGACGCCTACTGCCCCAGGCCCTATCCGTCGGAGGAGCTCCCAGGGCCCAGTCCAAGGTGCATGGGGGGCTACTACGCGGGAGAGGTGGGCACCTTCCCAATCCAGGAACCGTCCTCCCGCTCCTACTATGGGGAGGCTCCCCGAGCCTACGGCCTGCCCTATGGGCCCGGCTATGTCCCTGAGGAGCCCCGGGCCCACTCCACCGCCCGCCCTTTTTACACGGAGGACTTCGGAAAATACCGTGAGCGTGACGTCCTGGCTCGGACGTACCCGCACCAGCGTAGCAGCCCAGCCTGGGCGGACTGGGGCCTGCGACCCTACCGCACCCTGCAAGTGGTGCAGTCCTCTGACCCCGACCCGTTGCTCGCCTCCTGGCATGGCGGCACCGGCACCAGTCCACCCCGGCTGGCTACCGACAGCCGCCACTACTCGTGCTCCTGGGACAACGTTCTGGCCCCGGGCCGTGCGGAGACCAGTTGGGCCGTGGCCGCAGCTATGAGAACCTGCTGGGCGCGAGGTGCGGGAGCCGCGAGGCGTGTCCCCCGAAGGCTGGTGCCCGCCCGTCGTCGTGAACCTGTCCACCTCGCCCAGACGCTATGCCCCACTGTCCCTGTCTGACACGTCGCTGACGGAGAAGGGCCGCGCGGGTGAGGGCCCGGGCCGCAACTGGTACGTGATGCCCGAGATCACCATCACTGACAATGACCTGCACGCCACCGAGCGCGCACCAGGGCCTGGGAGTTGCCCGGGGGCTGCACGCGGCCACTTCCCCATGCGGCCCCCGACGGCCCCACCTCTGGCCGCCAGCGGATCCTAGAGCAGCTGTACGAGCTCATCAAGGACCTGGTCATCGACTTGCGACCCACTGCCAGCCAGGCCTCAGAGCCCACAACCCACTGCCTGGGCCCCCAACTGTGCCAACTGCTGGACTCGCGGCCCGCGGGCTCCGGGGCCCCCGCGCTGGTGCCGCCACGCTCGCCCCCAGCCTCCGCCGGCATCGTCCAGGAGCCCGCGGCCCCGGGAGAGGTGGCCGACATGTCCCCGGAACCCAGTGCCGACGAAGACGACCTGATGACCTGCTCCAGTGCGCGCTGCTGGCACACAGAGACCATGTTCAACGCCTGCCTCTACGTCAAGTCCTGCCACAGCTGCTACACCTACTACTGCTCACGCCTGTGCCCGGCGAGGACTGGGACGTCCACAAGGCGCGCTGCGTGTACGGCCGCGTGGGCAGCGTGTGCCGCTACATGCTGCAGTTTTGCCTTGACAGTGTCCCAGTGCACCGCGCCTTCTCGCCCATGGCTGGTGTGGGTTTCCTGTCGCGCAGGCGCAGCGTGCTCTTCCTGGGCTTCCCAAGTCCAGGCTCAGCCGAAAACTTCCTGCGCTTTGGCCTGGAGGGGCTGCTGCTATCCCCCACCCAACTATCGCTGCGTGAGCTGGCGACACACGCAGCGCCCCTGGGCAGCTACATACGCGAGCTGGCAAGCCGCTGGGCGCCTCTACGAGCCGGCAGAGCTTCCTGCTCAGCGTGTCCGTGGCCGTGGGACCCAGCACCGCGCCCCTGGGGACATCCGCCCTGCCCGCGCCCACGCCACCCAGCCATGGGCCAACAGTGCGCAAGTTAGCCAAGGTAGCGCTGGCGGCCGGCAGCCCCTGGTGGCCGCCCCTGGTGCGGAGCAGCGACCCCGACATGAAGACGCTGATCCTGACGCCACCGCCGGGCACCCACGTTTTCCAGTATCTTTATACAGTATCCTATGTCTGGTACCAATTTATTGTATTAGTTCATTTTCACACTGCTATCCAGAAATGCCTGAGACTCGGTAATTTATAAAGAAGAGGGATTTAATTGACTGAGTTGGGCATGGCTGGAGACTCCTCAGGAAACTTACAATCATGGCAGAAGGAGAAGCAGGCACGTCTTACATGGCAGCAAGCGAGAGAGAGAGAGGAGCAAGCCGGGGAAATGCCAGATGGTTATAAAACTATGAGATCCCATGAGAACTCATTCAGTATGATGAGAACAGCATGGGGAAACTGCCCCCGTGATCCAATCACCTCCCACCAGGTCCTTTCCTCAACATATGGGGATTAAGGGGATTGCAATTCAGGATGAGATTTGGGTGGGGACACAGCCAAACCATATCAGCATACCTAGGTTACTAGCTCATATCTGGAGCCAGCAATGGGGTTTGTCCCACCAGAATCACTCAAGCGTAGAGTGATGTGGTTCCCCAAAGGAAAACTAAGGTGTCGTTTCTAGACAAAGAGGATTCAATGCTGGGAAGGCAAAAGCAGTGTATCTATTCCATAGTAGGATGTGAGTCATCAGTACACAGGAGATAGTAAGAAGGCTAGGAGCAGTGGTTGACACCTGTAATCCCAGCATTTTGGGAGGCCAAGGCAGGTGGATTGCTTGAGTCCAGGAGTTCAAGGCCAGCCTGGGCAACATGGCAAGGCCTTGTCTCTACAAAAACAATACACAAATCAGCTGGGCATGGTGGCATACACCTGTAGTCCCAGCTACTCAGGAGGCTGAGGTGGGAGGATCGCTTGAGCCTTGGGAGGTCAAGGCTGCAGTGAGTTGTGATCACGCCACTGCACTCTGGCCTGGGTGATAAACTAAGACCCTGTCTCAAAAAAACAAAAGAAAAGAAAAATGATAACAACAGTAAAACCCAGAAAGAAGTAACAAAAGCACCACTGTTTTATCTCTATGTTTTTACTTTCTGGTAGTTGAAAGAGAAGAAATTATTGGCCAAAATAATATATGTACATATATCCTTAGATCTATATCTATGTTTATCTATATTTATAGTCATATAGTCATTTGTATTGGAAGACACAGCTCCTGAACTTTATTGCTCTTCAGATACTGATCCATATGAGATTCAGAAGAGAACAGGTAATGCATTTCAGATTTATTTTTGATGAATATATAGCATCAAGCTTCAGGAACTGATTTGCTTCTCATGTGCATTGGTACTAGTTGGACTGTCATCACGCTGTGATATCGGTCCTCTCTGAAGGACCAAGAGCTCCCCTTCTCTCCTCATTGCTTTAGGCCTGACCTTTACTGAGATCCCCCTCCTAATAGTCTGTAGTCTATGACAGATTGGCAAAGTAAAGTTTGGCCATTTCTATGTTAGTTTATTTTCTGCAGTGGCAAGAAACAGTCACTGAGCATTGATTTCTTGAGTATAATTTGTCTGTGTTTTAAAAGTTTAGAAATGTGTTCTTTGGACTACATACTTGGCCTAAAACACCCAGTGGACTACCACACATATACCCCCATCACTTGCACTACATCACCAATGGTAGGGTGGCCACATTCACTGTTTACAAGGATCTATTCCTTAGGACTGAGTCATTAGCACAATCCTGTCTTCCTAGGCTTATTAGAGAAATCGAAGACAGGATATTTGAATTGAAAGGTACCTACAAATCCATCTTCTTTCCCACTGATTGATTGAATCCCTTTCATACTGTTTCTTGAGGATGGTCAATCAGTCTTGCTTAAGCACTTCCCCCGGGAGGAAAGTCACTGTTTACAGATTCTCCAGCTGCTTGCATTGCTAACAGTTTGTATCATGAGAAAGTTCTCTCCCATAGAGTTGCTCTCTCATTAATAGTCACCTGTTCTTAAAGCAACAAGGCCAGTTTTGAGGAATCTCTTTGTGCCCCTTTTCAGTAGTAGATCAGGGTTTGCACTTCAAAGGATATCTTGGGTGTCTTTTTATGAGTCAAAGGGTTATCATCTTTATTGCAGATCAGTAACAAGGCAGGCTTCTGGAATATGTATATGGTTTCCATATAAACAGTCCCCAAACTCATGTATCAACCTGACAAAGTCTAGACTCAAGAGTTTGTTTCAAGAAGAAAAAAGAAGAGCCAGGCATGATAGAAAGAATCGCAAGCCTATAAATTGTGCTGAAGTGTGTTTATATAACTAGATTAGAGTTTAAATAAAGCACTCCAACGGTAAACTAAACTACAAGTCCTAGTGGTAAAAGCAACCTCTGAAGAGTCAGTGGAACAGACAGGTTACACTTGTTTTGATTGTGCACACAAGCAAACACAGATTTCCAAATGGATGGCTAGCACCTCAGGACATTGCTTCCAGAGGGCAAATTTCATCATTGTCATTCTCATTTTGAGAAACTGAAGTTCAAAGAGATGAGTGACTGCCCTAAGACAGAGCCCTTATTTCAAGGTCCAGGGATACCTATGACCCCTCTGACCTAATCCAGGTGACAATTTACAGCTGATTCATATGACCCTGTTGACTCAAGCCAGTACCCCAAAGCTATTTCCCATTTAATGAGACAAAAATCTCACCTGAGAGTGCCATACTAGCTGTGAATTTTCATCAGATTCTTAGAGATGCCTGCGACTTTCCGCCTTCTCCTCCCATCAATATTTAGAACTCTTGAATCATAGTTCAATTATCAATCAAGTTTTCTAGAGAAACAGGGATATAACTTGTTCAGTGATTTTGGCTTATGCTAAGGGCTAAGCCAGTCAGAAAAGAAAAATAGAAGAACCAAAGTAATATTATCAAGCAATATACTCAAAACCAGTCGAAGAAGAAGCTGAAGGAGGAAGTCTGTGGGGTTTATTTTTATTTATTTATTTGAGACAGAGTCTCACCCTTCACCCAGGCTGGAGTGCAGTGGCACAATCTCAGCTCACTGTAAGCTCCGCCTCCTGGGTTCACACCATTCTCCTGCCTCAGCCTCCTGAGTAGCTGGGACTACAGGCACCCGCCACCATGCCCGGCTAATTTCTTGTATTTTTAGTAAAGGCAGGGTTTCACCATGTTAGCCAGGATGGTCTCGATCTCCTGACCTTGTGATCTGCCCTCCTTGGCCTCCCAAAGTGCTGGGATTACAGGCGTGAGCCACCGCGCCCGGCCGTTTGTGGGGTTTATAAACAAAATCAATGCTTTATAAAATTGTATAGCCATGCGTTAAGTAAGTGTAATTTTAAGGCAAACTGCTTTATACTGTATGTGTACGATTACAGATACAAAACTATACAATCATATATCACTTAATGACAGGGATATGTTCGGAGAAACGCATGGCTAGGCATTTCTGTGCAAACACCATAGAATGTACTTACACAATCCCAGACAGTATAGCCTACTATACACCTAGGCTATACAAGTATAGTCTATTGCTCCTAGGCTACACACCTACACAGCGTGTGACTGAACTGAATACTGTAGGCAATCGGAACACAATGGTAAGTACTTGTGTATCTAAACATAGAAAAGGTACAGTAAAAATATAATATAAAAGGTAAAATAAGGCCAGGCATGGTGGCTCACACCAGTAATCCCAGCATTTCGGGAGACAGAGGCGGGCAGATCACCTGAGGTCAGGAGTTCGAGCCCAGCCTGGCTAACATGGCGAAACCCCATCTCTACTAAAAATACAAAAATTAGCCAGGAGTGGTGGTGCGCCCCTGTAATCCCAGCTGCTTGGGAGGCTGAGGCAGGAGAATCACTTGAACTCGGGAGGTAGAGGTCACAGTGAGCCAGGATTGCACAACTGCACTCCAGCCTGGGCATCTCAAAAAAAAAAAAAAAAAAAGTAAAATATGGTCCACTTGTATATGGCACTCACCGTGAATGGAGCTTGCAGGACTGGAAGTTGCCTGGGTGAGTCAGTGATGAGTGGGGAGTGAATATGAGGGCCTAGGACATGACCTACCCTACCAGAGACTTTATAAACACTGTACACTTAGGCTGCAATAAGTTTATTAAAAATATTTTCTTTCTTTTGCAATAAATTAACCTTACCTTACTGTACCTTTTTAACTCTATAAACTTTTTTTTTTCTGGTACCAGACCATTCCAGGCAGGGAGAGCCACTGAGCTCACTCCATGGGCTGCGCACCTGGGGTCTGGACCCAGCTGCCCTCTTTTGCCTGGCAGGCAGCCCCTGGGCCATCACAGGAGCATTGTGTGGTGATCAGTGGCCCACTGCCTGCCCTTGTGGTGGGTGCAGCTCACAGGTTCTGCCCCAGGCCTGGCACAGTGGCCTTCCCAGCCTGGCCCAGGATAGGGGACATGAATGATCCTTGCCTGTGCTTCTTCGGACCATGTGAGTTTGGACACTCACTGCAGAAGTCCCTCCAGGTCCCTTTTCAACTGAGTTTTGGGGGACTTGCTTAGTCCTCATGCCCAGGGTCAGGGGAGGGGTGCAGAGTCTGCACCCCAAATCCCCTAGGGCCTGAGGGAGGTCTCTCAGGTGACCTCTGTCCTCTCCAGTGACATGAGTCCTCCCAGATGGCCTCAGCCCTCTCAGGTGACATGCTTCCATGGTGACTCTGGCTCTTGAAGGAGGTGGGCTAGCACAGGGACATGAGCTGCCTAACTGCCATCCTCCTCGTGTATCTGCCAGAGGAAGACACCTTCTGGGCACTGGATCAGCTGATGGCTGAGGAGAGGCACTCCCTGCAGGGTAGGCGGACAGCTATCCCCAGGGCCTCACGCAGCCAGGCCATGGGATGGCCAACCTGGCTGGGCGATCCTGACTTCCAGGCAAGGCAGCTTCCTTGCTTTCCAGCTTGTCAGGAGCCTTCAGGACATCCCTGCTGAGGGCCCTGCTGAGAGCCCATAGCTGAACAGGGACCCTTTCACTTCAAGGCAGGCACCTTTCATCCCCAACAGCAGAGGGCACTGCAGCCTCCCCCTGGCCACCCTGTGTGTCCTCTAGCTCTGAGTTCATGCAGGTGACCGTCACTTCCTCAAGAGTCCTGCTACTTCCCAGCTGGCCACACTCCCAGCTGCCCTCCCAGCCCACAGATGGGCCAATGCAGTCGAGATGGCAGTGTCTGCCCAACCCATGTCCCCCAGCCTGACCCCATGTCTGGGAGAGGCCATGTAGCCCCTTGGCACCCACCTGGTTCCCTCCACTGGCCACTGCCTGCGTCAGCCCTGCCTCACAGCCTCAAAGGCAGGCCTGCCCTCCTGGCACCTCTACCCAGGATGCTGCTGTGCAGTGCCTCTGGCTAGGGCCCACCTCCGTAGAGCTGAGGCCACGTGTTAGGGTCACCTGATGGAAGGGAGGAAGGCCTCAGGGTCCGGGGTCCCCTGCCACTTCCCAGCTCTTCCAGCTGAGGACTCCACATCTTGGGAGTGGGCTCTGATGCCTGATGGGTCAGGGGCTTCTCAGTTTTCTACAGCCCAAATACTGCCCAGCTCCAGAGGCTCCCATCCCACCAGGAGCAGGTATAACACAAATCCTTCCCAAAGATCATGCGGTACCTGCTGAGTGGATGACACCCTCAACTCTTTCCCAGAGGCCCGGGGTCCCATGGGGCAGGGAAACAGGGAAAGATGGAGCTCCTCGAGGGTCTGACAAGAGGCTGAGTCCCAGCCAGGGCTTTGCCCAAGGTGAGGATTCTCCATGGGTTTGGGGTTGGGTTTTCTTTTCCTGCCCTGGAGGAGGAGGCAGAGGTACTAGGATGGGGGCTGAGCTCCAGCTGAGCAGGGTTAAAGGAAGTATGTCCACCAGGCATCTGTGCATGGGGGAGTTGTTGGGGAAGCACTGGCCACTGCCCAGTGTTCTGCCCCAGGGCAGCTCAGGGGGCCCTGAGCACATATGGTCCAGGATTGAGGTTTGTTGAGTTGGTTCCTCTGGTGTTTCGTTGATGGAATAAGGAGGCAAATGGAGATTCCAGGCCAGGGACCCTCGTGTCCCACAGTGCCCAGCTCCCTCAGGAGGACCTGGCTCACCCCAAGCCCACATGAAGCACAGGGAAGTTTCTGCATGGCATGGAAGCCAGGCCCTCCCCAAAAGGGGGCATCACATGGCAGGGGCCAGGCCTCAGGCCCAGTGCTATTTTCACATTATTCATTTTATAAGGTGATATGGTTTGGCTGCATTGCCACCCAAATCTCATCTTGAACTGTAATTTCCATAAGCCTCATGTGTCCTGGGAGGGACCCAGTGAGAGGTAACTGAATCATGGCGGCAGTATCCCCCATGCTGTTCTCATGATAGTAAGTGAGTTCTCATGTGATCTGATGGTTTTATAAGCATCTGGCATTTCCCTTGCTTGAGGTGATGAATGCCTCATTTACCCTGATGTGATTATCACACATTGCATGCCTGTGTCAAACTATCTCATGTACCCCATAAATATATACACCTACTATGTACTCATAGAAATTAAAAATAAAAATAAATTTAAAATAAAAAGTGTGAGTTTTTAAAGGTGAGGTTTGCCCTCCAGCGCTGGTGCCTGCCAGGTGTGGCCTTCATGTCATCTTTCCACATGGTCCAGGCCCCCATCTGCAGAGGCCAACAGTTTCTGAGGAGTGACCTTCCTCAGAAAACAGGGTCTTGGAGGAGACAGTCAGAGGAAGGGGCCTTTTCCTCCCCACTGCACAGCCCCTCGTGGGGATTGGAAAGTGAGGGTCTCTGCCCACAAGTTGGCAGTCACCCTAAGCTCTTTTGTGGGAGGAAGCATAGGGAATATAGGTCAGTGTTGGGGCAGCATTTCCTGATCCTGACTTGGAGAAGGTGTTAAAATCTTGACATTCCCGACTCCTCCTTTGTGAGAGCCCCTGCCCTGCAGGTCTCACAGGGTTGTTGTGAGGGTGACCTGTGGTGATGGGTTTGGAAGTGCTTTGTGAATGACACAGTGGGCCTTCCTATTCCTGTCATTGGCCTTTTGACCTTCAATAGTAATTGCCTGGGGATCTCCAGGCCTCAAGGTCTAATCCTGGAAGGGTATGAGGTGTCCCTAGTGGAATATTCTACACTTCATGGGAGGTCCCTCGCTTCCACCTTCACCCGACATAACCCCTGCTCCTGTTCCCTCAGCCTGGAGAGCTTGCCCAGTAGAGCACAGGGTAGTACTGGACTGACCTCTTTGGAAAGGGTGATTACATCCTCATTTCAGCTCTCCCTCTTCCTAGCTTTCCACATAGAATTCCAGGGCTCCATGCAGCATTTGCTGGACATGAGAGGGAAAACTTTTAGGGCAGGGATCTGCCCTGGGTGGGGACAGAGGAGTATCGTGGAGTCTGGGTGTCAGGAGTGTGAGCGCTGCCCAGCTGGCCAGCCCCTGTCCCCATGCTGCTCGATGCATGATGTTTCCTGCACAAGCTTCCTTTTGAGGGAAGCTTCCAGAGTGACTGCAGTGAGGTCCATGCTGTTGGGGGTGACAGAGCAGCCCTGGAGGTGGCCAAAGAGAAGCAGGCAGAGGAAGCTTCTCCAACAGGCTTGGAAAGAAATTTCCGCATATCACTCACATCACTCTTGCCACTAGAAGGACAATTTCTACAGTGGAGTGGAAGAAAATGACTATGCTTTGGGAGAGAATGGATGCATCCAGAAGAGCAAAGCGGGAGGGGAAATGTGCCCATTGCCAGAATTTTGTGTGTTTGAAGACATTTGCCAGAATTCTACTTTTGAAGGCTGCCCCTTTTGACAGTCAGTTACTGAGGAAGCTGTGGGACATTTTCAAAGCCTTTTATATTAAAAAAAATCACAACATACTGCTGTGGGTCTGTATGCAGGGACCACGAAGAGCACAGCTGCCACTGTTCTGTGTCGCAGATGCTGTGGGAAGTGCCTTAACACACACAGATGTGCTTCATGCAACCGGGTGAGGAACATCTCTAAAACAGTTTACAGTCAAGAAATTTCAGTGTCAAGGAGTTTGAATGCATTATCCAAGATCACACATATGTCCTCACAGATTTGGGGTTCAGTGAAGAATTATGTATCATGAATTATAGGGCTGTATTTTAATTTTGCATTTTAAATTTCTGCAGTTTTCTTCCATCAATTT
The DNA here is from genome assembly GCF_000001405.40 of Homo sapiens. NCBI lineage: Eukaryota > Metazoa > Chordata > Mammalia > Primates > Hominidae > Homo > Homo sapiens. The sequence goes on along the minus strand of NC_000002.12, from coordinate 131,819,456 downwards.
TCACCATGCTTTCTATACTTGGAATTATTTTTTTTGGCTTCTTGATCTTCTTTACTTGTATGTTATTGATTTTCTACAAGTTTTAACGTATATGATTAAAGAGTATTTCTTAATGTTTTAATAATTACCCTAGAAGAGATCACGGCCAAGATCACCTAATAGGAACAGCTCTGGTCTACAGCTCCCAGCGTGAGCAATGCAGAAGACGGGTGATTTCTGCATTTCCATCTGAGGTACCAGGTTCATCTCACTACGGAGTGCCAGACAGTGGGCGCAGGACAGTGGGTGCAGCACACCGTGTGTGAGCCAAAGCAGGGCAAGGCATTGCCTCACTCGGGAAGTGCAAGGGGTCAGGGAGTTCCCTTTCCTAGTCAAAGAAAGGGGCACTGGAAAATTGGGTCACTCCCACCCGAATACTGTGCTTTTCCGATGGGCTTAAAAAACGGTGCACCAGGAGATTATATCCTGCACCTGGCTCGGAGGGTTCTACACCCACGGAGTCTTGCTGATTGCTAGCACAGCAGTCTGAGATCAAACTGCAAGGAGGCAGTGAGGCTGGGGGAGGGGAGCCCACTATTGCCCAGGCTTGCTTAGGTAAACAAAGCAGCTGGGAAGCTCGAACTGGGTGGAGCCCACCACAGCTTAGGACTCTCTCCAACAGGCCCTATGATACAGCCATGCAGCCAGCTCACCCCACCCACATTCCACAGGCTGCCCTAGGCTTTAGGACAGTGGCAAACATGGCCTCTGCCCATCCCCATCTGTGAGCACCCCTTCTTACCCCAAGGTCAGTTGCTAATCAATGAGCTGCTGGGGACCTCCTTCTCCCACTCCCACTGCACTGTGTCCAGAGTGGCCAGCACCAGCCCCAGGTGTCAGGGGTCAGTGCATTTGCCTCAGGGGGACTGGCAGAGTGGGTGCTTCCTGAAGGGCTGTGCTGGACTCAGCCCATAGCCTTCGTGTGTCCCATGGGGCAGGGCCAAAGGAAGCAGTCAGCAAGCGCCATCCACCCCAGCTTTTCTCTCCCTGGGGACTGCTGGACTGAGGGTACAGGTGGCCCAGCTCCAAAGGCTGTTGCTGGCCAGGCCTGCCCACCTCCCCTCTGCCCTGCAGGCACTTGCCTTTTCAGAGTCACATTTGAATCCTACTCCTTGCATCAGGGTTCAGGCAGCTGTCCAAACACCTTATCTCTTCATCTCTGGCCATTTCTTCAGAGTCGACTATGAGCAGAAATCACCCAGACACCCGACAGGTAAGTCCACTTGCCTCACATGGCTCTTCCTCTTCTCAAGAACCTACAAGGGCTCCCAGTGTCTGAGGAATAAGGTCCCTTGGAGACCCTGCCTTTCTTGCTGCCCCTCTCACCCTCTTCTCCAGGCAGCCAGGAAATCCTCAACACTTCTCCCCTCAAGAAAAGCACAGTACACCCCAGGATTCCACAGGGGTGCTGCTGTAGGGAGCAAACCACACACCACTGAGGCCCGCTTTCCCTGCTGAGAGGCGGGGCGTCCCAGGGACCCACACAGGTCCAGGGTCCTGGCACTTTGCTACTGGGCTCCTGCAGGGAACAGTAATGGTCTCTTCCCACCAGCCTGTGAGCAGCAAAGAGGCAGAACTGGGGCTCAAACCTCAGTCTCCCGCCTTGCTGTGTGACCCTGTGTGAGCTTAATCTCAAAGAACTCAAAACACAGGCTTTGATTTCTGAACTAACACTGGGGTTCAGCACCAGGCTGCAGGGCTCTGAGCCCCCTCACCTCGGTCACCACAAGGGAATCTTTTCTCTCCCAATCACCTAGAGGGAGGCTGGGCCTCCTGGAGCAGAGCAGCATGGGGGGAAGCAGCCCTGGGTCCCCTGAAGTCCTAGGTGGGCAAACACATACTACAGAGGGAGCTCCCCTTTCAGATTAGTGGTGAAATGGTTTCACATCACTGGGAGGGTGTAGAAATCTGTAGTTAAGCCCTGTAAAATATAGATTTTGGCACATGGGGACCTAAGAGAATCCTGCCTAGAACAGGGCCTGGCATCCCATCAGTGCTCAATAAACAGCTGCCAGTGACATGCACGAATTAAGGGAGGCCAAGTGTATAAGTTCTTTTATGAAACCAGAATCACTCCTTTGTTTCTCCTCCATGCAAGCAAAGAGCCACATGGTTACAGCAGAGGGGAGCCTTTTACACACCAGGCCTCATGCAGGAAACCGGGTCATAGGTCAGGGAGTTTGGAGTGGAAGGGACCTGAGAAGCTGTCCTGGTCTAAGTATCTTTCTCCCATTTTACGTAAAGGAATACACAGGGTCAGAAGAAGGAGGACCTGTGTCCAGCCCCTGTGTTCCCCACTCCTGGGCAGACGTGTACCCAGTGCAGCGAGAATGTCTGCGAGGGGGATTTGTCAGCACCACTGCTCAGCACTGATTTTGATCAGCATTTCCCCAGGGGCAAGAAGGCACTTAGTGACCTTGTCCAAATCTCATGTTGAAATATAATCCTCAGTGTTAGAGGTGGGGTCTGGTGGGAGGTGCTTTGGTCATGGGGCCAGATCTCTCATGAATCAGTCCTGTCCTTGCAATAGTGAGTGAGTAGTTGTGAGATCTGGTTGTTTTAAGGTGTGGCACCTCCCTCCCACTCTCTTTTGCTCCCACTTTTGCCTTGTGATGTGCAAGCTTCTGCCTCACCTTCTGTTATGAGTAAAAGCTCCCTGACGCCTCCCCAAAAGCCGAGCAGATACCAGCACCACATTTGTACAGCCTGTAGAATTGTGAACCAATTAAACATTTTTTCTTTATAAATTACCCAGCCTCAGGTATTTCTTTATAGCAATAAAAGAATGGCCTAACACAGAAAATTGGTACTGAAGAGTGGTGTTTTGCTATAAAGATACATGAAAATGTGGAAGTGACTTTGGAAGTGAGTAACAGGCAGAGGTTGGAAGAGTTTGGAGGGCTCAGAAGACAGAAAGATGAGGAAAAGTTTGAAATTTCTTAGAGACTGGTTAAATGGCTTCATTCTGTTCATGCCCTAGGAATTTGTGGGAGTTCAATCTTAAGAATGATGATTTAGGGCAGGCCTGGTGGTGACAAAATCGGTCAGCATTTGCTTGTCTGTAAAGTATTTTATTTCTCCTTCACTTATGAAGCTTAGTTTGGCTGGATATGAAATTCTGGGTTGAAAATTCTTTTCTTTAAGAATGTTGAATATTGGCCCCCACTCTCTTCTGGCTTGTAGGGTTTCTGCCGAGAGATCCGCTGTTAGTCTGATGGGCTTCCCTTTGAGGGTAACCCGACCTTTCTCTCTGGCTGCCCTTAACATTTTTTCCTTCATTTCAACTTTGGTGAATCTGACAATTATGTGTCTTGGAGTTGCTCTTCTCGAGGAGTATCTTTGTGGCGTTCTCTGTATTTCCTGAATCTGAACGTTGGCCTGCCTTGCTAGATTGGGGAAGTTCTCCTGGATAATATCCTGCAGAGTGTTTTCCAACTTGGTTCCATTCTCCCCATCACTTTCAGGTACACCAATCAGACGTAGATTTGGTCTTTTCACACAGTCCCATATTTCTTGGAGGCTTTGCTCGTTTCTTTTTATTCTTTTTTCTCTAAACTTCCCTTCTCGCTTCATTTCATTCATTTCATCTTCCATTGCTGATACCCTTTCTTCCAGTTGATCGCATCGGCTCCTGAGGCTTCTGCATTCTTCACGTAGTTCTCGAGCCTTGGTTTTCAGCTCCATCAGCTCCTTTAAGCACTTCTCTGTATTGGTTATTCTAGTTATACATTCTTCTAAATTTTTTTCAAAGTTTTCAACTTCTTTGCCTTTGGATTGAATGTCGTCCCGTAGCTCAGAGTAATTTGATCGTCTGAAGCCTTCTTCTCTCACCTCGTCAAAGTCATTCTCCATCCAGCTTTGTTCTGTTGCTGGTGAGGAACTGCGTTCCTTTGGAGGAGGAGAGATGCTCTGCGTTTTAGAGTTTCCAGTTTTTCTGTTCTGTTTTTTCCCCATCTTTGTGGTTTTATCTACTTTTGGTCTTTGATAATGGTGATGTACAGATGGGTTTTCGGTGTGGATGTCCTTTCTGTTTGTTAGTTTTCCTTCTAACAGACAGGACCCTCAGCTGCAGGTCTGTTGGAATACCCTGCCGTGTGAGGTGTCAGTGTGCCCCTGCTGGGGGGTGCCTCCCAGTTAGGCTGCTCGGGGGTCAAAATTGACAAATGGGATCTAATTAAACTAAAGAGCTTCTGCACAGCAAAAGAAACTACCATCAGAGTGAACAGGCAACCTACAAAATGGGAGACAATTTTTGCAACCTACTCATCTGACAAAGGGCTAATATCCAAAATCTACAGTGAACTCAAACAAATTTACAAGAAAAAAACAAACAACCCCATCAAAAAGTGGGTGAAGGACATGAACAGACACTTCTCAAAAGAAGACATTTATGCAGCCAAAAAACACATGAAAAAATGCTCATCACTGGCCATCAGAGAAATGCAAATCAAAACCACAATGAGATACCATCTCACACCAGTTAGAATGGCAATCATTAAAAAGTCAGGAAACAACAGGTGCTGGAGAGGATGTGGAGAAATAGGAACACTTTTACACTGTTGGTGGGACTGTAAACTAGTTCAACCATTGTGGAAATCAGTGTGGCGATTCCTCAGGGATCTAGAACTAGAATTACCATTTGGCCCAGCCATCCCGTTACTGGGTATATACCCAAAGGACTATAAATCATGCTGCTATAAAGACACATGCACACGTATGTTTATTGCGGCATTATTCACAATAGCAAAGACTTGGAACCAACCCAAATGTCCAACAATGATAGACTGGATTAAGAAAATGTGGCACATATACACCATGGAATACTATGCAGCCATAAAAAATGATGAGTTCATGTCCTTTGTAGGGACATGGATGAAATTGGAAATCATCATTCTCAGTAAACTATCGCAAGATCAAAAAACCAAACACCACATATTCTCACTCATAGGTGGGAACTGAACAATGAGATCACATGGACACAGGAAGGGGAATATCACACTCTGGGGACTATGGTGGGGTGGGGGGAGGGGGGAGGGATAGCATTGGGAGATATACCTAATGCTAGATGATGAGTTAGTGGGTGCAGCGCACCAGCATGGCACATGTATACATATGTAACTAAACTGCACAATGTGCACATGTACCCTAAAACTTAAAGTATAATAAAAAAAAAAGAATGATGATTTAGGGTGTCTGATGGAAGACATTTTTAAGCAGGGAAGCATTCAAGGTGTGGCCTCGCTGCTTCTATACTCAGATCCAGGAGCAAAGAAATGACTTAAAGTTGGAATTTATGTTTAAACAGGAAGCAGACCAGAAAAATTTGGAAAATTTGCAGACTGGCCATGTGACAAAGAAAGAAAAAGCTTTTTCCAGGAGAAAAATTCGAACAGGCTGTGGAGAAAACACTTGCTAGAGAGAGTTGCATAATTAAAACAAAACCCAGATGCTGATACCCAAGACAATGGGGAAAAGAACTTGCACGCATTCCAGAGATCTCCACGGCAGTCCATCACATCACAGACCTTGAGGCCTAAGAGGAAAGAATGCTTTTGAGGGCCAGGACTTTACTGCTCTGGACAGCCTCAGGACACTGCTCCCCACATCCTGGCCACTTCAGCGGCAGTCTCAACTCAGAAGACCCCCGATACAGCTCAGGCTACTGCTTCAGAGGGTGCAAGCTATAAGCCTCAGCAACTTCCATGTGGTATTAAGCCTATGGGCATGCAGAGTGCAAGAATGATGGCTGGGCATTCTCTGCGCCAGTGATGTGCGCCTCTCTGCGCCTGCGCCGGCTCCCTGCGTACTCCTCAGCACAGACCCGGAGAGCATCGCCAGGGCGGAGCTGAGTTCTCCTCTGCACAGACCCGGGGAGGCCGGGGGCACTGCGAGGGCGAAGCTGCTTTCTGCTCAGCACAGCCCCAGGGGACTCCGTGAAGGCAGAGCCGCGTTCTCCTCAGCACAGACCTTGGGGACACTGCCTCGCTTTGGGACAACTTGGGGCCGCATCGACGATGAATAAAATCCTTCCTGTTTGCAGCCCTGAATAATCAGGGTCAGAGACCAGTTAGAAGGGTTCAGTGTGGAAAACGGGAAACCAAAAGCCCCTCTGAATCCTTCCTAGCGAGGTTCTCCCTAGCCAAGGCGATGCGGCCGCAGTGCGAGATCCACACCGCAGCCTCACAAGACAAATGCAGCATTCCTAATGCAGACATGACACCCAAAATATGACACCCCCATTGCTCACGTAACAAGCACCTGTAATGCTAATGCATTGCCTCAATACAAAAATATTAATATAAGATCCGCAATCCCCTCCCTGCCGTGCAGTCCTAAGACAGCGATCATAACAATCAACATTGACATAGTCAATACAAACGTAGTAACGAACCTAGGGTTAAGGTTGGTGTTAGGGTTAGGGGTTAGGGGTTAAGTTTAGGGTTAGGGGTTGGAGACAGGGGTTGGGGTCAGAGTTAGGGGTTAGGAGTCAACGTTTAGGTTAGGGGTTGAGAGGTTAGGGGTTAGGGATTAGGGGTTAGGATTGGGTTAGGGTGAGGGTGAGGGTTGAGGTTAGGGTTAGCAGTTAGGGTTAAGGGTTAAGGGTTAGGGGTTAGGGTCAGGGGTTAGGGTTCAGGGTCAGGGGTTAGGGGTTATGGGTCAAGGTCAGGGTCACGGGTCAGGGCCAGGGGTCCCACTTTGTGGGTTGTCTATTTCCTCTGCTGACTGTTCCCTTTGCCATGCAAAAGCTCTTTAGTTTAATTAAGTCCCAGCTATTTATCTTTGTTTTTATTGCATTTGCATTTGGGTTCTTGGTCATGAAATCCTTGCCTATGCCAATGTCTAGAAGGGTTTATGCAGTGTTATCTTGTAGAATTTTTATAGTTCAGGAATTAGGTTTAAGTTCTTAATCCATCTTGAGTAGATTTTTGTATAAGGTGAGAGATGAGAATCCAGTTTTATTCCCCTACATGTGGCTCGCCAATTATCCCAACATCATGTGTAGAAAAGGGTGTCCTTTCCCCACTTTATGTTTTTGTTTACTTTGTCGAAGATCAGTTGGCTGTAAGTATTTGGGTTAATTTCTGGGTTCTCTCTTCTGTTCCATTGGTCTATGTGCCTATTTTTAAACCAGTACCATGCTGTTTTGGTAACTATGGCCTTATTGTACAGTTTGAAATCAAGTAGTGTGATGCCTCCAGGTTTGTTCTTTTTGCTTAGCCTTGGTTTGGCTACATGGCTCTCTTTTGGTTCCATATTAATTTTAGAATTGTTTTTGTAATTCTGTGAAGAATGACGGTGGTATTCAGATGGGGATTGCATTGAATTTGTAGATTGCCTTTAACAGAATGGTAATTTTCACAATATTGGTTCTAGTTCTACCCACCTATGAGCATGGGGTTGCGTTTCCATTTGTTGGTGTCATCTATGATTTCTTTTCTTTTTTTTTTTTTTTTTTTTTTTTCATAGAGAGTTTCACTCTTGTCACTGAGGTGGAAGTGCAATGGTGTGATCTCGGCTCACTACAACTTCTGCCTCCCGGGTTCAAGTGATTCTCCTGCCTCAGCTTCCCGAGTAGGTGGGATTATAGGCATGTGCCACCATGCTTGGCTCCATCTATGATTTCTTTCAGCAGTGTTTTGTAATTTTCATTGTAGAGGTCTTTTGATTCCTTTGCTAGGTATATTGCTAAGTTTTGTTTTGTTTTGTTTTGTTTTTTGCAGCTATTGTAAAAGGGGTTGAGTTCTTGATGTGATTCTCTGCTTGGTGGCTGTTGATATATAGAAGAGCTACTGATTTGTGTCCATTAATCTTGTATCTGGAAACTTTGCTGAATTCTTTCATCAGTTCTAGGAGCTTTCTAGAGGAGTCCGTAGGGTTCTCAAGGAGAAACATCATATCGTCAGCAACCAGTGACAGTTTGACTTCCTCTTTACCGATTTGGATTTCCTCTATTTCCTTCTTTTGTCTGATTGCTCTGGCTAGGGCTTCCAGTACTATGTTGAAGAGGAGTGGTGAGAGTAGGCTCCTTGTCTTGCTCCAGTTCTCAAAGGGAATGCTTTCACCTTTTCCCCATTCAGTATTATGTTGGCTGTGGGTTTGTCCTAGATGGCTTTTATTACATTAAGGTATGTCCCTTGTATGCCTATTTTGCTGAGAGCTTTAATCATAAACCAATGCTAGATTTTGTCGAATGCTTTTTCTGCATCTGTTGATATGATCATGTGAGTTTTTTTTAATTCTGTTTATTTGGTGTATCACATTTATTGTCTTGCATATGTTAAACCATTCCTGTATCACTGGTATGAAACACACTTGATCTTGGTGGATTATCTTTTTGATATATTGTTGGATTCAGTTAGATAGTATTTTGTTAAGGATTTTGGCATCTGCGTTCACCAAAGATATTGGTCTGTAGTTTTCTTTTTTGGTTATGTCCTTTCATGGTTTTGGTATTAGGGTGATGCTGCCTTCATAGAATGAATCAGGGAGGGTTTCTTCTTTCTCTGTCTTGTGGAATAGTGTGAAAGGATTGGTATCATTTCTTCTTTGAATGAGAGAAGACATTCTTTGAATGTCTGCTAGAATTCTGCTGTGAATCTGTCTGGTCCTTGGCTTTTTTTGTTGGTAATTTTAAAATTACCATTTCAATCTTGCTGCTTGCTTTATTGGTCTGCTTGGGGTATCTAATTCTTCCTGATTTAAGCTAGGAGGGTTGTATTTTTCCAGGAATTTATCCAACTCTTCTAGGTTTTCTAGTTTATGTGCCAAAAGGTGTTCATAGTACCCTTGAATAATCTTTAATATTTCAGTGGTGTCAGTTGTAATATCCCCTGTTTCATTTCTTAGTGAGGTTATTTGGATTTTCTCTCTTCTTTTCTTGGTTAATCTTGCTAATGGTCTATCAATTTTATTTATCTTTTCAAATAACCAACTTTTTGTTTTATTTATGTTTTGTATTTGTTGTTTTTGCTGTTGTTGTGTCAATTTCATTTAGTTCTGCTCTGACCTTGGTTATTTCCTTTGTTTGCTGGGATTGGGTTTGGCTTGTTCCTGCTTCTCTGGTTCCCTGAGATGTGAACTTAGATTGTCTCTTTGTGCTCTTTCAGACTTTTTCAAGTAGGTGTTTAGGGCTACAAACTTTCCTCTTAGCACTGCCTTTGCTGTATCCCAGAGGTCTTGATAGGTTGTGTCATCCAGTTCGAAGAAATTTTTTACATTTCCATCTTGATTTCATTTTTCATCCAATGCTCATTCAGGAGCAGGTTATTTAATTTCCTTGTATTTGCATGGTTTTGAAGATTCCTTTTGGAGTTGATTTTCAGTTTTATTCCACTGTGATCTGAGAGAGTGCGTGATACAATTCCAACTTTCTTAAATTTACTGAGACTCGTTTTATGGTCTATCATATGGTCTATCTTGGAGAAAATTCCATGTGCTGTTGAATAGAATGTGTATTCTGTGGTTGTTGGATGAAATGTTCTGTATATATCTGTTAAGTCCATTTGTTCCAAAGTATAGTTTAAATCCAGTGTTTCTTTGTTGACTTTGTTTTGATGAGCTGTCTAGTGCTGTCAGTGGAGTATTGAAGTCCCCCATTATTATTGTGTTGCTGTCTATCTCATTTCTTATGTCTACTAGTAATTGTTTTATAAATTTGGGAGCTCCAGTGTTAGGTTCATGTATGTTTAGGATTGTCATATTTTTCTGTTGGATGAGACCTTTACCATTATATACTGTCTGTCTTTGTCTCTTTTAGCTGCTGTTGCTTTAAAGTTTGTTTTGTCTCATATGAGAATAGCTACCGCTGCTCGCTTTTGGTGTCCATTTGCATGAAATGCCTTTTTCTACCACTTTCCTTAAGTTTATGTAAGTCGTTATGTGTTAGGTGAGTCTCCTGAAGGCAGCAGATAGTTAGTTGGTGAGTTCTTATCCATTCTGTGGTTCTGTATCTTGTAAGTGGAGCATTTAAGCCATTTACAACCAACATTAGTATTAAAAAGTGAGATGCCATTGCTTTCATCATGTTCTTTGCTGCCTCTGTACTTTGTTTTTGTTTTTTGCTTTTGCTTTTTAACTTGTATTTTTGTTTTATAGGTCTTGTGTGATTTATGCTTTAATGAAGTTCTGTTTTGATGTGTTTCCAGGATTTGTTTCATGATTTAGAGCTCCTTTTAGCAGTTCTTACAGTGCTGGTTTGGTAATGGCAAATTCTGTCAGCATTTGTTTGTCTGAAAATGACTGTATCTTTCCTTCATATATGATGTTTAGTTTTGCTGGATACAAAATTCTTGGCTGATAATTGTTTTGTTTGAGGAGGCTGAAGAAAGGGCCCCAATCCCATCTAGCTTGTAAGGTTTCTGCTGCAAAATCTGCTGTTAGTTTGATAGGTTTTCCTTTATAGGTTACCTAGTGCTTCTGTCTCACAGCTCTTAAGATTATTTCCTTTGTCGTAACTTTGGATAACCTAATGACAATGTGCCTAGGCTAAGATCTTTTTGTGATGAATTTCCCAGGTGTTATTTGTGCTTCTTGTATTTGGATGTCTAGGTCTCTCACAAGGCCACGGAAGTTTTCCTTGATTATTCCCCCAAATATGTTTTCCTGGCTTTTAGAATTCACTTCTTCCTCAGGTACACTAATTAGTCTTAGGTTTCATCGTTTAACAGAATGCCAGACTCCTTGGAGGCTTTGCTCATATTTTCTTATTCTTTTTTCTTTGTCTTTATTGGATTGGGTTAAATCAAAGACCTTGTCTTCGAATTCTGAATTTCTTTCTTCTACTTGTTCAATTCTATTGCTGAGACTTTCCAGAGCATTTCACATTTCTAAAAGTGCGTCCAAAGTTTCCTAATTTTTTATTATTTTTTATTTTTATTTTTATTTAAGCTATCTATTTCCTTGAATGTTTCTCCCTTCACTTACTGTATCACTTTTTGGATTTTCTTGCATTGGGCTTCACCTTTCTCTGGCCCCTCGCTGATTAGCTTAATAACTAACTTGAATTCTTTTTCAGATAAATCAGTGATTTCTTCTTTGTTTGGATCCATTGGTGATGAACTGGTGTGATTTTTGGGGGGGTGTTGAAGAGTCTTGTTTTGTCAGATTACCAGGGTTGGTTTTCTGGTTCCTTCTCATTTTGGTAGACTCTGTCAGAGGAAAGGTCTAGGGCTGAAGACTTGTTCAGACTCTTTTGTCCCACAGGGTGTTCCCTTGGTGTAGTACTCTCCCCCTTTTCCTATGGGCATGGCTTCCTGTGAGCCGAAGTGCATTGATTGTTGTCTCTCTTCTGGGTCTAGACACCCAGAAGGTCTACCTGGCTTTGGGCTGGTATTAGGGGTTGTCTGCGTAGAGCCCGGTGATGTGAACCATCTATGGGTCTCTCAGCCATGGATGTCATCGCCTGTTCCAGCGGAGGTGGTGAAGGGTGCAATAGACTCTGTGAGGGTCCTTAGCTTTAGTGGTGTAATGCTCTATATTTGTGCTGGTTGGCCTCCTGCCAGGAGGTGGTGCTTTCCAGAAGGCATCAGCTGTAGTAGTGTGGAGGGACTGGCAGTGGGCAGGGCCCTAGGACTCCCAAGATTATATGTCCTTTGTCTTCCACTACCAACTTAAACATTTGTGACAATTTCAATATCAGAAATTTATGTGTAATCGAATTTATTCTGGTAGCTTTTTTTCTTATATGCTTCAATCTTTATAATTTAGTTCTCACATGAGAGAGATCTAGTATTGGAAATATTTTCAATCTGTATGTTTATGTATTTATTCTAGTTGTCCTGGTGCAAGGTTATCAATGTTGCTGTGTGACCAGCCATTGGCTTTTCACATTTATAACTCCTCTGAATTTTTTCTTGCCTCATTTCTGGTGCTGGGAAATTCTGATATTTTCTCCTCATCTCCATTGTACATTTTAGGGATTCTTGAAACTTTTGATGCACAAACATCCACACTTTCCACATAAGTAAAATATTTTACTTAGATATTTTCTAGCAGACACTGAGTTCTCATGAGAAATCCTCAGTCTCTTTATTTGGGACACCCCCTCCCCAATATTCCATATGGAGTAGTTGTGTGTAGAATGTGATTACTTCATGAATACGTCAAAGTATGGATACATTTTGAAAACATTTCTGAAGTTGTAATCCCTTTCTTGATGAATAGTACCTGCACATGAGCAGAATTGATGTTTTCTCTGGAGCAGTAAGTTAGCACTGGTAGAATCTGTTCTGTAATCCCAGGTCCTTGGGCTCCAGTGCCAATGCTTCCTCCTTAGATCCTCCCTGACCCTGTAAATTTACCTCAGTCTCTATTTCTTAATCCAATAGCTATTTAAATTGATCTTCAATTACTTTGTATGTGGCCAGATATTATTTATGGGTTATATTCACATTTTTCTGATGTAATTTCAGAGAGCCTAGAAAATATCACCTAGTGAATATCTACTTCCATGAAGTCAGTGACACATTTTTAGGTCTTAAACTTCAATATTTAAAATATTTGTCTCTGGAATTTGAAAATAATATGTATGCTTTGTTTACTGGATAAAAAGGCTAATCACTTGTTCATCTGATTAGTAATCAAAGTTTCTAAAATTTATTTAATACTTGATGTTACTTTATGTTTTATATAAATGTGTATTGCTATGACAGTTTTAGTGTCACCTAATATTATTTTCAATGTTGTAATTTTTATGTATATGAATCTTTGTGCTATACATTTTAATGTCATTGGTATGAAAACTATATGTGCAAATAGCTTGAAATAGCACCTAACACATCATGGATTCTATGTAAATATTCACCACTCTATTTCATCGCATTTTAACCAATTAATACCATTCTTCATTTGCTAACATTTTGTTTGTCCTCATTCAAATGTGTGTTGGTGTCCTGTCTACATATTAATAAAACAGAGGAGGTGGGCCCAGACTTCCATCTTGATTAAATATTAAGACAAATAGCACATTTTCCTAGTTCTATTTATATGCAACATTACATTTGTCTCACACTATAAATATGAGTATTCAGTTAAGTACAGCAAAAAAAAAATAATAATCTTAACCTTCCTACAACAGATGTTGGGATATTCACGGATTGTCTACAGCTTCCTTCTCCCAACATTACTTTTATTCTTACATCTCAGCTGCCATGAAAACCTAGAAGCATGAAATACTACAAATTAGAAACAAATTCCCTGCTATACACAAATTGTAAAAGTAAACCAAGAAGAAAGAGAATATATGTGTACTCATACAGCAAGTAAATAGATTAGACTAATAAGAACTCTTCATCAGTCTAGCCCAGGCTCACATAGCTTCACTAGTGAATTCTATTAAACACTTAACGAATAACCAATCCTTCACAAACACTTGCAAAGCAGAGAAGCAGGAAAACATCAATTCATTTTTGAGGCCAGAATTACCCAGATAACAAATCAGACAAAAGCATCACAAGAAAATAAATAAATAAAAATAAAATAAATCCCTCATGAATGAAGGCAGAAATCTCCAAAAACTCTAGCAAACTGGAGGAAGCAACACATAAAAATGTTAGACAAGCCTGGCATGGCGGTGCACACCTGTAGTCCCAGCTACTTAGGAGGCTGAGGTGGCAGGAACACTTGAGCCCAGGAGTTTGAAGTTATAGTTAGCTGTGACTGTGCCACTCCACCCCAACCTGGGGGACAGAGTGAGGCCTCACCACTAATAAAAATTAAAGAAAATTAGAAAAAAGTTAGACAATTAACCAAGTGGAATTACCCTACAAATACAAATTTAAAAATCAATCAGTGTAATACACCATATTAATAGAATAAAGGAAAAGACCATGAGGATTTCAATGGACATCTGACAATGTCTGACACTCATTCCTGATGAGTCTTCCAGAAATCTAGCAATAGAAATAACTTCCTGAACCTCCTAAAGGACATCCATGAAAATTTAATAAATTCCACTAGGGTATATTGAAAGGCATATTGATACTTCCAACTTTATGGTTTTAAAAATTAACAATGAAATAAGAACTAATAACAGTAATCTATCCATCTGGAAAACATTAAACACCTTTCTAACAATATTTCCTTTGATGTGATAAAGGTAAAAATCCAAATTTAATAATAGGAGTGCTTTTGAGAAGACTGAAATTTGATGTTCCTAATTTTTCTGACTTATTAGCAATTAGAATCTAATTATCAATAATGCCAAGAAGACAGGAGTATTCTCCAATGACATTAGAATGTATAACATAAAGATTTATAGTTCGGCATAATGTATAACACAAAGATTCATTGTTTGGCATAACAGCATTTCATATTTGAATCATTTAATAACATTTTCATCATTGCGTATTCTCCTGGAAATAACACACAATACAGACTTCAAAAAACCAGAGCTTTTGCTGGGGATATGTGCTCCTTCCAAAGGCAATTGATTGTGTGCAATATTCTGAGAATTAATTCCTCCAAAGGTAAAGTGTGGCTCTCTGGGCTTCTGGTAATATCCTGAAAATTCACATATTCAAAAAGTCTTTTCCACTACAAACCACCATAAATGCTGGACAACAGAATATCTGCTCAACTGCCCAAATTATACTTTGGGGCTTTTGTACACAGTTTTTGCACAGAAATATTTAAGTGAATATAAATTAATTGAAATGTTTTCCAGGTGGATATTGAGGGAGAAACAGAAAAATCCAAGACAATCCCCTGTGGAAGAAAATTCTCCAACCCAAATCTCAACCGAACTCACAGCGCTGAACAGCGCATCAATTAAGACCTGTCAAATATAATCACACTATCTAATAGTTTTAAATATGCAAAATAAAGAGCACCAAAGTCAATGTAATTCAGAAATAACAGCAACAAAACCAGAGCACCCCGATGCAATTAGGCCACAAGGAATTCCAAAGTAGTGTATTAGGTATAGAAAATATATATGTAATTAGAAATGTTTACAGAGATTAGAGAGATTTTTTAAAAAAAGATTTGGCCTCTAAGACAGTTAACAATTCCAGTAAAGAAGAAAAGAGAAATTCAATGTTTGATATACATACATAAAAATAAATTTCAGGAAAATGAAAAGTCCATGTGATGACAGAATCCAAATTATATAAAAGATAGAAATCTCAATATTTGTTTTTACACATTTTAAGGAAAAAACAACCCCGAAAGCATAAAATGCAGAAAATAATGTTAATAATTCTTGAGTTTTCAAGTCCCTCTCACTGACTTTGGCACTTAGAGAACAGCCAGCACAGGCTCAGGATCACCTAATGGTCATTTCTGCCAAGGAGACCAAACTCATGAAAATGGAGCAGAAAGCTATGCGCACAAGATGGATGGATGCTCCTCTCCCAGAGACCAGCAGGTTCAGGTGTAGAGGGAGTGGGCCAGGGAGGGGCTGTGAGCACCAACCTGGGAGGGGTGGCTAGACTTCCATAGGACCCTCCTGTCCGCAGGTTTAAAATTAGGCACATAGACCAATGGAACAGAAGAGAGAACCCAGAAATTAACCCAAATACTTACAGCCAACTGATCTTCGACAAAGTAAACAAAAACATAAAGTGGGGAAAGGGCACCCTTTTCAACACACGATGTTGGGATAATTGGCGAGCCACATGTAGGGGAATAAAACTGGATTCTCATCTCTCACCTTATACAAAAATCTACTCAAGATGGATTAAGAACTTAAACCTAATTCCTGAACTATAAAAATTCTAGAAGATAACACTGCATAAACCCTTCTAGACATTGGCATAGGCAAGGATTTCATGACCAAGAACCCAAATGCAAATGCAATAAAAACAAAGATAAATAGCTGGGACTCATTTAAACTAAAGAGCGAGCTTTTGCATTGCAAAGGGAACAGTCAGCAGAGTAAATAGGCAACCCACAGAGTGGGACCCCTGACCCTGACCCCGACCCCTAACCACTGACCCTGACCCCTAACCCCTGACCCTAACCCCTAACCCTTAACCCTAACTGCTAACCCTAACCCCAACCCTCACCCTAACCCAACCCTAACCCCTAATCCCTAACCCCTAACCTCTCTTAACCCCAAACTCTAAACGTTGACTCCTAACCCCTAACTCTGACCCCAACCCCTATCTCCAACCCCTAACCCTAAACTTAACCCCTAACCCTAACACCAACCTTAACCCTAGGTTCGTTACTACGTTTGTATTGACTATGTCAATGCTGATTATTATGATCGCTGTCTTAGGACTGCACGGCAGCGAGGGGATTGCGGATCTTATATTAATATTTTTGTATTGAGGCAGTGCATTAGCATTACAGGTGCTTGTTACATGAGCAATGGGGGTGTCATGTCTGCATTAGGAATGCTGCATTTGTCTTCCTAGGCTGCGGTGTGTATCTCGCACTGCGGCCGCCTCGCCTTGGCTGGGGAGAACTTCGGTGGGCAGGATTCAGAGGGGCTTTTGGTTTCCCGTTTTCCACACTGAACCCTTCTAACTGGTCTCTGACCCTGATTATTCAGGGCTGCAAACAGGAAGGATTTTATTCACCGTCGATGCGGCCCCGAGTTGTCCCAAAGCGAGGCAGTGCCCCCCAAGGTCTGTGCTGAGGAGAACCCTGCTCTGCCTTCGCGGTGTCCCCGGAGTCTGTGCTGAGCAGAACGCAGCTCCGCCCTCGCGGTGCCCCCGACCCGCCCAGGTCTGTGCTGAGAAGAACATTGCTCCGCCTTCACTGTATCTCCAAAGTCTGTGCTGAGGAGAACGCAGCTCCGCCCTCGCAAAGGCCCCCCAGCGCCGGCGCAGGCGCGGAGAGGCGCACCCGAACCCGAATCCTAACCCTAACGCCGTCCTAACAGCCCTGGGGAGACCTTAGGGAACAAGCATTAAACTGACACTCGAGTCTGTAGCCGGCTGTGCCAAAAGACTTGAGGTTGGGGTGATATGGGAGCAGGGGTCGGGGAAGAAAGCGTTCTGGTTTTAGACCCACAGGAAGATCTGTGAAGCGCTCTTGGGTAGAGCACATGTTGCCGGGCGTGCCCTTGAAAACAGCCTAAGAAGAGGGGGCGTCTGGAAGGAACGGCAACGCCACGGGAGGGTGTCCAGCCTTCCCGCTTCAACACCTGGACACATTCCGGAAAGTTTCCTAAGAAAGCCAGAAAAATAATAAAAAATAATAATCCAGAGGCCAGGGGGCGCTAATGGGGCTTTACTGGGACTATCTGGCTTAATCCTCCAAACAACCCTGCCACAGCAGCCCATCAGTCCTCTGAGACAGGTGAGGAACCTGAGGTCGCAGGAGGACACCCAGAAGGTCCAGGCAGAGCCCCCTAGGCCCCCACACCTCCCCCCGTGGCAGCTCCAACCCCAGCTTTTTCACTAGTAAGGCACTCCAGCTGCAGGTCCACGCCCGCTCCCCCAAGCGGGGAAGGCGCTTCGCGCTGCCGCCGGCTGGGGACTGGGCACCGCCCTCCCGCGGCTCCGGAGCCGGCTGCCACCAGGGGGCGCGCCCGCGGTGTCCGGGAGCCTGGCGGCGCGTCTGCAGCTGCCAGTGCACCTGCTCCTGCTCTCACCGCTGTCTCTGCCAGGACCCCGACGCCCAGCCGGACCCTGCCCTCCAGCGGGGCTGCGGCTCCACGGCCTGCGACAGCAGCCCCACCCCGCATTCGGCGCGCTCCCGGGGGCAGAGGTCGCGGTGTCCTCAGGCTGTGGCGCCGGCCTGCAACCCCCACGCCGGGCTCGGGCCCCCCGGCGGAGGAGGGCGATGCTCCCTGGGTAGGGCGACCTGTCACCTGGGCTGGGAGGGCGGCTTAGGGGCGGAAGCGGCGGTCCAGGGCCGCCTGGTGCAGCAGCCTGTCTCAGCCGCGGTCCCTCCAGTCCCTCCCTGGCGGCTGCGGAGCCGTCCGAGGACAGGGGCCATAAACTCTCCAGAGCGGGAAGCCGCACGCTGGTGGCCCGGCCCCGCGCACAGACCTGGCGGCAGCTGGCACCTGACCCGCTGCATGGGTCTCCAGGGAGCTCGCTGCCCACCCGGCGCTGCAGCCTCGGCTCCCTCGTACGCGCTCTGGTAGGTGCTAGGGACGACCCTATGGGCCAGCTTGCCATGCCAAGTCCCCAGGCCGCACCCACCGTGGCTCCGTGGGCTAGGGGACTGGCTCCTCCTGTGGGTCGTGGGGCTGGGAGGCAGGGACTTTAGGGGAGAGGGAGGGACCGAGGGCAGCCCCTGCTGTGTGCGCAGCGAGGTCGTGCACAGGCCTCTGTTGCAGAGCGTGCAGCTTCAGCTGGCACTGGATTGCAGGTGGAGATGACTGTGTGTGCGCACACCTGGGGGTGAAGAGGACGCAGCCTGTCTACCTGACCCATGAAATGGAGGAGACTGTACCCCAGAAGCAGCGGGTTCACTGCTCCATTGATTAAGCAAGTCTGGGACACACATGTAGCTAAGCTGTGACTTCTGTGCCAGCGGTCCCAACACCCACGCCTTCAGGAAGACACATGTGTGAGGGGTTGCATGTTTGTCAGGCCTGAGAGTGGAGAGCAGGGGCCAGAGACACTAGGTAGGGGGAACCCACCCTAGGGCTCTGAGGGACGACGATGTGGGAAGCTGGTGGCAGAGACTGAGCTGGCCCAATGTTGCAGGGTGGGGACAGAATAGAGGTCCACCACACCCTAGGTGGACAGCTGAACCTGAGTAGACATCAGGCCCCAGATCGACATCTGGCCCCAGGTAGATTCCTAGGCCCAAGGTGAATACTCAGTCTCCAGCCCTAGGGGAATTCAGTCTTAGTTGATTAAGGACTGGTGTTCCTCTGGGGCCTCATGTCTACCTGGGCCCTGGGAGTGCATATGGAGCCAGATGTCTATAAAGGGCCTGAGTGTCCACTAGGGCCTGAGGTTCACCAGGAGCATAGACATCCACCTAGGACCTCGTGTCCACCTAAAACCTGGTGTTCACCTGGGACCTGGGTGACAACCTGGGATCTGATGTTCACCTGAGGCCCAGAGTTCAGCTGGTGCCTATGTCAGCCTGGCACCTGATGCACACAAGAGGACTAGGTGCCCACCTGAGGACTGGTGTTCATGGGGAATTGGTGTTCAGCAGTGGCTTGATGACCAACTGGGTCCTGGTGTCCTCCTGGCACCTGGTGTCCACCTGGGACTGCATGCTTACCTAGGGCCTGGTGTTCCCCTGGGGCCTGGTGTGCCCCTGAGACCTGGGGTCCACCTGGGCCTAGTATCCACTTGGGGCCTCATATCCATCTGGAACATCATGTCCACCTGGGGCCTTGTAGTTACCTAGGGACTGGGTGTCCTTCTGGCACTTGAGTGTCCTCCTGGGGCCTGGGGTTCTCCTGGGGCCTGGGTGTACATCTCTGGCCTGATGTCCACCTTGGGATGGATGTCCCCCTGGGGACAGATGTTCACTTGTGGCCTGAGTGTCCATTTCGTGTCTAATGTCTACCTGGGGCCTGGTGTTTGTCTGAGGCCTTATATCCACCTGGGGCCTGGGCATCCATTTGAGGCCTGATGTCTACCTAAGACCCAGTGTTTAATTGGGGCACAGACTTCTTCCTGGAGCCCAACATTCATCTAGAGCCTGAAGTTCACCTATGCCTGTTGTCTACCTGAGGCCTATGTGTCAACCTAGGGCCTGATGACCACCCTGAGTTCAGTGTTCACCTGGGGCCTGACATCTTCCTGGAGTCTGGATGTCCACATAGGGCCTGATGTTGGCTTGGGACCAAAGTATTTACCTAGGGCCTGGGTGTCTACTTACAGCCTGACTTCTACATGGTTCATTGTGTCAACCTGGGACCTGATGTCCACATAGGGCCTAGGTAAGCTCCTTATGACTAAAGTCCACATGGGGGCTGAAACCATCTCAGACTTTGTGTTAACCTAGGGCTTGGTGTCCACCTGAGGCCTGCCTGGGACCTGGTGACCCCCTGGGGTCAAGGTATCCATCCACCTTGGGCCTGATGACCAATTGGGACTTAAGGATCTACCTAGAGACTGGTGTCAACCTGGAACCTGATGTCCACTTGGGGTCTGGTGTACACCTTGGGCCTGATGCCCACCTGGGCACGGGTGTACACTTTGGGCCTAGTGTGCACCTGAAGCCTGGGGGTCAACCTGGGTCTTGATGCGCACCTTTAGTCAAGTGTTTAACTGGGGCCTGATGAAATACTGGAGCCTGATTTACAGCTGTGTACTGGGTCTCCTCCACCTGGGGCCTGATGTCCACCTGCAGCCAGATATCCACCTGGCATCAGATGTCTACGAGGAATCTGGGTGTCCACCTTGAAAATGATGTATTCCAAGAGACTAGGCATGCACATTGGGCCTGGGGTCCACCTGGGTCCTGATGTCTACCTGAGGCTGGTATTGAACTGGGGCCTGTGTGTTCACTTGGAGCCTGATGTCCATTTGGAAACTGGTGTTCACCTAGGACATGGGTATCCACCTGGATCCTGATTTTCAGGTGGGGAGTGGCTATAGACCTGGGAACTGATGGCCACCTATGCTATAAGTAACCCACCCCACCTGGGGCCTGGTGTTCACCTGCGGCCTGATATCCACCTGGTACCTGTGTGTCAATCTAGTGCCTGGTGTCCACTTGAGGACTAGGCAGACACCTGGGGCCTGGTGTTCATCTTGCACCCAGTGTCCACCTGGACCCTGTGTATCAACCTGTGGCCTAGGTGGCCACTGTAGCTTTATGTGCACCTGGGGCCTGAGAGTTTCCTAGGATCTGATGACCACTGGGGCCCAGGTATCCACCTGGGATATCAGGCTTCAAGTGTACGCCCAGGCTCCACATGGACACCAGGCCAGGAGAACGCCAGCCCTTATCTGAACATCAGGTCCTAGATGGATGCCCAGGCCCCATATGTACATCAGGCCCCGGGTATACACTGGACTCCAGGTGGACACCAGCACTCAGTTGGATACACACACTCAAGGTGGACACCAGGCCCCACGTGAATTCCTACACTCCAGGTAAACATCAGGTCCTAAGTGGATACCTGGACCCCAGGTGGATACCAGTCTCTAAATTAATACCAGGCCTCAGATGGTCCTTAGGAGCCATGTGTGCATTAGTCATCAGGAAGTTACCTAGGCCCAAAGTGGACATCAGGCCCCATGTTGACACAAGAGCTAGTTGGAAGTCAGGCCCCAGGTGGACACCCAGGCCCTAGGTAAATACTTAGGTCCCAAGTTGATGGCAGGCCCTATGTGAACACTCAGAACTCAGGTGGACATGAGGCCTCAGGTGGACATCTGAGTTCATCTGGAACCTCGTGTTACAGGCCCCATGTAAACACCAGGCCTTAGGTGGATACCCAATCTCTAGGTGGACATCAGAGCTCAGATTGACACAAAGACCCCAGTAGACATAATGTACCAATGAATATCCAGGCCCCTTGTTAATACCCCGGCCCCAAATTGACACCAGGGTCTATGTGGACACACAGGCCCCAGTTAGAAAACAGGCCCAAGGTGGACACTGGACTGGACATCAGGTCCTAGGTTGACAACCATGCTTCAAGTTGACACCAGACCCCAAGTGAACATCTGGCCCCAGCTGGACACTAGTCCCCTGATGAATACCTAGGCTCAAGGTTGACATCAGGCCCCATGTGAACACTAGACCCCAGATAAACACTTATGCCCTAAGTAGACATCAAGCCTCAGGTGGTTACCCGGTCCCAAGGTGAACATCAGGACCCCGATGGGCACCAGTTATCAAGTGGATTCTTAGGCCCCAGGTGAATATCAAGCCCTAGGTGGATACCAGGCCCCAGGTGGATACCAGGATCCTGGTAGACATCAGGTCCCAAGAGGACACTAGAACCCAGGAGTACATTAAGCCACATTAGCATGAAGGCCCCAGATGAATACCAGGCCAACTTGTGGACATCAGGCCCTAGGTGGACACAGGGCCACAGGTGGACATCTAGCTCCTGGGCGACATCCAGCTCCAGGTGGACATAAAGGTTTCCATGGATAAACCATTCCCAGGTGGATATCAGGCCTCAAGAGGATGGCAGTCACCAGGTAGACATCCGGCCTCAGATAGACACCAAGGTCCCAGATGTACAGCAGGCCCCAACCGAACCCCAGACTCATGTGGACATCAGGCCACAGGTAGACACCAAGCCTTAGGTAGATAAATAACTTCAGGTAGACATCAGACCCAAGGTGGACACCCAGTCCCCAGGTGGACAATCAGGCCCCAGGCACACATCAGGCCTTAAGTGGACACCCAGGCCCCAGGTTGATATCCAGCTCCCAGGTGATCACCAAGCCCCAGGTAGACACCGGGCCATAGGTGAGCAACAGGATGCAGTAGGTCATCAGGCCACAGCTGGATACCAGTCCCTGGTGAACATAAGGTCCCAGTGGGACATAGACCTAAGGCAGACATCAGGCCCCAGGTGGACATACAGGCCTGAGGTGGAATTCACCCTGAGGGGGACATCGGGCCCCAGGTGCACATCAGGCCTCAGGTGAGTAACCAGTCCCCAGGTGGACATTAGCCCGCAGGTCAACCACAGTCCCCAGGTTGATACCTGGTCCCCAGGTGGCTACCCAATCTGCAGGGTAACATTAGGCCCCTGTAGGATCACAGGCTGCAAGTGGATTCCTAGGTCTCTGGTGAACATCAGGTGCAGGTGTCCAAGCAGGCCCTGGGTGGACATAACTGTGTACAGGTAAGGAGTTGACCTGTGGGGAGGGTGAGCAGTCAGCAGCCCACTGGGGTCCTGAGAAGGTTTTCTGGAAGGAGGAGGCCGAGGGGATGGAAACTTAAAGAAGCGACCTCACTTCCTTGGCAACAGACCCTAACAGAACTTAGAATTCTGGTAACCAGGCCAGGCACGGTGGCTCACACCTGTAATCCCAGCACTTTGGGAGGCCAAGGCAGGAAGATCATGAAATCAGGAGATCGAGACCAGCTTGACCAACATGGTAAAACCACATGTCTACTAAAAATACAAAAAACAAACAAACACAAAAAACCTAGCCAGGTGTGGTGGTGCGTGTCTCATGCCTGTAATCCCAGCTACTCAGGAGACAGAGGCAGGAGAATTGATTGAACCCAGTAGGTGGATGTTGCAGTGAGCCGAGATCATGCCACTGCACTCCAGCCTGGCCAACAGAATGAGACTATGTCTCAAAAAAAAAAAGAATCCCGATAACCGGGCACCCACATCCTAGCATTAGCCCCATAGCCAGCTCACTTGGTGGGAGACGCTCAAGAGAGCAAGATGTTCTTGTGCTGCATCCCCACATCTCAAGGCTCCTGCTTCAGGAATGGCAGGAGTGAGAGCCTTTCTTTGCTGATGACGCCCTTGTAGGCTCATCCCTCACCCCAGATGCCTCTGGCCATTTGGCAGAAGCCCCCCGCCCAGGTACCACAGGACAGGAGTCACCAGGTAGACATCAGGCCCCAGATGGAGCTACCAGGCCAGGCCTCACCAGTGATCCCACCAGGGCCACATCTGCACATTGTCCTTGTCCAGCTGGAGCCTCTGGAGCTCATTGAGACACAGGCACATGCTGAGGTCACCTGCAGTCTGGAAGTCTTTCCAGGGACAATGTTTTCAGGCTGAAATTCCTTTAAATTCAATGAGGTTGTTTTCATGTTTGGAAATTCCAGTGGAAAGTGAGTGGTATTGGTGACCTCTCTCCTTTTTCAGCTCCTGCTTCAGGTGCAGAAATACAGCGATTTCCAGTGCCAGCTGTTGAGCCAGTGCCAGCACCAGGGGCAGATTCCCCTCCAGGGACAGCGCTGGAGCTAGAGGAAGCTCCAGAGCCCTCCTGCCGCTGCCCTGGGACTGCCCAGGACCAGCCCAGTGAGGAGCTGCCTGACTTCATGGCACCTCCTGTAGAGCCACCGGCCTCAGCCCTGGAGCTGAAAGTGTGGCTGGAGCTAGAGGTGGCAGAGAGGGGTGGCCAGCACAGCTCCAGCCAGCAGCTCCCACACTGCTCCCAGTCCTGGGCACAGTGGAAGCTATGGAGGCAGAGACCAGGGTTTGCAATCTGGGCTCCTCTGCCTCACTGGAGAGGGACTTCTCTCATTCAGCAGAGCAGCAGCCCTGCTGCTGAAGGGCCTGCTGCTACTGCTGCTGGGGCTGTTTGCCTGCCTGCAGGAGGTGCTGGAGAGCAAGAAAAGGAGCCTGTGAGCAGGGGTTCCAGCAGGTCCTCCTGCTCCCAGAGGCGACCTCCTCCTCCAGGCATGGAGGTTTGCCCTCAGCTGGGCATCTGGGCCATTTGCCCCTAACGTGCTGCCCAGGATGGCCTCCTCTTGACAGGCGGACAGGGGGTGAGGGGGCCAGGGGGCATCTCCAAAGGAAGCTTTTAAACTCAGCAGCTGCACCCCAGAATCTGTATGCCTGCACCTGCCCAAGGATTTATTCATAGCTTACCTAAGAATTTCAAATTTCTACCATAACACTGAATAAAGTTTGACTTTTTGAAACTTCCATGGCTTCTTTCACTCCCTAATATTGTAGATGGTGTTTTTGAGGCGATGTTGAAAACCTCTGATAGTTGTGTGTTTTGTTGTGGTTCTTTCTGTGATTAAATTACCATATGATCAAGTGATATTGAAAACCCTTCAGGTATGGCTTTTAGAAGACTTTGACCTATTTTTGCTTGTGTTGACTCTCCCTTCAGCCTTGTGGAAAGAGGGATCATGTAGGTTTCATTTCTCAGGCAGATCAGTCACTTTTTGCCATCAAAGTTTTAGCATCCATTTCCAAAATTTGGTGTACAAGTTGATATTTTGGTGTTTTCAGCTAATCTTGGGTCAAAACAGAATGCCATAGATGAGGAAGCTTATAAACAAATTTGTTTCTCTCAGTTCTGGAGATAGCAAAATTCAAGGTCAAGTGGTTAGCAGATTGCAGGTCTGGTGTGGGCTTGCTTTGTGGTTCATAGACAGCCATGTTTCTACCATGTCCTCACATGACAGAAGGGATGAGGGAGCTCTCTATGGTGCCTTCAATAGGGGCTACTAATCCCACTCATGTGGTCCCTGCCTTCATGATCTAATCATTCTCTAAGGCCCTACCTCCAAATATCATCACATAGGGAATTAGATTTCAACACTTGAATTTGAGGGGACAATAACATTTGGTCTATAGCATCAGGTTACCCAGAGCCTTATGCACTCAGAGGAAATCCAAAATCACCTATAAGTATTTGCTGGTCCCCTCTGGGCTTAGGGAAATCTCTAATTGCAGCTCTTGATTCAGCTTGGTCCAAGCTTAAATTCTAAATTTGCCTGCATAACTTGTTCATGGGACAGAGGGAAGTTTAGAGGCAACTGACCATTTGGAGTTTTAGGACAAATGATGCAAGAGGGCTTGGCATCTGGATGAGAAGTGGAGGGAGAATAGAACAAAGGCACAGAAGGAGAGAGCACAATGAGAAAGGGAAAGAGGGACATCTGGACATAAGGGCCAACTGGAGGGCAGGGAAGGTAATTTTCCTTACATTTTAAACTCAGACCACATATCACATCAGAATCACGTGAGGGAGACATTTTCAATGCATATTCCTGGGTTTCTTCTCTTGGAAGTTTTTATTTCTTAAATCTTGAGTTGTGCTGATTTATCCATATTTATCATAAGAATTTTGGATAATTCTTATTTAGGGAGGCCTAGGCAGGTGGATCACTTGAGGTCAGGAATTCAAAACCAGCCTGGCCAACATGGTGAAACCTCATCTCTACTAAAAATACAAAAATTAGCCAGGCATGATGGTGCACGCCTGTAGTCCCAGCTACTTGGCAGGCTGGGGCAGGAGAATCACTTGAATCAGGGAGGCAGAGATGACAGTGAGCTGAGATCATGCCACTGCACTCCAGCCTGGGCAACAGTGAGACTCCATCTCCAAAAAAAAAAAAAAATTGTGGATAAATCTGATGCAGTTAGAAAACAAAGCAGAGCTTGACAACCACTGGGTTGGGACGTATATCAAGAAGACATTTGATTATGTAAAATAACTGCAAAACAAACTGAAGGGGAATTATTTTAAAATGCTTGAATATAATTATATAATTCAACTCTTCCTATGTATGTAGTTTGACCACATATTTGATGTCTGCTGTACTAAGATTGGAAATGCGTAGAAGTTTTTCTAAAAATCAGGTAGAAGCACAGAAAAAAGGAGTTGGAGAGAAAAGAAAACTAGCTGTTGTCTGGTAACAAGAGAAGAGAAGGGAAACGAAGTAGCATATTTTTGTTCATTGTTTGATGGCATCTAAATTATGATCCCAAATATTTTTTTCTAAGAAATCCAATAATACAAGTATTCGGAGTGGAGTACCAACACTGATTTACTGGGAAAGAGAAGTGTATTCTGTTTTGCTGCACAATGTTGAGGGAGAAGGAAAGGAAAATTAGTTGAGTAAACAAGAAAGAGACTGGTCCTCAGGGAAGCTGTCTGCCTGAAAAATCACAACTACTGCACCTACAGATAAGCCCTGCACAGATGAGCATGCAGGGTCCAGCACAGACGCCTTCTGTTCTTTGTGTAATTGGCAAGCTCCCAGGAAAAATTTTCCTCCCTTTTTCAGGCATATACACGGTGGCCTCTGTGGGAACTTACACAGGGAGGAGGGGGGCTCACCTAAAACAAACCCACAGTTATACAAGAGAAGCCCACTTTGTGCTTGACTAGAGACATACCCACAGCTGGATATATAAAGGGAATTGTGCAGACAGTTTTATACATAGCTGAGAGGAGTTTCTTATAAAAGCTTTTTGATTCAACTGTAAAAACGGAAATCCACTTGGACGCCCTTGTCTGCTGCAGAGAGCTTCCTCCTTTTGCTTATTAAACTTTCACTCCAACCTCACCCGTGTGTCCTGGTTCCTTAATCATCTTGGTGGTGAGATAAAGAACTCCAGGTGATACCTCACAAGAGAGACTGCTACATTGTGGTGCCTTGGTGAGACTGCAACTTTAAGAAGTGTGACTTTTATTGCTGCTGAATTATTTTATCTCCTACCCAATTGAAAATAAAGGATATAAAGTGCTTAGGTTGAACACAAAGTCCTCTGCTCTAGGTAACATCTTCAGCAGCCACATTAGTAGAGGGATGGGTGGTAATGGTGGAGTAGATGTCTCTTTGCTTCTGACAGGGTGTCTGCTTATGTGTTAAACAAAATAGTATGCTATATATTTCATTAAGAAATCTGCTAAAAAATGAAGTAAAACAGGTTCATGTTCTTAAGAGGCACAGTATTTGCTACGGCAGCAAGACCAAAAGGCTTAAGTAGCAAAAATGTGCATAGTAGTTACAAACATTTTCATATAAACAAAACAATGTGAGCATCTGTATATGACAATAACTCATGAAAAAAATATTTTTTAACTGAAATTGAAATCATACATAACAAATGTTATCACTGTATTCTGAGGTAATATATTGTTTGTATATAGATGTTATAAATAATAACTTGTTTAAGTTACTCATCATTTATACAACAAATAATTCTTTGGAATCTACAAAATGCTGGTTTTGTTCTAGGCACTGAATGTACAAATTGATTTAAAATATGTGTTCTTAGAGTGTGGTAGATTAAAAAATACAAAATAGGCTGGGCACAGTGGCTCATGCCTGTAATCCCAGCACTTTGGGAGGCCGAGGCAGGTGGATCACCTGAGGTCAGGAGTTCGAGACCAGCCTCACCAACATGGTGAAACCCCATCTCTACAAAAAATACAAAATTAGCCGAGGGTGGTGGCACATGCCTGTAGTCCCAGCTACTCGGGAGGCAGAAGCAGGACAATCGCTTGAATCCGGGAGGTGGAGTTGGCAGTGAGCCGAGATTGAACCATTGCACTCCAGCCTAGGCAACAAGAGCAAAACTCTGTCTAATATCTATACATACATTTTGTATATATACATATATACATATGTGTATATATATACATAATATATTTATACATATACATATATGGTATATGTATATTATATATGCATATACATATATTATACATATACATATACATATATATGTATATGTACATATATATCTGTCTAATATATATACACATATACATATATATGTATATGTGTATATATACATACATATATGTATATGTATATATGTATATATGTGTATATATACATATACACATATGTATATATGTGTATATATACATATACACATATGTATATATGTGTATATATACATATACACATATGTATATGTGTATATATACATATACACATATGTATATGTGTATATATACATATACACATATGTATATGTGTATATGTGTATACATATTTGTGTATACATATTTGTATTTTAATATTTGTATTTTTAATAGAGATGGGGTTTCACCATGCTAGCCAGGCTAGTCTTGAACTCCTGACCTCATGATTCGCCTGCTTCGGCCTCCCGAAGTGCTGGGATTACAGCCTCTTTTCTTATACATTACCCAATCTCATGGAGTTTCTTTATAGCAGGGCAAGGATGGCCTATTACACCCCCGCAGGATGTTATCCTTATTGAGACCAGTTGGCCAGAAGAGAAATTAAATTTACTGCACTCTGATTTGGTTGTTGGTCCTACAATCCTCAAATAAGATTGATCGTAAACTTCAAAAGTCTATTGACAAGGAAGCTATGCATGTTGTAAGTTCCATTAAAGAATATGATGATGCATGTGGGGACTTTTTTGGCTGGTTGTGTTGTTTACTGTCCTCTGATTCTATCTATAACTTTCTTGTATGCCCAATCTTCACTATTTTTATACATGTATTGCTATTTTATCATTATATGTCTCCTGTCAATGCCATGCCTATTGCAGGAAAAGAAAAAGATGCAATCAAAGACCCAGATCGTCATAAATTGTAGGATAGATCTGATCCAGGATGGCTTTTCAGATTGAACCCTGGGCCTTACTCCCTCTCACCACTTAAACAATTGGCTATTAAATCACGTCAGATTGTGTCCTTCTTCTATGATCTGAACTCACTAATATTGAAACTATCATCACCAATGACAGATGACCAAATAAACAACCCTGGGAATGAGACTTCCTAGCATTGTGGGACTTCCTGTTGGTTGTTGGCCTTCACATACATTCCATAAAATGATCTTTGGCCAATAGTGGGGACTGAGGCCTCAACTCTGACCTTTTATTCTCTTGCCAAAAATCCTGTCTAAGGGGCCTGGAGATTCACACTCTACAAGCCATAAAATCTCATGATTTTTTTTTCAATTAACCTGGTATAATGTGGCTTATTTTCCAACCTGACCCTGTGACAGCATCACATAACAGATGGCAGACCCCCTTATCTTAACTCAAGTATTCCTTTCTACTGACTTCATGTCTTTACACAGTGGTTTAACTCTCTTGACCAACTGTCAACTAAAGAATTCCTAAAACTCACCTATGACTTGTAAGACCCCTCCTTGAGATGTCTTGCCTTTTCAGGATGAACCAACGTATACCTTCCACTTATTGATTTACAACTTAATTTGCAATTTGTCTCCATGAAATGTACAAAATCAAACTGTAAGCTGACCACCTTGGGCTCACTCTCCCAGGAGCTCTGAAGACTGTGTAACCCTAGGCCATGGTCACTCGCATTGGCTTAGAATAAAGCTATCCAAATACTTTGGCAGAATTTGGTTTTTCCATCACCACAGCTGAAAAAACTTGACCTTCACAAAACCACTTCTCTGTTTAGTAGAAATTTCCCAGGGCTACAAAGCCTTCCCTGTATGAGCTGCAAATCAAGCCAAAACGTTACCAGAGATGAAGAGATGGGGACAGCCATCAGGCCTGGGGATGGACCTCCCTGGAGCTGGGCATTCAAGAGGATGAGTGCAGCAGAAGACGTATCCAGGGAGGTCTGGTCTGCTGATTTTTCTAGGCATAAAGCAAATTTATTTTTTAAATTAAAATAAAAATGCATGAACTTTCAAATGTACTTAGTGTAACATATTGAACTTAAATTCCAGTTTTCCTGGAATTACTTATGTCTTGAGCTAAAGGCTGTATTTGGTATAACAGGGAAGGAAAGGAATTATTTTTCCCACAAAATTAGTTTAAAAACACATATAATTAAACAAAATAAAAATATTATCTCATCTTTTAAAGAACATTTACTAATTCACAGATATTACCCGAAGTTTAGAAAACCACCTAAGAACAATTGTTTAAAAATTATTTAGGGAAAATGAAGCAAAATTGTTGTTACAACCTGAGATTTTAACAGCCAGTGCACTCCTGTTCCTCAGCTGAATGTCCCCTTCATTCTGAATGTCTGCAGTAGAATTGAATTGGGGAGCAGCTAGTTTCCAGGGAAATATTCACTCCTGTTTTGTTCTCTCCCCAATCTCAGCCTTTCAGTGACTGTTTGGGCAAAGCCTCCCTTGTGGTAGAAGATGCCTCACTTCTGGGGAGAGGAGGCTCCTCATCTTGCAGACAAGAAGCAGCACCCACTGGTTCCTGCTCCAAAAGCCATTAACATTATAAACTGGCCAGGTGCGGTGGCTCAAACCTGTAACCCCAGCACCATTTGGGAGGTTGAGGCAGAAGGATTGCTTGAGCCCAGGAGTTTGAGAACAGCCTGGGCAACAAAGTGAGACCCAATCTCTACAAAAACTAGAGAAAAAATAGCTGGGTGTGGTGGCACTCACCTGTACTAAGGAGGCTGGGCTGGGAGGATCTCTTGAGCCTAGGTGGTTGAGGCTGCAGTGAGCCAAGATCACACCTCTGCACTTGAGCTTGGGTGACAGAGTAAGACCCTATCTCAAAAAATAAAGTACAAACTGATTCACAACAACTTTGGTTTTGTCACTAAAATGCTGAATATTTTTGTTACAACTAATATGCAGAATGCAAACTGGCTATCACTACCATTCTGATAATGGTATTAGCTGTCCTACATACCTGACGACCTAATGCTTAACCTAATCTTCCTCTTTCCCACTTTGATGTGGAAACTTGTTGCAATAGAGTTCTTTACCCCAAAGTCTTAAGGAATTCAAGACAAGACTAGAATATGTTAAGATACCACAAAAACAAAAAATATGCATAGTTAAGAGCTTTCATGAGTAAGCAAATTTTATACATATAAAAATAATTTACATGCAAATGACCAAGAGGAAAGGTTAAGTGACTCTAGTGTAAATAATTAGTTTTCTGATCCTGCCAGAGCATATTAAGAAAAATTCACTTTGGCAAAATTATATGGATTTAAAGAAGTAACAAGTGGGTTTCTCTAAAGCACAGTTCGGCTTTTTACTAGAATATCAAGTCAGCTTTTTTGGGTGAGGAGAGTACAAAGGGAGTGGGCAGCTGGTGAAAATAAACATTTAAAATTACTTAAAACTTCAACGAATGGGATCTGTATTTAAATCTGTTTTGGTCTATCTTCCCTTTGTTTTTTCTAATCCCAACAATGCAAACCTCAGCCACTGTCAAGGGCAGTCTCAGACTGGGGGTTGCTGCCTAGGGTGAGGTTCTAGCAAGACTTACAAGCAGAGCTCAGGGAAAAGTCTGCATGGGAAAACAGAGCCAGACTTAGAAGGCATTGCTGATGAATCCCATTTTCTTATTACAGGAGAGCTAGCAAAAACTGCAATATGATGTGTAAAGTCAGTGCAATCTTATGGAAATTATACCAAGTCACAACATGAGGCATGAGATACCTCAGATGTTGTTCCCTCTAAATCTCATGTTGCATTGTGATATCCCCAATGTTGGTGGTAGGTCTGGAGGGAGGTGATTGGATCATGGGGGTGGATTTCTCAGGAATGGTCTAGCATCATCTCCCTGGTGCTGTCCTTGTGATAGTGAGTGAATTCTTGCAAGATCTATTTGTTTAAAAGTGTGTGGTGCTTCCCCTGCCTTGCCAGGTGATGTGCCTGCCTGCTCCTTCTTCATCTTCTGCCATGAATAAAAGCCTCCTGAGGCCTCACCAGAAGCTAGGCAGATGCCAGAACCATGCTTGTACAGCCTGCAGCTATACAAACTTCTTTTCAAACCTCTTTTCTTTATATATTTCCCAGTCTCAGGTATTTCTTTATAGCAATGCAAGAATGGCCTAATACAGAAAATTGGTTCTGAGACATGGGGCATTGCTATAAAGATACTTGAAAATGTGGAAGTGACTTTGGAACTAGGCAATGGGCAGGAGTTGGAAGAGTTTGTAAGGCTCAGAATACAGGAAGATGAAGGAAAGTTCTGAATGTCTTAGAGACTAGTTAAATGGTTGTGACCAAAATGCTGATAGTGATATGGACAGTGAAGGATAGGCTGATGTGGTCTCAGATGGAAATGAGGAACTTACTGGGACTTCAAATAAAGGTCATGCCTGTTATGCCTTTGCAAAGAACTTGGCTGCAGTCTGTTCATGTACTAGGGATCTGAGGAAGTTTGAACACTCAGATGCAGGAGCAAAAAATGACTTAAAGTTGGAATTTACAATTAAATGGGAAAAGCAGACCATACAAGTATAGAAAATGTGCAGCCTGCCCATTTGGCAGAGGAAGATAAAGCATTTTCAGGGGAAGAATCTAAGCAGGCTGTGGAGCAACCACTTATTAGAGACATTTGCGTAACTGAGAAAAAGCTAGGTGCTGATAGCCAAGACAATTAAAAAAGGCCTTGAAGGCATTTCAGAAAGCGTTGCAGCAGCTCATCCCAGCACAGACCTAGAGGTCTAGGATGAAAGAATGGTTTCTTGTGTAGTGGGAATTTATAAGTTAATTAATTTATTTATTTATTTTGAGATGGAGTCTCATTCTGTCACCCAGGCTGGAGTGCAGCGGCACAATCTCAGCTCACTGCAAGCTCTGCCTCCCGGGTTCAAGCCATTCTCCTGCCTCAGCCTCCCAAGTAGTTGGGACTACAGGCACCTGCCACCATGCCTGGCTAATTTTTTGTATTTTTAGTAGAGACGGGTTTTCACTGTCTTAGCCAGGATGGTCTCAATCTCCTGACCTCATGATCTGCCCACCTCGGCTTCCCAAAGTGCTGGGATTACAGGCGTGAGCCACCATGCCCAGGCTGCAGTGGGATTTTTTAAGGAATCAGAGACCAATGGGGTTGAGGAGGATATTTATTATTTAGTTGCACCGGCCCAGTCAGATTAACATCCAAAGGACTGAGTCCTGATCAAAGACTTAAGTTACCTTTTAAGCGTTTTGTAGGGTGGTGGGGAGTGGGGAGATCTGTCCAGGGGGAAGCGTATTACAGAAGCGAGAAACAAAGACAGTTATTCAATTAATTGAGACATGCATTATATCATTTCTTACTTTTCAAGGAAAAACATGTTTTACGACTTGAGTTTATCTGTCTAGTGACCTTGCAGCTGCGCAGCTAGAGGAACAGGGTCTTCACAATGCCTGGGAAAGGAGGAGAGATGAGGCTCACTAGCCACAGAAAAACCGGCAGTTAATTTTTAAAGGGCTCCAGCTCTTTCTCTTTCTCAGGGGGAATTGGGTTTTCTTACATACAACTGAGTTTCTGCTTACACATTCTTTAATTTCTTTTAATTCCTGTTCCACTTGGACCAGGGCCAGGGCACCACTGCCCTGTACCACCCCCAGGAGGGTGTTCCTTGCATCCTGGCCCTTCTAGCGCCAGCCTTGGTTCAAAGGGCTCCAGATAGAGCTCAGGCCATGGCTTCAGAGGGTGCTAACTATAAGCCTTGGTGGCTTCCATGTGGTGTTAAGCCTGCAGGTGAGCAAAGTGCAAGAGTGAAGGAGGCTTGGCATTCTCTGCCTAAATTTCAGAGGATGTATGAGAAAGGCTGGATGCCCAGGAAGAAGCCTATGCCCAGCTGGAGCCCTCAAAGAGGACCTCTTCTAGGACAGTGCCAAGTGGAAATGTGGGGTTGGAGGCCCCACACGGGGTCCTGACTCGGGGGGGCTGCCTAGTGGAGCTGTGGGAGGGGGGCTGCTGCCCTCCAGATCCCAGAATGATAGAGCCACCAGCAGCTCATGTCTTCAGTGTAGAAAAGCTGTGGGAGCAGAGCTGCCCAAGGCCTTGGGAGCCCACCCTATGCATCCTGGGAATGCTCTATGTTCCCAGGATGTGGGACATGGTTTCAAAGGAGATTATTTTGGAACTTCGAGATTTAATGACTGCCTTGCTGGGATTTGAACTTGTGTGGGGCCTGTAGCCCCTTTCTTTTGGCCAATTTCTCTCTTTTATAATGGGAAGGTTTACCCAATGCCCTGTACCCAAATTTTATCTTAGAAGTAAATAACTTGTTTTGATTTTACAGGCGCATCAGTGGAAGGGACTTGCCTTGTCTCAGAAGAAACTGCACTTTCGAGTGATGCCGAAACAGGTTGAGACTTTTGGGGGACTATTGAGAAGGGATGATTGTATCTTGCAATGTGAGAAGAACATGAGATTTGAAGGGCCAGGGATGGAATGAAATAGTTTGGATGTTGTACCCTTTAAGTCTCATGTTGAATTGTAATTCCCAGTGTTGGAGGTGGGGTCTGGTGGGAGGTGATGGGGTCATGAGGGCTGATTTCTCATGTTTAGCACCATCCTCTTGGCACTGTCCTTGCAAGAGTGAGTGAGCTCTCATGACATCTGGCTGTTTAAAAGTGTGTGGCACCTCTCCCTGCTTGCTCCTGCTCTGGCCATGTGACATACCTTCTTTTGCTTCACCTTCTGCCATGTGTAAAACCTCCCTGAGGACCCTTCTTGAAGCCAAGCAACTGCCAATGCAAAGCTTCCTGTACAGCCTGCAGAACTGTGAGCCAAGTCAACCTTTCTTTTCTGTATAAATTACGTAGTGCTTAGGTATTCCTTTATAGTAATGCAAGAATGCCATAATACGAGGCATAATGGTTTGCATTTTAAAAACGAAAATTAGATTTATGTAATTTATCATGAAAAGATGAAATGAGTTAATAATGAGCAATATCTACATGTTGTCTTAGAGGTGCTGATGATCTGTCAAGGAATTACATGCATTGATCAAGCAGTTTACCTTCAAGTTGAATAACAAGATATTCCTATCTAACATAACAAAATTTTGACATTATTTGGGGGACTGGAAATAATGCTAAATAATATCAGATTGTCAAAGTCAAATAAATATAGAGACAAACATCTGAAATTAAAATGTTTTATTTGAGATACAAGTATTACAATTTGACACATACATGAAGAATGGGTGTCTTTAGTGTGTCCAAAACATAAAGAGAAAGTTAGAGGTTTTATAAAGAGGGAGACAGAGAGAAAAATGGTGTGTATTTCTCTTTGAGAAAGTTCACTGGCACCAGTAAGGTTTTTGAGAGCTGGCAGGCTCTGATAGGTGAGGGACAGTGGTGGGTAAAACTAGTCTTAGTGTTGCAAGAGGTTGTTTCAGTAACCATTCGATAAAACTGGTTTCAGCTTAAAGCAGGTAATTTCAGCAGCCAGGCATGCAGAGAATTACGTTTTTGGAGTGGTGTTTTTGCCCTGAATGCCTCCTCCCCCTGGCTTCTTGATGGTTTTATTTGGTGTGACAAGAATGACCCAATTCATATGATCAATTTTTACATTTACCCCTTTCCATCAAGATCTTTCTCTTAAAGCATCAACCATGTCTATAGTTGTACAACGACTACAAGTTAGGCTTAATCATCCCTTAGTGCTAGGATGGACCTGTCCCAGTTGCTCCGTCCCACATCTGGGAAAGGTATGGAGGTCTACATCAGGTCTATGTCAAGATTTATGGCTTAAAACATCTATCCGAGGAAAAAATAAAACTGACCAGTAATCCCAGGAGAGAAACATACCTTGGCAAATTCGAAGATATTTCTAATTTTATTTAACAATTTTAAAATTAATTAATGTATCAAAGATTCACCTAACTCATGTCAAACAAAATATATTTGGGTTAATTAATATATATTTTATATGAACATTCCTTTATTTAAACCATCCTTTTTTTCCTAGAATGATGGATTAGGGGCTTTCAGTGTGCCTCAGCCACTTGGAAGTAGAAAAATAAGCATAAAGATAAACTTTGTGAGCTTCAATTCAAGAAGAAAAATAGGAATTCACAGGAATAGAGAAGAACACTCCAGACCCTGTGGAGGGGGAGGTGGGAAAGCAGCCTCTGTGATAGCATTTGGTTCATAAAAGGGAATGAAACTCCAGTACGAGAGAAGAGCATCCAGTCTCCCTCTGCGACTCACCTTTCCACTGGGGATCTGTGCAACCCAGATTAAGGGAGAGCACTGTTTCTCCCAAGAAAGCACTTATGTGCTTAGAGCTAGC
Source organism: Homo sapiens (assembly GCF_000001405.40). NCBI lineage: Eukaryota > Metazoa > Chordata > Mammalia > Primates > Hominidae > Homo > Homo sapiens. Next base: position 131,783,176 of record NC_000002.12, on the reverse strand, counting down.
ACAAAAGTGGCTGAGAGATGGGGAAAGAGGAAAGACACTCAGAAAAGCTGCAGGCATTTCCCCAGACCTGGGACTGAGCGAAGGATGCCATTTTTAATCTGGGCTCATACAAAGTCAATCATTCTTTGGTGCCTGGCAATGGTGGCCACTGCAGACACTTTAATCTTGGGCTAGGAATTGAAGTGCTTGCTCTGGAGCAGGGGAGCAGCCTCCACAGCCAGAATTGAGTGTTGAGTGTGGAAAGTGCCCCAGCAGTAGGTATTGGAATTAGGCTCTCTCCTCTTGCAGGACTGTAGTGGGAAGAGAGTTGCTAAAGCAGAGGTTTCTCAAGGACGGTGAGACTTGCAGCCAAGAACAGCTTTGCAACCTGGAACTGGTCTGTGTGTGTCATTGCTGGGTGTCCCAGCCTGCTCTCTTGGTCAGTTGAGAGAGTACCTCATCAGCTCCAAGAAGCAGGAGGGAGGTGAACCCCATTCCCCAGGAGACCTAAACTTTGGTGAGGACCAGCCCTAAGGGAAGGAGGAATACAGCTTGCCAAACCCACCCCTTGGGTCAAAGGAAACACGATCATGACATCAGCTGCTGAAAGGGGCACACCAAAGCCTGGGAACAGATTTAGAGAGGTGGTCATCTCTTGCCCTCTGTCCCCTTCCTAGTGCACTGCTGCAGACCCAGTAGTGGTCACCCTGTTGGGGCCCAAGGAACGTGAGCTGAAAGAGGCTGCTTCTTAGGTTTCTCCAGGACTCTGCCCCTGCTGAAGACTAGTACACATGGGGACAGGGCACTTTTGGCACTTTGTCACTTCTGCACCTGTCGTGGACAAGTACACAGAGGAGAAGACCCTGCAGCCAGCTGTTACTCTTAAGCACTGTCTACTGCACTGAAGCCTGAATTACACCACCAAACAAAAATACATCACCACATCAAGCCACCACAGGAGCCTATCTGCAACCAAGGAACTTGTACAGAGCCTTGGTCCTCTGAAAGTACCCAGAAATGAAGCAAACTGATCCTATACAACACACACCACAGTCACACCCTTAAGAGAAAGAAAGAATGAAAAATTAAAAAAAAAAACCTCCTTCCAAATGATATCAAATTCAACAAAAGAAGCATCAAGTCTCCCAGATGAGAAGAAACCAGCACAAGAACTCTGGCAATACAAAAAGCCAGAATGTTCCATCACCTCCAAAGGATTACACCAGCAACCTAGCAATGAGTCCTAACCAGAATGAAATGTCTGAAATGACAGGTATAGTATTCAAGATATAAGTGGCAAAAAAATTCACCAAAATCCAACAGAAAGTTGAATCCAACAACAACCCCATAACAACGATCCTGGATTTGAATGACAACATAGCTATATTGAGAAAGAACCAAGCAGAGCTTCTTGAATTGAAAAATTTACTATAGGAATTTCAAAAAACAGTTGGCAGCCTTAGCAACAGACTAGACCAAATAGAAAAAATAATTTAAGAGCTCAAAGACCAGACCTTCGAATCAACCCAGTCAGACAAAAATAAAAAAAAGAATTTAAAAATAATGAACCAAACTTTTGAGAAATATAGGATTATGTAAAGGAACAAAATCTATGACTTATTGGCATTTTTTTTTTTTGAGACAGAATCTCACTCTGTTACCCAGTCTGTAGTGCAGTGGCATGATCTTGGCTCACTGAAACCTCCACCTCCTGGGTTCAAGCAATTCTCGTGCCTCAACCTCCCAAGTATCTGAGATTACAGGCATGTGCCACCATGTCTGGCTAATTTTTGTATTTTTAGTAGAGATGGGATTTCGCCATGCTGGCCAGGTAGGTCTCAAACTTCTGGCCTCGAGTGATACTCCCACCTTGGCCTCCCAAAGTGCTGGGATTACTGGCATGAGCCACTGTGCCTGGCTGACTTATTGGCATTTCTAACAGAGAAGAAGAGAATGTAAGCAACTTGGAAAACATTTTTGAGGATATAATTCAGGAAAGTGTCCTCAATCTTGCTAGAGAGGTCCACCAGCTGATACAAGAAATCCAGAGAACTCCCGTGAGACTGAAGGTAGGCAGTGAAGCATATGTTTGCATTCTTGTGTGGCTCTGATTAGCATCAGGATATCTACATTTTACATAGGAAAGGAGGGAGCAGAGGAAACAGTTCATGTCGCATTCAGTAAATCTTCATTTTACATAAGATAAAGTAAGCATGTGAATAGAGGGAGTGGAATAGAGGAAAAGTCAATGATTCATTCATCTCAGGATAGGCAGAGGGATGATTTCTGGTCCTGACCTTGTCCCAGAACTATGAAAATAACCTGGTAATTGAGATTGTCAGGGTGAAATTGAGCTGACTCACTTTTAGGGCTAGTTTATAGGTGGGATGTGCATTCTGAAAGATTTAGGGGCTCACGGCAAATTGTGAGGGAGGACATGTGAGGAGACATGCGGCCTTCTGTCACTGTGGGAACCTGGCTTATGGATGAGGCTATGACACAGGGTTGTGAAGTTATAGCTATGTGTTTGAGAACAAGGAAGGAGTATTGCGTAACTCAGTTCCCAAGCTTAATTTTCCCTTTGACACAGTGAGCTTGGGGTTGGGTCTCTATTCTCTTTTCTCTCACAAAATCATATGGGAACATTCCAGAAAATGTGAGGTTCTGCGCTCACTATTAAATAAAAATGACCAGGAGAGCCATGGGTAAGCTCCCTCCTCAGTCATCAGGACCGCAACAGAGAGTTTTCCCCTGTGTGGACGGGGTCCTGAATTCTGCAGGATCCCGTGGGGACACAAGTGTCAGGATAGAGGCACTCATTCAGCCAGGTACAGTGTCTCATGCCTGTAATGTCAGCTACACTGGAGGCTGAGGTCGCCTTGAGGCCAGGATTTCGAGACCAACCTGGGCAACGGAGCAAGATCCCATATCTAAAAATAAAATTAGCCAGGTGTGGTGGCATGCACCTGTAATCCTAGTTACTTGGGAGGGAGGCTGAGGTGGGAGGATTGCTTGAGCCTAGGCGTTGGAGACTACAACGAGCTAGGATTACACCACTGCACTCCAGTCTCGGCAACAGTAAGACTCCGTCTGTAACAACAACCAACCAATTCTGTGTTTTGAGTGTAAATTACCATAGCCTTTGTAACAGAAATTAGGCAGCAACTCTCATCATTCAAAATGCATAAGCAATTTGGCTAAGCAATTGTACTTCTAGATTATTTACTTATTTATTTATTATTGGGACAGAGTCTCACTCTGTCTCCCAGACTGGAGTGCAGTGACATCATCTCAGCTCACTGCAGCCTCCGCCTTGTGGGTTCAGGCAATTGTCCTACCTCAGCCTCCCAAGTGGCTGGGGCTACAAGTGCGCATCACCATACCCAGCTAATTTTTGTATTTTTTGTAGAAACGGGGTTTTGCCATGTTGGCCAGGCTGGTCTCAAACTTCTGACCTCAGGTGATCCACCCACCTCGACCTCCCAAAGTGCTGGGATTACAGGCACTAGGTCCCTAATTTAGAGCCATATTCTTTAATGTCTGAAAGCACTCTTGCATATTTATTACTGCATTGTTTGAACTTAAATATCCACAACAGGATAACAGGATAACTAAACAGTTAATTGCCCTATGGCACATCCATCTGTTAACAAAATGAAATCGATCTTTTTGTACTGCGGTGGAAAGATTTTCTGAACATAGTTCAGGTAAAAAGAAAAAAAGACCACTGTTGAATAATGCTTCCGGTATAACACAATGTGCTTGAAAATGTACACAATACACTGTAATATCCAATACATACATCTATCAAAGTAAATATATTTTATTCTAGGGTAATTATTAAAACATTAAGAAATACTCTTTAATAGTATATGTTAAAACTTGTAGAAAATCAATAACATACAAGTAAAGAAGATCAAGAAGCCAAAAAAAGTAATTCCAAGTATAGGATGCATGGTGAAAAGTGATGGAAGAAAACTGCAGAAATTTAAAATGCAAAATTAAAATACAGCCCTATAATTCATGATACATAATTCTTCACTGAACCCCGAATCTGTCAGGACATATGTGTGATCTTGGATAACGCATTCAACCTCCTTGACACTGAAGTTTCTTGACTGTAAACTGTTTTAGAGATGTTCCTCACCCAGTTGCATGAAGCAAACCTCTGTGTGTTAAGGCACTTCCCACAGCATCTGCGACACAGAACAGTGGCAGCTGTGCTCTTCGTGGTCCCTGCACACAGACCCACAGCAGTATGTTGTGTTTTTTTTTTTTAATATAAAAGGCTTTGAAAATGTCCCACAGGTTCCTCAGTAACTGACTATCAAAAGGGGCAGCCTTCAAAAGTAGAATTCTGGCAAATGTCTTCAAAAGACACGAAATTCTGGCAATGGGCACATTTCCCCCTCCCGCCTTGCTCTTCTGGATGGATCCCTTCTCTCCCACAGCATATTCGTTTCCTTCCACTCCCCTGTAAAAATTGTCCTTCTAGTGGCAAGAGTGACGTAAGTGATATGCGGCAATTTCTTTCCAAGCCTGCTTGGAGGAGCTTCCTCTGCCTGCTTCTCTTTGGCCACCTCCAGGGCTGCTCTGTCACCCCCAACAGCATGGACCTCACTGCAGTCACTCTGGAAGCTTCCCTCAAAAGGAAGCTTGTGCAGGAAACATCATGCATCGAGCAGCATGGGGACAGGGGCTGGCCAGCTGGGCAGCGCTCACACTCCTGACACCCAGACTCCACGATACTCCTCTGTCCCCACCCAGGGCAGATCCCTGCCCTAAAAGTTTTCCCTCTCATGTCCAGCAAATGCTGCATGGAGCCCTGGAATTCTATGTGGAAAGCTAGGAAGAGGGAGAGCTGAAATGAGGATGTAATCACCCTTTCCAAAGAGGTCAGTCCAGTACTACCCTGTGCTCTACTGGGCAAGCTCTCCAGGCTGAGGGAACAGGAGCAGGGGTTATGTCAGGTGAAGGTGGAAGTGAGGGACCTCCCAGGAGGTGTAGAATACTCCACTAGGGACACCTTATACCCTTCCGGGATTAGACCTTGAGGCCTGGAGATCCCCAGGCAATTAGTATTGAAGGTTGAAAGGCCAATGACAGGAATAGGAAGGCCCACTGTGTCATTCACAAATCACTTCCAAACCCATCACCACAGGTGACCCTCACAACAACCCTGTGAGACCTGCAGGGCACGGGCTCTCACAAAGGAGGAGTCGGGAATGTCAAGATTTTAACACCTTCTCCAAGTCAGGATCAGAAAATGCTGCCCCAACACTGACCTATATTCCCTATGCTTCCTCCCACAAAAGAGCTTAGGGTGACTGCCAACTTGTGGGCAGAGACCCTCACTTTCCAATCCCCATGAGGGGCTGTGCAGTGGGGAGGATGAGGCCCCCTCCTCTAACTGTCTCCTCCAAGACCCTGTTTTCTGAGGAAGGTCACTCTGGGAACTGTTGGCCTCTGCAGATGGGGGCCTGGACCATGTGGAAAGATGACGTGAAGGTCACACCTGGCAGGGACCAGGGTTGGAGGGTAAACCTCACCTTTAAAAGCTCACACTTTTTATTTTAAATTTATTTTTATTTTTAATTTCTATGAGTACATAGTAGGTGTATATATTTATGGGGTACATGAGATAGTTTGACACAGGCATGCAATGTGTAATAATCACATCAGGGTAAATGGGGCATTCATCACCTCAAGCAAGGGAAATGCTAGATGCTTATAAAACCGTCAGATCACATGAGAACTCACTTACTATCATGAGAACAGCATGGGCGAAACTGCCGCCATGATTCAGTTACCTCTCACTGGGTCCCTCCCATGACACGTGAGGCTTATGGAAATTACAGTTCAAGATGACGACATTTGGGTGGCAACACAGCCAAACCATATCATCTTATAAAATGAATAATGTGAAAATAGCACTGGGCCTGAGGCCTGGCCCCTGCTGTGTGATGCCCCCTCTTGGGGAGAGCCTGGCTTCTGTGCCATGCAGAAACTTCCCTGTGCTTCCTGTGGGCTTGGGGTGAGCCAGGCCCTCCTGGGGGAGCTGGGCACTGTGGGACAGGAGGGTCCCTGGCCTGGGGTCTCCATTTGCCTCCTTACCCCATCAATGAAACACCAGAGGAACCAACTCAACAAACCTCAATGCACGGCCCTTCCTGGACCATAGGTGCTCACGGCCCCCTGAGCTGCCCTGGGGCAGAACACTGGGCAGTGGCCAGTGCTTCCCCAACAACTCCCCCATGCACAGATGCCTGGTGGACATACTTCCTTTAACCCTGCTCAGCTGGAGCTCAGCCCCCATCCTAGTACCTCTGCCTCCTCCTCCAGGGCAGGAAAAGAAAACCCAACCCCAAACCCATGGAGAATCCTCACCTTGGGCGAGGCCCTGGCTGGGACTCAGTCTCTTGTCAGACCCTCGAGGAGCTCCATCTTTCCCTGTTTCCCTGCCCCATGGGACCCCGGGCCTCTGGGAAAGAGTTGAGGGTGTCATCCACTCAGCAGGTACCGCATGATCTTTGGGAAGGATTTGTGTTATACCTGCTCCTGGTGGGATGGGAGCCTCTGGAGCTGGGCAGTATTTGGGCTGTAGAAAACTGAGAAGCCCCTGACCCATCAGGCATCAGAGCCCACTCCCAAGATGTGGAGCCCTCAGCTGGAAGAGCTGGGAAGTGGCAGGGGACCCCGGACCCTGAGGCCTTCCTCCCTTCCATCAGGTGACCCTAACACGTGGCCTCAGCTCTACGGAGGTGGGCCCTAGCCGGAGGCACTGCACAGCAGCATCCTGGGTAGAGGTGCCAGGAGGGCAGGCCTGCCTTTGAGGCTGTGAGGCAGGGCTGACGCAGGCAGTGGCCAGTGGAGGGAACCGGGTGGGTGCCAAGGGGCTACATGGCCTCTCCCAGACATGGGGTCGGGCTGGGGGACATGGGTTGGGCAGACACTGCCATCTCGACTGCATTGGCCCATCTGTGGGCTGGGACGGCAGCTGGGAGTGTGGCCAGCTGGGAGGTAGGAGGACTCTTGCGGAAGTGACAGTCACCTGCATGAACTCAGGGCTAGAGAGCTGTGGCTCTGGGACACACCGGGTGGCCAGGGGGAGGCTGCAGTGCCCTCTGCTGTTGGGGATGAAAGGTGCCTGCCTTGAAGTGAAAGGGTCCCTGTTCAGCTCTGGGCTCCTGTGGGACCCTCAGCAGGGATGTCCTGAAGGCTCCTGACAAGCTGGAAAGCAAGGAAGCTGCCTTGCCTGGAAGTCAGGATCGCCCAGCCAGGGTGGCCATCCCATGGCCTGGCTGTGTGAGGTCTGGGGGTAGCTGTCCGCCTACCCTGCAGGGAGTGCCTCTCCTCAGCCATCAGCTGATCCAGTGCCCAGAAGGTGTCTTCCTCTGGCAGATACAGGAGGAGGATGGCAGTTAGGCAGCTCATGTCCCTGTGCTAGCCCACCTCCTGCAAGGGCCAGAGTCACCATGGAAGCATGTCACCTGAGAGGGCTGAGGCCATCTGGGAGGACTCATGTCACTGGAGAGGACAGAGGTCACCTGGGAGACCTCCCTCTGGCCCTAGCGGATTTAGGGTGCAGACTCTGCACCCCTCCCCTGACCCTGGGCGTGAGGACTAAGCAAGTCCCCCACAACTCAGTTGAAAAGGGACCTGGAGGGACTTCTGCAGTGAGTGTCCAAACTCACGTAGTCCGAAGGGGCACAGGCAAGGATCATTCATGTCCCCTATCCTGGGACAGGCTGAGAAGGCCACTGTGCCAGGCCTGGGGCAGCACCTGTGAACTGCACCCACCACGAGGGCAGGCGATGGGCCACTGATCACCACACAATGGGTCCTGTGATGGCGCAGGGGCTGCCTGCCAGGCACAGGAGGGCGGCTGGGTCCAGACCCCACGTGGGCAGCCCATGGAGTGAGCTCAGCGGCTCTCCGTGCCTGGAATGGTCTGGGAAGTGGGGGCCAAGCAGGAACAGCCACCTGGGTGACCTCCTCCCTGTCTACTGTGCTCCTACGGGGTTAAGGCAAAGGGAAATTGGATCCCTGCCAGGTTTCCAATGAAAAGGTTTCCTCAGGATGCAAACTCATTTCATGACAAGAGCCTGGCCCCATCAGGCACCTCAGCAGCTTGTCAAACATGTCTCCTGCAAGGACTATCCTGTGTGCAACACTGCTAAGCTCCTTGTTTGGGGCAGCACCAGGAGGGGAGGGTCATTTCTTCTTCTGAGACATGGTGGTTGGGTCCAGGCGACATCAACAGTCTGGGCCCTGACCCCTTTCTATCTCAGCGGGACCCCTTGAGACACCAGCTTCCCGTCCGTGCTTGGGTGTCCACGCCAGCAGTTCTACCTACTACGTTATTACAGCCAGATCAGGATAAATGTCCTCTCTCTGGAATAAATGCAGTGACCACTGTTCTTTGAGCATTATTTATCTTAAATTATTGTTTTAATTAGAAATGTATCTAACTTATATTAGCCAAATTTCCTTTCAGTGTAACCAAATTTCTTTTAAGTGAAAATTAAATATTTACCTCCTGTTATCAAGCATTCTATGAATACAAAATATTTATTTTTTTCAACTTTAGAAGAAATTGAAAATGTCTACATGCTACTAATCTAAAAATACAGGCTCTGGGTTTATATGGTGTTAACCTTTCTTCCAAATTTTAAGGAATAGATATTTAAATGCCATCCACTTTGTTTTAAAACACATAAAATGTTTTAAGCTTTTGACCTCAAAATTTACAGTAGCACAGCTACTCCGTAATGAATAAACCACAGAATCAAAACAAAGAAAGATTCTACAGACCAGTCTAACCAACAATACAATTATAAACTAGTGGTTCAAATATCAAAAACCAATTTCAATGACAAATACATGGTATGAAAACCCCGCAAAGGTCAAGTAGAATATATTATACTTGAATGAAATTATGAGTTGAGAGTAGGAAATCTATGGTTAACCAAACAAATTAAATAATGTTTATGAGGAAATTATACTGCTAATGTTTTATTATTTGGCAAGCTATTCAGTGGAACACAAAGATATTCTTAATGAAGTTGAAAATATATTTTAAAATGTTATTAAAGTGGATTAAAAATAATGAGGACATGAATAACTTTAAAAAGTATTCAGGGATAAAGAGAGAAAAATAAATTTAGATTTCATACATAATTAAAATATATTTTAAAAGTTGTGCTTTTTGGTTGCTCAAATAAAAGGAGCAGATACTTAAATTCCATGCTTTTCATTTTAAAGTTTAGGAAATGCTTATAGCTTTCCACACTGACATTTATACTAACACAGTTAATCTAATCTAATCTAATCTAATCGATAACAAAATCAAAACAAGCAGAATTCTCTTGACCAATCTATTTCCTTGATTTTTAAAAGTAAATGTACTCTCAAAGAAACAAAACTATTATTCCTGGATTCTGTTATTTGAAAATATTTACTGATCATTTACCTTACACCAAGTGATCTCCAGCTCATGGAAAAATATGTAACGTTGCCCAGCTTCATTAAGCTTAAACTCTTCTGAAGAAGAAAAGAAGCAATGGAGTAGGGACATTAAAGCAGGAGTGTGGTGATACGGCTGAGACTTCTACTTGCACACTGTGGTAGCTGTGTGGAGACTGGATTGAAAAAAGGGCAATGACAGAAGCTTAAATTAGTATCAAATATAGTAATCCTATAATTTTAAGGGTCCTTGAAATAAGAATGTATAATAGTTCTCATTATTTCCCCAAGAAATCTCTGCACTTGGCCTTGTGAGAGAAGCGCTATAGTTACCAAGTGGTGGGGGTGGGAATGTGAATTTGGAAACAACATTTGGAATTATTATACTTTAAAGGTAAAGCTGGCAGGAATTCCATACACATCAGATCTGAAAATGTGTGTGTGTGTGTGTGCGTGTGTCTGTCTGTGTGTGTTTGTGTGTGTGTGAAGCAGGGAGAGAGAGCAAGAGTGACAGTGAGCAAGAGAGAGAGGAGAGAGAGGGAGAGAATCAGATACAGAAAGAGAGTGACAGAGCTACAGAGACAGAATTAAAAGGGGACACCAAGAATATTGAGCTGAGAAACTATAAAATGGGAGTTGCCATTAAACAGAATGGGGAAGAGCAAATTTGGGGAGTTTCAGTGGCTCCATATAGACATATTAATTTTGAGATTCCTAACTGACATCCATGTGGATAAGTCAGGGAGTGCTGGGTGTAGTGTCCAGTGTTTAAGTGTAATGTGAAATATCAGGAAATTAATGACACAAAAATCAGTAAGAAAGCAAAGATAAGAAAGATAAGCAGTCAAAGTCGTGAGCCTAATCGTCCTCTGACATTTAAAAAATAGTAAAGATGAAACCTGCAAAAAAGGACTAGAGGTAATTATCAAAAACATGGTGGAGGGAAAGTAGGTTAAGTGTTCTGGAATTCTATAAAAAAAGTTTTACAAAGAGGAGGAGGAGATCAACTGTGTGAAATGCTGCTGATATATAAATTAAGACGAAGTCCGAGGAGTTATGGTTCAATTTATAATTTAACAATATGCATAGCACTTATGTTTTGATACGAACAGCTTCGTTGGAGTGAGTAGGTGAGAAACCATATTGGAGTGTTTGCTGAAATGAAAGTCTGATCTCTGGATTCTTAAGGAAAAATTTTATTGGACTGCAGAGGCATAAATTGGATTTCTAATTCTGGAGTCAGGATGTGCTCAGTAAACATGTGCCCATCAATGCCTCCTCGCATTTTTTTTTAGCTAGGTATTCTGTTATCTTTTAATAATACAATAATTACCTGCAAAACCTACACCCATTTTGCACATTTTGCAGCAAACCATGACACATGTATATCTATGTAACAAACCTGCACGTTCTGTACATTTATCCCATAACTTAAGTATATATATATATATATATATATATATATATATATATATATATATATTTGTGTCTGTGTGTGTGTATACATATATATATGTATATACTTGTGTGTGTGTGTGTGTGTGTGTATATATATATATATAAAAGAAAGAAAAAGAAAACCCAGCCAAGTGCGGTGGCTCATGACTGTAATCCCAGCACTTTGGGAGGCTGAGACAGGTGGACCATCTGAGGTCAGGATTGAGAACAGCCTGGCCAACATGGTGAAACCCTGTCTTTACTATAAATACAAAAATTAGCTGGGTGTGGTGGGGGGCACCTGTAGTCCCAGCTACTTGAGAGGCCAAGGCAGGAGAATCACTTGAATCTGGAAGGCAGAGACTGCAGTGAGCCAAGATCACACCACAGCACTACAGTCTGGGTGACAGGGTGAGACTGTCTCAAAAAACAAAAACAAAAACAAAAAAACACCCATTTAATTGACAAACTTTACAAAGACTGATACTGGAGGTTGTTGGAGAGGACGTTGTTCCACATAATATCTTATGAGTTGCCGATGGACAAGTAAGATGGTAAAATGCCTTTGAAAAACTGACAATACCTGCTATACTTAAATATTCAGATACCAAACACCCAGAAATTCCATCTTGTCATTTATTTCCACAAGAAAAAACAAGAGACCTGTATTAAAATATCCACTTCTATTAAAAATAATCACACTACGTTTCCTGAAATTTTTTTATTAATAGCTCTTGTTTTCAGCAGTACAACCTCTAATATATGTGTATATGTGTATCTATACATACACATATACACATATATGTATAGTATATATACACATACACACATATATGTATATGTATATATACACATACGCACATATATGTATATGTATATATACACATACGCACATATATGTATATGTATATATACACATACGCACATATATGTATATGTATATGTATATGTATATATACACATATACACATATATGTATATGTATATATACACATATACACATATATGTATATGTATATATACACATATACACATATATGTATATGTATATATACACATACACATATATGTATATGTATATGTATATATACACATACACATATATGTATATGTATATGTATATATACACATATACACATATATACATATATGTATACATATATGTGTATATATATACACATATATATACATATATGTATACATATATGTGTATATATACACATATATATACATATATACATATACATATATATGTGTATGTATATATACACATATACATATATATGTATATGTGTATATATATTAGACAGATATATATGTACATATACATATATATGTATATGTATATGTATATGTATATGTATATGTATATGTATATGCATATATAATATACATATACATATATGTATATGTATAAATATATTATGTATATATATACACACATGTATATATGTATATATACAAAATGTATGTATAGATATTAGACAGAGTTTTGCTCTTGTTGCCTAGCCTGGAGTGCAATGGTTCAATCTCGGCTCACTGCCACCTCCACCTCCCGGATTCAAGCGATTGTCCTGCTTCTGCCTCCCGAGTAGCTGGGACTACAGGCATGTGCCACCACCCTCGGCTAATTTTGTATTTTTCGTAGAGATGGGGTTTCACTAAGTTGGTGAGGCTGGTCTCGAACTCCTGACCTCAGGTGATCCACCTGCCTCGGCCTCCCAAAGTGCTGGGATTACAGGCATGAGCCACTGTGCCCGGCCTATTTTGTATTTTTTAATCTACCACACTCTAAGAACACATATTTTAAATCAATTTGTACATTCAGTGCCTAGAACAAAACCAGCATTTTGTAGATTCCAAAGAATTATTTGTTGTATAAATGATGAGTAACTTAAACAAGTTATTATTTATAACATCTATATACAAACAATATATTACCTCAGAATACAGTGATAACATTTGTTATGTATGATTTCAATTTCAGTTAAAAATATTTTTTGCATGAGTTATTGTCATATACAGATGCTCACATTGTTTTGTTTATATGAAAATGTTTGTAACTACTATGCACATTTTTGCTACTTAAGCCTTTTGGTCTTGCTGCCGTAGCAAATACTGTGCCTCTTAAGAACATGAACCTGTTTTACTTCATTTTTTAGCAGATTTCTTAATGAAATATATAGCATACTATTTTGTTTAACACATAAGCAGACACCCTGTCAGAAGCAGAGACATCTACTCCACCATTACCACCCATCCCTCTACTAATGTGGCTGCTGAAGATGTTACCTAGAGCAGAGGACTTTGTGTTCAACCTAAGCACTTTATATCCTTTATTTTCAATTGGGTAGGAGATAAAATAATTCAGCAGCAATAAAAGTCACACTTCTTAAAGTTGCAGTCTCGCCAAGGCACCACAATGTAGCAGTCTCTCTTGTGAGGTATCACCTGGAGTTCTTTATCTCACCACCAAGATGATTAAGGAACCGGGACACACGGGTGAGGTTGGAGTGAAAGTTTAATAAGCAAAAGGAGGAAGCTCTCTGCAGCAGACAAGGGCGTCCAAGTGGATTGCCGTTTTTACAGTTGAATCAAAAAGCTTTTATAAGAAACTCCTCTCAGCTATGTATAAAACTGTCTGCACAATTCCCTTCATATATCCAGCTGTGGGTATCTCTCTAGTCAAGCACAAAGTGGGCTTCTCTTGTTGTATAACTGTGGGTTTGTTTTAGGTAAGCCCCCCTCCTCCCTGTGTAAGTTCCCACAGAGGCCACCGTGTATATGCCTGAAAAAGGGAGGAAAATTTTTCCTGGGAGCTTGCCAATTACACAAAGAACAGAAGGCGTCTGTGCTGGACCCTGCATGCTCATCTGTGCAGGGCTTATCTGTAGGTGCAGTAGTTGTGATTTTTCAGGCAGACAGCTTCCCTGAGGACCAGTCTCTTTCTTGTTTACTCAACTAATTTTCCTTTCCTTCTCCCTCAACATTGTGCAGCAAAACAGAATACACTTCTCTTTCCCAGTAAATCAGTGTTGGTACTCCACTCTGAATACTTGTATTATTGGATTTCTTAGAAAAAAATATTTGGGATCATAATTTAGATGCCATCAAACAATGAACAAAAATATGCTACTTCGTTTCCCTTCTCTTCTCTTGTTACCAGACAACAGCTAGTTTTCTTTTCTCTCCAACTCCTTTTTTCTGTGCTTCTACCTGATTTTTAGAAAAACTTCTACACATTTCCGATCTTAGTACAGCAGACATCAAATATGTGGTCAAACTACATACATAGGAAGAGTTGAATTATATAATTATATTCAAGCATTTTAAAATAATTCCCCTTCAGTTTGTTTTGCAGTTATTTTACATAATCAAATGTCTTCTTGATATACGTCCCAACCCAGTGGTTGTCAAGCTCTGCTTTGTTTTCTAACTGCATCAGATTTATCCACAATTTTTTTTTTTTGGAGATGGAGTCTCACTGTTGCCCAGGCTGGAGTGCAGTGGCATGATCTCAGCTCACTGTCATCTCTGCCTCCCTGATTCAAGTGATTCTCCTGCCCCAGCCTGCCAAGTAGCTGGGACTACAGGCGTGCACCATCATGCCTGGCTAATTTTTGTATTTTTAGTAGAGATGAAGTTTCACCATGTTGGCCAGGCTGGTTTTGAATTCCTGACCTCAAGTGATCCACCTGCCTAGGCCTCCCTAAATAAGAATTATCCAAAATTCTTATGATAAATATGGATAAATCAGCACAACTCAAGATTTAAGAAATAAAAACTTCCAAGAGAAGAAACCCAGGAATATGCATTGAAAATGTCTCCCTCACGTGATTCTGATGTGATATGTGGTCTGAGTTTAAAATGTAAGGAAAATTACCTTCCCTGCCCTCCAGTTGGCCCTTATGTCCAGATGTCCCTCTTTCCCTTTCTCATTGTGCTCTCTCCTTCTGTGCCTTTGTTCTATTCTCCCTCCACTTCTCATCCAGATGCCAAGCCCTCTTGCATCATTTGTCCTAAAACTCCAAATGGTCAGTTGCCTCTAAACTTCCCTCTGTCCCATGAACAAGTTATGCAGGCAAATGTAGAATTTAAGCTTGGACCAAGCTGAATCAAGAGCTGCAATTAAAGATTTCCCTAAGCCCAGAGGGGACCAGCAAATACTTATAGGTGATTTTGGATTTCCTCTGAGTGCATAAGGCTCTGGGTAACCTGATGCTATAGACCAAATGTTATTGTCCCCTCAAATTCAAGTGTTGAAATCTAATTCCCTATGTGATGATATTTGGAGGTAGGGCCTTAGAGAATGATTAGATCATGAAGGCAGGGACCACATGAGTGGGATTAGTAGCCCCTATTGAAGGCACCATAGAGAGCTCCCTCATCCCTTCTGTCATGTGAGGACATGGTAGAAACATGGCTGTCTATGAACCACAAAGCAAGCCCACACCAGACCTGCAATCTGCTAACCACTTGACCTTGAATTTTGCTATCTCCAGAACTGAGAGAAACAAATTTGTTCATAAGCTTCCTCATCTATGGCATTCTGTTTTGACCCAAGATTAGCTAAAAACACCAAAATATCAACTTGTACACCAAATTTTGGAAATGGATGCTAAAACTTTGATGGCAAAAGGTGACTGATCTGCCAGAGAAATGAAACCTACATGATCCCTCTTTCCACAAGGCTGAAGGGAGAGTCAACACAAGCAAAAATAGGTCAAAGTCTTCTAAAAGCCAAAAGCCATACCTGAAGGGTTTTCAATATCACTTGATCAGATGGTAATTTAATCACAGAAAGAACCACAACAAAACACACAACTATCAGAGGTTTTCAACATCGCCTCAAAAACACCATCTACAATATTAGGGAGTGAAAGAAGCCATGGAAGTTTCAAAAAGTCAAACTTTATTCAGTGTTATGGTAGAAATTTGAAATTCTTAGGTAAGCTATGAATAAATCCTTGGGCAGGTGCAGGCATACAGATTCTGGGGTGCAGCTGCTGAGTTTAAAAGCTTCCTTTGGAGATGCCCCCTGGCCCCCTCACCCCCTGTCCGCCTGTCAAGAGGAGGCCATCCTGGGCAGCACGTTAGGGGCAAATGGCCCAGATGCCCAGCTGAGGGCAAACCTCCATGCCTGGAGGAGGAGGTCGCCTCTGGGAGCAGGAGGACCTGCTGGAACCCCTGCTCACAGGCTCCTTTTCTTGCTCTCCAGCACCTCCTGCAGGCAGGCAAACAGCCCCAGCAGCAGTAGCAGCAGGCCCTTCAGCAGCAGGGCTGCTGCTCTGCTGAATGAGAGAAGTCCCTCTCCAGTGAGGCAGAGGAGCCCAGATTGCAAACCCTGGTCTCTGCCTCCATAGCTTCCACTGTGCCCAGGACTGGGAGCAGTGTGGGAGCTGCTGGCTGGAGCTGTGCTGGCCACCCCTCTCTGCCACCTCTAGCTCCAGCCACACTTTCAGCTCCAGGGCTGAGGCCGGTGGCTCTACAGGAGGTGCCATGAAGTCAGGCAGCTCCTCACTGGGCTGGTCCTGGGCAGTCCCAGGGCAGCGGCAGGAGGGCTCTGGAGCTTCCTCTAGCTCCAGCGCTGTCCCTGGAGGGGAATCTGCCCCTGGTGCTGGCACTGGCTCAACAGCTGGCACTGGAAATCGCTGTATTTCTGCACCTGAAGCAGGAGCTGAAAAAGGAGAGAGGTCACCAATACCACTCACTTTCCACTGGAATTTCCAAACATGAAAACAACCTCATTGAATTTAAAGGAATTTCAGCCTGAAAACATTGTCCCTGGAAAGACTTCCAGACTGCAGGTGACCTCAGCATGTGCCTGTGTCTCAATGAGCTCCAGAGGCTCCAGCTGGACAAGGACAATGTGCAGATGTGGCCCTGGTGGGATCACTGGTGAGGCCTGGCCTGGTAGCTCCATCTGGGGCCTGATGTCTACCTGGTGACTCCTGTCCTGTGGTACCTGGGCGGGGGGCTTCTGCCAAATGGCCAGAGGCATCTGGGGTGAGGGATGAGCCTACAAGGGCGTCATCAGCAAAGAAAGGCTCTCAGTCCTGCCATTCCTGAAGCAGGAGCCTTGAGATGTGGGGATGCAGCACAAGAACATCTTGCTCTCTTGAGCGTCTCCCACCAAGTGAGCTGGCTATGGGGCTAATGCTAGGATGTGGGTGCCCGGTTATCGGGATTCTTTTTTTTTTTTGAGACATAGTCTCATTCTGTTGGCCAGGCTGGAGTGCAGTGGCATGATCTCGGCTCACTGCAACATCCACCTACTGGGTTCAATCAATTCTCCTGCCTCTGTCTCCTGAGTAGCTGGGATTACAGGCATGAGACACGCACCACCACACCTGGCTAGGTTTTTTGTGTTTGTTTGTTTTTTGTATTTTTAGTAGACATGTGGTTTTACCATGTTGGTCAAGCTGGTCTCGATCTCCTGATTTCATGATCCTCCTGCCTTGGCCTCCCAAAGTGCTGGGATTACAGGTGTGAGCCACCGTGCCTGGCCTGGTTACCAGAATTCTAAGTTCTGTTAGGGTCTGTTGCCAAGGAAGTGAGGTCGCTTCTTTAAGTTTCCATCCCCTCGGCCTCCTCCTTCCAGAAAACCTTCTCAGGACCCCAGTGGGCTGCTGACTGCTCACCCTCCCCACAGGTCAACTCCTTACCTGTACACAGTTATGTCCACCCAGGGCCTGCTTGGACACCTGCACCTGATGTTCACCAGAGACCTAGGAATCCACTTGCAGCCTGGGATCCTACAGGGGCCTAATGTTACCCTGCAGATTGGGTAGCCACCTGGGGACCAGGTATCAACCTGGGGACTGTGGTTGACCTGCGGGCTAATGTCCACCTGGGGACTGGTTACTCACCTGAGGCCTGATGTGCACCTGGGGCCCGATGTCCCCCTCAGGGTGAATTCCACCTCAGGCCTGTATGTCCACCTGGGGCCTGATGTCTGCCTTAGGTCTATGTCCCACTGGGACCTTATGTTCACCAGGGACTGGTATCCAGCTGTGGCCTGATGACCTACTGCATTCTGTTGCTCACCTATGGGCTGGTGTCTACCTGGGGCTTGGTGATCACCTGGGAGCTGGATATCAGCCTGGGGCCTGGGTGTCCACTTAAGGCCTGATGTGTGCCTGGGGCCTGATTGTCCACCTGGGGACTGGGTGTCCACCTTGGGTCTGATGTCTACCTGAAGTTATTTATCTACCTAAGGCTTGGTGTCTACCTGTGGCCTGATGTCCACATGAGTCTGGGGTTCGGTTGGGGCCTGCTGTACATCTGGGACCTTGGTGTCTATCTGAGGCCAGATGTCTACCTGGTGACTGCCATCCTCTTGAGGCCTGATATCCACCTGGGAATGGTTTATCCATGGAAACGGTTATGTCCACCTGGAGCTGGATGTCGCCCAGGAGCTAGATGTCCACCTGTGGCCCCGTGTCCACCTAGGGCCTGATGTCCACAAGTTGGCCTGGTATTCATCTGGGGCCTTCATGCTAATGTGGCTTAATGTACTCCTGGGTTCTAGTGTCCTCTTGGGACCTGATGTCTACCAGGATCCTGGTATCCACCTGGGGCCTGGTATCCACCTAGGGCTTGATATTCACCTGGGGCCTAAGAATCCACTTGATAACTGGTGCTCATCAGGGTCCTGATGTTCACCTTGGGACCGGGTAACCACCTGAGGCCTGATGTCTACTTAGGGCATAAGTGTTTATCTGGGGTCTAGTGTTCACATGGGGCCTGATGTCAACCTTGAGCCTAGGTATTCATCAGGGGACGAGTGTCCAGCTGGGGCCAGATGTTCACTTGGGGTCTGGTGTCAACTTGAAGCATGGTTGTCAACCTAGGACCTGATGTCCAGTCCAGTGTCCACCTTGGGCCTGTTTTCTAACTGGGGCCTGTGTGTCCACATAGACCCTGGTGTCAATTTGGGGCCGGGGTATTAACAAGGGGCCTGGATATTCATTGGTACATTATGTCTACTGGGGTCTTTGTGTCAATCTGAGCTCTGATGTCCACCTAGAGATTGGGTATCCACCTAAGGCCTGGTGTTTACATGGGGCCTGTAACACGAGGTTCCAGATGAACTCGGATGTCCACCTGAGGCCTCATGTCCACCTGAGTTCTGAGTGTTCACATAGGGCCTGCCATCAACTTGGGACCTAAGTATTTACCTAGGGCCTGGGTGTCCACCTGGGGCCTGACTTCCAACTAGCTCTTGTGTCAACATGGGGCCTGATGTCCACTTTGGGCCTAGGTAACTTCCTGATGACTAATGCACACATGGCTCCTAAGGACCATCTGAGGCCTGGTATTAATTTAGAGACTGGTATCCACCTGGGGTCCAGGTATCCACTTGGGACCTGATGTTCACCTGGAGTGTAGGAATTCACGTGGGGCCTGGTGTCCACCTTGAGTGTGTGTATCCAACTGAGTGCTGGTGTCCACCTGGAGTCCAGTGTATACCTGGGGCCTGATGTACATATGGGGCCTGGGCATCCATCTAGGACCTGATGTTCAGATAAGGGCTGGCGTTCTCCTGGCCTGGTGTCCATGTGGAGCCTGGGTGTACATTTGGAGCCTGATGTCCCAGGTGGATACCTGGGCCCCAGTGGTCATCAGATCCTAGGAAACTCTCAGGCCCCAGGTGCACATAAAGCTCCAAGTGGCCACCTAGGCCACAGGTTGATACACAGGGTCCAGGTGGACACTGGGTGCAAGATGAACACCAGGCCCCTGGTGAACGCCAAGCCCCAGGTGTCTGCCTAGTCCTCAAGTGGACACCAGGCACTAGATTGACACACAGTTACCAGGTGGATATCAGGCCGCAGATGAACACCAGGCCCCAGGTGGGGTGGGTTACTTATAGCATAGGTGGCCATCAGTTCCCAGGTCTATATCCACTCCCCACCTGAAAATCAGGATCCAGGTGAATACCCATGTCCTAGGTGAACACCAGGTTCCAAATGAACATCAGGCTCCAAGTGAACACACAGGCCCCAGTTCAATACCAGCCTCAGGTAGACATCAGGACCCAGGTGGACCCCAGGCCCAATGTGCATGCCTAGTCTCTTGGAATACATCATTTTCAAGGTGGCCACCGAGATTCCTGGTAGACATCTGGTGCCAGGTGGATATCTGGCTGCAGGTGGACATCAGGCCCCAGGTGGAGACCCAGTACACAGCTGTAAATCAGGCTCCAGTATTTCATCAGGCCCCAGTTAAACACTTGACTAAAGGTGCGCATCAAGACCCAGGTTGACCCCCAGGCTTCAGGTGCACACTAGGCCCAAAGTGTACACCCGTGCCCAGGTGGGCATCAGGCCCAAGGTGTACACCAGACCCCAAGTGGACATCAGGTTCCAGGTTGACACCAGTCTCTAGGTAGATCCTTAAGTCCCAATTGGTCATCAGGCCCAAGGTGGATGGATACCTTGACCCCAGGGGGTCACCAGGTCCCAGGCAGGCCTCAGGTGGACACTAAGCCCTAGGTTAACACAAGGTCTGAGATGGTTTCAGCCCCCATGTGGACTTTAGTCATAAGGAGCTTACCTAGGCCCTATGTGGACATCAGGTCCCAGGTTGACACAATGAACCATGTAGAAGTCAGGCTGTAAGTAGACACCCAGGCCCTAGGTAAATACTTTGGTCCCAAGCCAACATCAGGCCCTATGTGGACATCCAGACTCCAGGAAGATGTCAGGCCCCAGGTGAACACTGAACTCAGGGTGGTCATCAGGCCCTAGGTTGACACATAGGCCTCAGGTAGACAACAGGCATAGGTGAACTTCAGGCTCTAGATGAATGTTGGGCTCCAGGAAGAAGTCTGTGCCCCAATTAAACACTGGGTCTTAGGTAGACATCAGGCCTCAAATGGATGCCCAGGCCCCAGGTGGATATAAGGCCTCAGGCCCCAGGTAGACATTAGACACGAAATGGACACTCAGGCCACAAGTGAACATCTGTCCCCAGGGGGACATCCATCCCAAGGTGGACATCAGGCCAGAGATGTACACCCAGGCCCCAGGAGAACCCCAGGCCCCAGGAGGACACTCAAGTGCCAGAAGGACACCCAGTCCCTAGGTAACTACAAGGCCCCAGGTGGACATGATGTTCCAGATGGATATGAGGCCCCAAGTGGATACTAGGCCCAGGTGGACCCCAGGTCTCAGGGGCACACCAGGCCCCAGGGGAACACCAGGCCCTAGGTAAGCATGCAGTCCCAGGTGGACATCAGGTGCCAGGAGGACACCAGGACCCAGTTGGTCATCAAGCCACTGCTGAACACCAATTCCCCATGAACACCAGTCCTCAGGTGGGCACCTAGTCCTCTTGTGTGCATCAGGTGCCAGGCTGACATAGGCACCAGCTGAACTCTGGGCCTCAGGTGAACATCAGATCCCAGGTTGTCACCCAGGTCCCAGGTGAACACCAGGTTTTAGGTGGACACGAGGTCCTAGGTGGATGTCTATGCTCCTGGTGAACCTCAGGCCCTAGTGGACACTCAGGCCCTTTATAGACATCTGGCTCCATATGCACTCCCAGGGCCCAGGTAGACATGAGGCCCCAGAGGAACACCAGTCCTTAATCAACTAAGACTGAATTCCCCTAGGGCTGGAGACTGAGTATTCACCTTGGGCCTAGGAATCTACCTGGGGCCAGATGTCGATCTGGGGCCTGATGTCTACTCAGGTTCAGCTGTCCACCTAGGGCAGGGTGTTCTTCTGGGACCCAGAGTCTACCTGAAATCTTGTTATCAACCTGGGTCCTATGTGTCCACTTGGAGTCTGATGTGCACCTGAAGCCTGAGTTTTCACCTAGGATCTGATGAGCACCTGGGGCCCAGGTTTCCATCTGAAACATCAGGCTCTAGTTATACATCTGGGCCCCAGGTATACACTAGACACGAAAGGAACTCCAGCTCATATCTTAACATGAGGTCCTAGGTGGATGCCCAGGCCTCATGTCTACATTAGGCCTCAGGTAGACACGATTCCAGGTGGGCATCAGGCCTGATATTGGCTCTATGTCTCCACCCAAATCTCATGTTGAATTGTAATCCCCATGGGTTGAAGAAGGGGCCTGGTGAGAGGTGATTGAATCATGGGGGCAGACTTCCCACTTGCTGTTCTCGTGATAGAGTTCTTACGAGATCTGGTTATTTGAAAGTGTGTAGCACATCCCCCTTCTCTCTCCCTCCTCCTCTCCCATGGTAAAAAGGGCTTGCTTCCTCTTGGCTTTACATCATGATTGTAAGTGGCCCGAGCCCGCCCAGTCATTCTCCCTATTAAGCCTAAAGAACTGTGGGTCAGTTAAACCTCTTTTCCTCATAAGTTGCCCAAAATCAGGTAGTTTTTTATAACAGTGTGAAAACGGACAAGGTCTTAGGATAACGACCATGCTTCAGGCCATAGGTGGACATCTGGCTGCAACTGGACACTATTCCCCAGGTGGATACCTAGGCTCAAGGTTGACATTAGTCCCCAGGTAAACAACAAGCCCCAGATGAATACCTATGCCCTAAGTAGACATCAGGCCTCAAGCTGACACTCAGTCTAACCTCAACATTAGGCTCCAGGTGGACACCCAGACTCCAGGTGGACACTAGACCCCAGGGGTACACCAGACTCCTGGTAGGCATAAGGCCCCAGGAGGACACTAGAATCCAGGTGTACATAAAGCCACTGATTGACACCAAGCCCTCAGATGAACACCAGGCCAACTAGTGGACGTTAGGCACATGAGAATACTTGGGCACCAGGTAGGTATCAGGTCCCAGGTAAACATCAAACTTCAGGTGGACATCATTCTCCATGTGAACTCTAGCCCCAGCTAAACATCAGGCTCCAGGTGGAAGCCCAGACCCCAGGAGCACTTCTGACCACAGTTGAACATCTGTCCCCAGGTGAATATCAGACCATGGAGGGATAGCAAGTCCCCAGGTAGACATCAGGTCAAAAGTGAATATAAGTCTCTAGGAAGACATCTGGCCCCAGGTGGATACTGAACTAGAGGTTTACATCAGGCCCCAGGTTGACAGCAAGGCCCAGGTAGACAGCAGGCCCCAAATGAAGACCAGGCCCAGGTGTATACTGAACTAGAGGTTTACATCAGACCCCAGATTGACATTCAATCCCCAGGTGGTCATGACACCTCAATTGGACACCAAGTCCTCAGGTTGATACCCAAGTCCCCGGTGGACACCAGGTCAAAGATGAACACAAGACCTAAGGTTGACACTCAAGCCCCAAGTGGACACCAGGCCCTAGGTGAATAATATGACCCAGGGGATCATTAGGACCCAGCTGCATACCAGTCCCCAGGTGTACATGAGGCCCCCAGTAGGTTCCTAAGCTCTAGTTCGACATGAGGTCTCCAGTAGAGACCCAGGACTAAGGTGGACATCAAGCATCAGATGGACGTCTGGCCATGGATGAACATCAAGCCTCACATGGATACCTAGTCCCCAGGTAGACATCAGACCCCAGTTTGACATCAGTTTCTGGGTGGATCCCTAAGCCCCAGGTGGATATCCAGTCTCCAGCTGAACATCAGCCCCTCGTGGACGTCCAGGCCCCAGGTGGATATCAGGTCTCAGGTGAACACAAGTCCCCAGGCAGACATCAGGCACCAGGTGCACACTCAGACCCCAAGAGGACATGTGTCCCCAGGTTGACATCACTCTCAAGGTGTGCATTAGGCAACAGATGTACACCCAGGTCCAAGGCAGACACGAGTCTCCAGTAAAACTCAAGGCCCCAGGAGGATACTCAAGCCCTAGGTGGATGCCCAGATCCCAGGTAATTACAAGGCCCCAGGTGGATATCAGATTCCAGATGAACATTAGGCCCCAAGTGGATAACTAGGCACCAGGTAGACAGGAGGCCCCAGGTGCATCCCTCAGTCTCAGGTGCACACTAGGCCCCCGGTGAACACTGGCTCCAGGTGAGCACCCAGTCCAAGGTAGACACCATGACCCAGGTGGTCATTAGGCCACAGCTAAACACCAATCTCAAGTGAACACCAGATCCCAGGTGGGTACCTAGTCTCCAGGTGGATATCGGGCCCCAGGTGGACACCCAGCCCTCAGATGAACATCAAGCTTCAGGTGGACATCATGCCTCAGGTGAACTCCGGGTCCCAGCCCAGCTGAACATCAGGCCGCAGGTGGATGCCCAGGTTCCAGGTGCACAACAGGTCACAGTTGGACATTCAGCCCCATGTGAACATCGGGCCATGGGTGGACAAAGAGTCCACAGGTGGACATCAGGTCAAAGGTGAACATCAGTACTCAGGTGGACATCAGGCTTCAGGTTGACATCAAGCCCAAGGTGGACACTGAACTAGAGGTTTACATCAGGCCCCAGGTTGACACCCAGGCTCAGGTGGACATTAGGCCCCAGGTGGATACCTAGACCCCTAGTAAACCTCAGATTCTAGGTTGACATTCAGGCCCCCAGTAGTCATTTGGCCCCATGTGGACACTCAGGCGCCAGGTTCACATGATGTCTTAACTGGACACCAAGGGGCCAGTCTGATACCCAAGTCCTATGTGGGTGCCAGGTCCAAGGTTACACTCAAGCCCCAAGTGGACACCAGGCCCTAGGTGAATAATACAACCCAGGTGGTCATTAGGCCCCAGATTGACACCAGTCCCCAGGTTAACCAGAAGCCCCCAGTGGGTACCGAGGCCCCAGTTGGACATCAGGCCTAATGTGGACACCCAGGATCAAGATGGACATCAGGACTCACGTAGACATCTGGTGACAGGTGGACATCAAGCCTGGTGTGGATACCTTGTCCCCCGGTGGTCATCAGGCCCCAGTTCAACACCAGTCCCTGGGTGGATTCCTCAGCTCCAGGTGGACATCCAGTCTTCAGCTGAACATCAGACCCCAGGTGAACACCACGTCTTAGGTGGACATTAGGCCCCTGGTGGACATAAAGTACCAGTGGACATCCATGCCACAGGTAGACACCCAGGGCCCAGATGGGCATCAGGCTCCATTTGGACATTGAGGCCCCAGGTGGATATCAGGCCTCAGGTGAACCCTAGGTCCAACATAGACATCAGGCCGTAGGTTGACACTCAAGCACCAGGTGGACTGCTGCACCTAAGCAGAAAACAGACCCCTATCTAGATATCTAAGATACAGGTGTACAACAAGCCCCAGGCTGACATCCAGACCCCAGGTGGACAATATGCCCCAGGTGGACAGCATACCCCAGGTGAACAGCAGGCAACAGTTTGGCACCAAGGACCTAAGTGAAACAAAGCCTTAGGTGATTACCAGGCCATAGGTAGTCATTAGTCTCCAGCTGGACAATAGTCCCTAGGTGGATACCTAGGCCCCAGGTGGACACTAGACCCCAGATTAAAACAAAAACCAAGTAAAAAAATCAAGCCCCAAGTGGACAACCAGGCCCTAGGTAAATACACAAATCTCAAGCTGACACCAGGCCCTATTTGGACACCCAAGCCCTAGATGGACTTCAGGCCACAGGTGAACACTGAACTCTAGAAGGTCTTCAGGCACCGTGTTGACTACCTGGCCCCAGGGGGACACCAGGCATAGATGAACTTCAGCCACCAGCTGTACATCAGGTTCCAGGCAAATGTCCAGGCCCCAAGTGGATATCAAACCTCAGATGAACACCAGGCCCCAGGTAGACATCACAAACCAGGTGGACACTCAGGCCCCTACTGAATATCCGTCCCCAGGTGGACATCCATCCCAAGGTGGACATCAGGCCACAGATGTACACTTAAGCCTAAGGCAGACCCCAGGCCCCAGGAAAACTCCAGGCTCCATGAGGGCACTCAGACCCCCGGTGGATGCACTGGTCCTAGGTAAATACAAGACCCCAGGTAGACATCAGGCTCCAGTGAACACCGGAGCCCAGGTGGGTACCTAGTCCCCAGGTGTGCATCAGGCAGAAGGTTGACCCAGTCCCCAGCTGAACTCTGGGCCCCAGCTGAACATCATAACCCAGATGGTCACCCAGGCTCCAGGTGAACACATGGTCTTAGGTGGACATCAGGCCCCACATGAACACCCAAGCCCCAGGTAGATATCAGGCCTTAGGTGTACACCAAGCCTCTGGTGGGCATCTGGCTCCAAATGGCCATAGGTGGATAACTAAGCCTCTCCTGGATATCAGGCCCCAGGTAGACACCAGGCTCCAGGTGAACATCTAGCCCCAGGGGGACATCCAGCCCCTGGTGGACATCAGGGCTCACATGGATAAACAGTTTACAGATGGACACCTGCCACAGGTGCCTCACCTCTACTCCCTGAAACCTCACTTCCCCTCAGGGCCTTCTGTCCAGCTTGGGGTACCCCTAGCCGCCCTAGGCGCACACTGGACCCGAACCAGGGACGCCAGGGTCCCTGGGGCTCAGCGCAAGGGTTCATAGGAATACACTTTCATCCGTGGGGGACCCAGTCCCCGCTTCTCGGCGGCGCAGTTTTGTTTTGTTTTTTTTTCTCTGTCCCAGGTGCCTCACCTTCCTCTCATGGGCCTTCTGTCCACCTTCGGGTACCCCTAGCGGCCCGAGGCGCACCCTGGGCTCAAACCAGGGATGCCAGGGTCCCCGGGGCACAGCGCAAGGGCTGATGGGGAGACACTTTCTTCCGTGGGAGAGCCAGGCCCCGCTTCTCCTAGGAACGGTTTTTTTTTTTTTCCTCTGCCCCAGGTGGGTCACCTTCCCTTCATGGGCGTTCTGCCCGCTTTGGGGTACCCCTAGCGGCCCCAGGCACACGCTGGACTCGAATAAGGGTCGCCAGGGTCCCCGGGGCCCAGCGCAAGGGTTGATGGGAAGACACTTTCACCTGTGGGGGACCCAGGCCCCGCTTCTCCGCGGCGAGGTTTTTTTTTTTTTTTTCTCTGCCCCAGGTGCCTCACCTTCCCCTCACGTGCCTTCTGCACGCTTTGGGGTACCCCTAGCGGCCCGAGGCGCACCCTGGGCTCGAACCATGGAAGCCAGGTTCCACGGGGCCAAGCGCAGTGGCTGATGGGAAGGCACTTTCGTCCGTGGGGGACCCAGGCACCGGTTCTCCGCTGCGCTTTTTTTTTTTTTTTTTCTGCCACAGGTGCCTCACCTCTCTTCCCTCAAACCTCAGCTGAAACTTTTGGGCCTTCTTTCCTCCATGGGGTACTCCTAGCAGCCTGAGGCGCACTGTGGGCTCGAACCAGGGACGTCAGCGTCTTCGGGGCCCAGCTCAAGGGCTGACGGACACTTTCGTCCGTGGGGGACCCAGGCCCCGCTTCTCCGCGGGGCGGTTTTTCTTTTTCTCTGCCACAAGTGCCTCACCTTCCCCTCATGGGCCTTCTGTCCGACTTGGGGTACCCCTAGTGGCCAGACGCACACCCTGGGTTCGAAACTGGGACACTAGGTTCCCCGGGGCCCAGCGCAAGGGCTGATGGGAAGACACTTTCTTCCTTGGGGACCCAGGCTCTGCTTCTCCGCGGCGTTTTTTTGTTGTTGTTGTTGTTTTGTTTTTTGTTTTTTGTTTTGCTTTTCCCCAGGTGCCTCCCCTTCCCCTCATGGGCTTTCTGCCCGCCTTGAGGTACCACTAGCGGGCCCGAGGCGTACCCTGGTTTTGAGCCAGGGACGCTAGGGTCTCCGGGGCCCAGTGCAGGGGCTGATGGGTAGGCACTTTCGTCCGTGGGGCACCCAGGCCCCACTTCTAGGCGGCGCAGTTTTTCATTTTTTTCTCTGCCCCAGGTGTCTCACCTTTCCCTCATGGGCCTTCTGTCTGCCTTGGGGTACCCCTAGCGGGCCCGAGGCGCACCTGCGGCTCGAACCAGGGTGGCCAGGGTCCATGAGGCCCAGTGCAGGGGCTGATGGGAAGGTACTTTCGTCCGTGGGGGACCCAGGCCCCACTTCTGGGCGGCGCAGTTTTTCATTTTTTTCTCTGCCCCAGGTGTCTCACCTTTCCCTCATGGGCCTTCTGTCTGCCTTGGGGTACCCCTAGCGGGCCCGAGGCGCACCTGGGGCTCGAACCAGGGTGGCCAGGGTCCATGGGGCCCAGTGCAGGGGCTGATGGGAAGGCACTTTCGTCCGTGGGGGACCCAGGCCCCACTTCTCCGTGGCGCGGTTTTTTGTTCTTTTTCTGTGACAGGTGCGTCACCTCTCCTCCTTCAAAGCTCACCTTCCCCTCATGGGCTTTCTGCCTGCCTTTGGGTACCCCTAGCAGACCCGAGGCGCACCCGGGGCTCGAACCAGTGTCGCCAGGGTCCACAGGGTCCAGTGCAGGGGCTGATGGGAAGGCACTTTCGCCCGTGGGGGACCCAGGCCCCGCTTCTCCGCCGCGCGGTTCTGTTTTTTTTTTCTTTTTCTGCGTCAGGTGCCTCACCTCTCCTCCCTCAAAACTCACCTTCCCTTCATGGACTTTGTGCCCCCCTTGGCACAAAGCGGCCGAGGCGCACCCTGGGCTCGAACCAGGGACACCAGGGTCCCCGGGTCCCAGTGCAGGGGCTGATGGGAAGACACTTTCTTCCGTGGGGGACCCAGGCCGCGCTTCTCGGCGGCGAAGTTTTTTTTTTTTTTTTCTCTCTGCCCCAGGTGCCTCACCTTCCTCTTCAGGGCTTTCTGCCCACCTTGGGGGACCCCTCGTGGCCCGAGGCGTACCCTGGGGTCAAACCAGGGACGCCAGGGTCCCCAGGGCCCAGCGCAGGGGCTGATGGGATGACACTTTTGTCCGTGGGGGACCCAGGCACCGCTTCTCGGCGGCGCGTTTTTTTTTCTCTGCCTCAGGTGCCTCACCTTCCCCTCATGGGCCTTTTGTTCGCTTTGTGGTACGCCAAGCGGTCCCGAGGCGCACCCTGGGCTCGAACCGGGGTCGCCAGGGTCCACGGGGCCCAGTGTAGGGCCTGATGGGAAGGCACTTTCATCCGTGGGGGACCCATGCCCCGCTTCTCCGAGGCGCGGTCCTGTTTTTTTTTTCTGCCCCTGGTGCCTCACCTCTCCTCCCACAAACTTCAACTTCCCCTCATGGGCCTTCTGTCCGAGTTGGGGGTACTCCTAGCGGCCCGAGGCATACCCTGGGCGCGAACCAGGGATGCCACGGTCCCTGGGGCCCAGCGCAAGGGCTGATGGGAAGACAGTTTCCTTCGTGGATGACCCAGACAGCGCTTCGCGGCGCATTTTTTTTTTTTCTCTGCCCCAGGTGCCTCACCTTCCCCTCATGGGCCTTCTGCCCTCTTTGGAGTCCCCCTTGCGGCCTGAGGCTCACCTGGTCTCGAACCAGGGATGCCAGGGTCCACAGGGCCAAGCGCAGGGCCTGATGGGAAGGCAATTTCGTCCGTGGGGGACCCAGGCCCCGCTTCTCCACGGCGCGGTTTTTTTTTTCTCTGCCCCAGGTGCCTCACCTTCCCCTCATGGGCTTTCTGCCCTCCTTGGGGTACCCCTATCAGGCCCGAGGCTCACCCTGTGCTCCAACCAGTGTCGCCAGGGTCCACGGGGCCCAGCGCAGGGGCTGATGGGAAGAAACTTTCGTGTGTGGGGGACCCAGGCCCCCCTTCTCCGTGGCGCGTTTTTTTTTTTTTTCTGCCACAGGTGCCTCACCTATCCTCCCTCAAACCTCACCTTCCCCTCATGGGCCTTTTGTCCGCCTTGAGGTATCCCTAGCGGCCTGAGGCGCACCCTGGGGTGGAACCAGGGACGCCAGGTTCCACTGGGCCCAGCGCAGGGGCTGATGGGAAGGCACTTTCGTCTGTGGGGTCCCAGGCCCTGCTTCTCCGCTCGCGCGGTTTTTGTTTTTTTTTTTTTTTTCTCTGCCCCACGTGCCTCACCAGCTACTTGGGAGGCTGAGTCAGGAGAATTGCTTGAGTCTGGGAAATGGAGGTTGCAGTGAGTCAAGAGATCACAGCACTGCACTCCAGCCTGGGCAACACAGTAGGAGTCCATCTTAAATAAAGAAAGAAAGAAACTAAAGACAAAATAGGCATCACTGAAAAAGTTGGAATTAGTTAATACAGGGAAATATTAGGATGAATGATATAAAAGAACTAAAATCAAAATGAAAATAAGTATGCTGACTCCTCACACTCTCTTTTATCTCCATGATGAAATAAATACAATTTAAATACCAAGATATGATATACATATCAAATGAGTTTTGAGGAAGGACAGTAAAACGTAACCATGCATCTTGTATTAATAAACCAGATAACCTATTACATATGGTTTAGCAGTAAGATTTGATAATATATGTATTTCATATTATTTCATGAGAAATATTTAGATTATACATGGATTTTTCTAGTAAGATTTGATTATATGTATTTCATATTTCATAAGAAATATTTAAATTATACATGGATTTTTCTAGTGGCAACTTCATCTCCCACTTACTTTTTTTTCATAGTACTGACTAGATTTTAAATTACTGATCATAATGTGTCCTAGTTCACTGAGATGATAAATAGCAAAACATTTTGAATTTAAATAAAGGACAGAAATTTTAAGTTTGATTTTTCTACTAAGCTGAGCTAACTTCCAATTAGATTATTTAAGATCTCACAAACAAAATAGTATCACAGCAGGACATAACCTCAGGATTCCTTTTCACTTCAAGTTTTTTACTTTCAAAACTCCCACCTTTACACTATATTGATATGAAAGGCATCAAGACCCATAGACGGGAGGTAATGTTATAAATGTACAAATCTCTTATCTATATTTAGAGTTATACTTTACATAAAGATGTTCCCAAAACAGAAATAATATTATTAGAAATACTAAAATTGAATTTCATTAATAGCTAATTTAGATAATAATTATGAGAAAAAAACATGTATTACACTTCATTGTACCTTACATTTTTCTCATACCTCCATTCACTAGATTTGCCATCAATTCAAAATTAGATAACCCATGAAGGAGCTCATATATATGTATATGTACTAATGAAGCACTACTATGTTACTTTTGGAATAAAAATTAATGCTTATCTATATAACTTGCCCATTAAAATCCCCAAGCATGGCAGTGTGTATAGTCAAAATAGCTATTAGAATTCATTTTTAAATTCTTGTATATATAATTCTAAGATATAACAGTAAATTAGAGTCTGGCACATAAGGTTTTTTTAAATAAAAGAGAAACTATAAAAATGCACATGAAATTACACTCATTAGAAGATATTTAATTTTTACATAAACTTGGATTTGCCACTGGTTAGATTTGAGTCCTCAAACATAAACTATATATAAATAAGGGTTGATGTCAATTAACATTATGCTAGACTTATGCCACGACAAACGCATCATAAAATAATACCACTCTTAAAGATATAAATTATGTAATTGCTAATAAATGTTTTTTCTTCTGAATAATTTTACCCTAGTAATTTTCTTCAACCTGACAGGGTTTCATGGAGAATTCGAACCATGAGTATATGCAAATGATAAGGTCAGGATTCATATTTTCCCTCAACTACATATTATAATCACTATGCTATCTTTGTTAAGAATTTTCTATTTATTATCACAAAAGGCATTCCTTTATGATATAACAACCTAAATGTCAGGGTTTTATTTATTGTATAAATATCTATCTGCATTAGTTCTAAAAAATTTATTAGCACTTTAAGGGCAGAACCCAAATACTGTAATACATTTACACAGCACTGAGTACATCATGCATAGTCTAAGTGTGTATAAAATACCAGCAATTGCACATGTAAAGAAAACTTACCAGACAGTTGTTTCCACTTGACTGTCATTGAGCTGCCGATTATCCAATTGGGGAAACAGTGGAAAAAGCACTTGAATCTGTCCAATTGAATGAATTGCACTATGAATTGAATGTGTTACTATCCCTTTCACATCCTATGTCTAAAACCAAAAATGTTTATTAAACTTCTATAGAATGATTTTCATCACTATTTCCTTGGTCCAAATACCTTTATAAGGGAATTAAATAACATAGTTGGACATTTTTGAAGCCTTCAATTATAATTTTTATACACACATAAGACAAAAAAGTGAGTACATTTGCTAATCACTTTTAAATTTCAAATCTTAGGTTGAGACATTTTTACACTAAAAATATGAAGTTAAAATCAAATGTTATTTTAAAACCAGAAATACTATTGATGGATTTAAAGACAAGTAATTTTAATGTTACAGAATATTAGTAATACAATCTTAAAGCAAAGTATGTTTTTATATCTAACAACTAACTTATTCAGTTAATTGATTTAATTTCAAAGGCTGTATAATATATAAGATAATAGATATGACAGATTTCCTACTAAGGAGACAAGGCCAGGGTAGAGCATATTGCTACAGAAAAGATAGACATTCTTTAAAGTTTCACTTAAAAGATCTGCAAAAGCCAAAAAAGAAACAAAAAGTCACAGATTTATAGATGAGCAATGTTTGATACATAAAATAAAGATACTGTTAAATTCTGACAAGAACATGAAAACACAGCCATGATTCACCCACCTGAAGCATTAGAGCATGTTGGGAATGCACAAAAATTGATGCATTCTCTTTTGGTGATGATTCCAGGCAGAGTTGAGCATCAGTGGCCTTAGCAGTATATGTAAAGGTAATGCTACTTGCAAGTTTCCCATCATACAAAACCTGTTTATGATGTTCTGCCAAATGAATATCACTCTCAGATTTAAACTTGAAGGTACTCTGAAAAAATAAA
Organism: Homo sapiens; assembly: GCF_000001405.40. Classification (NCBI taxonomy): domain Eukaryota; kingdom Metazoa; phylum Chordata; class Mammalia; order Primates; family Hominidae; genus Homo; species Homo sapiens. The sequence continues at coordinate 131,750,619 of NC_000002.12, read as the reverse complement.
ACCAAGGTAAACACTCTTTTTAAAAGCAACAATTAAAACTTAAAAGTTTTAAAGCAGAGAAACATTTGCAATAAGAAAGTACTTGTGTACCTTTCATGTGTCAGGGACTATTCAGTGGTGTTACTTACTTTGTTATTGTCACTTCAATTCAATGAGAGTTAAGTTTTATTATGCCAATAAAGATGCTCAGATCTTCATTTTCTAATTTAAAGTTTTTGATTACTGGCAAAATCATTTCATTAGAAAAAAATATCAAACCTGATATTATATATAATAGGATTTTACTTGACTACATCATAGCATAAGTTTAATTTTTATTATTAACACTTTAAAAAGTATTTATGTAAATAAGCAGTGCCTGACACATGAATTACTTATAAAAATGACTACCATTTGAGGCTATAAAAAGTTAATATGCAAAAATATTCATATCTTCACTAAAAAGCAAATCAATCTATGAAATACCAATGCTACTCAACAATAATATCACAATATACATACTAAACTCAGAAGAGAAGTTTGTTAAAACATGTTATTACTTTTTATGAAAGACAACTAAACATATGCCATCTATAACAAGAAAGGTATTGTCAGACATGGTTAAAATTGCTCTGCAGATATGAGTCTAATAATGATAAATGATATTTAACCTTTGCAATAATCACATATCAATATTACTATTACTTTCAACTTACAACTATGAAAGCTTAATGTTAAGAAATTAAGATGTAGAAGGGAAGGGGCCAGCATGTAATTCTAAGTCTTCTGATTTATAGTCCATATTCAGTGTATTGCTGCTGACATCAACTTAAAATCCTGACTCTGCCACTAATTATCTTTTTCAAGCTTAGGAAATCATTTAGCTGATGTGGCTCCAATTTTCTCACTCAATGTTATAATAAGGTTAAATCAAATGTCCCAAACTCAAGTTCTCACAGAAGGCACACAGATATGCATGTAAGTGAATTGGGCCAGATGGGGACTTCCTCAAACTAGAGAATGTTTGTCCTTTCTAAAAGTGGCCCCTACTCCTCAGCTCAAGTCAATTGTTCACTGTTGCTAGTTCTTCCATATTTTTCAAGAGAAACATGAAATCCGAATTTTTATCTAAAAGCACTATATTTTAAAATTTAATTCAAACATTTTAACACTGTGAAGACCAAACATGTCAGTTTTTACTTCTGGACTAGTGTGTAGAGACTAATACGAAACTGGATGCAAACTATTAATTATTAGGCATGTGCCAAGACAAGAGCAACATGAATAATTAAAAATCTGTGTATGTTGTAGTCTGAAGTATTTCATTGATAATACTTTTTTTTTGAATGAGGAAGGTAGTGTTATCACTAGAATGCTTAAGAACTCAGCATATCTGCATTCAAAAAAACAATGACTGAATTAAACACACAAGATACGTTGTTAAACACTAAATCAGCTTTCCGTGTCTGCATTTTACCACTGCGGAAACATTTGTACATCCCATTGTCTAGAACAAAACTCTTGCTTTCATTTTGTTCATACTGCTTACACTGGAATTAACAAGTTTTAATATATTATCTTAAAAGATTTAAAATACTTTTGTGGAAATGTAAGGTGTCTAATAAAACCTATTCTTATTTGGAAATACATTGGTCTTAGTTTTTCTGAGTCCATGATACATACCATACCCTATTTTGGTTTGTAGGAGGAAAACAAGTTTACGTAATTAAATCTAACATTTTCAGGTTAAAAAAAGTGTATAATGTAATTTAAATATAAACATGAAATCCATTAAATAAAGATAATTTTCTTATCTTCCCTTATTTGTAGTATTAGGTTATTTCTATGTCTTTAAATTTATATATAAAGGTGGACATGCGCAATGGCTCACACCTGTAATCTTAGCACTTTGAGAGGCCAAGGTGGGAGGATCACTTGAGGCCAGGAGTTTGAGATCAACCTGGGCAACACAGAGAGAGACCCCATCTCTACCAAAAAATTAAAAATTAGCTGAGTGCGGTGTCACATGCCTATAGTCCCAGCTCTTCAGGAGGTGAAGTGGAAGGATCACTGAGCCCAGGATTTTGAGGCCACAGTGAGCCTTGATCACACCACTGCACTCCACCCTGGGTGACACAGTGAGACCCTGACTCTCAAAAAAATTTAAAAAGAAAAAATTTTACATAAAAGTATAAGCCTTTATATAAATATCAATATTTATTGTATTATTTCTTTCAGAAGGATTTTCAGAGGAAGAATTGTTATATAAAACTGTATGAATAGGACATGGATGAGAATGAGGAGTGATTGCAAATAGGCAGGTAGGATCCTTCTGGGGTGATAGAAATGTTCTAAAATTAAATTGTAGTGATGTCTGCACAACTTTGTAAGTTTGTAAAAAATAATTGACTTGTACACTTAACATTAATGAGTTGTATGACATGTAAATTACACTTCAATAAAACTGTTATAATTATTTTAAGAGAAGAAAAGAATGTATGAATATATTTTGTACCAATTATACTCAAATGAGTAGAGTATGATGCATGCTTTTCAATACGGACCACTTCAGCATAACAAAGAAGGTGGGTGGAAGCAAAGTTATACTGAGCTAAGGAAATGACTCCAAGTGGTAACTGAATCCGCAGAAACAAATGAAAAGATTCATAAATGATAAATCAGAAGATCAATATAATAAAATCTACAAACATATACTGTATCTCCTTTCTTCTCTCAGCTTCTTTAAAATACACAATTATATGAAGTGATAATTATGTCATGTTGGGTTTGTAACATATACAGATACTATATGTATAACAATAATGTCACAAAAAACGGAGAAAACAAATAGAGCTATATAGAAGTAACATTTATATAACTCACTAGGATAAAATTAGTATAAATCTGAGGCTGATTCCAGTGAGTTAAGATGTATATGGTAAGCCCTAGTGCAATCACTAAGGAAATGTTTTTTTAAGTGAAAAAAATTATTTAAAAATTGAAAATGCTGTTTAAGAAAATAAGCACATAATCCAAAGAAAGCAGTAAAGAAGAAATAAAGAAATAAAAAGAACTTGAGACACATAGCTAACAAAAAGTAAAATGACACATGGAAACCTATCAATAATCACATTAAAGATGAATGAAATAACCAATCCAATCAAAAGGCAGAGATTGTCAGACTGGATAATAAAGTAAGATTCAATAACATACTGTTTATAGAATATTCAAAGATAAAAACATATTTAAAGTAAATTAAATGGGAAAAATATCAATAAATCACAAGAAAGCTGGAATGGCTGTGCTAATATCAGACAAAATAGATGTTAAACCAAGATATATTACTAGATATTAAAAAGACATTGGATAATGATAAAAGGGTCAGTCATGAGGAGGATATAGCAATTGTAAACATATGTGCACCTAACAGCAGAGTGTCAAAATACATGAAGAAACATCTGAAGAAATGAAGGGAGAAATAGACAAGTTAACAATAATAGTTGGGCACTTCAATACTCAACTTTCCATTCATAAGATCAAGAAAGAAACTGAAGATTTGAACAAAAACCAAACAGAACTAACAGACAACTCTAGAACACACCATCCCAAAACAGCAGAATACACATTCTTCTAAAGTACACATAGCTGGGCTCAGTGGCTTACGCCTGTAATCCCAACACTTTGGGAGGCTGAGGTAGGAGGATCACTTGAGGCCAGGAGTTCAAAACTAGCCTGAGCTTGCAAGACCCTGTCTCTATAAAAAGCTGAAAAATTAGTCAGACACAGTGGCTTGTGCCTATAATCCCAGCTACTCAGGAAGCTGAGGCAGGAGGATCACTTGAGCCCAGGAGTCTAAGTCTCCAGTGTGCTAGGACTGCACCACTGCACTCCAGCTTAGGTGACAGAAGGAGAGACCCTGTTTCCAAAAAATACGTACACACAAAACATTCTCCTGGATACACCAAACTCAGGTCATAAAACAAACCTCAATAAATTTATGAAGACAGATATAATACAAAGTATATTATCTGTCCAAACTGGAATGTTAGAAATCAATAATATAAGGGAATTTGAGGAATTCATAAATATGTGGAAATAAACACATTCCTAAATAACTGATGTGTCAAAGAAGAAATAATCAAAAGGGAAATTACAAAGTATTTTGAGATGAATAAAGGCACAAATACCAAAATATAAGCAGTTAAGGCACTTAGAAACTTCTACGTGTAAATGTTTGTATTTAAAAAGAGGACTTCAAATCAACAACTAAACCTCCCACTTTATGACCCTGGAAGCAAAAAAGCAAACTAAACATAAAACAAGCAGAAAGAAAAAAATAAAAAGAATTATAGAAGAACTTAATGAAATAGACAATAAGAAAACAACTGTGAAAACACAATAAAATCAAAAGCCAGTTCTTTGAAAAGATCAACACTACTAACAAGCCTGTACCTAGACTGACTAACATATTAATATTATTATCTCAACAGATACACTAAACATGTTTCACAGAATCTAACACTTTTTATAAGAAGCATTGAACAAACTAGGAATAGAATGGAATTCTAACTACCAAAAAAAGCATCTATAAAAAACCTACAGCCAACAACATAGTGCAATTTGTTGCAGGATGTCAGAGCATAAGACGGATAGGAAGGGTAGGTAGGAGAGCTGCCCAGTTCATGAAGTCAGAATTCCAAAAAAGTGATAAGGCGTCTACCTGAAACAACAAGGAAGAGGCAAGTGGGTTATGCCTTGACATAAAGTTTCTGAGTATGTGCAAGGTAAGGAAGATTAGGTACACTAAGGGCTTCTCTGTGTAGAGTCAGAGCCTGAAAAGGATGAGAAGGCATCTGCCTGAGAGGAGAGGGCAAACCATGGAAGGCAGCTGGATCTAGAGTGGGGATTGAAAATCATTCATTTGGTGTGTGGCTTGGCATGTTGGAGCCTGGGCAGCCAGAGAAGGGCATCCTCACAGGGGGTTGCCTGGCTCAGGTTGTTGTAGCCTGAGGAAGATGAGAAAATACGCACAAAGGGAAGCAACCAGGCAAGGGAAGGCACACCACCAGCAGGGCAGAGAGCACATTGCCCAAAGGAGTAAGCCAGGATGGGTTGTCAAGAGTTCTAGAGAGAGGGTAGCATCTGAATAAGAGGGCTGCCCAGCAGGAGGTAAAGAAACCGGGGGCTCCAGAAGGATATAGGGAAGGCATCAGCTCAACAGCCTAGCTCAGTGTATTGTGCTAGAACTGAGGAAGGGTTAAGAGGGCATCCATGATGGAAGGTAATCAGAAAAGAAGCCAACACCTGCCTCAGGTGAAGAGGGCATCCATATAGAAAATGAAGGAAAGACTGAGAAGCTGTTTGATGCATTATAATGTAAATGCAGTAAACTGGATCTTTTTACTATAAAATATATTATACAACAATTAGCAAAATTTTAAAGGGGTCTGATAATTAAATGGTAGTAACAAATCATTGCTAATCTCTTGATTTTATGTTATAGAATAATTATGTGAAAGAATGTTCTTGTTTGTAGGAACACAACATTCAGGAATGATGGAGCATCATGTCAGTAGTTACTCTCATGGTTCAGGAAAAAAACTGACTGGCATAGTGCTTGTAGCTTTTCTGTAGTTTTTATTTTACTTTTAAATTTTAAAATGTGAGAGAAAGAAGGAGATAAAGATTTAAGAGAAAATGAAATAAAATAAGTGATTTAAGAAAAAGATAAGCAAAGTAAATAAACATGCATAGTCAAGTCTCTGGAGAAGAAAACCAAAGCAAGGAAAGAGAAGAAATTCTAAAGTTGTAGTATAAGAACAATTTCTTAAAATATGAAAAGATGGAAACTACATATGAAAGTGCACACCACATACCTGAGAAATTAACTCAGAATGACCAACACCAAGACATGTCTACCAAAATTACTAGATTTAAGGAAAAAGAAAAAAAAATCCTTTGAACATCTAACAAGACTGAGTGTCTTGTAATGGAAAAGATATTACATTGTCAAGAGACTTTCAATACTAATACCTCATGCTAGGGAAAAATTAGTAGCATATTTAAGACATCCAAAGAAAGAAAAAAAAGTCAAGGATTTTATAACCAGGCAAAATGACTTTCAAGTAAAAAATATAAAGTGCCTTACACACTAGTATCAAAATGCATTTCTCAAGAAATACTGTTTCCATGAACTCTTCCTGAGGAATCTACTACAGAAAGAGCTAAAACACAGCCAAAACACATCAATATAAGGAAATAATATAAGCCCTAAACACACAGGTACTTATAGGACTATGATTAAATAACAGTTAAGAGAGAATGGTATGTAATAACTGTTGTGCTCACTATGTAGATAAGACTTTGTATTAGCTTGCTGGGTCTGCTATGACAAAGTACCAGAGTCTGGATGGCTTAAATAAAATAAGTTTATTTTCTCATAGTTCTGGAGGCTGTAAGTCTGACATATGGGTGTAAGCAGGGTTTTCTTCTGAAGACTCTCTCCTTGGTTTGAAGACAGCCTAACTACCTTTTCTTCCCTGTGTCTTCACATGGTCTTTCTTTTGCATGTGTCTGAGTCCTAATTTCCTCCTCTTTATAAGGATACTAGTTATACTGGATTAGGACCCAATAACCAAAATGACCTCACTTAATCTTAATTACCTCTTTAAAGACCCGCCTCCAAAAACAGTCACATTTCAGGCTACTGAGGGTGAGAATTTTAATGAATTTTAGGGGAACATAATTCACCTTGTAACGCCTCAACTATTTTAAAAATGGCAAGAGGGAGAATGAAGAGAACACATTCAAAAACAAATTAACTACATTTTCAGTAATTATAACAATTGGGCATTATTGGTATTATTATTCTGAGGCTGTTCTTTATGTATAATTATGGGATTTTCTCATCTATTATCCTGTGTGTATTTGACAGTCAGTATCCTCAATGAAGAAAGGAGATTTAACTTCAAGTAGGTCAAGTTAAAACACCACACTCTCCTGCTTTTTCTCCTTATTCCCTTGCTCTCCTCTTTCTCCTTTGCTGGTTCCTCTGCATCTCCCCAACCTACAAACACTGGCTTTCCCAAGGACTCATTTCTCAGTTATCTTTTTCTCTGAACTCACTTCATTGGTACCTAAATCCAGTCCTTTACCTTTAAATCCTGTCCATATCCTGCCAATGCCAAATTTCTATCTCCAACCTAGACGTCACCTCTAAACTCCAGACTTACTTCATTTTTCCATTTAGATGTTTATCAGGCATCTCAAACAACTATGCCCGTAACCTATGTCCATAACCTAATATTTGATCTTCTCCGCCACAACTTATTTCTTCATAGTCCTCCCATCTCAGTAAATGACAACTCCATCAGCTCAGTTGTTCAGGCTAAAATTCATGGGGTTACTTGCTCCTCTCAATCCTCTCTTGCTCCCTTACTCCATGTTCACAGTGACAGAAAATCCTACTGGCACTACCCCCAAAGTATACCCCAAAGCTGACCTTTTAGAGTCTTAGATATTTTAGATATGCTTTATCAAAAATCTAATCAAGTCTCAATACTTTCCAGAGCTCTTTCACTAAATAACTGCAACAGCCCCCTAACTAGTCTCCCTATTTCCACCTTTTCTCCCTATTTACCATAGTAACCAGTGTGATCCTTTTCAAATTGGTATCAGGCCAGGACACTCAAAACTTTTCAATGGCTGTCCCTCTCACTCAAGAGCAAAAATAAAGTCATAACAATCCTCTGAAAGCATATAGTTGTTCCCTGAATTAATCTTTGACTCTCCCCCTTGCTCCTTCTGTGACAGTCACAGCAAAACATAGTCACAGTGTTCTTTAATCTGTGAAGTAAGCTTCTGCTAATGGCCTTCATGCTTGCTCTGGCATTTACCCTTAAAGCTCTTAACCGGATATCCACTTGACTAGCCTCAACTTCCATCTTACCTGCTTTGTGTGTCTCACAGCTCTTATCACCATATAGACACTATATATTTTTCTTTTGTTTTGTTATGTCTTCTCCCATGATACTGCACACCCTACTTCTCCAAGATACAGGCATGGGGTTTTTGTTGGTTTTGTTTAATTGTTATATCCCTAGCATCTAGAACAGTGCCCAACTGTTTAATAAAAGAATGAATGGATGAATTAGTGAAGGCTAATTATTTGTATTTAGTTAGCATTGATTTATTTTGTTTTTCCATTCAATTGGGCTTTTGTTATCTTTAATTTGAAAGAGGGGTCTACAGCATATGCTGTGGGTAAATGAAATACTGGATACATACCTATCATTCAAGAAAAGACATGCAATTTTGACTTTGATAATTTTGTTTTAGCCATTGAATTGTAGTCAACATCATTCTATCAAGACACATTGCAAAATACGTAACTTTTCAACTACATAGGTGCATTTATAGCCTCTCTCCAAATCTTTCTGCTAGTTATCATATGTATTACATTTATATACTCTGAATCATCCAGGTTTGCTTCTTCAGTCAGTAATGAGAGTCAAATAACAACAAATTTTTTAAATTTTCTTTCAAAAGACTCAAAGAATATTTTCACTGGATAAAAAATTCTAGGTTGACAGATTTTTTTTCTTTCTTTCAGAACTTTAAAGATTTTGTTCCACCTCTATGGCTTCCCTGCTTTCTGATGAGATGTGTACAGAAATTCAAATTATTGTTCCCTTATCAGTATCTAGTTTTCCTCTGCCTGCTTTCAAGGTTTTCTCTTTATCTTTGTTTTTCCACACTTTGACTGTAATGTGCCTACTTTGGTTCTCTTTGCATTTATTTTGGTTGGAGTTTTCAGAGTTTCTTCAATCTATAAACATAATCCTTTTATCAAATCTGAGAAGTTTTCTATCATCATTTATTCAAATATTTTTTCTGGCTCTTTCTCTTATACTGTGCCTATTAGACCTTTCAAAACTGCCCCCATACATCTCTAGGGTTCTATTTTTTCACCCCAATCTTTCATAACTCTCTTCAGATTTTCTGTCAATCTATATTCAAGTTCATTTACTTCTCTATAATATTAATTCTGCTAATAAGCCCATACAGCTTATTTTTAATTCTGATATATTTTTCAGTTCTAGAATTGCCATCTGATTTTGTTTTATTTCATGGCTGATACTTCCTATCTTTTAATTCATTATAAGTAAACTTTTCTCTACCTCGCTAGTTACAATAAGACCTCATGTGATATTTCCAACATGTGGGTTATCTTAGAGTTGGTATATGAGGATTTACTCTTCCCTTGAGAATAAGTCACATTTTTTCTGACCATTTTTAGAATAAGTACTTTTGGATTATATGCTAAATAGTGTGACTATTACTCTGTACAATATTATAGAGAAACTTTCTAGCCAGAAAGTTTCCTATAAAAGCAAAAAATGGGGATATCAGTCCATGTAGACAGACTGTTCCATATTTTGACTACCCTCCGAAGCTTGCCTGCTTTTATTCAATCTCCACAACCCTCAGATAGATATTATCTATATTATGTGCAGAGTTTACAAATGGTTATTTGTGAGAAGATCAGTTTGTTAGGAGTTCACCCCTCCACACAAGTACTGGAAGTCCTCTGAAGTGATTTTTAATTTTGGAGGTTGTGTTATACTTTTTCTCTTATCAGTTAGAACTTTATTATGATATAGCAAATTATAAAAACCATTATGCTATCATATTCATAAATGAAAGAGAGAACTCAAAACTAAATTTTCAAATATCTGGCCATGAAGACTAACTGCTTGCTACACGGGATTAACAAAACAATGAGAAAATGTCTAGTAATAATTATAAAATATAAAACCTTTGTTAAAATCTGATTTGAAGCTTATGTCAAAGGGCCACCTCATACAGAATCTTGAAGACATTAAATAACCCCAAATAGAGATCCACAGTAAACTTATGTGGTAGTAAATTTTACTATACTAGACAAATCTACAGTGAGATTTTCTGTATTTTAAATATTTTCTGTATTTCTGTATTTTCCAAACTGAATGGTTTATTTAGTTAATAAGTGATACCCTAACTTATTTACCATTTCCAGAAAATAACCAAGTACAGAATACTTACTGATAAGCTGCAATGCTCAAATCCAAATATTCAACAGAAAAAAATTTACCTAGCACTACAGTGACCAACAAGTCAAAATCATTTGTGACAGGTTCTATTGAATATATAGTTTGATGACATTATTTGAAGGTAGAATTAACTTATTTTATTAACTTTGAAGCCCATATGTTGACATGCTACCTACACTAAACTCAGAATCATAAATTTTGTCTGACCATTACAATGAAAGAAAGTTCCATATAACTTAAGGCAATAAATATAAATACTATGTTATTATACAACACTAAGTAATCTCCATTTGTGATTTATCCAAATGTCCATTAGTTATTATATTCTCTACACCTTAAAAATTCCACTGTAGCCCTCTACCCCTTCTCTCACAGAGAGTGACTTTACCAAGATAATTGTAACTATAATGTGTGAACTACTCAGCTTTTCTGTCAAAACACAACCCGATCATTTGCATTCCTCCTTCTCTATGCTCTCTGAATTTCTAAAAAAAAAAAAAAAAAGCTTTTTAATATAAAAAAATTTTGCTGATGCCTGTCATGGTGCAATTGTACTTATAATATTTACAAATTTATCTACTTTTACTGACATGGGATCCTGAATAACATCATCTCGGACTCAGGGACTCATTTTATTCAGCAGTAGAAGTGTGACAGAGGGCATGTGACTGTGGGACTCATTTTTTCTACCATAATCTATATTAAGTGACTTATTAAAGGCTCAGCTAAAAAACCAGTTCAGGATGATACACTTACAAAGGTAGCTCTGTTCTCCAAAATAGTCTATACACAGTAAATATTCAATAACATTATGTGGTCTCCTATAGCTGGTCTCTAATAGCCAACAACATGGGTCTGGGAACAAAGAGTGGAAATACAATTGGTGTCCTTTATTAAAACTCTTAGTAATCCACTTGCAGAATTTACGAGTCCCAGCTCCACTATTTTAGGTTTTGCTGGATCAGAGGTCTCAGATTCCAAGGACAGGGTAAGCAATCAACCAACCTGAAGATACAATTACAACTCTGGTCACTTTGGGATCCTCATGCTGGTAGGGCAACCCTCAAAGAAAGGAGTGAGTAGCCAGGAGAAATAACCACAATCATCATGAGTAGCTAGAGATGGTGTTACAGGGAGCAGGGACAGGGAGGCATAATCTAGAACTTGTGTTCAGTGGGATCACCTCTTGGTGCTCCCATCATCAGTGACAATAGTCAACATGCAACTGCAGCAACTAACCAGAGCCACCAAAGGTACTCAGACCCTAAGAGGTGAAAGGCAGGGTCATCTAATCTGGCAAGCTCCCAGAGCAGCTAAAGGTCTGGCTGAGGGAAGAAAGCGGGGAGTGAAGGGGGAGAGGACAAAGTCTAGTGTTGACCTTGGTACTAGCTGTGCAGTGGGATGTTTGCTTGTCCTACTACTTACTGTGTGTTTGTTAGGGATTATGCTGGCCACCTCTTTGAATAGGTGACAAAGTTTATCAGGTAGCCTCTGTAGATCCAAGCCATGTGAAGGTGAACCAATGCAAATGCTTTCCATGTCCTCCATTCTTCTCCTGGGCCCACTTCTGACTTTAACTATGCTGTGGTGAAGAATCTGTGTGCATGCCGCCTGTACCCCACCTCAATCACCCTCTGTTCCTCTCTCTGTTTTTCGGCCTTAGGATTTTTTCTTTCTTTCTTCTTCTTTTTTTTTTTTTTTTTTTGGTAAGAAACAGAAGCCCTTTTCAGCCCCAGATAGAGGCAGGCACAGCTAAGAAGAAACACAAGGGAGTTAATTAATACTCCTAGGGACAGCTCTCAGGCAGTGGCGGATGGCAGCTGGTGTGTGTGTGCTTTTTTTTCCCTTCAGCTCTGAGAGGCATCCTCACAGCTGCAACCTACATTGTGGACTCTTTATTGGATTTTCTCCCTCTCCATCTTGCTCTTCCTGCTCCTTCACTTCTCTTTCATTTTTTCCAACTTTGTTGAGATATAGTTAACAAATAAAAATTATATACATTCAAAAAAAAATTTACAAATTGAGAAAATGCATGTACCTGTGGATTTATGATCAACCCCCACTAACAACAAGGGTGCAGTAAGCTGAGAACTTTCAAAACTTAATAAAATACTATCTGATGTAATGCCCAAACTTACAGGTATATCTCTTAAAAGTTCTGGCTTTAGGTACTCTATTGTGTGTTAGGATACTAAGAATACTCTACGTCACATGAGCTGTGCACACATGATGACCAGGTTACTGCTCATTATCACTGTTGTTAAAAAGAATGACGAGAAAGGCGTGTGAAAAGAATACTACAAACTACAGAGTTTGCAAAGCTGTTCAGGACAAAGTTTGCTTCTTTGTGAATAGAATTACAAAATCGCTTATATTCAGCCTTTTTCCTTGATGTTGCCAGGAAGCTCCCATCAATTCTGATATTTCACATTAGCAATCATATCGGATTTGTATTTTCTTGATATTCTACCTTTTTATATTTTATTTGTTTGCTTGTCACTCTATTTAATATCATTCTATTAGAGCTTAAAAAGACACTGCAAGTATTTTATGAAACAACTCAAAGAAGTAGGAAAGAAAAGCAAGCAGCATATTAATAAAAAATGTGAATTACAAAAATATTCCTATGCAAGATCAACAATGGAAGAACCAGGATGCAAACCCAACACAAAGACCCATGAAAGAAGAAATAGCTGGACAAGCACAAATTCATTTCTAGAGCTAGTAAGACAAAAACAAAAATGATATGGAAAATATATGATAGCAAGTATTGTTACCTTGACATAAAAATAATAGCATTATTATTCTTCAATATTATTATGGTTATTAAAGTCACTGAGAAAAAAAGATCTTTTAATATGGGTAAATTCAAACTTTCCTCTCTCTCTCTCTCTCTCTCTCTCTCTCTCACTCTCTCTCTATATATGTGTGTGTGTGTGTGTGTGTGTGTGTGTGTGTGTGTATGACATAAAAACAAAAAGAGAAATACCAATGCAAAAATACAAAGGCCAAAGAGGGAATTTTTAAAAATATTTTTCCTTTCCATAACACAATCTTCACATTAATTATTTAAATTGAGTTCAATAAATAAACCACACTTCCATACAAGACAAGTACTCCTTCAGAATTATAAACACTTTGACTATAATGTGTAATTCTCTTTCAGCTCCAAGTAGTTTGAGACTTCACAATTCCCAATGTGATTTAGACAGAACCTTTATATATTCCCCTATCCAGGTGTACTGCACATTTAAAACTAACTCATATATGTGCATGCTATATCTTACCTAGAGTCTTTGTTCTTAAAGTTTAAAAAACAGAAAGAATATTATAAATTACATTAAATAATTAGTTTTGCTAAATTAGTTTACTCACTACTGTACCTACTTCCTCACTGCAATTAAAGCAAAAATATAAACTAAAATTAAATAATTTTAGGCCCATGAAGTATATTATCTTAGATTCCTTCTAAATCTTTAACTCTTCTTTCCAAGTTACCAGTAATATTAACAAGTTCTTTATTATGTTTACTATGTAATATATATATTTCAAATTTTTGTATTATAAATACTACATTAAGCAAAATAGTTTTATAAGATTTATTATTTCAGAACTGTTAACAAAAGGCATGCTATCAATATTAGAAAATATTCTGAAGAATAAAAAAGTTTATAAAGAGAAAACAGTTGAGAAAAAAGCATCTTTGAACCAAAAAGAAACACATAATAAAAACTGACTACAATCCAAAAAATAGAAATGACTCTTAAACTGTATTAAAGAAAGATTTTCACTAAAAATTATATTACATCACATTTTACATCTGAAATGCTCCATAGAATTTATAAAATTATAGTTATTACTACCTTATATCTAGGTCCTAACTGATGAATTGCAAATATCTGTGCTGGGTTGAGTGCTTCACTGAACACATACACGGCACCAAGTTGACCACAGAATACCCTATTTGCATCAGCAGTTTCTGATGATCCAAGAAAGCACTTGTCATAGCTCTATTTATAAAAGTCATTAAAAAAGCATCATTTTTAATGATGAAAAGGTTTAAATCCTTAAATCAACCTTTATGAATATTTTAAAATATAACAATAATAATAGAGGAGAGCATCAATGAAGACTTTATTATTTAAATAATAAATGCCAGCCAAGTTTTTTTGGGAAAAATGATCAATTACATTTTTTACACTTATGTTTAAGCAAACAGTAGCCATCTACTCAATCTTCTGACTTAACACTTTTCAAATATTATAGTTAAAGACAAAATAGCTTATAATTATTTACAAACATTAAAATAATTTAAAACTGTAATGATGTATAATTATCCATATATAGAGAGATTGATCTGAATCAAGGGAATGACTATTCCAAAATGTAGTGAACACATAGGGTCTAATTTTTTTATTCTCCTTTATTTTTGAAATTATGAATCTATTCCTCTATTCCTCCGTATTTAGTAAAAGACACAAAGAAAATAAATCCCCTCTCATATATGAGTAGGAACTACACAGAATCAAATAAACAATAAGACTAAAATCTGCTGCTTAAAGCAGATGGTACAGTGCCCTCCACATTGAGGAATTCAGCACTGAAGAAGCCAAAAGCTTAACAAGATCTTTCCAGCCTCTACTTCTTACACCCCACTCACCCAAACCAGGGAAAGCAGTCATGGCTCAGTTCCCTTCCCCTATCCCCAAAGGCTATTTCACACCTTAGAATGAATAAGCAAGAATTATATATGTAAGAAGTACTTTTGGTACTTCAATAAAGTAACAAAAAAAATTGTGAATGCGTACAAAGGCAAAAAGAACTGTCATCATTAAATACCCAATCTTTAATTAGAAGTATAGGAACTTAAACTTTAACTGCATAAAGTATGTATATATGTGTTATTATCTAGAATTCTCCACTTCTTAGGGCACTATTATAAATAACCAAAAAACTAAGTATTTTCTTTCCAAGATACTGTCTTATCATTGAATGAGTCAAGAAGACCACTGGGATTTCTTCCACTCTATAATAAAAAGACTCTGGAGAGAAGATCTCCTCTGGAGAGAAGATAAAAAGCAGAATTTCATCTGTGTATTCTAATTCTGAAAACAACATTCCATTAAATATTAATTGGTTGTGGCACAACCATGAGTTTCTATGGCAGGGAAAAGCAACTTTTTCTACAAAGGGACAGACAGAAAGTATTTTAAACTTTGCTTGCCACACCTGGTTGCTGTCCCATTCTTCTTTGATTTTGTTTGTATCTCAAGAAAAAAACAAACAAACAAAAAACCTTTAAAAATTAAAAGCCAAGAGTCTTTGCCCCCAGCTTACACGAAACCAGAAACAGGGGGAGGGTCAGATTTGGTTCATAGGGTGTAGTCTGCCAAGCCCCGATCTAGGGGACAACCTATGGACCATACACACAGTGCTAGTTAAAAGAATACAAGACAGGATAAGCAAATCCCTGCCCTTTGGGAGATTAAAGCCTATAGACATGCAAACAAAACTGAAAAATGAATTGTATTTAAGAGGTAAGTTCTTATAAAACCAGGTAAGCGTGAAGGGTTGTATATTATTGAGCTTGCAGGTACTTTCAGCATTAAAACAAACCTTTTACTTTGGCTCTGACAGGCCAGAATGTAGACAATGGAAAGCCCAAAGTAGAGAAACCGTAAGGACACTTGAGGTTTTAATTCGAGTTTTTCACTATCTAGAATCCAACTGTGTCACTTCTTCCACTGCTAACATACTGGTAGAAACTAATATAATCTCTTTGTTTTATTGCAATAAGCCATTTAAGTGATTTTCCTGCTTCTGTAATTTCCCTTCAAAATATTGTCAATACTGCAGGCAGACTGATGCTTTTAAAATATAAGCACACATCACTTGTCTGCTGAAAACCTTCCAAGGATTTTTAAGCTGAGTAAGATGCAAAAGCCCAGGCCTTATGTTTGCTTATGAAGGCCAAAATGATTTCTGCCTAACCTTATCTCTTAATATTATTCTGCTTCTACCTACCTCTGCTCCAGACAAATTGCCTTTTCCTTGAACTTTCCTATTCTGCCTCAAAGCCTTTACACTCACTGTTCCCACTGGATAGAAGAAGTTCCCCACATACCTTGCTTGTTCACCTCTTCCTACTAAAATCATCTCTGGACCATCCGGCTCCCCCCTTCCCTACAACTACACTTTCTGTATCCCCAATTTATTTTCTCCATAGCATTTATCACTATGTAATTAATAATAGTGACTATATGTTACACTTCTGTTTAGGGTCTTCTTTCTATATCTAAATAAGGGGTAAACCACATTTTTTAGTGCTTGATGCTGGAATAAATAGAATACAGGATTCGCGGTTTTTTATCTAAAAAACTTAAAACTTTGGCCAAATGTTCCTGTTTTTGCATCCCTAATCATGTCTTTTAGCAATTTTCTTATATTAAATTTAACAGTGAAAGATTTGTTTAATAAAAAGAATAAACTTCCAAAGTTTTAAGTTTCTACCAAACTATTTTATTATTCAATTCATTTTGTAATGATAGATCATACTCTCAAACAAATTAAAACACAGAGAGAAAAATAAAGACTTACGTCATTTGTGTTAACATGCCAAGCCATATCACCATAAGATACCAGTTGTCCATTAACATAACACTGAATTTCACTGTTTCTCCATCGATTGTAAATGTGGACAATGCTGATCATGTACCACTTAAATAAAAAAATTAAATATATCAATATGTAATGTTTGGTTATTATGGTCTAAAATGCAATTATAATATTCATAAAACCCTACAATAATATGCTGACAGGACTATTAATGATCATCTAATACCACTTCCTCAAGTTCCCCCTCCCATCCCTCATTTCACAGATGGTAGAAGTGGCACATAAAGAATATTCATGGAGAAGACAAGAACTACAGCCCCTTGACCTCCAGAGTAATATTCTTTCCACTATACCAAGATTCAAAATTGTGGAAATACAATTCATTTGTGTTCATTCATTTAAAATTTACATTGTGCCAGGCACTGCAGATACCCAAGGCTAACCAGTTCTCCTAGAAGTTATGAGCTATAAAAGAAATATATATGACACAATTAAACAAATGTAGAATTATAAATCATGGTGATTACAGTGAAGAGAAAAAGAACAGTATAAACTGAAAAAGAATAAAGTAGGATTCTACTTTGGATTACATGGTCAGGAAAAGATCTGTCAAAGAAACAACATCTTAGCATTTATAATATGATTTAGGTAGTTTCAATCTCACAATTAAGATTTAGTAAATCCAGTGATAATTATATATTTAATAACTTAATAATGTGTGTTTATTAAGAATCAATAAATGAGTTCATATTAAGTGCCCATTTTATAGTTACTGCTATCAAATAGCATTTTAAGTATCTATTTTAATATGGATGGTTTGATTTCTGAAACAACCTTTAGTCTCTTGAGAGTTAATATCCTAAAATAGAGAATATAGAAATATTTTTTTCTAAAGTATAGAAAAATACAAATGATTTATAAACATTTGAACAAGTATGCTTTCTGAAGTTAAGGGGGGAAAATTAACTGGTTTCTCCCTCCTACCAAAATATAAAACACAAACTTTGTTCTACAGATTACTTCAATGCACTATTCAATTATTTCATATATATTTTGAGAAATAAAAAGTTATAATAATCCTTAATCACTAAAATATTAGTCATTTCAAGGTATCTAAAATACTTTGAGCAAAATTCAATTTTTTTCATTTCAATTTAGAAAATAAAAATAGGCAGGGCACGGTGGCTCATGCCTGTAATCCCAGCACTTTGGGAGGCCAAGGTGCGCAGATCAACTGACGTCAGAAGTTTGAGACCAGCCTGGCCAACATGGTGAAATCCCGTCTCTACTAAAAATACAAAAATTAGCCAGGCGTGGTGGCATCTGCCTGTAATCCCAGCTACTCGGGAGGCTGAGGCACAAGAATCCCTTGAACCTGGGAGGCAGAGGTTGCAGTGAGCCAAGATTGCACCACTGCACTCCAGCCTGGGCAACAGAGCAAGACTCTGTCTCAAAAAAAAAAAAAAACAAAAAACAAAAAACAAAAAAAAACAGAAAGAAAAAGAAAAAGAAAAAAAATAGTGTGTTAAAGAACTCAAAAAAGTCAGTAATACAAAACAACAGTGTAAAGGTCAAGACATTTAACTGTCTAAAATGCACATCCTTTTTAAGGTTTTTCATTCCAGGAAATCATTAATTTATTGCAAACTAAGTCTTTCACTTGATTCGAAACTGACATATATGTTAGCCCTGATTAAAATTAGAAGAGAAAATCTTTAAAGTAGTCATTTAACCATTGTTTCTAAATATTACAAAATTATCAAGAAGAAACCATAAAAAAGAGCTTCAAATAAATTTAAGGAAAATCTTACAGAATTTTACATGTATAAGAATTAGTTTGCACATATTACCTTCACTGAGTTTGAAACTATCCAACAAGAATGCTATCTACATAACACAGAAGACACAATCTTTATATTCTGGAATAAAATGTGTAATAACTTTACATTTCTAAAGAGAAGAGACACAAATAAATACCTATATATAGGCAAAGATTTCCTGCCCAAAGACAATTTTAAGATAAATACTAGATATATTATTATACTTATTGGTGTACTTACGATAAAAAAAGTACTCATTCAAATAATACTTACTGAGTTCTTACTACTTCAGATAACTTAATGTACTGGGCAGGATAAATTTTACTTCCTAAAGACATGAATTGGGTTCCCAAATTACTAGCTCTATGGCTTTTGGCAAATTACTTAGCATCTCCGAATCTATTTTCATCTCCCTGAAAAAGGGGAATAATAATGCCTACTTTGTGGATTCCTTGTGAATATTATAAACAGATAATACATGAAAACTACGAAGAAAAGTTCCCAATGTATTCAGCACCCATAAATAACACACCATTAACTAAACTACTATTATGATTTTATCTACTATGTCCTCATGATGAGGTTCATTTATGCTAAAATTGATTATTATTTACCTTTCAGAGTATTTCATTCATTCAAAAAATGTACTAAGAGCCTACTTTATGCCAAGTACCCTGTCCCAACCTTGGATCATGGATATATAAAGACAGACAACATATACACACTCAAGGAAGTTTCACTAGAGAAACAGTTATGAGAACAATAGAGAATATCTAAAATACAGATTTGAGAGTAATAAAAGTAATTACTATAAGTAACAGGGAAAGAAAGACAAATAGAGAAGAAAGACTATCATAGAAGTATTCACTAAAAGAATAAAATGAACCATAAGACTATGCTTGAAGGATGAAAAGGAATTGTTCAGTAGACAGGGGTAAAAAAACATTCCAGGTGGAATCTTAATATGATACAGCACAGATGCTTGACAAAACTTTCTTCAGTGTGTAGGTTTAGCAGGAAAAAAAAAAAAAAAAAAAAAAAAAAAAACAGGCGAAGACCAGATTGTAAACAGACCTTTAGGAAACTGGCCTTTGTTTTTTTGCATAACGTGGTATAACTAAATAATTTTGAGCAGGAAAGTTAAACGATCAGCTTCATAGTTAAGGAAAATAGCTGGCAGCAATTTGGAGGTGAGATAGGTAGGCAAGTGTGGACAAAGATAAAACTGAAAAACCACTGCAAAGGTTTGGGTAAGACACCATAAGCTGCTGAACTAAGAAAAAGGCATTAGTAATTTTAAAATGAGGATGGGAATTAACTAACAGAAATGATAGGAAGTGTTAACATATAACAGGGGAGTCTAAGATGGATTCCAATTTTCACTTAGATGGGTAAGGGTACCATTAACTTAAGATCATTAATACAGAAAAATTAATCAGATTTGGAGTTTATCAAGGTTTGCTTTTGGTTGTAACAATAATATATGATAAAATTAAATGAATGCACTGATGAATTAATGAACTGATCTCAGTTAAGACCATAGTACTTATTTATAAGAAAAGTAACTTTTCTCTTTCCTTGATACATCAAACTGTACTCTACAGATAACAGACACAAGTGAGTTTTTCAATGGTTAAAAAAAAGCCTAACTTTTGACCTGATATACATTGACTAAAGAAAATAAAAATAAACTTGGAAACTACCTGTGCATAGTGATATTATGTATATATAGTGAAGTCTGCATTTAGTTTGAGACTCAAAAAGAAATTTATAAAAGAAGGACACAACCAGAAATAAGAAAAAAATAAAGTTCCATATTAAGAATCCACAAGATATATATTACAAATTGAAGATATGGAAATAAATTGAAGATAAAAAAGTACAGATGATATCAATAGTAGCTAATATGTCTAGAGCACATATTACCATTAGATAACATGCTAATGGTTTATATCCATTTTCACAAGTTCTAACAGCTGGTAAGTGGTGCAGCTGGGAAAGCAAAAGTTTTAATGTAAAGATTTCTTTTTGAAAGGCCAGTAAATCTCTTATTAGGAAGGATAACAACAACTTAGCTAGGGCATCTGTGGGAAATTAAAGAAAGGAAGAAATAAGAGAATAAATTTATTTTGAATAATGAAGCACAATAAAAGCAAATACTTATGACTTTTCCAGGTTTGTGAGAATCTTCACAGAAGACTTTTTAAAATCCACATCATTCTCTGGCCCTGCTGCTAACTAGACCCCTTAGAATCATTGCATATTGAGAGCTTTACAAAGGAGAATGTGTTTTCCACAAGTAAACAGTGAAGAAAACACAAAATAGAAAAAGTGAAAACAAATGGGTTAAAGCGCTTTTTATTGGTTAATGACAATTTCATTTGGTTATAACTTCACCCTAATTGTTTGCATGTATATTCTTTAAACCACTGTTTCCTAAAACTGTCTGATGAGAAAGTTACCTAAATATTTGTTAAAAACACACAATCCTAACATGAAAAATTATAATACCAACAATCTGTACTTCTAATCAATTCCACTGAAATTCAAAATAATTTGGCAATTTTAGCAAACTATCTTGGTCTCATCTTAGTTTTAGTAAAACAGAATTTCCAGAGCAAAGGCAATGTGATTGGTATTAAAGTAATCAATTTGCATTAAAAAAGAAAGAATACACCATTATAATGAATGAATATATTTATTCAGGTCACTGCTTTTTAAGCTATTTTCTAAGTATATATTGATGAATTATTGTTAAATTGATATTCTTTAATAGAAACTACAATTACTGACATTAAATATAAAACAAATATTTTCATTAGAATCATGCAAAATCTAAACAAATTTTTGAAAATACCACCCAAAATATTTTTTTTCTGTATATGACAAGACACACATCAGATCATAAGCAACAAGAAAACAAAAAAGATATGAAAAAGATATAAAGACCTCCCCCTCACCACATTTGGATTCATCATATCTATTATGATTGTACCATTAATCACAAAGGGTAAGGTGATATTTCTGTTAGGAGGAGGCAGTGTGCCCTAAAAAGCATTGACAATCTCATTGTCATATACCCAAGAAAGAACCCTGAACCTGGAAGGGGAAAAAAGCCTTAAACGTGTGTGACGGGAACTCCTACGCACTCTGTCCTTGTTTTCTTTCATCTCGACTTTCAGTTGGCTTGTTACTCTGACACAAAGATGGAGTCCGGTACACAGGCAGGAAAATCTCTCTAGAAAATGCCACCTGATTATGAATGAATTATCTCTTATAATTCTAATTATACAGTTGCACATTTCTCTGCATTTTCTCTTTACAGCAGTTTTTAAAATGTGTTTTGACCTTGTTTTTGCTATTATTTGGGATATTAAGTAAAGACACATTTCATGAGCCAAAACTAACAGTACAGCAACATTCCATTCCTTGAAGCCAGCATTACTAAAGCATCAGAAATTAACAAAACCTCCAATCTTAGGAAACAAGATTCAGAACTACCAGGATTAGGTGAATCTCCCACAAGAAAAGTATCTGTGCATTGCTTAATCTGGGGGTTTAACATTTAACTTTTTTAAAAAAGAGGCAAAGATTTATAACTCCCTAGTGCCTACAATGGTGTCCAATACTCAGTAAATAATAAGTATCTATTGAAAGAATGCCATAGAACAGATCAGACTGAGACGAGAGAATGTAAGAGAAATACACCACAAGAGATCAAAGCACTGATCTTATAGAAGACAAAAATCAGACATAAAAGTAAAAAGAAAATGCAAACTAGGATAAGAGAAAATCATTAAAAGCATAGGAAAGCCAGTGAAAGAGAATACTACAGAGGTCATAAAAGGATAGTTAAGAATTCTGTCGTAACAAGTGAGTTACAAAAATATTTACTTTTACCTGCCTTACGTGGTTGAAAATCATATTTCACACAATGCTGAAAACATTTTCCTTTGGACTTCAATGATGTGACTATAAAACAGTTGCCAACAAAATGAGCAGAGTAACCAACTCCTTTGCTAGCATGAAAACTGTAAAGACAACTGAGAATAGTATAATATCCTCTGATAAAAAGAACTAAACACCTAATGGCTGTTAAACATTCCTATAAAAATAAAAGTTATTTCCCTATATGGTAGAAGGAGTTTAATATGTGTCAAACAAAAACTAAACAAAAATATAAAAGGTTTGGTTATAAGTAAATATAAGAAATTTAAACTAGGAAATAAAAGACTATGGAAGCTTTCAGTATTTCAATCTAAAATCTCAGAAATACATAAAAACAAATTAATTGCCAACAAAAGCCTACCACCAAGTAGACTTTATCTACTTTTAAGGACCATTTGCAATCAGCAAATACAGAACACATTTATACAAAGTTCACATTTTAAATAACAACCTGCTCTCTAATTCCGGTGTACCTTTGAAAATAGCATACAAATTAAAAAGAAAAAGGAAAAAAAACTTGTTCATAGCCAAGTTTGATAAATAATGCAGTTGATCAAGCAAAGCAGTACATTTTTAGTTTAAAAAATTAAAAATATGTAACTATGAAATATAGTTGTTTTCTTCTACAGGAGCATTCCCCTTAGCTGTAAATTTAATCATGAGGTAGAAAAATGTGTAGTCATTGAAAAATGAAGGTACCACTGAAATTAATGTATAATCTCCCAAAATGACCACTTTGAAGTTCAACCCCATTTATGTTTGGAAGTTCAGATGCTTATTTAAAACTTGCTCTCATATTATCCATATATCATATTTTATAATAGAGCTTAAAAGATAGTAATAGCTCACATATTTCTGTGCTCACATTTCTGACCCAGCCATTATAAAAGGGCTTTAAATATGATTCTCTCATTAAATCCTATGGGATAGGCACTATTCCTATCCTCATTTTATAGTTGAAGACACCAAAAGTACAAGGTGAATAGTAGGTGGTGAAGCCAGAACTTGAACACAGGCAGTCTTATTTCAGAGTATTGCAAGTATTAAATGAGTTCATATATATAAACACTTACAATGCCTAGCACATACAATGGCAATCAATGAATGTTTGATGTTCTTATTGGTAAGTATGCTGTACTGTGCATTACTGGCATACTAAAATTACCGAGGTTTCAATCCTTACAGATCAACACATCGTTAAGTTGATCAACTAATTCTAGTGGTTTTCAGTAGTAATCCATTTGGTTAAAGGAGATTGAATATTTAAAGCCAAAAATGACAGAGCTAGAGAAAGTTAATGGAATCAATATTGAAGAAATGCAAGCATTAAGAGATAATGTTCATAATGCTAACAACATTGAAACCAAGAAAGGCAAAGCATGACATTTATTACTCAGAAACATAACCACTGATATTTATAACCAAAAAGGATTCAGATCCATTCATAAGCAGAAAAGGAATAATATAGGACTCCCTTGAAAATAGCAATCAAATAAAATGTAGCCATTCTAAGGAATAAATGAGAAAGTAGCTGATTATTTCACCTGACTTCAAGAAACATCTGAATGGATTTATTTATTTTCCTAGACTTTATCCAAATTCTACATAAAAAATAATTACCCATTATGACTTTAAAATTAATCTGTTCCCCAAACAGATCCTTCATATTGCTGATAATGGCCTTTCTCAAATACAACACGGACCTTCCATGTCAAAAATCTTCTGCATTCAGAATAAAATTTTAATTTCTTCAGGTTATACAAGACTTCCCACATGCTATGGCTCCAACAAACCCTTTTGATTTTATCCTCCTCTAGTACCCAACCCCACATTCCAAAGTACATCTAAATATACCGGCTATTCCACTTGTTCTTTTACAGTTCCTCTTCCTATACATCACGTTGCTTCTATCCAAATCATTCTTCCTTCCAACAAAATCTCAATTATTCTTTAATAGCAGACTAATATGTTCCTCATCTGTGAAGCTTTTCTGGACTTCAACCTAGCTTGGTTTCTCTTTTCAATTGTGTCCCCATAGTTTTGAGTACCTAAATCTACAGTATCATTTATAAAACAAGCTGTATTTGCATGTCTAGCCATCAGAGTTCTTCAAGAGTAAGGAATGTAATCTACTCCAAACATAATGGCTGAAGATATAGAAAATACTCTGTAGATGGCCAATAAATAATCTCAAAGTAGTCAAAGAATTCTAAGTGCTTGCCATGAAAAAAAATACACATACACACGCACATACACGTGCGTGCACACACACACTATTTCAGATGAGTTAAACCCTATACTAACGTTTCAGATTTTAGTGTGTAAGCAACTAGTTCAGGCAGTTTTATTATCATACAATATAAATAACATTTTATTATCAAACAATATAATTTTTCTTATCAATTTGCTATAAATGTTTAATTTAGCCACCTTCTAGTGACACTTTTACTACATTATTAAATAAAAAGTACCCCATTGAACTTAACATACAATACATTCAGATGTGAACAGTTAGTAGTGTTTTGGTGGCTACTAGTTCTTCCTCAGTATAATATTTAAAGTTTAATTTCTCTGTTAAAAAGCAAGACAGAGGTATTTTTCTGACATTTATTCTCTTTTCTCATATCCTTCCATCATCAAGCTCTTTTGAAGGGAAATACTAGAAATTACAAAAAGTGAAAAATTTTGTGTTATTAATATTATTACTGAGAAAAAGATAGGAGAATTAAGAAGCTTTATATAATAGCAATGTCAAAATATGAACTTCTATGGTACAATCACCCTCACTGTCACTTTTACATTTCAGTGCTGATGAATTATGTACCAGTAAACGACTATGCATGTAATTTTGGCTCATTCTCTAAACTGCACTCCATAGAGTAGCAGGAAATTTACAAAAAAAAAAAAAAAATTAAGAGCTTAAACTCAGATATAAGAATTGAAGGATCATATGATGTTCTATAAAACGTGTACACATAAGTCTATATTAATAAATTCCTATTAAGTAACTCTAGAATTTATAGAAATGCTACTATTAATATATCTGTATTAAAAAGATATTTTAAGAAATAGATGTCTGAATCTCATTTTTCACCAAGTTAGCCATCAGTCCCCAATACAGGGGTGCTAAGTCATTATAAAAAAAGATATATGCCACCCTGAAGGTAATTAGATATGATTTTTAATATATTTTCTCAGAAAATCAAATTTTTGGAAATATTTAAATTCAAAGCATTCTTTTTGCAATTTTGCATTCTTTTAACCCATTTTTCATTCCATTCTTTCTCATTTAATGTCTTGTTCCATAAATTTTAAAAATAATTAAATGCATAAGTCAAAATGTTTAAGAGTATTCTCTGGTATCTGAACTACTTTGCAGGATCAGATATAATACTGTGGAGAGTAATATCAGAACTTTTATAATTATGAAAATGCTTTTATGTCAGAAGATACTTAAGCTGAAGATTCATGGCTTACAAAAAATAAACATTTCAAACTTTAAACTTATTTTCTGGAATGATCCTTGCTCTGGAATAATATTCAAAACACTTTTCTGAAATGCATCTAGCCACACAGGAGAATGAGCATGCAAGGAGGTAAAGAAAGGGTTGGTGGTGAAACAATTATAGATTTCAAAGCTATTGTTTGAAATAACCCAAACAAGCAAAACATTAGTATTTTTATCTTGAAATTCTTGGTGAATTTTATGTTCTAGCCCATAATATATTAGTTTATTTTAACACAAAAGTTTCTTCCAAAATGGACATGTCCAAAAGATACACCATGCTGGCGACGGTGGTGGCGGCGGCGGCAGCGGGTTCGGTTGCGCGTGACGCACGGGGTGGGAGCGGAGCCCAGGCCGGGAGCAGGCGCCTCTGCCAGAGACCATGGGGAACGTGTTGGCCGCCAGGTCGCCGCCCGCAGGGCCGCCACCGCCGCCTGCGCCGGCCCTCGTGGAGCTGCCGCCACCTCCGCCCTCGCCGCCGGGCTTCACGCTGCCGCCGCTGGGAGGCGGCCTGGGCGCCGGCACCAGTACGAGTCGAGGTTCGGAACTGACCCCCGGGGCTGCAACTGCCAGCGCCTCAGGGGCCGCCGAGGATGGGGCCTGCGGCTGCCTGCCCAACCCGGGCACATTCGGGGAGTGCCACCGGAAGTGCAAGGAGCTGTTTCCCATTCAGATGGAGGGTGTCAAGCTCATAGTCAACAAAGGGTTGAGTAACCATTTCCAGGTGAACCACACAGTAGCCCTCAGCACAATCAGGGAGTCCAGCTACCACTTCGGGGTCACGTATGTGGGGACAAAGCAGCTGAGTCCCACAGAGGCGTTCCTTGTATTGGTGGGTGACATGGACAACAGCGGCAGTCTCAACGCTCAGGTCATTCACCAGCTGGGCCCCCGCCTCAGGTCCAAGATGGCCATCCAGACCCAGCAGTCGAAGTTTGTGAACTGGCAGGTGGACGGGGAGTATCGGGGCTCTGACTCACAGCAGCCGTAACCCTGGGGAAACCCAGACGTCCTCGTGGGTTCAGGAATCCTCGTAGCCCACTACCTCCAGAGCATCACGCCTTGCCTGGCCCTGGGCAGAATGCTGGTCTACCACCAGCAGCCTGGGGAGGAGGGCACTGTCATGTCTCTAGCTGGGAAATACACATTGAACAACTGGTTGGCAACGGTAACGTTGGGCCAGGCGGGCATGCACGCAACATACTACCACAAAGCCAGTGACCAGCTGCAGGTGGGTGTGGAGTTTGAGGCCAGCACAAGGATGCAGGACACCAGCGTCTCCTTCGGGTACCAGCTGGACCTGCCCAAGGCCAAAGGCTCTGTGGATAGCAACTGGATCGTGTGTGCCACGTTGGAGAAGAAGCTCCCGCCCCTGCCCCTGACACTGGCCCTTGGGGCCTTCCTGAATCACTTCCCCATCCCTGGTCAGTCCACCTTGCCCCGTCCACTTCCCCATCTCCTCGGTATAAATCATGTTTATAAGTTATGGAAGAACCGGGACATTTTACAGAAAAAAAACAAAAAGCAACAAAAAATATACGTGGGGAAAAAAAAAAGATACACCATGCTTATCTAAGGCTTTTAGTACTTCCTGTCATAGTTGCATATATGCCAGATTGAGGGGCACAGAACTAGGGGAATTTGGTGAAATGCTCATTATACAGAACTGTAATACCTATTGTGGCATTTTAATTATGTAAAAGCTGAATGAAATACTACATAAAAAGATACTGTTTATTTTTCTGATAGACTTCATAGCACTCCGTGGTACTGAGATTTTCTAAAATTTAGAAAACAACGTTAGTAATTATGTTTGTCTACTATAATAATTATGTTTTTCTTCTTTCACTTTTCAGGTTTTCCATTAATATAAAAAGTAAAATTTCTATACATTTCCATTTATTTTAAATCAAAGCAGTGTCAACAAATCTACATTACCTATAGAATATAAAGAGAAGTATGTGAAACTTTATAAACATTTAAGTTATACTTTCCTGACAGACAACCCCATACCTGCTATCATGTCATCTACAGCACTCATTTTCAGCAATACTTGTTCAATTAGTCCAGCTTCTGTGCTAGTCTGTACATTCCGAACACTTTTTCATAGAATGGCTGTAAACATGCTCCCTATTTCTGCTTGACATGTTACATCACAGTGCTCTAAAAGCTCTGTCATGCATGTTATACTCTCAGCATCCTGGATAATAAAGTTCATCTCCAGTTCAAATTCTCTGCCAACCAACTGAAAGTAAACAGAAAGAAACAATAGTGTTAACATGGGAGGTTACCGATAACAGTAGAATAAAATAATAACAACAATTCAAAGCTACTACTCTAAAAAAGTTTCAAGGCTTTTGGTATAAAATTATTTTTTATAAAAAGTATAAGAGCTACAGATAAATGACAGGCATTGTAAGCACTGAAAGTAGCGAACACTGAAGGGGTGGCCTGCCCCTCCACACCTGTGGGATATCTCATCAGGTGGGATGAGAGACTGAGAAAAGAAATAAGACACAGAGACAAAGCATAGAGAAACAACAGTAGGCCCAGGAGACCAGCACTCAGCATACCAAGGACCTGCACCAGCACCGGTCTCTGAGTTCCCTCAGTTTTTATTGATTATTATTTTCATTATCTCAGCAAGAGGAATGCAGTAGGAGAGCAGGGTGATAACAGGGAGAAGGTCAACAAAAAAACATGTGAGCAAAAGAATCTATGTCATAATTAAGTTCAAGGGGAGGTACTATGCCTGGATGTGCACGTAGGCCAGATTTATGTTTCTCTCCACCCAAACATCTCAGTGGAGTAAAGAACAATAAAGCAGCATTGCTGCCAACATGTCTCGCCTCCCGCCATAGGGCGGTTTTTCTCCTATCTCAGAACTGAGCAAATGTACAATCGGGTTTTATACCGAGACATTCAGTTCCCAGGGGCAGGCAGGAGACAGTGGCCTTCCTCTATCTCAACTGCAAGAAGCTTTCCTGTTTTACTAATCCACCTCAGCACAGACCCTACACGGGTGTCAGGCTGGGGGATGGTCAGGTCTTTCTTATCCCATGAGGCCATATTTCAGACTATCACATGGGGAGAAACCTTGGACAATACCCGGCTTTCCAGGGCAGAGGTCCCTGTGGCTTTCCACAGTGCACTGTGCCCCTGGTTTATCGAGACTCGAGAATGGCGATGACTTTTACCAAGCATACTGCTTGTAAACATTTTGTTAACAAGGCACGTCCTGCACAGTCCTAGATCCCTTAAACCTTGATTCCATACAACACATGTTTTTGTGAGCTGAATGTTGGGGCAAAGTGGCTGGGGCAAAGTGGCTGGGGCAAAGTTACAAATTAACAGCATCTCAGCGAAGCAATTGTTCAAGGTACAGGTCACAATGGAATTTCCTATGTCTTCCCTTTCTACATAGACACAGTAACAGTCTGATCTCTCTTTCTTTTCCCTACAAACAGAAATCTAATTTTCACATAAATGGGAAAGGGTGATTTCAAGTCTAGTAAAACAGAGCAAACTACAGCATGTGATTCCTGGGTGCGATTCAGGAAAAATTCCTAAAAAGAGGGTTTGGCCTTTAAAAGTGATAATCAACAGAAAATGTAGAATTTACTAAGGATAAATTTTAAGACACGAAATTCATTTTCTTTTTTGATATTACTAGTCTTACAGATAAAGAGATGTAACTGGGGCATAATCTCCATATATAGAAGATGAAGAAATATGAAACTGATACAACTTACAATAAATGTTGCAATAATGAAATGAATGTTAAAAATAAGTTGAACAGAAATATGCAAGGTCTTGTAATGCTTTTTTTTTTAAGCACAAATGTGAATTGGGTAAAGAAAGCTGATTTAACAGCAACACATTTGACTTCAGCATTATGGCAAATGAGTCCAAAGTCATACTGCCCCTCCCGTTTCGTATTTTAAGTGCAGTAATAGACAAATACACACAGAACAAAATAACATAATAATACTCTGTTACTATCTGTTGATTGAATCCCATAGGAACTATTATATTCAGTTATAAGCATCATTCTTAAAAAAGAACACTGTCAAACTGGATATCCTTTTGGTTTAAAGAATGATAAGATTTAGGAATAACTTGATAAAAACAGAAGGAAGAGTAAAGGGGACTTTGTCTTGCATCTTAGGTACCAACACCACCACCGTGGGGTAGAGCACCAAGTGGGCTCTTGGGGTCCCCAATTCTAGGACTTGACTCTTGGACAGCATTTCTAGACCTGCCCTGGGACAAAGGGGAGCCCACTGCCCTGACGGGTGAGTCCCAGGCCAGGCAATATTCACCACAAGCTGATATAAGAGCCCTTTCTCCTTAAGGGAACATCGATGGTACTTTGGCAGTACTCATGGCCAGGAGTGGCAGTGGCTACGGGGTGAGGCTCCTCAGCTTTTGGAAAGGGGAAAAAGTGGAAAGAGTGGGAAGGATTGTGTCTTGTGGTTTGAGTGCCAGCTCAGCCGCAATACAACACAATGCCAGGTAGATTTCTAAGGTTTTTGACTCTAGTCCCTGACTCCCGTATGGCATCTCTGGACCCACTGGTGGCCAGGGGGACTTTGCCACCCTGAAGAGAAGGACACAGGCCCAGCTGACTTTGCTACCTGCTAATTGTAGAGCCCCAGGGCCTTGAGTGAACATAGGCTATAGCCAAGGAGTGATTAAGGCAAGGCCCAGCACTGTGCTTGCTTCAGGTGTGACCCAGCACAGTCATGGTGGTGGTGGTCATAGGGGTGCTTGTATCATACATCATATCAGCCCCAGCTTTAGGTATCTCAGAACAGAGAGAGAGAGAGACTCTGTGGGCTTGGGAGAAAGTAAGGGAAGAGAAAAAGAGACTCTGCCTGGTAATCTAGAGAATTATCCCAGATCTTATCCAAGGCCATCAAGGCAGTACCTCTACAAGCCTGCAAGAACCACAGTGTCACTGGAAAGCCTTCCCAAGAAGGATGGCTACAAATAAGCTCAGGCAATGAGGAGTACAATAAATACCTAACTCTTCAATGCTCAGGCCCCAAGGAACATGTACTAGCATTAACACCATCCAGAAAAACATGACCTCACCAAATGAACTAAATAAGGCACCAAGAATCAATCCTCAAGAAACAAAGCTATGTGACCTTTCACATGGAGAATTCAAAATAGCTGTGTTGAGGAAACTCAAAGAAATTCAAGATAACACAGAGAAGGGATTCAGAATTCTATCAGATAAATTTAACAAAGATATTGAAATAATTTTTAAAACTCGAGCAGAAATTCTGGAGCTCAAAAATGCAATTGGCATACTTAAGAATGCATCAAGTCCTTCAAGAGCAAACTGGATCAAGCAGAGGAAAGAATTAATGAGCTTCTGAAGAAAGGCTATTTGAAAACACACAGAGGAGAAAAAAGAATAAAAACCAATGACACATGCATACACGATCTAGGGAATAGCCTCAAAAGGGCAAATCTAAGAGGTATTGGCCTTGAAAAAGAGGTAGAGAACAGGGTTAGAAAGTTTATTTTGAGTAAACATTCCAATAACAGAGAACTACCCAAACCTAGAGAAAATATCCAAGTACAAGAAGGTTATAGAATACCAAGCAGATTTAACCCAAAGAAGACTACCTCAAGACATTTAATAATCAAACACCCAAAGGTCAAGAATAAAATAAGAATCCTAAAAGCTGCAAGAGAAATAAACAATAACATACAAAGGAGTCCCAATACATCTGGCAGCAGACTTTTCAGTGAAAACCTTATATGCCAGGAGACAGTGGCATGACATATTTATATTGCTGAGGGAAAAAAACTTTTACCCTAGAATAGTATATCCAGTGAAAATATCATTTGACCATGAAGAGGAAATAAAGACTTACCCAAACAAATAAAAGCTAAGGGATTTCATCAACGCCAGACCTGTCCTACAAGAAATGCTAAAGAGGGTACTTCAATCAGAAAGAAAAGGGCATTAATGAGCAATAAATGATCACCTGAAAATGCAAAACTTACTGGTAATATAAGTACACAGAAAAATACAGAATGTTATAAACACTGTTACTGTGGTTTGCAAACTACTCTTATCCTAGGTAGAAAGACTAAATGATGAATTAAACAACAATAATAACTACAACAACTTTTCAAGACATAGGCAGTATAATAAGATATAAACAGAAAAAACGA
The DNA here is from genome assembly GCF_000001405.40 of Homo sapiens. Classification (NCBI taxonomy): domain Eukaryota; kingdom Metazoa; phylum Chordata; class Mammalia; order Primates; family Hominidae; genus Homo; species Homo sapiens. Next base: position 131,718,466 of record NC_000002.12, on the reverse strand, counting down.
AAAGTTAAAAAGCAAGGAAATGAGGTTAAGGCAAGTTTTTACTAGTTTTCTTTTTGCTTGTTTGCTTATGCAAATAGTATCCCGTTATCAGGTTAAAATGATGAGTGATAAGACAGCATTTGCAAGGCTCATGGTAACCTCAAACCAAAAAACATACAATGGACACAAAAAAAAATAAAAATCAAGTAACTAAATCACCAGAGAAAATCATCTTCACTAGAGGAAGACAAGAATGCAAGAAAGAAGACCACAAAACAACCAGAAAACCAAAAACAAAATGGCAAGAGTAGATCCTTACTTAATAATAACAGTGAATGTAAATACACTAAACTCTCCAATCAAAAGACACAGACTAACTAAATGGATGAAAAAACAAGACCTATTGATCTGTTGCCTAAAAGAAACACACTTCACCTATAGAGACACATAAAGACTGAAAATAAACAGATGGAAAAAGATATCCCATGCCAAAGAAAACCAAAAAAAGAGCAGAAGTCACTATACTTATATCAGGCAAAAGAAATTTCAAGACAAAAGCTAACTATAAAAAGAGACAAAGAAGGTCACCATATAAAGATAAGGGGGTCAATTAAGCAAGAGGATATAATAATTTCAATATATATGCACCCAACACTGGAGCACCCAGATATATAAAGGAAATACTATTACAGCTAAAGACAGCTATAGGCTCCATAATATCTGCAGACTTCAAAACCTCACTTTCAGCATTGGACACATCTTCCAGAAAGAAAACAAAGAAACATCAGAATTAATCTTCACTGCAGACCAAATTGAGCTAATAGATATTTACAGAACATTTCATCCAGAAGCTGCAGAATACACATTATTTTCCTCAGCACATGGATCAGTTGAAAAGACAGACCATATGTTAGGTCACAAAACAAATCTTGAAACATTCCAAAAAAATGAAATAATATAAAGCATCTTCTCTGACAACAATGGAATAAAACTAGAAATACCAAGAGAAATTTCGGAAACTATACAAATACATGGAAATCAAACAATATGCTCCTGAATGACAAGTGGGTCAATGAAGAAATTAAGAAAGAAATTGAAAAATTTCTTGAAACAAATAATAATAGAAACACAACATACCAAAATCTATGGGATACAACAAAAGTTGTACTAAGAGTGATGTTTATAAGTGCCAATATCAAAAAAGAGGAAAAATATCAAATAAACAATCAAATGCTGCATCTTAAAGAACTGAATGATCAAGAGCACACCAAATCCAAAATTAACAGAAGAAAAGAAATAATAAAGATCAGAGCAGAAATAAATAAAATTGAAATAAAAAATACAAAAGATCAAAGAAATGAAAAGTTTATTTTCTGGAAAGCTAACCAAAATTGACAAATCTTTAGCCAGACTAAGAGAGAAGATCCAAATAAAGAAAATCAGAAATAAAAAAGGAGACATTACAACTGATACTGCAAAAATTCAAAGGATCATTAGCGGCTACTGTGGGCAACTACACGCAAATTAATTGGAAAATCTAGAAGAAATTTATGAATTGCTACACATATACAACTACCAAGATTGAACCAGGAAGAAATCCAAAACCTGAACAGACTAATAACAAGTTACAAGACTGAAGTTGTAATAAAAGTCTCCCAGTAAAGAAAAGTCTGGGAAATGATAGCTTCACTGCTGAATTCTAACCAAACATTTAAAGAACTAATATTAATTCCACTCAAACTATTCTGAAAAATAGAGAAGGGCATACTTCCAAATAGAGGAGGAAGGAATACTTCCAAACTCATTCTATGAGGCCAGTATTACACTGTTACCAAAACCAGTCACAGACACAAATTTTTAAAAATATATTTATTGACTGACCAAAAAATAGAGCAAATGAGGGATTCTTACCCCAATTTTGTTTGTTATAAATATTTATAATATGTCTCTAGTTCTACAGTAAGGATATAAGCTTGGTTAGTTACATGGCTTTAACAAGTTTACATCAAAAAATATCTCATAAGCCACTGGCACTCTGAAAAAGGTACTGTGATGCATTTCATTGGTTTCATTATAATAAGGTCTCTTGTAAAAATTGTCACTAAGCAAAAAATAACATAACTCTGGGCTACTAGAAAATCCTTCTTAGTTCTTCATAAGTACAACAAACAAGCACCTAACAGTAGAAGTAAATTGGACATGCTGCCAGAAATTACAACAATGAATGCAAATTTGAATACTAGTTTCATAGTTCTCAGCCTCAAAAGTGAGAACCTTAAAAGGTAAAAAGATTTCGGAATGACAGTTTCAGTAACACTTGGTTGGGAAAAGATTGGTAAAAATACAAAGAATAACTTTATTCTTAGTTTTTCCTAAAAATGAATTATTAGGCAAAAATATAATGGATATCATGTCTGTAACTCATAAATTACAGACATTACACAGCATAAATATTTTTAAACAACTACATTTATATGTAAGAGTTTTTGATATATTAGCTTGCTGGTCTAGAAGCAAAATTATTACCACCTGGGGAATAATAAGAAGGAAGAATGAGTTCATATATCAATGTGCAAAGGAATCAGCGTATCCATATTTTAAAACTGAAAAAGATGTTACAAACCATCTATTTGAATTGCTCCCTTCATGGAGAGCCTAGCTAGGCTTTTATATAGTCAAATGGATACTGTTTAAATGACTTTTAATATTTCAAAAAGTATCACATATCATATTCTTGAGAACTAGAACTACATGAGCTAAGTGAAACATCATCTTTTATTCTTCACTGACTATAAAGGCAATGCTGTTAATCTAGCTATCTCACTGCAAAACAAAGTCATATTTATTTAATAGAAATAACAGTAGAAACTGGAGAAGAAGGTAAGGTAAGAAATAATTTTAAAAATTAAATGTTGGTAATCATGGAATCCCTACACCAAGGTCAAAAGCTAAGGTAACAGACAGGTAGACAATTCAAATTTCCTGACTAGTCCAGTGATCTTGCCTACCTCCACACTACTTTGAATACAGGACATAAATAATAGATTTAACAAATGTCAAATGTTTACAATAGTGACCACGGAGCAATGAGATTACGGGCGACTTTCCATTTCTTCTTCACATTTATTTTTAAATGATTTGCAATAAGCATATATACTATTATAATAAAAACATACACACACAAACACTCACACACATTTAATAGTGAGTCTTCCTAAAGCAAAACCTGTAATTGTACAAATCATGTTCAGAAATATGATTTTCCCATGTTTCCTTTTCCATTCACATAATCTTGGAGTATGTTTCGTCATTTATAAAACAGGGGTAATGGTTGGTTCTTACACTATGTTTCACTAATTATTGCTGGGACCACTCAAAAAATAGATGTAAAAGTAAATCTACTAACTGATTATGCAATGAGTGCCACTCATGTGGTATCTAATAAACAGTCTTCATTCACTAGAAACATAAGAGAATTTTTTTTTTTTTTTAGACAGAGTCTCGCTCTGTCGCCCAGGCCGGAGTGCAGTGGCGCGATCTCGGCTCGCTGCAGGCTCCGCCCCCCGGGGTTCACGCCATTCTCCTGCCTCAGCCTCCGGAGTAGCTGGGACTACAGGCGCCCTTAAAAGCCTAAAGGAGAACTAACATTTTATTCCTTACTACACGTATCTATTGAATGTATCTTGCAAGCCATGTGTAGTTTCAAGGTACAGGAAATATAGCGGTAAATGAAACAAAGTCCCCGTCCTCATATAGCTTATGTTCTAATACAGGTCACAGACAATAAACTAGCAAAATGTATATAAATAATATGATTTCAGAAAATGATACTTTTTTATGGTATTTATTTTTATGAAAAAAATATAGTCTTGTAGTAATTTGTTATACAATTTTTTCCTGACTACTTTAGCACTACTTGAAGGCAGGGACTATAGCTTATAAATAAACTCTGCAGCAATAAGCTATGCTCATTGATTGATACATGGTAAATAATTGATAAATGTCTCAAGGAAAGAAAGGAGGAAATAACTTAAAGGTAAAAATTCTAAAAATTCAATACATTCAATAGTTTGACACAGATTACTTACATTACAAGGCAATGTCACATATTAAAGGAAGAAAAACAAAAGGTTTTAAAGTCAGAATAAAATCATTCCTCTATGGGACTGTTAAATTCCCTAAAACATGATTTTGGGAGAACAATAAGGTCCTCAAAACTAGCATTCAAAGTATTGAATCATCATTGCTTGTGTTAAGTAAATTATTTGGCCTCTTGGAGTCTTGATTTTCTTACCAATGAAATAGGAATGAGAGCATAGGAATGAACAGCTCTCATTATAGCAAGGGGTTGTAAGCACAAATGAGATAAATTATGATCCTTTGAAAAGTACAAAGTATTACAGAGAAAGCAATAGCATTAATTCTGGCAGCAGTCTGGAATGGAGCAGTAATTCCAGTCATCTGGAAATACAGGCAGTAGTGAGTCACGGCTCGTAGACTCAGAGCAGGGAACTGGTTTGGATAAAGTGTGTGACAAGTTGTGGGGGATGTTAAAAGGAGCTAAGCAGGGCCGGGCGTGGTGGCTCACACCTGTAATCCCAGCACTTTGGGAGGCCGAGGCGGGCGGATCACCTGAGGTAGGAAGTTTGAGACCAGCCTGGCCAACATGGGGAAATCCCGTCTCTACTAAAAATACAAAAATAAGCCAGGTGTGGTGGCGCATGCCTGCAATCCCAGCTACTCGGGAGGCTGAGGCAGGCGAATCGCTTAAACCTGGGAGGCAGAGGTTGCAGTGGCCACTGCACTCCAGCCTGGACAACAGAGCAAGACTCCCTCTCAAAAAAAAAAAAAAAAATTGGAGCTAGGCAGGTTCCATGCCCAGAGCTAGTGGTCAGGAATCAAATGGCAAGGAATCAAAACTGGTCACACAAGCCACAGTTGGGGCAAACCTGAAAAGACAGTTGCAGTGACCATGGATCCTCAAGAATGGAATAGGAAGGCAATATAAAGTTTGGTAAACAGTCAGGAAACTGGAAATGTGATGAACAAAATGAAGGATAATGTAAACGAGAGGCCAAATTTGAGATCTTCAAAAATGCAGCAAGGCACTTTTGTGTGTCAGCTCCAGTGTATGTATAAGGATCCTTTGAAGGAAAGCATTGACTCTTGAGGAGCAGGTGCTCAGGATTACATGATCGAGGTAAGGGAATGTAGGTGGAACTGGACCAACAGTTTCTCCTCAAGAAAATTCTGGCAATAAATATCTTAGACAGTTTTTAGAAGAACCTTTCCAGTCATCCATTTTCTAATTGGACAGCAAGATAAAGCTTTGTCAAATCTCTAGACAAATTTCCCTTGGGATTTACACCATGTTTTCATGATACCACAAAATATTTTGAAAGTAAAAAAACTCAGTCGTTGATGTATGCACTCATTATTAGATCCTCAGTATGTATGGTTTCAGCTAGGAAAGAAAGCATTGCCTCCTCTCTTGTTGACCTGAGTTTACTAAGTAACTGGCTAAAGTTAATTAATGAATCAATTGTACTGTAGCAACATGCATGTGAATGCTAGGCAAAACCCTCCTGTGGATGGCAGAGAATTACTGTCTTTAGGTAACTGTTTGTTTGCTTTCTATCTCTACATTCAAATCTGACCAAGGAATGCCACTAGCTAGACATGTGTAGTGATTACCAGCGAACCTCAGGCCAGGCTCACTCAGGACTGGCTACCCCCAGGATGGAGGGTTGGCATGCCAGTAAGGAACCTGGCCTTAGCAGCAAGTTGTTTTTTTTTTTTTCTGCAAGTATCGTATATTTCTTCTCCAACCAATTTTGTTCCCCTTGGTTCCTGGGAACCATTATACTGTTAGGTTAATGGATCATTGGTTTATCCACCTGTACGTTTCCTGAATTTTGGCCATTCAACCATGCATTCCTGGTGATTGGGTTTACAAGTACTAGTTTCCTAGGTCCAACATCACATTCAGATATCTCTTAACTATAAATTGGTGTAGTAACTGTGATATATCAGCATAGAGATGGCTCCATCCATTAAAAATATATTGGTGGCTTCAAAAAGTTTTATATTTGTTACTGGCATATAAAACAAATAAATGCCCAGATACAAAATTGTGCAGAACCCAGATTAGTATCTAATAAAGAATTAATAAAGAATATGTATTAATATAGATATATTTATTTACATATTAATGGTTTTTTCAAATTGGCCAAATTTTTCAAAACAATTACATATTAAAAATTGAGATATATGAAAATTCTAACTAATAGATTTATAGTCATTCCTAGGGTAGGCATTAACACCTCTTGGTAACTTCTGTAAGTTAATTATAGTTTAACTTCCTAATTAATTAATTCTGTAAGTTAATTTATAGTTTAACTTCCCAGAGGCTTTGGTGTCTTTTTTTACCCTCACTTTAAAATACACACAATAGTATATAATATATCACATTTGGTCAACAGTTCAAATTTTTTTATTCTTTAAAGCATGTACAAAAATATACTAGTTAGAATTCCTGTGAAAAATTCTAATACAGAGGAATTATATGGCTATGTTTGGAAAGATAATATTTCTTTAAAAATGTGTTGTTTTTTATGTTTTATGTTTGCAATAAGCATTATTTAAGTTTGATTGAAGAACTTCATGATTTTTATGTATTACTTTCTTGTATTGAGAAATAGTGGTCCATTGTTGGGCTGTATTTAAAATTAATGTGTATGAAACAAGAAATATTTAATTAGAGTTATTAATTTTCCACAAGTAATATGTGTATTTGACCTAAATCAGTATCTTTTATCATAACAGCCTCACATACAACAAGAATAATAGCAAGGACAACAACACCAAATCTGAATGTTTCCTTTGTGCCTATGCTCCTAACTATCATGTTATACTCATTCATATAAACCTAACAATTAATTTGAAGTTAGACACACAGGATTTACTCATCAGTATTAGAGCATTCGCTGTTATCCAGGAAGAAAACTATCCCTGGTGCTGAAACTGCCCCGTGTAGTCCTTGTGGTTGAAGAATTAAAACAGTTTCTTTTAGACATTTCCTTTCAGGAAGTATTAAATTTCACATATGTTAACATCTTAATTAATATAAGATTAATATTCTACTTATGACTATGTTTTAATATTGAAAAATGAGTTTATGATGAGTTTCATTAGTTTCTAGAGAAAACAATGGTTTAAAAAATTTCAGTACATAAGACATTGAAGCGTCTATGAATGTTCCAGAAATCTGAAAACATATACCACTAATCAAAAGTTTCTCCATTCATGTTGACTAGCATTTGCCTTAGGTGTCAGAATTAATGGATTTCTGTTAAAAATAAACACCTGAAATCCAATTCCCTAACTGCATTATAACACACTTGATTACAAGTACTTAGCTTTTATTTAATGCTTATAATGACTTTAAATTGTAGCGAAATGGGCTTCCCCCAAGAGGACTGCTTTGTTGATCCTGAGTTGGGGTCCTAAGCCAGAAGTTAACTATGCTTTCATATATTCTTGCAAGTAGAGGTACAGTGTTGGTGTAAATTCTCCTTAAATGGATAGCTAAGCCCAGAGGAAATAATGGTAATTGGCACCATATGACCGTATGCAATTCATGTGCATATCAAGAAAAGAACATTATAGGTCTGGTGAGACCCTATTTTGTTCTGACAATGTCATCTGTATTTATATGTCTGTTTCGGGAATTTGGAAGTCAAGGGATTCTGTGCTGGATTGTAAAGCTTCTGCTTTGTGTGCTTCTGCTTGATGTAGCTACTCAATTTTGTATTCTTGACTAATAAAGTCATAAACATAATTCAACCTCCGTGTGTGTGCTCTCCTTCCATTAATTTATACTTTAGCAAAAAGTATTGAATGTGTGTGTTATGTAACAGTTTCCTATAAATTATATTAAATGATTTATTAGCTTTATTCAATAAAGTTTTAAGTGTTTTCTTCTATGACTACATTACTTGTTAACAAGAAATTTCTTTAACTGAAAACTTCAAGCAAGATTATCTGGGTAACTCTTTCAAAAAGAATTGTACCTGTATTTTGGGATTGAATATATTAATTTCTTTTACTGTTTTAATAGGACATAATTTTACAAGACAAGCCACTTTTTCAAAGCCTGCTTCTCCTCCCATTTTCCCTATCTCTGTGATTGACACCTCCAACCCCTGTAGCCTGCCTCTGCTCTCTCTTAACCAAGTCCTACTGATACTACTTCCTAAGTATTTTTCAGCCCTGTCCTTCCTCTCCATCATGATGGACTCATTTCCAGTTGAAATCCTTATGGTACCCTCCCTGGATTATTGCAGTAATCAGAGAGCTGGTCTCCTTAACTCAGGATTCACTTCTTCTCATCTGTTGTTCACAGTGACACCAGAAAGATATTTTAAAATGATGAACTAGAATTAATTATATAAAACACACATACACACATAAATAATACTTAAATCTTTCAATGATGTTCCAATTATATAAAATATAATATAGGAGGCACTTTATGTTCTGGCCTCAGTCTTTCAATTCAAACTTATCTCCGGCCACTATCTCCTTTGACAATTGTATTCTGGCTACTTTAGAATAATAATAATATATAATATTCATAGAGCCCTTCCTGGGTTCCTATCACTGTACAAAATACTTCACATATAACATTTAATCTTTGACAACTTTATTAGGCAGGTACTATTATTATCTATCTATATATCTATATCTATATATATAAAATCTATATTTTATAGATAAAAAAAGAGGGTAAAAACTTGCCAAAATTGCAAAGCTTAGAAGTGTAGCCATTGGGATTTGAGTCTAGGCATCCTGCCTCTACAGTCCACAGTGGCTTTCTTGTGCCAAAAGGCTTGCAGTTCCCTAGACTTGACATTTCTCAAAATCTGTGTCTTTCACATGCTCTTCCAATTGTCTGGAAAATCTTTCCCAACCTCAGTCTACCCATGGTACTCATGTTCACCCCACAAGAAATGACTCCATCTGTCCCCTCTCCATGAAAATTTCTCTGAATCTCAGCACTTTGGGAGACTGAGGCGGGTGGATTGCCTGAGCTCAGGAGTTCAAGACTGCCCTGGGCACCATGGTGAAACCCCGTCTTTACTAAAATACAAAAAACTCACCAGGTATGGTGGCACATGCCTGTAATTCCAGCTGCTCCAGAGGCTGAGGCAGGAGAATTACTTGAGCCTGGTAGGCAGAGGTTGCAGTGAGCCAAGATTGCACCACAGCACTCCACCTTGGGCTATAGAGTGAGACTCCATCAAAAAAAAAAAAAAGAAAGAAAGAAAGAAAGTTTCCCTGGTAAGGACTCATGCCTTGGCACTGAGGGCATCTTGCAAAACTCAAGGATGCCACTTGGTGTAGCAGATAGAAAATAATTGTGATATGAGACAGGCCTGAATTGGATTTATGGCTCTATTGCATATTGGTTTTGTGATTTTGGGAAAGTCATTTAATCTTTCTGAATTTTAGTTTCTTTAGGGATTAATAGTACCTTTTCCAGGGAGCTGTTATTAGGATGAGACAATGATCAGAAAATAGCAAGAATTCATTAGTGCTCTCACCACCCTTCCTCTGTTGCAGCCCTCAGTACCTGAATGGCAATCGTGCATCTTCTCATCGGCCTGTGAATTGCTTCCCCTTTCATCTTAGGCTCTGCAGTATTCAGTGTCACTAGTGAAATGTGTGAAATGAATGAATCGACAACTGATGCTTAATACCTAACGAGACAAGTGAATGAATCCTTTTGTTCATTTTATGGCCAGAAAGATAGTGTAATTAAGTAATAACAACTGGCAAAAAAGAGAAACTCCACCTATACTTTGTCCTTTTCTCAAGTAGCATCTAAAACTTTTTCCTTCTGATTAAAAAATTATCACTGAAAGATCTCTTTGAATGTGTCTTGAATTTTGTATAAGCAGGTGATCTCAGCTCAGCATAATACTAGAAGATTATATGATTTTAAAAATTGGTTCATAGTTTTATAGTCTTGGAATATCTATCATCTATCTATCTATCTATCTATCTATCTATCTATCTATCTATCTATCTATCTAGGTATCTATCTACCTATCTACCTACCTACCTACCTACCAATCTGTCATCTTCAAATATATTTAGGCTGCTTTCCTGAGGCTGATTTTTTATTCCATTCTTTCATTTTTTTCAAGATCCTGGTATTCCCTGGTGTATTGGGTCTAGGTATTTATGATTAGGAGAAGAAATGATTCAGTGGCAGCTCCCCAGGATTTTGGATTATGAGACATGAAACTAGAAATGGCAACTTAGGTGGATTGTTTGAGAACACTGTGTATTACTGCTTCTGTATCAACTTCTATTCTCCCTTGTTCATACTTTTTTAATATGCATTTCAAGCACTATGTATTGGTGAACATTTCAACCCAAATCATATAATAATAGAAGATGCCATAGTTGGAAAGGCATAAAAGGTCATTCTAAATGTGTGAACAAATTAGAGAACTACAAAATTAGAGATCATCATAGCTATATTGCAGACAGACTTCATTGCTTTTCACAGAAATTAAGCCATAGATAACAATGACAGGTTGAAATAGGTCATGATTTCTAAAAATAATGTCATGTAAATTACCTACGTAAATACATTAAAATATGAATTATTTGAAAAAATGAATAGTAGGTCCTCAGAATAGCCCTACACATAAGTATATAATAAAAGCATGAGTTCAAGAGCAGAATGTTAATGAAGCTCCCTGTCTTGGTTTCTTTAATAAGATTCTTCTATTCTGCTTTCTGGAACTATTATGTTCCCATTATAAACTTTGTACCAAGTTAAAAGTAAGGCCCCTTTTGCCCCTTTTTTCTGTCTTCCTGGCTCTCTAGTCCTAGGAAGTTAAAAAGAGTCAGAAAATCCCATCTTTTCTTCCAGGAAGTTTGGGAGAAAAGTCAAGATAGGCTATAAGGTGTTGCACTTGATAATCCAACCATCCTTCTACTGATGGTAGAGTCTCATTATCCTTCCTCAGATATATGCAATGACAAAAATAGATAATGAGAAAGCATGCATCCAAGTAACTCTTTGAGTGTATAAGGGCTGATTAAGTTGAAAGAAGATTGCCAGGCGAGGTGGTTCATGCCTGTAATCCCACCACTTAGGGAGACTGAGGCAGGCAGATCACTTGAGGTCAGGATTTCGAGACCAGCCTCACCAACATGGTGAAACCCCGTCTCTACTAAAAATACAAAAAGTATTCGGGCGTGGTAGCGCATGCCTGTAATCCCAGGTACTCGAGAGACTGAGGCAGGAGAATCACTTGAACCCAGGAGGCAGAGGTTGCAGTGAGCTGAGATGATGCCACTGCACTCCAGCCTGGGCAGAAGAGTGAGACTCCATTAAAAAAATTGCAAAGTATCTACTAATCTAAAAAATGCACAGCCTCAGTTCTCAAAGAGTTTATGTTGTAGGATCATGTCAGTTCCATGTATAATTTGTTTATCACAACTGCACACTGTTACGTAAAGGAAATGCACAACTTGAGATATTTGTTTTGGCTAGAAAACTGAGAAACATTAATAGAGGCAATTAGTGAACTGTCTTTTCAAGGAGGTTTTTAAATGGAATGTATTCATGATAATGTCAATGCAGGGCTACCTAGAGACAGAGGGAAGAATTAAACAAGTTTTTTTTTTTAACTTAACTTTTGGACTCAGTTATTAAGAAAGCATTTAAAAGTAAAGTCAAATTCAAATCTTTCTATCCTGTGAGCTCTGCCTCTCATCTCTGTCAGGCTCCAACTCCATCAAAGACTGGCGGTCACATGAATGGAGTGGAAAATATTCTCTAGTTTATTTGTTTGTGTATTTTTTCTTTAATGTTCCAACTCACATAATAAGTTTAACATGAAAATTAAAAGCAATCACATGTAATTCTCAATATCAGAGTAGATGAGAGTGGCTGCCTTCTCACCAATACCCAGAATGCACTGCAGTTTTCCCAGCTGCCCTTGCACCTTCTCAATAGCCACGTGACCAGCTTTGGTGACTGCTGTGTGTCAGTGAAGGGAGTATTTTCCCCTTTTCCCTAGCTAACATGCAGATGTGGTGATGAGCTCTTTTGGGCCACAAAGGCCATGCCATAGTGACTGGATAAAAGAAAAATAGAAGATACCCAAGCACTGACCTCCCTGTAAAGCTATGCCACCTTAACAACTTGTTCTATTATGTGACTGGGAAATAGTCTCTTTTCTTGTCTAAGCCACTCTTATTTTGAACTTCTATCACAGCCACCAAACCTGCATCTTAACTAACACAAAACTTTGTACCTGGAAGAGGAGCTGAACAGAAGATAATCTGAAATACATGGCATTTACTCAGAATTCCGCAGCATGTGACAGTGATAAAGCTGGTGAGTTTTGCTAGGCCATGGACAAATGTTTGTTAAAACCACCATCTATGATGTCATGGAAGGTAGAGCACATGGCATCTGAACCTCTAACTCCAAAGAACATGGAGGAAAACATTTCAAGTGTCTGGTATAAGATGCTTGCTTCTTGCTACTTTTAGTAAAGGCTCCAAGAGAGGAACTCAAGCTGGAGCTAACCAACATAAAACAGGGCAGGAAAGGACTATAACTACACCAAGAAGACTCTCTGCCTGTGGCTTGAGATTGAAGTTGGCTAAAGTCTGGGAGGAGCTTCACAGTAAGCCTGCCAACTACTTCCCTACACTGAAGCAGCTGGAAGAAGTGGGTCTGAAGAGCCTGCCCTAGCAGGAGATAAAATTGTGGCCCCAAGCCAAGGCAGCCAAACAATGAATATCCCTAATCTGAAAATCTGAAATCTGAAATGCTTCAAAATCTGAAAGTTTTTGAGCACTTACATGATGCTCAAAGGAAATGTTCATTGGAGCATTTCAGATTTCAGATTTTCAAATTAAGGATACTCAACTGGTAAGTATAATGCAAATATTCCAAAATCTGAAAAATATCCAAAATCCAAAATACTTCTGGTCCCATGCATTTTCGATAAGGGATACTCAGCAAGTATTTTAAAAGATCAAAATAAGGCTAAGAGAATATGGATATTTAAGCTTATGGTTCTTTACATGGAACAGTTGAGGCCATTAAAAAAATGTCTAAGATATAGGCAGTGGAAGGCTGAATTCAAGAAAAAGTCTCAGAGGAAACTGAGAAAATGATGTTGCTTGGGTGGAGAGGAAGTTCTGGAATAAATGTGGCAGTTGTTAGAAGACATTATAGTTAGAAGACATTATAGTTAGATGGATAGACAGTAAAGAGGGGGCTTTTGTATTAAAATAGAGGAATAGTGGTTGGGAATAGGAAATATGGAGCTAAAATTATGCCAACCTACTTCTATTAAATAAATTCTATGACACCTTAGCCTTTGGGAAAATGACTAGCCTTCAGTGGAGCACACGTCAAGGGAAGCAATGTCCCCATACAGATAGCTGAATTTTAATTAAAGCAAAGAAATGGAGTCGATGTCCTCTAATGAGGTTTCCAGAAGTCACACTGAAAATATTTGGGAGGGAGGGAAGATTGATTCAGAAGTAAAACACAGAGCAGTATGGAGATAAGACACTGGAGAGCATAAATGAGTCGAGTTTTCAAAAAAATAGAACAAAATTTTTTGAAGTCAGTTGCCTATTATCTTCCTTCATAGTTCTTAGGGAGATATAACTAAAGGCCTCCAAAGAATTTGTGTCTGTCTATAGGGTACAGAATAAATTTATTTCAAAGATCTCCTCCTCCCAGAGTTGACTGTTTGACTTAGGGCAAAAGACTGAATGTAAATAGTAGCGAAACTGTCTCTGATATTATTGTAAGGAATAAAATAATTTTGCTTTGTAGATAAAATAGAATATTTTCTAGAGAGAACTGACCCAAACTCAATTTTAGGACTGGTCCTGAAATTCAGAAATGCCTTTCCCATATTGCCTAACCGTGCCTTTTTCACTGGAAATAAAAGTGCTGCCTTCAGGGAGCACACCTCCCCAGAGATAGTAAAATCAATGAGAAATGCAATGTCCATTTGTCAGTAAAGACATGTGAAGTTTGATGGGTTTCTTGGGACTGGACAACTAGTTAAAGATTCTACACAAAAATTAAGTTGGGCATAGAAACCAAAAATCTCAAGAGATCTTTGAAGAAGGAAACATGAAAAATCAGGACAAATTTAGAGAACTGTTGATGGCATAGATGTTAACTTCCAGAAGAAGATGGAAATAGACCACCATACAAAACAAAAAAGACAGAAGAGAATATTAGCACTCTGTTGCAAAGGAGAATAGGTATGCTCAACTGGTAAGTAGAATGCAAATATTCCAATATCTGAAAAAAATCCCAAATCCAAAATACTTCTGGTTCCATGCATTTTTGCTAAGGGATACTCAACAGGTATTTTAAAAGATCAAAATACAGATCAGAGAATATGGATACTGAAGATTATGAGCAAACGAGAATAAGAAAACATGTTGGAGGACTTTTAAAAATGTGTAAAGGAATTAATGAATTCTTGTCATCTGCAAACAGAGATAATTTTACTTCTTTAATTTAGTTGCTTTTTTTTTCTCATCAGATTGCTCTTGCAAGTACTATGTTGAATAAAAGTGATGAGACTGGGCATCCCTATCTTGTACTCAATCTTAGTAGAAAAGCTTTTAGTTGTTCCCCACTGACTATGATGTAGGCCATGGGTTTCTGATAAATGGTCTTTATTATGTTGAGGAACTTTCCTTCTATACATAAACTATTAAGAGGTTTTATCAAGAAAGGTTGCTAAATTTTGTTAAATGCTTTTTCTGCATCAATTCAGGTGACCATGTGGTTTTATCTTTCATTTTGTTAATGTGATATATCACATTGATTGATTTACATATGTTAAACCAACCTTGCATGCCAGAGATAATTCCCACTTAGTCATGATGTATAATCTTTTTGATGTGTTGTTGAATTCTACTTCCTAAATTTTTTTTCCTGATCAGCCATTTACTTATATATATATATATATATATTTTTTTATTACACTTTAAGTTCCAGGGTACATGTGCACAACGTGCTGGTTTGTTACATATGTATACATGTGCCATGTTGGTGTGCTGCATCCATTAACTCGTCATTTACATTAGGTATGTCTCATAATGCTATCCCTCCCCCCTCCCCCCACCCTACAACAGACCCAATTTGTGATGTTCCCCTTCCTGTGTCCAGGTGTTCTCTTTGTTCAATTCCCACCTATGAGTGAGAACATGTGGTGTTTGGTTTTTTGTCCTTGTGATAGTTTGCTGAGAATGATGGTTTCTAGCTTCATCCATGTCCCTACAAAGGACATGAACTCATCAATTTTATGGCTGCATAGTATTCCATGGTGTATATGTGCCACATTTTCTTAATCCAGGCTATCATTGTTGGACATTTGGGTTGGTTCCAAGTCTTTGCTATTGTGAATAGTGCAGCAATAAAAATACGTGTGCATGTGTCTTTATAGCAGCATGATTTATAGTCCTTTGGGTATATACCCAGTAACGGGATGGCTGGGTCAAATGGTATTTCTAGTTCTAGATCCCTGATTAATCGCCACACTGACTTCCACAATGGTTGAACTAGTTTACAGTCCCACCAACAGTGTAAAAGTGTTCCTATTTCTCCACATCCTCTCCAGCACCTGTTGTTTCCTGACTTTTTAATGATTGCCATTCTAACTGGTGTGAGATGCTATCTCATTGTGGTTTTGATTTGCATTTCTCTGATGGCCAGTGATAATGAGCATTTTTTCATGTGTCTTTTGGCTGCATAAATGTCTTCTTTTGAGAAGTGTCTGTTCATATCCTTCGCCCACTTGTTGATGGGGTTGTTTGTTTTTTTCTGGTAAATTTGAGTTCATTGTAGATTCTGGATATTAGCCCTTTGTCAGATGAGTAGATTGCAAAAATTTCCTCCCATTCTGTAGGTTGCCTGTTCACTCTGATGGTAGTTTCTTTTGCTGTGCAGAAGCTCTTTAGTTTAATTAGATCCCATTTGCCAATTTTGGCTTTTGTTGCCATTGCTTTTGGTGTTTTTAGACATGAAGTCCTTGCCCATGCCTATGTCCTGAATGGTATTGCCTAGGTTTTCTTCTAGGGTTTTTATGGTTTGGGGTCTAACATTTAAGTCTTTAATCCATCTTGAATTAATTTTTGTATAAGATGTAAGGAAGGGATCCAGTTTCAGCTTTCTACATATAGCTAGCTGGGCAATGTCAACTTTGTAAATTAACTGAGACCTGTCTCAGATTTTGGGGGTTCACAAACTATACTCCAAGGATATAGTAACCAAAATATCATAGGTCTGGTACAAAAACCATGACACAAAAGCCAATGGAACAGATTAGAGAAGGTTGTAGGCTGCACTCCTACAACCATCTGATCTTTGACAAAGTCTATAATTAGAAGCAATGGGAACGGACTCCCTATTCAATGAATGGTACTAGGATAACTG
Source organism: Homo sapiens (assembly GCF_000001405.40). Lineage (NCBI taxonomy): Eukaryota > Metazoa > Chordata > Mammalia > Primates > Hominidae > Homo > Homo sapiens. The sequence goes on along the minus strand of NC_000002.12, from coordinate 131,701,974 downwards.
GTTAGCCATATTCAGAAGATTTAAAATGGACAACTTCCTTCCAACTTATTAAAAAAATCAACTTAAGATAGATTAAAGACCTAAATGTAAAACCTAAAACTATAAAAACCCTAGACAAAAGCCCCGAACATAATATTCTGGACATAGGCAATAACAAGGATTTTATGATCAAGTTTCCAATAGCTATTGCAACAAAAACATAAATAGACAAGTGGGACCTAAGTATACTAAGGAGACTATGTTCAACAAAAGAAACTATCAGCATAGTAAACAGACAACCTACAAAATGGGAGAAAATATTTGCAAACTATGGATCTGACAAAGGTCTCATATCCAGAACCTGTAAGGAACTTAAAAAAAATTTTAAGCAAAAACTAAACGACCTCATTGAAAAATGGGCAAAGGACAAGAACAAACACTTCTCAAAAAAGACATACATGCTGTCAACAAGAATATGAAAAAATGCTCCATTTCAAAAATCACTAATCATTAGAGAAATGCAAATGAAAACCACAATAAGATATCATTTCATACCAATCACAATGGCTACTAATAAAAAGTCAGAAAATAACAGATGTTGCTGAGGTTGCAGAGAAAAGGGAAATCTTATACACTTCTGTTGCGAGTGTAAATCAATTCAGCCATTGTATAAAGCAGTTTGAAGATTTCTCAAAAAACTTAAACAGAACTACCATTTGGCGCAGCAATCTCATTACTGGGTACATACACAAAGAAATATAAATTGTTCTACCAAATGACACATGTACTTGTATGATTATCACAGCACTATTCACAGTAGCAAAAACATGGAACCAACCTAGAGGCTCATCAGTGGTGGACTAGAAAAAAAAATGTGTACCACCTGACGTGGTTGCTCACACCTGTATTCCCAGCACTTTGGGAGGCCGAGATAGGTGGATCATTTGATATTAGGAGTTTGAGAAAAGCCTGGCCAACATGGTGAAACACCACCTCTACTAAAAATACAAAAATTAGCCAGGCATGGTGGTCCGTGCCTGTAGACCCAGCTACTTGGGAAGCTGAGGTGGCAGAATAGCTTGAACCTGGGAGGTGAAGGTTGCAGTGGGCCCAGATTATGCCACAGCACTCCAGCCAGGGTGTCAGAGTGAGACTCTATCTCAAAAAGAAAAAAAATTGGTACATATACACCACGAAATACTGCATAGCAACAAAAAAAACAATAAAATTATGGCTTTTGCAACAAAATGGATGTAGCTGGAGGCTACGTCCCACAAATTAGGCAAATTAACACCAAAACAGAAAAAGAAAGCATATATTATCACCTCTAAATGAGAGATAAACATTGGCTCCACATGGTCCAAAACAGGGACCAATAGATACCAGGGCCTATGTGAGGGTAGAGGGTGGAAAATCCGTGAGGACTGAAAAATTACTTATGTCTATCAGGTACTATGCTCACTACCTCAGTGACTAAATTGTTTTTTCCATGAAACCCCAGCAACATGCAATTTACCTACATAACAAAGCTGCACATGTACCCCCTGAACCTAAAATATAAATTAAAAAAGAAAAAAATGAATATCAATAAGATACTTAGTAAACACACAAGTGTTTGGAAATCAAACAACAAACTTCTAAATAATTCACAAAGAAACATCAAAATAAAATTTAGAATACATTTTGAATTGAAAGATAAACATCTGAAGTGCTGAAAGAATAGAGATGGCTTTAGTCTCGAAACTTATGTATAAAAACATTGAAATTTCAATCAGATGGTAATTGGTATGTGATTTGATAATCTATTTTAAAGTTTATACAAAACTGAGAACCCGGCTAGGTGCGGTGGCTCACGCCTGTAATCCCAGGACTTTGGGAATCAGAGGTGGGTGCAACACGAGGTCAGGAGTTCAAGACCAGCCTGGCCAAGATGGTGAAACCCTGTCTCTACTAAAAATAAAAAAATTAGCCAGGCGTGGTGATGGATGCCTGTAATCCTGGCCACTCAGGAGGCTGAGGCAGAAGAATCAATTGAACCCGGGAGGCAGAGGTTGCAGTGAGCCAAGATCGCACCACTGCACTCTAGCCTGGGTGAGAGAGCAAGGCTTCATCTCGAAAAGAAAAAAAAAAAATTGAGAACCCAGATAAAAATAGCTAACTTTATTCTCCAAAAGACAAAAGAATGACAGTGAGTAGACGTCTGCTTCTATTGGCTATCAGATAATCTTATAACCCTGCAGTACTGTGATGGTATGAAGCACATCCACAGCAGTAGTGTGACAGTCAGGTATCAAAAAAACAAGAACTTCAGAGAAGACAAATGTAACGTTTGAAATCAGTAGAAAGAAGTATTGCTTTGAGAAAGTTGGTTATTATTTGGAATTTGAAGAAATAAACAATAAATTTCAAATAACTTAAAGAATGAAATAAAAAATAAAATTAACACTACAAGGAAGTTTTTAAAATATTCATGCCTTTTCCTCATGACATGATATACAAATATCATGAAGTTAAAGATAGACAAATTTTACTAACTAAACAAACTCATTTTTAGCAAACAATTGATAAATACCATTAAAAGACAAATAACAAATTAGAAGAAAATATTTACATGGTATATATAACAAAAAATTGATATTCAGAATGTATAGAGATTATCAAATAATAAAGAACTTGCAAATCCCAGTGGGAAAATGAGCAAAGAATACAAAGAGGAATTGCACAGAAGAAAAAGTATGCATTATGTATTAACAAATGAAAAGTTGCTTCATCTGTGTAATGGCCAAAATGTATGTTAAAATATAAGACAGCATTTCTCCCATCTCATTGGTAAACTAAAAAATACATATGCACTTCATAAATTCATATGTCACTTCAGCATTTTTACAATTAATATCACTTTTGTTATTCTTAAAAAGTTGAAAAATTAAATGAGTTAAAAGCAGTATGAGAGAAATTATTGCAAATATGTGTATAATATTGTTAGGAGAAACCCAAGTAAGACCCCAGAGGCGTAAGTTTAAATGAAGACTAATTAGTTGATATATATAATAATTTAAAAATATTCTGTACATTATAAAACTCACAAAACAAAAGGCAAAAAAATCAAGAAAAAATAATTTCAAAATAAATGCCACAACACAGCTTCCTGTGGTCAAGATTACTCTCCATTCTACTGTGACGTCTAAATAGATTTGTGGGCATCTAGACTAATATTGGGTTTGTATACTCCCAGAAAATTCAAGACTAGTAAATGCACCCAACCTTACAACCCTGAAGCATATTATCACATAGGGGTCTTGTGTAGTTTGCTAAAATGTAATGTACTACCTGTCACAGAATGAGCACTTAACTGATGTTGCGTGTGATGTAGCATAGTAGCAAAAAACTTTAGAATTAGGCCACAATATTTTTAAGGGCTTTGCATGACCAATTATTTTTTGGCACTTAATTTAAAAAAATCTGCATGCTTATTTTAATTTTGTCATTACTTGCCATTGTATCCATCTCAGGACACTGATCAAATAATCACAAAAATCACAGAGATGATACTCTGCTAATTAAGCAAGTTTTCTTTTTTTCTTTGTGAAACCATTCTTCATTTTTTTTTTGGTATTTAGAAATAATTTCTAGTTCTAATTTATTTTCAGTGAAATTTTGCACAGATTCTCCAAATAAAAAACCAAGAATGACCAATTTTATTGGGAAAATACTAAATGTAACAAACTTTATTTTTTGATAAGTGAAGACTTTCTAATTTTGCTTAAAAATTTTAGGTTTAGCCTTAGGTAATAAAATTAATAGAGAGAATGTTTACTACCATACATAAATTCAAAAGACTTGTTAGTTTAGATTGTCAATTTAATGTTGATCAAAGTTGCTTGAAATTTTCAGATAAAATAACTTTAGGTAAGCTTAAGAAAAGTTTGATTGCATTTTGTTTATAATCTTGTACTTCTATTTTCATTCTGATTTAGTAGGCTGCATACTTTTTTAAAAAAAATTTCAGGTGGATTGTGGCCATTCCTTTTCCTCTTAAGTCTTATTTGATTGCTCTTCCAGAACAAATATTAACATTTGCAGTGCTGCATCTGGATCAAGCTGTTTGGTTAGAGAAATTTAAACCTTTAAATCACAAAACAGCTTATTTTCAATTGTCATAGCTGACATTGAATCTATGCCTGATGATGTAAGCAATGTGGATATTGGAATGTCTCTGAGTTTTATATTAATAAATTTACTAGCTAAATAAGTGATGTAATCATCGGTTGATGTCTGAGATGAAGAGTGAGTAAAAACCACATAAAAATCTTCCATAAAACTAAACTTATCTTGGAATTCTTTGTAAAAATAAATTCTGTGAGACGGAACTTTGGAAAGTTTTCCTGTAATTTCTTGAAATCAAATTTAACAGTGCATGGTAGTCTGAACATTCGGCATTCTCCTTTCTGTATAAAAAACATCACTATTTCAAGGCCAGAGAGCCCCCTTTACATGGCTTGTTAAGAATTCTTCAAAATCCAGCATGATTCAAGATACTGATGGATTTTGGGTATTTGAAGAGAATTCCTCTGGTGGCTAAAATGCTTTGAAGATCATTTGTGCAGCAGTCATTCAAGATGAAAGGCTCCCTAGTTAATTGTCCAGTGAGATCACAGTTCCTGTGATAGTGGCAGAAGATGTCCAGCAAGGAGTTAGCAGCAGCCTCGTTGGCTTTTGCTGCATTCTCAATGAAAGCAGAAACTAATGAATAACACTCAAAGTAACCAAGTTCCTGCTTTCTTGTCAAAAATTGAAGATGTACTGCTCCAGCTACTTTGGGGCTTAACACTTTCTCCAATTAAGAAGAGATGTTGAGAGCTTCTAGGACTCAACATCTAGAAGCCCATCATCCAAGACTGTGGCACTAAAAAAACACACCTGAGATTTTATTCTGCAAAGTTATTTTCTATTGAATTCACTGCCTTTTTCACATCAGAGTGAATAATGACAATACATTGTAGCTTGGTCATTTTGCACTCTTCATTCTGATTTTCCAGCAACTTGCATTCCTTTCAACTGCTCATAAGTTAAATTTCTCAATGAAGTAATCACAACAGAACTATCCCTTGGACAGTTTGGAGTTTCCTGAAAAAAACAGATATACCACCATATGATCCAAAAATCCCACTGCTTGGTATATACCCAAAAGAAAGGAAATGAGTATATCAAAGAGATTTCTGCATGCCTAGGTTTGCTGCAGCACTGTTTACAATTACTAATATTTGAAAGCAACCTAAGTGTCCATCAACAGATGAATGAAGAAAATGTGGTACATATATACAATGGAGTACTATTCAGCCATAAAATGAAAGCCTGTCATTTGCAACAACATGGATGGAACTGAAGATTATTATGTCAAGAAAAATAAGCCAGGCACAGAAATACAAACATCACATGTTCTCACTTATTTCCGGGATCTAAAAATAAAAACAATTAAACTCATGGACATAGAGAGTAGAAGGATGATTACCAGAGGCTGGGAAGGGTAGTGAGAGAATGAGGGGGAGGCAGGAATTGTTAATGGATACAAAAAACAAAAAAGAAATAATATATAATAAAAACCTACTATTTGATAGCAAACCCGGGTGACTATAGTCAATAATAACTTAATCATATATTTGAAAATAAGATAAAGAGTGTAACTGGAATGTTTGTAACTCAAAGAATCACTGAGGGGATACCCCATTCTCTATGATGTGCTTTTTTTCACATTGCATGCCCGTATCAAAACATCTCATGTACTCCATAAATACTATGTACCCACAAAAATTAAAAATAAAATATAAAAAAGAACCATCTTCTCTCTGTGTAACAAATATTATAGTTTCAAATCCAAGGCTAGAGAACTGCCCTGAAACAACATACACTCTTTTGACTTGAAGAGTTTTCTGTTTCCTCTATATATAGGTATTTGTGGAAGTTAACATTCTGGAACACTGACTTCCAACACAGCAAGAGGGACAGCCACACATGTAAAATACAATGACAGAGCAGGACTCACAAGTGCGTTCTGCTGAAAATGGAAGCAAGCCAAATTCAAATTATTTTTCTTTTATTTATTTATTTATTTATTTATTTTTTATTATTATACTTTAAGTTTTAGGGTACATGTGCACATTGTGCAGGTTAGTTACATATGTATACATGTGCCATGCTGGTGCACTGCACCCACTAACTCGTCATCTAGCATTAGGTATATCTCCTAATGCTATCCCTCCCCCCTCCCCCCACCCCACAACAGTCCCCAGAGTGTGATGTTCCCCTTCCTGTGTCCATGTGATCTCATTGTTCAATTCCCACCTATGAGTGAGAATATGCGGTGTTTGGTTTTTTGTTCTTGCCATAGTTTACTGAGAATGATGATTTCCAATTTCATCCATGTCCCTACAAAGGACGTGAACTCATCATTTTTTATGGCTGCATAGTATTCCATGGTGTATATGTGCCACATTTTCTTAATCCAGTCTATCCTTGTTGGACATTTGGGTTGGTTCCAAGTCTTTGCTATTGTGAATAATGGCGCAATAAACATAACGTGTGCATGTGTCTTTATAGCAGCATGATTTATAGTCCTTTGGGTATATACCCAGTAACGGGATGGCTGGGTCAAATGGTATTTCTAGTTCTAGATCCCTGATTAATCGCCACACTGACTTCCACAATGGTTGAACTAGTTTACAGTCCCACCAACAATGTAAAAGTGTTCCTATTTCTCCACATCCTCTCCAGCACCTGTTGTTTCCTGACTTTTTAATGATTGCCATTCTAACTGGTGTGAGATGCTATCTCATTGTGGTTTTGATTTGCATTTCTCTGATGGCCAGTGATGATGAACATTTTTTCATGTGTTTTTTGGCTGCATAAATGTCTTCTTTTGAGAAGTGTCTGTTCAGGTCCTTCGCCCACTTTTTGATGGGGTTGTTTGTTTTTTTCTTGTAAATTTGTTTGAGTTCATTGTAGATTCTGGATATTAGCCCTTTGTCAGATGAGTAGGTTGCGAAAATTTTCTCCCATTTTGTAGGTTGCCTGTTCACTCTGATGGTAGTTTCTTTTGCTGTGCAGAAGCTCTTTAGTTTAATTAGATCCCATTTGTCAATTTTGGCTTTTGTTGCCATTGCTTTTGGTGTTTTAGACATGAAGTCCTTGCCCATGCCTATGTCCTGAATGGTAATGCCTAGGTTTTCTTCTAGGGTTTTTATGGTTTTAGGTCTAACGTTTAAGTCTTTAATCCATCTTGAATTGATTTTTGTATAAGGTGTAAGGAAGGGATCCAGTTTCAGCTTTCTACATATGGCCAGCCAGTTTTCCCAGCACCATTTATTAAATAGGGAATCCTTTCCCCATTGCTTGTTTTTCTCAGGTTTGTCAAAGATCAGATAGTTGTAGATATGCGGCATTATTTCTGAGGGCTCTGTTCTGTTCCATTGATCTATATCCCTGTTTTGGTACCAGTACCACGCTGTTTTGGTTACTGTAGCCTTGGAGTATAGTTTGAAGTCAGGTAGTGTGATGCCTCCAGCTTTTGGCTTAGGATTGACTTGGCGATGCGGGCTCTTTTTTGGTTCCATATGAACTTTAAAGTAGTTTTTTCCAATTCTATGAAGAAAGTCATTGGTAGCTTGATGGGGATGGCATTGAATCTATAAATTACCTTGGGCAGTATGACCATTTTCACGATATTGATTCTTCCTACCCATGAGCATGGAATGTTCTTCCATTTGTTTGTATCCTCTTTTATTTCCTTGAGCAGTGGATTGTAGTTCTCCTTGAAGAGGTCCTTCACATCCCTTGTAAGTTGGATTCCTAGGTATTTTATTCTCTTTGAAGCAATTGTGAATGGGAGTTCACTCATGATTTGGCTCTCTGTTGTCTGTTGTTGGTGTATAAGAATGCTTGTGATTTTTGTACATTGATTTTGTATCCTGAGACTTTGCTGAAGTTGCTTATCAGCTTAAGGAGATTTTGGGCTGAGACAATGGGGTTTTCTAGATATACAATCATGTCATCTGCAAACAGGGACAATTTGACTTCCTCTTTTCCTAATTGAATACCCTTTATTTCCTTCTCCTGCCTAATTGCCCTGGCCAGAACTTCCAACACTATGTTGAACAGGAGTGGTGAGAGAGGGCATCCCTGTCTTGTGCCAGTTTTCAAAGGGAATGCTTCCAGTTTTTGCCCATTCAGTATGATATTGGCTGTAGGTTTGTCATAGATAGCTCTTATTATTTTGAAATACGTCCCATCAATACCTAATTTATTGAGAGTTTTTAGCATGAAGGGTTGTTGAATTTTGTCAAAGGCCTTTTCTGCATCTATTGAGATAATCATGTGGTTTTTGTCTTTGGCTCTGTTTATATGCTGGATTACATTTATTGATTTGCGTATATTGAACCAGCCTTGCATCCCAGGGATGAAGCCCACTTGATCATGGTGGATAAGCTTTTTGATGTGCTGCTGGATTCGTTTTGCCAGTATTTTATTGAGGATTCTTGCATCAATGTTCATCAAGGATATTGGTCTAAAATTCTCTTTTTTGGTTGTGTCTCTGCCCGGCTTTGGTATCAGAATGATGCTGGCCTCATAAAAATTTTTCAAACTCATTGATTTTAGCTACCAAAAGGTCTATAGGATATTATCAGACAGAGTTTTTGTAGAATCTAAGATTTAGAATGTGAACTTGAATGTGATTGTGATCATTATGCAATAACTGTTGTAAAAACTCAGGTTGGTGTTGGCCACATAGGACTACAACACTCTTGTGTTGCCTTCACAAGTTCCTCTAAACGTGGCAGTAAACTTAGTGCCTTTCAGTGTTCTCCTTTTTCCCATAGACTCACAGACAGCGAGAGACACCTGGCTCCCCCATATCACTTCCTTAGCAGCCAAGAACAGCATGTCACCCAGAATGAATTCTGGCTGTGGCAGAAAATGGCCTACATAGAGAGATGTCTGGCATTTGGTAATACCTGGGTGAGAGCTTTTCAAGCTCTTATGAAGTATACGATGCATAAGGTCCATTTCTAAATACTAGAAACATCTTGCTGTGAAAGCACATAAAGTCCATAGTTAAGATGATGATGCCATGCAGAAAAACATGTGGCAATGTAACCACCAGTCTTTACTTTTTCAATGGCCTTGCACATGGCTGTTACTGTACTGCTGAAGTCCAGTGTCAGCAGTTTATGTTTCCCCATTGTGTCATTAGCCCAATGCAAAGTACTGTCAAAATTACACCTGGAGGTGCTAACAGGAAAATAATCTGAGTAAATCCACATTTGCCATCTCAACTTCCAAAGATTGGTCGTCAAACAGTGTGTTTCTGTCTTTCTATCTCGGCTATCACCTTTACTACACTGTAGGGATCTGAGGTTTGTAGAGTGGATATCACAGAGTTCTGGTTGTCCTTGTGAGGTTTGATATGATAAACTTTTTCAAAGAAAGTATGCCTGATTACAGAAATGAGTATTGTCCCCTGACAATCCACATAGAATTCTGGGGCATTCTTCTCTTTACATTTAATAATGGCTCCCACTAAACTTGTAATGTTCTGTGGGATTGTATCACTTCTTCACCTTCTTGCTCACTTCCCACCTTCTTGCTCAGAGCTCCAATGGGCTCAGAGCAATGTTTGGAGTGCCAATCACCGAGCTCAATCTTACTCTGAGCATCATCTTCTCTGAGCTCCATCTTACACTGAGAAGCACCTGCTGCAAGCTCCATCTTGCTTGGAGCTCCTTCTTGCTCCAAGCTCTATCTACTCCAAGCTCCATCTTGCTCAGAGCTCCATCTGCTCCATGCTCCATCTTGTTCGAAGTGCCAATCGCTCCAAGCACTATCTTGCTGTGAGCAACATCCGCACAGACATTCATCTTACTCAGAGCTCCATCTAGTCAGAGGTCCATCTACTTTGAGCTCCATCTTGCTGGGAGTTCCAATCACTCCAAGCCCCATCTCGCTGGGAGCTCCAATCACTTCTAGTTCCATTTTGCTCTGAGCACCATGTAGGCGGAGCTCATCTTACTCTGAGCTACATGTGCTCTGAGCTCCACCTTGCTTGGAGCTGTAATCACTGTGGGCTCCATTTTGCTCTGAGCTCCAACTAAAACCAAGCAACATCTCCTCCAAACTCCATCTTGCTTAGAGCTCCTTTTTCGCTCAGAGCTCTACGTGCTCTGAACTGCATCTTGCTCAGAGCTCCAATTGCTCAAAGCAATGTTCAGAGTGCCAATCACTCTGAGCTCCCTCTTGCTCTGGGTACCATCTGCTCTGAGCTCCATCTTACACCAGCAACATCTGCTCCAAGTTCCATTTTGTTTGGAGCTCCTTCTTGCTCAGAGGTCTATCTGATCTGAGCTCCATCTGGTTCAGAGATCCAATCACTCCAAGCTCCATCTTGCTCTGAGCACCATCTGCTTGAAGCTCCATCTGCTCCAAGCTCCATCTTGCTTAGAGCTCCCATCACTCTGAGCTCCACTTTGCTCAGAGCTCCATTTGCTCCAAGCTCCATCTTTCTCAGAGCTCCAATTACAACAAACTCCATCTTGCTCTGAGCACCCTCTGCTCAGAGCTCCATATGCTCGGAGCTGCATCTTCTAGCTCCATCTTGCTGATATCTCCAATCACTTCCAGCTCCATTTTGCTCTGAGCATCATGTGCTCGAAGCTCCATCTTACTGTAAGCAGCATGTTCTCTGAGCTCTGTCTTGCTCTGAGCACCATCTGCTCTGAGCTCCATCTGAAACAGAGCAACATTTGCTCCAAGCTCCATCTTGCTTAGAGCTCCTTCTTGCTCAGAACTTCATTTGCTCCAAGCTCCATCTGCTCCGAGCTCCATCTTGCTGAGAGCTCCAATTACTTCCAGCTTCATTTTGCTCTGAACACCATCTGCTCAAGCTACATCTTACTGTGGGCAACATGTTTTCTGAGCTACATCTTGCTCAGAGCTGCATCTCCTCCAAGCCCTATTGTGCTCGAAGCTCTAATCACTCCGAGGCTGATCTTGCTCTGATCACCATCTGCTCAGAGCTCCAATCCTCCACAGCAAAGTTTTTAAGTTCCAATCATTTCAAGCTCCATGTTGTTATGAGCATCTGCTCTGAGCTCCATCTTACACCGAGCAACATCTGCTCCAAGTTCCATCTTGCTTGGAGCTCCTTTTTGTTCAGAGCTCTATCTGCTCCAAGCTCAATCTTCTCTGAGCTCCATTCTTGCTTGGAGCTCTAATCACTCTGAGCTCCATCATGCTCTGAGCACCATCTGCTCTGAGCTCCATCTGAAACTGACCAACATCTGCACCAAGCTCCATCTTGCTTAGATCTCCTTATTGCTCAGAGTTTCACCTGCTCTGAGCACCATCTTGTTCAGAGCTCCATCTTGCTCAGAGTTCCAGCTGCTCAGAGCAATGTTCAGAGTTCCAATGACTCCAAGCTTTATCTTGCTCTGAGCTCCATCTTACACAGAGGAACCTCGGCTCCAAGCTCCATCTTGCTTGGAGCTCCTTCTTGTCTGAGCTATATTTGCTCTGAGCTGGACACTCCATGCTCCATGTTGCTCTGAGTTCCATCTGCTCAGAGCTCCATCTGCTCCAAGCTCCATCTTGCTCTGAGCACCATCTGCTCTTAGCTCCACCTTGCTCAGAGCCCCAGTCACTCCCAGCTCCATCTTACTCTGAGTACCATCTGCTCTGAGCTCCATTTTGCTCGGAGCTCCATCTTGCTGTGAGACCATAGGCTTGGAGCTCCATCATACTCTGAGCAACATCTGCTCCAAGCTTCATATTAATTGAAGCTCCATCTCACCTGGAGCTCCATCTGCTCTGAGCTCCATCAAGCTTAGAGCTCATCTTGCTCAGAGGTCCATCTTGCTTTGAGCACCATCTGCTCCATGTATGTTTATAGCAGCACTATTCACAATGGTAAAGACTTGGAACCAACCCATATGCCCATCAATGATAGACTGGAAAAAGAAAATGTACTACATGTACATCATGGAATATTACACAGCCATAAAAAGGTATGAGATCAAGTCCTCTGCAGGGACAGGGATGAAGCTGGAAGCCATCATCCTCAGCAAGCTAACACAGGAACAGAAAACCAAACACTGCATGTTCTCACTCATAAGTGGGAGCTGAACAATGAGAACACATTTTAATACTATTACGCCCTCTGAAAATGGTCTGTTTCTCTTAACAACGGATATTTATACTTTGTAATTTTTTTCTCTCTAAAGGATTGTGGCTTCTTCTGTCTGTGCCAGTCTAGGGCCCAGGTTGACTACCTCACTTTGAAATGACCCACCCCATGTCCGTCCGCACATGGTTGGTCCCTCCTGTAAACTGTTTGTTCACAGACTGTTACCACCTGTGGGTCATTTGACAGGAGGTGACCTCACATAGCAATGCACCAGGCAAATCACCAACTGAAAGAATCACTGAAACAACATGTGTCTGCTTATTTCAAAGAATGAATAGGAGTCAGTTGAAGGTGATTAAGTCAGCAACATCTTAAGGTGATAAGATGTCAGTAACATCTTAGATGACCAAGAATAATCCTGTGGGCCCCAAGAACATATGACAATACGGACTACGCCAGCAAAAATCTCACCCATCAGACAACAGCAAATGACACTGTGGCTCAAATGTTAAATGTCCTCTCTTGATGTGTGAAAGCACATGACCAGCAGGAGGCAAAAACATCAGGGAGACAAAGGCTTTGTTGCATATCTGTGGACTTCAGTCTCCAGTGAGACACTCAGAGCCTACATCTGTGTTACCACTGCTGTTTTTATTGCACAGAACATTTCCATATATGTTTCATTCTACAAGAAATGTTTCAACAAACATATATCTGATAAAAGGCTGTCTTCAAAATGTCTAAGCAACTAACACTACTTACTAGCAAAAACACAAAAGAGAAACTAATAACCAAACAAAACCTAAATAGACATTTCTACAAAAAAGACATAACATTGAAAACGAGTTTTAAAAACTTGAATAACATCACAAACCATAAGATATAAATCAAAACAACACATATATCATCTCACTATAATTCAAATGGATGTTATCAAAGTGATAAAATATATTAAAAAAGACACAAATGCTGGTGGAAATTTCCAGAGAAGAACTCGTTTGGTAAGAATGTTAATTAGTATACAGCCGGGCACGGTGGCTCACGCCTGTAATCCCAGCACTTTGGGAGGCCGAGGCCGGCAGATCACGAGGTCAGGAGATTGAGACCATCCTGGCTAACATGGTGAAACCCCGTCTCTACTAAAAATACAAAAAATTAGCCAGGCGTGGTGGCGGGTGCCTGTAATCCCAGCTACTCAGGAGGCTGAGGCAGGAGAATGGCATGAACCCAGGAAGCAGAGCTTGCAGTGAGCTGAGATCATGCCACTGCACTCCAGCCTGGGCAACAGAGCGAGACTCCATCCAAAAAAAAAAAAAAAAGAGAATGTTAATTAGTATACATACTACAGAAACCAGTGGGAGGTTCCTCCAAAAATTAAACCTACAACTACCACTTCATCTAACAATTCTACTACTAAGTATACTTTCAGTGCCAAAGAAATCAGTTTATGCAAGAGATGTCAGCCATCCTATGTGGACTGCAGCACTATTCACAATCGCCAAGATAAGGAATAAACTTACCTGCCCATCCACAGATGAAGGGATAAAGTAACTGTGGTGGACATACACAAACAGAATAGTCTTCAGCCAGAAAATCAGAATGAAATTTCATCATTTGGAGCCATACTGTTGAACCTGGAGGACCGCATGGTAAATGACCTAAACCAGGTAGAGAAAGAAAAACATTGCCACATCTCACTCATGTAGAACCCAAAATAAAAGGCTTTATTGCAATAGATCTAGAGAGCATAACAGTGGTTTCCAGAGATTGGAGGGAAGCAGGGGTATGGGCAGGGATCAGAAATAGGTCCAAAATTACACTTAGATGAGAGGAATGAATTGTTCCTCTCTGTTCCACAGCACAGTGACCAGAGGTTAACAAAACATCACATCTTTTTCACAAAATCTGGAAAAGAAGATTCCAAATGTTTTCACCATAAAGAAATTAACAACTTTGTGATAACAGAGACTCTAAATATCCTGATTTTAACATTCCTCTATGTCTGCATTAACCAAAATGCCCCACTCTAACTCCCCCCATTGTATACCTTTACTATATGGCCAACCTTTTAAAAAATACGTAAATACACAATGCTAAAATTCATGCAGACCACAAAACACCCTGAATTTCTAAAGCAATCCTGAGAAGTCCAAACTACATTGGTTGTGTCACACTTCCTGATTTTTAATTTCATTGAAAAGCTAGGGACCCCATTTCACACAGAGCAGTGGAACAAATTAGAGGACCCAGATGTAAACCCACACCCCTAACACCATCTGATCTTCAAAAAAATCCACGAAAATAAGCTTTGGAGAAAGGACTCCCTCCTCTCAATAGATGGTGCCAGGATAAACTGCTAGCCAGTTGCAGAAGAAAAACAGTGGGCCCCTGTGTCTCACCCTGTACAGAAATTAACTCAAGATGAATGAAGATGTAAACGCAAGACCTCAAACTATGAAAAGCCTGCAAGAGAACTTGGAAATACCCTTCTTGACAGAGGATTTGGCAGAGCATGGCTGTGCCTAAGTCCCCAAAAGCAATTGCAACTAAAACAATTATTGACAAGTGGGGCCTAATATACAAAAGAGCTGCTGCACAGCAGAAGAAATTACCAACACAGTAAACAGACAGCCTACACAATGGGAGAAAATGTTCCCACATCTGCATCTGATGAAGTCTAATATCCAGAATCTACTTCAAATACATTAAGCAAATAAATCAGAAAAACAAAAACTCAATGAAGAAAGGGTAAGGGGCATGAAAACATGCATCTCAAAAGAAGGTTTACAGCAACCAACAGACAAGACATTTCTTTACCTCAGGAATCATCAGAGAAATGCAAAGCAAAAGGCCCATGAGATAGTATTTCACACATTCTGATGAATGACAATTATGACACAGTCCACAAGAATGAACACCAGCAAGGCAGAGGAGGAGGGATGCTGGTCTGCTGTTGGTGGAAATGCAAACTAGTTCGGACACCATGGAAAGCAATGTGGGGATTTCTCAAATAACTTTCTCAACATCACTAAACCTCACAAAAAAATGTCCATGAAAACCACACTAAGATTCTGTCTCATTCCACTCAGAATGAGTACTACCAAAAACAAAACACGAATTTTTGAAGGTGACATCCAGTGTAGACTTACAGAAAGGTAACCTCTTAAACGCTATTGGTGGGGATGTAAATTAGTATACACACTATGAAAAACAGCTAGAGGTTTCTGAAAAAAATTCACAGTACAACTACCATGTCAGCTAACAGCCCCACCACTGGTTCCACATTTAAAGCAGTTGAAGTCCCTAGGTTGAAGAGAGCTATCTGCCTTCCCATGGGTACTAAAGCACTCTTAACTGTGGCCAAGGTAGAGAACCAACCTACCTGTTCAAACACAGCTGCAGGAATGAGGAAACTGCTGTACAGATACACCACGGAATATGTTGCAGCCATAAACCTTTGGGAAATCCTGCCATCTGCAGCCACATGAAGAAATCTGAAGAACAAGGTCCAAAGAATAAGCCTGGTAGAGAAAGTCCCATGCCACGTGATCTCACACATGTAGACTGAAAAAAGCTTTATCTTCTAGAAGTAGAAAGTTCAATAGGGCTTACCAGAGGCTGCTGGGGAAGTGGAGGCAGTCTCGGAAGGAATCAGTGATGGGTACAAAGTTACTCTCAGATGATAGTGATCAATTCTGGCCTTCTATTCCACAGCAGCGTGACTAGCCTTAACACAAATGTATCATATATTTCAAAGTAGCTGGAAGGAAAGATTCTGAATGTTGTTACCAAAAATAATAACTATATGAGATGAAGAGATGCTAAATAACCTGATTTTATCATTATTCAACATATACATGTATGAAAACCTTCCTTGTACCTTCTAATTGTATACATTTAGTATATGACAAATAGTGTTTTAGGAAGTATAAAGAAACAATGCCAAAATTTATGTGGAAATGTGAAACACCCTGAATTTCCAAAGCTATTCTGAGAAATACAAACCATACGGGATGCATCACATTCCCTGAGTTCTAATTAAATGAAAATCCGTAGTTAACAAACCCATATGTTACTGGCATAGACAGAGAAACACAGACCAGTGAGCAAAATGAATGTGCTCAATAATAAACAAAAATTTATATGGAATGAACACATTTTTCAAAACACCACCAAAATGACACAACAGGGAAGACTTCCGAAACTAGATATCCATATGCAAAAGGGTAATACAGGACCCTTATGGTACTAGATACACAATAATCAACTCAAAATGATTAAAGATTATACACAAAACTTGCAACCATAAAGCTCCTATAAAGACAACCTCGGGTGTGCGTATATTTAGAGCAACTTGGATGTATGCTCAGGGTTCACAAAAAGTAAACAAAAATACAAGGGAAAAAAATTATTGACAAGGGACTGCTTTGGTAGTGATTTTGTTTTTTCTTGATTAGTAACCAACAGCACAGCCACCAAGAAATTATGCACATGTGGGACCACGTCAAGCTGAAGCATTTGTGACCAACAAAGGAAACAATAAACAAAATAAAAAGGCACACTAAAAATTACAAGTTTGGGATAAGGGATTATTTTTGAAAAGGTACAAGCCAGTCATACTACCAGCTGGCAAAAAAATAACAAAACAACAGAACAATTGCCAGACAAAAACTGGGCAAATAACCGGATTAGATATTTTTCCAAAGAAGACAGGAAACTGACCGAATGTCTACAAAAACGTGGTTAACATTACTACTCATGAGAAAAATGCAGATCAAAACCACACTCAGATCTTATCTCACTCCAATAGAATGAACATTACAAAAAGATCAAAATATTTAAAAAGACAATTCCTGGTATGAATTGCCAGAAAGGGGAACTGTTTGTGCAAACATAAATTAGTATTAACACTATAAAAAACAGTTAGAGGTCTTGCAAAGAATAGGAAAAAAAGAAATACCATTCCATCTAGCAGTCCCATTACTGGGTGTAAATTCAACCTACCTGTTCATCCACAGATAAAGAGATCAAGAAACTCTCATATACATACACTAGGAAATATTCTTCAGCCATCAAAATAATGAAACAGTCCCATTTAGAGCAACGCAGATGAACCTGGAAAACATTATGTTAAATGTAAGGAGCTAGGCCTAGAAAAACACTGCATGATACCACTCATGTGAAATCTTAAGATGTTTATCTTAATGAAGTAAAAAGCACAATATTGGTTACCAGAGTTTGGGAGATAGAGGGGGAATGGGGAAGGATTGATTATGGAAACAAAGTTATCTTAACATTAAAGGAACAAATCTGAGGTTCTCCTCCTCAGCCTGGTGACTGGAGTTAACAATATCATATTTTTCTAGAGTAAGAAGGGAGAATTTTGAATGTTCTCCCCACAAAAAAAAAAAAAACCTGGATGAGCAAATAGAGATCCTAAGTACCCTGATTTGATCATTACCCAATCTGTATGTATGAAAATGTACCCCTAATTATGGACCTTTATGTTGTGAAAAAAAGTTAACAGAAATAAATACGTATTGCTAAAAATCACAGGGAACCACAAAAGCAATGAATATCTAAAGGAATCCTGAGAAATACAAAGTGAAGACCCACAATCCTTAATATCAAATTACACTGCCAAGTTGTAGTTATACAGCTGATATATGATACTTGCATAAACTATGGACAAAAACAGGGAGGACAAAAACATGATCAACACAAATATGGACACAATCAACTGACTTTGATAAAGAACACTGCAATGTGGAAGGCAGAGAATGAATACCTTTGACAAAAATGATATCCAGATGCAGAAGCGAGAAATAGGACCTTATTTTACACGATGTATGAAAATGAACACCCACTCCCCCAAATTGAAGGCAAAACAAAAGACCATAAACTACAAAATGTTTTTAACTAAAACACAGGATGAGCATATATTTTGGGTCACTTGAATCTCTGCTCACCTTTGCAAAGAGGAAAATAAACACCCTGGAAGAAAAACCTCATTGACAATTAAATGCTTTGTCACTGACATATTATTTTCTTATATGGGTGACGAAAATTACATGCATGAAACGCAAAAATAAATATCATGTTGACTACATCAACATGAAAAGTTTCTGCACATCAAAGAAAACTACTTTCCAATTAAAAAAGCATCCTATAGATTAGGCAAAAATTTCAGGCAATCTTGTAATTCACGAGGAGTTGTCATCTAATATGTACACAAAAAACACTACAAAGTAGCAAAAGCATCCAATCTAATATTTTGCAAAGAACCTGAACAGACAATTCTGCACAGCCATAAAATCGAACAACAAATAAGAGATAAGGTCCTCAAAATCAACTATTCATTAGAAAACTGTAATTCAAAACCACACACAGATAATCTCACACTTATCGAATATTCCTTGATTTTTTTAAAAAAATAGGAGGGGCTGGGAACGGTGTCTCATGCCTGTAATCTCTGCACTTTGCGAGGCTGAGGCAGGTGGGTCACCTGAGGTCAGGAGTTTGAGACCAGCCTGACCAATATCGTGAAACCCCATCTCTACTAAAAATACAAAAATGAGCTGGGCATGGTGGCGGCGCCTGTAGTCCCAGCTACTCTGGAGGCTGAGACAGGAGACTTGCTTAAAACCAGGCAGCGGTTGCAGTCGGCCGAGATGGCGCCACTGCACTCCAGCCTGTAAGACAGAGCAAGACTCCGTCTCAAAACAAAAACAAAAACAAAACAAACCCCAAACCAAAAATAGTAGGAATGCGGGTGTGGTTTTGGAGAAAGGGAAACTCATACACTGTAGGTGGAAATGAAAATTAGGATACACACCATGGAAAACAGCTAAATAGCTGGAGACTCCTCAAAGAACTGAAAATACAGATGCCCCCTGCTCTAGCGAGGTCTCTTTTTAAAGGTGCTGAGGCATCAAAAATAATCCTAGACTCCAGCTCAGAGGCCCCTGGGGCTCCGAGGGACCCAGGTCCCGCGTTTTACCGCCAGCTGTGGGCCAGGGCGCTCCTATACGCTGGACGCGGGTCGGACATTGGCATAGCCTTCCCGGCCGGGGTGCGGACGCTGCAGTAGCCAGGACCGCACAACCGCCCCCAAGCGGAGGACTCGGGCCCAGATGCCCACGAAGAAGTGCGGGCACGAAAACAGGGAGAGGCAGGGAAGGAGCAGGGAGGGTTCCCGGTGGGGTCCACGCCCCCGCCACTGACCGCGGAGACCTGTCTCCTACTCCACCATCACATGGAACCCACCACCGCTCAGAAGCTCGCTCTGACCACGCTGCTGCTGCTGCAGGGGCGTCGCAGGAACTGCAGTCTCAGCTCCGTAGGGACACGCACGCTAGCAGCATCCCTAGTGCCAGGTTGAAGCTCCACCCCCTCTTAAAGGGACCGCGGCTCGGACTTGCCAGAAGCCGCTTAGGGTTGCGGCACAGGCTGAGCCTCTGCCCAGCCCAGGGGACGACGAAAGGCCCCTGGTCTCTCATCCTCCCCAGCTTTCGGGCCCTAGAAGTCGCAGGAGCGCTCCCTGTGACCGCCTCCCGGAGATCGGCTCCCTTTGCCTAGGGAGCGCCCAGGACCTGCCCCTGCCCTCCTCTGGACCTCAGCTTCACCATCCGCAAAGGAAGCAGCCTCGCTAGAGCTCTGGGGGTCCCTCAAGCTTGGCGTCTCAGGATCCAGGGTGGGCTCCCCTGCCCCTCTGCAGAGGGGGCCCAGAGAACCACAGAAAGCTGGGGGCTGGAGGGACAGTTCGGAGGGCAGCAGGGCCTCCCCGGCCTCACTGTCCGCATCTGTCCTGTGGGAGCTCGCGGGCCTCGCTATGGCCCAGGCACCCACAGCCTCACCAGGGCTGCCTGGGTCACCGGGCTCTCCAGGAGGCAGGCAGGGGCCCTGGGGTCCAGCGCTGCCCCCATCTCAACTCTTTCCTTCATCAGGGCCCACGAGGGGCCCTGTGGACTGGACCCAGGCCCGCCCATTCCCAGGGAGAGGCTATTAATTATTTCCTCAATTTCAGAGCCTGTTATTGGTCTATTCAGAGATTCAGCTTCTTCCTGGTTTAGTCTTGGGAGGGTGTATGTGTCCAGGAATTTATCCATTTCCTTCTAGATTTTCTAGTGTACTTGTGTAGAGGTGTTTGTAGTATTCTCTGATGGTAGCTTGTATTTCTGTGGGATCAGTGGTGATATCCCCTTTATCATTTTTTATTGCGTCTATTTGATTCTTCTCTCTTTTCTTCTTTATGAGTCTTGCTAGCGGTCTATCAATTTTGTTGATCTTTTCAAAAAACCAGCTCCTGGATTCATTGATTTTTTTGAAGGGTTTTTTGTGTCTCTATTTCCTTCAGTTCTGCTCTGATCTTACTTATTTCTTGCCTTCTGCTAGCTTTTGAATGTGTTTGCTGTTGCTTCTCTAGTTCTTTTCATTATGATGTTAGGGTGTCAATTTTAGATCTTTCCTGCTTTCTCTTGTGGGCATTTAGTGCTATAAATTTCCCTCTACACACTGCTTTAAATGTGTCTCAGAGATTCTGGTATGTTGTGTCTTTGTTCTCATTGGTTTCTAAGAACATCTTTATTTCTGCCTTCATTTTGTTATATACCCAGTAGTCATTCAGGAGCAGGTTGTTCAGTTTCCATGTAGTTGAGTGGTTTTGAGTGAGTTTCTTAATCCTGAGTTCTAGTTTGATTGCACTGTGGTCTGAGAGACAGTTTGTTATAATTTCTGTTCTTTTACATTTGCTGAGGAGTGCTTTACTTCCAACTGTGTGGTCAATTTTGGAATAAGTGCTGTGCGGTGCTAAGAAGAATGTAGATTCTGTTGATTTGGGGTGGAGAGTTCTGTAGATGTCTATTAGGTCTGCTTGGTGCAGAGCTGAGTTCAATTCCTGGATATCCTTGTTAACTTTCTGTCTCGTTGATCTGTCTAATGTTGACATTAGGGTGTTAAAGTCTCCCGTTATTATTGTGTGGGAGTCTATATTTTGGTTGCAGATGAGTTTATAGTCAAAGTAAAAAACACACGAAGGGCATTCACATTTCCAGGAACAGAAGCATCCTGTCTGGTTTTTCAGAGGTGAAGGGAGCAGTCTGAAGGGGCTGTGGCACAGGTGTGTCTATAATCAAAGCTCACAGCCGAGGCCCTGGGGGAGGTTCAGGTATGCCCCAGGGGGTGCGCCTCATCCAGCACTTCACTGCCAGGGGCCTCATCTTTATTAAATTCTGGGCCTTTTCCTGGGCAATAGTTACACAAGGTGCGTTCAATGAACCCTATGTCCTGTGGCTGCCACCCATTGCAGGGTCACAAAGGTAATGATCACCACCCCCTCCACCTTCTGCTGAGGGTCCGGGTGACCCCCTGGTGGTGTAACCCAGGCCCTCACCCCTAAGGGGTCCTGAGTCTTGCTCACCACGGAGTCCTTGGTCTAGGGCTCCCACACTTGTCCACGTACCATCAAATGCTGTGTATTGAGAGGCGCTTGTGTAGAGCCCCTCCTGCCCCAGGCAGCATAACCCTGCTTCTGCTGAAACCACGGTCCAGGTGGTACACATTTTTCTGCCCGCAGGTCCCATGGAGGAGCAGCCTGAGGACAAAGCAGCACCCAGAGCTTGTTTTTTCAGAGAATTTGGCCTTGTCCTGTCTAGAAGCCCCACAGCTGTGGAAACCAGGACCTCCTGCTTTTCAGAGCCTAGATGTGCAGGATATAGATGCACCTCAGAGGTCCTGGGTGTGAGGTGGAAGGTTGGGGGACACTGGGCTTCCTACTGCTGTGCTCCCATTGCCGCATCTTCTACCTGGTGGGACAAGGCAGCTAGCAAGGGTGACAGATTCACCCAGACACTGTGTCCTCCCACATCCTGACCTGGCACCTGAGCCAAACTGCTGGGTCTGAAGCTCCCAGGAGCATGTGTGTGCTGTGACCAGTGGACCTATGGCATGCGCCCTCTTCCTCCCTCTATGGCATGGTATCAATTCCTCTGATGGTGTCATGTGAGGTCTCGTCCTGATGGGTAGAACTTTCTATAAACCATCCCATGGCCCTGGGGAAAGGCAAGCTCATCCCTTCAGGTTTAGCTGTTTCTGTTAAATGCAACCCTGTTCTTCCCAGGGCATCAGGGCCCGGTGCAGTTGTCCCAGCCTGACAGGAAGTCCCCTTGATGGTTGTGTGGAGGGTGCAGGCTGGGCCTAGCTCATGACCCTGGCAAAGGGCAGGTGAGCCCTGGGGCTGACCACCTGCACTTTCTGTTTGGTGGTGGGAGATGTGGGGCAATATTTCTTGCCTTCCCTTTAGAGAGCATCTCCCAGCCTGCCCAGACCACTAGACCCCTAAAAATGTGACTTGTAGGCAGGTCCTGCCTGGCTCTCTGTGGTGCTTTTCTCTCCCCTCCAAGCATCTGTGACTCCCAGGCCTCCAGCCCTGCTGGCTTCCCCCATCTGAGCTCCTGATGCAGGGGGAGGACTGTACTGTGGCAGGCAGCATGCCGGTTTACACAGTTCTGGGACAAAACTATAGGTATACCTTATTTTATGTCCCAGGTAAATGAATCCAATTTCTTGATGCTTTTTTGACACAGAGGGAAGAAATGCATTGGTGAGCTCCATGGGCCAGAGCTCAGGTCCATGCTCAGGCTCTGGGAGCAGCTGCGCAGCTCTGGAGCTGTTGCGGGGCCCAGGGAAGGGGTGGGTGCTGTGTCTTTGCTCACTGTGTTAAAGGCTTTATTTGTTTCTTTGTTCAGCTTGTTTTCTTTGACCCCTGTTTAGCAATACTGAAAATCAAGCATTTCTAAGAGGCGGAAACCTTGATTTGGAGCAGGGGCGGGGCATTGGGTGGAAATGGAAAATAGGTTGATAGTGGGAATTTCATTTTCTGGAGCTCACGTGCAGCCTCTTGATGGCCCCGTCACAAGTTCACCTGATGACCTGAGTGGCCACTGTCTTTCTCCTGAGTGGTTTGTATGCTTATCTACCAGCATTTATTATTTTTATTTTTTTGCATGATAAGTTTCCAAGGAACCTTAGTGATGGGGACTGTCTCTCTTAAAATTAAGTTGTGTAAATAACTCCCAGAGCCGTGCTGGTAAGAAACAAAACAAAACAAAAAGAACTAGAAGCTTGAAACAAACATAGGATTTCTGCTGGAAAAAGGATGCAAAGCAGGCCTGCCTGCAGCACTTCCCCAGAGCTAATCCTTGAGCCGAAAGAGCTTCCTGGTGAAGCCTCGCACTCTCTGTAACAGGGCGTGGGGGGACCGAGACATGAGGGCTCCAGATTTGACCATGTTTACCTAGTTATGGGATTTCAATCATGTCTTTTAAATTCTTTGAGCTGCAGTTTTCACATATATAAAGTGAAAATATTTTTAAATCTTTAATTTGTATTATAACCTTGTGTAAAGATAAAATAGTACACTTGAAAGCATTTTAGCTGAAGTCAAACGTTCACGTGTGTGCATGCGATGGCTTCTTAATTATTTTAGGGCTTATCCTGGTTTTACTGGTACTGTTACTAGCACTGCTGCTTCTCCATATCTCTGAAAACTATGAAATACTTAGAACTGAAGCAACAAGAAGCACCTGTCAAAGCGTTCTATGGCCGATGACAGATTTGACACAACTAGATATAACAATATGTTAGATGGTGCCTACAGCACTGCTGAGCAGAGACTTCATGCTGTTCAAAGTCAAAGGTGTCCCTAGAATTCTGAACTTGCTGAAGCCGCCCTCAGAACTGAAGTTGAGAAAAGTACATTTTCAATTAAAGAAAGTCTGAGAGAATGTGTTGCCATCACACCCAAACCACAATAAATGCAAAAGAAAGCTGCTCAGGTTGAAGAAAAATGATAACAATTGGAAATTCTAGTTCTCAGAAAAGATGAAAGTGTGCCAAAAATAGTAAACATGTGGAGGGGAAATTGCTATTTTAATGACATCCTCCAGGAATTACAACATGTGCAGAAGAAAAATCTATGACAACATGGCACAAAAGATCAGAGGAGGGAGGAGGGTAAGGTAAGGTTTTTATATTTTATATACAGTGTTATGATATTTAATATACTTTAAGTATTTTTATTTTAATTTCTAAAGAACTCACTAAAAATAAATAAATGAAACAAAGAGTCATAGTTAAAAAAAAACAAGATACAAAATCCATACTAAAAAAAAAGAAAACCCCATAAAACAAACAAACAAACAAACAAATGAAAACTACAATAATCCAGAAGAAGACCAGGAAGGCAGAACAGAGACTGTCAAAGTAGGTAAAAAGGAAACCTCAATATCAGCTTTTAAAAAGAAATACACTTATGAGGTAAAGATACAAATAGATTCAAACTGAAAAGATGGACTAATATACACCATGCAAATCTCTGTTATCAAAAACTGCAGCCAGTGTATTAATGGCAGATAAGACAGACTACAAGAAAGACAAGCATCAACAGGGATAAAGAAGGACGTTTTATGCTAATGAGTCGATTTGCTTAGAAAACCTAATAATCATAAGCATGTATGCACCTAAGAAAAATAACAAAATACACAAAGCAAAAGTTATTGAATTAAAAGGATAAATGCATAAATCCACAATTTGACAATTCTAATTCTTATATCTCAGAAATTAATAGAAAAAAATAACTCCAACAATAACACTACAAGGTATTAATAGAAGAGATTATAACCAGAGCACTGGGAGAAAAACAGCAATATCCAATATGCTTACAATATTGGTTGACAACTCAAAAGTTCCCAAAAGAATTTTTGACACTAAAGGTAAATAGTCTGGAAAACCTAAAAGCCAGCATAGGAAGGAAGTGGAAAATGAAATGTTGATTGAAAATAAATCTGGAAGTCCAGGCGCGGTGGCTCATGCCTGTAATCCCAGCACTTTGGGAGACCAAGGTGGGTGGATCACCTGAGATCGGGAGTTCGAGAAACTCTGTCTGTACTAAAAATACAAAATTAGCCAGGTGTGGCGGCACATGCTTGTAATCCCAGCTACTTGGAGGCTATGGCAGAAGAATCGCTTGAACCTGAGAGGCAGAGGTTGTGGTGAGCCGAGATCACCCCGTTGCACTCCAGCCTAGGCAACAAGATCAAAACTCCATCCCCCCGCTCCCCAAAAAAAAGAAAAGAAAAGAAATCTGAAAAAAGGAAAAGAGAATTGAGGATAAGGTTTTGGGATACAAAATCCAAAATCAAGTGATAGAAATAAGTTCAAATATATCACTTTTTCCTACCAAACCTAGAGGGATTAACCTCATATATTAAAATACAAAATTGTTAATAACAAAGCAGCACTTTCAAATTAAAGAAAGAAAAATAATGGGAATAAAAATTTTAAGTAAATATTCACAGAAAGCAAGCTGCTACCACAAAATTAATTTTAGTTCAAATAAAATTTAAGGAAGAAATAATAAACAACAGGATAGACACTGCACATGGAGGGACAATAGAACCGAGTAGGTGAAGCAACGTCAAGTCCAACGCTGGCCTCGCCTCCAGGACGTACAAAGAAACTAACAGGAAGAGCAGGTCTAGAGAGGGATGCTGGAACTCATACTTCTGAATTTAAATGGGAAATAGACAAAGATGTTATGTGTTTATAAAATATTTTAAAATCACAACAAATGCTGAATATACATTTTCTAATATATGTAATACTTACTAAATGGGACCCATATTAGGTTGCAAAAGAAATTACAAAAAAACTGGAGCTAGGGACCAAAGGACTAACAGAAGTCAGAACAAAAAACACGCCCCATATATTTTAGGAAAAAACGGCACAGTGATTTAATGGTAAATCACTATAAACATGAAGGGATTCACCTAGAATAGAGATGAGATTCCAGAGTTCAAGACGACAACATGTGTCAGCCTGACTTTCTGAATGACTGCATAGGAAAGCCTGCCATCCAAGGAAGCGCAGAAAAGGACACCCCTCAGGTCCTGGATGGAGGAGGATGACCCCCAATACTGGATGGAGAAGGATGCCCCCCAGTCCTAGATGGAGAAGGATATCCCCCTCAGTCCTGGATGGAGAAGGATGCCCCCTAGTTACTGGATGGGAAAGGATGTCCCCCAAGTCCTGAATGGAGAAGGATAACCCCCCAGTCTTGGATGGAGAAAGACAACCCCCAGTCCTGGATGGAGAAGGATAACCCCCCAGTCCTGGATGAAGAAAGATGCCCCCCAAGTCCTAAATGGAGAAGGATGCCCCCCAAGTCCAGATGAAGAAGAATTTCCCCCACTCCTGAATGGAATAGGATCCCCCTCAAGTCCTGGGTGGATAAGACACCTCCCAAGTCCTGGGTGGAGAAGGACATCCTTCAGGTCCCAGATGGAGAAGGATGTTCCCCAAGTCCTGCTTGGAGAGGGTGGCTCTGGGGACCGCATGGGGAAGGATGCCCTTTTTCCAGCCTCCCCATCCATACTTATCCTGACCTGTTAGTGTAGAACAAAGAGATTTGGAGGAAGAAACACGGGACTAAATTTACTCAGAATGTTTTCCTTTTAATTAACATTTTATAAATTCTGATTTTTCTTTGATAAAAATAAGCGAAATGTATGATATAAACACAGTGTAACAACCAATTAGACCTATTTTTCCAAATCTGTGTCCTGGTTACCGGCTCTATTAGTCATTCTGCTTTGCTGTATTTGTAAAACTTCTCAAAATTAAAGATAAAAGAGTTTATTGCTAGTAACATGTACAAATAGGCATTGAATAAAATGTGACTCTTTAAAAATTAGTTTATTCTATGGGCTTCTTTTGGTGTACTAAGATTACTAGTGGATCTTTATTACAAGCTCACTGGTAAAAATAGACAATGTGATAATATTCTAATTTGTTAGAAATTAGTGTTGAGTGAGTATTAATCAAAACTTTAAAACCAAAATACATGGACATAAGAATAAATTATTCGACTTAATTATCTACTGACTTTAAATTCTAATTGCTAAATTTACTTTTTGTCCATTTCACCTCCTTCAAATCGCCAATTAACTCTTCATTTTTCTCTCCTGTCAATATTTTATTCTCATTTATTTTTTTCTATTTCCTGATTTTTTGAATAACTAAGGGAGTCGTGTTTTGCTTGTGTTAGAATGACTTCATTACACCAACCCATTAGGCAACTAGACCCTCACCAAGGTGAGCACTAGGAGACTTCAGACCATGGAGCCTCTCCTGATTTTTGACTCAGGCTACCTGGCAACTGTGTTTAAATTACGAATTGTTTAATTTTTTAGATCCCCTATAGATAAAGAAGGATTTTAATAACCATCAATTTAAAATGCACATGGACACTTTGTAACTGACATTTATTGCAGTTTCTGTGCTGCAGCCTCATGAGTAACTGTTTGTAAGGAACATCATGTTCCTCATTCTGCCCTTGCTCCTTGGGCTCCAACGGGAAAAACCAGAAATTCTGTGGGTATAAAACATGGAAACATTCATTCTTTGAAGAAAAAGGCTGCAAAGCAGAGACAAGAACAGGGAAAGGATGTTATCGAATACATGCAAATGGATAAAATATGAATGATTATGTTCTCATGTTCAACCCAATTTTTAAAAATGGATGTATGAGCAGTGCGAGCATTTACTCAGGCCATGGTGAGCCTGTGGGCAGCGGTGGCAAACCCGGACTCCGCCCGCCGACACCAGCGGCCCGGAAACCCTAGCGCCAGAGGCCACCTAGTGGCCAAAGTCAGGCAGTCGGCCCACAGCTGCAGGAGAGCTGCAACGCGCCCTTCAGCGGATTCCCGGAGGCTGCACAGTGCCCAGCTCCCGCCACCCGGTGCTCTGGGCGCGGGCAAGTGACCCTCAGGCCGTCTGGGACAGGACCAGCCCTGCGGCCTCAGCGGTGGGCTCAGGGGCGGCTGCCAAGTGCACACGGTGAACTATAGCAGCTGTGGCAGCCCCCGACCCTGTGCAAGCCACCGGCAGTGCAGACCCCATGACCAAAAGCCGCCGCGTCCCCTAACTCAGGCGGTCGGCCCCCCAGCAGCCAGAGGGGGGAAACCTGCAGCTCAGCCCCATCCCAGCGCCTGCACTGTGCTCAGCGCCCGTAATCCCACTCTCTGGGCGCGGGCAAGGAAGACTAGACCTTAGGGTGGGAGGGCGGTGCACTCGCGGACCCTCAAGCCTTCTGGAACAAGCCCTGCCATCCTCCGCCGCGGGATCAGCGGCAGCTGCCACATGCACACTCCTGGAAGCAGCATTGGTGGCAGCTCTGGTCTCTGCCAGCTCCAGCAAGAACGCGGACCCCAGAGCCAGAGGTCACTGCAGCGCATGTTAGGAGGTTGGCCTCTCAGCCGCAGGAGGGCAGGAATCTGCGCTCAACCAGATCCTCATGGCTGCACAGTGTCCAACGCCCACGACCCCGCAATCTGGGCGCTGGTCTAGGAATAACGGACCCTAGGGTGGAAGGGAGGTGCACTCACCCACCCCTGGGCAGCCTCACACCAGCCCTGCCAGCATCTGCCTTGGGCTCAGCTGCAGCTGGCGCCTGCGCATGGCACAGGGCAGTAGCAGTGGCAGCCCTGCCCCTGCCCTCAGACACCAGCAGCAAAGACCCCAGGGCCGGACGCCTCCAAGGCACTTAAGTCAGGTGGTCGGTCCCATAGCTGCAAGAGGGCGGGAATCGGCTGCTCAGCCCCATAGCAGCTGTGGCAGCCCCCATCTCTGTCCATGCCACCAGTAGCACGAACCCTAGGGCCAGATACTGCGGTGGAGCCTAATTCAGACTGTAGCTGCAGCAAGGCGGGAATCGGCCGCTCAGCCCCATCCTGGAGGCTGCTCTGTGTCTAGCGCTCGCACACCACGTCCTGGGAGCAGTCTAAGGAACAGCAGACCCTAGGGGGTAGGGCGGTGCACTCAGCGACCCTCAGGGTGTCTGGGACCAGCCCTGCCAGCCTCTGCCATGCTCTCAGCTGCAGCTACCATCGCCAGGTGGCGCCCGTTAGCAATGGTGGAAACCACACCCCCCTCCTCCGACCTTACCTGCCCCCAACAGCAGTGCAGATTCCATAGCTGGATGCCTTGCCAGGGCGGGAACCAGCCGCACAGCCTATTCTGGGCAGCTGCACAGGGCCCAGCGCCCGAAACCCCGAGCTCTGGGCGCGGGCCAAGGAAGAGTCCACCCTAGGCTGAGAGGGTGGTGCACACCGCGATCCTCAGGCTTTCTGGGACCAACCCTGCCGGCTTCTACTGAGAGCTCAGCTGCAGCTGCCACCTGTACAAGGGCGCGACAGCAGCAGAGCAACCCGGCACTTTGCCTGCACCAGAGCCCTGACACGGGGGACAAGGCCGCCTCAGCGCCTAATTCAGGCAGTCAGCCCCGCAGCTGCAGCAGGGCAGAAACCTTTGCCCTCGGCCCAGTCTCCTTGGCTGCACAGTTCCCAGTGCCCGCGACCCGAACTCTGGGCTCAGGCAAAGGAAGAGCGGACCCTAGGGTGGGATAGTGCTCCACTCAATGACCCTGAGGCTGCCTCGGAAACGCCTTGCCAGCCTCTGTCATGGGCTCAGCTGCAGCAGCCACCTGCACATGGCGCGCGGAGCAGACTTGATGGCAACTCCAGACCATGCTTTTACACCAGCCAGGCGGACTCCAGGGCCAGAGGCCGCCCAGCGGCTAATTCAGGTGGTCCGGCCCCAGCTGCAGGAGGGCGGGAACCGGCAGCTCAGCCATTTCCTGGCGGCTGCCCTGTGCCCAGCGCCTGCACACCCTGATCTGGGCGCCTACAAGAAAGAGCTGACTCTAGGGTGAAAGGACCGTCCACTCAGCGACCCCCAGGCTGTCTGGGACCAGCCCTGCCTGCCTCTGCTGTAGATTCAGCTGCAGTGGTAACCTGCACAAGGCGCGCAGCAGCAGCTGTGGCAAACTCCGACCCTGCCAGCTCCACCAGCAGCGCGGACCCTTGGGCCAGAAGCCTCCACGACGCCTAAGTCAGGGTGTTGGTCTCTAGCTGCAGGAGGGCAGAAACTGGCGCTCAGCCTCACCTCAGAGGCTGCATGGTGCCCAGAGCCAGGGCCCAGCTCTTCTAGTGCAGGTTGGAGAGGCCCCCCAGGCTGGAGAGCAGTGTCATGAACACAGCTTACTGAAGCCTCAACCTCCCAGATTCAAGCTACCCTCTCACTTCAGCCTCCTGAGTAGCTGGTAGCTGGGACTACAGGCGGGTGCCATCGTGCCTGGCTATTATATTTTATATACATTTTGGAGAGACAGGGTCTCACCATGTTGCCCAGGCAGGTCTTGAAAGCCTGGAGTTCAAGTGATCCTCTCACCACCTTACCTCCCTCAGTGGTGGGATTATATGTGTGAGCCACTGTGCCCTACCTGCCGCTTTTCTTATAAGGATACTTGTCATTGGATTTAGGGCCCATCCTAATCATCTCAAGGTGCTGGATTTAATTACATCTGCAGATTGTTTTCCAAATAAAGGCACATTCACACATTCCAGGTAGACATATCTTTTGATAGACCACCATGCAATCCACTCTAGGAGTATTAACGTGCCGTGTGGACTGAGGCACCAAAGAATCACATTATTATGTCATATAACTTGCCTTATTTGTAGTGACCCGTGGGCTTGGAAACAGAACCATATGCAGCTGTCAGGGAAGTGCACAGTGCCTGACCTTTCCCGCAGCCTCCTCCCTACTGGTCTTCCATGAGAGGATCATCCCTTGAGAGTGTCGAGAGATTCCTGTTAAATGCTAAAGACCACAGGGGCGTTTGGGAGGGGGAAGATGTTTGGGGAGCAACTTAGTTGTCCTGAGGTGCCTATCACCCTTCACTGTTTCAGCAATATGGATCTTCCAAGGACCTGGGAATGGGAACCAGGCATAAGACAGATACATGTGGATGAGAAGAGGCCAGAGTCTTTCTCTGTGTAGGTACCAGCCCAAGATGAGCATTGCTCCAGAAACACATGCACTCATGATGCTAAACCCAATCTATTGAGGACTTAATACAAACTGAGATTTGTTTAAAGCATTTAATTCTTACCACAGTCCTTTGACATCTTATTATCTCCATTTTACAGATAAAGAAACAGGCACAGAGGGTTTAAGTAACATGTACAAGATCACACAATCACAACTAGTAAAGCCAGAATTAAAGTCCAGTCGGTCTGCATTCAAAGCCTGTGCTCCTGCCCCAAAATGAGAAGTAATGACTTAAAGGCAAGAAAAACAGACCCTCCTTTACCCACCATCCTCATACACAGACTTCCAGCCCAGGATCTGAGCCATTTATTCATTTTCTCTCATATTCATTCATTCATTCAGTTCTTCATCACACATTTAGTGAAGTTCTGTCGTGGAATGTTCACACAGAAGGTACAAAAATGAGGCAGGTGTATTTTCTCCCATCTAACAGGGGATGACCACATGAAGAGAACTGATGGGCTGTGTGTCCCATGGCCTTACAGGGCAGTGGTGGAGGGTGGCCCAGGTCATCCACTTTCTGGGGAGGCAGAACCAGAAGCACCAGTTGGACAACTACTAGAGATGTTTATGCAGCCTCATATGTTAAGTCATATATTTTGAAAGCTTTTTAAATTTTTTCTTTAAGAAGATTTTAGATGCTTATCACTGAGTACCAGAGGGATGTAGGCTGGTGCCCTTATTAACAAAGTCAGGGACCGTGGCACACAAGGATTGACTACTGCAGATACGGTCACAATGCTACCTCTAGATGGCCTGAATCCCCCTGCCCTCTCTGGTGGGGAGAAGGGCTGGCAGAGCCATTAGCATGGGCTCCGGCCAATCCTGGCCACTTTGATGCTCCTGGTGCTGACCCAGGGTCCTGGAGGAAGGGATGAGGTGGGCAGTAGAGATGCTTAGGGCAGCAGCCCCTTTCCATCCACACTGGAACTATTTCAGTATTTTACCACCAATTCGGCCATTCCGTTGTGCGCTGGCTGAACATCAGCCCTGCTCCAGGTCTCAGTTTCCCCTTTGTAAAAGGAAAGCTCTGGATTCAGGGGTGACCAGAGGTCATCATGGTCTTGAGATTCGAGGCCTGTAGGCAGGGGGTGAGAGGTTCACTAGGAGCACAGAAGGCCAAGGTTGGGGAGAGGCAGCAGAGAGAGTGGCCTCCCTTCGGCCCAGGTGGGAGGTTCACAGAGACACACTTCCTTCTTCCCCAAGGCAGGACTTGTTATAGTGAGCTTCAGGCAGTCTGGCTCTTAGGACTAACTAGGATGTCACCCTCCCTGCAGCATCCACCACTCCATAGACAACATGAGAGGAGTGTGTAAGTATAACTAGAACAAGCTAGTGTCCTGATATTCTCTGTGATGGAGGGGACAGCCCTCCTCAGAGACCCGGGGGGGCCCAGAACCATGGGCAGCCTGAACACACTTTACTTTCTCAGCAGTGAAAATCAGAACCCTGGCCTACTAAAGCAGAAATTAAAAAGAGAAAAACCTAAGTTCCTGCCTGTTCCAGGCTGACTCACTCCAAGGCCGTGCTAGAATTAAGATAACTTTATATACAAGGCCAGGAAGAGCCCAGAAGGAATGGACTCCAGGAACAGGGATGAGAAAAACAAGTTCTTATCAGCTTCCCCCTTTGAGATTCTTTCCCAGGCCAATATTTCTTTGTTCTGCTCTCATAACTATTTTTGTAACTATCTCTGTAAGTTTATAAGGATTTTTTAAGTTCCTGTTTTCCATCTGTGTGACCCTGAGAAGGTCACAAGACATGCCTGAGCAAGCCTAAAATAGTTACCATCTGCTGAGAGCCTGCTGGGTGGCCCAGCAGAGGTCATCAGACATGTTTGAGTCATACACTTGTCACTGTTTGATTAACTGCCTTTGTTCTGCTTCTGTAAGCTTGCTAAGCCCGCCCTGTAAGTTTTGCACAGCTGCATGCTTAAAAACCAGGCCCCGTCTTTTTTCCGGGCTCAGCCTTTTGGATGCAAATCCACTGGGCAAGTGGTCACTTTAATAAAATCCTCCTGTCTCACCCATTGGTCTCTCCAGTCTCTTGAATCCCTCAACACTAAGATGGCTCCAAGACAGCATGTGAGACTTAAGTAATAACTTTTTTGTTTGTTTGTTTGTTTTTATTTTTGTATGAGACTGGGTCTGGCTTTTTCACCCAGGCTGGAGTGCAGTGGTGCAATCACAGCTCACTGCAGCCACTTCCTGGGCTCAAGCCACCCTCCCACCTTAGCTTCCCAGGTAACTTAGGACTACAGGTGTACACCACTATCGCTGGCTAATTTTTGTATTTTTTCCAGAGACGAGGTCTCACTGTCTCACTGAGCTCAGGCTGGTCTCAAATTCCTGAGCTCAAGAGATTTACCAGTCTCAGCCTTCCAAAGTGCTAGGATTACAGGCATGAGACACTGTGCCTGGCCAGTAATTTTGTTTTATTATATTAAGGTGAGGTTTATACCACCTTCTTCTGATTACAGAAGTAATACATGCTCATTATGTAACACTGAAAATGTAAGCAGTATAAAAAAGAAAATAAAAAAGAATATGAAAATCACTAGTGGTCCCATTGTCTACTGATACACTATGTGCTGCTTCCTAATCTTTACTTCCTCTCCCTCCATGTGTGTCTTTGTGTGTTTGTGTGTGTGTCTGTCTGTGTGGTCTTTTTCTTGGCACATAGGACAATAGCTGACAATTATAGCTCCCCTACCAGTGTTGAGCATTGTGTTAAGCAATTAACAAAGTGGATTTTATTTAACTCCTACAGAAAACCTATAAAGGGGAAGGGCAGTATAATTAACAGAATTTCCCAGATGAAAAGACTGGGACCTGACTTGAGGTCACATTTTATATACAGCATTGTATTTTACTTCAGACACTTAACAAAGTAAGTGTCCTGGAGAATCTTGGTCTGTTAGTCTATATAATAACATAAGCATCTTTTGTAGGATTAATAGTTTTTCCAAAGCATGCCTGGAATGCTTGCATAACATTTTAGAGTTTAAATATGTTGTTTATTGCCAGGCATGGTGGCTCATGCCTGTAATCCCAGCATTTTGGGAATCCGAGGCAGGTGGATTGCCTGAGCTCAGGAGTTTGACACCAGCCTGGCCAACACAGTGAAACCCCATCTCTACTAAAATACAAAAAAATAGCCAGGCATGGTGGGGGTGCCTGTATTCCCAGCTACTTGGGAGGCTGAGGCAGGAGAAGTGCTTGAACCTGGGAGGTGGAGGTTGCGGTGAGCCGAGATTGTGCCACTGCACCCCAGCCTGGGCAAGAGTGAGACCTTGTCTCAAAAAAAAATGATTTTATCAAACCGTTTTCATCTTTGAAACATTTTAGGTCTCCTCTTTGGCTTTTTCGCATTATTAATAATACTGTGATAAACATCCTTCAGCAGAAACCTTCATAGGCTAGCTTCCTAGAAGTAGAGGTATTAGGTCCAAGGTTGTGAATTGTTTTAAAGCTATTTATTTTTCTGGATAAAATTGCTTCCAGAGATACTGTCCCATTGCATTGCAATCAGTGGATCTCACCTTCAGTATTTTGTGCAATTAAAAAAAAGAATGCTTCTCCTTTTAAAGATTATATTTAAAATAGCTTTTAAATATGAAAAATTTGTATCTACAAATAAGAGATAGTGAAAAAAATAATAAAAGAAACACAAAAGCAGAAAGTAGATGAAAACATTAAAATTCAAATCACAGGCCTCTGTCATGGAGAGGACAGCTGCAATAGCTTTTTTGTTCTTTTATCTCTGCTTGATACATTCTTCTTTTAATTAATTTTTACCCCAACTTAAGTGCTGGCTGAGTTGTCGATTTGTTGCTGGGATGGAAAGAAGAAATTTGCACCTTGTCTTTTGCAGGTTATGAAAGCCCTGTCTGTCCTCATGGTTATGTGGGGGTCTTTTAGATTATTGTGAATATTGAGCTTTGAAAATAACCTAACAGTCAATCAATTGCTGAGCTTCTATTACCAGTAGTGGGACACAATGTACATCATGTAGAGAGGCAGACTTGTCACTGACAAAAGGGTTGACCCCTGGAAAACCAGCACAGAGCCAGCTCTTCTGTCTGAATCCACTCTTTCCAAAACATAAGTCATGGAAAGAAATAAGAGTCTCAAGAAATGAGACTCTTACCGTGATGAGAGGGGGACCTTGAAAAGCTACTTTAGTGATTAGGGAGAGAAGTCCCTTTTTGCATCCCAAATCAAGCAGAGGACTGGTAGTCCAAATATAATTTCTGAATAACCTGAGTCACCTGGGCCCTGAGGAATCCTGGCCTCTTAGTCCACATTTGCAGAAATATCAGGAGGTCAATCAGGAAGCTGGTTAGGCATCTCAACACAGGGTCAAAAAGCTCCTAGGTATGCAAATAAATGTGCACACTGGAAATTGGTTCAGCAAGTTTTCCATGGCCTAGAGAACTATGATGATGAAAATGTTCTACATTTGTGCTGGCCAGTTCAGTAGCCACTAGCCACATGTGGCTATTGAGTAACTGAAATGTGGGTAGTACAACTGACCAGCTAAATTGTACAACTGACCAGCTAAATTGTAAATTGTTTTATTTGAATTAATTTTAATTTTAATAGTCATCTGGGGCTATTGGCTACTGTATTGGGTAGCACAGAGATGAGAAATAATAGAAACCTTTTTGTTTGGTTGTTTCAAGGGCTAACACTGTCAAAAGCTCAATTCCTGTTTTATGTAAGGTTTTGGTTTATATTTTCTCAAAGAAGTGAAGTACAGAAAAAAGAAAATAAAACAAAAGGATGATCAAGCAGAACTTTGGTAAAGAAGGGTGAAGCAGAGATACTTAACTCAGGGTGGGGACAACAGCAATGACCTTGTTTGAAACGCAGCTCCTGTCTCTGTGGCTCTCTGTGCTCTGCTGGGGCATCAGTTCCTTTACTTCTTAGTTAAAGCAGTTATTTCGATGATGCAATGCTTTTTTGCTCAATAAGCATGATTTTTTACACAGCTGGTTTATCTCCAGTATGGAAGCTCTCTGCTTAATCGTCTTGATTTTTCTGGGCTTGTTCCCACTCTGCAGATGTAAGCATGACACCTGTATCTCTCTCTCCAGGCTCTGATCTAGGATGACAGTTTCTATGTTGTGCCCATCTAGAGAAATACCCAAATTGCAACTTTAGGAAGAGAAAAAGAGGGCCCTGCAAAAGGCATCTACAGGCCCCATGTGCTGTTCACCTTTCTTATTTATGGGTGAAGTGAGTCCTCATCCATTTATTGGGCAGTTGCAAGCAAAGGAATTAACTGACTATGACAACTCACCTTGAGGTACAACAATTTTGTCTGTTTTGAGTTTCCACTGTTGAAAAAAACCTAGTTATTCTAATTAAGAATAGTTATAGATAGTACCTTTTTTTTTTTTTTTTTTTTTTTTTTTTTTTTTTGAGACAGGCTCTTGCTCTGTCACCCAGATTGGAATGCAGCAGCATGATCATGGCTCACTGCAGCCTCAACCTCCCTGGGCTCAGTGATTCTCCCACCTCAGTCTCCTGAGCAACTGGGAATGCAAGCACATGCCACCATGCCTAAATATTTTTTTTGATTTTGTTTTGTTTTGTAGAGATGGGGCTTTGCCATGTCACCTAGGTTGGTATTGATCTTCTGGACTCAAGTGATCCTCTCTCCTCAGCCTCCCAAAGTACTAGGATTACAGGTGTGAAGCAGCATGCCACGCCTATAGTGATATCTTTAAGTAAGCCTCTCCTATCTTTTTTTGAGCAGTTTTTCAAAGCAACAGGCACCTTATTAAATTAGAAAGTTGATGTGCTTCCCTAATGCCTACTAATGAGGTAAAGAACTAAAGAACCTCTGTGATTTCAATGAAGTCCCTTCAGATGTTATGGGCTACTTGTTACTGACAAGTATGGTAGGAACTGTAGGTCAAGCTGTCATAGGCAAATAGATCTTGCTGAAGAGGAAGAATTATTGGCTAAGATAACACCCTAGGACACCTGGCATACTTTAGACACAGCTAAATTGAATGCTTTCTGAGGAGGAGTGTATTAATCTGTTCTCACACTGCTATAAAGATATACATGAGAGTGGGTAATTGAAAAAGAAAAGGGATTGAATTGGCTCACAGTTCCGTGGGCTGTACAGACTTATGCTTATAGGGAGGCCTCAGGAAACTTACAATCATGGAAGAAGGTGAAAAGGAAGCAAGCACATATTCACATGGCTGAAAGGAGTCAGGGGAGGTGCTACACACTTTTTAAACAAGCAGATCTCAGGAGAACTTTATCATCAGACAGCACGAGGGGGATTAGGCTAAACCATTCCATTAGAAACCACCTCTATGATCCAGTCACCTTCCAGAAAGCCCCTCCTCCAAAACTGGCAATTACAATTCCACATGAGATTGGGGGTGGGGGGTGCACAAATCCAAACCATGTCAAGAAGCATTTTAAAAATTGAGGGAAGTTCTAATCAGATAGCAATTCAGGACAGGGCATTTCATCAGCATAACACTCCTCTCAATACATGCCAAAATGGGAAAAAGGAAAAATTGCAAGGACGAAGATGGGACGCAGCAAAATGACAAGATGACTAATAAGATGACCCCTGTGGAAAGCATTTACTGATTCAAAAACCAAATAATGAAGAAAATAAGAGCAAATTTGCTGAGTTTCTATGCTCTTTATGCTTATTAGGGAAGGGCAAAAGCCAGCCCCTCGACATTGTTATTGTTAATTAACATCATCACTGCCTGCTCTTAAGTGTCTAGATACTTTCTAGAATCTAGTATTATCTCCACTCAAATGTTTTTTGGATGTGCCCTTCATGCATGTGATATTGCAAAAACATTCTACATTAGCCACAGCAAGATGACTATGTAATAATTGGGATCACTTTAGGGGAGCATATTTGTACCACATTTTGAGATGGAAAATGAAATAAAGATGTCCATTTGTCAATTTCTTCTACATTATGTCAAACATTCAAAGAGATTATTTTATTTATTTCAAAGATGTATACATGTTGAAATTAAAATTTAAATTAAGAACATTTATAAACTGAGTCAAAAGAAAAGTAAGCGAGGCAGTTGGTTAATGTGTCAGTTAATGCCACCATAGTTCTGCATGCCCTGGAAGTGTCAGGCATAAACAACTCTAAAGTATTCGGCATGCAGCCAGGTGTGGCAGCTCATGCTGTCATTCCAGGACGTTGAGAGGCTGAGGCAGGTGGATTGCTTGAGCTCAGAACTTTGAGACCAAGCAAAGCCACATGGTGGAACCCCATCTCTATGAAAAATATGAAAATTAGCCAAGCATGTCGGTGCCCGCTTTTAGTACCAGCTACTGGAAAGGCTAAGGTGAGAGGATCATTTGAACCCAGGAGGTCGAGGCTGCAGTAAGCTCTGGTTGCACCACTGTACTCCAGCCTGGGTGAAAGAGAGAGACCCTATGCCCAGGACTCTTGGGATATGACTATACCCATAGGGATTGCCCGCAGTAACCTCACATTTGAGTGGAAGTGGAGATCATATGTACCTACACCAATATGTAGCAAAAAAGAAAAACAT
The DNA here is from genome assembly GCF_000001405.40 of Homo sapiens. Lineage (NCBI taxonomy): Eukaryota > Metazoa > Chordata > Mammalia > Primates > Hominidae > Homo > Homo sapiens. The sequence goes on along the minus strand of NC_000002.12, from coordinate 131,663,311 downwards.
AGAAATGATAGCAGAAATGGCCCAAAGAATAAAAGAAGATGGGGGTAATTGAGAGAGGCTTTCTGGTGATAAAATTTGAACTGATTTCTGGAGAATGGGTTGAATTCCAATAGGGGGAGATGGACCAAATTTAATTTTGATGAGGGAAATGTCTTGAGCAAAATCTAGAAAAGGAAAACATGACCATTTTAAGTTTTAATGAGTGGTCCAGTTGGGGTACAGTGCAAGAAGAGAGTTCTAGTGAAAAAGTAGTTGGTCTGATAGGTCAAGGTCTTGCAGGCAGAGGCAGATACTATCATTATTCCATTTTTCAGATTGGAAAACAGACACAGAGAGTCCAAGGTCACAAACCCAGAAAGGGAATCTGGGCAGTCTAGCGGTAGCACCCTCTTCTTAAATGATCCATTAAAGGGCCTCTTCTCCAGGCACTCTAAAACTCTTCTCCATCTTTAGTTCCCCAGAGTACAGTGAGGCCCCGTCTACCTCACAGGATGGGGTCTCAGAAAAGCAACAGATCCCAAATCATACTAGCTTTTAAATAAAAAAATTTATAACCTTGCAAAACAAGAAGTGCAGAGGTTGGGCAAGAGCCAGCCCTGGTTCATTCAGCAGCTCAACAATAAATCCAAGGACCTGGGTATTTCTTCATCTCTCCACACCACCATCCTCATGGGCCAGCTTCTACCTCCTCCTGAATACTGTGTCTTTGCCTAGTTTTCTGATTTTGGCTCAATTGCTGCTTCCTGGAGGCAGACTTTCCTGCCTCTGTCTTGGGGTCAATCCGCCTTCACAGGCTCTTGCAGCACACCTGGGTCTGCTGCACTTTCCCTTATTACATAATTTTGTGACTAACATCAACTCTTTTTGTTAGATTCTAAGCTCCACTAGGGAAGAAATTTTTGATCACTATTGAATCCTGGAGTCTACCACTCAAATATTTGTCAAATGAGTAAATGGTAGCTCTGTGCAGGACCAAGGAACCCAAGAACCACAAGAAATAATCTGCCAAAGTACTCATTACAGCTCACTCTCCTCTGGTGACGTTTCCCTCAGGCACATTCCTGTTGGTTTCTTCCCCTCAAGAAGCATTCTTCTTTCTCCTTCCTAGAAAAGCCAGGTTTTTCTCAGATAGCCACACCATGCCCCATGCAAAGAGATTTGGATTATTCTACCATCTTGAGGCATTTCTGCGGAAACTGCTATCAGCCCAGGTGGCCCATGACCTAAGCTGACCCAAGCCAACTGAAGGGAGGACGTATTCTATGCACCCTATGCAGTTCCACAGGGTGCTGGTTTCCCCAGCTGCTGCTGGTGGTCATCACGTAACCAAGGTATTGCTAGTGCTTATGGAGAAAACAGAGCAAGTGGAGAGAAACTGAGTAGGTAAAAGTGGACAGGGCTTGGTGATGTTTGGGATATGAGGGATAAGACAGAGGATGGTCTTAGGAAAATCGCCTGTTCTTTCCTTTTGGAAAATGGTATAGATGAATAAAAGTTCCAATCACTGGGATAGAAAACACTTGGAAAATACGAGATTCATCCAGGCAAGTCTTTCATAAACTATTCCATAATCAGTTTCATAAGTGAAAGGGAGTCAGATCTCCACCTTGTTTGCTTCTATCATACTGTGTTGTATTGTTGGATCTACTTATCATATTCTTCCTGGTAGCAGACTTACCTACTAATGTTTGCACTTCCTCCTTGCCGGCCTGGAAGCTCTGAGGCAGCAGGAGCAGTGTGTGTGCACGCATGTCTGAGTGCACTTTCGTGTGTGTGTGTAATTGGATTCCCTACAGCACATTATTGTTTTATCCATAGTAAATGGTGGATGAATATTTGCAGGATTTAGCTGGACTGCAGCATTGTGGAGGTCAGATAACCCCATTTTGATAGAGAAGTTGCATTCTAACCTTGAAGTAAACAAAATACCCATCTTATCAGCCTCCCTCGCACTGGCTGTGCCTTTCCTTTGTGGTTGTATGTTTAAAGAGCTCATCCAACAAGCTTCTTAAAAAGGGGATTGGACCTTTGCCAGCCTCGGGCTGCATGGCAGGGTGACTGTGTCTTTGAATATCCCGGATGGAGGCTGGTCATCCTTTTGTCTTTGGGTGAATAGACTACTCAGGAAGGCAGGGATGAATGCACCCCCCACCCCGCATTCTTGTTAATGAGTTTGCAATTTATTTTGGCAGATCTAAAATAATATTTCAAAGGCAGTGTAGAAGCAGATGGGGACATTACTTGTAATTGTTTAATACTGTTATGACATGACATTTGCTTACAGAAAGAGAGGCAAGCCACCATCTTCAAGGGAGGGCATAGTCATCCACTGTGATCCTGGTGTCCATGTTGGAATATCATGGCAACTATCTCCCAGCACTGGACTTGATTACTTCTACTGCATTCCCAGTGATAGCTGAGTTGCTTTATTTACTTTCTTCAACACCATTTGTGAAAGGGAAGCTAGAAAACTGCACTATGTATGGCTTCGTGCACTGAAAATTTGACGTTATCAAAGGAGGCATGATCTTGTCTCTCTCTATCCCTCTCCAAATGTTTTCTATAATTATATTCAAAGGCTCATGGGTCTTACCATGGGTCATCAAGGAAGGGCTGGTAACTTTCAACCACAGGTAAAATATTACAAACACTGAAACCTGCATTTTTACAGGTGAGAGAAATGAGGCCAGAAAAGTTAAGTGCATCATGTTGAATACAATTTTATTTGGTGATCAGGCAGCCTGGGTTCAAATTCTGGCTCTATTGCTACCAATTAAGCCACTTAACTCCATCTGAGCCTCAGGTTGCCCATCTGTGTCATAAGCAGTAACAGCAGCTATCCTGTAGGACTACTGTGAGAATTACAACTCACTGTTTTGCTTGAATAAAGCAACCTTGGAGTATCTCAGGGGAGGGTGTTAGTTATCATCTGCTCAGGCACGGTTTCATTTACTATATACCCAGAGACTAGCACTGTACAAGTTGTGGGGAGATACTCATGTGAGTTGGTGGACTTTTGGTCAAATATTTTGCCTAAACTCAGGTCTCTATGGCATTCTACAGAACACTCTGCATCCTTCTAAGGGATACTGGAAGAGCAAATGGATTGTACAGTGAGTTACAAATAAAATGGCCAATCTCAGCGTGAAAGACTGAGGGTGTTACCTGAATGAGGATGCAGACCCTCCATCTACATACAAGCAAACCTAAGTGACCATGAGCCTGCCGGAAAGAAATCACATGCTATGTAAAGGCTTAGTAACAGTGATGAATATTTGAACTTGAACTCCAGCTCCAGAGCAGTTCAGTGGCCTCTCTTCCAGGAACAGAAGCCAAAGCAGCTCAGGATTCTTGAAGACTCTGAAAGGTCAGTGAGAATCCTGGTATATGTCAAGACTTTCCCATCAAAGAAGGGCTCTGTGTGTAGAGACTTAGAAAAGATTCCCAACTTCGGCCCCTTCAAAACCAGAAACAAAGGTGAGGGACAGCCCAATTAAGTGGCCGTAGAGATTTGCCCAGAAGCTGGAGCCCTCCGGAGAAGTCCAGTTTTCCTATGCAGGGAGAGGACTGGGAGTTCTCTGGTCACAAGCATTCTGCCTTTGTTTTCATGAAGCTATGCCTCTTACCTGGTAAGAAAAATGGAACTGCATGCAGCTGCTGAAAACTTTAACCAGAAACCCAAAGATGTTGGCACAAAGAAAGGAGGCCTGAAGAAAACAAGTGACCATGAAAAAACATTTAGCTCTTAATCTGACCCATTTCTTATGGGCCAGGCCTGGTGCCAGGAATGCGGTGATGAATAAAGCGGTGAGCTGAGACTGTGAGGATGAGAGGGAGTCCTGTGGGGATCTGGGATGATAGAAGGGCCCCGCAGATAGGTGACCCCGTGGCCAGAAGTTCTGCTGAGTGGAAAAGGGCTTGGAGTAACTGAAGTCAGCAGGATTCCTTAAACAAAGCTCAGAGCCCTTGAAGCCATCTAAGGGCACACTTCTCAGGCCTGCTCCAAACCACACTCAACTGGGAGTCTTTTAAGGACAGCTGCTCTGTTAGGCTTGCCAGAGATGGTGCAGTTTTCCCCTGTGGCGGTAGAGGCACAGACCGCCTCTGTGCAGGAGCGGGGCCTCACGATCCCTTGGACTAGGGCAAAGGAGGATCTCTGCCTCTCCCCGTCCTGGGCTAAGACATGGGAGGACCCCGACCCATGGCTCCACTGACTCTGGCACCAGAGGACCCCCGCTCTCCAGCGCCCTAGACTGAAGCAGGAGAAGACCTCAGACCTGCTCCGCCCTGAACCAGAGTACGGTGGGACCCGCGACCCTCCCTGGCCTCAGGCACTGGAGGACCCCTGCAACACCATGCACTAGACTATGCTACTGAAGGACCTCTCACCCGGCTCCACCCTGGACTAAGGCACCAGAGAATCCCCGCCCCGCCCCATCCCGCTGTGTCCTGGGCTGTGCCACTGCAGAACCCCCGCCTCTCCACACCCTGGATCCTGGCTCCCGAGGACCTCGGCCGTGGCTCGCCCTGAACTACTCCTGCCCCTCTGTGCTCTGGACTGTGGTTCCACAGGACCTGGTCCTGAGGCAACTTGGGCTACCGCGTGGACTCCAGGACCCCAGTCCCGCTGGGCCCTAGACCAAGACACGGGAGAACCTGTGACCCACCGCCCCCTGGTTAGGGCACAGAGGATCCACACCTTGCCGTGCCCTGGACTACAGCACGGAGGGACCCCGATCTGCCGGGCACTGGGCTCCTGCACAGAGGAGCCCCTGCCATGGAGGTCTGGACTGTCCTTGCCCCACCGCACCCTGGACTACTGCACGCCAAGACCCTCGCCTGAACGCGCCCTACACTCTGGCATGGGAGAACCCTGCCCCGCAGAGCCCTGGACTCCGCCACTGGAGGACTCGCACTCCATTACGTCCTGGACTTCTGCACCAGAGGACTCCTGCCCCGCCGCACCCTGGACACCTGCACTAGAGAACCCTGCCCGGTCGCCCCCTAGACTATGGCATGGGAGGACCCTTGCCACTGACTTCGGCACGGTAAGACCCCTGACCCGCCATGCACTGGATTCCAGCACTGGAGGACCCCCTGCCACGGCGCTCTCTGGGTTACTGCTGCCCCACCGCGTCCTGCACTACAGCATAGCAGAACAGCCGTCCCACCGCGCACTGGACTGAGGCACAGCAGGACCGGGGTCTCGTGCATGGTGACTGCAGGACGAGGTGACCCCCGCCCCGCCGCGCGTTGGACTATGGCACAGGAGGCCCACCACTCCCGCATGCCCTGGACCACTGCAGGACAGGTCCCCCACTCCGCCGTGCTCTGGAATATGGCACTGGAGGACCCCTGTCCTGCCGCTCCGCGGACTCCACCACCGAAGACCCTCGCCCCCCTGCGCCCTGGACAAAGGCACGCGAGGACCTGGCCTCACCGCCCCGTGGGCTATCGCATAGGAAAACCCCCACCCCACCCCCACCTCGCGCCAGAGACTCTGACAAGAGAGGACCCCTGCCCGCTGCTCCCCGGACTGCAGCAAGGCAGGAACCAGACTCCTCAGAGGTCCTCACTATGGCAACTGTGGATCCCCGCCCTGGTACCCCTGGCCTAAGTCACTGAAGGACCGTGACCCCCAACACGCCGTGAACTCCAGCATTGGAGGACCATTGCCTTACTGCGGACTCAGGCACTAGACTATCACAAGGCAGGATCCCTGTCCCACCATGCCCTACATTATGGCACGGGAGGATCCAGCCTTACTGCGCTCTGGACTCCAGCACCGGAGGACTCCTACATGGAGGACTCCCGTTCTGCCACGTCCTGGACTCCTGCAGAAGAGAACCCCCGCCCCGCTGCAACCTGGATATAGCAAGGCAGGAATCCCGCCCTGTCGCGCTCTGGACTGTGGCACTTCAGGATCCACGCCCCAGCGCGCCCTGGACTACTGCTCCGCAGGACTCCTGTTCCACTGCACCCTGGGCTATGGCACCAGAAGACCCAGCTCCTGGGGGCCTGGACTACGGCACCGGAGGACCCAGCTCCCGGCAGCCTGGACTATGGCACCAGAGGATCCAGCCCCTTGCGCCCTGGACTATGGCACCAGAGGATCCAGCCCCTTGCGCCCTGGACTATGGCACCAGAGGACCCAGTCCCCCGCTTCCTGGACTAAGGCACAGTAGGACCCCGCCGCATCGTGTACTCCTGCTCAAGAGGACCCTCGCAGGGCAGCGCATTGGACTAAGCTACTGAAGGAGCCCCACCCCTGCCTCTCCCTGGACTAAGGCACTGGAGAACTCTTTGCGCCACAGAGCCGCGGACTCTTGCACAAGAGAACCTCTGCCCAGCCGTGCTATGGACTGTGGCACAGTAGGGCCCACACCGCGCCATGGACTCCTGTACTGGAGGAAGAGTAGTGATAAATGTCCAGGTTTACAACTTGAAAAGTAGCAATCAATGTGCTACAATAGATGACAAATGCTGAAAACATTATGTGTAATTGCCTAGCCAGAACAATTACACAAGACAAAGACGTAAAAGAAATCCATATAGGGAAGGAAGAAGATGTAAGATTGTTTCTGTTTTCTGAAAATATAATCTTAAGATAGAGAAAATCTTAAAGATTCCACCAAAATAAACGGTTAAAGCTGATGAAGAAATTCAATAAAGTTAATAGTTACAAAATCAACATACAAATATCATTATTGTTTCTATAAACTAATGACAAACTATTACCTGAAAAATAAATTAATAAGGCAATTCAATTTATAATAGAATCAAAACATATATAAATATATAAAAGACAGCAGTAAATTTAATCAAAAACGCAAAAGATTTGCATACTGAAAACTATAGCACATTGATGAAAAAAATTAAAATGGCATAAATAAGTGGAGAAACATCCTTTATTGATGAATTCAAAAATTAGAATTGTAAAAGTGTCAATGCTACCCAAAGCAATCTACAGAGTAAATGCAACCACTATCAAATTCCAATGTCATTCTTCACAGAAATAGAAAAATTACTGCTAAAATTTGTATGGAACCACAAAAGACCTGGACCAACCAAAGCAATCTTGAACAAAAAGAACAAAGCTGGAGGCATCAGACTACCCGACTCCAAACTCTATTACAAAGCTATAGTAATTAAAACAGCATAGTAATGGCATAAAAACAGACATGTAAAACAGTACAAAGGGATATAGAACCCGTAAATAAATCCGTGTGTCTGTGGTCAATTGATTTTTTTGATAAAATAACTAAAAATACACAATGAAGAAAGAAAATTACTTTCAATAAATGGTGTAGAAAAAACTGACTATCCACATACAGAAGAATAAAATTTGACTTTTATTTTGCTCTTTATACAAGCATCAAATCAAAATTAAAGTCTTAAATTTAAAACTACTACAAGGAAATATAGAAGAAGACTGTATGACATTGGCCTGAGCTATGATTTTCTGTAGATTATTCCAAAAGCACAGGCAACAAAAGCAAAAACACACAAATGAGACTGCATAAAACTTAAAAGCTTTTCCACAGGAAATGAAGCAATAACAGAATGAAGAGAACCCACAAATGGGATAACATTTTTAAACCATACATCATATAAGGGGCTCATATAATAATATATAAGTAACTCAACCTACTCAAAAATAAGAAAAAAACTATGCTTATTAAAAAAATAAGCAAAGAATCGGAATAGACATTTTCTATGGCATACAAAAGACCAACAGGTGCATGAAAAAATCATAAACATTCCTAATTATCAGAGAAATGCAAATCAAAGCCACCATGAGATATCACCTCACACATTTTACTACGGCTATTATAAAAAAAGATGGAAGTTAAGTGTTGATGAGGATGTAGAGAAAAAGAAACCCTGTACACTGTTGGTAGGAGTGGAAATTAGTACAACCATCTTGGAAAACAGTATGAAGCTTCCTCAAGAAATTATAAATATATTTACCCTATGATCCATCAATCCCACTTCTGGATATGTGTCCAAAGGAATTTCAATCAGTATGTCAAAAAGAGACATATGCAATTTCATGTTCATTGCAGCAATATTCATAATAGCCATGAATTAGAAACAACCTAAGTGCTTATCAACTGAAGAATGGATAAAAATACGTGGAAAAATTGGAACCCTTCTACACCGCTGGTGAGATTTTAAAATGTAAAACAGTCTGGAAGTTCTTCAAAAGGTTAAACATAGAGTTATCACATGACCCAGCAATTTCACTCCTATGTATTTACCAAAAAGAAAATAAAACAAATGCTACACAAACAGTAGTACACAAATGTTTATAGCAACAAAAAGTAGAAAACAACAGAAATGTTCATCAACTGAGGAGTGGATAAATAAAATGTGGTGTGTCTATAAAGTAGAATCTTATTTGGCAACAAAAGGGAAAAAAGTGTTAATGCATGCTCCAAAATGGATGAACATTAAAAATATGTTAAGTAGTGAGTAAAAAATGACTATGTGTTATTATGATTCCATTTATGTGACATGCCCAGAATAGGCAAATTCATAGTCAGAAAGTAGATGAGCAGTCATCTAGACTAGGAGGGGTTTAAAAAAGGCTAGAGAAAATAGGGAAAGATTGCTAATGGGTGCAAGACTCTTTTAAGGAGCATTAAAATGTTCTAAAATTATATTATGATGATTATTTGTCCACCCAGTTAATACACTAAAAGAATTTGAAGTTTGTACTTTAAATGAGTGAATTACATAATGTATAAATTATATCTCAATAAAGCTGTGGAAAGTTAAAAGTATATGTAGGATGCATACAAAAATACTACTTATCTTTATAAATGAATGAAATTCTGTCATTTGCAAAAACATGGATGAATTTAGAGGACATTATACAAAGTAAAATAAGCCAGACACAGAAAGACAAATATCTCATAATATCACTTATATGTGAAATCCAAAAATGTGCACTCATAGAAGTTAAGAGTAGAATGGTGGTTTATCAGACGCTGAGCAGGGTGGGCGGCAGGGGTGGAAAAAGGGGAAATATTGAATGGGATAATGCTTCAGTTAGGAGAAAGACATTCTGGTGATATGGTACACAGCAAAGTGACTGCAGTTACTCATAATGTAGTGCATATCTTAAAAGCACTAAAATAGTACATTTTAAATGTTTCACCATAATGTAATAAATATCTGAAGTGAAGGATATGTTATTTAGCCTAATTTCTCCATTTCACAATATTTACATGTATTGTACCACATTGTACCCCATATATATTTATCAATAAAAACAAAATTTTCAGAAGTTAGAAAAACACATGTGCTAGATCTTCATCTAAAGACATTTCTGAGAAAAACGTATCTGTTTTCTTTCAGAAGAAATTTGTGCCTAATAGATATTATGATCAGGTAAAGGTTCTGCATGCTTCTATTTTGAATAATATTTTCCCCTTAGAATCACAAAGTGTGAATGCCTTTTATTTCAGAGGTCTAGCCCTAAACGGTTTAGTCAATTGCATCATGCATTCTGAAATAAGTACTGGTGCATTTGTGAAGGTACTATGTATAATTGTGTTTTTAATTTAACTAGCATATAAGTCTACTTTTCTAGTTAAGAGTCTATATTTTATAGAGGCCCTCCATATATATATAAGAGCTTTTCTGACAGTATATCCATTAAATTTCAAAGATAGGTAAAGGAACAATTTTGCTTTTATTTTTTATTATTGTTATTATTTTTTAAGGCTAGTCAAGTGAAGCTGTGGGAGTGGAGAAGGAACTGCTTTAATTTTTATGTGTTGGTGTTACAGGCTATATGTGACAGGCTATATATTTGTCTGCTGAATTTTAGAAACAAAGTGAAATATTTATTTCATATTTCATTAGATTTAGGGATGATGATTACACTGAAAGATTGGGACTAGACTGAAGGCACCACATCATCAATCACTTGGAAACAAGATTTTGCCTATGTGTTATGTTATATTCACAAAAACTTTTATTGTGTCAGGCAATATAGCTCCCTATTGAAATATGTGAAAAATGTAGGGGAAAAAAAAGGCAATATTTGTTGTCAAGGGATATTTAGGCCTGAGATGCGTGATGCAAATATTCAAAACATACACTTTTTAAAAATTAGATTTAAAATGTAAATTGAAGCAGAGCATTTAGAAAAAGACATAATATCTACTATTAGTCCTGGGTTAGAAAAGTTAAAATACTAAATGAAAAAATAATGCTTCTTGGGTGGCTTAAAATCGAATATGAGACAAAAAGTTACTCAGAAATTGTTCTAAGATTAAAAACATGTATAGTTTCTTTGATATAAAATGAAATAAATGTCTGGATATAACTTTAATAGAATAGAATAGGGAGACAAGGGCAAAGAGCAGGTGTATGAAGAATACAGTGAACATATTATTGTAACAATGAGAGGGACAGAGTTGAATGATTGCTCTTGGAGACAAGGGATTTTGATGTCTAAGTTAATGACAAATCTTTTGTTTGCAAGTTAAAAAAAATGTAAGTTAAACCTGGTGAAGGAATAAAGGGTGGTTGGGGGGATGATTCTTTGTACACTAAACTTGTTTTAATGACTAATGAATTAATCGTAAGTTCAAATGATTTTATGGAGGCCCTTTCTTTTTTATTTGATGTTTCTGGACTCCTTTTTTCTTTGTATGTGCTCCATTTTTACCTACTTGAACAATTTTTACCCGCAAAGTTTAGGAAACACTGTAACCAAATGTTCCAACATGATGTGAACCCTGAAAGCATTTGCAGCTGGGGGAGTAGGGTAAAAGAGGTTTGTCTTTCAACAAATGCATGTTAATCTCGGTGAAAACTTAGAAGTTTAAAATGGTCCTCCTTGGGTCATGTGGCTACCCCAGGACCAATCATTGCACCAGACATAGGAGATAATCTCAAAAGCCAGGCTGGAGTCAAGGTTCTCCAGTGGAGTTTCCATTTTAGAAATCAGTTTTGTCAGGCTTTGTGTTTGCATATTACAGACATGATAGCCATATAGCTATCTATTCCACTTCCAGTAGAGATGAAAACCTAAGAGCGTATGCCCATTCAAAGGATTTTACATGAATCTTCATAGCAGCTTTACTTGCAACAGCCAAAACCTGAAAACATTCCAAATGTCTATGGCAGGTGAATTTGTGACTTATAAACTTACTATGGTATATGTATATAATGAAATAATACTCCCTAGTAAGAACAGAACAACTGATAGATGTAGCAACATGAATAAATCTCAAAAATAGTGATGCTGAGTGATCAGAAAGTATACATACCCTATGATTTCATGTATTTGGAAATAAAAACTCACAGATAGTGACTGGAAGTGGATCAATGGTTGCCTGTGGATGGGATGGGGATAGGCAGGAAAAAGTGAGTAGAAAAAACACAAGAAAACTTTGGTGGTAAAGGTAATGGATATGTTTGCTATTTTAATATGTTGCTGGTTTTATAGAGCTACAAATGCCAAGAATTATCAAAATGTACAATTGAAGTGTGTGCAGTTTATTGCATGTAAGTAAACCTTTTAAAAATTAACCGATACAAATTGACTTACATGACTAGAAAGCTCTTGAAAAACTCTCCTATTTTTATTCTTGCATGCCCTTATAGACTGTGTTAACACATTTCTCATCTTACTGTTCTTTTGTGTCTACATTTCTCCAGGTCAATATAACTATCACCATAATTTCTTGGTTTCTCTTTAGTTCATTAGTAATTATGAGTAATGTATTGAAATGTTAAAGATATGTTAATGCATTCAGAATCCTCTGCTCTCTGATCCACATAATAGTGAATTATGCTATCAACAATTACACACAGTATATTGCTTTTTTTTTTTGGGGGGGGGGACAGAGTCGCGCTTGGTTACCCAGGCTGGAATGCAATGGCACATTCTGGGCTCACTGCAACCTCCACCTCCTGGGTTCAAGTGAGTTTCCTGCCTCAGCCTCCTGAGTAGCTGGGATTACAGGCATCTGCCATCATCCCCGGCTAATTTTTGTATTTTTATTGGAGACAGGGTTTCACCATGTTGACCAGGCTGGTCTTGAACCTCTGACCTCAGGTGATCTGCCTGTCTTGGCCTCCCAAAGTGCTGGGATTATAAGGATGAGCCACCACGCCCAGCCAGAATATTCCTAGTTTTGCAAATAGCTACAATTGACCCTGATCTGGACACATTGAGTTGATCATAGCTTTGTAAAAGAGGATAGCATTGTAAAACTACAAAATTAGACTAATAATAAATAACATAGAATGCTTTCAGTATAAGAAATAATACTATCCTAAGCAAAAATAAATAAATAAATAAAACTGGAGGAATTATCTGACTTCATATTATACTACAGAATTATAGTAACAAAAAGAGTATGGTACTGGCATAAAAACAGATCCATAGATCAATGGAACAGAATACAGAACCCAGTAACAAATCTACATACCTACAGTGAACTCATTTTTGACAAAGGTGCCAAGAACATACACTGGTGGGAAATGGTGTTGAAAAAACTGGATATCCATATGCATAAGAATGAAAACAGACTAGTATCTATCACCAAATACAAAAGTAAAATCAAAGTTGTTTAAAGATGTAAAGCTAAGACCTCAAACTATAAAACTAGTACAAAAAAACTTTGGGGAAAATCTCCAGGACATTGGTCTGGGCAAAAATATCTTGAGCAATACCCCACAAGAACAGGCAATCAAAGCAAAAATGGACAAATGGATCGCATTAAGTTAAAAAGCTTCTGTACAGAAAATGATACAATCAACAAAGTTAAGAGACAATCCACAGAATGGGAGAAAATATTTGCAAACTACTCATCTGACAAAGGATTAATAATCAGAATAAATAAAAAGCTCAGACAACTCTTTAAGAAACAATCTAATGACCTGGTTAAGAAAAAGGGGGCAAAAGATTTGAATAGATATTTCTCAAAAGGAGACCTACAAATGGCAAACAGGTATAAGAAAAGGTGCTCAATATCACCGATCATCAGAGAAATTCAAATCAAAACTACAATGAGATATCATCTCACCACAGTTTATATGACTTGTATGTAAAAGACAGGCAATAACAAATGCTAGCAGGGATGCAGAGAAAAGGGAACTCTTGTACCCTGCTCCTGGGAATGCAAATTAGTAAAACCACTAAGGTAAACAGTTTGGATGTTTCTCAATAAACTAAAAGTTTAGCTACCATATGATCTAGCAATCCTACTGCTGGGTCTACACCAAAAATAAAGCAAATCAGTATGTCAAATACATATCTGCACTCCTGTATTTGTTGCAGCACTGTTTACAAAACTAAGATTTGGAAGAAACCTTAGTGTCCATCAACAGATGAATGGATAAAGAAAATGTGGTACATATACACAACGGAGGACTGACTATTCAGCCATAACAAAGAATAAGATCCAGTCACTGTCAGTAACATTGATGGAACATTATGGATCATTATGTTAAGTGAAATAAGCCAGGCACAGAAAGACAAATGTCACATGTTCTCACTAATTTGTGGAATCTAAAATCAAAACAAACTCACGGACATAGAGAGTATAAGGATGGTTATCAGAGGCTGGGAAAGGTAGTCGGTAGGGGCGGTTTGTGGGAAGGTGGGGATGGCTAATGGATATAAAAATAGAGAGTTAATAAGACCTACTATTTGATAGCACAATAGGGTGACTATATTCAATAATAATTTAATTGTACAGTTTGACATAACTAAGACTGTAATTGAATTTTTTATAACTTGAAGGATAAATGCTTGAGGGGAGGGATACCCCATTCCCCATGATGTGCTTATTTCACATTGCATGCCTGTATCAAAACATCTCATGGACCCCACATACTATGTACCCACAACACATACGATGTACCCACAACACATACTATGTACCCACAACATTTTTAAACAATCTAATACAATTTTTTAAATGGCACTTACTTTTTGTTACCTTCAACTATTGTAAAATATGTTCTATTATTTATGATTAGCCCTGTTTGAAAACAAATTTTAAAAACACTATTTAAAACCAAATAAATGGACTAAGAGTAACTTGCATAAAAATGACAGAAATTGCTGCTACTTCTTCTAATTATTGAGATGGTATTTCTGTATTTGTGAATGATCTGATAGAAAATTGAATTGTTTCCAACATTATTTTTCATAATTAAACATGTTATATTGCTACTTCTTTAAAAGTAGCCTTTAAAATATTACCAACCTATTTTAAAGTCTACTTGCCAAAATATTAAACTATTCTTTAAAAAAAGTAATTTATTTAACTACCTAACTTCCTCAAGCAATGTCCTAATTTTCTCAAGCAATTATCTGATTTTCTCAAGCAATTGACATTATCAAGTTGCGCTAGTTAACTGCTGAGAATCATTGTCTACATATGAGATAAATCATCTGTCAATCCTTTAAAGACTTTATGAGCCATAGAGATTGTAGTCCAATCTGTATGATCGACTTTAAACATTGGGTAATTGACACTCCATGTTGCCTGTAAGCCTATTTCACAGCAGCTGAGTGATGTTAATAGGTACTTCTTGGAGTGCCATTTTCCTTATAACTCTTAGATTAATTCAGATTGACTGAGTTCTGTGTCAGTGGAAATTGCCAGAATTATATCATTGTGTTTTGCATCTAGTTTCACTTTTCCAAAAGCCTACACAGATTTCAGATGTTTAGAAAATAGCTCGTTTTCCTTCTGGGTAATCTTTTTCATGTCACCACTCTTGTCAGCATCTACGTTGGGCAAATTTCCTAGAACCTCCCTTCTGCTTCTTTTAAAATACGAAAACAAAATCAACGTAGCACAGCAAGCCAGGGAAAGTCTGCTTTGATTGACTTACGACCATAGTCACCCAGCAGTTCCTTCACATGTGGCTTCCCAAGTCAGACACTGAGTCCACGCGCTGTCCTCCTGCCTGCAGAAGTGGCTCTGAGAGCTGTTTGAGGAGAAAATGTGGGACTTTGGGCTTCAGCCCGAGGAGAACACGGTGGAGATGGAGGAGCCCCTGGGCGTCCGCAGGTTAACTGAAAACATGAGAGGACACAACCTGTCACTAACCTGTAAAGAACTCTGACCAAGCCGACTGGGCACTCTTGTCTGCGCGCCTGCCTTTGCCACCACGTGTGCGGGAATGCCTGGGGCATGACTGGGCCATCCCAGTGTTCTTATTTTTAGCCATTCCGAGGTTACCCCTCAGCAAAACGCTAGAGGCTGGCAGACACAGTGGAGCATCCTGCAGTAGGGATCCGAAGCCGTAGAATCTCCAAAGGGCCACTTGACCACGTCCCAGAAGCTCCAGCTCAGGCTGGACATTGCCCAGAAAGCACAGATCGTCTTTGGCAAGACCTCCCGGATTGTGGTTTTAATTTGCATTTCTCTGATGGCCAGTGATAATGAACATTTTTTCATGTGTCTGTTGGCTGCATAAATGTCTTGTTTTGGTAAGTTGTCTGTTCATATCCTCCCACTTTTTGATGTGATTGTTTTTTTCTTGTACATTTGTTTAAGTTCTTTGTAGATTCTGGATATTAGCCCTTTGTCAGATGGGTAGATTGCAAATATTTTCTCCCATTCTGTAAGTTGCCTGTTCACTCTAATGGTAGTTTCTTTGGCTGTGCAGAAGCTCTTTAGTTTAATTAGATCCCATTTGTCAATTTTGGCTTTTGTTGCCATTGCTTTTGGTGTTTTAGACATGAAGTCCTTGCCCATGCCTATGTCCTGAATGGTAATGCCTAGGTTTTCTTCTAGGGTTTTTATGGTTTTAGGTCTAACATTTAAGTCTTTCATCCATCTTGAAAAGTTAATAATAATAATAATAATAATAATAATAATAATAAAATGGAAGAAATTAAAAAAAAAAAAAAGGCCTCCCGGAGACCAGGAACTTGGTCGGTGCTCGCGGGCTGAGATCGAGCTCTGGGGCGCCTTCCTGTCCTTCTGCTTCTTCCTTGGCCGCCTTAGTGGGCGCGCCTTGCCATGGGTCTCCCTGCGGGCAGCGCGGTGGTGCTCCTGGATGTCACCTCCAGGAGCTTTTGGGACTGCGACCGGCACCGGGCGCACGGCACCCGCGGATTGGCCTCCCCACGCCCGGCTCAGGTACCTCCAGCGCTCCGCAGTGCGGGCTGCAGGCGACCTCAACGTGGAGCTGCTGCCAGCGCCACAGGCCCCAGGGAGGCCCAGGATCTGCTTCCCAGTCCCAAGAAGGGCAGTTTCGGAAAGTCTTTGGCGTGATGGAAGGCGGCGCCCATCCGGGGCGGGGCTGAGAACTAGGCTGGCGCCGCTGCCTGGTAAGCGGGAACCAAGAGACCCACGGCCTCCATCCAGAACCAGGTGCTTCTCCAAATCCCGGACTTCTAGGAGGAGCAACGACGTCAAGCTGCCTGACACCAGGAACACCCATAAGTCCCCGCTCCTGTCTGTCCTTCCGCACTCAGGAGAGGGGATGGCCGCAGGGACGCCATCCGCCCATAAACCGCTGGTGTTTGCTGCCATGGTGCACGGAGATGCGGTCCCCGAGGCCACTTTCGGCCAGGACGCCGGGATCTTATCAGCGGCGGCATCCCGCGCTGACACTCAGTATTGACTTTCCCCAGACATTGCTGGATTTTTTCCTTTTTAAAGCAATTTTGCAGTGGGAGAACAAAAAAGGGCATCCTCAGAGCTTTTGCAAAATTCTCCTGGACCTGTGGTTCTATGGTGTTCACCTCTGCGTTTTACTGACCACTAATGGGCCAGAGCTCCTAAAGCCTATAGGGGTCCCCCTGCCCCACCGGGCGCTTTAGACACCCCTGAGGGACATTCGCAGCTCAGGAGGATAAAGATCCTCAGGGGCCTGCTGCGAGGAGGACATGCAGCCCCTCGGCCGTCACGTCTTCCTCCATTCCAGCCTGGAAAGAGAGACCTTGCCCTCCACCCCACAGGCCTTCATGACCTTGGGACCCACTCTTTAGAGGCCACGTGCGTTTCCACTGCCAAAGCAATGACACAGGAGACGGAAAGAAATTCTTGGCCGGGCGCGGTGGCTCACGCCTGTAGTCCCAACACTTTGGGAGGCCAAAGCGGGTGGATCACGAGGTCAGGAGATCGAGACCATCCTGGCTAGCAAGGTGAAACCCCGTCTCTAAGAACACACAAAAAGTTGGCGGGCACCTGTAGTCCCAGCTACTGGGGAGGCTGAGGCAGGAGAATGGCGTGAACCCAGGAGGCGGAGCTTACAGTGAGCGGAGATCCTGCCACTGCACTCCAGGCTGGGGGACAGAGCGAGACTACGTCTCAGAAAAAAAAAAAAATTTCGCCCTCACTATATGCCCAAGTAATTTCTCGATCAGAGCCCAGAGTCATGGGACCCACACCGCCAGCTGACACATGAAAGTGTGGCAACGATGTGGTGGTGTCTCTGTGTGGCAGCGTGGTGGTGTGTCTGTGTGGCAGTGTGTCCGCATTTGTGTGGTGGTGTATCCATGTGGCAGTGTGTCTGTGTGGTGCTATCTCCACATGGTGGTGTATCTGCATGGTGATGTCTCCGTGTGACAGTGTTTGTGTATGTGTGTGACGGTGTCTGTGTGTCCTTGTGTCCACATGGCAGTGTGGTGGTGTGACAGTGTGGCGGTGTGTCTGTGTGTGGCAGTGTCCATGTGGCAGTGTGTCTGTGTGTTCATGTGTGTGATGGTGTGTCCATGTGACAATGTGGTGATGTCTCTTGTGTGTCTGTGTGTCCCTGTGGTAGTGTGACGGTGTGTCCATGTGGTGATGTCTCCGTGTGTCTGTCCATTTGACAGTGTGGTGATGTCCCCATGTGTCTGTGTGTCCCTGCGATAGTGTGGTAGGGTGTCCGTGTGGTGATTTCTCCGTATGTCTGTGTGTCCGTCCATGTGACTATGCCAGTGTGTCCGTGTGATGGTGTGTCCATGTGGTAATGTCTCCATGTGTCTGTACATGTGAGTCTGGTCGTGTGTCCATGTGGCAGTGTCTCCGTGTAACAATGTGGCGGTGTTCCCTCCCAGCTTGCGGAGCTGGCATCTTTCCCTCTCAGCCCAGGATGCCTCAGGAGGCCCCAGCTTGAACATAAAATATTGATATTTTACACATTTGCACATAATTAGAATTTCGAAGCCGTAATTGCAGATAAGGTAGTCTAGGACATGACAATATTGATGTAAGAAAGCCATAAGCAATGTTTATTTTCAATCAGATTTACTAAAAAATTTTATTGAACTGGTCAATTTTCTTTGCCAATATTACTGTATTCTTATTTCTAGTAATAGAAGTGTGAAAAAGCATCAGGGAAACTTAAACTGCATTCTCATACTGACTGCATACAACAATTCTGAAAACAGCGGAAGTTATATATATCCCCCATAAGTAAAACATGAGTAACACAACAAAAGA
Source organism: Homo sapiens (assembly GCF_000001405.40). Taxonomy (NCBI): domain Eukaryota; kingdom Metazoa; phylum Chordata; class Mammalia; order Primates; family Hominidae; genus Homo; species Homo sapiens. The sequence goes on along the minus strand of NC_000002.12, from coordinate 131,644,889 downwards.
AAAATAGGAGACAATTCAAATAATGGTGACTTGTTATTCTCATCTAGTTAAGTACTATTATTTTCTAACAGCAATTTGCTATTTCAAATATATTAACTGAGATGTCTATATATTTATATTTTGAGACGCTATACAAATTTGAGCCAATGACATAGAATTCTACAAATCAAGAAGCTTATTCTGGGGCCATTTCTTTTGATGTTTTCTCTAAACTACTAAAGAGGCATTAATGATCCATAAATTATATTATCTACATTTACAGCATTTAAAATGTGTTCAGCATGAGATATTAGCTACAGGAGAAGCTAAATAAATTAAACATGGAATAAAGATTTGTCCTTAAATATAATTTACAAGAAGACTTTGATATTTGTTTTTCACAAGTGAAGCATTCTTATAAAGTGTCATAACCTTTTTGGGGAAACTCTGGAGAAAATGGAGAAACTCTGAAGGGTTTTAAGTACCTTTCCTGAAGCTGCAGACTCCATAACCTCTCTTTACAAAGAGCTCCTGCAGCTCCTACAGAAATGAGTGGCTGAGATTCTTGATTGCATAGCAGAGCTTCTCATCCAAACCCTTTCCCTTTTTAGTGTCTGTGTATCAGTATAAAAGTTCTATAAACTGTAGTTACTTATTTTAATCCCAAAGCACAGTAACAATATATTTCATCCTAGGGTTGGCAGTTTCTCTAAGTGTTTTGTTTAATTATCATGATAATATCTGCAGGATTCCAAAGAGCCTAAAAAGTAAAATATTTTAAAAAGAGGAAAGGGAGAAAGGGAAAGAAAATAAAATGAATAGCCCATTCTGTCACTATTATTAAATAGAAGAATACCTTCCTGTTAATCTAATTAAAATTAGTGACATCATTTAAAATTTATGTCTTCAACAAAAGTTTGGAATCCTGAAAAAGACCTTTAATTTGCTAATAAACATATTTGAATTGAATTGAAGTCCTTATATATTACTTTAAATAAATAACACAAGATGAATTATGATGTAGAGAATTCTATCCCTCATTGTCCAAAATCTAATAGTTAAATTGAACTTGTTAAATAATATTTTTGTCCAGGCATGAGGCTTACACCTGGAATCCCAATAGTTTGGGAGGCAAAGGCAGGTGGATTGCTTCAGCTGAGGAGTTGCAGACCAGGCTCGGCAACATGGTGAAACCCAATCCTTACAAAAAAAAAAAAAAATTTAGCCAGGCATAGTGGCTTGCCTGTAGTCCCAGCTACTCAGGAGGATGAGGTGGGAGGATCACCTGAGCCTGGGGAAGCTGGGGTGCAGTAAGCCATGATTGTGCCACTGCACTCCAGCTTGGGCAACAGACTGAGACCCTGTCTTGAAAGAAGGAAGGGAAGGGAAGGGAAGGGAGGGGAGGGGAGGGGGAAAAAGGAGAGGAAGGAAGGAAGGAAGAAAAATAACGGTTTTGGTGCCAATAATCTTTGTGGAATTTTGCTTTAATGAAATAGATTTAACTAAGTAGTGACATGATCTGCTTAAGTGTATTGACCCTAGCAATCAGAGGCATCTGAATTCCCACAATGACTTGACAGTTACATTTGACATTCTCCTATCATACCTACGGCATAGTCAGAATTTCAGAATTCCAACTTTCCCTATGCTATTTGAGCACATTGTTTAACATCTCTAAGACTCGATATTTTTACTCTTAAGATACTACTAATAATAGTACATAGTTTTTATGATATAATGTGTATCAAAAGCATTATACTTTCAGGCAGACAGCAATTTCTCAATAAATATTTACTAATGTTTTAGTACAAACAGGAAAATTGGATTATGATATTTATGACACTGTTGATTCTCCTTCTAGAAACATTTGTTTCTAAAACTTGTTTTCATGTTAGAGCACTATTTTGTGTTCAAATTGAAAATACTATATGTTCAGATTTTTTAAAAAACAGTATTGCATGAATGTTTTAATAAAAATATTCCTAAATGAGCTTGAGCAAGTACAGGGAAGATAAGTAAAGTAAGGCTTTGTGGCATAGGAGACATTTGGTGGACATCTTTCAGCTCAACTAAGATTTGAAAAAAAAAAAAGAATTTTTATAAAAAATGTAAAGGCAGGATTTACCCTGATGAGCTTGTGGAGAAAATACAAAGTCTAACATAATTCAAAAGAGACTAATCAGTCAAAGTAGTTTTGAAGGAAATATCTTGAAGAGAGAGAACATAAAATGAAGATCAGGTATGTAATTATTTTAATAATCTATCCATGAGATAAAAAGCATTGGGTTTTTTTTTATTTGTCAAAAACAGACAATAGTTTCAAAAACCATTCTTTGTTGAGCCTAAAGAGGATTTTACATTTTGAGCCAGTGACATATTGTGCTAAGTAGGATAATATCCTAATTTATGTCTATATCAACAATTTTGTTCTCAATAAAAACACTTTATTCACACAACTGATGATCATCTGCATTTGATTTAGTGCTGAACTGTCAAAGGGGGGCTAACAAAAACAAAATATTAGAGTTGCAAGCGGCGTAAGTGGAAAATAATGATCATATTCAACTCATTACTGAAATAAGAAAACAAAGCAAAAAATAAATAAGAAAAAAATTGAACATGAACATTTGCTTCTCTCCTAAGAATCAAAACCCTTAATTTTCTGTGGCAAAAAAGCATCTGGGTCCATGAACCCAAGCAAAAGTCTACTGTTTCTGGGAGATAAGAAGAAGCAAAACACATCAGCTTTCAGAGAAGGTTAAGAAACCTCTCATACCCTACCCTATCCCATCTGAGACCAGGTAAAGGATCACTGCTTCTGGGGGAGGGATGTAAGAAAAATACTTCTCCATCAGGACAGGAACAAGGATTGTTTTGGGGCCCACGATTTTGCACTAATGCAGAGTTGTGCTACTGTGGTAAAGGGTTGGAAAATCTCCATCCAGTGACCACAGACAAAGGTGCATTGTTCCTATGGAATGAGAAATAAAATAGTATGTCCTTATTGTGGGGTTGAAAATTTGCAATGATATAAATCAAAGGTTTTCTACCACTGAGGTGGGAGGAGGGCAAGGTATTATTTCTTCCTCAAAAAACAACACAGATAAGAGACAGTTTGACTCCCACTAGAATAAGAGTCAGGAAGTGCTAAAAATATCCCTTCTCTGAGTGTCCAATGATGAAACTGGCTCAAAAATAACATGAATCATCCCTCTGCCCCCAACCTAAATTTTCTGCCTAGTCACACACACACACAAAATGATGTTCTACAGTTAGAGAGGAACAAGAAATTGGAGAGAGACCCTCCTATGACATATGTGGTAAGGACTACAGAAAGATAACTGTGCAACCGGAGCACTGGCATATGCCCTCCAGAGCCTAAGGCCCCACACAAGGCACATGATATAGCAGCCTACTGCTGGAGAAATCTTGAGTTACATGGTTCACTGAATGTTTCAGACACCGCAGCAAAAAACAACCTTTGTTCCTGCCCACACTAATAGCATGACACAAACCAAAATGAAACATAAATATAAAACAATCTCGACATAAATAATTATCTCATCATCTACTGTTTTTCTACATCTGATGATGTGCATTTTTTAGAAATTGGAAAACACATAAAAGCAAGTTAGAAATTTGAGTTGTGAGTTATAATATTTTCAAAAGATAAAAAGTCAACAGAATCAAATTCAGAGATAATTCAGATGTTGGAACTAAATGCAAGTAATTTAAAATAATAATGATCAAAATGTTAAAGAATCTAGTTAAAAAAAGACAACATGTAGGGAAAAATGAGGAATTTCAGCAGAGATAGAACAGTAAAAGGCAAAAGCTAGAAATAAGTGAAAGCATGAGAACAGAGATGAAGAATTACAACAGCAGGCTGATTAGCAGACTGGTCATCAGAGCTAAAGAAAGAAAGCAGTAAATTTTATGCTATGTCAATACAAATTATTTGAATGGTAGCACAAAGGGAGAAAAGAGAAAAACAAAATAAACCAATGAGCCAAGCAAATAAAATACTCCAGTGAATCCAAGAATTCTTGGGTAATATGAAATTAACTAAAATACAATTAATTGGAATTCCAGGAGAGTAAAAACAGAATGTGAGAGAAGAAAAATTTGAAAAAGATGACTAAGGAGACCAAATAACCTCAAAAAGATCCAAGAAAGATTAATACAAAACTTAAAGAACGCTAGAATAATCACACAGTCAAACTGCTGAAAACCAACGATTAGCATAAATCTTGAATTCAGTCACAGAAAAATAGGAACACTGTGTAGAGAGATAAACAGAAACAGAAATTACAGTGAACTGCTTGTCAGCAACTCTACAAGTCAGAAACCAATGATACAAAATTTTTAAATAACTGAAAAAAGTCAACCCCCAATCTTATATCCATTAACTATATCGCGAAAATAACAATTAAATGAAGACATTTTCAGATTAACACTGGAAGAGTCCCTTGCTAACAGGTCTGCACTAAAATAAATGTCAAAATCATTTCTTGAGGCAAAAGGAATATGGAAGCAGATGAAAGTTGAAACTACACAAAGAAATAAAGAGTGCCAGAGAAGATACAAAGATATATTACCCCATTATTTTACATTGCTCTAAAGATAATTGTCTTACTTTTTTTAAAAAAAGAGTAACTTTATATTATGGAATTCGTAATATTTGATACCATAATGCATGACATAAATAGTATAAAGGAGAGAGGAAACAGAAATATACATTTTAAGGTTTTTACACCATAGTTGGTATAATACAAATTATAGGTTACTGTAATAAGCTAGAATAGGTATTGGAATCTCTAGAGAAACCATGAACATTTTCAAAAGATGGTATGTGCATTAATATTTTCATAGAACTTCCAGCTTTTTTCTTCATTTAATTTTATTTATTTATTTATTTACTTTTGAGATGGAGTCTCGCCCTGTTGCCCAGGCTGGAGTGCAATGGCCTGATCTCAGCTCACTGTAACCTCCACCTCGCAGGTTCCAATGATTCTCCTGCCTCAGCCTCCCAAGTAGCTGGGATTACAGGTGCCCACCACCATGCCCAGTTAATTTTTGTATTTTTAGTAGAGACGGGGTTTCACCATGTTGGCCAGGCTTGTCTCAAACTCCTGACCTCGTGATCAGCCCACCTCAGCTTCCCAAAGTGCTGGGATTACAGACTTGAGACACCATGCTAGGCCCCAGCTTTTATTTTTTCAGGTAGTTGTTGTGTTATTACATGTGAAGTAAGGTTATTCTTAAATATCCATGTTTTGAGAATAATGACAAATTAATTTATCTCAATCTAAATAACATTTTAATATTGAATATTTAAATATTTTTATTATTTTTAACAGAAGTCATTCTAACTCGTGTGAGATAGTATCTCACTGATGTTTTGTTTTGCATTCTCTAATGATTAGTGATGGTATGCATGTGTTAATATGTTTGTTGGCCACATATGTGTTCTTTTGAAAACTGTCTGTTCATGTTCTTTGCCCATTTTTTAATGGGGTTATTTTTTGCTTGTTGATTTGTCTAAGTCTCTTATAGATTCTGGATAGTAGGCCTTTGCTGTATGCATAGTGTGTGAATGTTTTCTTCCATTCTGTACGCTGTCTGTTCAATCCCCCTTGAGAGTTTCTCATGCTGTGCAGAAGCAGCTCTTTAGTTTAATTAAATCACACTTGTCAACTTTCATTTTTCTGGCAATGCTTTTGAGGACTTACCCATAAATTCACTGCCAAGTGCAATGTCCAGACGAATATTTCCTAGGTTTTCTTCCACGATTTTTATAGTCAGAGGATGTAATCTTATGCCAATGGGTCTTAATAATCAAATGACTCCACAGTAAGAATCATTACTCTGAAAAATTGATTTTGTTATAATGATGGAAATTTAAATATTTGAAAGTAAAAACAGATGCCACCTTTTTGCTAGAACTCTACAAGGCAAATTGCTATAAGAGAGGCAGAGGAAACACAATATATATATCCAAAATATAATTTGCAGTGAAATAAATGAAAGCACATTATAAATAAACTTACCTGATTTTACAAACTAACCTGTAAAGGGATTTCTACTAATTTTTCTATTGCCTGCATTGCCCTTTCTTCTACATCCAATTTATATTTTTGTACTTCACCAATGTGTCTTCACCAATGTGCAGTTTCCATGTTTTTTAAGATTTAATATTACTTCTTCCAACATCTTTTTATCCTCCTCAAGTTTTTTATATTCTGGTTGTACTTTTTTCATAGATAATAACTCCTGTTGAATAACTTCTTCTTAGTCAAATAGACATATTTTGAAGATACAGCTTCCAGCTTTGCTGTAAGATCATCAAACTACATTAATAAAATAATATAGCTTGATAATGAAATAGGCTGAGAATAATCTCATACAAAACCAATAACAAATTCTGAAATACATTTACTTGCAATAAAATGTTATCTATAATGTAGATTCTTTAAATGTTAACTCGTACTCAAAAATTCAAGAACAAAGTAAAAGCCACCATGAGTCACAAACATATATTCTTTACTCTCATCATCTTTGCCACAGAACTTTTGCACTTGATCTTACTTTTATATTTTTCTGATAATTTGTGTTTTTTCCTTCTTAAATGGGTCTAAGTTAATTCTTATTAGAAAGTTTCAAACCCCCTTCTCTCATCATCATGCCCCAAAATTTGTCAAAAAAAGTTTCAGAGATATTATATTGAGTTATTTAGGCCAAAGTCAATAAATGGCTCTTAGAATAAGACTTTGAAACTAATGTAATACTCTACGCTAGGCATGGTGCATCATGCATGTAATCCTAGCACTTTAGGAGGCTGTGGCAGAAAGATCACTTGAGGTCAGGAATTTGAGATCAGCCAGAGCAACATAGTGATACCATAATCTCGACAAAAAAAAAAAAAAACATGTAAAAAAATTAGCCAGGCATGATGCCTTATGCTTGTAGATCCAACTAGTTGGGAGATTAAGGCAAAAGGATGGCTTGGACTCAGAGTTCAGGGCTGTGGTGAATTATGATCAAACCACTGCACTTCTGCCTCGATGACAAAGACCGTATCTCAAAAAAACACAAAATAATCCTATAAATAAGTATTCTAATGCCACAAGCCTTTTCCTAGGCTGTAAATGTTTTATGCTAATTTGAATTGCATTTTAAAAAGTAATGATTCTTGGGGTAAAGGACATAGAATACAGCATTGAGAAATAAATCCACTTATTTACCTTACCAGAAATAAATCCACATTCTTGCGTTACAAGAGCTCCTGAAGTAAGCACTAAACGTGGAAAGGAACAACCAGTACCAGCCACTACAAAAACATACCAAATTGTAAAGACCATTGACACTATAAAGAAACTGCATTAACTAATGGGAAAAATTAAAAACTAGCAACATCATGACAGGATAAATTTCACATGTAACAATACTAAACTTAAATGTAAATGGGCTAAATGCCCCAGTTAAAAGACACAGACTGGCAAGTTGGATAAAGAGTAAAGACCCAATGGTGTCCTGTATTCAGGAGACCCATCTCATGCGCAAAGACACACATAGGTTTAAAATAAAGGGATGGAGGAATATTTACCAAGCAAATGGAAAGCAAAAAAAAGCAGGGTTTGCAATCCTAGTCTCTGATAAAACAGACTTTAACTGAAAAAGATGAAGAGAGACAAAGAACAGCACTACAAAGCAGTGCCATCAGCTTTTCCTCACGCCTCTGCTCCATCAGCCATCAGGTGGCAGCCACTCAGGCTGTTGGAACCTGGCCATCCCTGCTTCTTTGAGTGGGTGAGGTTGGTGGCTGCTCCACCTGCTCCTGGCACACCCTTGCAGAGGTGGCTGGTTGCTCTTTGAGCCAGCTTGGCCTTGCCTGGCATGCACAGGCCCCGGGGACCGACATGCTGCTCTAAATGAGATTATCCTGACTCTGTCAAATTCTACGTCTGGCCTGGGCCACAGAAGCCCAAGTCCCCTGGGTGGTAATACTAGCTGCTTTCTGGACTGGAACATAAACTCCTCAAGACGACCTGTGGTCTGCCTCTTGGCAACCAAGAAGCCTGCAGTGTCATATGACCCATGAGGCATGGACGGAAGGCCCAAAGGCAGCGCACACCCTGGTCCTGAGCCTGCTGCTCCTTTCCTCTATATGGCTCCATTTGTAGCACAGTTGTTGCACTGAGGCTTGTGCATGCCGGGCAAGGGCAAGCTGGCTCAAAGAGCAACCAGCTATCTTTGCACGGATGTGCCAGCAGCAGGTGGACCAGCCACCAACCTCACACGCTGCCAGTCAGGCTAAATCAGTTCTTCTACCATAAAGATAGGGCCACAGTGCCATCTGGTTTTCCTAAGGCCTCTGCTTCATCAGCCATTAGGTGGCACACACTCAGGCTGTGGGAACCTGGCCATCCCTGCTTCCTTGAGTGGGTGAGCTGGTGGCTGCTCCACCTGCTCTAGGCGCACCCTTGCAGAGGTGGCTGGTTGCTCTTTGAGCCAGCTTGGCCTTGCCTGGCATGCACAGACCCCAGCTACGGACACGCTGCTCCAAGTGAGCTTGTCCTGTCTAGGGCCAAATTCTAAGTCTGGCCAGGGATACAGAAGGCCGAGTCCCCTGGATGGTAATCCTGGCTGCTTTCTGCACATGAACATAAAGTCCTTCTCAAGATGGCCTGTGGTCCGCCTCTTGGCAACCAAGAAGCCCGCAGTGTCATACAACCCATGAGGCATGGACTGAAGGCCCAAAGGCAGCGCACACACTGCTCCTGAGCCTGCTGCTCCTTTCCTCTATATGGCTCCATTTGTAGCACAGTAGTGGCACTGAGGCTTCTGCATGCCGGGCAAGGCTAACAGGGCTCAAAGAGCAATCAGCCACCTCTGCAAGGGTGTGCGAGAAGCTGGTGGAACAGCCACCAATCTCACTCGCTACAGGACATGGAACATCAGTTCTTCTACCATAAAGGTAGGGCCACAGGGCCATCTGCTTTTCCTAAGGCCTCTGCTCCATTAGCCATCAGGTGGCAGCCACGTGGGCTGTGGGAACCTGGCCATCCACTTCCTTGACTGCGTGAGGTTGGTGGCTGGTCCACCTCCTCCAGGCGCACCCTTGCAGAGGTGGCTGGTTGCTCCTTCAGCCAGCGTGGCCTTGCCTGGCATGCACAGGCCCCAGCTACTGACACGCTGCCCCGAGTGAGCTTGTCCTGCCTTGGCACAAATTCTAAGTCTGGCCAGGGCCACAGAAGGCCGAGTCCTCTGCATGGTAATCCTGGCTACTTTCTGCAGTGGAACATAAAGTCCTTCTCAAGACGGCCTGTGGTTGGCCTCTTGGCAACGAAGAATTGTACAGTGCCATAGGAGCCCTGAGGCATGGACTGGAGCCCCAAAGGCAGCATACACCCGGCTCCTGAGCCTGCTGCTCGTTTCCTCTCTGTGGCTCCATTTGTGGAACAACAGTTGCACTGAAGCTTGTGCATGCCAGGCAAGGTCAAGCTGGCTCAAAGATCAACCAGCCACCTCTGCAAGGGTGTGCCAGGAGCAGGCGGACCAGTTACCAACCTCAGTCGCTGCCGGACATGGTACATCAGTTCTTCTACCCTAAAGGTAGGGCCAAGAGGCAGACCACAGGCCGTCATGAGGAAGAATTTATGTTCAAGTGCAGAAAGCAGGCAGGATTACCACTCAGGGGACTCAGCCTTCTGTGGACCACAGTGCCATACGAGCTCTGAGGCATGGACTACTGCCATCTGCTTTATAGAAAAATTAACTTCGGATGAATTGAAGAGTTAAATGTGCCATCTCATTTTCCTCAGGCCTCTGCTCCATCTGCCATCAGGTGGCAGCCACTCAGCATTCTGTAACCTGGCCATCCCTGCTTCCCTGAGTGGGTGAGGTTGGTGGCTAGTCCAATTGGTCGAGGAGCACCATTGCAGAGGTAGCTGGTGGCTCTTTGAGCCAGTTTGGCCTCCCTGGCATTCACAGGCCCCAGGTACTAACACATTGCTCCGAGTGAGCTTGTCCTGCCTTGCCACAAATTCTAAGTCTGGCCACAGCCACAGAAGGCCGAGTCCCCTGGGTGGTAATTCCGGCTGCTTTCTGCACTTGAACATAAAGTCCTCCTCAAGACGGCCTGTGGTCTGCCTCTTGGCAACCAGGAAGCCCGCAGTGCCATATGACGCCTGAGGCATGGACTGGAGCCCCAAAGGCAGCGCACATCCTGCTCCTGAGCCTGCTGCTTGTTTCCTCTCTGTGGCTCCATTTGCAGCACAGTTTGTAGCACTGAAGCTTGTGCATGCTGGGCAAGGCCAAGCTGGCTCAAAGAGCAACCAGCCACCTCTGCAAGGGTGTGCCAGGAGCAGGTGCACCAGTCACCAACTAGCGGCCAGATATGGTACCTCAGTTCTTCTACCCTAAAGGTGGGCCACAGTGCCATCTGCTTGCTTTTCCTAAGGCCTCTGCTCCATCAGCAATTAGGTGGCAGCCAATACAAGACAAACTCACTCAGAGCAGCGTGTTAGTACCTGGGACCTGTGCATGCCAGGGAGGCCAAGCTGGCTCAGAGTAACCAGCCACCTCTGCAAGATCTGGCCAGGGCTACAGAAGGCCCCCCTGCATGGTAACCCTGGCTGCTTTCTGCACTTGAACATAAAATCCTCCTCAAGATGGCCTGTGGTCTGCCTGTAGGCAACCAAGAAGCCCGCAGTGCTATATGACCCCTGAGGCATGGACTGGAGCCCCAAAGGCAGCTCACACCCTGCTCCTGAGCCTGCTGCTCCATTTGTAGCACAGTAGTTGCACTGAGGCTTGTGCATGCCGGGCAAGGCCAAGCTGGCTCCAAGAGCAACCAGCCACTTCTGCAAGGGTGTGCCAGGAGCAGCCGGACCAGCCACCAACCTCACTTGCTGCCAGACATGGTACATCGGTTCTTCTACCCTAATGGTAGGGCCAAGAGGCAGACCACAGGCCGTCTTGAGGAGGACTTTATGTTCAAGTGCAGAAAGCAGCCAGGATTGCCACCCAGGGGACTCGGCCTTCTGTGGTCTGCAGTGCCATACGAGCTCTGAGGCATGGACTGGTGACATCTGCGTTATAGAAAAATTAACTTAAGATCCATTAAAGAGTTAAACATGCCATCTGATTTTCCTCAGGCCTCTGCTCCCTCAGCCCTCAGGCGGCAGCCACTCAGGGTGTTGTAACCTGGCCATCCCTGCTTCCTTCAGTGGGTGAGGTTGGTGGCTGGACCAACTGGTCCAGGCGCACCCTTGCAGAGGTGGCTGGTTGCTCCTTGAGCCAGCGTGGCCTTGCTGGCATGCGCAGGCCCCAGCTACTGACACGCTGCTCCGAGTGAGCTTGTCCTGCCTTGACACAAATTCTAAGTGTGGCCAGGGCCACAGAAGGCCGAGTCCCCTGGATGGTAATCCTGGCTGCTTTCTGCACTTAAACATAAAGTCCTCCTCAAGACGGCCTGTGGTCTGCCTCTAGGCAACCAAGAAGCCTGCAGTGCTATACAACCCCTGAGGCATGGACTGGAGCCCCAAAGGCAGCACACACCCTGCTCCTGAGCCTGCCGCTCGTTTCCTCTCTGTGGCTCCATTTGTAGCACAGTTGTTGCACTGAGGCTTGTGCATGCCGGGCAAGGCCAAGCTGGCTCAAAGAGCAACCAGCCACCTCTGTAAGGGTCCACCTGGAGCAGGTGGACCAGCCACCAACCTCACCCACTCAAGGAAGTAGGGAATGTGTGTTTGTGCCATTCATTTCCCTACAAGTACATTTCCCCTGAGGGTAGTGGCCTATGTTTTCTTCTAGGTTTTTTGCTTTTAGGTCTAACGTTTAACTCTTTTATCCTTCTTAAGTTAATTTTTGTATAAAGTGTAAGTAAGTGGACCAGTTTCAGTTTTCTGCATATGGCTAGCCAGTTTTCCTAACACCATTTGTTAAATAGGCAATCCTTTCCCCAGTGCTTACTTTTGTCAGTTTTGTCAAAGATCTGATGGTTTTACACGTGTGGTGTCATTTCTGTGGCCTCTGTTCTGTTCCATTGGTCTATATACCTGGTTTGGTACCAGTACCATGCTGTTTACATTACTGTGGCCTTGTACAATAGTTTGAAGTCAGGTACTGTGATGCCTCCAGCTTTGTTCTTTTTGCTTAGGATTGTCTTGGCTATGCAGACTCTTTTTTGGTTCCATATGAAATTTGAAGTAATTTTTCTAATTTTGTGTAGAAAGTCAATGGTAGCTTGATGGCGTTAGCACTGAATCTATAAATCACTTTGGGTGGTATGGCACTCAGGCACAGAAATGTTCTTGTGTTAGGCAATACCATTCAGGACATAGGCATGGGCAGAGACTTCATCACTACAACACCAAAAGCAATGGCAACAAAAGCCAAAATTGACAAATGGGATCTAATTAAGCTAAAGAGTGTCTGCAGAGCAAAAGAAACTATCATCAGAGTGAACAGGCAACCCACAGAATGGGAGAAAATTTTTGCAATCTATCCATCTGACAAAGGGCTAATATGCAGAATCTACAAAGAACTTAAATTTACAAGAAAAAAAAAAACCATCAAAAAGTGGGCAAAGGATATGAACAGACACTTCCCAAAGAAGACATTTATGCAGCCAAAGAACAAGTGAAGCAAACCACATCATCACTGGTCATTAGAGAAATGGAAATCAAAACCACAATGAGATATAATCTCACGCCACTTAGAATGACCATCATTAAGACATCAGAAAACAACAGATGCTAGAGAGGACATGGAGAAATAGGAACGCTTTTACACTCTTGGTGGTAGTATAAATTAGTTCAACCATTGTGGAAGACAGTGTGACAATTCCTCAAGGATCTACAACCAGAAATACATTTCACCCAGCAATCCCATTACTGGGTATATACTGAAAAAATAATAAATCATTCTAATATAAAGACAAATGCACACGTATGTTTACTGCGGCACAGTTCACAACAGCAAACACTTGGAACCAACCCAAATGCCCATCAATGATAGACTGGATAATGTGGCATATATACACTATGGAATACTATGCAGCCATAAAAAAGGATGGGTTCATGTCCTTTGCAGGGACATGGATGAAGCTGGAAAGCATCATTCTCAGTAAACTATTACAAAGACAAAAAACCAAATACTGCATGTTCTCACTCATAGGTGGGAATTGAACAATGAGAACACATGGACACAGGAAGGGGAACATAACACACCAGGGACTGTTGTGGGGTGGGGGGAGGAGGGAGGGATAGGATTAGGAGATACACTTAATGCTAAATGACGAGTTAATGGGTGCAGCACACCAACATGGCCCATGTATACATATGGAACAAACCTGCACGTTGTGCACATGTACCCTAAAACTTAAAGTATAATAATAATAAAATTACAAAATTAAAAAAAAGTTTTAAAAAATTTCCAACTGGTTTTTTTGTTTTTTGTTTTGTTTTGGTTTTTTTTTTTGTTTTTTGGGGTTTTTTTCTTTTTCTTTTTTTTTATTGTTTGTTTTTTTGTTTTTTTGGGGGTTTTTTTGGCAGCCACAGGAGTTTTAGCCAATTCAGATGCCTTGCTCCCCACAATTTGGAACATTCCTTTGGATTTGACCAAGTCAGGAAGAGATGGGAGAGAAGTGAAACAGCAACAATAAACCCCAAACATAAACAAAAAGAGTTAAGCAAAACAAACAAATGCACAATTCATATGATTACTGAGTGTTCTAATGGTAAGGAGAAATTAAAAGCAGCTGGTGGGTCATCTTAAATTTTAGTCATTAAGGAAAAATTTTAAGACAAACTCTAATTCAGCTACTTACCTGGAAATAAGGCTCAGGCTGGTGATTGTTCTCTGCCATCTTAGATGCTGGAAAAAACTTACACTCACCTTGCCTGTCAGAAGCAAGCTGAAACTCAGGAAAGGAGGTGCCTGCTCTCCTTTGTCATGGAAGCAGGAAAACTTGCCTTCCTTGTTGGAAATGAGCAAAACTTCAGAAAAGGAGTTGTACAGCAAAATCAACCTTACATCTCAACCAAATTTTGGGAGATCAGGGACTCTCTGCAGGGGAGAAGCTCCACAACCTCAGCAAATTATCCTATTGGTTTGGGCAATACAAATAGCCCAGGTTGGTATCAAGCAATAATGAGATTTATCAAAGGTCAGTACCACCTTTGTAATGTCCTTCTCTTTTTTTATCTTTATTGGTATAGTCTGTTCTGTCAGAAACTAGGAGTGCAACACCTGCTTTTTTCTGTTTTGCATTTGCTTGAAATATCTCTCCATTCCTTTATTTTGAGCCTATGTATGGCACTGCACGTGAGATGGGTTTCTTGAAGACGGCATACTCCAGTGGGTCTTGGTTCTTTATCCAGCTTGCCCCCTGTGTCTTTCAATGGGAGCATTTAGCCCATTTACATTTAAGCTTAGCAATGGTATGTGTGGATGTGATCCTGTCATCACGCTGTCAGCTGATTATTTTGCAGACTTATGTATGTGGTTTGTTTTTAGCATCACTGGTCTGTGTACTTCAGAGCGTTTTTGTAGTGGCAGGTGATGATCTTTTCTTTCCATATTTAGTGCTTCCTTCAAGGAGCTCTCGTAAGGTAGATCTGGTGATACCGAATTCTCTCAGCATTTGCTTGTCTGAAAAGGATCTTATTTCTCCTTCACTTATGATGCTTAGTTTTGCTGGATATGAAATTCTGGGCTGAAATTTCTTTTCTTTAATGGCAGTTGATGTGGGTTGGGGTGTGTGCTGCACTCTCGTGTGCTGTCAGGGCAAGTACAGCAAAACCCACCTGTGTAAACACACACAGCAAAGTGATGTAAGAAGTTTCCATATAAAGGGCTGCAGTATGGAGAGGTAATGTGCAGGCTGGTTTGCGGCTGTAGGGGCCACCTTGCTGCAGCTCTCCACTGATATGGTACAGTCCACTAGCACGGCAGCTATAGTGTGGGCATCTAAGAGTGCCCTGTAAGCATGTGTGGCCAGGCTAGGGCCATGGGAGAGGCAAGCAGACTAAGGAGTGCTGCCATCAGACCAGCCCCATCTCATGTGCAAGACTGCCCAGCCTCCAGAGATCAGGTCTCAGAGGAGAACTCTCTCAAAAGTGAACCCCCAGCACAGCACAGCTGCTCTACACAAACATGGCTAGACTTCTTTTATTAAGCAAGTCCCCTTTTTTAAAACAGGAACTCTTGGACCTGATCTCTGCTGGGCAATCTTGCACATGAGATGTGGCTGGTATGACCTCAGCATTCCTAAAGTGCTGGGATAAAGTGTCTCACAAGGGCAAGTAGACCCTAGAGAGATAGCTGTCCCAGCCCTCTGGGCTCCACATCACCTGACTTGCTGCTCCAACACTTTGCTTGTCTCCTGGGTGCTCCATCCCAGAGACATGTGAGTTAGCAATCACTTAGTGTAATCGGCCCAGGATGGAGGGTCTGTGCTGTGGGCCCAAGCCAGGGTTCCCTGTCTGGTGATGAGTAGTGGAGGGTGTGTGGTACCCATGGGAGATGGACTGGCTTGTTCTTTGGGTCAACTGCAGCTTATTGGAGGTGTTGATATGGCACTTAGGGTCTTTGCTCCCTTGATATATCTTCTGAGGGTAGCAAGGGCAATTCTACTGCAGAGGCAGTGGCAGAAAGGATTTCATTTGCTCCTGGAAGCTCTGTCCAAAAAACTGCTGAGTTGCTACTGGCTTGATAGCTCCGGTGGTGGGCTGGCTAGAGACCCAGGCCAGGAGGACCTGCCCATCAAGTAGAGTCCGGCCAATTTTCTGTAGGGCTGCTGTGGTATGCTGGGGGTCCCTCCAGTCCCTAATTGCCTCATATTTTCCAGGGAAGATGATAGCCTGCCCCTTTCTCTGGGAGCTCTGTACCACTGAGGTACGAACCTGTTGCCAATCTGACCACACCTATAAGATGTGGCTGGAGGCAAGTTGAGGAGTCTTACCTAGTCAGGAGGAACAAGCACAGGGACTTGCTTTAAAAAAAAAGTCTGGCCACGTTTTTATAGAGCAGCTGTGCTGTGCTGGGGGTTCACTTCAGCCCCTGGTCACCTCAGACACTCTGAAGCCCTAAGGCTGAAATGGCTGGGTCGCCCAAAAAGCAAAGATGACAATCTGGTCCTCCCCCTGGCAGCCCTGACTCAGGGAAGCCTGAGACCTCTGTCAGCCAGACAACAGCAGTCAAGGTAGCCAGAGACCCTGGTTGAAAGACTTCACCCACTGACTAGAAATGTGATCAGGGACTGACGTAAACAAGAGTCTGGCCACGTTTTTGTAGCGTGGCTGTGCTGTGCTGAGGTACCTCTTCCACCCCTTGTCAGCTTGGGCTCTCCAAAGCCCGCAGGCCAGAAAGGCTAGTCGCCAAAACAGCAAAGGTGGGGGCCTGTCCCTCTCTCCGGGAGCTCTGTCCCAGGAACATTTCACATTTCCATTGGCCAAGGAATGCTGGTGGGGGTAGCTGGAGGCCCCAGTTGGGAGGTCCTGTCCAGTGAGGTGGAACAGGATCAGAGGCCTGCTTACAGAAGCAGTCTGGCCATGATTTGGTAAAGCAGCTATGCTGTGCTGTGGGATCTCTTCTGTCCCTCGTCGGTTTGTATTCTCCAAAGCCCGCAGGCTGGAATGACTAAGTTGCCTGAACGGGAAAGATGGCAGCCTGCCCCGTCTTTTCTCTCAGAGTTTTATCTTGTTTCATGGAGCTTAATTTTTAGCCTGTTGATTTTACTGTCTTCATTAGACTTGTTGAGAAGGAATCTGTTATATTTTAGGTGAGATAAATGAGAATTCATTGTCTTCTGTAAATAAACCTGCTCATGTCTTGTTCTCTGGAAAGAAGTCTCTTTCAGCTATCTGACTTTGGTCACAATCATGTAGAGCAGTAGCCAGTCTACAATGACGTAATTGAATTTCCATTTCCAGTGTTTCCTCGTTGTGTCTTACACTGTCCAGTTCAGAACTGAGCATTTTATTCTCAGTTGTCAACATGCTAAGCTGTCCACTGTACTGAAATACTGTGCTTCCTCATTCAATTTTTTTTAAGGTGTGCACTTTTATCCAACTCTCCTCAAGTCAGAGTACAGGTAAGCCCTGGCTGCCTCCAGCCACTCTCAGAGAGACCAAAAGCCTTCATATACCCCAAGTTGAGGTACAAAAAAGGGGGGCCATGAAGGCTGATCATTCAAAATAAAACAAGTTAAAAAGTATTAAGGCGAAGATTCAAAAAATTTTGCATTACGTAATCTGCACGAAAGCAATGCTATCACCTCCCCTGTGTGAACTAGGGAGAGGACTGGGCCATTCTCCTTAGAGAGAAGTGGGGTGGCTTTTAGCAGGGCAAGGGGCTTCCTGAAACAATGCGTCTCACAATATTTGGAATGACTATTGAAAAGAAGAACAATGTACAATCAAAGTCCTTGGCCACATTGTAGAACTTTGGGGGAAGCTCGCTCCAACCGACTACTATCACCTTCGCCGTTCCGGTTTTCAAATCCTGAGTCAAGCCAATAAAAAACAAAACAAAAAATGAAACAAGAAAACAAATAAAGCCACGCCAATCTCATGTTGTTTTCTGAGAAGTTTGGTTTTGTCAAGAAAGGGTGTAACGCAACTAAGTCAGAGTCCACCTAGAAGCATTTGCGGTGGACAATGGAGGGGCCTGACTCATCATACTCCTGCTTGCTGATCCACATCTGCTGGAAGGTGGACAGCGAGGCCAGGATGGAGCCACCGACCCACACGGAGTACTTGCGCTTGGGAGGAGCAATGATCTTGATCTTCATAATGCTAGGCGCCAGGGCAGTGATCTCCTTCTGCATCCTGTGGGCGATGCCAGGGTACATGGTGGTGCCGCCAGACAGCACTGTGTTGGTGTACAGGTCTTTGCGGATGTCCACATCAGACTTCACTATGGAGTTGAAGGTAGTTTTGTGGATGCCACAGGATTCCATGCCCAGGAAGCAAGGCTGGAAGAGCGCCTCGGGGCAGCGGAACCGCTCGTTGCCGATGGTGATGACCTGACCATCGGGCAGCTCGTAGCTCTTCTCTACGGAGGAGCTGGAGGCTGCCATGGCCATCTCCTGCTCGGAGTCCAGGGCAACATAGCACAGCTTCTCTTTGATGTCACGCACAATTTCCTGCTCGGCCGTGGTGGTGAACCTATAGCCACGCTCGGTGAGGATCTTCATGAGGTAGTCAGTCAGTTCCCGCCCAGCCAGGTCTAGGCGCAGGGTGGCATGGGGGAGGGCATTCCCCTCATAGATGGGCACAGTGTGGGTGAACCCATCACCAGAGTCCATCACGATGCCAGTAGTACGGCCAGAGGTGTATAGGGACAGCACGGCCTGGATGGCCACGTACATGGCTGGGGTGTTGAAGGTCTCAAACATGATCTGGGTCATCTTCTCACGGTTGGCCTTGGGGTTCAGGGGGGCCTCAGTCAGCAGGATGGGGTGCTCCTCAGGAGCCACACGCAGCTCATTGTAGAAGGTGTGGTGCCAGATCTTCTCCATGTCGTCCCAGTTGGTGATGATGCCATGCTCCATGGGGTACTTCAGGGTCAGCATGCCTCTCTTGCTCTGGGCCTCTTTGCCCACATAGGACTCCTTCTGATGCATGCCCTCCATCATGCCCTGGTGCCTGGGGCGCCCCACGATAGAAGGGAAGACAGCCTGGGGGGCATCGTCGCCCGCAAAGCCGGCCTTGCACATGCCAGAGCCGTTGTCAATGACGAGCACAGCGGTATCATCATCCATGGTGAGCTCATTCAATTGTAGAGCCTTTAAAAGATTATCATTCTTTTTTTCCACACTTTCAATTTCCTCCAAATATTTCTTTTCTCTTAGCTGGCTCTGATGTTTCATTATGTCTAGCTCCAGTCTTAGCATGGCAACTTCTTCCTGCAACGTACTATTTTCATGCAAGAAGTCTTTTTCTTTCTTATAACTAAGAGAAAGCTAAGTAAACAAAGGGAACTTTTAGTTAGCACTCAATAGATTGACATATCATGATTTCTTCTGAAATTAAAAAATAACGTGTATTTGTATAATGAAAGAATCCACATAGTGGATATTTAACTGGAAAAAAATTGGACAAAACTTCAAACCTAATAGAGTGTAAATTCCTCTAGTGATTTATTTTTCATAGTCTTTAAATAAATATTTAAACTTTTAGGAATCTTCTCCTGAATTCCTAAAAGTTTAAATATTTATTTAAAGACTATGAAAAATAAATCACTAGAGGATTTTTAAGAATCTCAGAATTAAAAAAGACTTTCTGTGAGTTACAAAAAACCCAGAGGCATAAAATATAAGATTAATACATTTGACTATATTTTTAAGATTAGGTTTACTCTCTGATATCTAACCTATCAACCACACCATCCTAAGAGCCTTGCTATGCATATATTTGGACAGAAGCAATTTCTCAAAGTTCTTTAAGTTTCTTTTACTGAAGAACGTTTTACTGATATTCTACATTTCTAATATTTCTATACTCAGTTATAAGAATTACATTTATTTATAACTGTCAAATCTAAGCACTGTACCCTTCCACACTGTACACATCTGTATCTAGGCATTGCACTTCTACATACAATACTGAACTCATTTAAGATCGCGATTCTTAAAAGGAGAGGTCAAAAAATATACACAGATGCAGGATTTTCCCCAGGTCTGCTGATGCTACTTCTAGTGATCCTCCACAAAACCACAGTTACTTCTGTGGTGTAAATATATAAATACAAAAGAAGCCTTTTGTTTCAAAATATGAATGGTAAATAAGATACAACTTATAGAGATTTTCTTAGAAATCATGAGATTATTTCCCATTGTGATAACTTATTTCCTCTTTATAATATTTGAAACAGTAGTAACTGTGAAATAGGGGAAATATACTGAACTATTTCTCTAGGAACAAAATACTTATCAATAAATGATCACTAAATGTGTATCATGGCATGTCATTGTTTTCTAACCTCTTTACATTGAAATGAGAAACTACTTGGAGCAAACTGTTCCTCTCCACAAAAGTAAGGATAATGACATCCACAATGTGGCCTCTGACCCAGCTATACATTTCCTACTTTCCTATCAGTGAAAACAATCAATTGACTTCTCTATTAACACTTTTTTAAAAACTAATGTCCAAAAACAAGAAAATCTGTTTTCAGCAGCAAAACTTTTTATATGGAAAGATCATCAATTCTTATGAAAAGTATCAAATGCTTCTCCTCTGGACTGAGGCCATTGTGAAGGTCACTACTCGACTGTTGCAGGCAAATGGAGGTGAATTAAGAACATGGCTTTATCCTATATGTACATATATAGGTACATGACAAAGGATATATAGAATATATACACACATATATATGACTTAAAAATCCTTTATATTTCCAAAATATCTAGTTTTTTAAAAATATATACACATATAAAAACATTTGAAAATAACTAAAGAAAACACCTCAGAATTTTTTTTTTTTTTTTTTTTTTTTTTTTTTTTTTTTTTTTTTTTTTTTTTTTGAGATGGAGTCTTGCTCTGTCACCCAGGCTGGAGTGTAGTGGCACGATCTTGGCTCACTGCAAGCTCTGCCTCCCGGGTTCACACCATTCTCCTGCCTCAGCCTCCCAAGTAGCTGGGACCACAGACGCCCGCCACCATGCCCGGCTAATTTTTTGTAGTTTTAGTAGAGACGGGGTTTCACCGTGTTAGCCAGGATGGTCTCGATCTCCTGACCTTGTGATCCGCCCGCCTCGGCCTCCCAAAGTGCTGGGATTACAGGCGTGAGCCACCGTGCCCGGCCCAGAATTCATTTTCTTTTCAGCCACTTCTATCTGCTTTTCTTCATGAACAGAATCTCATCTTGTAATATTCCAGTGTTCTGTTCTTCAGAAAGTTGCTTCTGAGTATCATTTTGTTCATCATTAGAAGAAATTTTAATTTTCATGAAATACTGGAGGTGTCCCTAAAATGATCTACAGGGCAAGATGGCGCCATCAGATGTCATTCACACAATGTATATCTGCACATTATTCCAAGCAAGGCAAAGGGGTCTCACATCTGTTAACCAGGTGTCCCCAACCATGCTGGCACCAGGGACTGGTTTTGTGGAAGATAATTTTTCCAGGAACCTGAGGTGGGGGATGGTTCCAGGATTCAAGAACATTACATTCATTGTGCACTTTATTTCTATTATTATTAATATATAATGAAATAATTATATAACTCACCAAAATGTAGAATCAGTGGGAGCCCTGAGCTTGTTTTCCTGCAACTAGATGGTCCTATCTGGGGGTGACGGGAGATGGTGACAGATCATAAGGAATTCAATTCTAAGGAGTGAACAACCTATATCCCCCTGCATGAGCAACTTACAACAGGGTTCAGGTCACACTCTTAGGACAATCTAATGCCACTACTGATATGACAGGAGGAGGAGCTCGGGCGGTAATGCGAGTGACAGAGAGTGGCTGTAAACAGATGAAGCTTCACTTACTCACCTGCCTCTAACCTCCTGCTGTGTGGCCCAGGTCCTAACAGGCCAGGGACTGCTACTGGTCCGTGGCCTGTAACACATACTTTTATGTTTATTTTTTGGAAACACTTTCCACTTATATTCTTGATTCCTATGTATTTTATAAACAACTTAGAAATTCCTTTTAGAACAACACAGGGTCTAATATTATGTTTTTAACATATGACTTTGAATTAATTTTATCGGTGTATGAGAGAGATGTGAAATAAACTAATTGTTAAGCACCTTCCATTTTACTTTTATTTCATGCATATTAAGAATAAAACTGGGAAGTCCTAGGCAGAGCAATTGGGCAAGAGGAATAAAGGGCATCCAGATTAGAAAAGAGGAAGTCAAACTATCTCTTCACCAATGATATGATCTTATACCTAGAAAACCCTAAAGACTCCTACAAAACACTCCTAGATTTGATACATGAATTCAGTAAAGTCTCAGAGGTTACAAAATAAATGAATACCAATCAGTAGCACCACTATACACCAACTACGACCAAGCTGAGAGTTCATATCAACAATCCAATCCCTTTTACAGTGGCTGCAAAACACTGTGAAATACCTAAGAATATACTTAACGAAAAAAGTGAGTGATCTATATAAAGATAACTGGAAAACACCACCGAAAAAAATAATAGATGACACAAACAAATGAAAATACATCCTATGTTCATGTACTGAAAGAAGTGATATAGTGAAAATGACAATAGTGCCCAAAGCAGTCTACACATTCGATACACTTCCTACCAAAGTACCAATGTCATTCTTCACAGAATTATTTTAAAATGCTGACATTCATGTAGGACCACAAAAGAGCCTGAACAGCAACAGACATACCAAGCAAAAGGAACAAATATGTTGGCATCACATTACCTGACTTCAAATGATACTCTAAGACCACAGTAACAGAAGCAGCGTGGTACTCGTATAAAAACAGATACATAGATCAACGGAACAGAACAGACAACTCAGAAATAAAGCCACTACAACCAAGTGATCTCTGAGCAAGGATACAAAAACATACACTGGAGAAAGTACAGGTTATTCAATAAATGGTGCTGGGAAAAAAAGATAGCCACATGTGGAAGAATGAAACTGGATCTCTATCTCTCACCATATACAAAACTTAATTCAAGATGGATGAAAGGCCTAAACCTAAGGCCTGAAAACATTGGCCTAGGCAAAGGATTTATGAGGAAGACCCTAAAAGCAAATCCAACAAAAATGAAAATAAATAAATAAGACCTAATTAAACTAAAAAGCTTCAGCACAGCAAAAGAAATAATCATCAGAGTAAAACAACAACCTATACAATGGGAAAAATTTGAAAATTATGACACTAACAAAGGACTAATAATATCTATAACCTACAAGAAATTCAAACAAATCAACAGGAAAAACACAAATAATTCCATTAGAAAGTGGCCAAATTACATGAATAGACATTTCTCAAAGGAAGATGTACAAACGGTAAACAAGCATATAAAAACACGCTAAATATCTCTAATCATCAGGGAAATGTACAATAAAACCACAGTGAGATATCACCTCACTGCAGCCAGAATGGCCACTATTAGAAATCAAAAAACAACAGATGTTGGGTGGATGCGGTGAAAAGACAACAGTGATACACTGCTGGTGGGAATGCAACTTCATACAAATCTATGGAAAACAGTATGGAGAGTTCTCAAAGAACTAAAAGTAGATCCTACCATTTTATCCAGCATTCTCATTTCCAGATATCTACACAAAATAAAAGAAATCGTACTCTCAAAAGGACACCCGCACACATATGTTTACTGCAGCACAATTCACAATATGCAAAGATATGGAATCAACCAGTGTCCATCAACTGATGAGTGGAATAAAAAAACTGGATGTATATACATATATATATCTCACATCACATATATGTATCATATATATGTATGTGTGTATATACACTCACACATATACATACGTACATACCTGAGACTGGGTAATTCATACACGTACATACCTGAGACTGGGTAATTCATAAAGGAAAGAGGATTAATTGATTCACAATTACGCATGGCTGGGGAGGCCTCAGGAAACTTAACAACCATGGTAGAAGGGGAAGGGGAAGCAGGCACCTTCTTCATAAGGCGGCAGGAGAGAGAGAAGAGAGAAGTGAAGCGCAAAGAGCCCCTTATGAAACCGTCAGCTCTTGTGAGGACTCACTCACTATCACAAGAACAGCATGGAGGAAACCGACCCCATGACCCAATCACCTCCCAGCTGGTCTTTCCTCAACACCTGGGAATTACAATTTGGCATGAGATTTGCATAGAAACACAAAGCCAAACTATTGGGGGGGGGTGGTTATCCTTATTTTTAAAATATCTAAATGTCATTATTTATAATTCAAAATAGCAATTTTTGTTAGTTATGATTTTGTTTGAAAATAAAATGATCTGGTAAATTTTCTTCACTTTTAACCTATTCAGTCAAAATATAGAAAAAGCTAGATTTGCCAGCAGAAAATTGTAACAACTTTTTAATGAGATAAAAATGTATAACAATATCACTATTATTGTACAGAGAAAAAAGTGAACATGAAAAGGAATTTAAAAAGACAGAATATGACTATCATATACATACATGAACTGACAAAGAGACTAAAATCTCCTACTGGAGATTATAGCAAAAGCTTCTAAAAATACCAAAAACAAAAGCAAAACAATTATTTTTAAGAAATAAACTATACAGAGAATTCTTCTGGTTAAGACAATGTATGAAAAAAAAAATCTTCGTGAGAGCTATTATTAACCAAGTCATCATAATCAAAACTTTAAATCCACAATTCTGGAATATTAAAAAGTTTCATTTTGAACATATCTAATGGAAGGCAACTTTTGAACAGAAAATTTCTAGTTAAAGTTGACTGAAACTTAGGGAAGAATTGACCTGTAGCCATGGTCACAAGACGCCACCCAGAGCCAGTTCAAAATCTAGTCAATCGATCAATGACCACTGGCCTTGCTCACCAACCAATATCAATGTGAGCAGCTTGCTTCTGAAAGACAGCCAAGCAGCAACAGCTGCTCCATCAGAATAGACATTGCCTGACAAATACAGTTACTATAGGAAGCAAAAAATTCCAACTCTGTCTTTTTATGTCAAATACCAAAGGTCCACAATCCCTTGGAAAGAATTTGTCAGTCCATTACATTTACCACCCTAATTTTTTTTAAATAAAATACTAGTGGCCAGACGTGGTGGCTTATGCCTGTAATCCACCCAGCACTTTGTGAGGCCAAGGCAGGTGGATTGCCTGTGGTCAGGAGTTCGAGACCAGCCTGACAAACAGGATGAATCCCATCTCTACTAAAAACACGAAAATTAGCCGGGCGTCATGGCATGCACCTGTAATCCTATCTCCTCAGGTGGCTGAGGCAGGATGATCGATTGAACCCAGGAGGCGGAGGTTGGAGTGAGATGAGGACATGCCACTGCACTGCAGCCTGGGTGACAGAGCAAGACTCTGTCTCTAAATACATAAAATACCAGTAAAGTTTGCAATTCCTCTGACTCATTTTACCATAATTGCAATTATCATGATTACCAGTAAAAGAATAGTGAATAACCACAATATTGGACTTTTCTCCCTAAGTGAAAAAATATTAATATAAAGAACGTAGCCAATTATAAAAAGCCAAAAGAAGTTTAAAAATACATACAATTACCAGGCAAAATTGTTAAAATGCACCTTATCGAACATTTTTTAAGTGAGAATCAATCAAACAATATACCCAGGATAAACTCCATTCATTCATTTAATACCTATTTATTAGGTAGCTACGTCTGATATGCTAGGCCTTTTTCTAGGAAGTGAGGATATGGTAATGAACAATAAAACCCCTATTCATGAGAGTGAGATAAACACACAAGAACAACAGACCGATAAGGCAAAATATACAGTACGTTAGAGGAGAAAAACTAAAGCAGGAAAATGAAATGTTCATGTCTTTGATGGGAAGAGTAGTGGGAAAGTTAGGATGGCCAGAAAAGTCCCTGCTGAGAAAGAGATTTTTCTTTAATATGAAGAAACTTTTATTTGTACATCAAAGACTCTAAAAAATGATGATGTTAACAGAGTTGATGTCAAGACACAAATAGGTTTGAAGTTAGAGATGATAAATCACTTTGTTTCATTGAACCTTCCCTCAATTACGTTAGAGAGCATCCCTGGTATGCTCCCAATTGAATCTCAAGCCTGACGCATCCTGGTGATACAATCCTAATTCCTTTCTGTTAGTAATCATTCTCTTTTTTTTCGTTTTCTTCATTTTCTCTGGACTAGGAATTGTGCTGGTACATGGTTCTTCCTCAAAAAGTGGTAATTCCTTAATGTGTTTCTTTTTACCCTTTTTCTTCTTCTTGGAAAGGGGATTTTAAGTAAAGAACTGAAGTAATGGAAAGAGTAAGCTAGAAGAATATCTGGGGAAAAAGCATCCCAGACACATGGAACTGCTAAGTGCAGAGGTGTGCCTGGAATCTTTAAGCAGTAGGGTAGGTAAGGAATAGCAACAAGTTCAGTGTGGCTGAAACAGAGCAAAAGACATAAGAAACAGAAGTTTAAGCAGGAGAGGTAACATGCCAGATGGTTTACTGCCTTTCAGTTATTAGGAGGAACTCTGGCACATACTCAGAGTGAAATGGGAGGCAATCAGAAGGGCTGGGGCAGAGGAATGACACAATTTGACTTATGTTTTAAATACATCCACTGAGTTAAGAATTGACAAAAGGGGAAGTTTTTAAAAACCAGGACTATCAATTCCAAGTCTATGACACTCATCTAGACTACAGATGACGGTGGCTCAGATGTACAAGATAGACTGGCTTCTGGATATATTCTTCAGGTAGACCTGACGAGATTTACTGAGAGATTAGATGTGAAGTGTCAAGACAGAGAGAAAGATGAGTCAAGAATGACACTGAGGTTTTTGGCAGAGCAACTGGAAGAGCTGCCGTTAACCAAAGTAGGAAAGACTACATGAGGTGTAGATTTCAGGAAGGACATCAGTAGCCCAATTTTTGATCTGACAAGTGTGTGATACCCAACAGCTAATCAAATAGAGATGTCAAGTAGGGGAGCTAATATAGAGATCTGAAATTAAGGAGAGAGATCTGAGCTGGAGACATACATTTGGAAATCACTAGCATATACACAGTAGAAAAGGTCACGAGGAGCCAGGCACAGTGGCTCACGCCTGTAATCCCAACACGTCGTGAGGCCAAGGCGGGCAGATTACCTGACGTCAGGAGTTTGAGACCAGCCTGGCCAACATGGGGAAACCCTGTCTCTACTAAAAATACAAAAATTAGCCAGGCACGGTGTCGCGCACCTGTAATCCCAGCTACTAAGGAGGCTGAGGCAGGAGAAGCGCTGGAACCCATGAGGCAGAGGTTGCAATGAGCCAACATCATGCCACTGAACTCCAGCCTGGGTGACAAACTGAGACTCCGTCTTAAAAAAAAAAAAAGTTATGAGAAAGAAGATTGAGGACTCAGCCATGACAAACAACAATGTCCAAAAGGAGAAAGATTAGGAGCAGCAAGCAAAACAGACCATGATGAACGGACTAGAAAGTCAGGAGGAAAAGCCTGAGGGAGTGAGGTCCTGAAAGCCAAGTGAAGACGCCATTAGGGAAGAGATGCCCTCCATTGGCTGAAATATTGCTGACAGATTAAATGAGGTGTAAAGAAAAATGCCTAGATTTATTACAGAAAAGAATTAGTGATAATCTTTTAACACCCCACTGTCAACATTAGACAAATCAACAAGACAGAAAGTTAACAAGGATACCCAGGAATTGAACTCAGCTCTGCACCAAGCAGACCTAATAGACATCTACAGAACTCTCTACCCCAAATCAACAGAATATACATTTTTTTCAGCACCACACCACACCTATTCCAAAATTGACCACACAGTTGGAAGTAAAGCTCTCCTCAGCAAATGTAAAAGAACAGATATTATAACAAACTGTCTCTCAGACCACAGTGCAATCAAACTAGAACTCAGGATTAAGAAACTCACTCAAAACCGCTCAACTACATGGAAACTGAACAACCTGCTCCTGAATGACTACTGGGTACATAATAAAATGAAGGCAGAAATAAAGATGTTCTTTGAAACCAAAGAGAACAAAGACACAACATACCAGAATCTCTGGGTGTGTAGAGGGAAATTTATAGCACTAAATGCCCACATTTAGTGCTATAAATGTGGGCATTTATAGCACTAAAGCAGTGTGTAGAAGGAAATTTATAGCACTAAATGCCCACAAGAGAAAGCAGGAAAGATCCAAAATTGACACCTTAACATCACAATTAAAAGAACTAGAAAAGGAAGAGCAAACACATTCAAACGCTAGCAGAAGGCAAGAAATAACTAAAATCAGAACAGAACTGAAGGAAATAGAGACACAAAAAACCCTTCAAAAAATTAATGAATCCAGGAGCTGGTTTTTTGAAAGGATCAACAAAATTGATAGACCGCTAGCAAGACTAATAAAGAAGAAAAGAGAGAAGAATCAAATGGACGCAATAAAAAATGATAAAGGGGATATCACCACCGATCCCACAGAAATACAATCTACCATCAGAGAATACTACAAACACCTCTATGCAAATAAACTAAAAAATCTAGAAGAAATGGATAAATTCCTGGACACATACACCCTCCCAAGACTAAACCAGGAAGAAGTTGAATCTCTGAATAGACCAATAACAGGCTCTGAAATTGTGGCAATAATCAATAGCTTACCAACCAAAAAGAGTCCAGGACCAGATGGATTCACAGCTGAATTCTACCAGAGGTACAAGGAGGAACTGGTACCATTCCTTCTGAAACTATTCCAATCAATAGAAAAAGAGGGACTCCTCCCTAACTCATTTTATGAGGCCAGCATCATCCTGATACTAAAGCCAGGCAGAGACACAACCAAAAAACAGAATTTTAGACCAATATCCTTGATGAACATTGATGAAAAAATCCTTGATAAAACACTGGCAAACAGAATCCAGCAGCACATCAAAAACCTTATCCACCATGATCAAGTGGGCTTCATCCCTGGGATGCAAAGCTGGTTCAATATATGCAAATCAATAAATGTAATCCAGCATATAAACAGAACCAAAGACAAAAACCACATGATTATCTCAATAGATGCAGAAAAGGCCTTTGACAAAATTCAAAAAAGCTTCATGCTAAAAACTCTCAATAAATTAGGTATTGATGGGACATATTTCAAAATAATAAGAGCTATCTATGACAAACCCACAGCCAAGATCATACTGAATGGGCAAAAACTGGAAGCATTCCCTTTGAAAACTGGCACAAGACAGGGATGCCCTCTCTCACCACTCCTATTCAACATAGTGTTGGAAGTTCTGGCCAGGGCAATTAGGCAGGGGAAGGAAATAAAGGGTATTCAATTAGGAAAAGAGGAAGTCAAATTGTCCCTGTTTGCAGATGACATGATTGTATATCTAGAAAACCCCACTGTCTCAGCCCAAAATCTCCTTAAGCTGATAAGCAACTTCAGCAAAGTCTCAGGATACAACATCAATGTACAAAAATCACAAGCATTCTTATACACCAAAAACAGACAAACAGAGTTAAATCAGCAGTGAACTCCCATTCACAATTGATTCAAAGAGAATAAAATACCTAGGAATCCAACTTACAAGGGACGTGAAGGACCTCTTCAAGGAGAATTACAAACCACTGCTCAAGGAAATAAAAGAGGATACAAACAAATGGAAGAACATTCCATGCTCATGGGTAGGAAGAATCAATATTGTGAAAATGGTCATACTGGCCCAAGGTAATTTATAGATTCAATGCCATCTCGATCAAGCTACCAATGACTTTCTTCACAGAATTGGAAAAAACTACTTTAAAGTTCATATGGAACCAAAAAAGAGCCCACATCACCAAGTCAATCCTAAGCCAAAAGAACAAAGCTGGAGGCATCATGCTACCTGACCTTCAAACTATACTACAAGGCTACAGTAACCAAAAGAGCATGGTACTGGTACCAAAACAGAGATATAGATCAATGGAACAGAACAGAGCCCTCAGAAATAACGCCGCATATCTACAACTATCTGATCTTTGACAAACCTGAGAAAAACAAGCAATGGGGAAAGGATTCCCTATTTAATAAATGGTGCTGGGAAAACTGGCTGGCCATATGTAGAAAGCTGAAACTGGATCCCTTCCTTACACCTTATACAAAAATTAATTCAAGATGGATTAAACACTTAAACGTTAGACCTAAAACCATAAAAACCCTAGAAGAAAACCTAGGCATTACCATTCAGGACATAGGCATGGGCAAGGACTTCATGTCTAAAATACCAAAAGCAATGGCAACAAAAGCCAAAATTGACAAATGGGATCTAATTAAACTAAAGAGCTTCTGCACAGCAAAAGAAACTACCATCAGAGTGAACAGGCAACCTATACAATGGGAGAAAATTTTCACAACCTACTCATCTGACAAAGGGCTAATATCCAGAATCTACAATGAAGTCAAACAAATTTACAAGAAAAAAACAAACAACCCCATCAAAAAGTGGGCGAAGGACATGAACAGACACTTCTCAAAAGAAGACATTTATGAAGCCAAAACACACATGAAAAAATGCTCACCATCACTGGCCATCAGAGAAATGCAAATCAAAACCACAATGAGATACCATCTCGCACCAGTTAGAATGGCAATCATTAAAAAGTCAGGAAACAACAGGTGCTGGAGAGGATGTGGAGAAATACGAATACTTTTACACTGTTGGTGGGACTGTAAACTAGTTCAACCATTGTGGAAGTCAGTGTGGCGATTCCTCAGGGATCTAGAACTAGAAATATCATTTGACCCAGCCATCCCATTACTGGGTATATACCCAAAGGACTATAAATCATGCTGCTATAAAGACACATGCACATGTATGTTTATTGCGGCACTGTTCACAATAGCAAAGACTTGGAACCAACCCAAATGTCCAACAATGATAGACTGGATTAAGAAAATGTGGCACATATACACCATGGAATACTATGCAGCCATAAAAAATGATGAGTTCATGTCCTTTGTAAGGACATGGATGAAATTGGAAATCATCATTCTCAGTAAACTATCGCAAGGACAAAAAACCAAACACCCCATGTTCTCACTCATAGGTGGGAATTGAACAATGAGAACACATGGACACAGGAAGGGGGAACATCACACTCTGGGCACTGTTGTGGGGTGCGGGGAGCGGGGAGGGATAGCATTAGGAGATATACCTAATGCTAAATGACGAGTTGCTGGGTGCAGCACACCAGCATGGCACATGTATACATACGTAACTAACCTGCACATTGTGCACATGTACCCTAAAACTTAAAGTATAATTTAAAAAAATTAGTGATAATCTGGAGGAAAAACAACTCTGGAGGAGTGCTGAAATTGAAGACTTACCGGCATTGAGATCAAGAGTGAATGGAAAGAAAATTTGAGTTCATGAGTGTAGACAGTTCTTTAAGGACAACATACTCAACACTCATGACTGAGAATGATGTAATTTTCGTCCACAGTCATGGAAAAGTGATAGACAAGAAATAGTAGTTTCCAAATTTTACATAACAGGTGGAGTTTTCAAATTTTATGTAACAATTATATATTTTAAAGGTTATAAAAATTATACACATATGGCATTTAAAAATGCCAGACCAAGGTTTTAAAGGCCCCTTGAACATTTCTAGATTACATAAGCTGATTATCATTTTGTTCGTGCTTATACATAAAGACCAAGAAATACTAAAAGTCTCAAGGAGAATATTTCTTGCTTGATAAAAATCAGCTAATTCTAGGACAGTTGACACTCATCAAATATACAAAGTAACTGATCACAGTAAAATACTGAGTTCTATTAACAGGAATAAAGTGGGAGAAATGCAGGAAATAATCTTATTTTATACATGAAGTTTTCAAAATCATATGAAGTCACCGGAAAAATATGGTGAGGTGAATACTGAAATATATCCTTTTCTCAAAGGAAGGATAATGTCACGCACGCAGGGCACTTTTACAAGTAGGAGTCACTGCATTAGCAGCACCTTCCTTTTAGCACTAGGGTCAACAAATAAGCACCTGTGGGCCAAATCCAGCCCACTGCCTGTTTTTTTAAGTCAAGTATCTTGGAACACAGCCATGCTTATTCACTTTACAGTCCATAGTGTCAATTACCTGGGTGTGATGTTGCACACGTGTGGTCCCAGCTAGTAGAGAGGCTGAGGTGGGAGGATCACTAGAGCCCAGAAAGTCGAGGCTGCAGTCAGCCATGATCACACAACTGCACTCCAGCCTGGGAAACAGAGTGAGACCCTGTCTCAAGAAAATACATATATGTAGTCCACAAAGCCTAAAATATTTACCGACTAGCTCTTTGCAGAAAAAGCTGGCCAACTCCTGGTTTAGTAGATCAAAGATTATTTGATGTATTTTAATAAAAGTTTTACCCAATATACTGAAATGTTTATATTAAATACAGATCCCCATGTACAATCCCTTGGCAATATTCAGATTGAGGGTCCCATATTTCAGCACTGACAACAAAAATTTAGTAACTAGCAATCTTGTTGCTAACAAGGTACAGTGTCAATGTAGCATGTAGCTTCCATTTGCAACACAGCAGATACTACAAGAATTCTAACAAGAACTCTTAAGATGTGTCATCAAACTAAACGCTTTAAATACATTTTAATTGTGAAATGATCAGTATACTCTAGATCTAACCTCATTTTTTAAAAATGGTTGCATAATACATTATTTTGGGGGTATGGAAATTGAGCTATTTCCTATTGATAAGGAATTAGAATAGCTCCAAATTTTTTATATAATAATGCTATAATAAATGTCCTTATATGTAAGTATACATGTAACATATCTATACAAATATCCTTTATATGTATTATATATGCTTACTC
This sequence comes from Homo sapiens, assembly GCF_000001405.40. NCBI lineage: Eukaryota > Metazoa > Chordata > Mammalia > Primates > Hominidae > Homo > Homo sapiens. The sequence continues at coordinate 131,612,363 of NC_000002.12, read as the reverse complement.
TGTTATATATGTGTGTTGTGTGAATATGCTACTCAATTAATGTTCAAAATGTATTTACCAACCGTGTATGAAATGTCTTTTTCAATGAAACCATTTCCTTTGCAGCAACACGGATGGAGCTGGAGGCCATTATCCTAAGCAAACTAATGCAGGAACAGAAAATCAAATGCCACATATTCTTACTCATTAGTGGGAACTAAACATGAGAACTCATGGACACAAAGAGGAGAATAACAGGCACCAGGGTCTACTTGAGGGAGGAGCGTGGCAGGAGGGAGACGACCAAAAAACTACCTTTCGAGTATTGTGCTTACTATGTGGCTGATGAAATAATCTGTACCCCAAACCTACATGATACAGTTTACCTATATAATAAACCTGCACATGTACCCCGAAGCTAAAATAAAACTTCACTGAAAAGAGAAGAAAATGCCTTTTCCCTCACATTTGCCAATACTGGTTATTTTTCAAATAAATTAATGACTGGAAAAAAATGTTAACTCATTGTTTGCTGATTTTCATTTTTCTGATTAACAGGCAAGGCTGAATATCCTAGTAAAAGTATAAAATTTGTTCATCATGACTATTAGCCCAAATTAGGATTGGTTTGACAGCACATAGTTACCTCCTGTTCAATGTTGCCACTAGGCTCACCTGTGATACTCTTCATTCTCAGTGTCAGGAAATTGCTGGCTTTCAGGTGTTCTGCTCTTCCTTGGAGGAATTAATCCATCATCACCATTGCCAGCAGCGGCACCATTAGTCAGGTTTTCTGGGAATCCCACATGAGTACTTCCGTGCTTCTTCATTTCTTCTTCAATAGCCATAAAATCTTCTAGCTGGAAAGTACACAGAGTAAGAAATTATCTACTTTAGCCACATTATCTATTGATAATCAGACTAAAACCAAGAAAGATAAAATAATTGGTCCAAAGCTCCTAAAGTGGCATTACCTAGCATTTTACGGCACCATTCGGGATTATTCCATAATAATGAAAGAATATCTCTGGGGTTTGCATCTCTTTAAAATTCAATGTACAGAATTCTGAGTTAAGTATTAAATTTTTCACTGATGATTTATGCTACTTACATGATAGGATCATGTATGCCTACATTTACTACACTTTGTTAAACAACATAGTGTAAAAATCTAATTCAACACAAACATTTGAATATACAGGTATACCTCTCTATCACCATCCTTATTTATTTCTGGTTCTTGAGACATTTTCTGCAGATGCAAAAACAAAAGGTTAATTTCCTTGTTGTATTTCTGTGACGTCTCCTCTTTTGGAGTGCATGTTTTTAAATTAATTTTATTCTTAAGTAATCAAGTATGGACAATAAAAATTAGAAAATAAAATTAAACTGTTAAAATAAATAAATAATAATTAAAATTAAGAATTAACTTTTTAATCTATGTTTAGCTACTGCCACATCACTGGCTTCTAACATGTGAAAAATAATTCACCTTAGACAACGGGAGAAAAAAACATGAACCAGCAAACTTAACTTTGTCACTATTTGTTTGGACTAAATTTAATTTGTTATGTGTTAATCTACCAAAAATGAATCAGCAGATGATTTGTAGTGTTGCAAAATCTTCCTCACTTGCAAAGAGTTTACCTCACGAAACCCTAACTAGTGAGCCCCTACAGTGCACTGAAGTGCTTTTTTAAAAGATCCCTAACTGGATTGTAGGCACCCTTTAAACTATTAGGAGCCAAAATCAACACCAAACAGAAAGAAATGCAAATTCTCAAATTTTAATTAAAATTATATACTGTAATATGATAGTGTTATGTATCCAGATTATCTGCTTAAGTCCAGTTCTAATACATTCTAATGTGTACTAATGACAGCAGATAAAAATTTTTAATCTGTACTGATTTTCTGTAACTGAAATAAATTAGAATATTATTGTGTTTGTGCACTAACACCAAAGGTTCCATTCTGCAAGATATGATCCTTGTAATAGGCAGTTGGGTTGCTTTTATGACCTGGTTCCCTCCCTGAACAGAAACACTGAGGTCAATGAGAGACAAGGCAGAATATATCTTTAACCTTGGTATCAGTGACTGGCAATATAAAACCACAGATTTTCAATCACTGGCCATGATTACTCTTTAACCATGAATCCAGCTCAGGGACCATCAGTGTTACATTGTTCATAATTCCCATTACTTAATCATATGATTCAATAATTGATGTTACTTTCTTTATCATGTTACGGTGTTGTAAAAATAAAAGAACAAACAAAGTTCTGAAATTTGTTTTTGCCTCTATTCCAAAAGGAAAGATAAGCTATAAGCTAATCAAGAAGGCAGATAAGAATATTTTAAAATAAGAGTATTTTAAATTTTATAGTGGGTTATATTGAAGTTAAATATCAAATATTAAATTAGAATCTACTGATTCTTCTGTTAATAAGGTTACTGAATTTATTACAATAAATTTTAAGAATCTATTAAAATATTCTTTTTTTTTTTTTTTTTTTGAGACAGAGTCTTGCTCTGTCACCCAGGCTGGAGTGTAGTGGCGGATCTCGGCTCACTGCAACCTCCACCTCCCGGGTTCATGCCATTCTCCTGCCTCAGCCTCCTGAGTAGCTGGGACTACAGGCACCCGCCACCACACCCAGCTAAGTTTTTGTATTTTTAGTAGAGATGGGGTTTCACCGTGTTAGCCAGGATGGTCTCGATCTCCTGATCTCGTGATCTGCCCACCTCAGCCTCTCAAGGTGCTGGAATTACAGGCGTGAGACACCGCTCCTAGCCAAAAGATTCTTAAAAAAAGAATCTATTGATTCTCAAAGCCTAGTCTCATAGGTAATTTCATTTGGACTATCTAATATTATTAAGGCAAAAAAAAAAACATTAAACCAAAAGTTTAAATTTAAAAGTTTCCATGCCTCTGGCTGGCTGTTTTCACTTCCTTTAAGCTTTTGTGACTCTTCCTCTGATGTCAGCTTTAAGTCTTGTTCTGTTGAAAAATCCATATATTCAGTTAAAATCAACCACTTAGAACAGTTAAAAACTATTGCCTTTTAAAAACAGATTTAAGACATTTCATTTCATAAATTGGGCGTTTAATCTTTCATGAAATTGTCATTTAAGAAAAAATTCTCAAAAACTTCAAAAAACCACTTGGGGAGATACCAGATGTCACCAGATTGAAGACATACAAACATGTCAAAAATTCCCTTACAAATTCATCCACCCAACATCAATGAACAAACCCACCAGAAACACAGCTTCAAAATACAGCAGAAACATATAAAGTGACACAGTATACTGTTCTCCACTTCCTAATAGTACCTTATAAATGATTTCCAAAATCACTGCTGACACCTTTATTAGTGTACAACATCTTCCTAATATCTAAAATGTTTCCCTCCACTATTCTGACACATTTATTTTCATTTTTTTTTTTATGAGTCAGGGTCTTGCTCTGTCACCAGACTGGAATGCAGTGGTGCGATCAGCTCACTGCAACCTCCAACTCCCTGGTTCAAGCGATTCTCCTGCCTCAGTCTCCTGAGTAGCTGTGATTACAGGCAACCACCACCACACCCAGCTGATTTTTGTATTTTTAGTAGATATGGGGTTTCACCATTGGACAGGATGGTCTTGATCTCCTGACCTCGTGATCCTCTCCAGAAGTGCTGGGATTACAGGTGTGAGCCACCACACCTGGCCTTATTTTCATCTTTTGAAACAATGCTATGTGAAGTCTTCCTTGATTCTGCATGTCTTTCCCCAAATAAACAGGTACCTCCTTGCTTGAGGCTGCCTTACTACGTTACTGATTTTTCTACTGCATCTTTACCACCTAAACTGTACATTATTCCTCCATGTCTGTCCCCTCTGCTCCAAGACTGCAGGGGAGAGTCTTGCACATCATCTTTGTAAAAACAATCTTTGTTTTACTCAAAAATTTTTTATTGAGTCCTGCTACATATATGCTAGGCGTTAGGGTCTAAAAAGAATGAAAATAAAGCATGTCAGGGATGGCTTTTCTAGAAAACATGCCCAAGCAGAGACTTAAATATTGAGACTAGCCAGATTAAAAGGGGTAGAGGGCAGGAAAGGGTGACGGCATGCCACGCAGCAGCAAGAGCAGGAGCAAGGCCTGAAAGAGTGAAAGTATTTGCCTACAATAGAAGGATGAGTGAGTAGGGCATTACCAGCAGCTCAGTAATGCCAGAGAAAGGGCACACAGGGAAAAGGGCTAAAGATGGAGAGTGGGGCAGAAGTCAGATTATGAAAGCCTTATGTGTAATTTTAAGATGCTTGGACATTAATGTTCAAGAGTGGTCCTGGGTCCTATCTGCATTAGACATAGATCACTTTAAATGCCAAAACCAATATTACCAGTGAACTATTATTCATTAAGACAAGGTGACAGATAGCTCATGTGGACACAGCTGAGATGATACTATGTAGCAAATTCTAAACAATTCTCATGAACACTTGGAAAGTCAATTCTATAATGAAGTCATACAAATTATAATAAATCAGTAAACATTTGGTTTGGGAAGATGCTTTGTAAAGTTATAGTGCATATGAATACAACTAAGAGTTGTGACTTCAGAGCTGTGACAATAAATCAAAGAAACCACATTGTGTTTGAGTCAGCAATCTTTAGATTTGTATCCAGTCTTCCCATCCAGTCCATAAATTCTAAGTATAATCCTGGCACTCACTCTTAAGTTTACATTAAATACTATCTCATACAAAAAAACATTCTTTCTCTTACTTCTTTTCATTATTCATACGTTGCCTTCTTTAAAGGAAGAACACAAAAATGCAATGCTAAAAAGATTCTGATTGGCTGCAGGCGGCAAGAGGGAAAAACACAAAGCACGTTTTGCAGAAAATGATTTTTTAGAAGTCAGAACTATGACATGAAGCCAAGCAGGGCACTCTAGGACTGAATTTGCTGTGCTGCCTTCATACGCTCCTTGCTCTTTCTTTTCTGGCAGCTGTGACTCACACAGGTCATGGAGAGTATCATTCCCTAAGAGGAACAACTCTGATATTCATCTTTATCTATTAAGTTCATCTGTCCCAATTCTGTGTTCTGTGGATGCTGACTTTCGGTCACGGATGGTGATATACATGGACATTTATCATCAACTTTCAGATTCTTGGATCTTTGACAAGTCTTATTACTGAGAGTCAAACTACCAGGATGCGAGTTATAAATGCTGGTCATCCAATTACCTACTCAAAATATCCTACACGAATATTCTATTAAACTTGCATAGAAAAAAATTAGTCATTCCTGCTGACCTGCTGCTCTTTGTTCTTCTGTATTCACCAGAATATTTCCTACTCTTTCCTCATGTCCAGGTTAAATACTAGTGTACAACCTGGAAACCTGTAAATCTTCTGTCCCCCAAGCCTTTCTCATTCAATTATCACTAGATCATATTGACTATACCTCTCTTCTGCCTCCGTTTTATATTCCCACTGCCACTGGGAACACAAACATTTACAAAATGGCTTTTATTTAAAAGAAAACTGCCAACTCTTAATGTTATTTCTTACATGAAAAAAATTAAGCAAAACAAATGAAAAAGGCATAACGAAGGCTAACATATTTAAATGAGTAACTGAGATTCCTAACGTTATTTACTTCACCATGGACAGGTGAAAACCTTATAATACATTGATACTAGTCCAAGGATGTGTGACATGGAAACTATAGCTGACTACTGCAAAAGCTTCCTTTGTCTCCTGGTTTCTTTACATGGTTATCTTCCATCAATCCCAGGAAACTATAGGCCACAGGCCAAATCCAATCTGCCTTATGGCTTTGTAAATAAAGTTTTATAGGAACTCAGTCATGCCTGTTTGCTTACATATAATCATGGTGGCTTTCACACTACAACAGCAGACAACAGCAGGGTTAAGCAGACATGACAGAGACCACATAGTCTAAAATATTTCCCACCTGGTCCTTTACAGAAAAAGCTTGCTAACCCATTTTACACCATAACCAGAATGCCTTAATACTCAAATTTAATCTTGTGACTCCCCTGCACAAATTTCTCCAATGAGCCCCTGCAGCACACATTGTTGGCTCCCTATCAATAGCCATTCCTCATTCTTTCTTGCAGAAGAAACACAAGTCTATTGGGATATTTATTATCCCAATCCCCCTCCTCAGCCTCAGAAACAGAAATGTTTATTCTAAGCTAATCAGGTATTTGCCTTCCCAGTGCCTGGTTTAGGAATGAGCATGTGGTATGACCCAGCCAACGAAATGTTACAGGAAGCCCCTTGCATGCTTCTAAGTTTTCTCCCTGTTTAAAAGACACACGTGAAGAAAAGCAGCCCTTGTGATGTTGTGTTGTGAGAACATGATGTTTGGAGCTGCTGGGGACTAGCCAACCATGAAAGGAGATGTGAATAAAACACTGTCAACACCACAGCTGAAAGAGGGACAGGTGGGATCCTAGGATATCAATGAACAAAAAAACAATTCTGGTTCCTACTGTTTTAGCCGCTGCTCATCTAGTATTTGCAGTCCAAAGCATTCTACCTGGTAAATTTCCCATGGCCCACAAGATAAGACCTACTCATTTCTATAGTATTAAAAAGTCTATCATAAACTTGCCTTAGCTAACTATTCACCTCTTTCCCAATCTCTGGTATCTCACACTTTTGGTACTAGCAAAAGTGAACTGCTCAGAAACCCTGCAAAGTCCACTCAAGCATCTTGTCTTTTGCACTTGCTGCTCTTTCTGCCAAACAGGCAATCTCATTAGATGTTCCTTCTGGCAAACACACAATCTCACTACATGTTCCTTCTGCCAAACATTCTTCTTCTGCTTCTTTACCTAGAAAAATTCTTCTCTGCATGCTTACCTTAAATCATACCTACATTTTTCCAAAACCTTCATTCCTCATCACATATGTCTGGCACATAATCAATATATAATAAATCATAATTATAAGCTTCCAGTGGGCATCTAGCACACAGTAAGCACTGAATAAAGTAGTAAAATAATGAAAATGACAATGATAATAAGCTCCTGTATGCCTTTTTAGTTGTGTTCTTTAGCATTAGAAAAATGGTTAGTATCTAAAATACATTTGATAGTTATTTGTTAAGTGGACAAGTGAAAACATAAATAGAAATGTTTTCTTTGTAAATTCCATTGAAAAAGCACATAAATGGAGACAGCTCTATTATGAGCACCTTAAAGATCAAAACCACATCTATTCCATCTTTGTCTCCTGTAACTTATAAAACCTAACTTACATAAGCTCTTTGACAAATAGATGGCTAAATTAAAGGTGTCCTCATAAAGTTTGGATTATATAATGTATTAGGTGTCCACAACCAGGTAGCATACTAGCATTTTTGTTAGTGTGAAACATTTTTCTGCTCTTATTATAATCTGCTGAGCCTAGAGTTGGGCAATTTGTATATTTATTATGACAATCTTTTGGCAAATGGTAGCAGAGCACCTTGTTCTAACAAAATTACTGTTATCATGACAATTAGCGCCAGCAGGTAGAAGAACACATCTTGTTCCAACAAAGTAAATATATCTCTTTCCAACTTCAAATGAGGAGGAATGAAGTCAATAATAGTGAGACCTTATTGGGACAAGCATATGTAACATGACTTGTGCTTCAGTGTTCTTTTGTGATCAAAAATTCCTTACTTTTACTTTTTTTATCTATGGTAGGACCACGCAGAGCAGGGGTCCTCAACTCCCAGGCCACAGACTCATACCAGTCCATGGACTATTATGAACCACACCACACAGGAGGAGGTGAGCAGCAGGCAAGCCAGGGAAGCTTTACCTGTACTTACAGCCACACACCATGGCTCATATTACCGCCTGAACTCTGCCTCCAGGCAGATCAGTGATAGCATTAGATACTCATTGGAGCATGAAACCTGTTGTGAACTGCCCATCTGAAGGATCTAGGTTGTGTGCTTCACATGAGAATCTAATGCCTGATGATCTGTCACTGTCTCCCTTTGCCCCCACAAGGGACCATCTAGTTGCAGGGAAACAAGCTCAGAGCTTCCACTGATTCCACATTATGGTAAGTTGTACAATTATTTCATTATATATTACAATGTAATAATAATATAAAGTAGCACAATAAGTATAATGTGACTGAATAATCCTGAAACCATCCCCACCTTCCCCCAGCCCATGGAAAGATTGTCTTCCACAAAACTGGTCCCTGGTGCCAAAAAGGTTGGGGACAACTAACCTAAAGTAATTCACTAACACAAGTCTTACCTGGATTGCTGTTTTCAGAAGAGATTTTTAACATCTGTTTTTCTTTGTAGTCAGAAAGTAACTGGCAAATTCTATGTGTAAAAATGTAATAAACCAAATTACTATTTTAATACTGATATAAAAAATACTTACCAAATGTAAAACTCTTAAGCATATTTCAAACAATATCAGAATATCAGAACCCAACAGTATTATCCCGTCCACTTATAAGTACATTCTACAAACTTCTCTTTAAGCTTCTAATTAAAGAAGAAAAAAATGTAAGCTGAAATACTCATAAATCAAGGGCACTGTGACCCAGTAAATTAGCTCACATTAACCTGATATAATAGAAAGTGTCCCAACTCTGCATAAGTCCTAGCTCCATAATGAATAACTATTTGTTCTTGGACAACTTGCTTCTCTTAGGCTCAATGTCTTCTTCAACAAAGTGAGGACTTTGCTGCCTTATTTCACTAGGTTGTTACAAAGATTTAACAAGATAACATTTTTTAAAAGCTGAGAGAAATAGTAAAGCAATGGAATAATTTGTTCCTAAACTTTATGACCGAAATTATCTTGGAATCCCAAATAAAACCCAATGCGTATTTTGTTCATAGGTTCTAATATGCAAACGTTGTAGTTTTCAGAAGATATTATTAAGTCCTAATTTTGCTTCTTAGTTGTCCTACTCCTTATGGCTTATAATTCAGTGCATCTCAACTATGTGATAGTTTGTAACTAAATTTATTCCTAAATATCTCATTAAAGTAGATAATGTGATTGTCCACTATTACGGAGTTGATCAATCACGCCAAGGGCAGAAAAACCAATGGATGTTAAGACCTGGTTTGGACCAACGATCCTTCTCTACAGACTCAAACTCTCAGCCAGCAGATGTTTGTTAGGATAATGCTTTATATTGATGTTCAGTTACAGCTGACATGGGAGACCAAAAGTCTACTTTTATTTTTTTTAGTTTCCACGGAGAAGTAGCAAGCTGACATTCTGTGATTTTCGACATACATACTAACAATATATTTTGCACCAAACACGTTATTCAGCTCAAAGTCATCTCATAGACCATCTTATATGACTCTTTTTGCCGCGCAAATCACAATTTCAATATTTGGGTGGCACCCATTTTGCTTTGATTCACACTATTTCCTTAGAGCTAGTCAGCAAATAGTCAAATGACCTTCCAGTGACTGCACAAAATATGGAATGCTTCAAAGATCTGTGCTGCCTCCTTATGCAGAAGCCACGCTAACTTTCCCCGTATTGTTCCAATTTTAGGATATGTGCCGCCGAAGCAAGCACAAAGCCCTACTTTTACACATGATTAGTGATGCGTCATGGACAAGGCTTGGCTCTGTTGAGTCCAACTAACCTACTTGAGATTCTGAGATTTCTCTTCAATGGCTTCCTGTGAGCTAGAGTTTGAAAATATTTTAAAATCTTGAGCTAGAGATGGAAGTAGCTTCAACGATTTTCATTATCATGTAAATCAGATCACTCAAGGGGCCAACCACAGCTGGGAGCCACTGCTCAGGGCAAGGTTCATATGGGACTTTCTACTGCCCAAGGTTCTATACAGGATATAAAGGTGCCTCACAGTACAGATCTGGTAGCAAAAAGGAAACAAACACTGATCTCTTTCTGCCACATTATTTGAACCCCTCTCACCCTTTAGAACAAGCCCAACTAATATCTGCCAGAGAAAAGACCAACAACAGCCTCAAAGGATCTCTTACCATGAAGGTCTCAGCTAATTCCTAGCTAAGATGTGGGTTCCACATTAGGTTCTGAATATGTGGGGAAGGGTCAATTTGCTCACTTTGTGTGCGGATAAAGTCAGGATGCCCAGCGGCCAGAGCAGGGGGCTGGTCCTCTGGGAACAATGGCTGAGCATATAAGCATAGGTATGGGAACTAAAAAACATGAAAGTCACTGTATGAATCACCATGAAGACTTGAGGGATCTGAATCTACTGATTCATCTTAAGACAGCAGGACCAGTTTGAGTGGCAACAATGCAGCAACAGAATCAATGGAAACAACAGAATGATTGCAATGTCCTTTTTTTTCCTCCTCCTTCTGACTTGATAAAAGGGACTGTCTTCCTTGGATTTAGTAAACCCCTTCGGTTCTTGAAAAATTCAAGGAGTATGTAGGACATAGTCCCCAGAAAACAGTACAAGACTTTCTGCTAAACTGGACATTTCAAGACCCAAATAACTAATCAGAAAAATTAAAGATGTGACACTCTTTTTTATCCCTGCATAGGTGTTACACTTGGATCAAATGAACAATGCTGGGATCTCTAAGGATAAAGATCTTAAAAGTCCTGAGATAAAGAATCCTGCACCCATTGGCACTTCTAACTTGTCTTGCTTTTTGTCTGATTTCTGGCTGATGCAAGGGACTAACTCACTGACACGCGAAAACTACCTGAACCAAACTATGACATCTCACCTGATATGTAAGATGCAACTGTTATAATTATTTTAAACCTCAATTTAGCATTAACTAGCCTTTTAATGTAAACACTTACACATGATGATGACTAGAAACAGCATACTCTCTGGCCGTCTGTCCAGATCTTGAGAAGATACATCAATATTTTGCTCAAGTAGAGGGCTGACTATATTTGCTGATCCACAACATACAGCAAGTATGAGAGCAGTTCTAAAATGACAGAGATAGGAACTGTAATAAAGTTATTTTTAAAGCTAATCTGATATACTTTACCAATGTAAGACCTTGCCTGTCCGTGCAGAATCAAACATTTACATGCAATAAAAGACATAAGCATCTTGAGGGCTCAAGTGTTCATCTTTCTAAAATACCACAAAGGTTAAAAGACAGGGACAAAAAAAAGCCTCTCATCTCAGTGGGGTATTGCATAGCAGAAGCTACTAATTTAACGTCCTTTGATGGGCAAGAAACAATGTTAGGGCCACTTATCTGAAGTGGACAAAGATTTAAGTGAAGATTTTGTCACAGCTTCCCTAGACTGATATGCTGTAATAGAAAATCAGCTAGGGGGTAAGAGAAATAAGAGCTCTCTGCATGCTCAAAGCAGTATTAATAATGGTAAGAATAGTAGTCGTAGGAGTTTCAGTTAATGGTGCCAATAACCATGTGCTAGGCACTGAATTAAATGCCACATGTATCTTTCTTACTTATGCACAGCCAACTTTGAAGGATATATTCTCCTACTTTTCATATATGACAACATATTTGGTGGTAAATAACGTCCCCAAGGTCACACACCTAGCAAGTAAGAAAGTTAGGAATTAACCCAGTCTTGTGTGAATCCAAAGCCTAGCTCTTTTCTCTTTATCACCCACCTACGGCTTGCCTTCATTAAAGGAAAAGTGTATCCACTTAAAACTATCTTCACTCCCTCTCTCCATACCAATTAAAAATAAAAATAAAAAATACACTAGAAATAAAAAAGGAAAAAAGCTGTTGAACCCACAGTATGTGGGAACAGCAATTAATTGTCATGTAGAGATAAGCTAACATTAATATTCTTCAAAGAAAGCAACTTAAAGCAGAGTCATTGAAAAGACAAAAGGATTTTCAACCCCTATTTATGTTTAATACAGCATATTTAGTGGAAAAGCATGTAAGACACGGAGGTTAAAAACTATTAGAAAGGGTTAAGAAGTTCAATACTGAGTCATAAAGTAAACTAAAAGTTAAAGTTCAAACTTCATTAAATTAATATGAAATCCCTTTAGCTAACATAAGATCATGTAACCAAAAATGTCATATAACAAATAACATCAGTCAATATAATGAGAAGATGAATCCTATTAAAACTGATCTTTATGTTGCCCAGTCCAAGTAATTGTTTTTCTACCTAACTGATTTGTGTTGATACTGATCACTATATCCCAGTAAGTATACATTAATCTTATTAATTTAATATTTATGACTTGAGTGACTGCTATCCATCTAGAACACACAGATTAAAAGAAAGAACTATACCTTCCATATCTATCCAGTGCATTTAAATTCGCTTTTTTCTTGATTAAAAATTTCACCACTTGCTGTTTTTGCTCATGTATACCAAGTAGCAGTGGTGTGAGGCCATGCTGTAAAACAATATAAAGCAAAAACCTATGTAATTCAAAAAAGTACATATTCCTCAACTGAAGTGGAAACTTTATATAAGATCTTATGGACTTACACGCATAGGAAGTAAATAAAATGTAGTCGCTTCCTTCTCACTCTTCTGTGCTTTCCCACACGCTGCTCCTTCCCTTGGAAACACCCCTTCTCTGCCTCACCACAGTAACTCTAATCATCTCAAAAACTCACTTTAAACATTTACTGCTTCCAAGGCTCTTTGCTTCTAACTCAGCATTTGGCATGGTGTTATTGGATGATAATATTTTTCCCATCTAAACAAAGAGCTCCTTGAGGGCAGGGGCTGTATCTTTTGTCTCTATATCCTCAACCCTAAGACAAATTGTGTATAAAGCAAGAATCTGCATGTAAAGTATTTCTTTAGTTTCATGTTTTACCAAAAGTTCAACCTCCAACATGCAACAAAAATTGCTATTAAAACTCATACTGCCCATTTGAAAAAATTTTCCAACATTTATTTATTTAAAATCTATTTGTATTTAATTTTCCCAGATTGTTAACTAAATCATCAGTTCATAGGACTACTGAAACTAAATTAACAGAATTCCTATCTGTATTCTTAATAACTCCATGGTTTTTAGTGTTTAAAACTGCCATTCTGATTATGCCAAAGCTCTACATACTTAAGAGACACACTGGATAGTCCATAATACAGCGTCAATTGACAAAAAATGGTTTAGAATTTGCTACAATTCTAATTGAGAAAACTCTGCTCTTAACGACTTACTGACCTAAGCACTTGAATGACTGAACAAAGAGACATAAAATCCTGAGAGGGCCATCCTCTACTTATTGAAAGACTACTCACAGCAAATTTCTAAAGACCTTCTGAATGGCAGTGAATAACTGATGGTAGGAAGGAAAAGATATTATTCTGTAAGCTGATACATACTACCAATAATATTCATTTTAATGTCTCAACCACAGAGATAAAAGTCAGACTAGGCCAGGAATGGTGGCTCACACCTGTAATCCTAGCATTTGGGGAGGCTGAGGTGGGTGAATCGCTTGAGCCCAGGAGTTCAAGACCAGCCTGAGAAACATGGCAAAACCTCATCTCCACTTAAAAAAAAAAAAAAAAAAAACTGAGATTGGAGGAACATCTGAGCTTGGGGAGGTCGAGGCTGCAGTGAGCTGTGATCACACCACTGCACTCCAGCCTGGGAAACAGAGTGAGACCCCATCTCGGGGGAAAAAAAAAAAAAAAGTCAGATTAATGTTATTGGAAAGGAAAGATTTAAAGAAATCAGCACATATCCAACCCCAACTCTTCTAGAGATACCTTAAGTTTCTGAGACATAAGAATTTACATATTACATTTATGTATTGAGTGGTTCTTAAGCAGGAGTGTATCCAGATTTTGAGAAAATTGTTGTTGCTGTTGTTGTTAGAGACAGGGTCTCATTATGTTGACCAGGCTAGACTCGAATTCCTGAGCTCAAGCAATCCTCCCACCTCAGCCTCCCTAGCAGCTGGGACTACAGCCATGCACCACCATGCCTGGCTTCAAGGAAACATTTTCAAATATACATATCCAGGATTTATTAGACTTACTGTATCAAAATATTCAGAAAAAGCCTAGACTTGTTGATTATTTAAACATTTTCCTCAGGTTACTGGGATGCACAATTCTAGCTGAAAGCTAGTGCAACAGACAATTATTTCAGTCTCATTTCTCACCCACATGACCAATTCCCTTTCTCATTTGAAGATTTGGCCAAAAAGAGTAAGGAGTAGGAGAGAGACCCATTTGCTGAAAACACCACATGATTTTCCCCAGTAAGAGAAGAACAGGGTCTAGTCAACTCAAAATCCAACTTGATTTTGTTACTTATTTATCTTCTACCTTCCCATCCAGACACACTAGATTTGAAAGCAGAGCTGAGACTCTAATTGGCCATTTCTACCAGAATAGGATACTAAGTCAGTTAATTACTTGATATTCCCTCTGCTCAAGGGTTTCCTCTTACATTACCACCTGTTCACTGCCTATCTGGTTCCTCAGAGGCCTCCTAAAATTGATCTCTATTCAGTTTCCAACCCACTAACTCCCTCTCCCAAACTGAAAAGTGTCGTTCTTTAAAATTGAAGAGAACCTTGTCTCACCATACAAAGGAAACAAATCAATCAACAACAACAACAACACACACACACACAACTTCTTCGTGGTCTTTTCCCTCTATTACTTAATTTCCAAATTGGCCTTGATATTTCTGATTGCTCTCTTTTTCCCTTTCCACTTCTGCCTCATGAGCAATCAGAAATATCTTAAACCTTGCCACTGACAGGCGCATCACCTCGTATCTATTACTGTTTTTTAGGAACTTGCCAAAGGAGCAGGATCTCTATTCACTGAAACATGTTTAACTTTTCTTGGAGTTTTCATGTAAAACCTATTTCAGGGCAAATTTTGCCATCTTACATTCATTAGGGGAAAAAAATCCTAGGAGGGAAAAATTGAAAAATAGTAAGTATTACCTTTTACAAATTCAGTGTTTTCAACAAAAGTATTTACCAGAAGTGCATTTAAAAAAAAAAAACTGTACCCTCTAATGCTTCTTTGAAAATAACAATATTTAAAATAAAGTCTTAGATAATTAGGTCATTTCAAAATATTTTCATTCAAGTTATGCTTGAGCTTCCAAATACGGAAGACTGGCCCTTACACAGGTCAATGTTAAAATGAATGCATTTCAGTATTTTGAAGATAAAATTGGTAGATCTATACCTTGTTTTTTGATTCGATATCAGCACCGTATAAGAGCAGTGCTTTGGCCATTAATTTATCTTCATTGTAGACAGCATAGTGTAGAGTGGTATTTCCATACTCATCTGGAATATTTGGATCAGTGCCATGTTCCAGCAACATTAACGCACATTCATCTTCCTGGCATTGTACGGCCTGTCAGTATTAGACCAAAAACAAATTACAAATCTTAGGAATTCAAAATAACATTCCACAGCTTTCACCAACTAGTTATATTTAAAGCAGAAAACTCATTTTTATGCTATGTATTGAAATCAAACCCACCTCACGCTGATAGAGTTGGCTACTGCATACCTTTGTCAGAGCTGTCCTCTTTTTGTTGTCAAGGACATTAAGTTGACATCGTCTGTCCAGCACGAGTTTTACTACTTCTGAATTCCCATTGGCAGACGCCAGATGTAGAGCAGTCCTGTGAGAGTGACAAGACTTTTTAGGAAATTGTAGTGCACTAGCTACAGCCACATTAATGATTCATGTACTTGCAAACACTGAATAGCCTGCTATTACTCTGCCTTCAAAACAAACATTTAACTTTCCCATGAAAAAAGCACACTATTTTCTCTCATTGCTCGCTGTATTAATGAAAGAGCAGCCTATATGAATACAAAGAGCATAGCCCTTGGATGACATTCAACTTGGGCTGGAATCCTACTTGAAGCTCTGTCACTTCCTAGCTGTTGCTTAGCCTTTTGGGGTCTCAGTTTCCTCATCAATAAAATAGGAATGAGAATAGTAGCTTTCTCACAGGAAACCACCGTAATGCTTAAATGAGACTCTGCACAAAAGATATAGAATAGTTCCTAACACAAATAACAGCTCAATAATTGTTAGATATTATAATTTTTACTGATACCACTAAAGACAACATTTGAATTGAGATGATACAATTATACCTACACTGAGGTGTGTTTTAAATATTACAGCTAACATTGTATTTTAGTGATTCTGAGATGATCATTGTCTCCATGTTGTCTCCACTGAAATACCACTTACAATTCATGATTTACTATAATTGGCGGCATTTAAATAATTCTCTTATTGAGACATAAAATAATGGGGCATCATACAATCCCTGGTGTCTTACATTAAGTAGAATATGTTATAACAGGTCTGGGGCGGTTCCAGTCAGATGACCAGCATTTAGATAAATTTTAGTTCTTAAAAGAACCATGGAATAAGAAAGCTGAGGCGAAAACAAAAATAAATTTCTAAAATAAACCAATTCTTACTTTGGTTTTCAATAAACTTTAAGCCAAAGAAAACTTGGAATTCAAATGAATAGCATGGGCTCATTTTTGTCAATACTTAGATTTATACAATATATCTACATCAGGTATTTCCAATCATTCATATTAGGATTTAAGACTGTTATAAATGTTCTCTTTTTAAAATGGATTTATGAAACTATTTGTGGAGCTTTTTTCAACTTTTACATTCAGGGGTACGTGTGCCGGATGTGCAGGTTTGTTACATAGGTAAACGTGCACCAAGGGGGTTGGTTGTACAGATTATTTCATTACCCAGGTGTTAAGCCCAGTACCCGTTCGTTCTATTTCCTGCTTCCTTCCCTCTTCCCACCCTCCACCCTCTGATAGGCCCCAGTGCGTGTTGCTTCCCTCTAGGTATCTGTGTGTTCTCATCATTTAGCTCCCACCTGTAATTGAGAACATGCAGTATTTGGTTTTCTCTTCCTATGTTAGTTTGCTAAGGATAATGGCTTTCAACACCATCCATGTCCCTGCAAAGCACATGCTCTCGTTCCTTCTTTTATGGCTGCATAGTATTCCATGCTGTTTATGTACCACATTTTAGTTCTTAAAACAACTAAAACAGTCTTTATCCAAGACTTGCAAATTTTCAAAAGGGCAGTTAAGGGGTGTCTTTTACTATTTTCTACCTTCAGAAATGCTTCTGTTTGAAAGGAGGGAGGAAAAGCTTCAACTGAGATTAAGTCCTAATGCACCAATTTTAAATCTCTCAGCTTGCTCAAGCCCAGCAGGTAAACATGAAGTTTTCAAAGATGGAAGGATCCTGAGAGACAGTAGAATATGCCTGCCACATAACAGGTGTCTGGCTTATGTCTGATGACTAAATGGATTGAAAGAATGGATAAACACAGCTTGGGAGTTCAGTATTTTTAAAGAAAACTCCTGTAGAGTAGGGCAATACATTTCCAATAGTAACAGTCATTTATATTTGCTATTTTAATTTTCATAAATATATAACTCAACTGAAATAATTCATACTTTTTACATGTTAATCTATATATAATGAAAAAATAATTATGTAATAAAATGTATATATAATAAAATCTACAGGAACAGGTAAACACGACCCCTCTACTTCTGAAGAGGGTAAAAGTTCACAGAAGATAGCCAACCACAGAAAGAAAAATAAATAATAGAATGTGATAAATTATTCGCATCTATGCAAGAAGCATATTCCTTCTCTTCCCAAGGATTATTTCATTACTAATGAACCTTAACTAAAACCTCAGATGTTCACTGCAGAAATCACAGATAAGAGAAAGGGAAAAACTTCACTTACAAATCCCCAGAAACAAGTTTGATTGTATTTTCTACAGGTTTTCAGCTAACACAAGCAGATTCTGTTCGTGTATATGTGTAACAAACTGACTTTTTTCTCACTTGTTATAGCAAAGTACATCTTTGCACGTCGACATATCTCTGTAACTACTGACACCCTCAATAGTTACATATTATTCCATCCTATGGATGCACTGAAATTTGTTCATGAAATCTTTATATGGGTTCTTCTAAATACACTGCTATTTTAATCAATACTAAGAAAAACAGACATCTATTTGGTAAAGATATTTCAGTATAATGGAATTGATGAGTAAAAAGCATAACATTTTTAAAATGTGGTTCTTACCACTAAAGTGTCTGTTTGAAGCGCTGTAGCAATTTAAACTTTAAACAACTATATAAGTACCACTGTTCTTCATCCTCACAAACTTTGTGGATAGAAAACAGTATTTCATGCCTTTTTGTTTTGTTTTGTTTTGAGATGGAGTCTCACTCTATCACCCAGGCTGGAATGTAGTGGCACGATCTCGGCTCACTGCAACCTCCACCTCCCTGGTTCAAGCAATTCTCTTGCTTCAGCCTCCTGAGTAGCTGGGATTACAGGTGTGTGCCACCATGCCCAGCTAATTTTTTGTATTTTTAGTAGAGATGGGATTTCACCACACTGGCCAGGCTGGTCTCAAACTCCTGACTTCATGATCCACTTGCCTCAGCCTCCTAAAGTGCTGGGATAACAGGCGTAAGCCACTGCACCCAGCCTTTCATTCCTCTTCTAACTTAAATAGAAAACAGTATTTCATTCCTCTTCTAACTTATATTCCTTCTTCCACCAGGAACGTTATCTTTTCCTATGTGCATAGGTCACTGGTAGATATGCAAAAAAGTACTTTGCCCAATTTTAAAATGAGCTTATTTTATTATAACTGCATATATAGGCCAGGCACAGTGGCTCACGCCTGTAACCCCAGCACTTTGGGAGACCAAGGTGGGTGGATCACGAGGACAGGAATTCAAGACCAGCCTGGCCAAGATGGTGAAACCACATCTCTACTAAAAATACAAAACAATTAGCCAGGCGTGGTGGCAGACACCTGTAATCCCAGCTATTCAGTAGGCTGAAGCAGAGAATTGCTTGAACCTAGGAGGCAGAGGCTGCAGTGAGCCAAGATCACACCACTGCACTCCAGCCTGGGCAACAGAATGAGACTCCATCAAAAAAAAAAAAGTATATATATATATATATCTGCATATATAAATAGGCATTTGTGTTTTCTTCTGGTATGTTTCTCTTTCTGTATATTTAAAATTTTTAATCTATACTCTTATTTCTGTGACATAAAAATCTAGCTAGTTTTCTCCAAAAATGAATTATGAACAATCCATCTTTTTTAAATAATACAAAACATCACCATTATCAAGTGCTAAATTCTTACATATATTTGGGTATTTCTAAATTTCCTATTCTGTTCTATTCATTGATGTCTTTTCAGCTGTTAGTAAACAATTTGTGGAAATAAATAACATGCACATTTTGATATCTGGAAAAGCAATCCTTTTTCCATTCTGTTACAAAAAATTAGTTTATCACAATAATAAAAGACAGCATGTGTAATTTAAAAACGCTAAAACTTTGCTATTTTTATTTGGCTTAGGTAAAAGTGCTAAATAAAAAAAGCTCACATCTTTTTGGGTTTTTTTGTTTTTTTTTTTTTGAGATGGAGTCTCACTCTGTCTCCCAGGCTGGAGTGCAGTGGCGCTATCTCAGCTCACTGCAAGCTCCATCTCCCAGGTTCATGCCATTCTCCTGCCTCAGCCTCCTGAGTAGCTGGGACTACAGGCACCTGCCACCGCACCCGGCTAATTGTTTTTATATTTTTTAGTAGAGATGGGGTTTCACCGTATTAGCCAGGATGGTCTCGATCTCCTGTCCTCGTGATCTGCCCGTCTAGGACTCCCAAAGTGCTGGGATTACAGGCATGAGCCACCGCGCCCGGCCAAAAAGCTCACATCTTAAGAAAATTCAATCTTCCTATTCAAGCACAGGAACCATCTTCCCATTTCAGTTTCCTTCTAAGGTTCCTCAGTAAAGAACATATTTACATAGTGTACATTGATATAAAATCCATACTGGATTTTATTTGAAGAATATTTAGCCCTGAAGTTGATGTGTTATGGGGCTTTGTTCTTAGTTCTCAATATACAGTTTTCTGTAAGGTATAGAACATTGTTTTACAATCTGTAGATTAAAAAAATCTGCTGCATCGATAATTTTGCAAGTTAAATCACTTTAAAACAGTCTATTAGTGTTCTACGAGGCAAATTATAACTTGATCGGAAATCAGCTAAAGTTTTGTTTTTGTGTTGCTGCTCATAAAGGGGCCTGTGCCCTAACCTCTCTGAGGTTTCCACATCCAGGGTGGTGTGAGGCCTGCGGAGGCGAGAAAGCCAGGTCCCCCTCCTCCCCCATCAGGACGGTATGTCCCCATCATCCCCCCAAGTCCCACCTCCTCCCAGCCCAGGCCTGGTTACCTCTTTTGCTTGTCCCTCTTGTTCACATCAGTGTCCCTGAGCATGACGATGAGATCCTTTCTGGGGACTTTACCCCACCAGGCAGCTCTGTGGAGCTTGTCCAGATCTTCTCCATGGACGTGGTACCTGGGATCCATGAAGGCGCTGTCATCGTAGTCTCCCCAAGCGCCCACGTTGCTCTTGCCGCTCCCCCTGCAGCAGGGGAAGCAGTGGCAGCACCACTTGCACCTCTTGCTCCCAAGCGTCTTCACAGAGGAGTCGTTGCGGTCTCCAGAAGTGCCCACGTTGCTCTTGCCGCTCCCCCTGCAGCAGGGAAAGCAGTGGCAGCACCACTTGCCCATCTTGCTCCTGAGACCAAATGGCTTCTTCACAGAAGAGGCAGCCGGCATTGAATCAACCTCAGCCACCATCTGCTTTTAACAGCCAGGAGAAACCAGTAGTAGCCAGCAGATCCCTTCTACCAACCAGTTTCACCAACTAGCAGGTAACTCCGGGTTTCCAATCTGTTTGAAGAGAAAAGTCAATCCCTGCCAACCCCAGCAGGGGATCCCAGCACAGCCCACCCCACCCCAGGAAAACCCACACCCACCCGGGGAAAGCCCACGCCCCCTGGGGGCGACCCCACGCCCACCCCAGGAAGGGCCAACCCCCCCGGAGAAAACACCCAGCCCACCCAAAGGAATGCCAAACCCAGCAGAGAAAAGGTCAAGTCCAGCAAAGGAACGCGAGAGAGGAAACGTCAATCCAAGGAGGAAACGTCAATCCAAGGAGGAAGCGTCAATCCAAGCGACCAACGCCAAGCCAAGCAAAGAATGCAAAGCCAAGCCAAGCCGCTACATGCCAGCCAAGCCGTTAACGCGCGTGCAGCATGCACGTGCAAGCCGTTACAGGGCAGCCAAGCCGTTACGCGCGTGCGGCGTGCGCCTGCAAGCCGTTACAGGCCAGTCTGACGGTTATGCGGGGGCGGCGTGCGCGTGCAAGCCGTTACAAGCCAGCCAAGCCGCTGCCGCGCGTGCGACGTGCGCGTGCGGTGTGCACATCTCAGGGGGCGTCAGTGTACGTGGCACAGACACTGGCCGATGCGTGCAACCCACGTGCTTAAGTCTTGGCGCCAGGAATGTCACTGACAGCCCTGTGTTCCCGGCAAACTTTGTGGGAGTCAGCTGAGCTTTCAGGCCATTGAGAAGCCGCTGGTGAAAAAAAAAAGCCTCTTGAAGGAGGACTGGGGCTAAGCAGCTGGAACTTGAGGATGCTGACAGCCTCCCCTGAAGAAAGCCCCCAGGACACTCCTGGCGGTGCTGTTGTGCATGGCAGCAGCTGCAGCTCGGAGCTCGGGCTGGCGGAGCTGGCTGCAAATGGCCTCAAAATCATGGAGCACAAGACGCCCATTAAGCCCAGCGCCTGCCTGAGGTGCCTTCGACACCTGCTCCTCTTTGCTCCGCACCCAGAACAGAACATGAGGCCATCAGCGAGGGGGCATTTGGGGCCACAGGATTGCAGCCAGCTCCTGCCCTGGTGCCCCCTGCCCAGTGTCCAAGCCAGGGCCAACAGCTGTGGGGCTTCTGGCCTGGGGGGCTCTGCTCCACTGGCATGCAATAGGGTCAAGGTGCAGACCGCTGTGTCCAGGCCGGCATGAGGGGGCTTGGAGGAGCACCTACCACTCTGATGGGGAGATGCAGAAAGGCAACCCCATGTGCAGATCCTGGGAACAGGACACTGAGCCTCCCTGGTGCTGGCCTCTGAGCTGGACCAGGGCAAGTAGCACCTCGACCCTCCTACCGGGACCCTCCTGCTGCAAAGCTTTATGCAGCCAGGCTCCAGGCTGCTTCACCCAAACCACAGGTGCTTTGGTGTGGGAGGAAAAATGGATTCTGAGCCTGGACACCAACCTACTCTTACCAAAAGAAGTAGAGGGGAAGCCAATCACAAGTGCAAAAAAAAAAAAGTACTATTTTGTAACTGAAGTCTTATGAAGGGTTAAGCTACCTTGCTTGATACTAAAAAGAGGAGCTTGATACTAAAGCTCCTCTTGCTTGATACTAAATTAAACTTTGAATGAAACAAAAAGAAGACACATACACTAAATTTCCTTGTCCCTCTGTGATCCCCTGAGCCAGGAAGCAAGGGGAAGCCTGGCCTCCTGGACTCTCTCCCCAGCTGGGGGCTGAATAGTTTCCTCCAGGGTCACAGGGAGCAGCTGGGCTCAGTGGGGCCAGGCTGCCCTTCCTTCCTACATGGGCGTTCTCAAACCTTCCATTGCCCCACACAGAGTGCCATGATCCGGGTTCAAATCCCAGCTCTGGCACTTGCCACCTGTGTTACCTGGCAAATGCCTTACCACCCAGGCACTTGCTGTCTGTGTCCTTCCTGACAGGAGGGATGGGAGCTGGTGGCCCTGGCATGAAGCGCTGTTAACAGTCAAACACAAGCAGGAGCAGGCAGACACCTGGGTGGGGGACTGCCCTGCTGGGGGTGCTCACCAAAGAGCACCTCCCCATCTGCCCACGTGGCCTTGCACGTCTCAACACTTATCAGGCACCTGACTACAGGAAATCCCTGAACAAAGCCCTGAGCTGCCCTGGGGAATGTGACCAGGGCGATGGACCAGGAAGGACAGTCTGGGGTGCTTGGCATGAGTGAGGATAGGCTGGGGAAATGCCAACCTCTTCCACCAGCTTTGCATCCCAGGGCACCCTCAGTGGACAGAGAACCCAGAGATGCCACAAGGCTTGAGCTGCATCCTAACCATCCTGAGTTCCAGCCCAGCCATGGCCCCGGCCCGGGGGTACTTTGGGTGCTAAGTTGGGATGACGAGGGGCCAGGTGACACTCCTGTGTTCCAGGATCCGGTCAAGAAGGTGGTACCCTGTCACTGCCTGGCTCCGTCTGGTCCCAGTGGAACAAGAAGGGCAGGAAGCCTCTAGCACCCACCCTCTGGGCCACCAACACCCAGGTCCACAGTGTGGCCACCTGAGTCAGCACCACCTGCCTCGGGGACCAGAGCATGAAGGCTCAGATACGAGGAGCATAGCGCAGCAGTGGATGCAGGTATGCAGGATGTGCTGTGCGGATCCAAGGAGCCCCTCTCTGGAGGCTTGGGCATAACCTCTCCATCTTATTGACACATAATATTTTACCTCTTTGTAAGGTACATACAAATACTTGTTACATGCATAAAATGCGTATTCTGGTTACTTTGAATATTTACACATAATAATATTACTTAGCCACCACAGCCTGCTGTCAAACATTACAGCCTATTTCTTCTAAATGTAGGTTTGTACCCAATAACCAACTTCTCTTCATTCTCCCTTCCACATACCCAGTCTTCCTGGCCTCTGGTACTGCCATTGTATTCTCTGTTTCCATGGGATCAAGTTTTTTTAGCTCTCACGTGAGTGAGAACCCGTAGTATTTGTCCTTCTGTCTCTGAAAATGTTTCTGAAAATGACACGATTTCCTTATTTGTTATGCCAAATAGTATTTTACTGTGTCTATTTAGCACATCTTATCCACTCATCTGTTGATGAATACTTGGATTGATCCTGTGTCTTTGCTATTGTGAATAATGCTGTGATAAACACGAGCATGCAAGTTCCCCTTTGTTACACTGAACTCTTTCCTTTGGATAAATACCCCCCCAGTGAGATTGCTGGACCATAGAGTAGTTCTATTTTTTCTTTTTTTCGAATTCTCTATACTGGTTTCCATCATGCTTGTACTGATTTGCATTCCTACTGACAGTGTAGCAGAGTTTCCTTTTCTCTTCATTCTCACCAGCATCTGTTATTTTTTGTCTTTTTAATAATACCCATACTAACTGAGGTGAGATAATATCCCACTGTGGTTTTGATTTGCATTTCCCTGATCAATGAAGTTGAGCAGTTTCTCATATACATCTTAGCCATTTGTATGTCTCTATTCCTGTCCTTTGCCTATTTTTAATGGCATTGATTTTTTAACTTTTGAGGAGTCTGAGTTCCTTCTATACTCTGCACATTAGTTCCCTGTCAGGTGAGTAATTTGCAAATATTTTCTCCCACTCCAGGGGCTGTCTCTTCACTGTGTTGATTCTTTTGCTGTGCAGAAGTTATAGCCCACTCAACTATTTTTGCTTTTGGTGCCTGTGCTTTTGAGATTTCATCCATAAATTATCTGCCTAAGCCGATGTTCTGAAGAGTTTTCTCTATGTTTTTCTAGTAGTTTTATAGTTTCAGGTCTGACATTTAAGTCTTTTTTTCTTTTTTTGAGACGGAGTCTGGCTCTGTCACCAGATTGGAGTGCAGTGGCGCAATCTCAGCTCACTGCAACCTCCGCCGCCCGGGTTCAAGTGGTTCTCCTGCCTCCCGAGTAGCTGGGACTACAGGCACCCACCACCATGCACAGCTAATTTTTGTATTTTTAGTAGAGACGGGCCATGTTGGCCAGGATGGTATTGATCTCTTGACCTCGTGATCCACCCACCTCGGCCTCCCAAAGTGTTGGGATTACAGATATGAGCCACTGCGCCCGGCCCTAAGTCTTTAATCTACCTTGAATTGGTTCCTATTTCCAACCTGAGACAGGGAAGAAGTTCACAATGACTTTGCTGAGATAGTAAGCTGACTGCATAGTTACTAAGGGGGCATTTTTATATACTTCTTTCACAGGAACAAAGAAGCCAAGTCATTCCCTACCCGAATTAAATGTATGATTTTTAAAGAGGAAGCCTTGAGAATTTAACCCAATCTAACCATTACTCCAAATTATTTGGTAAACTGTGTCACTTTAGGTGGAGGAAGGTAAGAATTACGGGAACGTGAATTCTTTAAAAATCCATAAAAATGTACTGTGCTTGGAGACAAACTTGTAAGTTATTGCCCCTTTACAATGATTTGATGTCAAAAATACCGTAATATATTACTACTTTTATTTGATCAGATTTTTAACTGATTAAAGATTTGGTCTTAATCACTATTTTACAAAATAAATGCTCACTCTGAGCGTATAGTTCTACAGCCAGTTTTTAGGAACTTAAAATTTTTATATAATTTCAAAAGTCACAAGAATAGTACCAAGAATCCTCCTCCTTCTCTTAACCAAGACTCACCAATTTCTAAAATTTGTAGAAATTTGCTCCATTTTGTCCCATTTGCTTTGTCTGTTTACATACCTCTTTTAATGATTTCAGTGTAAACTATAGACATAATTACCCCAAAGTGTGCATTTCCTAAGGGTATTCTTTTACACAACTCTAGAATAATTATTAAAATCGGGAATTACTGTTATTATTTTTTGAGACAGGCTGTCACCCAGGCTGGAATGCAGTGGTGCAGTCTTGTCTAACTGCAGCCTCAACCTCCCAGGCTCAAGCAATTCTCCCACCTCAGCCTTCTGTGTAGCTGGGACTACAGGAGTGTGCTACCATGACTGGCCAAGTTCTGTATTTTTGGTAGAGATGAGGGGTCTCACCATGTTGCCCAGGCTGGTCTCCACTCTTGGCCTCAAGCGATCCTCCTGCCTCAAGCTCCCAAAGTGCTAGGATTACAGGCCTGAGCCACCATACCTGGCCTGATCCCAGTTTTAGAAAAACTCTGTAACTAAATTTAGATGAAAATATATGAATATGTTCAGTGATTGCTTTCACATTTTCTAAACTGTGCTTTTTTATATCATTGAGAGTCTTCAATAAATGTACTTTGGTTTCAAATATTTTCTTGAAGTCAGACATATTTCGCTGTGACCTAGAACAGTTCTTCTCACAGCATCCCCTCCCTGCAAACTGCAGGTCTTGAGGTCAGTGGCGCTTGACTCTAGGGACTCTATGTTCTTCCTTGGATCCAGGCCCTAACTCAGGGGATGGTGGCACCACCTCCTGCCCAACTCTCAGCTGCCTGCACTGCTGGTCATGGGTGAGAGGATGGCCTGCCCCAGATGAGTGTCAGTGTGTGTGTTTGTGTGCTTTTGCTGCATTTCTTGTGTCTTGCTTTTGTCATCTCTTTCTCCCTTTCCTCCCTGAGGCCTGCATAGGGCAGCTGTGCTACCCACCTCTGAATGTGGGGTGAGCTGTGGCCCAGGCCTGGGTGCCTGCTGGGACCTCCCAGGAGATGTGTGGAAGCAGACACCAGGCGGGCTCAGACACTCTAATGGGTACACTTGTGCCTTGTTCTGTCCCTGTCATTTGAGGCCATTTTGGCCAATGGGAAAGCAGACCCCTCTGGCAGAAAAAGGTCCACTTTGCCTCAGGCTGGGGTGGCAACTCTGCCTGCAGGTTGGACCCGTGGGGTCTCATCGTGAACCCCCATGGGCGAGTGACACTGGGAAAACTAGAGGACGTGTGGGTTCTGCCTGCTGTCTTTGCGTGTGGAGACAGGGTCCTGCCAACCAGTCTCCTGAAGGGGGAACTGCCTCCTGTGGGTGCCATGTGTGCCAGAATCCAAGCATGGGTGTGCACAGGGGCGGCTGAGCCCACTCACAACCCAGGACAGAGTTGCTTGGCTGTTTTGGGGCTGGGAGAGATCTCGAAAAGCCTACCAGACCCAGCATCATCAGTGGCTCTCCCACTCTCAATGCCTTGGTCTTTCTGCTTTTTTGGCTGTCACATTGGCACATTTCTTGGTGCCACCAAAACAACTCAAAATAATCTCTTTTCAGTCATGCCTGCATAACATAATTGGCTTCAGGTTTCCTGAAAACAGAGAAGGTGAAAATCCAGAAAAAAGGGCTACTTGTTTTCTTCCTCTGATGGTCCAGCCTGTCTTCAACCACAGGACTCCACGCTGGCCTGGGGTCTGAGCCTCCTGGTTCAGTCACTGTCTAGCTTCGATCAAAACCATGAGCAACTGAAGCAGAATATGGAAGTGGAAAATGCTCTGGGTTGTCCCCATGTTGGGAAATTATTGTCCAACAAACGAGTAGCTGTCCAAAGCACTGCAAGACAACCAGTGTGCCTTGGAGCTTGTCAGAGGAAGCGTTCAAGAGTCTCATTCAGCAAGTCTCACTTCTTCTTTATGTTCTAAATCACAACACAGAATCACAGGCCAGGCTTGCAAGAAGCGAACATTAACTTCTATCCACATGTACTTAGCCAGGGCTCATTTGAATGGCCACATGTAGCAGCAAAGAGGCTGGAAAGGAGTGTAATGGTGTGACTAGTGGAAAGAGGAGACAGGTTTGTTGTTCTTCACCCCATGTATACTAAGGATGTTTTTAGAAAAAAAAAGAAAAACTTTTTTTTGCTCAAGCACAGTTTATGCAACAAAATGGGATTCAGAATCTAATTTCACAAAATAAATCCAGAGGAGAGACTTGAAGGAAAAGGGCAAAGATATAACTCAATAAAGCCCATAACATCACAGAATACGGTGATGGTGATGGTTTCTAACCTTGAGAAAGTAAGTGGGTTCTTCAGTTTCTAAAATTTATTTATCAGTTCTTGAACCCAAGAAATCAAAATAGATCATAACAGAAAAAAATGACCTAGCTTTCACCTAGACAAGTTAGAAAATGCAGAAGTAGCCTGGCAGAACTACAACCATCTGACCTTTGACAAAACCACAGAAATAAGAAATAAAGAAAAGGCTCACTATGCAACGAATGGCGCTCAGATACATGACTAGCCATGTGCAGGAGAATTAACACTGCAGCCCTGCTTCTCATCATATGGAAAATTAACTCAAGATCAACCAAAGATTGAAATAGAAGACTTCAAATATAAAAGTCCTAACAGACAACCTATCAAACACCTTTCTCAACATAGGCTTTTGCAAACCACTTAGACAATTTAGTACCCAAAAGAAATGC
Source organism: Homo sapiens (assembly GCF_000001405.40). Classification (NCBI taxonomy): domain Eukaryota; kingdom Metazoa; phylum Chordata; class Mammalia; order Primates; family Hominidae; genus Homo; species Homo sapiens. The sequence goes on along the minus strand of NC_000002.12, from coordinate 131,584,323 downwards.
AAGAAAAAACAAAAAGTACAAGTCTGGCCGAAGAAACTACAGACCTGCTGGACAGCAAAGCAACTGCCAACACAGTAAACACACAGCCTACATGATGGGAGAAAATGTTCCCAAACCAAGCATCTGACCAAGTTCTAAAGCCAGAATCTAGAGGACCTTACCTAAATCAAGAAGCAGAAAAATAACACAAGTAAAAAATGGGCAAATGACACAAACACACTAGTCAAAACAAGACTTAAAAAAGACCAACAGACAGGAGAAAATGCTCAACATCCCTAATCATCAGAGATGAGGTACCAGTGCCATCACACACCAGTCAGAATGGCCATTTGTCCAAACACAAAACATATTTGTGTAGCAGTAGATAAAAGCAAACACAGCTACACTCTTGGGGTAATGCAAACTAGGTCTCAAACTGTGGAGAGCAGTTTCAAGATTTCTCAACAACAACAACAAAGAGGGAAAGGAAGCAGAGATACCCTTCGACCCAGCAATCCAACCCTGTGTATCCACCCAAGGGAAAAATACATGTGTCTATCAAAAAGACACAGACATTTGCATGTTCACGGGAGTGCTACTCACAGGAATAAAGACGTGGACCTGACCTAGATGCCCAACAACAGAAAATGAGATGTTTTTAAATGTGATACCTATACACCACAGAATACTAAGAAGCCACCAAGGAAAATCAAACACAGAAACAAAATCATGCCCACAGCATCAACACAGACAGAACTGCAGGCCACTCTGCTAAGCGAACTCAGGCAAGAGCAGAAGACCAAACACCGCAGGTTTTCACTTACAGGCAGAAACTCAACACCGAATACACACGAACGTAAAGATGAAATCAACAGATGCTGGGTACTACCAGACAGAAAAAGGAGGGAGACAGGAAGCCTTGGAGGAAGAATGATCCAACTGGTGCTGTGTTCACCGCCTGGGTGATGGGTACGCTAGGACCTCAAGCATACAAAGTCTGCTATATAGCCATGTAGTGAAATGAACCTGCAGGCGTCCACCCCTCGATCACAATAAAAGTAGCTATCATTTTAGAAAACCCAGTTTTGGAAATAGAAATAGAAAAAAAGGAAGAAAATACAAAAAAACACACAAAACGAAAGAAAAAGCCTACAGTGGCCCAATCCATCCATTAGTGGCATGAACACAGAAAGATAACCAAATGGACACAACGAAGGAGCCAAATAATCAGCCCACAATTATAAACACTGAATCCATAGGATTCTTGCTTTTCCCCCAAAAGCACACCAAAAGCACAATGGTTGAAGAAACTGGGGGGTCACATGCAAAGGACTGAAATAAACCCTTCCCTTACACAAGACACAAAAAGCGACACAAAATCCACTGAACACTAAAGGGCAATTGTGAAACCAAAACCTCCAAGGAAAACACATAGGGTGCATGTCTAGTGTGGGAAAACTTGAACCTGTGCACCTAAGCCACAAACAGAAAACACATAGGAATCAAATACCCATAGACCATACAATGGCTTCGCCATCTTGCTTTTCTTCTCAAAGGGACACAGAAATCACCGCTAACAAAAGCTAATGTGACCATGTGAGACTAAGGACAACTTCAGAGCTTCACATAGCTTCAACACTGGAGAGAAAACAGTGAACCCAACAGAAGACATCCCACAGACTGGGAGAAAATTATGGAAAACTGTGGATCTGGAAGGGCTTCTTATCTGATATATTCAAGAAACTAATGGTCCCAAGTGGACAAAAACACAAAAACCAATACACATGCTAAAATTGCCCAAAAGACTGGCATAGGCATTTCTGAAAAAACCTGCAACAGACTCGCGGGTAATAGAAGTTCCTCCACATCAGTAATCATCCCCTAAATGCAAATCCCAACCACACTCAGATACTGCCAAACTCCCCAGAGAACGAGTATGACCAGGAACAGCAATAAAACCTTTTGAAGATAAGGGCAGTGTAGATTTGCAGACAGAGAAACTCTCACACACTATTGGTAGGAATGCAAATTTGTATACCCACTGGGAGAGACAGCAGGAGGTTTCTGAAACAACAATACAACTACCAGTTCCCGTAGCCATCCCAACATTGGGTATACCAGCAAAGCCAAGGAACCTTGTAACTTAAGGAGATATTTGCCTTCCCGTGTTTGATGAAGTACTCCGGACAATAACCAGGGTATGGAAGTAACCTACCTGTCCATCCAGGGAGGAAGAAATGCAGGAAATGAAAGATGCATGCACGATGGTATACTCCTCAGCCATCAAACTTCTGGACAGCAGGTCACTTCCAGCAAGGTGGAGAAAGCTGAAGGACATTAAGTCAAAGGAAATGAGCCAGGCAGAGGAAGACAAACACAAACACAGCACGATCTCACGCGCATGGAATCTAATGAAATGCATCTCACAAAGGAGCAACGTCAATAGTGGGTACCAGAGGCTGAGGGGAGGCTTGGAAACAGCTACAAAGTGACGCTCAGATGAATGGCAAGAATTCTGGTGTTCTACAGCTTAGCAGGGTGACTAGGCTTAACAGTCTCCTAGCATGATATTCAATATAGCGGGAAGGGGTGATCGGGATACTCTCTCCACCAAGAAATCCTCACTATAGCCTGAAACAGAGACACGAGGTCCTGTAATTTGATCACAACAGCACTGATCCATATGTCAAATGGTCCCTTGCGCCCTTAAAGTAAAAGCATAGACCATGTGAAATTTTTGTTTTCAAATAGGATCACAACATATTTCTGAAAGTCCTGTGGGACAATGAAGTGCCGCGCACTCCCAAAGCAGTTCCTACACACACAGTCGGTGGAGCCATCACACTCTTCCACTTTAACCTACTTCCCAAAGCTTTAGTTACCCAGATTCCTACACACACAAACTCGGTGGAGCCATCACATGCTTCCACTTTAAATTACTTCCCAAAGCTTTAGTTACCCAGATGATTTGTGATAGGCCTTAGCAGAGAAACACAGACCAGGGGACACAATGAAGGTGCCTAGGAGTAAGTTCAAATTGGTATAGCCTAAGCACATGTTTAGAAAGAACCACAAACGTCACCACAAGAAGGGAGAGTCTGTCCAATACAGCGTTCTGAGAACTGGATATCCCTAGGCAAAATAACAACATAGGGTCCTTATTGTGTGAAATTCACAATCATCTATTCAACATGAATGAAAGACCTATACCCAAAACTTGAAACTATCACTCTCTGAGAAGAAAGTATATGGTGTGTGGATACCTGGGCCAACCTGGATCTATGCTTACAATTTGCAAAAAGGAAAATGAAAACAATATGGGGGAAAGAAAATACAAACAACAAACAAGCAAAACTCACAATAGATTGGTATGCTAGTGAATGTCCTTTATTTCATCAGTAACCAATGTAGTGGAAAACCACAACACTGCACACCCCTGAATCTGCATCAGACTCATCAGACTATATGGCTTGGGGGAAAGAAAGAATGAAAACAATGAATGAAAAGAAACAAACATCCAACGGATGATAAGAAAGGTATAGGGGAAAACACAGCTAAGGAGATTTTTTTTAGAAAAGGTGTAAGTAACTAACACTACTAACTAGCAGAAAAGAGAAGGTAATTAGCAAACCAAAATTGGGCAAAGAAACCAAAGAGTCTTTTCTGCAAAGAACACCTAAAACTGAAAACAAATGTACTTAACACCTAGTAGTTAATATCACTAATCATAAGAAAAATGAAAATCAGAACAAGACTCAGATATCGTGTCCCTCTCAAAGGAAAGAGTATTACAAAGAACTTCATATATCTTAAAAGAAGGGAAACCACAAATGTTGCTGTGAATTTCCAGAGAGGAGAGCTCTCTTGTCCACAACTGTTGACAAGGTAAATTAGTGCGCACACTACAGAGGCCACCTGGAGGTTCCTCTAAAAACTAAAAATACAACGACCATTTCACTGAGCCGCGCTACCACTGGGTGTGCACTGGTAGCATACGTCATCAGTACACAGAAGACACATCTGCCTTCCCATGCTGCCTGTGGAACCAGTCGCAATAGCCAGGATAAGGAATCAACCTACCTGTCCACCCACAGAGGATGAGATCCAGAAACCACAATATCCATTCACAAACAAACACTTTTCAGCCAGACACAGGTACTGAAATCATGTCATCTGCGGCAACATGGTGGAACCTGGTAAATGAAACACACTAGGTAATGAAACACACATTATGGTAAATGAAATACTAAGCAGAGAAAGACAAACCTCACATTACCTCACTCATGGGGAATCTAAGACCCTTTAATCTCACATAGACCTACAAAGCACCACAGTGCTTGCCAGGGTTGGAACAGAAGGCTGGGCACGGGTGGGGATAGGAAACAGGTACAAAGTGACATGCTGCGTAAGAGGAATGAAACCTGCTGTTCTATTCCTCAGCAGGGTGACTAGAGAAAACTTTACCAGAGGATAGTTTTCAAGGCAGCCAGAAAGAAGAGTTCTGGCTCTCCTCAACTCAAAGACAGGAACACTCTACAAGGCAAAAAATGACACTATATACCCTGATTTCATCACTATCTGATGCATGCATGGATCCAAATATTCCACTCTACCCTCTACTTGTACACCTTTAGGATGGGTCGATTTTGTTTTTTGAAAGCAATGTGAAGAAACAATGAATGCTAAAATTCCCATGGGACCACGAAATGCTCTGAAACTCCAAAGCCATGCTGGGAGATCCAGACGATGTCAGATGGACCACGATCTCCAATTTCAAATTTCACAGAAAAGCTACAGACCCACCTCCACCTAGACAGAATAGGAAACCCAGAAGCAACCCACATACCTGCAACCATCTGACCTTTGAAACACCAAAATTCAGACGTGGAAAGGGCTCACTGTGCGATGAAAGGCACTGGGATAGTGTCTAGCCACTTGCAGATGAACAACACTGGAGCCTCACCTCTCACAAGATGCAAAAACTAACTCAAGGTGAATGAAAGATTTCAGCAGAAGACCGCAAACTATACAAGTCCTACAAGAAAAACTAGGAAATACCTTTCTCAACACAGGCTTTGGTAAAGAATTTAGATGACTTGGTCCCTAAAAACAACAGCAAGAAAAACCAAAATGGACAAGTTGGGCCTAAGAAACTAAAACACTGCCAGATAGCAAAATAAATCACCAGCACAGTAAAAACATAGCCTACAGGATGGGAGAAAATGTTCCCAAACTACGCTTCTGACCAAGGTCTAATAGCCAGACTCTAACATGACCTTAAAAAAATCAAGAGGCAGAAAAACAAATAATCAAACAATGGGCAAAAAGACATGGAGACATACTTGTAAAAAAAAAAAGACGTACAAGTGACCAATAGACAAGAAAAAAACATCAACATCACTCATCATCAGAGAAATGCAACTCACACGCACACTGAGATACCATCTCAAGTCGGTCAGAATGGCCATTTGTCCTAAGTCCAAGCATTTACATGGTGGCAAGGCAGCAGAGGAAAGCAAACACTGCTACACTCTTGGTAGGAATAAAAACTAGTCTCCCACTATAAGAAGTAGCTTGGAAGTTCCTCAAAGAACTTAGAAATACCATCCAAATGAGCAATCGCATAACTGGGTATCTACACAAAGGAAAATAAATCATAAATCCTTCTTTCAAAATGACACAGGCATGGATGTGTTCTTGGAAGTGCTATTCACATGAAAAAATAAAATAAAATCGACCTATGTCCCCCCTTAACAGTTGATTAGATGTTTTAAAGTGTTGTACATAGATACCGCAAAATCCTACACAGCTTAAAAAAAAATTCGTGCTCTCAGCAGCAAGAAGGATGAAACTGCAGGCCACTATGCTAAGCAAACTAAGGAAAGAACAGAAAACCAAATACCACATGTTCTCGCTTAGGGTGAAAATACCCATAGAAAATACAATGACTTTGCCATCTCTTTTTTTCTCTCTCTCTGTCTCTCTCATGAGACACAGAAATCCATGCTGACAAAAGCAAATATAAACCTGTGAGACCAACGCTTTAGAGCTTCTGCATGGGGGAGAAAACATGATCCCAAAGAGAAAGTATTCTACCTTGGCGGACAGGATGACTGGGGGAAAACTGTGGAAAATCGTAATTTTGGAAGGGGTTGCTATCTAACATACTCAAACACTAAAGCTACTAAGTGGGGAAAAGATTTTTAAAAAATACACAAGCTAAAAATATGCAACGGACCTGCGCAACCACTTCTGCAAAGGACATGAAACTGATTCACAGGTGAAACTAAAGATTCTCCACATCACTAATCACTCCAAACATGTAAGTCAGAATCACACTCTGATATCAGATGCCATCAAACTACACTGAGAATGAGTATTACCAAAACAGCAATAAAAATTTTGGATGGCAGCAACCTGTGTAGACTTACAGAAAGGGAAACTCGTATATGCTACTGATGTTGATGTAAGTTGGTGTATATACTGTGAAAAAAACTTGGGAGTTTCTCACACTGGGTATGCATTTAAAGCAAAGGCAGCTGGTTCCGTAAAAAAACTATCTGCCTTCCCATGCTTTAAGAAGCGCACGGAGCTTGCAGTGAGCCGAGATTGCGCCACTGCAGTCCGCAGTCCGACCTGGGCGACAGAGCGAGACTCCGTCTCAAAAAAAAAAAAAAAAAAAAAAGAAGCGCTATTCACAATATAGGAGATATGGAATCAACCTACCTACCCAATCACACATCAAGAGATGAAGACACTGCAGTATATCTGCACAACGTAATACTCTTCATCCATAACAAAATAATATAATTTTCCTCTGGAGCCATATGGATGAACCTGAAAAATATATTGTTAAATAAAATAAGCCTGGCATAGAAAAACAAGCAAATTCATCTCACTTATATGGAATCCAAAAACTTTGCCTTCATTAAGTAAAAGGTACAGTAGTGGTTTTCTGAGGAGAGGGGAAGGAGGAGATGGAAGGATTGGTTATGGAAACAAAGTTGCAGTTAGTTGGGACAAATACATTCTTGTGTTCTATACCACAGCTGGGTGACTCTGGTTAACAAAATAGGACATTTTTCAAAAAAGCTGGAAGGGAGCAATTTGAATGTTATCACAACAGAGAAATAATACCTGTATGAGAGAACAGATAGAGCAAGTACCCTGATTTGATCATTACTAAAAATATACATTTACCAAAATGTCCCAGAGGAAAAACAGTCCCAGCAGACTCTCTAATTATATACTTTATTATGCACAGAAATTTAAGAAATGTGAATACACAATGCTAATGATCACATGGAAATGGCCCTGAATGTCTAAGGAACCCTGAGAAATAGAAACTAAGTTGGAGGACTCACAATCCCTGATATGCCGCTGTGCTCCAGCCTGGGTAAGAGAATGAGACTCTGTCTCAAAAAAAATTGTTAGGAAATTTGAGGGAATCGTAGAAGTGACAAATTGTTGTTACCAAACATGTACACAGAAAAAAGCAATACTAAATAGCATAAAATACATATCCAAACTCATATTGAGCACAGAACTTGAATAGAGATATCTACAAAGATGACATAAAACTAACAGGTCAGAGAAAAGGTCCTCAACATCACTATTCATCAAAAAAAAGTACTTCAAAACCAAACTCAGATGTCATTTCACTCTTATTGAAATGAATGTTACTAAAGAGATTAAAAAAATTTTTTTGAGACAGGGACTCTGTCACTCAGGCTGGAGTGCAGTGGCATGATCATGGCTCACTGCAGCCTTGACCTCTCCAGCACAAGTGATCCTCCCACCTCTGCCTCCTGAATAGCTGGAACTACAGGCACACACCACCACGCCTGGCTAATTTTTCATATTTTTTTGTAGAGAAGAAGTTTTGCCATGTTGCCTAGGCTGGTCTCAAATTCTTTGGCTCAAGTGATCTGCCCACCTTGGCCTCCCAAAGTGCTTGGATTACAGGCATGAACCATAATGCTTGGCCATAAAAAAACACGCATGGCTACCTCAAAGTGAAGTTTTTGCAAGGAAAAGGAAACAATGAGCCCAAAGAGAAAGGCTGGGAGAACGTTTTGAGGAATCACCTATCAGCTAAGGGGTTGTTACAGAAAATATGCCACACACTAACAGTACTAAAATGATCCATCCAAAACCGAGCAGGGAACCTGAATACACATTTCTGCAAAGAAGACATTAAACCACACGGAAGGGAGCTTCCCCCAGTCAGGTGGCCCTGACTAGAGGGACAGAATTAGGCAGATGCTGCCGGGGCGGGGATGGGGGGCGGGAGGGTGTTGAGAAAAGTGACCCCTGTGTCCCGACGGCTGGGAAACAAATGTAAAAATTCAGTAGACCACGTGCAGTAGTTCATGCCTGTAATCCCGGCACTTTGGGAAGCCAAGGTGAGAGGATTGCTTTAAGCTCAGAAGTTTGAGACCAGCCTGGGCACCATGGTGAAACCCTGTCTCTATCAAAAATACATGAAAAACAAAATTCAGCAGACCGGGAACAGTAGTTCACACCTGTAATCCCAGCACTTAGGGAAGCCGAAGCAGGAGGATTGCTTTGAGCTCAGAAGTTCGAGAGCTCAAAATGGGCAACATGGTGAAACCCCGTGGCTACCAAAAATACAAAAAAAAAAAAAAAATAGCGGGCATGGTGGCACAGGCCCAGCTACTGGGGAGGCTGAGGCTGGAGAATCCCTTGAGCCCAGAAAGTGGAGGCTGCAGTGAGCTGAGATCTGACACTGCACTCCAGCATGGGCAACAGGGCCAGACCCTATCTCCAAAAAAATAAAAACAATTAAAAAAATCAGCAAACCCTAGAGGGGGCTGGGATCCTTTCCTTCCACCTGAGGCGTGGATGCAAGGCAGCCTAACTGGAGCCTGGCCCCAAAACCCCACCTGGGCCGGGCTTCCCCCTCCTCCCACAGCCAGAGCTTTCCTCTCTCTCCATCTACAAGGGGAGTCTCCCTCAGAAACAGCCCTAAAGCCCCCTACTCTTTCCAACCTCAAAAGCCCTCAGGGAATGAGTACTACTGTAAAATTCATACTAAGATGGAAAGAGAAAAAAGAAAAGGAGAACCCAGCAGGACTACGTAGAACATTCCAGAAAACGAAAGCTTCTGTACTCACTATGAAGGAAGAACTCCCCGAAGAAGCCAGTCGCAGAGAAGCCACACTGAAGCTCTGTCCTCAGCCATCAGCGCCACGGACAGGAGGTGTTTCTTCCCCAGGATGCAGCCTCAAGTTATCCCGAAGCTGCCGCGGCACACGGTGGCTCCTGAGAACACCCCAGCTCTTCCGGTCTAACACAGGCAAGTCAATAAATGTGATAATCACATAAACAGAATTAAAAGCAAAGTCACATAAGCATCTCAACAGACACAGAAAAGGCATTTGACAAAATCCAGCATCCGTTTATAATTAAAACCCTCAGCAAAACAGGCATAGAAGGGACATACCTTAAGGTAATAAAAACCACCTATGACAAGCCCACAGCCAACATAATACTAAATGGGGAAAAGTTAGAAGCATTTCCTCTGAGAACTGCAACAATAAATACAAGGATGCCCACTCTCACCACTTCTATTCAACATAGCACTGACAATCCCAGCCAGAGCAATCGAATGAGAGAAAGAAATAAAGGGCATCCAGATCGGTAAAGAGGAAGTCAAATTGTCTCTGTTTGCTGATGATATGGATTGTATACCTAGAAAACCCTAAAGACTCCTCCAAAAAGCTCCTAAAACTGATAAATAATTTCAGCAAAAATTCAGGACACAAAATTAATGTACCCAAATCAAAAGATCTGCTATACACCAATAATGTGCAAGCTGAGAATCAGATCAAGAATTCAACCCCTTTTACAATAGCTGCAAAAAAATAAAATAAAATACTTTGGAATATACCTAACAAGGAAGTAAAAGACCTCTACAAGGAAAACTACAAAACACTGCTGAAAGAAATCACAGATGACGTAAATGGAAACACCTCTCATGCTCATGGATGGGTAAAATCAATATTGCAAAAATGACCATAACATCAAAAGCAATTTATAAATTCAAAGCAATTTCCATCAAAGTATCACCATCATCCTTCACAGAACTAAAAAAGATAATTTGAAAATTCATATGGAACCAAAAAAGAGCCCGCATAGCCAAAGCAAGACTAAGCGGAAAGAACAAATCTGGAGGCATTACATTACCTGGCTTCAATCTATACTACAAGGCCATAGTCAGCAAAACAGCATGATACTGGTATAAAAATAGGCACATAGACCAATGAAACAGAATAGAGAACCCAGAAATAAACCCAAATACTTACAGTCAACTGATCTTTGACAAAGCAAACAAAAACATAAAGTCGGGAAAGGACAATCTACTCAACATATGGTGCTTGGATAATTGGCAAGCTACATCCCAAGAAATGAAACTGGATCCCCATCTCTTACCTTATACAAAAGTCAACTTAAATCTGAGACCTGAAACCATAAAAATTCTACAAGGTAACATTGGAAAACCCCTTCTACACATTGGCTTAGGCAGAGACTTCATGACCAAGAAGCCAAAAGCAAGTGTGACAACAAAATGAAGATAAACAGGTGAGACTTAATTAAACCAAAAAGTTTCTGCACAGCAAAAGAAACAATTAGCAGAGTAAACAGACAACCCACAGAATGGGAGAAAATCTTCACAATCTATACATCTGACAAAGGACTAATATCCAGAATCTACAAAGAACTCAGCAGAAAAAAAACCAATCCCTTCAAATAATGGGATAAGGACTTAAATAGACAATTCTCAAAAGAAGATATAAAAATGGCCAACAAACATGAAAAAATGCTCATCATCACTAATGATCAGGGAAATGCAAATCAAAACCACAATGCCATGCCACCTTACTCCTGGCAAGAATGGCCATAATCAAAACATCAAAAAATAATAAATGTGGGTGGGGATATGGTGAAAAAATAACACTTTTACACCGCTGGTGGAAATGTAAACTAGTACAACCACTACGGTAAACTGCGTGGAAATTTCTTAAAGAACTAGGAGTAGAACTACCATTTAATCCAGCAATTCCATTACTGAGTTATCTACCAGAGGAAAAGAAGTCATTATATGAAAAAGATACTTGTACACACATGTTTACAGCAGCACAATTCACAACTGCAAAAATATTTAACCAGCCAAATGCCCATCAATCAATGAGATTAAGATATTATGATATATATTATAGATATAGTATACACACACACACCCCCACCCACCCACCATGGAATACTATTCAGCCATAAAAAGGAAAAAAATAATGGCATTCACAGCAAGATGACATCAGAGACTACTATTCTAAGTAACTTAAGAATGGAAAACCAAACACAGTATGCTCTCACCCGCAAGTGGGAGCTAAGCTATGAGGATGCAAAGGCATTAAAATACTACAATGGGCTTTGGGGACTTGGGGGAAAGGGTGGGAAGCGGGTGAGGAATAAAAGACTACAAACTGGATACAGCGTATTCTGCTCAGGTGTTGGGTGCACCAAAATCTCACTAACCACCTCTAAAGAACTTACTCATATAATCAAACACCACCTGTTCCCCAAAAACCTATGGAAATAAAAAAATACAATAAACAGAAGTTTTTGTATATCTATGTAAGCATATCACATATTTTTTTATTTTTCACAGGTTCATTGAGATATAATTTATATATTATTTAATTCACTCTTTTAAAGTGTAAACTTTAATTTTTTAGAGTATTAACTAGGTGGATAAACAATCACAATGTAATTTTAGAACATTTTTATGCTCCTTAAAAGAAACCTTGCACCCATTAGCAATCTTTCCCCATTTTCCCCACTCTTCCTTTAAACCCCTCCCAGCCCTAGGCAACCATCCATCTACTTCCTAACTAAGGATTTGCCTGTTCTGGACATCTCATGTAAATGGAATCATAATAATATATAGTTACATGTGACTCACTGCTTTCACTTCTGTTTTCAATGTTCATCCTTTTTGGAGCATGTATTAATACCTTTTTCCTTTTTTATTGCCAAATACTATTATATTTTATGGACAGACCACATTTTATTAATCCACTCCGCAATTCATGGACATTGCTGTTATTTCCTACTTCTTGTTGCTACAAATACTTGTATGCTACTTTTTGTGTAGGCATTTGTTTTAATTTCTTTTTGGTGTATACACAGGAGTTAATTTACTGAGTCATGTGGTAATTCTGTATTTATCCTTTTGAAGAACTGCCAGACTGTTTTAAAGTCTCGTCAGCTGTGTATAAGGGTTTCAATTTTTCACATATTTTTTATCCATTCTTCAGTTGATAAACACTTAGGTTGTTTCTAAATCACAGCTATTATGAATAACTCTGCAATGAACATGAAATTGCAGTTGTCTCTTTGACATACTGATTTTAAGTTCTTTAGACATATATCCAGAAGATGCACTGATGAATCATAATGTGAATATATTTATAAATTCTTGAGAAAGCTTCATACTATTTTCCAAGTTGGTGGTAATAATTTCAATTCTGACCAACAGTATACAATGGTTTTCTCCACATTCTAATCAACAGTTATATTCCATCATTTTTTAATTTTTTTATTTATTTATTTACTGAGATGAAGTCTTGCTCTGTCACCCAGGCTGGAGTGCAGTGGCACGATCTTGGCTCACTGCAACCTCTACCTCCCAGGTTCAAGCGATTCTTCTGCCTCACCCTCCCGAGTAGCTGGAATTACAGGTGCGTGCCACCACGCCCAGCTAATTTTTTGTATTTTTAGTAGAGACGGGGATTCACCATGTTGGCCAGGCTGGTCTGGAACTCCTGACCTCAGGCAATCCACCTGCCTTGGACTCCCAAAGTGCTGGGATTTCAGGTGTGAGCCACCGTGCCCGGCCACATCTTTTTATAATAACCTCAGTAACATCTATGAGGTAATATCTTCGTGGTTTTGACTTCTATTTCTCTAATAATTGGGAATGTTGATGTTTTTTATCAACATTTTTAATAAAAATCTGGCCTTCTGTATGTCTGTTTTTAGAAAATGTCTATTCAAGTCCTTTACTTATTTTTTAGTAAGCTTGTTTTCTCATTTCTGGGTTGAGTTCCTTACATATTATTGGTATGAACCCCTTACCTGAGGTATGGTTTAAAAACATTCTCTTCCCATTTGTGGGTTGTCTCTTCACTCTATTACTGTTCCTTTTGCTGTGCAGAGAAGCTTCTTAGTTTTATGGAATCTCGTTTGTGTATTTTTGCTTTTGTTGCCTGTACTTTTGGGGTCATCTGTAGAAAATCATAGCTGAGGCCATTGTCATATGGTTTTCTCCTATCTCTGCTTGTAGTGGTTTTACAGTTTCAGGTTTATATTTAAGTCTTTCATCCATTGCTAATTGATGTTGGTATAAAGAGTGAAATAATGATCCAATTTTATTCTTCTGTATGTGAATAGTCAGTTTTTCTCTACATTATTTATTAAAGAGAATTTTCTTTCCCCATTGTGTATTCTTTGTCCTTTTACCAAAAATCAATTGACCACAGACACATGGATTTATTTATAGGTTCTATATTCCTTCACACTGGTCTAGGTGTCTGTTTTTATGCCAGTGCTATGCTGTTTTAAGTACTATAACTTTTTAATATTGTTTGAAATCAAGTAGTCTGATGCCTCTGGCTTTGTTCTTTTTGCTCAAGATTGCTTTGGTTTTTCAGCGTCTTTTGTGGTTCCACTCAGATTTTAGGACTAATTTTTCTATTTCTGTGAAGAATGGCATTGGATTTTGATAGTGATTGCATTTAATCTGCAGATTGCTTTTGTTAGCATTGAAATTTTGACAATATTAATTTTTCAAATCCATAAATATGGGATGTTTTTCTACTTATGTCACTTTCAATTTCTTTCAACAAGGCTATAAATTTTCAGTATACAAATATTTCACATCCTTCATTAAAATTACTCCTTAGTCTTTTATTTACTTATATTTGTTATGATACTATTATAAAATGAATTACTTCATTAATTTGTTTTTCAGTTAATAGTTTGTCACTGGTGTATAGAAACAAGAATACTATTTGTATGCTAATTTTGTAATTCTCAATTTTGAATGTGTTTATCAGCTTTAACACTTTTCTTCTTTTTTATGGAGTCTTTAAGATTATCTCTATGTTGGCTGGCTGCGGTGGCTCATGCCTGTAATCCCAGCACTTTGGGAGGCCAAAGCGGGTGGATCATGAGATCAGGAGGTCGAGACCAGCCTGGCCAATACAGTGAAACCCTGTCTCTACTTAAAAAATACAAAAATTAGCCAGGCATGGTGGCACACGCCTGTAGTCCCAGCTACTTGGGAAGCTGAGGCAGGAAAATCACTTGAACCTGGAAGGTGGAGGTTGCAGTGAGCTGAGATGGTGCCGCTGCACTCCAGCCTCGTTCCTATTTGGATGCCTTTCCATTCTTTACCTTGTATAATTACTCTGGCTACATGATTACATATAACATTTTCAGCATTTGTAATCTGACATCACATCCATCTGTTATAATACACTGATTGTTACTTTTCAACTTGAAAACCTGGACATTTATCACTACTCTCCCTTTCTCTTTGTCTAGCTCTTATCCAAGAAAACAACCTATCAACATAAACCAAGTTAGATAATTATTTTTCTATAAAACCACTTGAAATGCATTAAAAATTTTTTAATCTAACAACTTTTAAACTTTGTATGTCAATGATTTTTAACTGTGGTCTCTCAAAACAAATCCAATACTTTTAATAGGAAAAATTATGTTAATTCCTACACTACCACTGGGGCCCAGTGATACCATTATAAAATGAATTACTTCATTAATTTGTTTTTCAGTTAATAGTTTGTCACTGGTGTATAGAAACAAGAATACTATTTGTATGCTAATTTTGTAATTCTCAATTTTGAATGTGTTTATCAGCTTTAACACTTTTTTTCTTTTTTATGGAGTCTTTAAGATTATCTCTATGTTGGCTGGCTGCGGTGGCTCATGCCTGTAATCCCAGCACTTTGGGAGGCCAAAGCGGGAGGCCAACACTGGGGCTACCCAAGAGTTGACCAAAGGTGGTATTAATACATATGCTTACTTATTACCTTGTTCGCACAGTTCTAGTGTAAGTCTTGAAAATCAAGTAAATTTGGAAACATAGTTGCACAAACTCTCTCATGAGTCACACAGTTAATCCAGAATATTATTTCTAAGTTATCATAAAGCCAACAAGCAAATATGATGTACTGTTTAAAAAAAATCATAACTTTATATTATATACATGAAACATGTATTCAATACTATTTACTGAATATCACAAATATATTTATTTACATAGTAACAAAGGAATCAAAAGCATATGTATTATATAACGTTTAAATTACTAAAAATACTTTAGATAGCATTGCTCCATAAATGCTAGCATAAATGCTGATGAAAGTAAAAATGTCATTCCCTACCTTTTCTAAATATATTGTAACACATTTTAAGTGTTTTTAAAACATATCACTAAGGGGCAAAATAAGTAGGCAAAAATAATTCTAAGTATTTAATTATGGAAAAATTTAGTACACAGCATAGTATTCACGTGATGGAAGGATTTTAAATGGAACCCAGAGATTAGCAGCAGCAGGAAGTTTCTATCATACTTAGGACTGGGAAAACAACACAAGTTACTGGAACACAAAAGCAGGGTCATGTTATTAAAAACTGGGGCCATGGTGAGTGGCTGTGACCATTACCTAATATGTCACAGTGAATAAAGACAGATAGCACATGACCTGAGGCTTTTCTCTTCCACAGATGCCTTCCATTGGCCAGAATTAGCCAGTATTTAGAGTGCACTGAAGACTGGGAGGGTCTGTTCTCTGTAACAGAGTGAAGAGAGGGAGAAGGTGAGATGCTCACTACCTTAGTGATGGCTTCAATCATACCCCAAAACTCAGTATCACACAATAAACCTGCACATTTTTATTCAATCTAAAATAAAAGTTTAATTAAAAAAATACACAGAAAGCAGTTTAGACTTTACTGATCAGTAGTAAAGTCTTTAGGGCTGCTCTTCCAAAAGTAAGCCATTGCACTGAGAAAATTGTCCATTTTATTCATCAGAAGAAAAATTCAATGACCTTTACTCACTGACAACAGTGAGAATCAGAATGAATGAATCAGAGTGTCTGTCCTAACTACTCCCTCTGGTTCTACTGCAGTTCCTGCTGTCTCCATATGGTTCATCAGTGTGTGGGAGATGAATGTGGTAAAACTGAAGTAGCTGCTTGTGCTTGGAGAACAACAACAACACACTGAAATTCACTGCTTAGAAGCTGTTGAAAGAGTTTGGCAATAAATACAACCTAATATTCACAATAAAGAGCAATGATCTATAAGCCCATTTTCACATCTATTGTAAAGGCCAACCATGTGTTTCAGCCAAAACAAACTGATTTTATTAATACAATGACCAGACATATATAAAGAATAATATGAGTTTATTTTACCAGAGGACTTGGCTCTCACACTTGCATTCTATTGTAGGTTTTTACACTTATCCAATTCTAACAAGAGTTGGATAAACTCAGGGTTTTCCTAAAGTAACAATGACTATTCCTCACAAAAGAGTCACAAGCAAAGTCTACACTTGAAAATGTGTAGATTGCCTTCCATGTCCTGTGTGCATTAAGAAATGTTTTATTTTTAGACCTGGTATACGGACATCATGGATGAATATGTTGGCTAATTAGAACAAGTTTATCAAGTTCTTTGAAAGCCTTGGTAGACAAAGTAAAGTAATTCAAGGATTCAATCCAGACTAAATAGTGTGAAACCCTGCAAGGAACCAAGCTGTAGAAAAGTAATAATGTAAATACAAATGTGATTTCAATCTCTGCTTGGCGACTGACCTCCCTCAGACCACTAAACTCTGTGCATCAGATGCACTAACAATGAGACATTGGTCACTCACTGAGTAGGTGGGCATGGTGAAAGCCTTTTTTACCCATAGATCCGTGGGAACTGCTTAAAAGCCTGAAATGCATTCAGTTGATGCACCAGACATCAGTTACTGAAGAAGCAGAGGCGATGAACTTCCCTTAACATTGACCTAAGTGGATAAATGCATGGCAACATGCTGAGTGACTTCAACAATGCAGATACATCCAAAGTCAAAATGCCACAGGGCTACCCAGTGCTGCAAGGCTGGGACTGGGTTCCCGTGAGACTGTCTTAAGGCAGTGGGATTTCTGATGGAACTGTGGGCATAAGCATATGTCCCCATACCCCACTCCCACTACTCACTGTAGGAACAGCAGTGTAACATTTGTCTTGGCTAACAACGACAAACAATCCCCAAGTCCCGATGCAAACCAACAGTGCTGGGGCCACACAGTGGCCTGAGCAACATACATATGGGTAGTAACTGAGAAGACATTTCCAACGGATTGCCATTCCAACAGGCATGGGAAACGCTCAACATCACTAATCATCAGAGATGAGGTACCAGTACCATCACATGCTGGTCAGAGTGGCCATTTGTCCCAAGTCAAAACATAACATGCTACAGTGTGGCAGCAGAGAAAAGCAAACATGGCTATTCTCTTGGAGGTAATGCAAACTAGATCCTAAACTGTGGAAACCAGTCTGAAGATTTCTGGAAAAAAAAAAGGATGGAAGGCAGAGCTATGCTTTGACCCAGCAATCCTACCCCATGCATCTACCCCAGGGAAAAACACATGCGTCTATCAAAAAGACACATGACACTCACACGTCCACGGGAGTGTTACTGACAGGAATAAAGATGTGGAACTGATCTAGATGCCCACGAACAGAAAACTGGATTTTTAAAAATGTGGTTCCTATACATCACAGAATGCTAAAAAGCCACTAAGGAAAATCAAACACAGAAACAAAATCATGCCCTCGGTAGGAACATGGGTGGAACTGGAGGCCACTCTGCTAAGCAACTGAGGCAAGAACAGAAGACCAAACACTGCAGGTTCTCATTTATAAGTGGAAGCGCAACACCCAATACACATCAACATAAAGATGAAATCAAGAGACGCTGGGTACTTCCAGACAGAAAAAAAAGGGAGACAGGGAGCCTTGGAGGAAGAAAGACCCAACTGGTGCTGTGTTCACCGCCTGGGTGACAGGTACGTTAGGACCCCAAGCATCAAAATTCTACTGTATAGCCATGTAGTGAAATGAACCTGCAGGCGTACCCCTCGATCACAATAAAAGTAGCTATCATTTTAGAAAACCCAGCTTTGGAAATAAAAATAGAAAAAAGGAAGAAAACACACAAAACAAAACAAAAAGCCTACAGTGACCCAATCCATCCATTAGTGGCATGAACACAGAAAGACAACCGAATGGACACAACGAAGGAGCCAAATAATCAACCCACAATTATAAACACTGAACCCATGGGATTCTTGTTGTTCCTCCAAAAGCACACCAAAGGCACAATGGTTGAGGAAACTGAGGGGTCACGTGCAAAGGACCGAACCTTTCCTTTACCCAAGACACAAAAAGCGACACAAAATCTACTGAACACCTAAGTTCAATCCTGAAACCAAAATCTCCAAGGAAAACACGTAGGGTGTGTGTCTACTGTGGGTAAACTTGAACCTGTGAACCTAAGCCACAAACAGAAAAGGAAGACATAGGAACCAAATACCCATAGACCATACAATGGCTTCGCCATCTCACTTTTCTTCTCAAAGGGACACAGAAATCACCACTAACAAAAGCTAATGTGACCATGTGAGACTAAGGACAACTTCAGAGCTTCACGCAGCTTCAACACAGGACAGAAAATACTGAACCCAAATAAAAGGCATCTTGCAGACTAGAAGAAAATTATGAAAAACTGTCAATCTGGAAGGGCTTCTTATCTAACATACTCAAGAAACTAATGGTCCTAAGTGGACAAAAATACAAAAACCAAAACACATGCTAAAAATGCCCAAAGGACTGGCATAGCCATTTCTGAAAAAACCTGAAACAGACTCTCAGGTAATAGAAAAGTTTGTCCACATCAGAAGAGTTTCTTCCCAGAGAACGAGTATGACCAGAAACAGCAATAAAACTTTGGAAGATAAGGGCAGTGTAGATTTGCAGACAGAGGAACTATTACACACTACTGGTTTGAATGCAAATTCGTATACCTGCTGGGAGACAGCTGGAGGTTTCTGAAACAATTAACACAACCACCAGTTCCTCTAGCCATCCCAACACTGGGTATACCTGCAAAGCCAACCAAACCTACCTTAAGGAGGTATCTCCCTCTCATGTTTCATGAAGTACTCTGGACAATAACTAAGATGGGGAATCAACCTACTTGTCTTTCTACAGATTAAAAAATGCAGGAATTGAAGGATATATGCACAACGGTATACTCTTCAGCCATCAAACTTCCGGACATCAGTTCACTACCAGCAAGATGGAAAAACCTGGAAGACATTAAGTTAAAAAACATGAACCAGGCAGAGGAAGACAAACACAAATACTGCAAAATCTCATGCACGTGGAATCTAACAAAGTGAATCTCATAGAGTAGCAATGTCAACAGTGGGTACCAGAGGCTGGGGGGAGGATTGGAAATGGCTGCAAAGGGATGTTCAGATGAGACGCAGTTACTCTGGTGTTGTACGGCACAGCAGGGTGACTAGGCTTAACAGTATCATAACATAATATTCAATATTGCTGGAAAGGATTTGGAATGCTCTCTCCATCAAGAAATCCTCACTGTAGCATGAAACAGACGCTAGGTCCTGCAGTTTCATTGATTCATGTAAAAAGGTCCGTTGCACCCTTTAAATAAAAACACAGACCATGTCCTATTTTTGTTTTCCATATAGGATCACAACACAATACTAAAAATCCCGTGGGACAATCAAATGCCCCGCATTCCCAAAGCAGTTCCTACACATACAAAGTCGGTGGAGCCATCACACTCTTCCACTTTACATTACTTCCCAAAGCTTTAGTTACCCAAGCCATTCGTGATAGGCATTAACAGAGAAACAGGCCAATAAACACAATGAGGGTGTCCAGCAGCAAACTCAAATGAAGGTCTCAGTTAATTTAGAAAGTTTATTTTGCCAAGGTTGGGAACACACTCGTGACACAGCCTCAGGGACATGATGACATGAGCCCAAGGTGGTCAGGGCACAGCTTGGTTTTATACATTTTAGGGAGACATGAGACAACAATCAATATATGTAAGAAGTACGTTGCTTTGGTCTAGAAAGATGTGACAACTTGAAGCAAACGCAGGAAGACTGGAAGCAGGGAGGGAGCTTCCAGGTCACAGATGAGTGATACACACATGGTTACATTCTTTTGAGTTTCTGATTAGTCTCCAAAGGAGGCAATCAGATATGCTTCTATCTCAGGGAGCAGAGGGGCGACTTTAAATAGAATGGGAGGCAGGTTGGCCCTAAGCAGTTTCCAGCCTGAGTTTTCCTTAGTGATTTTAGGGGCCCCAGATATTTTCCTTTCACATCTCTCTCCTTTTCTTTTTAAAAAATCTTTTGGAAAAAACATTTTACAAGAAAATGAATCTCTGGTCTCGGGTTTCATCTGATCTCTCATGGCTAGGAGGGTTTATTCCTAGATAGGTAGGTCCTAAATGCTCATTCTTAGCAGGTTGTGAAGTCTCACATCCTGTGAAGTTAAAATAGCGGGGAGGAAGGCAGAAAAAACAACAACAAACAAAAGAACAATCCTGGAAAAATCAATATAAGCCACGTTACTCTGCAGTCCATACCTCAGTAGGCAGGTATGAAAGTGGCTTATGTATGTAAATAGGTTGCTGTTATTTTCTTCTGAAGTTTAAGTGGTCTGGCTTCAGTTTGCAGGGTTTTAAGAAAGCACCGCTTCGTTTAGGAATAATTGAAAAAAAATTGAAAACATTATTTTAAAGACTCGTAGGCAAGAAAAATTAGAATTCGGTCCAAACTGTAGAAAATAATAAAAATTGAAAAAACATTAGGCAAGACTAGAATCTAAAAACAAGTCTACTGTAGTTTTGAAAAATAATTTTTGTCTCTCTCCAGTTTTCAAATTTCTACTAAAGATGAATCATGTTAGAACTGATTTGCTTTATTATACTTGGCCTAATTATCTGCATACAGTGCAACAATCATTATTTTTTACATAGGCTTTTAAATTGGCTTTGATGGAACTTTATTCCATAGCAGGAATCTTAGATAAGACTTTTTCAAAGCCAAGCCCAGCCATGGATTTGTGCCATCAAATACCTATGATTTCAGTGAATTTCCTCTCCTCTTGAGGTTCCAAGATAAACCTGGGGCTTCTGCACCTCTCAGAAAATGACATTCTTTATTTACCACAGGTCAAAATCCTGTACAGGGACTGTGTACACAAAATATGAGGCCAGTTTTTCCAAGGGCTTTATTGGCTTGATAAGTCAGTTTTGATTCCTTAAAGGAAAGCACACCATTTCAGTCAAACCCTTGATAAAATAACCAAATTCTCCAACTGTGTCCTATTCCAAAATAAAACAGATTCTTCTTGCACTTATGCAAGTAACTATACTGCCATAAATTAAGAATACTCATAGTTTCCAAATTCTGGAGAAATTAGGTAGAGAAAAACAAATATGCTCCAAATTTTGTTCACAGGAATATACAATAATTTATTGTTAAAAGCTGTAAATAAAAGTTTCCTTAACTCTGAAAAACTAAAAGTATTAGCAATGTTTTAAGCAAAAAGTCAAAAAGATAACTTCAGTTTTCTATTGGTTCAGTTATCTCAGTTAACTCCTGTTCTGTTTGATAGTCATGAACATTTCAGCTCTCCATGAGAATTTTGAAATTTTTTGCTTTATTCCAGTGTAACAATTTCCAAAATTATCAGAAAACCTGAACTTAAGTGCACCTGTTAGAGTCCTATAGCTGATTATAAACCCACCTTATAAAGAGGGTTTAAAACGAGACAAAACAAGACAATTACCTGTGGATGAAAAAAAATTTAAGGCAGCCATAGTTAAAAGACACAATTGACAAGTGAATTTGTTACCTCCGTGGCACACAATGATTTTAACATAACAATTATGATTATTACAAATAATGTACACTAAGTTATATCAGAATTACAGGAGTTTCCCATCATTTTGGAAACATACCAAAAACATATACAAATGGATCTGAAAGAAAGCCAAACACCATTTCATATTTGACAATGTTTCCAAACATTTTATAGCAGGTAAGCCAAATTATGTCATTTTTAGACTTTAGAGAACCTAATGTCTTAAAGGATTACTTAGGATAGAAAAAGACATAATATATAATTTGATTTTGGGAAGTTTGTCAAATATAAAATGTTTAAAACACTTGATGTTAAAAATAGGATTACAGGTCATTGTAAAGTCATTTATTTAACCAAAGTGATAATTTAAGAATTTTTTAAAAACAGCATGAAGCCAATTACATTTGTTTGCGGCATTATTCACAATAGCAAAGACTTGGAACCAACCCAAATGTCCAACAATGATAGACTGGATTAAGAAAATGTGGCACATATACACCATGGAATACCATGCAGCCATAAAAAATGATGAGTTCATGTCCTTTGTAGGGACATGGATGAAATTGGAAATCATCATTCTCAGTAAACTATCACAAGAACAAAAAACCAAACACCGCATATTCTCACTCATAGGTGGGAATTGTACAATGAGATCACATGGACACAGGAAGGGGAATATCACACTCTGGGGACTGTGGTGGGGTGGGGGGAGGGGGGAGGGATAGCATTGGGAGATATACCTAATGCTAGATGACGAGTTAGTGGGTGCAGCACACCAGCATGGCACATGTATACATATGTAACTAACCTGCACAATGTGCACATGTACCCTAAAACTTAAAGTATAATAAAAAAAACTTAAAAAAAAAATTTTGTAAACAATCTATAAAATGTAATCTTGATTACAAAATATAATTCCATCAGCCTTTTATAACCTGTACTAAGCAGTTGGTTAATGCTTCAAGAAAACCTTGTTAATCTGACACAAGCGTCCATATACTGGTTTTGCATCAGTGTGCCTTTGACATTAATAAGTAATGCATAGAGAAACTGAACCTACTTTATTTTTCAAAATCGGCCCTTACAATCTTATGCTCCCACCTCTTTCACAATAGTCCCTGGGTCTTGAGGAGTTGAATAGCTTTCATCATTTCTTGCCCTGTGTCTCAGGAATGCAGCAGTTTATTTGAATTGGCATCTTCTATGGGGCCTGAAGATGAGCCTTTAATTGCTGTGGGTGTTTAAGATTAGCAGGACTTAGTGTCCTTTTTAGACCTAGGAGTTAAAAGCCCTGTAACTCAATGTTGCAAGGATTTTAAAAGCATATACAGGAAGACACATGGATGTAATGACCTCAATTTTTAAAAAATCTCAGGTTTTTTTTCCTAAGCAAACCAAAACTTAATATGACAACTTTATCATATAGAAGTTTTTGGGTTTTTTAAACATATAAATCCTTGTTGTGACTTTACACTGACTGTTTACGACATGGTCAGACTTTCTGATTTATTCTGAACACCCCCTCTTTTTAAACAACCAAGTATTTTATTTTAGGACTAAACTTACTAGACGGGATTCTTTCTTAGGTAATAGTATTTCTCTTTAAGCTCTTTTTACCTCAAAAACAACCTCTTTACAACTTTCTTTACAGCTTTTTTTTATTTCCTGGTTCCTTTTACCTTGTTTTATACATAACTTTAAATAAGCTTTGAATTACACAAAACTTGTTCAACTTTTTTTTTTTTTTTTTAGAAAAGAAGACACACTTTTTTTGGCAAGAATGTTTTCCTACAATATGTTTATTGGAAAATACCCAAATAATGAAATATCTATTATTTAATTTTACTTTATATTCTAAATTATGACGTTTGTCTACAAGTACTTATCCCACTACATTTACCTAATTGTTTACCTAGATTATTTATGAAATCTGTGATAGTCATGATTTAAAGTTATGAAACCACCACTGCAAAATTATAACTGAGACAGTGAAAAAAGATTTGGCCTAACTGGCTCCATCTTGCTCATAACCTCCAAACCGTCTTTGTTCATTCCTGCACATAGGCCGAACTGACACTGGGAGGAACCTGGTTTATACTTTAGCTTTGAAACAAAGGCAGTAACAGTCCTTTCCTTACTGTCTGTGGACTAGACTGCCAAAAGCCACAGGATTAGAAGTGCTAGTAATCTTACTAAATTCAACATGCAGCTATTTTTATTAAACCCATATCAATGTCTTACTTATTAAAAATTACTCAAGTAAAGATCATTCCATTTTGGGCTGAGTTTATAGTTTTGAAACCCCCCCATGCCAAATTTTGACACCTTATAGTATCTGGCAGGAATATGTATGAAATCGGTTGATTACTAAATGTAAACAAAAATGTATGCTGCCAATTCTTAAGACATTTCTAATATTGTTTTACAATAATTTTAAAGCTAGCTTATTAAAGATTTTACTTAAGTTACATAAAGTTGAAAAACCATTTGACTAGTCTTTTTTAGTATCTAACTTAAGTACTTTTATTTTTCTTTAAGCCAATTAATTAGAGCTCTTTCATATATTTTTGGTAGTGGAACATCCTGTATACAACACACAAATACATATAAAAATCTGTTAGGCATATCGATGGAAGTACTGAAACCGCCTTTACAAAATTATAACTAATGAAATTATGACAGTGAAAGAAATCAGACCTAACCGACTCTATCTTGCTTCTAACCCTTAAGCTGTCCTTGTTCATTCCTGGGTGTAAGTTCAACTAACTTTGGGAAGGAATTTGGTCCACGGTTCGACTCTGAAAGCAAATTGGTAATAGCTCTTTCCTGAAAAGAACCCCTTCTTGCCTGGGGAGCAGTCTGCCTTTGCAGGACTAACATATTAGCTACAAGATTAGAATGTACAGTTTAGGGGTCATGCAGTCTCTGGCTCCGAAAGTCTGAACCTCCCCTAACTCCTGCAGGTAACATCACATCACTACTGTAAAACCTAAGATCAGGGCTTGTTATGTGTTGCAGACCCTGCCCAGGCCGGTAATCTGGCCCAACCAGTTGTGCCATCATACCCATGAATAGAAGACAGCAAGAAAAGCTAACTTCAACCCCCTATGATTCCATCTCCAACCTGACTAATCCCCAATTCCCAAGCCCCTACCCACCAAATATCTTTAAAAACTCTGATCCCCGAATGCTCGGGGAGACCGATTTGAGTAATAAACTTGGGTCTGCCACACAGCCGGCTCTGCGTGAGTTACTCCTTCTCCACTGCAGTTCCTCTGTCTTGATAAATCGGTTCTGTCTAGGCAGCGGGCAAGGTGAATGCATTGGGCTGTCACAGTACATTTTATAGATTTAAAGACCTCCGCCCTTTTTTTCTCTCTCAGACTTTCAGATTCTTGATAACTTGTTTCACAACCCTAGGCAGCTGTCAAACTAAACAGCCTTAAATTGAAACATTAAAGGAAACAACTCAGGTGAAAATCCAATAGCAAAATTTACTTCATAAAGCACAGAAAGTAAGAGTCCGATGGTGCTACAGGAAGACACTAATATTTTTCTTCGAGCCAAATTAAACTACACTCTTCCTTAAAAACCCAAGAGTAGTAGCCTCTGTTGCAATAACTATTTTAGTCAAAAAAAAAAATCAAGTGAAAACAGAATTCAGTCAACTGAGAAGAAAAAGACAAAAAATAAAATAAACACATTTGCTCAACAACAACAAAAAGACAAGGTCTTAGAAGAGTAAAACAAACAGAACAAAAACAAAAACATGAAGGTCTTCCAAATACAAACACACACACATGCACACACATCTGGATGTTACCCTTTTAATTAAGCTTTTACACAATTGTGCTCCTTTAAACAAAACTCTTTTAATCTTATTACCATATTTCAGCGAGGACAAAATGCTGCTAAACTAACAATGGTCACACAAATTATGATTTCTGAGCACTCTAAGTGTAAGCACAAATTAACACCAGCTGGTTGTTAAATGTTAACTTTATTCTTTAAAAGGAATTTGCAAGACAGAATCCAAAACCAGTTTCTTACCTAGCGATGGGTCTCAGGCTGTAAACTGCTCTCTACCATCCTAGAAGCATATGCTAGTGAATTTCTTTAACTTCATCAGTCACCAACATAACGGAAAACCAGAACACTGCACACACCTGAAACTGCATCAGACTACATGGCTTGTGGGCAAGAAAGAATGAAAAACATGAATGAAAAGAAAGAAACATACAAAGGATCATAAGAAGCGTTTGGAGAAAAACACAGCTGATGAGGCATTTTTTGGAAAAGGTGTAAGTAACTAACATTACTAACTAGCAAAAAACACCAGAAAACAGAAATTAATTACCAAACCAAAACTGGATAAAGAAACCAAAGAGGCTTTTCTGCAAAGAACACATAAAACTGAAAACAAGTATGCTTGTTAACACCTGGTTAACATCACTAATCATGACAAAAATGAAAATCAGAACAAGACTCAGATACTGTGTCTCTCTCGGTGGAATGAGTATAACAAAGACCTTCATGTATCTTAAAAGAAGGGAAACCACAAAATGCTGCTGTGAATTTCCAAAGAGGAGAGCTCTCTTATCCACAACTGTTAACAGGTAAATTGGTACGCACACTACAGAGGCAGGAGGTTCCTCAGAAAACTGAAAATATGACAACCATTTCACTGAGCTGTGCTGCTACTGGAATCACATGAATCAGTACACGGAAGACACATCTGCCTTCCCACGCTGACTGCGGAACCAGTCGCAATAGCCAAGATAAGGAATCAACCTACCTGTCCACCCCCAGAGGATGAGATCCAGAAACTGCAGTATCCAGTCACGACCAGATACTCTACAGCCAGACACGGGTACTGAAATCAGGTCATCCGTGGCAACACTGTGGAACCTGGAGGACATTATGGTAAATGAAACACACTAGGCAGGGAAAGACAAACCTCGCATCACCTCACTCATGAGGAATCTAGGAAACTTTATCTCACACAGACCTACAAAGCACCATTGTGCTTGCCAGGGTTGGAACAGAAGGCTGGGCATGGGTGGGCATAGGAAACAGGTACAAAGTGACACGTTGCGTAAGAGGAATGAAACCTGCTTTTCTATTCCTCAGCAGGATGATTATGGAAAACTTTACCAAAGGGTAGTTTTCAAGACAGCCAGAAAGGAGGGTTCTCGCTCTCCTTACTCAAAGACATGAAAACTCTACAAGGCAAAAAATGACGCTAAATACCATGATTTCATCCCTATACGATGCATGCATGGACCCAAATGTCCCTCTCGACCCTCTAGTTGTCCATCTTTAGGACAGGGCTAATTTTGTTTCTTGAAAGCAACATAGAGAAACAATGCTAAAATTCCCGTGGGACCACAAAATGCCCTGAAACTCCAAAGCCATGCTGAAACACCAAAGGTCAGATGGACAAAAGGCTCGCTATGCAGTGAAGGGCACTGGGCTAGGTGGCTAGACACATGCAGATAAACAACACTGGAGCCTTAACTCTCATCAGATGCAAAAACTAACCCAAGGTCAATGAAACATTTCAGCAGAAGACCTCAAACTATTAAAAGTCCTACAAGGAAACCTAGGACATATCTTTCTCAATACGGACTTTGGAAAGCATTTAGACAAAAAGCAACAGCAAGAAAAACCAAAAGGACAAGCTGGGCCTAAGAAACTATAACACTGCCAGATAGCAAAATACATCACCGGCACAGTAAACACACAGGCTACAGGATGGGAGAAAATGTTCCCAAACTATGCTTCTCACCAAGGTCTAATAGCCAGACTCTAACATGACCTTAAAAAAATTAAGAGGCAGAAAAACAAACCATTCAAACAATGGGTAGAGAACATGAACAAACACCTCAACATCACTCATCATCAGAGAAATGCAACTCTCACGAACAGAGATATCATCTCACATCGGTCAGAATGGCCATTTGTCCTAAGTCCAAATATTTACATGGTGGCAAGGCAGTGGAGGAAAGCAAACCCCGCTACACTCTTGGGAATAAAAACTAGTTCTCACACTATGAGAAGTGGTTTGGAGGTTCCTCAAAGAACTTAGAACTACCATCCAAATGAGCAATCGCATAACTGGGTATCTACACAAAGGAAAACAAATCATAAATCCTCCTTTCAAAATGACACAGGCATGGGTATGTTCTTGGAAGTGTTATTCACATGGAAATATAAAATAACATCGAGATTACATGTTTTAAAAGTGCTGTACATAGATACCACAACAACCTACATAGCTTAAAAAAACTTAATGGCTTTGGCAGCAATAAGGATGGATCTGCAGGTCACTATGCTAAGCAAACTAACACAGTAACAGAAAACCAAATACCACATGGACTCACAGGCAAAATACCTATACACAATACAATGACTTTGTGATCTCTTTTTTCCCCTCTCTGATTGGACACAGAAATCCCTGCTGACAAAAGCAAATATACACCTGTGAGACCAACACTTCAGAGCTTCTGCATTGGGGAGAAAACAATGAACCCAAAGAGAAAGCATCTTACCTTGGCGGAAAGGATGATTGGGTTAAAACTGTGGAAAATTGCAATTTTGGAAGGGGTTGCTGTCTAACATATTCAAGCACTAAAGCTACTAAGTGGAGAAAAGATTTAAAAAAAAATACACAAGCTAAAAATATGCAAAGGACCTGCACAACCACTTCTGCAAAGGCCATGAGACTGATTCACAGGTGAAAAAAAAAGTTTCTCCACATCACTAAATACTCCAAACATGTGAGTCAGAATCACACTCCAACATCAGATACCATCAAACTCCACTGAGAATGAATATTACCAAAAACAGCAACAACATTTTTGGAAAGTAGCAGCCAATGTAGATTTACAGAAAGGGAAACTCTTATATGCTGTTGATGCCAATGTGAATTAGTGAATATACTGTGAAAAAGTTGGGATGTTCCTCACACTGCGTATGCATTTAAAGCAAAGGAAACCAGTACCTTAAGGAGTGACCTGCCTTCCCATGTTTCATGACAGTATTCACAATATAGAAGATATGGAATCAACCTACCTGTTCATCCACAGATGAAGGGATGAGGAAACTGCAGTATTTATCTGCACAACGCAATACTCTTCAACCATAACAAACTAACGTAATTTTCATTTGGAGCCATATGGATGAACCTGGAAAATATGTTAAATAAAATAAGCCAGGCATAGAAAAACAAGCAGATTCATCTCACTTATGTGGAATCCAGAAAACTTTGCCTTCGATAAGTAGAAGGCACAGTAGCGGTTTTCTGAGGAGGGGGAAGGAGGGAATGGGAGGATTGGTTATGGAAACAAAGTTGCAGTTAGTTAAGACAAATACATTCTTGTGTTCTATACCACAGCTCGGTGATTCTGGTTAAAAAAATACTATATTTTTCAAAAAAGCTAGAAGGGAGCAATTCCAATGTTCTCACAAAAGAAGAATACCTGTATGAGAGAACAGATATGCCACGTACCCTGATCTGATCATTATTAAAAATATACATGAATCAAAATGTCCCAGAGGAACAACAGTCCCAGCATACTCTCTAATTATATACTTTATTATGCACAGAAATTTAAGAAATGTGAATACACAATGCTGATGATCACATGGAACCACAAATGGCCCTGAATGTCTAAGGAATCCTGAGAAAAAGAAACTAAGTTGGAGGACTCACAATCCCTGATATGCCGCTGTGCTCCAGCCTGGGTAAGAGAATGAGACTCTGTCTCAAAAAAATTGTTAGAAAATTTGAGGGAATCATAGAAGTGATAACTATAGGGACTCTGTCACTCAGGCTGCAGTGCAGTGGCATGATCATGGCTGACTGCAGCCTTGACCTCTCCAGCACAAGTGATCCTCCCACCTCTGCCTCCTGAATAGCTGGAAGAACTACAGGCACACACCACCATGCCTGGCTAATTTTTTTGTATTTTTTGTAGAGATGAAGTTATGCCATGTTGCCTAGGCTGGTCTCAAATTCTTTGGCTCAAGTGATCTGCCCACCTCGGCCTTGCAAAGTGCTTGGATTACAGGCATGAGCCATCATGCCTGGCCATAAAAAAACATGCATGGCTACATCAAAGTGAAAAGTTTTTGCAAGGAAAAGGAAACAACCCAAAAAGAAAGGCTGGAAGAACATTTTGAGGAATCACCTATTGGCTAAGGAGTTGTTATGGAAAATACACAACACATTAACAGTACTAAGTAGCAACAAAAAAAACAATGATCCACCCAAAACTGAGCAGGGACCCTGAATAGACATTTCTGCCAAGAGGACAGTAAACCACACGCAAGGTCCCTTCCCCCGGTCAGGTGGCCATGACTAGAGGGACAGAGTTAGGCAGGCACTGCAGGGAGTGGAGAAATGTGACCCCTGTGTCCCGACGTCAGGGACACGGATTTAAAAATTCAGCAGACCAGGTGCAGTAGTTCACGCCTGTAATCCCAGCACTTTGGTAAGTTGACGCGGGAGGATTGCTTTGAGCTCAGAAGTTTGAGACAAGCCTAGGCAACATGGCAAAACCCCGTGGCTACCAAAAATACAAAAAAAAAAAAATAGCTGGGCGTGGGGCATAGGCCCAGATACTGGAAAGGTTAAGGCTGGAGAATCCCTTGAGCCCACAAATGGAGGTTGCAGTGAACTGAGATCCACCACTGCACGCCAGCCTGGGCAACAGGGTGAGACCGTATCTCCAAAAACAGGACGAGACCGTATCTCCAAAATTAGCAAACCCTGGAGGCTAAGTTGGATCCTTTCCTTCCACCTGAGGCTTGAAAGCAAGGCAGCCAAACTGGGGCCTGGCCCCTACACCCCACCTGGGCCGGGCTTCCCCTTCCTCCCACTGCCAGAGCTTTCCTCTCTCTCCACCTACATGGGGAGTCTCCCTCAGAAACAGCCCTAAAGCCTCCTACACATTCCAACCTCAAAAGCCCTCAGGGAATGAGTATTACTGTAAAGTTAATGGTAAGATATCAAGAGAGAAAAGAAAAAGGAGTGAGAATCTAGCAGAAATACACAGAACATTCCAGAAAACGAAAGCTTCTGTACTCACCATGAAAGAAAAATGCACCAAAGAAGCTGGGCCACGGAGAAGCCACGCCGAAGCGCTGTCCTCCGCAGTCAGCACCACGGACAGGAGGTGTTTCTTCCCCAGGATGCGCCCTCAAGTTATCCCAAAGCTGCCACGGCGCCGACTCCTGATAATTCTAAAATTCATATGGAATCAAAACAGAGCCCACATAGCCAAAGCAAGACTAAGCAGAAAGAACAAATCTGGAGGCATTACATTACCTGACTTCAATCTATACTACAAGGCCATAGTCAGCAAAACAGCATAATACTGGTATAAAAATAAGCACATAGACCAATGGAATAGAATAGAGAACCCAGAAACAAACCCAAATACTTACAGCCAACTGGTCTTTGACAAAGCAAACAACAATATAAAGTGGGGAAAGGACACCCTACTCAACATATGGTGCTTGGATAATTCGCAAGCTACATCCCAAGAAATGAAACTGGATCCCCATCTCTTACCTTATACAAAAGTCAACTTAAATCTGAGACCTGAAACCATAAAAATTCTACAAGGTAACATTGGAAAACCCCTTCTACACATTGGCTTAGGCAGAGACTTCATGACCAAGAACCCAAAAGCAAGTGTGACAACAAAATGAAGATAAACAGGTGAGACTTAATTAAGCCAAAAAGTTTCTGCACAGCAAAAGAAACAATTAGCAGAGTAAACAGACAACCCACAGAAAGGGAGAAAAATCTTCACAATCTATACATCTGACAAAGGACTAATATCCAGAATCTACAAGGTACTCAAATTAGCAGGAAAAAAAACCAATCCCTTCAAATAATGGGCTAAATACTTGAATAGACAATTCTCAAAAGGAGATATAAAAAATGGCCAACAAGTATGAAAAAATGCTCATCATCACTAATGATCAGGGAAATGCAAATCAAAACCACAATGTCAGGCCGGGAGTGGTGGCTCACGCCTGAAATCCAACACTTTGGAAGACTGAGGTGGGTGGATCACAAGGTCAAGAGATCAAGACCACCCTGGCCAACATGGTGAAAACCATACAAAAATTAGCCAGGCGTGGTGGCAGGCACCTGTAGTCCCAGCTACTCGGGAGGCTGAGGCAGGAGAATCACTTGAACCCGGGAGGTGGAAGCTGTAGTAAACCCAGGTTGCACCACTGCACTCCAGCCTGGCAACAGAGCAGACACCATCTCAAAAAAAAACACCCAATGCCATGCCACCTTACTCCTACAAGAACGGCCATAATCAAAACATCAAAAAATAAAAAATATTGGTGGGCATTTGGTGAAAAGGGAACACTTTTATACTGCTAGTGGTAATGTAAACTAGTACAACCACTATGGTAAATATAGTTCTTAAAGAACTAAAAGTAGAACTACCATTTAATCCAGCAATTCCACTACTGGGTATCTACCCAGAGGGGAAAAGAAGTCATTATATAAAAAAGATGCTTGCACACACAAGTGTAAAACAGCACAATTCACAATAGCAAAAGTATGTAGCCAGCCCAAATGCCCATCAATGAGTAGATTAAGAAATTGTGATATATATATATAAACGTATACATACATACATACATATATCTTATGGAATACTATTTAGTCATAAAAAGGAAAAAAATAATGGCATTCACAGCAACCTGGATGGGATCAGAGACTATTATTCTAAGTGAAGTAACGTAAGAATGGAAAAGCAAACCGTATGCTCTCGCTAGAAGAGGGTGCTAAGCTATAAGGATGCAAAGGCATTAGAATACTAGAACTTTGGGGACTTGGGAGAAAGGGTGGGAGGGGGTAAGGAATATAAGGCTACAAACTGTATACAGTGTATACTGCACAGGTGTTGGGTGCACCAAAATCTCAGGAATCACCTCTAAAGAACTTACTCATATAATCAAACACCACCTTTTCCCCAAAACCCTATGGAAATAAAATGAAGAACTTTTTGTTTATGCATACCACATATTTTTTAACTTTTTTCACAGGTTCACTGAGATATAATTTATATATTATTTAACTCACCCATTTAAAGTATAAAATTCACTTTTTTTTAACTGTATTAACTGGGTAAACAATCACCACAATGTAATTTTAGAACATTTTCACGCTCCTTAAAAGAAACCTTGCACCCACTAGCAATCTTTTCCCATTTTCCCCATTCTTCCTTTAAACCCCTCCCAGCCCTAGGCAATCATCCATCTACTTCCTAAGAATTTGCCTATTCTGGAAGGATTTGCCTATTCTGGACATTTCACGTAAGTGGAATCATAATAATATAGTTACGTGTGACTCACTACTTTCATTTATCATGTTTCCAATGTTCATCCATTTTGGAGCATGTATTAATATGTTTTTCTTTTTCATTGCCAAATAATATTTTATTTTATGGACAGACCACATTTTATTAATCCACTCCAAAATTCATGGACATTTCTGTTATTTCCTACTTTTTGTTGCTATAAATACTTGTATGTGTGAGGCATTTGTTTTAATTTATTTTTAGTGTATACATAGTACTGAATTTACTGAGTCATGTGGTAATTCCGTATTTAACCTTTTGAAGAATGGTTTCATTTTTCTGCATGTGGCTTGCCAATTATGCCAGCACCATATTTGAATAGGGTGTCCTTTCCCATTTTCTTTTGTTTGCTTTGTCAAATATTAGGTAGTCTGATGCCTCCAGGTTTGTTCTTTTTGCTAAAGATTGCTTTGGTTTTTCAGCGTCTTTTGTGGTTCCATTCAGATTTTAGGACTAATTTTTCATTTCTGTGAAGAATGACATTGGAATTTGATAGTGGTTGCATTTAATCTGTAGAATGCTTTGAATAGCATTGAAATTTTAACAATATTAATTTTTTCAATTGATAAATATAGGATGTTTTTCTATTTGTCACTTTCAATTTCTTTCATCAATGTGCTATAATTTTCAGTATACAAATCGTTCACATCCTTCATTAAAATTACTCTTTGCTCTTTTATTTATATATTTGTTTTGTTGCTACTATAAATGGAATTATCTTATTTTTCAGATAATAGTTTGTCATTGGTGTATAGAAACCAGAATACTATTTGTATGTTAATTTTGTAACTTTCAACTTTATTGAATATAGCGTTTATCAGCTATAAGGGGTTTTTTGTGGAGTCTAAAACACAGACAATCTCACCCCTTCCTTTCCTATTTAGATGCCTTTCCTTTCTTTGCCTTGTATAATTACTCTGGCAAGTCAATTACATATAATGTTCTCAGCATTTGTAATTTGACATCAAATCCATCTGTTGTAATACACTGTTACTTTTCAACTTGAAAACATGGACATTTATCACTACTCTCCCTTTCTCTTGATCTAGTTCTTATAAAAAAAAAAACCTATCAATGTAAACCAGGATATTTTTCTACAAAACAATTTCAAACGCACTATAAGTTTTTAATCTAATGATTTTTAAACTTTGTCAATGACTTTGTGGTCTCTCAGAACAAATCCAACACCTTTAGTAGGAAAAGTTATGTTAATTCCTACATTATCATTGGGTCTAGCCAAGAGTTGACCAAAGGTGATATTAACAGATATGCTTATTTATTACCTTGTTCTCACAGTTCTAGCGTTAAGTCTTGAAAAATCTAGTAAAAATTTGGAAAGACTATACTTGCACAAACTCCCTCTCATGAGTCACACAGTTAATCCAGAATATTATTTCTAACTTATTGTAAAGCCAACAAGTAAATATGATGTAGCATATAAAAATAATCCTAACTTTATTAGTATATTCTATAAGTGAAACATGTAATTGATACTATTTACTAAATATCTCATAATTATATTTACATAGAAACAAAGGAATCAAAAGCATATCTATTATCTAACATTTAAATGACTAAAAATACTTGAGATAGCATTGCTACATAAATGCTATGTAAATGCTGACAAAAGTAAAAATGTCATTCCCTACATTTGCTAAATATATTGTGACACATTATAAGCGTTTTTAAAATATATCACTAATGGTTGGGTCAAGTCAGCAAAAATGATTCTAAGTATTTAATTGTGGAAAAATTTAGTACAGGGGATAGTATTCATGTGATGGAAGGATTTTAAATGGAACCCAGAGATTAGCAGCAGCGTAAGTTTTAATTGCATACCAGGCGCAGAGTCTAGGATACAAGACAGAACTGCAGATAAAATCTGACTCTTTCCAGCATAGCTAGGAGACATGGCTAACTCCACCTGTCCGGAGACCTTATCTAGAAATCTAACGGCTCCAAACCAGGTAAATGAAACTATTTTCCAAAGTCAAAGAATCAATTTATGACATTAAAGCGCTTCTAAAACTTAACCTCTGACTTCAATTAGACCAAATGGATAAATTTTGAAGATATTTTTATTTTACCACTGATTTTAACTGATTTAACACTGTCTTTATTTCCCAAAGATCACTGAAGTCACATGAAATAAAAGGCATTACAGCTTCTATTTTTCTGACAAAATATTTAAGAGCTTTCATTTTCTTTTAAGCCAAGCCATTATATATACATCACATGCACAACACTTCTAGACAAGAAAAGATCTAGCAGTTGTTAAGATTTTCTTTCCCATTTTATGAACCATAACACAACTTCCACAGACCATCTACAACATGATTAAATTTATCTGACCTGTCCTGTATTTCCCTCTTTCGTAATTAGTCATTCTACTTTAGGACAACCATTTGCCATATAAGATCCTCTCTCATATAACATTTCTTTCCTTCATAACATTTCTTACAATAAATACATCTTCATATCCACAATTTTCTTTAGATCTCTCTCCCCTACTAATTTCTGATGCCCACCCAAACCAAAAAGGTCAGACAATGCAAGGCAAAACAGAAGAGAGCCTTAGATTTTTGAGAGAGACCTGTCTGCTTAAAGTTATTGGGGTTCCATGGCAAAAACAGAGGTTTCTCCTAAAACGGGGTTTGTGGAATCTTGTTTTTCCTTAAGGAGTCCCAGGTGTCAGAAATTACCTTAGATCCTCTCATGTGGGCATCAAGAGTGGCAACAAGACAGACCGGGGTAATAATTCAGACAACTGAGCAGAAAAAAACTTACTACTGTCCCCACTGCAATGATGGATAAACTGAGGCACCATGCAGTTCAAAAATTCATGTTCACATAATTAGGATCCACAGCTCACTCTTTTACATAATTTCGCCAACTCTATGCCCAGTCACTGATGCACCTGTATGGTAGCTCATGGCCCCCTTGGAACTTAGAACCTGGGTTTCATTCCTGCTCTACAGCTATATAATTTAACAATTTTCCTTTGAATTTGTTGGATTCTAACCCTGTATATCTCAAATTTTGTTAGTATTACTGTATGTTAAAGGGAGCTGTTATGTCTTTAGTCTTTAGAAATATTAAACCTATAAACAAGGACTATATGAGGTTAAACAGTATTCAAATTTCTATATGCTTTAAAACATGGACACAATGTATTAAGAAACACAGCTAAGAAACTGCACCCAATCAACTCTGGACAAAAATTTAGATATTATCTCTTCAATATAAGCTATCTAGTGGTATTTATACATATTCTTCCATGTATCAACAGTATACTACATGCTCATAACCTTAAAAATAACAAGTGTCCAAATTATAGGCCTTACACATTTCTATGGGCTTGAAAAATGAGACAATATAGATTGTCTTTAAAGCAGTCAAGAAAATGCATAAACTTCTAGAGGAATCAGTAAAATAAAGATAAAAAGTTCACACCGAAAGTAGTAATACTAGGAATAAAAGAGGGCTCAACACTGCAAGTTCCTAGATACAGAAGTTAATAAAGCCTTGTTTTTTGGTTGTGAATCTTTGCCTTAAAACATACATGGCCGGGCGCAGTGGCTCATGCCTCTAATCCCAGCACTTTGGGAGGCCACGGTGGGTGGATCACCTGAGGTCAGGTGTTCTAGACCAGCCTGGCCAACATGGTGAAACCCCATCTCTACTAAAAATACAAAAATTAGCCGGGTGTGGTGGCAGGCACCTATAATCCCAGCTACTCAGGGGGCCAAGGCAGAAGAACTGCTTTCACCCAGGAGGCGGGGGTTGCAGTGAGCCAAGATCGAGCCATCGTACTCCAGCCTGGGGGAAAAGAATGAGACTTCATCTCAAAAAAAAAAAGAAAGAAAAAAATTACACAGGATTCTCCCCACTTCTTTTTCTCTTGCAAAGAGGTGGTGATGAACCAGGTTTGCTCAGGCAGATGACAATACTCTTGAAAGTGGTGGCAGAGAGCCAGGTGTGGTGGCTCACACGTCCAATCCCAGCACTTGGGAAGCTGAGGCAGGTGGATCACTTGAGGTCGGGAGTTCAAGACCAGCCTGACCAACACAGAGAAACCCCATCTCTACTAAAAACACAAAGTTAGCTGGGCATGGTGGTGCATGCCTACAATCCCAGTTACTGGGGAGGCTGATGCAGGAGACTTGCTTGAACCCGGGAGGCGGAGATTGCAGTGAGCCGAGATCGCCCCATTGCACTCCAGCCTGGGCAACAAGAGCAAAACTCCATCTCAAAAAAAAAAAAAAAAGAAAGAAAACAAAGGAAATGGTGGCAGAGAAAATGAAGGCAATACAGTTCACTTAATAATCTCATAAATTAGAACTTACCCCGTGACTCTTGCATAGCTCCAAATATGTGAGAGAGATGAAATGGCTGTTTGCTACCAATATTTTATGTGATGCTTCATTTTTTGATTCTCTGAATAACTACTTACAATGCATTACCCCATTTATGCCAGAGGCTGTAATTTTTTGAATTTTTGCCTGAGTGAATAATCAGACCTTGTCAATGACCTTGAGCAGTAGGATGTAAGTAACTCCCTCATGCTTAGTGTTCCAATAATGGAACATTATTGGAACGCTAAGCATAAGCGGGTTAACAAGATCATGAAAGCATAGCTATTCAAGTAACTAATTATACAACTGATTTTTTTTCTCATCCCTAAAACACAGTAAGGGACCAGTTATTTTAAAAATACAACACAATGACAATTTTGGCTTGTTGTTTGTTAAGGCCATTGCTTGGCATAAAGAAAACAAAAAGAGGAGGAGAAACAAGAATAGAAACATGAAATAGAAGCAGCAGCAAAAGAAAATGAAGAGGAACAAGAAGATGAGAAGAATATACAAACTAGGAAAAGCAAAAAGAACAGGTGCAGGAATTAGAAGGCCTATAATGACACCTTTTATCCCCTCCCCAATTCACGAAATTTGAAAAAGTCCAAGACTATCACAACAAAAAAGAAGGAAAAAATGGCCGGGTGCAGTGGCTCACGCCTGTAATCCTAGCACTTTGGGAGGCCAAGGTGGGTGGATCATGAGGTCAGGAGATCTAGACTATCCTGGCTAACACTGTGAAACCCCGTCTCTACTAAAAATACAAAAATAAAATTAGCTGGGCATGGTGGCAGGCACCTGTAGTCCCAGCTACTAGGGAGGCTGAGGCAGGAGGATGGCATGAACCCAGGAAGCGGAGCTTGCAGTGAGCCAAGATCGCGCCACTGCACTCCAGCCTGGGCAAAAGAGCAAGACTCTGTCTCAAAAGAAAAGGAAAACACACACACACACACACACACACACACACACACTGTGACCCCCTAAACTTTGTTAAGAATGAGACAATGCTGCCCCTCACGCCTAGCTCAGAAGGAGGGCACTCTCCAGAGACTGCAAAAGAAGGGGGAGGACCCCTTTCCCTAAGTGCACCTCCACCACTGCCACCGAGGCCCATGGTACAGCACCCGCAGGTTCCTCCCCACCCCAGGTTGGGCTGGGCCCTGCAGCGCTCCTACTCCCCCTTCCCGGCCCCCAGACTTGCTGCCACTACCACCACTAGCACCAATGCCAATACAATTGCTGTCGCCGTCAATGCAGCAGCCCACCCTACAAGGTTCCTACCACCTTGCCCCCGCAGGCACCCTCCTACCACTCCTGTCGAGCTGCAGTCTCTGTGGCTGCCACCAATCACATGAGGCGAGCTGCAGAGTCACGCCACATGCAGGCTCCAGCGTACCACAGGTGATTCCTTCTCCTCCTCCTCCAGCCTGGCTTGGAGCAGCTAGACGGGCAAAGCCAGAAAAGCCTAGAATGGGATGCAGGGAGTGGTAACGTTAGAGCCTCACCTTGTCATGCTGGCCACTGGGTGGCAGGGACCAGCTTCAGCTAAGGCACTCACACCCACCCACCGAAGTCCAGCCTCTCTTTCTGGCAAAAGGTGGCCAGGAACTGGGGCGGGTGTGAGTGCCTATGCTGAAACCACCCCCATCCAGGTGCAACTGGCCAGAAATTGCTGGGCCCACCAGGGCTGCACTCCTTGGGGAGCAGGAGTAGGAGAAACTCAGACCCAGCCAGCCCTCCCCACTCAACTGCTGGTTCCCGTTCCTGACACCTCCACCCACAGTGCCCTGTTCCCACAGTCCCCCGCGATGCCCACTAATCCCCACCCGGTAGTCCCAGGTGGTCTCCCCAACACAGAGCATGGGGTGTGGGCGGGAGGTGCAGGCCGGAGAACCGCAGTGGGTGTGGGGGTCCTGCCATGCTCAAGATTGCACGAGCAGGAAGAGATCACCCTCTAGAGTCTGGAGTACGGAAAGGAGAAGAGTCACCCGAAGGAGCAAGGAGACCATGGCTGTTGCTGTCCCCACCACCTCTGCAGCCGACCAACACCACTGGCAGTATAGCCCCCATAGCAACCCTAACCTGACCCCTGCCGCCGGCAGTGTAGCCCTCGGACAGCACACCCAACACACCCTGTGCCAGCTGCAGGCAGTGTAACCCCAATACCCCCCCAACCACCCCCTCCACAGGCAGTGTAGCACCCGATAGTGCCCACAACCTGACCCAGCCACAGGTGTTGCTGCACAAGACAGTGCCCCAAAATCGCCGCCCCCACCCCGCCACGGGTAGGGGAGCTCCTGATAGTGCACCCTGAGCAAGGGCAGTGCAACACCTGACAACACTCCTAAACCACCCCCCACTACCAGCATCGTAGCTCCGAATAACCACCCAACCCACTCCTTGCCCTGGGCAGTGCAGCAGAAAATAGCGCCCCTAACCCATCCCCCGCCACCAGCAGTACACGTTAGTGCACACAACCTGCCTCCCCCGCCCACCACCCCCGCCACCGTGGGCAGTGTAGCCCCAGATAGCCAGCCAACACCGCACCCCCACCGCCAGCAATGCAACCTCGGAGAGTGCCCCCAACCAGCCCCCTGACACAGGCAGTGCAGCCTCGGGGAGTGAGCCCCAATAGGACACCCAACCCCTGCCCCCACATGCGGGCAGTGCATCCCCAGCTGACTCACCTACACCAGGACATTTCTACCACTCTGGCCGAGCTGCAGTGTCCGAGGTCACCACCAACCGCAGCGAGGCGAGCCGGGGTGGCTCAGGCTCCAGCCTCCAGCATGCCTCGGTGCCGCTCCCTTCTACTCGTCTTCCTGCCCAGCAGGAGAAGCTCCTGCTGCCCGCCGCCCTCCTACCGCTCTGTCGACACCACCAACTGCAGTGAGCCAGTGTCCGAGGCTCCAGCCAGAAACAGGTGGCAGCCATGCCGGATACCAAACGCGAAACTGAAGAGCCTAAAATGACCTGACACCGCCTCAGCATGCTTTACGTACTGAGGTCGCGCACATGCAGTTCCTGGACTACATGTTCTGATTGGATGAGAGAAAAAACCTCTAGGCCTACTCTGATTGGACTTTATTTTCATGCTGTGATTGGTTGTCTCAAGACTTGCTCTCATCCAATCAGAACATGATAATAAAGTCCAATCAGAGTAACCCTGGAGGGTTTTTCTCATCCAATCAGAACATGCAGTCCAGGAACCCTCATATATATATATAACCTCAGTATATGAATGCTCCCGAAGGGAAGGCAGGCCCTTCCAGGTTCCCGTACTTTCTTATGGAGCTGCTCAGTGACCGGCTTAGAGGACCGGGAATGGGTAATTGGAGGCTGGAGCCGCTCCACTGTGGTTCGCCTCGCTGCAACTGGTGGTGACCGCGACCGAGATGGCAGTGCGGCGGGAGCGGTAAGAAGAGGAAAATAGTTTTGGGATAGATGGAGGGGGTAAAGAGGGTGGTTAGTCCCAAAGGGAAAAGAAGTTAGCGAGCAGGAGAACGCGTTGCAAAAAGACGGTGGGGAAAAGATGGTGGGAAAAAAAGTTTTTGGGTAGATGGTGGGGGAAAAACAGGGTGGGGAGCGCGAAGGAGGGAAGGTGTTGCAGAAAGATGGTGGGTAAAAAGTTTATGGGTAGATGGAGGAGGAAAAGAGGGTGTCAAGGGGAGGAGGAAAGAGAGGATGGTCGGGGGGAGAAACAGCGTTGAGCAGTAGGGAGAGAAGGTTTTGTGAAAAGACAGTGGGGAGAAAAGGTTTTGGGAAGATAGAGGGGGAAAAGAGGGTAACAGGTGGGGGAAGGGAAAAGGGTAGCCAGCGGGAGAAAGACAAGGTTTTGCAAAAAGATAGTGGGCAGGAAAGAAAGACGGTGGAGAAAAAAAAGACAGTGGGTAAAAAGTGTTTGGGTAGATGGAGGGGGGAAAGAGGGTAACGAGGAGGAGGAAAGAGGGTGATGAGAGGGAGCAGGGAAAGAGAGTTGGGAAAAAATGGGAAAGTAGTTTGGGGTAGATGGAAGGTAAAAAAGAGAGTGGCAAGCAGGATAGGGCAAAGAAGAGGATGAATGGGAAGGGGGGAAGACTGAAAAGACGGTGGGGAATATTCTGGGGGATAGATGGAGAGAGAAAAGAGGGAGGTGAGCAGGAGTGGGGAGAAGGCTTTGCGAAAAGACTATGGGGAAATGTTTTCGGGTAGATGGAGAAGTGGCAAGGAGGAACGGGGGGAAAAGACGATGAGGAAAACAGTTTTTGGGTAGATGAAGGGCGAAAAGACAGTGTTGAGCGGCAGGAGTGAGGAGAAGGCTTTGGGAAAAGACGGGAGAAAACGTTGTTGCTTAGATGAAGGAGCAAAAGAGGGTGATGAGAGTGGGATGGGGAAAAAGAACGTGGCCAGGGAGAAGGGGAAAAGACGGTGGGAAAAACCAGTGGGGAAAGTGTTTGGGTAAATGGATGGGGAAAAGGGTGGTGAGTGAGAGAGCAGAGAAGGCTTTGCAAAATGATGGTGGGGAAAAAGTTTTGGGGTAGATGGAGGAAGAAAACGGGTGGCGAGGGGGAGGAGGCCAAAGGCGGTCGGGAAAAGAAGGTGGGAAAATAATGGTGGGAGACAAAGATTTGGGGTAGATTTTTTTAAATCAGATTATTTGTATTTTTGCTTTTGAGTAGTTATTTATATATTTTGTGTATT
This sequence comes from Homo sapiens, assembly GCF_000001405.40. NCBI lineage: Eukaryota > Metazoa > Chordata > Mammalia > Primates > Hominidae > Homo > Homo sapiens. Next base: position 131,541,830 of record NC_000002.12, on the reverse strand, counting down.
AACCCCTTGGCTGATGGATAGTTTGCAAATACTTTCTTCTATTCTCTGGGTTGTTTCTTCGTTCTACTGATTTCTTCCTGTGCTTTGCAGAAGTTTTTAAGTTTTATGTAATTACATCTTTGCTTTTGTTGATTGTGCTTTTGACAAGTTTAATGTAATTACATCTTTGCTTTTGTTGCTTGTGCTTTTGATGTCTATTTGAAAATTCCTTGTCCTAACCAGTTTCATGAAGGATTTATCCTATGTTTTCTTCTCTAGTAGTTTTATAGTTTCAGGTCCTACATTTAAATCTTTATTTTGAGTAGATTTTTGTATATGGTAAGATAACGGCCTAGATGTATTCCTGTACATGTGGGTGTTGAGTTATCCTAGCAGTTTATTGAAGAGATTGTCCTTCCTTCCCGAATGTGTGTTCTTGGTGCCTTTGTTAAAAATGAGTACACCATAAATGCGTGAATTTATTTCTGATTTCTCTATTCTGTTTCACTTGTCTATGTCTGTCATTCCTTCGTTTCTCTGTTTCTCCCCCGCCCCTTTTTTTGATAGTATTATGCTGTTTTGGTATTACCATGCTTACTACAGATTTGTAGTATGTTTTGAAGTCAGGTGTGATGCCTCCAGCTTTTCTTTTTATTCCAGATTCTTTTGTCTATCTGAGATATTTTGCTTTTCCATGTGAATTTTAGGATATTTTTTTCTATTTCTATGAAGAATGTCTTTTGTAATTTAACATGGATTGCATTGACTCTAGATCACATTGGGTGATATAGATATTTTAACAATATTCTTCTAGTGCATGGACATGGGATATCTTTCCATTTACTTGTGTCTGCTTTAATAGCTTTCATCTGTGTTTTATAGTTTTCATTGTGGGATCTTTTGTCTTTTTGGTTAAGTTTATCCCTAGATATAATTATTTTGGTAATGAAATAGCTGTCTTCATTTCTTAGGTATTTCATTATTGGTGCATGAGTGTGCTACTCATTTTTATATGTTGATATTGTATCTTGCAACTTGACTAAATTATTTCTAGTAGGTGATTTTGTGGAATCTTTAGGGTTCTCTGTTTCTCTATGTGTATATATATATATGATCATGTCACCTGCAAACAGAGAGAGCTTGACTTTCTTTTTTCCAATTTGGATGCCTTTTATTGCATTCTCTTGTCTAATTGCGCTACCTAGGACTTCCAGTACTATGATGAATAAAAGTGGTGTAAAAGTAGCCACACTCGTTCCAGGCCTTAGAGGAAGAGTTTTAACCTTTCCCCATTGATTATGATGTTAGCTGTGGGTTTGTCATATATGGCCTTTATTGCACTGAGATATGTTCCTTCTGTACTCATGTTGTTCAGTTTTTGTCATGAAGGAATGTTTTTTTATTTTTTCAGCATCTACTGAAATGATTATATGGTTTTTGTTCTTGATTCGCTGAATGTGATGTCGCACATTTATTTATTTGTGTTTTATTGAATCATCCTCATATTCCTGGGATGAATCCCACTTGATCATGGCAGATCATCTTTTTATTGTGTTGTCAAGTGCAATTTTCAAGTATTTTGCTGAGGATTTTTTTGCATCTGTGTTCATCAGGGATATTTAAAATGCCTGTGGTTTTCTTTTTGTGTTGTTTCCTGGTCTGGTTTTTGTACCAGGGTCATGCTCTCCTCATAGAACAAGTTTCGAAGACTTACTTTGTCTTCATTTTTTGGGGAATATTTTGAGTAAAATTGGTATTAGCGCTTTTAAAAACGTTTGGTAGAATTCAGCAGTAAAACCGTGATTCTTGTGTTTTTGTTTGACAGAAGACTTTATTACTGCTTTGATTACATTACTCATTATTGATCTGTTCCGGTTTTTTGTTTATCATTCTATCTTGGGAATTTGTTATGTGTCCAGAAATTTATCACTTCTCCTAGATTTTCCAACTTGTTTTTATATAGGTGTTTTTAGTAATCTCGTATAATCCTTCATATTTCTGTTATCAATTGTAATGTCTCGTTTTTCATCTATGATTTTGTTTTCTTTTTCTTTTCCTTAGTCTAGTTAAAGCTTGTCAGTTTTGATTTTTTTCTAAAAAATCCAGCTCTTTGTTCCATTGACTTTTTGTATTTTTTGTTTCTATTTTTAAAATTTCTTCTCTAATCTTTATGATATTTTTTGTACTAATTTTAGCATTTTATTTTTCTCGTTTTTCTCATTACTTCAGGTATACTGTCAGGTTAGCTATTTGAGATCTTTCTACTTCTCTGATGTAGGCATTTATACCTATGCCTTTTTCCTCTTACAACTGCTTTTGCTGCATCCCACAGGATTTGTTATGTTGTGTTTCTATTCTTTTTTCAATAAATTTTTAATTTTCTTTTTATTTTTTTCATTTATTTATTTATTGTTCATGAGCATGTATTTTAATTTCCATGTATTTGTACAGTTTTTCCTCCTGTTATTGATTTCTAGTACTATTCCACTGTGGTCAGAAAAGATACTTGATATGATTTCAGGTTTTGTTTTGTTTTGTTTTGTTTTTGAGACGGAGTCTCGCTCTGTCACCTAGGCTGGAATGCAGTGGCACGATCTTGGCTCACTGCAAGCTCCACCTCCTGGGTTCACGGCATTCTACCGCCTCAGCCTCCCCAGCAGCTAGGACTACAGGTGCACGCCGCCACGCCCAGCTAATTTTTGTATTTTTAGTAGAGACGGGTTTTCACTGTGTTAGCCAGGATGTGATCCGCCCCCTTCGGCCTCCCAAAGTCCTGGGATTACAGGCATGAGCCACCGCGCCCGGCCATGATTTCAGTTTTTAAAAATGTGTTGTGACTTGTTTTTTGGCCTAACACATAGTCTGTTGTGGAGAATAATCCTCATGCTATTCAGTGGAATGTGCATTGTGCAGTTGCGGAGTGGAAAGCTGTGCAAATGTTAGGTCTATTCGGTATAGAGTACAGTTTAACTGATGATGTTTTGTTGTCTGGATGATCTGTCCGTTGAAGACAGTGGGGTGTTGATTATAGCGGAGCATTGAGGCATTCTGTTACTGTATTGCAGTCTATCCTTTAAGGTCTGTTAATATTTGCTACTGTATTTAGTTGCTTGAGTGCTGGTTGCATATGCACTTATAATTGTTATGCTGCTGTTTACTTTTTCTCATTATATAATTATCTTCATATTTTTCTTTTTTTGACTGAAAGTCTATATAATCTAAGTAGAGCTACTCCTGCTTTTTTTGTTTCCACTGGTATGGGATATCGTTTATCATGTCTTCACTTTCAGTTTATGTATGTTTATAGGTGAACTGAGTTTCTTGTAGGCAGTATATAGTTGGGTCTTGTCTTTTAATCCACTCAGCCATTCTGTCTTAATTGGAGAATTTAATTCATTTATATTCAAGGTTATTATTAATGGTTAAAAACATACTACTGCCATTTTTTACTTGTTTTCTGGTTGTTTTGCTATTCTCTCTTTTTTCTTTTGTTCTTTCTCCCTTCCTTCCTCTTTCTCTTCTCTCTGATCTCTCTCTTTCTTTCTTTTCTTTCCTCCTTCCCATCCTTCCTGTCTTTATTTGTAGTGAGGTAATTTTTTCTGATAGTGTGTTTTAATTGCTTGCTTTTCATTTTTAGGGTATCTATTATTGATTTTTGTTTTCTGGTTACCATGAGGCTAAACAACATAATTATAACAAGTTATTTTAAACTGAAGAATACTTAACTTTGATTTTTCCCAGCTACTCCAGAGGCTCAGGTGGGAGGATTGCTTGACCCTGGGAGGCTGAGGTTACAGTGAGTTGAGATCGTGCCACTGCGAATATAAATAAATAAATAAACAAACAATAGCTTATAATGAATTCTGATTGTAAATTTTGAGATGATGATTGATAAGGTATAAAGAAGAAAGTGAAAATCATTCATGATCTCATTACTCTAACATAACTACTCCTAATGTTTTGGTACATATGCTTTCTAATTCAGAATTCTCTCTCTCACACACACACACACATACACACACAGGTACACATAAAATAGATACATTTTACACACAGATAACATTTTACTGTAACATTTTAAGAAAAACAGCTTTGTAATTTTTTATTTAAAAATATTGGCCGGGTGCGGTGGCTCATGCCTGTAATCCTAGCACTATGGGAGGCCAAGGCGGGCAGATCACGAGGTCAGGAGATCGAGACCATCCTGGCTAACATGGTGAAACCTCGTCTCTACTAAAAATACAAAAAAAAAATTAGCCAGGCATGGTGGCGGGCGCCTGTAGTCCCAGCTACTCGAGAGGCTGAGGTAGGAGAATGGTGTGAACCTGGGAGGTGGAGCTTGCAGTGAGCCCAGATGGCACCACTGCACTCCAGCCTGGGCGACAGAGTGAGACTCCATCTCAAAAAAAAAAAAAAATGGACTGACATGGCAGTGGTGAGTGGGATCCTGGGCATCCCTGGGAGAATTGGGGCTCCCCCAAGAGCTCCTGGGACCACTGCTGGGAGGGGCCTTCAAGGTTAGGGTGGCTGGGTAGGGGCTGGGCCTGACCTGAGACCCTGCCCACCACGCCTCTTCCAGGCCAGGTTTGCTGTGCTGGGTGGGAACGTGGGAGAAGTCACTCTCTGTTTGCGGCCCCCATCGGTGCCTCTGCCACCCGGCCCAGAGGGGGCAGGGACTCTGGGGAGGACAAGGCTGTGGGGGTGGGGATTATACCCAGGATCGGCCGACATTGTCTGCACAAGGGTGGAGGCTGAGAGAGAGGCCTCGGGAATCTGGCTGTGAGGACGGGCGTGCGGTGGGAAAGCCCCCTACATGGGGAACCCTCGGGTTCCATGCTGCTGACCGTGCCCATCCTGCTCCAGCCCACTCCCCCACTGCCCCCGGTGCCACCGACCCAACAGCAGTACCTATGCCAGCTGCTCCTGGATGCCATCCTGGCCAACATCCGCTCACCCTCTTCAACCATTCCCTGTACTGCATATTCATGCCAACCCTGATTGCCATCCACAGCCCACCTATCACGTACATCCAGCTGGGCTGGGCTTCGCGGAGGGTGGCTGCCTGGCCCTGGGCCATGTGTGCCCAGTGTGGTCACCATGGTGCCTCCCCAAGGCCCCAGTGGTATGCACCCGGAAGCACAGGCTTGAGGACGATGAGCAGCAGAGCATCTCCAGCGTGCTCCAGGGCCTGGTGGCCAGGCTGGAGCCCAAGTGCATGATAAACCTGGACCCTTCTCACTGCAGCAACAATGGCACCGTCCGCCTGATCTGCAAGCTGGGCGAGTGTCCAGGAGGGCCAGGCTGGTGCAGGAAAGCAACCCCCGACCGCAGCCCCAGGTCTCTGCTGTCCAAGCCACAGGGCACAGTGCCCAGACCCCATCCTGTGTTCACGTGCCGGCAGGCTGTCTGCTCTGTCTTCACATACACTGGGCCCAGGACAGACTGGCCATTGCCTCTGCCCCCACCCCTGGAGCCCACGCACCCTCACCTCCCCAACACAGATGCGGCTCTGCTTGCCTGGGGCCCTAGGGAGGTGGCAGGCAGGACCTCTGGGCACCCATCGATGCAGGTCACTCTGGCTTCAGGTTTGGAAATCCGAGAGTGAGAGAGACATCCAGGCTTTGCCGCAAGCCTCACCAGAACCTCCCGGGATGTGAAGAGTCCTGTTCGGGAGCAGGGCTGTGAGGCAGGGCAGGCCAGGGCTTGTCTGGGTCACAGGTACAGCCTTGTGTGTTGCAAACGACAAGAACCTCCCAAGTGTGCCACCATGTGCCCACCCACTACCCTACCCAGAGTCCACTGTGGATGGACCGGCAGTGGCTATACAGTGGGCAGACCCAGAGGGAGCTGTCTGGGGGCCCAGGGCAGGCAGGGGTCATTCTGGAACACCAGGCTTCCAGTGCTGCAGGGACAGCCTCTGTGCACTCCAGCCCCTCCCAGCTCAGGCCCCTCCCTCCCGTCTTCTGACTCCCCCTGCACGGGCAGGCACGGGTTTTCCAGTGGTCACATGAGAGAGAGGGGTCTCTGCTCTTCTTCTGTGTCCCTTTGCCCCTTCATCTTGTATCAGGTCAGTTGTCCAGGGTGGCTGTGTTCAGTGGCTGAAGGGTGAGAAAGCCTATGGCTCAAGGACAGACCTTGATTTTCCCAGAGGCCACCAGGGAGCTCAGCGGGGCTGACAGGTCCTACCAGTAGCTTGGGCACACAAGGCCCCATCTGGGTGATGTGGCTCCAGAGAGAGTCATGTTGACAGGGGTCAGTATCCCTGAGCCCAGAGCTGGCACACAGCAGAGCCAGGGCTGGGTCCCCAAGGTTGTCAGAGGCAGAGCCCTGGGCTCCAAATCCCATTCAGATTCAGTTCTTCACTGACAATGAGGCTCTGGGAGGAGAGCCCGATGGCCAGGCAGGCAGCGTGCAGGGCTCCTCCTGGTGCTTCAGCCAGTCCTGGGGCTGCCACTTCCCAGAGCACTGCCGGGTGTGCAGGCCGTGGGTGCAGCACCAGCTGCCTCAGGCTCATGCCCACTGTTCTGTTGCAGGCACCAACCCCTTCCTCAGGTCGGTGCACCACTGCGTGACCTCCAGGCAGCCACAGCCTGGAAAAGCACTCGGTTACCACCTTGCTCAACACCTGTGCCCAGAGCATCCACAAGGCCTGCCTCTCGGCTGCTTAGCCAGGACTGCAGGGATGGCCCGCAGCCTCATCGGGGCCAAGGACGCATGCCTCCTGTCAGACACTTCTAGGTGTTGGCATCCATGGAGAGCCTGGAGTTAGGTTAGCTTTCCTCCTTTTCTTTCCTGCCTTGGGGATCTGCCAAATGAAATCCCACACTTGTACAGACTGAGATGGGCGTGGTGGAGCGGGCTGCTCGCCGTGGCCTGTCCAGGGTCCAGGTCCATCTCAGCGGCATGAGGGTGCGCTCAGGGTGTTGTTAGAGCTTCTTGTGTGTGCTCAACACACCCCTGCTCCTTTCTATAGGAGAACACAGAGGACATAGGAAACCCTTCAAACACACGTCGGATTCTCTGCTCACAGTTTTGGGTTCAGGCTGTGCTGCTTTGGGCAGGTGGGGCACCCCCCAGAGAAGCCCCTAAGTCCAGGGCACAGGCTGCCTATCGGAGGGAGGGCTGGCCCATGGCTGCTGCCAGCTCCCCACCACCAGCTGGGCCTCAGCCCTCACGGCATTCCTGCTGAGCACTGTGGGGCCCCCAGGGAGCAGGGGCACGGGGGATCCTGCTGCCGGCACCCCTGTGTCACTCGTGTGAGGGCCGTGTCCCCATTGTGAAGGATGAAGAGCCAGGCCCTCTGGACCCGCGTCCTCAGAACACTACGCGCTGCCACCCAGAGAGTGCGGGCCTGGCGGTGGGTGGGGCCATGCAGTGAGTGCCTCCCTATGTTGCCCACTGCCCTGGGCACTGGCCAGCAGCCCTTTGGTGACAAGAGTCGCCCCTTTTAATGCGTACCACCCCATCATCTGTGATTGTTATAATCTTGTTATTCCTGTGTTTTTCAGGACTCGTCACTGTGTCCCCCACTCCATGAAACTGGGCCTGCTGTCCTGTTAGGATGCTGTAAGCCCCCGGGCCTGGGCTGTCCTTTCTGACACACTGTCCCATTCCTTGGCCTGGTTCATCCCCAGCTTCCTGGCAAAGTTCTGCTCCCTGAAGCAGGAAGAGGCTGAGATTAATGCCAACGAAGTGGGGCCGTGGGCCTGGGAAGACTGTGTGGCTGGCTGAGGGTGGGCAGTAAGCTGGCCACCCCACCCCCGACATGGACATGGCTGTGCTATGGCGGAAGGGGTGGTGTGGGCATGGCCACAGCACTCGAGACAGCCCTCCGAGGAGGAGGGCGAGCCTGGCTGGACCCCCTGTCTGCGGTGCTGTGTCAGGGCAGGAGAGGACAGCCTCTTGCCCCCAGGAGTGTGCAGTGTGGGCAAGAGACAGAGTGATCATGTGTTTGGAACGCAGCTCCAGCCCAGCCAGGGGACCAGAAAAGCCCTCCCGCTTCCAGGGAGGATGTGCATGGCTCTGCCAATGCCTATCTCCCAGGGCCGCTGGCAGGTCCCAGGATGCGCAAGACTGGGCTGCCCAGGCAGGTCCCTGCAGACAGCAGGGCCTGGGCTAGAGGCCAAGGGCTGGGACTGGGAAGGGACGCGACGCCTGATAGCCAGTGAGGAGCCAGGCACACAACTTGGAAATAAACAAGCTTTATTTTCAGTTTCAACAGGTAAGGCGATACCTGCTTCATCGTGTGCTTTTATGTAAATGCCAAATAGCAAAATAACAGCTAGAAAATAAACAGTTTGTCAGTTTGGAGATCAAGTACTTTATCTATCTTGAGTGTTATCTGTCTTGGAATTTAGCCAGGCCTAAAAGTAGCGGAAGTATCAGGAAATGCTATAGAGAGCCAGTCTCCAGCTGCAGGTTGGTGGGCCTGGCACTGACCAGATTGGGGTGGCTCAAAGCACTGAGCGATGCAGGCGCCGTTTCTGCATTGCCTGCAGCCTCTTCTGCCTCTCGGCAAAGTTGTTCTTCGGGGTCTGCTTCAGTGCGGGCAGGATGGCACGCTCCGCCACAGGTGGGCTCAGGCTGGGGCGGGTAGAGGGACTGTCACCGTGAGCATCCCCGGGAGTGGAGTGTGTGGGGAGTGCGGCCTGCATGGCCCTCACGGGGGCACAGAGAGGCCTCAGCGAGCTCTGCTTCTGCGCTGCCACCCTCCCTTCCCCACTCCCTCCCTGGGGCCCAGGCTGCAGGGCTGCCCCACTGTCCCCATGCCTGTGGGACTTACCATTTCTTGGAGAGGCTCTTGGTGGAGACCTTGGGGAAATGCGTGGCTTCTTGGTCCCTGGGTGAAGGAAGAGTCAGCAGTGAGCTGTGGATAGGACCCCAGGGATGGGGCAGGGGTGCACCAGGCACTCACCTGGGAAAGCTAGCTTCCTCCGGGGCTGCCTGGGGCCTCTGGCTCCCTTCCAGGAGGGACTTGAGGTGCCGCAGCTGAAAGGCAGGGGCAGGGGCATGGTGGGGCCTGTGGCGGTGCCAGACTGCCCAGGGCCACCCCCACCACCCAGGGCCTCACCTCTTGGGTCTGCAGGAGGTTGGTATTCCACAGCTCGCGGATGAGCACTTCGCACTGCCTAAGTGTGGTGGGCTTTCGCAGGGGAAGGGGCAGGATCATTGGGGGGTGTGCCCCCGCCCCCATCTGCCTGCCCTGGTGCTGGCTGTTCCCCATACAGGCAGCTCCTGCATTAGAGGCCTCTGCTTTCTCCTTTCTGAAACAGTCATTGCAGCAGCCAGAGGTGACCTGCCCAGGTGCGTCTAACCACCCACCCAGCATACCTCCCCAGGCAGCGCCCAGGCCAATGTGGGGAAGAGGGCCTGGTTCCCCTCTCCCACTGAGCAGGGTGCTCTGGGCACCAGGTGGGGGTCTCTGGGACTGGGGCCTGTCCCTTTCTCCCCTCTGAAGGTGCCCTAAGGGTCAGATGGGCTTCAGTGGGTGACCAGCTAGCTGCCAGGCTGCTCTTGATCGTGACCCCACACCCAGTGGGGCATCTTGCTCCAGGCCTGGTCTTGGGATGTGCAGATGCAGGAGCCTGTCCTGCTGGTTGCGCTGCTGAAAGTGTGCACTCTGTAGCATCTCAGGGCAGTCCCGCAAACTCAGGGATCACCAGAACCTGTTCCTACTCTGACCTGCTGGCCTAGTGCCCTCCAAAGGCAGGCTGTGGCCAGGGGCAGCAAGCCTTCTCTTGGTAAGAATATTACTTTACTTTTCTCTGAGGAAGTGGTTTAGGGGCTGCTACTGGCCCCCCTCGTGGGCTCAGGTCAGCACAGGTACTCTGCAGGACCCCCAGGGGAAGGGAGGAAGACAGCGCCCACCGATGGGTAGAGCGTGGCCGTCATCTGCTATCATGAGCCCAGGAGACAGGCCCCTGGAGCTAGGGGCAGAGCAGTTGGCTGACTGCAGGGCGTGAGCCTAGTAAATGTAGTCATGGGGCCCTTAGGGTGCAGGCAAGACTTACCTGGCCTGCCCTTGCACCCCAGGAACACCCAAGCCTTACCTGGCCTGCCCTTGTACCCCAGGAACTTTGTCCAGCTTGCTGTTGTGAAGTAGGGGCTCCTCTTCCAGGTCCGCCTTCTGGGAGACGTCAGCTTTTGAATCTTGCTTGTTGAAGGAGCCGGGCTGGGGCCTGGCCTTGCCTTGAGAGTTGGCTGCAAGTCAGACCCTACAAGGCCGGTCACTGCAGGCACCAACAGTCACCGCCCAAGTTTTCCAGGAACAGCTGTGTGTACCCAAGAAGCCCCTGTCCCTGCCTCAGTTTCCTCCTCTGTAAAGGGAAGCCTGCCTTGGAGGGTTCTGGGGGGAATCAATGTGGTTCTGAGGGTGAAGCCCATGGGTGGTGCCTGTGAACACTCTAGAACAATCAACATAGTGGAAGCTGGCCCCATCTTGGGTAAAATGAAACTGCATGAGAGGCTTGGGACCCAGCCTGCATGGGTTTCCTCGGCAAGGACAAGGCCCGTCTAGCACCTGGGCCCATCACAGGAATGGTGGGGGTTAGGGCAGGGCTGAGGAAAATGCCCGGCCTCACAGAGTGGGGAAAAGAGGCTCTCTGCTCCCGGCTCACTCTGCAGAAGGTGCCATGAGCCCAGGGCTCCGTGGGCAGTGCCATCCCTCCTGTGTCCTGCCTGCTTGTGGCAGGGACACGGCCAAGCAGGGCTGCTGCTGGGCAGCCAGGGTACATCCTCCCTAGAAGGCCACCCGGGGAGGCCCCTCCTGCCTGCTTGCTGCCCCGCCCTGGGGTGCCTGCTGTGAGGCCTTACTGCCCTGTGACTGGTCCCTGGTCCTGCCCACCCCCCCTTAATCCCCTCCCGGTGGCTTCAGCTTGCAGGGCTCTTTTCAGCTGCACCTTCATCCCCAAATCCTGGAGCTTGGCCCAGCAGAGGGCGCCTGGTCAGCACCCCTAGAGGCCACCCAGGCTGGGGTCCCCGTGGGGCACTCACCCCTGTGAGCACATGGACGCCAGCCTGCTCACCTGAATTAGAGATGGACTTGACAGACTGGAAGCTTGACATGGAGAGGCTGTCTGCAGGAGAGCGCACAGTGTCGGCGCTACCGCCCGCAAGACGCCCACGCTTGCCTCCTGGCCTGTGTGTCCGTGAGGAGCCCTCCTTCAGCCTGGCAGGGCTGGGTCCTCCCGGCTCTACCCACACTCCGTTGATGCAGACCCAGCGAGCGCCCAAGGGAGCAGAGGCCCTGGAAAGGTGGTTTCCTGAGGGGCCATCTGGAAAGCAGGAGGGCTTGGGACACATGGAACAGCAGGTCCCGAGGGAAAGCATGGCCTCTTCCCGTGTCCTGTCAGCGTCCCCAGCACTGCAGGGCTGGGGCTGCCGACTTGGGCCACACTTTGCCCAGAACAGCTCACTGGAGTTGCCACAGCGGCTAGGGAAGGGCCCTCCCTCAACCCCCTTCTCCATGTCTCCCTGGGAAGGGAGAGCCCTAGGCACTGCCCCAGCTGCGATGTTCCCAGGCTGGCTCCATCCACCAGTCAGATGTCCTCCTGATGTCAGCCCCAGCCCCAAAGATAATGGGAAGTGAGCTTGAGACCACAGCCCAGGATCCTGGGCTGGGTGGGGGCCGCTGTCAGGATGGGGAAGTGCCTTGGACAAGTGGCAAGGAAACAGGACTCTGCTTCCTCCCTTTGTCCCCATGGTTGCTGCCCAGATGGCAGGAAGGGATCCCTGGATGGAGTGTGTCCAGAGCCCCTGGGCCCCCAGCATGTGAGGACTCAGAGCCATAGGGCTGGAAATCCTGGGCCTGGCCACAGCAGCAATCTGAGGCAAAGATCTAGCAGGGCAGGGGCTGTCCCAGGGGTTCCTTCCCATTTCAGCTCTACTTGGAGGAGGGAGGTCTGGGGAGCACCCTGTGCCCACCTCCCCACTGCAATGACCTCAGGCCCTGGGCTTCCCGAGAGCAGCACGTGCTGTGCTTGGCTGCATAACATCGTCCAGCCACGGCTAGAGGTAGCGGCATCTGTCCAGGTCCCCCAGAACCTGTACCCACTGGGTTGGCATACAGGGGCCAGTGCAGCCAGGTGGGCAAGGACAGTCTGGAGGGGCTCCCCTGGGTGGCAAGAGCATCCCATCAGTCACTGAAGGGCCCAGTTCTCACCTTTCTTCTGTGATGTCTGATTCATTATGAGCTTGTAATGGAGATCTGAAAGCAAGCACACGCTCTCCTCAGCACTTGTGAAACCACAGCTATTCTGAGAGAAGAAGCCTGGCCTGTCCTCTCCTGGCTGCTGAGCCCAAAAGTCCTGCCCCCCCACTGGCTGATTGGGCCCTGCCCCATGGATCCCGCTCTCCACCACGCCTTCGTCGTGGGTGTCAGGCCAGGAATGGCCCTGCCTGTTCCCTAGGCAGAGCCCACCGGGCATATCGGCCTCATCCATCTGAGATGACTGGAGGGCATCCACACTGCCCAGGCAGGGCCTGGGCTTTAGGGGTACAGAGGTGAACTCCGGAACCCCTGGCTATGGCAGTGTCATGATCCCGTGGGGATCAGGGACTGCGGGGGAGGCTCAAGAAGACATTAGGAACTGGGCGTCCTGAGGCTCAAGAAGACATGGGGAAGCGGGGTCCTGACAAAACAGACGCCTGGTGATGGGATACTCGGCACTCAGGTAAGGCAGCACCAGGGAACGGGGCGGGAGAGGAGGCCGCGGGCACTGGTGCCCTTGCTGGAGCCCTCCTGAAGCAAGATCGAGGAGCGGAGCCACATCCCACATCCTGGCGGGCCCTCCTTCTGCTCGGGGCAGGAGGGGTGGGGGAGGAGGGAGGGAGAAAGGGGGGCGTGGGGGTGAGGAGCAGCTAAGGGTGCAGTTGGGAAGGCCCCGCCGGAGGACAGCATGGGCACAGGCGAAGCGGGGACGGGGTGGGGGGCGGGGGAATGCCTGCTCCTGATCCGATGTGTTTAGCTGGAAGAAATTCATTGAGCTGCGCACTCGCACTTGGGCACGTTTCCCTGTATAAAGTTTTTGTTTTTGTTTTTTTGAGACGGAGTCTCGCTCTGTCACCGAGGCTGGAGTGCAGTCGCAAGATCTCGGCTCACTGCAAGCTCCGCCTCCCGGGTTCACGCCATTCTCCTGCTTCAGCCTCCCGAGTAGCTGGGACTACAGACGCCCACCACCACGCCTAGCTAATTGTTTTGTATTTTTAGTAGAGACGAGATTTCACCGTGTTAGCCAGGATGGTCTCGATCTCCTGACCTCGTGATCCGCCCGTCTCGGCCTCCCAAAGTGCTGGAATTACAGGCGTGAGCCGCCGCGCCCGGGCCCCTCTATAAAGTTTTTAACAGAGGTGTGTCTGACCCTGCTTGGAGAGGAGAGGATTGGCGGAGTCAGCATCTGAAATGCTGCTGCCCTACGAGACAGGCAGACAGGGTCGGCACTGCCCGGGGGCCACGCGGGTCTCCCTCTGGGAGGAGGGGACAGCTCAGCGTGGCAGGGCGGGCTTACCGTCCTGTGTTCCCCCTGAGCCCAGGCGTGTGCTGGAGTTGATGGCTGTGTTTCTGTGCTGCGGGAGCGGCAGTGTTGAGTGTGCCTGGGGAGGCAGGGCCGGCCTAGGGCCCCGCGCCGGCTCACCCTTGTTTTCCCGCTTCAGATGCTCGATCTCCTCATGGAGCTTGGCCAGCATCTCCGAGTGCTGCTGCTGCAGGAACTGCAGGCTTTTCTCCAGGTCCAGGTTCCGTTTCTGCGGGTCGCTCTGCCTGAGCTGCGGGCTCTGCGGCCTCAAGGACTGGACGCCCACAGAGGGGCGCTGGCGCCGGCGCCGAGAGCCCGGGGTCGGCGAGCTGGGGGGCCGCGTCCCAGCCGCCACCCCCGCACCGCTCATATCGCCATCGCCAGGTACTCTCCCGCTGCCACTGCACCCCGGCTCAGTGGCCAGGCCGCCCTAGCCTGGCGCCCCGTCACCATGGAAACCGGGCGACGGAAGGCGCGAGGCGGTTGGCGGGGGCGGGGCCTGTCGCTGGCTCTTCCTGGGTGAGTAGTGATTTACAAGGCATCCAGGGCTGGGCGCCGGGGCTCACGCCTGTAATCCCCGAAGTTTGGGAGGCCGAGGCGGACGGATCATTTGAGGTCAGGAGTTCGTGACCAGCCTGACCAACATGGCGAAACCCCAACTCTACTAAAAATACAAAATGTAGCCGGGTGTAGTGGCGGGAGCCAGTAATCCCAGCTACTCTGGAGGCTGAGGCAGGAGAATAGCTTGAACCGGGAGGCAGAGGTTGCAGTGAGTCGAGATCGCACCGCTGCACTCCAATCTGGACGACAGAGACTCTGTCTAAAAAAATAATAATAAAAGGCATCCAGGCATCCTTTCCAGCCTGAATGGAAAGTGAGACCCCGTCTCTAAAAAATTAAAAGAAAAAAAACCCGGGCATGGTGTCTTGCGCCTGTAGTCCCAACTGCTCGGGAGGCTAAGGCGGGAGGATTGCTGGAACCCCAGAGGTCGAGGCTGCAGTGAGCTATGATGGCACCACTGAACTCCAGCCTAAGTGACAGAGTGAGATGCTGCCTAAAAATAAGAGGCTGGGCGCGGTGGCTCACACCTGTAATCCCAGCTACTCCGGAGGCTGAGGCAGGAGAATCACTTGAACCCAGGAGGTGGAGGTTGCAGTGAGCCAAGATCGCGCCATTGCACTCCAGCCTGGGTGACAGGGTGAGACTGTGTCTCAAAAAATAAATAAATAAATAAATAAATTTAAAAATAATAAAAATAAAAAGAAGTCTTATTTTTTTTACAAGGCCTGCCCTCAAAAAAAAAAAAAAAATCACAGCCAGGCCAATCATAATTTTGCCAGATACCAGCAAACCTGGAGGAAGGGAACATAGCTAACCCCAGCCTGCTCTGGCTCTCCTTTCCCCACATCTTACTGCCACATCAGCGGGGCTCCTGTATAATAACAGGGGATACAAGTGAAAGAACTGCTCATCTCAGAGCTTATTCAAGAAATCTCTAGGAAACCGTAAAGGCAACAGGGAGACAAAAACTAAGACACTAGAGGAGGTTTAAGCCTCTGACACCTCCAGTTAACAAACAGAACACATGGCGCAACCCCTAACCAGACCAACATAAAACTTCACACAGAAAGTCCATTTACTGGTTGAGCACGACCAGCCCTCAACAAAAACTTGCAAGGCATAATAAAAAACAACACAGTTTGAAGACACAGCAAACATCAGAGCCAGACTTAAATATGGCAGAGATGTTGGAATTATCAGACCAAGAAATGGAATACAACTATGATTAATATGCTAAGGGCTCTAATGGAAAAAGTGGACAACATGAGATTACAGACTGATAATGGGAACAGAGAAGTAGACATTCTAAGAAATAATCTAAAGAAAATGTGAAGGCCAGGCAGGGTGGCTCATGTCTGTAATCCCAGCACTTTGGGAGGCCAAGTTGGGCAGATCATTTGAGGTCAGGAGTTCAAGACCAGCCTGGCCAACATGGTGATATCCCATCTCTACTAAAAAATACAAAAATTAGCTAGCGTGGTGGCATGCACCTGTAATTCCAGCTACTTGGGAGGCTAAGGTGGGAGGATTGCTTGAATCCAGGAGGTGGAGGTTGCAGTGAGCTGAGATCATGCCACTGCCTTCAAGCCTGGGCAACAGAGTAAGACTCCATCTCAGAAAAAAAAAAAAAAAAGGAAAAAAAAGAAAAGAAAATGCGAGAAGTTGGCCAAGCACAGTGGCTCACACCTCTAATCCCAACATTTTGGGAGGCTGAGGTGGGTGAATCACTTGAGGTCAGGAGTTCAAGACCAGCCTGGGCAACATGGTGAAAACCCATCTCTACTAAAAATACAAAAATTATTTGGAGGCCGAGGCGGGCGGATCACGAGGTCAGGAGATCGAGACCATCCTGGCTAACACGGTGAAACCCCATCTCTACTAAAAATACAAAAAATTAGCCGGGCATGGTGGTGGGCGCCTGTGGTCCCAGCTACTCGGGAAGCTGAGGTAGGAGAATGGCGTGAACCCGGGAGGCGGAGCTTGCAGTGAGCCAAGATGGTACCACTGCACTCCAGCCTGGGCGACAGAACAAGACTCCATCTCAAAAAAAAAAAAAAAAAAAAAAAAAGGCAGGCATAGTGGTTTATATCTGTAATCCCAACTACTCAGGAGGCCGAGGCCGAAGAATTGCTTGAACTCAGGAGGTGGAGTTTCCAGCAAGCTGGGATCCTGCCACTGCACTCCATCCCGAGCAACAGAGTGAGATTCTGTCTCAAAAAACTAAAAGAAAATGTAAGAAGTCAAAAACACAACAGAAATGAAAAGTCAGGTGCATGGCTGATGCCTGTAATCCCAGCACTTTGAGAGGCCAAAGCAGGAGCATCTCTTGAGCCCAAGAGTTGGAGACCAGCCTGGGCAATATAGCCAGACCCTGTCTCCACAAAGAACTAAAAAATTTGCCTGCATGGTGGTGCACACCTGCAGTCCCAGCTACTGAGAAGGCTGAGATGCAGCGAGCCATGATTGCACCACTGCACTCCAGCTTGGACAACACAGAGAGACCTTGTTTCAAAAAAAGAAGGAAAATGATATAGGAAATTTGGATCTAAAAAAAGGGAAGTGCATTAGAGAAGGAATAAATTAAGATAAAATATAATCTTTATTTTTTTTTAACAGATGACAGTTTGCTCAAAAAAATTATGGCAACATGTATTCAGTAATTATGGTTTATGGACAGCTGGAATGAATGGTAGCAATATTACTGCTGGGAGGGAGGATATCCTGAGTGGAGAGAAATTCATCCAGGCAGGAGTGCAGTGGTGCGATTATAGCTCACTTGCAGCCTGGAACTCCTGGGCTCAAGTCATCCTCCTGCCTCAGCTTCCCTAGTAACTGGGATTACAGGCACACACCACCATGCCTGGCTAATTTTTTTTTTTTTTTTTTTTTTTTTGTCTTACTATGTTGCCCAGACTGGTCTCAAACTCCTGGACTGAGGCTCTCTTCCTCCCTCAGCCTCCAGAAGTGTTGAAATTACAGGTATGAGCCACTGTGCCTGGTATGTGGTTGCTTTTGAATGTCCTAGTCCTAAACATCTGGTTCCCAAGAAGGAGAAAAGAAAAATGAAGGCAGGAGGAGGTGCTGATCCATAAAAACCTCCTGGAAGGTGTGTACCCAGGGAGGCAGTGAGGGTTGAGGAGGGACGTTGCAAACATAGCAGTGGAGATTGCAGCAGTGGCTGCCTGCCTCTTTGTCTGCATTTTCACAATCAACAGCAGCCATCATCAATCAGAGCACAGATCCCCAGTATTTGGAGGATGGGGCTCTTATTGCCCGCTCTGGTTCCTGCAAGCTATAGGGAAGCTACTGCAGAAATGTATGCATGGCTGCTTGCACCACCAATTTAAATGCCACTTTCTTCTGAAAACACCCTTACAGACCTGCCAGGAAATAATGTGTAACCAGATATGAGTGCATCCAGTGGCCCAGACAAGTTGACATATAGAATTAACCATCAAAAGTCCACCCCTTGTCAACCTGGCACCCATACACATCTCCTTAAACCATACTTACTCTCCAAATAAACACAATAACCCAGTGTTATTGTGTTAGCAGTGGAAGGTGTCCGAGTTAATAGTGTTAGCAGTGGAAGGTGTCCAAGTCACTGGCAGTGAATCCGGATGGGTCTTCAGCAACCACAATTCTTGGTTCCTCAGAAGAAGGAATTCGACTGAGGAGCATAAGGCAGAAAAAGAGACCAAAGCAAGTTTCAGAGCAGGAGTGGAAGTGTATTTTAAAAGGCTTTAGAACAGGAAAGAAAGGAAAGTATGCTTGGAAGAGACCTAAGTGGGCACATGAAAGTCAAGTGTGGTGTTTAACCTTGATCCTAGGACTTTCTAGACTAGCCCCTTTCCCATGATCCTTCCCATAGGGTGGGCTGCCCACATGTACAGTACCCTCCTTACCCTTGGGAGTTCCTAAACACATGCAGTGTGTTTAGGAAACTGTATGCATGCCCATCTGAGGTTTTCGGGTGGGGTGCCCCTGGAAGGTCATACTCCACTACTTTGTCTCTTAATGCACATGCCTGGGAAGTTGATTCTCCCTGGAATCTGCATTCAATTAACACTTTAGTGAAATAGGTGTGGCCCATCAAGAAATGGCCTGTCCCTGGCGCCAGCTGCCAATTTATCACTTTTATTTTTTATTTATTTTTTGAGAGGGAGTCTCTGTCACCCAGGCTGGAGTACAGTGGTGCGATCTCGGCTTACTGCAACCTCTACATCCCAGGTTCAAGCGATTTTCCTGCCTCAGCCTCCCAAGTAGCTGAGATTAGAGGCATGCGCCACCACACTAGCTAATTTTTGTATTTTTAGTAGAGATGGGATTTCACCATGTTGGCCAGGCTGGTCTCAAACTCCTGACGTCAGGTGATCTTCCTGCCTCAGCCTCCTAAAGTGCTGGGATTACAGGCGTGAGCCACTGCGCCTGGCCAAAAGTAGGAATTCTTGACTGGGAAATAATTAGATATATTTCGGCACCTTGTGACTTGAGAAAATTATGCTAGGAATTCTGGCTTCGGGAGTCAAGGGAAGCTAGCTTAATTTTTACAGTGAAGGCTACATAAGAGGCCTCTCTCCAGCGTGGTGGCTCACACCTGTAACCCTAGCACTTCAGGATGCGGAGGCGGTCCCATCACTTAAGCCCAGGAGTTCAAGATCAGCCTGGTAACACAGTGAGACCCCGTCTCTACAAAAAAATTTAAAAATTAGCAGGGTGCGGTGGCGCATGCCTGTAGTCCTGGCTACTTGGGATGCTGAGGCGGAAGGATTGCTTAAGCCCAGGAGTTAAGAGGCTGCAGTGAGCTGTCATGGTGCAGTGCACTCCAGCCTGGGCAATATAGCAAGACCTTGTCTCAAAACAGAGAGTTCTCTCTCATTTATATTGGAAATGTCAGGGTTATTGGTGAGAGCTGGCCTTTAGGGGATCTAACTTGCTCTTGGATGTCCAAGGGGAAAGGTATAGATTTCTCCTGACTGCACAGGGCCTCTGCTTGTGAGTTGCTTGCACAAGATGATCAGAATCTGACTTACCTCGGATCACGGGGGCGCTGGTATATCCTAGCGGTAGATCGTGGGAGTGGGCCACGAATGGGATCCAGGGAATGGGATTGCCTCGGGGCAAGGAGGACGATGCGGAGGTGCAAGGGGCAGGGGTGGTGTCAGGACAGCCTGAAGCTGCGCTGCCAGAGGCTCTGGGCCACGTGGTCAGAAAAGCATCTGGAGTTGGCCTGTCAGCAGGGGAGTGTGGCCCAATGGCAAAAAGTCAAGGGCATCCTAGGAGCTGAGGAGGCGGGGGCAGTGGCAGTTAGGCCAAACCACTCTGGAAGCATCCAGGGGTGGAGACGAGAATGTGCAGGAGCTCCTGCCTCCAGCCTGGCCTCCCTCCTCCTTGTGCCCCAGACAGAACTGCTTCCCCTGAGTTGCTCCAACTCCAGTCTTTCCCCAGAAGTCCCTCACAAGTGCCTCCTGGCCGGGCCCCACCAACTGCATTTTGCTCTCATCCCAGCAGTCCCATTTTCTCTACAGTGAAAGTTCTTGGCAAAATTTAAATCCCGTTTTATTGGCGAGGTCCCTACCCTGCTACCTGGAAGTGGCTGGAACCTAGCTGCCCGCTGCTGCCCTTGCTCCCCAGGCAGAAGCCACTGAGCACCAGCTGGCCTTGTGGCCATCGCTGTCCAGGTCCCAGCCCCCAGGACCCTGACCCCTCACTCAGCTTTGCTGTTCTTGGTTCTCAGTGCGTTTTTGCCTGCCCCCCACTCCTGGCCAGACAGTTCAGCCCCCAGCAACTCCCGCAATCCTTGGAGCTTCTGGAAGCCATAGACTTGGCGGCACATGTTCCCGGTGGTCAGCTTTTCTTTGAGAACAGGGTCTCACTCTGTCACCCAGGCTGGAGTATAGTGGCGTGATGAAGGCTCACTACAGCCTTGATCTCCTGGACCCTGACGATCCTCCAAACTCAGCGTCCCAAGTAGCTGGGACCACACATGTGAACCACCATGCCTAACTTTTTGAATCTTTTGTAAAGACAGGGCAAAGTCTACTGTGCCTCTGAGAGAGGAAAGCATAGGAAGCCAGAGGCCCAGGCCTGTGGACACTGGGGGGAGGGGCCGACAGGGTGCCCAACAGTTGTTTCTGCAGCCCCCGTGTGCTCAGGGACTCTGTATAGGTGAACCTCCTAGAGACTGAGCCCAGGTGCCAGAAGACTCAGAAGCAAGGACATGTTTATTCAGATCCATGGTCGTTACAAGCTTCATTTTTGGTCACAGGCCCTAAAATGCCATTATTCTCAGTTTACATCAAAATACAAAGCCCAACATTTACAATTTCAAAAACATTAAAGCAAACCCCCAAAACCCCACACCGAAAACAAAGGCTTGGTTTGGAAATCACCACTGAGATGCTGTTCTCCCTCGCATGTCGCCTGTGGGGTGAATGAAGGTGAAGACCCCGTGCTGGTTTCTGTCAGAGAATCTGTAGTTGTATATTTTGAATACTTAAGTACCACTGAACGGTTGCCATGTCTTTGAGCACTTGATGTTACTGAAGTGACAATGCTTCTGACCATCTTTGGCTGCAGAGCAGAAACTGGCAGAATCCGACCCCATCGACCCAGCAGTGTCCCCAACGCCTGAGGACCAGCACCCATCTGTGACAAGGCACAGGGGTCCGCGATGTTGGCCACTGCTTTGGGTGATGTGCTCAATGGCTTGCGGTCTGCGGTGAAGCACCTGGGCTCTGGGAGGGTCTTAGGCTCCTGAAACATGGAATTCTACGGCCCAGTCTTGGAACAGCTGGGAGAACATGAAGAACGCACCCCAGAGTGAAGAATCAGGAGAGCCACTCTCTGGTTTTCTCACAACTCTAGAAACTTTGATTCTTTCCTGGAGTGGAGACTTAAGCCACCGTCCTGGTCCCACACAGAGAGAGGAGGCGCCACAACCCACTCTGCCTACCTCAAGGCCAGCCAGTGGGGAGGCCAGGCCCAGGCGGCTCTTGGCAGGCTGGCTCCCAAGCTTGGTGCAGCAGAGTAGCCAAATGGGCACTGGAAAAAAGGCCCCGAGAGCTGGCTTGGCCATGAGTCCTTGGCAGAGGGAGGGAAAGGCCGGCGCTGAGCTCTGCGCTGTCACAGAGCGTGGCTGTTGAGCCCTGGTAGCCACTCCTTTGCTGGGGCCCAACTGCCTTCCTTTCTTGGTTGTGTTTCCTCCAGATGCCTCTGCGGCTGCAGGAACCCCGCTCCAGAAGCCTGAGGATGACCGTGTTCCCTCCTGGAGGGGCTTCCCAGGTCCTCTCAGCCCAAGGGTGGGGCTGTGTGGCAAATCCCTCCAGCCTGCTCTGAAGGCAGCTGCCACCTTCAGGGCTGGTGCAGCTTCCCCCGCTCGGTCAGCAGTATCATGGCAGAGGCGTAGAGGACGTAGCCCAGGGTGAGCAGCAGCATGCATGGGAGGGGCCCGACGCAGAACAGAGAGGCCACGAAGAAGGCCAGCAGCAGCGAGACCAGCGTCCGGTAACTGCCCAGGAAGCGCAGGCTGAGCCTGGGGCCGCGGGTGTGGCCGGCCACCTGCCTCCGCCCCACAGGACTCAGCAGGTGCCTGCTGGCCAGCCCAGGTTCTGTGAGGTGGTAGCGACAGAAGCTGCCGAGGAAGTCATCCCGGGAACACAGAGCCGCCATCTGTCCTGCGAACTGAAGCACAGACAGAGGCATGAGGGTGTGGGGTGGTGGCACCACAGGCCTCAGGACAGCAGTACCCCGCCCTCACAGGCCACCCCAGGACTGCACCCCAAGCAGGAGCATCTAGAACCCTCTCTGAAGAGGCCAGGCCTGCCCTCCTGCCCACTCTGTGGTTGATGGCAGACGACAGCCTGAAGAGCGTGTGGACCAAGCTGGCGATCTCATAGCTCCAGATGGGCTGCAGCTCCGGGTCCCCCTGGTACTCAATTTCAAACCTTCGCAGCCCACTGATGATCTAGAAAGCCAGGCCATGGGGTCGGGTCAGAAAACACAGCCCCGCACACAACTCAGAGAAGCCTGATGGCCTCTGCTCACGAGGCAGGAGGGAGCTGGGGACGGGTCAGGGCCCAGCCCATGTGCCTCTGAGACACAGGTCTCTCACCTGGTACCGCCCCAGGGGCGTAAGGATGAGTCCGTTCTCACCCACGACGCAGTCGGGGAGCTGCTGTTTTCCATTCTCATCCTGGGTGATGCCCAAGGCGAGTGTGAACTGCCTAAGCTGCGCTTCGCTGAGCTGCCAGAGAGAAATGCCACTGCCCTCAGCATCAAGATGAAGAGAGGGGACCAGTCTTCACCCCACCAGCCTACAACAGTGGCAACAAGGGGACCCAGATATGACGCTTGGGGTGTGGGCCTGCCTCCCACAACACTGGGTCCATATGTGTGGGGCCTGGGACTGGTAGGTGGCTGACCACAGGCTGGGTGGAGTGGATCCTTCAGGGAAGGGGACCCTGATGGCGGTGGGGCAGGCCCCATAGCTCGTACCCGGAATATCTGGCGCAGGTACTCCAGGGCCTTCTCCAGGTATTCATCTGTCTTCCGGACACTGTCTTGCCCCATCTCGTCCAGGTCGTTGGCTGTGTAGGAGCCACTGGTGTCCATGGAGCTAAAGCCCAGCCATGAGAGGAAGGAGTGGCCAGCCGGGCTCTCCGCACACTGGTCGGAGATGGACTTGGCTGTGTGTTTGGCCTCTGTGATGAGCTGAGCGAGGCGCAGGACCTGCAAGGGAGGCGTGGGCAGGTCACCAGCAGGATAGGCCTGTGCTGCCACCCAGGCAGCCCCAAGAGCAATGCACAGCCAGACTGCTGAGCGTCAGGAGGAGTGGCTTCTGCCAGAGGACTTTTAAAGACTAAAGGATGATCTTCTACATTTGAAATTTCCCAACAAACACTGCCTTCGTTATCAGGAAAAAATTAGACTTTACTAAAATGGGGGAAGGAGATATGGCGTCAAATCTACACCCAGCCTCCCTCCTTCCTGCCAGATCACAGCACTTCCCGGGTTCTGCTCAGCCCCATGGCTCCAGGGGCCCTGAGGACAGGCACCGCCAATCCACTCACCAGGGTGCGGGCCTCGGGCCCAAACATTGGGGTGTACTTGCAGTCCTGGCCCTCCAGGCTGTAGACGTGGCTCTTCACCTTGAAGGAGGCATCAGTGACCGCTGGTGGCCAGGGTGACAGGAAGCTCCCAGTGAATGTGGGGGCCGTGAAGAGTCGGTGCTGGCGGTGGGGGATGACCAGCTCTGGCTCCAGGAATAGCTGCTCACCTAGAAGGCAGGAGACGAACTGGCACCCACTTCCCCGGGGCAGAGTACCCGACTGCTGCCCTTAGGATTCTGGGGTGTCTCTGAGGTGTCTGGGGAGCCCTGACCCAGGGGTGTCCTCCTGAGGCCCTGCCTGGCAACATCTCCCACACAGTAGGTGGCTGACATGGGGAGGGCGGATGGGGGAGCTGCTGGCTCACAGAGCCCCTAGCAGTGTCTGCAGGAGGTAAACAACAGGAGGATCGACAGAAACCAACGCCCAACCCAGCCAGGATGAATGCAAGGCAGAGACCAGGCTCACCTCCTGAAGCGGCCACCACGAGTTGCCAGGGTTAAACGGCGGGGTCACGGGGCCGCAGCTTGGACCGTGCCGGCCCGCTCTGTGAGCACACCTGCGATCCCCCACCCAGTGCCTGGTGGCTGCAGGGCAGGCAGGATCCAGCCAGTTTCAGACTTCACCGCACAGATGTGTCCCAGGAGTCTCCACAGCACCCTTTGCCGGGGCCCACTCTGGACGTGTGGGTCCCTCTTAAAGACCAGCCACCCCCAGCTAAGGGCCTGGCCCTGGTCTGGCTGGGTTGACGTCTACCCGGCTGGCCCAGGCTGAGGACTTACCTTTCTGAATCATCTCAGCCAGGTTGGGCTGGGCAAAGACTTTGGCCACTCAGAACACCAGGAGCGCATGCTTGGGGCTAACCAGGTCTGTGCGGAGTGCGCGGTTCAGGAAGCCCACAACCAACTTGGTGTACATCAGCAGGTTCTCCTGGACAAAGGGCGCCCTGGGGACCAAGGTGGCAGGTTGGCGCCAGCCTTCCAACTGGAGGCGGGGTCTGCGCCGGTCCATGCCCCTAATGCCCTTGCTCACCCTTGGGCTTTCAGACTCTCCCTAGCCAAGGTGACAAGCTGTCACAGATGACAGCTCAGGGGGCCACGGGCAGGCAGGGAGGGCAGGACAGAGGCAGGTAAGACCCAGGCCCTCTGAGGACGCCACATCCTTAGCAAGGCTGAGGCCCCTTTCCAAGTGGATGGAAGCCACCATGGCAGAGGCCAGCCCAGAGCCTGAGGGGGCTGAGGGAGGATCCCCCAGAGGGTCCAAAGGGGAATGCCTTGGGCAAGGAGGGGAGGGGTCAGTGGCCATGCCAGGTGCCACGGAAGCCTGGGGTCTGCTGTGAGGATCAAGCAGGGGATGGGGGAAGACGGCTTCCCTCATCCCCTGCTTGATCACTGCTGCTCTGCTCTGTGCTGATGAAGATCAAGGGATAGTTTCGGGGTGGCTGAACACTCGTCTGGGACAGAAGGGAGAGGGGACAGGGCAGGATGGGTCACCCACGGCTTCCATGAGAAACCAATTCTAGGGCCTGGCAAAGTTGAGCCTAGGAAAGGCTGGTCTGTGTTCCGCTCGGCAGGGGCTGGGAGAGGACTTCAGGAGGCCACGGGGGCCAGGGCCAGGCTGACCCCAGCACAGGCCGCTGGCTTGGCCTCCACCCACTGGAACAATATCCACCTGGGGGAGCCAGTGGCATGTCTGTGAGAGGGGCTGCGGCTCACCATTTCTCCGACACACACCGGGGCTGGGAGTCGCTGCCTGAAGCCTGCTTGTCAGGCGCGTACCGCCACGGCTGCAGGTAGCTCAGCCACATCTCCAGGACCTGTGGGGGAGGTATGTGCTGAGGGCTCAGTGGCTGGGGGCCAAATCCTCCGGTGGCCTGGAGCCCAGATACCAGGCGGCAGCTGGGTGGGACTGACTCTTCCCACTTCCCCCAGAGGGCGCAGGAGAGACATGCACAGCCCTGTGAGGTTTGGCTCTCTTGCTGGCCCTCCAGAAGCCAGGGTGGGCTTTTCCCAGCCCAGGGGTCAGAGTACTCCCTAGTCAGGTAAGGGTAGGAACCTGCCCTGCACCAGACAGGTGGGACAGGGCAAGGCTTTCCTGAGGGTTGGCTTTGGAAACTCAAACAGAAAGAACAATGTGGCCCTCCAAGACCCCCTCCTTGCCAAGGCCTCTGTGATAACACTTGCTCTCCTCCTTTATCTGCCCCAAAGGACCTCCCACCTCAAGGCACACAGAGGACACAGGCACACGTGTGACGGGGCCAACACTCACAGCTCTGAACGATGCGTCCAGGGGCCAGTGGCCAAAGCAATGCTCCAAGAAGAGGTAGAGTTTCTGCTGGATGAACCTCGGGACAGCGGCCCTGCAGGGGATGGGGAGGGTCACCTGCTGCTTGCCCAGTAAGGAGGCCCTGCTCACAGATGATCCCAGGGCTCCCATTAGTGAGGGTTGGCTCCACCGTGGGAGAGCACTGGGCACCTCCGGGAGGTTCAGCCCCATTCTTCAGAGGAAGAAACCAAGGTTCAGAGAGGCTAGGGAACATCCCAAGGACACACAGCACGCAGGCGGCCGAGTCAGTGCAGCTCCTGCACACACCTCACCCTCAGTCCCATACAAACAGCCCACTCCGCTGGCCCTGGCAGTCAGGGCCACCCCAGCTCTTCTGACAGGGTTGAAGAATATGAGATGCAAGAGATGGCAGCACAATGGGGCCTCTCTGGCCAGTCTGGAGAGAGAGGCTCTGGGAGCCAACTGGGCGGGGTGAGAGGACACCTGCCTAGGCCTGGAGAGGCCTCACGTGCTCTGTGAACAGAAAGGGACTCCCCTCACCCTGCCCTCCATGCCCTGGGGAGAGGTCGCTGTGGGTGACACCTTAGGAGGGGAAAGTGGGGGAGACGGCAGTGGTGGGAAGCCGCAAGGGCCACCCACCGTTTGAACTCCTCCAGGGGGCTGGTGGCGTGGGAGTGGGCGGAGGGTGAGGCCTGCTCTGGCTTCAGGCTGTTGGCAAAGGCGTGCAGGTGCTTCAGCAGCAGGCGCACCACCAACACATGCTCCTCAGTAGGCGTGAACGACTCCTGGGTGGAGAAGGAGGGGTGAGGGCCTGGGAAGGAGCGCGGCACCCATAGCACTCGGCCTCCAGGTCTGACCACATCCCGCACCGAGCCAGTTGCTCTGCTTCCCCACAGGAGGCACGAGCCAGGCCGGGAGTGGGGCCACCCCATGGGGCACCACTGTGCCTGGCACCCAGCAGACGTGCCTTGCACTGCTTGGTCTGAACTGTGACCAGCTTGTGGTATGGAAGTGCTTGGCCCAGCGCCCACACAGCCCACCCCGGGGGAGGCCTCACTAAGACAGACACATCTGCAGAGGGCCTCCCAGGCCTGCTTCTGCACTGCTGCAAATCCGCAGCGGGTGGCACAGGCTGTGCCCTTGGGCACTGGTGCCTGTCTTGATCCCCAGGGCAGGAGAAAGCCAGCATCACCCACAAGCTCTGGATCCAGGGTCTCCCACCTGCCTCCCAAGTGTGTGCAGAAAGCACATGGAACCCAGGTGTGGTGCCTCGGACCTGTAATTCCAGCACTTTGGGAGGCCAAGGCGGAAAGATCACTAAGAAGTTCGAGATTAGCCTAGACAACATAGGGACACCCTGTCTCTACAAAAAATTTTTAAAAGTTAGCTGGGTGTCGTGGTGCACACCTATAGTCCTAATGACTCAGGAGGCTAGGGTGGGAGGATCTCTTCAGCCCAGGAGTTTGAGGCTGCAGTGAGCTAGGATCGTGCCACTGCACTCCAGCCTTGGTGAGAGTTAAGACCTGGTTCAAAAATAAGAACCCCACGGCTTCACTTTCCTCCCCAATTCCTTCCACCTGCTCCTCATCCTGGACACAGCCAGATGAGAACTCGGCCCAGTAGAAGCCCCGGGTGTCACTTCCTCTGTTGCCCAGGGACCTGTGGTCAGGAAAACCCCAAGACAAAAGCACAGTCAGGCATATTAGGCCAAACTTTTTTTTTTTCTTGAGACAAGGTCTTCTTCTGTCGCCCAGGCTGGAGCACAGTGGCGCGATCTCAGCTCACTGCAACCTCCGCATCCAGGTTCAAGCAATTCTCCTGACTCAGCCTCCTGAGTAGCTGGGACGACAAGTGTGTGCCACCACGCCCAGCTAATTTTTATTTTTCATAGAGATGGGGTTTGACCACGTGGGCCTGACCTCAGGTCTCCCAAAGTGCTGGGAATACAGGTGTGAGCCACTGTGTCCAGCCTAGGCCAAACTTTTTGATTTGTAACATACAAGCAGGATCCTGGAGATCTAGCCGGAGAGGAAAGCCTTTTTGGTGGCCATGGGCTTCCTCTGGTTGCTTAGCACTGGGAGGGCAAGTGGGAGCATCGAGAGTAGACGAGGGCAGGGAAGTGGGGGTGCTGAGGGCAGGACCCTGAGTCTTGAGTGGACACGCTCGCCTCTCCACACTTGTCCCCTAGCCCTTTGGGCCTTAACACATCTGTGCTGCTGAGGCTGGTGCAGGGCCCAGCCTCTGGGTATATCCTGGGATGCTGTAGACCCCACACGGGCCACTGCCCATATTGCTACCCACTCAAGTCTCCCCGTCAGGAAACTGTCCCCACAGGTCCAAGTGACACACCCCAGAGATCAGTGGCTGAGTCTGAAGATGGAGCTATGGGGTGGAAGGCATTCTTTTTTTTGAGACAGGGTCTCACTCTGTCACCCACGCTGGAGTGTAGTGTCGTGGTCTGGGCTCACTGCAGCCTCTGCCTCCAGGGCTTAAGGGATCCTCCCACCTCAGCCTCCTGGGTAGCTGGGAAAACAGGCACACACACCACCACACCAGGCTAATTTTTGTATTTCTTTGTAGAGACAGGGGTCTCGCCATGTTGCCCAGGCTGGTCTCAAACTCCTGAGCTCAAGCAGTCCGCCTGCCTCAACCTCCCAAAGTGCTGGGATTACAAGCATGAGCCATCGTGGCTGGCTATTTTTCTCTCTGTATCGTTAAGTCTTTGGGCAATGAATTTGCATTGTTTTGGAAGAAAAGGCCAGGTGCAGTGGCTCACACCTGTAATCCCAACACTTTGGGAGGCCAAGGCAGGCGGATCACTTGAGGTCAGGAGTTTGAGACCAGCCTGGCCAACATGGTGAAACTACGTCTCTACTAAAAATACAAAAATTAGCCGGGTGGGTGGCACATGCCTGTAATCCCAGCTACTCAAGGGGCTGAGGCAGGAGAATCACTTCAATCTGGGAGGTGGAGATTGCAGTGAGCGGAGACCATGTCAATGCATTCCAGCCTAGGCAACGGAGTGAGACTCTGTCTCAAAAAAAAAAAAAAAAAAGACGGAAGGAGAAAAGTATGAGACATAATACCTGTATCTATATTGCCTAACTAGAAGGGCACCAGTGGGGTGGGAAGTTAGACCAGGATCTTTCTCCTCTTCCAGTCTCAGCCCAGGCCCTCCCTCCAATCCTGGCCTGGGATTCTGAGCCGTAACATCCTCCCTGCAGCTCAGGGGAGGGGAAGACCTCCACATGGGAACTGGAAAACTGCCTTTCCCTGCTGGTGCACTTGCCCCACACCACCTGGTCCTTCTGAAGGGTCTGGAGGGCCCACTGTCCACCCCTGCCCCCGGCAGTCACATGGAACCCTCTCAGGCTATTTTCCCATAGGTTTGCTGAGCCAAACTTCTCCCTCAGCTCTGCACCCCTCCTGGGCCATGTTCCCACATGGAGTCCCTGGTCACAGTCACCTGCTTGCTTCTTAAGGATGTGTCCCCAAAGCCGCACATTTCCCACTGGGCTGAGACTCACAGCACCTCAGCTCACCCCACCTGGGTCTCGCTGGTCACCTTCCCACCATGGGGTTTGCCAGATGCTTTCTGGACACTGTCCTCCCTCCCTGGCACAAGCCCTCAGGTTCCTCCTCTCCTCTGCAGTGGCTCCTGCGGAATGAGGTGCCCCCGTGTGCTGTGGCCGCCATCCAGCCCACCAGCGCTAAGGGGCCAACACATTTTCTCATCTTGTGCTCAAATTCCTGTTCAATCATGTGTGCTCCTTCCCAGGTGAACGGGACAGATCACTGGCTGTGAGCACAGCCCGTCTCCCCCGGCTCTCACAGATTCCTCTGTCATCCCTGAAGTTCCCTACAGGTCTGAACTCTGCTTCACTGACCTCAAATCCATCCACACACTTGTCATTTCTGCCTAGGCAGCTGCAACCTCTATGAGGTCACCACCCACTCTAATCTGCCTCTGGAGGTGTATATGAGTGGCCAGGGCTCCCCGGATGAAGGCCGGGTGCTGGCTGGGCTGTCAAGGACTGACAGCTTCTGTGGGCTATAGGGTCAAGCCCCAGGTCCTTCCCACCCCCCTGCCTCACACGCAGGCTCTGGGTCACAGCACCTCCAGGCTGGGTGACAGTTCTGAACAAGGCAGAACCCACACCACCCGTAAGTCCCAGGCCTCTGCGTCTTCAGCTCCTTCCTAAGCGCCAGACCCTGCAGAGTGCAGTGAACCCAGCCACTGCTGAGGCCTGAGGACTCCAGCTCTTCAAACCAGGGCCAAGCACGGGGCCTCCAACACTGGAGAGCTTGTGACACCTCCACTGGCCGGGAACCTGGACAGCCAGGGCCACATGCCCACATGCCTCGTTCTGCCACAAAGCCACCACCCCCACCCCCAACCAAACTAGTCTACAAAGCCAGGGGCCAAGCCAGGCTGGAGGCTGACCCCTGCCTCCCCCCGACACAGGGGCTACGCTCTGCTTGGAACTAGCCTCTGAGTCACCAGCAGCCGGCCCCGGCGGCCCCTTGCTTTGCCAGGCATGGACATGCACTCTGGGCAGGGGGAAGGGAACGAATGAGCCAGTACTTGGTAGGCGTGGAGGGCCTGGAGGCTGGGTTGGGCGGGGCTGTAGAGGGCGCTGGAGACACTGAGTCGGTAGTGCAGAACCTCCAGCTGAGAAAAGGAACAGAGAGATGTCAGAAGAGACAGAAGAGCAGAGGACAAGAGGGCCGGGTGGGGAAGGGGAGAGATAGGACCAGACACGGGAGGGGGAAGCGGAGAGAGAAAGAAAGCAATGAGAACGAGCCCAGGAGTGAGGAGAAAAAAACAAAAACAAAGCACGGTCAGTGAAAATCCAAACAATTGCAGTCCCAGCAGCCGCGGGCCAGCGCAGCACCCGCCTCCGCAGCCAGGCCAGGGCTGTGGCCATACTGTCCTCGCTTTGGAGGCCCGGGCAGAGGGGCCTCCAGGTCACCTGGGTGGCCCCTCAGTATTGCTGGGGCCTAAAGGCCTCTCTAGCTCCTTGGAAGGGCCCAACTCACTGCCCTTCAAGATGGGACCCACTCTCCCCAGTGACTCTGAAGTCACACTATGTGTGGCACATGCAACCCAGAGCCCTCCAAGAGCCCAGGGCCCTCACTGGGACACGCTGCCAGCCACCAAGACCTCAAGATCCTGAGGCTCAGAAAAGAAACCAGCGGAGCATGTTCCAGGAGGAAGACTCTGCCCAGAAAAGACACATGTGGAATTGACTGGATTTCCCTGGGTTGTCTTAAGAAATTTACCAAATTGGTATAAGACATGATTGATTCCTATGTGTCTAAAACTCAAATCAATGTCCCCTCCATGACTGGCTCTCTGAGAACTGAGGGCGAGGACAGGTCCCCAAGGGTAGCACAGAGACGAGGAGCACAGGCTCAGGCCACCAGGCCCTGCCCTCCACCCTCATAGTCTGGACGTCAGCTAAGGTGGTGTGCACATCAGCTCTGACTGCTGGAGGCAGCCTCTCCTACCGCACCAGAAACTCCCACCCTCCACATACAGTGGGTTCCCAAGGGCGGGAGCCCCTGAGGATCTGGCCACAGCCACACACACCCAGAGGCAGCAGGAACCTGAGGCTGAGCTGGCTCCTAGCCAGGACCCTCCGAGCTGCTGCCCTGCAGCACCACGGCCTGCCGAAGCACCCCTTCAGCCCAGTGCAGCCACAGCCGGCCTGGTGCACATCCTGCCCCGCCAGCAGCATGCCTCCTGCCCAAGCAGCACACCCACTGGGCTCCACACAGGAGAAATCAGAACACACGCCAGTCGCCATGACACGCAGAGCAGGGAGGGAAGGAGCAGGGCAGGAAGGTGTTGCCCTCCACAGCCTTCCTCTGTGCCAGACCTGGGGCTCAGGGAGGAATCAGACACATAGTTCCCCAGTGTGGCTCTGCCCTTGCTTGCAGGAACACAGTGGCCTACAGCGCCATGGCCATCCTTACTGCCCACAGGGCCACTGGGGAGCAAGCACGCATCCTGGACTCAAGCAGGGTGAGGAGGATGACCCCAGGAGCCTCACTTCCTGCATCTGAAAATAAGGTCTAGTGGGGACGGGCAGGGATTTCTGTATGGCAGTACGTGTAGCACAGGCCTGGGCAAGCGACAAGAAGCCTTGGGAGACACAGACTTCCACAGCTGCCTTTCTCTGACTCCCACCCACCAAGTTTTCTTGCGTTTTGTGTTTTGCCTGAACTGGAAGAGGCGAAGAGTGGAGCGTCTCTGGGTACTTGGTCCGGCTACTGCAAGGTATTCTGGGCAGGGCCCACCTACCCCAACGTCTGGCCAAGAGGAAGCAAATGTGGGGAAGAAGGGAACTGCACCTCCTGCCCTCCACAGGGACAGCCCCCTGCCCTTCCTCTGGCCCGTGAGGACACAGAATCCTCACAGGTGACAGCCCAAAAGAGCCTTTCTGGCTGACTCTTGAAAGTAGGTGTGCTTACTACACTCCCTCAGAAGGCAGAAGGAGCAACAGGAACACAATGCGGTGCAGTGGCCCCTGCCCCTGCCAGGCCACGCCACGCCACATGCACGAGTGCTGAGTGAGTGTCCCAGAGCCCTGCGGGAGGAGCGGGCCCGGGGAATAACCAGGCCCCCAGGCACCAGCCAGGGACATGCAGCAAGTCTGCTCTGGAAGCAGGAAGGGCACTGCAGGCTCTTCGTGACTCAAGAGGCCCAAGATGGGGTCCTCAGCTTTTCCCCACTCTCCACCCATGTGATTCTGAGGGTGAGGATTTGGGGGACCCTATGCTCTGAGAGAGCCTCCACATGGCAAAGCATGGGGCCATGGAACTGGCTGCAGACTGTGGCAGAAGCAGACCCACAGCTCTTTGCCAGAACCAGAGGAAAAGTGACAGGATGCTCTTCTGAAGTTTAACTCCATCACCCACATTCTGGAGGAAGCCCTCAATAATTCTGTCAGTGACAAAGCCAAAGTTTCCCAAGCATACTGATGCACAGACGCCATGGGCACCAGACTACGTGGCTGATGCCACTTCAGGCAAGGGCATGGATGGGCATGAGTCAAGCTGCTCCATGGAGATGACTGACTGGAGATCTAAGGTTCACCTAGCTGCTTTCTCACTCTGACCGGTCCAGGGGTGGTGCTAGCTCCAGGAACGGCAACAGCAGTAACAACCCAGGGCCTCCGCCACCTCCATGCATCTGAAGGCAGCAGGCTGCCCAGAGAGAGAGTGGGGAGAGGCGAGGCGGAGGGAGAGGAGGCAAGCCAGGCTGCATGCAGGGGGGCACCAGGTGCCACTCGCCACGAGAAGGGCTGCTTGCTCATGCTCTGGAGGAGGTGGGGGAGTAGGGGGAGCAGGCAAAGAAGGCTCCAGGCCACCCCTTCGTGGGAAAGCACAAAGACTGCTGATGGTCAAGGAGACAGACGAGAAAGTGGCTCCCAGAGGCATTGCAGCTCCCCCCACCCCCAGAGCAAGAGCACCACAACCTCATCTGTTCCCGCTGCCAGGGAGGGGGCTCAGGAAGCTGCACAGGGAGGGCCCCGGAAAGGCCAGACTTCCAGGCCTCAAGTGTCTACACGTCAGTGTGCAATGCCCCCTGCCCGCCACCGGAAACTAGAGAATGATGCCCACTTCTTACTCGGCTTCTGAGTGACAGGTGGGTGGTGGGTTTCTGCTTCCCACCATCCAGCCTGTGAAAACTCACTCCGAGGCAGGATAAGAAGCAGCAGGCTGAGCAGGGTCAGAAGCAGGAGGTGGGAAGAAAAACTGTGGAAACATACCTTGGCATGAGGGGACTGCATTTTTTGATACATCTCCAACGAATAGTGATGAAGCCACATTTCAACAAAAACCTGCAAAAAAGCATTAGCTAGTCAAACCATTCTTGACAATGGTGCCAGACCATCCAGTGGGGAAAGGACAGTGTCTCCAACAAGCAGAGCTGGGAACTCATTCCATGTGCAGAACAGCGAAGCTGGGCCCTTCCTTCACACCATCGCCAAAAAATAACTCAAAATGGGTAAGCAACCTGAGGATAAGCACTAAAACCATACACTCTCAGAAGAAAACATGGGAGAAAACTTCATAACACTAGATTTGACAATGATTAATTAGATATGACGCCCAAAGCACAGGCAACAAAAAGGAAAAAAAATAGACAACTAGACTTCATTAAAATCAACACTCTTGAGCATGAAAAAATACTATTGATAGAGTAAAAAGGCAACCAACAGGCATGGTGGCTCAACCCTGTCATCCCAGCACTTTGGGAGGCCAAGGTGGGTGGATTACCTGAGGCTGGGAGTTCAAGACCAGCCTGGCCAACATAGTGAAAATCTGTCTCTACAAAAAATACAAAAATTAGCTGGGTGTGGTGAGGCATCACACCTATAATCCCAGCTACTTGGGAGTCTGAGGTGGAAGGATTGCTTGTGCCCAGGAGTTTGAGGCTGCAGTGAGCCAAGACTGTACCACTGCACTCTAGCCTGGCAACAAAGTTAGACTCTGATTTAAAAAAAAAAAAAAAAAAAGGGCTGGGCACAGTGGCTCACGCCTGTAATCCCAACACTTTGGGAGGCCAAGGCAGGTGGATCACCTGAGGTCAGGAGTTGGAGACATGGTGAAACCCCATCTCTACTAAAAATGCAAAAATTAGCTGAGCATGGCAGTGGGCACCTGTAATCCTAGCTACTTGGGAGGCTGAGGCGGGAGAATCACTTGAACCTGAGAGGTGAAGGTTGCACGGAGCCAAGATTAAGCCACTGCACTCCAGCCTGGACAACAGAGGGAGACTCCATCTCAAAAAAAAAAAAAAATGCTTTGGTCCAGGGAACAGCAGAACCTTCCAGTTCTGCCCTATAAGCCCTGTGTCACGATCTTCTGCCCTCTTCATGGCCAGCACAGCCCACGGTCTACACAGCCAAGAGCCATCTGGGCATCATGGTCCCCTCTGTGAACAGGGGCAACGGTTCTTACCATTCCACCCTGCGAGGATGCTGTGAAACGGTATGGAGGCTTCAAAAAGTGTAGCACCCCAAATACTAGGAGTTATATACAAGATGGGAGATAGAATCCTATCTTATCTACATGTCAGGCTGTCAAAAGCAAGGCTGTGGCTACCAAGTCAGCCCCAGGATCCAGCGTCAGAAGCGGCACCTGCTGAATCTCTCTGATGTGTGCCTAGAAGACACAGCCAGGACCTGGGAGCTGACCAGCACTCAGGAAGTGAGCCAGCCCATACCATCCTGACAGGCTGGAGCCCCTCTGGGCAGACAAGGAAATCTGTCACCTACTACTTGGATCCCCTGAATCAATGGAAGGCCTGTGGAGGCTGCACAGACCCCTCACCATTCAGTGTCATGGAAACCAAAAGCCTCTGCAACAATTTTGCCTCACCACAGGCAAAACGAAACAACTTCCATGGACAGGGGATCCTGGGATGAAAAACGCCATCAATGACATACAAGTTAGAAGGGTGGGCAGATTTACTTTCATGTTTTCTAAATGTCACAGCAGGAAAATACCAACAATTTAGAATCAGCCCCGGGCTGAGGGGCCGCCTCTGGGACTCTGCCCCACATAGTGGAAGGTGGCTAAACAGTTTCTTTTTTCTTTTCTTTTCTTTTTTGAGATGGAGTCCAGTTCTGTCACCCACGCTGGAGTGCAATGGCACTATCTCAGCTTACTGCTGTCTCCAC
This sequence comes from Homo sapiens, assembly GCF_000001405.40. Taxonomy (NCBI): domain Eukaryota; kingdom Metazoa; phylum Chordata; class Mammalia; order Primates; family Hominidae; genus Homo; species Homo sapiens. Next base: position 131,506,691 of record NC_000002.12, on the reverse strand, counting down.
CTCCTGTGTTCAAGTGATTCTCCTGCCTCAGCCTCCTGAGTAGCTGAAATTACAGGCGCCTGCCACCGTGCCCGGCTCATTTTTGTATTTTTAGTAGACACATGGTTTCACCATGTTGGCCAGGTTGGTCCCAAACTCCTGACCTCAGATGATCTGCCCACCTCGGCCTCACAAAGTGCTGGGGATTATAGGCATGAGCCACCATGCCCAGCTGGCTGAACAGTTTCTTTTGACCAGCTCAACTCTCACCTGGAGCAGTGTCTGACCTCCAGATCTCGTGGGAGGCGGGGTCTGCATTCACAGACGTCTGATGAGAGATGTGTCGCTTCAGGAGGCTAGTGTGGTGGAGGCCATAGGAAGCAAAGGGCATGGTTGGTGTCCTGAGGGAGACACAGAAACAGGCCCGAGTTTACAGGCTCCCGCTGGCCTAGCCAGGGGCAATCTGGATATCAAAATCAACGAGAGCAGGGAGAGATTACAACTTGTTCAATAGCACAATGCATACCTCCCCCCCAGCCCCCTGATCCACACTGATATACCTGAATAAATAAATAGCAAAGAGAGAAGTCTTCCTTACCGCAGAGTGACCACTGACCCACTAATCAATGAAGGAGGGATAAGTTAGAGAACCACCACTTGGTAACCGCCCTATTAATAGCTGATTTGGTCAAGAATCAATAGTGAGGTTGGGCATGGGGGCTCACACCTGTAATCCCAGCACCTTGGGAGACCAAGGCAGGAGGATTACTTGAGGCCAGGCATTTGAGATCAGCCTGGGCAACAAAGTGAGAACCCATCTCCACAAAAACATTGAAACATAAAACAGCTGGGCCTGGTGGCATGTGCCTGTAGTACTAGCTACTTAGAAGGCTGAGGAGGGAGAATGGCCTGGGCCCACGAGTTGAGGCTATAGTGACAAATGATCGTACCAACTTCACTCCATCCTGGGGTGACAGAGCAAGACCCTGTTTCTAAATAATTAAGAAATTTCCAGCCTGGGCAATAGGGCAAAACCCTGTCTCCACAAAAAAAAAATATAAAAATTAGCCAGGTGTGGTGATGCCTGCCTGTAGTCCCAGATACTTGGGGGGTTGAGACGGGAAGATCTCTTGGGCCCAGGAGGTTGAGGTTGCTGTGAGCAGAGATCGTACCACTGCACTCCAGTCTGGGGTAAGAGAACAAGACCCTGTCTGCAAATAAAATTAATTTGAATAAAGGGGAGAATCAAAAGTGGATGTTAATACTACTGATAATTACATGGTCTCCATACATCTTCCTGGTAAATTCTCATTATCAATTTTTTTTTTTTGAGACAGGATCGTATCCTGTTGCCTAGGCTGGAGTGCAATGATGCAATCACAGCTCACTGCAACCTCAACCTCCTAGACTTAGGCCTCCCAAGTAGCTGGGACCAACACCACCATGCCTGGCTGATGTTTTTCTTTTTAGTAGAAACAAGGTCATGCTATGTTGCCCAGGCACTCACTATTAATTTTTTTTTTTTTTTTTGGTTGAGATACGGTCTCTCTCTGTAGCCTAGGCTGGAGTACAGGGGCATGATCTCGGCTCACTGCCACCTCCGCCTCCTGGGTGCAAGCAATCCTCCCACCTCAGCCTCTCAAGTAGCTGGGATTACAGGCACACACCACCACACCTGGTTATTTTTAAATTTTTGGTAGAGATGGGATTTTGCTATGTTGCCTGAGCTGGTCTCACACTCCTGAGCTCCAGTGATCCGCCCACCTCAGCCTCTCAAAGTCCTGGGATTACAGGCATGAACCACCACGCCCAGCCTCATTACTATTTAATCTGGGCACAAAGTAATTATTTTACAATGGAAAAACCTGACCGGCACCTTTTTAACCCGGTGATAAAAGGGCACCTGGCAAGGACCAGGTGTCCCACTACGGTGCTCCTCCCAACAAAGCCCATGCTGGGCCTAGTCACCAGCAAATACCAGACAGCCTAAGGGGCGGCCACATGCTCTGGAGGGGTCAAGGTCAGGAAAGACAGAAAGGCAAGGGACCGTTCCTGACTGAAGGGGACTAGAAATATCACTATATACAGTGGGTGAGCCTGTGAAACATCACTGCACACAGTGTGAGGCCTGGTGGCAATACTAACTTCCTGGTGTGGTTACAGGCACTGTGACTATATAGGATAATGCATTCGCTTCTAGGAAATACACTGAAATATTAAGAGGTCAAGGGGTGTCATATCCTGTAGCTTACTCCTATTGGCTTAGAGAAAAAAAACACATACAATAGAGGTGGAAAACAACAGATGCAGCAAAGTGTTAACAATTTGGAAATCTGGGTGAAGGGTCTATGAAAGTTTCTTTTTTTTTTTTTTCCCTGAGACAGGATCTTGTTCTGTTACCCCAGGCTAGAGTGCAGTGGCACACTCACAGCTCACAGCTCATTGCTCCTGGGCACAAGTGATCCTCCCACCTCAGTCTCCTGAGTAGCTGGGACCATAGTTGCACATCATCACACCTGGCTTTTTTTTTTTTTTTTTTTTTTTTTGTAGAAATGAGGTCTCCCAACGTTGCCCACGCTGGTCTCGAATTCCTGGCCCCAAGCAATCCTCCCGCCTTGGCCTCCCAAAGTGCTGGGATTACAGGCGTGAGCCACCGTGTTCGGCCTACAAGTTATTTTTATTATGTGTGGAAACTTATCTGTAAGTCTGAAGTTATTTCAAAATAAAAAGTTAGGTGTGGTGGCTTGCACCTGTAATTCCAGCTACTTGGGAAGCTGAGGCAGGAAGATTGCTGAGGCCAGGAGTTCAAGACCAGCCTGGGCAACACAGCGAGGCATCCCCATATCTCTGCAAAAAAAAAAAAAAAAAAAAAAGTTAAATTAGCTGGCTGTGGTGATGCACTGAGGTGACAGGCTGGCTTGAGTGATGATTGTGCCACCAAGTGATGATTATGACACTGCACTCCAGCCTGTGTGACAGAGTAAGACTGTCTTTAAAAATACATAATGGCTAGGCCAGGAGCGGTGGCTCACACCTGTAATCCCAGCACTTTAGGGGGTCGAGGCGGGCAGATCACTTGTGGTCAGGAGTTCAAGACCAGCCTGCCCAACATGGTGAAACCCTGTCTCTATTAAAGATACAAAAATTAGCTGGGTGTGGTGACAGGCACCTGTAGTCCCAGCTACTTGGGAGGCTGAGCCAGGAGAATCACTTGAAGCAGAGACAGCGCCACTGCACTCCAGCCTGGGCAACAGAGTAAGACCCTGTCAAAAAAAAAAACAAAAGCCCACAATGGACCAGTACGGTGGTTCATGCCTGTAATCTCTGAACTTTGGGAGGCTAAGGCAGGAGGATTGCTGGAGCCCAGGAGTTCCAGAGCAGCCTGGGCAACACAGCAAGACCCATCTTACAAAAAAATAAAATAAAAGCTAGGTGTAGGGGTGCATGCTTATAGTACTAGCTACTTGGCAGGTTGAAGTGGGAGGATCACTTGAGCTCAGGAGGTTAACGTTGCTGTGAGTTGTGATCACAACACTGCACTCCAGGCTGAGCAACCCAGCCAGGCCCTGTCTCAAAAAAAAAAAAAAAAAAAAAAAAAATGCTGGGCGCAGTAGCTCACACCTGTAATCCCAACACTTTCGCTGAGGCCGAGGTGGATGGATTGCCTGAGGTCAGGAGTTTGAGGCCAGCCTGGCCAACATGGTGAAACCCCGTTTCTACTAAAAATACAAAAATTAGCCGGGCACACTGACCTGTGCCTCTAATCCCAGCTACTTGCGAGGCTGAGGTGGGAGAATCGCTTGAACCCAGGAGGCGGAGGTTGTGGTGAGCCAAGATCGTGCCACTGCACCACTCCAGCATGGGCGAAAGAGCGAGACTCCATCTCCAAAAAATAAATAAATAAAATAAAATAAAATAAATAAATAAACCCAAACCATACGTATGTGATCTCTTCTGTGTGCGTGTGTGTTGTGTGTGTGTGTGTGCGCGTGCGCGTGCAATGGTGTGATCTCAGCTCACCATGACCTCTGCCTCCTGGGTTCAAGCGATTCTCCCGCCTCAGCCTCCCGAGTAGCTGGGATTACAGGTGTGCACCACCATGCCCAGCTAACTTTTGTATTTTTAGTAGAGATGAGGTTTCACCATGTTGGCCAGGCTGGTCTCGAATTCCTGACCTCAGGCGATCCCTCCACCTCGGCCTCCCAAAGTGCTGGAATTACAGGCGTCAGCCACCACTCCCAGCCCACATATACGATTTCTAAAAGAAAAAATTAAAATAAAAAACGCAAAAAGTTAAAACAAACAAAAAAAACCAGGCATCAAAAACTGCTTGGCGGCTGAATTCTGCATCTAAGAGGGTGTGAATCTGCCTCACCTCCAAGTCCTCCACAGGATCAGCAACATTTCAGGGTCACTGATCACTGCCGCCACCTGGGCAGCATCTCCTCCCTGCCTCTCCCTTTCTCCCCTCCACCCTCTGGGGAATCTGTCCACACGTGAATTGTACGTAAAGGCCTGGCCTGCCTTACACATGACAGCAGATCTGGGGTGGGCCAGCACTTGCAGGAAGGGGCCTGCATGCAGCTTCCTGGGGAAGGCAATAGGCCAGTGAGATTAAGGAGGGTCAGAGGTGCACAGGCAGCTGATGCTGGGGCAAGAGGGTCTCCTGGGAAGTCGGCCAAGAGGCCCTGCGTTAGTGCCCACTGAGGACCCAGGACAGCCAGGCATGAGAGCCCCTGGTTCACACTCCCGACCTGTGCAGGCACGCATCAGGCTCAGCCTGTTTGGACTGGCAAAACAGGCTCTTTGGCCCAGGGCCTCCCCTTCAAGACCTGCTCCAGGGGCCCATAGAGATTTCCATTTTTTTTGCTCATAGGACAACCTTTCCACCCTGCTCACTGCCTCAGACACTGCCTGTGGGGAGGGCTGCTCCATGCACAACACAGCCCATTCCCATGCAGGCCGTGGAGGCCTCCAGGGACCTGATAGCTTCAGTGATGGCCAAAGACACTGAACACTAAGGACAGATTGCCCGCCACACCCCACCCTCCAGTCTGTGCTAAGACAGCTGGGGGTGGGGAATGAGGCATAAGAAAAATTGGGGAACCGTGGACAAAGGGTGGCAACATTGTCCCCGTGGGCGATGCAAGTGACCAGGCCACTCCCTTATGGAAGGGCCAGGTCTTAACAAAGGGCAGCCTTACCTGGGAGGCGGTGAGGGGCTGGTCCCCCCTGGGCTGGAGGAGAGTGGCAGGGCACACTGCCTTCGGTGGGCAGGAACCATGACAGGTACCTGTCCACCAGGATGAAATAGGCACAGTCTGAAGTACGGACGTGGAGGGACACAGGGAGTGGCTGGAAAACCAAGCTAGTTGTTAGCGTGGGCTCTGGACACTGCCAGGCCACCAAGCACCAACAAGTGCAGGGAAGCCCTGGGCCGTGGCCCCACCTCTCCCAGCAAAAGGCATCCCTTCCTTACCTTCTGAGTGATGAGGCTCAAGGCAAAGAAGAATATGTAATACTCGAATGGATCTGAGAGCAGCGTCAGGGGCAAACACGCAGGGTTGATGAGCCACACCCCCCGCAAGTGTCAAGTGCTGGGCCACCCACAGCCTCCCTACCTCAGGGCCACCAAAGGATACTCAGGGCCAGGTTCAGACCAAGGCCCCCAGTAGGGGTGAACTGGACCTTGTTGTGGTACAGAGGACTGTCAGGGAGGATGCACTCCTGGATGGACGCCTTCACAGGACCCTGCAGAGAGAGGCAGTGAGGCTTGCGGGCAGGTGCTGGTGCGTAGTGCCCGATACGCAGTACCCCACATGCACAGCAGCACTTTGGGAAGGCTGCTGGGGAAGAGACCCACACACAGAACCCACCTGTGGGGACAGTGCCCTGCCTCTGAGCAGTGCCTGAACAAGAGTCTTTGCTTAGAACTTCTCCTACCATCTCATAAAAAGCTGCAGACAGCAAGGGTAGCAGTCATGCAATACCCATTTCCTTTGCCTCTCACACCCCTGGAACGAATCGCTCCTCAATTTGCCCTCAGAGGACTGGAGGAGATTGCCCATCACCACAGGGCTGTGCAAGGCCCACTGCCCCGAGCACCACTCTCGCCACTGTGGTTTACTTACAGGCAGGTAGGAGACAGGAAAGTCGAACTTATAGTCTTCAGCTTGAAGCTTATAAACCAACTTCATCATTGGGCCACTGAACATGAAATTGAACAAACAAACAAAAACAGGGCAAATGAACTGTGAATTATCTTGCTTTGATTGTTTCTTAATCTTAAGAAATTCAGAGAGTGGTTTAAAGGTGGAATCACCATGAGGAATCACCCAGCCTCTCTCCGGTGACCAACCTACCTACCCAGTGTCGAGAAATTCCATCACGATGCTGTACTCCACAGGATTCACACGCCCCTGTAAGCAGCGGAGGTTCCAGCCAACGAGGACACCGTCTAGGCTGCCGAAAATGCTCTCTACCAGCCATGGGAAGATGGTGTGCAGCTCCTGAAACAATGTGTGGTGAGGCCGCGGGCAGGACCAGCACCCATTCCTGCCCCGGCTCTAGTCCTGCACCACCTGCTGCCCAGCTCCTTCTGAGGAGGCCACTCCCTGGCTGAGACCTACGAGATCAGCCCTGCACCCAAAGGAACCCTGGTGCCATGGTGCCAACGACAAGAGCAGCTTTGGGTTCTTCCAATGGGGTACATGGCATACCAAGCAGTGTTGCTTTAGGCTTGGGCCAGCTAAGTAAGTCAGCCTCCAATCAAAATACATTTTTTGTGTGTGATAGAAGACTAAATTAAGAAAAATAAACAAACATAAACAATGAAGAAAATTAAAATATATAAAATAAAAAAATACACAAAATACATATTTTTTGAGACAGGGTCTCACTCTGTTGCCCTGGCTGGAGTGCAGTGGCGCAATTATGGCTCACTGCAGCCTTGACTTCCTGGGCTCGAGCAATCCTCCCACCTCAGCTTCCTGAGTAGCTGGGACTATAGGCACACACCACTACACTCAGCTAATTTTTAAATTTCTTGTAGAGATAAGTTCTCAGTATGTTGCCTAGACTGGTTTTGAGCTCCTGGGCTTAAGTGATCCTCCCACCTCGGCCTCCCAAAGTGTTGAGATTACAGGCATGAGCCACCACAAAAAAAGATTCTTTAAAAAGAGATGGAAACTTCTGACTTGAAGGATGCTCTATCAGAAAGGAAAGCAACATCCTTTCCAGAGTGAAGCCCCTGAAACCTAACTGACCTATTGCCATTTGGTATTAACTCCTTGTCTAGGCCAGCTTCCTGGGCTTGACAATTCCAGGTGTGATTTAAATACATATTTTTAGTATTTACGTTAGGGTTTCTGAACCTTGGTGCTATTGACATTTTGGGCTAGATACTTCTTTGTTGCAGGGAGCTGTCCTGTGCTTTGCAGAATGTTTCCAGCAACCCTGGCCTCTACTTCCTAGATGCCAGTAGCACACACTCCCCATCTACCTCCAGATGTGACAACCAAAAATGTCTCTGACATTGCCAAGTGTCCCTTGAGGGACAGAGCACCTGTGGCTAAGAACCCCTGATCTACAAGTTCACATGTTTAAATGTGTCCATAAACATAATGGTCATGATAATGGCCAGGCCTCTGTGCCAGGCAGTGCTCGGGGTTGGGGCGGGGAGGGAAATTAGGAATTATAATAAAGTTCTTCAACGAATGTATAAGACATGCTCCAAAGAGAGACATTAGCAGAGCTATACCTTTGCTGGAAAATCCTCAATTACTTTAATCAAGTCTTGGCACTGCTGTGCAAAGGGCTTATTTATAGAGTCAGCTTTCAGGCTGGCCTAGAAAACAGAACAAAGCGAAAAAGTCACGAGGACATTCACTCTGCAGCTTTTAGTGATACTCTGGCTTGAGTCAAACTCTGGCTTGAGTCAAACAGAAATCCAAGCAATAGGTTATGAGTCAGACCCATAACCACTGGCCTGGTTCCCCAGCCCCTCATGTGTGTCAGTGGCCCAAAGAGTACTACTAGGAGAGGCCGTAGTTCTATGCTCTCTGGACCAGGAACTATCAGCCTTGTTTCCCAGTACCCCCTCAGAGTGCTGCACATGATCAGAACAGGATTGACTTCTACCAATCCATAAGTAGGGGCTGATCCCAGAGTCAGCCCCAGAGCCAGAAGAGGATCTTGATTGTGTAAGGGCACCCCTCACAAGCCACAGAGTACCACTGAGTTTGTACGCATCAACTGGAAATTTCCAGCCTGATGGACCACCGTGATTACACCGTTGTGATCATCAGTAAGAACGCCCAACAACATCACGGCTATGGCAGAAGCTCTCTTAAATGAGCTGTCCTTTATTCAATAGACACTGAACCTACTAAACCAATGATCTTAAAACACAGGGCAGACAAAAATTACAGACCGCTTCAGCCAAGTAGACACTAATCATGAAGGCAATGGAGAGGCCAGAAAAGACTCAGGACAAGGACTAATGAAATCTACCTAGTCGTAGGATGTGAGGAAAGCACCCTGACTACAAGGAGAAAAAGGGCGTCTGTGCGAATGGATTAAGATCAGGAGAAACAGCTAGAATTTCAACCTAGAGAGCTTTGCCAAAGGATATCTAAGGCCTTGTCTACCTCCAAACGAGGGTGGATTTCACAGTGATTGAGACAGAGATGGAGACCTGAGCTGTCTGGCCATGGGCCAGACCTGTTGACTCTAGTGGGGTGCACTGAGGAAGAATGTCCTTCCACATAAATGTTTACAAAAACACCTCCTAAGAACTAAAATTAGGAACTTTCATCACCAATACTTGCCTCATATCTAACTTCTCACTTCTCAGTATCATTTTTTTTTCCTTTTTGAGTCTTTACTATGTTGCCCAGGCTGGTCTCAAACTCTTGGGCTCAAGTAATCCTCCTGCCTCAGTCTCCTCAGTAGCTGGAACTCCAGGCATGAGCCACTGCACCCAGTTCTCAGCATCATGTTTAATACTTAAAGTGCAACCTAGCAGCCCCCCGCACAACAGTGTCTCCATTTTTCACTGATGACAGTTATGACTGATTATTAGAATGCTTCATATCTATTTAAGAATTTACAAGTTATGAACATTCTGATATACATCCTTCTCACTTGCTCCTCCTCCTCATACCCTTGGGAAGTAGAGAAAATAGAATTTGAATGAACTTGTCTTGCATGAGAAAACCCAGAGCCCAGAGGTTGAGTAACCCCAAGGTCCTGTAGTAATAACGAGGCACAGTCAAGTTAAGGAGTCTGCCATTGTTTCCATCACATGCCCCTAAAAAACAACCACTACAGAGTTCTTCAAGTCAATGGGAAGAACACTCAAGTCCCACAGCTACAGAACTATGACCACAATGACACTCATGCAAGCAGTTGATATTTACCAGTAGAAAGCTGGGCTGCTGCAGGTGAGGGAACGCCATAGCAGCCTCCAATGGAGAGTTGAAAATGGCCTTCTTAGCAAACCACTGTGGAAAAACAAAGACAAAATCTCAACATCTGCAACACAGCAGAATCTTTTTATATTTTTCTTTAGAGACAGGGTCTCGTTCTGTTGCCCAGGCTGGCATGCGGCAGCACGATCATAGCTCACTGCAACCTCAAACTCCTGGGTTCAAGCAATCCTCCCACCTCAGTCTCCTGAGTACAGGCACATGCCACTATGCCTGGCTAATTTTCCTTTTTTTTTAGAGACAAGGTCTTGCTATGTTGCCCAGGCTAGTTTGTCAGGCTGTGATGCCCAGGATCCTGGCCTCCACTGATCTTCCTGCCTTGGCCTCCTAAGTGTTGGGGTTACAGGTGTGAGCCACTGCACCTGGCCCTAACAAAATATTACATAGTTTCACAATGCCCAGGAGAATATCACACATTACATTACCAATTTGCAACACACATTATATTGCCAATTCTCATGTCTTACTTATTGATTAGAGACAGGCTCTTGCTTGCTCACTCAGGCTGCAGTACAGTGGTGCGATCATAGCTCATTGCAACCTCAAACTCCTGAGCTCAAGTGATCCTCCTGCATCAGCCTCCCAACTAGCGGGAACTACAGGCAAACATCAACAAGCCCAGCTAATTTTTGTACTTTTTGTAAAGATGGGGGTTTCATCATGTTGCTCAGACTGCTCTTGAACTCCCAGACTCAAGCGATCTATCCGCCTCAGCCTCCCAAAATGTGGGATTACAGGCGTGAGCCACCACGCCCGGCCAGCAATTCCCATCTTTTATACAAATGCTGTTCTCAACTGGGCACGGTGGCTTCCGCCTGTAATCCCAGTAGTTTGGGAGGCTGAGGCAGGAGGATCACCTGAGGTCAGGAGTTCAAGACCAGCCTGGCCAACATGGTAAAACCCCGTCTCTACCAAAATACAAAAATTAGCCGGACATGATGGTGGGTGCCTATAATCCCAGCTACTCAGGAGGCTGAGACCCGAGAATCACTTGAACCCAGGAGAAGGTGGTTGCAGTGAGCTGAGATCACGCCACTACACTCCAGCCTAGAAGGCTGAGCAAGACTCTGTCTCAAAAAAAAAAAAGAAACACTGTTCTCCTGCAGCCCATAGTGGCCAGCTTCAGAGCCAAGTTTGTGGTACTGAATCCCTGGTAATGCTTGTACAGCATTTGTTATATACCAGGACTCACTCTAAATGCTCTCTATATATCTCCTCATTTAATCCTCAGTGGTAGGCAGAATTCTAAAGATAGCAGCCCGAGATTCCCGACCCCTGTTTGTTCAATCAAATACTCATCTAGGTACTGCTGTGATGGCATTTTGCACATCCAATTAGAGTCCTAAGTTAGGGGACCTTAAGTTACAGAGTAGTCCCCAGCTGACAGCCAGCAAGGAAACAAAGACCTTAGTTCTACAACTCCAAGGAACTGGATTCTGCCAGCAACCTAAATAAACCTGGAAGCAGCTTCTTCCCTGGAGTTTTCAGATAAGAGCAAAGCTGCCAACACCTTGGTTTTAATCTTGTAATGCACAGCTGAGCTTGCCTGGACTTCTGCACACATAACTATGAGATAATAAATGGGTGCTGGTTTAAACTGCTAAGTTTGTCATACAAGAATAGAAAAACCAACCTCACAACAACCCGATGGGTACAGATGTACTATGACTGCAAGTCAGTACAGATGATGAAGGAGAGGCAGAAATGGGATAACTCACTTACCCCCACCCAGCTAGTAAGTGGCAGAACCAAGATTCCAATACAAAGACCGCCTCACAAAACTGAGACAGGGGCAAATCCCCTCCATATTACCCGTGCACTATGCAATGAACGGAGGGGAAGAGCAAGCTCTGCCAAGGGAGCCTTTGAATAAGCCATCAGAAAACTAGGATCAAAGGCCGGGCGCCATGGCTCACACCTGTAATCCCAGCACTTTGGGAGGCCACGGTGGGCAGATCACTTGAGGCCAGGAGTTCGAGACCAGTGTAGCCAACAAGGCAAAACCCCATCTCTACTAAAAATACAAAAATTAGCTGGGTGTGGTGGCGGGCACCTGTAGTCCCAGCGACTCGGGAGGCTGAGGCATGAGAAATGCTTGAGCCCAGGAGGTGGAGGTTGCAGTGAGCAAAGATCACACCATTGCACTCCAGCCGGGGTGACAGAGGGAAACTCTGTCTCAAAAAATGGAAGAAAAAAAGGAAAGAAAACTAAGATCAGCTTTCCAGATTCCTACCTCTCAGCTCACCCAGGTCAAAAATAAAAAATGCTCAGACCTAGACTTCACAGACAGGAAGTCTGCCAAGTCCCACTGGTGGCCTAGTTACAGTTTTCCTGGCCCAGCTCTGCCCACTGCACAAGTAACGGCACTGGGGTGGCACCTGGCAGTCTGTGGAGGAAGAGAGGCTGGGTGTAAAGAGGCCATGTAGGCAGTTGTAGAGTGAGAGGAGACAGGAATCTCTGCCTCTCTGCCACTTGGCAATAGGAACATCTCCCAAGTTTTTTCAATTTTTTTTTTTTTTTTTTTTGAGACGGAGTCTCACTCTGTCGCCCAGGCTGGAGTCCAGTGGTGCTATCTTGGCTCACTGCAAGCTCCGCTTGGGTTCACGCCATTCTCCTGCCTCAGCCTCCCGAGTAGCTGGGACTACAGGCGCCGGCCACCACGCCCGGCTAATTGTCTTTTGTATTTACTTAGTAGAGTGGGTTTCACATGTTAGCCAGGATGGTCTAGATATCCTGACTTCGTGATAAGCCCGCCTCAGCCTCCCAAAGTGCTGGGATTACAGGCGTGAGCCACCGCGCCCGGCCAGCTTTCTCTTTTCCTTTTTTTTTTTTGAGACGGAGTCTCGCTCTGCGCTCTGTCGCACAGGCTGGAGTGCAGTGGCGCCATCTCAGCTCACTGCAACCTCCGCCTCCCGGGTGCAAGCAATTCTCTGCCTCAGCCTCCCAAGTGGCTGGGATTACACGCGCCCGCTACCACGCCCGGCTAATTTTTGTATTTTCTACTAGAGACGAGGTTTCACCATCTTGGCCAAGCTGGTCTTGAACTCGTGACCTCGTGATCCACCCGCCTGGGCCTCCCAAAGTGCTGGGATTACAGGCGTGAGCCACCGCGCCCGGCCTCAATTCTTAACCTAGCTATCAATTGCAGTGTTAAAGAAAAACGCCTCAGTCCTAATGCACTTGGTCAAGAAAACACTGCACTACTGCAAAATGATCAAAGCAGCATTAAACTGTGGACTGCTGGATAAGTGCGGAGCTCTAGAGATGATGAAGGGGAGAGCATCTCTGCTCAGTAAAAGCTTTCATGGGCAGCGACTGAAAGAATGAGGCCCAGAGGAATTTCTAGGAACTTTCCAAGAGAGGAAATTCAAACCCGAGAACTCCCAAGAGGTGTCTCCCACACCCCTGTTCTCTGACCCTGCCATGGCCACCCTCCCCCGTCACAGGTCTCTGCGTGCCATGCACCTAGAGTCCACTTCGTCGCGACTCTCCAACACCTATTTTCTCCAGGAGCTGCTTCGGACCCGTTTGTTTTTTTTGTTTCGTTTTGTTTTGTTTTTCTGACAGCGACAGCCCTTGGGCAACGCTAATCATTCCAAGCAAATTCTGTCATGCCAAGACCTCCCTTAACAGCACGCGCCCACTTGTTTCCAACTCTCCTGCGAATTGGGCTTCGGGAGCCTCCGAAACCAAGGCTCGGAGATGTGGAGCGCACAGGGGAAGGGTCGAGCTGGGACCCACACCCGGCTCTTCCTCCCACACCGCCTGTTGAGCCCAAGGCTCAATTTCAACACAAAGCTCTCCTTCCCTCAATTCCTTCAACGACGGGTAACCTTCAACGAACACCTACCGGACCAGAACAGAGTGTACGAGCGGCGCGGGAAGGTGGCACAAAGGCATGGCCCAGAGGAGTGGCAGGAAGACTCAGCCGGGGCCCTCCACTCCCCAGCCTGCCCGGCCTGGGCAGAGCCGCCGGGCCGCCCGAGTCCTGGGGCTCGCGGAGGAACGGAGATGGCCTCCGCAGGGGCTCGCGGAAGCCCCCAGGGCGTCGGACCGTCTCACGCGCGCGTCCCGCGCCACTCACCTGTGGGACCCATAGCGTCGCCCGCTTCAGAGGTGGAAGCCGCCATTCCGCCACCGCGCCAAAACGTCGTCATCAAGCTGCGCGCAGAGCCACGCCCCGCGGCCGGGCGGGAAAAGCGCTTCTACCTCTTTGGGCCGTTACCTCAAAAGGTACGTGCGCAAAGCGAAGAAGGCCGGCCGGCCGGCCAGGGAGGGGAAATGGCGAGGCAGGAGTGCGGGGGGAGGGAGTGGTCCTTAGCTGAATGCGCCTGCGTTGTGGCGGCCTCTGGCGCCCCAAGGTAGGGCTCACGCACTTTCTCCCTAGCAAGGAATGCGCGTGCGCGTAAGCAGGGTTGTTGATTAGTGCCCCCCACCCCCCCCGAAGAGCGACCCCTAGTGGTGCACCGGTGCGGACCAGAAAATTGCACGCTTTCTTGAAACAGGTATTGACTGAGCGCCCAATGTATGCCTGGCACTGGGCTGGGTGCTGCCACCTAAGCGAGCACGACCAATGCAAGTCTATCAGGGACGCCCTGACCGCCAAGCAGCTGGCCCCTGCAGTCCGCCATGCCACTCCCGACGCCTAGCGCGCCGCTCAGCACACCGTGAGCGCCCACTAACTGTTGGGCTCCAATGACGCCGAGGAGGCGGCCCCGTCCCCGCGCTCCCGCCGCTCCCGCCAGGGCAGCCCGGGAGGCCAGACGCTGGCGCTGCAGGGAGAGGGCGGTGGGCGCATCCGCTAGGGGGCGCGGCGGGGCGGGGCGCACCTTTCGGCGGGCCTCGCGGATGGCGGCGCAGGGCGTAGGGCCTGGGCCGGGGTCGGCGGCGCCCCCGGGGCTGGAGGCGGCCCGGCAGAAGCTGGCGCTGCGGCGCAAGAAGGTGCTGAGCACCGAGGAGATGGAGCTGTACGAGCTGGCTCAGGCGGCGGGCGGCGGTATCGACCCCGACGTGTTCAAGTGAGCGGGGCGGGTGGGGGCCGCATGCTCGCCAGACACCCCCGACCTCTGCTCTCCGGGTACGCCCGGCCCGCTGGTCGGGAGGAGCCCCCGCTGCCCCCGCCCCCGTCCTTGTCCGGTCTTCAGGGAGGTGGCCGCGCCGGGCGGAGAGGGCTCACCGGCCCCGCGTCTGTCCCCGCCAGGATCCTGGTGGACCTGCTGAAGCTGAACGTGGCCCCCCTCGCCGTCTTCCAGATGCTCAAGTCCATGTGTGCCGGGCAGAGGCTAGCGAGCGAGCCCCAGGACCCTGCGGCCGTGTCTCTGCCCACGTCGAGCGTGCCCGAGACCCGAGGTCAGAGCTGGGCCCGCTGTCCCTGCCCCAGTGGCGGGGGTGGCGGGCGGGGAGGGGGCAGGCGCGGCACAGCGGCGGCGTGGCCCTGAGTGGCCAGGCCTGTCTGTCGGTCGGTCTAGGCCCAGCACCTGCAGGGCCCATCCGTGGGCTCTGCTCCTGGGCTTCGCTGCCAGCCTTAGGAGGCACGTCCAGGTCAGGTGGACGCAGAGTGCGTGCCCCAGGGTGGTCCAGGCTGGGTAGGGCTCCTCCGCTTAGCTCCTCCCCACCTCTTCACTCAGGCCTTCATCCTACAAAGTCGGGAATCAAGACGGTTTGGGGCTGGGCGCCGTGGCTCACGCCTATAATCTTTGGGACCCCACGGCGGGAGGATCCTTTGAGGCCATGAGTTTGAGACCAGTCTGGGTGACAGGGTGAGATCCTGTCTCTAAATGTTTTTCAAAAGACAGTCTCGATCTCTGTCCTGTGGTATACAGCATCCAGGGAAGTGCCCAGGGAGCAGGGCAGGCAGACGTCTTCCTGCCTTTACCCCACCTGGGCCCAGTTCCTGCCTCTGATGATTGCAGGAAGAGAGTTAGACGCGGAACTCCCAGGGTGCAGAGGCCTGCGGGGTCTGAAGGGCCTCCTCCCTCTCCAGTGTGGTGACTGGGCTGAGGAGATGCTGGGACTGAGAGTGTCATGGTGGAGCCTCCGTCCCTGCTCATCCTCTCCGCATGTTGCTTCTGCTCCCGATGGCTCTCTCTGAAATGCAGCACAACCTCCCAGGCCAATGGAAGGAGGCCCAGAGCTGGCTCCCTGCCTGGAAGCAGGAGGAGACCCTCACAGGCATCATGAGAAGGCGTGGAAAGCAGGCTGCCTTCATGGGGGAAGTGCCAGGGCCTGGGCACCCACGCCCGCTGACCCAAGAGGGCCCGGGCACCTGCGTGCTGGCCTCTTCACTGACCCTCGCTCTGTCTGCTCTCTTTGTGTCTCTCTCTGACCTCCAGAGGCCTCCTTTCTCTCTGCCAGGAACAGTAGCCCCCCTGCAAGGCCCTCGTTTTCCTCCAGCCCGCAGCCTGCGGCCTCTCTGGTTATGCTCCACAGCCCAGCTGCCACACACTCACCTCTCTCTCCAGGCCCCCCGGGTTCCCTCCGCCTCTCTTGCTGCCTGTTCTCTCCTTTTGCAGGTTGCGTTTATTGGCTTATCTCTGGGGGTTGGTGCTCTTCCTTGTTTTCATGGAAACTGCATGGCCCCAAGAGGCCCAAGCAGCTTTGAGCTGCAAGGGCAGGATCATGCAGGCCACCGCTGCCCTGCCGCTTAGCCACAGGGCACTATTTCTGACTCGGTTTATTAGAGACATGGTGTGGCAGTCTCTAGACCCCACAGTCGGGCTGGCATCCGGGGACAGGACCAACATCCCCACACCCCAGAGGCGAACTAGTGGTGAGTGTAAAGAGCCCCTCTCCAGGGGAAGACAGCCAGCCGGGTGCAGTGTGCTCTGCTGGAGAGCACAGCCCCAGGCGTGACAAACGCCTCGGCCTCTTAGAAGTTGTCCCCTACCTGGACAGGAAGTCTGGAGGCTGAAACAGAGACTCCCACCTTCCCAGAGTCTGCCAGGCAGTGCCACACAGATGCCATGTGCTGGTCCCATGGCCACACTCCAGCACTCAGCCCCCTTGCCCGCCTCACTCCTGAGTTGGGACACTTTCCAGGTGTCACCAGGTGTGATCAGGGGCCTGTGAGAGCCCAGGGGTCTTTGGTCGCGCCTCCTGCATGAGCCTCCTGACAGCGGCCACCTCACTGCCACCCAGAGCTCAGGCCCAAGAGAGGGTGGAGAGGGCCTGAAGGACAGGCCTGGAGTAGGGGTGTATGGACTGCAGGCTGAGATGAGCAATTGAGGGGCAAGTGTCCAGCAGGAGGGAGAAACTGGGAACAGAGTTCTTGTCACTCCAGGAGATGTTGCTGCTCACTTAGCACTCACTCAGGGCTCTGGGTGCCAGGCCTAGCTCTCAGGGCAGAGGGCGTGGCAGGGAAGTGAGATGATCACACTCAGTCCAGTGAGAGGCAGTGAGGAAAACCACCAGTGAGACCAGTGTGCTGGCTCACACCTGTAATCCCAGCACTTCGGGAAGTCAAGGCAGGTGGATTCCTTGAGCTCAGGAGTTCAAGATCAGCCTGGGCAACATAGCAAGACCCCATCTCTACAAAAAATACAAAAACTAGCCAGGCAGGGCCCGGCGCGGTGGCTCACGCCTGTAATCCCAGCACTTTGGGAGGCTGAGGCGGGCGGATCTCGAGCTCAGGAGATCGAGACCATCCTGGCTAACACGGTGAAACCCCATCTCTACTAAAAATACAAAAAAAAAATTAGCCAGGCATGGTGGCAGGTGCCTTTAGTCCCAGCTACTTGGGAGGCTGAGGCAGGAGAATGGCGTGAACCTGGGAGGTGGAGCTTACAGTGAGCCAAGATTGCGCCACTGCACTCCAGCCTGGGTGACAGAGCGAGACTCCATCTCAAAAAAAAAAAAAACTAGCCAGGTGGGCGTGGTGGTGGCGCCCATCTGTATTCCCAGCTACTTGGGAGGCTGAGGTGGGAGGATTGCCTGAGCCTGAGGGGGATGTTGCAGTGAGCCAAGAGCTTGTGACTGGACTCCAGCCTGGGCAACAGAGCAAGACCCTGTCTCAAAAAAAAAAAAAGAAAAGAAAGGAAAAGAAAAACCACTAGCAATGGAGTTGGGAGGAGGCTTCAGAGCCCAGAGAGCAGCAAGGGTTACACAGGGTGGAGCAGGAAGGGTCAGCAGAGCCCCACACGTGTGAGCTGGGGCAGTGGGAGGGCATGGGAGAGGCAGAGCGCTGTCCAGGTGCTGGTAGGCCCAGGGCAGGAGGAGGCAGGTGGGGGGGCACAGTCAAGATGTATGTGGGGGTTGTGGCACTGGAAATGCAGGCATAGAGGGGCCAGGAGGATTAGGGGGTGCCATGTGAGCGAATGGGGGCTCCAAGAGAATTTACCCGAGGACAGGAGTGGCCTGGAGTGCTGGGCCCCTCAGGGTCATTTGTTTCTCGAGGGCTGTGTCCTGGAAGCATAGCCCAGGTCCTGTAGGCTGGGTGGCAGAAAGCCACGACATGAGGGCACCGAGGCCCCATGGGGATAGAGTGGAACCTGAGGAGGAGGTGGAGGGGAATGGGGCAGACGTGTGCTGCTGAGTGAGAGGCAGAGGCCACAGATGGAATGCTGAGAGCTCTCTGAGGCCCACATATTACAGCTTCTGACCACACAGAGCTCCAGCTGCCCTGGTAATGGCAGAATCTGGGGTGGAGGATTCTGTCACCCCATATGGCAGGGGGGTTGTCGGAGTAATCCGGGGGGAGGGGCATGGAGGCCATAGGTTTCCCACAGGACTCGGGTGTTGAGTTCTCCAGGCTATGGGCCAGGCCCTCTCGAGCTTGCCTCTGTGAGCTGCAGCAGGCACCCTGGGTCCTCTGGATGCCTGTCCCCCAGCCATGCAGACGGCCTGTGGGAACAACCACCACCAGATTCACTCATACCCACAGGGAAGGGGAAATAGAAAACCCCAGAAGCACAGAGGGTCGATGCTTGTCTTGGTGAGAGTCTGGAGTCATTGAGGGAAAAATAAATTCAGTCAAGCGTTATATTTAAGTTTAGGGAAACTATACGTTTTAAAAGTTGTCCAGAGCATGCGTGTAAGATGACGTTTGGAGTGTGGAAGCCGTGAGTCTCACCTGAGCTGTGCTGCCTGATACAGGAACTTCGAGCCACACATGGCTGGCGTGGTCATTGCACTGCGTGTGGTATGCGCAGCAGATGCCAAAGGACCGGTACAAAAGGGAATGCAAAAAACCCACCACACCTTGGGAGGCCGAGGCTGCTGGATCTCTTGAGCTCAGCAGTTCAGGACTAGCCAGGGCAACACAGGGAGACCCAATCTCTACAAAACATACAAAAATTAGCAGGGCATGGTGGCACACATCTGTAGTTCCAACTACTTGGGAGGCTGAGGTTGGAGGATTGCTTGAGCCTGGGAGGTTGAGGTTGCAGTGAGCTGTGACTGCACCACTGCACTCCAGCCTGGGTGAGAGAGTGAGACCCTGTCTCAAAAATAAACAAAAAACCCCAAAGTGAATGAGGCTGGGCATTGGTTCACACCTGTAATCCCAACATTTTTGGAGGCTGAGGCAGGAGCATCACTTGAAGCTCGGAGTTTGAGACCAGCCTGGGCAACATAGCAAGACCCCACCCATTTCTACAAAGAAACAAGAAAAAGAACAAAGGTGAATGCAACATCTTATGAATAATTTATGTACTGACTACATATTGAAATAATACGTTGGATATTTTAGATTAATTAAAGTATTTGAGCTAATTGTGCATTTTCTTTTACTTTTTATTTATTTATTTATTTTTGAGACAGTCTTGCTCTGTCACCCAGGCTGGAGTGCAGTGGCACACTCATAGCTCACTGCAGCCTCAACCTCGTGGGCTCAGGCAATCCTCCCACCTCCTCTTGAGTAGCTGGGACTACAGGTGCACACTACCACACCTGGCTAATTTTTAAATTTTTTGTGGAGATGGAGGTCTCACTATGTTGTCCCAGCTGGTCTCTAGCTCCTGGCCTCAAAGGATCCTCCCACCTTGGCCTCCCAAAGCACTGGAATTACAGGCACGAGCCACTGACCCCTGCTGAGCCAGGCTGTTTTTAACATTCAGTGGTCATTGACTGTTTTTGGCGTTTAGGAGGGCCCTCCAGGGACCAGGTGTAGGGGCATCAGTCACCCTGCCCTCACACCCCAACCTGCAGCCACACTTGGTTCAATCCCACTGTCTAGCCCGTCTGACTCAGTAGCCCCTCCCGAGGGAGCAGGGCTAAGCAAAGCTGGTTTCCCCACTGCAAGGCACTGCAGGCCATTCTATTCTGGGCCTTCTCATCCTTCATAAAGTGAGGAGGCCTGAACAGGGCTCCCCACTAGCCCCGAGAGCACGCAATTCCTGAAGATTTCCAGGATTTTCTTAATATCAGTTATGGCTTACGGTTATGTTGGTTTCACATTTCCAGGGTTTGTCAACCCTGTCAGATTTAAAGATAAGCATTATTAGCCAGGTGTGGCCCCATGCTTGTAGTCCCAGCTACATCGAGGCTGAGGCAGGAAGATCCCTCGAGGCCATGGGTTCCGGGCAGCAATGAACTGTGATTGCATCACTGTGCTCTAGACCAGGTGACAGAGCAAGACTCAGTCTCTAAACCCCCCTCCCCCACCACTCTTAAAAAAAAAAAAAGCATTATTTGCTCTTTTCTGCTTCGCTGTCATCCTTGTTTCCAGAAGGGACTGGGTCACTACTGAGGGGAGGAGAGGAAGCTCAGATGGCGGCAAACTGAAGGGAAGCCGACTCTGAGTCAGGCCTAGGTGCACGGCCTGCCATGCTGCGTGCTGTGGGGAGCTGAGAGCGCATGGGCACCTAAGCACCCAGATTAGGCTGCGGCTACAGAAGATCTGACTGTCTGGCCTGGCCTGCAGAGGGACTGTGGCCTCAGAGGAGGATGCTGGCCCAGTGTGGGAGCTGCTGCAGGGTGGTGGGTCCCGTCTGCTCATGGAAGACAGAATCCTTGCCCCTTGACCAGTCAGTGGGGACTAGAATTATGGCAGTTTGTACCACAAGAGATGCGTGGTGGCTATTGTCTGCTTTGTGCCTTTTTCACTAGTCACTGCTGGGCTGAGGTGGCCAATCATCACCCACCACGTGTTCCTGACTGCGCTCCTCCTTGGCTCAGGGCAACCCTGACTCCATCTTTGTTCAGCCAAGTGTGACAAGCTGACAGAGTTCCCAGCATGACACCGCTGTAACCCTCACCACCACCAGGCAAGAATGAGCAAAGATCTCATTCTCTGAGGAAGAACTCCCCGGAAACTCATAAGGAGGGCCGTCCTATCCCTGCAGGGTATGGGGAGAATTTTGTGGTATTAGCATAGAAAGGGAGCTGGAGGTACCTCTGGAAGAGCGGGGGTCCACGGCATCTCAGACACAGGAGTCTCTGCTTGTTCAGGGTGACAGATGGTGAAACAAATGACCTAATGGGTCCCTAGACACCCGGTTGCATCTTTTCTCCAGGAATCCAGTTTCCCTTTGCAGGGTATTTGACTACACTTGATAAGAGGCCAGGGAAGGACCAGGATTGAGGCTGGGTGTTCTGTTGGCTGAACCCTTGTCTGGAGTCACCCTAAAAGTGATGGCAGGGGAGTTCCCACACGGGACTGCCCCAAACCTTTCCAAGATGAGAGCCAGTTGGGATTCCAAAGGAAGAAACACTTAATGCCAGGGTGGTCAGTCCAAAGCATTTGTTAGGGAGCTTATATACAGAGGGGGCTGCAGCGTGCCCTCACGAGGGACAGCCAGGAAAGAGGTTGTGCCTAGGCACACCGCACTGAGGGGGTGGGGTGTGGAGTTTCTATGAGGGTGCAAGGAATTTGGCTGGGGTGGGACCAGTTTCCACGTGCTTAGCAACACGTCAGATCTTTCAGTGTTCCAGGCAACAACCTAAACGTGTATCAGTGTCTGGGAACATGCAAGCCCCAGCCAGGGTTTGAGCCTGCAGGGGGAACATGTAGCTGATTAGGTCAGAGTGGTCAAGGCACTCCCTCAGTCAGGACAAAGGAAATGCTGGGGGGATGAAATGGGGGACCCAACACTGAGTCAGGCAGGGGACACACGCCCTGTTTAGAGCCCACGGGTCAGACCCCACCAGGCCAGAGCAGGGGAGAGCCCTGGCCAAGGCACTCCGCATGGGGGGCTGTGACCCCACGGGCAAGCCTGCTACCCGGGCACGTTTGTACCTTGGAGGGTCCTCTCAGTCTTGCCGATGCTGTCAACACCCTGAGCCCAGGGAAATGCATCCCATTAAAATAAAGCTCTGGCCCGAGTGTGGTTGCAGATTTTTCTTGGCTATCTTAAAGAGTAAAGTAAGCAAATTACAAATCAAAGAAACTCTGAACCTGTGGTCTTCATCCGAGAGAGCCTCTGGTGTTCAGAAGGAAAGTCTCAAGCGTTCAGACTGTGGCAGGAACCCTGTCATGGAATCTGGCAGCTAAACCCGAAAGCAAGAGGCTTGACCACTGCAGAACACTCGGGTAGGTAGGAAACAATGAAAGAGCTTCCAAAATCAAAATCAGAAACCCAATTCCAGGACTTGGTGACTGCAGTACTTCCTGCCTGTCACCATCTGGGGCAGCTCAGATGTGCAGTCCAGCGTGAACACACCTTGAGGATGAGGCAGCGCGTCCCTGCTGCTGCTGCTGCCGCTGATGGCACGATCAGGGCAGACTAGGTTTGCTGACCAGGCTAGGTGTGGACCACCACACCTACCTTTCCCTAAATGGGCCCGTGGCATGTGTCCTTTCAAAATGTTCCCTTGGCAGTGTGCTCCTTGCGTGGCTTCGCTCCTAGGACACATCCTAAAGGGTCCCCTGCACACTGCCAAGGGCTTCTGGGGCGTGACCTGTCTTTAGTGGTTCTGAGTCTCAGGACTTGGGGCTGATGCAGGGCCTCTAGCTGAAGCGACTTTGATGGAAATGTGTAGACACAAATGTTGCCCAAGGAGCACGAGTACAGCAGGTGCTGCATTTATGGGGCGCGTCCATTCCTAATCATTGTGCTTTGTGTCTCCTTAGGGAGAGACAAAGGCAGCGCTGCCCTCGGGGGAGTATTGGCCCTGGCGGAACGCAGCAACCACGAGGGATCCAGCCAGAGGATGCCACGCCAGCCCAGCGCTACCAGGCTGCCCAAGGGGGGCGGGCCTGGGAAGAGCCCTACGCAGGGCAGCACCTAGGATGGGGCAGAGACTTGTCACATCTTTGTCCCCAGCAAAGGCTACATGTTACCTCCTTCAGTTGATAATAAACCTTTCTGAGATGCAGAGGGTCCAGGTCAGATGCTCTCTACTGTTTTTTTTTTTTTTTTATATTAAGGCACACTTAGAATGAAGTTTCTGTGCCGGTCCTGGTTGTGCCACAGTGAACTAACCAGGTCCCTTCACCATGGGTCAACTTCCTGAACCTGATTTGGGTTCTGAGGAAAGGTGTCTGGATTGCCAGGTCTTTTATAAATAGACATCAACAAGCTTCACTTGGAGTGAAATGTGGGAGGTTTTTTGTTTGTTTGTTTGTTTGTTTTCTGAAACGGAGTCTTGCTCTGTTACCCAAGCTGGAGTGCAGTAGTGCGATCTTGGCTCACTACAAGCTCCGCCTCCTGGGTTCGCGCCATTCTCCTGCCTCAGCCTCCCAAGTAGCTGGGCCTACAGTGCCCACCACCACACCCGGCTAGTTTTGTTGTATTTTTAGTAGAGACGGGGTTTCACCATGTTAGCTAGGATGGTCTCGATCTCCCACCTCATGGGAGGTTTTCTACCAAGACAGTTGACAGTGCTGAGGGACAGGGTTGCTGTGTGTACGCACAGAGGGCGAACGCTGCCTTCCAGGTTACTGTGGAGCACTGGGGTCAGCATGGGTGTGTTGTGACCTTCTGTGGGTCACGAATGCTGTGCAGAACTCGGTTAATACTCTTTCCCCCTCTAAAATGTCCTGACCTTACACATTTGACCCACAGCTTTAGAGACTTCATGGACAAGCCCCATCCACAGACCTCCAACACTTCTAGTCTCCCTTTTAGCCAGCATGACCCATCAATAAAGAAGCCCGAAAAATCACAGATTCAGTTGAAAACCCTGACTCTGCTTTCCTAGAATTTAGGAAATCTATACATTGAACACCTGGCTTTGAAGAAACACTATTTTCCCCTGGTCAGGTTACTTCTGTGGCAGCTGCTTATGTACAGTCCTGCTGCACCCAACCCCACACCAGCAGCAGGGCAGGCTGGCACCCCACCGCTGTCCATGCAGGCTCTAGGGTCCCACCGGCTCCTGTAGGCAGAGCTAAGCTGCACGACACACAGAGGGCTTGGTTTTATACAGAACCTTTAATTGCAAACAACTTGGAAGCAGCCATCCCGGGGGTGGCAGGGGAGAACCCACCACACCCTCCCCTCAGTATTCTTCGCCTTCTTCAGCCTCAGCTTCCACGGAATCCACGCCCACCTCTTCATAATCCTTCTCTAGAGCTGCCAGGTCCTCGCGGGCCTCAGAGAACTCTCCCTCTTCCATGCCTTCGCCCACGTACCAGTGCACAAAGGCCCGCTTGGCATACATGAGATCGAACTTATGGTCCAGGCGGGCCCAGGCCTCCGCAATGGCCGTGGTGTTGCTCAGCATGCACACGGCCCGCTGCACCTTGGCCAGGTCTCCCCCGGGGACCACTGTGGGGGGCTGGTAGTTAATGCCCACCTGCCAGAGAAGGGAAAGAAAGCAGTCCATGAAGCTTATATCAAACCTAGAAATGGTAGCTACTTTTCCTCAAACAGAAGACACCCTGTAGGTGACACGGAGAATGCTCAGTTCACCTCACAAACGTCACTAAGCCCTTCTCTGCACCAGGCAGGGTGATAGTTCCAGATGAGGAATAGAGAAAGGAACCTTGGAGGTAGCCACCCTGGTGGGATCCCAAGCTACCTAAAGGGCTGTGTCCTAGTACCTGTGACATGTGATAGGTGCCCAGGTGAAGACAGTCTTCCCTCTGAAAATGTATGCTGCTTGTCTTCTTTGTAGATTACAATTAAATTCTGTAGCTAAACTTCTTCCACCCAGATAGATTCAGAGTACACAACTCTTCCCCATGCTATCACAAGGAACATCATACCCACTTCTGACCCACAGAACAAGCCACTGTGGATATGCAAAGGTAGCAGATCATGGGTCAAGGGTCATATGAATGCTGCTACCACAGCAGCAGGAAGTGGTCGAAGTGGTCCATGTGCCTGCCTAAGTAGGGGGTGACATTCCAAGGTGGTAACCAAAGGGGAAGCATTCCAAGTTTCAGAACTCGGGCATAACATGACCTGAGGTCCTGGCCGCAGTGCACAGGGTCAACTAGAGCAGGGATCAGCAAACTTGTTCTATAAATGACAACATCAGGCCAGGTGTGGTGGCTCAAGCCTGTGACCCCAGCACTTTGGGAGACAGGTGGGCAGATCACGTGAGGCCAGGGGTTTGAGACCAGCCTGGCCAACATGGCGAAACCCCATCTCTACTAAAAATACAAATATTAGCTGGGTGCAGTGGCTCGTGCCTGTAATCCAGCACTTGGGAGGCTAAGGCGGGTGGATCACCTGAGGCCAGGAGTTCGAGACCAGCCTGGCCAACATGGCAAAATCCCATCTCTACTAAAAATACAAAAATTAGCCAGGCGTGGTGGCAGGTGCCTGTAATCCCAGCTACTTGGGAGGCTGAGGCAGAGAACTGCTTGAGCCCGGGAGGTGGAGGTTGCAGTGAGTCAAGATCACGCCACTGCATTCCAACCCGGGCGACAGAGCAAGACTCTGTCTCAAAAAAAAAAAAAAAAAATTACCCGGGCATGGTGTTGCATGTCTATGGTCCCAGCTGCTTGGGAGGCTGAGGTGAGAGAATCGCTGGAGCCTGGGAGGCAGAGGTTGCAGTGAGCCAAGATCACACTACTATACTACAGCCTGGGGGACAAAGCAAGACCCTGTCTCAAAAAATAAATAAATAAATAAATAAAGCTCACCACAGATATATAGTGTGATGACTCAGACAGAGAGTTCAAAAGACATCACTGAGCTAGGTGCAGTGGCTCACGACTGTAATCCCAGCACTTTGGGAGGCTGAGGCAGGCAGATCACCTGAGGTCAGGAGTTCAAGACCAACCTGGCCAACATGGCGAAACCCCATCTCTACTAAAAATACAAAAATTAGCCGGGCGTGGTAGCGGGTACCTGTAATCCCAGCTACTTGGGAGGGTGAGGCCAGAGAATTGTTTGAACCCGGGAGGCAGAGGTTGCAGTTAGCTGAGATCGCACCACTGCACTCCAGCCTGGTTGACAGAGCAAGACTGTCTCAAAAAAAAAAAAAGAAATCACTGAATCAATTATCAACTCTGGTTCACTAATTTATGCCCACATGCCTAGCCCATGGAACAGGGATAATCTCCCCAAAGGATGTGGGCCTTCAGGGCCAGTGTTATTTTGTGCATCTGCTGCTTGCTGAAAGGCCTCCACATCACCCAGTCATACCTTAAATCCAGTCGGGCACCAATCCACAAACTGGATGGTGCGCTTGGTCTTGATGGTGGCGATGGCCGCGTTGACGTCTTTGGGGACCACGTCCCCCCTGTACAACATGCAGCAGGCCATGTACTTGCCGTGGCGAGGGTCACACTTGACCATTTGATTGGCTGGCTCGAAGCAGGCATTGGTGATCTCGGCCACAGACAGCTGCTCGTGGTAGGCCTTCTCAGCTGAGATGACTGGGGCATAGGTGGCCAGGGGGAAGTGGATGCGGGGGTACGGCACTAGGTTGGTCTGGAATTCCGTCAAGTCCACATTCAGGGCCCCATCAAATCGCAGGGAGGCTGTGATGGAGGACACGATCTGCCCAATCAGGCGATTGAGGTTGGTGTACGTGGGACGTTCAATGTCCAGGTTGCGCCGACATATGTCATAGATGGCTTCATTGTCGACCATGAAGGCACAGTCAGAATGTTCCAGGGTCGTGTGGGTGGTCAGGATGGAGTTGTAGGGCTCCACCACGGCTGTGGAGACCTGGGGGGCTGGGTAAATGGCAAACTCTAGCTTGGACTTCTTGCCGTAATCCACTGAGAGCCGCTCCATGAGCAGAGATGCGAACCCAGAGCCAGTGCCGCCCCCAAAGCTGTGGAAGATGAGGAAGCCCTGCAGTCCTGTGCACAGATCCGCCTGAGAGAAACCACACAACGTGAGCCAATGCCCATGGAAGCCACACCACCAACCTCCAACAAGCCAGGGCCGCTTCTCTTTGCCTCTAAAGAGTTGATATGGATTCAAATCATCCATAATAAACATGCAGTACACTTTGAAGCAAAGAAAAGCAAAGATCTACGGACAAATCACCACTGCAGACTCAGTAGGACTCAAGATGCTGGTCTAAGTTTTTGCTTGTTTGTTTGAGACGGAATCTTGCTCTGTTTCCCAGGCTAGAGTGCAGTAGTGCAATCTCAGCTCATTGCAACCTCCGCCTTCCGGGTTCAAGCAATTCTCCTGCCTCAGCCTCTCAAGTAGCTGGGAGTACAGGTGTGTGCCCCCACACCCAGCTAATTTTTGTATTTTTAGTAGACATAGAGTTTCACCATGTAGGCCAGGCTGGTCTCAAACTCCTGACCTCAGGTAATCCACCCGCTTTAGCCTCCCAAAGTGCTGGGATTACATGTGTGAGCCACCGCGCCCGGCCAAGATGCTGGTCTAAGTGTTGATAAAATGACTTCCCTTTCACATTCCAAGAACTACCCCTCCCATGCAAGAAAATGGCCACATGAAACCTTCTCTTCTTACCAGTTTGCGGATCCGGTCCAGGACTAGGTCAACAATCTCCTTGCCGATGGTGTAATGGCCCCTGGCGTAATTATTGGCTGCATCTTCCTTCCCGGTGATCAGCTGCTCCGGGTGGAAGAGCTGCCTGTAGGTCCCTGTGCGCACTTCATCTGCAAAAGAGACAGTGTGTGCTGTGAATTTTTAAGGCCTGTACTCACCAAGATGGACACATTCCAGGAGTGTTCACTTCTACAGAGCACATGCTGTTCAAAGTACATGACCTACATGTCATAGGTCAACAGTGGCAGTGTCTGGTAGAAAATGTCTCTGTGTGATAACCAAACTGCATATGCAATTTATGACTCTACAAAGTTAAACTCAGCTTGTTGTATAAATGTCAGCACAACCAGTTCCCAGTGAAAGGAAATAAGCTCTGGCACTCCTACGCAGGTACATAATTCTTTCCTACGTGTAGCTACATCAAAGGCTGTAAGTTAGAAACTCTTACAACCTGGGCAGTCACCAGGTCAGTGTGACTTCTGCAGGGCAGTCCCATCAGGGCACCCTGGATGACCTGGGTCCCACAGGCTTTCAGGTGATGCTGTCATCTCCTGGGGGGCCACTGAAAGGTGCTGCCTCTTTGTAGCTCTCCTTGGAAACTACATCAGGCTGCGAATCTGAAGGAAGCAAATGACTGTTCTGTACTTACCTTCTATGCCTAAGATGCAGGTCAAGACTCTAGTGCACCAGCATAAGAGAATGCACAGCATTCGGGAGGGAACCAATGCCACTGCACCCTGCAGGCAGGGCCACCTGAGCAGGGCTGAGGCACGCACGAGGGAATCTCTTCACAGCCCATCTTACTGCTGGCAAAGCAGCTTTTCCCTGTAGGTCAGGTTTTCCTAAATTAGGAGCCGAGTCTCACAGACACTTTGATCACGAACCTTTCAGTTTCTCTCCTAACAATGCCATGGGCATATGCCTGTCTATCCCATCCTTTCAGCAGGAGGATTCAAAGGAGCCCACACGGGGCTTTACCAATGCTCTCCCACCCTCTCAGGAAAGCTGCCATCCAGTGCCCAGGCACCTACCGACCACAGTGGGCTCCAGGTCCACAAACACTGCTCTGGGCACGTGCTTGCCAGCTCCAGTCTCACTGAAGAACGTGTTGAAGGAGTCGTCCCCGCCACCAATGGTTTTATCACTTGGCATTTGGCCATCGGGCTGAATTCCATGTTCAAGGCAGTACAGTTCCCAGCAGGCATTGCCGATCTGGACACCCGCCTGCCCCACGTGGATAGAGATACACTCGCGCTGTGAACAGGAACATAAAAGTGAACCCATTCATTTCAAGGCAACTTGAAACTATATGGCATGCAAAATATTCTAATTTAATATTTATATACTGCTTCAGTATCTGGCGCTTTCACAATCGATATTTCCTAGGAGGGTTAGTGACTGATCCCTTTATCGCTGTGAAAACTAATTGCTGTAAACCATACTAGCTAGTAAGTTCTAGAGGTAGCCCTAGAACCTGTTTGCCACTACACAAAACTTAGGTTATTTTAAAACTTGGAAGCCATGTAATGTCAATAATCAACCCCACATTATAGCCCGTCACAGTAATTCTCTGAAGAATATGTAGCAGTTTTTGATTATGTCCTGATCAAAGGATAAGGTAGTCGGGTTGGGTAAGGAAATACAGAGTAGGTCCCAGGTCACCATGGTCCAAGCCCAGGTGCTCAGTGTGTGTCCTCTCTCTACCCCCCAGTTCTACCCCGTCCATCATTCACCACCTGCTCTGTGCTCTCGAAGGCTGACCCTTGAGAACAGCATCAGAGGCCTTCCTCGCCCTCTGGCTTCTTGCTGGTTTGGTCAATGGCAGGCAGCAGTGGGATACTGGGGGGCTGGAGAAAGCAGTGCCAGGGTACTCCCTCCTTGGCCCCTTCCTGCTCAACTGCTGTGGGTGACCTGAATCCCTCTCAAGGCCACACTTTTGGCAGGCTGCCCTCTTCATAAAACTACCCTCCCAATTTCTTGTAACCACTCCCTCTCTCTACCCCTTGAAGCCTGTAATGGCTCCCAGACGTCATTAGTGCTGGGACACTGCACTGTCCTTTGGTGGTTTCTTTAAACCCTGCCAAGCTGGGTGTGGTGGCTCATTCCTATAATCCCAGCACTTTAGAAGGCTGAGGTGAGAGGATCACTTGGGACCAGTTTGAGACCAGCCTGGGTAACATAGTGAGTCCCTGTCCCTATGAAAAATCTACAAATTAGCCAGGTGTGGTGGCACACACCTGTAGTACCAGCTACTCGGAAGGCTGAGGTGGGAGGGCTGCTGGAAGCCAGGGGTTCAAGGCTGCAGGGAGCCGTGATCCTGCAACTGTGCTCCAGCCTGGGCAACACAGCATTTGTTGAGTGCTGTCTCAAAAAAAAAAAAGAAAGAAAAAGAAAGGAAAAAAAGGATAACTGACAAACCACAGCTATTCAGACTTGGGACTTGGGAATCTGTTATGTTAATGGGCTGCTTTTTTTGTTTGTGTCTTTGAGGCAGGGTCTCTGTGGCCCAGGCTGGAGTGCACTGGCGCCATCACGACTCACTGCAGCCTCAAAGTTCCAGGCTCGGCTGATCCTCCCACCTCAGCCTCCCGAGTAGCTGGAACCACAGACTCGCATCACCATGCCCGGGTAATTTTTGTATTTTTTTGTAGAGACTGGGTTTCGCCATGTTGGTCGGGCTGATCTTGAACTCCAGACATCAGGTGATCCGCCCGCCTCCACCTCCCCAAGGGCTGGGATTCCAGGCGTGAGCCGCCGCGCCTGGCCTAACGGTTGCCTTTAGGTGAACAAGGCAATGTTGCAGCAGCGTCTGAGCCTTAATTCCTCATCTGATCAATGTCCACAGCCCCAACCCCCGTCACCGAAGGCTCCTGGGGCTCCTCAGTTGTTTCGAGTAGCACAAAGACGTGTGAAGCGGGAGCAGCGCCCTCCCGTCTTCAGGAGGCGACGCCACTATTTGCTCTCTGGGGGACGGGACACCGTCAATGGTCCCGTTCACTAAAGGCCGGCAGCTTCATCTAAAACAAAAGCCGCCGTCCCTGCCCTGGGACCCAAAGATCCAGGAAACGATCCCGTGTCCTCCTGTCCCGCACTAGACCCTGCGTCCTTCTCTGGCCTCCTCTCAGCGCCCAGGCCCGCAACAACGTCCCTCTGTCCACCCGAGGCCAACTTCGTCTGCCTGGGCATCTGCGGGGCGGGAGTGACCCGGGCCTTACCATGGCGAACTCCGCTGCTTCAGCCCAACGCTACTGCCAGACCTCAACCGGCTGCCACAGCTGCTGAGCGCCCAACTGCAACCTCCTGCCTGTGCGCGCCGCACGGGATTGGCCCGCCGGTGCCAGGCCGCCATTGGCTCGGAGTTCCTGGGAGGCGGGCTGAGGGCCGGATCCCAGTTCTGATTGGCCATTGCTCAACATGTGTACTGGGGACGCTCTCTGATTGGATGTAGGATTGGCGGGAAGGCAGCGGGGGTCATCAAAGGCTGCGCGGTTGCTGAGGCATTTCCGGGGTGTCTTCTGACCAGGGTTGGAACAGCTACTGCGCTGCCTCTGTGGGTCGCGGAACATTGCCTTGCTCCCAGTGTGCCACTGCCCCTCCCTGATTGCCCCAGGCCTGCCCCTCTCCCTGCCTAATTCAGATCTTTGCAAACAAGGCCACCTCTGAGAGGCCTTGCCGCCATCTACCCAAGTCACAGCAGCACCGCAATTATCCCCCTCTTCCCTGTTCCCACCCAGCACCTGGGAAGTGGCAGGATTCAATCACTTTTGTGACCCAAAAGGAGAAAACGGGCCGGGCGCGATGGCTAACGCCCGCAATCCCAGCACTTTGGGAGGCCGAGGCGGGTGGATCACCTGAGGTCAAGAGTTCCCAAGACCAGCCTGGCCAATATGGTGAAAACCCGTCTCTACTAAAAATACAAAAATTACCCTGGCTGGTGGTAGGCACCTGTAATCCCAGCTACACGGGAGGCTGAGGTAGGAGAATCGCTTGAAACTGGGAGGCAGTTGTTGCAGTGAGCCGAGATTGGGCCACTGCACACTCCAGCCTGGGCAACAGAGCCATACTCCGTTTCAAAAAAAAAAAAAAAAAAAAAAAAAAGGAAGAAAGGAGGCAAAATTAACGTAAGTGGAGACGTTGGGTCAGGCACACCAGCTCATGCCTGTAATTCCAATGCTTTGGGAGGCCATGGCAGGAGGACTGCTTCAGGTCAGGAGTTCAAGACCAGCCTGGGCAACGTGGTGAGACCCACCTTGCCCGTTTTTACAAAAAATACAAAAAAATAAAATAAAATTAGCAAGGCACGGTGGCGCATGCCTGTAATCCCAGCTACTCAGGAGGCTGAGGCAGGAGAATCCCTTGAACCTGGGAGGCAGAGGTTGCAGTGAGCTGAGATCACGCCACTGCACTCAAGCCTGGGCGACAGAGCGAAACTCCATCTTGAAAAAAAAATAGAGTTTATTTGGGCCAAGTTTGAGAAGTGCAACCCTGGAGATGCAAGTTGTCTTAATATATTGGCAGCAGTTATAAGTGGGTTTTATAAAGGAAAAGAAGAGGCAGTTCCTAAGTTGTTTACCAAGAATTTGAAATTAGAGAAGAAGTCTTGCTGTGTTGTCCAGGCTAGTCTTGAACTCCTGACCTGAAGGGATCCTCCCACCTTGGCTGGCCTAGCCTGAGGAATTTATATGAAAATAACGTAAGCTATTTATTGGGTCAGGCGTGGTGGCTCACACCTGTAATCCCAGCACTTTGGGAGGCCAAGGTGGGAGGATCACTTGAGGTCAGGAGTTCAAGACCAGTCTGGCCAACATGATGAAACCCTTCCTCTACTAAAAATACAAAAATTAGCCAGGCATGGTGGTGAGCACCTATAGTCCCAGCTACTTGGGAGGCTGAGGTAGGATAATCACTTGAACCCGGGAGGCGGAGTTTGCAGTGAGTCAAGATCACACCATTGCACTCCAGCCTGGGCAATAGAGTGAAACTCCATCTCAAAAAAAAAAAAAAAAAAAAAAGAAGAAGAAGACTGGGCGCGGTGGCTCATGCCTGTAATCCCAGCACTTAGGGAGGCCAAGGCAGGCGGATCACGAGGTCAGGAGATCGAGACCATCCTGGCTAACACGGTAAAACCCCGTCTCTACTAAAAATACAAAAAATTAGCCGGGCGTGGCGGCGGGTGCCTGCAGTCCCAGCTACTCTGGATGCCGAGGCAGGAGGATGGCATGAACCCGGGAGGTGGAGCTTGCAGTGAGCCGAGATAGCACCACTGCACTCCAGCCTGGGCAACACAGCGAGACTCTGTCTCAAAAAAAAAAAAAGCTATTTATTGTCTCTACATTGTCTACATTGTCTTTGGTATCACAAATTCCAGGAACAGGAAGATAATGGGTTGAGCTAGTCAGGAACAAAATGCCTTTAAACAGTCACCCCAGGGCATGAGTACAAGGCGTGTGACTGAAGTCCATATTCCTGTCTCTCTGGGCCTGATAAATTCTGCACACCTCGCATAACTCAAAGTGCTGTGAACACTTTTTCTTATTTCTTTAGTGAGAGGGAGTGGGTTTATGGACAACAGGAAAGGGGAAGGCACACCCCTGTCCCGGGAAGAGCAGAGTCGGGACCCAATACCCATTTTGGAGGAGTTTGGAACAGTCACCTGATTCTTCCTTTTTATTTATTTATTTTTTGACACTGGTTCTCACTATGTTGACCAGGCTGGACTCAAATTCCTGGGCTCAAGTGATCCCCCAGCCTCAGCCTTCCTTGTAGGGTGGGACTACAGGTGTGTGATTCTTCCCAGTTTGATTCTTCCATCCCTAAAGATCATCTTAGTGTGTATTCAGTTCTGGGAAAAGCCCTGGAGGAGACATGCTGGCTTACCCCCAGCTCATCACCAGGATGCAGCATCCCACCATGGCATCTCCCTGGAGGGTGGCCAAGCAGGCCCTTAACTTTCCCTCCTGAGAGGAGAGCAGAGAAGAGAGAGGGAGCTCCCCCAGTGGGATGGGACTCATGAGGTCCAGGAGTTGAGACTTTTCTGTGGCCTTTGGGGACCTCTGAACAATGCAATCAGGTCTTCCCTTAGCAAGATGCTTTGGCAAAAGGAGGAGGGGCAGGGACGGAGTTCTGCAGACAGCCGGGAAAATCAGAGGAGGCCACTGGCCCCTTCTCCCCAGGAGGGTGAATCCTTCTGTATTAGCCCCAGGCACCCTAAAAAATACCACTGACTGAGTGGCTTAAACAGCAGGGTTTTATTTTCTCACAGTTCTGGAGGCTAAAAGCCCCAGAGGCCTCTCTTCCTGGTTTGCACACAGCCACCTTCTCACCATGTCCTCCCATGGGGAGGTAGCACCCAAGCTCTCTGGTCTCTTATAAGGACACGAATCCTGTTGGATCAGGGCCCACCCTTATGACCTCACTTAACCTTCATCATCTCCTTATAGGCCCTGTCCCCAACTACAGTCACATTGGGGATTAGAGCTTCAGCGTCTAATATTGGTGGGGGGGGACACCATTCAGTCCATAGTCCCCCTTCCTCAAGGCTCCAACCACATCATGCACAGAACTCAGCTGTAGCCCACATCACACGGTGCTCTTCAGTCCAGCCACGCGTCCTTCAGCGGCTGGGATACGTTCTCGACAATGCATCATCAGGTAATTTCGTTGATGTGAGAACATCACAGAGTGTTCTTAGACCAACCAAGGTGGTGCAGCCTACTGCACACCTAGACCACATGGTATAGCATATTGCCCCTTGGCTACAGACCTGTACAGCAAGGATTTATGTATCTAAACACAGAAAAGCTACGGGAAAAATATGGTATTATAACTTTATGGGACCACTGTTATATATATGCTGTCTGTTGTTGACCGAAACATCATTATATGCTACATGGCTGCAATATTTATTTTTCTGATTATAAAAGTAACACATATTCCCAGTAGACAGTGTAGAAAATTAGCAACAAACTATTTATTCTACTGTAAATGACAAAAGAAAAATTGAGCCTTGGACATGCCCATTTTTACTGTAAGCTATGATTCCATAATTGACTTGTAGTAAACAGTGTTTCTGGCCCCTAAGTATTGCTGCCTTGTGTATTTTATTTAGTATACAGCAATAAAAAGAGTCCTGTGAATTATTAAATCATTTCAATAAGTCAGCTAACAACATTTACATATAGTTGCTACACAGAAAGTAACACAAATTATTTCCTCTTTTGCTCATATTCAAACAGGCTTGAGTGACAACTTGAGGACAAGGCGGCGCCTCAACAAGATTTCACACAGCAGCTACGGGGGCCAGAGAAGCAGCACCGCATGGTGTGGCAGGAGAAGGAGGACATGCACAAGGTAGGCAGTTCGGTTCTGGGTGAGAAAGGCTTAAGAGGCTTTGCAGAGTTTTGTAAGATTCTGTTCATACAGATGTTTAAAGACCTCCTTGGGACTCCTGCTCATGGACTGTCCCTGCTGCACGCAGGACAACAGGGCCAAGCCTGGTTCTAGGGCCCCTGCTGTGCCCAGTTGCTACACAGCCCATGTCAGCTAGCTGGGCTTGGCTCCCTGCCATGGGTGCCTTTCAGCATGCTGCCTGCAGCAGGCACCCACTTCACAGTCATCATCTGCCATCTCCAGTTCAACCCCGCGGAGTAAGCAGCAACTCCCCCAGCCCCGCCCATTCTGAATGAGGAACGATGTCCAGAGGGCACTGTGTTATCTGCAGTGACACGCTGCGCCTGACACCAGTGACCTCGTCCTTCTCTCTACACCATGCCCCCTGCTCTTAGAAGGGGCATCTTAGTAAGGACAGGGAACTGCAAAAGAGGACATATGTTAAAATGTGGCTGATTCCCCCATAACTCCTTTATAAATTTGGTTTTTAGTAAGATATGTGAACTTTATATTCAAATGCCATTAAGTATAGTAATAACACAATTAGGTTCTTTTTTCTTTTCTTTTTTTCTTTTTTTTTTTTTTGAGACAGAGTCTCTCTCTGTCACCAGGCTGCAGTCATGCGATCTCAGCTCACTGCATAGGCTCTGTTTTCTAAAATACATTCATTTATACACTGAAGTCCTTGGACCTGTAGTTTGTGATCTGTCCTCTAAAATGGGGCAGATTTTAAGCCCAAATTGCTTCTTAAGATAATCTGTAGTATCATCCCCCTGCATGACTTGTCTGGGAGTGCAGTGTGGGCTGGGCAGCGTCTCATTGCTTGACACAGTCACAGTGACTCTGAGCTGGACCCAGAGAGGCCTGGGGAGGCCTTTTCTCCCCATGTGGGAGCCGCCCTGCCAGCTTGCTCCAGGTCTCGTCACTTCCAGTCTTAGTCCAGCAAGTGTGACAGTGACTAAACAGCCAGACTGTTGGCCAGATCAGCTGCAGGGAGGTCAGGGTCATCAGTGCAGCAAGTGGTAAGGTTGGGTTGTCAGTGCAGCTGAACTTGTGGTAAGTCCTACTTGTGGCCCTCCACCCAGGGAGTCTTTGATTTAAATCTCTTTCTTCTTAATTTTCTTTTCTTTCTTTTTTAGTTTTTTTAAGAGATGAGGTCTCACTATTTTGCCCAGGCGCTGGTCTTGAACTCCTGGGCTCAAGTGATCCTCCCACCTCAGCCTCCCAAAGTGCTGGGATGACAGGCATGAGTGCCTGGCCTGATTTAAATCTTCAGCACTTTGTCTATGTATTTTTTTCTGCTTCTGCTTCTTCTTGTGTTTAAGTAACTATATTGAGTGCCCAAATGCTTTATTCACCTTTGCAATTGTGTAGAAGACCTCGGGCAGAGGTTGGCATTACAGAGCCAGCTGTCCTGCTGTAAGTTACTCCATGCAGTTGCAGGGTCTTTCTTGGTGTGGGGTTGTTGCTCAGCACCTGAGCCCAGGTGGTCTTCCCATTGAATGTTTGGCTGGGGTGAGGTGAGCACAGGGCTTTTTCCAAGCAGGGGATTTCTCCCATCTGTGGCTTTAATCTGTAACCAGCATTGGCTGTCACTTGTAACTCTTTAATATAGTGTAAACTAAATGTCCAGCCTTCCAGACCTTTGTTAAGCAAACATAAAACATCTGTAATTTTTTTTTCAGCAATTGGTTGAAGCTTCAGAGACATTGAAATCCCAAGCCAAAGAACTGAAAGATGCCCATCAGCAGCAAAAGCTGGCCCTGCAGGAGTTCTTGGAGCTCAATGAGCTCATGGCAGAGCTCTACTCCCAGAAGCAGAAGGTGTGGGACAAGGAGGAGGAGATGGAAGTAGCCATGCAGAAAGCTGACATGATGTGGCAGGAGATCTGAAGATCCAAGAAGCTCAGAAAGAGGATGCTGTTTAGCCAGATGCGGTGGCTCACGCCTGTAATCCCAGCACTTTGGGAGGTCGAGGCGGGTGGATGGCCTGAGGTCAGGAGTTTGAGACCAGCCTGGCCAACATGGTGAAACCCTGTCTCTATTAAAAATGCAAAAATTAACCAGGCATGGTATTGGGTGCCTGTAATCCTAGCTACTTGGGAGGCTGAAGCAGGAGAATTGCTTGAACCTGGGAGGCGGAGGTTGCAGTGAGCCAAGATCATGCCACTGCACTCCAGCCTGGGCAACAAGAGCAAAACTCTGTCTCAAAAAAAAAAAAGGGGGGGAGGAAGCTATTTAGATATTTCAGCGATGGTATTGACTGGACTTTTGTATGACCTTAATAAAACATCTTTGAAAACTTGGGCTGCATTATGTAAATTACTTTAAAATCATCTTAAGTTTTATGTGAACCCAAGTAAGTTGATCTGCCAAGCATTTATTTTGTGTTCATCCCTCAATATCTATTTGTGAAATCATTAAAAGAGGTTCCTATTCCTAAGTTTTTAAAATTCCCTTTTAAGTAAGTAGAGGGTATTTATGCTGAGCTGTGATATGGCCCGGCTTAATTGAATAAGAGCACCTGCAGTCCATAAAGAGCCAATGGCAGTAGAAAGACAAATCGTAGTCTAGGACGCTTCAAGCCACTTGCTTTAGACCAGTGCTTCTGAAGCGTCTTGGCCTAAGCACTCCTTTACACTCTTGCAAATTACTGGGGATCCCAAAGAGCTTCTACTTAGGTAGATTACAGCTCTCAATATGCACCACGGCAGAAATTAAAACTGAGAATTCTTTCAATACAACAAAAACCCATTACATGTTAACGTAAAGTTTGTAATGAAAAGTAACTATTTCTTTAAAAATCTAGTGAGAAGAATGGCATTTTTGCATTTTTTTTTATTTTATTTTAAGATGGAGTCTTGCTCTGTCACCCAGGCTGGAGTGCAGTGGCACAATCTCCGCTCACTGCAGCCTCTACCTCCCGGGTTCAGGCGATTCTCGTGCCTCAGCCTCTTGAGTAGCTGGGATTACAGACATGCACCACCATTCTCGGCTAATTTTTGTATTTTTAGTAGAGATGGGGTTTCACCATGTTGGCCAGGCTGGTCTCGAACTCCCAACCTCAGGTGATCTGCCCTCCTCAGCCTCCCAAAGTCCTGGGATTACAGGCGTGAGCCACCGCACCCAGCCGCATTTTTACATTTTTTAATGTTTCTTTAATATCTGGCTTAATAGAACGTGCTCGGGTTCTCATGTCTGTTTGTGCACTCAATCTGTTTGGATACACTGTTCTGGATGAAGTACATGAAGAACTCCTGGTTCCCACAGATAGCTAATTAATTATTAAAAGAGATTCCTGTGGTGCTAGGTTTTAAAAATTCCCTTTTCAGTAAGTAGAGGGTATTTATTCTCTGACAAAGTCTCAGAATCCCAAGGTTCTCAGCCCACAATTTGAAAACTGCTGCCCTAGGTATTCTGAATGTTCTGCTGTTGATGAGTGACATGTTTTAAGCAATGCTTACTTTAAAATTCGATTAAAGGCCAGGGGCTGTGGCTCACACCTCTAATCCTAGCTCTTTGGGAAGCTGAGGTGGGCTGATCGATTGAGCTGAGGAGTTCAAGACCAGTCTGGGCAACATAGTGAAACCCCATCTCTACCAAAAATACAAAAAGTTAGCTGGGTGTGGTGGCATGCACATCTAACATGAAGTACTCAGGAGGCTTAGTGGGAGGATCACTTGAGCCTGGGAGGTGGAGGTTGCAGTGAGCCGAGATTGTGCCACTGTACTCCAGCCTGGGCGACAGAGTGAGAATCTGTCTCAAAAAAATTCTATTAAAATTTACTTAACGAATCCCACAAATGAGAAGGTCTGAAAGTACATGCTCAAGTTCAGGGCTCTTTGCTGTTTAGCCACAGGATATCTGTTTGTTTTCTTCTTAGTTTATTTTGCAACCTAAATATATTTGTAGTTGCAGCCAGTTACAACTCAAGTTAATGAAACCCCTAACTAAGGATTACCATTCCACATCGGATGCAGTGATACGTTGCCTGGGATTTGTTCTCAAGCAGTTTGTGCGTAGGCAGAGATGAAGCAAGCTCAGCTCAAGCTGCTCACTGTCAGCCGACTACGGTGGCTTGCCTGTAATCCCAGCAACTTGGTGAGGCTGAGGTGGGCGGATCACCTGAGGTGGAGTTTGAGATTAGCCTGGCCAACACGGTGAAACCCCATCTCTACTAAAAAAAATACAAAAACTAGCCGGGCGAGGTGGTGTGAGCCTGTAATCCCAGCTAAACTGGAGGCTGAGGCATAAGAATCGCTTGAACCCAGGAGGTGGATGTTGCAGTGAGCTAAGATCACACCACTGCATTCCAGCCTGGGCGACAGAGTAAGACTCTTATCTAAAAAAAAAAAAAAAAAAAAAAAAAAAAAAAGTCCTCTCCTCACTGTCAAAGCTGGGTGCCAGGCACAGGAGATTCATTACTCTCTCCTGTTCTTCTGTGTGTGTGTCTGAAATTGTCCATTTAAAAAATGAATCAGTGTTTTACAGAAATCAGAAGTACTTGTTTTCACAAATCAGTACCCTTTCTTGAAATCTCATCTCAAAATATCAACTTAAATTCGAATTTAAACTTGTTTTATTACTAACCAACCACTTCAGCTGAGCCCTGCGGTGTATTTCTGAAACTTTAATTTGTGATAAGATTTGATAAAGGGTGAAAAAATACAAAGGTCCTTTAAGGTCTTGCTCTCTTACAAGTCCTTTGGGGAAGATCTAACTGGTAAGGCTGTGCTTCCTTTGTGTTAATGACAAGTGTGTCTTCGTTTCGTAGCTGGAAGCTCAGCTCAAGGACACTGTTGCTGAGGCCTCAAAGGAGTGCAGACTTCCTGAGCACATCGCGGACTTCAAGCAACAGAAAGTGAGCCTGAAGCCCTCGAGGTGGTGCTGGGTTAGAGTCTTTACTCTTACCCCAGACAGAAAGCTCATCCTTGCTGATCCCGGCACGTGGACATTGCCTTGTGTAATGTGCTGGTCCCGGCTGAGCGTTACCCAAAGCAGCTCCAGACAAGACAGGGATATGGAGAGGTGGGGAGGGACCCTGCCTTCGTGATTGTTTTCATTTTCATAGCCAAGTGTATTAGTCCATTCTCGCACTGCTATAAACAACTACCTGAGGCCGGGCGCGGTGGCCGACGCCTGTAATCTCAGCAGTTTGGGAGACCGAGGCGGGTGGAGCACCTGAGGTCAGGAGTTTGACACCAGCCTGGCCAACATGGTGAAACCCCGTCTCTATTAAAAATACAAAAATTAACCAGGCGTGGTGGTGGGCGCCTGTAATCCCAGCTACTCGGGAGGCTGAAGCAGAAGAATTGCTTGAACCTGGGAGATGGAGGTTGCAGCGAGCCGAGATTGCGCTACTGCACTCCAGCCTGGGTGACAGAAAAAAAAAAGAACTACATGAGACTGGGTAATTTATTTAAAAAAAAAAAAAAAAAAACCAACAGGTTTAATTGGCTCACAGTTCTGCAGGCTGTACCGGCTTCTGTTTCTGGGGAGGCCTCAGGAAACTTAACAATCATAG
The DNA here is from genome assembly GCF_000001405.40 of Homo sapiens. Classification (NCBI taxonomy): domain Eukaryota; kingdom Metazoa; phylum Chordata; class Mammalia; order Primates; family Hominidae; genus Homo; species Homo sapiens. The sequence continues at coordinate 131,466,505 of NC_000002.12, read as the reverse complement.
CAGAAGGGGAAGCAGGCACATCTTACATGGCCAGAGCAGGAGGAAGAGAGAGAGCGGGGAGATGCTACACACCTTTAAACAACCAGATCTCATGAGAACTCCTGACCTCGGGTGATCCACCTGGCTCGGCCTCCCATAGTGCTGGGATTACAGGCGTGAGCCACCATGCCCAACCCTATATTTTAATTTTCAAATGAAGTAATATATTTGGTCTTTTAAATAGGATGTTTTTATTCGGTTAAAAGATGCTAATCAGGCCAGCCCGGTGGCTCACCCCTGTAATCCCAGCACTCTGGGAGGCCAAGGCAGGTGGATCACCTGAGGTCAGGAGTTTGAGACCAGCCTGGCCAACATGGTGAAACCTTGTCTCTACTAAAAATACAAAAATTAGCCAGGCTTGGTGGTGGGTGTCTGTAGTCCCAGCTACTTAGGAGGCTGAGGCAGGAGAATCACTTGAACCTGGGAGGCAGAGGTTGCAGTGAGCCAAGATTGTGCCACTGTACTCCAGCCTGGGTGACAGAGCAAGAGTCCATCTTGAACAAAACAAAACAAAAACAAAAACAAAAAAGAATTAATTACCTGAAATCATTAGGTCTATCAGTTTTAGATTTAGATTTGAATTGAAATGTCACTTAAATTAGATACAATTTAAAAATCCATATCATGAACTTAGTTTGGAAAAATCTCATGACAATTAAACTTTCAAAATCTTCAAAAGAACTTCCAGTGTTAATAATGCTAGCATACCACGGGATGCCGCGTGAGCAAGTTATGTAGTGAAATTGTCTCATCTCAGCTTTGTTCCTTGTGGATAAACTCACATGCCAGAGGGTGTGGTCAGGGCTATGAATTACAGGTGAGGCCAAGTGACCTCCCACTGCTGGTGGTCACTGTGACTTGTCAGACTCCACCTGCCCATGCAGTCACCACTTTAGCCAAGGATGCCAAGGGCAGTGGTGCTTGGGTAGGCGGCCAGCTGGGAGTGGAGTGGGGGTCTGTGTAGAGACAGGAGGGGTGATGGGATCCAGGAGTAAGAACCACGGGAACCTCTGGACCAGACAGAGTGCATTTTTTTCTTTTTCTTTTTTTTTGAGACAGAGACTCACTCTGTTGCCCAGGCTGGAGTGCAGAGGCGCTGTCTTGGCTCACTCTACCTCCCAGGTTCAAGTGATTTTCCTTCCTCAGCTTCCCGAGTAGCTAGGACCACAGGCACGTGCCACCATGCCCGGCTAATTTTTTGTATTTTAAATAGAGACGGGGTTTCACCGTGTTAGCCAGGATGGTCTCGATCTCCTGACCTCGTGATCCTCCTGCCTCAGCCTCCGAAAGTGCTGGGATTACAGGCGTGAGCCACCGCGCCCGGCCCAGAGTGCACTTTTTAAATAAAGAACTTGTAAGTAGAGTCTGAATCCTATGGAATATGTCTTCACCCCACTATTCATTTCTTTGTTATTATAGACCAGCTGAGCTAGTGAGCAAGAAACACAAGCACTGAAGCTGGAAGCGTCTGCATCAATTTCTGTGGCTGCCAGCACAGAACCGCAGGAAGTAAGACAGCGTTGTCCTACTGATGCTCTCACCTGGGGTCTGCCCTCATGTCCAGGTGACACAGCTGCCCTTGGTGACCAGAAGCCACTCACCTGGTCCCTGCATGCCAGCTTGCAGTGAGGACATCTGTCCAGGCATGAGAGCCCACCTTCCATTTTGAGAATTACTGTCAGTACCTCAGTTAGATAATCTAGGCTTCTGCAATCATACTGAAGTGTAATATCCATACAACAAATTGCACAAATCACAGCATGTAACTTGCTGAATTTTTACACAGTGAATATGCCCCAAAAACCAATACCCAGTTCTAGAAATAGAACATTAGCAGCCCCTCAGAAGCCCCTCAGGAGGCTGCTTTCTCCTTTCCTGACACTAGCATTCCTTGACTTTATTCTGCTTTCTAGCACTGTAGGTTAATTTTACTTGTTTTTAAACTTTATGTAAGTGGGGTTGTAAATTATATGTTCTGTGCCTGTCTTCTTTTGCTGCAACATTAGGAGTCATCCACATTATTGTATCTGGCAACACTTTGTTCATTCCCATAACCTATGGTATTTTACTAGATAAATATGCTACACTTTACTTATCCATTGTACTTCTGGTGAATATTTGTGGCATTTCAAAATTTGGGATATTACAAATAATAAAGGAATAAGCATTTTTACATGTCTTTCGGTGGACATATGCAGGCTTTTCGCACACTTTTAAAAAACTGTATAATAAACACCCTGTTTTGCAAGAAGTTCACATGCCAATTCATGTAGAGTTGCTTGAGTCTGTAACAACTGAATAGAGGTTAATTGTATGATGTATTGTAATATGTTTCCCTGTTGGTCATTTAGTCATGTGGCAGAAACCACTAGTTGTTTGCTAAAATTCATTCTCTGTTTCCTCTATGGTAAGGACCCTCCACATTTTAAGCTAGGCAGATGGCTGCCCAGAATAAAGACTACCAATAAAGGTGCAATCATGTTCCTAAGTTCTTAGTAACAGGATGTAGTAGAAATATGGCATGGCAGATTCCAAGATCTTTCCTAAAGGGACACACTTTGCTTTCCTATCTCCCTTCCTCATTGCTGTGTATAAACATATACTGCCATCTTCCACCTTGGGGTTGCGGCTCATACAGTGGCCACAAGACAGAAGGAACCTGGGCCCTGATAAAATCAAGTGTTATATTTACCTTAGACTGCCTATGCAGGTTTTGACAAGAGCTACAATGGTTTTTCTACCACTCATAACTGACATAAATTATAACATACAAGTTAGTTTCCAATTTTTGATATTGTACACTATATAGCAGTGAACATTGTGCAATATATCTTTATTTTTTGGAAATGTATAATAGTTTACTGTTGTAATTCATTTATAACATGTGTTGGACAACTTAGCTAATATGTTAATTGATTTATACAATTCCTTTCAATTTTATCTAAAAATAGCAGACCAAAATTAAATAAGAAAGTTACATAAGATTCCATTTGAGCATACATAAGGCCATGATACTTTAATGTGAACCACCATTTCTTGGAAGAAAGAAGACATCCAAATGTCCGATTCAGAGAGAAAGTTCCTGGCCAGTCATCCAGTAGACTCTCTCCACTCTTCAATGTGAAGGTGATGCTTATATTTTTAAAAATCTCTACAAAGCTCACATACAACAAGACAGTACATCCTGGATTTGTGACTGATATGAGCATTTAAGCCTGTCATTTTCAAGTATAAAAGTTTAGTGTTCCATTACCCAATCTGTGCAGTAGACACAGCTATAAACTCAAGTCATGTGAATTAACAGAAGCCCACCAAAGACATTTAAAAAATTATGATTTAGGCAACAGCAAGTTTAAATGTAGGAAAGGCTAGAAAAAAAATGTGTAGATGAGATTGTTTCTCTAAAATGCATTAGGTTGTTCACAATGAAGCTTTGTCTAACACCATTATCTGATGCATGGCATATGCAATAAGGCAGATCCACAGCAGACCAAACAAGGAAGCTGAATTAGGTAATAGAACTAGTAATTAAGATGGTTCACCTCTAACACAGTTCTGCGGCCTGTTCCCCCCAGAGAAAGATTAGAAAAGGCTCCAGTGTACCAAATAAGCTTCACAGAAGAACATGAAAATTTTTCTCCAACTTTTTTTTTTGAAGCGGAGCCTGTCACTTAGGGACCAACTGCTTGTAGATGAAATAAATCAACATTAATTACTTCTAGCCTAATGTAATATGGCTGGAGAAAATGGGTCTCCCGAAGCCGGTATTTTGTTTAACTTACATTCTAGGTGTGTATGTAAGTTGTCGCTCTATAACTTCTGCTGTGGTTCCAACATCCATATCTGAAAGGTGGAAGCAGCTGCTCTGTTACAATTTTCATGTAACATGCTTGGATTCTAGGTCTTTCCTCTTTAACACAACTTAAAGAAAGTTTCTTGTGGTTTGGTCAGCATACACACTTCTCATTTCATTTGATGTACACAGCCAAAGTGGGAATTAAAAAAAAATTACCATCTAGTTCAGAGAGCTAAATTGAGTCCAGCATTATGGCAAAGTCTGACCCAAAATTTTAATTTGTAATTTTAGCATGTGTCTCATGCACTTTGGGGAGCGTCAAACTAAATCTACAATTGCCCGAAGCCTTGTTACAGTTTAATACACACTAACTAAAATGTGTACATTTTTAGTGTTCATGATAAATGCAGTTATGACCTTATTACACTTTAGGCATTCTTTAAGAAAGCACATTAAGCTTTAATATAGAAATATTTAGGTTACACTTGTGCTCAAGTAATAATAAAACATTTGTTCTTTTTTGATCTCATACATTCTCTCCTCAGGTATGGCCCATCTCCTGTACGCTTGGAGCGACCTTTGGCTATGTGGCTGGCCTTGTTATTTCACCACTCTGGATATACTGGAATAGAAAGCAACTTACATACCAGAACAATTAACCGGAACAAAGGGAGATATTTCTTTGTGCAGATTCTGTAAGGGCTGTGCAGAAATGTGTATGGTCAAAGCCAAGCAGTTCCATTTACAGCTCTGTTTTTTATGTAGTTACAACATGATGTGATTGTAGCTTTTTAAACTATGAAACCTCTGAGAGATTGTACCTTCTAGTTGAAATAAAGTATTTATAATAGATTGTGGCTTCAGATACTGCTTACTGCTTCTTAAACCTTTAAGGAACATTCTTAATAAACTTTATAGAATTCTGAGGACAGGTTTTGTTTTCTTTCAAGTTTTGAACTGCTTCATTACCTATAAAAGGTCTGGGTATAGCTGTAGCATTTCATTTGCTTTCTCAGAGAAATGGCCAGTTTCCTTGGCCACTGAAGATGTTTCTCACGTAATTAAACAACAGTTTATACATCTTGATCCTATTCTTTTTTTTTACAGTGTGTTTCTTTGGAGTTAAAATGGCTATGATAGCCTCATCAAAAACAGTCTTCAATCCCTTCTGGGTTAAAGCTGAACATTCCACATAGCAGCATGCTCCTATCTCTTTTGCTAGTTTCTGTCCTTGTTCCACACATATAGGTTTTTCTTTCATATCCTTCAGTCTTGCTAAAGTTTTGGGGTCATCTCGGAGATCAATCTGAGTTCCTATTAATAAAAAGGGTACATTTGGTGCGTATTCCTTAAGTTCCGGTACCCACTCCTCTTTCACATTTTGAAATGAGGCTGGATTTACCACCGAGAAGCATATAAGGAAGACGTCGGTCACTGGGTAAGATAAAGGCCTCAGACAGTCATAGTCTTCCTGTCCGGCCGTGTCATAGAGTCCTAGGAGGTACTGCTTGCCCCCCACGGTGACGCTGACTACGTAGTGGTCGAAGACGGTGGGCAGGTACTCCTCCGGGAAGGCTTCGTTGGCATAGCTCATGAGTGGGCACGTCTTGCCCACCGCTCCGTCGCCGACCACCACGCACTTGAGCATCAGCGCGCCAGGCCCGTGAGCCATGCTGCTGCCCGCCGGCCTCCGGGCATGGTCCCCCCGGAGCCCCCGCCCCGGCCCCGGGCTCAGCCCCGGCCCGCCTGGGGGGTCCGCCGCCGTCGCCGCCGCTCTGCGCCGCAGGGCCGCCCCCCGACCGGCCCCATCCAGCGGCTCCCCTCGCCGGAGGGGAGGGGGCCGCGGGCCCGGGGCGCTGCCGCCTCCGCGGTCGCCGCCAGGATCCCCGCCCCGGCCCCGGTCGCCGCGCCCGCCCGCTGCCCCCGCCACTCGGCGCCCGCGCCCTCTCCCCGGCCTGGCCAACCCAGGAGGATCCGCCGGATCATAAGCATCTTTTTTTTTTTTTTTTTTTTTTTGTGGAGTTTCGCTCTTGTTGTCCAGGCTGGAGTGCAATGGCACAATCTCGGCTCACCGCAACCTCCGCCTCCTGGATTCAAGCGATTCTCCTGCCTCAGCCTCCCAAGTAGCTGGGATTGCAGGCATGCGCCACCACGTCCAGCTAATTTGGTATTTTTAGTAGAGATGGGGTTTCTCCATGTTGGTCAGGCTGGTCTCAAACTCCTGACCTCAGGTGATCCGCCCACCTCAGCCTCCCAAATTGCTGGGATTACAGGCATAAGCCACTGTGCCCAGCCTATCTTTTATCTTTTTATATGTCTATTTTATATAAAAAAAATTCTACAGGTGGAATTGCTAGGTCAAAAACTAAGAACACTTTTGGCCAGGCACGGTGGCTCACGCCTGTAATCCCAGCACTCTGGGAGGCTGAGGCAGGCAGATCACCTTGAGGTCAGGAGTTCGAGACCAGCCTGGCCAACATGGTGAAACCGTCTCTACTAAAAATACAAAAATTAGCCAGGCGTCAGGGTGTGCGCCTATAATCCCAGCTACTGGGGAGGCTGAGGCAGGAGAATCGCTTGAACCCGGGAGGCGGAGGTTGTAGTGAGCCGAGATCGTGCCATTGCACTCCAGCCTGGACAACAAGAGTGAAACTCCATCTCAAACAAACAAAAAAACTAAGAACACTTTATAGATACAGCCCAATGTTTGTTCCTCCAAAATTACATTAACACTGACATAAGTGACATTTCTGTCTTAAAGACACTGGGTTCAAATTGTTAAACCTCTTATGTGTAAAAGAGAAACCAACAAAACAAAACAAAAGAACCAATGATCAAACCCTAATTATCTGTTTCACATCTTTGTTGTGGGAAGAAAGTTGAGCAGCTTTTCATTTGAAGAGCCTACTTTTCTCTCTTTTTTTGTGACTTGTCTGTTGAAATGCTTTGCCTACTATTCCATTGCAGAAGGTTTTTATAATGATTTTAATCAATATTTATAATATAGCTTTTCCCTTAATTTTGTTTTGATTAGCTTTACATTTTTTGATACATAGTAGAGCAAATCTTTTCACATTCTTATCGAATATAAGGTATTCATATACATTTTTCTTTCAAAAGAAATCTGAAGTGAAGCACTGACGTTCCAAAAAAAAAAAACAATAATTTGATTAAAATTTTATTAAACATATTTAGTTTGGAGGAGGCTGAGATAATCAAGATATAAATAATGCTGGATATTCTCATCTAGTCAGATGATGTCTCTCCATTAATTAACTCTTGTAGTCCAAGTAACATTCTGTAGATTTATCCGCATAGGGAATACTCACTTTTTCTAAGTGTATATCAAGATATTTTAGAGTTTTCAATGTGAATAGAAACTTTTTGCTTGTACAAATTCAATTTGATTCAGTTTGATTCATGAGAATTCTTTTGAGTTTCATTTTATCTTTTATCTGTCCTCTTAACTCATTGTTTTTATTAATTTTTAATTTCATTTTCTGAAAATTATATCAGTGGCTGTGTAATTGATGTTTCATTCTAATATGTATATTTCATTTTTCCTGTCATATTGCACTGGGAATAAAACCTGAACAGTACTGAATACTCTCAGTGAAAGTAGTCATGCTTTTTCTCTTACCAACAGAAATTCCTTTAGTAATTCATCAAGATGTTTAATGTAGAATTCTTTAAAAAATCAAAACCACAATGAGATACCATGTCACGTCAGTTAGAATGGCGATCATTAAAGAGTCAGAAAACAACAGATGTTGGAGAGGATGTAGAGAAATAGGAACACTTTTACACCGTTGGTGAGGCTGTAAATTAGTTCAGCCATTGTAGAACACGGTGTGGTGATTCCTCAAGGATCTAGATCAAGAAATACCATTTGACCCAGCAATCCCATTACTGGGATTATAAGGATTTACATTTCCAAAGGATTATAAATCATTTTACTATAAAGACACATGCACATGTTTGTTCATTGCAGCACTATTCACAGTAGCAAAGACTTGGAACCAACCCAAATGCTCATCAATGATAGACTGGATAAAGAAAATGTGGCACATATACACCATGGAATACTACACAGCCATTAAAAAGGATGAGTTCATGTCCTTTACAGGGACATGGATGAAGCTGGAAACCATCATTCTCAGCAAACTAACACAGGAACAGAAAACCAAATACTGCATGTTCTCACTCATAACTGGGAGGTTAACAATGAGAACACATGGACACAGGGAGGGGAACATCACACACTGGGGCCTGTCAGGGGTTGGGGGGCTAGGGGAGGGATAGCATTAGGAGAAATACCTAATGTAGATGATGGGTTGATGGATGCAGCAAACCACCATGGCACATGTATACCTATGTAACAGACCTGCACATTCTGCACATTTATCCCAGAACTTAAAGTATAATTTTTAAAAAATCAAATTAAGATATTATAAAGTTTTTAGATGTTTGTCTTACTTCAATACTTTTTTTCTTTAGTTTACCATGTAACCATCCAAAACTAAATCATCCCCCACCTCAGTTAGGCATCTTAGCGTAAGTCCAGTTACTCAGAAGTCTCAGCTTTGCTTCCTCTTCCCCTACAACCCACTTTTAGAATGTAAGCAAGTCCTCTCCTGGTTTTCTTTTCTCCATTCCTACATCTTAGTTAAAGCTTTTACATCTTCACCATGCAGACCACAAAGACCACTAAAAATGAGATAGATAATAGACACAGGCTCCCATTTCTGGGTTCTGGGACCAAAGTTGAAATCAAAAGCGCAGCATAATGCTATTAATTGGTAGTGTGTTTGGGCCTTATTGAAAGAGCCTAACTCAAGTCTTGAGACAGAAATTGAAAATAATCATACAGGAAAATACTGTAGAACTCAGTAGTCCAGAAAGCTCTATTACAGGCTGGGCACTGGCTTATGCCTGGCTCATGCCTGTAATCCCAGAACTTTGGGTGGCTGAGGCAGGTGGATCATCTGAGGTCAGGAGTTCGAGACCAGCCTGCCAACATGGTGAAACCCCGTCTCTACTAAAAACCCCAAAATCAAGCCAGGCATGGTAGCATGCACCTGTAATCCCAGTTACTCCGGAGGCTGAGGCAGGAGAATCACTTGAACCCGGGAGACGGAGGTTGCAGTGAGCCGAGGTAGCATCATTGTACTCAAGCCTAGTCGACAGAGTGAGACTCTGTCAACAAAGAAAGAAAGGAAGAAAGAAAGGAAGGAAGGAAGGAAGGAAGGAAGGAAGGAAGGAAGGAAGGAAAGGAAAGCTCTATTACAGAAAGCAATGTGAATTGGAATTGCTTTATGGTCATAAAGGTAATATTTTGGCCACTCTGAGGGATGTTCCAGGCAATAGTTTCAGTCTTACTCTACCTACATAGCCCTTTCAGGTCAGCAAAAAGGGTCAAAAAACCAGCCAGTGTTCAGAATGAACATGCATTTGAGATTTGTGAGAAGGAGAACTCACATCTAAAGTCTAGAAGAACAGGTCCTAGGTGTTCTGGCCGTAATTCATTGGTTACTGATACCATATGATTGCAATGACATTCTATGTTGTAAGGGCAATGCTTGCTGCCAAGACACAAAACCTTGTACAAAGCTTTCTGGTTTTGGCCCCTCGTTTAACAAAGATATAATTCTGGTTATTTTCTTTCTTTTGTTTTGTTTTTTTTTTTTTCTTTTTATTCCTCCCAGAGCCTTGCCATTTCTTCCCCACGCCCCTCCGCCCCCGTCCCCCGCTTTTTTTTTTTTTTTTTAAGATGGAGTGTCGCTCTGTCACCAGGCTGGAGTGCAGTGGTGCGATCTCGGCTCAGGGCAACCTCTGACTCCCTAGTTCAAGCGATTCTCCTGCCTCAGCCTCCCGAGTAGCTAGGATTACAGGCACACGCCACCATGCCCAGCTAATTTTTGTATTTTTAGTAGAGACGGGGTTTCACCATGTTGGCCAGGATGGTCTCAATCTCCTGACCTCGGGATCTGTCGCCTCGGCCTCGCAAAGTGCTGGGATTACAGGCGTGAGCCACTGTGCTCGGCAGCCATTTCTTCCTTTAATCTCCAGCTGTTTCACCCCAAGATGGTCAAGACAACTTTTTTATTTTTATATTTTATTATTATTATTTTTGAGACGGAGTCTCGCTGTCGCCCAGGCTGGAGTGCAGTGGTGCAATCTCGGCTCACTGCAAGCTCCGCCTCCTGAGTTCACGCCATTCTCCTGCCTCAACCTCCGGAGTAGCTGGGACTACAGGCGCCCGCCACCACGCCCGGCTAATTTTTTTGTATTTTTAGTAGAAACGGGGTTTCACCGTGTTAGCCAGGATGGTGTCGATCACCTGACCTCGTGATCCGCCCGCCTCGGCCTCCCAAAGTGCTGGGATTACAGGCGTGAGCCACGGTGCCCGGCCAAGATTGCAAGAAGATAGGAAGTAACACTTTGTCCTCTAATTTATCTCATAGGTGAAACTTTACTTCTTTCTTTTTTCTAAGAAGTACCACCAGAATATAATCCTAAAATTTAATGGTTGAGAGACTTGACTATAGAATTTGCTTTCTGTTGATGTTATAGGGGCTTCCTTCTAACTCAGTTGAATTTACTCTGAAAATGGCAAATGGTTCCCCCACCTACCCAAGGATGGAAGAATAAGTTATAAGTTGCATTCACTTGCTGAAGATAACTTAAGTATTTAGAATTGCGATGATGTGCTGAACTCAAATAGTTGAAACAAGTAACTTCTGGGGCAGCAGGTACTTATGTCAGCCATTGGCTTATTCCTTGATGCCAATGTTTTGGCTTTGTTTGGTGAACTGGTGGTTGACTTGATCCTTACTTGCTATTCAGACTGCCTCTGATCTTTCTGAGAGCCAGAACCATCTGGATGGTTCATTTGACATTGGTCAGAAAGGTCCTTAATCTTTAAATACACCAGTTCAAGCACAGAGTCATAAGATGAGATGGGGAGATGAAAGGTGGCTCACTTTGGGAGGCTGAAGTGGGTGGACAGCTTGAGCCCAGGAGTTCGAGACCAGCCTGGGCAACATGGGGAAACCTCATCTCTATGAAAAACTACAAAAAATTAGCCAGACTTTGTGGTGCATGCCTGTATTCCCAGCTACCCAGGAGGCTGAGGTGGGAGGATCTGAGCCTGGAAGGCCGAGGCATCAGTGAGCTGTGGTTGCATCACTGCACTACAGCCTGGGCAACAGAGTGAGACCCTGTCTCAAAAAAAAAAAAAAAAAAGACCAACAAAACAAAAAAAATTCAAATAGGCCCCTCCAAGGAGCAACCATTTGTCTACAAGGAATAAGGAGACTTCTACATCTTGGCAGTACTTGAAGACGGTGGGAAATTATCACGTCACATTCTGTTACAGTTTGGGGGCTACTCCAAAAGAAATTTCTTAATGCAACACTTTCACAAGAAAAGATAATGTGCTACTAGTGCTACCATTGTATGAGTGAGAGAAGGGGAGTGATTAATGTGTTACAGCCTCTTCTCACTAGTATCTAAGAACATGAAATTCATGCAGCACACCCTTCCCTCTCCCAGCCACTTGGAATCAGTCCTTCACCATGTCCTTATTCACTTCACAAATTATCCATATGCATTGTGGTTACGATAGAAAGTGTAGATAAGAAAAGATACTTTACTGATGTCATAACTCATATAATTTCAAGTGTCTTACAGGGTCAAGTGTTCTTGTTCCAGTTATAATTGCTGCATAACAAACCACCCCAATCTCAGTGCCATACAATTGTATTAAAATAACAACATTTGTATTCCCAGATTTTATGGGTCAGGAGTTTAGTCTGGACACAGGGCAGACTGCTTATATGTCTGCTATGTCACATCTGGGGCATTTGCTTGGAAGACTCAAAGTTTAGGTGTGACAGCAGCTGGGAACAGGAATCACCTGTGTGTATCTTCATTCACATACCTGGTAGTTGATGCTGATTATTGGCTGGGACCTCAGATGGACTACTGGCCAAAGTGCCTCTGCACAGCCTCTGCACACGGGTTATTCTGTCCTCCTCACAGCATGTACAGCAGATGGGTTCTAAGAACAAATGTCCTAAGTAGGCAAGGCAGAAGTGCAAGGTGTTCTTACCATCTAGCTTGGAGGGCACCATGGCATTACTTCCATTATACTCTATTGGTCAAAATAGTTACAAAATTCTGCCCAGCATGACACTACAGGTTTTTCTTTGGGGGCTCAGAATAAAAAGGCAGAACAGCCTCTGCCTGTTTATCTCTTATTCTTTTGCGGGAGTTTTGTGTTACATACAAATAAAAATTTAGAGATATTGTCGTATTTCCCAGCTACCGAAGTCAACTGTGAAGAAGAGGCATTTACATCCCTCTATAGCAGTACTAAGAAGAGAGGTATCCTTGACTAAATAAGCAAGGCAAGATTACTCTTTCCAGACTCTAATTTGGGAGTTAGCAGATAGAACATCAGGCAGAAGTTCCTCTGTTGGTGTCACCTACAAAGCAACAAGCTTGAGAACTCTGTGTTCCAACTTGGGAGCTAGTCAGTCTCCCAGAGTGGGGGTATTTGGAGAGCAGGCTTGTGAAGAAGGCCAAGGAAACAGAAAGGACAGCTCTTAGGATACACTTTACTGAAGATATATCACTCAGACAAGATGCCCAGAAAGTTCAGGATTAACAAAGGTCTAGAGTCTTGTAACTCACTTCCTATGGAAGTTTATTGTGAACAACAACAGTAACAAAGCAGCCTCAATTCTCTAATCCTGCAGAGGGCTAAAGAACACCTATTACTCCCTGGAGCTTAATAGAGATGAAATCTTAGGATATAACTGCAGTATACATGCTGAGGATGACCAGGAAGATGGTTATAATTGTTATACCCTAGTTTAGGTGAAAACTACATGTAAGATATTGTGAGGTCCTTGAGTGGTTAGATGACTAAGGTATTAGTCATCCTGGAAGAAAATCTGGATCGATTAAATGTCAGATGAATTAGATGCACTAAAAATAAAAAGAGAAGCCAGAAAGTTGTCCTAGTAATAACCAGTCCATCCTTGCTTAGCACAGCTCCAATATTACGCAGATTTCAGTTACCACAGTTTAGTCCAATGACACCAGTCCCCCAACAACACAGTTCTGGTATCAGTTGCTATGGTCTATTAACTGTGAATAATTGCATAAAGGAGAAACTTCACTGCTAGACCTTCAACCCATAAATTGCTGCATGTATACCAGAGGCGCATTATGATCAGTGACCAATCATGTCACTTCTTTCAATATCTATTGGTGATTGGTCACCACACATCTTTTTTTTTTTTTTTTTGACACGGAGTCTTGTGTCTCGCTCTGTCACCAGGCTGGAGTGCAGTGGCACAATCTCGGCTCACTGCAACCTCTGCCTCCTGGGTTCAAGTGATTCTCCTGCCTCAGCCTCCCAAGTAGCTGGGACCGCAGGCAGGTGCCACCATGCCCAGCTAATTTTTGTATTTTTAGTAGAGACAGAGTTTCACCATGTTGGCCAGGATGGTCTTGATCTCTTGACATCGTGATCCACCCACATCAGCCTCCCAAAGTGCTGGCATTACAGGTGTGAGCCACCGCGCCCGGCCCCACATCTTTTATTCAATTCACACACTGGCAGCAAACCATGAAGCTGTGTTTTTTCCTTTTCTTCCAGTGATAAGCCTGCATAACATTTTCAAAAATGGCTAATCAAAAGAGAAAACTGGCCAACAGTGAAGTGTCAGAAAGATAAAAGCACAGCAAATAAACAAAAATAGAGAACTCTGAATGCTAGTTAATTTTATGCATTAACTTGGCTAAGCTAAGGGATGTCCAGACAGCTGGTAAAACATTAGTTCTGGTGTGTCTGTGAGGGTGTTTGCAGAAGACATTACCATGTAAATGAGTAGACTGAGTAAAGATCAGATCACCCTCACCAATGTGGGCATCATCTGATAGAACAAGAAGGTGGAGGAAGGGCAAATGTACTCCCCCTGTTTGAGCTGGGACATCCATCTTCTCCAGAACTTGGACACTGGCACTGTGGTTCTCCAGCCTTGGACTTGGACTTTGGACTGAATTATTCCACTGGTTTTCTTGGTTCTCCAGAATGCAGATGGTGGAACTTCTCAGCCTCTCTAATTGTGTAAGCCAATTTCCATAATAAAATAAATCTTCATGTATACCTATATAAATCTTTATATATCTTAAAAATCTTCATATATATAAGATGAAATAAATATTTATGCCTCTGTGTGTGCATATACTGTTTTCTGGAGAACGCTGACTAATATACTCTGAAAGTGAAATTCAAATTGAGTGTAAATGGAGTTATGGAAGAAATAGCTATTGGAGGTAATTTGCCACTGTTTGAGGCATTCCAGAGGAACTTAGGGAAGGCAGACTTAACAACATAAATGAAAATAGATGTGTTCATTCATTTTAGGATAAAGATGTCCCAAGAAAGTGACATGGCAAAACAAAACAAAACAAAACAAACAAAACTCACATTAAAGGAATTATCAGAGGTATTTCATGACATTGAAAGCACAAACAATAAATAGTTGGAAGCTGATTCAAACTTAGGAGAATGACAGTTTGTCAAGGTATAGCTCACTCTGCACTGTAAGTACTACAAGAAGAGGAGGGCCAGCTTCATTCAAACTATACTCCATTAAGATTTTTACAAAGAAATAAAATATTGATTCGTGTTTCTGATGTTTTAAATTACACTATACTAAATATTAGTTTTAGTATTTTTGAAAATGTTCCTGTGCATTTATAACCTACAATAGTTTTTAATGTTTTGACAACATATTTTTAAAAGTCACAGAACAGTCAGAACATTCCCCTTTGATGCACGAGATCGCGTTCCATTTTCTGTTTGCAGTCATTTCTGTGGTCCCTCATTAGCATGCAAAGCAGGGCCTCCCTCTGTATCTGTTCTAGGAAGTGACTGTGGGAAGGGAAATGAAATGGTGTATGTGGAGTGAAGCAAAACTGCAAGGACCACGATTGAGTGGCTGTGAAGAATAAGGCTGGAGATGGTAATCATTGTGCCTAGCAGAGAGAAAGGTAAAAAAGCTCTGAATCTTTCAGATTGTGCTGATTTACGCATGATCTTTTAAAGACGGGTTAATCCTCACAAAGGAACAGTATAATTATTTAAGAAAAATCAGATGTGTGACAAATGGGATGCGATGGTGCACCAAGATTTGATAATTGGTGATATGACCGGAGAGGCAAGCACACAGACCATTGCGGGTCTGCCTCAAAGGAACACTTCTTAGTCTCATGCCATCTCATATGCCGGTTACTCATGATCTTTTAAAGACAGGTTAATCCTCACTGAGGATTTGCCTCTGATGACAAATGTCTTCTTTAGGAGATGTTAGTTCAGTGATGTTATTTCAGCATTCAGGCCAACAAAGGCAGTCAGAAGAGGAATGCATGCCAGGTGTCCTAGAGGTCAGTAAAAAAGAAGAACTTGGTCTAGGGGAAGAATTATGAATGAGAGACTGCAGCAGAGCTAGAAGATGGTGCCCAGCAGAAGAGAATTGGAACAGATAGATCCCTGCTCTTTTAGAGCTTCAACGATGAAGCCTATTGTTCTGTGGTTTGAGGAATGCTCATCATTCACCATAGCTGGTTAACATAATTTATTAAGTTGAATCAAGTACAAAAGGAAAAAGTTCTTTCTAATAGGCCAGATTCCATGAGTGGAAATTCCTTGGAGTCAAACAGGGAGAAAATACGTCTCAGTGTTAAAGACTTTCCAGAGACTTCTTCCATTCCACTTTCCACCCCTCCTTAAATCACTCGCCAAAGAAATGCTTTGCTGGACACTAAAGTGGCCACAAATGTGTTCATAAGAAAACATCAGAATATAAAATTAATCATTGTCTCTTTTAGTTAACTTTTTTGGAGTGTGTGTGCAGGGTTAAAGGACAGATGCTATTAAGATGATAAACATCAGCCAGGTGCGGTGGCTCACGCCTGTAATCCCAGCACTTTGGGAGGCCAAGGCAGGAGGGATCACCTGATGTTGGGAGTTCAAGACCAATCTGACCAACATGGAGAAACCCCGTCTCTACTAAAAATACAATATTAGCCGGGCGTGGTGGCACATGCCTGTAATCCCAGCTACTCCAGAGGCTGAGGCAGGAGAATTGCTTGAACCCAGGAGGCAGAGGTTGTGGTGAGCCAAGATCGCGCCATTGCACTCCAGCCTGGGCAACAAAAGCAAAACCCCATCTCAAAAAAAAAAAAATGATAAACATCACTGAAAAGTTTGGAAGTACTACCAGTTTCTATGACCAATAGCTTTCCAAACAGCTGCAATTATTTGAAGGTCAATGAACTAAAAATGTCCATGTATCGGCTTTAGGCAAAAAGGTCATTAATGCTTTAGGGGACTGTAATAAGTCTGGAAGAGGCTAACTTGACTCTCACCTTCTGCAGTTCTCTATCTGATCACCCTGAGATCCTCTTCAACTGCCAGGCTCCTGGAAGGTCAGAGTCAAGCCAGAGACTGACTCCCTGACCAGCCATACAGAGCCTAAAGTTACAACCTACCTGGATTGGCAAGGTCTTCTACGACTTATGTAGCCCCTCCTTGGATGAGGTTGCCACCCACCCAATCCCCCCCAAAAAGATCAGTCTTCTATGCTAGCTATGAAAAAAGAGAGGCAATGACAGTATTTCATTCCATCAGTGTTTGAAAAAAGTCTGCAACTTCTATGCAGTTATCTCAAAGCATCTAGGATTCCAGGGACAGACAGAAAGTCCTTCAATCACAACAGAATTCCTGTTTTGCTCTTTAAAAAAGGAGAGAGGACAGGCTGATGGACGCTATGGGTGCTTAGACTCACATGTTGTCCATGAAGTGGGGACTGTCCTCTAATTCTAAAGGAATAGCTTTGGTGACCGTTTTGCCATTGGTGCCATCTCTCAGGAAACTGATGATAAACTACAATGTTTTAAACTTGTACTATATCCAGGAGATATGTAGATACATAAAATATTTTGTTATTTAAATTCCACAAGCGTACAATGTAGGTATTATTTTCATTGCACAAATATGATAAATGAGACAATAATTTTCTCAAAGACACCCAATTAAGCTGCCTGACTGCAAAGAGTTTCAGGCAATAAGATTTAGATTCCTTTAGTTCATCATCTTCTAAAGACAATGCTTTAATCATTGTTTCGCTGGTTACTGATCATACTCTTCTTAAAGCCCTTCCCCATGGGATTTGAAAAATCTGCTTCTAAGCATATCTGAAAGTTTTTTTAATTTTCAATTTTTTTTAGAGATGGGGTCTCACTATGTTGCCCGGGCTGGAGTGCCACAGCCATTCACAGGAGTGATCATAGTGCACTATAGCGTCAAACTCCTCAACTCAAGAGATCCTCCCGCCTCAGCCTCCTGAGTACAGGCTACAGGCATGTGCCACCATGCCCAGCCATAGCTTGAGGTTTTCACCTACAATAACTGAAGTTCCTACCTTGCCACTTCAGAACATCTACTAAGAAGTCATAGATATTACTTCAGGGAAAAAAATGCCTGGCTGCAAATAATTCCCTTTAACGGACTTGAAGATAGTTCTGTTAGTGTCTTCCATAGTTTTCAACTCAGATCCAGTGCTCATGCAATACTCCTTATCTACTGTGTCTTTGTTTCCAATAGCAATAACACATGAACTTAATAAATATGCTGTCTTTTTAAGAATTTACGGTCGGGTGTGGTGGCTCAAGCCTATAATCCCAGCACTTTGGGAGGCCAAGGTCTGTGGATCACGAGGTCAGAAGATGGAGACGATCCTGGCCAACATGGTGAAATCCCGACTCTACTAAAAATTATCCAGGTATGGTGGTGGGCACCTGTAGTCCCAGCTACTCAGGAAGCTGAGGCAGGAGAATCGCTTGAACCGGGGAGGCGGAGCTTGCAGTGAGCCAAGATCGTGCCACTGCACTCCAGCCTGGGTGACAGGGCGAGACTCTGTCTCAAAAAAAAAAAAAAAAAAAAAAAGAATTTACATTGGTGTATGAATACAAAGACTGAAAAATGTATTAGAAAGATTTATTATTTAAGAGATTCATTATGAAAGAGTTTAAAGATGAAAGAAATTCATCAAAGGGTTTGTATATTTCAAGAAGAAAGTATGACATCATCTAAATACATATTGCGGGGTTAAATGTTCTTTCCACCATAAGAGAAAAATCTATTCTCTTTTGTCCTAGTGTAAAACTCAGGACTTCTGCAGCTGCCCTTGTCTCTGAAATCTTCAACTTGCAGAGTTCTAAACACACACCCTACCTCACACCCCACGCAGAGTTACTCTGCGTCCACACAGCTGAGCTCCGTATGTTTTAACAGTCATACGATTTAATTACCACATCTTCTTCTGAAAGCTGAGATTTATAATTTCAGTAAAGATTTCAACAGAAAGATGGTAAATAACTCAGAGGAACTTATTTATTTATTTATTTATTTATTTATTTATTTATTTATTTTTGAGACACAGTCTGGCTTTGTCGCCCAGGCTGAAGTGCTGTGGCATGATCCCGGCTCACTGCAACCTCCACCTCTGGGGTTCAAGCGCTTCTCCTGCCTCAGCCTCCCGAGTAGCTGGGATTATAGGTGTGCACAACCACACCCAGCTAAATTTTGTATTTTTAGTAGAGACGGGGTTTCATTATGTTGGTCAGGCTGGTCTCAAACTCCTGACCTCATGATCCACCCACCTCAGCCTCCCAAAGTGTTGGGATTGCAGGTGTAAGCCACCACACCCGGCCCTTCATAACAATGTATTATCTCTGAAATTCCCTTTCACAACAGTGACCTTGATTTGAAATTTTAAAAAAAATCAGGCAAATCTATTAAGACAAATAGAGAGTGGCTAAGACACTCTGAAAACAGATATCAAGGACCTCAACTTCTAATGTTTACTTTTAATCATTTTAACAAATAAGCAAACTTTACAAGATTAGTGAGGTTCTGGTGTAAGAGATGTTTTCATAGTCCCTGAATGAGCCTCACCAGGCTTCCCACTAAAATGTGGCAGGGATGAGAGTGCACCTCACCACTGCAGAGCCCAGAATGGAGGCTCCCCTAGTTTCAGAACTTGGGAACAGTTTCCACCACTTGGCCTATCAAACACTCAGACTCAACGAAGAAACCCAATTGGTGGCTCAGACCTAGAAATGGAGTAAATCTGTTGGCCTGAATAAAAGGTCAAAAACATTTTGTACATGTCTGCAGAAAACTGGACTTTTCATCTATTGCAGGCATTGTTTTTACAGGCAAACAGAATGAGGTCTTCTATCTCTTTCTGTTTCCCCACTCACCTCCCCAAATCCTAAGTCCTCTCTCCTACATTATATGTTCTATTTTTCACCCCTCTGTAACAGTCTAAAAAAGGATAACTGTGGAAGTAAGATATGCCTATTAGGGAACATCTGGAAAATCAGAAAACTACAAAAAAGAAATAATCACCAGAGACACCTGATGTTCCTATTTCAGCCACTTCACTGCTCGGGCTGTTCAGCAGCCCTTGCGCTGCCTGCCAGTTCTGGTCTCCTTGCTTGCCCATCCTCCTAGATGACCGTTCCGTATTCTTCTCTTCTTCAAACCTCAACATTTCCTCTCTGCTTCTCACTCTCAGCTGAAGGCTTCAATTTTGATACAGGAGAAATCAGAATGGATCATTCTACAAAATGCAGCAGGCACAGACATCTGTCTCCATGCACTCGGCTTTCCCTGGCTCCTAGGGCCAACCCCCCACTTTGCACTGGATCCTGTTCCCCACTCCTCCTAAAGGACTTTGCTCCTGGAATTATTTCCATTCCTGCCTCATTAGTTTTTTCTTCTTTTTTAATGAGTCATTGCCAAGAAAAATGATGTACCATAACATCTTGAATTGCAACCTCTAAAAACTTCCCATTTTCCTGATTCCTCAGTATCTCCACAAACAAGCTGTGGGCACCTTTCCCAGATGACCAGGTACACCAATGTGACAAGGCTGGTCCCTGTCACAAGTCCCCCTTCTTACTCTCCCGACCATGGCCTAGTGACATTTAAGCACACCCATGATATCCCCTCCTGCCTTTGCTGGTGAACCCCACCCTGATGCCCAATAAGGGCAACTGTCCACAGGAACCTGTTTGCCCTTGGCTCCCCACCTGCTTGGCTGAGCCCGCTTTGTTGGTGCTCTGCCCAGGTGATCCCCACAAGGTATGTCGTGCCTCCCTCTTTGGAATCTGTGAGTACAGTAAATCCTTTATTCATATGCCTTCCCAGTGTCATCTCCACAGCCTATTGGAAGGTTCCTTAAGGACTCCACAAGGGGTACTTAATCCCTCATTTATAACACATACCTCCATCTTAAAAAAGCCCTCTCTTGAACCTGTATCTTTCTCAGCTCCTACCCAATTTTAAGCTTCCCATTTCCAAGAAAAGTGACTGCAAGAGTTGTTCACATTGGCTCGGCACCGCCCGCCCGGCCTCCCGACAGGCTTCGGGGACTAGACCTTGGACGCGGATCCTTCCAGCGCTGCGCCCCGGGTCTGCCTCCTCCTCCGAGAAGCCCCCCTGGCCCCGCCATCCTCTTCCTCTGGGAAGCCCCGCCCCCAGGCCTAGCCCTCCTCCTCCTCCGGGAAGCTCCCCCCTCAGGCCTAGCCCTCCTCCTCCTCCGGGAAGCCCCCCTAGGCCTCGCCTTCTCCTCCGGGAAGCCCCCCAGGCCTTTGCCGTTCTCCTCTGAGAAGCCCCACCTAGGCCTCGCCTTCCTCCTCCTCCAGGAAGCCCCCCCAGGCCTCGCCCTCCTCCTCCTCCGAGAAGCCCCCCAGGCCTCGCCCTCCTCCTCCCCCGGGAAGCCCCCTAAGCCTCGCCCTCCTCCTCCTCCGAGAAGCCCCCTAGGCCTCGCCCTCCTCCTCCCCCGGAAGCCATCCCCGCTCCCCCGACCCCCTAACTTGCTCTCCTCTGGGGAGCCACGGGGCACCGCAGCACCAAGAGGCCGAATGGGACCCTGAGGCCACTCTGCCTGCGTCCGCCTCACGTGCCCCTTCAGCGCCAGGTCTGGGGGATCCACGCCTGCGCCCCGGGGCGACCCTGTCGCGGGGTCTGGCTGTCCAGGCCCGGGGGCCCGGGTGTCAGGCTGGTAGCAGGAAGGAAGGCGCTGGCCTCCCCACCGCATTCGCCCCATGCGGCGTCCCCGGGAAGGGCCGCGGAAGAGCCGCCGTCCGCACCCAGAGGGCCATGGACGGGGAGCGCCCTGCGTGGTGTTCGTGGCGCTGGCCTGGTCTCTGCGGATCGGAGGCAAAGCCAGCCTGGCTCTCGGGTCGCCCGTCTTCTGTCGAGCTGGCAACATCAGTGCGGTTCCCACCGCCATTCGCGCTTTCTACTGGACCCTCTGCTTTTTATTGTTGATTTGTGGGAGCTCT
The DNA here is from genome assembly GCF_000001405.40 of Homo sapiens. Lineage (NCBI taxonomy): Eukaryota > Metazoa > Chordata > Mammalia > Primates > Hominidae > Homo > Homo sapiens. The sequence goes on along the minus strand of NC_000002.12, from coordinate 131,445,234 downwards.
TTGCATAGGGGCCCCGCCATCGCAGCCTGGCATCCTCGCAGGCGCTTGCCCTCGGAACGCCGGGTGGGCTGCGGGCGCGGCGGGACTCCTGGTTTCTCTTCCCCAGGACGGACACCGGCGTCGCCGCGTCCTACGAAGCCAGGCGCCGAGCGGGAGGCGCATCTGGGCCCCACCGGGGCTGCCCGCACCGAGCACGCGAACGCGCCATCCCGCCCGGAGGCCACGGGCGCTGCGGTGGGAGAACCGTAAAGCTACTCGGCTGGGCATGGCGCGGCGGGGCGGGGAACGGGGCGGGGCCTGGGCGACGGAAGTGTGCAGCCGCGCGGCATTCTGGGGCCGGAAGTGGGCCGCAAGCTGCAGGCTGGTATCATGGCAGGAGCGCGGCGCCGCAGGAGGCGCCTGGCGGAGCTGACGGTGGACGAGTTCCTAGCTTCGGGCTTTGACTCTAAGTCCGAATACTCTCCAGAAGCGGAGACGCGGGAGGCACGCGAGGCTGCCCGGAGTCCGGATGAGCCGGGCGGGAGCTCCTTGGCCAGCCGGCGTAAAGGCTGTGCCTCTGAGCACAAAGATCAGCTCTCTCGGCTGAAGGACAGAGACCCCGAGTTCTACAAGTTCCTGCAGGAGAATGACCAGAGCCAGCTAAACTTCAGTGACTCAGCTCTGAGGAGGAAGAGGAGCCGTTCAACTCCCTGCCAGATGTGCTGGAGGAAGCCAGTGAGGATGAGGATGGAGCGGAGGAGGGGGAAGATGGGGACAGAGTCCCCAGAGGGCTGAAGGGGAAGAATTGTGTTCCTGTGACCCTCGCCATGGTTGAGAGATGGAAGCAGGCAGCAAAGCAACACCTCACTCCAAAGCTGTTCCATGAAGTGGTACAGGCATTCGGAGCAGCTGTGGCCACCACCCAAGGGGACCAGGAAAGTGCTGAGGCCAACAAATTCCAGGTCAGGGACAGTGCTGTGTTCAATGCTCTGGTCACCTTCTGCATCAGAGACCTTATTGGCTGTCTCCAGAAGCTGCTGTTTGGAAAGGCGGCAAAGGACAGCAGCAGGATGCTGCAGCCGTCCAGCAGCCGGCTCTGGGGGAAGCTCCATGTGGACATCAAGGCGTACCTGGGCTCGGTCATACAGCTAGTGTCCTGTGTGGCAGAGACGATGGTGTTGGCGGCCGTGCTGTGGCACATCAGCGTGCTAGTGCCCTGCTTCCTGACCTTCCCCAAGCAGTGCCGTATGCTGCTTAAGAGAATGGTGGTCGTATGGAGCACAGGGGAGGAGTCCCTGCGGGTGCTGGCTTTCCTGGTCCTCAGCAGAGTCTGCCGGCACAAGAAGGACACTTTCCTTGGCCCCGTCCTCAAGCAAATGTACATCATGTATGTGAGGAACTGCAAGTTCACCTCGCCTGGTGCCCTCCCCTTCATCAGTTTCATGCAGCGGACCCTGAGGGAGCTGCTGGCCTTGGAGCCGGGTGTGGCCTACCAGCACGCCTTCCTCTACATCCGCCAGCTCGCCATACACCTGCACAATGCCATGACCACCCGCAAGAAGGAAACGTCTGTGTACAACTGGCAGTACGTGCACTGCCTCTTCCTGTGGTGCCGGGTCCTGAGCACTGTGGGCCCCAGCGAAGCCCTCCAACCCTTGTTCTACTCCCTTGCCCATGTCATCATTGGCTGTATCAAGCTTATCCCCACTGCCCGCTTCTACCCACTGCGAATGCACTGCATCCGTGCCCTGACGCTGCTCTCGGGGAGCTCGGGGGCCTTCATCCCAGTGCTGCCTTTCATCCTGGAGATGTTCCAGCAGGTCGACTTCAGCAGGAAGCCGGGGCGCATGAGCTCCAAGCCCATCAACTTCTCCGTGATCCTGAAGCTGTCCAGTGTCAACCTGCAGGAGAAGGCGTACCAGGACGGCCTGGTGGAGCAGCTGTACGACCTCACCCTGGAGTACCTGCACAGCCAGGCACACTGCATCGGCTTCCCGGAGCTGGCGCTGCCTGTGGTCCTGCGGCTGAAGTCGTTCCTCCGGGAGTGCAAGGTGGCCAACTACTGCCGGCAGGTGCAGCAGCTGCTTGGGAAGGTTCAGGAGAACTCGGAACACATCTGCAGCCGCCGCCAGAGGGTTTCCTTCGGCGTCTCTGACCAGCAGGCAGTGGAAGCCTGGCAGAAGCTGACCCTGGAAGAGGGGACCCCCCTGACCTTGTACTACAGCCACTGGTGCAAGCTGCGTGACTGGGAGATCCAGCTGGAGATCAGTGGCAAAGAGCGGCTGGAAGACCTGAACTTTCCTGAGATCAAACGAAGGAAGGTGGCTGACAGGAAGGATGAGGACAGGAAGCAATTTAAAGACCTCTTTGACCTGAACAGCTGTGAAGAGGACGACACCGAGGGATTCTTGGAAAGAGGGATACTGGGGCCCCTGAGCACTCGGCGTGGGGTGGAAGAGGATAAAGAGGACGAGGAGGAGGGCGAGGAGGACAGCAGCAACTCGGAGGATGGAGACCCAGACGCAGAGGCGGGGCTGGCCCCTGGGGAGCTGCAGCGGCTGGCCCAGGGGCCAGAGGATGAGCTGGAGGATCTACAGCTCTCAGAGGAGGACTGAGGCAGCCTATCTGGGGGGCCTGTAGGGGCTGCCGGGCTGGTGGCCAGTGTTTCCACCTCTCAGGCCTAGAGGCTGGCGTCTATGCAGTTGGGGGAGGCAATAGACAGGGGACAGGCTTTAATATTTATTTTTCAGCATGAACGGCCAAACCTACTGAGAGCTAGGCTGGGCTGGCATGGCTGTTGAAGTCAGCTCCACGGGGGAGCTGACCTTGACGTTAGCAGACGGAGACCAGTCCCAGTTCCAGGGGGAGGCCTGCAGGTCCCTGGCCCCTTCCACCACCTCTGCCCTCCGTCTGCAGACCTTGTCCATCCACACCAGGCTCTGCATTCCCTCCCCCAAGTCTTTGGAAATTTGTTCCTTTCCTTTGAAGTCACATTTTCCTTTAAATTTTTTTGTTTTGCATCTAAAACTGAAAGAAAGAAAGCTGTGGGAGGCAGGGCCATTGTAAAAAAAAAAAAAAAAGTTGTTCACATTCAACATTTTTTCTTTTCTTCTCTCTTCAACCCACTCCAACATGGGCAACAAGCACACCCAAGTTGCTAAATCCAATGGTTGATGTTCAGTCCTGAGGTAATTTGACCTTGCAGCATCTTTTTGAGTCTGTGGGTCATGCTGTCCATGTCACACAATTTACTCCCTTGGCTTTTATGACACCTCCTCACACTTGCTTGGTTTTCGGTCTACTTCATTGGCTCTTTCTTTAGCTGGATCTTTATGTTCCCAACTAGAACCCGTTGCATAATTTGCAGGGTGCAGTGCAGAATGAAAATGCAGGGCTCTTATTCAAAAATTATTAAAAGTTTCAAGATAGTGAGAGCAGAGCACTCAACAAAGCATGGGGCCCTTCTGAGCAAGAGGTCTTGCGTGATTACAAAGATCTTGTGCCCATGAAGCCCTGTTCCCATCCTCAGAATGCAGCAAAGCACCTGCTCAGTGCTCATCTATAAATGATCTCGTCCAACCCAATTGGCTTTAGATGCCACATTCAGCAACAAGCTTCACATCTTACCTTCAACACCAATCTCTCCATTTTACTTCAGATTCAAATATTCAACTCTCTATTCTCCATGTGCACTGAATATATGAAATGCACTCAAACTTAATATGTCCAAAATGGGACTTTCATTTCCCACCCAAATTCTTCCCATAGTTGTCCCCATGTCAATAAATACCAACTCCATTTTTCCAGTTATTCAGGCCAAAATCATTATAGCCATCCTGAACTTCGCACTTTTCTCTCACATTCTACATTCAATCCACCAAGTCCTGCAAGCTCTACCTTCAAAATATTTCCTAAATCCGACCAGTCACGACCTTCACTACTTGCAACCCCGGTACAAGTTTCTGTCCTGAGTCACCTAGTCTTCTAGTGTCATAGGCCTCTTGGCTTTCACTTCTGCCCTTGACAGTCTATTTGCCACACAGTCATCAGTTATCTTTTTAAAATGTAAGTCATAGTTTGTCACTTTCAAATCGCAAAGTTGAAACCTTTGAATGCCTTCCAACCTCACTCATAATTTTTTGTTAAAGTCTTCAAAATATGGCCTAAAAAACTCTATGTAGCCAGCTTCTGGCTACCTCTCCACCCTCAGCTCCTATCACTACCCCCTCAGTCACTTCATCAGCCACATTGGCTTTCTTGCTGCTCCTCACTTTCCTTTGCACTGTGGTTTTCTCTGTCTGGAACACTTCACTCAGATATTTGAATGACTCGCTTTCTCAATTCAATCAGAAATTTGCATGGCACCTCCTCAGAAAGCCTTCTATACTGAACATAAATCTCAGCTTCCCTTGACTGTTTCCTTTGTTTAAAAGGTGGCACCCCTCTCCTGAACGTGGACCATGCCACACCACTGCCATCTTTGTTGAGTCCCCAGAACTGTCAGTAATCTGCAAAAATCCCATTAGTTCCAAGTCTCCACTCACTTCTGATGAAATGTCCCATAACAGAGAATGGGATCTGCCCTCCTGGCCCACCGTCTAAAAGCCCAACAATGTTTTCCTAAAGAACAGGGCATTCGCTCTTCATGAGCAATAGAAAACAGGAGCCACAAAGAGCCAAGCAGCAAAGAGCAGAGAATAGATCTAGATAGATGATGAAGAATAACCAGTATACACTCTCTGTCCTCTTAATCTGTTTTGTTGCAGACTGATGTTTTACTCTATGTCTATGCATATGCACATATGCATGTACGTATACATGCGTGCAACTTGATGGCAAAGATCCCATCTTGTATGTTCCTTGTCATATCACCAGCTCCTACGGCAGTAACTGTCACATAGTAAATATTCAGCAAATATTCTTTTGAGAGAATGAATGAAGATGCAATACTATTAAATACATTCACAATTTCTCACCTTGTTCTTTTCACTCAACACAATCACTTTGGGTTGTTTTTTGGTGTGTGTGACAAGTATTCTTCTAAAAGAAATTATGATTTCTTTAAGGAATCTAGTCTAAATACACATGAAAGGAAAGGGACTACTGAACTAAATTATTTCAGCAAGACATTTAGAGAGTATTAGTGATTTTATAATAAATAATGCTATTGTGATTTAAGTGTTCAAAGAAAAAAGATGATGATTTTCCCATTTGTAGTTCAAAAAAAAGATTTCATTAATCACATTATGAGTCAAACCCAAGGATGATTATCGATGACTAGAACTATTAGAAAAAGCATTCGACAGGTAGGCAGTAAAGAAGGGTGGGAAGTTCAGAGTAATCACATAAACAAAGAAAGGAACTATCTAGAAGGCAGACCCATCAGGGGAGGGAAATTTCAAGGGAAGAAGACTGGACCCTGTTACCTAGGAAATAAGTAAGGCCACAGCACGGGGAGAAAAAAAGACTTGATACTTTTCAGAGTACAAAAAATCTGTCTTTGTTAATGCAAATGCATGTAATGCACAGTAGTTTGAGAGAGGCTAATGGGTTTTTTTATTGCTTTTCTTTGTCAATTACAAATTGCTCATTCCTGAAGATGAAACGAAAATGAGCCATTGAGTAAATTACTTCCAAAACAAGCTGGTGGAAAACGTGTAAAACTGTAAGTGAGTAATATTAAATCCTTACATGTTTTATAGGAATTTAGACTCCAGGCACATACAATGTTTTATACCGATAATGACTATACATTTTTTAACTTACTACATAAAATTATATATGTTATAGTCCAGGCACAGTGGCTCACGCTTCTAGTCCAAGTACTTTAGGAGGTCAAGGCAGAAGGATCGCTTAAGGCTGTGAGTCTGAGATCAGCCTTGGCAACATAGCAAGACCCTATCTCTACAACAAATAAATAAATAAATTAGCCAGGAGTGGTGGTACACACCTGTAGTCCCAGCTACTTGGGAGGCTGAGATAAGAGGAACACTTGAGCCCAGGACATCAAGGTTGCAGTTAGCTATAATCATGCCATTGTACTCTAGCCTAGGTGACAGGGCAAGATCCTGTCTCTTAAAAAAAAAAAAAAAAGTACTGGTTGGGCGCAATGGCTCAAGCCTGTAATCCCAGCACTTTGGGAGACCTCATGATCTCTTGACCTCTTCAACATGGTGAAACCCCATCTCTACTAAAAATACAAAAATTAGGTGGGCGTGGTGACACACGCCTGTAGTCCCAGCTACTCGGGAGGCTGAGGCAGGAGAATCGCTTGAACCTGGGAGGTGGAGGTTGCAGTGAGCCGAGATCGCACCGTTGCACTCCAGCCTGGTGACAGAGTGAGACTCCATCTCAAAAAAAAAAAAAAAAAGTATTATTGAAAGTTTAGAACATAACAACTTAGCAATAAACAAAAGAAGAAAATATAAATCAAAACAAAAACAGCCACTGTAAATGTTTTAGTTTATAATATTTCAGATTTTTTTCTACTAAGTAAATATATGATTATGAAAAGTTGTACTCATTACTGCTTAATATCCTGTTTTGTTGATGAAATAATTTTTCATGAATATTTAGCAGTGTAATTATATTGTTGTCTCTTTTAAGCCAATACTATAACATAAATAACACATTATTAAAAATTAAACCATCACTGCAGTTTAAAAGTTAAAGAAGAAAAAACAAAATTCAATTTGGTCATAGCATATTAGTATTTTAATTTGAGACTGGATGGATTTGCTAATATTTTACTCATAATGTAATTGTAGGTTTCTTATTGTGGGATATTTGTCAGGTTTTTATTTCAGGACTAAGCTAATTTATAAAATAAATTAGGATATTATACGTTATACATAAATTAGGATTGTTTTCTATGCTTTAAAACAATGTTTTTCAAATTATCTGTGTGAAATCCTTTTTTGCAGTTTCCCATCCATCATGTACTGCTATTTTGGTTAAAACAAAACAAAAAGAAATTAGTAGAAAAGTAAAATAAGAAGCCATAAACAATCGAAATAAAAGTTTAATTTCTTTATGATTACATTCAATAGACACTAAATTACTCTACCAAATTGTTGTAAAAGTCTCTAAATGCTGACTCTCATTGCCATATTTATCATGAACTTGTAACAAACAGTTCATGACCACCAGAAGCCCATGGACCACACTTTGAATAGTGCTGCTTGAAAGAAGACGCTTAATATGTTTAATGATGCACATTTATCAGCAAAAACAATGCTGTTGAAATATTACCACAATATGTGAATGTTCATTTATTTACAAATGATATCTCTAATTAAATTTATTTTAATAATATTCTGGATGCTTAGATTTTAAGTACTCAGCATATTAAAGACCTCATCTTTTTTTTTTTTTTTTTTTTTTTTGTGACGGAGTCTTGCGTCTCGCTCTGTCGCCCAGGCTGGAGTGCAGTGGCCTGATCTCCGCTCACTGCAAGCTCCGCCTCCCGAGTTCACGCCATTCTCCTGCCTCAGCCTCCCGCGTAGCTGGGACTACAGGTGCCTGCCACCACGCCCGGCTAATTTTTTGTATTTTCAGTAGAGATGGGGTTTCACCGTGTTAGCCAGGATGGTCTCGATCTCCTGACCTCGTGATCCGCCCGCTTCAGCCTACCAAAGTGCTGGGATTACAGGCCTGAGCCACCGTGCCCGGCCGACCTCATCCTTTTATTACTTAATTCACAGGTACAATATCCAATTAAGATAAGGTTTGCTATTGCTGATACTGTGTATGGATCTCTATTTTCCAGTAACATTTCTGATCACTTAAAATTACTGAGCCAATGCTTTTCATATCTGATTAGATCATCCTTGTGTTTGACTCATAATGTGATTGATGAAATCTTTTCCTTGAACTACAAATAGGAAAAGCATCATCCAGTAGTGCTCTGTCTTCAATCTGTGGCTTCTCTTCAGGAATATAATCATGCCACTTGTTCATTTTGTGAGGATTCCTTTAGTGACAACTGTATGGTATAACCCACATAATTAGAAATTGCCATGCAGTGTTTAAAGAGCAAACACACTGGTGAGGGGACCAGGTGGCACCTACGCTTTCTTTCAAGAATATCTGTTGGAGGCAACCTACAGAATGGGAGAAAATTTTTGCAATCAACTCATCTGACAAAGGGCTAATATCCAGAATCTACAATGAACTCAAACAAATTTACAAGAAAAAAACAGCCCCATCAAAAAGTGGGTGAAGGATATGAACAGACACTTCTCAAAAGAAGACATTTATGCAGGCAAAAAACACATGAAAAAATGCTCACCATCACTGGCCATCAGAGAAATGCAAATCAAAACCACAATGAGATACCATCTCACACCAGTTAGAATGGTGATCATTAAAAAGTCAGGAAACAACAGGTGCTGGAGAGGATGTGGAGAAATAGGAACATTTTTACACTGTTGGTGGGACTGTAAACTAGTTCAACCATTGTGGAAGTCAGTGTGGTGATTCCTCAGGGATCTTGAACTAGAAATACCATTTGACCCAGCCATCCCATTACTGGGTATACACCCAAAGGATTATAAATCATGCTGCTATAAAGACACATGTACAAGTATGTTTATTGTGGCACTATTCACAATAGCAAAGACTTGGAACCAAGCCAAATGTCCAACAATGATAGACTGGATTAAGAAAATATGGCACATATACACCATGGAATACTATGCAGCCATAAAAAATGATGAGTTCGTGTCCTTTGTAGGGACATGGATGAAGCTGGAAACCATCATTCTCAGCAAACTATCGCAAGGAGAAAAAAACAAATACCACATGTTCTCACTCATAGGTGGGGATTGAACAATAAGAACCCATGGATACAGGAAGGGGAACATCACACACTAGGGCCTGTTGTGGGGTGGGGGGTGGGGGGAGGGATAGCATTAGGAGATATACCTAATGTTAAATGACGAGTTAATGGGTGCAGCACACCAGCATGGCACATATATACATATGTAACTAACCTGCACATTGTGCACATGTACCCTAAAACTTAAAGTATAAAAAAAAAAAAGAATATCTGTTGGACCATGCGTGTGAATTGGCCATTTGACATAAGAACTCAGAGAGGAGGCCAGCTCAAGCAGTTAAATGCTATTAAAGTGAAACTGAAAATTATTATTTTATTAGGAAAAATAACTAAAGTTCTATTTCTTTAATCCATTCTAATGAATTGTTTGTGCAAACTTCGTATTTAAAAAGACTATGGCTTTAGAACAGGTTTCTCTAAGGACAGTATGGTTCTGTAAGCATCTGTTTGTTTAAAATTCAAATTCCCAGATCCCATCCCATAACTACTATATCAAAGTCCCAAAGAGAAGATGGGGAGAGAGGAGAAAGGAATTCATATGTTTAATAAACTCCCCAAGTGATTATTGTGCAGATATATATTTATTTATTTGAGACAGAGTCTTGCTCTGTTGCCCAGGCTGGAGTGCAGTGGCACAATCTCAGCTCACTGCAACCTCCACTTTCCAGATTCAAGCAATTCTTGTGCCTCAGCGTCCCAAGTAGCTGAGACTACAGACGTGCACCACCACACCCAGCTGAATTTTGTATTTTTAGTAGAGATGGGTTTTCACCACGTTGGCCAGGTTGGTCTCGAACTCCTGACCTCAAGTAATCTGCCTACCTTGGCCTCCCCCAAAATGCTGGGATTACAGGAGTGAGCCACCATGCCCAGCCAATATTTTGAAAACCAATGCTTCAGAGCAATTTAAAAAATAATCATAGGCATTACATATAATCCTCAAAGGTTACATGCACAAAACTGGGCATCTCTATTATGAAATAGTTGAGGACTCTGACATCCTTTTCAGCTTTTTTTCTATCATTCGAATTAGCCTTTTCTTTTTTCTGTTTCTTCTTGAGTCCATTTTAGTAATTTTTATCCTCCTAGGATATCATAATTTTAGTTAGCTTTTAAAAGAATTATTGTAATAAATTATATTTAGAAAATAATTTAGTATGCTTTTCTTTTCCGTATCTGTCTGATCATGTATGTCCCTATATAGGGATACAAACTGCTAGTGATATCTTTAGTTTAAGAGAAATGAGAGAACAGAAGTTTAAAATTTATTTAGCTCAAACACAAAGAGAATGCAAACTGTTAAGAGAGATTTTTAAGGGAAATGTGAGAACAGAGGTTTAAAACTTATTTAGTCAAACACAAAGAAAAAGAGAGTCGGCCGGGCGCAGTGGCTCACGCCTGTAATCCCAGCACTTTGGGAGGCGAGGTGGGTGGATCACTAGGTGAGAAGTTCGAGACCAGCCTGACCAACATAGTGAAACCCCGTCTCTACTAAAAATACAAAAATTAGCCGGCAAGGTGGCTCATGCCTATAATCCCAGCTACTTGAGAGGCTGAGGCAGGAGAATCGCTTGAACCTGGGAGGCAGAGGTTGCAGTGAGCAGAGATCGTACCATTGCACTCCAGCCTGGGCAATGAGTGCAAAACTCCGTCTCAAAAAAAAAAGTAAAGAAAAACAGAGTGAATTTTTTGAAGTCCACATAAAAGATGATAGTTTGGAAAGCTGTTAGTTTATAAGAACCAAGATTTTTGAAAGAACAATTTTTGAAAATCAAAAGGCAAAGATTTCAAAGATAAAGGTATAAAATTAGCCTACAAATAAACAATTAAGGTTGTGGTTTTCCAGGGAGTCAATAGGATGATAGAGAACCTGACAAGAACGAGGTCAGGGTGACCTGCATGGCTTGGAGGGATCACACAGAGAAGAGTAGAGATCATACTTGGAAAGAACTCAGTTTCTGCCCTAAAGAAGACCAATACAGCCAAACCAAGGGCAGTCGGGCAGGTGATGGAACCAAGCCACGCTGAAGTCTGACCACCACCGTTCAGGGGAGTGCTGTTCCCCGTCCCGCCAGGAGAACTGCTAGCATTGCCTTCATTGCTCCCCGTGAAGGTCTTCCTCTGATCGCTGCTTGCACCTCACTCCATGAGCACCCAGGAGAAATGTGACCCGTATACATCCTGATGTTTCAGTCAGCCCATCTCAACTCTACTGTAAATATTTTTCAATAACCCAGCACTTTTTAAGGCCCCTAAAAGGAAGGGTAGAACCGTGGACGCCCGACAGGACTGGGTAGTGCAGAGAGAACCAGCAGCTCAACTTGGGTGGTTTCAGAAAAACAAAAAACAAAAACCAAAACAGTTCAAAACTTCACTTTGAGCCAGGACAGTGGAAAGAGCCACAGCTGTTCTATTAGTATCAGTATTTTTAGCAGAGTCTATTTCCTCAGGCTGCAACTTTTCTTACTGGAAAAGTGCAACCGCCTCTTAACTGATCTCCCTGAAACTGTTCTCTCCACCCTCCAGTCTTTTCTGTACATTGCTTGCAACAATTACCTTCCAAAAAATCAAAAAAATATTTCCTCTCTAGAAATCTTTATTATCCTGTTGTTGCATACAAGAGGAAGGCCAAACTCAGCAGCATTAACTGGACTGCCCTTCAAAAACCAGTCGCAGTCAAAATTTTAGCCTCAACCTATGCCTCTGCCAGTGTTTGAACTTAAATGTTAGCCATTTCAAACAGGGCAGAGCTTTTCCATACGGTTGAATATTTACTCACTGGTTCTTCCTCCTAGATTATCATGAACTTGGTTCTCTGCCCAGCGAACTCCTTCCCAACTCAAATCCTATTATGACCCTGTAAAAAGTTACTTGCTTTCTCTCTCATTTACCGAGGTGCTTTATTCAGATTCATCTAAAAGCATCCATCAGATTCTTTTTTTTTTTTTTTTTTTGAGACGGAGTCTCACTGTGTCGCCCAGGCTGGAGTACAGTGGCATGATCCCAGCTCCCTGCAAGCTCCGCCTTCCAGGTTCATGCCATTCTCCTGCCTCAGCCTCCCGAGTAGCTGGGACTACAGGCTCCCGCCACCACACTCGGATAATTTTTTGTATTTTTAGTAGAGATGGGGTTTCAATGTGTTAGCCAGGATGGTCTCAATCTCCTGACGTCGTGATCCACCCACCTCGGCCTCCCAAAGTGCTGGGATTACAGGTGTGAGCCACCGCACCTGGCCATTTATTAGCTTTTTGTCTTCTTTTATGGATGTCTCCTTGTATCTTTTACCTATTTTTTTAATAAGCTATATTTCAATTGCTTAGTAAAATGTCATGTTATGTAGGAAATACATTATAAGATTTTTCTCCAGTTGTTTTTAATCTCCTTTATTTTTATATGTATATGTACATATAGACAGGTTTATATTGTCAGTTCTCTTTTTTCCTGTGTGGTTTCATTCAATGCTTTCTTTTTTCTTAAATTTTTTCAAACCAAGATTAGGTTATGTTTGCCTACTTTTTATTTTAGCAGCCTTAAAAAAATTCTGGAGTGGTTTCATATTGTTTTTACATCTATCTGTTTAATGTATGACAACTTATTCCAGTGTGTGGTATGAGTTAAGTCTCCAATTAGACTTCTTTCCTGAATGAAATAGATGACTTTCCACATACTCTTTGGTAAGAAAGCCTATCCCTTACATGGCTTTAGGATGCTTCGCTATGAAATGTTAAATTCATGTTTCTGTTTTAAGATCATTGTGCTCAGTGGTTTATCTGTGAATTGTAGAGTCTGTGCAGCTTTCTATGAACACTTCGTTTCGTACATAGCGTTTCACAGGGAGTGTCCACAGCTCTGCTTCCTTTTTTCCCACTAATCTCAACTGTTCCTTTCTCCAGATGAACTTTGAAATTATTTTGTCAAATTGCAAAGAAAATCCTTTTGGGATTGGAATTAGATACTTTTAACCCTTATACTCAATTGAAAAAACCATATTTCTGTAAACTAGTAGATAGATTTAAAAATTGGTTAAAAATCATTACATATTGCTGTGCATTTATAAAGTGTATGTATTTTTTTAAGTAGAGGTTTCACAAATGTCTTGTAAGGATTATTCCTAACATTCTGTTTTCCTAATGATGGTGTAAATAGAATTTTTTGGTTTTATTTCTAATTATTTCTCGTATTTAGGAAACTATTGATTTTTAAAATATTTATCTTCAAATTTTTTTCTGTCTAAGCAGATGCTCAAGTGAGTAGCAAGATGCTAGTCTCGCCAGAAGACAGACAAACATACTCAGTTTCAGGAGTAAAGTGGGCCAGGGATGGCAGTTCTGCTGTTTGGAAGCTGTGCACACCCAGTGAGACTTCTCCCTTCACGGACCTTGGCTTATAGGAAGGGGGAGGAGATATATGCAGGAGTTAGTGGTAGAGCCAAATCTTCATTAATGCCTTTCAGTAAAAGCAAGATGTGGCTGGTCTCCTTGGCTTTGAGCCATGAAAACGGAAAAAAATCTATTTGATATTCTATTACATAGCATCACAGACAGACACAAGCATGAACATATACACATTATTTCATAATTAATAAAATTTTCTCCATAGTTCTAATAACACACACACACACATTAGTCCACTAGATACCAGATTGAGAGGTTTCCTCCTGCCACTGTTATCTAGTTTTCTGAATATTATGTAAATTTCATCATGACCAACACTAGACTGGATTTCGTCAACTCCTCCTTCCTCCCTCACCTTCCACAGTTAATCCATCAACAAGTCCCACCAACTCTTCTTCCAAACATACCCTGACCTCTCGCTTTCTCTCTCACACCCCTACCATCCATTTCCACAAAACAGGCAGGAGGATCTTGTAAAATATAAATCCGATCTTGTGAGTCATCACTGAAAACCTTCCAATGACTTCCCGTTGGCCTTAGAAAAAGATCAGACTCGCTGTGGCCACTCCAGCATGTGAGGTCTGGCCCTCCCTGGTCTCTTTTGCCTCATCTGGATCCGCTCTCTTTGAAGGTCTCAGCCACCAAGCTCCATCTACTTGGCCTGTACAGTTCCTCAAACAAAATGAACTCCTTGCAGCCACAGCCTTCGCTTCAACTATTCCCTCTACCTAGAAATGTGACCCATTGGAACTTCTCCTGACCAGCTTCTTCCCGATATTGGAACCTCAAATTAAAAGGCACCTCCTCAAAAAGGCCTTCCCTGACTATTCTCATCATAAGGAACGATTTATTCACTCCATTCCATCCACTCTGGGTAGTTCTTTTCACTCTCTGGTTTTTTAAATTGTCTGTGTGTTGTCTGTCTCCCCCTCAGCAGAATGCAGGCTCCCTGAAGGGAAGACTTTGACTGTATCCTTGACTGTATCCCCAGTGCCTAGAAGAACGTTTTGCATGTAGGAGGGCCTCAGTAATAATGCTCAATAAATGAATGCTCAACAAATCTGAATGAATACAATGGGTTATCTAATTAGCAATCAGATATTTTACTCATTAATGTCATTAATTATCAGATTTGTGTAAAATGTAAGCTACTTTTAGTTTTTAAAGAAGAAAAAATAGATCCATAGTATTATAAAAAACAAACGGTTCCTAATCATTTGGAGCCAGCGATACTTCTTTAGCCTGAAAACTACATTCCTCAGATCTTTTTCTCTCTTTTGCAGACTTCATGAAATGTTAACAATGGCCCCATTACCTATCCTATTCCACTCTTGGATGCTGCTACAATTTGTATTATCTGACACTGATTCAGGGAAAGAGGTGCTGTTGAAGAAGAGTGGGGTGAAAATTGAGGATAAAGGGGTGGCTTCAGCTGCCACGAATACAACTCTCTCTCAGTAAAGGAGATGACTGCTGGCTTTCTGATTCATGGGCCAGACTTTTGGCAGAAGTGGGTGGCAACATTTTTCTACCTTACTCCTGCATGCCCTGGAACCTCTCAAAGCCTGGAATTGGAATGGTCATGAGCTTGTTGATGACTTTTGATGGCCAGTGACTGATAATTCTTGCACAGATTGGCAAACTGCTGATGGGCATTTCTTATTCCCAGTGCCAAAAAATAACTTTATGTATTGTGACTTTATACCTTTTCTGTGCTTAAATGGAAGTATGACCATGAAGTTTGGGTAGAGATAAGGTTTCACCATAGCCTAAAAGCCCACAGGCATTGCTGGCAATACAACAAAGGTGAAACTGTAATAGTTTTATTCTCATCTCATAGCATTCAAAATCAGTTTTAGAGAAATGTGTTTTAATATATTCCTCAGTCTTTTCTTCACTTAGTCAACATGACTTCTATAAGTAATGCACAAATAGCATGTACCCAGTAAATCAAATCCTAGTTGAAAATTATCGACCAGCATGACCAACATGGAGAAAACCCATCTCTACTAAAAATACAAAAATTAGTTGGGTGTGGTGGTGCATGTCTGTAATTTCAGCTACTCGGGAGGCTGAGGCAGGAGAATCACTTGAACCCGGGATACAGAGGTTGCATGAGCTGAGATCGCACCATTGCACTCCAGCCTGGGCAACAAGAGTGAAACTCTCTCAAAAAAGAAAAAAGAAAATTATCAATTATCCTTCCAAGTCAAGGCCATTTGATATGGACTTCTGTCTTCTACCTATGAGGTGGGCATAATAATGATATTATCTAATTCAACGGTGGTTGCTGTGCTTGAATAAAAAAACTCTGGAGAGAACCTGACACAAAACAAGTGCTCATTGATGTAGACTGAGGTTGAGACTACTTTTATTTTCTTCTGTCTTTAAAATGTTAAGTGCAAAATGCCAGGGCTCATGACAGGTATATTTACTAAGGGGAAGTTACTGCTTTTTAAAAAAACTACATGTATCTCATACCTGATGTTGCCTGAGTGTGGCTAGGGGTGGCTGCATGTTTCTGCACATGGGTGTGAAAAATGAGGAACAGACAGAGACACCTTAGGGAATGGTCCAGCTGATGGGTCCAGGGGAGCCCATAGAGGACACTGCCTTTGTAGGCATCCAGGACCCAGCTTTAATCCATAGCAGATGCATACAGTCATACAGGTTTGATTTTTGTTGGTCCATGGAGGATTTGTCAGGATCTCAGGGGAAAGCCAGAGGTAGAAGGCATCTCACATTTTGAGCATTTATTGCTTGCAAAGCTGTGCGCTACACACTACAAATGCTGTTTCATTTAACCCTAACAACCCCCATACACTGCCTGTTTGTAAGAAGTGGAGAAAACTTAGGCTCATAGACTGTTCAAATGACTTGAAGGTCACACAATGCTAATAAGGGATTGAATCACATTTGAACTCAGGTACATATGATTTCAAACCCTCATCCTTTCTACTACATGGCACAGCCTTCCTCACAGGCTGACATGCACTAAGCAATTTAATTTAGGAGACTGGGAAGTAAACCAGAAAAGCCATGCATTATTTCACAATGTGTTTCAAACCTTTCCAGTGAGTGGAATACTTAAATCTGCCATTTTGGATATTCAGTTATGATTTAAAAATTACTTGAGAAGTAAAATTTCCAATCAGAACAAAATCCACCTAGTCTGGAGGGATCATTCTGAGTTTATTGGATTCTGCCTGGCTAAATCTCTCTGTCTTGTGTTGGGTGTTCCTCTCATGCAGATCGGCTACTGCTCTACCAGCCAAGGTCTGGGGAAGGCAGCTCCGGGCACCAAGGCACAAACTTCCTTCCTTGTCCTTGCTCCTTTTCCTCTGTTGCTGGTGGGTCTACTCTGTGTGCCCTTTTGCTGAACTGGGAGTGGTAAAACCTACTTGTGTTGGGACTTGCAGTAGAATGGACAGAACTAGTAATTTCACCTGCTCTGGCCTGTGGCTACTTTGGCCTCCACTTCCTCCACTTGGTCTAGCCTGATTGACCAGAGGTCCACAGAAGTGCTCGGGGCCAGAGCTCCAGCTTAGTAATGGTGATGACTTGCTTTGCTTTGTCTCCTGAGCTTGCTCCATTGTGGATCCTTGACAGGGACAGGGAAATGAAATATTCCTAAATCTCAGCCAAAATAACAACACATCACTTTGATCTCCTAATTGTCCCGAACATTCTGTGTGTGACTGCCAGATTCCATATCTTCCTCTCCTGGACACAGTTAGATAAACACTGCCAAATCCTTGGTTTTAGATTCCCTAACTAAACTCCATGTAAACCAACTTCCTTCTGCTAAAACACTGTCTTCGGACAAAATGACAACATCCAGTGTTTTTTTACATCTGCCCAATTCTGATGAAACTGATGAGGCTGCATTTCAATGGCAATCTTGCCTTCATTGGACTTCATAATTTCTCCAGTTGTTTAGCCCAAAACTTGAAGACCTTCTCTTTCTGTGGTGTATATCTCTAAATCGCTAATTTACTCATTCATTAGGTATTGTTCTCATATTTCCAATCACAGAGGTTAATCTTATTTCCAAGTTTGGGGCACCTAAATTTAGCCCATTTATGTCTGATTTTGTTAAGTAGATTTGCTGCTCCACTCTTCTAGAGACACATAGATTCATCTAAACAGAAAATTTAACAAACTTTTTTTTTTTTTTTTTTTTTGAGATGGAGTCTCATCCTGTCGCTCAGGCTGGAGTGCAGCAGCGCCATCTCGGCTCACTGCAACCTCCGCCTCCCCGATTCAAGCGATTCTCCTGCCTCAGCCTCCTGAGTAGCTGGGATTACAGACATGGGCCACCACGGCTGGCTAATTTTTGTATTTTTAGTAGAGACGGGGCTTCACCATATTGGCCAGACTGGTCTCAAACTCCTGACTTCATGATCCACCTGCCTAGGACTCCCAAAGTTCTGGGATTACAGGCGTGAGCCACTGCACCCAGCCAACAAACTTATTTTTGAGCAGACTGGTTGTACTAAATGATTACATATGGCAGGAGTCTGGGGAAAATTTTTACTTATCTCTATTCCAGAACATCTACTGCAAATGCCATAATAGACTATTGTTCTTGTATTATCTGAGCTATTTGAATTATCTGAGTAAAGCTGTTTCTGTTTTTCTTGACTCAGGAAATACAGAGTTCTAATGACTGAACTGGGAAGGTAAGGATTGGGTTTAGAAAGAATAAGATGGACTTGACAGCTTTCAAAATTACTTGATAATCCATTATTATCCAATGACTACCTGCATAATAATATAATTTCCATACAAAGTTAAACTGAAAGAGTCCTTTGAGGTTCAATTTCTACACACTTGAATATACCACAATGCAGAACTTCAGTTGTTATGAGTAGACAAAATAAAACTCATTTTAAATTTATTTAACTGAAAAGCAGAGAAATTATTCCCCAAACCAGCAGGCTTTCTCTTTAAGGCTATTTTTCTTTCTCACTGAACGGCAGCATCTACTGTGAGATGCACAGGCAGGGAACAGCTCTAAGTTTCTGATAGGAGGGGCCAATGGTTCATGGTTCAGGAAAGAACGGTTAGTCCGGAAATTCTCTAATTTAGAGAAACATAAAGGGGAGGCATCTGAACTGAAATTCTCTAAAGTGCTGCTTCCTTGTGGCTTACACCGTTCTCGTGTTTATTCATCAGTATGTATCAACAGCCCTTTGGACTGAGCATTTATGCTGATAAATGCTTTCTCCTCCTCCCCTACATTCTTCTTTTTTTCTTCTTCCATTCCTCCTCCTTCTCTTTCTTCCTCTTCTTTCTCCTCCTCTTCCTTCTCTTCTTCCTCTTGTTTTCATCCTCCTCCTCCCCTTCTTTCTCCACCTCTTTTTGCTGCTTGGGATATAGTTAGACAGTTTGAGCTAGATACGGTTATAGGATTGCTATCACCATGGTATGTGTTGGTATTAAAGATAAGACATATATGGATCTAAGTAATGTCTTCAGTGCCAAGATATTAGAAGCTTTGAAATCCATCTTAAACATCTTTGGAGCACTATTAGTTATTTTTTATGTGACAACAGTTATGGTGATAGGAACGTGTGCTTTCTGGGAGGAAATTATGAAAGGTGTTAAGTACAGGGAGGTTTAAGTTATAAGAAACAACATAAAAGCACACTTTTTTTTTTTTTTTTTTTGAGAGGGAGTCTCAGTCTTTCACCCAGGCTGGAGTGCAGTGGCACTATCTTGGCTCACTGCAACCTCTGCCTCCTGGGTTCAAGCGCTTCTCCTGTCTCAGCCTCCCAAGTAGCTGGGACTACAGGCACACGCCACCACCCCCAGCTAATTTTTGTATTTTTAGTAGAGGTGGGGTTTTGCTATGTTGGTCAGGCCGGTCTTGAATTGCTGACCTCAGGTGATCCACCTGTCTTGGCCTCCCAAAGTGCTGGGATTACAGCATGAGCCACTGCGCCAGCCAAAAGCATACGCTTATGCTGGGCTTGAGATGTCACACTTTGCCTACTCCCATTATTCTAATGTCCACTTTAAGGTTATTAAAATGTCCTAAGATCATTCAAGACAGACCAGTCTACATCTTCACTTTATTATCCCCAAGCCCTCAGAGATGCCACAGCTACTGAGAAAAGGTCACCTAACACTTCAGAATCAGAAAGTTCTGCAAAAGCCAAGGGCTCTTCTAAAAAGAGACCACATTGCAACTGCTTCCCGTACATGCCCGTCAACTAATGTGATCACAGAAGTGTTTTAGAAACAGCTTTTATCTTACTTGGTTTTCTCCTCATCAAAGGTTTTCAATTTAGTTTTTAGACATTTTAATTTTTCTTGAAAAAGAATCCCCCATTTTATAATTGAATCCTGGCGCTGTCATTTGCCAGTTCTGTGGTCTTCTGCAAATAACCTGTGTGCTTGTTTCTTGCCCCTGCCAATGGTGCCTACAAGACTTTTGTTTCAATGAAATGAACGTATGTGAAAACTTCATCACAGGGTTGCCGGGCGGGCGGGGAACCGGGTCTGCGCGCCAGCCGGGCGGTGGGCGCGGACAGGGCCGAGGGCGCCCGGGAGCCGTGTCAGGCGGCGGCGAGGAGCGGGCGCGGGGAGCCTTCAGCGGCCGCTCGCTGCGGGGACACCCCGGTGGATGAGTTCTCGCTGCCAGGGGCACGGCGTAGGGGGCCTCGGCAGGCGGCGGCGGCGGCGGCGGCTCGGGGAGCGAGGCGGGCCGAGGCGCGGGCGTCTGAGCGTCTGAGCGAGGCCGGGCGCGGCGGCTTCTCTCACGCGCCCCCCGAGCCAGCGCCCGCCTCCCGCGCCCGCCTCCCGCGCCCGCCTCCCGCGCCCGCCTCCCGCGCCCGCCTCCCGCGCCCGCCTCCCGCGCCCGCCTCCCGCGCCCGCCTCCCGCGCCCGCCTCCCGCGCCCGCCTCCCGCGCCCGCTTCGCTTCTCCCGTCGACCCAGACCATCCGCTTCCACCGCGCCCCCGGCCCACCTGGTGGCCCCGGCCCTGGCCGCCGCCCCCGCGGCGGTTCCCGGAGCTCGTCCCGGACGCGCGCCCAGGCGGCGGGGGCTCGGCAGCCACCGCTGCCTCGGGGGAGCGATGGCGGGAAGGCGTGTGTGCGCGATGTGAGCAGGGGGTGCCGGCGGGGCTGCAGCGGAGGCACTCTGGAAGAATGACTCTGGAGTCCATCATGGCGTGCTGCCTGAGCGAGGAGGCCAAGGAAGCCCGGCGGATCAACGACGAGATCGAGCGGCAGCTCCGCAGGGACAAGCGGGATGCCCGCCGGGAGCTCAAGCTGCTGCTGCTCCGGACAGGAGAGAGTGGCAAGAGTACCTTTATCAAGCAGCTGAGAATCATCCATGGGTCAGGATACTCTGATGAAGATAAAAGGGGCTTCACCAAGCTGGTGTATCGGAACATCTTCACGGCCATGCAGGCCATGATCAGAGCCATAGACTCACTCAAGATCCCATACAAGTATGAGCACATACAAGTATGAGCTCATGCACAATTAGTTCGAGAAGTTGATGTGGAGAAGGGGTCTGCTTTTGAGAATCCATATGTAGATGCAATAAAGAGTTTATGGAATGATCCTGGAATCCAGGAATGCTATGATAGACGACGAGAATATCAATTATCTGACTCTACCAAATACTATCTTAATGACTTGGACCACGTAGCTGACCCTGGCTACGCAACAAGATGTGCTTAGAGTTCGAGTCCCCACCACAGGGATCGTCGAATACCCCTTTGACTTACAAAGTGTCATTTTCAGAATGTTCGATGTAGGGGGCCAAAGGTCAGAGAGAAGAAAATGGATACACTGCTTTGAAAATGTCACCTCTATCATGTTTCTAGTAGCGCTTAGTGAATATGATCGAGTTCTCGTGGAGTCAGACAATGAGAACCGAATGGAGGAAAGCAAGGCTCTCTTTAGTACAATTATCACGTATCCCTGGTTCCAGAACTCCTCGGTTATTCTGTTGTTAAACAAGAAAGATCTTCCAGAGGAGAAAATCATGTATTCCCATCTAGTCGACTACTTCCCAGAATATGATGGACCCCAGAGAGATGCCCAGGCAGCCCGAGAATTCATTCTGAAGATGTTCGTGGACCTGAACCCAGTGACCAAATTATCTACTCCCACTTCACATGCGCCACAGACACCGAGAATATCCGCTTTGTGTTTGCTGCCGTCAAGGACACCATCCTCCAGTTGAACCTGAAGGATTACAATCTGGTCTAGTTGTGCCTCCTAGACACCCGCCCTGCCCTTCCATGGTGGGCTATTGAAGATACACAAGAGGGACTGTATTTCTGTGGAAAACAATTTGCATAATACTAATTTATTGCCGTCCTGGACTCTGTGTGAGCGTGTCCACAGAGTTTGTAGTAAACATTATGATTTTATTTAAACTATTCAGAGGAAAAACAGAGGATGCTGAAGTACAGTCCCAGCACATTTCCTCTCTATCTTTTTTTTAGGCAAAACCTTGTGACTCGGTGTATTTTAAATTCTCAGTCATGCACTCACAAAGATAAGACTTGTTTCTTTCTCTCTCTCTCTTTCTCTCTTTTTCTTTTCTATGGAGCAAAACAAAGCTGATTTCCCTTTTTTCCCCCCTAATTCATACCTCCCTCCTGATTTTTTTCCCATGTTACAATGGCCTTTATCCTAGTTCCATTCTTGGTCAAGTTTTTCTCTCAAATGTTACAGTCAGGACACATCGTTCGATGTAAGCCATCATCAGCTTTATATAAGTTTGTAGTTTTTGCTGAAGGATTATATGTATTAATACTATGGTTTTAAATGTGTTGCTCTGGATACACACATGGTTTCTTTTTTAATAGAATATACTGTCTTGTCTCACTTTGGACTGGGACAATGGATGCCCGTCTAACAGTTAAGTGTCATTTCTTTTAGATGTTTACCTTCAGCCATAGCTTGATTGCTCAGAGAAATATGCAGAAGGCAGGATCAAAGACACGCAGGAGTCCTTTCTTTTGAAATGCCACGTGCCATTGTCTTTCCTCCCTTCTTTGCTTCTTTTTCTTACCCTCTCTTTCAATTGCAGATGCCAAAAAAGATGCCAACACACACTACATTACCCTAATGGCTGCTACCCAGAAACTTTTTAGAGGTTGTTCTTAATTTTTTATTGTTGTTGTTTGAGCTTTTCCTTTCTTTTTTTTTCCTTAGTGTTTGGGCCACAATTTTAAAATGACTTTTATTATGGGTATGTGTTGCCAAAGCTGGCTTTTTGTCAAATAAAATGAATAAGAACTTAAAAAATAAAAGCTGGTATCTTAAAATGTAAGAGAGTAAGACTGTGAAGCCTAAAATGACTGGCTGAGAATGAACCAGAAATGCCAATTGCCAAACAGTTGGAACTGTAAATTTGATTCTCACGGTCCATTCTTTTCTTTGTCCTTAAGATGACGTTGTTAGTGTTCACGTCCCATGTTCAGTGTCCAAACCGGCAATGTAAAAAGTATCTTGTGAGGTTTAACAGGAAATCTGTTTATGTCTCTTTATTTGAAACCAGTTTTACTCTCAATGGTTCTTTAAGTTCAATTAAGTCTGCCAGGAACATTGGTTGATAGTATTATTCTGACACCTTTAATTTCCTAAATCTGAAGTTCCTGCTAGTTTACCACCTTCAAGATCTTCTTGAACTGGTAACTGATTAGGTTGAACTTACGGAAGATTTGTGGACTTAAAAGTAACCTCTCAGTGTTCTATAGAACATGTATTTGTGTAACTGAACCTACCAAGAGAAATGTTTGGAATTCTATATGTGCAATTTTTCAACAAATGCAAAAAAAATACAGCACATGTATTGACAAGCTTCTGTCAAGCAGCTTGAGTTGAAATTTGATTTAAGAAAATAAATCATGATTGTTTAAAGCTGCTGGGACGTCAGAATTAGGCCATGATACTGGTCTCATTTTAACTATAGTGCTATTTGGCACTAGTCTAAACTTCCATATAAATCACTGTTTTGGAACAACAAAATGGGGAGGGAGAAAAATCACGGCCTGTTAGATGAGTACCAAAACCACCAAACAGTAATGAGATGTTCTCATCCTTGATTCTCCCAGCCTCAAACAACACAGGTTACTTTTTTTTCCCCTTGCTCAGAAAGCACCTGTAATTTAACAAACAGACTGCCTGCAGGTATAGTGCAATTACAAATGCTCTAATCATTGTACGTACATCTCTCTTGATATTGCAGCATCCATACTGGCTTTGTAATCATTAATTTTTTGGCAGATTGAATGTGCTGTATCGATATGTATCTATGTAATTGTATGTCTATAGCTAATTCACATTTTGAATAATGTTATTTTATTTACTTTTTTAAGAGAGGAGAATGTAAATTTGTCAGTTTATTTCTGACTAGGGATATTTTCTTTCTATTTAGAAAAGAAGAAAAAAAAACCTTACTGTCATACAGAACGGTACTAGCGTCATGCTGTATAAAATCATTTGCACATTCCTGAGTAGAGGTATACTGATTATAAGATCCAAAGGTAATTTCATAGCAAAATACATAAAATCAGTCGGAGCTTTTATACAAACATGGAAACCAACTTAGTGGCACTTTTGCTGTTTGATCTAGGATTGGAATATGAGCTTTTATACAATTCATATTCTTATTTGGCAAATGCACAGTTTAGTATTACCTCTCTGATGGCCTTTACTAGAAAGGCAGTTTTAGAAGCTATTGTGATCCACTAAGGAAATGTTTTAACAGCTAGAGACCACTGCTTGCCTGAAAGGGCGTTCTTAAATTTGGTGCATCAAAAAAAAAAAAAAATTAAACAACAACATTTGAAGGCCTACAGTGTGTATAGAGAAAACCTCATCACAAGATCATAAGTGTCACGGTTTTAGGGAATCAAGATATTCTATTTAATAGAGCTATAGTAGATGTAGTCAATTAAACCTGATCTCAAAGCTTGAAGAAGCTGAGCAAAACAGGGAAAGATTGTTATATTGGTCATTATGAAATTGGGATGGAATTTGCTATGCAGAATTGAGGTTTGTGGCTTCACTGTTCCTGTAGGGTGCATGACAAGATCCCTTCTCTTGAGGAAGGACAAAATTGATCACCCTAGCAGCAGTGATGCATAGAAACCTAATTTTAGCCACACCAGTCAATCGAAGCTAAAGGATTTTCTTTTTTGTTTCTTTGGGGTTTTATTGAAGGGGCTAGGGGCGGGATGGGATTCTCTTCAGTTTTGTATAAAAACAAAGTTTACTCATGCTTTATATTATATTGTGATTGCAGGCGTTATAAGCGTGTGCCACTGGCCTCCTATTGTTGATGCTTAGGTAATGGAGGCCTGTGGTGAGTTTTATGGTGACTTGGGCATGTCTTATTGAAAAACAAAAACATAAAACACAGAAACCTTTCGTCTGCATACCAAGGCAAGCAGCCATTTCATGACTGACTTAACACATTGCAGTGTAGCAGTTTACAGATGATTTTTCCCTTTTTGCATGACATGGCAGTTCTAACCCCCAGAGAATTCCTTATTTGTAAATTGGAAGTTTCTACTATGCCTTACAGAGCTTAAATTCAGAAGTTTGTGCCTCATATCTGAAACAAAGGGAAATAACACACCCATTCAAAAGTAAATAAATCTCCTAGAAGTTCTTGTTTTTAACATTTCCATATAAAAAGCCCTGTTGAATGTCATGAATAGACTGGAAAAAAAATTTTTAGGAACCTGCATATGTTGTTTACTAGCAGATGACAACTACAAAAGGAATTTGAAGAACACGTGAAACTTGTTTTTTTTTTGGTAGATTAACTAGCAGGCCTATTTTAAAAAGGTAATTCAGCTAAAGGGCAATTTACTTTTTTGTACTTCAGACTATCTTGATTGTCAAAGTGTACGAACTGTAATTTTAAAATTTATACTGCCACATGATTGTAAATTTTAGTTGTCTTAAGTTAGGAATTGGTGAAAAGCTATTTATGCTGGATTTGGGTCAAAATGACTTATTTGCAAAAAAAAATAAATAATGGGAAGAAAGGGCTGCATAATGACAGAAAAAAAAAAAGCTTCATCACATACTGAGGACTTTCCAAGTCACCTGGTACATGATAAGTGCTTGACATAGGGTAGCTGTTACAATTGTTGTCGATATTAGTATATTACAGCAAAAAACTTGCTTTAATTCTCACATTAGCTGAACAGCATAAAGGGTGAGATGATTTGGTAGTCATGCTGACAAATTGCTTTCCAGCAGTGGGAAGGGAGGCTGCAGGAACAGCAGAGAACAATTCGGGACAAGAAGAAAACAGCAGGGTGCACCAGACGTAGTAATCCCCTAAAACCAAAGGGAAAGCCGCCCGCTCCCACGCAGTAAAACTAGGAGTATCCAGGAATGAACAAACCCGAAAAGAACGTGAGCTGTTTTCCAAAACGGAGACCTCCTCAGAGGATGAGGCCGGGCATTTCCTGGGACAGCCTGTGTTAAGACCACGTGCCCCTTGCCCTAACAACTCACTGTAGTACTCTTCATAGACACATCTTGCAGCATTTCTCTTAATACTATGCTTGTTTTTCTTTCTAAGCCACCACAAGCCATAGTGATAGGTTTGCCCTTTGGTACAAAAGGTGCATTAAAACTGGTGGAAAAGGCTTACTGCATTCTGGATAACCTGTGTGCATACTTTATGAAATCTCTTGTGTGGGGAAAAAAATGCTTTTTACAATTTGACCTAATTATATGCATTGTAAAATAAACACCATTATTTCAAACAAAACACCTATCTTTTTACAATATGTTTTATTTCTGTTTGAATTCTGTTGTTACAATGTTAGTGTTTTAAAATGTGATGGAAAATATAATGCTTCTAAGGAGGAAAGCCAGTGGAATGAATGTTTAAAAGATCTTCATGTGTTTACGGTCTGCAGAAGGATTTTTGTGATGAGAGGGGATTTTTGAAAAATCTAGAGAAGTAGCATATGGAAAATTATAATGTGTTTGTGTGTATATGTGTGTGTGTGTTTTACAAAGATTTCTGCTCTGTTTTTAGCCAGAAACTCTAAAAACTAAAATAATAACAAAGAAAAATAAATAAAAGAGAGACAGAAGTGTCTGGATTCCTGTTTCCTGGTTACCCTGCCATGGTAGACATTCTTTCATTTCATGATCATGATTCTTCTTGTCAACACCGTTTTGAGCAGCACCAGAAAGTGACTTTGTCCCATTAGGACTCAGGTACTAATTAGTCGGCCAACTCTCAAGTATAAGAATAGCCAGCCAGGCGCGGTGGCTCACACCTGTAATCGCAGCACTTTGGGAGGCCGAGGCAGGCAGCTCACCTGAGGTCAGGAGTTCGAGACCAGCCTGACCAACATGGAGAAACCCCGTCTCTACCAAAAATACAAAATTAGCCGGGTGTGGTGGTGGGTACCTGTAATCCCAGCTACTTGGAGAGCTGAGGCAGGAGAATCACTTGAACCCGGGAGGCGGAGGTTGCAGTGAGCTGAGATCATGCCATTGCACTCCAGCCTGGGCAACACAAGCGAAACTCCATCTCAAAAAAATATATATATTGGCCTTTTGCTAACACAGTAAGCATGTATTCTCTATAAAGCATTCAATAAACGCACAATGTCAAGAGGAATTAAAATCCTATCTAATCCCACTCACCACTACACAGAGGTAATCACTGTTAGTATTTTGACATATAATTCTCCAAGTGTTTCTTACGCACTTCTAAAATGATTTGAACAAATAAAATTAGGAGCCTACTATACATGTGTTTCCTAACCTGCCTCCTTCACTCGGTCCTTATTGAGATCAGTTTTCATGTCAAGAAGGTGGATACCACCTCATTTCTAACAGCTGTGTTATATTCCATAGTAGGCATTACTCAACAAACCCTTTGCTCTTGGATACTTAGTTTATTTCTTCACTGACCACACTGAATAAACATCTCAATAGCCAAACATCTGTGCACATCCTTCATTAGTGCCTTGGGATAAGTTGGTTTAAATAGCATTGTTGGGCCAAGGAGTATGCTCAGCAAGGAAAATTATTCATCATGTTGTCAATTATGCCCCAGAATGCTTGGACCATCGGTGTATGGAAATGCTGACTTTCAACCCCTAAGATTGTTTCTCCCTCCCCATATTTGTTATACATTTAAAGTTGGAACTGGTGACCACCTTGGGCAAGCTGCCTCCCTTCATCTGTGAGCCATCAGCTAACAACATTCTCAGCACTTCCAACACTGCTGGCAGCTGGGAAAATGAGTGATTTGAGCATCTCAAAGTATATAGCTAAATGGATGGATGGATAGATGATTGATTTCTTAACTGCCGGAAATGCCTATGCAACCTCCTCTATTTTTTAATGACTCACACTTAATAATAATCCCACTTAATAATAATATAAATCACAATAATAATCACACTTAATAATTATTATTATTACTTAATAATAATGTAACTGGTTAACTAGAGAAACTGAAGAATTAATAGCAGAGCTGCCAATAGATCTTCTCTGCCTTGCCTCCTTTTAAGATACATGAGAACCTACAGAAATAGTCTTAGCTTTTACTTTCCAGTTCTAAACAAATGCAGACTGACCATACTTTTGGTTTCTTTCCTTGGATACCTATAAAATTATTCTATTCTTACAACAAAACCCCTGGACTTGTACTAGCTTGAGGGTGTTTCCTGTTGGGGGAACCTGTCCCTGAGTGAAAAAGAAGGGCAGTTTTTTGTTTTTTGTTTTTTTTGAGACAGAGTCTCACTCTGTAGCCCAGGCTGGAGTACAGTGGCACAATCTTGGCTCACCGCAACCTCTGCCTCCCAGGTCCCTGTTCAAGCAATTCTCCTGCCTCAGCCTCCTGAGTAGCTGGGATTGCAGGCACGCATCACCATGCCCAGCTAAGTTTTGTATTTTTAGTAGAGACGGGGTTTCACCATGTTGGCCAGGCTGGTCTTGAACTCCTGATCTTGTAATCTGCCCACCTTGGCCTCCCAAAGTGCTGGGATTACAGGCGTAAGCCACCACACCCGGCCGAAGGGCCCATTTTTACCACAAGTTTCTATCTGCTATTATCACCAATTCAAAAAGCAAAAATAGTTATTTGGAATCATGGAAGGAAACGGTTGAATGAGACCTCAGAAGTTACAATCTCGCTTGTTGGAGAAAGGCTGTGTGAAAGTTCATCTGACTTCTCGCACATAGTTAGAGACAGATCTGGGCCCTCGAGTCTTCTGAATTTTAATTTGACAAACCAAAGTGTACTGATTTTTTGGTAACATAAATCTGGGCTGCTAGGGGGACTACTTATTTAGCATCATAAAAAGAGCAATGGGATAATGAAATTTCTGTTTCTTGTTATAGTCTGATATACGCTAATACTAATGATATTTCCTAATGGAAAATACTTTTGAAAAGCATTTTTCCCTGAAATATGTATTACATCATAATCAAAGACATGTCAACCAACAATATCAGTTAATTGTCAAATTTGTGACTTAACTGATAAGGAAGCATGCCATGTTCTCCAGATGAATGAAGCACCCAAGATAAGAGTATCTACTTTAAACTACCCTAAAGAAGATGCTTAAGCCTAGGATAGCAATGAAATATCCGCCTTTATTATTCAAACAACAGAGATAAGCAAGCAAATAAAACAAAAAGACCGCAAATCCCAAAGTAGCTACTCAAAATGTCAAAGTTAGCATTTTGGTGTGAATCCTCCCAGGCTTTCTTTCTGTTTTAGTGTTTAAACTTAGTAAGGCAGCATGAAAATTTCTCCATATAAAGAAACGTAACAGTATGTTTATATTGCACAGTTGCATAGTGTAGATGTATGAGTTTATTTTACCAATAATTTATGAAAACCGACTTTTAAATGTGGTTCCCAAGACATGCCAGGGTAAGACAGGTTTCTGTGACACAAATAAATTTCCGCCATTATTGAATACTCAAGATCATAAAAAACATTGGCATAAAAAAGTGCAAGGCTTACATGTTTTCTGTATTTTGTCTAATGAACATGTGTTGCTTTTATAATTATCAGATACTACAAAAATATTATCAGAGATACATATAGAATGTAGTTTGGTTTAAAGTCATTTAGACATGCTAACTTGAAAACTATACCCTTGATCATATGTGTTTTCACCTGGGTCCTCGGAGAAGCAAATGCCAAAACAGAATTAAATGTGCAAAATGCCCATGAGAGAGAATGGGGGGCGGATCTGGGTAGGGCTGGGAGAGCTATCAGAGCACAATGGATGTCCACCATGAGTGAAGGAGACAGGGAAGAGAGAAGGAATGCTGGGTGGAAGCATTCCGGATTGCCGCAATGTCAAAGAAGGTTTGGCAAGGCTGTTTGGGAGTCTTGAGCCAGTCATCTGTCAAAGGAATCCCTCATCTACCAGGGGCAGCTCTAAGTATCTTGGTGTGCTCAGTCACTGACTGGGAGCAACCCATAGGTAGAGTGGTCTTGCTGCAAAGGTGGCAATGAATTTCAGAGTGCAGGGATATAACAGAACCCTTGTCAATTATGGCTCCTGTCCTGTAGTTGGAGGTTGTGATTCTCATTCTCACAGTCATCACAGTATGACAATCATAAAAACATTAAAATTTGACCACTACGTTTTCTAGCACAATCTATAAAGTAGTGTCAAGCAACAAAATGTCTCCGTTAATTTCTGTAATTGGCAGCCACACACAATTTAATCCCTAAACCTTGGACTTTTGTCTTCATGCCTTTTCATGTCTTTTTTATTTCAAATTTATTGAAGACAGAATACGTTGATCACACTATAGATCTTACAGTATTTATTTGCTCTGCTACCTGAGAGAAATCTTTTTCCACTAGAATGTAATAAAATATTTTCAAAAAGGTAATTAATGGCAAGAACAAAGCCATAGTGTATAATTTTGCCTTTACAGCATAGGTCTAATATATTAGTTGTGATATTTATATGAGAACAATTTTATAACCAAAACATGCACCTGCAGTATCTCAATGAGAACTACTTTATAGTGGCCAGTATGGCTCACTTTAATGATGTAGTATGAAAAGGGAAAAGAAGCCAGGCACAATGGCTCACTCTTGTAATCTCAGCACTTTGGGAGGCCGAGGAAGGTGGATCACCTGAGGTGAGGAGTTCAAGACCAGCCTGGCCAACATGGAGAAACCCTGTCTTTATTAAAAATACAAAAAATTAGCCAGGCGTTGTGGCACACACCTGTAATCCCAGCTACTCAGGAGGCTGAAGCAGGAGAATCACTCAGACCTGGGAGGCGGAAGTTGCAGTGAGCCGAGATCGCGCCATTGCACTCCAGCCTGGGCAACAAGAGCAAAACTCCATCTCAAAAAAAAAAAAAAAAAAAAAGAAAGAAAAGAAAGAAAGAAAAGAAAAGGGAAAAGAATATACTATACTAACAATTAAATTTAGCTAACAGAGAGGATTCATAATCGGAGAACTATTTCTAAATTTCATAAAATTATGAGAACTTGAATAATATAACAAGATGTAAAGACCTTAAGCCAAAAAAATGGTATTATAAATAAAATTTCATCATGGTGCCAAAAGAAATCTAAAATAACATTGTTAATTCAAACTGATGGATTTTTAAAGTTCATTAACATTTTCATAATAACTCTAATCATTTAAAATATTTATTATGTCATTGAATTATTTCAGGAGCTGAAAATCATGTGGACAATTCCTGAGTCAATTTTCTCCCTTTTTGGAAAGCATAAAATGTCCCACTTTGGCGGTCATCCAAAGTAGCTTCCAATGGGTCAGCAGGTTGAGACATAGTACCGACAGGTGTCAGTGTCAGAGATCCCCTTCAGTGTGCAGAAAGGGGGCCACGACAGTCCAGCTAGAGGGCTGCAAATAGAGGACAGCATATTTTATAAAATCTGTCCATTTTCCACAGGGCATGCCAGGAAGGTGCTGGAGAGCATTAGGCTTGAATCAAGAATGCTTTGTGTGTCCTGTCATGGAACAGGGCTGGAGGGACTGAGTGGGGCCATCAGACTCTGGCTTTAGGGTCAAGGTGCATGACTGAGCCAGTACTAGAGACTGTTCTGTCTGGGGGAATTCATGCAGACATTGACCTCATCCCAGCAAAATCCTCCTAATCTGTTTGGCTGTTGGGATAGAGGCGCTTCCTGCACAGGGGTCCCATTGCCTACTTATTGAGCCTGTCCCTGAATTCAGACCCACATCCCACCAAATGGGTATCTCATCTCTTGACAGTTCTCAGCCCCAAGCTCCAAGTTTTTCCACTGATTTTTCAGTCTTTACTTGCCTCAGCCACAATGGTCCAGGACATGATTTTACTGCCTAAAGTCCAGCTAAATTTCAAGACCAGCCCACTAAGCTGAGGCCCAGGTGACTTTCCAGCCTTTTAAAATCTTTCTTCCCCAGGGGGAAGAAGATATTTCCAGGTACTGCCAACCCCAGTCCTTGCATGTCTGCCTCTTTGTTGCTGTGTTCCACCCACTAAATTCAATCCCCTTGAGACCAAGATGAACTCAAATTAAAGCTTAATCGGATCGATCTCTTTAGATATTATTAGATTTCTGGCTACTTACTTCAATTAGAAAGAAATGGCCTTTATGGCTTGTGTACGAAATCTTTGTACAGAATTCGTCACATATAGGCACAACTGAGTGTAGCTTGCCCTCTGCTGGTGAAATACAGTATCACGTTCAAGAGAGTTTTTGTTTGTTTTTTCCAACGCATTCAAAGAGCCGGACCACTCTTGAGGCAATAGCAGTGCACAATCATATTGTTAATACCCAAATACTATCAGGCCATGTAAAGCAGCAGATAATAATATTCAGCCTGCAGGAGCAGGGAAGGTTAAGGAAGTGTGGGAAGTGAGATATTTACTGTACTTATTTCTCTACACAATCTAAAGGAAGCCAATAATTGATTTACTTTTTTTTTAATGCATTCTGGAAAAAAACTGAGAAATATCCTTACTGATAACTCCCATGTACATAACTAGATTTTGTATAATTTAACGCTGTTCACAAACATTATGTTTCTCAAACATTATGTTGGAATATGAAAATATTAGAGTAATCTGTTACTAATGCTGAAGGATCAAAGTTTGTGGGTCTTTTTTTTTTTTTTGAGATGGAGTTTGGCTCTTGTTGCCCAGGCTAGAGTGCAATGGTGCGATCTTGGCTCACTGCAACCTCCGCCTCCTGGGTTCAAGTGATTCTCCTGCCTCAGCCTCCACCATGCCCGGCTAATTTTGTTTTTTTTTTTAGTAGAGACAAGGTTTCTCCATGTTGGTCAGGCTGGTCTCGAACTCCCGATCTCCGGTGATCTGCCTGCCTTGGCCTTTCAAAGTGCTGGGATTATAGGAGTGAGCCACTGCACCCGGCTGTAAGTCTTAATTTTATTAATGTTAGAGTTAAGAAATTACTTAAGAAAGTTAATCATTCAACATTATTCTCACTCGTCTGTAATCCAGTACGTTCTCCTGAGTGGAATGGAAAGGAGGGTGTCACAGCTAACATGCTGGGAAGTGCATATTACTCTAGCTATGGGCTTAAGAGCATGCCACTGCAGAAAACGTCATTCAGAATACATCGTTAGAGAGAAAACAAAAACAAAATTGGCTTACTACCTCCTATCACTGGGGACATCTGCATTATCTTACCATCAGGGAGTTAGGCACACAGCCTGCATTGTCCTGCAGCTTGCAAATTATATAAATGTATATGCCAGCTTTTCAGAGTTTTCTGCAAGAAAGTTTAGAGTCAAAATTTCGACCCATTTTAAATAGGCAGTATATGCATTTGTATTTAACTCTACTCCTGGCTTTATTTGATCTCTCCTATTGTCTTCTTCTCCACATTCCATGCTCCTCCCCGAATTATCTTGTTGCATGTTGTGTGCATTTATATACATTAAGTCTTTTGATTATATGTTAATATGAACTTATGTGTTATCTTCTCAAAGTTCTAGAAAAATAAAGATTGCATAATAAAATAAATGACAGTGCTGTATATTAATCTCTAAGTAAGCAGTTACCAGTTTCCATATTGGGAGTTTTGCACACAAATCAGAACAGGGAGATGGGCCTTTTTCTTTATCTATAGACAGCCTGATTGAGCAAGTAAGCAGTCACAGAACATTTACATAATGAACAAACATTTGTGACAGGGTCAAAAACAGTAACTTGTGAGCAAGCACAGCTTTCTACCCAACTCATTCCAGGATTCAGAACTGCTGGTTAGGCCAAAGGTGAGAAAGAGAATTGGAAGGGGCTGAGAAAGACACCAGGACTGATTGAGCAGCTCCTTCTGAACATGACGGACAGGCTGGAGTGTTAAGGGGGCTGTGGGGTGGCCTGGGGGAGCAGCTGGGGGTTCAGCAGGACTCTCAGGTCAGAGATGCCCAGGAAAGAGATTAGGGAGCTTGCTGTTATTGTTATATTTTGTTTAAAAAAATTCCTTTATTTTAAAATATCTCTTTAAGAGCTTTATTAGAGGCTTACTTTTTTCTTCAAAAAAAATTTTTTTTTCAGACGGAGTCTCGCTCTGTCGCCCAGGCTGGAGTGTAGTGGTGCCATCTCGGCTCACTGCAAGCTCCGCCTCCCGGGTTCACACCATTCTCCTGCCTCAGCCTCCTGAGTAGCTGGAACTACAGGCACCCGACACCACCACGCCTGGCTAATTTTTTGTATTTTTCTTTTTAGTAGAGACGGGGTTTCACCGTGTTAGCCAGGATGGTCTCGATCTCTGGACCTCGTGATCCACCTGCTTCGGGCTCCCAAAGTGCTGGGATTACAGGCGTGAGCCACCGCGCCCGGCCTGTTTTCTTCAACTTTTAAGTTTAGGGGTACAAATGTGCAGGATGTGCAGGGTACACAGGTCAATGTGTGTCGGGTTGGTTTGCTGCACAGATCATCCCATCACCTAGGTATTGAGCCCAG
This sequence comes from Homo sapiens, assembly GCF_000001405.40. Classification (NCBI taxonomy): domain Eukaryota; kingdom Metazoa; phylum Chordata; class Mammalia; order Primates; family Hominidae; genus Homo; species Homo sapiens. The sequence continues at coordinate 131,411,073 of NC_000002.12, read as the reverse complement.
CATCCATTAGCTATTCTTCCTGATGCTCTCCTTTGCCCAATCTCCTGACAGGCCCCAGTGTGTGTTGTTCCCCTCGCATATGTCCATGTGTTCTCATCGTTCAGTTCCCACTTATAAGTGAGAACATGCGGTGTTTGGTTTTCTGTTACTGCATTAGTTGCTAAGGGTAACGGCTTCCAATGCCATCCATGTCCCTGCAAATGGCTGCATAGTAGTCCATGGTGTATAGGTACCACATTTTCTTTATCTCATCTGTCACTGATGGGCATTTGGGTTGATTCCACGTCTTGCTATTGTGAATAGTTCTGCCATGAACATACACCTGCATGTATCTTTATAATAGAAGGATTTATATTCCTTTGGGTATCTACCCAGTAATGGGATTGCTGGGTCAAATGATATTTCTGGTTCTAGGTCTCTGAGGAATTGCCACACTGTCTTCCACAATGGTTGAACTAATTTACACTCCGATCAGAAATGCTTACTTTAGTTAAGGGTTTTGATGTTAAGATTACATGCATTTTCTTTTAAAAATGTAAAAGTAGCTTAATTTTGCATCATTTTGGAGAGGGCTTTGTAGACTTAGCTTACAAGGGATTTTCGTGCTTGTCTAGGAAATCATTCTTCCTTATTTCACTATTTTTGTTACTATTTTTTTAATCCTGGCAATATGTCAGGGTTGTGTGTATAAAATTTGCAATTTCAGCAATTTAAGTGTACAAATCAATGGTATTAATGACATTTACGTGGTTTGCAACCATCACCACAAACTATCTCCAAAATATTTCATCAACTTAAAACTCTATACTCATTAAGCAATAACTTATAATTTCACCCTTCCTTCAGCCCCAAGCTGTTTATTTACTTTTTATCTCTATAATTGCCTGTTCTATGTACCTAATATAAGTGAAAGCATCAATATGTGTTCTGTGTCTGACGTTTCATTTAGCAAAATGTTTTCAAGACTCATCCATGTTGCAGTATGTATCAATACTTAATTCCTTTTCATGGCTAGATATTCCATTTATGTTTATATCACACTGTTTATTCATTCTTCTGTTATTGGACACTTGGGTTGTTTCTGCCTTTTGATTATTGTGAATATTTTTTCTATAAACATTAGTGTACACGCATATGTTTGCATCCTTGTTTTCAATTCTTTTGGGGATATACCTAGGAGTAGAATTGTTGGATCAAATAGTGATTCTACGTTTGACCTTTTGAGAAACTGCCAAACGATGATCCAGAAGAGGCGCCATTTTACATTCCCACCAGCCCAAGGTGACTGTGGGTTTTTCAACCACAGAACACTGTTTTCAAGCAATGCCCACTGTTTTTCCTAGCAGAATGGTTTCTGGGTCAGGTAAAACAGAGATGATGAATACCTTCTTCAGACAGCCTCTGGAAAGATTAAAACAGACAAGCATAATCATTTGTGAATCAGATCTGCTCTCCTCTCTGGAACCAGGGATAAGGGTCCCAGCCTGGGGAATCCAGCCTGCCGTCTTCAAGACTATCACCAAGCTGGACTTGTGGGACAAGCAAAAATGCCACACAGCTTTCATATCATTTTTAAGTTTCCTTTGTGTTGATCCAGCATTCTTTTAGTTGCCGTACACCTTTGATTATTTTCCCGGTTCTCACAAAGTTGGTTCTGACAGTGTCTGGTTGTTTATTCAACATTCCTATGGAAGGATGGGAGCTTAGAGCTGCCTTCCCTGCCATTTTGCTGACACCACTGCAATGGAGCATTCTTGACTCCCCTGCCCTAAGAGTTTGACTTACTCTGCATTCAAATGTCCTCTACCTAACATGACCAAAACACAACTCGTGGTATTTCCTTCTAACCTGCTTCTCTCTTGTGGGCCGCCTGTCTGGGAATGGTTAGATCCTTTACTCAGGTACTCAAGCCAAGAAGAGTTCTCATTTCCCTCTTCTTCTGATTGGTAGCCAGTCAGAACTGTGGCTGCAATACAGCCTTCTAAGACTTGTCTGATCATTCCACTTATGACAAAGTTTCTTTCTTTTTACAACACCCCAGGCTTCTCTCATAGTTCACTTTGATTACTGCAATGCCTCCTGCCTGGATAGTTTGTATCTCATTCTCCCTCTCCCCACTTCCTGTATGCATCTGCCCACAGAACTCATTCTTACCCCTAGAAGTAACCCAAAGACACATGTTCATATTCTATCCCTTGCTCTTGGAGTCATAAGCTGCTTTGGGACAAGGACTGCATATATCCATCCCTGCAACAGTTTCCAGCATATAGAACAAGCTGAACAAATGATTCCTGAGTGTCTGGAACAGACCCGAAATACCAGCCCTCAGAGTGATTAGACACAGTGTAGTATACATTAGTAAGACAGAAACCAGCAAAATGTCTATGCATGTAAATATGATTGCTTAGAAACTTGAAAAACTGAATTCTCTTTCTTGCGTCTTTATCTCTGATTTTGAAAATCCTACCCATTCTTCAAGGTCTATTTTTATTTCTTACTTTCTCCAGCTCCTAACCATGGAATATATTCCTGCCAATTCTGCACTGAATTATACACTCACTGGAAATCCCCTATATCAGCCCTAATGCTTCCTCCACCACAAAGTGGAGGAATATGCAGATGTTAGGAGAGAGACAGCAGAAGCAACAGAAGCTAGAAACAGAGTGTAGCTTCAATGACAGACCAGCCTGCCAGTAATTCATCACTGACATGCTTCATAATGTACTGCCTCATGGTGGCTATGATGAAATACTGTTACTGTGAGTTTTGTCCCTCCACTAGATTTGCATTTTCCTGAAGGTAACAACCTTCATCAACCAGTTTTGTATTAATCAAGAACCCACAGTTCAAGCAGACATACAATATATATTTTCCCAACATAAATTTTCATGTGTTGTTCATGCCTTGGTCTGCTATTGAGCTGGACTTCTGAAATAAACTGTGTTATGCTAGAAATAACTCATAACCAAAGTGTCTCTCCAGCAAAAGCAGGGAGGAAAGTGTCACCTTTCTCAGTACTAAGATTTTTCCTTAGCAAACGGGTGATCTCAGAGTAAGTACCGCTTGCCAGAATCGCTGAGTCCGTTTTCAGAGAGGAAGGAAAACGCTGTGAGCATCAGATCATGCTGTGTCCTGTGTGCATGGGTCTTTTCTTCAGTTGGTGACATTAGAAAACCATCTGGGAAATAACGCTCAAGGCAATGGCTCCCAAATAAAGCATAGAAGACACCTGTGGAAAGGCCCAAGAGTTTGTGTAAGATTTTCAAAATGATTTTGGTTGCACAGTCAACACTATTTTCAAGAACACATTTCTCCTGAGGAAAATGCTCTCTGCCATGCAGTTTGTCACTGAAGCTGTCATCTATGAGTGCCATCTGGACCAAGTTCCAGTTTGGTAATGGGCTCTCACATACATTTGCCCACCAAGAAATTCTGTAACTCATCTACAATGTCCATGGTAAGATTTGCATATCTTAGTTCAAATGAAATAGAAACCTAAAGAAATAAAATTGCCATCTCAGACAAAGAAAGAAGACTTTACCTTGTGAAGAGCCACAGCCTATTCCGAGGAAGTCTCTCTGGTCCGCTCCCCTCCAGGTGGTCCCTGAAATCTAGGAAACGTAGAGTCACTGTCAGCCACGGGAGCTGCTGAAGGACCTCTGGCAGCCTTGGGTGCTGAGGACGAGGACTGGTGTGTGCAGAGGAGGTGGGTGAGAGCACAGGCTGAGCTGCTGCTGGGCCACCCTCCTTGGTGGTGAAGGAAGGTAAAGGAGACCATCAGGAGAGCCCTGGAGGACAGAGCCTCGGGTCTCTGTCTAAGCCACCCTCATCACTGTGAAGTAGGCAGTGTTCACCCAGGCAGCACACAAATGCACGGCATCACTCCAGGACAGGGTCTCCTCACAGAAAGAGGCCTGGTAAATATCCTCTTTTTAAAAAAAGTTACAATGTTTAACGTTCCTGAATCTACATATGCTCCTTCTGCACTTACCATCTATATTACTGGATTTTAAATCATTATTTTGGTGAAAAATACACAATATGTATTATTTTGATTATTAAATGCACACTTCTGTGACATCAGTTCCATTCACAATGCTATCTAGAAAACTAAAAACAATCTTAATTCAGTTTTCTTACCTTCCACCTTGGGAAACTAGAGAAAAAAGTATTGTGTAATGTAAACCCAACATTAACATAGAAAAAAAATATATTCATTATAATAGAAATAATAAAATAAACAGAGAACAAAACAAAACCAAAAGCTGCTTCTTAGAAAAGATAAACAGAATTGATAAACCTCCAGCCAGGCTAACCACAGAGAAAAGATAGAAGACACAATTTATAAATAATGTAAATAAAAAGAGGAATCATTCCTGCTGATCCCATGAATATGAAGAAGATAATAAAGGAATACTTAGAATAAATCTATGCTCACAAATCTGACAGCAAAATTCCTTCAAAGGCAGAAACCATAACTACCCAAAGGAGACTCAGATAATCTGAGTAGGCTTGTATGTATTATAGAAATTAAATCAACAATAACTTTTTAAAAAATGCCCAGTAGATTTTACTGAATTCTACCTAATTCTTACAAAGGAAAACATAGTGTTATTATACAAAAAACTGATTAAAATTCTAAACATTTACCCAGTTAAATTTTAAAATTACACCCATTGCAAAATCTGCACAAGAATGAGGGCAGCTGTATTCGTAATTGCCTGAACTGGAAGCAGCTGAGATGCTCTTCAGGCGGTGAGTGCACCAACCCACACCATTACATGGACCCAATGGAATACGATTCACTGATAAAAATTTGTAAGCCATTAAGCTACAAAAAGATATGAAATCTTGCATGTATGTTGCTAAGCGAAATCAGTTAGTCCTAAGTGGCTGCATACTTTATGATTCCAATTCTATAGAATTTTGGGAAAGAAAATCCATAGAGGCAATAAAATAAATGATCTATAGTAGTCAGGGGTCCTAGGAAAAGAAGAAAGGGATTAATAGGTTCAGCATTGGTCATGTTTTGGGTGTGAAACTCTTCTGTCTGGGTGATGGATGACATTACGAGTTTGTCAAAATCCATAGGCTGAACAACACAGGGTGAGCCTTAGTGCAAACTCTAGACTTTCATTAAGAAGAAGATATCGCTATTGCTTCAACCACTATAACAAATGCACCACATTCATGTAAGATGTGGTCACAAAAAAGATACTGAGGGGGGAGGGTATATGGGAACTTTCTGTACTACTGCAATTTTTAAGTTAATTTACAAGTTTCACATGATGTCCATTTGTTTGAAAATGTGGCAACGCTATCTCAGGAAGAGTTCCATTTTAGCTAATGTCTAACAATCAGCTAGACATTATATCTAAACCTTGCATTAATATCTAAACCTTGCATTGACGTGTTCTTTACTCTTAAAAGTGAACCAAACTTGAAGTGGAAATACATCTTTACTTCTGCATTTGTAGCACTAGTGATTGACTTGTACATTTAAATTGGCACACATGAAATAAAGAAGAATATAGTGTAGCAATTTTAGAGTTATCTGAAGTTTGGGACCCTGAAGAATCTGGAATCCTTATGCTTGCAAGGGTGAGTAACTGAATTTCTACAGTACCTTCAGATGGCTCCCTGCCAGGGTGCACACAGGAATGGTCTGGAATCCTTCTGCTCCCAAGAGTGAGTAACTGAATTTCCATAGTACCTTCAGATGGCTGACTGCCAGGGTGCACCTGAGGATGAGGCCTGCAGCGGAGCACCACGTCTCTGAAACTGAGCTGGCGGACCGTCGATTTGTGACGGACAGTGGATTCTTTGGAGCCCTCAGGATCTTGCATCTTGGAGGCAACACTCTGGGAAATGGATTAAATAAAGACAACTGTTGATATCTTGCTGCAGAAGACCACAGAGAAAGGAGGCACCGTTTATTCACAGTTTAACCCATTTCCTGTGTTCCCCGAGAACACTGTGCTCCCAGCGAGCTGCACTTTTACTTTCTAAATGGGAAACGGGTTAAGTCAGGGGTTCCCAAACCCTGGGCCACCGATGGTGTGTGGCCTGTTAGGAACCAGGCTTGAGCAGCGGCTGGGAGCAAAGCTTCATCTGTATTCACAGCCGCTCTCATCACTCGCATCACCGTCTGAGCTCCACCTCCTGTCAGATTAGCCATGGCATTAGATTCGCATAAAGTGCACGTGGCCTGGATCCCTGGCCTGTGCAGCTCGCAGTAGGGTTTGCCCTCCTAGGAGAGTTGTATAATTATTTCATCATATATTACAATGTAATAATAATAGAAATAAAGTGCACAATAAATGTGCTAGGTTCATCCTGAAAGCATCCTTCCACCCCATCCCGGTCCACTGAAAAATTATCTTCCATGAAAACAGTCCCTAGTGTCAAAAAGGCTGGGGACCACTAAGTTCAGTGTTTGAACCATTGTCCCCTGTTCACCATCTGCAGAAATAAGCCTCCTGAATCTGAGTTGGGCGTTAGGAAGAACTTGCACTGTAGGTTGCACTTAAAACCGTGCAGACCGACTGTGTAGGCAAATCCCTGTACTGAGATGAGACGAGGTAGAAAGGTGGCAGATGGGAGTGACCAAGAGCACGCGGCCTGGTGCACAAAGGTCTGGCTCAAGTCCTTATTGGGAAGCTACATGAACCTGAGAAGTTCTATAGACCCTTCTGTGCCTCAGTTCTCTCTTCCGAGTGTGGAAGTTAACTGAAATGTGGCCATCAAGGCTGGTGCTTAAGTGATTTAGGGAATTAAATCTGTGACCCCCACTGTCTTCTGACTACTGATCTGAGCAGGCTGAACTAAGGCCTGCCTGAGAGTGGGCAGTGTCTAAATGAAGTTTATTGAATAACTTCAAAGTCACACCTGATCAGAAGGGCACTCGAATTTAACAAGACACGGCGTGTGTTCAGTCATGAGTGAATATTCTACTATAGAAGAAATGTAAGCAGAAGAGCTAGTAACTTGAGCAGGGGGGTACCTGGCTCTAACGAACAACATGGGAGGTTTCCTGGTCACCTGAAACAATTAAGACATCAAAAAGCCAAGAGCACAAAATCGTGCTGCCTCTGAGACAAACATTAGTATTTTAGACCTTTAAAAATAAGCATTTTAGTATTACAGCAGCAGAATTAGAACCTGCGGTGGGGGAGGCGGCGGGGTGGAGTTAAAGGGGCTGATGAAAATTTGAAGGAGAGAGTTATCATCCCAGCCTGGAAAAGATGCACCTTTTCCAGGAGAAAAGAAACAAAAGGCAATAATATGGGACCTGTAAATTACGTGTAAAGAGACACAGTAAAAGTCGAACTTCTGAGGTATAAATCTGAGAAGTTTAAAAAATAATAGATTTCAGAATGAAAAATTATTACCTCTTGTAATTTCATTGAGAACAAATTAATATCTTAAGAAAAGCTTATTTTTTAAATCAAAATTTTAGTTTGGTATTAGTGTATTTTTAATATTGTAGCTAATTTTAATAAGACCTTGTAAATAAATCACTTACCCTAGTCAATTTTGACTACAAAGTAAGATTTTCATAAACCTTTTATAACCTCTAATGATTTTTTCTATTTTGTAACTTTTTATATCCACCTGATTGTATTTATCTTTTAAAAATGTCTTTAATTTAAAACAATCCCTCGAAACCTCTTAACTAGGCTATTATGTTTCCCATCAGAAAATCTGTTTATTTTCTTAAAAAACTCTGGATTTAAGATGTTCCGATATCTGATTTAAGATTTTCACATCTCTATTCAGAAGACTTTGGCCTGTAATCCCCCTTTCATGGAATGTCTCTTACCGTATTTGGTATCAAGATCTCCTGATATGATGAAGGCAGTATTGTTGTGTTTCTTCTGGATCTATTCTATGGAAGAGTGTGTACAAAACTGGCCTAGGAAACAGCACATTCTTATAAACAGAGAAAAATATTTAAGGCAAAAAGCTTCATAGGACCGAAAATACAAATTGAGTCATAAAACTATAAAACAAATTTGTAAATCTGTAGACAAATTGGAGCTGGGGAAGTAAAAAGAATAAATTAAGAAGACATTTTAAGTACAAGTGGCCCACGTGAAGAAACTGCAGTGAGAAGATGGAAAGCGGCAAAGGCCACCTCCCATCTTTACCAGCAGTCTCCCAGGTGGCAGTTGAAACCCAGTGGCAGTTGGGATGGAGGGCAGGATATACATCATCACATGACCTCCGTGACAGGTCATCACAGAATATTCAAATGAACACAGGAACACGTGCCACACTCTGGGGTCCAACTGCCGCTCTCTAGACCAGTGCACTTTCACAAGGACAAGGGGCCACTCAGAGTCCACGCTTCATTTCAAAATCTGAATCCCAGACCCACAGTGTTATTCTCTGTGTATGAAACAAATGTTAAGGAAAAAAGACTTGCTTTCAAATATATTTAGTAGTGAAAATTTCAGGGTGAAAACAGTCAAAACTAGTATGTTCAGAATAAAATGAGGTTCCTTCCTTGATTTGAAACATTATCCCCACCCATTTTTACTATTCCTGAGTCATCAGAAATTTCTCTATTCAGAAATTTTAAATTTGTTCCAGATTAAAGTTTAAAATGCCTTACCATAAATTCAAATTTTAAAAGTCAATCTCTAAGAATATCTCACAGTAACTGTATGAAATCTTCTCTTATCAGCTATCTATGTTATCTACTGTTTTTCTCTATGCAACTAAGTTTTCATACTTACTAATTTCTGAATTTCTGAGTTCATTGAGAGATTTCTCTGTCAATGTGTATATGAAAGACTGGCTATTCACTCGGAGATGCTGAAAAAAGCAGCATTACATGTTTACCAATGTGTTGTTTGAAAATATATAAAGAGTGATTTTCTTTTTTTTATTATACTTTAAGTTTTAGGGTAGAAGTTTTAGATACATGTACACAACGTGCAGATTTGTTACCTATGTATACATGTGCCATGTGGGTGTGCTGCACCCATTAACTCGTCATTTAACATTAGGTATATCTCCTAATGCTATCCCTCCCAACTCCCCCCATCCCACAACAGGCCCCGGTGTGTGATGTTCCCCTTCCTGTGTCCAAGTGTTCTCATTGTTCAATTCCCTTGGCAACAAAAGCCAAAATTGACAAATGGGATCTAATTAAACTAAAGAGCTTCTGCACAGCAAAAGAAACTACCATAAGAGTGAACAGGCAGCCTACAGAATGGGAGAACATTTTTGCAATCTACTCATCTGACAAAGGGCTAATATCCAGAATCTACAATGAACTCAAACAAATTTACAAGAAAAAAACAAACAACCCCATCAAAAAGTGGGCAAAGGATATGAACAGACACTTCTCAAAAGAAGACATTTATGCAGCCAAAAGACACATGAAAAAATGCTCATCATCACTGGTCATCAGAGAAATGCAAATCAAAACCACAATGAGATACCATCACACAGCAGTTAGAATGGCGATCATTAAAAAGTCAGGAAACAATAGGTGCTGGAGAGGATGTAAAGAATGATTTTCTAAATGGAGAGTTCTGATAACCTCAAATGGTCCCTTCCTTGGAGGGTTATTTTGAAGAATAAGTAAGGAAGTATACACAGCATATTGCCTGACTGGTATTAAGCATTACATATTCTTTCAAAAAGGGTGGGCAGCTGGAGGGATGAGGCATGGCCCCCTTTTCCCAGGACCTTCTTTGGGCACATGGATGCCTAACCCTAAGCTGCAAAAATATGCAGCCCAACCCCCGAAGGAGAAGAAATGTCTGCTTCCTATTTCTCTTTGTGCGTGTGTTTTGCTTGGCCTTCTCAGGGCCTCTCCAGCACCAGAGCAGCCAAGCTGCTGGCCCACCACGAGCCCAATGTCCTCATGCCTCCCAAGCAGACACCAGAGATTGTCAGGTTCCTCAAGCAGATGGTGGAAGGTTCTCCCTCCTCCTATGGACAGGTGCCTTCCTGTGCTGGATCGCATGTGGGAATCAGCACTCCCAACAGTCCCTGGACAATATAAGGCTCCTGAGTGTCCCCTCCTGGTTTTGCTCAGGCAGTAACAGGGAGAACAGAGGCTGTCACTGCATGGGTGTGGGAAAAACAGTCATTTCCTCCGCTGTAAAACAGAAATGGTACCTGCGTTTCCAATGTCTCACAGGCAGTCTGTGCATGAATTTTACAAAAGAGAGAGACAGACATGAAGCACCTTGCATTTTTAAGAGGAAGAAAATCTGCATCCATGTGTAGTATCTTTGGGCTCTGTTTCCTCCAAGCTAGCCTTTCCCTTTAACATGGAGAGCATGTGTGCCTGATGAGACCTGGGAAATCAAATCACAAAATTGAGTCCGCCACATGACGCTGACAGACAGAAACCAGAGGCAGCAAGGTGTCGCAGGGTTAAATTGATGTGAAATGTGCAGAACAGGCACATCCACAGGGCAGGAAGCAGATCAGTGGTGCCGGGGCTGGGGATGGAGCAGAGGGTACTGCAGAAGGGCAGGGGGCATCTGCTGGCAGCATGGAGATGCTGAGGCTGGAGTGCAGGATGGTGACAACTCTGCAAACTTACAAAAAAGTCAACAAATGGTGCACTTAACATAGGTGAATGCTGTGGCCTGTAAATCACACCAGGACACAGCTGCCAGCATCACATCCTCCTATAGAGAGCTCCAGCCTCCAGCCTTGGGTCCTTGCTGCTGCCTGTTTCTCTGGCTGATGCCCCTGCTCCTCACCCAGGTATACTTGGCTCTGTACTTGTCCTAGTTGTCATTTTGATAGGGATCTTTACCTGTTAGCAAGAGATAAAAAGCACTGACATCGTGTCCATCTTTTCAAGATGATCCTCAGGTGGGTGCCAGCCACCGCTCCTCTGGTCTCTGGTGACTCCCAGGTGAGGAAGCCTCAGGAGAGTAGGAGCTTGGGGCCCCAGGAGCCGAGAGTCCCTGCTCAAGCTCCAGCCTGCCCTTCCCTGTCTGAGAAAGCTTGGGCAAGTTACATCTCTCTGAACCCTGTTCCTCACAGGATTTTGATGATCAAGCATGTTCCCATCCAGGAAAATGTGAATCACTGTCCAACATCTATGCCTGCTCTCAGCATTTGTGGACAGTTATCTGGGGGTTTCTGGGAAGAGCCTATAGAAGGTCAGGGAGTTTCTTAACCAACAGCAGAGGAGACCCACCTGGGATTGTTGATCTGTGACTGTTCTGAGACAGTCTGAGTCCCAAAATGCACTCAGCCAGGGGAACTAGCACTCCCCTCTCCCCAGGAACCCTGACAGGTGTCCGAAGCAGGAAAGCCATGCTGGCCCTGGCTCAGGGAACTGCTGGCTGGAGTGAAGGTTCTAGGTGCAAAGGATGCCTCCTGCCGAGCTCAAAGCAGGAGATCACCTTGTTAGAATTTCCCTGACCCTCACGAGATTATTAACACCTTCAGTGTTCTTCCCAGATGCCCAGCCAGTATAGCTCACCCTTGTTTCCCTTTCTATGAGCCCAGGGCTCTTGCTTTGTTAGATCTGCCTGACAGCAGCCTTTTCTGGTTCCAAGAACATCTCTTTGAGCTTAAGAAAGAATAGTTCTTAGAGTCTTCAGCTCCTAGGTCAAACTATCTTCAGTTGTATTCTTGCCAATGTGACAGCTTCAGGTTCCAAGGCCTCCATGCTGGGGTTTGCTGCAGCACAGATTGGAGAGGAGGGCTGGGGTCCTTCTAGGATATGAGGCACCTGTCACAGCTTTCTTCTGCAGCAAGCTCTTGTCATCTCAGATTCTGAGGAGATCATCGCTGCAGAGCAGCTGGGGTGTGGACATTGTGGAGGCTAAAGAGGAGACCAGATCTCTGCAGATATCAAGGTGCTGCCTTCTACGGGGTGTCGGGCAAGTGGCAGGGGCACCAGCCCTGGGGACTGTGCTTAGAGCAGCTGGTGTTCCACCTTTCCCTACCTCAGTGTAAGAGGCAAGGAACAAGGTGCCTAATTTTGATCTGTTTTCCACATTTCTTCTAGGTGGGTAACTCGCCCGTCATGGGGGAGTCTGAGCCCTAGGCCCGCTCCTCTGAGTTGCACACGAGACCCTCTTGGGAACAAGAACATCTGTTTCTCTTCTCCAACCTGTCTGGGAGGTGAGGCTGCTAGCTCTCGGGCTGCATGCCCACGCACACCCCTTCTCCCTTCTGGGGCCTCATGTCTGTTCTTTGTGACACCTTGTTACAAAGCTTGTCCTAGAGGAAGCATGAAACTGAAGGGCCTAGATGACACATGTTTGGTCTTCGTAACATTACACGCTCATGGATCATGCAAGCGCTGAGGGAAGGCTACAAGCTGGCTGTGTGCCCCTCATAGCTAACATCCCTGGAATAAAATGTCTACTTCCCTGGTAGGCATCGCCACGGCATAGTGATTGGCACGGTGACCGCACACCACTGGTCATATTGCCTCCTTGATCTCAGGAGTTGGAAATGAGAAGATGCCATTGCCGCTGAGAGGGGGCACTGTGTTGGTTTGTGGCGGGAATGGCCATCTCCACCAGCACCTTTTTCTTCATCATGGCAGTGTCCCTGCAGTATCACATCCTGGACTCTGTTATATTCCTCACTGGCATCATTGTGGCCAATGTGCCCAAGGTGTCCTGGCCACTGTTACTGTGAGTCCCTGCTGTTAGGCAGCTGCACTCAGCCCTGTGGACACAGCATTGCTGCTCTCTCCACCAAGTCCAGGGCACCAACCCTCCCTGCCAGGGACAATCACGGCACCTTCTGAATAGACTGTTTCTTAGAGGGACAAAAGGAACTGTCTAACATTAGACAAACTTACTTTAAAACAACAACAAAAATATTAACAGAAATAAGGATATTTTATAACGACAAAGGGTAAATTAATCGGGAAAATGTAAAACTTATTGACATGTATGCACTCAGGGAAAGAGTACAGAAACACAAGAAGCAAAACTTGACAGAAATGAAATAATTCAGCAATGATAGTTGGAGACTTTAATACCCCACTTACACTAATGGGTATAACAACTAGACACAAGATAACAAGGAAATAGAAAATATGAACAACATTAGAAACCAAATACACCTAACAGATACATATGGAACACGCCATTCAACAGCAGAATCTGTATTCTTCCCAAATGCACACAGAACATTTTCTAAGACACTATGCAAAGCCATAAAACAAACATCAATTAAATTGAAGGATTAAAATAATACAAAGAATATTTTCTCATCATAATAAAAGCAAATTAGGGATCAATGAAAAGAAGAAATCTGGGAAACTCCTAAAAATGTGAACATTAGCAAAAATTTTCCAAAATAATAAAAGGCCAAAAAAGAAACCACAAGTAGTATAAGACAGTATTTTAAGATAAATGAAAAAGTAGACAAAACCTAAAAAAACTTACAGGATTAATTGAAAACCATGCTCTGAAGGAAGCTTATAGCAGAATTCCATCAATGAAAAAGCAGAAAAATCTCAAATCAATAATTAAATGCCTGTTAAAAACATTTAAACGGAAATGGCTGACCCCACTCATCTGAGAAAAGGATATCAGTTGGGGCAAAAATAGTCTTGCTGAAAAACCCTAGGAAGGAAGACTTGGAAAGGACACCCTTTGGAATTTAGGGCTGTGACAATAGTTTTGGGAATCTAGAAGGCAATGTGGATGCTCGGGGCCAGGCACGTGATCAGGAATGACCCAGGAAGACCCTAAGCTCTCACCTCTGACCTTCAAGCTCTGCAGAAGAAGAAAGTAAAAAGAAGTTGTCATTAGATTAAAATAACTGGTTATAAGATGTTCTTTACAAGCTTCATGGTAACCAAAAACCAAAATCCTATGATAGGTATGCACAAAATAGAAAGCAAGCAGTTAAAACATACTACCAGAGCAACTCACTTTTTATACAAAGGAACACAGGAAGCACGAAAGAAAGGAAGAGAGGACCAAACAATCAACTAGAAAACAAGTAGCAAAATTGCAATACTATGCCCTTACCTATCAATAATAACACTGAAGGTAAATGGACTAAATGCTCCAATCAAAAAACACAGAGTAGCTCAATCAATTAAAAGACAAGAGCCAACTATCGGCTTCCTACAAGAAATCCACTTCACCTATAAAGACACATATAGATTGAAAATGAAGGGGTTGAAAAAGACGTTCCATGAAGTGAAAACCGAAAAAGAGCAGGAGTAGCTACACTTATATGAGATAAAATAGATTTCAAGACAAAAACTGTAAAAAGAGACAATAAAGTTTATTATATAATCATCAATTCTTCAAGAGAATATAACTATTATAAATATATATGTACCCAGCATTGGAGCACTCAGATATATAAAGCAAATATTATTAGAGTTAGAGAGACAAACACCAATAAAATAATAGCTGGGACTTTAACACCCCACTTTCAGCACTGAACAGATCATCTAAACAGAAAGTTAACAAAGAATCATCAGACAATCTGTACTGTAGACTCAATGGACCTAATACATATTTACAGAATATTTCATCCATCAGCTTCAGAATACACATCCTTCTCCCCAGCACATAAAACAGACCCAAAGATTGACCATATGGTAGACCACCAAACACGTTTCAAAAAAATTTTTTGAAAACATGAAATTACATTAAATATATTTTAATATTTAATAAAACATATTAAATATGTTTTATTTAATGCTTTATTAAATATTAACACATATTTAATAATATGGAATAAAACTAGAAATAAATAACTAAAGAAACTTTGAAAACCATACAAACACATGGAAATTAAACTACATGCTTCTGAATGACCATTGAGTCAATGAAGAAGTTAAGAAGAAAATGTTTAAAAAATTTCTTGAGACAAATGAAAATGGAAACACAATGTAACCAAATCTATGGGATACAACAAAAGCAGTACTAAGTGGGAAGTTTATAGCAATAAACACCTACATAAAAAGTAGAAAAACTTCCAATAAACAACCTAATGTTGCATCTTAAAGAAATAGCAAAGTAAGAGCAAAGCAAACCCAAAATTAGTAGAAGAAAAGAAATAACAAAGATCAGAGCAGAAGCCAGGGTGGTGGCTCACGCCTGTAATCCCAGCACTTTGGGAGGTCAAGAGTTTGAGACCAGCCTAGCCAACATGGCAAAACCGAGTCTCTACTATAAATACAAAAATTAGCCAGGCATGGTGGCTGGTGCCTGTAATCCCAGCTACTTGGGAGGCTGAGGCAGGAGAATCGCTTGAACCGGGGGAGGCAGAGGTTACAGTGGGCTGAGATCGTGCCATTGCACTCCAGTCTGGGTGACAAAGCAAGAATCCGTCTCAAAACAAAACAAAACAAAATCAAAACAGAAATGGAGACTAAAAAAAATACAAAAGACCAATAAAATTTCCAGTTATATTGAATCATCAAAACCAGCAACAGACGCAGCAGCACAGGGCACAGCTGCAGCTACAGGAGCAGCAGCAACAGGCTTTGCAGGCCCAGTGCCAATACAGCAGCCACCAATGCAATGAAACGCGGCTCACTCATGAGCCCAGCGGGCTCCAGCCAGGCCGAGCAGCAGCAGTGCCTGGACAAGCTAAAGCCGCTGCCCAAGTACAGGGAGCCCCTGCGCCGCCTGAGCAACGGGATCCACGGGAACCAAGACATCAAAAGGGCTGCGGTAAGACGAGCCTTCTGGACGCTCTGACAGTCCGCTCTCAGCGGTGTCCCCTGGAGACCCTGTGGAAGCCTGAGATCGCCCTGGAGAAACGCAAGCATGACCTGGAGGTGCCCACGCCCCGAGTGCCCCTGGCGCCGCTGACCACGCAGCAGCACCTGCGCTGGCCGCTCCTGGAAGCCGGCCTGGCCCGCATCTGCTCGGAATCCTGAACCATTCCCTGCACCGCGCCTTGGTGCTGCCCAGCACAAACACCTTTCCAAAGGAGGCAAATCAAATACGCATCTATCTCAGTGAGCAGGGGAGAGACTTTAAATAAAATGGGAGGCAGGGTTGCCCTAAGCAGCTCCCAGCTTAAGTTTAATTTAATGATTTTGGGGGGCCCAAAATATTTTCCTTTCACAGGCGCAATGGGAGCTCAGGGTCTCCTGAGAGTATCTTGTGTGCAGGCTCGAGGCACCTCCACTCGCTTCCACAGGGGAACACGGAGGACACAAGAAACCCTTCACACACACGATTCTCTGATCGCAGCTTTGGGTTCAGGCTCCCTGCTTTCCGCATCTGAACGCCGCAGGCGGAAGTTAGGGTCAGGGTGCAACGCTGCCTCTGGAGGGAGCCCGGGCCTAGAGGCTGTCAGCTACCCGCCCCCAGCTGGAGCTCAGCCCCGCCGAGCTTCGGCTCAGCACTGCGGGCGCCCGCGGAGCAGGGACATCGGAGATCCTGTCCTCCGCACCCCTGCCCCGCTTTCGGGTCAGGGCCGCACCCCTGCTGTGCAGGATGCCCCGCGATGTCTGGGGGCCCTGCGCTCAGAGCACCCCGGGCGCTCTGCGCCACTGCAGAGTGTGCGGCCCTGGCAGGAGAGCCGTGCCTCCCTCTGCTACCCACACTCGGGACCCAGAGCAGCTCTCTGGCCACAGGATCCCCCTTTTTAATGTGCGCTGCCCCATCATCCGTGACTTTTTCTCTTTTTTTTGGACACAGCTTCGCTTTGTTGTCCAGACTGGAGTGCAATGGCGCGATCTTGGCTCACTACAATCCCCGCCTCCTGGGTTCAAGCACTTATCGTGCCTCAGCCTCCTGAGTAGCTGGGATTACAGGCGCCGGCCGCCACGCCCAGCTGATTTTTTGTATTTTAGTAGAGGCGGGGTTTCACCATCTTACACAGGCTGGTTTCCACTACTGAGCTCAGGCAATCTGCCTCTCTGGACCTCCCAAAGCGCTGATTACAGGTGTGAGCCACAATGCCCGGCCTCGTGATTCTTACAATTGTATCACTCCTGTGTTTGTCCGGGGTTTATCACTGCAGCGGCCCCTTCTCCGTCCATCTGGGGCCCGCTGTCCCCTCAGGATGCTGTCAGCCTTGGAGCTGGCAGAGACCAGTCTGGCCCTGGATGCCCAGACCTTACCTCTCCTCTGATGCAGGGTCCTCTTCCTCCACCTGGTTCACCCCCCAGCTTCCTGGCACAGTTCTTGCTCCCTGTAGCAGCAAGAGACTGAGCTTAATGCCAGGAAATCTGGGCTGTGGGACATGAGGTTGGGCTGCCAGTGAGGGTGGCACTGAGCTGACCACCCAGGACAATGGTGGCACCTGGGGCTATGGCGATGGGGGCCACATGGGCTGGGCAAGGCACTCTGGAGATGGCTGCCCAGAAGGATGATGACCTGGTAGGACCAGGCCTAAGCGACCCTGTGTGAGGCAGGAGAAGCCAGCAGCTTGCCCCCAGCAGTGTGCGGTGTTTGTGAGGAAGCTGCCGGCCCAGCAGGGCACCAGGAAAGCCCTCCCGTCTCCAAAGAGGGCCTGCACAGCTTTGCCAATGGTTTTTTTCCAGGGTAGCTGCCAGGTCCTGGAATGAGCAAGACTCAGCTGCCCAGAGGGGTCCCTGCGGACAGCAGGGGCTGGGATGGGACACCTGATAGCCAGTGAGAAATGCAAGCACAACTTGGGAGAAACACAAGTCTTATTTTCAGTCTTACAGATAAGGCGATCCTCATTTTGTCATGTGCATTTGTGTACCCACTGAATAGCAAAATAACAGCAAGAAAAGATGACAATTTATATTTTCATAGACCCAGAAAAAGTAACAGGCAACCCTGTGTTTCAAATTTTCGATTAGTTGATTTTACAGTGCAAACATGGAAGAATCTGCAGCATGGTAGGAGAAAATAATTTTATTAATTTTATAATTTTACTGAGATTGCTATTTAAAATAATTAGATGTGGGGATACTACAGGAAAATAGGAAAACGTTCATGCTGCAGATGAGTTTTTCAGATGAGTTTTAACAAATATTTTTGAATCTTGAATCTTTGAATAAGATGAAATTATTCTGAATATGTGTGTTTGGGTGATAACAGTTGCCAACAAAAATATGGCTCATAACACCAGTTTCATTTGATTGCCTTTGGTACATTTTTTAAAATGCTACACTACTTTATTCCACATTAGGTGAAATTTATTTTTTCTTAAAGTCAGATTTTATCATGTAAAAAAACATTCTGGATATGTAGGTAAATTTGATTTATTATCTGATTATAGGAGTTTCTGACTGTAACTGGCATTGTTTGGATACAGGAGAGTTAATTAATCATCATTAATGAATCACAGTTAATATGTCCATTACAGTTGAGTGCTACATCTTTACACTGGAAGAAGCAGTGGATGTGTAGCAGAAACTTTCGAGTAAAATAGTTCTGGGTTCTTAATCCCTTCTCTGATATCTACCAACTCTGTGTCCTTAGGCAAGTTAATTACCATCACTTTCCTGATCCATAAAGGGAATAATACCAATGTCTACAAAATACAGTCAGAGTGAAGTTTCATGAAGTGATGAATGTAAATAACCTGGCAGAGTGCCTGGGGATACAGCATGATTCATCACGATACCTACTAATATTAATACTGTCCAGTTAGAAAATTATTTAGATAAAATCATCTGGGTAATCATCACGGTGTATTAGCAACACAAAATCAATTTATAACCTCTTTTTACTCCTGCTGGAGAAGCTGTAAAGCCTAAAGATTTGCCTTCTCAGTTTCCTTCTGGCTAGAGCTAGTCATGAGACCTTGTGGCCAATGGAATGATACCAACATACAAGACTTCTGGAAAAACCGGACAGACTCAGGTGACCTAGATTTTAGCTGTTTGCCCCTTCTCTTTTCCCTTGTCTTTCTAATATCTGGGATGTGGGTGTGATGTTTGAAACTGTTCCAGCCCTGGACTCGGGCGTTCAGAGTCAGAGGAACGTGTGTGGGCTGAAGGTGGCAGCGCTGGGGTGGCAGAATGGGTGGCGATGGGTCCAGCAGGGAGCATAGGGTCGGGGGACGTGGGTGCCAAGGCCCAGAAGCCAGGAGGAGGCAGGAGGGACAGCATTGTGCCTAGAACCTGGGAAGAGACAGAGGGGATCCCCAAGGTGAGTCCCCAGTTTAAAGTCTCAGGTGCCCTCTGCTGTGGCCACAGACGGCCAGGGAATTGGAAAACCCCACTGCATGGAGTTGGCCCAGGCAGGGCTGGACACCCATCGGGAGCACCCCAAGTGCAGCGTGGGCGACTGGGAGCTGGCCTGGGGGTACAGCTGCTGCCCGGCTGACAAAAATTCACCAATGGTTGCCGTGGTTCAGATGTCCCTCTCATGGCCATGACTGGGGGACACAGTGGAGAATGGGCACAGGCTCACAGGTCAGTGAGGACAGTGCAGGTGTCGGGGACTTGAGGGAGGGGAGTAGCACTGGGCAGGCCCCTGGCCAAGCCTGGATGACGGGGCAGGTGGAAGGGCAGGGAGTACCATGTGCCCGGCCGTGCACTGTGGACACGGGGGCTTCCCTGCTCCCGTCCTGGTGGCCAGAGTGAGGATGTTCTATGCTCCTTCAAGGACATCAACCGCCTCCCCTTCCTGGGACCTTGGACAAGGCGCACTGTCCAGGTTCCCCCCACCGGCCTCACAGGGTCTGGTGAGTATGGCAGTGGGACAGGGCCACTCTTGGCCCAGGCTGCAGTGAGCACTCAGCCAACCTGGCCACAGTCTGGTCACTGGGGACCTGGTGTCTGCTGCCCACAGGCCTAAGGACCCCAACACCCATCCCAGCCCAGGCTCCCCAAGGCTGGGCAGATGAGGGTGAGAGGCCCCTGTTCGCTGGGACCCATTCTTGACAGGCTGGGCTGGGCTGTGCAGGGGCACACCCGCTCTGGGGGGATGTGGGGTGGGGACACTTCTGGGCCTGGTTCTGTTGGCCCCAAGGACAGACATGGCATCCCTGGCAACAGCTACACCAGAGGCTCAGGAGCCAGGAGACAGAGCCTAGGCCAGCCGGGCCCCTACTGGGGATGAGTTACAGGGGCTGCAGATGCAGAGGGACTCTCTGGGGGGGTCAGCACCAGGGGACAGACAGAGGCTGCAGTCCCCCCGCCCCAGGCTGGGACAGAGGATGAACCAGCCCCCACCCTTCCCCACCCAGCATTCCCCAGGGGCTGCTGTCACCCTGCACACAAGAAGCTGTCCCAGGCTGTCACCATCTGACACTGCCCAGGCTCTCCCCTCAGAATCCCTGATTAGCAACTATGGCCACCCTAGTCCCTCCCACTAACCTTGGGCAGAGCACAGGGACCCTGATCTCATCTGCACTGCTGCCACCTCCACCCCCAGTATGGTGCATAACTGGGCTGGGAGGGGGATCCCAGGACGGTGCACGCTTGGGGAGCCCCAGCACCCAGGCAGTGGGAGGCCAGGGAGGAGCCATCCCTGCTGGGCACAGCACGGTCACTGCAGACCATGGGTCAGCCTCAGCGCTGAGGACCCACCAGCACACAGGAGGCGCTCAGTAAATGCTGGAGGAGTAAGTGACGGTCCACGTGGTGTGAAACTCCTGTGCCCTGGAGCCCTACCCAGACTCTAGCACTGTGATGTTTATTTCTCCCACCCCAAGCCCCCCTCAGTGACACCCTGGGACCCTTAACAAATGCCTTTTTCTTCCAGGGTCCATTTGGACCTCAGGGCCCTCTAGGATACCCAGGACCTCCAGGTGTCAAGGTAACTGACCTCCAGGCTGGGGATAAAGGACTGTGTTGAAGGGAGCGAGATGGGGTCTCAGGGGCTCGCTCCTTCCAACCCACCTCCATCCCCTGGCCACTCTGTCATCCTCTAATTTCAGGGTGCAGATGGAAATCGGGGTCTGAAGGGCCATAAGATGAAAAGGTGAGCAGAATTTCCCAGCACCTCACTCCTGCCATCGCCGCTCCTCAGCCTGCCCCTGGCTGCCCTCCAGCTCCTGATCCCACCCTTCCACCCATGTTCTCAGAATCCTCCATTAGAGCCCCCGGCCCTCTGTCATCTGTGGGGTCATCTCACCTCCACCTTTCTCAGGGGATGGCTTTCTGAGGTTCAAAGGTGACATAGATGTGAAAGGTGTCAGGCTGAGTAAAGACCCCACACTGGCCCCAACTCCATGTCCTAATGATTCTCCACTCTGGAGTCCCCAAGCACCGGTTCATTCCCCGGAGGTCCCGGGCTCCTCAATTCCAGTGCTGTGCATCCTTGGGGGCCTGGTCCCTGCAGGACGGCAAACCCACGATCTGCATCGCGCTGGCCCTGGATCACCACACTCTCTATACCCCACAGGCTCCCTCTCCTGCAACAGCTCCTGGGATCCGCCAGCCCCACTCGGCCTCACTGGTGCCCCTTTCCCCTCTGGGCCCAGACCTCATCCCCAGGCCTCCAAACTCACCTCTCCCACTCTCTCACTCACGGTGAGGCTGGAGCCCTGGTTCCAGAGGAGAGGATGGTCCCAAGGAGCAAAAGGAACACAATGCACTGACTAGAGATCCTGGGCTTCCCAGGGCTCGCAGGCAAGATGACGACAGGAAGAGAGGTCTGTGCCTGGACCCTCTAGGGATGTGGGCACTAGGTCAGGGCGGGCATGGGGGGTGCCCGCAGCTAACATCAGCCAGTTAATTGAAGATGGCCATGCATTAATTATGCTCCTCTCTCTATAAACGGCACCTTCTGGCTGCTGATGGGTTGAGGAGCCTATAGGAAAAGTCAAGGAAAAGCCGCTGTTGTGAAGAGTTGATTGGAGATGAGGCACAGAGTGGCTGCAGGTCCCAGGCAAAGTGAACATGCCCAGACTCAGAGCAGTGGCAGCTTCGAAAAGGGAGTGTCCAACAGCAGTGAGACCTGTGGTCTCCAGGGCTGACTCCCCCCAGCCCTCGCCATGTGCAGGCACTGTGCTAAGGTGTCCTCTCCATCCTGTGAGGTGGGCGTGGATGGTCCTGTTTTGCAGATGAGACTCTCCAGAGGCACAGAAAGGCTTGGTCATCACATGGGCAGTGATGCACAGGCCAGGGGCTGAGTCAGGGCAGTCTGGCTGCAGAATTGCTGCTCTCAACCCTTGCTCCACCGCATCCCGGGCAGGAGGAGCCCTGGAGCATCAGGAGGAAGGGGACAGGTTGGGGAGTTGGGGTGTTGTGCCACGTGGGCAAAGGGCAGGGGTCCTGCAGGGTGACTGGTCTTGGTGGATGGAGCAGGAGTGGGTGCTGGGACAGATGGTACTGAGGTCGGCAGGTGGGCTGCAGCTGGATCACAGTGACCCTGAGGACTTGACAGGGCTGCAGGCACAGGAAAGCAGGATCCCAGCACTAGAGTTGGGGAAAATTCGCCCTCTGGAAGGAGAGACTGCAAAAGGCAGCCATGGGGCAGGAGAGAAGGGGCTAGGAGCTGGGGTGTGTGGGTGCACTGGGGGATGGGGCATGGCCCTCACATGTGAGGGTCGGGGTCTCCAGAAAGTAGCACCTGGGCCTCCTCTCACTCCTAATTGCTCCCTGTCCCTCCACAGGGCAAGCTGGGTGTTCCTGGTCTGCCTGGCTACCCCGGATGCCAGGAACTCAGGGTGACACCGGGTGTGTGCCCCTCCTCCTTTTCACTTCCCTGACTTCGATTCCAGGGAGCACAGACTAGCAGAGCAGTGGGGGGCCCTCAAGAGTGTTTAGCGGCCCCCAGTCTACAGATAACAGAGAGGCCGAGAGCAGCAGGGGTTTGTCCCAGGCCACCTCATTTGTGGCAGGATCCAGGTCTCCACGCTGCTGCCTGCATGGCCTCTGCTGGCCCCCTCTGCCCCTTCCCGAGCCTGACCTCTCATAACTTCTCAATTTCCCCGCTTCTCCTTCCTCACCAGGGACTCCTGGGATTTCCTGGCTTTCCTGGAGTCAGTGGGGAGAACGGAGCCTGAGGAAGCTGGGGGCAGGGAGAAGGTGTGGAGGGAAAGGCTGGAGGGGTGTGGGGGGGGCTCTGTGGGGAGGCACGCCCCGGGGGATGTCCACTCCATTCCCACCAGGGCCTGTCAAGGAAGTCAGGGCCTCGAGGAGAATGGGGCCTCATGGCAAGTGCAAGGGAGAGAAACAGGGGGCTCAAGGTCCAAATGGGTTTGGGTTTTTCTGACAACAACGCTCCCCTCTCTAGGGTCCACAGGGTCAGCCGGGTCCTCGAGGTGCCACTGGGAACTCTGGAGCTAAGGTCAGTGGTCTCTGCAGGGCTCCCCCTGACCCCTGCCCACTGAGCCCCAGCTCTCCCTCAACCACCTGACCTTGGGGACAACTGAGGAGCAGCTCCTCCCACTCTGTTTCCCCCATAGGGAACATCGGGGGCGAAGGCCTCCATGGGCCCCCCAGAGACAGGGTGTGTGTGGCATGAGTGTCCTCTCTCTCCATGCTCCCAGGGAGCCTGGGTGAGCCAGCTCCTTCCTCACCCCAGTGAGGACCCCAGCCCCTGCCCCCATTCTCCTGACTCAGCCCACCTCTGTCCCTAGGGTCTTCCTGATTAATGTGTCTGGTCCTCTGCCTCCCTTTCCCCAGGCCATAAACTCTAGTCTTGTCTCAGGGGCCAAAAGAAGCCCCTTTCCCCAGGAGGGCTTCACTGTCTCCCTGTAGTGACCTTGGAGCACTTATCCTGGCCTCTGCCCCAGAAATGGGCCCACCTCCCTAAGCAATGACGCCTATTTCTGCTCCTCCTTCAGGGCCCACAAAGCGCCCCAGGAGGCATTGGGAACCTGAGTCCCCCTGGAGAGATGGTCACTGGGAAGGGGGTGAATGGACAAGTATTTCAACTGAGGGATGAAAGTTGGTTTTCTGCCAATTTTGACTGGGGAGACATAAAAGAATGAGATGTGGGGAACACCAGGATTTTTTGAGGGGGCAAATAGGTTTTTGACCTCAATCTCTTTGCAGGGGGAGCCAGGACATTCAGGATCTCCAAGGATCCAGGGTGAGCCAGGTGTCAAGGAGACTGGCAGCTCCAGGGCCCTACTTTCCAACCCCTTTCACCCCCCTCACTGCACCCCACTTTTCCTGTGACCTCTTTGAGCTGGAGCTCCTCTGTGGCCAGGAGTATCTGCTCTGGACCATACTCTCAATAAGCCCTTCCTCTCTTACCTCCAAGGGAAAGAGACCAGGGTCTCCCCTTATAGGCTGGACTTTCTGTGTCTGTCACATTGTCCCTGAGGGCAGTAGGGTGTGGCTGAAGGTGTCTTGGAAGCAGAGGCTGCATCCCTGATCTTCAAGAACCCCCAGACCATCTGTGCCCTTCACTTGTTCTGCAGCACCCATGTGGGGAGCGTGGGGAGAATACAGTAGATTTGGGGCAGCTGGGAGAGGCAGGACCACCAGGGCCTAAAGGACACTGGGGTCAGGTGACAGCCCCAAAGGGAACACTGCGATTTTGGGGGCATGGAGGCTGAGGCCCCTCATCCCTTGTGAATGACAGCCCTGGGATTATGGGTGTCTGTGAGCAAGGATCTTGGAGTGTGGGGAGCCCAGGAGTTGGGGGATGCCTGGGAGGGAGGCTCTGGGAATGGGATCTCCTGGGAGGATTCATGGGGTCTGGGATCCAAAGAGAAAGTGAGAAAGGCCCTGTGGCTAATACCCTGAAGCATCAGACGGCATGCAGTGAGTGCATGAAGTGGAGAGGGGGCACTTCGATAAAATCATCTTTCACTCTTCCTATACAATCAAAGATATCCTAGGTTTAATTTTTCTCCTCCTCCTTTTAATAATGCTAGCACTATCTTCACCTGACCTCCTGAGCGACCCAGATAATTACGCCTTAGCCAACCCCTCAAAATAGCCATCTACTTTATTTTATGATCAGGATGAGCAACCTATTCAAACTATGACTAATCGGCGTGTTACAAACCATCACCTAATTTCATATGAAGTTACCCTAGCCATCAGCCTATTATCAGTTCTACTGATAAGCAGCTCATTCAATTTATATATACTTATCACAACACAAGAATCCCTCTGACTACTCTTACCATCATGACCCCTAGCCATAATATTATTTATTTCTATATTAGCAGAAACTAACCTAGCCCCTTTTGACCTAACAGAAGGAGAATCAGAGTTAGTCTCAGGTTTCAACATCGAATATGCCACAGGTCCATTTGCCCTCTTCTTTATAGCAGAATACATGGATATTATAATAATAAATTCCCTAACTACTACAATTTTCCTAGGTACAATTATACTCTATGTATTCACCGGAATTCTATACTACGTATTTCATTACCAAGACCCTCCTCTTAACCTCCCTATTTTTATGAATTCGAACAGCCTATCCCCAATTCCGCTATGATTAACTTACACATCTTCTATGAAAAAACTTTCTACCACTTACACTAGCATTCTGTGTATGATATATCTCAGTACCCATCATAATCTCCAGCATCCCACCCCAAACGTAAGAAATATGTCTGACAAAAGAATTACTTTGACAGAGTAAACAACAGAGGTTAAAATCCTCATATTTCTAGAACTACAGGAATTGAACCCATCCCTGAGAATCCAAAATTCTCCGTGCTACCTATCACACCACGTCCTAAAGTAAGGTCAGCTAAATAAGCTGTCAGGCCCATACCCCAAAAATGTTGGTTACATCCTTCCTGTACTAATTAACCTATTAGCTCAGCTTATCATCTACTTTACTATTTCTACAGGTACCCTTATCACAATGCTAGCCTCACACTCATTTTTCCTCTGAACAGGCTTAGAAATAAATATACTAGCCCTCATCCCAATCTTAATTAAAAAATAAATCCCTGCTCCACAGAAGCAGCCACTAAATATTTCCTTATACAGGCAACCGCATCTAGAGTCCTCATAATCGGTATTCTCTCCAATAATCTGTTATCCGGACAGTGAACAACAATAAATACTGTAAATCAGTTTTCATCCCTAATAATAATAATAGCCTTAGTAATAAAATTAGGAATAACCCCCTTTCACTTCTGAGTTCCAGAAGTAACCCAAGGAACTTCTCTAACATCTGGCATACTTCTCCTCACATGACAAAAACTAGCCCCTATTTCAATTCAATTCAATCAAATTTTCCCATCAATAAATACGAATATTCTCCTATCTATCTATTTTAGTGGGCAGTTGAGGAGGACTCAACCAAGCACAACCATGTAAAATTTTAGCCTACTCCTCAACCACTCATATAGACTGAATAATAGCAGTACTCATGTATAACCTAAACATTACCATTTTTACCCTAATTATCTATTTCATCCCAACAATTACTGCATTCCAAGTACTCAACCTGAGTTCAAGCACCACAACCTTATCACTGTCTCACACCTGAAACAAATTAACATGATTAATATCTATAATCCTATCAATTTTATTATCCCTAGGATGTTTACCCCCATTAGCAGGATTCCTACCTAAATGAATTATTATCCAAGAGTTTACAAAAAATAAGTCTTATTATCCCAACCATCATAGCCATCATAACTTTACTCAACCTATATTTTTATATATGCTTAATTTACTCCACTTCAGTGACAATATTCCCCACATCCAATAATATAAAAAGAAAATGACAGTTCAAAAACACAAAACCCGTATCATTCCTCCCCCCACTCATCATCTTCTCTACTTTCCTCCTACCAATATCTCCACTGACACTATTTATAATCTAGAAATGTAGGTTAAGTAAGACCAAGAGCCTTCAAAGCTCTTAGCCAGTACATTATACTGAAGTTCTGCAAAAACCTAAGGACTGCAAAATTCTACTCTGTATCAATTGAATGCAAATGAATCACTTTAATTAAGCTAAGCCCTTACTAGATTGACGGGACTTAAACCCACGAAAATTTAATTAACAGCTAAACACCCTAATCAACTGGCTTCAATCTACTTCTCCTGCTATTGGAGGAGACAGGAGGGAGAAGCCCTAGCAAGATTGAAGCTGCTTGTTTGAATTTGCAATTCAACATGAAAATCACCTCGGGGCTGGTAAAAAGAGGTCTTGACCTCTGTTTTCAGATTACAGTCTAATGCTTACTCAGCCATTTTACCTTTTTCTCACTTCACTTATGTTCACCAACTGTTGACTGTTCTCAGCCAACCATAAAGATATCGGGATATTCTATCTACTATTCAGTGCATGAGCAGGGATAGTGGGTCCAGATTTAAGCCTCCTTATTCAAGCTGAACTGGGCCAACCAGGTACTCTTTTAGGAGATGATCAAATTTATAATGTCATCATTACAGCTCATGCATTTGTCATAATTTTCTTTATAGTAATGCCAATTATAATTGGAGGCTTTGGCAACTGATTAGTTCCTCTGATAATTCACCCCCCCCATATAGCATTTCCCTGCATAAATAGTAGAAGCTTCTGACTCCTCTCACCCTCTTTCCTACTATTATTTGCATCCGCTATAGTAGAGGCAGGTGCTATTAACTTTATTACCACAATTATTAATATAAACCCCCAGCCATGTCCCAATATCACACACCCCTCTTCATCTGATCAGTCTTAATTACAGCAGTTCTTCTACTCCTTTCTCTCCCAGTCCTAGCTGCTGGCATTACTATATCGTTAACTGACCGCAATCTGAATACTACTTTTTTCGACCCAGTTAGTGGAGGTGATCCTATCTTATATCAGCATTTATTCTGATTCTTTGGTCACCCTGAAGTGTATATCCTCATCTTACCAGGCTTCGGATAATTTCCCATATCGTAACATATTATTCTGGAAAAAAAAGAACCATTTGGGTATATGGGCATAGTATGAGCCATAATATCAATTGGCTTCTTAGGGTTTATCATATGGGCCCACCACATATTTACAGGAGGAATAGATGTAGATACACGAGCATATTTCACCTCTGCTACTATAATTATTGCTATTCCTACTGGTGTCAAAGTCTTTAGCTGGCTAGCTACACTTCACAGCAGTAGTATCAAATGATCCCCCACAATGCTCTGAGCCCTGGGATTTATTTTCCTTTTTACAACAGGAGGCCTAACCGGCATCGTACTAGCCAATTCATCACTGGATATTGTACTACATGATAGATATTATGTTGTAGCCCATTTCCATTATGCCTTATCAAAAGGAACCATATTTGCCATTATGGGAGGCTTTGTTCACTGATTCCCTCTATTTTCAGGTTATACTCAATCAAATCTATGCTAAAACTCACTTTGCTATTATATTTGTAAGTGTGAATTTAACTTTTTTCCCACAGCACTTCCTTGGCCTATCTGGTATGCCTCGATGTTACTCCAGTTATCCTGACACGTACACCGCATGAAATATTATTTCATCTGTAGGCTCATTTATTTCCCTAACAGCAGTAATACTAATAATTTTCATGGTCTGAGAAGCCTTCACTTCAAAATGAAAAGTTCTAATAGTTGAGCAACCATCTACCAACTTAGAATGACTATAAGGCTGTCCACCAACCCATCACACATTCGAAGAACCAACCTACATGAAGACCTAAGTGAAAAAGGAGGGAATCGAACCCCCCAGAGACTGGTTTCAAGCCAATCCCATAACCTCTATGACCTTCTCAATAAGATATTAGTGAAATTATTTCATAACTTTGTCAAAGTTAAGTTATAGTTTAAGCCGTATATATCTTAATGGCCCATCCAGTTCAATTAGGTCTTCAAGATGCTTCATCTCCTATTATAGAAGAACTACTTACCTTCCATGACCACACCCTTGTCATTGTTTTCCTAATTAGTTCCCTGGTTCTATACATTATTTCTGTAATACTCAACAAAACTGACCAACAATAGCACCATAGATGCCCAAGAAATAGAGACTGTCTGAATTATCTTGCCTGTTATCATCTTAATCTTAACTGCCCTCCCATCCCTACGTATGTTATCTATAACAGATGAAGTCAATAAGCCTTCTCTCACCGTTAAAACAATTGGACATCAATGGTATTGAAGCTACTAGTGTACAGATTATGAAGAGTTAAGCTTCGATTCTTATATGCTTCCAACAGCAGACCTAAAACCAGAAGAACGTAGACTCCTTGAAGTCGATAACCGAACAATCCTCCCAATAGAAATTCCCATCCACATGTTAACCTCATCTGAAGATGTCCTGCACTCATGAACTATTCCCTCATTAGGTTTAAAAACAGATGCAGTCCCTGGACGCCTAAACCAATTTACCTTAACCACTACACGACCAGGCCTCTACTGCAGACAATGCTCAGAAATCTGTGGATCTAATCACGGTGTTATACCTATTGTTCTAGAATTAGTTCCATTAAAAACTTTTGAAACTTGATCTATATCCACACCATAATATCACTGTAGTTACCCCAGTGTTAACCTTTTAAGTTAAAGATCGAGAGAAATCATACCTCTCTAGAGTGAATGCCTCAGCTAGATACTTCCACATGACCTATTATTGTATCAATAATCGTAACTTTATTTTCCATTATTCAATTAAAAATATCAAATTTCATCTACCATACACCCCCTTCACCAAAAATAAAGTACAAAAACATAACAACCCTTGAGAACTAAAATGAACAAAAATCTGTTCACCTCATTTATCGCCCCAACAATCCTAGGGTTACCCACAGCAGCACTAATCATCTTGTTCCCCTCCACACTCCTTCCAACCTCCAACTATCTAGTCAATAACTGATTAATTTCTATTCAACAATGACTAGTTCAACTTACCCTAAAACAAATAATTATACGTAACATTAAAGGACAAGCCCGATCCCTTATACTGATATCTCTAATTCTCTTTATTGCCTTAACCAATCTCCTTGGACTCCTACCAGACTCATTTACACCAACTACCCAACCATCAATAAATCTAGCTACAGCAATCCCCTTATGAGCAGGCACAGTAATCACGGGCTTCCGCTTTAAAACTAAAAACTCCTTAGCTCACTTCCTACCACAAGGCACACGCATACCACTTATTCCTATACCAGTATTCACCGAAACCATTAGTCTATTTATTCAACCAACAGCACTAGCTGTACGTCTAACAGCCAACATTACAGCCAGTCACTTACTCATGCGCTTAATTGGAGGAGCCACACTAGTATTATCAACTACTAACCTTCCCACAGCTTCAATCACCTTTATTATTCTAATTCTATTAACCATGCTCCAATCTGCTGTGGCCCTTATCCAAGCTTATGTCTTTACGCTTTTAGTAAGCCTTTATTTCTATGACAATACATAATGACCCACCAAACACACACCTATCATTTAGTCAAACCCAGCCCTTGACCATTAACAGGGGCTCTCTCAGCTCTCCTAATAACATCCGCCCTAGCTATATGACTTCACTTTAACTCTATTACTCTTTTAACCCTGGGCCTACTAACCAATACACTGACTATATATCAATGGTGATGTGACATTATCCGAGAAAGTACATTTCCAGGCCATGATACAACAACTGTTCAAAAAGGCCTCCGATGTGGAATAGTCATATTTGTTATCTCAGAAGTATTTGTCTTTGCTGGATTCTTTTGAGCATTCTACCATTCTAGTCTAGCCCCAGCTCCAGAATTAGGAGGACACTGATCTCCAACAAGCATTTCTCCCCTCAACCCCCTGGAAGTACCCCTCCTGAACACATTTCAATTACTTGAGCCCATCACAGCCTAATAGAAAATAATCAAAAACAAGTAATTCAAGCACTACTTTTCACAATTATCTTAGGCATTTGCTTCACCCTCCTACAAGTCTCAGAATACTTAGAGGCTCCCTTTGCTTTTTCTGATGGAATTTATGGCCCAACATTTTTTATAGCTACAGGCTTTTATGGACTTCACATCATTATTGGATCAACTTTCCTTACTATCTGCCTTCTCCGCCAATTAAAATACCACTTTACATCCAGCCATCATTTTGGCTTTGAAGCCACCGCCTGATATTGACACTATGTAGATGTAGTATGACTATTCTTGTATATTTCTATCTACTGATGAGGGTCTTACTCTTTTAGTATAAACAGTACCATTGACTTCCAATCAATTAGTTTCGATAGTATCTGAAAAAGAGTAATTAACCTAACACTAGCCCTAGTAATCAACACCCTACTAGCCCTGTCACTTATAGCTATTACATTCTGGCTCCCACAACTTAATATTTATACAGAAAAATCCAGCCCCTACGAATGAGGATTTGACTCGTTATCCTCCACCCGCATTCCTTTCTCCATAAAATCATTTCTAGTAGCCATCACATTCCTCCTATTTGACTTAGAAATCACCCTACTGCTACCCTTACCATGAGCCCTTCAAACAACCTGACACTAATAATTAGTACATCCCTTATGCTAGTTATCATTTTAATCCTAGGGTTACCTTATGAATGAACTCAAAAAGGATTAGACTGAACTGAATTGGTAAGTAGTTTAAGCCAAAATAAATGATTTTGACTCGTTAGTTATGATAGAACATGTTTACCAAATGCCCCCTGTTTACATAAATATTATATTCACATATACCATATCACTTCTGGGGTTATTAATCTATCAATCCCACTTAATATCAGCAGTTCTTCTACTCCTTTCTCTCACAGTCCTAGCTGCCAGCATTGCTATATATAAATACAACTTTTTTCCTACTATGCCTAGAAGGAATAATATTATCATTATTCATCATAAATACCCTTATAACTTTATTTACTTATTTATTTATTTATTTTATTATTATTATACTTTAAGTTTTAGGGTACATGTGCACAATGTGCAGGTTAGTTACATATGTATACATGTGCCATGCTGGTGTGCTGCACCCATTAACTCGTCATTTAGCATTAGGTATATCTCCTAATGCTATCCCTCCCCCCTCCCCCCACCCCACAACAGACCCCAGAGTGTGATGTTCCCCTTCTTGTGTCCATGTGTTCTCATCGTTCAATTCCCACCTATGAGAGAGAACATGCGGTGTTTGGTTTTTTGTCCTTGTGATAGTTTCTGAGAATGATGATTTCCAATTTCATCCATGTCCCTACAAAGGACATGAACTCATCATTTTTTATGGATGCATAGTATTCCATGGTGTATATGTGCCACATTTTCTTAATCCAGTCTATCATTGTTGGACATTTGGGTTGGCTCCAAGTCTTTGCTATTGTGAATGGTGCCTCAATAAACATACGTGTGCATGTGTCTTTATAGCAGCATGATTTATTGTCCTTTGGGTATATACCCAGTAATGGGATGGCTGGGTCAAATGGTATTTCTAGTTCTAGATCCCTGAGGAATCACCACACTGACTTCCACAATGGTTGAATGGGTTTACAGTCCCACCAACAGTGTAAAAGTGTTCCTATTTCTCCACATCCTCTCCAGCACCTGTTGTTTCCTGACTTTTTAATGATCGCCATTCTAATTGGTGTGAGATGGTATCTCATTGTGGTTTTGATTTGCATTTCTCTGATGGCCAGTGATGGTGAGCATTTTTTCATGTGTTTTTTGGCTGCATAGATGTCTTCTTTTGAGAAGTGTCTGTTCATGTCCTTCGCCCACTTTTTCATGGGCTTGTTTGTTTTTTTCTTGTAAATTTGTTTGAGTTCATTGTAGATTCTGGATATCAGCCCTTTGTCAGATGAGTGGGTTGCGAAAATTTTCTCCCATTTTGTAGGTTGCCTGTTCACTCTGATGGTAGTTTCTTTTGCTGTGCAGAAGCTCTTTAGTTTAATTACATCCCATTTGTCAATTTTGGCTTTTCTTGCCATTGCTTTTGGTGTTTTAGACATGAAGTCCTTGCCCATGCCTATGTCCTGAATGGTAATGCCTATGTTTTCTTGGGTTTCAGGGTTTTTATGGTTTTAGGTCTAACGTTTAAGTCTTTAATCCATCTTGAATTAATTTTTGTATAAGGTGTAAGGAAGAGATCCAGTTTCAGCTTTCTACATATGGCTAGCCAGTTTTCCCAGCACCATTTATTAAATAGGGAATCCTTTCCCCATTGCTTGTTTTTCCCAGGTTTGTCAAAGATCAGATGGTTGTAGATGTGTGGTGTTATTTCTGAGGGCTCTGTTCTGTTCCATTTATCTATATCTCTGTTTTGGTACCAGTACCATGCTGTTTTGGTTACTGTAGCCTTGTAGTATAGTTTGAAGTCACGTAGCATGATGCCTCTGGCTTTGTTCTTTTGGTTCAGGATTGACTTGGCGATGCGGGCTCTTTTTTGGTTTCATATGAACTTTAAAGTAGTTTTTTCCAATTCTGTGAATAAAGTCATTGGTAGCTTGATGGGGATGGCATTGAATCTATAAATGACCTTGGGCAGTATGGCCATTTTCACGATATTGATTCTTCCTACCCATGAGCATGGAATGTTCTTCCATTTCTTTGTATCCTCTTTTATTTCACTGAGCAGTGGTTTGTAGTTCTCCTTGAAGAGGTCCTTCACAGCCCTTGTAAGTTGGATTCCTAGGTATTTTATTCTCTTTGAAGCAATTGTGAATGGGAGTTCACTCATGATTTGGCTCTCTGTTTGTCTGTTATTGGTGTATAAGAATGCTTGTGATTTTTGTACATTGATTTTGTATCCTGAGACTTTGCTGAAGTTGCTTATCAGCTTAAGGAGGTTTTGGGCTGAGACAATGGGGTTTTCTAGATATACAATCATGTCATCTGCAAACAGGGACAATTTGACTTCCTCTTTTCCTAATTGAATACCCTTTATTTCCTTCTCCTGCCTGATTGCCCTGGCCAGAACTTCCAACACTATGTTGAATAGGAGTGGTGAGAGAGGGCATCCCTGTCTCATGCCAGTTTTCAAAGAGAATGCTACCAGTTTTTGCCCATTCAGTGTGATATTGGCTGTGGGTTTGTCATAGGTAGCTCTTAGTATTTT
The DNA here is from genome assembly GCF_000001405.40 of Homo sapiens. Classification (NCBI taxonomy): domain Eukaryota; kingdom Metazoa; phylum Chordata; class Mammalia; order Primates; family Hominidae; genus Homo; species Homo sapiens. The sequence goes on along the minus strand of NC_000002.12, from coordinate 131,377,275 downwards.
GAGATACGTCCCATCAATACCTAATTTATTGAGAGTTTTTAGCATGAAGGGTTGTTGAATTTTGTCAAAGGCCTTTTCTGCATCTATTGAGATAATCATGTGGTTTTTGTCTTTGGTTCTGTTTATATGCTGGATTACATTTATTGATTTGCATATGTTGAACCAGCCTTGCATCCCAGGGATGAAGCCCACTTGATCATGGTGGATAAGCTTTTTGATGTGCTGCTGGATTCAGTTTGCCAGTATTTTATTGAGGATTTTTGCATCAATGTTCATCAAGGATATTGGTCTAAAATTCCCTTTTTTGGTTATGTCTCTGCCCAGCTTTGGTATCAGGATGATGCTGGCCTCATAAAATGAGTTAGGGAGGATTCCTTTTTCTATTGATTGGAATAGTTTCAGAAGGAATGGTACCAGCTCCTCGTTGTACCTCTGGTAGAATTCGGCTGTGAATCCATCTGGTCCTGGACTTTTTTTGGTTGGTAAGCTATTGATTATTGCCACAATTTCAGAGCCTATTATTGATCTATTCAGAGATTCAACTTCTTCCTGGTTTAGTCTTGGGAGGATGTATGTGTCGAGGAATTTATCCATTTCTTCTAGATTTTCTAGTTTATTTGCGTAGAGGTGTTTGTAATATTCTCTGATGGTAGTTTGTATTTCTGTGGGATTGGTGGTGATATCCCCTTTATCATTTTTTATTGCGTCTATTTGATTCTTCTCACTTTTCTTCTTTATTAGTCTTGCTAGCGGTCTATCAATTTTGTTGATCCTTTCAAAAAACCAGATCCTGGATTCATTAATTTTTTGAAGGGTTTTTTGTGTCTCTATTTCCTTCAGTTCTGCTCTGATTTTAGTTATTTCTTGCCTTCTGCTAGCTTTTGAATGTGTTTGCTCTTGCTTTTCTAGTTCTTTTAATTGTGATGTTAGGGTGTCAATTTTGGATCTTTCCTGCTTTCTCTTGTGGGCATTTAGTGCCATAAATTTCCCTCTACACACTGCTTTGAATGTGTCCCAGAGATTCTGGTATGTTGTGTCTTTGTTCTCATTGGTTTCAAAGAACATCTTTATTTCTGCCTTCATTTTGTTATGTACCCAGTAGTCATTCAGGAGCAGGTTGTTCAGTTTCCATATAGTTGAGTGGTTTTGAGTGAGTTTCTTAATCCTGAGTTCTAGTTTGATTGCACTGTGGTCTGAGAGATAGTTTGTTATAATTTCTGTTCTTTTACATTTGCTGAGGAGGGCTTTACTTCCAACTATGTGATCAATTTTGGAATAGGTGTGGTGTGGTGCTGAAAAAATGTAGATTCTGTTGATTTGGGGTGGAGAGTTCTATAGATGTCTACTAGGTCCGCTTGGTGCAGAGCTGAGTTCAATTCCTGGGTATCCTTGTTAACTTTCTGTCTCGTTGATCTGTCTAATGTTGACAGTGGGGTGTTAAAGTCTCCCATTATTATTGTGTGGGAGTCTAAGTCTCTTTGTAGGTCACTCAGGACTTGCTTTATGAATCTGGGTGCTCCTGTATTGGGTGCATATATATTTACGATAGTTAGCTCTTCTTGTTGAATTGATCCCTTTACCATTATGTAATGGCCTTCTTTGTCTCTTTTGATCTTTGCTGGTTTAAACTCTGTTTTATCAAAGAGTAGGATTGCAACCCCTGCCTTTTTTTGTTTTCCATTTGCTTGGTAGATCTTCCTCCATCCCTTTATTTTGAGCCTATGTGTGTCTCTGCACGTGAGATGGGTTTCCTGAATACAGCACACTGATGGGTCTTGAGTCTTTATCCAATTTGCCAGTCTGTGTCTTTTAATTGGAGCATGTAGACCATTTACATTTAAAGTTAATATTGTTATGTGTGAATTTGATCCTGTCATTATGATGTTAGCTGGTTATTTTGCTCGTTAGTTGATGCAGTTTCTTCCTAGCCTGGATGGTCTTTACAATTTGGCATGATTTTGCAGTGGCTGGTACCGGTTGTTCCTTTCCATGTTTAGTGCTTCCTTCAGGAGCTCTTTTAGGGCAAGCCTGGCGGTGACAAAATCTCTCAGCATTTGCTTGTCTGTAAAGTATTTTATTTCTCCTTCACTTATGAAGCTTAGTTTGGCTGGATAGGAAATTCTGGGTTGAAAATTCTTTTCTTTAAGGATGTTGAATATTGGCCCCCACTCTCTTCTGGCTTGTAGAGTTTCTGCCAAGAGATCTGCTGTTAGTCTGATGGGCTTCCCTTTGTGGGTAACCCGACCTTTCTCTCTGGCTGCCCTTAACGTTTTTTCCTTCATTTCAACTTTGGTGAATCTGACAATTATGTGTCTTGGAGTTGCTCTTCTCGAGGAGTATCTTTGTGGCATTCTCTGTATTTCCTGAATTTGAATGTTGGCCTGCCTTGCTAGATTGGGGAAGTTCTCCTGGATAATATCTTGTAGAGTGTTTTCCAACTTGGTTCTGTTCTCCCCGTCACTTTCAGGTACACCAATCAGACATAGATTTGGTCTTTTCACATAGTCCCATATTTCTTGGAGGCTTTGTTCATTTCTTTTTATTCTTTTTCTCTAAACTTCCCTTTTCACTTCATTTCATTCATTTCATCTTCCATCACTGATACCCTTTATTCCAGTTGATTGCATTGGCTCCTGAGGCTTCTGCATTCTTCACGTATTTCTCGATCCTTGGCTTTCAGCTCCATCAGCTCCTTTAAGGACTTCTGTGCATTGGTTATTCTAGTTATACATTTGTCTAAATTTTTTTCAAAGTTTTTAACTTCTTTGCCTTTGGTTTGAATTTCCTCCTGTAGCTCAGAGTAGTTTGATCATCTGAAGCCTTCTTCTCTTAACTCGTCAAAGTCCTTCTCCGTCCAGCTTTGTTCCGTTGCTGGTGAGGAACTGCATTCCTTTGGAGGAGGAGAGGCGCTCTGCTTTTTAGAGTTTGCAGTTTTTCTGCTCTGTTTTTTCCCCATCTTTGTGGTTTTATCTACTTTTGGTCTTTGATGATGGTGATGTACAGATGGGTTTTTGGTGTGGATGTCCTTTCTGTTTGTTAGTTTTCCTTCTAACAGATAGGACCCTCAGCTGCAGGTCTGTTGGAGTTTGCTAGAGGTCCACTCCAGACCCTGTTTGCCTGGGTACCCGCAGCAGTGGCTGCAGAACAGCAGATTTTCATGAACTGCAAATGCTGCTGTCTGATCGTTCCTCTGGAAGTTTTGTCTCAGAGAAGTACCTGGCCGTGTGAGGTGTCAGTCTGCCCCTACTTGGGGGTGCCTCCCAGTTAGGCTGCTCGGGGGTCAGGGGTCAGGGACCCACTTGAGGAGGCAGTCTGCCCGTTCTCAGATCTCCAGCTGCATGCTGGGAGAACCACTGCTCTCTTCAAAGCTCAGATGAAAATGCAGAAATCACCCGTCTTCTGCATCGCTCATGCTGGGAGCTGTAGACCGGAGCTGTTCCTATTTGGCCATCTTGGCTCCACCCCTCCTTATAACTTTAAATATACATTTTACCCTAGCAACCGTAGTACCCATCACCCTACTAGTATTTGCTGCCGGCAAAGCCGCAGTGGGCCTTGCCTTACTAGTTTCAATTTCCAACACATATGACTTAAACTATGTGCATAACCTAAATTTACTTCAAAGCTAAAAGTTATCATTCTAACAATCACACTGCTACCAATAACATGACTCTCTAAAAATCCTATACTCTGGATGAATATAACCACTCACAGCCTAATTATCAGCTTTATTGCCCTATTATTCTTTAATCAATTCAACGACAATCTATTCAACTCCTCATCAACTTTCTCCTCTGATCCCCTAACATCACCCCTTCTAATCTTAACAGCCTGGCCATTACCTCTTATAATTACAGCAAGCCAGTATCACCTCTCCAGTGAATCCCTCCCACAGAAAAAGCTCTATATTTCCATATTGATCTCCCTACAGGTTTTTCTAATTACAGCATTTACAGCCACAGAACTAATTATATTTTATATTCTCTTTGAAACTACACTTATCCCCACCTTAATTATTATTACCCGCTGGGGCAACCAACTAGAATGCCTCAATGCAAGCACATATTTCTTACTTTATACACTAGTAGGATCTCTCCCCCTACTTATTATACTTACTTACACCCAAAATATCCTAGGCTCACTGAGCATAATAACATTTAATACCCAACAACTATTAATTTCCTGATCCAACAACTTTATATGGTGTGTATAATGGCTTTTATGCTAAAAATACCCCTATACGGACTTCACCTATGACTTCCTAAAGCCCATGTAGAAACTCCTATTGCCAGTTCAATAGTACTTGCAGCAGGACTCCTAAAACTAGGCGGCTATGGCATAATACGACTTAACCCTTATCCTCAGCCCCCTGACAGAATATATAGTCTATCCCTTCCTCATGTTATCCTTATGAGGTATAGTTATGAGAAGCTCTATCTGTCTATGACAAACTGATCTAAAGTCACTTATTGCATATTCCTCCGTAAGCCATATGGCACTTGTTATTATGGCTATCCTTATTCAAATCCCCTGAAGCTTTATCTTGCTATTATCCTCATAATTGCCCACGGACTTACTTCGTCCCTACTTTTCTGCCTAGCAAATTCAAACTACAAGCGAACCCACAGCCGAATCATATTACTCTCTCAAGGGCTTCAAATATTATTTCCACTAATACCCTTTTGCTTATAGCAAATCTTACTAACCCTGCCTTACCCCCCTCCACTAATCTAATAGGTGAACTCCTCGTAAGAGTGGCTTCACTCTCCTGATCAAATATTACCATTATGCTTATAGGATGTAATATATTAATTACAGCCCTTTATTTCCTTCACATCCTTGTCACAACACACCAGCAAACACTTACTTATTATATTAACAGTATTAAGCCCTCCTTTACATGAAAAACTATATTAATATTTATACACCTTTCACCTATTCTATTATCTCTAAACCCTAAAATTATTATACAGTCTATACCCTACAAATACAGTTTAATCAAAACGTGAGATTGTGGATCTAATAATAGAAGTCTGCTTCTTCTTATTTACCAAGAAAGTGTGCAAGAACTGCTGACTCATGCCCCCATGCCTGACAACATGGCTTTCTCAACTTTTAGAGGATAAGAGCTATCTGTTGGTCTTAGGAACCAAAAATATTGGTGCAACTCCAAATAAAATAATAATCACGTATTACCATAATAACCTTAATCTCCTTAACCTTACCAATTATTATTACCTTCATCAACCCTTACAAGAAGAACTTGTACCCATATTATGTAAAAATAGCTATCGCATGCACCTTCACCATTAGCCGCATTCCCACAAGAATGTTTATATCTACAGACCAATAACCCATCATCTCAAACTGATATTGAATAACAATCCAAACCCTTAAACTCTCATTAAGCTTCAGACTACTTCTCCATAATGTTTATTCCAGTAGCACTATTTGTCACCTGATTATAGAATTCTCTATATGATATATAAAGTTAGATCCTAATATTGATCAGTTTTGCAAATATTTACTTATTTTCCACACCACAATATTAATTCTAGTTACCGCCAACAACCTTTTTCAACTTTTTATTGGATGAGAAGGCGTAGGAATTGTGTCTTTTCTACTAACTGGCTGATGACATGGCTGAGCAGATGCTAATACAACAGCCCTGCAAGCGATCCTACATAATCGCTTTGGCGATATTGGCTTCATTTTAGCTATAGCCTGATTCCTCACATCCTCCAATACATGAGAGCCTCAACAAATATTTATCCTAAATCCTACCCCCGATCTTCTTCCATTAATTGGCCTTCTCTTAGCAGCAGCAGCAGGAAAAACAGCCCAACTTGGCCTCCACTCCTGACTTCCTTCTGCCATGGAAGGCCCAGCCCCTGTCTCAGCCCTACTCCACTCTAGCACTATAGTTGTGGCAGGAGTGTTCCTACTTATTCATTTCCACCCCTTAATAGAAAATAATGTGTTAATCCAAACCCTTACACTATGTCTAGGGGCTATTACCACTTTTTTACAGCAATCTGTGCTTTAACACAAAATAATATTGAAAAAACCGTAGCATTCTCCACCTCAAGTCAACTGGGCCTTAGAATAACCACAATTGGCATTAATCAACCACACCTAGCATTCCTACACATCTGCACCCATGTCTTTTTCAAAGTTATATTATTTGTGTGTTCAGGATCTATCATCCACAGCCTCAACGATGAACAAGACATCTGAAAAACAGGACTATTTAAGACTTTACCCCTTACTTTCTCCTCCCTTATTATTGGCAGCCTAGCACTTACGGGTATGCCCTTCCTCACAGGCTTTTACTCTAAAGATCTCATCATCGAAACCACAAACACGTCATATACCAATGTCTGAGCCCTCTCTATTACTTTCATTGCCACTTCCCTAACAAGTGTCTACAGTATGCAAATTATTTCCTTTGCCCTAATAGGACAACCCCACTTCCCAACCCTAATCAACATTAATGAAAATATTCCTTCCCTAATAAATCCAATTAAACACCTTATAGTTGACAGCATCTTCGCTGGGTTTCTCCTTACCAATAGCATTGCCCCTGCTTCATCCCCACAAACAACAATAGCACCTCATCTAAAACTTGCAGCCCTAGGTGTAAACATCCTAGGGCTTTTACTGGCTATAGAACTGAGTTCTAGAATTAATAATCTTAAAATAAAACACCCATTACAAATATTCAACTTTTCTAACATATTAGGATTTTACTCAATCACAATTCACTGTATAACCCCTCACTCAAGCCTATCTATAAGCCAAAACCTGGCATCACTTCTATTATCTAATTTGACTAGAAAAGTCCATACCAAAAACAATTTCACAAACCCAAATCACAGCCTCTGTTACTATAACTACTCAAAAAGGCCTAATTAAATCTTATTTCCTCTTCTTTTGTTCCATCCTTTTTGACTTTACTCTTAAGTATTTAATCTGTTGCCCTGAGTAACTTCAATTATAATATCAACACCAGCCAACAATTCAACCAGCAACCACCACCAATCAACACCCACAATTACAGAAAGCACCCGCACCCACAGAATCCTCATGAACCAACCCTGGCCCGTCACTCTCAAAAATTACGCAACTTCCCATACTATTAAAGTTAACTAGAACCACCAGCCCATCATACTCAGCTATTCATCAAGTTAACACCAACTCTACTGCTAAACCCAATAATAACGTTCCTAAAACCTCAATGCTTGATCCTCACTCCTCTGGATATTCCTCAATAGCCATCGCCGCAGTATAGCCAAAAACAACCATGATCCCCTACAAATAAATCAAAAAGACTATTAATCCCATAAAAGCCCCACCATAATTTAGTACAATAACGCAACCCATAGCACCACTAATAATTAACCCTAAGACCCCATAAATTGGAGGTTTAGAAGAAAAACCTACAAATCCCATAACCAAAAGAACACTTAATAGGAACAAAGCATATGTCATTATTCCCACACGGATTATAACCATGACTAATGATAAGAAAAACCATTGTTGTATTTCAACTATAAGAACACTAATGACCATAATACATAAAACAAATCCACTAATAAAAATCATTAATTATTCACTCATCGACCTCCCCACTCCATCTCATATCTCTATATGATGAAACTTGGGCTGACTTCTTGGCACCTGCTTAATCCTTCAGATCATCACAGGGTTATATCTGGCCATACATTACACACCAGATACCTCAATTTCTTTCTCTTCAGTCGCCTATATTAACCGAGATGTGAACTATAGCTGAATTACCCGCTTTTTTCACGCTAACGGTACTTCAACATTCTTCATCTGCCTCTTCCTACATGTCGGCCGAGGCTTATATTATGGCTCATTCACATATTTGGAAACCTGAAACACTGGCATTATTCTCTTGCTTACAACCACAGCAACAGCGTTTATAGGCTATGTGCTTCCATGAGGCCAAATACCATTCTGAGGCACTACAGTAACCACAAACCTAATATCAGCTACTCCATATGTCGGGACTGACCTTGCCCAGTGAATCTGAGGTGATTTTCAGTTGACAAAGCCACTCTTACACGATTCTTCACCTTCCATTTCATCTTACCTTTCATCATTATAGCCCTAACAATTCTCCACCTTCTATTCCTTCACGAAACAGGGTCTAATAACCCCTCAGGAATCTCATCACACTCCGATAAAAGAGACCCTCTTCCTAGGGAGGCGGTGTGGGGGATTGGTCAGAGTGGTGGGAAAAACTATAGGGAAAGGACACAAACCTTCTGAAAGGTCGGAAGTTTCTACAGAGCCCCAGGAGGAGAATAGCTGAAGGCAGCTGTTCTATAACCCTGAGGTAGAGGGCAAGGAGTAGCTACAAGGGAGTGTGGGGGAATTTTTCTTAAACAAGATTGTTCACTTACATCAACCAGGAACTGACCTTTGATCATCCGTGCGCCTGACGTTCCCTGAAAGGGGAACAATAAATGTTAATTATCTACAGGTTGTGTTGGCTCCAGGTTTTCACCATTGTGCCTGCACTGAATAAAAGCAAGCAGCTCCAGCTTCTCACAGCTGCTCTCTGGCCACTGGGGCCGGGCAGTCACCTAGCTGCTCTTACACTGCATACCTGTGTCTGAGTACTCATTTCATCCATCAGCCAGGGTCTGTGGGACAGATCCGGCAAGGTGGCAGGCACTGTCTGTACAGAGGGAGAGGGTGGCATGTGCCTGTGGTAGTCTGTGTTGAGCGGGCTTAAGGGGCTGCGACCTTGATCCTTGTTCTCTCTTTGGATCAGGGTCTTGATTTTCCTGGAGACCCTGACCCCCCTGGAGAAGGTGACTTGGGTGTCTTAGGGAGGGGGAAGGGGAAAAGAGGGTGGGGCTTCTATGAGGAGCCTCCATGTGGCTAATGGGCTTGGGTACTGGGAAGCTGGAGATATGGCAGGACAGGCAGGGGGATGGGAAGATTGGTGATTTTAGGGGTGATGCCAGCCAGGTTGGGGCCTCCTCTGGCCTTGCTTCACCCCTGCAGGGCCAGGACAGTGCTAAGGGTGACTGTGGCAAGGATGGCAAACCAGGACAATCTATGAATGACCAGTGACCCCACCACCCCCACTGAGCCCCAGCCTTCAGCCCCTTAGCCCTCTTCTATACCCACTCCTGAGAGGTCCCTTGGCTGGAGGCCAAACACACACCCATCCCAGTTCTTCTCTTCCTAGGCATTCCCTGGTCCTGCTGGGGAGAATAGAACCCCTGGGCCACTAGTCAAGTGGGTGAGTGAGGTGGGCTCTGGGTCCTTGGGAGGCAGTCCCTAGGCCATGTGGTAGAGATTGGGCAATGGCTGGTGGGGCGGGCAGGGAGATGCCTGGTATCTGTGCTGTCCCTGATGTGTGCATGGCAACGGGAGGCATGAGCACATGGGTTTGAGTCTGTGACGTCCTGGGTATGTTGTTCCTGAGGTTTGGTGAACATGTTCTCAACAGCAGTGGTCATGTTTACTGACCAATCAATGGACACTGGTGGAGGGACTGGCCAGCTTTTCTGCTGGGCCACAGGTTAACCTGGGCCTCCAGGTGGGGTGTGGGTGACTCGCTCTTCCTGAGATGCACATACACCTGTGCGTTTTCGCAACAGGACCTCTGCATCTGTGTGTGTGTGCCATGTGTGTGCAGTGTGTGCAATGTGTCTATAGTATGTGCATGTGTGCAGTGTGTGTGCGTGTGTGTAGCACAGGAAGGGGAAGAGTGGCGCCTGGCTGCCCAGGCCTCATGTTCTCTCCCTCCGTCCCATTTGCAGGGTCTCACTGGCATGCCTGGTCCCCAGGGCCGATGAGGAGTAAAGCCCAGGTGAAAGAGAGGCTGCCCCTGGGTGCTGGAGCCTCCCCTCTGCCTTTCTGCCCCTCAGGTGCCTCTGTCTCCAGATGTCTACCCACCACCCCCATCCACGTATCCCATGTTGACCCCTTCTGGGGACAGGGGTTTCCTATAGTTATTACTGCCCTGGGGCTCCCAGGCTTCGGGCCCTCCTCCCTGCCTCACGCCTTCCACTTTGAACTCCTGCTCCAATTCACATCCCCTCCACTGCCTTTCCGGACACATTCCTTGTGTGCATTTCTGGGCCTCCAGGTGCTGTGGGTGCCTTGAGTCCCACAGGCCCAGCTGGTGCTGATGGTCTGAGGGGCTCTGGGGCCCAGTGTGAGTCACTGCAGGCAAGGGCTGGGCTTGAGGAGGAAGGTGAAAAGCCCGGGGAGGAGTGCAATGTGGGGTGCTCCTCCCCGTCCCTGGGGTCCCCTCAAATCTGCAGGGTCAGCAAGGCCAACCTGGAGCCACAGGCCAGGCTGGGCCTTCCAGTCCTGTGGTGAGTGACTGGGATGGGGCTGGTGAGGGGTGAGGGTGGGCGCCCTGGGGCAGCCAGCTAAGGCCCTGCAGGAAGTGGGAGGCGATGGGAGAACCGAGTTTCCTCCTCTCTCTGGAGAGAGGGACTTCTGTCTCCCCAAAGGGACCCCCAGGGCTTCCTGGCTTCGGGAGCAATGCTGGAGCTGAGGAAGAGAAGGTGAGTGACAGACACATGGCCAGGTGTGTCTCCCATCACCCTCAGCCCTGAAGCCTGTGGGACTCTGAGGGGCCTGCTCTGCTCCAGGCCCCCAGCCACCAGGCCCCGGGGTCCCTGCTCAGTGAGGGCCCCCCACAGACCCTGTGCCCAGGGCATTCTCTGTGTCTTGGCCTTTCTCCCCCATCCACGTGACTCCTCCTGTGTTCCCCGACCACCTGCTCCCTTCTCTAGGGGCCACTCAGGTCTCACTGGACTGATTGGGTCCCCTGGGGGAGCAGGGAGAGAATGGGGATCAGGGTCTTCCTGGCCCTCAGGGCTCCCCTGAACAGAAAGGGAGAGGTGAGTACAGGGCCTGGTCCTGGAGGGTGGGGTGAGGGGTGGGGAGTGGGAGGATGGGGTTAAAACTCAGCTGTGGGTGAGGGAGCTACTTTTTAAAATTGTATATAGAGATGGGGTCTCACTACGTTGCCCAGGATGGTCTCTAACTCCAGGGCTCGAGCAATTCTCCCACCTTGGCTTCCCAAAGTGCTGGGATTACAGCATGAGCCACTGCGCTGGGATGACTTCTATTTTCTAAAAGCAACTCTACTGGGAGATTTATGCTGAGGAAAGTATGTGGTTATCAGACTCAGTGCCCATGGTGGATGACTTCTTTATTTATTTTTTTCTTTGTAGAGAAGGGATCTCACTTTGTCACCCAGGCTGGAGTGCAGTGGCATGACCACAGCTCACTGTAGCCTCGACTTCCCGGGCTCAAGTGATCCCCCCAACTCAGCTCCCCCAAGTAGCTGAGAATACAGGCATGGGCTACCACAACTGTCTAATTTTTTATTTATTTATTTATTTTTTTTTTGGAGACAGGGTTTTGCTCTGTCACGCAGGCTGGAGTGTAGAGACATGATCTTGGCTCACTGCAACTTCTGTCTCCCAGATTCAAGCATCTCTCGCCTCAGCCTTGGGAGTAGCTGGGGACTACAGGTATGTGTGGGTGAGTCTGGGTGTGGGTGGGTGAGTGCAGGTGTGTCTAGGTGTAGGTGGGTGAGTATCGGTGTGTGTCTGTGTGTAGGTGGGTGAGTATGGGTGTGTGCGGGTGTGTGTGTAGGTGGGTGAGTATGGGTGTGCAGGTGTGTGTGTGTGTATGTGTTTACATTGTGGTATGTGTCTGTTGGGTGCCGCCGTTAGGGATTTGGAAGAGTGAGGACCATAAACCTGTAAACATTTCTACATGCCTGCTCCACAACAAGTGTACCAAGCATGGTCAAAAGTAACTAAACCAAGTAAACAAATTAGACATTAATTAAACTTAATGCTGGGCAGGAAAGAAGTATTCAAGGCCAGGTAAAATGAAGAAATATAACCAAATAAATGAAATTTTAAAATTAGTAGAATGAGACAGAAATATTTTTAAAAGTTTTTAATTTCTGGTGAATATCAGTATATAAAACTAAGAATTATATGGCTGTCAATTGACTAAAAACAGTACTTAAGATTTCAGCTAGTGAAATAGCCATATATGATCTTGTAATTCCATTTTTCTGTCTCAAGAATGACTTGTTTAAATAATTTTTTTTGAATTGTTACATTGTCATCTTGAAAGAGCTTCACAAAACTTACATGAGAATCTGGATTGTCATAAGAGGTCTGAGTTTTTAATGGTATGTTCGTATTTCTGTTATGTACATTGATGTCAAACATTCATTTCCTGAGCTGTTCTCCAGAACACAATTTGACTTATAATGAACACTCAATAAATGGTTGGTTGGATAATCAAATCAACACCTTAGTTTCATCAATTTTCATTTCATATAAAAGTGACTGATCTTCTATACTCATCAATGAAACAGAGAGAGATGAGGGAGGGATAGCAGTGGAGACTAAGAGGATGACAAGCAGACCTCATTCTGCAGTGGATATCCTACACTCTCCACTTCTCAATGCTTGGAAACACTTGCCATACTAAAAAAATTGGTATTTCCTAGGCAGAAAATGGGAGTTAAAGAAAGTCCATATTTCTATACTACAATAACTTACACTATAATACATGGACGACATACATTTCTAAGCTATTCACTTCATAGAAAATGCAGATACATTTAGGTGAGCAAGATGCAGGAGAAGGGTTAATAATCAGGCTGAGTGTGATTGTGAGATTCAGTCTAATATCTTGATACAATTCTTGTGTAATTGTATCAGTTGACATATCTGTTCAAATGCAAGGCGGGAGAGTTTTGCAGGAGCTCCTGAAACTTCCTGCATGATGTTAGGAGACAGGTTGGTCCATGTGATTAGGCCAGATGTGTTTGCTTAATTGTGGCTTAGGAAAGTTAAGTTTCTGACCTCTCACAGAAACTGGGAGATAGGGACGCTAAATTTTATAACATTTCTGTTTAATATATATTTAATAATACATAATAAAGTCTTTAAAATGTCAATTTTGTCTTTTTTCTAGTTTGCAATATTTTGTTTTCACCGCCCCATTGTTTTTAGTACATATGTTTTGTGTATTTAAAAAAATGTGTGGAGGCGCCCTGGCTCGCCCCGCGCCAGAGGCTCGCGCACTCAGCAGGTTGGGCTGCGGCGGCGGCGGCTGGGGAAGCCGAAGCGCCGCGCGTGAGAGATCCCAGATACGTCTGCGGTTCCGGCTCCGCCACCCTCCGCCTTTCTCCCGCAGGTCTTGGAGCCGGGTGAGGAAGAAGGGAACGGCCCTAGCCTTGGGAAGCCAAAGCACACCCCTGGCTCCTGCCGACACCGCCCTCCTTCCCTTCCCAGCCGCGGGCCTCGCTCGGTGCTCGGCTACTCTGCCGGGAGGCGGCGGCGGCTGCCAGTCTGTGGAGAGTCCTGCTGCCCTCCAGCCGGGCTCCTCCACCGGCCCTTGCAGGGGCGCAGAGAGCTCGGCGCCCGCCCTTCCGCTCGCCTTTTTCGTCAGCCGGCTGGAGCAGCATCGGTCCGGGAGGTCTCTGGGCTGAGGCGGCGACAGCTCCTCTAGTTCCACCATGTCCGCGGGCGGAGACTTCGGGAATCCGCTGAGGAAATTCAAGCTGGTGTTCCTGGGGGAGCAAAGCGTTGCAAAGACATCTTTGATCACCAGATTCAGGTATGACAGTTTTGACAACACCTATCAGGCAATAATTGGCATTGACTTTTTATCAAAAACTATGTACTTGGAGGATGGAACAATCGGGCTTCGGCTGTGGGATACGGCGGGTCAGGAACGTCTCCGTAGCCTCATTCCCAGGTACATCCGTGATTCTGCTGCAGCTGTAGTAGTTTACGATATCACAAATGTTAACTCATTCCAGCAAACTACAAAGTGGATTGATGATGTCAGAACAGAAGGAGGAAGTGATGTTATCATCACGCTAGTAGGAAATAAAACAGATCTTGCTGACAAGAGGCAAGTGTCAATTGAGGAGGGAGAGAGGAAAGCCAAAGGGCTGAATGTTACGTTTATTGAAACTAGGGCAAAAGCTGGATACAATGTAAAGCAGCTCTTTCGACGTGTAGCAGCAGCTTTGCCGGGAATGGAAAGCACACAGGACGGAAGCAGAGAAGACATGAGTGACATAAAACTGGAAAAGCCTCAGGAGCAAACAGTCAGCGAAGGGGGTTGTTCCTGCTACTCTCCCATGTCATCTTCAACCCTTCCTCAGAAGCCCCCTTACTCTTTCATTGACTGCAGTGTGAATATTGGCTTGAACCTTTTCCCTTCATTAATAACGTTTTGCAATTCATCATTGCTGCCTGTCTCGTGGAGATGATCTATTAGCTTGACAAGCACAAAAAAAGTCAGCGTCTTCATTATTTATATTTTACAAAAAGCCAAACTATTTCAGCGTATTCCAGTGATAACTTTAAAAATTAGATACATTTTCTTAACATTTTTTTTCTTTTTTAATGTTATGATAATGTACTTCAAAATGATGGAAATCTCAACAGTATGAGTATGGCTTGGTTAACGAGCAGTATGTTCACAGCCTGCTTTATCTCTCCTTGCTCTTCTCACCTCTCCCTTACCCCGTTCCCTATTTCCGTGTTCTTACCTAGCCTCCCCCCACTTCCTCAAAACAAACAAGAGATGGCAAAGCAGCAGTCCGACCAAGCCCACTGGAATTATCCTTTAATTTTACAGATACCACTTGCTGTAGGCTGTGGACCAAGATGTCCAGAATTATTCTTGAGCACTGATATAAATTACTTAGATCCTCTTTGAGGTCAGAATTCAGCGATCACGGTAGGCAGTGCTTGAATGAGAAAAGCCTCCTGGTGCATCTTCAAAATGAGTCCTAAAGAACATACTGAGTACTTATAAGTAGCAGAACATAAAATGTATTTCTGACTAAAACAAATGGTCCTTTCACATGTGCTTTATTAGACTCTGGGAGAGAAAATTAACCAAGTGCTTCAGAACAGGTTTTTAGTATTTAATTCTTCATGGTAAGATAATGACGTTCTAATGAACTATTTCTCCCAAGGTTTTAAAATTGTCAAGAGTTATTCTGTTTGTTTAAAAAATAAGAAACCTCTTTAAGCAATAGATTTTGCTTGGGTTTTCTTTTTTTAAAAAATAATACTATGCAGGCAAGACACCATAAAAGTTTAATTCCTTACAGAAGAACCAGTGGAAGAATTTAAATTTGGCACTACGATCAAAACTACTGAATTAGCAGAAATAACGATATCTAAAGCTTACCAACAAAAGAACCCTCAGCAGAAGAGCAAAAACTTTGCTCAGGACATTTGAGGTCAAATTGAAGATGGAAACCGGAAACCATTTTCTTGTAAGCCCCTAGAGGCAGATCAGGTAAAGCATACATAGTAGAGGGAAAGGAGAGAATGGAAATAAAACTGAATATTATGCAGATTTATGCCTTATTTTTTAGCATTTTTTTAAGGTTGGGTCTTTCAGGCTGGTTTTCGTTTGTATGAGATCTGTATAGTTTAATTAACTAATGATTTAGTTTTATATTTAAGCTACGATTAATCTTTTTTCTTTGGTGATATTTCTTTGCTTTTTTTTTAACAACTTTCAATTTTTAGATGTTTCGTTGAATCTATTTAGAGCTTCACCATGGCAATATGTATTTCCCTTGAAACACTGCAAACAAATATACTAGGAGTGTGCCCTTTTAATCTTCACTAGTTATTGTGAGATTGCTGTGTAAGCTAATAAACACATTTGTAAATACATTGTTTGCAGGAAGAAAACTTCGAGTTATAGGTCAGGAAAAGCCTGCTGAATTTATGTTGTAAACGTTACTTAACACAGTATAAAGATGAAAAGACAACAAAAATATCTTCATACTTCCTCATCCCCTCATTGCAACAAAACCTTAAACTGGGAGAACCTTAGTCCCCTCTCTTTCCTCTTCCTCCTCCACTTCCCACTTATTGTCACCTTGTAATATTCAGAGAGCACTTGGATTATGGATCTGAATAGAGAAATGCTTACAGATAATCATTAGCCCACATACCAGTAACTTACACTTAAAGATGGGATGGAGTTATAAAGTGCTTTTATAATACAATATAATTGCTAAAGGCAAGGGTTGACTCTGTTTTATTTTGACATGGCATGTCCTGAAATAAATATTGATTCACTGTGGCAGATGGGTCATACTCTTTATTTGGAAGAAGTTGTGACTTCTGACATGGGGGTGATTGCCTTCCTACACTGTTGCATTTGATTCTTTTTATGTATTTTTTAAAAAGTAAGCAGTTATACTGCTTTTAATATTGATTGGTCTTTTTATTTGGCTTGGAGTTCTTCAAAGCAGTGAAGTGTGTTCATAGTCCAGATTTTTTTTTAGTAAACACAATTTTGCTGCCAAAAATATATAAATAAAACACAAAACAAAAATTAAAAAATGTTGAAAATATTAGACCATCTCCCTTTTTACCACCTTCCCTTTTTACCTTTTACTGCCATTTACATCCACACATCCACACACACAATGCTATGCTATGTTTAATAGCATTTCCCTGATTACCAATATTAGGCATTATATATTGTCTATTCATGTTTTCATATTTTGTATAATGTCTATATCCTTTGTTCATTAAATTGTGTTATTTGTATTATTCTTTATAATTCTTTAACACATTGCTGTTTATATGTTGGTTATATTTTACATTTTCTTCTAGTTTATGGGAAGTCTTTTTCTTTTCCTAAGACAATCTATTGATAAATATAAGCTATGAATATTAAAGTTATAATTAAAGTTATCAAATGTTTGAGATAAATTTATTCATTAGCTCTTTATGAGTTTTTGGTTTTTTTCAGGTTAAATGAAATAACTTCTTTTTTTGTTTTTTGATGTGAAGAATTTGGTGGAGAAATTAAAATTTCAGATGCAGAAAAAGAAGCAAGAAAATTGCTGGAATGACAGGCATGAGTAGGTAACAGGTGTTATGGTTAATACTGAGTGTCACCTTGATTGGACTGAAGGATGCAAAGTATTGTTCCTGGGTGTGTCTGTGAGGGTGTCACCAAAGGAGATTAACAGTTGAGTCAGTGAACTGGGAGATGCAGACCCACCCTCAGTCTGGGTGGTCACCCTCTAATCAGCTGCCAGCGCATCTAGGATAAAAGCAGGCAAGGAATATGGAAGGGCTCGACTGGCTCCATCTTTCTCCCGTGCTGGTTGCTTCCTGCCCTCAAACGTCAAACTCCAAGTTCTTTCAGCTTTTGGACTCTTGGACCTACACCAGGGGTTTGCCAGGGGCTCTCAGGCCTTCAGCCACAGACTGAAGGCTGCACGGGTGGCTTCCCTACTTTTGGGATTTGGGGACTCAGACTGGCTTTCTTCCTCCTCAGCTTGCAGACAGCCTATCGTGCAACTTCACCTTGTGATTGTGCGAGTCAACACTCTTTAATAACCCATTTTATATATACATTTATCCTATTAGTCCTGTCCCTCTAGAGAATCCTAATACAACAAGACACAGCACCCAGTCACAGTAAGAGGGGTGGACATTATTTAGAAGCAAAGACAGTTCACCCATATGAAAAGGAGAGATAACAGAATGTAGGTATAGATATATGAAGATGAGCAGATGTAGAGACTGGAGATTTTGAAATTCTTGTCAAATGACCACTTTTTTTTACAAGTGAAATAGAAAATAAAGTTATCAGCAAAGAGTGAAGATGGGAAGGAGAGAAAATAAATATGAACTGTTACTCTGGGAAAGGATGAGAATGAATGGAGCAGGGAATATTTTTTTCTGGGAAGCATAAAGACATGAGCTTTGTGATCATGAATTTCAGTTGAAACAAATCAACCTGATTCCCTCTTATTCTATTTTAAATTTCAGTTTTATTTATTTAAAAATCTGAACATAATATCCATAATTATAGTATTATACAGAAGAGTTTCACTGCCCTAAAATTCCTCTGTACTCCATCTGCTCATCCCTCTGTCCCCCATAACTCCTGGCAACCACTGATTTTTTTTTAACTGTCTCCATAGTTTTGCCTTTCCCAGAATGTCATGTAGCTGGAGTCATACAGTATGTAGCATTTCCTGATTGGCTTCACTCAGAAACATGTATTTGAGATTCCTTTATGTCTTTTTATGGCTTGATAGGTCATTTCTTTTTAATGCTGAATAATATTTAATTATTTGGATGTATTACAGTTTATCCATTTACCTAATGAAGGACATCTTGTTGGCTTCCAAGTTTGGCAATTATGAATTAAGCTGCTATAAACATTATTGTGCAGGTTTTTGTGTGGACAAGTTTTCAGTTTCTTTAGGTAAATACTAAGAAGCATTAATGCTAGATTATATGATAAGAGTTTGCTTAGTTTTGTAAAAAGCTGACCAACTGTCTTCGTAAGTGGTGTAACATTTGCATTCCTACCAGCATCATCAGCATTTGATGCTGTCTGCCTTTCATATTCATCAGGCTTAACCTTCATAATTTTGCTGCACTTACTTTTAAAATGAAAGTCTTCAATTCATCCCATGCTTTGTTTCTTAAACAATCTTGAATGAGTTCTTTAAAGTCTAAAAATCTCCAGAAAATAAAAGTGTTAACTATATATTGAGAGCTGAAGTTTGCAGAGCAAAGGAGTGACACTAAATTGGTGACGATGTAAAACCTCAGCTGAAAAATTCTAATAGCTACAGAAGAGGTATGATATTTTCATATATAGTTCCTTCTCATTTACATGTGTAAACTTAAGAGAGTCAGGAGTATTGTATTGTTAGGAAAATCAGAGCACTTCAAAAAATTGTTGTTTATAATGTTTAGAAATTTAGACCTAACACTTTCATGATATAGACTAGAGTAGACTTAGCTAAACAGAACCATTTATCAGTCTGTTGTACATATTGTTTTTGACACATTTATTATAAACTACAAAAGAATAAAATAATGTAAAACTACTTTGAGAGGGTATCTAATAAAAATAAGATAATTATGGGATTTCTATTATCCACACTCAATTAAGACTAATATTTTTAATTTAAAAAAGTTTTTTAAAGAAGAATTCCTAAATGGTAATTGATAGTACATTACCTTGGTTTTTCTGATAAAAATCCTCGAAGAATAAAAATAATTTCTTCCTGTCTCTATATTACAATTAGCATAATTGAAATAATATGCTTCAATTGTTAGTAAAGTAACATTTATGTTTTGGGATCAGTGAAGCTAAGCCAACACTAAGAATTTTATTACTATTCCTCCACTACATTTCAGAGAGTTATTTCTTCACCCTTAAACATACCCCAATAATGAGTCTGCTAGGTCCATTTAGATTATCAACCCAACCCTAAAAGAAAGAAGATTTCCATTGGTTACACATTTCAGAAGATTGTTGTATCTTTGGAACATCTGCAGTCTCATCTTAATGAATTTCAAACAAGAGCACTGAGACTCCAGCTAATAGAACTATCTAATTCAGTCTTATTAAGATCCCAAAGATCAATGGCAAAGCATTGGCTATTTTCTGCACTTTGTGCAAGAATTAAAATTTGGCCAGGATTGTTGTTCATAGCAGGAGTCATGAATGGTTTTGTGGTGTTTTATGACATCTTAAAGGCTACATTGAACCTTGTTCTTATATCATGATCTGCTAAGCAATTCACCAACCATACTTCTCCACTTCAGTCCTGATTTTAGCCTCCTTAGGAGAACACTGGAGACATGATTGGTAGTAATGGCCCATTTCTTGACATTTTTGACCAGCTATAGAGTCCATGCCAGATACACATATATATATATGTGTGTGTGTGTGTGTATATATATGTAGTGTGTGTGTGTGTGTGTCTGTGTGTGTGTTGACTTGCTTAAAGATGTTACAGGGAAGATTATGTTTAAGAACAGTTAGAGGGAAATGTCTTTTTGAGTTTGTTTCCTAAACCCTAAGCCATTCAGCTGACCTTATTATTTCTCTTTACCTTATAGTGTAAAAGTCAAAATGTCTGTGTATAATGGGAAAGGAGAGAGGCGGGAGGAGAAGATGAAGGGATTAATATCCATGAGCCTTGTAGTAAGGACCTGCCTTTTGCTAGAGACTGAGCACTCCTCATACATTGTCTCATTAAACCAGCTCTCCAAAATAGTATCCCTCCTGTTTTATGGAAGGGACAACTCAAAAATTTTGCATTGCCAGTAAGTGGTGGAGTTGGAATTTATCTGCCCCCAAAGCTTCACAGACTTGCTTTAAAGAAGATGGTTTAATTCTATCTCACACCAGTTAGAATGGCGATCATTAAAAAGTCAGGAAACAACAGGTGCTGGAGAGGATGTGGAGAAATAGGAACGTTTTACACTGTTGGTAGGTGTGTAAACTAGTTCAATCACTGTAGAAGACAGTGTGGCGATTCCTCAAGGATCTAGAACTAGAAATACCATTTGATCCAGTGATCCCATTAGTGGGTATATACCCAAAGGATTATAAATCATGCTACTATAAAGACACATGCACACGTATGTTTATTGCGGCACTATTCACAATAGCAACGACCTGGAACCAACTCAAATCTCTATCGATAGACTGGATTAAGAAAATGTGGCACATATACACCATGGAGAACTATGCAGCCTTAAAAAAGGATGAGTTCATATCCTTTGTAGTGACATGGATGAAACTGGAAACCATCATTCTGAGCAACCTACTGCAAGGACAGAAAACCAAACACCGCATGTTCTCACTTATAGTTGGGAATTGAACAATGAGAACACTTGGACACAAGGCGGGGAACATCACACACCAGGGCCTGTCATGGGGTGGGGGGATGGGGGAGGGATAGCATTAGGAGAAATACCTAATGTAAATGACGAGTTAATGGGTGCAGCAAACCAACACGGCACATGTATACATATGTAACAAACCTGCGCGTTGTGCACATGTACCCTAGAACTTAAAGTATAATAAAAAAAAGAAGATAGTATAATTCAAAGTACTTTCAAAAGGACATAGCGCTATACTGAGGTTAGAAAAAACAGTGTTCCCAAGCTGAGATCCTTCTGTGCACTTTGTAACCCTTGTTTACCCTGGCAGTTGCAATACTACCAATTTGACCATTAAGAACATTCGGTATGTTTAAACTATAGTGGGAAAGCCAAGATATGAAACCATCACCCATGGGAATTTTGAGGCTAGAGTAATTAGAAGCTAATTTAAGATCTCCATTCAACTCTAGGACAGTCAGGGTAACTGCCAGAGAAGCTGCATGCTGGGTAAATCCTGATCCCAAAGTGGAATTTTGCCCTAGTACAATGGGTTCATACTTGATTGGCTGCACTTAGCTATACATCCTGAGGAGGAGGAAGAGGAGGAGGAGGAGAAGGGGAAGGGGAAGAGGAAGAAGACGAAGAGGAAGAAAGAAGAAGAAGGAAGAGAAGGAGGAGGAGGGGGAGAAACGACATCAGAAAGTAATTGGGCTAGAAGAACTTTAATTTGGAAGCAAAACACAGAATCCAGGTGAGTGGGCTTACTGGGAAAGGGTCGTGCCACGTCGCTCCCACAGTGGAGGGCCTTATGATGGCGATGGTTAGGTTTCTGCTCTCCTGCTGCACCACCATTTCTCCCAAGGCCTTGCTGTAGGTGCAAGAATTGGGCGGATCTCTGATCAGCTTGGGTGTGATCTCATCAATAACAGCGTCATCTAACCACCTAAAAGGTAGTCAGAGTAAAAAGAATTCTAGCAGCATATGTTAGACAATAGACCAAAAGGAAAATGTGACACACAAATAGTCAAACAAAACTTCCACCTTTTAGCCTTGGTTCTGGAATTCAGAACAGTCACACGATACCAGGTTTGAGTGCATACCTGTTCAAAGCATGCATGAGCTCTTTGCTCTCCACTGCTAAGCCCAATCTCATCAGCCAAATCCTATGCCCTCCCATCTAGAGAGATAGGTAGGTAGACAGACCAATAGAATCAATAGCAATACCACTTTGTTATTACTACTAGTATAGGGCTATTAGTACTACTTGATTAGTATGACTTTAGCACTACTATTTATCAATTACTTTATCAATATTATTACTTTATCTGTAGTAGTGCTAATTTGAGGTAATTACATACAACCTCTTTACTTCCTCTCCAAGAAGCTCATAAGTAAATTCATTGCACGCATTTTTGATTCCCAATCATTCTCCCAGTAGTGTGCTGGAAGCTGTGTTCAGGGAGTTTGAGGCTCTCATCCAAGGTGTTTCAGTGGCAGCCCTGTTCAGTGTTGTCCCATAGAAACCAGTGCAGTGATCCTGAAGAGTTTAGCTTTACATTTTAAAAATTTCATTCAATGCAAATCAAACCAAAGTGACTACTTTTGGCAGACTGACAATCTGTTTTACCAAATCTATGTAATGCATTTTGAAGGTCTGTTTGGAATCTGTGCTAATAACTTGCTAATTATTTCCAGAGATTTCCAATGAATTCTGAAGTCTGTCAAGTGTGGTGATTATAGTACTCTGAAATTGCTTCAAAATCATGAATATTGAATTATCCTATCTCTAATATGACATGTATCATGAATAACTGAGTTACCATAGCATCAGCCTAATCTTTCTTAAAAATGTCAGAACTGGCCTGGCGGAGTGGCTTACACCTGTAATCCCAGCACTTTGGGAGGCCGAGGCGGGCAGATCTTGAGGTCAGGAAATTGAGACTATCCTGGTCAACACGGTGAAACCCCGTCTCTACTACAAATACAAAAATTAGCTGGGCGTGGTGGCACGCGCCTGTAATCCCAGCTACTTGAGAGGCTGAAGCAGGAGAATCGCTTGAACCCAGGGGTCGGAGGTTGTAATCAGCCAAGATAGCACCACTGCACACCAGCCTGGTGACAGAGAGAGACTCCATCCATCTCAAAAAAAAAAAAAAAAAAAAAGAACCATTTGATGAACCCGAAGTCTATCTACCTGTCTCTAAGAGACAAAAAAATTATTGTCAATTAAAATGTAACATTTATTCTGACAGATCTGTGTGGTTAAATTATTGATATAGCATTTTAAAAATTAAGCTGCCATTCTAGCTGATGTGAGATGGTATCTCATTGTGGTTTTGATTTGCATTTCTCTGATGGCCAGTGATGGTGAGCATTTTTTCGTGTGTCTGTTGGCTGCGTAAATGTCTTCTTTTGAGAAGTGTCTGCTCATATCCTTTGCCCACTTTTTGATGGGGTTGTTTGTTTTTTTCTTGTAAATTTGTTTAAGTTATTTGTAGATTCTGGATATTAGCCTTTTGTCAGATGGATAGATTGCAAAAATGTTCTCCCATTCTGTAGGTTGCCTGTTCACTCTGATGGTAGTTTCTTTTGCTGTGCAGAAGCTCTTTAGTTTAATTAGATCCCATTTGTCTATTTTGTCTTTTGTTGCCATTGCTTGACATAGGAACGATTTTACACTGTTGGTGGGAGTGTAAACTAGTTCAACCATTGTGGAAGACAGTGTGGTGATTCCTCAAGGATCTAGAATTAGAAATACCATTTGACCCAGCGATTCCATTACTGGGTA
Source organism: Homo sapiens (assembly GCF_000001405.40). Lineage (NCBI taxonomy): Eukaryota > Metazoa > Chordata > Mammalia > Primates > Hominidae > Homo > Homo sapiens. The sequence goes on along the minus strand of NC_000002.12, from coordinate 131,353,746 downwards.
TATACCCAAAGGATTATAAATCATGCTACTATAAAGACACATGCACACGTATGTTTATTGCGGCACTATTCACAATAGCAAAAAGTTGGAACCAACCCAAATATCCATCAGCCATAGACTGGATTAAGAAAATGTGACACATGAGGCCAGCGCCGGCGGCGGCGGCAGCGGTGCTGGGGGCGCAGAGGGCCGCGCAAGCGGAACCGGGCGAGCACGCGAGCTACCGGAGAGCGGGCGGCCTTGCGGGAGGCGGCGGCGGCACCCCAGGCCAAGCCGGCACGGGAGGAGTTCCAGGGCGATGGGGCCGCGGCCGGGCCTGATGCTTTGACAGCTGGAAAGAGCGCGGAGCCAGCGCCTGCTCGGGAGGGAGGGGAGCGCTGCTAGGAGAGCGCCAGCCAGCGAGAGAGGGAGGGAGCGCCTGGGAGGGGGCCGGGGGCGAGGGGCAGCTCGGGAGAGCCGGAGCGGTGGCGGCTGTGGGGAGGCTGGGCGCCCTCTTCCCTGCAAACCATGTTTGCCAAAGGCAAAGGCTCCTTGGTGCCCTCGGACGGGCAGGCTGGGGAAAAGTTAGCTTTATACGTCTACGAATATTTACTGCAGGTAGGAGCACAGAAATCTGCACAGACCTTCTTATCGGAGATTCGCTGGGAAAAAAACATCGCGTTGGGAGAACCGCCTGGGTTTTTGCACTCGTGGTGGTGTGTATTTTGGGACCTTTACTGTGCAGCTCCTAAAAGGAGAGATACTTGTGAACATTCAAGTGAAGCAAAAGCCTTTCATGATTATAGTGGAGCAGCTGCCCCAAGCCCCGTGCTTGGCAACATTCCCCCAAGGATGGGATGCCTGGAGGCCGAGTCCCCCCAGGTTTCTTTCAGGGTCCTCCGGGGTCACTGCCCTCGCCGCACGCACAGCCTCCACCTCACAATCCTAGCAGCATGATGGGACCCCACAGTCAGCCTTTTTTGTCACCGCGATACGCAGGCGGCCCCAGGCCCCCCGATCAGAATGGGAAACCAGCCTCCGGGAGGAGTTCCTGGGACACAGCCATTGCTGCCCAATTCCATGGATCCCGCACAACAAGGCCACCCCCACATGGGAGGATCAATGCAGAGAATGAACCCTCCCCGAGGCATGGGGCCCATGGGTCCCAACCCACAGAATTATGGCAGCGGCATGAGACCACCACGCAATTCCCTCGGCCCCCCCATGCCCGGGATTAACATGGGCCCGGGAGCCGGCAGACCCTGGCCCAATCCTAACAGTGCTAACTCAATTCCATACTCCTCATCACCTGGTACCTATGTGGGACTCCCTGGTGGTGGCGGCCCTCCAGGAACACCCACTATGCCCAGTCCCTCAGATTCAACAAATTCCAGCGACATCTACACAACGATTAATCCGGTGCCGCCTGGAGGCAGCCGGTCCAACTTCCCGATGGGTCCCGGCTCGGACGGTCGGATGGGCAGCATGGGCGGCATGGAGCCACACCACATGAACGGATTGTTAGGGTCAGGCGACATAGATGACTTCCAAAAACTTATCCTAACAACGTAAATAGTATTAGCAATCCTCCAGGCACCCCTCCAGATGAGGGCGAGCTAGGAGGGAACTTCCTCCACTCCTTTCAGAATGACAATGATTCTCCAAGCACGACGATGAGTGTGTGATCCCCCCTTCTCCAAGACGCTGAGAGAGCCGGCATTGCAGGCGGGAAGATGCCAGAAATCACGCAAGAAGTGAGGTGTCATTATCCAGGAGCTGGTGGGGAGGGCATCTCCTGCTCCCCTCAACCCCCTCCCACCCCATCCATGCCCACCTTTCCCAATTTTAGTTTCATGCAGTAAAAAGGCCGAACTTTTTATTCCATAAAACAAAACAAAAGAAAGAAAATGTGGCACGTATACACCATGGAATACTATGCAGCCATAAAAAAGGATGAGTTTGTGTCCTTTGCAGGGACATGGATGAAGCTGGAAACCATCATTCTGAGCAAACTATCATAAGGACAGAAAACCAAACACCACATGTTCTCACTCATAGGTGGGAATTGAACAATGAGAACACTTGGACACAGGGCGGGGAACATCACACACGGGGGCCTGTCCTAGCGTGGAGGCTAGGGGAGGGATAGCATTAGAAGTACCTAATGTAAATGACGAGTTAATGGGTGCAGCAAACCAACATGGCAGATGTATACCTATATAACAAACCTGCACGTTGTGCACATGTGCCCTAGAACTTAAAGTATAATAATAAAAAAATTAAGCTGCCAGAATATGCTAGTGTGATTTTTCTGACCAATGTGGTCCATTTATTTCTATTTTATACAACAGAACATAACTATACTATTTTGATTGTAGAAAATCTTCACTGTTACCACCTTGCTGACATGACACATTTTTGAACAACTAAGATGTGCATGAGGTTAAGACTTATTCAGAATCACAACTCTCAGTATTAATGCCTCATTTCATCCTGGGGTAGAACATGGGCATTGACTATAATGTTTCCATTTTTCTTGCTTTGCTTCTGAGTGCTGAGTGTGTTCTGGATACTCAAATGCCTTTTCATTTAAATTGAATAGAGAAAGATTGAGGGCTTCTAGAATTAAAAGCAACTTAAACTACATAGTAATATCAAGGATATTTTAATTATATGGTCACCTGGAGGCTGGGAAAAAGTGTAGGACGATGCAGACACCTCTCCATCTTAACAATAATCCTACCTCATTTCATTTGTGGGTCAACAGCAGATTGACTGACCTGAGATCATTTTCCCTCAACTGCAAAAATATACAGTTTATAAAAACCAGGTCTTCAGAAAATAGAGCTTAATATCAATAAGGCTGTAAAGAAAAATTCCTAGAAAACATCAGAGCCCAACAATGTGCTGGGATTGTATGTCACATGGCTAGTACCAGTTGCGGTCATTAATGTTGGGGTACATGGAAAGGATAATACTTGGGGGGATGGGGGCCTTATAAAGCTTAGTAGGTTTGCTTGTCTTAGAAAATGTTGTTTTTGGTTGTTGTTGTTTTGGTTTCGTTTGGTTTATTTGGGTTTTTTTTTTTTTTGCTTTTTTTTTTTTGAGAAGGAGTCTCGCTCTTTTCCCCCAGGCTGGAGTGCAATGGTGTGATCTCGGCTCACTGCAACCTCTGCCTCCCAGGTTCAAGCAATTCTGCCTCAGCCTTCTGAGTAGCTGGGATTATAGGTGCCTGCCACCACGCCTGGCTAATTTTTGTACTTTTAGTAGACACAGGGTTTCACCATGTTGGCCAGGCTAGTCTCGAACTACTGACCACAGGTGATTCACCCTCCTCGGCCTCCCAAAGTGCTGGGATTTCAGGCATGAGAAAATGTTGGTAATACACATGCAAGAAATTTTAATATTCTATAGATGGCTTGCCTCTGTTGTTCTTAGTTACACCTGTATTCCACTGTTTTATCTTCTCATTCCAATTTTACTTGTGAAAATAGCAATAATTATATTCATTCTAAATTCTCAGGCTATTATGAGGGTAAACAAAAATATTCACAACTGCATTTAAGATCTTTGATAAAACAAAATGAGCCAAAAACCTAAGGCATTCCTATTTTTAAATAAAACAACAAGGGAGCATCAAACATCTGTGTAGGTAATAGTTGGCTGTAAAATGTCATTTCTGGCCAGGTGTCGTGGCTCGAACCTATAATCTCAGCACTTTGAGAGGCCAAGGAAGGAGGATCGCTTGAGTCCAGGAGTTTGAGACCAGCCTGAGCAACATAATAAGGCCCTGTCTCTACAAAAAAAGTTTTTAAAACTTAGCTGGGCATGGTGGCATGCACCTGTAGTCCTACTCAGGAGGCTGAGGCAGGAGGATTGCTTGAGCCTGGGAGTTGAAGGCTGTAGTGAGCTGTGATTCTGCCACCCTACTCCAGCCCAGGTGAAAGAGCAACACCCTGTCTCAAAATAAATGAATGAATGAATGAATGAATTAATGAAACAAATAAAAATAAATTATCATTAATAATACAGCCAGACAGACCATCTGCTAGCTCATTCAGCCAGTTCCTAGGTTCAGACAGGAGATTAGTGTAAACACGCACATGCACTGACTGGGAAAAGCCCTTCTCAGGACTTTCACTCAATTCAGGGTTGCTGCTGTTGTTTGTCCTCAGTATGTTTTTAAACAGTAAATAAGTTACCATGGATAAAAAACACTATGTAAACCAAAATACATGTCTGAAATTAATCGAAATGTTCTTCAGTATACTCAAGAAGATGTTTTGACCCAGGGGTCTCAAATTCTAAACTCGAATTGCTTCAGAAGAAGCATAAAGTCATTGAAAATTTCAGAAAGCAATATGTATATGTCTATGCGTGTACATGCATAGACACATATACAATTTCTTCTAAAGATTACTATCAATTTTGGGGTTACAAACTTATTGAATGAACATGATGATATCATTAATAATTACATTATTTATGTATTTACGGAATGAAATGCCAAGAGGCATATGTATTTCCCCTCCCCGACCCTCCAATTTTCTTACGCAACAAGTTGGCAAGCCTAGTGGTTTATGAGGAAATCTGTTAGAGAGTAAGTAGTGGATACACTGTCTTATGATAACATTTGGTCTCTCTTTCTCCAGTCTAAATTATATAATTCACTTGATTGTTGTAGTTGTCAAGTTGTATTTGTTTATGTGTCTGTCTCCCCACTGGACAGTGAGTCCAGGAGAACAGGGATTATGATTTTTATCTCTGTGTCTAATCACTTTTCTGCCCCCAGGAGCCAGCTACCTTATTCAGTAAATCGATGCTCTTCCACATGGTAATCCTGATTGGCCAATTTCTGCACTATATAAGGTTTTGGGAAGCAGAGATGGACAATGATGAGAGAGAGTGGATGAAAGGAAGATGAGGTTATAGGGAGAATGTGAGAAAGGAAGGAAGGGGATATCTTCATAGAACAGGAAGCAAAATTGGAAGTCAAAGTGTGCAGTGGCAGTGGTGAAAAGTGTTGACCAACCTCGGTTTGGTGAAGGTGGCGTCAAATCAATTTAAACTTGTCACAGGGAAGCAGGGTATTTCTGAGCCTAATGCTTATGGAGGATTAGTCTCTGTATTTCCCTCCAGACTTTCACAGACTACTCAGCCTAGCCCAAACATGAGCCAGATGCCAAATGGACTGCCAATGTGAAAATTATTCGATTTGATTAAGAAACAATTTAATCTTACTCTGGTTTGTATTTAAAGCCTGCTAATATCAAAGTACACAGAATTTTCATTTTTATATCAGCAACTTAGATGCCATTTAGAAGCTGTGCCATCCTGAAATTAAAAGCACAAGTTGTAGAGTCAGCTTTCACCATTCCCCTAGAAGAGATCAGCTTTTTTGGTGTTAACAATGTGTTCTATAGCAGGAAGGAAAGGCTACTGTCCAACGTCTGACCTCCTTTCCTATCTCCTGGAGGGCTGTGATGAGGGCCACTGATGCTGGCTGTGGGGGTCTCCATTTCCCTGCCTCTCACCCCTGCACCCTTAGGGCACATGCCACCTTTCCTTTTTTACATGGCAGACTAGCTATGTCTTCTGGTGGCCATGTAGCTTCAGAAGTGTGGTTTTTAGTAGGTACAGATCCATGAGGAACTTTCATTCAATTAAAGCTTCTAGGAACTGAAAGACAACAGAAGGTGAGGAAGGCAGGAGAAAGAGGAAGCATGGGGTATTAGAAGATAAATGATCCTCATTTCAAATGAAGACTGCTTAATGAAAAATCTCCTTAAGGCACTATTTCCCAAACTTGCCTGGTCATCAGTGTGAATTACACAAGGCCCCTGGGAAAAATCCAGACTCCTGGGTGCCATTTTAGAACCACTAAATACATCTGCAGAGGTAAGAGTCTGGATAATCTGTATTTTCAATATGCCCTGGAAATTCCAACAGTCAGGCAAATTAGGGAATCACTAATTTAAAGAAGTCCGCTCCACCAACTTAAGTCATTAAGATTTGAATATATCAGGACTAGCTCTCAAAAACGCATTGCTTCTTGAAGTAAACATTTCAACAGAATTGAATTTTAAAAGAATTAAATCCCCTGAGGGTGGAGCGAAGACGGCCGAATAGGAACAGCTCCAGTCTACAGCTCCCAGCGTGAGCGACGCAGAAGATGGGTGATTTCTGCATTTCCATCTGAGGTACTGGGTTCATCTCACTAGGGAGTGCCAGACAGTGGGTGCAGGACAGTGGGTGCAGCGCACAGTGCATGAGCCGAAGCAGGGTGAGGCATTGCCTCACTCGAGAAGCGCCGGGGGTCAGGGAGTTCCCTTTCCTAGTCAAAGAAAGGGGTGACAGACGGCACCTGGAAAATCGGGTCACTCCCACGCTAATACTGCGCTTTTCCAGTGGGCTTAAAAAACCGCACACCAGGAGATTATATCTGGCACCTGGCTCGGAGGGTCCTATGCCCATGGAGTCTCTCTGACTGCTAGCACAGCAGTCTGAGATCAAACTGCAAGGCAGTAGCGAGGCTGGGGGAGGGGTGCCTGCCATTGCCCAGGCTTGATTAGGTAAACAAAGCAGCTGGGAAGCTAGAACTGGGTGGAGCCCACCACAGCTCAAGGAGGCCTGCCTGCCTCTGTAGGCTCCACCTCTGGGGGCAGGGTACAGACAAACAAAAAGACAGCAGTAACCTCTGCAGACTTAAATGTCCCTGTCTGACAGCTTTGAAGAGAGTAGTGGTTCTCCCAGCACACAGCTGGAGATCTGAGAACGGGCTGACTGTCTCCTCAAGTGGGTCCTTGACCCCCGAGCAGCCTAACTGGGAGGCACCCCCCAGTAGGGGCAGACTGACACCTCACACGGCCGGGTTCTCCTCTGAGACAAAACTTCCAGAGGAACAAACAGGCAGCAGCATTTGCGGTTCACCAAGATCTGCTGTTCTACAGCCACCACTGTTCTGCAGCCACCGCTGCTGATATCCAGGCAAACAGGGTCTGAAGTGGACCTCCAGCAAACTCCAACAGACCTGCAGCTGAGGGTCCTGTCTGTTAGAAGGAAAACTAACAAACAGAAAGGACATCCACACCAAAAACCCTTCTGTACATCACCATCATCAAAGACCAAAAGTAGATAAAACCACAAAGATGGGGAAAAAACAGAGCAGAAAAACTGGAAACTCTAAAAAGCAGAGCACCTCTCCTCCTACAAAGGAACGCAGCTCCTCACCAGCAATGGAACAAAGCTGGAAGGAGAATGACTTTGACAAGCTGAGAGAAGAAGGCTTCAGACGATCAAACTACTCCAAGCTACTGGAGGAAATACAAACCAATGGCAAAGAAGTTAAAAACTGTGAAAAAAATTAGACGAATAGATAACTAGAATAACCAACACACAGAAGTCCTTAAAGGAGCTGATGGAGCTGAAAGCCAAGGCTCGAGAACTACATGAAGAATGCAGAAGCCTCAGGAGCCGATGCGATCAACTGGAAGAAAGGGTATCAGTGATGGAAGATGAAATGAATGAAATGAAGCGAGAAGGGAAGTTTAGAGAATAAAGAATAAAAAGAAATGAACAAAGCCTCCAAGAAATATGGGACTATGTGAAAAGACCAAATCTACGTCTGATTGTTGTACCTGAAAGTGACGGGGAGAATGTAACCAAGTTGGAAAACACTCTGCAGGATGTTATCCAGGAGAACTTCCCCAATCTAGCAAGGCAGGCCAACATTCAGATTCAGGAAATACAGAGAATGCCACAAAGATACTCCTCGAGAAGAGCAACTCCAAGACACAGATTCACCAATTTGGTCACAGATTCACAGATTTGGTCAGATTCACCAAAGTTGAAATGAAGGAAAAAATGTTAAGGGCAGCCAGAGAGAAAGGTTGGGTTACCCACAAAGGGAAGCCCATCAGACTAACAGTGGATCTCTTGGCAGAAACTCTACAAGCCAGAAGAGAGTGGGGGCCAATATTCAATATTCTTAAAGAATTTTCAACCCAGAATTTCATATCCAGCCAAACTAAGCTTCATAAGTGAAGGAGAAATAAAATACTTTACAGACAAGCAAATGCTGAGAGATTTTGTCACCACCAGGCCTGCCCTAAAAGAGCTCCTGAAGGAAGCACTAAACATGGAAAGGAACAACTGGTACCAGCCACATGCCAAATTGAAAAGACCATCCAGGCTAGAAAGAAAATGCATGAACTAACGAGCAAAATAACCAGCTAACACCATAATGACAGGAACAAATACACATATAACAATATTAACTTTAAATGTAAATGGTCTACATGCTCCAATTAAAAGACACAGACTGGCAAATTGGATAAAGACTCAAGACCCATCAGTGTGCTGTATTCAGGAAACCCATCTCACGTGCAGAGACACACAAAGGCTCAAAATAAAGGGATGGAGGAAGACGTACCAAACAAATGGAAAACAAAAAAAGGCAGGGGTTGCAATCCTAGTCTTTGATAAAACAGACTTTAAACCAGCAAAGATCAAAAGAGACAAAGAAGGCCATTACATAATGGTAAAAGGATCAATTCAATAAGAAGAGCTAACTATCCTAAATATATATGCACCCAATACGGGAGCACCCAGATTCATAAAGCAAGTCCTGAGTGACCTACAAAGAGACTTAGACTCTGACACAACAATAATGGGAGGCTTTAACACCCCACTGTCAACATTAGTCCGATCAACGAGACAGAAAGTTAACAAGGATGCCCAGGAATTGAACTCAGCTCTGCACCAAGCGGACCTAATAGACATCTATAGAACTCTCCACCCCAAATCAACAGAATCTACATTTTTTTCAGCACCACACCACACCTATTCCAAAATTGACCACATAGTTGGAAGTAAAGCACTCCTCAGCAAATGTAAAAGAACAGAAATTATAACAAACTATCTCTCAGACCACAGTGCAATCAAACTAGAACTCAGGATTAAGAAACTCACTCAAAACCGCTCAACTACATGGAAACTGAACAACCTGCTCCTGAATGACTACTGGGTACATAATGAAATGAAGGCAGAAATAAAGATGTTCTTTGAAACCAATGAGAACAAAGACACAACATACCAGAATCTCTGGGACGCATTCAAAGCAGTGTGTAGAGGGAAATTTATAGCACTAAATGCCCACAAGAGAAAGCAGGAAAAATCCAAAATTGACACCCTAGCATTGCAATTAAAAGAACTAGAAAAGCAAGAGCAAACACATTCAAAAGCTAGCAGAAGGCCATAAATAACTAAAATCAGAGCAGAACTGAAGAAAATAGAGACACAAAAAACCCTTCAAAAAATTAATGAATCCAGGAGCTGTTTTTTTCAAAAGATCAACAAAATCGATAGACCACTAGAAAGACTAATAAAGAAGAAAAGAGAGAAGAATCAAATAGATGCAATAAAAAATGATAGAGGGGATATCACCACCAATCCCACAGAAGTACAAGCTACCATCAGAGAATACTACAAACACCTCTATGCAAATAAACTAGAAAATCTAGAAGAAATGGATAAATTCCTCGACACATACACACTCCCAAGACTAAACCAGGAAGAAGTTGAATCTCTGAATAGACCAATAACAGGCTCTGAAATTGTGGCAATAATCAATAGCTTACCAACCAAAAAAAGTCCAGGACCAGATGGATTCACAGCCGAATTCTACCAGAGGTACAATGAGGAGCTGGTACCATTCCTTCTGAAACTATTCCAATCAATAGAAAAAGAGGGAATACTCCCTAACTCATTTTATGAGGCCAGCATCATCCTGATACCAAAGCCTGGCAGAGACACAACCAAAAAAGGGAATTTTAGACCAATATCCTTGATGAACATTGATGCAAAAATCCTCAATAAAATACTGGCAAACTGAATCCAGCAACACATCAAAAAGCTTATCCACCATGATCAAGTGGGCTTCATCCCTGGGATGCAAGGCTGGTTCAACATATGCAAATCAATAAATGTAATCCAGCATATAAACAGAACCAAAGACAAAAACCACATGATTATCTCAATAGATGCAGAAAAGGCCTTTGACAAAATTCAACAATGCTTCATGCTAAAAACTCTCAATAAATTAGGTATTGATGGGACGTATCTCAAAATACTAAGAGCTATCTATGACAAACCTACAGCCAATATCATACTGAATGGGCAAAAACTGGAAGTATTCCCTTTGAAAACTGGCACGAGACAGGGATGCCCTCTCTCACCACTCCTATTCAACATAGTGTTGGAAGTTTTGGCCAGGGCAATTAGGCAGGAGAAGGAAATAAAGGGTATTCAATTAGGAAAAGAGGAAGTCAAATTGTCCCTGTTTGCAGATGACAAGATTTTATATCTAGAAAACCCCATTGTCTCAGTCCAAAACCTCCCTAAGCTGATAAACAACTTCAGCAAAGTCTCAGGATACAAAATCAATGTACAAAAATCACAAGCATTCTTATACACCAATAACAGATAAACAGAGAGCCAAATCATGATTGAACTCCCATTCACAATTGCTTCAAAGAGAATAAAATACCTAGGAATCCAACTTACAAGGGCTGTGAAGGACCTCTTTAAGGAGAACTACAAACCACTGCTCAATGAAATAAAAGAGGATACAAAGAAATGGAAGAACATTCCATGCTCATGGGTAGGAAGAATCAATATCGTGAAAATGGCCATACTGCCCAAGGTCATTTATAGATTCACTACAATCCCCATCAAGCTGCCAATGACTTTCTTCACAGAATTGGAAAAACCTACTGTAAAGTTCATATGAAACCAAAAAAGAGCCCGCATCGCCAAGTCAATCCTGAGCCAAAAGAACAAAGCAGGAGGCATCATGCTACCTGACTTCAAACTATACTACAAGGCTACAGTAACAAAAACAGCATGGTACTGGTGCCAAAACAGAGATATAGATCAATGGAACAGAACAGAGCCCTCAGAAATAATGCTGCTTAGCTACAACCATCTAATATTTGACAAACCTGACAAAAACAAGCAATGGGGAAAGGATTCCCTATTTAATAAATGGTGCTGGGAAAACTGGCTAGCCATATGTAGAAAGCTGAAACTGGATCCCTTCCTTACACCTTATACAAAAATTAATTCAAGATGGATTAAAGACTTACATGTTAGACCTAAAACCATAAAAACCCTAGAAGAAAACCTAGGCAATACCATTCAGGACATAGGCAGGGGCAAGGACTTCATGTCTAAAACACCAAAAGCAATGGCAACAAAAGCCAAAATTGACCAATGGGATCTAATTAAACTAAAGAGCTTCTGCACAGCAAAAGAAACTACCATCAGAGTGAACAGGCAACCTACAGAATGGGAGAAAATTTTCACAACCTACTCATCTGACAGAGGGCTAATATCCAGAATCTACAATGAACTCCAATAAATTTACAAGAAAAAAACAAACAACCCCATCAAAAACTGGGCGAAGGATATGAACAGACACTTCTCAAAAGAAGACATTTATGCAGCCAAAAGACACATGAAAAAATGTTCATCATCACTGCCCATCAGAGAAATGCAAATCAAAACCACAATGAGATACCATCTCACACCAGTTAGAACAGCGATCATTAAGAAGTCAGGAAACAACAGGTGCTGGAGAAGATGTGGAGAGACAGGAACACTTTTACACTGTTGGTGGTACTGTAAACTAGTTCAACCATTGTGGAAGTCAGTGTGGCAATTCCTCAGGGATCTAGAACTAGAAATATCATTTGACCCAGCCATCCCATTACTGGGTATACACCCAAAGGATTATAAATCACGCTGCTATAAAGACAATGCACACGTATGTTTATTGAGGCACTATTCACAATAGGAAAGACTTGGAACCAACCCAAATGTCCAACAATGATAGACTGGATTAAGAAAATGTGGCACATATACACCATGGAATACTATGCAGCCATAAAAAATGAAGAGTTCATGTCCTTTGTAGGGACATGGATGAAACTGGAAGCCATCATTCTCGGCAAACTATCACAAGAACGAAAAACCAGACACCACATGTTCTCACTCATAGGTGGGAATTGAACAATGAGAACATATGGACACAGGAAGGGGAACATCACACTCCGGGGACTGTTGTGGGGTGGGGGATGCGGGAGGGATAGCATTAGGAGATATACCTAATGCTAAATGACGAGTTAATGAGTGCAGCACACCAACATGGCACATGTACACATATGTAACAAACCTGCACATTGTGCACATGTACCGTAAAACTTAAAGTATAATAATAAAAAAAAAAGAATTAAATCCCCCAATGCTATCCCTTCCCTAGCTCGCCAACCCTCAACCGGCCCCAGTGTGTGATGTTTTCTTCCCTGTATCCATGTGTTTTCATTGTTCAACTCCCACTTATGAGTGAGAACATGCGGTGTTTGGTTTTCTGTTCCTGTGTTTGCTGAGAATGATGGCTTCCAGCTTCATCCATGTCCCTGCAAAGGACATGAACTCATCCTTTTTTATGGCTGCAGAGTATTCCATGGAGTATATGTGCCACATATTTTTTTTCCAGTCTATCATTGATGGGCATTTGGGTTGGTTCCAAGTCTTTGCTATTGGGAACGGTGCTGCAATAAACATGTGTGTGCATGTGTCTTTATAGTAGAATGATTTATAATCTTTGGGTATATACTCAGAAACGGGATTGTGAAGTCAATTGGTATTTCTGGTTCTAGATCATGGAGGAATAGCCACACTGTCTTCCCCAATGGTTGAACTAGTTTACACTCCCACCAACAGTGTAAAAGCGTTCTTATTTTTCCACATCATTTCCAGCACCTAATGTAGATGAGAGGTTGATGGGTGCGGCAAACTAACATGTCATGTGTCTACCTATGTAACAAACCTGCACGTTCTCCACATGTATCCCAGAACTTAAAGTATAATAATAATGACAATTAAAATGATTGAAAATTTAAAATTTTAATTTAAATTAGGCTTTAGTTACTTGCAAAATACATTGTATTTCCAAACAATGTGCAAAACAACGAGTTATTGTATACATTATCAATAAAGTTATATCACTTCTCATAAAAATAACATTAAAGAAAAATAATTAAATCCATCTTAGGACAATTAAAAAGTGTATCTGTCAATTTTCACATGAAAATTCTCTTACGTTTATACATCCCACATTCTAATAAGGACTAATTGGAATTGATTTATGAGCAGTAAAGAAATATGTGTATGCATGTCTGTATACTTATAGATGTATATCTGTTCCAATGGAAATATCTATTTGTAGTCAGAAAATCTGTTTGGTCCCAGTTCTCACTAATAATATGATCTTACTAAAACTACTTAAACTGAATAAACTCTACTTTCTCATTTATTAAAAAAAAAAGAATTAAATCCCTGGTACTAGAAATGTAAAACATGGCAAGTATGCATGTTCTAATCTGGAGTTAATTTGGTATGTGTAATTCCATAAGCAAAGCAGTAGCCATGTCCAATTGTTTTTTTGTTTTCTTTCCCAAAACACATTGCTAATCCACTGCCTCCCCCAACCCCTGGCCATATCAATATTACTGAAGCCCACTTTCATCAGTGTCTTTCCATGATAAAAACAAATGAGCAAACAACCAAAAATTACACACAAAACCACATACACACACATGGCCCTCCTTCAATGGGGCTCCACTGCCTAGAGAATTAAATCCAATTCCTCTGCATGGTATGCAAAATCTCCACAGTACAGCCCAGCCTGCCTCTCCAGCTTGATCTCTAACTGCTTCCCTACACACATGTGCTGCCAAGAGGGACTTCTGGCTGTGTCCCAAACATGCCTGGGTTTCCCAGCTCCAGTTGCCCTGCCTGGCACGTGTGCACATCTCACCTACCCACAATCTTCCCACTCTTCCAAGTCACCTCATATGCCTCTCTCCACTCCACCAGGCTTAATATGTACTGTTTTCCCACCACCCCACGTGTCTAATTCTGCCCTGTTCTATTTGTCTGGGATGTGAGGTCCTTGGGAACACAGTCTATATGCTAAGAAAGCACCTTTTAATCTCTAACACTGCCGAGTATGTGAGTAGACTGGAAAGACCATGAGCTTCAGAATCAAGTGGCCATGGATACCTTTCTTGGAAGTCTTGATAGACTTTCAAGGAGTTACTTAGCCTTCCTGAGCTTTTTGCTCCTTAATTAGCATAGCAGTGATGATAAATCAACCCTACAATATTAAGTTATGGAAATAAATGTCTGTGAAAGTGTCTTCCTCACAGTGATTGCTCAATAATGATTCATCTCCTCCCTTCCCTTCTTATTTCAGATTTATTTACATATGTTCAATAAACCAATAAGTATTTGTGATTCCATTTTTCTAGTTCCTAATTCTAGTTATTTCAGGTTTTTATACAGGTGCAGAAGCCCTTTTCTTCTACACTGGTTCCCTTAAGAGGAGTTACCTTGACCTAAAACATAAGAAAAGCACCAACCATAAAACTCTGCCTTTCTTGGTCAGTTATATGCATTTTTAAAAATAAACGTTCTACGTAAACCGTTATTCTGGAAAACCAGAATTTCACTGGCAATCCCTGATCCATTTATGCCCATAAATTTCCAAGGTAAATACACCAAATAGGCAGAAGCTGTTAATATGAAGATAGAGATGAGTCAGGATGGGAACTGGTGGCTGGGATGAGGGGCAGAAGACAACTACAGGTATAAGAGCCAGGAAAATTGTTGTTTAACACTGATTAATGGCCATGCTTGTCCTACTCATTAAAAGCATTAACTTCTGATTTAAGTTATTTGAAAATATTTTTATGCTAACATGCTAAAGTTTTTGTGCTAACAAAATCAAATTTCATCTTTCTGGAATATTTCAGAGCCAAGGTAATTCTAAAGTTTTTAGATAGGTGCTAAAGAAAGGGAGCTCAGGCCTGACAGTCTCAGGATATAGGCCAGATAGAAAATCAGGGGAGCTGAACGAGGAGAGACGTTAGGCCTGCAAAGGTAGGGACCAGGATGTTAGCATGAGGTTGAAGTTCACAGTCCCATTCACTTTATTAACAGCACTGAGCAGTATCACTTCTGCCCAAGCCGTCAGAAAGGTCCTGGCCAAAAATGCAAATCCTTCTTTATCTTCCAGAACTAGAATTCCCATTCAACAGATTTTCTGGAAAAATAAAGTTTCCTTTTACATTGTCATGGCTATGTTTTTGAGATCACAATGCCCAGAGTACAGCTTCAAGATTATCTTGATGTCTAACTCCTGGTTCCTTAAGAATGGCTGAAATACTAAGAGCAAATGACAGCTGCTAGACCCCTTGAAGTTACTGTTCAGAAAAAAAAAAAAAAAAAAAAAAAAAAAAACTCTTCCCTAGGTATTTCTCCGTTTCACTAAAAGATAAACTCCCAGGGGAAATAGAAACCTAAAAACCTTTGAAAATAATTCTTTTTTAACACAGGCCAATTACTAAATAGAGAACTCATCAAAGAAAAAGTATTTTCTTCAAACAAAAAACTAAACCTGTGTTTAGGTAAATTAATATTTATTCATAATGATTTTTAACGTTATTTGCCATTCTAAAACTACCAAAACTTCCGTCTGGTATAGGAGTTATTGAAATAGTCATAGATGATGGTATAGGTGGAGAGGGGTTGCTGGGCTTTGTTTAAAGTGCTATTCAAAGCTTCACATATAGGTTTCATTCAAAGTTTAAGAAGAAAAAAACAATCAGAAACGGGTAAGATGTGGGGATATAAATAGATATTTTGTACATAAGACTTCTGCATCCCCAAATATTAGCTTGCTATGGAATTCTTGTTCCAGTCAAAACAAGCAAACAAAAACAGTCAGAACAGCATGAACAACAATCATCTAGTTCCACCAAAAACTTTTCATTCATTCAGCAAGCATTGAGTCCCTAGCTGAAGATGCAAAGAGGAGCAAGAAATATTCTCTTCCATTGAGACGGTCATTGTCTAATGGAAAATGTAGATAAGCAACCAGACATTCAGAATGAGCTGTGTTACAAGCAATAATAAAGCTGAGCACTAGGTACTATGGGGCACTCGGGAAGGCTGCCTAAGCCAGAGAGCTTCACAGGGAGCCTTGATGTCTGAGTGAGAATTAACCAGGTGAAGCAGAAAGGGAAATAGGCTCTAGGAACAGAGAGCTTTGAGCGCAAAGGCAGGCAGAGTGTGAGGAGAGGAGGCCTTACTTCCTTGTGACTGCAGCATGAAGGTAAGGGGAGGGCTGAGAGAAATGAGCCTCGACAGCTGTTCCTGGATGTCCTAATTAATTTTGAATTAACAAATAATAAGTATGACTTTTTCTGTTTTTTTAAAAAAACTTCATTCCTTAATTGCATGCAAAAGGTATCTGTTGAGATAAAATAATTTCATTCCTGGTTCTAATTAGTTGCTTAAATAATTGTTATCCTTGGAGAACAGTAATGACAGATGAACATTAAAAATTTTGTAAAAATGTCAATTGCAGTTTGTTCATATATCACATACTTGAGGGAGTGTGGAAAGTGCTGAATGCCTGAAGATAAATCAACTCTTCCTCTGGGAGGTGAGTTTATTCTTCTTTGAAACCCATTATTTAGTGTCTGGACATGGTGGTATGGAGTACATAGAGAAGCCCTTCGTTAGCAGTGAACTCCTACTTCTTTTCTCTGATGAACCCTCAGACTCTTGCTGCCTCAAATTGCACTACGACCTGTCAGGTGTTAGAGAGATCAGCAGTGGAGAGAGTCCCAGGAAATGGCCTGGAAACAAAAGGAGTCTGCCCCTCTCCTTGGTATATCAAATATGGAAGCATCACATTTGCCAAGAGACAACACCATAAGAGGGTAACTGACAGAAGTCAATTCTATCCTGAAAATGCTCTGAGGTTTTAAACATAGTTTATTGCCTTGATGTTGGGCCTCAGGGTACACCTGCCTTTTCTCCCACTATCCTGATAAATTCTGCACTCTAAAATGTTTCTCTGTATCAATGTAGCAAACCTCCATTTATTAGCAACTTTAAGTAACCTCCAGGTCCTTTAGATGACTTTCATTCTTCTCTGTCCTGAACATTTTTATGACAGACAAAAATATCTATTCTCAGAGCTGGAGGAGATAAAAATGTTTCCCCTGAAGGGAATGAACTCTTAATTAAGCTAAAGCTTTTTAAAGAGTATATATTAAATGTAAATACAATATTATAGAAAATTATAATGTAATAAATTTACTGTGAAAGAGTCCATTTTTCTGGTATAATTATTTTTATGTAGAGTTTTTAAAAAAAATAGAACAAAAAACAAGGTAAACTTAGTGAAATGGAGCAGAATAAAGAAACAGAAAACAAACCTATCCTGAGACCCGAGCTGTGTCCTAGGATGAAAGTGGTTTCTGCTGTTTGGCAAGAAGAGAAAAATCCTAGACACTATTTCTCTTGCATAATAGGACAGTAAGGAAAGGGTGTCTTAACCAAAGAAGTCAAGAGACCTTCTGCCAGATCTTGGAGCAATTCTTATTCTTCATTAGTTCTTCTTTACTAATCATTTGATTAACTGATATTAAACACTCCCTAGCACTGCAATAAGTGTTTTATATAACTTTATTCAACCTCACAACAATCAAATGGGCCCATTTTACAAATGAAGGACCTGGGGTTCAGAGAAGCCAAGGGGCTTTCTCAAAGTCACACAGCTAGTTAGTTGTGGAGCTATGCCGAACTCATGTCTGACTCAAAAATTTTTCTTCTGAACTTTTATACTATACAATGTACTTGCTTTATCTAGTGACAATGTTAAGTTCATTAAGAAGTGAGAAACCACTTCTATGTATAATATTCCCAAGTACCTCATGCAATCCTATACAGTTTAGCAAAATGTTTCTTTAAGAATTTTCTATCCCCCTTCTCTTTCAGCAGTATATTCCCCACCAGGGGATGAAGGAGCTAGCAGGGACAAGGTAGCTAAGGCTAGCAGTGTTTCAAAGCATTTTGCTTCAAAAGTGTTTCACTTCATCATCTCATTAATAGCTACAAAGAATCAAAGAGAGCAACATTCTACTCACACCTGGATCCCTTTATTTGACGAATTATTCAAGGGAATCACAGATTTTTTTTGGCTCCACAGGGCACGAATAAACAACTTCATCGATGTGCTTCAGGTTACCATTTGAAAAGGCAGTAGAGATATGTATAAAGGCTTCCAGCTTTGGCATCTCACTAGCCATAAGAGCCGCTGGGTGGCAGTGATGTTAAGTTGCACAGCATGTCTACAGAAGATTAAGCAGAAGGAAATACAGTGAGGTAAGTCAGCATCATGCCTGGCTATAACTGCACCTACTCCCATAACCGGCATACCTATCAGATTTTGGTGGCTGCACCAAAACACCAGGAAGAAAAGGATGGGGCACGGCTGCACAGTTATGTGATACTTGGAATGTCTTATGTATTGATGATGTGTCTGTGTACATAAACCCTATTCACTGATGCACTGTACGCATATTTAGATGTCACTTGGCTCTAATCAACTGGAAAAAGAATCACAATCCTCTGAATTTACAAAGGTGCTTCTATAAGCAGCCATTAAAAGAACAAAAACATGTAAATTAAGCAGCTAACTGAAGAAATTGGAAAATATAAATAAACTGGAGAGGAGCAACAGTGGATTTTTAAATGAGCAATATCAGTTGTTATTATAAAGGTCTAGGCCAGACATGAAAATTGATGTCAAAATCTGAAATTGCAACTACTGGAATACAAAGCTATATAAACAGTATGTGATAACAATGAAGTAGTTCATTCCATGAATACATGGTTTATTGAATACCAGGAAACTTATTAATTTAATTTAACTCAAAAAGAGAAAAACTATTTAATAATCTATATGTATTTTGAAAAGTTTAAGATGATGTTTAGTTTTCATTTCCAATTTAATTAAATGAATTCACTAGAATAGGAATAAAATGATTAAACAATATATATTTAAATTTGCTAGCCAATGTCATTCTTAATGGTGAAAAGCTAGGAATACTGCTTGTAAAGCCAGGGCTAGAAATAATGCCTACAGTCACAACTACTATTTAACATTGTTCTGAGGTCCTAGCCATGTAAGTAATTAGAAAGAAAACTAAAATTAATGAAGAAATATAGATATTAAAAAGACAGTCACAAAAATTACTATAGGATTATATAATTGCATACCTGGAAAACAGAAGCAGCTTTTTTAAAAAGCTAAAGTGTACTATAGTTCAGTAAGGTGTCCGCTGATTAAAAATTATATAAAAAGGCTGGGTGCAGTGGCTCAAGCCTTAATCCCAGCACTTTGGGAGGCTGAGGCAGGCGGATCACGAGGTCAGGAGATCGAGACCATCCTGGCTAACACGGTGAAACCTCGTCTCTACTAAAAATACAAAAAAATTAGCCGGGCGTGGTGGCGGGCACCTGTAGTCCCAGCTATTTGGGAGGCTGAGGCAGGAGAATGGCATGAACCCGGGAGGCAGAGCTTGCAGTGAGCCGAGATCATGCCACTGCACTCCAGCCTGGGCAACAGAGCAAGACTCCGTCTCAAAAAAACAAAAATGAAACAAAACAAAAAAACCATTAGCTTGCCTATATATAAACAAAAATTAGAGAATACAATGGAAGAAGTTCAAATGTGGACATTTAAAATATAACAAATTAATCATAAATGAATATAATAACAAAAAACAACAAAAATTGAATAAATGGGAAAACTTTGTTCTTGGATAGGAAGAATCAATATTTTAAATATGCTAAATGTTTCTAAAGTATTCTATATCTATAAAGTAATTCCAATCAAACTCCCAAGATTTTTAAAAACCTGGCAAGATTATCTTAAATTTAATCAAGAAGTATATGCAATGAGAACAGTCAGGAAAACTCTGTAAAAATGAGAGTGTGGGAGGTGGAGGTTGCAGTGAGCCACGATTGTGCCACTGCACTCTAGCTTGGGCAACAGAGTGAGACTTCATCTCAAAAAAAATTAAGTAAATAAAATAAAAAATAAAAATAGAAACTCCTCATGTATGACTTCTGTAGTCAGACACTAACACTGTGTTTTTATTAGAAGCAGGAATTGGGTTGGGGGCATTAAATTTATATAATGCTTTTGAAACAATTCAGAAGCCTTTAATGTGGTCTCTTATAATCAACGCGTTAGCCACATGACCTCATTTGGTAGTATCCACAGGAGATTTGGCCTCTACTTCATTGGGCTCATTGAAGCTTTTCCAGTCAAACTTTTCAAGTCATGAGAATCTTTGGTCTTTAATTACTTTACTAAGTCTTGCTCTTCAAAAATAACTGTATTATTTAGTCCCATTAACCTACAAAGACCTGCTTACATACATATATATATATGTACCCAATGTACAGATTAACAAAAATTCACAAAATGTTAAAATTTTTGCTAGTTCACTAGTAACTCCCATAAGATGTAAAGATTAGTCTACATGTTTTTAATGCTTTAGCTAGGATCATTTCTATAACTCCATAAGGCAGCATGGTATAGTAGTATGGCCGTCAAACTTCATCATATAGCAGGGTTGCCTAGAAAGTTGCTCAAACAAACAAACAAACATACATCCTGACCCTGGAAATGCCCATTCAGCAGTGTCAAAGCTTGGGTATCTAGCTTTACTTTGAACACACTGTCTAGTAATTCGGATACACTCTGAAGTTGAGAACCATTGGTGTATTGGAAAGAACTCAGGCCCTTTGGAGTCATGAAAGACTGGATTTGAATTCTGATTCTGCCATTTATTTGCTATGTGACTGGGGCAAGTTATTTACCTCTCTGCACCATCATGTCTAAAATCCCAATCATGTGACTAACTTATCACGTGATCGCAGAGAAGTAGGATTAAGCACAGGTTATGCTGTTCTTATAGACAATTTTGCATTTAACAAAATTTTACTTCACTTTGCATAATAATCTATAATAAATGCTAAATGCAACACAATGTTTGATTCACCATCTTGTTATGCTTTCTTCCCACACCAAAGGTCAATTTCACAGAGTTCTTTAATAATTCTTTCTTGCATCTGGTCAGGAAAGGAACTAGGGTGGCTAGGAAGTTGAACAACCTTAAGCTTATTTCTGCTCTCCAACAGAATTGGTGGTGTCTCTACATTATTCATGCTCGAGGATGGAAGAAGTGTTCATACTAACTCAGAAGTGACAAGCAATAGTTTCCCCTTCTCCATGATATTGTCATGGAGGAAGAAATTTCCTAGGAGAGGCAATAAACTACAGTAGGGAAAGTATGGGCTTTAGAGATTAGAGACCGGCATTCCAATTTTGCTGTATAACTCGGCACAAATTACGTAACCTTGGATAGAGGACAGCTTTCATGAACTAATATCTCATCTGTGATATAGGAATGGGCACACTACAGAGATTTCTGAGGATTAGAGTAATGAAGTCAGATGTTTGTCTTAGTGCCTACCACATTGTAGGTCCCTAATAATAGGAAAATCCCCTTTCTACTTCCACAGCAGTACTCCATTTCCAAAAGCTGCTGATCAGAAAGCTGTGTCGTGTGTGTGTGTGTATGTGTGTGTTGGGCCATGCCAAGGTTTCTAATTCTATTCTGTGATCCAGAGTGTATGCCAAAATCATGTTGAACCTCGTGGCTTTTGAATAAAATAACTATGGGAAATTTGAAGCTTTTAAGAAAAAGACGGTGTGATTGGAAGAGATTTTTAAGAAAAGGAAAGAAGCTGGACATGTAAAACCATGCTGGTGATTGAATTAATTAGTGAATGATAGTGTAAAAGAAGGTAAGAAAGAAATTGAGAAAATAAATTGCTTCTGTTTCTGGAACTGTTAGTGTATCCCCAGGACTAAATTTCCCTCCCTTCCTCCCTCCCTCCCTCCCTTTCTCCCTTCCTCCCTCCCCCCCTTCCTTCCTTCCCCTGTAACTGGCCCACAGGGGAGAGGTTGAACATGCTTCAGCTGATCTGACTCCAGTAACAGGAAAAATGAAAACTAGTTACACTAGAGGCCTCTTGCTTTTTGTGAGATAATTTCTTAGGAAAAATTAAAAAAATAAAACTAATGAACACAACTGGCTTTGGAAATTTAAATGCAAATATTTATAATTTTGGAAGTTTCCAAATGCCTTTCCAGATGTTCCCAATTGCCTTTGCCTTATATAGAGGTTTAACAGAATCATTAATGTCGATCAGAAACTCATTTTTGAAAGTTGAGAAAAAGCAGCTTTCACACAGGGAAGCCTGGGGCAAGCATAAACACACTACTTTTTTTTCCTACAAAAGATTCTAAAAATTATCAAGGAACTCATAAAATAAAATTAGCACTTCTATTGTGTGCTTCTTTAATAATCAACAATGTTGCTCGCAGTCCCAGCGCTCCGAACGACGGTGCCTCCCGTTGACAGCAACCTGAGCGGACCCGCGCCTAGGCCCTCCGCCAGGCCAGGCCTGCGCTGCCTCGCCCCGGGAGAGGAAGACTGAGCCCGGCTCAGGTGGCTGCAGCGCGCGGGCCCGTTTCCTTTCAGCGATCAGTCCCCTGGCGTCCCAGCAGCGCCTTCCCCGCTATCGCGCGTCCCCAGCGCCCGCCGCCGCCGCCGCCAGCTGCTGCCCTGACCGCCGGCCCAGACGTGCCCGCGGACGCCGCTGACAGCGCCTGTGCCATGGGGCTGCCTACTCTGGAGTTCAGCGATTCCTACTTGGACAGCCCGGATTTCAGGGAGCGCTTGCAGTGTCAGGAGATTGAACTGGAGCGAACCAACAAGTTCATCAAGGAGCTCATTAAGGAGGGCTCTCCGCTCACTGGGGCGTTGAGGACAGGTAATGTTGATTGCCTACCCAGTTCCCTTACCCTTTCACCCTTTCCAAAGGAACACACCTCTACCCAGGTTGGGGATCTGTCTATGGCAGTGCAGAAATTTTCCCAGTCATTACAAGATTTCCAATTTGAATGTATTGATAATGCTGAAACAGATGATGAAATTAGTATTAGTCAGTCACTAAAAGAATTTGCAAGACTACTCATTGCAGCAGAAGAAGAAAGGTGAAGACTGATCCAAAAGGCTAATGATGTATTAATTGCACCACTTGAGAAATTTCAAAAAGAACAGATAGGTGCAGTAAAAGATGGAAAGAAGTTTGACAAAGAGTGAAAAATATTACTCTATCCTTGAAAAGCATTTAAATTTATCTGCAAAGAAAAAGGAGTCTCATTTGCAAGAGGCAGATACACAAATTGATCAAGCACATCAGAACTTCTATGAAGCATCATTAGAATGTCTTTAAATGGCTCACGCCTGTAATCCCAGCACTCTGGGAGGCTGAGGCAGGCGGATCACCTGAGGTTGGGAGTTCGAGACCAGACTGACCTACATGGAGAAATCCGTCTCCACTAAAAATACAAAATTAGCCAGGTGTGGTGGCACATGCCTGTAAAGCCAGCTACTCGGGAGGCTGACGCAGGAGAATCGCTTGGACCCAGGAGGCAGAGGTTGCGGTGAGCCGAGACTGCGCCATTGCACTCCAGCCTGGGAAACAAGAGCAAAACTCCGTCTCAAAATAAATAAATAAACAAATAAATAAAAATAAATGAAAAATATGTCTTTAAAATTCAAGCGGTTCAAGAAAAAAAGTTTGAATTTGTTGAACCGCTTTTGTCATTTCTTCAGGGTTTATTTACTTTTTTACCACGAGGGATATGAACTTGCCCAGGAATTTGCACCGCATAAGCAACAGCTGCAGTTCAACTTGCAGAATACAAGGAATAATTTTGAAAGTACTCGACAAGAGGTAGAGGGGTTGATGCAGAGGATGAAATCTGCCAACCAGGACTACAGACCACCCAGCCAGTGGACGATGGAAGGCTATCCGTATGTCCAGGAGAAACGACCGCTTGGTTTTACATGGATTAAACAGCCTTGTTACTAGCTCACCGGAAATGTTCAAAAACTTGTATCCGACGAAAGACAGATTCAATTGACAACCACTTCTGCTTCGACATACAAGTAGTTGAAAGGCATGGGATCATCACATTACAGGCCTTCTCAGACGCTAATAGGAAACTCTGGCTTGAAGCCATGGATGGGAAGGAAATGATTTATACTCTGCCTGACATTATAAGCAAGAAAGAAGAAAGGTATTTGAATGAAGCAGGGTTCAATTTTGTGAGAAACTGCATTCAAGCTGTGGAAACAAGCGGTATCACCGTTTTAGGCCTCTACTGAATAGGAGGAGTGAACTCCAAAGTTCAAAAACTTGTGAATATCATATTTTCTCCTAAATCCCCTCCTGATATTGATATTGAACTGTGGGACAATAAGACAATGAGTGGGCTGAAAAACTACCTCAGGTGCTTTGCAGCACCACTGATGACTTACAAGTTACACAAAGATTTGTATCATTGCTGTTAAATCTGATGACCAAAACTACAGGGTGGAGGCTGTACATGCATTGGTGTGCAAATTGCCAGAGAAAAACAGAGAGATGCTGGACATCTTAATAAAACATCTGGTCAAAGTATCACTGCACAGCCAACAAAATCTCATGACTGTCTCAAATCTTGGTGTCATATTTCTCCCAACTCTAATGAGAGCACAAGAATAAACTGTAGCTGCTATGGTGAATATTAAATTTCAGAATATTGTGTTAGAAATTCTTACAGAGCACGATGAAACGATTTTTCATACTGCTCCAGACCCAAGCATTCCTCTTCCTCAGCCTCAGTCTCGATCTGGATCCCAAAGGACACGAGCAATCTGCCTCTCTACAGGCTCTAGGAAGCCCAGAGGGACGTGTACTCCATACCTGGCTGAACCTGACAGTGACTCCTATAGCAGCAGCCCAGACAGCACCCCCATGGGGAGCATCAAGTCACTCTCTTCTCTTTCCTCGGAACAAAATAGCACTACAAAGTCAGCTTCCTGCCAGCCCAGGGAGAAATCTGGAGGGATTCCTTGGATTGCAACCCTTTCATCTTCCCATGGACAGAAAAGCCTTGGTCTCTGGACAACCAGTCCTGAATCAAGTTCTAGAGAAGATGCAACCAAGACAGATGCAGAATCAGATTGCCAGAGTGCTGCTTCGGTCACTAGCCCAGGGGATGTTCCCCCACCCATAGACCTAGTCAAGAAAGGGCCTTATGGACTTTCAGGACTGAAAAGAGCTTCTGCTTCTTCTCTCAGATCCATCTCTGCAGCTGAAGGAAACACCAGCTACAGTGGATCTATTCAAAGCTTAACTTCTGTAGGTTCCAAGAAGACACCCAAAGCTTCAAACCCAGACCTGCCTCCAAAAATGTGCAGGAGGTTAAGACTAGACACCACTGCAAGCAATAGCTATCAGCGTACTGGCTCAGTAGTGGCAGCAAAAGCTCAACTGTTTGAAAATGTTGGTTCACCTAAGCCAGTTTCTTCTGGGCACCAAGCCAAAGCCATGTACTCCTGTAAAGCAGAGCACAGCATGAGTTTTCCTTCCCACAAGGAGCGATATTTTCCAGCGTGGACCCATCAGTGGAACCAGGATGGTTAAAGGCAACTTATGAAGGCAAAACGGGACTAGTTCCAGAAAATTATGTTGTCTTCCTCTACTACTATTTAGTGGATGGCAGTATCTTCATGGTATCCATGGTAACAAATAATAAGTGCTATGATTTTATCTGACACAGATACAAGGGGATCAGCCCACTAAGTGAAAACAGTCAATTTCTATCAAGTTCTTCACCAGCAGACTATGTAGCTCCTTATTAATGGAAAAAAAAAGGTTTAAAAGGTTGGCCATTCTTTTTTGGTTGGTTTCTCATTTTAAAATTTCCTGCTTCTGAAAAATTTATTTTTGGATAATACGTAACTCTCCAGAATGTCTCTTCCATAGCAATTGCAGAGTTTTAAATACCGTATTAAGTACTATCTCCCAGAAATTTGGAAACCAGAAATCTGCTGTATGGATTTTGAGATGCGTCCTTTACTGCCTGGCATTCTCTGAGGATCTGTGAAACTGTTACTTAAAAATGTTACTGAAAAGCTAGTTACCTGCCCTTTGAGTGCCACAGTCCTGACCTGCTTGTTCTTGACACCTTACATATTACTTCAGAGTTCCCCACTGTGCAGACTCTCAGGTATTAACTGTATGAAACTCTTTACATGCTATTATAATCTGTAATCTCTATCTCTTCTAATTTAATGTTTCTAGAATAGGTTAAATACACATATACACACACAACTATGCCTCAGAAAAGTTATGCTTTTACAAATAAAAAGAATAGATTAGAATTAACAAGTAGGGTGAATAACAGTAGGCAGAGTCAGAATCAGAAATAAATATCAGTGGATCAAAATAAAAGAATGAAAAATATTCTGTAATAAAAATTAGCAATGTAATGTAAAAGTCTGATAAAAGGTTATCTTTTTCTTTTACCTCTTACTGTTGACCTCTGTACACTGTAATAAGGTGTTGCTGGATGGAACTTCTTGGTCTAGGTCCTTGGTGACCTTAGTAGTAACAACAGCATTGCTGACACCCTGATTACCCTCTGCTGAAACAGAAGGTAGTTTTTCAGTGTACCAGTCCCTTAGTCTATACTTGGTTTAAACACACTTGCCATCATCTGGTATCCTACTAGATTAGAACCTCTTAAAAGCAAATTGGTTTTCTTTCAAAGACCAACTTGACTCCAAAGAGAGATACAGAATCCTACTTCTGCTGCTGCATAAAGAAATTTCAACCTTCATTTTACTTGAACACAGACCAAAGTGTTCCTGCTTCTGAGTTGTCTGTGAGCTAATTCTACAGATGTTCCATTCAGATTTAAAGCTTTTTTATTGCACAGGACGTGGATATGAAGCCTAACTCTTGTATCTGATGGCAAGGCATATGTTGTAGCCACAGTGCTGGCGATGGTCCCTTTGCTGAAACAAGCTACAGAAGCACTGATTCAAGCTGTGTTTGTGCTAGGAGTTTTAATCTTGTAGATTTGTGAGGATGGCTCTTTTTCCTTCATAATAGATTACATGTATAAGCAAGTCAGGGCCATGTACTGGAGACAGGCTAAAGCTGCTTTTCCCTTAAAGAAAGTTTCCTACAGACAAGGTATTTATGAGCATTGAGAAAGTCGGGACACGTACTCTAAATCACACAGAGTGTTAATTCCACAGGAAGGCAACGCCAGACATTGGAAGAGGATCACATTCGACTTCTAATAGTAGTTCAATAACAAAACCTTAGCTTTTCAGAAACAATGTTGATACGTTAGAATTGCCACATCCATACCTTCAAAACATGCAATGTGTGCACCCCAATCACTGCTTACAGTATAATCAGCATGACGATGAGATTGAGGGGGTCTAAATTTAAGTGTATCATCTCCTGTGTTATGTGAAAATATCCCTCAGTACAAAACATTTGTGTATTTCACAGATGACTCGTTTTGCCATAACGCTACAAAGTTTATGGAAACTAGTCAACTGAAGGATTTTTCTGTTGTGCGATGTGTAAAGGTCTGAACAGTAAAATCATCTTTGTATTCCTGCAGTGTTAAAAAGTAATAATCAACATGTCAGATTGTTGGGCTTTTCTTTGCAGATGTTCTCTAATTCAAAGTTTTTGGTTGTTTGTTTTTTTTTTTTTAGTTCAAAGTTAATTTGTTTGCCTCTTGAAGATTAGTTTGTCTAAGCTTTCTAGGAACTGCCAAACAGTGATATTCTCAAAAGGATTCAATAAACTAGTTCAAAAAATGTTCCTATCTTCTATTGTCTTAAATCTAATCATGTTCTGTGAACTGCAGTCCCAGTGTGTAACCCAGCATGATTTATCACCCAGAGTTCTCCATTGTATTTCAAAGTTGATTTACCTCAGGAAAACTGAGGGTTTATTGAGTAACTCAAATTTTTCCAGAGAAACTGGTTTGAAGTATCCAGTGCAACCTGCCAAGCTCTGTCTTTGTTTATAAACCCACTTACTGGTGACATCATTCAGGGTAGTCCCTCTCTAAAAACCTTGAATTTTGTCTGGTCTTCTCAGATAAGGAATTCTGAACCTGGTACAATCTCATTCTAACTCTTCTCTTACGTACTAAGTGCTTATAATATATACCTTAATATAACTTAACAGGAAAAGGCTGACCATTTTTGGTATTCTTTCAGTGACACATTTTTCAGTGTCTAAGCTCACAATCATTCTTAATTAACTACATGATTTTTAATACAATTTCTACTACTTTGGGTTTTATTTCCCAGGTATAGACATTGTCCTCTTAATGTTTTCTTAAGGAATTATTCAGAGTAGATTATTAACAACTTAAGGTCCTAAATAGATATACATGGGACATGGTTGTTGTAAAAAGAAACAAATCTGTAAGACACTAGGAAATTCAAAATGCTTTCAAGCTTTCTTTGAACTTTACTACTGAATGATTTATTTGCAACTCATTATCTGGTATAGTGGGGAAGAGCCACTTATGTCTCTTTAAGCCAAGATATATTTAAGATAACAATAAAGATAAAATACCAATTTCACTATCTAGATTTGATTTTGACACAATGAAAAGCTGATTGGTTCACAATTAAATGGACAAATTTTCCATAAGTAAGAGATGAAACCCCTGGCTTGGAAATCCTGGGGATTGAAAGGTTGAATGTCCTTGGTCTGTGGTGAGCATGTTCACATTTAAACACATGAGATCTGGTGTGATTTCCGTAGCAGCTCCTCAGATTTTGTGAAAAACTAGAAGATAATTTTTTAAAAAGCAATGTTGAATACTTAGAATCGTATTTCTAATAAAAATAAGTCAAACTGTTTAATTTTGATAAACAGTTTCAAAACTAAACATGAACTGAACTTATACTTGATGACATAATTTTGTAAATTCATGATGAATTTCTTATTCTGATTTATTTACTATTTTAAAAGATAGGTGTTTCTTTTCTTCCACTGTAAACGTGTAATGTGTTCATTGTATTTGGAAAATGTGGAAAGTAGAAGATGACTGTTCTTACTTTTTCACTTTTTCAGAGGGTAATTGTTTCCACACCATAGAAGTAGAATAATCACACTTCTAATTTGAAAATTTGAAAATGTAAAAAAAAAATATTAATCCAAGATCATATGAACATTTAGGGCTAAGAGTTGAGATTATACTGAATATGGTTTTGCATTGAATATATTACAAGCCTTTTTGTGTCATTTACTATTTGATAAAACATGATTTTTAATGCCTGAATACTTTTCTAACACTTGTATGTATTGTTGTTGAATGAATCATTCCTCTATTGTGGAACATTCAAATTGGATCCAAGTTTACCATAAGTAATGCTACAATAAAAATATCTATACATTATTTGTGATGTCTTTGGTAGTTTTCTTAGAGTGCCACCTTAATTATCTTTGTGAGAAAGTCCTCAAGAATCCTGCCATTAATTCAGACACTTTCCCTGCTATTGATAGGTCCCTTTAAGAGTTCTGAAAATACTTAAGAAACTTGGTAAGAGGAAAGAAAATTAATCCTCTCTTCTGATTCTTCAGTTCCAACTCTCTGTGGCCACTGGATTTTTAAAAATCCTGTTGTCCAAAGCATCTCCCATTTAATTGTTTCTCTCTGACAATAGGGAAACTGGAAGTCAGAGGTGATACCATAAAAGGAAGTGAATGAAGCAGATGTATGAATTTTGATACATAAAACAGATGTCTTTTGATCACACTTCTTGGGCAATATAGTAGTAATCAAAGGAAAACTGGTAACATTTTTGGTTACTACGTTTTAAAGAAAAATTCCTAAGCCTCACAGAGCTGACATGGTTTATTTACCTTCAGGAACATGGTAGTACTTAGGGTAAGTTAGAATCCATTCATTATTGTGTGTGACTGGAGAGATACATTGCTTAAAAGCTATACCAGGCCCTACTTAGAAACAAGTTACAACTGCCTTTAAATCACTCTGTTTATGTCAAAATAGTTAAAGTTAAATAGCAGAATCTAGAGGGGGTCTTGATTAACATGAGATAATAAATATTTGCAGAATCTGATGCCTAGCAGAAGAAACTCTAACCCAGATAGGAAAGTTCTTCAGAGTAAAAATCGAGAAGGGTGAGAGTAGCTATGCAATAGAAGTAAGCCTTGGCCTGGACCCAGACAAGATCATTGCACAAGAAATTGGTTTTGGAAGTAGATTTGGCTGAGATTAAAGTCTCAAGTGACATGAAGATAATGTTTAAGATAAATCCAAACTCTCCTTTATTGCTTGACACTTTTCCAATCAGCATCAACTTCATTCCTGGTAAGTTGGTGTAGCATGGCGAGTTCTGCCTTATTTCATACTTTATTTGGTTAGAATCTGGGGGAGGGGGTAAAGGTGCAGGTTGGTTATTTCAAATGTGCAGGCGACCTCCACCAATTTTGCAGTATAGTGCTATTACTTAAGGGAATACACCCATAAAACTTTTGATTTCCTAGTAATTCTGCTTTTGTGCATTCTTAATTTGAGACTCAGTGAGGGTGAAAGAGTTGTAGATTTGGCACACACTGCACTATTTTCTCACATTTTTTGGATTTGCTAAAACCAATAACAAATGTATTACCTCT
This sequence comes from Homo sapiens, assembly GCF_000001405.40. Lineage (NCBI taxonomy): Eukaryota > Metazoa > Chordata > Mammalia > Primates > Hominidae > Homo > Homo sapiens. The sequence goes on along the minus strand of NC_000002.12, from coordinate 131,323,188 downwards.
TTTTTTCCTTTAATTTTTAAATCCATGGCCTTTTCACTGCCTTTACTTTCCATGTGTTGCCACTGTATCCTCCACTGTATCCCCCACATCGGGCCCAGCACTTGACACTTAGTAGGCACTCAACCAATACTTGTTGAATGAATGAGTTTAATGCATTCCAGTTTTTTTTAGTTTTTAGATGGTTGTGCCTAATGCATACTCCTTCCTTCTTTCACTCCTTCATTAATCCTTTTGTTCATGTCTTTTACTTATGCCAAGCTGTCACACTGTGTGCATGAACTGAGGGATTTAGTTTTTCTTCCACAGCCCCAGAGCCAGCAAATGGCTGACCTTAAACCTAAAACTGTAGGAGTTTGGTCAGGGTGGTGGGAAAAGTTGTAAGAAAAGGTTATAGGGAAAGACACAAACCTTCTTGGAAGAATGGGAGATTTTGCAAAAGCTTCAAAAGAGAATTTAGCTGAAGGCAGTTAAATTCTCTTAAGAGCAAGGGTTAGATAACAACGGAATGTAAAGAAACTTATCTAGGTAAATTGTTCTACTTATATCTCTGGAAACCATGCTTTGATCATTCATGTGCAGGACTGCTCTCTACTCGGGGAGTTGACAATGTTAATTACCCACAAATTGTGTTTGCTCCAAGCCCTTGTCATTAAATCTGTACTAAATAAACGCAAGCGGGGCCAGCTTAGGGGGGCTGCACTCCTTTCGGCTGCTGCACTCTCTCATCAGCAGCACTGAGTGGTGCAGTCCCCTAGCCGCACTGTCAGGAAAAATACCTGTGTCAGCAAACTCCTTTCATTCATCACTTGGCCAGAGTCTGCAGGACAGATCGGCATACAACACTCATTGGTTTTCACCTTTACTCTTGCAGAATGAGTTATAAAGCCAAAGACCTCAAGAAAAGCACACTCCTTAACAGCCAGTTCAGAGGTGACAGCCAGGGAATAAGAAATAAGAACCTTCCAGAGGATGCAGCCACCACCAAAAATGACGGAAAAGAGGGTTCCTCCCAGAGAGTAGATTCAGGGGCTATTTAAGGAATTTCCCCATGCCCTGTGTAGGGAGCTTCTCACTACTTGCTACTCTGGATTTCCTTATGGTTATACTCTAGGGACTGCTGCTTGCCTGTCTGTCTTCTTTCTTGCATAGCAGGTTTATTTATTTAATTTTATTTTTTTCTTCAATTATGGTGGTCTTTTCACTGTTCTACCATGACAAGAGGTAGAACAGAGATATTTTTACCTCTACCTGGGAGGCAGAAAATTGGCCTTTTTATTCAAGAATGCCAAACCAGAAGCTTACATATCAGAATCTGATACAGAGTACAGTCTATTCCCCTTTGGACTTTGGACCTTGGACTTTGAACTGGATGCAATAATGGTATGAGACCCTTGGGTAGGAATGAGTGTCTTGTATGTGTGGGAAAGACAGGAAGGCAGACATCTGGTGACCTAAAAAGAAGGCCATGGCAGAACCTCATTAGTTGTTCAACAATCCTATTTTCCTTTCTTCCCGGGCACACAGCTATGTATTTTCCAGCCATCCTTGTACTTAGATGTAGCCCAGTGACACTTCTGAGGGTGGAATATGGGCAGATGTGATGGGCACTGCTGGACCTGGACCATAAAATCCTTCCACATGATGTCAGTGCCCCTTTTACTCCATTGGCAGCTGGATATTGTCATCCAGAGAGTTGGATGACTTAGAAGCCATGTGCAGAAGATGGCAACCTTCCATCAGCATGGATCCTTGAGTGACTGTGGAGTGCAATGCCTTCTACCAGTTAGAACTACTGTGATTGACAATCACATTTCATTTGTATTAAGCTACTGATTTGGGGGGTTTATCTCCTTCAGCTCCCACATTAGTACAACTCATGCAGAATGGAGAGTGACTGTGAACACATGTGGCACAGGCTGCTGAAACCTAGGACTTTATAGATGAATTTCTGATTATACTCTCCTTTCTTGCAAAAAGCTTTTTTCAAATTAAGTGTTATAATATAAATGTGAATACTTAAAATTCTTTCTAATGAAATGACTAACTGTAGAAAAGAAAATGTAGGAATGTATACATCCTTGATAAGAGTGTGAAACTGATACAGGCAATGTAGAGTCTTTCTTAGGGATAGTGAACAAAAGAACATACCTGGGTAAAAGAAATGAGAGGTTACTGATAACAAAACTAATATTTATATTGCACAATATGAGACATTATTTTATACATAGGATTACATTTGATTTTTGCAAATCCCCGTGAAATAGCTATTATTATCAGATCCACTTTACGCATACTAAAAACAAGACTCATATGGGTTAGCTAACTAGGCTATGGTCTCTCAACCAAGCTCTACTTCTCTGATTGAGGAGACGGTAGTATCTAGAGATTCAGTGTTCTTTCTACTGCCCTATGCTACCACCCAGTGCAGATGTAAGAACAAAACCTATTAGTAAGTGTTTAGACCTTTAGCAACTTTAATCATCCAAAACATAGCTGTGAGACCAAAAAGAGGAAAACAGTTTGCAAAAGCCCACATTTATTACACCATGAAAGACCCAGGTCTGTGAAATGTTGCCTAGAATTTGTGTACTAAACTCAGCAAAATGAATTAACTCAGTGACCTCATTTTCTCCTAAATTACAGTAAATGGAAGATTTAAAAGATGAAAAAAATAAACACAGAAAACTTCAGTTAACAAGGTAGAGGATGACCCATTGTAAGATTGGGTGTCCATGTGTGGTAGGTAAAAGCAGGTCCTATAAGTGTTAGGCAGGCCTAGGCACGTGTTTTCTCTTTTTGTTGTTTGATCTTAAATTTATGACAAATGAAGAACGAGGCCTTTACCTGGTCTGGATCGACTTGTTATGGAGTCTATGTGAAATGAAAATGATTCATAAACAAAACTGATCCATCCCCAGCAACAGCAGAGATGACCATGAACAATTAGCCACCTGAGAATCCTCAACAGTTCTTGGGGAATTCATTAATTACATTTTATTAAAGGGCAGGGATATCCAAGCTGACATATGGGTTACAAAGGCAAAGTATAATTTCTTTATGGGTTTTGTTAATGTGAAATATAAATTAATAAGCTTTTGATTTTACTAATACAAACATACCCATCAATTGGTCATCTTCAATTCAGAAATAACTAGAGTTTGAGGGTATCTTAAACCCAAAAAATAAAAACAAAAACCTAACCAGCAGCCATTTGCTGAATTCCTGAGTGCTTAGAACTCTCCATTTCTAGCCTAGCAAACATCTTCCAGTTGCAATTTTAAACCTTTTTTCCCAGATCTTTCAAGAAACCTCTAACAGTATCAAGTTCAGCACACAAAGCTAGCTTTTTCTGTAAGCAGTCTCATCTACCCGCCTTTAAACAGGCTCCTAAAGTCAACCTTAGAATAAAAAGGACTTTTCTTTTGTTATTAAAAGTCTGTTCTCTAGCCAGGTGTGGTGGCTCATACTTGTAATCCCAGCACTTTGTGAGGCTGAGACCAGAAAATTGCTTAAAACCAGGAGTTCAAGACTAGCCTCTACAATGTAGTGAGACCACCATGTCTACAAAAAAAAAAAAAAAAAAAAAATTAGCCGGGCATGGTGTCACACACCTGTGGTCCCAGCTACTTGGGAGGCTGAAGTAGGAGGATCACATGAGCCCAGGAGGTTGAGGCTGCAGTGAACCATGGTCATGCACTGCCTTCCAGCCTTGGTGGTAAGAGCAAGACAGATGTTACTATAATTTTTTTAAAAAAGTCTGTCCTCTGCCTCAAATGGACTTTGCTGTTATATTAAAACTATTGAAATATGTATAAACCAGGTGTGGTGGCTCACACTTGTAATCCTAGCACTTTTAAGAGGCTGAGGCAGAAGGATTGCTTGAGACCACAAGTTCAAGACCAGCATCAGCAAGATGCTGGTGAGACCCCATCTTTGTGAGACCCCATCTCTACAAAAAATATGAAAACTAGCCAGCTGTGGCTGTGTATGCCTATATTCCCAGCAACTCAGGAGGCTGAGACAAGAGAATCCCTTGAACCCAAGAATTTGAGGTTACAGTGAGCTGATTGAGAACTGCACTCCAATCTGGGAACCGGAGTAAGAACAGGTCTCAAAAAAAAAAAAAAAAAGGAAAGAAGAAAATATGTAAAAATGAATGTTTTAAATTGGAACAATTACTATAGCATCAAAACGCACATTTGATGAGATGTGAAAATTTCTTAAGTATTTATCCATTTCTGGTTTTGTAGCAAAGGCATTATTATACTTCTATAACTTGTCTAATAGAGTCAGATAGAATCAAGCAAAGTTGGCAGAGCCTAGGCATCTACCTAAAAGAAATGCTCTCTCCCATTTCCGTGAACACATTAACTCCTCCTGAGTTCCAGTGGCACTATTTCTGGAGTCCTTTTCAAGGCACCTAATCCTAAAGCAGGTGTCACTTGTTACTCTCTTTCAAAGCGTCTTGCTCTTTTTCTTCACAGTACTTTTCAAAATATTTAATATACACTTATTTCTTATAGAAGTTGCCTACCTCACTGGACTTTAAGATCTATGAGGTTAATCCCATGTCTGTTTTGTTTTCTACCTTATTGCCCCTGCTCCCCAGGCACAGAGCAATATGTACCTGACGTATATTTGGCTCTCAATATACATTTGTCATATTTGTGTGTGTGCTTGTTCAACTTCTCTCACTCTGTTTGTGTATAGGTGTGTACTTTCTTGTCATTTCGGGACACTTAGGAATTTCCTTATTTTGCCTCAAGTTCAGCTATGCATTAAAACTATTTTATAAAAACATATTTTATCTTTTTTTCTTTTTCAGACAGAGCTTCACTCTGTTGCTCAGTCTGGAGTGCAGTGGTGTGATCTCGGCTCACTGCAGCCTCTGCCTCCTGGATTCAAACCATTCTCCTGCCTCATCCTCCCAAGTAGCTGGGATTACAGGCAACTGCCACCATGCTCAGCTAATTTTTGCATTTTTAGTATAGACAGGGTTTCACCATGTTGTCCAGACTGATATGGAACTACTTGGGAGGCTGAGGTGGGAGGATTCAGCTACTTTGGCTTCCCAAAGTGCTGGGATTACAGGGGTGAGCCACTGCACCAGGTTTAACATGCTTAGGTGTTTTATATCAGAAGACATTTTTCTGGTCCTCTATTTCAGGAGTTGGCAAACTTCTGTAAAGGGCCAGATAATATTCTCAGCTTTGCGGGCCATGTGATTTCCGTCCCAACTACTCAACTAATTCACATTTCCTGTCATCATCAGCATCACTTGAGTTCTAATGTTTTATTATTATTTAAGTAGTAGGAAATCTTCTAGCTGTCAAGATACAAAAGACCTTCAATGGGAATGTCAGACTCTAAAAGATAAAGCTCAAACTCCCTCCCATATTTGAGTATGAATTTAAAGCTAGTATTTGCTGAGTGCTTACTGTGGTTCAGGCACTATTCTAAGTGCCTTTCCTGTTAACCCCTTTACATCTCACAACGGTACGAAAGACAATGACCATTATAATCTCCATTTGGAAACTGAGGCTCAGTTACATAAAGTTACACCACGCAGTGGTGGATAAAGGACACCAACTCAGGTCTGACTTCAGAAACCACACTCCACTCAGAATGCTAACCCCCTAACACCCAGTCTTCTATCTCTTGATGAGTTCTGAATTATCACGCAGGTATTCACCCTTCTCCAGTAGCGACCTTGCCTCAGAAACACATAATCTAACCCCAGCTTCAGAGAAAAGCTGATTGATCTCCATGCACTCTTACATTCTAGACAGTGATTGGCTTACGTCTGAGGTTTCTCAACAAATTAGTACATGGCATAATCTCAGGCCACAGGGGCTGGCCAGAAATGGACAGGTAACCTTAACTAAGCTGATGCGATGGGAGGGAAATTTGCTGAGGGTTTTTAGAAAACAAGTTTCATCAATCTTGGGAGAAAATCTTGAACAGGGCCAGCCTCTCTTCATCCAAAGATTGCCATATTATGTGTGCAAAGCTTGAAGCTACAGCAAACATCTTATTCATCATGAGGATAAAACCAGAACAAAGTGGCAGAGTTGAGAGATTCAAAAACCAAGGCAGCCAGAGTTCTAGTTGAATCACAGCTGCTCACCACTCTAGTACTGGATTTTTTCCATTGTACATCAATACACCACCTTTGTGTTTTAAACCAGTTTCAACTGGGTTTTCATTCAATGGAGTGTAACCTGACTGCAGTTATTTGAAATCTTTCAAGATCTGGCCTCAGCATACCTTTCTAGTCCTTATTTTTACTTGTCTAGGGCTAAATAAATTACCCAGAGTTTCCCAAACACACCACACCGTTCATGGATTTGCAAGCGTGATTCTTTCTGCCTTCATTGTCCTTTGCTCTCCTCTCCCTGGAGAATTCATGTTGGGTTGCAATTATGTTTTAAATGTCTGTCTCCACCCCTTGATTTGGCTACATCTTTTTTGTCTTTACACTCTTTGCACTTCTCATGCACTTAAGACATAATAAGCACTCCAATAAGTGTCTATAAGATTAATAAAAAAGATGGGCAACATGGAAATCTGAATCATAATATAAATTTTCTCTACAAGATACTTGGCCTGGTGCAATGGCTCATGCCTGTAATCCCAGCACTTTGGGAGGCCAAGGCTGGTGGATCATGAGGTCAGGAGTTCAAGAACAGCCCGGCCAAGATGGTGAAATCCTGTCTCTATTAAAAATTTAAAAATTAGCTGGGTGTGGTGGTGGGCGCCTATAATCCCAGCTACTTCAGAGGCTGAGGTAGAAAATTGCTTGAACCTGGGAGGCAGAGGTTTCAGTGAGCTGAGATTGCACCACTGCACTCCAGTTAAAAAAAGAAAAAAAAAACCATTTAGATCAATACTGTCTGGTTAAATATTCTGTGATAATGGAAATGTTCTGTACCTGCCCTGTCCAATAAAGTAGCCACTAGCCAAGTGCGTCTATTGAGCACTTGAAATGTAGCTAGTATGTTGGAAGAACTGAATTTTAAATTTCATTTAATTATAACTGATTAAAAGTTAAGTAGCTAGTGGCTACTATACTGAATATCACAGATGTAGACAACAAATTTTAAAAATTCTCCAAATATGGGAATGGGTCACCTAAGTGATTTTAGATACCAAGCTAAATAAAAACATCTGGAGATGGTACTATTTTGACTCTAATAATTTTTTTGTTGAAAGCAATATATATATTATATATACACACATATAAATATATATGCATACATATATATATAATCTAGAGATTTCTTTCCTTTCAAAAATACTTCATACCTATAACTTAAAAAATATAATTTTATCTTTCTTGTCTTTATTTTGAATTTTCAGTCATTTCAAAGTTAATATGAGCAATATCATTAAAAAGTGGGCAAAGGATATGAACAGACACTTCTCAAAAGAAGTTGGCCAACAAATATATGAAAGCAAGCTCAACATCACTGATCATCAGAGAAATGCAAATCAAAACCACAATGAGAGACCATCTCATGCCAGTCAGAATGGTGATTATTTAGAAGAGTCAGGATACAACAGATGCTGGCGAGGCTGTGGAGAAATAGGAATGCTTTTACACTGTTGGTGAGGATATACATTAGTTTAATCATTGTGGAAGACAGCATGGTGATTCCCCAAGTATCTAAAACCAGAAATACAATTTGACCCTGCAATCCCATTACTGGGTATATACCCAAAGGAATATAAATCATTCTACTTATTGCAGTACAATAGCAAAGACTGGAACCAACCCAAATGCCCATCAATGATAGACTGGATAAAGAAAATATGTTACATATACACTATGGAATACTACGCAGGACATGAGAGCATGTCCTTTGCAGGGACATGGATGAAACTGGAAGCCATCATCCTTGGCAAACTAACACAAGAACAGAAAACCAGACACTGCATGTTCTCATTCAGTGGGAGTTGAACCTTGAGAACACATGGACACAGCGAGGTGAACAACATACACCATGGTCTGTTGGGGGATGGGGTGAGGAGAGGGAACTTAAGAGGATGGGTCAATAGGTGCAGCAAACCACCATGGCACACGTATACCTATACAACAAACCTGCACATTCTGTACACGTATCCTCTTTTTAGAAGCAGCAATAAGGAAAAATAAGTGATCGCTTCATTTCAGGAGGTAGAGTTTTCCTCTTAAAGGTTTTCAGATTTAATCTCAAAGGTTTGGCTTTTTATGCATCTCACTACATGTAATTTGCAGTTAATACATCAATGCCTTCTGCTCTTCTTACGTCTCTCCTTAAAACAGTACATCTTTTTGCTTAACTAAAGTGGTGACTGTCTCAATTTTTTTTTTTTTTTGTCAGTTCCTATTGCATTTTTCCCCACTTTGCACTCAGGTATTATAACCTGACACTGAGAATGTTTGTCTCAAAAAAACTGGAAAAAACAATGTTTTTCCAGTATAGATTAATTCTGTACTCTTGGCTTTTCCTGTTGTATCCCAATTGTTCTATGTAACCAGGAAATTTCACATGCCCTTACTTTTTCTAAAAGCCATCCATTTCCCCTGGTGGAGGTACTACGTGTGTGTGTGTGTGTGTGTGTGTGTGTGTGTGTATTATTCTATAATATGGTTTACTTATAACCTTAGACACACACTCTTCCAGTGTCTAATTGAATTAAAGTAGTTTTTCATGGGGTTTAATTTCCAGTTTATGCAAAAGGGCATATACCAAGAGCAATGGTCATATTACAAAAGGCTTTTTTCTCTCTCTCTAAGTATTCTACCTAACAAGCAGATATTTTATGTTTTAAGATAGCTTCTTGTGGTTTGGGCTGTCTTTATTCGGGTTTTGACCACCTGAAAAAACTAAGACATCTCTAATACAGGTCTAAGTATTTTTTTTCTCTTGACTATGTAACTTTTGAATTTGTTTTTGAAGTCTTTCCATTATTACTCTGATTAAATAAGTGACCATTATCTCTCAAGGATATGTAATTCTACTTTAATTAAATATTTTTAGGCTTTTTGAATCCAAACAAATGACAAACTTCCCCAGAATCAAATTCAAATTTAAGCCTTTTTCACCTAAAATTGACTAAGGGATTTTCTAGTTGGGCTCCTGGGAAGTCTCAAAAGATTTGTCTCCCATTAGGCTTGTTTGACCAGCTCCCAAAATCTTCTCTAGTGTCCGTGAGCTTTCTTTCAAAACAATATGTAGCATTTCCCTCGCTAGTAAACCCCCAATCTTCTCTTTGTCCTTCACACATATAGAAGACCACTGTGGTTTTCAGTTTTGTTCAGAACTACAATTCTGTGATTCCCAAATAAATTGTATACTTTAGAGATCCATCTTTATTTTGACTTCAATAGTGATGATAAATTCTGATACAATATTCAAGAATATGTTTTATAACAATACTACATCAATTTAGAAATGCATTTTACTGCGATATAAAACCCTTAACTTTTCTCTTCCACTGACATTATGTATGATTTTGTTATTAATTTACAAGCACTTAAAAATTCTTTATTTTACATAAGGTTTATATTAGATATTTTGTGAGGAAAATAAAAGGTCGGTTTTCTATTTGCATTGTGCTAATTCAGACTGCACTTGGTTCTTCATGCACACTGGTATAAGCTAAAGTTTAAACAAATTACTGTAAAAACTGATACACATATAGACCATTATAGTGTTATTTTTAAAAGCACAAGAAACTACTTTAGAAGATCCCAAGGAGATTACAGCAAATGAATCTTCATATTCATTACCTCAATGAAATATAATTTAACACTAGTTTCAATGTCTTTTTTTCCAAAAGACTAATTTTCAAGTGAAAGCTTTAGATCTTTGAAAATAATAGAAGACAGAAAAGATACATAATTCATTTCAGCAGTTTTCTGAGAAATACCACATTTTCCAAAATATATATGTTCTTATAAGAAATGGATTCTATTTAGGCTACTAGAATATCAATCTTCTACAATAGGCCAATTGTCAAAGCACTAGGCCTATGTTCACTCAACCAGTCTCATGAAGCAAAAACTGAATTAAGATATTCCATTTATTTTAGTCCACATATTTATCAAGCATAAGAAACTATGGAACAAAGACTCTTTCTTGCTGAAGTTGCTGGGATTTCCATGGTGCTTAATGCATATTTTTTTAAATCGTGAGATCAAAGAACACAAATCTTGAGCCATTGTGTATGTTACCTGGGTAAAAAAATTAAACTTGATCTTTTCAAATATATAATGGAATCCCAGGCATAGTGATTTATTAAAATATGAACTTAAATATTTAAGAGAAAATTAATCCCAATGAAATGAGTTGATTTTCTAAGAAAAGCAAGTATGTAATTAAGGAATCATTAGCAGACACTCTCAAAACCACTACAACATTTAAAAGCAATCAACATTACAACTCTTAGGGTGTGTTTTAAATTTCTCACAACCTAAACATATACATTCATTAATTATTCACTTGCCATGATCAACAATGAAAGATGAGTTAGAAAAACCAGAGGCTTTAATTCAAAAATGACAATCTTTGGTACTGCAGCAAGGAAATAACCAGCTGGTGAAATTAATGACTCCACCTGGCTTTATCTTGGCAATGTTCTGAAATACATGCAATGAACAACTTGACATTGTTTGATGTTCTTAATTCATTACAGCCATCTCTATGGGTGGTCTTAATAGATAAGATCAATCAGAAATGATCATATTATGAAATGTAAATCACTTCACATGACTTATCTGGAAAATGTGCTTGTACTTACTTGCACCATCTCAAGTTCCAAGAGCCAAAAACATATACATGCTCATGGAGGAGAATTTCCTTTCTGATTTTAGAACAGTCTGAAATGGAGTGAAAAAATGAAAAAGAAGAGGGAGCTTACAAATAACAAAAATGTATATCCCAAGTGAAAATTAGAATGTCTATGGAACTAGTAGCAGTAACAACAGTAGACGAAAGATAGGCTGTAGATGTGAAGAAGATGTCTACAAGGGAAGCACAAGACTCCAAATGCTCTTGCTACTAAAACGCAGATTCAAGCTTTACCATCTGTAATACTCTGCTGCCAAGTGCATCTATGGCCACTGGTACTGTCTAAAATGAGGATGTATATTATTAAATCATCAAAAAGGACTGCATAGCAGAAACTTTTCTGATATCAAGGGATCAACTTAACTACAATTATATACAGGTGCCAATTTCCTCTGGAGTAAACTACCACACGGGGCCTCATGTACCAGTTAGATAATCCAAGTCAGCCTTTATTGCATGACCTATCTAAAAGATTGGACTCTATATTTTGGCTCTACAGAACTGAGAGAAGAAATGTATAAATAGGATAGTGATATTGCCCTTGTCTATGGGAATTCTTGAGTCTAATAAAAAAATCTGGGAAAAATCTAACTTCATGATTACACTTGGGCACATAGGTGATTAATACGAATGAAGTAACAACCATAAATACAATCGTAATCACAAGAACAACAGTAATTCAAATCTTCTCACTTCATAGATGTTCTTAGAATGCTTTATTGGTATCTTGTAGGTGCTCTCCCCAAGCCTCAGGTGTTCTTCCATAATCTCAGTTGATGCAAAGGCAAACACCACACTCTCCTCTGTTCAATGTCTGCCATCCCTGTCTTTTTGGCCTCTGACTCTTCCCTATACTATTGTCTATGCACTTGAGATCTTCACTGACATAGCTGGGCTCTGTATTTATTGATAAGAGTATCTCTTTTCTCTTAGACTAGGTATGACCAAAAGGTTAATCTGGGTTCAAAGATTAATGACAGTGACCACTCAGTTTTTATTCAAGATCAATTTTATTTGTTGTAAAAACAAACATGGGTTATGTTTCAGACAAACAGATATAAGTGAGTAGACTTATGCCCTGGTGCCTCCTTGGCTCTTCACAGGATGCAAAAACAAATCCTGCCAGCAGGAGGTGGCAGGTTGCAGAGGTGGCTGATTGCTCTTTCACCCAGCTTGGCCTTGTCTGGCACGCACAAGTTCCAGCACAGCAAAACATTCAGGGAGTAAGAGTGTTGCACAAAGGATTTTACCAACCTCGTCACATTAAGCAGCATTCAAGGATTTGCTGACCACCACTTATGCAAATTTTGTGTTATGCTATAGCAATGAACTTACTTGTTCTATTTCTAAACAAAACATTGGGTTCACACACAGGCCTGGACAAAGCTTCCCACTTCTGAACTATTTACTGATCTTCTTATTCTCAAAGAATGCAAGATGAATGATGTGCAATACCATGGCTATGGCATGTGACTTTTCTTGACCTGGATGGTTAGTGTCCCAATATTTAACTGATTTTTGTGGGGGTGAAAATATGCCATAAGTTCTTCCTTCTATCATCCCCATCACTACCATACATGTAATGACATAATCATGTCACAGTGTGTCCTCAGAATCACTATTCCTAGCTGAGTATACTAAGGCTTTCTATCTAGGTCAGTTCATTGTGTCTGTGTCTCCTCTAAACCCTCCTTCATCATGCCTACCTTGAGGAATTTAGCAAGTGATCATTCATGCAAGCTAAGGGATTTTAGCTTTCTCTGCCATAAAGATTATTGCTAAAATACATACCATACAACAAACCAATCCATTCCCCACAAATCTGTCTGACTTCTCACAGAATACATGACTTTTATTGTGTCTCTTCCTTCTGTGTTTCTCTTTCCTAACTGAACTTTGTTCTTTATCCATGCCTTCTTCCAATCCTGATATATTTTATAACCTTTAGCATTTCTGCCTATAATATTTGGGTTTTCTTCTTTTCGTGTCTTTATTTAATAGTCCCATACAAATATTTTCCCCATAATCACAATGGTTTCTTTTCACTTTGCTCCAAATTTGGATAAACTCTACATTGGCTAAGTTTTAGTCATTTGCACTGCTAAGAAAGATGACAATTCAACATGCTGAAGATGACTTCCTCCCTTATAAAGGGGCTAACACAGACAGCAATACTGTTCATGTTTCTGATTCTTGATCACAAAAATTGCTTTAGGCAATTACAATCATGTCTCCTCTGACACATCATATTATTCAAGTGAGACAGAGGAAGAAGATGTCCTATGTCACACAGCTGAGTGGTGACAGCTGCTTTAGCATCAGCACACTGCGTTCCCTCTGATTTCTTCATTCATCTCTAAGTAGCAGTAAATCTAGTCATGAATACTGACTTTGACACTCAGCTTTCTCCACATCCTTCCTGTCACTGCCTTTGAGACTACTTCAGATTCTTCCCTTAGCTTCTATTTCTCCATTTGTAAAATTGGGTTGATGAGGGTATCTTCCTTCGGTAGCTGCGACAATAAAAACGGGATCATCATGCATCCTCCTTAGCCCCACGAGTAAGCTCCCAGTAAGTGAGGTTGTCATCATTACTGGATATTTAAGATTCTCTACCTATTTGAAAAACCCTAGCGACAGAGTCTCAGTTGCTTTTCTTTTTGCGTGAATGATCACTTGCTGAATTCACCAAGCAGGCGCTTTAACATTTACCTTCCTTTATTATGCTGGAGCATTTTTAATGTAGGAGGCTTCTGTGGCTTCTCACTATGACTGCTTTGTTTGTTCAAAACTTATACAGGTTGAGTATCCTTTATCTGAAATGCTTGGGTCAGAAGTGTGTTGGGTTTCAACTGTTTTCAGATTTTGGAATATTTGCTTCTATGTAATGAGGAATCTTGGGAATGGGAGCCATGTCTAAACACAAAATTCACTTATGTTTCATACACACTTAGCCACATACACATAACCTGAAGGTAATCTTATACAATATTTTAAATAATTTTATGCATGAAACAAAGTTTTGAATGTGTTTTGACTGTGACCCATCACATGAGGTAAGATGTGTGGAATTTTCCATTTGTGGCATCATGTCAGTACTCAAAACATTTTGGATTTTGGAGAATTTCAGATTTTGCATTTTCAGAGTAGGTGTGTTCAATCTGTATATATGGGTCAGATTCAGTTGTCTCCTTTAATCCTTGGCTGAAGGAAGCCCTAAAGACTTTGGGGCCTCAATCTCCCATATGCAGTGACATTCTCAAAGCCATTGACTCAGCTTCTCACCTGGGTTTCCTTCCAGTGAGCCACAGATAGAAGTCACAGATGATGGCAGGGGCCTGCTGGCTGATGGCATTCCAGTACTGGGTTGTGAAGTTGCTGGTGGTAAAATCAGCATATGGCCTCCTCAAAGCTCTCGCAAATGGAATTGGAATTTCAAAGGTTGCCAAGACCTGGAATCCTGGGGGAAAAAAGAGAGTAAGTGCTAGAGGAGAATAGGAGAATATAAGCCCATCATAGTGGAAGGTATTTACAATGGGTCACAACAATAAAGATGAAGGATTTGCTGTGTAGAGTCAAGAATCAATTTCTGAGAACAACGTAAAGATTTTTATGCTAGGCAAGTGGTTATCTGCAAAATGAAACAATGTGAATGGGTTAAGAATTGGACCCTTTATTTGAAACATCTACTCTACAACAAATTCTTGGGGAAGCACATGTAGTCAATAAAAGGGGGTACTGTTCAGAAAAATATAAATCCACATTTAATTCTAAGGTTACCTAGTCTATTCTGAAAGCCCCAAGACACAGGCTAGAAACTTTATTTCCCTGGCTGGACCATTACTTTCAGAACCATTTAGAAAGTTTCTTAACGTTTTATTTGAATCTTTTTTAAAAGTTTAACTAAAAAATTCTAAAGGCAAGATTTTCTTGTTTTAGCTTACTTTAAATATTTCTCCAGGAATATGTCAGACCCAATTGTCCACTCTGGTATCCAGGGTTTTATTCATAATAGTGTTTTTCTTTTTATATTAATACTTAGATTAAGCTTAATTAAGAACTTTTTATGTACATTTGTGAATTCAGTAGTTCTTTCGAAAAGGTACTCATTTGAATTCAATTTTAATTAAGTTATGTAGGTTTTTGCAAAGCATATGCCTAAGCTCATTATTCAATTATGATGTCAGTTATTATAGTAATACGATTATTGCCCTACTTAAAAAAATGCCAGCTAAAAATCTATCTGAAAAATATAACTCCTCTTCAGAGAAGATTCTCAAGAATCACCTGGTCCATAGGGATTTATACTTTAAAAAGATGGTGGTAAATAAGAAAGTTATGTACAGGTTGATAGCATAAGAGATTCTGATCTCAGCACTGATGTTCTGAACTATATATCCATATACTTGTTCAACATTTCCACCTGGAGGTGTAAGAGACATTCACATTTAACAGCTCTAAAATGGGCCTCCTGATACACCCACTGCTAACCACCCCCCTCCCAATACATACACAAACTTGCTATTTCACCAGTCTTCTACCTCTAACCAAATGCTAATTCAATTTGTTTAGTAGTTCAGCCAAAAACTTTGGGGTTATCCTTGATTCTTCTCTTTCTTTAACAACCCACACACAATTGAACAAAATCTATCAGCTCTCTGTTTGAAAAATACCCAGAATCATAATTTCCACCTGCTATCTCTCTGATCCAAACCACTACTGTAGCCTGGAATGTTGCAATACTGTCCTAAGTGGTCTCTGCCACTACCCCTGTAACCCTAGTCGGACCTCCATGTAGCAGCCAGAGGGATTCTTGTAAAATGTAACTCAGAGTGTATTACAGGAACGTCCCCATTCAGAGCCCTTCAACGGAATCTCTTCTCATTTAGAGGCAAAGCCATGGTCTGCAAGGGCTTGCACTCTGCATCCTCACTCTCTCTGCCCACCACTCTGACTTCACCTCTTACCGCTCTCCCTCTCAGTGCTTCTGCTGCAGCCATACTGGCCTCCTTGCTGTCCTTGAATATGATTAAAGAACTTCAGCACTTGCTGTTTCTTCAACTTGGAATATTTCATCCACGTGTCCCTCTGATTTGCCCTCTCACTTCTTGCAGGTCTCTACTAAGATGACACCTTATCAGAGAGACTTTCTTTGGCCATCACATATCAAATAGCAGCCTTCCCACAATACTGTTTACTTCTTTAATCTGTTTTATTGTTCTGCAATCACTCAACCATATCTGATGTATATTTCTCCTTTCTAAGATTTAAGTATCATAACAAAATTTTGCCTGTTTTGTTTGAACCTATACAGTACCTTGAAAAGTGGCTGACAGGTAATCAGTGCCTAATAAACATTTTTTGACTGAACGAATCAATAAATATCTCAGCAACATACACTTACTTTCCTTTTCCTAAATCTGTATCAATCCTTCCTTTAGTCATTTCAAATATATTTATTTAGCATTTAACACTTGCCAGGCACTGTGGTAGATGCTGAGGTAAAAAAAAATTACATACGATATATTCTTTGTCTTTAAAGAACTGGCAGTCTGGTGGGACATGTGGACAATTCATGATTACAATATTTTGCCTGAGTATTCTGCTAGAGGCCAGTACAATATGCTCTGGAGGAACACAAAAGAAGCATCTAGCTCTGTCTGGGTGCCAGGAAGGGGAGGGGTGGGGCTGGGTTAGGAAAGGCTTTCTGAGAAAGCTGTCCATATGGTAATAGCAAGCATTTACTAAAATGTTCACTGTTCTAACCACTGTACTAAGCACTTTATCTCACTACATTCTCCGAAGAGCTCCCTAGAATAGAATAATTATTATTCTCATTGACAGATAAAAAAAATTGATCTACAGGGAGAAACTGAGAGACTTTTTCCAACTGATACAACTAATAAGTAGTGGAGTCTACTAAATGGTGGGATGCATACCAGAATATAAGATCTATGTGAGCATGGATTTCTGTTTAGTGATACATCCTCAGCACCAAGAATAATGCCTATTTAATGAATACAGGAGTGAGTGAATGAGCTATGATTTGAATCCAAGTCTATTACATCTCAAAGCTCAAGACTTTTAACCATTAAGCTACTATCTGTCTGATGTGAGGGACAAGTAGAAACTCATGCACATGTAGAAAATGTAATTTGGCAGTTGAAAACTGGACTCTACATCCTCATAGGTCAAAGAAGAAATTCAAATGAAAAATGTTGAAGGATTAGAGAGTAATGATAACATAAACATTATACAACAAAATGTGTGGGATACAGTCAAAGTGGCATTGAGGGAAATATAAAGCCATAAATGATGTATTAGACAAGCCAAATATTCATGGGCTATATTTCTAAGTTAAAGAGAAGAAAAACATAATCAAAGACAACAGGAGGAAGGGGAAAAAAGACATAAGGCAATACATCTATGCAATAGAAAACAAAGCAGCATAATAAAGAGTCAATAGGCTGGGCGTGGTGGCTCATGCCTGTAATCGGGAGTTCAAGACCAGCCTGATCAACACGGAGAAACCCCGTCTCTACCAAAAACACAAAATTAGCCAGGTGTGGTGGCGCATGTCTGTAATCCCAGCTACTCTACTCAGGAGGCTGAGGCAGGAGAACTGCTTCAACCCGGGAGGCAGAGGTTGTGGTGAGCCAAGAAAATGCCATTGTACTCCAGCCTAGGCAACAAGAGCGAGACTCCATCTCAAAAAAAAAAAAAAAAAAAAGAACAAAGAAAAAAGTCAATAAAGCCCGAAGAAGTTGGTTCTTTGAAAAAAAGAAATAAAATAAACCCTTTGGAGACTAGCTGAGAAGAAAAGAGAAGACACAAAAATATTATGAATTAAAAAAGAAGCATAATTACAGATACAGTTTAAGACAAAAATATTAATATAAAAAAATGAATGTAAACACATGTTAAAACAGACAAAATCTTAGAAAAAGAGACAAATATAATTTACTAAAACTGATTCCAGCAGAAAATGAAGGCTGCAAAATTCTTTAACTATTAAAGACACTGAAGCAATAAAAAATCTTCTCACAAAAAATTACAAATCCAGATAATTTAAAGGTGCTTTTCCCAAGTTTTCGAGGAATAGATTACTCCACTATTACAAAAGCACTTTCAGAGAATAGAAAAACAAGGGAACTATATGATTAGCAAACTGAATTACACAAAATATAAGAAAAGATAACATGGCATGACCAAGTTGGGTTTATCCTAAAAATGGCAGGCGAATTTAATATTTGAAGTCTTCTGCTTAAAATGAGCAGCAAGACAATAATACCTACTATTGCCATTTTTATTCACCATTATAGTAGAAGTTCAACAAGAAGGCTGGGCGCAGTGGCTCACACCTGTAATCCCAGGACTTTGAGAGGCCAAGGCAAGTGGATCATGAGATCAGGAGATCGAGACCATCCTGGTTAACATGGTGAAACACCGTCTCTACTAAAAATACAAAAATTAGCCAGACGAGCTGGCAGGTGCCTGTAGTCCCAGCTACTCGGGAGGCTGAGGCAGGAGAATGGTGTGAACCCAGGAGGCAGAGCTTGCAGTGAGCTGAGATGGTGTCATCAACAAGAAAAATAAAGACCTAAAGCTTGAAAAAATGGGGATAATACTGGTATTTTTGCAGATTAACTGTCTACATAGAAAATCATGAGGAAATTTTATACAATTTCTAGCAATAATAAGTTTAGCAAGATAGCTGAATATAAGGTCAATATACAAAAATCAATTGCATTTGACATCATCCACAATTAGAAAATATATTTTTACAAAAGACATTTAAATTAGTAAAAAAAAAAAAAAGAAACATCAATTACCTGGGCACTAGGTATAAATCTGATAAAAGATGCTTAAGACCTATATGCAGGAAATTAAAAACTCTTCTTAAGGGACACTAAAGGAGACAATTCTATGGAGAGACAGCCTATGTTCACCCACCCAGCTGTCTATCACTCCTTGTAATATCACCTGAGACTATATATGCTCAACCTCCTGTTAACATGGCTACTGCTCCCAGTAGGCAGCATTTTTATCTCTCCTAAGAGTCCCTGATAGGAAACACAAATGACTTTAATTTGAATGCAACATCAAATTAATAGTAATAGCTTCCAGAAATGCTGTGTTAGAAGGGAATCTAGAACAGAGCCTTGGCACAGGGATAACCAATGTCATATCAGCCCACAGTATTTGCTATAGGTGTGAGAGAGGTAGAGGAAACATGCAGGCCAGGTATTTCTCATTCCTGGAAAAGCATTTCTCAATTCAAAGCCACAATATATAAATGAGCCACAGTGTCTAGCTGCCCTGCAATAGAACTTTCAGTGTGGTACCATGGCTTACCATTGGAATATGAAGAGCTAGTGGTACCTATGTAACAGGGATAGAAGGCGTGCATTAGTTAGTAGGTACTAAGAAATCCTACAGAATAGCAAAACTCCCTACTTTTATCTTCTACCATCATTAGATGTTTAAGTTGTACTCAAATTGATTTCCATGGTTTTTGTACATTGACCAGATTAAATCCCTTACATTCAGACAAATTAATCATTTGTATAGTACAGGGTTTCTCAAAGAGCATCTCCGCAAGCATCAACAATCATCTAGATGCTTATTAAAAAAATAGTTTCCTCAGCATCACCCAAGACCTTGATCCCAGGGTCCAAGGAATCTGGGTGTTTTTTTTATTCTCCCATAGTGATTCCTATTCATTTTTACAAATCACTAGTAGAGTAGTTAATGCACACCCAAGAGAAACAAGTTGCATAAATTAGCGATCACTATTACACACTCAAAAGGAAGGAATAACATCACCCGACTTTTCTAAATCTCACCGGTCATTGATCACGTCCCATTCTCAGTGACATATCAAGAAGGGAAGGGGTGTGTATAGGACCCGCTGCCCCAGTAGGGAGGAGTATTTCAGTATTTTATCACTGAGATTCTTTATAACTGCCAACTTTTGCTTTATTTCATCACTGTTTTTTAAAATCTCTACAGCCAATGGACCCCCTACTGCTTACAATCATGTATGTGTTCCCAATGACTCCTTTCCTTGGTAACCACAGTACATTCCAGTTAACTACCACACATTTACAATTTCTCATTGTTTTGTCTCTTTGCTTACTTTTTGTCCTTCTCCCCATGTAGGCTCTAAGCTCCATGACACACTTTTTGTCTATTTTTTCTCTGTGTCAGACACTAGTAATTATGCAGTTACATGGCTAAAGTACTTACCCATTTTGCCTCGGTTGCAGGGATTGAGGTTACCAGATGTACAGTAGTAGACTAACATTGACTTAGGTCTGGAAAATGAAATAAAAATTAAATAAATACAACAGAATGGAAAACTAAAGAAAGAAAAATAAGGGAAAATAATATTTAGACAGAGTGGTTTCAATAATTCATCTGATTAAGGCAACCTATGCAAGAAGGCTTCTGTATTTTTTTCTTTCTTTGGGTTAATAAGCAAAATGGAAGAAGACTAGCAAAAGGGTGTGTGTGGAGGTGGGGGGATGTGTGTGTGTGAAAGAGATGTTAAATAGGAGTGACATATTATGAAGCACATATGTGTGAGTTCACATAAGAAAAGTTTAATTCTGTTTACCACTTACTAACACAGCCAAGTGTATGAACAACCTGTTTTTTTTCCTTTGTACCAGGAAGCTTCCCCACACATAGTGATTGAACACTTTTGGCATTAATCAGAGTTCAGTTAAAAAAATACTCTCTCATTTCATCCACTTCTATCTCCTTTACCCTAAAAAAGAAAGCTGAATGTTAAACTACTGAATAGAAAGAAAAGCCTTTTGGTTATCAAGAATTGTATGGTTAAGTGATTTAAATGTTTTATTACTTTGTGAGTAGCCAAGTACTAAACTGTATTTTGAAAACAACTGAATGTATATATGATAGCATATTAGGAACTCTATAAAACACTGAAACAAACACCCTCTCACATTTGGGGTCTTGTACAATGAAATGCCTATATTTGGAAAATGTGCCTAATACATTACCCCTCCCTCTCATGACATCTTTGAAAGCCCACTTGAGCATCCACACCTGTGAACTGCAGCACACCATCCTACAGCTAGTGGGAGACTGACGGCTGTATCACCTGGAATTGGAATTAAGTCTCCCACAGCCATTGGAGTAGCTTTTATGGCCAAAAGAAACCCTTTCCCAGCCTGCACAGGAAAAAGAACATAAAATGTGAAACCAGGTCTTAAGTAACAGCTGGGGCTGAATGAAGTATGTATCATCAAACTGATTATACTAGTGCAATAAGTGAAAACAGCTAACATCGATCCACTGCTTACCAGGTTCCCACACTAAGTCTGACTTCGTCAGCCTATCCTAGCTTCCCAGCCAAGCGCATCTTCAGCATTTTCTTGAACTACTCGTGTTCCTCACGTTCCTTTAGGGAATAAAATTCCTCATATTTGTGAGAGATTAATAAACTTAGTTAATTACCAAACACCAAGAATAAAACTTCACATTTTAAAAATTAACTCATAAGACACGTTAAGAATTAAGGTTACACAAATTTCCCATTAATGTTTGTTTTCCATTTCATTAATGATTTTGTTTTCTGCTAGGGTTTATTAACCTACAAGCAATAGTAGGCACTAAAAGTTTAAGAAACTTTTATTAGAAAAAAATTGATTGGTGAAATTCCACAATTAATGACAAAAACTTTTTTGGCTTAGAAAAATGGCCTTATTATTTAGTTTTTCTTCAGAATCTCATTTCACCTCACAGATCACTGATGTTATATAGATACAAGAGTTTGGAATTGTTTATGTTAATAATTTGTTGAGTTTATGAAATTGATTCTTTCTGCTTTGCATGTTTCCCACTTTAATTTGAAATGATTAGCACTTTCTTATGTTACTCAATTCTCTTTTCTTATAACTAGCTCCCCTTCTTTTGGACATAAGAAACCAATTTAGAACATTTTTAAAAATGTAAATAAATATACAGCTTTGCATATAATGAAAACCGCTTTGGGATCACGTTAAAATAATGATGTTCTAAGTCACCAAACGTTCACCCCAACTGAACTTTTTTAGGAGAAAGAGTTGAAGGCAGGTGGGAAGCAGAAAGAAAGGGGCTGCTAGAAAAATCCGAAATTCGAAGGAAGGTCTTTGTCACTACCATAATTCATTGTCTCATATTTGTATTTGAATTCATGTTGAACCCAGCTCTGGGAGGAATAGAGACAGAGTCTGAAGGGCAGGCTGAATCCCTAATAAGATTTAAACTCATTTAGATCACTGATTTCCCATTCATTGTACAAAAGAGTAAAGTGGGGTTTAGGCCCTGAATGCCTCAGTGTGAGCTGTGAACCCCACAGCTCTGCCGGATCAATGTGGACTTCAGGGAGATGCGCACTGAGGGCTGCTCACCTAGAGGAGCCACGTTTCTCCTTGTAAGACATTATTGAAAAGGCGTTGCCGGCACATGTCGACCTATGTAACAAACCTGCACGTTGTGCACATGTACCCTAGAACTTAAAATAGAATAATAAAAAAGAAAAGGCCTTGCCTATATTCACTGATGTTTGTATTTGAAAAATTTGCCCCAATATTGGTAGTTCTTTCTTGTATTCATTAAGAATTATTGATGTATACCTGCTTTCCATATACACACATAAACTCTTCTATGTGTTTTATAATAACGAATTTAATAATCTTTGAAGATATTTTTACTGCATCCTCAATTCACTGCACTAATTCATGCAATTATAAACTGAAGAAAGGAGGAAATACCCCCCGTCTTGCGATAAATAAAGCAAAATCCTTGGCAGAACCATGCCCGCCTGTCCGCGCCCCGACCAGCCCTCCCGGGCAGCCACTCACCGGTGTCCGTCTTCCCAGCTTCGTGCCATGTGGCCAAGTGAATCCATCCTGCCGTCCGTCTCCACTTTCACCAGCCCGTACCGCAAGCGCCGCCTGCAGGCGCGCTGACCCCGCGCCCAGCCCGAGGCCAGGGGAACCCACAACTACCTCAACAGCGTGTGGGACTCCATTCGGTCCACAGGGCTGGATGGCCTGGGGCTGAGGCCACCCCGAAGCCCCCGGCGACCCCGCCGTCTGCGTCCTATTACCCGAACACTGCACTCCGCTGCCCTACGGCGCCCTGGAGCTGGACCCGCTGCCAGATGGCCCGCGCTGCTCAGCTGGTTGTTGTTGTTGTTGTTGTTGTTGTTGTTGTTGTTTTGAGATGGAGTCTCCTTGGGTTGCCCAGGCTAGAGTGCAGTGGCGCGATCTCGGCTCACTGCAAGCTCCATCTCCTGGGTTCACGCCATTCTCCTGCCTCAGCCTCCGGAGTAGCTGGGACTACAGGCGCCCGCCACCGCACCCGGCTAATTGGATTTTGTACTTTTAGTAGAGACGGGGTTTCACCTGTTAGCCAGGATGTTCTCCATCTCCTGACCTCGTGATCCGCCCGCCTCAGCCTTCCAAAGTGCTGGGACTACAGGCGTCCGCCACCACGCCCGGCTACTTTTTTTTTTTTTTTGTATGTTTAGTAGAGACGCGGTTTCACCCTGTTAGCCAGGATGGTCTCCATCTCCTGACCCCGTGATCGGCCCGCCTTGGTCTCCCAAAGTGCTGGGATTACAGGCGTGAGCCACTGCGCCCTGCCTGCTCAACCGCTTTCAACTGGTGCTGCCCAGCCACCTGGTCAAAGCCCAGCACCCTGAAGCAGATGGCGGCGGCTACGCACCCAGGTTCAGGTATGGATCGCGCGTCCTCTCAAACACTAGGGCGCCCCGGGCCTGCAGCTTCATGCATGCGAGGTCCCGGGTCCCTCCCATTCCGCCCCCAACACCTGCCCCTCAGCCCCTACGGCCCGCACGCCTCCTTCCCGCTGCCCTTCCGTGGCCCTGGTTTGGGACACCCAGCCCGGCCTTCATGAGGCGCCCCCCGCCCAGCTCCGCCCCTCCACGCCCGTCTTTAGTCTCTTAGGCGGTGGCCGCCGCCGCCACAGCCCTGGGCCTGGCACCCCCAGTCGCCCGCGGCCTCCTTGTGGTGGCACCGGCGTCCCCGCTGGAGCTGCTGGAGGCCAAGCCCAAGCGTGACAGCTGCTCCTGGCCTGGGAACCGCAACACCAGGCATACCTATGTGGCTACGGCCAGACCTACAGCAAGAATTCTCCCCTGCAGGCACATCTGCGCAGCACACAAGTGACAAGCCCGACCACTGCCACTGGGATGGAAGCAGCTGGAAGCGTGCTCACTCAGACAAGCTAACGCTCCACCACCACAAGCACAGGGGCCACTGGCCATTTCAGGGCCATTGGTGCCACCATGCCTTCTTGCGCTCTGCCCACCTTGCCCTGCACAGGAAGCGGCACATGCAGCCCAGAGGCCTCCCCACCTGCACACGGCCCCCTCCCAAACTGTGACTGGTATTTATTGCACCCAGAGAACCCGGCAGGGCGGTGTGGCTCCATAGGGTCTACCTCGACGACGAAGACGGTGCCACCGCCCCAGCCCCCATCTGTGACTGAAGACCAGGTGGGAAAAGACCACTATCCGCCTTGACGAGTTCTGTTTTTCAAAATGGTGCAATAATTAAGTGGCATCTTCCCTCCCACGGGGCATAAGACTTGATGTCCTTTGAGAAATAAGGGCCTTAATTTGTACTGTCTGCGACATTTTTTATAATATTGTACATAATAACTGGGACAGATATTGTTATTACTGTACATAGAGTGGCAGGGCTACTTGCTTCATTTTCCTAAGACTTTTGCTTCTTTTATTTTTAATTTTTAAAAAAGTTTTTTTTAAAAAGAAAAGAAAAATCCTTAATTCTCACTTTTCAAAATAGAACTCTTAAATAGTAATTGATAGCACTTTACCTCTGTTTTCCTGATAAAAAAAAATTCTAAAAGAATAAAAACAATTTCATCCTGCCTCCATATTATAACCAGAATAATTGAAATAATATGCTTCAATTGATAGTAAAGTAGCATTTATGTTTTTGGATCAATTAAGCTAAGCCAGCACTAAGAATTTTCTTACTATTCCTCCACTACATTACAGTTACTTCTTCATCCCTATACATACCGCAATAATGAGTCGGCTACATCCATTTAGATTATCAACCCAACCCTAAAAGAAAGAAAATTTCCATTGGTTACACATTTCAGAAAATTGTTGTATCTTTGGAACATCTGCCGTCTAATCTTAATAAATTTCAAACAAGGGCACTGAGACTCCAGCCGATAGAACTATCTAATTCAGTATGATTAAGATCCCAAAGATCAATGGCAAAGCGTTGGCTATTTTCTGCAGTTTGTGCAAGAATTAAAATTTGGCCAGGATTGTTGTTGTAGCAGGAGTCATGAATGGTTTTGTGGTGTTTTATGACAACTTAAGGGCTACAATGGACCTTGTCCTTATATCATGATCTGCTAAGCAATTCACCAACCATACTTCACCTCATTCCTGATTTTAGCCTCCTTAGGAGAACATTGAAAACATGATTGGTAATAATGTGTGTTGACTTGCTTAAAGATGTTACAGGAAAGATTATGCTTAAGAGTAGTTAGAGGGAAATGTCTTTTTGAGTTTGTTTCCTAAGCCCTAAGCCGTCTCTTTACCTTACAGTATAAAAGTCGAAATGCATATAATGGGAGACCAGATATACGGGAGGAGAAGATGAAGGGATAATATTCGTTGAGCCTTTTAGTAGGGATCTACCTTTTACTAGAGACTGAGCACTCCTCATACATTGTTTCATTAAACCAACTCTCCAAAGTAGTATCTGTCCTGTTCTACCGAAAGAACAACTCAAAAATGTTGCATTGCCAGTAAGTGGTGGAGCTGGAATGTATCTGCCCCCAAAGCTTCACGGACTTGCTTTGAAGAAGATGGTATAATTCAAAGTACTTTCAAAAGGACATAGCAGTATACTGAGGTTTAAAAAAATTAGTATTCCCAAACTGAGATCCTTCTGTGAGCTTTGTAACCCTGGCAGTTAGTTGCAATACTACCAATTTGGCCATCAAGAACATTCTGATATGTTTAAGCTACAGTGGGAAAGCCAAGATATGAAAACATCACCCATGGGAATTTTGAGACTAGAGTAGTTAGAAGCTAATTTAAGATCTCCATCCAACTCTAAGATAGGGTAACTGCCAGAAGAGCCGCATGATCCCAAAGTGGAATTTTGCCCTAGTATAATGGGTTAATATTTGATTGGCTGCACTTAGCTATAAATCCTGAGGAGAAGAAGAAGAAGAAAGACATCAGAAAATAATTGGGCTAGAAGAACCTTAGTTTGAAAGCAAAACACAGAATCCAGGTAAGTGGGCTTACCAGGAAAAGCTGGTGCCACGTTGCTCCACACAATGGAGGGCCTTAGGATGGCAATGGTTAGGTTCCTGCTCTCCTGCTGCACCACCATTTCTCCCAAGGCCTTGCTATAGGTCTAAATATTGGGACAATCTCCAATCCGCTTGGGAGTGATCTCGTCAATAATGGCGTTGTCTATACATGAAAGGTAGTCAGAATAAAAAGAATTCTAGCAACATGTGTTAGACAATAGACCAAAAGGAAAATGTGAGACACAGTCAAACAAAACTTCCACCTTTTAGCCTTGGTTCTGGAATTCAGAACAGTCACATGATACCAAGATTGAGTGCATACCTGTCCAAAGCATGCATGAGCTGTTTTGTCTTCACTGCTAAGCCCAATCTTACAGTCAAATCCTATGCCCTCCTATCCAGACAGGTAGGTAGGTAGACGGATAGAATCAATAGCGATACCACTTTATTACTACTACTAGTGTAGGGCTATTAATACTACTTTAGTGCTACTATTACTTTGTCAGTGCTAATTACTACTTTATCTGTAGCAGTATTAATTTGAGGTAATTACATACAACCTCTTTACTTCCTTTCCAACAAGCTCGTAAGTACATTCATTGCACATATTTTTGAGTCCCAATCATTCTCCCAGTAGTGTGCTGGAAGCTGTGTTCAGGGAGTTTGAGGCTCTCCTCCAAGGTGTTTCAGTGGCAGCCCTGTTCAGTGTTGTCCTATAGAAACCCAGTGCAGTGATCCTGAAGAGTTTAGCTTTACATTTTAAAATTTTCATTCAATGCAAATCAAACCAAGGTGATTACTTTTGGCAGACTGACAATCTGTTTTACCAAATCTATGTAATGCATTTTGAAGGTCTGTTTAGAGTCTATGATAACAAATTGCTAATTATTTCCAGAGATTTTCAATGAATTCTGAAGTCTGTCAAGTGTGGTGATTATAGTACTCTGAAATTGTTTCAAAACCATGAATATTGAATACTTCTACTTACAAGATGACATGTATCATGAATAACTGAGTTACCATAGCATCAGCCTAGTCTTTCTTAAAAATATGTCAGAACCAGCCGGGCACAGTCACTCATGCCTGTAATCCCAGCATTTTGGGAGGCCATGGCGGGCAGATCACGAGGTCAGGAGATTGAGACCATCCTGGCCAACATGGTGAAACCCCGTCTCTACTAAAAATACAAAAATTAGGTGGGCATGGTGGCGTGCGCCTGTAATCCCAGCTATTCAGGAGGCTGAGGCAGGAGAATCACTTAAACCAGGGAGCAAAGGTTGCAGTAAGCTGAGATCTTGCCACTGCACTCCAGCCTGGTGACAGAGCAAGACTCCATCTCAAAAAAAAAAAAAAAAAAAAAAAGTCAGAACCATTTGATAACCCCAAAATCTATCTACAACTCTCTGAGAGAGCAAAAAAAATTATTGTCAATTAAATATGCAACATGTACTCTAGCTGACAGATCTATGTGGTTAAATTGTTAATATAACATAGCTTTTTAAAAATTAAGCTGTCGGAATATGCTAGGGTGATTTTTCTGATCAATGTGGTCCATTTATTTCTATTTTATACAACAGAACATAACTATACTATTTTGATTGTAGAAAATCTTCACTGTTACCACCTTGCTGACATGACACATTTTTGAACAACTAAGATGTGCATGAGGTTAAGACTCATTCAGAATCACAACTCTCAATATTAATGCCTCATTTGATCCTGGGGTAGAACATGGGCATTGACCATTATGTTTCCATTTTTCTTCCTTTGCTTCTGAGTGCTGAGTGTCTTCTGGATACTAAATGTCTTTTCATTTAAGTTGAATAGAGAAAGATTGAGGGGTTCTAGAATTAAAAACTTAAACTACATAGAAATATCAAGGATATTTTAATTATATGGTCACCTGGGGGCTGGGAAAGAGCATAGGATGATTCATACATCTCTCAATCTTAACAATAATCCTACCGTTACCTCATTTCATTTCTGTGTCAACAGTGGATTGACTGACCTAAGACCATTTCCCCTCAACTGCAAAACTATACAGTTTATGAAAACCAGGTCTTCAGGGAATAGAGCTTAATTTCAATAAGTCTGTAAAGAAAAAATTCCTAGAAAACATCAGAGCCCAAAAATGTACTGGGATTGTATGTCAGATGGCTAGTACCAGTTGCTGTCATTAATGTTGGGGCAGCCGGAAAGGATAATACTTGGAGGGATGGGGGCCTTATAAAGCTTAGTGAGTTTCCTTGTATTAGAAAATGTTGGGTTTTGTTGTTGTTCTTGTTGTTTGTTGTTGTTGTTGTTGCTGTTTTGAAATGAAGTCTTACTCTTGTCGCCCAGGCTGGAGTGCAGTGGCACAATCTTGGCTCACTGTAATCTCCACTCCCCGGGTTCAAGCAATTCTCCTGCCTCAGCCTCCTGAGTAGCTGGGATTTCAGGTGCCCACCACACCTGGCTAATTTTTGTACTTTTAGTAGAGACGGGGTTTCACCATGTTGGCCAGGCTAGTCTCGAACCCCTCACCTCAGGTAATCTGCCCGCCTTGGCCTCCCAAAGTGCTGGGATTCCAGGCATGAAAAAATTTTGGTTTTATAGATTTCTAACAACACACATGGAAGAAATTTTAATATTCTATAGATGGCTTACCTCTGCTACTCTTAGCTGCACCTGTATTCCACTGTTTTATATTCTCGTTCCAATTTTACTTGTGAAAATGGCAATAATTATATTCATTCTAAATTCTCAGGTTATGAGGGTAGACAAAAATATTCACAACTGCATTTAAGCTGTTTGATAAAACAAAATGAGCCAATAAACCTAAGGCACTCCTATTTTTAGATAAAACAATCGGAGAGCATCATATATCTGTGTACGTAATAGTTGGTTTTAAAATGTCATTTCTGGCCATATGTGGTAGCTCAAGCCTGTAATCCCAGCACTTTGAGAGGCCAAGGAAGGAGGATCGCTTGAGTCCACGAGTTTGAGACCACCCTGGGCAACATAATAAGACCCAGTCTCTACAAAAAAAGTTTTAAAAATTAGCTGGGCATGGTGGTGTGCACCTGTAGTCCCAGCTACTCAGGAGGCTGAGGCAGGAGGATTGCTTGAGCCTGAGAGTTGAAGGCTGCAGTGAGCCATAATTGTGTCACCATACTCTAGCCTGGATGACAGAGTGAGACCCTGTCTCAAAATGAATGAATGAGTAAAACAAATAAAAATAAATTATCATTTATAATGCAGCCAGACAGGCCATCTGCTAGCTCATTCAGCCAGTTCCTAGGTTCAGACAGATTACTGTAAACATGCACATGCACTGATTGGGCAAAGCCCTTCTCAGGACTTTCATTCAATTCAGGGTTGCTGCTGCTGTTTGTTCTCAATATGTTTTTAAACAGTAAATAAGTTACCATGGATAAAAAAACTATATAAACCATAATACGTGTCTGAAATTAATCCAAATGTTCTTCAGTATACTCAAGAAGATGTTTTGACCCAGGGGTCTCAAATACTAAACTCGAATTGCTTCAGAAGAAGCATAAAGTCATTGAAAATTTCAGAAAGCAATATGTATGTCTATGTATGTACATACATAGACACATATACAATTTCTTCCAAAGATTACTATCAATTTTGCTTTCAAACTTATTGAATCAACATGATGATATCATTAATGGTTTCATTATTTATGTATTTATGGAATGAAATACTAAGAAGCATATGGATTTCCCCTCCCCTGACCCTCCAATTTTCTCATTCAACAAGTTGGCAAGCCTAGTGGTTTATGAGGAAATCTGTTAGAGAGTAAGTAGTGGACACACTGTCTTATGATAACGTTTGCTCTCTCTCTCTCCAGTCTAAATTATATAATTCACTTGATTGTTGTAGTTATCAAGTTGTATTTGTTCATCTGTCTGTCTGCCCACTAGACAGTGAGTCCAGGAGAGCAGGGATTATGATTTTTATCTCTGTGTCTAATCACTTTTCTGCCCCCAGGAGCCAGCTACCTTATTCAGTAAATGGATGCTCTTCCACATGGTAATCTTGATTGGCCAATTTCTGTACTATATAAGGTTTTGGGAAGCAGAGATGGACAATGATGAGACAGAGTGGATGTACTCAAAAAAAGACAAGGTTGTAGGGAGAATGCAGGAAAGGAAAGAAGGGGGTACCTTTGTACAGCAGGTAGCAAAATTGGAAGTCAAAGTGTCCAGTGGCAGTGGTGAAAAGTGTTGACCAACCTCGGTTTGATGAAGGTGGCGTGAAAGTCAACTTAAACTTTTCACTGGGAAGCAGGATATTTCTGAGCCTAATGCTTATGGAGAATTGCCCTCTGTATTTCCCTCCAGACTTTCATGAGGCACCCAGCTTGGCCCAAACATGAGCCAGATGCTGAATGGCCTACCAATGGCCTGCCAATGTGAAAATTATTCAGTTTGGTTAAGAAACAATTTACTCATATTCTGGTTTGTATTTGAAGCCTGCTAATATCAAAGTACACAGAATTTTCATTTTTATGTCAGCTACTTAGATGTCATTTTGAAGCTGTGCCATGATGAAATTAAAAACACAGGTCCGGCACAATGGCTTATGCCTGTAATCCCAACACTTTGGCCAAGGTCAGGAGGTGGAGAACAGCCTGGCCAAGATGGCGAAATCCCATCTCTACTAAAAACATAAAAATTAGCCAGGCACACTTGCGGGCACCTGGAATCCCAGCTACTCGGGAGGCTGAGGCAGGACAATAGCTGGAACCCAGGAGGCAGAGCCTGCAGTGAGCTGAGATCACGCATTGCACTGCAGCCTGGGAAACAAGAGCAAGACTCAATCTCAAACAAACAAACAAAAAGCACAAGTGCTAGAGTCAGCTTTCACCATTCCCCTAGAACAGATCATCTTTTTCAGTGTTAACAATGTGTTCTATAGCAGGAAGTCAAGACTACTGTCCAAGGTCTGACCTCCTTTGATATCTCCTGGAGGGCTGTGATGAGGGCCACTGATGCTGGCTGTGGGGGTCTCCATTTCCCTGCCTCTCACCCCTGCACCTTCAGGGCACACGCCACCTTTCCTTTTTTACATGGCAGACTAGCTGTGTCTTCTGGTGGCCACGTAGCTTCAGAAGTGTGGTTTTTAGTAGGTACAGATCTACTAGGAACTTTCATTCAATTAAAGCTTCTAGGAACTGAAAGACAACAGGAGACAAAGAGAGCAGGAGAAAGAGGAAGCATGGGGTATTAGAAGATAAATGATCCTCTTTTCAAATGAAGACTGCTTAATGAAAAATCTCCTTAAGGCACAATTTCCCAAACTTGCCTGGTCATCAGTGTGAATTACACAAGGCCCCTGGGAAAAATCCAGACTCCTGGGTGCCATTTTAGAACCACTAAATACATCTGCAGAGGTAAGAGTCTGGATAATCTGTATTTTCAACATGGCCTGGAAATTCCAACTGTCAGGTAAATTAGGGAATCACTAATTTAAAAGAAGTCCACTCCATCAACTTAAGTCGTTAAGATTTGAATATATCAGGATTAGCTCTCAAAAACACATTGCTTCTTGGAGTAAACATTTCAACAGAATTGAATTTTAAAATTATTAAATCCCCTAATGCTATCCCTCCCCCACTCCTCTAGCCCCCCACCCACTGACAGGTTCCGGTATGTGATGTTCCCCTCCGTGTCCATTTGTTCTCATTGTTCAGCTCCCACTTATGAGTGAACATGCGGTGTTTGGTTTTCTGTTTCTGTGTTCGTTAACTGAGAATGATGGCTTCCAGCTTAATCTATGTTCCTGCAAAGGACATGAACTCATCCTTTTTTATGGCTGCAGAGTATTCCATGGTATATATGTGCCACATTTTCTTTATCCAGTCTATCACTGATGGGGATTTGGGTTGGTTTCAAGTCTTTGCTATTGGGAACAGTGCCGCAATAAACATATGTGTGCATGTGTCTTTATAGTAGAATGATTTATAATCCTTTGGGTATATACCCAGTAATGGGATTGCTGGGTCAAATGTATTTCTGGTTCTGGATCCTTGAGGAATCACTACACTGTCTTCCACAATGGTTGAACTAATTTACACTCCCACCAGCAGTGTAAAAGCGTTCCTATTTCTCCATATCATAATGTAGCACCGAATGTAGATAAGCGCCTAAAGTAGATGAGAGGTTGATGGGTGCAGCAAACTACCATGTCATGTGTATACCTATGTAACAAACCTGCACGTTCTCCACATGTATCCCAGAACTTAAAATATAATAAAAAAAAGATTGAAAATTTAAAATTTTAATACAAAATTAGGACTTAGTTATTTGCAAAATACACTGTATTTTCAATGTGAAAAACAAAGGGTTATCGTATGTATTATCAATAAAGTTATATAGTTTCCCATAAAAATAACATTAATAATGGAAAATTCTAAAAGAAAAATAATTAAATTTCTTTTAGGACAATTTAAAAATGTATCTGTCAATTTTAACATGAAAATTCTCTTACATTTATACATCCCACATTCTAATAAGGACTAATTTTTATGAGCAGTAAAGAAATGTGTGTATGCGTGTCTGTATACTTATAGGTATATATCTGTTTCTGTGAAAATCTCTCTTTTAGAGTCAGAAAATCTGTTTGGTCCCAGTTCTTACTAATAATATATGATCTCACTAAAGATACTTAAATTCAATAAACTCAATAAACTTTACTCTTAATGAGGTAAGAATGAGAACACAGGTGCCAGCCATGAGCTGCGGTTCCACTGGCACAGGCTTCAGAGATCCTACCTTTAACATCCTCCTTTCATTCATTTGAGCCTGATAAGAAAGGAGTCTCTTGGGAGAGAAGCAAGCATACACCTTGGGGCCAGACAGCCCACGGTCAAAGTTGAACTCCACCACTGTTCAGCTGTGTGACTTTGGGCAAGTGACTTTTCCTCTCTGATCCTCATGATCCTTTTTGGTAAAAACAGCACAACGACAGGTCTATGAAGATTGGAGGAAAGAAAAATGTGTGTCTTAGTTTAAGTTTCCTGGAAGTAGATCCTGAGGCAAAGATTCAAGTATAAAAATTTTATCTGGAGATGACTCCAGGACAGTAATTCTACTGCCAGTTCTTCCTTAGAGTACTAATTGCAGGCAACACCAGTAGAGGAGTGGGGAACTGAGACAGGAATGGAATGTAGCAGTTAAAGGGACCTTCATCAAGAAAGTTTCTACTGTGGGCAGCCAGGACTCAGCCCTGCCGGGTACCTCTGAGAGACAGCATAGAACATGTGCCTCAGAGTCATCCCACCCAGAGCAAGGGAGCTGGGTTATTTATCCACCAATACACACCAGTCACTCCTCAGGGCTTCTTCCAAGGACATGATTCCTCCAGAATGCCCTGCCTGCACTGCAAGAATGAGACCTGGAGGGTCAATGGCAAGAGCCCTGACAGCGCCTCCAGCAGTGAGCAGGACCACAGCCTGGTGTGGAGAGTTTCAGTCCCTCAGTGACCCCAACACACACACACACACACACACACACACACACACACATTCTCTCTCTCTCTCACACACACACACACACACTCTCTCACACACACACACCATACTCCAACACCAACAGAGAACATACATACATACACATACATGCATAGATAACTGTTACCCACTTACATCCTGGTGAATCCATGGGATAGAAGATAAGGTGGGAATCAGAGGGAAAAGCAAAATTAAGGGGAGTGAGGGTCTTGGGAACAAAATGAAAATATAGGCAGAAAATCAAGGGGGCAGAGTGGTCTGGACACCAAACGCCTGCTGGCTGGCACCTGCTCTACATACACTGTCAGTCATTCTCCAAGCAACCTCGTGGAGTCGAAGGAATTCCCCTCAATTAGAGATGGTAGAAATGTAGTTCAGAAAAGAAAACTGATTTTACTAACTGATTTTACTGCTTCTTGGTTCTGCTCCTTTTCTTGCTAGGCAATCATGACAGAATTGACAAAAACATTTTCCCCCTTCACCACCTGGAGCAGAGCCAATGAGAGGGGCTGGGGAACAGGCCATGAGGCCCTGCACCCACCATTCAATGTCTTCAGGATTAGGACTCTTGCATCACAGGCTGGCAGCACTCCCGATGTCTGGGTGTTTTGTGAGGTTGTACAGGATCTAGTAGAGGCCACTGGCTCTGCTGTCATATCCTAAGAGGCAGCCAGGCAGACTTGGGTCTCTTGGCTGCTTCAGCACCAGAGGATGAACAGCGCCCATACACTGAGGCTTTCGGGAGAATGGGAGGAGGGAAAGGAAGGGCAGAATGGAGTGATGTAGGGTCCATCCATCATATCCCTGGATGGAGAGACCCCTGTTCCCACAGTAGTCCCACACCGGGACCACCACCAGCACTCATGAATATGCCAGCCTCCATTTATATGTCCTCGTCTGACAACTCCTTCCCATTTTCATCCTGGAGGCAAGACTCTGAACACACTAGCTCTGAGGACACCTGTGTGTAACCTGAGACAGTCCCTGAAGACCTTTCATCCAAGCAGGATCCCTCCTTTGCCATCTCCAGACCTGCCCCACAAGCTCCCTCCCTGGTCTCCTGGCTCTTGTTCACTCCTTCCAGGCAGCCTTCTACAGTCATCTCGAAAACATAGCTGACTGTCACTCCTTTATCCAGCACCTTCCATGGCTCCCCAGAGCCCTCCAGATCAAGTTCAAGTACCTTGATCAGACACTTGATCTCAAGCTCCATTCTACCTCCTGAATTAAGATCCCGGAGAAGCCACCTTGCTCAGCACAAGCGCATCAATGAAGTCCGAAGCCTTGAATGTGGCCTTGGCCTTGAGGAAGTCATCAACACCCTGGCTAGTGAGGGTGCGGTGCTGCTGCAAGATGATGGTGTCTGAAGTTGTGCACCAAGTCACAGGCCCTGCAGAAGCATCGCCCCTCAGGAATGGGTAGTACAGGAAGTCCCAGCACAGGCAGATCTACTGACGCCGTTACACTATGAGGGTACTGAGCTCCAAGATGTCAGCAATATGTTCACTGGCATTCCTGCAGGGTGAGGCTAGGGAGAGGAAGCAGCTCCGTAACACATATGAAACTCTGGAAGCCCTTCCCAGCCAAAATCTCTGGACCACATTACACCCAGAAATGGGTGCCCTCTCAGCACACTTCTCTCTGCCTCCCTCTCTGAGCTGCCTCCTGGCCCCACATGCCCCAGCCTGGACCAGGGCTTGGAGCCCAGCAGGTGTTCAGTTCATGGTGTTGACTGCTTCCTGGCACAGGAGAGCCCTTGGTAGCTCTGTGACTCCTCCTGTGGAACCCCTGCCTCTGCCTCAGGACCTCCCTATTCCCATGGGAAGACCCCAAGGATTGCCCCACCTGCCCAGGGATCCTCCAACCCCATAGGCCTTACTTGATGCCTTATCCCTCCCAGAACATGACATGTTTCTCACAAGGTGACTTATTTCCAAGGCCATCTGTGGATGTTTGCTGGGGACGTCTTGCTGTTCTCCTTTATGATCTGTAGGGCAGGGCCAAGAGGAGAAACCAGCCCAACCTCAGAACAAACAAGGGCTCACTGCCACAAATGGCAACCACCAAACAATCAGCAGTGCTTCTGGGAGGAAAGGAGGTTTCATTCCACACAAAGCTCCTTGTTTGGTTTCTTTCTGAATCCGGGGAGGGGTAGGTACCAAGCCCAGCTTACCTGTGGTGTCTACATTACCATCTGTGCCTAGGATGTGCAAAGGGCCCCTGCTCCCACTGCAGGGTTGACGTTCCCTCCAGCTGGAGACCTGGGCTCCTGACACCGCCTGGCCTGTTTGTCCTGCTCTGGATGAGCGTGGAAAGGCTGTACCTGGTATTTCCCTAGGTCCTTGGTTTCTACCACCTAGACATCCAGCAGGAGTGACCATGTCTAGCACCACACCTGAAAGGGGACTCCCTTGTACAGCAGCCCAGACATCTACAGATGGAAGAGTGCTCAGTGAGACAGGCCACAGGGGTCCCCAGGGAGGATAAGGGGGTGGAGGATTCTGGAGGTTTCCAGCCTTGGGCTCTGTGGTTCCTCAAAGAGGTTAGGTCTACCTAGTACCAGGCCTCCCCTCCCACGATTCAAAGACTGAATGAGTGTCCAGCATCAGGAACTCTGTTCTGGACCTGTTTTTTCATTTAGGTCACCAAGGGACAACCCCTAACCCCTGAGCTAGGGGATGGTCCAAGCTCTGGCATGAGATTTTCCTCCAGCAATGTGATGCTTACAGGGACAGGTAGAAAAGCTGGTGACCAGGCCTGCTGTCCTCTGGTTAAGGAGTGTGCCACCCACCCTCTGAGATGCAGGTGGTGCCAGGCCACAGCACTGGGTGCCTGTACCCCTGGCTCTACAGACACCGGTCATGGAGGTCCCTCCCTCCACATTACCTTCTTGCTGCTCCTAGATTTCTTCTAGTCATTAAGCACTTTGAGTCACTTTTCTGTGCATCCAATTTTACATTTTTGCTCTCAGATGAAACAGGATAAAGTATGCTGAGCTGCCAGGATTCCTGGAGGGGACCTTGGATGCTGAGTCTTGGGATCCAGGGCCCTGATGGGACTGAATCAGAAGGAGCCAGGGAAGGACAAAGATTGGGGCTGAGCCCCTATGACCCAATGGCCATTGGTGGCCTGGCCTTATGGTCCCAAGACACCTGGTCCTCAGGCCAGAGACACCATGGGCTTTGGTCGGGTCCCAGCCTCCCAGTAGTGTCCTGGCACTAGCAGGAGCTGACCCCTGAGCCACAACCGCAGTTCTGGGTTTGGGGTTTGGTAAAACCACCTCAAGGATAAAGTCTTGGGATCGGGTTTGCCAGGAACCATGGTGCCTCCCAGAGATGGTGTGTCATTCCCACTCGCCACGAAATGTGCACACAGGCTGTTCCCATGTCCATCCCATCCCGCTGGACAGGATGGAGGAAGTGAGGGAACAGGCATGGTGGACAGCTGGGGTGCAGGGAGAGGCAGGTGCATGCTGGGAGGTCAGGCCCTGCGAGGGCTGTGGAGGCATCAGGTGGAGTGGGCTCCAGGTGCACCTTCAGTGTACTGGGCACGTCTGAGGCCAGGCTCACTGGACCCTGGACGTGTGATGTGGTCAATCACTGGGGGAATGTTGTCAGGTCCCAGACACCCGCCCTGGGCAGCACTGTCTCATCTCAGGACTGGACTTTCTGAGTCCTAAGACAAGACAGTGCTGCCCAGGCCTGACAGCCTGGGAGGACCTGTTAAGTCCTCCATCCCTAGACTAGCCTCCCAACAGCAGGGACAGTCTCTAATCTTCACCTTCAGGGAACTGACTGATCCATCTCACTCTAAGCCAGTCGAGGCAGAGCTGAGGACCTGCACCAGTCTGGGAGCCAGTCCCCTCCCCAAATGGGCCTGAGGGAAGCACCATCCCTGTCCCAATCTGCCACAAGTTTCAGCCTAGGAGACACATGGGGAAGGGAGGACGGGGCATCCCTGCTGGCTGACACTGGAAAAGTGGGACCTGGGAGAATGGGGAGCACAAGGCTGGCAGGGGATGCTCCAGGCCCATGGAGAGCTCAGGCTGCACCATGCGGTTGCCCCTCCTGGGTGGAGTCTGTGCCCTCTACAGGATCTGAGAAAGTCCAGTCCTGAGATGGGACAGCGCTGCCCAGGGTAGGTAGCCGGGGCCTGAGAGCAGTCCCCCAGGGAGTGACCACATCACCTGGCTGGGGTCCAGGGAGCTTGGGGTGAGACCCACCCAGTGCACTGAGGGTGCACCTGGAGCCCAACCCACCTGACACCCTCACAGCCTTCACAGGGTCTGACGTCCCACCATGCACCTGCCTCTCCCTGCACCCCACTGCCCACCCTGCCTGTTCCCTGGCTTTCTCCATCCTGTGCAGCCCATAGACTGTGACCATCTCTCCAGACACTCTGACCCTTTCTTCACCTTTGTCCTGTCAGAATCTCTGAGCAACATCTCCCAGGTCCATCCAAACAACTGCTTTGTCTACTTTTGACCGGGCCATTGGGCATCACTGGGCCATCCCAGCTGTCCAGAGGGCCCTCGATAACGTGCAATGCACCTGGCTTCTCCAAGCAGCGCTCAGCAGTCCCCACTGACCAGGTTCCTGCTGACCAGACCCCACACATCAGGTCTTCCCTGACCACACCCTCACTGATTAGATCCCCATCACCAGGACCCACTAACAAGACCCCTGCTTCCAGGCCAACAATGACCATGACTCCACTGACCAGGACCTTACTGACAAAGCCTCACGGACAAGGCCTCACTGAACAGGACCTTACTGACCAGGCCTCACTGACAAGGCCTCACTGACAAAGTCCTTACTAACAAGGCCTCACTGACCAGGACCTTATTGACAAGGCCTCACTGACAAGGCCTCATGGATGAGCTCCTTACTGACAATTCCTCACTGACCAGGACCTTATTGACAAGGCCTCACGGACCAGGTCCTTACTGACAAGTCCTCACTGACCAGGACCTTATTGACAAGGCCTCACTGACCAGGTCCTTACTGACAAGGCCCCACTGACAAGGCCTCATGGACCAGGTCCTAACTGAGAAGACCTCACTGACCAGGACCTTATTGACAAGGCCTCACTGACCAGGTCCTTACTGACAAGGCCCCACTGACAAGGCCTCACTGACAAGGTCCTTATTGACAAGGCCTCACTGACCAGGACCTTACTGACAAGGCCTCACTGGCAAGGCCTCATGGACCAGGTCCTTACTGACAAGGCCTCACTGACTAGGTCATTACTGACAAGGCCTCACTGATCAGATTCCACTGATCATGACCCCATTACCTGGCCCCACAGATGAGGCCCCACTGACCAGGCCTCCAGGGAACAGGCTGCCACTGATCAGGCCCCTACTAACCAGGCCTGAGGTGACCAGATGCCCCTGACTGGGACCCTAGTGAGTAGGCCCCACTGAACAGGCACCGACTACTCAGGTCCCCGCTGACTGGGTCACCCCATAGACCAGTGCTACAAAAGCCACCACTGACCAAGTCATCACTGACCAGGCCCCCACTGATGAGGTTCCAATGACCAGGCTGCCCTGATCAGGTCCCCACTGACAAGGGACTCACTGATGAGGACACGCCCACCAGGCCCTGCTGACTAGGTCCCATGTGACCAGTCCTCCACTGAATAGCAGCCCTTGACCTGGTCACCAGTGACCCAGCCCATGCTGACCAGGCCACCACTAAGCCCAGCTGACCAGGTCGCCACTGGTCAAGCCCCACAGCCCAGGTCTGCACTGACCAGACACCAAACAACTGGCTGCCAATAGGTCCCCACTCGCCAAAACCCCCACTACTGGATCCCCCTAATGAGACCCTCCCTAAGCAGACCCCTGCTGGCCAGGCTCCCACTAAACAGGCCTCACTGACCAAGTCCCAACTGACTAGGTCCACTGAGCAGGCCCACACTGATCAGGCCCCTCCTAACCACATCAGAAGGCCAAGTGGCAATCAGATGTTTCATATGGCAGAAATAGAAGCAAGACACAGAGAGAAAAGAGGTGCCACAGCCCATTATACAACCAGATCACATGAGAACTCACTATCAGATCAGCATCAAAATTAACCACTGGTGAAGGATCCACCACACACACCACCGCCTACTGTTTCCAGGCAGAAGCCTCCTGCAGAGGCAGAGCCTCTTGGGAAACTTCCACTATGGCAGTGCAGAAGGGAAATATGGGCTTGGAGCCCCCACACAGGAGGCCACCATCCTCCAGACCCCAGATTCATAAGCCCACCAACAGCCCGCACCCTCAGTATGCAAAAGCACTCAACACCAGCCCAGCCCATGAGAGCAGCCATGGGGGCTAAAGCCTGCAAAGCCACAGGAGCACTGCCCTAGCAGAGGTTTTCCATGAGGATGTGACTCTGCAGCAGGCTACTCCCGCTTCCTAATACCCACCATCCTCTCACCACCCTACTGACAACCCACTCCTCCCAACACTGTCCACTTTATTTCCTTCCAACTCCAACCCCCTCCCATCCATGGTTAAATCACCTTCCACCAGGCCCCATCTCCAACATTCAAGATTACAATTCACATGAGTTTCTGTAGGGAAACACAGCCAAACCATGTTATTCTGACCCTGACCCCTCCGAATCTCATGTCCTTCTCACAGAGCAAAATACAATCACACCTTTTCAAAAGTTGCCAAAAGTCTTAACTCATTCCAGCATTAACTCAAATGTAAAAGGTTCAACGTCTCATCTGAGACAAGCCTACAGTCCCTTTTGCCTATAAGTCCCTGAATTTAAAAGGGTGTTCTTTTAAGACACAATGATGGTACACCCATTGGGTAAGCTTTCTCAGTCCAACGGGAAGAAATTTCCCAGCAAAATAACACAGATGGGACCACAGGACCAATGCAAGTCCAAAACCCAGGAGACCAGTATCCATTCAATCTCACTGCTCCAAAATCATGAAGAGAACTCACCATCACAAGTACAGAAATAAAGAGATTGTGTCTAATCATTTGTGAAGGAGCCACCATCACTTTTCACCCCTCACCCCCAACATAATCTCCCCATTCTCCCTATCCCCCACCTCCCAACCCCCACACTCCACCATGATTAAATCACCTTCCACCAGGCCCCAACTTTAACATTCCCCATTACAATTCCACACGAATTTTGGTAGGGACACAGAGCTAAATTTTATTATTCTGTCCCTGGCTCCCCAAATCTCATGTCCTTCTCACATTGCAAACTACAATGATAGCTTCCCTACAGTCCCCCAAAGTCTTATATCATTTCATCATTTATACAAATATTCAAAGCTTAAAGTCTCATCTAACACAAGGCTGCAGACCCTTAGGCTCATGAGCCTCTGAAATATAAAGAAAGTTAACTACTTCCAAGGTACAATGCTTATACAGGCAATGGGTAAGCATTCCCAGCCAAAAGGAATAATTTTGCCAGAAAGAACAAAACACAGAAAGGACTTACAGACCCCATGAAACTCCAAACCCAGAAGGCCAGTCATTCAATCCTACAGCTCCAAAATTACCCTTTTTGAAACCTTGTCCCACATCCAGGGCACAGGGATGTAAGGGCTGGGCTCCCAAGGCCTTGGGCAGCTCTGCACCTGTGGCTTTGCAGGGTTTATGCCCCACGGCTGTCTTCATGGGCTGGGCTGGTGTTGAGCGCCTGTAGCTTTTACCCACTGACGGTACAAGCTGTTGCGGGGTCTATTAATCTGCAGTCTTCATGATGGTGGCCTCCAGTGTGGGGTCTCCAACCCCATATTTTCCTTCTGTACTGCCCTAGTAGAGGTTTCTTATGAGGTTCTGCCCTTTAGGAAGGCTTTTGCCTGGACACCCAGACATTTCCATACATCCTCCAAAATCTATACAGAGCCTCCCAAGCCCCTAGGCTCATGCTCCATCCAACCAGTGGCTTAACACTATGAGGAAGTTCATGAGAACTCACTATCACGAGGTCAGCATCAAGAAGATGGTGCTTAATCATTAGTGAAGGATCCGCCCCCAACCCACCTCCACCCCCTACTGTTTCTGGACAGAAGCCTGAGGCAGAGCCTGAGCCTCTTGGAAAACCTGTACTATGGCAGTGCAGAAGAAAAATATGGGCTTGGAGCCCCTATGCAGGAGGCCACCATCCTCCAGACCCCAGATTCATAGACCCATCAACAGCTCGCACCTTCAGTATGGAAAAGCTACCGGCACTCAACACCAGCCCAGCCCATGAGAGCAGCCACGGGGGCTACACCCTGCAAAGCCACAGGTGCACAGTCCTAGCAGAGGTTTTCCACCAGCCTCTGCCTCTGCAGCAGGCTACTCCTCCTTCCTACTACCCCCACCCTCCCACCACCCTACAGCGAGCTTACTCCTCACCACGCTACCCACCTCTTTTTCCCTCCAACCCCACCCACCCCCCATCCATGATTAAATCACCTCCCACCAGGCTCCACCTCCAACATTCGGGACTGCAATTCCACATGAGTTTTTCTAGGGAAACACAGCCAAACCATATTATTCTGACCTTGACCCCCTCCCCCGAATCTCATGTCATTCTCACAGAGTAAAATACAGTCATGCCTTTTCAAATGTTTACAAAAGCCTTAACTCATTCCAGCGTTAACCCAAATGTAAGAAGTTCAAAGTCTTATCTGATACAAGGCTACGGTCTCTTCTGCCAATGAGTCCCTGAACTTAAAATGGAGTTCTTTTAAGGTACGATGATGGTACAGGCATTGGGTAAGCTTTCTCACTCCAAAGGGAAGAAATTTCCCAGAAAAATAACACAAATGGGACCACAGGCCCAATGCACATCCAAAACCCAGCAGGCCAGTATTCAAATCTCAAAGCTCCTAAACCATGAAGCAAACTCACTGTCAGAAGGACAGCATTACAAAGATGGTGTTTAACCATTTGTGAAGAATCTGCCCCCCACCTCTGCCTTTCCCCACAACCCCAACACAATCCCCCCCAATGCTCCCAACCACCCCCACCTTCCAAACTCCACTCTCCACCATGATTAAATCACCTTCCACCAGTCCCCACCTTTAACTTTGCCCATTACAATTCCACGAGCTTTGGTAGGGACACAGAGCCAAATTATATTATTCTGTCCCTGGTCCCCCAAATCTCCTGCTTCTTACATTGCAGAATACAATGATACCTTCCCCACAGGCCCCCAAATCTTAAATAATTCCAGCATTTACTCAAATGTCCAAAGCCCAAAGTCTCGTCTGAGACAAGGCTACAGTCCGATCTGCCCCTGAGTTTCTGAATTATAAAGCAAGTTAACTAATTCCAAGGTACAATAATTGTACATGCAATGGGTAAGCATTCCCAGCCAGTAGAAAAAAAATGCCAGAAAGAAAAACAAAACACAGATGGGACTCACAGGATACATGAACATCCAAAACCCAGCAGGCCAGTCATTCAATCCGACAGCTCCAAAATCATCCTTTTTGAATCCTCGTCCCACATCCATGGCACAGGGCTGAGGGCCGGGCTCCCAAGGCCTTGGGCAGATCTGCACCTGTGGCTTTGCAGCGTTCAGCACCCACAGCTGCCTCTCATGGACAGGGCTGTTTTGAATGCCTGTAGCTTTTCCACACTGAGGGTGCAAGATGTTGGTGGGTCTATGAATCTGGGGTTTGGAGAATGGAGCCTCCCTGTGAGGGGGCTTCAACACTACATGGCCCTTCTTTGCTGCCCTAGCAGAGGTTTTCCATGAGCCTCTTGGAAAGGCTACTGCCTGGACACCCAGGCTTTTCTCTACATCCTCTGGAGTCCAGACAAGAGGCTCCAAAGCCTCTAGTCTCTTGCTCTCTTCACCTGCTGCCTTAACACTATGTGGAAGCCATCAAGGCTTGGAGCCACATGTGAAGTAGTGACCCAAGCTGTACCTGTGCATCATTCAGCCATGGCTGGAGCTGGGGCTGCAGGGATGCAGGCAGCAGTGTCCTGAGGATGCACACAGCAGTAGGGCCATGGAACTGGCCCAGGAAACCATTCTTCTCTGCTAGGCCCCAGGGCCTGTGAGAGCAAAGGCTACTGCAAAGGTCTCTGAAATGCCTTCAAGGCCTTTTACCCTTTGTCTTGGACACTTGCACTAACCTCCTTTTTATGCAAATACTCTAAGCCTTATTGAATTTTCGCCCTGAAAATCAGCTTTTCTTTTTGACCACTTGACTAGGCTGCAAATTTTCCAAACTTTTGAGCTCCGCTTCTAAGTAGAAGTTCCAACTTGAGGTCCTTTCTTAGCTCATACATAACACAGGCTGCTCGACGCAGACAGGACACCTCTTGAGCTATGCTGCTTAGATGTTCATTCCACAAGATACATCCTAAATCATCACCCCCAAGTTCATAGTTTCACAGATCTCCAGGGCAAGGTCACTGTGCAGCCTCTGTTGGGCAAATCAAATGTAGCTTTGGCTCCTATTCACAGGAAATTCCTGATTTTTATCCGAGAACTTTTAAGTCTGGCCTTCACTGTCCATCCTTCTGTCAGCCTTCTGATCACAAGTATTTAACAATTCTCTACAGGGGTCCAAGCTTTTCCTCATCTTGCTGTCTTTTAAGCTTTCCCAACTCTCCCGACCTCTGTCTTTTACCCACTACTGAACCTGCTTCTACATTATCAGCTCTCTGTGTCACAGCCTGGCAATGTGGTAAAAGAAGAAAAGTCCATTTTCAGGGAAAAAATTCACACAGGCTTCAGATATTTGCATGAAAAGAAGCTGAGTGCTGCTTGCCAAGACAATGGGGA
Organism: Homo sapiens; assembly: GCF_000001405.40. Taxonomy (NCBI): domain Eukaryota; kingdom Metazoa; phylum Chordata; class Mammalia; order Primates; family Hominidae; genus Homo; species Homo sapiens. The sequence goes on along the minus strand of NC_000002.12, from coordinate 131,278,732 downwards.
AAAGGCCTTGAAGGCATTTCATAGGGAAAAGGCCTTGAAGGAATTTCATAGCTTCACTTCACAGTACTAACCTTCTGTATGATCAAAAAGAAAAGAGGTTTCATTGGCTCACAGTTCTGCAGGCTGCAAAGGAAGCACAGTGGCTTCTGCTTCTGGGAGGACTCAGGTGCCTCCCAATCATACTAGAAGACCAAGGGGCAAGGAGATGTTTCATACAGCAGGAGAAGGAGCAAGACAGAGAGGAAAGAGGTGCCACATCATGTTATACAAGCAGATCTCATGAGAACTATCACGAGGTCAGCATCATGAAGATGGTGCTTAACCACTGGTGAAGGCTTCCACCCTGCAAAACTACCTCCCACTGTTTCCAGGCAGAAGCATGCTGCAGAGGCAGAGCCTCTTCAGAAACCTCTGCGAGGGCAGTGCAGAAGGAAAATATGGGCTTGGAGGACTAACACAGGGAGCCACCAACCTCCAGACGACAGGCGCATCCTTGCAGAGGTGACTGGTTGCTCTTTGAGCCAGCTTGGCCTTGCCTGGCATACACAGGCCCCAGGTAGCAACATGCTGCTCCGAGTGAGCTTGTCCTGCCTTGACACAAATTCTAAGTGTGGCCAGGGCCACAGAAGGCCGAGTCCCCTAGATGCTAATCCTGGCTGCTTTCTGCACTTGAACATGAAGTCCTCCTCAAGATGGCCTGTGGTCTGCCTCTTGGCAACCAAGAAGCCCGCAGTGCCATATGATGCCTGAGGCATGGACTGCGGCCCCAAAGGCAGCGAACACCCTGCTCCTGAGCCTGCTGCTCATTTCTTCTCTGTGGCTCCATTTGTAGCACAGTTGTTGCACTGAGGCTTGTGCATGCCGGGCAAGGCCAAGCTGGCTCAAAGAGCAACCAGTCACCTCTGCAAGGGTGCGCCAGGAGCCGGTGCACCAGCCACCAACCTCACTTGCTGCCAGACATGGCACATCAGTACTTCTACCCTAAAGGTAGGGCCACAAGGCCATCTGCTTTTCCTAAGGACTCTGCTCCATCAGCCATCAGGAGACAGCCACTCAGGCTGCTGGAACCTGGCCATCCCGGCTTCCTTCAGTGGGTGAAGCTGGTGGCTGGTCCAACAGGTCCAGGCGCACCCTTGTAGAGGTGGCTGATTACGCTTTGAGCCAGCTTGGCCTTTCCTGGCATGCACAGGCCCCAGGTACTAACACGCTGCTCCGAGTGAGCTTGTCCTGCCGTGACACAAATTCTGAGTCTGGCCAGGGCCACAGAAGGCCAAGTCCCCTGAGTGGTAATCCTGGCTGCTTTCTGCACTTCAACATAAAGTCTTCCTCAAGACGGCCTGTGGTCTGCCTCTTGGCAACCATGAAGCCCGCAGTGCCATAGGACCCGAGGCATGGACTGGAGCCCCAAAGGCAGCGCACACCCTGCTCCTAAGTCTGCCACTCGTTTCCTCTCTGTCGCTCCATTTGTAGCACTGTTGTTGCACTGAGGCTTGTGCATGCCAGGCAAGGCCAAGCTGGCTCAAAGAGCAACCAGTCACTTCTGCAACGGTGTGCCAGGAGCCGGTGCACCAGCTACCAACCTCACTTGCTACCGGACATGGCACATCAGTACTTCTACCATAAAGGTAGGGCCACAGGGCCATCTGCTTTTCCTAAGGCCTCTGCTCCATCAGCCATCAGAAGATAGCCACTCAGGCTGTTGGAACCTGGCCATCCGTGCTTCCTTCAGTGGCTGAAGTTGGTGGCTGGTCCACCTGCTCCTGGCACACCTTTGCAGAGGTGGCTGGTAGCTCTTTGAGCCAGCTTGGCCCTGCCTGGCATGCATAGGCCCCAGCTACTGACACACTGCTCCAAGTGAGCTTGTCCTGCATTGGCACAAATTCTGAGTCTGGCCAGGGTCACAGAAGGCCAAGTCCCCTGGATGGTTATCCGGGCTGCTTTCTGCACTTGAACATAAAGTCCTCCTCAAGAGAGCCTGTTGTCTGCCTCTTGGCAACCAAGAAGCCTGCAGTGCCATACGAGTTCTGAGGCATGGACTGGAGGCCCAAAGGCAGCGCACACCCTGCTCCTGACCCTGCGGCTTGTTTCCTCTCTGTGGCTCCATTTGTAGCACAGTTGTTGCACTGAGGCTTGTGCATGCCAGGGAAGGCCAAGCTGGCTCAAAGAGCAACCAGCCACCTCTGCAAGGGTGTGCCAGGAGCAGGTGCACCACTCACCCACTAGCGGCCGGACATGGTACATCAGTTCTTCTACCCTAAAGGTGGACCACAGTGCCATCTGCTTTCCCTAAGGCCTCTGTTCCATCAGCAATTAGGTGGCAGCCAAGGCAGGACAAGCTCACTCGGAGCAGCGTGTTAGTATCTGGGGCCTGTGCATGCCAGGAAGGCCAAGCTGGCTCAAAGAGCAACCAGCCACCTCTGCAAGGTCTGGCCGGGGCCACAGAAGGCTGAGTCCCCTGGATGGTAATCCTGGCTGCTTTCTGCACTTGAACATAAAGTCCTCCGCAAGACGGCCTGTTTTCTGCCTCTAGGCAAGCAAGAAGCCCGCAGTGCTATACGACTCGAGGCTTGGACTGGAGCCCCAAAGGCAGCGCACAGCCTGCTCCTGAGCCTGCTGCTCGTTTCCTCTCTGTGGCTCCATATGTAGCAGAGAGGTTGCACTGAGGCTTGTTCATGCCGGGCAAGGCCAAGCTGGCTCAAAGAGCAACCAGTCACCTCTGCGAGGGTGTGCCAGGAGCCGGTGCACCAGCCACCAACCTCACTTGCTACCGGACATGGCACATCAGTACTTCTACCCCAAAGGTAGGGCCACAGGACCATCTGCTTTTCCTAAGGCCTCTGCTCCATCAGCCATCAGGAGGCAGCCACTCAGGCTGTTGGAACCTGGCCATCCCAGCTTCCTTGAGTAGCTGAGGTTGCTGGATGGTCCACCTGCTCCTGGCACACCCTTGCAGAGGTGGCTGGTTGCTCTTTGAGCCAGCTTGGCCTTGCCTGGCATGCATAGGCCCCAGCTACTGACACGCTGCTCCGAGTGAGCTTGTCCTGCCTTGGCACAAATTCTGAGTCTGGCCAGGGCCACAGAAGGCCGAGTCCCTTGGATGGTAATCCTGGCTGCTTTCTGCACTTGAACATGAAGTCCTCCTCAAGAGGGCCTGTGGTCTGCCTCTTGGCAACCAAGAAGCCTGCAGTGCCATACGACCCGAGGCATGGACTGGAGCCCCAAAGGCAGCGCACATCCTGCTCCTAACTCTGCCGCTCATTTCCTCTCTGTGGCTCCATTTGTAGCACAGTTGTTGCACTGAGACTTGTGCATGCCAGGCAAGGCCAAGCTGGCTCAAACAGCAACCAGCCACCTCTGCAAGTGTGTGCCAGGAGCAGCCAGACCAGCCACCAACCTCACTCGCTGCGGGACATGGTACATTGGTTCTTCTACCCTAAAGGTAGGGCCAAGAGGCAGACCACAGGCCGTCTTGAGGAGGACTTTATGTTCAAGTGCAGAAAGCAGCCAGGATTGCCACCAAGGGGACTCAGCCTTCTGTGGTCTACACTGCCATACAAGCTCTGAGACATGGACTAGTGACATCTGCTTTATAGAAATATTAACCTAAGATCTATTAAAGAGTTAAACATGCCATCTGATTTTACTCAGGCCTCTGCTCCATCAGCCCTCAGGTGGCAGCCACTCAGGCTGTGGGAACCTGGCCATCACTGCTTCCTTCAGTGGGTGAGGTTGGTGGCTGGTCCAACTGGTCCAGGTGCACCCTTGTAGAGGTGGCTGGTTGCTCTTTGAGCCAGCTTGGCCTTCCCGGACACGCACAGGCCCCAGGTAGTAACACGCTGCTCTGAGTGAGCTTCTCCTGCCTTCACACAAATTCTAAGTCTCGCCAGAGCCACAAAAGGCCGAGTCCCCTGCGTGGCAATCATGGCTGCTTTCTGCACTTGAACATAAAGTCTTCCTCAAGACAGCCTGTGGTCTGCCTCTTGGCAACCAAGAAGCCCACAGTGCCATACGACCCGAGGCATGGACTGGAGCCCCAAAGGCAGCACACACCCGACTCCTGAGCCTACTGCTCGTTTCCTCTCTGTGGCTCCATTTGTAGCACAGTTGTTGCACTGAGGCTTGTGCATGCCGGGGAAGGCCAAGCTGGCTCAAAGAGCAACCAGCCACCTCTGCAAGGGTGTGCCAGGAGCAGGTGCACCACTCACCCACTAGCGGCCGGACATGGTACATCAGTTCTTCTACCCTAAAGGTGGGCCGCAGTGCCATCTGCTTTTCCTAATGCCTCTGGCTCCATCAGCAATTAGGTGGCAGCCAAGGCAGGACAAGCTCACTCAGAGCAGCGTGTTACTACCTGGGGCCTGTGCATGCCAGGGAGGCCAAGCTGGCTCAAAGAGCAACCAGCCACCTCTGCAAGGTCTGGCCGGGGCCACAGAAGGCTGAGTCCCCTGGATGGTAATCCTAGCTGCTTTCTGCACTTGAACATAAAGTCCTCCGCAAGACGGCCTGTTTTCTGCCTCTAGGCAAGCAAGAAGCCCGCAGTGCTATACGACTCGAGGCTTGGACTGGAGCCCCAAAGGCAGCGCACAGCCTGCTCCTGAGCCTGCTGCTCGTTTCCTCTCTGTGGCTCCATATGTAGCAGAGAGGTTGCACTGAGGCTTGTTCATGCCGGGCAAGGCCAAGCTGGCTCAAAGAGCAACCAGCCACCTCTGCGAGGGTGTGCCAGGAGCCGGTGCACCAGCCACCAACCTCACTTGCTACCGGACATGGCACATCAGTACTTCTACCCCAAAGGTAGGGCCACAGGACCATCTGCTTTTCCTAAGGCCTCTGCTCCATCAGCCATCAGGAGGCAGCCACTCAGGCTGTTGGAACCTGGCCATCCCAGCTTCCTTGAGTAGCTGAGGTTGCTGGATGGTCCACCTGCTCCTGGCACACCCTTGCAGAGGTGGCTGGTTGCTCTTTGAGCCAGCTTGGCCTTGCCTGGCATGCATAGGCCCCAGCTACTGACACGCTGCTCCGAGTGAGCTTGTCCTGCCTTGGCACAAATTCTGAGTCTGGCCAGGGCCACAGAAGGCCGAGTCCCTTGGATGGTAATCCTGGCTGCTTTCTGCACTTGAACATGAAGTCCTCCTCAAGAGGGCCTGTGGTCTGCCTCTTGGCAACCAAGAAGCCTGCAGTGCCATACGACCCGAGGCATGGACTGGAGCCCCAAAGGCAGCGCACATCCTGCTCCTAACTCTGCCGCTCATTTCCTCTCTGTGGCTCCATTTGTAGCACAGTTGTTGCACTGAGACTTGTGCATGCCAGGCAAGGCCAAGCTGGCTCAAACAGCAACCAGCCACCTCTGCAAGTGTGTGCCAGGAGCAGCCAGACCAGCCACCAACCTCACTCGCTGCGGGACATGGTACATTGGTTCTTCTACCCTAAAGGTAGGGCCAAGAGGCAGACCACAGGCCGTCTTGAGGAGGACTTTATGTTCAAGTGCAGAAAGCAGCCAGGATTGCCACCAAGGGGACTCAGCCTTCTGTGGTCTACACTGCCATACAAGCTCTGAGACATGGACTAGTGACATCTGCTTTATAGAAATATTAACCTAAGATCTATTAAAGAGTTAAACATGCCATCTGATTTTACTCAGGCCTCTGCTCCATCAGCCCTCAGGTGGCAGCCACTCAGGCTGTGGGAACCTGGCCATCACTGCTTCCTTCAGTGGGTGAGGTTGGTGGCTGGTCCAACTGGTCCAGGTGCACCCTTGTAGAGGTGGCTGGTTGCTCTTTGAGCCAGCTTGGCCTTCCCGGACACGCACAGGCCCCAGGTAGTAACACGCTGCTCTGAGTGAGCTTCTCCTGCCTTCACACAAATTCTAAGTCTCGCCAGAGCCACAAAAGGCCGAGTCCCCTGCGTGGCAATCATGGCTGCTTTCTGCACTTGAACATAAAGTCTTCCTCAAGACAGCCTGTGGTCTGCCTCTTGGCAACCAAGAAGCCCACAGTGCCATACGACCCGAGGCATGGACTGGAGCCCCAAAGGCAGCACACACCCGACTCCTGAGCCTACTGCTCGTTTCCTCTCTGTGGCTCCATTTGTAGCACAGTTGTTGCACTGAGGCTTGTGCATGCCGGGGAAGGCCAAGCTGGCTCAAAGAGCAACCAGCCACCTCTGCAAGGGTGTGCCAGGAGCAGGTGCACCACTCACCCACTAGCGGCCGGACATGGTACATCAGTTCTTCTACCCTAAAGGTGGGCCGCAGTGCCATCTGCTTTTCCTAATGCCTCTGCTCCATCAGCAATTAGGTGGCAGCCAAGGCAGGACAAGCTCACTCGGAGCAGCGTGTTACTACCTGGGGCCTGTGCATGCCAGGGAGGCCAAGCTGGCTCAAAGAGCAACCAGCCACCTCTGCAAGGTCTGGCCAGGGCTACAGAAGGCCGAGTCCCCTGGATGGTAATCCTGGCTGCTTTCTGCACTTGAACATAAAGTCCTCCTCAAGATGGCCTGTGGTCCGCCTCTAGGCAAGCAAGAAGCCCGCAGTGCTATATGACCCGAGGCATGGAGTGCAGGCCCAAAGGCAGTGCACATGCTGCTCCTGAGCCTGCTGCTCCTTTTCTCTCTGTGGCTCCATTTGTAGCACAGTTGTTGCACTGAGGCTTGTGCATGCCGGGCAAGGCCAAGCTGGCTCAAAGAGCAACCAGTCACCTCTGCGAGGGTGTGCCAGGAGCCGGTGCACCAGCCACCAACCTCACTTGCTGCCACACATGGCACATCAGTACTTCTACCCTAAAGGTAGGGCCACAGGGCCATCTGCTTTTCCTAAGGCCTCTGCTCCATCATCCATCAGGACGCAGCCACTCACGCTGTTGGAAACTGGCCATCCCAGCTTCCTTGAGTAGCTGAGGTTGCTGGATGGTCCACCTGGTCCTGGCACACCCTTGGAGAGGTGGCTGGTTGGTCTTTGAGCCAGCTTGGCCTTGCCTGGCATGCACAGGCCCCAGGTACTAACACGCTGCTCCGAGTGAGCTTCTCCTGCCTTGACACAAATTCTAAGTCTGGACAGGGCCACAGAAGGCCAAGTCCCCTGGGTGGTAATCATGGCTGCTTTCTGCACTTGAACATAAAGTCCTCCTCAAGACGGCCTGTGGTCTGCCTCTTGGCAACCAAGAAGCCTGCAATGCCATACGAGCCCTGAGGCATGGACTGGAGCCCCAAAGACAGCGCACACCCTGCTGCTGAGCCTGCTGCTCATTTCCTCTCTGTGGCTCCATTTGTGGCACAGTAGTCGCACTGAGGCTTGTGCATGCCGAGCAAGGCCAAGCTGGCTCAAAGAGCAACCAGCCACCTCTGCAAGGGTTTGCCAGGAGCAACCGGACCAGCCACCAACCTCACTTGCTGCCGAACATGGTACATCGGTTCTTCTACCCTAAAGGTAGGGCCAAGAGGCAGACCACAGGCCGTCTTGAGGAGGACTTTATGTTCAAGTGCAGAAAGCAGCCAAGATTGCCACCCAGGGGACTCGGCCTTCTGTGGTCTGCAGTGCCATACGAGCTCTGAGGCATGGACTGGTGACATCTGCTTTATAGAAAAATTAACAAGATCCATTAAACAGTTAAACATGTCATCTGATTTTCCTCAGGCCTCTGCTCCATCAGCCCTCAGGTGGCAGCTACTCAGGCTCCTGTAACCTGGTCATCCCTGCTTCCTTCTGTGGGTGAGGTTGGTGGCTAGTCCAACTGGTCCAGGCGCACCCTTGCAGAGGTGGCTGGTTGCTCTTTGAGCCAGCTTGGCCTTCCCTGGCATGCACAGGCCCCAGGTACCGACACGCTGCTCCGAGTGAGCTTGCCCTGCCCTGACACAAATTCTAAGTCTGGCCACGGCCACAGAAGGCCAAGTCCCCTGGGTGGTAATCCTGGCTGTTTTCTGCACTTGAACATAAAGTCCTCCTCAAGATGGCCTGTGGTCTGCCTCTTGGCAAACAAGAAGCTCGCAGTGCCATACCATCCCTGAGGCACGGACTGGAGCGCCAAAGGCAGTGCACACCATGGTCTTGAGCCTGCTGCTCATTTCCTCTATGTGGCTCCATTTATAGCACAGTTATTCACTGATGCTTGTGCATGCCGGGCAAGGCCAAGCTGGCTCAAAGAGCAACCAGCCACATCTGTAAGGGTCCACTTGGAGCAGATGGACCAGCCACCAACCTCACCCACTCAAGGAAGTAGGGAATGCGTGTTTGTACCATGCATTTCACTACAAGTACATTTCCCCTGAGGTTGGTGGCCTACATTTTCTTCTAGGTTTTTTGCTTTTAGGTCTTACGTTTAACTCTTTTATCCTTCTTAAGTTAATTTTTGTATAAAGTGTAAGGAAGGGGCCCAGTTTCAGTTTGCTGCATATGGCTAGCCAGTTTTCCTAACACCATTTATTAAACAGGCAATCCTTTCCCCAGTGCTTACCTTTGTCAGTTTTGTCAAAGATCTGGTGGTTTTACATGTGTGGTGTCATTTCTGTGGCCTCTGTTCCATTCCATTGGTCTATATACCTGGTTTGGTACCAGTACCATGCTGTTTCCGTTACTGTGGCCTTGTAGAATAGTTTGAAGTCAGGTACTGTGATGCCTCCAGCTTTGATCTTTTTGCTTAGGATTGTCTTGGCTATGTAGACTCTTTTTTGGTTCCATATGAAATTTAAAGTAGTTTTTCTAATTTTGTGAAGAAAGTCAATGGTAGCTTGATGGGGATAGCACTGAATCTATAAATCACTTTGGGTGGTATGGCACTCAGGCACAGAAATGTCCTTGTGTTAGGCAATACCATTCAGGACATAGGCATGGGCAGAGACTTCATCACTACAACACCAAAAGCAATGGCAACAAAAGCCAAAATTGACAAATGGGACCTAATTAAGCTAAAGAGTGTCTGCAGAGCAAAAGAAACTATCATCAGAGTGAACAGGCAACCCACAGAATGGGAGAAAATTTTTGCAATCTATCCATCTGACAAACAGCTAATATGCAGAATCTACAAAGAACTTAAACAAATTTACAAGAAAAAAAACAACCCCATCAAAAAATGGGCAAAACATATGAACAGACACTTCCCAAATAAGACATTTATGCAGCTAAAGAACATGTGAAGCAAACCACATCATCACTGGTCATTAGAGAAATGGAAATCAAAACCACAATGAGATACAATCTCACACCACTTAGAATGGCCAACATTAAAAGATAAGGAAACAACAGATGTTGGAGAGGACGTGGAGAAATAGGAACGCTTTTACACTCTTGGTGGTAGTATAAATTAGTTCATCCATTGTGGAAGACAGTGTGACAATTCCTCAAGGATCTACAACTAGAAATACATTTAACCCAGCAATCCCATTACTGGGTATATACTGAAAAAATAATAAATCATTCTAATATAAAGACACATGCACACGTATGTTTACTGCGGCACAGTTCACAACAGCAAACACTTGGAACCAACCCAAATGCCCATCAATGATAGACTGGATAATGTGGCATATATACACTATGGAATGCTATGCACCCATAAAAAAGGATGAGTTCATGTCCTTTGCAGGGACATCGATGAAGCTGGAAATCATCACTCTCAGCAAACTAACACAAGAACAGAAAACCAAACACCTCATGTTCTCACTCGTAGGTGGGAACTGAACAATGAGAACACGTGGACACAGAAGGGTAACATAACACACCGAGAACTGTTGTGGGGTGGGGGAGGAGGGAGGGATAGCATTAGGAGATATACCTAATGTTAAATGATGAGTTAATGGGTGCAGCACACCAACATGGCACATGTATACATATGTAACAAACCTGCACATTGTGCACATGTACCCTAAAACTTAAAGTATAATAATAAAATTTAAAAATTAAAAAAAAGTTTTAAAAAATTTCCAACTGGATTTTTTTGTTTTTTATGTTTTTTTTTTGTTTTGTTTTTGTTTTTGTTTTGCAGCCACAGGAGTTTTAGCCAATTCAGATGCCTTGCTCCCCACAATTTGGAACATTCCTTTGGATTTGACCAAGTCAGGAAGAGATGGGAGAAAAGTGAAACAACAATAAAACCCCAAACATAAACAAAAAGAGTTAAGCAAAACAAACAAATGCACAATTCATATGATTAACTGAGTGTTCTAATGGTAAGGAGGAATTAAAAGCAGCTGATGGGTAATCTTAAATTTTAGTCATTAAACAAAAATTTTAAGACAAAACTCTAATTCTGCTACTTACCTGGAAATAAGGCTCAGACTGGGTGATCATTCTCTGCCATCTTAGAAGCTGGAAAAACTTACACTCACCTTCCCTGTCAGAAGCAAGCTGAAACTCAGGAAAGGAGGTGCCTGCTCTCCTTTGTCAATGGAAGCAGGAAAACTTGCCTTCCTTGTTGGAAATGAGTAAAACTTCAAAAAAGGAGTTGTACAGCAAAATCAACCTTACATCTCAACCAAATTTTCGGAGATCAGGGACTCTGTGAAGGGGAGAAGCTCCACAACCTCAGCAAATTATCCTATTGGTTTGGGCAATACAAATAGCCCAGGTTGGTATCAAGCAATAATGAGATTTATCAAAGGTCAGGACCACCTTTGTAATGTCCTTCTCTTTTTTTATCTTTATTGGTAGAGTCTGTTTTGTCAGAAACTGGGAGTGCAACACCTTTTTTCTGTTTTCCATTTGCTTGAAATATTTTTCTCCATTCCTTTATTTTGAGCCTATGTATGGCACTGCACGTGAGATGGGTTGCTTGAAGACGGCATACTCCAGTGGGTCTTGGTTCTTTACCCAGCTTGCCCCGTGTCTTTCAATGGGAGCATTTAGCCCATTTACATTTAAGGTTAGTAATGGTATGTGTGGATTTTATCCTGTCGTCATGCTGTCAGCTGGTTATTTTGCAGACTTACATATGTGCTTGGTTTTTAGCATCATTGGACTGTGTACTTCAGTGTTTTTGTAGTAGTAGGTGATGATCTTTTCTTTCCATATTTAGTGCTTCCTTCAGGAGCTCTCGTAAGGTAGATCTGGTGATACCAAATTCCCTCAGCATTTGCTTGTCTGAAAAGGATCTTATTTCTCCTTCACTTATGATGCTTAATTTTGCTGGACATGAAATTCTGGGCTGAAATTTCTTTTCTTTAATGGCAGCTGATGTGGGTTGGGGTGTGTGCTGCACTCCCGTGTGCTCTCAGGGCAAGTAAAGCAAAACCCACCCGTGTAAACACACACAGCAAAGTGATTTAGGAAGTTTCCAAATAAAGGGCTGCCGTATGGAGAGGCAATGTGCAGGCTGGTGCGTGGCTCTAGGGGCCACCTTGCTGCAGCTCTCCACTGATATGGTACAGTCCACTAGCATGGAAGCTATGGTGTGGGCATCTAAGAGTGCCCCGTAAGCAGGTGTGGCCAGGCTGGGGCCATGGGAGAGGCGAGCAGACTAAGGAGTGCTGAGATCAGACCAGCCCCATCTCAAGTGCAAGACTGCCCAGCCTCCAGAGATCAGGTCTCAGAGGAGAACTCTCTCAAAAGTGAACCCCCAGCACAGCACAGCTGCTCTACACAAACATGGCTAGACTTCTTTTATTAAGCAAGTCTCCTTTTTTTAAAAAGGGAACTCTCGGACCTGATCTCTGCTGGGCAATCTTGCATATAAGATGTGGCTGGTATGACCTCAGCATTCCTAAAGTGCTGGGACAAAGTGTCTCACAAGGGCAAGTGGACCCTAGAGAGATAGCCATCCCTGACCTCTGGGCTCCACATCACCTGACTTGCTGCTCCACCACTTTGCTTGTTTCCTGGGTGCTCCATCCCAGAGACATGTGAGTTAGCAATCACTTAGTGTAATCAGCCCAGGATGGAGGGTCTGTGCTGTGAGCCCAAGCCAGGGTTCCCTGTCTGGTGATGAGTAGTGGAGGGTGTGTGGTACCCGTGGGAGATGGACTGGCTTGTTCTTTGGGTCAACTGCAGCTTATTGGAGGTGTTGATAGGGCACTTAGGGTCTTTGCTCCCTTGCATCTTCTGAGGGTAGCAAGGGCAGTTCCACTGCAGAGGCAGTGGCAGAAAGGATTTCATTTGCTCCTGGAAGCTCTGTCCCAGGAACTGCAGAGTTGCTACTGGCTTGATAGCTCCAGTGGTGGGCTGGCTAGAGACCCAGGCCAGGAGGATCTGCCCATCAAGTAGAGAGCCCGGCCACTTTTCTGTAGGGCTGCTGTGGTATGCTGGGGGTCCCCTCCAGTCCCTAATTGCCTTGTATTTTCCAGGGAAGATGATAGTCTGCCCCTTCCTCTGGAAGCTCTGTACCACTGAGGTACGAACCTGTTGCCAATCTGAACACACCTATAAGATGTGGCTGGAGGCAAGTTGAGAAGTCTTACCTAGTCAGGACGAACAAGAACAGGGACTTGCTTCAAAAAAAAAAGTCTGGCCACGTTTTTATAGAGCAGCTGTGCTGTGCTGGGGGTTCACTTCAGCCCCTGGTCCACCTCAGACACTCTGAAGCCCTAAGGCTGAAATGGCTGGGTCACCCAAACAGCAAAGATGACAATCTGGTCCTCCCCCTGGGAGCTCTGACTCAGGGAGGCCTGAGACCTCTGTCGGCCAGAGAACAGCAGTCAAGGTAGCCAGAGACCCTGGTTGAAAGACTTCACCCGCTGACTAGAAATGTGGTCAGGGACTGACGTAAACAAGAGTCTGGCCACGTTTTTGTAGCGTGGCTGTGCTGTGCTGAGGTACCTCTTCCACCCCTTGTCAGCTTGGGCTCTCCAAAGCCCGCAGGCCAGAATGGCTAGTCACCAAAAGAGCAAAGGTGGGGGCCTGCCCCTCTCCGGGAGCTCTGTCCCAGGAACATTTCACATTTCCATTGGCCAAGGAATGCTGGTGGGGGTAGCTGGAGGCCCCAGTTGGGAGGTCCTGTCCAGTGAGGTGGAACAGGATCAGGGGCCTGCTTACAGAAGCAGTCTGGCCATGATTTGGTAAAGCAGCTATGCTGTGCTGTGGGATCTCTTCTGTCCCTCGTCGGTTTGTACTCTCCAAAGCCCGCAGGCTGGAATGACTAAGTTGCCTGAACGGGAAAGATGGCGGCCTGCCCCGTCTTTTCTCTCAGAGTTTTATCTTGTTTCGTGGAGCTTAATTTTTAGCCTGTTGATTTTACTGTCTACATTAGACTTGTTGAGAAAGAATCTGTTCTCTTTTAGGTGAGATAAATGAGAATTCATTGTCTTCTGTAAATAAACCTGTTCATGTCTTGTTCTCTGGAAAGAAGTCTCTTTCAGCTATCTGACTTTGGTCACAATCATGTAGAGCAGCAGCCAGTCTACAATGACGTAATTGAATTTCCATTTCCAGTGTTTCCTCGTTGTGTCTTACATTGTCCAGTTCAGAACTGAGCATTTTATTCTCAGTTGTCAACATGCTAAGCTGTCCACTGTACTGAAATACTGTGCTTCCTCAATTTTTTTTAAGGTGTGCACTTTTATCCAACTCTCCTCAAGTCAGAGTACAGGTAAGCCCTGGCTGCCTCCAGCCACTCTCAGGGAGACCAAAAGCCTTCATACACCCCAAGTTGGGGTACAAAAGAGGGGGGCCACGAAGGCTGATCATTCAAAATAAAACAAAATTAAAAAGTATTAAGGCGAAGATTCAAAAAATTTTGCATTATGTAATTTGCACAAAAGCAATGCTATCACCTCCCCTGTGTGAACTAGGGAGAGGACTGGGCCATTCTCCTTAGAGAGAAGTGGGATGGCTTTTAGCAGGGCAAGGGGCTTCCTGAAACAATGCGTCTCACAATATTTGGAATGACTATTGAAAAGAAGAACAATGTACAATCAAAGTCCTTGGCAACATTGTAGAACTTTGGAGGAAGCTTCCTCCAACCGACTGCTGTCACCTTCACCATTCCGGTTTTTAAATCCTGAGTCAAGCCAATAAAAAACAAAACAAAAAATGAAACAAGAAAACAAATAAAGCCATGCCAATCTCATGTTGTTTTCTGAGAAGTTTGGTTTTGTCAAGAAAGGGTGTAACGCAACTAAGTCAGAGTCCACCTAGAAGCATTTGCGGTGGACAATGGAGGGGCCTGACTCATCATACTCCTGCTTGCTGATCCACATCTGCTGGAAGGTGGACAGCGAGGCCAGGATGGAGCCACCGACCCACACGGAGTACTTGCGCTTGGGAGGAGCAATGATCCTGATCTTCATCATGCTAGGCGCCAGGGCAGCGATCTCCTTCTGCATTCTGTGGGCCATGCCAGGGTACATGGTGGTGCCGCCAGACAGCACTGTGTTGGTGTACAGGTCTTTGCGGATGTCCACATCAGACTTCATGATGGAGTTGAAGGTAGTTTCATGGATGCCACAGGATTCCATGCCCAGGAAGCAAGGCTGGAAGAGCGCCTCGGGGCAGCGGAACCGCTCGTTGCCGATGGTGATGACCTGGCCATCGGGCAGCTCGTAGCTCTTCTCTAGGGAGGAGCTGGAGGCCGCCGTGGCCATCTCCTGCTCGAAGTCCAGGGCAACATAGCACAGCTTCTCTTTGATGTCACGCACGATTTCCCGCTCGGCCATGGTGGTGAACCTATAGCCACGCTCGGTGAGGATCTTCATGAGGTAGTCAGGCAGTTCCCGCCCAGCCAGGTCTAGGCGCAGGGTGGCATGGGGGAGGGCATTCCCCTCATAGATGGGCACAGTGTGGGTGACCCCGTCACCAGAGTCCATCACGATGCCAGTAGTACGGCCAGAGGTGTACAGGGACGGCACGGCCTGGATGGCCACGTACATGGCTGGGGTGTTGAAGGTCTCAAACATGATCTGGGTCATCTTCTCGCGGTTGGCCTTGGGGTTCAGGGGGGCCTCGGTCAGCAGGATGGGGTGCTCCTCGGGAGCCACACGCAGCTCGTTGTAGAAGGTGTGGTGCCAGATCTTCTCCATGTCATCCCAGTTGGTGATGATGCCGTGTTCCATGGGGTACTTCAGGGTCAGGATGCCTCTCTTGCTCTGGGCCTCCTTGCCCACATAGGACTCTTTCTGATGCATGCCCCCCATCATGCCCTGCTGCCTGGGGCGCCCCACGATGGAAGGGAAGACAGCCCGGGGGGCATCGTCGCCCGCAAAGCCGGCCTTGCACATGCCAGAGCCGTTGTCAATGACGAGCACGGCGGTATCATCATCCATGGTGAGCTCATTCAATTGTAGAGCCTTTAAAAGATTATCATTCTTTTTTTTCACACTTTCAATATCCTCCAAATATTTCTTTTCTCTTAGCTGGCTCTGATGTTTCATTGTGTCTAGCTCCAGTCTTAGCATGGCAATTTCTTCCCGCAACGTACTATTTTCATGCAAGACGTCTTTTTCTTTCTTACAACTAAGAGAAAGCTAAGTAAACAAAGAGAACTTTTAGTTAGCACTCAATAGATTGACATATCATGATTTCTTCTGAAATTCAAAAATAACATGTATTTGTATAATGAAAGAATCCCCATAGTGGATATTTAACTGGAAAAAAATTGGACAAAACTTCAAACCTAATAAGAGTGTAAATTCCTCCAGTGATTTATTTTTCATCGTCTTTAAATAAATATTTAAACTTTTAGGAATCTGCTCCTAAATTCCTAAAAGTTTAAATATTTATTTAAAGACGATGAAAAATAAATCACTAGAGGATTTTTAAGAATCCCAGAATTAAAAAAGCCTTTTTCTGAGTTACAAAAAACCCAGAGGCATAAAATATAAGATTAATAATTTGACTACATTTTTAAGATTAGGTTTACACTCTGATATCTAACCTATCAACCACACCATCCTAAGAGCCTTAGCTATGCATATATTTGGACAGAAGCAATTTCTCAAAGTTCTTTAAGTTTCTTTTACTGAAGAACGTTTTACCGATATTCTACATTTCTAATATTTCTATACTCAGTTATAAGAATTACATTTATTTATAACTGTCAAATCTAAGCACTGTACCCTTCTACACTGTACACATCTGTATCTAGGCATTGCTCTTCTACATATAATACTGAACTCATTTAAGATCGCGATTCTTAAAAGGAGAGGTCAAAAAATATACACAGATGCAGGATTTTCCCCAGGTCTGCTGATGCTACTTCTAGTGATCCTCCACAAAACCACACTTACTTCTGTGGTGTAAATATATAAATACAAAAGAAACCTTTTGTTTCAAAATATGAATGGTAAATAAGATACAACTTATAGAGATCTTCTTAGAAATCATGAGATTATTTGCCATTGCGGTAACTTTTATTTCCTCTTTATAATGTTTGAAACAGTAGTAATGGTGAAATAGGGGAAATATACTGAACTATTTCTCCAGAAACAAAATACTTATCAATAAATTATTACTAAATGTGTATCATGGCATGTCATTGTTTTCAAACCTCTTTACACTGAAATGAGAAACTACTTGGAGCAAACTGTTCCTCTCTGCAAAAGTAAGGATAATGGTATCCACAATGTGGCCTCTGACCCAGCTATACATTTCCTACTTTCTTATCAGTAAAAATAATCAATTGACTTCTCTATTAACATTTTTTAAAAAACTAATGTCCAAAAACGAGAAAATCTGTTTTCAGTAGCAAAACTTATTTCTGATGTGGAAAGATCATCAATTCTTATGAAAAACATCAAATACTTCTCCTTTGGATTGAGGCCATTGTGCAGGTCACTACTCAACTGTTGCAGGCAAATGAAGGTGAATTAAGAACATGGCTTTATCCTATACGTACGTATATAGATATATGACAAAGGATATATAGAATATATACACACATATATATGACTTAAAAATCCTTTATATTTCCAAAATACAGTTCTTTAAAATATACACACATATAAAAACATTTGAAAATAACTAAAGAAAATACCTCAGAATTCATTTTTTCAACCACTTCTATCTGCTTTTCTTCATGAATCAGAATCTCATCGTGTAATATTCCAGTGTTCTGTTCTTCACAAAATTGCTTCTGAGTATCATTTTGTTCGTCACTAGAAGAAATTTTAATTTTCATGAAATACTGGAGCTGTCCCTAAAATGATGTACAGGGCAAGATGGCGCCATCAGATGTCATTCACACAATGCATATCTGCACATTATTCCAAGACAAGGCAAAGGGGTCTCACATCTGTTAACCAGGTGTCCCCAACCATGCTGGCACCAGGGACTGGTTTTGTGGAAGATAATGTTTACAGGAACCTGAGGTGGGGGATGGTTCCAGGATGATTCAAGTATATTACATTCATTGTGCACTTTATTTCTATTATTATTAATATATAATGAAATAATTATATCTCACCAAAATGTAGAATCAGTGGGAGCCCTGAGCTTGTTTTCCTGCAACTAGATGGTCCCATTTGGGGGTGACGGAAGATGGTGACAGATCAGAAAGGCATTCGATTCTCATAAGGAGTGAACAACCTATATCCCCCTGCATGAGCAACTTACAACAGGGTTCAGGTCACACTCAGGACAATCTAATGCCACCGCTGATCTGACAGGAGGAGGAGCTCGGGCGGTAATGCGAGCGACAGAGAGTGGCTGTAAACAGATGGAGCTTCACTTGCTCACCTGCCTCGAACCTCCTGCTGTGTGGCCCAGGTCCTAACAGGCCAGGGACTGCTAATGGTCTGTGTCCTGTAACCCATACTCTTTATGTTTATTGTTTGGAAACACTTTCTACTTATATTCTTGATTCCTATGTATTTTATAAACAACTTAGAAATTCCTTTTAGAACAAGACAGGGTCTAATATTATGTTTTTAACATAGGACTTTGAAATAATTTTATCTGTGTATGAGAGAGAGATGTGAAATAAACTCATCGTTAAGCACTTTCCATTTTACTTTTATTTCATGCATATTAAGAATAAAACTGGGAAGTCCTAGGCAGAGCAATTGGGCAAGAGAAATAAAGGGCATCCCAATTGGAAAAGAGGAAGTCAAACTATCTCTTCACCAATGATATTATCCTATACCTAGAAAACCCTAAAGACTCCTACAAAACACTCCTAGATTTGATACATGAATTCAGTAAAGTCTCAGAGGTTACAAAATAAATGAATACCAATCAGTAGCACCACTATACACCAACTACAACCAAGCTGAGAGTTCATATCAACAATCCAATCCCTTTTACAGTGGCTCAAAAAGGTGTGAAGTACCTAGGAATATACTTAATGAAAAAAGTGAGTGATCTATATAAAGATAACTGGAAAACACCACCAAAGAAAATAACAGATGACACAAACAAATGAAAATACATCTTATGTTCATGGACTGAAAGAACTGATATAGTGAAAATGACCATAGTGCCCAAAGCAGTCTACACATTCTATACAATACCTACCAAAGTACCAATGTCATTCTTCACAGAATTATTTTAAAATGCTGACATTCATGTAGAACCACAAAAGAGCCTGAACAGCAACAGACATATCAAGCAAAAGGAACAAATATGTTGGCATCACATTACCTGACTTCAAATGATACTCTAAGACCACAGTAACAGAAACAGCGTGGTACTCGTATAAAAACAGATACATAGATCAATGGAACAGAACAGACAACTCAGAAATAAAGCCACTACAACCAAGTGATCTCTGAGCAAGGATACAAAAACATACACTGGAGAAAGTACAGGTTATTCAATAAATGGTGCTGGGAAAAAAAGATAGCCACATGTGGAAGAATGAAACTGGATCTCTATCTCTCACCATATACAAAAATTAATTCAAGATGGATGAAAGGCCTAAACCTAAGACCTGAAAACATTGGCCTAGGCAAAGGATTTATGAGGAAGACCCTAAAAGCAAATCCAACAAAAATGAAAATAAATAAATAAGACCTAATTAAACTAAAAAGCTTCAGCACAGCAAAAGAAATAATCATCAGAGTAAAACAACAACTTATACAATGGGAAAATTTTGAAAATTATGATGCTAACAAAGGACTAATATCTATAACCTACAAGAAACTCAAACAAATCAACAGGAAAAACGCAAATAATTCCATTGGAAAGTGGCCAAATTACATGAATAGACATTTCCCAAAAGAAGATGTACAAACGGTAAACAAGCATATAAAAACACGCTAAATATCTCTAATCATCAGGGAAATGTACAATAAAACCACAGTGAGATATCACCTCACTGCAGCCAGAATGGCCACTATTAGAAATCAAAAAACAACAGATGTTGGTGTGGATGCGGTGAAAAGACAACAGTGATACACTGCTGGTGGGAATGCAACTTCATACAAATCTATGGAAAACAGTATGGAGATTTCTCAAAGAACTAAAAGTAGATCCTACCATTTTATCCAGCATTCTCATTTCCAGATATCTACACAAAATAAAAGAAATCATACTCTCAAAAGGACACCCGCATACATATGTTTACTGCAGCACAATTCACAATATGCAAAGATATGGAATCAACCAGTGTCCATCAACTGATGCGTGGAATAAAGAAAATGGACGTATATACATATATATATATCTCACATCACATACATGTATCATATATATGTATGTGTGTATATACACTCACACATATACATATGTACATAGCTGAGACTGGGTAATTCACACACATACATACCTGAGACTAGGTAATTCATAAAGGAAAGAGGATTAATTGATTCACAGTTACGCATGGCTGGGGAGGCCTCAGGAAACTTAACAACCATGGTAGAAGGGGAAGGGGAAGCAGGCACCTTCTTCATAAGGCGGCAGGAGAGAGAGAAGAGAGAAGTGAAGCGCAAAGAGCCCCTTATGAAACCATCAGCTCTTGTGAGGACTCACTCACTATCACAAGAACAGCATGGAGGAAACCGACCCCATGAGCCAATCACCTCCCAGCTGGTCTTTCCTCAACACCTGGGAATTACAATTTGACATGAGATTTGCATAGAAACACAAAGCCAAACTATTGCGGGGGGGGGGGGGGGGTGGTTATCCTTATTTTTAAAATATCTAAATGTCATTATTTATAATTCAAAATAGCAATTTTTATTACTTATGATTTTGTTTGAAAATAAAATGATCTCGTAAATTTTCTTCATTTTTAACCTATTCAGTCAAAATATAGAAAAAGCTAGATTTGCCAGCAGAAAATTGTTAACAACTTTTTAATGAGATAAAAATGTATAACAATATCACTATTATTGTACAGAGAAAAAAGTGAACAAGAAAAGGAATTTAAAAACACAGAATATGACTATCACATACATACATGAACTGACAAAGAGACTAAAATCTCCTACTGGAGATTATGTTAGGACTTGAGCAAAAGCTTCTAAAAATACCAAAAACAAAAACAAAACACTTATTTTTAAGAAATAAATTATACAGAGAACACTTCTGGTTAAGATGATGTATCAAAAAAAAAAAATCTTCGTGAGAGCTATTATTAACCAAGTCATCATAACCAAAACTTTAAATCCACAATTCTGGAATATTAAAAAGTTTCTTTTTGAACATAGTTAATGGAAGGCAACTTTTGAACAGAAAATTTCTGGTTAAAGTTGACTCAAACTTAGGAAAGAATTGACCTGTAGCCATGGTAACAAGAAGCCAGCCAGAGCCAGTTCAAAATCTAGTCAATCGATCAATGACCGACCACTGGCTGTGCTCACCAACCAATATCAGTGTGAGCAGCTTGCTTCTGAAAGACAGCCAAGCAGCAACAGCTGCTCCATCAGAATAGACAGTGCCTGACCAGTATAGTCTTACTATCGGAAGCAAAAAATTCCAACTGTCTTTTTATTTCAAATACCGAAGGTCCATAATCCCTTGGAAAGAATTTGTGAGTCCATTACATTTACCACCCTAAAAAAACTAAAATACTAGTGGCCGGATGTGGTGGCTTACACCTGTAATCCACCCAGGTGGGTGGACTGCCTGAGGTCAGGAGTTCAAGACCAGCCTGACAAACAGGATGAAACCCCGTCTCTACTAAAAATACAAAAATTAGCCGGGTGTCATGGCACGCACCTGTAATCCCAGCTCCTCAGGGGGCTGAGGTAGGAGAATCGCTTGAACCCAGGAGGCAGAGGTTGCAGTGAGCCGAGGTCACACCACTGCACTGCAGCCTGGGTGACAGAGCGAGACTCTGTCTCTAAATAAATAAAATACCAGTAAAGTTTGTAATTTCTCTAACTCATTTTACCATAATTGCAATTATCATGATTACCAGTAAAAGAATAGTGAATAACCACAATATTGGGCTTTTCTCCCTAAGTGAAAAAATATTAATATAAAGAATGTAGCTTATTATAAAAAGCCGAAAGAATTTTTAAAATACATATAATTACCAGGCAAAATTGTTAAAATGAACCTTGTCAAACATTTTTTAAGTGAGAATCAATCAAACAATATACCCGGGATAAACTCCATTCATTCATTTAATACCTATTTATTAGGTAGCTACGTCTGATAGGCTAGGCCTCTTTCTAGGAAGTGAGGATATGGTAATGAACAATAAAAACCCTATTCATGAGAGTGAGATAAACACACAATAACAACAGACAGATACGGCAAAATACACAGTACGTTAGAGGAGAAAAACTAAAGCAGGAAAATGAAATCTTTATGTGTTTGATGGGAAGGGTGGTGGGAAAGTTGGGATGGCCAGAAAAATCCCTGCTGAGAAAGAGGATTTTTCTTTAATACAAAGAAACTTTTATTTGTACATCAAAGACTCTAAAAAATGATGATGTTAACAGAGTTGATGTCAAGACACAAACAGGTTTGAAGTTAAAGATGATAAATCACTTTGTTTCATTGAACCTTCCCTCAATTACGTTAGAGAGCATCCCTGGTATGTTCCCAATTGAATCTCAAGCCTGACGCGTCCTGATGATACAATCCTAATTCCTTTCTGTTAGTCCTCATTATCTCTCTTTTTTTTCATTTTCTTCATTTTCTCTGGATTAGGAATCGTGCTGGTACATGGTTCTTCCTCAGGAAGTGGTTATTCCTTAATGGGTTTCTTTTTACCCTTTTTCTTCTTCTTAGAAAGGGGATTTTAAGTAAAGAGCTGAAGTAATGGAAACAGTAAGCTAGAAGAATATCTGGGGAAAAAGCATTCCAGACACAGGGAACTGCTAAGTGCAGAGGTGTGCCTGGAGTCTTTAAGCACTAGGGATAGGTCAGGAATAGCAACAAGTTCAGTGTGGCTGAAACACAGCAATAGAGATAAGAAACAGAAGTTTCAGCAGGAGAGGTAACATGCCAGATGGTTTACTGCCTTTCAGTTATTAGGAGGAACTCTGCCACATACTCAGAGTGAAATAGGAGGCAATCAGAAGGGCAGGGGCAGAGGAATGACAACATTTGACTTATGTTTTAAATACATCCACTGAGATAAGAATTGATGAAAGGGGAAGTTTTTAAAAACCAGGACTATCAATTCCCGTCTATGACACTCATCTAAACTGCAGATGACGGTGGCTCAGATGTACAAGATAGACTGGCCTCTGGATATATTCTTCAGATAGACCTGACAAGATTTACTGAGAGATTAGATGTGAAGTGTCAGGACAGAGAGAAAGATCAGTCAAGAAGATCTTGACTGAGAGAGAAAGATCAGACACTGAGGTTTTTGGCAGAGCAACTGGAAGAGTTGCTGTTAACCAAAGTAGGAAAGACTACATGAGGTGTAGATTTCAGGAAGGACATCAGTAGCCCAATTTTGGATCTGACAAGTGTGTGATACCCAACAGCTAATCAAATAGAGATGTCAAGTAGGTGGGATGATATAGAGATCTGGAATTAAGGAAAGAGATCTAAGTTGGAGACATACATTTGGAAATCACTAGCATATACACAGTAGAAAAAGTCACGAGGGGCCAGGCACGGTGGCTCACGCCTGTAATCCCAACATGTCATGAGGCCAAGGCGGGCAGATCACCTGATGTCAGGAGTTTGAGACCAGCCTGGCCAACATGGGGAAACCTGTCTCTACTAAAAATACAAAAATTAGCCAGGCGTGGTGTTGCACACCTGTAATCCCAGCTACTCAGGAGGCTGAGGCAGGAGAAGTGCTGGAACTCATGAGGCAGAGGTTGCAATGAGCCAAGATCATGCCACTGAACTCCAGCCTGGGGGACAAAGCGAGACTCTGTCTTAAAAAAAAAAAAAAAAAAAAAACTATGAGAAAGAAGATTGAGGACTGAGCCATGAGAAACAACAATGTCCAAAAGGAGAAAGATGAGGAGCAGCAAGCAAAACAGACCATGATAAACGGACTAGAAAGGCAGGAGGAAAAGCCTGAGGGAGTGAGGTCCTGAAAGCCAAGTGAAGACGCCATTAGGGAGGAGATGCCCTCCATTGGCTCAAATATTGCTGACAGATTAAATGAGGTGTAAGAAAAATGCCTAGATTTAGTACAGAAAAAAATTAGTGATAATCTTGAGGAAAAATAGTTCTGGAGGAGTGCTGAAATTGAAGACTTACCGGCATTGAGATCAAGAGTGAATGGAAAGAAAATTTGAGTTCATGAGTGTAGACAGTTCTTTAAGGACAATATACTTAACGCTCATGACTGAGAATGATGTAATTTTCATCCACAGTCATGGAAAAGTGATAGACAAGAAATAGTAGCTTCCAAATTTTACATACCAGGTGGAGTTTTCAAATTTTATGTAACCATTATATATTCTAAAGGTTATAAAAATTATACACATATGGCATTTAGAAATGTCAGACCAAGGTTTTAAAGGCCCTTTGAACATTTCTAGATTACATAAGCTGATTATCATTTTGTTCATGCTTATACATAAAGACCAAGAAATACTAAAACTCTCAAGGAGAATATTTCTTGCTTGATAAAAATCAGCCAATTCTAGGACAGTTGACACTCATCAAATATACGAAGTAATTGATCACAGTAAAATACTGAGTTCTATTAACAGGAATAAAGTGGGAGAAATGCAGAAAATAATCTTATTTTATAAATGTAGTTTTCCAAATCATATGAAGTCACTGGAAAAATATGGTGAGGTGAATACTGAAATATATCCTTTTCTCAAAGGGAGGATAATGTCACACATGCAGGGCACTTTTACAAATAAAAGTCACTGCATTAGCAGCACCTTCCTTTTAGCACAAGGGTCAGCAAATAAGCACCTGTGGGCCAAATCCAGCCCACTGCCCGTTTTTGTAAGTCAAGTATCTTGGAACACAGCCATGCTTATTCACTTTACAGTCCATAGTGTCAGTTAGCTGGGTGTGATGTTGCACACCCGTGGTCTCAGCTAGTAGAGACTGAGGTCAGAGGATCACTAGAGCCCAGAAAGTCGAGGCTGCAGTCAGCCATGATCACACAACTGCACTCCAGCCTGGGAAACAGAGTGAGACCCTGTCTCAAGAAAATCAATATATGTAGTCCACAAAGCCTAAAATATTTACTAACTAGCTCTTTGCAGAAAAAGCTGGCCAACTCCTGGTTTAGTAGATCAAAGATTCTTTGATGTATTTTAATAAAAGTTTTACCAAATATACTGAAATGTTTATATTAAATATAGATCCCCATGTACAATCGCTTGGCAATATTCAGATTGAGGGTCCAATATTTCAGCACTCAGGCACTGACAACAAAAATTTAGTAACTAGCAATCTTGTTGCTAACAAGGTACAGTGTCAATGTAGCATGTAGCTTCCATTTGCAACACAGCAGATATTACAAGAATTTTAACAAGAACTCTTAAGATGTGTCATCAAACTAAACGCTTTAAATACATTTTAATTGTGAAATAATCAGTATACCCTACATCTAACCTCATTTTTTAAAAATGGTTGCATAATACATTATTTTGGGGATATGGAAATTGAGCTATTTCCTATTGATAAGGAATTAGACTAGCTCCAAATTTTTTACATAATACTATAATAAATGTCCTTATACATAAGTATACATATAACATATCTATACAAATATCCTTTACATGTATTATATATGCTTACTGTTATATATGTGTGTGTGAATATGCTACTCAATTAATGTTCAAAATGTATTTACCAACAGTATATGAAATGTCTTTTTCAATGAAACCATTTCCCCTGCAGCAACACGGATGGAGCTGGAGGCCATTATCCTAAGAAAACTCATGCAGGAACAGAAAATCAAATGCCACATATTCTTACTCATTAGCGGGAACTAAACATGAGAACTCATGGACACAAAGAGGAGAATAACATACACTGGGGCCTACTTGAGGGAGGAGCATGGCAGGAGGGAGACGACCAAAAAACTACCTTTCGAGTATTTTGTTTACTATGTGGCTGGTGAAATAATCTGTACCCCAAGCCTCCATGATACAGTTTACCTATATAATAAACCTGCACACGTACCCCGAAGCTAAAATAAAAGTTCACTGAAAAGAGAAGAAAATGCCTTTTCCCTCACATTTGCCAATACTGGTTATTTTTCAAATAAATTAATGACTGGAAAAAAAACGGTAACTGATTGTTTGCTGATTTTCATTTTTCTGATTAACAGGCAAGGCTCAATATCCTAATAAAAGTATAAAATTTGTTCATCATGAATATTAGCTCAAATTAGGATTAGTTTGGCAGCACAAAGTTACCTCCTGTTCAATGTTGCCATAGGCTTACCTGTGATACTCTTCATTCTCAGTGTCAGGAAATTGCTGGCTTTCAGGTGTTCTGCTCTTCCTTGGAGGAATTAATCCATCATCACCATTGCCAGCAGTGGCACCATTAGTCAGGTTTTCTGGGAATCCGACATGAGTACTTCCGTGCTTCTTCATTTCTTCGATAGCCATAAAATTTTCTAGCTGGAAAATACAGAGAATAAGAAATTATCTACTTTAGGCACATTATCTATTGATAATCAGACTAAAACCAAGAAAGATAAAATAATTGGTCTAAAGCTCCTAAAGTGGCATTACCTAGCATTTTATGGCACCATTCGGGATTATTCCATAATAATGAAAGAATAGCTCTAGGGTTTGCACCTCTTCAAAATTCAATGTACAGAATTCTGAGTTAACTATTTAATTTTTCACTGATGATTTATGCTACTTACATGATAGGATCATGTATGCCTACATTTACTACACTTTGTTAAACAACATAATGTAAAAATCTAATTCAACACAAACGTTTGAATATAAAGGTATACCTCTCTATCACCATCCTTATTTATTTCTGGTTCTTGAGATCTTTTCTGCAGATGTAAAAACAGAAGGTTAATTTGCTTGCTGTATTTCTGTGACATTTCCTCTTTTGGAGTGCATGTTTTTAAAATAATTTTATTCTGAAGTAATCAAGTATGGACAATAAAAATTAGAAAGTAATTAAAATTAAACTGTTAAAATAAATAATAATTAAAATTAAGAATTAACTTTTTAATCTATGTTTAGCTACTGCCACATCACTGGCTTCTAACATGTGAAAAATAATTCACCTTAGACAAAGGGAGAAGAAAAACATGAACCAGCAAACTTAACTTTCTCACTATTTGTTTGGACTAAATTTAATTTGTTATGTGTTAAATCTACCAAAAATGAATCAGCAGATGATTTGTAGTGTTCCAAAATCTTCCTCACTTGAAAAGAGTTTACCTCATGAAACCCTAACTAGTGAGCACCTACAGTGCACTGAAGTGCTTTTTTAAAAGATTCCTAACTGGATTGTAGGCACCCTTTAAACTATTAGGAGCCGAAATCAACACCAAACAGAAAGAAATGCAAATTCTCACATTTTAATTGAAATTATATACTGTCATATGATAGTGTTATGTATCCAGATTATCTGCGTAAGTCCAGTTCTAATATATTCTAATGTGTACTAATGACAGCAGATAAAATTTTTTAATCTCTACTGATTTTCTGCAACTGAAATAAATTAGAATGTTATTGTGTTTGTGCACTAACACCAAAGGTCCCATTCTGCAAGATATGGTTCTTGTAATAGGCAGTTGGGTTGCTTTTATGACCTGGTTCCCTCCCTGAACAGAAACACTGAGGTCAACGAGAGACCACAAGGCAGGATATGTCCTTAACCTTGGTATCAGTGACTGACAATATAAAACTGTGGATTTTCAATCACAGGCCATGATTACTCTTTAACCATGAATCCAGCTCAGGGAATCAGTGTTACATTGTTCATAATTCCTATTGCTTAATAATATGATTCAATCATTGATGTTACTTTCTTTATCATGTTAGGGTGTTGTAAAAATAAAAGAACAAACAAAGTTCTGAAATTTGTTTTTGCCTCTATTCCAAAAGGAGAGATTAGCTATAAGCTAATCAAGAAGGCAGATAAGAATATTTTAAAATAAGAGTATTTTAAATTTTATAGTGGGTTATGTTGAAGTTAAATATCAAATATTAAATTAGAATCTATTGATTCTTCTGTTAATAAGGTTGCTGATTTTATTACAATAAATTTTAAGAATCTATTAAAATTTTTTTTTTTTTTTTTCACATGGAGTCTCGCTCTGTCACCCAGGCTGGAGTGTAGTGGTGGATGTCGGCTCACTGCAAGCTCCCTCTCCTGGGTTCATGCCATTCTCCTGCCTCAGCCTCCCGAGTAGCTGGGACTACAGGCACCCACCACCACGCCCAGCTAAGTTTTTGTATTTTTACTAGAGACGGGGTTTCACCATGTTAGCCAGGATGGTCTCGATCTCCAGACCTCGTGATCCACCTGCCTCAGCCTCTCAAAGTGCTGGGATTACAGGCGTGAGCCACCTTGCCTGGCCAAAAGATTCTTAAAAAAACAATCTACTGATTCTCAAAGCCTAGTCTGAAAGGTAATTTCATTTGGACTATCTAATATTATTAAGGCAAAAAAAACACAACATTAAACAAAAGTTTAAATTTAAAAGTTTCCATGCCTCTGGCTGGCCATTTTCACTGCCTTTAAGCCTTTGTGACTCTTCCTCTGATGTCAGCTTTAAGTCTTGTTCTGTTGAAAAATCCATACATTCAGTTAAAATCAACCACTTAAAACAGTTAAAAACTATTGCCTTTTAAAAACAGATTTGAGACATTTCATTTTATTTCATAAATTGAGTGTTTCATCTTTTGTGAAATTGTCATTTAAGAAATAATTCTCAAAAACTTCAAAAACCCACTTGGGGAGATAGCAGATGTCACCAGATTGAAGACAAACAAACATGTCAAAAATTCCCTCACAAATTCATCCACCCAACATCCATGAACAAAACCACCAGAAACACAGCTTTAAAATACAGTAGAAACATATAAGGTGACACAGTGTACTGTTCTCCACTTCCTAATAGTACCTTATAAATGATTTCCAAAATCACTGCTGACACCTTTATTAGTGTACAACATCTTCCTAATATCTAAAATGTTTCTCTCCACTATTCTGACAAATTTATTTTCTTTTTTTCTTTTTTCTTTTTTTTTTTTTATGAGCTAGAGTCTTCCTCTGTCACCAGGCTGGAATGCAGTGGTGTGATCAGCTCACTGCAACCTCCGCGACCCTGGTTCAAGTGATTCTCCTGCTTCAGTCTCCTGAGTAACTGTGATTACAGGCAAGCACCACCACACCCAGCTGATTTTTGTATTTTTAGTAGAGATGGGGTTTCACCATTGGACAGGATGGTCTCGATCTCCTGACCTCGTGATTCCCTCTGAAAGTGCTGGGATTACAGGTGTGAGCCACCACACCTGGCCTTATTTTCATCTTTTGAAACAATGCTATATGAAGTTTTCCTTGATTCTGCATGTCTTTCCCCAAATAAACAGGTACCTCCTTCCTTGAGGCTGCCTTAGTACTTTACTGATTTTTCTACTGCATCTTGACCACCTAAACTGTACATTATTCCTCCACGTCTGTCCCCTCTGCTCCAAGACTGCAGGGGAGAGTCTTGCACATCATCTTTGTAAAAACAGTCTTTGTTTTACTCAGAAATATTTTATTGAGTCCTGCTAAATACATGCTAGGCATTAGGGTTTAAAAAGAATTAAAATAAAGCATGTCAGAGATGGCTTTTCTAGAACACATGCCCAAGCAGAGACTTAAATATTGAGACTAGCCAGATTAAAAGGTGTAGAGGGCAGGAAAGGGTGACGGCATGCCACGCAGCAGCAAGAGCGGGAGCGACTCCTGAAAGAGTGAAAGTATTTGCCTACAATAGAAGGATGAGTGAGTAGGGCACTGCCAGCAGTTCAGTAATGCCAGAGACAGGGCACACAGGGAAAAGGGCTAAAGATGGAGAGTGGGGCAGAAGTCAGATTATGAAAGCATTATGTGTAATTTTAAGATGCTTGAACATTAATGTTCAAAAGTGGTCCCGGGTCCTATCTGCATTTAGATATAGATCATTTCAATGCCAAAACCAATATTCCTAGTGAACAATTATTCATTAAGACAAGGTGACAGATAGCTCATGTGGACACAGCTGAGATGATACAATGTAGCAAATTCTAAACAATTCTCATGAACACTTGGAAAGTCAGTTCTATAATAAAGTCATACAAATTATAATAAATCAGTAAATATTTGGTTTCGGAAGATGCTTTGTAAAGTTATAATGCATATGAATACAATTAACAGTCGTGAATTCAGAGCTGTGAAAATAAATCAAAGAAACCACATTGTGTTTGAGTCAGCAATCTTTAGATTTCTATCCAGTCTTCCCATCCAGTCCATAAATTCTAAGTATAATCCTGGTACTCACTCTCAAGTTTACGTTAAATACTATCCCATTACAAAAAAACACTCTTTCTCTTACTTCTTTTCATTATGTCCTGCTAAAAAGATTCTGATTGGCTGCAGGCGGCAAGAGGGAAAAACACAAAGCACATTTTGCAGAAAATGATTATTTAGAAGTCAGAACTATGACATGAAGCCAAGCAGGGCACTCTAGGACCGAATTTGCTGTGCTGCCTTCATACGCTCCTTGCTCTTTCTTTTCTGGCAGCTGTGACTCACACAGGTCATGGAGAGTATCATTCCCTAAGAGGAACAACTCCGATATTCATCTTTATCTATTAAGTTCATCTGTCCCAATTCTGTGTTCTGTGGATGCTGACTTTCTGTCACGGACGATGATGCACATGGACATTTATTACTGACTTTCAGATTCTTGGATCTTTGACAAGTCTTATTACTTAGAGTCAAACTAGTAGGATGCGAGTTATAAATGCTGATTATCCAATTACCTACTCAAAATACCCTACACGAATATTCCATTAAACATGCATCGAAAAACATTAGTCATTCCTGCTGACCTGCTGCTCTTTGCTCTTCTGTATTCACCAGAAAATTTCCTACTCCTTCCTCATGTCCAGGTTAAATACTAGTGTGCAATCTGGAAACCTGTACATCATCTGAGATTTCTCTCTGTCCCCCAAGCCTTTCTCATTCAATTATCACTAAATCATATTGACTATACCTCTCTTCTGCCTCTGTTTTATATTCCCACTGCCACTGGGAACACAAACATTTACAAAATGACTTCTATTTAAAAGAAAACTGCCAACTATTAATGTTATTTCTTACAGGAAAAAAAATTAAGCAAAACAAGTGAAAAGGGCATAACGAAGGCCAACATAGTAAAATGAGTAACTGAGATTTCTAACGTTATTTATTTCACCATGGACGGGTGAAAACCTTGTAATACATTGATGCTACTCCAAGGATGTGTGACATGGAAACTATAGCTGACTACTGCAAAAGCTTCCTTTGTCTCCTGGTTTCTTTGCATGATTATCTCCCATCAATCCCAGGAAACTATAGGCCACAGGCCAAATCCAATCTGCATTATGGTTTTGTAAATAAAGTTTTATAGGAGCTCAGTCATGCCTGTTTGCTTACATATAATCATGGTGGCTTTCACACTACAACAGCAGACAACAGCACGGTTAAGTAGATATGACAGAGACCACATAGTCCAAAATATTTCCCACCTGGTCCTTTAAAGAAAAAGCTTGCTAACCCATTTTACACCATAACCAGAATGCCTTAATACTCAAATTTAATCTTGTGGCTCCCCTGCTCAAATTTCTCCAATGAGCCCCCTCCAGCACACATTGTTGGCTCCCTATCAATAGCCATTCCTCATTCTTTCTGGCAGAAAAAACATAAGTCTATTGGGATATTTAATATCCCAATCCCCCTCCTCAGCCTCAGAAAGAAATGTTTATTCTAAGCTAATCAGATATTTACCTTCCCAGTGCCTGGTTTGGGAATGAGCATGTGGTATGACCCAGCCAATGAAATGTTACAGGAAGCCCCTTGCATGCTTCTAAGTTTTCTCCCTGTTTAAAAGACACATGTGAAGAAAAGCAGCCCTTTCGATGTTGTGTTGTGAAAACAAGATGTTTGGAGCTGCTGCAGATTAGCCAACCACAAAAGGAGACGTGAATAAAACACTGTCAACAGCACAGCTGAAAGAGGGACAAGTGGGATCCCTAGGATATCAATGAACAAAAAAACAACTCTGGTTCCTAGTGTTTTAGGCACTGCTCATCTAGTATTTGCAGTCCAAAGCATTCTACCTGGTAAATTTCCCATGGCCCACAGGAAAAGACCTACTCATTTCTATAGTATTAAAAAGTCTATCGTAAACTTGCCTTAGCTAAGTATTCACCTCACTCCCAACCTCTGGTATCTCACACTTTTGGTACTAGCAAAAGTGAACTGCTCAGAAACCCTGCCATGTTCACTCAAGCATCTTGTCTTCTGCACTTGCTGCTCTTCCTCCCAAACGGGCAATCTCATTAGATGTTCCTTCTGGCAAACACACTATCTCACTCCATGTTCCTTCTGCCAAATGTCATTCCTCTGCTTCTTTCCCTGAAAAATTCTTCTCACTCTGCATGCTTACATTAAATCCTGCCTCCTTTCTTTCTAAAGCTTTCACTCCTCATCACATATGTCTGGCACACAATCAATATCACATATAATAAATCATAATTATAAGATTCCAGTGGGCATCTAGCACACAGTAAGCACTGAATAAAGCAGCAAAATAATAAAAATGACAATGATAATAATAACAAGCTCCTGTCTGTTTTTGTGTTCTGTAGCCTTAGAAAAACTGCTTAGTATCTAAAAGACATTTGACAGTTATTTGTTAAGTGGACAAGTGAAAACATAAATAAAAATGTTTTCTTTGTAAATTCTGTTGAAAAACCACAGAAATGAAATAGAAACACTTCTGTTGTGAGCACCTTAAAGATTAAAACTACATCTATTCCATCTTTGTCTCCTGCAACTTATAAAACCTAACTTACAGAAGCTCTTTGACAAATAGGTAGCTAAATTAAAGGTGTCCTCATACAGTTTGGATTGTACCATGTATTAGGTGTCCACATCCAGGTAGCATACTAGCATTTTTGTTACTGTGAAACATTTTTATATTTTTATTATAATCTGCTGACCCTTGCATTGGGAAAATTGTACATTATGACAATCTTTTGGCAAATGGTAGCAGAGCACCTTCTTCTAACAAAATTACTGTTATCATGACAATTAACCAGCCGGTGGAAGAACACATCTTGTTCCAACAAAGTAAATGCATCTCTTTCAACTTCAAAATAGGAGGAATGAAGTCAGTAACAGTGAGACCTTGTTGGCACAAGCATATGTAACATGACCTGTGCTTCACTGTTCTTTTGTGAACAAAAATTCCTTACTTTTACTTTTTAAATCTATGGTAGGACCTCCCAGAGCAGGGCTCCACAACTCCCCGGCCACAGACTGGTACCAGTCCACGGTCTGTTAGGAACCACGCCACACAGGAGTAGGTGCGCAGCAGGCAAGCCAGGGAAGCTTCATCTGTATTTACAGCCACTCCTTATGATTCATATTACAGCCTCTACTCTGTCTCCAGTCAGATCAGTGATAGCATTAGATACTCATAGGAGCATGAACCCTGTTGTGAACTGCCCATCTGAGGGATCTAGGTTGTGTGCTTCCTATGAGAATCTAATGCCTGATGATCTGTCACTGTCTCACTTTGCCCCCAGAAGGGACCATCTAGTTGCAGAAAAATCAGCTCAGAGCTTCCACTGATTCTACATTATGGTAAGTTGTATAATTATTTTATTATATATTACAATGTAATAATAATATAAAGTAGCACAATAAGTGTAATGTGACTGAACAATCCTGAAACCATCCCCACCTTCCCCCAGCCCATGGAAAGATTGTCTTCCACAAAACCGGTCCCTGGTGCCAAAAAGATTGTGGACAACTGACCTAAAGTAATTCACTATCACAAGTCTTACCTGGGTTGCTGTTTTCAGAAGAGTATTTTGGCATCTGCTTTTCTTTGTAGTCAGAAAGTAATTCACAAATTCTATGTATAAAAATATAACAAATAAAATTACTGTTTTAAAATACTGATCTGGAAACTTACCAAATGTAAAATTCTTAGAGTATTTCAAACAATATCAGAATATCAGAACTTAACAGTATTATCCCATCCACTTATGCGTACGTTCTACAAACTTCTCATGAAGCTTCTAATTAAAGAAGAAAAAAAAGTAAGATGAAATACTCATAAATCGAGGGCACTGTGACCCAGTAAATTAACTTGCATTAGCCTGACATAATAGAAAGTGTCCCAACTCTAAATAAGTCCTAGCTCCATAATGAACAGCTATTTGCTCTTGAACAAGCTGCTTCTCTTAGGCTCAATGTCTTCTACAAAGTGAGGACTATGCTGCCTTATTTTACTAGGTTGTTATAATGATTTAACACGATAACATTTTTTTAAATGCTCAAAGAAATAGTAAAACAATGGAATAATTTGTTCCTAAACTTTATGACTGAAATTATCTTGGAATCCCAAATAAAACCCAGTGCGAATTTTGTTCATAGGTTCTAATATGCAAATGTTGTAGTTTTCAGGAAATGTTATTAAGTCCTAATTTTGCTTCTTAGTTGTCCTACTCTTTATGGCTTCTAATTCAGGGCATCTCAACTATGTCATAGTTTGTAACTAAATTTTTTCATAAATATCTCATTAAAGTAGATAATGTGA
Source organism: Homo sapiens (assembly GCF_000001405.40). Classification (NCBI taxonomy): domain Eukaryota; kingdom Metazoa; phylum Chordata; class Mammalia; order Primates; family Hominidae; genus Homo; species Homo sapiens. The sequence continues at coordinate 131,244,719 of NC_000002.12, read as the reverse complement.
TTGTCCACTATTACGGAGTTGATCAATCACGCCAAGGGCAGAAAAACCAATGGATGTCAAGACCTGACTTGGACCAATGATCCTTCTCTACAGACTCAAACTCTCAGCCAGATGTTTGTTACGATGATGCTTTATATACATGTTCATCTCCAGCTGACATGGGAGACGAAAACCCTACTTTTATTTTTTTTTAGGTTCCACGAAGAAGTTGTAAGTTGCCATTCTCTAATTTTTAACATACATACTAACAATATATTTGGTACACAACACCCCACACGTTATTTGGCTCTGGTGTCATCTCACAGACCACCTTACATGACTATTTTTATTGCGCAAATCACAATTTCAATGTTTTTGTGGCACCCATTCTGCTTTGATTCACACCATTTCCTTAAAGCTACTCAGCAAACAGTCAAATGACCTTCCAGTGACTGCGCAAAATATAGAATGCTTCAAAAATTTGTGTGGCCGCCTTATGCAAGGGCCAGCTCCTTGGGAGGCTGAGGCAGGAGAAATGCATGAACCCACGTTGCAATGAACTGAGATCGCGCCACTGCACTCCAGCCTGGGCGATACAGCGAGACTCCATCTCAAAAAAATAAAATAAAATAAAATAAAATAGTAAAGTTTGCAATTCCTCTGACTCAGTTTACCATAATGACAATTATGATTACTATTAAAGAATAAATAGTGAATAACCACAATATTGGGCTTTTCTCCCTAAATAAAAAAATTAATATAAAGAATGTAGCTTATTACAAAGAGCCAAAACGATTTTAAAAATGCAGACAATTACCAGGCAAAACTGTTAGGACTAAGAACCATGTCAAACTTTTTTTTTTTTTTTTTTTTGAGACGGAGTCTTGCTCTGTCACCCAGGCTGGAGTGCAGTGGCACGATCTTGGCTCACTGCAAGCTCCGCCTCCCGGGTTCATGCCATTCTCCTGCCTCAGCCTCCATAGCAGCTGGGACTACAGGCGCATGCTGCCACACCCGGTTAATTTTTTTGTATTTTTAGTAGAGACGGGGTTTCACTGGTCTCCACCTCCTGACCTCATGATCCACCTGCCTCGGCCTCCCAAAGTGCTTTGATTACAGGTGTCAGCCACCATGCCCGACCCATGTCAAACATTTTTAAAGTGAGAATCAATCAAACAATATACACAGGATAAACTCCATTCACTTATTTAATAAGTATTTATTAGGTAGCTACATCCAATATGCTAAGCCTTTTTCTAAGCAGTGAAGATATGGTAGTGAAAAATAAAAACCCTATTCATGACAGTGAGAAAAACACACAATAACAACAGACAGATAAGGCAAAATATACGGTATGTTAGAGGAGAAAAACTAAAGCAGGAAAATGAAATGTTTATGTGTTTGATGGGGAGGGTGGTGGGAAAGTTGAGATGGCCAGAAGAGTCCCTGCTGAGAAAGGGTTTTTTTTTTCTAATACAAAAAACCTTTTATTTGTATATCAAAGACTCTAAGAAACGATGACATAAGGTTAACAGCGTTGATGTCAAGATACAAATAGGTTTGAAGTTAGAGATGATAAATCACTTTGTTTCATTGAACCTTGCCTTGATTACCTTAGAGAGCATTCCTTGTATGCTGCCAATTGCATCTTAAGCATGATGCGTCTGGGTAGTACACGGTTCTTCCTCAGAAAGTGGATGTTCCTTAATGTGTTTCTTTTTACCCTTTGTCTTCTTCTTCTTAGAAAGGCGGTTTTAAATAAAGAACTGAAGGAATGGAAAGAGTTAAGCTAGGAGGATATCTGGGGGAAAAGCATCCCAGACACAGGGAACTGCCAAGCACAGAGGTGTGTCTGGAGTCTTTAAGCACTAGGGGTAGATACGGGATGGCAAGAATTCAGTGTGGCTGAAGCAGAGCAAGGGAGATAATCAGGAGGAACTTTGACCCATACTCAGAGTGAAAAGGAGGCAATCAGAAGTGCTGGGGAAGAGGAATGACACAATTTGACTTATGTTTTAAATACATCCACTGAGTTAAGAATTGATGAAAAGGGAAGTTTTTAAAAGCCAGGACGATCAATTCCCAGTCTATGACACTCATGACTGCAGATGACAGTGGCTCAGATGTACAAGATATGACTGGCTTCTGGTCATATTCTTCAGGTAGACCTGACAAGATTTACTGAAAGATTAGATATGAGGTGTCAGAGGGACAGATGAGTCAAGAATGACAATGACATTTTTGGCAGAGCAATTGGAAGAGTTGCCCTTAACCAAAGTAGGAAAGACTACATGAGGTGTAGATTTCAGGAAGGACATCAGTAGCCCAATTTTGGATCTGACAAGTGTGTGATACCCAATAACTAACCAAATAGAGACGTCAAGTAGGCAGGCTGATATAAAAAATCTGGAATTAAGGAGAGAGATCTGAGCTGGAGACATACATTTGGAAATCACTAGCATATACACAACAGAAAAAGTCATGAGGGGCCGGGTGCAGTGGCTCACACCTGTAATCCCAACACTTTGTGAGGCCAAGGCAGACAGATCACCTGAGGTCAGGAGTTTGAGACCAGGCTGGCCAACATGGGGAAATGCTGTCTCTACTAAAAATACAAAAATTAGCCAGGCATGGTGGCACACACCTGTAATGCCAGCTACTCAGGAGGCTGAGGCAGGAGAATCACTTAAACCCAAGAGGCAGAAGTTGTAGTGAGCTGAGATCACACCACTGAACTCCAGCCTGGGGGACAGAGTCAAACTCCGTCTCAAAAAAAGAAAAAGAAAAAGTCAGGAGAAAGAAGACTGAGGACTGAGCCCTGGGAAACAACAATGTCCAAAAGGAGAAAGATGAGGAGGAGCAAGCAAAACAGACCATGATGAATGGACTAGAAATGCAGGAGGAAAAGCTTGAGGGAGTGAGGACCTGAAAGCCAAGTGAAGACGCCGTTAGGGAGGAGACGCCCTCCACTGGCTCAAATATTGCTGACAGATTAAATAAAATGAGGTGTAAGAAAAATGCATAATTTACAGAAAAAAATTGTGATAATCTTGAGGAAAAACAATGTTGGAGGACTGCTGAAATTGAAGACGCCGGTGTGAGATTAAGAGTGAATGAAAAGAAAATTTGAGTTCGTGAGTGTGGACAGTTCTTTTAAGGACATCATGCTTAGGAGTCATGACTGAGAATGTTGTAATTTTCTTCCACAGTCATGGAAAAGTAATAGACAAATAGTTTCAAGTTTTATATAACAGGTGTAGTTTTCAAATTTTATATAACAATTATATATTTTAAAGGTTATAAAAATTATACACATGTGGCATTAAAAATGCCAGACTGAGGTGTTAAATTCTTAAAACTATAGAACTAAAAGTCGCCTTGAACATTTCTAGATTACACATAAGCTGATTATCATTTTATTCATGCTTATACATAAAGACCAAGAAATACTAAAAGTTTCAAGGAGAGTATTTCTTGCTTGATAAAATCAGCCAATTCTAGGAAAACTGATACTCATCAAATATACAAAATAATTCATCACAGCAAAATACTGGGTTCTATTAACAGGAATAAAGTGGGAGAAATGCAGAAAATAATCTTATTTTATAAATGAAATTTTTAAAATTATATGAAGTCACTGTGGAAAAATATGGTGAGGTGAATACTGAAATATATCCTTTTCTCAAAGGAAGGATAATTTCACACACGCAGGGCACTTTTACAAATAGGAGTCACTTCACTTGCAGCACCTTCCTTTTAGCACAAGGGTCAGCAAATTAGCACCTTGGGCCAAATCCAGCCCACTGCCTGTTTTTGTAAGTCAAGTATTTTGGAACACAGCCATGCTTATTCACTTTACAGTCCACAGTGTCAATTAGCTGGGTGTGATGTTGCACACCTGTGGTCCCAACTAGTAGAGAGGCTGAGGTGGGAAGATCACTAGAGCTCAGAAAGTCAAGACTTCAGTGAGCCATGATCACACAACTGCACTCCAGCCTGGGAAACAGAGTGAGACCCTGTCTCAAAAATAAATTAATTTATATAGTCCACAAAGCCTAAAATATTTACTAACTGGCTCTTTGCAGAAAAAGCTGGCCAACTCCTGGTTTAGCAGATGAAAGATCCTTTGATATATTTTAATAAAAGTTTTACCCAATATACTGAAACGTTTATATTAAATACAGATCCCCATGTACAATCCCTTGGCAATATTCAGATTGAGGGTCCAATATTTCAGCACTCAGGCACTGACAATAAAAATTTAATGACTAGCAATCTTGTTGCTAACAAGGTACAGCGTCAATATAGCATGTAGCTTCCATTTGCAACACAGGAAATATTACAAGAATTTTAACAAGAACTCTTAAGATGTCATCACTGATGCTTTAAATACACTTTAATTGTGAAATAATCAGTATACTCTAGATCTAACCTCACTTGTAAAAAATGGTTGCATACTACATTAATTTCTGGGTATGAAAATTGAGCTATTTCCAATTGGTAATGATTTACTTTTGATAATGATAATTTCCTATTGATAAGGATCCATCTTTTTGATATAATAATGCTGTAATAAATGTCCTTATACATAAGTATATATGTAACAAATCTACACAAATATCCTTTACATATATTATATATCCTTATTGTTATACATGTGTTTGTGAATATGCTACTAAATTAATGTTCAAAATGTATTTACCAGCAGTGTATGAAATGTCTTTTACAATGAAACCATTTCTTTTGCAGCAACACAGATGGAGCTGGAGGCCATTATCCTAAGCAAACTAATGCAGGAACAGAAGATCAAATGCCACATATTCTTACTCATTAGTGGGAACTAAATAATGAGAACTCATGGACACAAAGAGGAGAATAACAGGCACCAGGGTCTACTTGAAGGTGGAGCGTCGCGGGAGGGAGACGACCAAAAAACTAACTTTTGGTGTTTTGCTTATTATGTGGCTGATGAAATAATCTGCAGTCCAAATCTCCATGATACACTTTACCTATATAATAACCCTGCACATGTACCCCTGAAACTAAAAGAAAAGTTCACTAAAAAGAAAAGAAAATGCCTTTTCCCTCACATTTGCCAATACTGGTTATTTTTCAAATAAATTAATGCCTGGAAAAATGGTAACTCATTGTTCGCTGATTTTCATTTTTCTGATTAACGGGCAAGGCTGAATATCCTAGTAAAACTATAAAATTTGTTCATCATGAATATTAGCCCAAATTAGGGTTAGTTTGACAGCACATAGTTATCTTCTATTCAATGTTGCCATAGGCTTACCTGTGATACTCTTCACTTTCGTTGTCAGGAAATTGCTGATTTTCAGGTGTTCTGCTCTTCCTTTGAGGAATTAATCCATTATCACCATTGCCAGCAGTGACACCATTAGTCAGGTTTTCTAGTAATCCCACATTATTACTTTCATGCTTCTTCATTTCTTCTTCAACCTTGAGTGGGATATTAAGGATAGTTATCACTTTATTGAATAAAAAGAACCTTTTTAATTGATTCTATCAATTGACTCAGTTTGTCATTATTTTAGTCATTAAAAATATTTCACACTTAAATTTGATCATATATATAGAAATATTACCATATAACTTTAAGATGTAATTATCATCTCATTAATATATCACAGAAATTTTTGTAAAGTTTGCTTCATTTCTGTTTCAATGAATGAAACAGAATTTTCCAAAATTCAAAAAGGGCCCTCCTTCATTTTGTGCTTTTATTCTCAATCACTCTTCAGAATCTTATGTATGTATTTACCCCATTTGATTCATGGGAACACACAAATAAAAAGACAAAGATGCAAAATGTGTCCTCTTCCGTCTTTACCACCTAGATTTTACATTAAACAGTCAGATTTAGAGGATGACACACTGTGCGGCTTCAGGAATAGAAAGGAAGTTTGCCCTTTTCTGCGCTAAGATATTCTTCTACCCCACTGCCTTTGAGCATTCTTTTTTCATTTGGTTGCTGGGATATCAAAAACATGATGGTGCTCACTGAAAATGGGAGCCAAAGTTTGCCACAACACAAGAAGCAGAGTGAAACTGCTGACGTGCAAGCATGGAATTCCAGAAAATGAGATGCTCCCCAAATTTCACATTGAATAGCCATACAATTTTCTAGCTGGAAGATACACAGAATAAAAAGCTATCTTCTTTAGCCACATTATCTATTGATAATCAGACTAAAACCAAGAAAGATAAAATGATTGGTCCAAAGCTCCTAAAGTGGCATTACCTAGCATTTTATAGCACCATTCAGGATTGTTCCATAATAATCAAAGAATATCTCTAGGCTTTGTATCTCTTGAAAACTCAATGTACAGAATTCTTTCTGAGTTAAATATTAACTTTTTCACTGATGATTTATGCTACTTACATGATAGGATCATGTATGCCTACACTTACTACATTTTGTTAAACAACATAATGTAAAAATCTAATTCAACAGAAACATTTGAATATGAAGGTATACCTCTCTATCACCATCCTTATTTATTTCTAGTTCTTGAGACATTTTCTGCAGAGGCAAAAACAGAAGGTTAATTTGCTTGTTGTGTTTCTGTGATGTCTCCTCTTTTGGAGCGCATGTTTTAAAAAAATTTTATTCTTAACTAATCAAGTATGGACAATGAAAAATTAGAAAATAATTAAAATTAAAATTTAACTGTTAAATAAATAATAATTAAAATTAAGAATTAACTTTTTAATCTATGTTTAGCTACTGCCACATTACTGGCTTCTGACTAACATGTGAAAAATAATTCACCTTAGCCCAAGGAAGAAAAAAAACGTGAACCAGCAAACTTAATTTGGTCACCATTTGTTTGGACTAAACTTAATTTGTTATGTGTTAAATCTACCAAAAATGAATCAGCAGATGATTTGTAGTGTTCCAAAACCTTCCTCACTTGAAAAGAGTTTACCTCATGAAACCCTAACTAGTGAGCCCCTACAGTGCACTGAAGTGCTTTTCTAAAAGATTCCTAACTGGATTGTAGGCACCATTTAAATTATTAGGAGCCGAAATCAACACCAAACAGAAAGAGATGCAAATTCTCAAATTTTAATTGAGATTATATACTGTCATATGATAGTGTTATGTATCCAGATTATCTGCGTAAGTCCAGTTCTAATATATTCTAATGTGTACTAATTACAGTGGATAAAGATTTTTTAATAATATGTACTAATTTTCTGCAACTGAAATAAATTAGAATGTTATTGTGTTTGTGCACTAACACCAAAGGTTCCATTCTGCAAGATATGATTCTTGTAATAGGCAGCTGTGTTGCTTTTATGACCTGGTTCCCTCCCTGAACAGAAACGCTGAGGTCAACGAGAGACCATAAGGCAGAATATATTTTTAACCTTGGTATCACAGTGACTGACAATATAAAACTGCAGATTTTCAATCACTGGCCATGATTACTCCTTAACCATGAATCCAGCTCAGGGACCATCAGAGTTACATTGTTCATAATTCTATTGCTTAATAACATAATCCAATAATTGATGTACCTTCTTCATCATGTTCGGGTGTTGTAAAAATAAAAGAACAAAGTTCTGAAATTTGTTTTTGCCTCTATTCCAAAAGGAAAGATTAGCTATAAGCTAATCAAAAAGGCAGATGAGAGTATTTTAAATAAAAATATTATAAGAGTATTTTAAATTTTATAGTGGTTATGTTTTTTAAGTTAAATATCAAATGTTAAATTAGAATCCATTCTTCTGTTAATGAGATTACTGAATTTATTAAAATAAATTTTAACAATCTATTAAAAAATTCTTTAAAAAATCTATTGATTCTCAAAACCTAGTCTGAAAGGTAATTTCATTTGGACTATCTAATATTATTAAAGCAAAGAAAACAACATTAAATCAAAAATTTAAATTTAAAATTTCCCATGCCTCTGGCTGGCTATTTTCACTGCCTTTGAACCTTTGTGACTCTTCCTCTGATGTCAGCTTTAACTCTTGTTCTGTTGAGAAATCCATATATTCAGTTAAAATGAACCACTTAGAACAGTTAAAAACTATTGCCTTTATAAAAATAGATTTAAGACAACATTTTATTTCATAAATTGAGTGTTTAGTTTTTCACGAAATAGTTATTTAGGAAATAATTCTCCCAAACTTCAACAAACCACTTGGGGAGACACCTGATGTCATTCACTCACAAATTCATCCACCCAACATAAATGAACAAAACCACCAGAAACACAACTTTAAAATACAGTAGAAGCATGTAAGGTAACACAGTATGTTGTTCTCCACTTCCTAATAGTGAAGCAGTAAATGTAAAGAAAAGGAAATTTAGTTTTAAAGAGAAACAAGTTTTCCCGCACTTAGCTAGTCTGACTCTAAGGATAGTAACAAGCAGGGCCCAGGAAAGGTCGTGGTGACCCTGCCTGAGAAGCTAGAGCCCACAGGTATGGGCTCCAGACATCCCAGAGCAAGGTTAAGAAAACAAAATCCTTTACTGTCTCCCCTTCCCCTCAGCATTCACTCCGAGCTGTTTTTACAAATGCATACTATTTGCAAGTTCCTGTTGTCCTTCAATGCAGCTGCAAGGTCATAAGCTATGCTGAGGTTGCAAAACTGTCACTATATGATTAACTGCCTTTGTTCTGCTTCTGTAAGCTTGCCTACACAAGCCAAGCCGTGTCTTTGTTCAGGGCTCAGCTTTCGGATGCAAATCTGCTGAGCTGTTGCGAACCTAAATGAAATCCTCCTGTTTCACCCACTTGGTCTCTCCTGCCTCCTGTTTTCTGCAACAATAGTACCTTACAAATGATTTCAAAAATTACTACTGACACCTTTATTAGTGTACAATGTCTTCCCAATATCTAAAATGTTTCCCTCCACTATTCTGACACATTTATTTTCTTTTTTCTTTCTTTTTTTTTTTTTTTTTTTTTGAGCCAGGGTCTTGCTCTGTCACCAGGCTGGAGTGCAGTGGCGCAATCTCAGCTCACTGCAACCTCTGACACTCCCTGGTTCAAGCGATTCTCCTGTCTCAGTCTCCGGAGAAGCTGGGATTACAGGCATGTACCATCATGCCCAGCTAATTTTCATGTTTTTAGTAGAGACGGGGTTTCACCATTGGCCATGATGGTCCTGATCTTTTGACCTTGTGATCTGCCTGCTCCAGCCTCCCAAAATGCTGGGATTAGAGGTGTGAGCCACCACACTTGTCCTTATTTTTATCTTTTAAAACAATGCTATGAGAACGTCTTCCTTGATTCTGCATGTCTTTCCCCAGATAAACAGGTACCTCCTTCCTTGAGGCTGCCTTAGTACTTCACTGATTTTTCTACTGCATCTTTACCACCTGAACTCTACATTATTCCTCCACATGTCTGTCCCGTCTGCTCCAAGACTGCAGAGGACAGTCTTGAGCATCATCTTACTCACATTTTACTCAGAAATTTCTTATTGAGTCCTGCTAAATACATGCTAGGCATTAGGGTTTAAAAACAATTAAAATAAAGCATGTCAGGGATGGCTTTTCTAGAAAACATGCCCAAGCAGAGACTTAAATATTGAGACTAGCCAGATTAAAAGGGGTAGAGGGCAGGAAAGGGTGACGGCATGCCACGCAGCAGCAAGAGCGGGAGCGAGGCCTGAAAGAGTGAAAGTATTTGCCTACAATAGGAGGATGAGTGAGTAGGGCATTGCCAGCAGCTCAGTAATGCCAGAGAAAGGGCACACAGGGAAAAGGCCTAAAGATGGAGAGTGGGGCAGAAGTCAGATTATGAAAGCCTTATGTGTAATTTTAAGATGCCTGGACATTAATGTTCAAGAGTGGTCCCTGATCCTATCTGCATTTAGATATAGATCACTTTAAATGCCAAAACCAATATTCCTACTGAACAATTATTCATTAAGACAAGGTGACAGATAGCTCATGTGGACACAGCTGAGATGATACTATGTAGCAAATTCTCAATAATTCTCATGAACACTTGGAAAGTCAATTCTATAAGAAGTCAGAGAAATTATAATAAATCACTTAATACTTGGTTTGGGAAGGTGCTTTCTAAAGTTATAGTGCCTATGAATTTAACTAATAATTGTGAATTCAGAGCTGTGACAATAAAGCAAAGAAACCACATTGTGTTTGAGTCAGCAATCTTTAGATTTCTATCCAGTCTTCCTACCCAGTCCGTAAATTCTAACTATAATCCTGGTACTCACTCTCAAGTTTATGTTAAATACTAGCCTATACAAAAAACACTCTTTCTCTTTTTTCATTTTGTTATTTATATATTGCTTTGTTTAAAGGAAGAACACAAAAATGCCCTGCTAAAGGGATTCTGTTTGGTTGCAGGCTGCAAGCGGGGAAAAAATCAAAGTGTATTTTGCAGAAAATGATTTTTTAGAAGTCAGAACTATGACATGAAGTCAAGCAGGGCACTCTAGGACTGAATTTGCTGTGCTGCCTTCATATGCTCCTTGCTCGCTCTTTTCTGGCAGCTGTGACTCACACAGGTCATGGAGAGTATCATTCCCTAAAAGGAACAACTCCGATATTCATCTTTATCCATTAAGTTCATCTGTCCCATTCTATGTTGTGGATGCTAACTTTTGATCATTGATGGTGATACACATGGACATTTATCATCAACTTTCAGATTCTTGGATCTTTGACAAGTCTTATTAGTGAGAGTCAAACTAGTAGGATGCGAGTTATAAATGCTGGTTATCCAATTACCTACTCAAAATATCCTACATGAATTTTCCATTAAACGTGCATAGAAAAACATTAGTCATTCCTGCTGACCTGCTGCTCTTTGCTCTTCTGTATTCACCAGAAAATTTCCTCCTTCGTCCTCACATCCAGGTTAAATACTACTGTACAACCTGGAAACCTGGAAATTATCTGACATTTCTCTCTGTCCCCCAAGCCTTTCTCATTCAATTATCACTAAATCATATTGACGATACCGCTCTTCTGCCTCTGCTTTATATTCCCACTGCCACTGGGAACACAAACATTTACAAAATGGCTTTTATTTAAAAAAAAGCCTGCCAACTATTAATGTTATTTCTTACATGAAAAAAATTAAGCAAAACAAATGAAAAAAGCATAACACCAAAAAAAAAAGGCCAACATATTAAAACAAGTAGTTGAGATTCCTAACTTTATGTATTTCACTAAGGACGGGTGAAAACCTTGTAATACATTGATGCTACTCCAAGGATGTATGACAAGGAAACTATAACTGACTACTGCGAAAACTTCCTTTGTCTCCTGGTTTCTTTACAGGGTAAAGAACCTTCCATCAATCCCAGCAAACTATAGGCCACAGGCCAAATCCAATCTGCATTATGGTTTTGTAAATAAAGTTTTATAGGAGCTCAGTCATGCCTGTTTGCTTACATATAATCATGGTGGCTTTCACACTACAACAGCAGACAACAGCAGGGTTAAGTAGATATGACAGAGACCACATAGTCTAAAATATTGCCCAACTGGCCATTTACAGAAAAAGCTTGCTAACCCGTTTTACACCATAACCAGAATGCCTTAATACTCAGATTTAATCTTATGACTCCCCTGCTCAAATTTCTCCAATGAGCCCCTGCAGCACACATTGTTGGCTCCCTATCAATAGCCATTCCTTATTCTTTCTTGAAGAAGAAATCCAAGTCTATTGGGATATTTATTATCCCAATCCCCCTCCTCAGCCTCAGAAACAGAAATGATTATTCTAAGCTAATCAGGTATTTACCTTCCCAGTGCCTGGTTTGGGAATGAGCATGTGGTGTGACCCAGCCAGTGAAATGTTACAGGAAGCCCTTTGCATGCTTCTAAGTTTTCTCCCTGTTTAAAAGACACATGTGAAGAAAAGCAGCCCTTGCGATGTTGTGTTGTGAGAACAAGATGTTTGGAGCTGCTGCGGATTAGCCAACCATGAAGGGAGACGTGAATAAAACACTGTCAACAGCACAGCTGAAAGAGGGAAAAGTGGGATCCTAGGATATCAATGAACAACCAAAACAACTCTGGTTCCTACTGTTTTAGCCACTGTTCATCTAGTATTTGCAGTCCAAAGCATTCTACCCGGTAAATTTCCCATGGCACACAGGATAAGACCTACTCATTTCTATAGTATTAAAAAGTCTATCATAAACTTGCCTTAGCTAAGTATTCACCTCATTCCCAACCTCTCGTATCACACACTTTTGGTACTAGCAAAAGTGAACTGCTCAGAAACCCTGCCATGTTCACTCAAGCATCTTGTCTTTTGCACTTGCTGCTCTTCCTCCCAAACAGGCAATCTCATTAGATGTTCCTTCTGGCAAACACACGACCTCGCTGCATGTTCCTTCTGCCAAACATTCTTCTTCTGCTTCTTTACCTAGAAAAATTCTTCTCTCTCTGCATGCTTACCTTAAATCATACCTACTTTTTCCCAAAACTTTCATTCCTCATCACATATGTCTGGCACATAATCAATATATAATAAATCATAATTATAAGCTTCCAGTGGGCATCTAGCACACAGTAAGCACTGAATAAAGTAGTAAAATAATGAAAATGACAATGATAACAAAAAGCTCCTGTCTGTATTTTTAATTGTTTGTGGTCTATAGCATTAGAAAAATGGTTACTATCTAAAAGACATTTGATAGTTATATGTTAAGTGGACAAGTGAAAACATAAATAGAAATGTTTTCTTTGTAAATTCTGTTGAAAAACCACAGAAATGAAATGGAGACAGCTCTATTATGAGCACCTTAAAGATCAAAACTACATCTATTCCATCTTTGTCTCCTGCAACTTATAAAACCTAACTTACAAAAGCTCTTTGATAAATAGATGGCTAAATTAAAGGTGTCCTCATACAGTTTGGACTATAAATGTATTAGGTGTCCACAACCAGGTAGCATACTAGCGTTTTTGTTAGTGTGAAACGTTTTTCTGCTTTTATTATAATCTGCTGAGCCTAGAGTTGGGCAATTTGTATATTTATTATGACAATCTTTTGGCAAATGGTAGCAGAGCATCTTGTTCTAACAAAATTACTGTTATGATGACAATTAACCAGCAGGTAGAAGAACACATCTTGTTCCAACAAAGTAAATATATCTCTTTCCAACTTCAAATGAGGAGGAATGAAGTCAGTAATAGTGAGACCTTATTGGGACAAGCATATGTAACATGACTTGTGCTTCAGTGTTCTTTTGTGATCAAAAATTCCTTACTTTTACTTTTTTATCTATGGTAGGACCACGCAAAGCAGGGGTCCTCAACTCCCAGGCCACAGACTCATACCAGTCCATGGACTATTATGAACCACACCACACAGGAGGAGGTGAGCAGCAGGCAAGCCAGGGAAGCTTCATCTGTATTTACAGCCACTCCTTATGGCTCATATTACCGCCTGTACTCTGCCTCCAGTCAGATCAGTGATAGCACTAGATACTCATTGGAGCATGAACCCTGTTGTGAACTGCCCATCTGAGGGATCTAGGTTGTGTGCTTCGTATGAGAATCTAATGCCTGATGATCTGTCACTGTCTCACTTTGCCCCCAGATGAGACCATCCAGTTGCAGAAAAATAAGTTCAGAGCTTCCACGGATTCTACATTATGGTAAGTTGTATAATTATTTCATTATATATTACAATGTGATAATAATATAAAGTAGCACAATAAATGTAACATGATTGAATAATCCTGAAACCATCCCCACCCTCCCCCAGCCCATGGAAAAATTGTCTTCCACAAAACCGGTCCCTGGTGTCAAAAAGGTTGGGGACAACTGACTAAAGTAATTCACTATCACAAGTCTTACCTGGATTGCTGTTTTCAGAAGAGATTTTTAGCATCTGTTTTTCTTTGTAGTCAGAAAGTAACTGGCAAATTCTATGTATAAAAATGTAATAAACCAAATTACTATTTTAATACTGATATAAAAAAAACTTACCAAATGTAGAATTATTAAGAGTATTTCAAACAATATCAGAATAACAGAACTTAATAGTATTATCCCATCCACTTATGAATACATTCTACAAACTTCTCTTTAAGCTTCTAATTAAAGAAGAAAAAAATGTAAGGTGAAATAGTCATAAATCGAGGGCACTGTGACCCAGTAAATTAGCTAGCATTAGCATGACATAATAGAAAGTGTCCCAACTCTAAATAAGTCCTAGCTCCATAATGAACAGCTATTTGTTCTTGGACAACTTGCTTCTCTTAGGCTCAATGTCTTCTTCAACAAAGTGAGGACTTTGCTGCCTTATTTCACTAGGTTGTTATAAAGGTTTAACGAGATAACATTTTTTAAATGCTCAGAGAAATAGTAAAGCAATGGAATAATCTGTTCCTAAACTTTATGACTAAAATTATCTTGGAATCCCAAATAAAACCCAATGCATATTTTGTTCATAGGTTCTAATATACAAATGTTGTAGTTTTCAGAAAATGTTATTAAGTCCTAATTTTGCTTCTTAGTTGTCCTACTCTTTATGGCTTATAATTCAGGGCATCTCAACTATGTCATAGTTTGTAACTAAATTTATTCATAAATATCTCATTAAAGTAGATAATGTGATTGTCCACTATTACGGAGTTGATCAATCACACCAAGGGCAGAAAAACCAATGGATGTTAAGACCTGACTTGGACCAACGATCCTTCTCTACAGACTCAAACTCTCAGCCAGTAGATGTCTGTTAGGATAATGCTTTATATTGATGTTCAATTCCAGCTGACATGGGAGACCAAAAGTCTACTTTTATTTTTTTTTAGTTTCCACAGAGAAGTAGCAAGCTGACATTCTGTAATTTTCGACATACATACTAACAATATATTTTGCACCGAACATGTTATTCAGGTCTAAGTCATCTCATAGACCATCTTACATGACTATTTTTGCAGCACAAATCACAATTTCAATATTTGGGTGGCACCCATTTTGCTTTGATTCACACTATTTCCTCAGAGCTAGTCAGCAAATAGTCAAATGACCTTCCAGTGACTGCACAAAATATGGAATGCTTCAAAGATCTGTGCTGCCTCCTTATGCAGAAGCCATGCTAACTTTCCCCGTATTGTTCCAATTTTAGGATATGTGCCGCCGAAGCAAGCACAAAGCCCTACTTTTACACATGATTAGTGATGCGTCATGGACAAGGCTTGGCTCTGTGAAGTCCAACTAACCTACTTGAGATTCTGAGAATTCTCTTCAATGGCTTCCTGTGAGCTAGAGTTTGAAAATATCTTAAAATCTTGAGCTAGAGATGGAAGTAGCTCCGACAATTTTCATTATCATGTAAATCAGATCACTCAAGGGGCCAACCACAGCTGGGAGCCACTGCTCAGGGCAAGGTTCATATGGGACTTTCTACTGGGTTCTATACAGGATATAAAGGTGCCTCACAGTACAGATCTGGTAGCAAAGAGGAAACAAACACTGACCTCTTTCTGCCACATTATTTGAACCCCTCTCACCCTTTAGAACAAGCCCACCTAACATCTGCCAGAGAAAAGACCAACAACAGCCTCAAAGGATCTCTTACCATGAAGGTCTCAGCTAATTCCTGGCTAAGATGTGGGTTCCACATTAGGTTCTGAATATGTGGGGAAGGGTCAATTTGGTCACTTTGTGTGCGGATAAAGTCAAGATGCCCAGCGGCCAGAGCAGGGGGCTGGTGCTCTGGGAACAATGGCTGAGCATATAAGCATAGGTATGGGAATTAAAAAACATCAAAGTCACTGTATGAATCGCCATGAAGACTTGAGGGATCTGAATCTACTGATTCATCTTAAGGCAGCAGGACCAGTTTGAGTGGCCACAAAGCAGCAACAAAATCAACGGAAACAACAGAATGATTGCAATGTCTTTTTTCCTCCTCCTTCTGACTTGATAAAAGGGACTGTCTTCCTTGGATTTAGTGAACTCCTTCGGTTCTTGAAAAATTCAAGGAGTATGTAGGACATAGTCCCCAGAAGACAGTACAAGACTTTCCGCTAAACTAGACATTTCAAGACCCAAATAACTAATCAGAAAAATTAAAGATGTGACACTATTTTTTATCCCTGCATAGGTGTTACACTTGGATCAAATGAACAATGCTGGGATCTCTAAGGATAAAGATCTTAAAAGTCCTGAGATAAAGAATCCCGCACCCATTGGTACTTCTAACTTGTCTTGCTTTTTGTCTGATTTCTGGCTGATGCAGGGGACTAACTCACTGCCACGCGAAAACTACCTGAACCAAACTATGACATCTCACCTGATATGTGAGATGCAACTGTTATAATTATTTTAAACCTCAATTCAGCATTAACTAGCCTTTTAATGTAAACACTTACACATGATGATGACTAGAAACAGCATACTCTCTGGCCGTCTGTCCAGATAGATCTTGAGAAGATACATCAATATTTTGCTCAAGTAGAAGGCTGACTATACTTGCTGATCCACAACATACAGCAAGTATGAGAGCAGTCCTAAAATGACAGAGATAGGAACTGTAATAAAGTTATTTTTAAAGCTAATTTGATATACTTTACCAATGTAACATCTTGCCTGTCTGTGCAGAATCAAACATTTACATGCACTAAAAGACATAAGCATCTTGAGTGCTCAAGTGTTCATCTTTGTAAAATGCCACCAAGGTTAAAAGGAAGGGACCAAAAAAAACCCTCTTATCTCAGTGGGGTATTGCATAGCAGAAGCTACTAATTTAAAGTCCTTTGATGGGCAAGAAACAATGTTAGGGCCACTTATCTGAGGTGGACAAAGATTTAAGTGAAGATTTTGTCACAGCTTCCCTAGACTGACATGCTGTAATAGAAAATCAGCTAGGGGGTAAGAGAAATAAGAGCTCTCTGCATGCTCAAAGCAGTAATAATAATGGTAAGAATAGTAGTCATAGGAGTTTCAGTTAATGGTGCCAATAACCATGTGCTAGGCACTGAATTAAATGCCACATGTATCTTTCTTACTTATGCACAGCCAACTTTGAAGGATATATTCTCCTACTTTTCATATATGACAACATATTTGGTGGTAAATAACGTCCCCAAGGTCACACACCTAGCAAGTAAGAAAGTTACTAATTAAACCCAGTCTTGTGTGAATCCAAAGCCTAGCTCTTTTCTCTTTATCACCCACGTACGGCTTGTCTTCATTAAAGGAAAAGTGTATCCACTTAAAACTATCTTCACTCCCTCTCTCCATACCAATTAAAAATAAAAACATCAAAACACACTGGAAAAACAAAAGGAAAAAAGCTGTTGAACCCACAGTATGTGGGAACAGCAATTAATTGTCATGTAGGGATAAGCTAACACTAATATTCTTCAAAGAAAGCAACTTAAAGCAAAGTCATTAAAAAGACAAAAGGATTTTCAACCCCTATTTATGTTTAATACAGCAGATTTAATGGAAAAGCATGTAAGACACAGGTTAAAAACTATTAGAAAGGGTTAAGAAGTTCAATACTGAGTCATAAAGTAAACTAAAAGTTAAAGTTCAAACTTCATAAAATTAATATGAAATCCTTTAAGCTAACATAAGATCATGTAACCAAAAATGTCACATAACAAATAACATCAGTCAATATAATAAGAGAAGATGAATCCTACTAAAACTGTTCTTTATGTTGCCCAGCCCAAGTAATTGTTTTTCTACCTAACTGATTTGTGTTGATACTGATCACTACATCCCAGTAAGTATACATTAATCTTATTAATTTAATATTTATGACTTGAGTGACTGCTGTCCATCTAGAACACACAGATTAAAAGAAAGAACTATACCTTCCATATCTATCCAGTGCATTTAAATTCGCTTTTTTCTTGATTAAAAATTTCACGACTTGCTGTTTTTGCTCATGTACACCAAGTAACAGTGGTGTGAGGCCATGCTGTAAAACAATATAAAGCAAAAACCTATGTAATTCAAAAAAGTACATATTCCTCAACCAAAGTGGAAACTTTATGTAAGATCTTATGGACTTACACGCATAGAAAGTAAATAAAATGTACTCGCTTCCTTCTCACTCTTCTGTGCTTTCCCACACGCTGCTCCTTCCCTTGGAAACACCCCTTCTCTGCCTCACCACAGTAACTCTAATCATCTCAAAAACTCACTTTAAACATTTACTGCTTCCAAGGCTCTTTGCTTCTAAACCAGCATTTGGCATGGTGTTATTGGATGATAATATTTTTCCCATCTAAACAAAAAGCTTCTTGAGGGCAGGGGCTGTATCTTTTGTCTCTATATCCTCAACCCTAAGACAAATTGTGTATAAAGCAAGAATCTGCATGTAAAATATTTCTTTAGTTTCATGTTTTACCAAAAGTTCAACCTCCAACATGCAACAAAAATTGCTATTAAAACTCATACTGCCCATTTGAAAAAATTTTCCAACATTTATTTATTTAAAATCTATTTGTATTTAATTTTCCCAGATTGTTAACTAAACCATCAGTTCATAGGACTACTGAAACTAAATTAACAGAATTCCTATCTGTATTCTTAATAACTCCATGGTTTTTAGTGTTTAAAACTGCCATGCTGATTATGCCAAAGCTCTACATACTTAAGAGACACACTGGATAGTCCATAATACAGCGTCAATTGACAAAAAGTGGTTTAGAATTTGCTACAATTCTAATTGAGAAAACTCTGCTCTTAACGACTTACTGACCTAAGCACTTGAATGACTGAACAAAGAGACACAAAATCCTGAGAGGGCCATCCTCTACTTATTGAAAGACTACTCACAGCAAATTTCTAAAGACCTTCTGAACAGCAGTGAATAACTGATGGTAGGAAGGAAAAGGTCTTATTCTGTAAGCTGATACATACTACCAATAATATTCATTTTAATGTCTCAGTCACAGATAAAAGTCAGACTAGGTCAGGAATGGTGGCTCACACCTGTAATCCTAGCATTTGGGGAGGCTGAGGTGGGTGAATCGCTTGAGCCCAGGAGTTCAAGACCAGCCTGAGAAACATGGCAAAAACCTCATCTCTACTGAAAAAAAAAAAAAAAAACTGAGGTTGGAGGACCATCTGAGCTTGGAGAGGTCGAGGCTGCAGTGAGCTGTGATCACACCACTGCATTCCAGCCTGGGAAACAGAGTGAGACCCCATCTCAAAAAAAAAAAAAAAAAGTCAGATTAATGTTATTGGAAAGATTTAAAGAAATCAGCACATATCCAACCCCAACTCTTCTAGAGATACCTTAAGTTTCTGAGACATAAGAATTTACATATTACATTTAAGTATTGAGTGGTTCTTAAGCAGGAGTGTATCCAGATTTTGAGAAAATTGTTGTTGTTGTCGTTGTTGTTGTTGTTGTTAGAGACAGGGTCTCATTATGTTGACCAGGCTAGACTCGAACTCCTGAGCTCAAGCAATCCTCCCACCTCAGCCTCCCTAGCAGCTGGGACTACAGCCATGTACCACCATGCCTGGCTTCAAGGAAACATTTTCAAATATACATATCCAGGCTTTATTAGACTTACTGTATCAAAATATTCAGAAAAAGCCTAGACTTGTTGATTATTTAAACATTTTCCTCAGGTTACTGGGATGCACAATTCTAGCTGAAAGCTAGTGCAACAGACAATTACTTCAGTCTCATTTCTCACCCACATGACCAATTCCCTTTCTCATTTGAAGATTTGGCCAAAAAGAGTAAGGAGTAGGAGAGAGGCCCATTTGCTGAAAACACCACATGATTTTCCCCGGTAAGAGAAGAACAGGGTCTAGTCAACTCAAAATCCAACTTGATCTTGTTACTTGTTTATCTTCCCCCTTCCCATCCAGACACTCTAGATTTGAAAGCAGAGCTGAGACTCTAATTGGCCATTTCTACCAGAATAGGATACTAAGTCAGTTAATTACTTGATATTCCCTCTGCTCAAGGGTTTCCTCTTACATTACCACCTATTCACTGCCAATCTGGTTCCTCAGAGGCCTCCTAAAATTGATCTCTAGGTAGTTTACAACCCACTAACTCCCTCTCCCAAACTGAAAACTGTCATTCTCTAAAATTGAAGAGAACCTTGTCTCACCATGCAAAGGAAACAAATCAGTCAACAACAACAACACACACACACACAACCTCTTCATGGTCTTTTCCCTCCATTATCTAATTTCCAAATTGGCCTTGATATTTCTGATTGCTCTCTTTTTTGCTTTCCACTTCTGGCTCATGAGCAATCAGAAATATCTTAAGCCTTGCCAGTGAGAGGCGCATCACCTCGTATCTATTACTGTTTTTTAGGAACTTGCCAAAGGAGCAGGATCTCTATTCACTGAAACATGTTTAACTTTTCTTGGAGTTTTCATGTAAAACCTATTTCAGGGCAAATTTTGCCATTTTACATTCAATAGGGAAAAAACATCCTAGGAGGGAAAAATTGAAAAATAGTAAGTATTATCTTTTACAAATTCAGTGTTTTCAAAAAAAGTATTTACCACAAGTGCATTAAAAAAAAAAAACTGTACCCTCTAATGCTTCTTTGAAAGTAACAATATTTAAAATGAAGTCTTAGATAATTAGGTCATTTCAAAATATTTTCATTCAGGTTATGCTTGAGCTTCCAAATATGGAAGACTGGCCCTTACACAGGTCAATGTTAAAATGAATGCATTTCAGTATTTTGAAGATAAAATTGGTAGATCTATACCTTGTTTTTTGATTCGATATCAGCACCATATAAGAGCAGTGCTTTGGCCATTAATTTATCTTCATTATAGATAGCGTAGTGCAGAGTGGTATTTCCATACTCATCTGGAATATTTGGATCAGTGCCATGTTCCAGCAACATTAACGCACATTCATCTTCCTGGCATTGTACGGCCTGTCAGTATTAGACCAAAAACAAATTACAAATCTTAGGAATTCAAAATAACATTCCACAGCTTTCACCAACTAGTTATATTTAAAGGAGAAAACTCATTTTTATGCTATGTATTGAAATCAAACCCACCTCATGCTGATATAGTTGGCTACTGCATACCTTTATCAGAGCTGTCCTCTTTTTGTTGTCAAGGACATTAAGTTGACATCGTCTGTCCAGCAGGAGTTTTACTACTTCTGAATTCCCATTGGCAGAGGCCAGATGTAGAGCAGTCCTATGAGAGTGACAAGACTTTTTAGGAAATTGTAGTGCACTAGCTACAGCCATAGCAATGATTCATGTAACTGCAAACACTGAATAGCCTGCTATTACTCTGCCTTCAAAACAAACATTTAACTTTCCCATGAAAAAAGCACACTATTTATTATCTCTCATTGCTCGCTGTATTAATGAAAGGGCAGCCTATATAAATATAAAGAGCATAGCCCTTGGATGACATTCAACGTGGGCTGGAATCCTACTTGAAGCTCTGTCACTTCCTGGCTGTTGCTTAGCCTTTTGGGGTCTCAGTTTCCTCATCAATAAAATAGGAATGAAAATAGTAGCTTTCTCACAGGAAACCACTCTAATGCTTAAATGAGACTCTGCACCAAAGATATAGAATAGTTCCTAACACAAATAACAGCTCAATAATTGTTAGATATTTTAATTTTTACTAATACCACTAAAGACAACATTTGAACTGAGATGATACAATTATACCTACACTTTCAGGTGTGTTTTAAATATTACAGCTAACATTGTATTTTAGTGATTCTGAGATGATCATTGTCTCCATGTTGTCTCCACTGAAATACCACTTACAATTCATGATTTACTATAATTTGCGGCATTTAAATAATTCTCTTATTGAGGCATAAAATAATGGGGCATCACACAATCCCTGGTGTCTTACATGAAGTAGAATATGTTATAACAGGTCCGGGGCGGTTCCAGTCAGATGACCAGCATTTAGATAAATTTTAGTTCTTAAAAGAACTATGGAATAAGAAAGCTGAGGTGAAAACAAAAACAAATTTCTAAAATAAACCAATTCTTACTTTGGTTTTCAATAAACTTTAAGCCAAAGAAAACCTGGAATTCAAATGAATAGCATGGGCTCATTTTTTTCAATACTTAGATTTATACAATATATCTACATCAGATATTTCCAATCATTCATATTAGGATTTAAGACTGTTATAAATTTTCTCCTTTTAAAACGGATTTATGAAACGATTTGTGGAGCTTTTTTCAACTGTTACATTCAGGGGTACACGTGCCAGATGTGCAGGTTTGTTACACAGGTAAACACGTGCACCAAGGGGGTTGGTTGTACAGATTATTTCATTACTCAGGTGTTAAGCCCAGTACCCATTCATTCTATTTCCTGCTTCCTTCCCTCCTCCCACCCTTCACCCTGTAATAGGCCCCAGTGTGTGCTGCTTCCCTCTAGGTATCTGTGTGTTCTCACCATTTAGCTCCCACCTATAAGTAAGAACATGCAGTATTTGGTTTTCTCTTCCTTTGTTAGTTTGCTAAGGATAATGGCTTTCAACACCATCCATGTCCCTGCAAAGGACATGCTCTCGTTCCTTCTTTTATGGCTGCATAGTATTCCATGCTGTTTATGTACCACATTTTAGTTCTTAAAACAACTAAAACAGTCTTTCTCCAAGACTTATAAATTTTCAAAAGGGCAGTTAAGGGTTGTCTTTTACTATTTTCTACCTTCAGAAATGCTTCTGTTTGAAAGGAGGGAGGAAAAGCTTCAATTGAGATTAAGTCCTAATGCACCAATTTTAAATCTCTCAGCTTGCTCAAGCCCAGCAGATAAACATGAAGTTTTCAAAGGTGGAAGGATCCTGAGAGATAGTAGAATATGCCTGCCACATAATAGGTGTCTGGCTTATGTCTGATGACTAAATGGATTGAAAGAATGGATGAACACAGCTTGGGAGTTCAGTATTTTCAAAGAAAACTCCTGTCGAGTAATGCAATACATTTGCAATAGTAATAATCACTTACATTTGCTATTTTAATTTTCATAAACATACAACTCAACTAAAATGATTAATTCATACTTTTTACATGTTAATCTATATCTAATGAAAAGATAATTATGTAATAAAATGTATATACAATAAAATCTACAGGAACAGGTAAACACAATCCCTCTACTTCTGAAGAGGGTAAAAGTTCACAGAAGATAGCCAACCACAGATAGAAAAATAAATAATAGAATGTGACAAATTATTTGCATCTATGCAAGAAGCATATTCCTTCTCTTCCCAAGGATTATTGCATTACTAATGAACTTTAACTAAAACTTCAGATGTTCATTGCAGAAATCACAGATAAGAGAAAGGGAAAAACTTCACTTACAAATCCCCAGAAACAAGTTTGATTATATTTTCTACATGTTTTCAGCTAACACGAGCAGATTCTGTTCGTGTATATGTGTAACCAACTGATTTTTTTCTCACTTGTTATAGCAAAGTACATCTTTGCATGTCGACATATCTCTGTATCTACTGACAACCTCAATAGTTACATATTAGTCCATCCTATGGATGCACTGAAATTTGTCCATGAAATCTTTATATGGGTTCTTCTAAATACACTGCTATTTTAATCAATACTAAGAAAAACAGACATCTATTTGGTAAAGATATTTCAGTATAATGGAATTGATGAGTAAAAAGCATAACATTTTTAAAATGTGGTTCTTACCACTAAAGTGTTTGTTTGAAAAGCTGTAGCAATTTAAACTTTAAATGACTACGTAAGTACCACTGTTCTTCATCCTCACAAACTTTGTGGACAGAAAACAGTATTTCATTCCTTTTTTTTTTTCTTTTTTTTTTTTTGAGATGGAGTCTCACTCTATCACCCAGGCTGGAATGTAGTGGCGCGATCTCGGCTCACTGCAACCTCCACCTCCCTGGTTCAAGCAATTCTCTTGCTTCAGCCTCCTGAGTAGCTGGGATTACAGGTGTGTGCCACCATGCCCAACTAATTTTTTGTATTTTTAGTAGAGATGGGATTTCACCACACTGGCCAGGCTGGTCTCAAACTCCTGACTTCATGATCCACCTGCCTCAGCCTCCTAAAGTGCTGGGGTAACGGGCGTAAGCCACTGTACCCGGCCTTTCATTCCTCTTCTAACTTAAATAGAAAACAGTATTTCATTCCTCTTCTAACTTACATTCCTTCTTCTACCAGGAACGCTATCTTTTCCTATGTGCATAGGTCACTGGTAGATATGCAAAAAAAGTACTTTGCCCAATTTTAAAATGAGCTTATTTTATTATGTCTGCAAATATAGGCCAGGCACAGTGGCTCACGCCTGTAACCCCAGCACTTGGGGAAGCCAAGGTGGGTGGATCACGAGGACAGGAGTTCAAGACCTGCCTGGCCAAGATGGTGAAACCCCATCTCTACTAAAAATACAAAGCAATTAGCCAGGCGTGGTGGCAGGCGCCTGTAATCCCAGCTACTCAGTAGGCTGAAGCAGAGAATTGCTTGAACCTAGGAGGCAGAGGTTGCAGTGAGCCGAGATCGCACTACTGCACTCCAGCCGGGGCAGCAGAGTCAGACTCCATCCAAAAAAAAGTATATATATAAATATATATCTGCATATATAAATAGGCATTTGTATGTTTCTCTTCTGGTATGTTTCTCTTTTTGTATATTTAAAATTTTTAATCTATACTCTTATTTTTGTGACATAAAAATCTAGCTAGTTTTCTCCAAACATGAATTATGAACAATCCATCTTTTTCAAATAATAAAAAACACCACCATTATCAAGCGCTAAATTCTTAACATATATTTGGGTATTTCTAAATTTCCTATTCTGTTGTATTCATTGATGTCTTTTCAGCTGTTAGTAAACAATTTGTGGAAATAAATAACATGCACATTTTGATATCTGGAAAAGCAGACTTTTTCCATTCTGTTACAAAAAATTAATTTATCACAATAATAAAAGACAGCATGTGTAATTTAAAAACGCTAAAACTTTGCTATTTTTATTTGGCTTAGGTAAAAGTGATAAATAGAAAAAGCTCCCATCTTTTTTTTTTTTTTTTGAAAGGGAGTCTCGCTCTGTCGCCCAGGCTGGAGTGCGGTGGCACTATCTCTGCTCACTGCAAGCTCCACCTCCCGGGTTCACGCCATTCTCCTGCCTCAGCCTCCTGAGTAGCTGGGACTACAGGCGTCTACGACCGCACCCAGCTAATTTTTTTTATATTTTTTAGTAGAGACGGGGTTTCACCGTGTTAGCCAGGATGGTCTCGATCTCCTGACCTCGTGATCCGCCCGCCTCCCAAAGTGCTGGGATTACAGGCGTGAGCCACCGCGCCCAGCCAAAAAGCTCACATCTTAAGAAAATTCAATCTTCCTGTTCAAGCACAGGAACCATCTTCCCATTTCAGTTTCCTTCTAAGGTTCCTCAGTAAAGAACATATTTACATACTGTACATTGATATAAAATCCATACTGGATTTTATTTGAAGAATATTTAGCCCTGAAGTTGATGTGTTATGGGGCTTTGTTCTTAGTTCTCAATATACACTTTTCTATAATGTATAGAACATTGTTTTAAAATCTGTAGATTAAAAATAATCTGCTGCATTGACTTAATTAATTTTGCAAGTTAAATCACTTTAAAACAGTCTATTAGTGTTCTATGAGGGAAATTATGATTGGAAATCAGCTAAAGTTTTGTTTTTGTGTTGCTGTTCATAAAGGGCCCTGTACCCTGACCTCTCTGAGGTTTCCACATCCAGGGTGGTGTGAGGCCTGCGGAGGCGAGAAAGCCAGGTCCCCCTCCTCCCCCGCCAGGAGGGTATGTCCCCATCATCCCCCCACGTCCCACCTCCTCCCAGCCCAGGCCTGGTTACCTCTTTTGCTTGTCCTTCTTGTTCACGTCAGTGTCCCTGAGCATGACGATGAGATCCTTTCTGGGGACTTTACCCCACCAGGCAGCTCTGTGGAGCTTGTCCAGATCTTCTCCACGGACGTGGTACCTGGGCTCCATGAAGGCGCTGTCATCGTAGTCTCCCCAAGCGCCCACCTTGCTCTTGCCGCTCCCCCTGCAGCAGGGGAAGCAGTGGCAGCACCACTTCCCCATCTTGTTCCTGAGTGTCTTCATAGCAGAGTCGTCGTGGTCTCCAGAAGCGCCCACGTTGCTCTTGCCACTCCCCCTGCAGCAGGGGAAGCAGTGGTGGCACCACTTGCCCATCTTGCTCCTGAGTGTCTTCATAGCAGAGTCGTCGTGGTCTCCAGAAGTGCCCACGTTGCTCTTGCCGCTCTCCCTGTAGCAGGGGAAGCAACGGCAGCACCACTTGCCCATCTTGCTCCTGAGACCAAATGGCTTCTTCACAGAAGAGGCAGCCGGCATGGAATCAACCTCAACCACCATCTGCTTTTAACAGCCAGGAGAAGCCAGTAGTAGCCAACAGATCGCGTCTACCAACCAGTTTCACCAACTAGCAGGTAACTCCGGGTTTCCAATCTGTTTGAAGAGAAATGTCAATCCCAGCCAAAACCTGCCAACCCCAGCAGGGGATTCCAGCCCAGCCCACCCCACCCAGGGAAAACCCACACCCACCCGAGGAAAGCCCACGCCCCCCCTGGGCGACCCCACGCCCACCCCAGAAAGGGCCAACCCCAGAAAGGGCCAACCCCCGCCCCCAAGAAAACACCCAGCCCACCCAAGGGAATGCCAAACCCAGCAGAGAAAAGGTCAAGCCCAGCAAAGGAACACGAGAGAGAAAACGTCAATCCAAGCAGGAAACGTCAATCCAAGCTACCAACGCCAAGCCAAGCCAAGAACGCAAAGCCAAGCCAAGCCGCTACAGGCCAGCCAAGCCGTTAAAGCGCGTGCAGCATGCGCGTGCAAGCCATTACAGGCCAGCCAAGCCGTTACGCGCGTGCGGCGTGCGCGTGCAAGCCGTTACAGGCCGGCCAAACCGTTATGCGCGTGCGGCGTGCGCGTGCAAGCCGTTACAAGCCAGCAAGCTGCTGCCGGGCGTGCGCGTGCGCGTGCGGCGTGCGCGTGCGGCGTGCGGCGTGCGGCGTGCTTATCTCAGGTGGCGTCAGGGCACGTGGCACAGACACTGGCCGATGCATGCAACGCGCCTGCTTAAGTCTTGGCGCCACGAATGTCACTGACAGCCTTGAGTTCCGGCAAACTTCGTGGGAGTCAGCTGAGCTTTCAAGCCACTGAGAAGCCTCTGGTGAAAAAAAAAAAAGCCTCTTAAAGGAGGACTGGGGCTAAGCGTCTGGAACTTGAGGATGCTGACAGCCTCCTTTGAAAAAAGCCCCCAGGACACTCCTGGCGGTGCTGTTGTGCATGGCAGCAGCTGCAGCTGGGAGCTCGGGCTGACGGAGCTGGCTGCAAATGGCCTCAAAATCGCGGAGCACAAGACGCCCACCGAGCCCAGGGCCTGCCTGAGGTGCCTTCAACACCTGCTCCTCTTTGCTCCGCACCCAGAACACGAGGCCATCAGCAAGGGGGCATTTGGGGCCACAGGATTGCAGCCAGCTCCTGCCCCGGTGCAGTGTATACAGTGTATACTGCACAGGTGTTGGGTGCACCAAAATCTCCTGAATCACCTCTAAAGAACTTACTCATATAATCAAACACCACCTTTTCCCCAAAACCCTAGGAAATAAAATGAAGAACTTTTTGTTTATGCATACCACATATTTTTTAACTTTTTTCACAGGTTCATTGAGATACAATTTATATATTATTTAATTCACTCATTTAAAGTATAAAATTCAGTTTTTTAAGTGTATTAACTAGTTAAACAATCACCACGATTTTAGAACATTTTTATGCTCCTTAAAAGAAACTTTGCACCCATTAGCAATCTTTCCCTATTTTCCCCATTCTTCCTTTAAACCTCTCCCAGCCCTAGGCAATCATCCATCTACTTCCTAAGAATTTGCCTATTCTGGAAGGATTTGCCTATTCTGGACATTTCATGTAAGTGGAATCATAATAATATAGTTACGTGTGACTTACTACTTTCATTTATCATGTTTTCAATGTTCATCCTTTTTGGAGCATGTATTAATATGTTTTTCTTTTTCATTGCCAAGTAATATTTTATTTTATGGACAGACCACATTTTATTAATCCACTCCAAAATTCATGGACATTTCTGTTGTTTCCTACTTTTTGTTGCTATAAATACCTTTATGTGTAAGGCATTTGTTTTAATTTATTTTTGGTGTATACATAGGAGTGAATTTACTGAGTCATGTGGTAATTCTGTATTTAACCTTTGAAGAACGGCTTCATTTTTCTGCATGTGGCTTGCCAATTATACCAGCAGCATATGTTGAATAGGGTGTCCTTTCCCATTTTCTTGTTTGCTTTGTCAAAGATTAGGTAGTCTGATGCCTCCAGGTTTGTTCTTTTTGCTAAAGATTGCTTTGGTTTTTCAGCATCTTTTGTGGTTCCATTCAGATTTTAGGACTAATTTTTCTATTTCTGTGAAGAATGACATTGGAATTTGACAGCGGTTGCATTTAATCTGTAGAATGCTTTGAGTAGCATTGAAATTTTGACAATATTAATTTTTTCAGTTGACAAATATAGGACTTTTTCTATTTGTCACTTTCAATTTCTTTCATCAATGTGCTATAATTTTCAGTATACAAATCGTTCACATCCTTCATTAAAATTACTCCTTGCTCTTTGATTTACTTATATATTTGTTTTGTTGCTATTATAAATGGAATTACCTTATTTTTCAGATAACAGTTTGTCATTGGTGTATGGAAACCAATGTTAATTTTGTAACTCTCAACTTTATTGAATATAGTGTTTATCAGCTGTAATGGGTTTTTTGTGGAGTCTAAAACACAGACAATCTCACCCCTTCCCTTCCTATTTAGATGCCTTTCCTTTCTTTGCCTTGTATAATTACTCTGGCAAGTCAGTTACATATAACGTTCTCAGCATTTGTAATTTGACATCAAATCCATCTGTTGTAATACACTGATTGTTACTTTTCAACTCGAAAACATGGACATTTATCACTACTCTCCCTTTCTCTTGGTCTAGTTGTTATTTAAAAAAAAACCTATCAATGCAAACCAGGATATTTTTCTACAAAACAATTTCAAACACACTAAAAGGTTTTAATCTAACAATTTTTAAACTTTCTTTGTCAATGACTTTGAACTGTGGTCTCTCGGAACAAATCCAACACCTTTAGTAGAAAAATTATGTTAATTCCTACATTATCATTGGGTCTAGCCAAGAGTTGACCAAAGGTGATATTAACAGATATGCTTATTTATTACCTTGTTCTCAAAGTTCTAGCGTAAGTCTTGAAAAATCTAGTAAAAATTTGTAAAGACTATAATTGCACAAACTCCCTCTCTCATGAGTCACACAGTTAATCCAGAATACTATTTCTAAGTTATTGTAAAGCCAACAAGTAAATATGATGTAGTGTATAAAAATAATCCTAATTGCATTGTATATTCTGTAAGTGACATATGCAATTGATACTATTTACTAAATATCTCATAATTATATTTATTTACATAGAAAAAAGGAATCAAAAACATATCTATTATCTAACGTTTAAATGATTAAAAATACTTGAGATAGCATTGCTACATAAATGCTATGTAAATGCTGAAGAAAGTAAAAATGTCATTCCCTACATTTGCTAAATATATTGTGACACATTATAAGCATTTTTAAAATATATCACTAATGGTTGGGTCAAGTCAGCAAAAATGATTCTAAGTATTTAATTGTGGAAAAATTTAGTACAGGGGATAGTATTCATGTGATGGAAGGATTTTAAATGGAACCCAGAGATTAGCAGCAGCAGTAAGTTTTAATTGCATACCAGGTGCAGAGTCTAGGATACAAGACAGAACTGCAGATAAAATCTGACTCCTTCCAGCATAGCTAGGAGACATGGCTAACTCCACCTGTCCGGAGACCTTACCTAGAAATCTAACGGCTCCAAACCAGGTAAACAAAACTATTTTCCAAAGTCAAAGCATCAATTTATGACATTAAAGCACTTCTAAAACTTAACCTCTGACTTAAATTAGACCAAATGGATAAATTTTGAAGATATTTTTATTTTACCACTGACTTTAACACCATCTTTATTTCCCAAAGATTACTGAAGTCACATGAAATAAAAGGCATTAGAGCTTCTATTTTTCTTACAAAATATTTAAGAGCTTTCATTTTCTTTTAAGCCGAGCCATTATATATACATCACATACACAACACTTCTAGACAAGAAAAGATCTAGCAGTTGTTCAGTTTTTCTTTCCCACTTTATGAACCATAACACAACTTCCACAGACTATCTACGACATGATTAAATTTATCTGACCTGTCCTGTATTTCCCTCTTTTGTAATTAGTCATTCTACTTTAGGACAACAATTTGCCATATAAGATCCTCTCTCATATAACATTTCTTTCCTTCATAACATTTCTTATAATAAATACATCTTCATATCCACAATTTTCTTTAGATCTCTCTCCCCTACTAATTTCTGATGCCCATCCAAACCAAAAAGGTCAGACAACGCAAGGCAAAACAGAGGAGAGCCTTAGATTTTTGAGAGGGACCTGTCTGCTTAAAGTTCTTGGGGTTCCATGAGGAAAACAGAGGTTTCTCCTAAAATGGGGTTTGTGGAACCTTCTGTTTTTCCTTAAGGAGTCCCAGGTTGTCAGAAATTACCTTAGATCCTCTCATGTGGGCATCAAGAGTGGCAACAAGAGAGACTGGGGTAATAATTCAGACAACTGAGCAGAAAAAGAAAAACTTACTACTGTCCCCACTGTAATGATGGATAAACTGAGGCACCATGCAGTTCAAAAATTCATGTTCACATAATTAGGATCCACAGCTCACTCTCTTAAATAATTTTGCCAACTCTATGCCCAGTCACTGATGCACCTGTATGGTAGCTCATGGCCCCCTTGGAACTTAGAACCTGGGTTTCATTCCTGCTCTACGGCTATATAATTCAACAATTTTCCTTTGAATTTGTTGGACTCTAACCCTGTATATCTCAAATTTTATTAGTATTACTGAATCTTAAAGGGAGCTGTGACGTCTTTAGTCTTTAGAAATATTAAACCTATAAACAAGGACTATATGAGGTTAAACAGTATTCAAATTTCTATATGCTTTAAAACATGGACACAATGTATTGAGAAACACACCTACAAAACTGCACCCCATCAACTCTGGACAAAAATTTAGATATTATCTCTTCAATATAACCTATCTAGTGGTATTTATACATATTCTTCCATGTATCAATGGTATATTACATGCTCATAACCTTAAAAATAACAAGTGTTCAAATTATAGGCCTTACACATTTCTACGGGCTTGAAAAATGATACAATATAGATTGTCTTTAAAGCAGTCAAGAAAATGCATAAACTTCTAGAGGAATCAGTAAAATAAAGATAAAAAGTTCACACCTAAAGTAGTAATACTAGGAATAAAAGAGGGCTCGACACTGCAGGTTCTTAGATACAAAAGTTAATAAAGCCTTGTTTTTGGTTGTGAATCTTTGCCTTAAAATACACACAGCCGACCGAGGTGGGTGGATCACCTGAGGTCAGGTGTTCTAGGCCAGCCTGGCCAACATGGTGAAACCCCATCTCTACTAAAAATACAAAAATTAGCCGGGCGTGGTGGCAGGCACCTATAATCCCAGCTACTCAGGGGGCCAAGGCAGGAGAACTGCTTTCACCCAGGAGGCAGGGGTTGCAGTGAGCCAAGATCGGGCCATCGTACTACAGCCTGGGGGACAAGAGCGAGACTTCATCTCAAAAAAAAAAAAATTACACACAATTCTCCCGACTTCCTTTTTCTCTTGCAAAGAGGTGGTGATGAACCAGGTTTGCTCAGGCAGATGGCAATACTCTTGAAAATGGTGGCAGAGAGCCAGGCGTGGTGGCTCACACCTCCAATCCCAGCACTTTGGGAAGCTGAGACAGGTGGATCACTTGAAGTCGGGAGTTCAAGACCAGCCTGACCAACATAGAGAAAACCCATCTCTATTAAAAACACAAAGTTAGCTGGGCATGGTGGCACATGCCTGCAATCCCAGTTACTCGGGAGGCTGAGGCAGGAGACTTGCTTGAACCCAGGAAGCGGAGGTTGCAGTGAGCCGAGATCGCCCCATTGCACTCCAGCCTGGGCAACAAGAGCAAAACTCCATCTCAAAAAAAAAAAGAAAGAAAACAAAGGAAATGGTGGCAGAGAAAATGAAGGCAATACAGTTCACTTAATAATCTCATAAATTAGAACTTACCCCGTGACTCCTGCATAGCTCCAAATATGTGAGAGAGATGAAATGGCTGTTTGCCACCAATATTTTTATGTGATGCTTCATTTTTTGATTCTCTGAATAACTACTTATAACGCATTAGCCCATTTATGCCAGAGGCTGCAATTTTTTGAATTTTTGCACGAGTGAAAAATCAAACCTTCTAATGACCTTGAGCAGTAGGATGTAATTAACTCCCTCATGCTTACCATTCCAATAATGGAACACTAGGCATAAGTGGTTTAACACAATCATGAAAGCATAGCTATTCAAGTAACTAATTATACAACTGATTTTTTTCCTCATCCCTAAAACATAGTAAAGGACCAGTTATTTTAAAAATACAACACAGTGACAATTTTGGCTTGTTGTTTGTTAAGGCCATTGCTTGGCATAAAGAAAACAAAAAGAGGAGGAGAAACAAGAATAGAAACATGAAATAGAAGCAGCAGCAAAAGAAAATGAAGAGGAACAAGAAGATGAGAAGAATACACAGACTAGAAAAAGCAAAAAGAACAGGTGCAGGAATTAGAAGGCCTATTATGACACCTTTTATCCCCTCCCCAATTCACAAAATTTGAAAAAGTCCAAGACCATCACAACAAAAAAGAAGGAAAAAATGACCGGGAGTGGTGGCTCACGCCTATAATCCTAGCACTTTGGGAGGCCAAGGTGGGCGGATCATGAGGTCAGGTGATCTAGACCATCCTGGCCAACACTGTGAAACCCCATCTCTACTAAAAATACAAAAATAAAATTGGCTGGGCGTGGTGGCAGGCGCCTGTAGTCCCAGCTACTAGGGAGGCTGAGGCAGGAGGATGGGGTGAACCCAGGAAGCAGAGCTTGCAGTGAGCCGAGATCGCACCACTGCACTCCAGCCTGGGCAAAAGAGCGAGACTCTGTCTCAAAAAAAAAAAAAAAAAAAAAAAAAAAAGCCACACACACACACACACACAGTCACCCCCTAAATTTTGTTAAGAATGAGACAATGCTGCCACTCATGCCTGGCTCAGAAGGAGGCCACCCTCCAGAGATTGCAAGAGAAGGGGGAGGACTCCTTTCCCTAAGTGCACCTCCACCACTGCCACCGAGGCCCATGGTACAGCACCAGCAGGTTCCTCCCCACCCCAGGTCGGACTGGGCCCTGCAGTGCTCCTACTCCCCCTTCCCAGTCCCCAGACTTTCTGCCACTACCACCACTAGCACCAATGCCAATACAGTTGCTGTCGCCGTCAATGCAGCAGCCCACCCTACAAGGTTCCTACCACCTTGCCCCCGCGGGCACCCTCCTACCACTCCTGTCGAGCTGCAGTCTCCGTGGCTGCCATCAGTCACACGAGGCGAGCTGCAGAGTCACGCCACATGCAGGCTCCAGCGTACCACAGGTGATTCCTTCTCCTCCTCCTCCAGCCTGGCTTGGAGCAGCTAGACCGGCAAAGCCAGAAAAGCCTAGAATGGGATGCAGGGAGTGGTAACGTTAGAGCCTCACCTTGTCATGCTGGCCACTGGGTGGCAGGGACCAGCTTCAGCTAAGGCACTCACACCCACCCACCGAAGTCCAGCCTCTCTTTCTGGCAAAAGGTGGCCAGGAACTGGGGCGGGTGTGAGTGCCTATGCTGAAACCACCCCCATCCAGGTGCAACTGGCCAGAAATTGCTGGGCCCACCAGGGCTGCACTCCTTGGGGAGCAGGAGTAGGAGAAACTCAGACCCAGCCAGCCCTCCCCACTCAACTGCTGGTTCCCGTTCCTGACACCTCCACCCACAGTGCCCTGTTCCCACAGTCCCCCGCGATGCCCACTAATCCCCACCCGGTAGTCCCAGGTGGTCTCCCCAACACAGAGCATGGGGTGTGGGCGGGAGGTGCAGGCCGGAGAACCGCAGTGGGTGTGGGGGCCCTGCCCTGCTCAAGATTGCACGAGCAGGAACTCTGGAGTCTGGAAAAGAGAAGAGTTACCCGAAGGAGCAAGGAGACCATGGCTGTTGCTGTCCCCACCACCTCTGCAGCCGACCAACACCACTGGCAGTATAGCCCCCATAGCAACCCTAACCTGACCCCTGCCGCCGGCAGTGTAGCCCCCGGACAGCACACCCAACACACCCTGTGCCAGTTGCAGGCAGTGTAACCCCAATACCCCCCCCCAACCACCCCTTCCACAGGCAGTGTAGCACCCGATAGTGCCCACAACCTGACCCAGCCACAGGTGTTGCTGCACAAGACAGTGCCCCAAAATCGCCGCCCCCACCCCACCACAGGTAGCGCAGCTCCTGATAGCGCACCCTGAGTAAGGGCAGTGCAGCACCCGACAACACTCCTAAACCACCCCCCGCTGCCAGCATTGTAGCTCCAAATAACCACCCAAACCACTCCCTGCCCCGGGCAGTGCAGCAGAAAATAGTGCCCCTAACCCCTCCCCCGCCACCGGCAGTACACGTTAGTGCACACAACCTGCCTCCCCCCCACCACCCCCGCCACCACGGGCAGTGTAGCCCCGGACAGCCAGCCAAAACCGCCCCCCTCCACCGCCAGCAATGCAACCTCGGAGAGTGCCCCCAACCAGCCCCCTGACACAGGCAGTGCAGCCTCGGGCAGTGAGCCCCAATAGGACACCCAACCCCTGCCCCCACAGGCGGGCAGTACATCCCCGGATAACTCACCTACACCAGGACATTTCTACCACTCTGGCCGAGCTGCAGTGTCCCACGTCACCACCAAACACAGCAAGGCGAGCCCCAGGGGCTCAGGCTCCAGCCTCCAGCATGCGTCGGTGCTGCTCCCTTCTACTCGTCTTCCTGCCTGGCAGGAGAAGCTCCCGCTACTAGTTGCCCTCCTACCGCTCTGTGGACACCACCAACTGCAGTGAGCCAGTGTCCGAGGCTCCAGCCAGAAACAGGTAGCAGCCATGCCGGTTACCAAACGCCCACACTTAAGAGCCTGAAATGACCTGACGCCACCTCCGCATGCTTTACGTACTGAGGTTACGCACATGTGGTTCCCAGACTACATGTTCTGATTGGATGAGAGAAAAACCTCTAGGCCTACTCTGATTGGACTTTATTTTCATGCTGTGATTGGTTGTCTTAAGACTGGCTCTCATCCAATCAGAACATGATAATAAAGTCCAATCCAAGTAACCCTGGAGGGTTTTTCTCATCCAATCAGAACATGCAGTCAGGAATCCTCCTGTATATAACCGCGGTATACGCCTGCTGCTGAAGGGAAGTCAGGCTCTTCCACGTTCCCGTATTTTCCTGTGGAGCTGCTCAGTGCCCGGCTTAGAGGACCAGGAATGGGTAATCACCAGCCGTACGCTGGAGGCTGGAGCCGCTACACCGTGGCTCGCCTCGCTGCGACTGGTGGTAACCGCGACCGAGACGGCAGTGCGGCGGAAGCGGTAAGAGGAGGAAAAGAGTTTTGGGATAGATGGAGGGGGTAAAGAGGGTGGTTAGTGCCAAAGGGAAGAGAGGATAGTGAGCAGGAGAGCGCGTTGCAAAAAGGCGGTGGGGAAAAGATAGTGGGAAAAAAAGTTTTTGGGTAGATGGAGGGAGAAAAACGGGGTGGGGAGCGGCAGGGAGGGAAGGTTTTGCAGAAAGATGGTGGGTAAAATGTTTATGGGTAGATGGAGGAGGAAAAGAGGGTGGCAAGGGAGGAGGAAAGAGAGGGTGGTGGGGGGGAGAAACAGCGTTGAGCAGTAGAGAGAGAAGGTTTTGTGAAAAGACAGTGGGGAGAAAAGGTTTTGGGTAGATAGAGGGGGAAAAGAGGGTAACAGGTGGGGGAAGGGAAAAGGGTAGCCAGCGGGAGGAAGACAAGGTTTTGCAAAAAGATAGTGGGCAGGAAAGAAAGACGGTGGAGAAAGAAAAGACAGTGGGTAAAAAGTGTTTGGGTAGATGGTGGGGGGAAAGAGGGTAACGAGGAGGAGGAAAGAGGGTGACGAGAGGGAGCAGGGAAAGAGAGTTGGGGAAAAAATGGGAAAATAGTTTGGGGTAGATGGAAGGCAAAAAAGAGAGTGGCAAGCAGGATAGGGCAAAGAAGAGGACGAGTGGGAAGGGGGGAAGACTGTGAAAAGACAGTAGGGAATATTCTGGGGGGTGGATGGAGGGGGAAAAGGGGAGGTGAGCAGGAGTGGGGAGAAGGCTTTGCGAAAAGACTATGGGGAAATGTTTTTGGGTAGAGAAGGGAAAGAGGGTGGCAAGGAGGAGCGGGGGAAAAGACGATGAGGAAAACAGTTTTCGGGTAGATGAAGGGCGAAAAAGTGGTGAGCAGCAGGAGTGAGGAGAAGGGTTTGGGAAAAGACGGGAGAAAATGTTTTTGCTTAGATGAAGGAGCAAAAGAGGGTGATGAGAGTGGGATGGGGGAAAAGAAGGTGGCCAGGGAGAAAGGGAAAAGACGGTGGGAAAAAACAGTGGGGAAAGTGGGTAAGTGGATGGGGAAAAGGGTGGTGAGTGAGAGAGCAGAGAAGGCTTTGCGAAATGACGGTAGGGAAAAATGGTGGGGAAAAAGTTTTGGGGTAGATGGAGGAAGAAAACGGGTGGCGAGGGGGAGGAGGCCAAAGGCGGTCGGGAAAAGAAGGTGGGAAAATAATGGTGGGAGACAAAGATTTGGGGTAGATTTTTTTTTAATCAAATTATTTGTATTTTTGCTTTTGAGTAGTTATTTATATATTTTGTGTATTAGCCCCTTGGCTGATGCATAGTTTGCAAATACTTTCTTCCATTCTCTGGGTTGTTTCTTCGTTCTACTGATTTCTTCCTGTGCTTTGCAGAAGCTTTTAAGTTTTATGTAATTACATCTTTGCTTTTGTTGCTTGTGCTTTTGACAAGTTTAATGTAATTACATCTTTGCTTTTGTTGCTTGTGCTTTTGATGTCTATTTGAAAATTCCTTGTCCTAACCAGTTTCATGAAGCATTTATCCTATGTTTTCTTCTCTAGTAGTTTTATAGTTTCAGGTCCTACATTTAAATCTTTATTTTGAGCAGATTTTTGTATATGGTAAGATAACGGCCTAGATGTATTCCTGCACATGTGGGTGTTGAGTTATCCTAGCAGTTTATTGAAGAGATTGTCCTTCCCGAATGTGTGTTCTTGGTGCCTTTGTTAAAAATGAGTACGCCATAAATGTGTGAATTTATTTCTGATTTCTCTATTCTGTTTCACTTGTCTATGTCTGTCATTCCTTCGTTTCTGTTTCTCCCCCGCCCCTTTTTTTGATAGTATTATGCTGTTTTGGTATTACCATGCTTACTACAGATTTGTAGTATGTTTTGAAGTCAGGTGTGATGCCTCCAGCTTTTCTTTTTATTCCAGATTCTTTTGTCTATCTGAGGTATTTTGCGTTTCCATGTGAATTTTAGGATTTTTTTTTCCTATTTCTATGAAGAATGTCTTTTGTAATTTAACATGGATTGCATTGACTCTCTAGATCACATTGGGTGATATAGACATTTTAACAATATTCTTCTAGTGCATGGACATGGGATATCTTTCCATTTACTTGTGTCTGCTTTAATAGCTTTCATCTGTGTTTTAGAGTTTCCATTGTGGGATCTTTTGTCTTTTTGGTTAAGTTTATCCCTAGATATAATTTTTTTGGTAATGAAATAGCTTTCTTGATTTCCTTCTTAGGTATTTCACTATTGGTGCATGGGTGTGCTGATATTGTATCTTGCAACTTGACTAAATTATTTCCTGTAGGTGATTTTGTGGAATCTTTAGGGTTCTCTCTTTCTCTATGTATATATATATGATCATGTCACCTGCAAACAGAGACAGTTTGACTTCCTTTTTTCCAATTTGGATGCCTTTTATTGCATTCTCTTGTCTAATTGCGCTACCTAGGACTTCCAGTACTATGATGAATAAAAGTGGTGTAAAAGTAGCCACACTCGTTCCAGGCCTTAGAGGAAGAGTTTTAACCTTTCCCCATTGATTATGATGTTAGCTGTGGGTTTATCATATATGGCCTTTATTGCGCTATGTTCCTTCTGTACTCATGTTGTTCAGTTTTTGCCATGAAGGAATGTTGATTTTTATTTTTTTCAGCATCTACTGAAATGATTATATGGTTTTTGTTCCTGATTCGCTGAATGTGATGTCGTACATTTATTTATTTGTGTTTTATTGAATCATCCTCATATTCCTGGGATGAATCCCACTTGATCATGGCAGATCATCTTTTTATTGTGTTGTCAAGTGCAATTTTCAAGTATTTTGCTGAGGATTTTTTTGCATCTGTGTTTATCAGGGATATTTAAAATGCCTGTGGCTTTCTTTTTGTGTTGTTTCCTGGTCTGGTTTTTGTACCAGGATCATGCTGTCCTCATAGAACAAGTTTCGAAGACTTCCTTTCTCTTCACTTTTTGGGGAATATTTTGAGTAAAATTGGTATTAGCTCTTTTAAAAATGTTTGGTAGAATTCAGCAGTAAAACCATGATTCTTGTGTTTTTGTTTGACGGAAGACTTTTTATTACTGCTTTAATTATATTACTCATTATTGATCTGTTCCGGTTTTTTGTTTATCATTCTATCTTGGGAATTTGTTATGTGTCCAGAAATTTATCACTTCTCCTAGATTTTCCAACTTGTTTTTATATAGGTGTTTTTAGTAATCTCTTACAATCCTTCATATTTCTGTGTTATCACTTGCAATGTCTCATTTTTCATCTATGATTTTTTCTTTTTCTTTTCCTTAGTCTAGTTAAAGCTTGTCAGTTTTGATTTTTTTCTAAAAAATCCAGCTCTTTGTTCCATTGACTTTTTGTATTTTTTGTTTCTATTTTTAAAATTTCTTCTCTAATCTTTATGATATTTTTGTACTAATTTTAGCATTTTATTTTTCTCATTTTTCTCACTACTTCAGGTGTACTGTCAGGTTGGCTATTTGAGATCTTTCTACTTCTCTGATGTAGGTGTTTATAGCTATGCCCTTTTCCTCTTACAACTGCTTTTGCTGCATCCCACAGGATTTGTTATGTTGTGTTTCTATTATTTTTTCAATAAATTTTTAATTTTCTTTTTTTTCATTTATTTATTGGTTGTTCATGAGCATGTATTTTAATTTCCATATATTTGTACAGTTTTTCCTCCTGTTATTGATTTCTAGTACTATTCCACTGTGGTCAGAAAAGATACTTGATATGATTTCAGGTTTTGTTTTTTTTTTTGTTTTTTTTTTGAGACAGAGCCTTGCTCTGTCGCCCAGGCTGGAGTGCAGTGGCGCGATCTTGGCTCACTGCAAGCTCCACCTCCCGGGTTCACGGCATTCTACTGCCTCAGCCTCCCCAGCAGCTAGGACTACAGGCGCACACCGCCACGCCCAGCTAATTTTTGTATTTTTAGTAGAGACAGGGTTTCACTGTGTTAGCCAGGATGATCTCTGTCTCCTGACCTTGTGATCCGCCCCCCACCCCAGCCTCTCAAAGTGCTGGGATTACAGGCATGAGCCACCGCGCCTGGCCATGATTTCAGTTTTTAAAAATGTGTTGTGACTTGTTTTTTGGCCTAACGCATAGTCTGTTGTGGAGAATAATCCGTATGCTATTCAGTGGAATGTGCATTGCGCAGTTGTGGAATGGAAAGCTGTGTAAATGTTAGGTCTATTCGGTATAGAGTACAGTTTAACTGATGATGTTTTGTTGTCTGGATGATCTGTCCGTTGAAGATAGTGGGGTGTTGATTATAGCGGAGCATTGAGGCATTCTGTTACTGTATTGCAGTCTACGCTTTAAGATCTGTTAATATTTGCTACTGTATTTAGTTGCTTGAGTGCTGGTTGCATATGCACTTGTAATTGTTCTGCTGTTTACTTCTTTCTCATTATATAATTATCTTCATATTTTTCTTTTTTTGACTGAAAGTCTATATAATCTAAGTAGAGCTACTCCTGCTTTTTTTGTTTCCACTGGTATGGGATATCATTTATCATGTCTTCACTTTCAGTCTATGTATGTTTATAGGTGAACTGAGTTTCTTGTAGGCAGTATATAATTGGGTCTTGTCTTTTAATCCATTCAGCCACTCTGTCTTAATTGGAGAATTTTATTCATTTATATTCAAGGTTATTATTAACGGGTAAAAACATACTACTGCCATTTTTTACTTGTTTTCTGGTGGTTTTGCTATTCCCTCTTTTTTCTTTTGTTCTTTCTCCCTTCCTTCCTCTTTCTCTTCTCTCTGATCTCTTTCTTTCTTTTCTTTCCTCCTTCCCTTCCTTCCTGTCTATTTGTAGTGAGGTAATTTTTTCTGGTAGTGTGTTTTAATTGCTTGCTTTTCATTTTTAGGGTGTCTATTATTGATTTTTGTTTTCCAGTTACCATGAGGCTAAACAACATAATTATAACAAGTTATTTTAAACTGAAGAAAACTTAACTTTGATTTGTCCCAGCTACTCCGGAGGCTCAGGTGGGAGGATTGCTTGACCCTGGGAGGCCAAGGTTACAGTGAGTTGAGATCACACCACTGCGAATATAAATAAATAAATAAACAAACAATAGCTTATAATGAATTCTGATTGTAAATTTTGAGATGATGATAAGGTATAAAGAAGAAAGTGCAAATCATTCATAATCTCATTACTCAACTACTCCTAATGTTTTGGTACATATGCTTCCTAATTCATAACTCTCTCTCTCTCTGTCTCTCTCTGTCTCTCTCTCTCTCACACACACTCACACACACACACACACACACGTACACATAAAATAGATATATTTTACACACAGATACAATTTTATTGTAACATTTTAAGAAAAACAGCTTTGTAATTTTTTATTTAAAAATATTGGCTGGGCGTGGTGGCTCATGCCTGTAATCCTAGCACGATGGGAGGCCGAGGCGGGCGGATCACGAGGTCAGGAGATCGAGACCATCCTGGCTAACACAGTGAAACCCCGTCTCTACTAAAAATACAAAAAAAAAAAAATTAGCCGGGCGTGGTGGCGGGTGCCTGTAGTCCCAGCTACTTGGGAGGCTGAGGTAGGAGGATGGCGTGAACCCAGGAGGTGGAGCTTGCAGTGAGCCGAGATGGCGCCACTGCACTCCAGCCTGGGTGACAGAATGAGACTCCATCTCAAAAAAAAAAAAAAAAACTCAAAACTGACATGGCAGTGGTGAGTGTGGGATCCTGGGCATCCCTGGGAGAATTGGGGCTCCCCCAAGAGCTCCTGGGACCACTGCTGGGAGGGGCCTTCAAGGTTAGGGTGGCCGGGTAGGGGCTGGGCCTGACCTGAGACCCTGCCCACCAGGCCTCTTCCAGGCCAGGTTTGCTGTGCTGGGTGGGAACGTGGGAGAAGTCACTCTCTATCTGCGGCCCCCATCAGTGCCTCTGCCACCCGGCCCAGAGGGGGCAGGGACTCTGGGGCGGACAAGGCTGTGGGGGTGGTGATTATACCCAGGATCGGCCAACATTGTCTGCACAAGGGTGGAGGCTGAGAGAGAGGCCTCGGGAATCTGGCTGTGAGGACGGGCCTGGGGTGGGAAAGCCCCCTACATGGGGAACCCTCAGGTTCCGGGCTGCTGACCGTGCCCATCCTGCTCCAGCCCACTCCCCCACTGCCCCCGGTGCCACCGACCAAACAGCAGTACCTATGCCAGCTGCTCCTGGATGCCATCCTGGCCAACATCCGCTCACCCTCTTCAACCATTCCCTGTACCGCACAATCATTCCAACCATGACTGCCATCCACAGCCCACCCATCACGTACATCCAGCTGGGCTGGGCTTCGCGGAGGGTGGCTGCCTGGCCCTGGGCCATGTGTGCCCAGTGTGGTCACCATGGTGCCTCCCCAAGGCCCCAGTGGTATGCACCCTGAAGCACAGGCTTGAGGACGATGAGCAGCAGAGCATCCCCAGCGTGCTCCAGGGCCTGGTGGCCAGGCTGGAGCCCAAGTGCATGATAAACCTGGACCCTTCTCACTGCAGCAACAATGGCACTGTCTGCCTGATCTGCAAGCTGGGCGAGTGTCCAGGAGGGCCAGGCTGGTGCAGGAAAGCAACCCCCGACCGCAGCCCCAGGTCTCTGCTGTCCAAGCCAGAGGGTACAGTGCCCAGACCCCATCCTGTGTTTACGTGCCAGCAGGCTGTCTGCTCTGTCTTCACATACACTGGGCCCAGGACAGACTGGCCATGCCTCTGCCCCCACCCCCGGAGCCCACTCACCCTCACCTCCCCAACACAGATGCGGCTCTGCTTGCCTGGGGCCTTAGGGAGGTGGCAGGCAGGACCTCTGGGCACCCATCTATGCAGGTCACTCTGGCTTCAGGTTTGGAAATCCAAGAGTCAGAGAGACATCCAG
The DNA here is from genome assembly GCF_000001405.40 of Homo sapiens. Classification (NCBI taxonomy): domain Eukaryota; kingdom Metazoa; phylum Chordata; class Mammalia; order Primates; family Hominidae; genus Homo; species Homo sapiens. The sequence goes on along the minus strand of NC_000002.12, from coordinate 131,202,186 downwards.
GCTTTGCCGCAAGCCTCACCAGAACCTCCCGGGGTGTGAAGAGTCCTGTTTGGGAGCAGGGCTGTGAGGCGGGGCAGGCCAGGGCTTGTCTGGGTCACGGGTACAGCCTTGTGTGTTGCAAACGACAAGGACCTCCCAAGTGTGCCACCATGTGCCCACCCACTACCCTACCCAGAGTCCACTGTGGATGGACCGGCAGTGGCTATACAGTGGGCAGACCCAGAGGAGCTGTCTGGGGGCCCAGGGCAGGCAGTGGTCATTCTGGAACACCAGGCTTCCAGTGCTGCAGGGACAGCCTCTGTGCACTCCAGCCCCTCCCAGCTCAGGCCCGTCCCTCCCCTCTTCTGACTCCCCCTACGCGGGCAGCAGTGGGTTTTCCAGTGGTCACCTGAGAGATAGGGGTCTCTGCTCTTCTTCTGTGTCCCTTTGCCCCTTCATCTTGTGTCAGGTCAGTTGTCCAGGGTGGCTGTGTTCAGTGGCTGAGGGGTGAGAAAGCCTACGGCTCAAGGACAGACCCCACTTCTCCCAGAGGCCACTAGGGAGCTCAGCGGGGCTGACAGGTCCTACCAGTAGCTTGGGCACACAAGACCCCATCTGGGTGATGTGGCTCCAAAGAGAGTCATGTTGACAGGGGTCAGTGTCCCTGAGCCCAGAGCTGGCACACAGCAGAGACAGGGTTGGGTCCCCAAGGTTGTCAGAGGCAAAGCCTTGGGCTCCAAATCCCGTTCAGATTCAGTTCTTCACTGACGAGGCTCTGGGAGGAGAGGCCGATGGCCAGGCAGGCAGCGTGCAGGGCTCCTCCTGGTGCTTCAGCCAGTCCTGGGTCTGCCACTTCCCAGAGCACTGTCGGGTGTGCAGGGCGTGGGTGCAGCGCCGGCTGCCCCAGGCTCATGCCCACTGTTCTGTTGCAGGCACCAACCCCTTCCTCAGGTCAGTGCACCGCTGTGTGACCTCCAAGCGGCCACAGCTCCCAGACAAGCACTCGGTTACCACCTTGCTCAACACCTGTGCCCGGAGCATCCACAAGGCCTGCCTCTCAGCTGCATAGCCAGGACTGCAGGGATGGCCCGCAGCCTCATCGGGGCCAAGGACGCATGCCTCCTGTCAGACACTTCTAGGTGTTGGTGTCCATGGAGAGCCTGGAGTTAGGTTAGCTTTCCTCCTTTTCTCTCCTGCCTTGGGGATCTGCCAAATGAAATCCCGCACTTGTACAGACTGATACGGGCAAAGTGGAGCGGGCTGCCTGCAGGGCGTTGGCCGTCTTCTTGGAGAAGGCACTCCATGTGACTTCCTCCACGAAGCCAGACATGGTCCCCAGCCACGATCCTTGGGCTGCTCTCACCACGGCCTGTCCAGGGTCTGGGTGAGTCTCAGCAGCATGAGGGTGTGCTCAGGGTGTTGTTAGAGCATCGGTGTGTGCTCGACACGCTCCTGCTGCTTTCTATAGGAGAACACAGAGGACATAGGAAACCCTTCAAACACACATGGGATTCTCTGCTCACAGTTTTGGGTTCAGGCTGCGCTGCTTTGGGCAAGTGGGGCACCCCCTAGGGAAGCCCCTGAGTGCAGGGCACAGGCTGCCTCTTTTAATACTTGTTTTTTTCTCATACTCAGGATCTATACTGTAGACTTTATAAACACTGTACCCTTAAGCTACACCAAATTTATAAAAAATATTTTTTCTTCGATAATTAACTTTTCTGTAGCTTTTAAAATTTATGAACTTTTAAATTTTTTAACTTTTTGACTCTTGTAATAACAGCTTAAAACACATTGTACAGCTAGCTGTATAAAAATATTTCTTTATAGCCTGTAAGTTTTTTTTTATTTCAGAAATGTTCTATTTTAATTTTCAGTTTGAAAACTCTGTTAAAAACTGACACAAACATATACATTAGCCTAGGCCTACATGGGGTCAAGATCATCAGTGTTACTGTCTTCCACCTCCACATCTGCTCCCATTGGAAGGTTTTTAGGGGAAATAACGTGTGGATCCAGCTGTCATCTCTTGTGGTAACAATGCCTTTTTCTGGAGTACCTCCTGAAGGACCTTCTGAGGCTGTGTTTCATAGTTAACTTTTTATCTTTAAGTAGGAGTATACTCTAAAATAACAATAAAATGTATACCATAGTAGACTGGGCCTGGTGGCTGACGCCTGTAGTCTCAGCACTTTGGGAGGCCAAGGCGAGTGGATCACCTGAGGTCAGGAGTTGAGACCAGCCTGGCCAACATGGCAAAAGCCCTTCTCTACTAAAAATACAAAAAAATAAGTCAGGCGTAGTGGCTTGCAGCTGTAGTCCCAGCTACTCGGGAGGCTGAGGCAGGAGAATTGCTTGAACCCAGGAGGCGGAGGTTGCAGTGAGCCGAGATCACGCCACTGCACTCCAGCCTGGGCAACAGAGTGAGACTCCATCTTAGAAAAAAAGTGTATTATAGTAAATACATAAACCAGTAACAGTTATTTATTCTCATTATCAAGTACTGTATATTATACATAATTGAATGTGCTATACTTGTTTTATATGACTAGAAGTGAAAGTTTGTTTACACCAGCATCGCTGCAAACAAAAAGTAATGCATTGTGCTTGGACATTATGATGGCTATGTCACTAGGCGATAGGAGTTTTTCAGCTGTGTTACATATTGTCTATCATTGACTGAAATGTTGTTATGTGGCATAAGACTCTATTTACTTTTTTGGAAATTATTCTTAAATAAGGAAAAATTCTGCCATTTACTACTTGTTCCCTGATCTTATGTTTCTGTGCAATGGCTGCATCAGAGAAGAGTCGTTTGATAGTTACACTTAGTTACGTCAAAGTAAATACATCTGTTTAACCAAAGTTTCAGCTTGATCTAAGGTGAAACACCTCAACTTAGAGTGAGGAAAAAATACAGTTGAAAGAGACCAAACAGTAAAACCAGAATTTGTTAAATCATTTAGTAAAACATTTGCCTAGGGGTTAAGGGGCAGTTATAAATATAAAAGCAAACTATTAGTAAGTTTTGCTATTTCTCTTCTGTAGTGACATTCTTGAGTATAAGCGTGTGCATTTAAATAGCTATTCTTCCCTTCTGAGGACTACAGCCCTTCAGTATTCTTGGGTATAATAACAAATGCATGTTTCACTTAAACACTGAAGACGGTTCATTTGTGTTGTAGATATGCATGTCCGCTTTTTAACTTTGAAAGGCAGCCTGTTTACTTGGACATTTGTATTATGGGTCCAGAGTTGGTACACAGTCTACTATTTCTATGTTATATATATGTTTACATAAAGGCATTCATGTCAAAATCAGATAGTTTTGTGTTCTTTTAAAGAAGAAAAGGAAAATATGTTATAATAATAGGTGATACTAGATCTAGAATATAATTGTTGGATTTTTGGTTGAAAAACATCTATGATTATTTTAATTCATCCTATGTCTCTGTAATGAAAACATGTTTTCCATAAGTTTACCTTTCTCAGAATTCTTCCTGTTTTATGAATGTTCTTCAGGCAAAATGCGTGCATTCTGTAACTTGAAAGAGATGGAGTGCCATCGAAGGAAAAAGCAAATTTTACAATTAAACTAGTAAATACAGAGATTGCCTAGATAATATATTTCATTAATTCTAAGAAGCACTTATTTTTACTCTTCTCTGAAATTGGGAGTGTATCTTATTTTAGATGGTGTCTTACAATTGACAGCGGGTTTTCATTCCTTTTGGGACATCAAATAATGCTGCATCTTACAACGGACAATACTGTAGAGTCTGTGAAATACTTGTGTGTATGTGTGTGGGGAATGTTTGTTAATGAGTTACCCAGTGTGGAGATTTGTGAGAACTAGAGACCAAATGTCTTTTCCCTTATATTTTTACATTTTGGAAAATCGTTTTTTACACAGGAGGTTTTTTACAACCTGATATTAAGCTTTTAGTATTGTAATAGATTTTCATTGTTTTATTAGATTGATTAAAAAGTAATATAAATGATGCAAAAACAATTTCCATTTTTTTAAGCTTAATAATACTGACCTTATGCTTACTATTGAGTGTTTCTACCTATACCACACATTTGGTAGTATAAGAATAGCTTTTTTCAAAGTTTTTTCATAATAAATTTCTTTTAAAAGGTTGGATAGCTATTATCCTGAGTCTTATGTCTGATACCATGTTTTTGTTTGGTTTTTAGACTCTTACATTTAAAGAAAAAGTAACAAGCCTTAAATTTAAAGAAAAACCTACAGACCTGGAGACCAGGAGCTGTAAGTATCTTCTCTTGTCCATGGTGAAACTAATTCATGCAGATCCAAAGCTCTTGCTTTGTGTAAGTGTTTTTTTATGAAATGTCTCAAAATTACCACACTAAGTTCATTTGGTTTGACTGAAACACCAAGACCTTGAGGGTAATTTTTAGCTCAAGAGCACTTACTGATCCTTTCTGATCATAACTGAAAACTAAGACGTCTCTAAGAATCCTAATGTATAATGAATACTGATATAATTAGATCAGATTCTTAATTGCCCTTACCATTTCTTAACATTTCTCTTTCTTCTTAATTTCCCTGTCATTCAACTAACATGCTTAACATAACTAAGCTTCTCCAAACTTGTATTCATTATGGGAGAATGCCATTCTTATGTCTGGTTATATCTGCATTAGGTTATTATTGATGCTAGTAACAATGAACTTTATGTTACTGCAGCTCACAAATGTATTTTTACATCTGCAAGAAATTAACTAGTCGTCAAATGCTTAGTAGCACAGAAATTCTCAAGTGGTTGCAGGAAATTTTGACCTGCAGGAATAAATTTCTTCTTTAAAATAAGGTAAGCAAAATGACATCTTTAAAAAATGGGAGAATATTTGGAATGGTGATGGGGAGAGATTAAGAAAGTGTTTTATAGCCAAATTAGTTTCTATTTCAGCTCCTCCTTCCCCCCAAGGTTCTCAAAAGGATACATATGTGCAGAGGACAAGGGCTGGCAAATTAGCACTTTAAAAATTATTCTGAAACTTTGGCCTTAAAACCACACTGTTGATGAATTCTAGTTCTAGTTGAGTAAATAGGTGTCTATGGGACAGGCCTAGGAAAAGTGGTGACTGCCGTAACCAAAGTAGCTTGAGGAGCATATTCTATCTTTACTCTCAAGTTCACACATAGATATAATTCATACATAAAATTTATTTTAACATATAGCTTCTATAATTAATCTAAGAATTCTATTATGGCATAGATTTGGGAGTACTTGATTTAATGAGTTTTTTGTCCAGTTCTAGAATCATAGCTCTGAGAAATCGTAAAGGCCTAGATGTTGTGGCTAGACTAGTCCAGAGAATTATCTATCAAGAAGCAAAAGGGAAAAGGTTGAGGGTCCTCAATCTAGGTTTATTTCTATTCCTCCAATAAGAGTTTCACATCTTGAAAATTTCACAACACTTCTTGGGGTGGAGTGAAATTTTTTGATTCTGAACTATTGAAACATGGTGAGGTTGTGGAGGATAGAAAAGAGTCTTACATTTCTTTTAACGTATAGTTTCTATAGTTAAACAATTTAGGAATTCTATTATGGCCTAGTTTTAGGAATACTTGATTTAATGAGTTTTTATCTGGTACTAGAAGCATAGCTGTGAAAAACCTTAAATGTATGAAACTCATATCCTTTTCAATATTATACAGCTTGTTATTAATAAATTGTCTCTGTTTAGAAATAGACTAATGGTGAAGTGGATTTATTCACATCTGGCTTATTTGATGTGTTAATATAGCAGAATTTGGCATTATTCCAAACATATGGAAAGAGATTAGACTTCAGACTTTCGTGCCCTTGCCTATGGTATAATCTCCAGAATATGAGTATGAGGAATCCAGTAATGAATTCGTAGTGCCCTGGTCAGCACAGTCACTCTTGTGACATACTTGGTGTATATACCAGGGTTAATTACTGGTCCAGAAGAACTTAATCTCAGAGTCAATTTCTAGTTATGCCAACATGGCACAGGATAAAATCTTGTGGAAAAAAAATCTTTGTCATTGAGATCAAATTATAGTTTTCATACAGTGGATTTACATTGTTGATGTTTTACTTATGTTTATGTTAGACTTAATTTATATTTGTAGAATCTACTGTTTCTGATTATTTAGAGAATGATTGAAACTGAAAGAAATTTTAAAGACATTAAGTGAACATTATTTGTTCTAATGGGTTTCTAGTGAATTTCCTTCAAGATGGGGCATAGAGATTGAGGGGAGAGGTTTTCTAGGAGAGTCTCAAACAGGAAGACCACCCATATAAGTGTTTATTCCTCTTGGTTGTCAGTGCATCAGTAAAGCTTATTTCTTTCTTTTTTCTAGCAGGCAGATAGAAATTCCTGTCACTTTCTCCTTTTTTATGGAGTAGGATGTGATACTCCTTCTAGTGGAAATACCAGTCAAATGTCCGTGGGTCTTGAAGTGTCACTGCATACTCCTGAGCCTCTCTCCAGAAGGGAAAAGGGAACTCCTCTATGGTCAGCTTCTTTTGTAATTTTCCTGTATCATCTCGTGTGCTCTATTTGTTTTCTGAATGAACTTTGGTAAATTTCATCCAGGTAATATAGTGTAATAGTGAAAAACTGCTTAGACTCTAGTTCTATCACTGCTCTTTATGGAACTTTGGGCAAATTCTTAACACCCTTGTTCCTCAATTCCTCAGTTTTAAAATGGGGACAATAATAATTCCTGCTCCAGAGTTGTTGTAAGGGTTAAATAAAAAAATGTCTAATTAGCCGGGCGCGGTGGCAGGCGCCCATAGTCCCAGCTACTCAGGAGGCTGAGGCAGGAGAATGGAGTGAACCCGGGAGGCAGAGCTTGCAGTGAGCCGAGATAGTGCCACTGCACTCCAGCCTGGGTGAAAGAGCGAGACTCCGTCTCAAAAAAAAAAAAAAAAAAAAAGGTATATATAGCACTTGACACTTAAAAGCTGTATCTGATAACCTCCACCTCATGAAAACCCATTCATACCATAGAAGTATAGAATTTGTACCAGCTAACAAAGGTACAGATGTAAAAGGATAAAAACAAAGTATTTTGCTTCATGTTAAAGATAAGTGTTTCTGTGATTTGCGTTAGTGTGTATTATTTCCTTTAAATATAAATCATATTTCAAGTGAAAATATCAGATCATTAGAGAAGAGTTTATTTTCCAAACCAAAATGTTTTTCATCCCTAATTTTTAATATAACCTTGTTAAAGAAAAAAACATCTAAGCAGTATGCTATTTATTATTGTCTGTTTTACTTGTAGAATTTGCATTTATTTTGTCAATTATTTTCTCCATTTCATGTTTGGGGAATAGGTAATTCAGAATCAAGTCTATCTTCTACAGCAATATTTAGTTCTTGTTTATGCCCTTGTTTCAATGAGTGCCGCAGTGTACTTATTTTATTACTTTCCTATAGCAAGTAGATAGAATTTCCTGTTACTTCCTCTGTTTTTGTCATTTGTAATTGACTGGGAAGTACATTATATCATTACTGCAGTAGATTTATGTTATGGTGTTTTACCCATCCATGTTAGAATCAGTTTATATTTCTGGAATCTGGAATAGGATCATACCTATTTGATTTGAAATTGGACAGATAGTAGCTTTATGTTGGTCCAGAAAATCTCATTTCTCATTTGGACAAGATATTTTGGGGTTTGAAAAATTCCTATAATGATTAAAGGAGAAAGCTCTTGCGAGTTATTGTATGCTGAGATATATATGGACACACACACACACACACACGCATACACAGTTTATTGCGTCATTGGGTTTTTTACATGAAACTACCCAAGTTGCAAATATACGTCTACCACCCTTGACTCTCAGGATAGTGCAGCAGGATGCAGCGGAGCCCCCCGACTTGCCGACAAGCGCAGACCAGTCTAGAAGTGGCCCTGTACATGTTTCTGCAGAACCCTGACACTGAAGCTGTTCTGGTTGCCATGTCCTGTTTCTGCCACCTCTGTGAGGAAGCAGATACCCAGTGTGGGGTGGATGAAGTGTCAGTGCATAACCTCTTGCCCAACTCTAACACATTCATGGAGTTTGCCTGTCAGCAATGTGATGTCAACAGGTAAATGGGAATAGTGGTTTTTTTACTCAACCTGCCTGAAGCACATGGCATCTGATTGTGAGAATGTATTTAAGGTTACTATTCTGTAAGTTTACAGGGGAAATTCAAGTAGCTTACTTGAAATCCTTTTCTGAACAAAGTAGGATGAAAATAAAAAGCATTTGAAATAAATTGTGAGTCTCCCACTGAGTTTTTAATATGCTATACATTTTAAAACTAACTGGCAGTATATGTTACTATCAGTTATGACTATGTAATTTACATATGGAGTTATGGATAACTCCATGAGTAAATTATAGGTGGGAATGGCTATTTTGTGCTGTGGACATTGTAGAGTCTAAGATAAGTACCTTTCCTGTGAGGTTAGTGAACGAAGTTTTTGGCTTTATCACTTGAGGCATTTGCTCTGCTCCTCCTACTCTGCCTTTTGGGTGGGGCTTATCAGGTTCTCCATTGGCAGGCAGGGCTCTAAGTGCAGTGACTTGATTGGCTGTTGTAGTTGCTTAGGAACAGCAGCACTTCAGAAAGAGTGATGGCACTGCTGAGGCGCACTGAGCATCCCACTGCAGGAAACACTGAGGTGTGCCCTTAGCAACAGAAACACCCCTCTCAGGCGCCCACCCTCAATTTTGGAAGCCTCTTGTTACATATGTGTGATGAGGAATAGCTTTTGAAGTAAATCCAAGATATGTGCATATCGCAAGTACAATATCTGAGTACTTAATATATATCAAGTTTCAAGCTTGGCTGTTGCTGATTGATGTTTAGCTCTAGACTTAAAGTTGCTTTCAAGTGATAACTGTCTTCATTTTAGGCTTGGGAAGATACACATGCAAAATGGGAACAAGCAACAAAACTAATCCTTAGCTATCCAAAAGCCCAAGTGGAAGATGGCCAGGTAAGTTTGTAAAGTTGCCTTTTGTCTATTAACTGATCTAAATATATGTACTTCACTTTGGTAATCTTTCACGAGTCACTCAGTAAAATAAGCATATAGTTGTCTGAAGACTGTTATTTAGTTGTGGTTTGTCTAGACCTGTACTTTGTAATATGATAGCCACTAGCTACGTGTGACTATTTAACTTAAATTTTAACATAATTAAAATTAAATACAATTTAGTTCCTCAGTCATATAGTAGCCACATTGCAAGTACCCGGTAGCCACATATGACAATTACTTACTCTGTTAGACAGCAGAGAGAGAAAGTATTTCCATCATCACAGAAATACTGGGCAGCACTGCTAGAGACTGTTTGTTGCAGAGACCATTTCTTTATCTTTTCTTGCTCTTTCTCCCTTCATCAGGGTGTTTCACAGAATTTTCAGAAAAGGAGCAACAGAGGTAGAGAAAAATTAACATGGGAACAATTCATTTTGCCATTTTGTTAGGTATTCTAATTAAGGAATGTCTTGGGCAGAAGATTGAGCCCATAGATTAAATGAAATTTTAAAATGTGGACAGTTCATTCAACTATTACTATTGACTGTATTATCTGTTGCTTTGGAAATTGATGAGTTGGTGTTTGTGTGTATATGATTTATAATGCTCATATTGCTCTCATTATTAGGAGATTTATAAAAACTGGCTCTTCCCCCATGTTATTTTTCTGTCATGCTTAATTACAATAAGAAAAAAGTTATATTTTAGTGAAGCAAAATTGTGTACCTAATACCTTTATTTGGAGGGGACATGTAGCTTTAGAATGAAAGCTTTTGGGGGATAACTGTTACTATAATATATAATTACATACCATACAATTCACCCATTCAAAGTGTCCAATTCAGTGACTGTTGTTAGCATATTCACAGAGTTGTGCAACCATCACCACCATCAGTTTCAGAACAATTTCATCAATTGAGAAAAAAAACTCTGTATCCTTTAGCTATCTCTGCCTCTAACAACTCCCCCACTTTCTTGTCTCACTTCCCCCCGCCTCTCCAACCCTGGGCAACCAGGAGTCTACTTTGTCTCTATAGATTTGCCTATTCTGGATATTTTCTGTAAATGGAGTTTTAGAATATGTGGGCTTTTATGATTAGCTTCTTTCACTTAGCATAATGTTCCCAAGGTTCATCCATGTGAAATCAAAGCTTTTTAAAAGAAATTTGATACTTGGGCAATTATATTACTGTATGACAAAAATAAATCAGTGGCTCTTTAAAAATGTATATGGTAATTTAGGGGGTTGATTTTAATGTATTTTTTACATTTTTTTGTACTTTTGTCACGGACGAAATGTTGGATAACGAGTAATTTGTCAAGTCTCAACTAATTTAGGTTTAATTCATGCTTTGCACAAAAATTTTGTGTTTAGGCTGTTGAAAGCTTCACAAGACCATTGTTAAGAGGCGAATGTCCCATGTGAGTGGAGGAGGACCCATAGATCTGTCTGACACAGACTCCCTACAGGCATGGATCAACATGACTGGCTTCCTTTGTGCCCTTGGGGGAGTGTGCCTCCAGCAGAGAAGTAATTCTGGCCTGCCAACCTATAGCCCACCCGTGGGTCCGGTCAGTGAACATAAGGGTTCCATGATTTCAGTGATGTCCTCAGAGGGAAACGCAGATACACCTGTCAGCAAATATATGGATCAGCTCTTGTCGTTAATGGTGTGTAACCTTGAGAAAGTGGGACTTCAAATACCGACCAATGATAAGGACCTGGTGGGTCTAGAATTGAGTCCTGCTCTTTATCTGATGCTATTTAACAAATTGAAGAAGACCCATCAGCAAGTTTTTTGACTCCTAAGGACAGGTAAAGTGTGCTCTTTTTTATTTTTCACCTTTCCCTATGAATAGAGTGACTTGTTTGAAATAATGAAGGCTGTTTCTTTCAGAGTATTTAAATTAGGTACTCACAGTTTTTAAAAATTGTCAAAAAATTGTAGAAAGAAGAATCATCTCAATGAATGGTCAGCTTGCTTCTAGGAACTCTGATGTGTATGTGTGCCTGAGGGTATACGTGCCTTGTATATGGGTATGAGTGTCTGTGTATATCTGTGTGCCTGTTTGACTGCGTGCCTGTGGGTGCATGTCTCTATTTGTGTGTTTAGATCAGTCAGTTTCATCTCTCTAGGGATCTGTCTTCTGGGCATTGATGGCAAATCATTAATATATTTGTTCTCTCTATAGGTTTTATTGACTGATACCAATACTCAATTTGTAGAGCAAACCCTAGATATAATGAAGAACTTGCTAGATAATCATACTGAAGGCAGCCCTGAACATCTAGAGCAAGCTAGCATTGAAACAATGATGTTAAATCTGGTCAGGTAAGCCTTCTACTGAAATGTAGCAGAAACATACTTTAAGATTTAAGAGACAAGAAAAACCTCTCACACATTGATATTGATAGTAATTGATAAAATAATTTGCCATTCTTTACTGCACACAAACGGTGTGAAAATAAGGTAACCAGAAATTGTGTATGCTCTCCTACAAATAAATATCTTACTGTTTTCAAACTTACATTTAGTTCGTTTTATTTGATGATTAAAGTATTTTGAATGCCTTATCTTATGTCTGTATCTGATAATTTTTTTATTGTCTCTATGTCTGTATAGGTACGTTTGTGTGCTTGGGAATATGGTCCATGCAATTCAAATAAAAACGAAACTGTGTCAGTTGGTTGAAGTAACGATGGCAAGGAGAGATGACCTCTCATTTTGCCGAGAGATGACCTCTCATTTTGCCAAGAGATAAAATTTAGGTGAGTTCTCAAAAGAGCAATGTAGGGTCTTGTAAATCTTAGTTTGTTCAATGAAGTACAGAAATAGAGTAGATATCTGGTTACTGGTAGAAAGGAAGACATAAAAAGAGAGCAGTTTACATGTTTGTTTTTCTCTATGTCTCTCCTCAGATTTCCCTAAGCTTTGTGCCTGTGGCAAGCCTCCCTTTTTCTAAAACTCTGCTGTACTTGAGCTAAGAATTTGATTCTGTTTCCAATCTGATAGCATAACTAAGGGCCATGATGGAGGATAAATATCCACGTTGCTTGTTCCTTCTGGCTTTTACATCTATGATAGCAGTATCTCTTTTATAAAGTCGTCATGTCACCTGGGTTATCTGCCAAATTATTTGCACTGTAAGTAATCTTACATGACTAAAGGTGTGTGTGTGGGGGTGAGGTGTGACTTCAAAAAAATTGTTTGCTGTTTCTCTTTTCTCCACCATTCTATAGGAATAAGATGGTGGAATACCTGACAGACTGGGTTATGGGAACATCAAACCAAGCAGCAGATGATGATGTAAAATGTCTTACAAGGTAAAAAAAAATGACTTTCCAATATTAGTGGGTTTTACTGTGAGAATTGTAACTACTTCATTACAGCTTTATACTTGTATTTTATGTGTATTTAAACTTTTTAGATGTAAAACTTTTGTGTTCAAAATATGTAAAGACACTAATCTTTATTACTACTTTTTCTTGACCGATAGACTTTCAGGAAAAATAAATGTGCGAGAGCGGTATGTTTGGGAAGTTATTGCTGTCAGTTTATGAAGAATAGTCTACAGTTATTGGGAAATAAGATACATAAAGCCTCAGATTGCATTTATGTTATGATTAGATAGATAAAGGTATTATTTGAGAAACTCATTGTGTTGAGTCTAAGAAACAATTGATTTCCTGATTCAAACACCAGAGATAGACAAAAAAAGGAAGTAATTAAGTCTACTTTAATGATAAATACTTATTGACACATATCAGAAAGTGATTAAACACTATGGACTGTATAATAAGCATTTACATATGTTTCTTTGACAAAGCCGAGCTTTATAATACGGTCGTCTCTCAGTATCTGTCAGGGATTGGTTCCAGGAACCACCCCCCAAACTCCTGCCCACATCTCACTCCCATGAACACTAAAATCCACAGACTCAAGTCCCTGATACAAAATGTCATAGTATTTGCATATAAACTATGCACATCCTCCCATATATTTTAAATATTTTTAGATTACTTATAATATCTAATACAATATAAATGTTATATAAATAGTTGTTATACCATATTGTTTAAGGAATAACAACAAAGAAAAATCTGTACATGTTGAGTATTTGAAATCAAGGAGATTAGGTTGGACTTTCAATAAATGGTGTTGATAAAACTGAGTAATGATCTGGAAAAATATCTTCATACCATTTGTGAGGATAAACTCCCATCAATCAAAACAGCATGGCAAAGCAAGGCCTTTTTCATCCATTCAAAATCCATAAGCTAGAAAGGAAAAGATTGATAAAATGAATTCATTCAAAAATCATAAACTTCTGTCTGGGACAAAAATGTCATGAGTAAAAACAATCCTATGGTTAATATCCTCATCCAATAGTTCTCTTAGAATAGTCATAGAAGTGCTTTTGTGGCTCAAAGAGCAATACCTTGAAATTTTTGGTGCATGTTGTCAGATTACCCTTTAGAATGCCTGTTGCTTTTAAAATATTTTTTATTTTAGTATTTTATTGTTTATCCAATTATAGACTATTTTACATACTCAGTAGACAACATAAAGCCTCAGAGGTACTCTGTTCTTTTTCTTTTAGGCATCAGGTACATGAAAAAGAAGACATCAAGGCTTTGAAAACGTTAAGTATTTTCTACCAAGCTGGGGCTTCCAAAGCTGGGAATCCTATTTTTTATTATGCTGCACGGGGTAAGAAATACTATGTTTGGTGTCTCCTCTCAACAGAATTTTTTCAATGATAGCAATTATAGAGACGGCAAGTTTGGTTTTTCATATTTGACTTAACAAGAATTGAAGACAAGTTTACCTGGGAGCATACAGTGGGTTTAAATAGCCTGCCTTTCCTAAAATGATGGTCAGTATCTAGTAACTGCTTTTCAGACTACCCATTTCATAGGGGTTTCCCTGTCCTACATCATTTTTTTAAATACTGCCTACAATGGATTAATTACCAAGAGTCAAAAAACCACAAAGCATCTTTTGTTTTCAAGTATATTCTGATTAAATAGTACAACATGATAAGCGGGAACTTTTTTTAAAAGAAGAAATAAAACTGTAAGAGCCTGTTTCTGAGAACTTTTAAAAATATGCTGTGTAAGACAGCATCAGGGTGATTTAGAAAATAATTCAAAGGGGTGGTGGGAAATCATGAAGATGGTGCAAGGGGTGGCCTGGAAAATGGTGCTTGTTCGTGCTGCCCTCAGTCGAGGCTGGTTCCTAGAAAGCCTTTCTGGAAATGTTGTGAGCTCTTCCTTAATAATAGATATGATGCTTGCATTGCCTTCCCTATCATTGTCTTTTTTTCTTGCCTCATTTTACCTTCCTTTTGAAAACTCTTCTGTGACATTATTTGGTCCCATTTACCATAACATACATTCATGGTCATTGAGCCTTAGAGACAACATGATACGTATAGAGACCACTGATTTTGGAATCTCAAGGATCATGTTTAGACTTAGTTCTGCCACTCATTAGCTATAGACTTAATCTTTACCAGTTTCCTGGATTTAACAGTGTTTAACATCCATGACCATTAAGTTAGTAGACATACATTGTTAGTCAATTTGCTGGCCACAGGTGGCAGTGTGTAGGAAACAAACTGAGGTTGAGAAATAGTGGAGAGGCGGTGAAGAATCAGTGGAAGATGGGAAACTTGTCTAATTAGGTCCTTCAGATAGCCTTAAGACCAAGAAGTCCAAAGGACTGGAGCATTAGGGAATCAAGAAAATAAGAAAATTGTGTTGAACCTCCCCTTCCCCCGCCCTTTAGCAATTCTAAGTAACCCCTTCTCACCTTCCCATGAAAGGCCTCTCTCCAGCTCTCATCTCAGTTGCTATTTCTAAATTGCCTAAGATAATTTTAATTTTCTTTTTTTTTTTTGGGATTTTAGCATTCTAATTTTTTTTATTATTATACTTTAAGTTTTAGGGTACATGTGCACAACGTGCAGGTTTGTTACATATGTATACATGTGCCATGTTGGTGTGCTGCATCCATTAACTCGTCATTTAACATTAGGTGTATCTCCTAATGCTATCCCTACCCCCTGCCTCCACCCCACAACAGGCCCCGGTGTGTGATGTTCCCCTTCCTGTGTCCATGTGTTCTCATTGTTCAATTCCCACCTATGAGTGAGAACATGCAGTGTTTGGATTTTTTGTTCTTGTGATAGTTTGCTGAGAATGATGGTTTCCAGATTCATCCATGTCCTTACAAAGGACATGAACTCATCATTTTTATGGCTGCATAGTATTCCATGGTGTCTATGTGCCACATTTTCTTAATCCAGTCTATCATTGTTGGACATTTGGGTTGGTTCCAAGTCTCTGCTATTGTGAATAGTGCCGCAATAAATATACGTGTGCATGTGTCTTTATAGCAACATGTTTTATAATCCTTTGGGTACATACCCAGTAATGGGATGGCTGGGTCAAATGGTATTTCTAGTTCTAGATCCCTGAGGAATCGCCACATTGACTTCCACAATGGTTGAACTAGTTTACAGTCCCACTAACAGTGTAAAAGTGTTCCTATTTCTCCACATCCTCTCCAGCACCTGTTCTTTCCTGACTTTTTAATGCTCACCATTCTAACTGGTGTGAGATGCTACCTCATTGTGGTTGTGATTTGCATTTCTCTGATGGCCAGTGAGGATGAGCATTTTTTCATGTGTCTTCTGGCTGCATAAATGTCTTCTTTTGAGAAGTGTCTGTTCATGTCCTTCGCCCACTTGTCGATGGGGTTGTTTGTTTTTTTTCTTGGAAATTTGTTTGAGTTCATTGTAGATTCTGGATATTAGCCCTTTGTCAGATGAGTAGATTGCAAAAATTTTCTTCCATTCTGTAGGTTGCCTGTTCACTCTGATAGTAGTTTCTTTTGCTGAGCAGAAGCTCTTTAGTTTAATTAGATCCCATTTGTCAATTTTGGCTTTTGTTGCCGTTGCTTTTGGTGTTTTAGACATGAAGTCCTTGCCCATGCCTATGTCCTGAATGGTATTGCCTAGGTTTTCTTCTGGGGTTTTTACAGTTATAAGTCTAACATTTAAGTATTTAATCCATCTTGAATTAATTTTTGTATTAGGTGTAAGGAAGGGATCCAGTTTCAGCTTTCTACATATGGCTAGCCAGTTTTCCCAGCACCATTTATTAAATAGGGAATCCTTTCCCCATTGCTTGATTTTGTCAGGTTTGTCAAAGATCAGATAGTTGTAGATATGTGGCATTATTTCTGAGGGCTCTGTTCTGTTCCATTGGTCTATATTTCTGTTTTGGTACCAGTACCATGCTGTTTTGGTTACTGTTGCCTTGTAGTATAGTTTGAAGTCAGGTAGTGTGATGCCTCCAGCTTTGTTCTTTTGGCTCAGGATTGACTTGGCAATGCGGGCTCTTTTTTGGTTCCATATGAACTTTAAAGTAGTTTTTTCCAATTCTGTGAAGAAAGTCACTGGTAGCTTGATGGGGATGGCACTGAATCTATAAATTACCTTGGGCAGTATGGCCATTTTCACGATATTGATTCTTCCTACCCATGAGTATGGAATGTTCTTCCATTTGTTTGTATCCTCTTTTATTTCATTGAGCAGTGGTTTGTAGTTCTCCTTGAAGAGGTCCTTCACGTCCCTTCTAAGTTGGATTCCTAGGTATTTTATTCTCTTTGAAGCAGTTGTGAATGGGAGTTCACTCATGATTTGGCTCTCTGTTTGTCTGTTATTGGTGTATAAGAATGCTTGTGATTTTTGCACATTGATTTTATATCCTGAGACTTTGCTGAAGTTGCTTATCATCTTAAGGAGATTTTGGGCTGAGATGATGGGGTTTTCTAGATATACAATCATGTCATCTGTAAACAGGGACAACTTGACTTCCTCTTTTCCTAATTGAATACCCTTTATTTCCTTCTCCTGCCTGATTGCCCTGGCCAGAACTTCCAACACTATGTTGAATAGGAGTGGTGAGAGAGGGCATCCCTGTCTCGTGCCAGTTTTCAAAGAGAATGCTACCAGTTTTTGCCCATTCAGTATGATATTGGCTGTGGGTTTGTCATAGATAGCTCTTAGTATTTTGAGATACGTCCCATCAATACCTAATTTATTGAGAGTTTTTAGCATGAAGTGTTGTTGAATTTTGTCAAAGGCCTTTTCTGCATCTGTTGAGATAATCATGTGGTTTTT
The DNA here is from genome assembly GCF_000001405.40 of Homo sapiens. Classification (NCBI taxonomy): domain Eukaryota; kingdom Metazoa; phylum Chordata; class Mammalia; order Primates; family Hominidae; genus Homo; species Homo sapiens. The sequence continues at coordinate 131,184,965 of NC_000002.12, read as the reverse complement.
GTCTTTGGTTCTGTTTATATGCTGGATTACGTTTATTGATTTGCATATGTTGAACCAGCCTTGCATCCCAGGGATGAAGCCCACTTGATCATGGTGGATAAGCTTTTTGATGTGCTGCTGGATTCAGTTTGCCAGTATTTTATTGAGGATTTTTGCATCAATGTTCATCAGGGATATTGGTCTAAAATTCTCTTTTTTTGTTGTGTCTCTGCCAGGCTTTGGTATCAGGATGATGCTGGCCTCATAAAATGAGTTAGGGAGGATTCCCTCTTTTTGGAATAGTTTCAGAAGGAATGGTACCAGCTCCTCCTTGTACCTCTGGTAGAATTCGGCTGTGAATCCATCTGGTCCTGGGCTTTTTTTGGTTGGTAAGCTATTGATTATTGCCTCAATTTCGGAGCCTGTTATTTGTCTATTCAGAGATTCAAATTCTTCCTGGTTTAGTCTTCGGAGGGTGTATGTGTCGAGGAATTTATCCATTTCTTCTAGATTTTCTAGTTTATCTGCATAAAGGTGTTTATAGTATTCTCTGATGGTAGTTTGTATTTTTTAATTTTCTTTTGTACTTGAGATGAACCATATTTGCATTCTAACCCCAACCTTTAATACAACCAGGATGTTTTTACTTTCCCTTTTTTGTGTAAGTAAAAAGCAAACATTGGTGAGGAAGGTAGAAGATGTGTGTCCCCTCCTCTTTAAATTTTTTTTTTTTTTTGAGACAGAGTCTCGCTCTATCGTCCAGGCTGGAGTGCAGTGGCTCAATCTTGGCTAACTACAAGCTCCGCCTCCCGGGTTCACGCCATTCTCCTGCCTCAGCCTCCCTAGCAGCTGGGACTACAGGTGCACACTACCATACCCAGCTAATTTTTTGTATTTTTAATAGAGACAGGGTTTCACTGTGTTTGCCAGGTTGGTCTCTATCTCCTGACCTCGTGATCCACCTGCCTCGGCCTCCCAAAGTGCTGGGATTACAGGCATGAGCCACCATGCCCAGTCTAAAATCTGACTAGTTTACAAATAGCAAAGATTTCTGGAAAACAAAGTTGGGTTGGTTTTTTTTCAGGATCAGAAACTGTTATATTTGTATTCCTTCTCTGTGGTGATCTAGAAAAAGCTAAAGGAAAGCAGATTGGACCTGCTGTAGATACTTCAGTGAGATGCAATCAGTTTGGTTTCCATGAAACCTGTTGAGTCTTGTGGCTTGAGAGTGCTAAGGATTCTCAGCTCTGCTGCTTATTAGCTGCATATTCTTTTTTTTCTTTTCTTTTTTTTTTTTTTGAGATGGAGTTTCACTCTTGTCGCCCAGGCTGGAGTGCAGTGGCACGATCTTGGCTCACTGCAACCTCCACCTCCTGGATTCAGGTGATTCTCCTGCCTCAGCCTCCTGAGTAGCTGGGATTACAGGCATGCACCACCACATCCAGCTAATTTTACATTATTAGTAGAGACAGGGTTTCACCATGTTGGCCAGGCTGGTCTCGAACTCCTGACCTCAGGTGATCTGCCTGCCTCAGCTTCTCAAAGTGCTGGGATTACAGGTGTGAGCCACGACACCTGGCTTTAGCTGCATAATCTTAGATAAGTTTATTTTTCCAAATCTGTTGCTTCATATGTTAAAGCTGGGGTGTGTGCTTATGAAAACTGTCTACCTCTCCTATAAAATGTTTTGTGACCTATAAAGTTGTGTAAGGAGTAAATCTGAGATTTTCTTTTTTTCTTTCGTTCTCTTTCTGGGGGATATGGCACTGTCAGTTTCAGATTTTCAATCCTTTTAGTTTCTTACTTAGACCTACTGGAGTTCTTCCTGGCCTTCATTTTCGCCTGGTGGGAAGCCTAGCTCCAGGACAGATGAGTACACAGTACATCAGGGCAGAGCGTCCATTTACTCCATTATGAAGGTCTTGTCTGTCTATATGCCATCAGCTTTGTCAAAGAGCACTTGGGTTTGACTTGTCTTTTGATACTCCTGTGTTTCTGCGGCTTAGACTACCATGTATTAAGTGATGCTTTTTGAATTGCGGATTTTCCAATCTCCTCATAGATAGTACGCAGACGTTTCAGACTTGAAATGTCCAAAACTTAATTCAGTATCTCTTCAAATCAACCTCCTCTTCACACCATATTTCTCTTCCTCAGTAGCATCATCATCTCTTCTAGTTCCCCATCTAGAAACCCTAATCATTTTAAATTGTTTCCTCTTCTTTTTTTTTTTTCCTGGTGTCCCCTGGGGTTTGTAAAGCTCTCCAGACATTGAGACTGTACAGGCATGTCTCACTCCAAATTGGGCGAAATCAGTCATTGATTTTAATAGATTTTCACCAGGTACCTTTTCTGCGTCAAGCAGTGGGTTAGAGGCTAGACTCAGAGATGAGTAAAACCAGACCCCACCCCCTGACCTAGCCCTTCTTGCTCAAGAAGCCAACACTTAGTGAGAGCATCGGAAAGCCTGGTGGGCTTCTGAGCCCTGGGACTGGAGAAGTGGGGGTCCCAAAAGCCATTACAAGATCAAAGAGAATAACAACAGGAAACTGCCAGAAATACCCAGTCATGGGCAAAGGAGCCTGTCCACATACCACTTGATGCCCAAGAACCCGTGTCCTTACTTGAGAGTACATGTGTGTTCACAAGCATGTGGAGCCCAAGGGCCTGTGCAGCTGTCCATGTGGGGATGGGTATCAGGCTTCTGATTGGGGTGCACAAGTGGTGTGGGAGTCTCTTTTTTTCTTTAATTTTATTATTAGTATACTTTAAGTTTTAGGGTACATGTGCACAACGTGCAGATTTGTTACATATGCATACATGTGTCATGTTGCTGTGCTGCACCCATTAACTCATCATTTAGCATTAGGTATATCTCCTAATGCTATCCCTCCCTCCTCCCCCCTCCTCTTATTTCTTTTATCTTCCTCATTGTTAGTCACCAAATCTTGGTTTTACCTGTGAGAGCCTGGGCAATCAATTTAAGTTGTTTTAGTTAGGCTTTTATTGCAAAGCAGTCATTTGTATTTTCTCAAGGATCTTAGGAAAAGCGTGAATTAGAGCAGAGCCTACCCAGAACTAGATGGCTGTGGGTTCTGGAACTGGCTACGCTCTTTGACTGTCTCTTGGTTTTGTGTTCAGCTCTTCCTCATGATTTTCATCTTTCTGTATCCTTTCAGCTTTTGCCCCAGATAGTAACCCCTTCGTTATCTCAGTACTTGCATGTCTAAAATTCCAGAAAGAAAATATGATTCAGCTAAAAAATATCTCTGCTTGGCAGGACCTTTAATGTTAGGTGCTGGCCAGCCAGTTGATTTCTGGTGTCCCTATGACCAGTATGTGCCTCAGCCTGCCAAGTAGCTGGGATTACAGCCACCACCACACCCAGCTAATTTTTTGTAATTTTTAGCAGAGACGGGGTTTCACCATGTTGGCCAGAATGGTCTTGAACTCCTGACCTCAGGTGATCCGCTCACCTCAGCCTCCCAAAGTGCTCGGATTATAGGTGTGAGCCACAGTGCCCAGCCCACCTGAGGCTTCTTTTTCCTTCCCAAGCCGCATCACCATCCTGGTGGAACTCTCCTGTGAGGACAGCCAAGGCCTGAACTACCTGCGGTGGGGAGCACCTCAGGGTTTGCCCAGGCAACCAGCCAGCCCTGGTCCAAGGCATCCTGGAGCGAGTTGTGGATGGCCCCGTGCCCCACCAGACAGTGCGCCTGGAGGACCTGGACGAGAGCGGTGAGCCCCAGGCTGGGGAGCCAGTGCTGCCTGGCATCCTCCGGCCACCCTACCTGGCTGAGGGGCTGGGCCTGGGCCTGCCGGTGACAGCCATCCCTGTCCTTCCTGCTCAGGGGGCAGGCTGTCAAAGCTTATGTGAAAGCAGCTGAAGAAACAGTCACAGCCCATAAGGCAATGCTCCCTGGCCTTCGTTTCCCCAGTGATAACGACACTGCCAGAATATCCCCCTCAGTGCAGTGGCCAAAGTCAGAAAGTGGGATCAGCCAGGCATGGTGGCTCCCAGCACTTTGGGAGGCCAAAGCGGGTGGATCACTTGAGATCAGGAGTTCGAGACCAGCCTGGAACATGGCAAAACCCCATCTCTACTAAAAATACAAAATAGTAGGGCGTGGGGGCGCACATCTATAATCTCAGCCACTCAAGAAGCTGAGGCATGGGATTACGGCTGCCAGAAAAAATGTTGTTGCCCAAGCCAGAGTGCAGTGGCGCGATCTCAGGTCACTGCAACCTCCACCTGCCAGGTTCAATAGATTCTCCTGTCTCAGCCTCCCAAGTAACTGAGATTACAGGCATGTGCCACCACGCCTGGCTAATTTTTTGTATTTTTAGTAGAAATGGGGTTTCACCACGTTAGCCAGGTGAATCCCAAAGTCCTGGGATTACAGGCAAGAGCCACCACACCCAGCCGATATTTTGAATTTTTAAGGTTTATCAGCTTGGTCATTTGTGTGATCCAAAGTTGTAGGCATTTTAAAAACATTAAAAATATTTTCATTTTTTATTTCTTCTATAATTTTAGACACATATTCATTTTTATTTCTTCTGCAGTTTTAGCTACATATCCCTAAGGTCATACAGCTAGTAAAAGCTAGGATTCAAGCCCAGGTCTTCTCATTGTGTTGCTTCTCCAGTACTGCACTACCTCTCCAAGATGCTTTTGATGGTATCTACAGGATTTCTAAGACCATATATGGGAAAGAGCTTTGTAAACTGTGAGGCTTTTTTATGTAAAGCAGAACTTGACGTGAGATTAAGAAAAGTAAATACTAAAGGAGAAAAGGATGGTAAACCCGTTTATATAGTCTGTCAATTTAACTATTTTTAATTTTTTTTTTTTTTTTTTTGAGACAGAGTCTCGTTCTGTCACCAGGCTGGAGTGCAGTGGCACGATCTCGGCTCACTGCAACCTCTGCCTCCCGGGTTCAAGCGATTCTCCTGCCTCAGCCTCCCAAGTAGCTGGGACTACAGGCACGTGCCACCACTTCCAACTAATTCTTTGTATTTTTAGTAGAGACAGGGTTTCACCGTGTTTGCCAGGATGGTCTAGATCTCCTGACCTTGTGATCCACCCGCCTCAGCTTCCCAAAGTGCTGTGATTATAGGCGTGAGCCACCTACGCCCGGCCAAGTTTAAATGTTTATTTTAATGTTTGTGCAATAACGTCCAGTTTTGCCAAGCAGAATGATCTGCATAGGAGCTTTTGTGCAGAACTCACTGTTTTTCAGTTAGAGCTTATTACTCTAATAGTGAAATCAAATCCATCTTCAGTTGCTACATGGCTTTGTTAAACAGTTAAACTTGAGTTGGAGATGCTCTGTCATAGGGAGGAATTTTCGCTCCACAGATGTGTTCATATAATGTATTTTCCCCTTTCCCCTATGGAAACTTTGTGGAAAGATTATTTCAGTGTTAACCCTGATTGATATTTTAGTAATTAAACAAGTGTCTGTTACTCCTTTATCAAGCATTTAATGAGTGTCTTCGGTGTGCTAGGCACTGCACTAGACTCTGGGGAGTCAAGGATGAATCACACTTAGTTTCTACCCCCTGGGAATTCATTCTGGTTGGAGAAATTGTTAACAAAAAATTATCATCCTATGGGATATTTTTTTAAAGTATGAAATGAGATAATGTGTGTGAGAAAACTTTGGAAGTTTTACACATTTAGGATTTTTTTCTCCAGTGCATAGCCTGATGCCTGACATATTTTAAATGCTCATTACACCCTTGAATGAATTGGTGAAGAGCCAAGAGTTATGAGAGCATAATGCTAGAGTGTAGATGGATTAGTTCTGCCTGGATGGACAGGTGGGATGCGGAGGCTTCCAAGAATACAACTTTTGAACTGGACTTGGAAATATAAGTTAAGAATCGAGAGAGAAACAGGGCCGAAGGCAGGGGTGGCAGGTCAGTGCTGCTCGGGGGCTTCTCCGTCCAGGTCCCTGGAGCTCCCGGTCCCTGGAGCTCTGCACTTGGGGGCACAACTTGCATGAGGCAGCGCGACTCTGGCGACTGGCTGGCCATGCCGTCCCGGGCTGAGAACTATGAAGTGTTGTACACCATTGGCACAGGCTCCTGTGGCCGCTGCCAGAAGATCCAGAGGAAGAGTGACGGCAAGATACTAGTTTGGAAAGAACTTCATTATGGCTCCATGACAGAAGCTGAGAAACAGATGCTTGTTTCTGAAGTGAATTTGCTTTGTGAACTGAAAAATCCAAACATCGTTCATTACTATGATCGTATTATTGACCGGACCAACACAACACTGTACATTGTAATGGAATATTGTGAAGAAGGAGACCTGGCTAGTGTAATTACAAAGGGAACCAAGGAAAGGCAATACTTAGATGAAGAGTTTGTTCTTCGAGTGACGACTCAGTTGACTCTGGCCCTGAAGTAATGCCACAGACGAAGTGATGGTGATCATACTGTAGTGCGTCGGGATCTGAAACCAGCCAGTGTTTTCCTGGATGGCAAGCAAAACGTCAAGCTTGGAGATTTGGGGCTAGCCAGAATATTAAACCACGACACGAGTTTTGCAAAAACATTTGTTGGCACACCTTATTACATGTCTCCTGAACAAACGAATCACATGTCCTACAATGAGAAACCAGATATCTGGTCATTGGGCCGTTTGCTGTATGAGTTAGGTGCATTAATGCCTCCATTTACAGCTTTTAGCCAGAAAGAACTTGCTGGGAAAATCAGAGAAGGCAAATTCAGGCAAATTCTATACCGTGACTCTGACGAATTGAATGAAATTATTATGAGGATGTTAAAGGATTACCATCGACCTTCTGTTGAAGAAATTCTCGAGAACCCTTTAATAGCAGATTTGGTTGCAGAAGAACGAAGAAGAAATCTTGAGAGAAGAGGGCGACAATTAGGAGAGCCAGAAAAATTGCAGGATTCCAGCCCTGTATTGAGTGAGCTGAAACTAAAGGAAATTCAGTTAGAGGAGCGAGAGCGAGCTCTCAAAGCAAGAGAAGAAAGATTGGAGCAGAAAGAACAGGAGTTTTGTGTCCGTGAGAGACTAGCAGAGGACAGACTGGCTAGAGCAGAAAATCTGTTGAAGAATTACAGCTTGCTAAAGAAGTTCCTGTCTCTGGCAAGTAGTCCAGAACTTCTTAGTCTTCCATCCTCAGTAATTAAGAAGAAAGGTCATTTCAGTGGGGAAAGTAAAGAGAATGTCATGAGGAGTGAGAATTCTGAGAGTCAGCTCACATCTAAGTCCAAGTGCAAGGACCTGAAGGTCCTTGCTTCATGCTTCATGCTGCCCAGCTGCGGGCTCAAGCCCTGTCAGATATTGAGAAAAATTATCAACTAAAAAGCAGCCAGATCCTGGGCATGCGCTAGCCGGGTAGAGAGACACAGAGCTGTGTACAGGATGTAATATCACCAACTTTTAGAGACTGATGTTCAAATGCTGTAGCGTTATATACTTGGTTCCATGAGCCATGCCTTTTTGTATAGTCCACATGATATTTCAGAATTGGTGTTGCTCTTCTTCAGCAACTGTTGTACAAAATGTTCACATTTAATTTTTCTTTCTTCTTTTAAGAACACATTATAAAAAGAATACTTTCTTGGTTGGTTGGGCTTTTAATCCTGTGTGCGATTACTAGTAGGAACATGAGATGTGACATTCTAAATCTTGGGAGAAAAAAAATGAGAAGAAAAAAATATTTACGCAGGAGTAGCACTCACTGAATAGTTTTAAATGACTGAGTGGTGTGCTTACAATTGTCGTGTCTAGATTTAAATTTTAAGTCTGAGATTTTAAATGTTTTTGAGCTTAGAAAACCTAGTTGGATGCCATTTGGTCATTAATACCATGACAACTTGCTTATAAATATTCCATTGCTCTGTAGTTCAAATCTATTAGCTTTGTGAAAGTTCATCACTGTGATGTCTGTATTCTTTTTTCCTTTTTATTCTGTTTAACAGAATAAAAGAATTCTTTAGTTTCCCTGTAAAAAAAAAAAAAAAAAAATCGAGAGAAGCGGTTCTGCCAGGGCAGCTGTCAGCCGTTAAAGTGCCTGGATGTACATGAACCACATATCTACAGGCTAATACAGTTTTCAAGATGCTTTTGTTTACACTATCTCTTTTGAGTCTTACGACAGTTCCATGAGGTGAGTTCATACAACCAAGAGAAGCCCTGACCAGAACCTGGGTTCTAGGGTGTAAGAGAGAGCATCTGGCCAGTTTGTTCTTTATAGTTTCACGAATGTTATGATTGCTAATATTATCGTATTTCTATTATTATATTTGTGAAAGCATGGTTTTCTGAGTTACAAGTATGTGAAAGACACATGTACACAGGTAATGAAATATATAGTTTTCCTTTTATTTCTGTAAAGCAAGTTAGCTTGTATTGATACATGATGAGTTTTTTTCAGAGGTTTCAGAAACAGGTTAGAAAATGCTTCCGTAGTATTTCATAGATTCTTTATAATTTGAGCAGTTTTTCAGGATTTTCAGTTCATTTAAACCATTTATCTAACGAACAGTAAATAGAAACTCTGAGCTCTACATTCTCTTGTAAGCTTTCTTTTTCTGTTATAGTTGAGCAAATTTGTTGACATTCTTACATTTCTGCATTTTGATTTTTTGCAAAATGTTTGGTTAAAATACTTTGGGGGAAAAATACAAGAACTTTGTTCTCATTTGTAGTTGACTTCCTACTTTGTATATGTTGTCTTCTGTATGTATTAAGACAGTGAAGTATTGGAAAAAGAATAGGTAAATAGATCAGTGGAACAGAATAAGCACCCCAGAAATAGACCCATACAAATAGAGTCCGCTCATCTTTGACAGAGGAGCAAATGCAACTTAATGGAGAAAAGATTGTCTTTACAACAAATGGTGCTGGAAACAACTAGACATCCACATGTGGAATAATGAATATAGCCACTGACCTTACACCTTTCCCAACAATTAACACAATACAGATCATAGACCTAAATGTAACACAAAACTAGCAAACTTCTGTAAGTTTAATAACACAGGAGAAAATCTAGGTGACCTTGGGTTTGGCAATGAGTTTCTAGATGCAACACAAAAACACCATCTACAAAAGAAAAAATGGACAAGATGGACTTCATTAAAGTGAAACATGTCTGCTGTGCCAGAGACACTGTTAAGAATGAAAAGACAGGCTGGGCGCAGTGTGGTGGCCCATGCTGTGATTCCAGTTACTTGGGAGGCTGAGGCAGGAGGATCCCTTGAAGCCCAGGAGTTGAAAGATGCAGTGAGCTGTGATGGTGCCACTGCATTCCAGCCTGGATGACAGAGAGACCCCATCTCCACAAAGAAAAAAAAGAAATAATGCAGAGAAGTCTCATGTACGGGCCCACTAAGTTTTATAGTGTTTTTGCTTTATTGCACTTTGCAGATACTGTTTTTTACCTATTGAATGTTTGCGGCAACCCTGTGTCAAGCAAGTCTTGCGGTGCCGTGTTTCTAACAGCATATGCTCACTTTCTGTATCTGTGTTACGTTTCGCTGATTCTCACAATATTTCAGATGTTTTCATTATCATGTTTGTTATGGTGATCAGTGATCTTTAATGTTGCTATTGTAATTGTTTACAAACTCATTGATATGAGAGGGTGAACTTAATCAATGTTGTGTATGTGTCGTTTTGTTTTGTTTTGAGACAGAGTCTTTCTCTTTCACCCGGGCTGGAGTGCGGTGGCATGATCTCAGCTCACTGCAAACTTCACCTTCTGGGCTCAAGCGATCCTCCCACCTCAGCCTCCCAAATAACTACAGCAGGCATGTGCCACCACACTCAGCTAATTTGTAAATTTTTTGTAGAGATGAGGTCTCATTATATTGTCCAAGCTAGTCTCCAACTCCTGGACTCAAGCAATCCTCCCACCTCGGCCTCCCAAAGTGCTGGATTATAGGCATGAGCCACCGCACCCTGCCAGTTACATGTGTTCTGACTGCTCTGTCCACCATCCATTCCCAGCTCTCTCCTTCTTCTCAGGCCTCTCTATTACCTGATACACAACAGTATTGAAATTAGGCTAATTAATAACCGTGCAGTGCCCTGTACATGTTCAAGTGGAAAGAAGAACTGCATGAATCTCACTTTCAATCAAAAGGCAGAAGCGACTACCTTTAGTGCAGAAAGCGTACCGAAAGCCGACCTAAGCTGAAAGCTAGGCCTCTTGTGCCCATTAGCCAAGTTGTGAAAGCAAAGGAAAAGTTCTTGAAGGAAATTAAAAGTGCTTCTCCAGTGAATACACAAATGATAAGAATGCAAAACAGCCTTGTTGCTGATATGGAAAAAGTTTTAGTGCTGGTTAGAACATCAAATCACCCACAACATCCCCTTAAGGCAAAGCCTAATCCAGGGCAAGCCCCTAGCTTGCTTCAGTTCTGTGAAAGCTGAGGGAGGTGAGGAAACTGCTGCTGAAGAAAAGTTTGAAGCTAACAGAGGTTAGTTAGTTCATGGGGTTTAAGGAAAGAAGTCATCTCTATAATATGAAAATGCAAGGTTGGCCGGGCGCAGTGGCTCACGCCTGTAATCCCAGCACTTTAGGAGGCCGAGGCGGGTGGATCACAAAGTTGAGAGCTCAAGACCAGCCTGGCCAACATGGTGAAACCCCATCCCTACTAAAAATACAAAAATTGGGCCAGGCACGGTGGCTCACGCCTGTAATCCCAGCACTTTGGGAGGCTGAGGCAGGTGGATCACTTTGGGAGGCTGAGGTCAGGAGTTCAAGACCAGCCTGGGCACCATGGTGAAACCCTGTCTCTACTAAAAATACAAAAATTAGCTGGGCACAGTGGCACGTGCATATAATCCCAGCTACTCAGGAGGCCAAGACAGTTGAATCGCTTGAACTTGGGAAGCAGAGGTTGCAGTGAGCTGAGATTGTACCATTGCACTCCAGCCTGGGCAACAGAGCAAGACTCTGTCTCAAAAAATAATAATAATTAATTAATTAAGTAAGTAAACTGGGCGTAGTGGCATGCCTGTAATCCTAGCTACTCGGGAGGCTGAGGCAGGAGAATCACCGGAATCTGGGTGGCGGAGGTGCAGTGATTTGAGATCACACCACTGCACTCCAGCTTGGGCGACAGAGTGAGACTTCGTCTCAAAACAAACAAACAAACAAACAAAAAAGTGCAAGGTGAAGCAGCAAGTGCTGATGTAGAAGTTGCAACAAGTTATCCAGAAGATCTAGCTAAGATCATTGATAAAGATGGCTCCACTAAGCAACAGACGTTCAATGTAGAAGAAACAGCTTTTTGGTGGAAGAAGATGCCATTTAGGACGTTCCTCCTAGAGAGAAGTCACTGCCTGGCTTCAAAGCTTCAAAGGACAACTGACTCTCTTCTTAGGGGCTAACACAGCTGGTGACTTTAAATTAAAGCTGTTGTTTGTTTATCATCCCAGAAATGCTAGAGCCCTTAAGAATTACGTTCAGTCTACTCTGCCTGTGCTCTGTCAATTTAACAACAAAGCCTGGAAGACATCTGTTTACAGTGTGTTTTGCTGAATATTTTAAGCCCACTGTGGAGACACACTGCTCAGAAAAAAAAAGAATTCTTTCAAAATTATTATTTCTTTTTGACAACGCACCTAGTTCCTCAAGAGCTCTAATGGAGGTGTACAAGCAGAGGAATATTGTTTTCATGCCTGCCAATACAATATCCGTTCTGAAGCCCGCGGTTCAAGGAGTGATTTTGACTTTCAAGTCTTATTAGTTAAGAAATACATTTTATAAGGCTAAAGTTGCCATAGATAGTGATTCTTCTGATGGACCTGTGCAAAGTAAATGGAAAGAAAGCCTTGTGGAAAGGAGTCACCATTCTAGATTCCATTAAGAATATTCATGAGTGCCAGGCGCAGTGGCTCACGCCTGTAATCCCAGCCCTTTGGGAGGCCGAGGCGGGCAGATCACCTGAGATCGGGAGTTCGAGACCAGCCTGACCAACATGGAGAAAATGCCATCTCTACTAAAAATACAAAATTAGCCTGGTGTGGTGGCGCATGCCTGTAATCCCAGCTACTTGGGAGGCTGAGGCAGGAGAATAGCTTGAACCTGGGAGGCGGAGGTTGCAGTGAGCCGAGATGGCATCATTGCACTCCAGCCTAGGCAACAAAAGCGAAACTCTGTCTCAAAAAAAAAAATACATATATGGAAGCAAACTGTCTACAGATGGATGAATAAAATGTGGTATATATATGCAATGGAATACTATTCAACTTTCAAAAGAAGGAAATCCTGCCATTTATGACAATGTGGATGAACCTGGAGGACATTTGCTAAGTGAAATAAATCAGACACAGAAAGACAAATATCATGTGATCTCACTTCTCTGTGGAATCTGAAAAAGTAGAATTCATAGAAACAGAGTGGAAGGGTGGTTACCAGAGGGCAGGGAGTGGGGGAAGTGGGAAGTTGTTAGTCTAAGGGTAGAAACTTTCAGCTATAAGTTCTAGAGATCTAAGGTAGAGCAAATGACTATAGTTAATAAAAATATATCGTATACATCCCACCACTTTGGGAGGCTGAGGTGGGCGGATCACAAGGTCAGGAGATCGAGACCATCCTGGCTAACACAGTAAAACCCCGTCTCTACTAAAAATACAAAAAAAAAAAAAAAATAGCTGGGCGTGGTGGCAGGTGTCTGTAGTCCCAGCTACTCGGGAGGCTGAGGCAGGAGAATAGCGTGAACCTGGGGGCAGAGCTTGCAGTGAGCCAAGATTGCACTGCTGCACTCCAGCCTGGGCAACAGAGCGAGACATCCTCTCAAAAAAAAAAAAGGGGGGCCGGGTGCGGTGGCTCACGCCTGTAATCCCAGCACTTTGGGAGGCCGAGGCGGGGCAGATCACGAGGTCAGGAGATCGAGACCATCCTGGCTAATGCGGTGAAACCCCATCTCTACTAGAAAAAATACAAAAAATTAGCCGGGCGTGGTGGTGGGTGCCTGTATGTATATATAGTATATACATATATATATATATATACATATATATATATATATTTCGTATATTTGAGATTTGTTAAGAGAGTACATCTTAAGTATTCTCACCACACACACACACCAAAAATAAAGGTAAGTGTGTGAGGTGATGGATATCATAATTAGCTTGATTGTGGTAATCAATGGTGCCTTAAATACAGGCATACCTTGGAGATATTACAGGTTCTATTCTACCACTACAATCAAGCTAGAATTGCAATAAAGAGAGTCACAAAAATTGTTTGGTTTCCTAATGCATATAAAAGTTATGTATACATGGTGGGACATGGTGGCATGTACCTATAATCCCAGCATTTAGGGAGGCCAAGGTGGAGGCTTGAGGCCAAGACCACTTGAGGCCAAGAATTTGAGGCTGCAGAGAACTATAATTGTTCTGTTGTACTCCAGCCTGGGCAACAGAGTGAGATGATGTCCCTAAAAAAATTTTAAAAAGAAAGTGTATATATACACTATACTATAGACTAGTAAGTATGAAAGAGCATGTTGTCTAAAAGCACAATGTATATAGCTTAATTTTTAAAAAATACTTTATTTCTAAAAATACTGGGCCAGGCGCATTGGCTCACGCCTGTAATCCCAGCACTTTCAGAGGCCGAGGCGGGCAGATCACGAGGTCAGGAGATCAAGACTATCCTGGCTTACACGGTGAAACCCCAACTCCACTAAAAATACAAAAAAAATTCGCCGGGCGTGGTGGCGGGTGCCTGTAGTCCCAGCTACTCAGGAGGCTGAGGCAGGAGAATGGCATGAACCCGGGAGGTGGAGCTTGCAGTGAGCTGAGATTGCGCCACTGCACTCCAGCCTGGGTGACAGAGTGAGACTCCGTCTCAAAAAAATAAATAAATAAATAAATAAAAATAAAAAATGCTAACATACAAATGGCCAACAGGTGTATGAAAAGATGCTCAGGCCGGGCACAGTGGCTCACACCTGTAATCCTAGCACTTTGGGAAGTCAAGTCAGGCAGATCACCTGAGGCTGGCCAGCCACTGGCCAACATGGTGAAACCCCGTCTCTACTAAAATACAAAAATTAGCTGGGCATGATAGTGGGTGCCTGTAATCCCAGCTACTCAGGGGGCTGAGACAGGAGAATCACTCGAACCCGGGAGACACTGGTCGCAGTGAGCTGAGATCACACCACTGCACTCCATCCTGAGCAGCTGAGCAAGACTCTGTCTCAAAAAAGAAAGAAAGGAAGGAGGGAGAGAGGGAGGGAAGGAAGGAAGGAAGGAAAGAAAAGAAAAGGTGATCAACATTATAATCATCAGGGAAATGCAAATCAAAACCACAATGAGATATCACCTCACACCTGTTGGAATGGCAGTTGTCAAAAAGATGAAAGGTAAGTGTTGGGGAGAATGTGGAGAAAAGGAAACCCTTACACACTGCTGGTAGGAATGTAAGTTTCCATTCTGGAAAACAGGATGGAGTATCTGAGCCCTCAGAGAGTTGTAATCTTTCTGCTGGTAAAGGATCTTGCCTGGATGTTGATGGCTGCTGGCTGATCAGGGTGGTTGTGCTGAAGGTTGGGGTGGCTATGGTAATTTCTTAAAATGAGACAACAATGAAGTTTGCCCCATCGAGTGACTCTGCCTTTCTTGAAAGATTTCTCCATGGCAATACAATGTTGTTTAATAGCATTTTGCCCACAGTAGAACTTGTAAAATTGGAGTCAATCTTGTCAAACCCTGCCATGATTTATCAACTAAGTTTATGAAATAGTCTAAATACTTTGTTATCATCTCAACAGCGTTCACAGCATCTTCACCAGGAGTAGGGTCCATCTCAAAAAACCACTTTATTTGCTCATCCATGAGAAGCAACATCTCATCCATTCAGGTTCATCATGAAATTACAGCAATTCAGTCTCATCTTCAGGCTCCACTTCTAATTCTAGTCCTCTTGCTGTTCCCACCACACTTGCAGGTACTTCCTTCACTGAAGTCTTTAATCCCTCAAAGTCTTCTGTGAGCGTTGGAATCAACTTCCTCCAACCTCCAGTTACTGTTGATGTTTTTACCACCTCCCATGAATCACAGATGTTCTTAATGACATCTAGAATGGCGAATGCTTTCCAGAAGGTTTTCAACTTACTTTGCCCAGATCCATCAAAAGAATCACTATCTATGGTAGCTATAGTCTCATGAAATGTATTTCTTAAATAATAAGACTTGAAATTCAAAATTACTCTTTGATCCATGGGCTGCAGAATGGAAGTTGTGTTAGTAAGCACAAAAACAACAGTAACTTCCTCGTACATCTCCACCAGAGCACTTGGGTGAGCAGGTGCATTGTCAATAAGCAGCAATATTTTGAAAGAAATCTTATCTGTGCAGTAGGTCTTAACAGTGGGTTTTAGATATTCCATAATCCATGCTATAAACACATGTGCTGTCATCCAGGCTTTGTTGTTCCATTTATACAGCACAGGCAGAGTATATTTCGCATAATTCCTAAGGGCCCTAGGATTTTTGGAATGGCAAATGAACATTGGCTTCAACTTAAAGTTACCAGTTGCTTTAACCCCTAATAAGAGTCAGCCTGTCCTTTGAAGCTTTGGAGCCAGGGATTGACTTCTCTCCATAAGTCCTAGATGGCATTTTCTTCCAATATAAAACTATTTTATCTACATTACAAATCTGTTGTTCAGGCCGGGCACAGTGGCTCACGCCTGTAATCCCGGCACTTGGAAGGCCAAGGCAGGCGGATCATGAGGTCAGGAGATCGAGACCTTCCTGGACAACATGGTGAAACCCCGTCTCTACTAAAAATACAAAAACTAGCTGCATGTGGTGGTGCATGCCTGTAATCCCAGCTACCTGGGAGGCTGAGGTATGAGAATTGCTTGAACCCAGGAGTCAGAGGTTGCAGTGAGCTGAGATCGCGCCACTGTACTACAGCCTGGTAACAGCCAGACTCTGTCCCCCCCCAAAAAAAAAAAAATGTTGTTCAGTGTAGCCTCCTGCATCAATTATCTTAGCTAGATCTTCTAAACAAATTACTGCAGCTTCTCCTTGCCATCTTATGTTAAGAGATGACTTCTTTCATTAAACTTCATGAACTAACCTCTGCTGACTAACCTCCGCTGGCTTCAGACTTTTCTTCTGCAGCTTCCTCACCTGGCTCAGCCTTCATAGAATTAAAGAGTTACGTAGGACCTCACACTGGATTAATCTTTGACTTAAGGGAATGCTATAGCTGGTTTGATCTTTTATCCAGGCCACTAAAACTTACTCCATATCAGCAATAAGGCTGTTTCACTTTCTTATCGTTTGTGTGTTTACTGGAGTAGCACCTTAGTTTCCTTCAAGAAGTTTTCCTTTGGGCCAGATGAGATGGCATGCGCCTGTAATCCTAGCACTTTAGGAGGCTGAGGCAGAAGGATCGCTTGTGTCTAGGAGTTTGAAACCAGCATGGGCAACATAGCAAGATTCTGTCTCTACAAAAAATAAAAAGTTAACTGGGCATGGTGGTGTGTGCCTGTAGTCCCAGCTACTTGGAAGGCTGAGGTGGGAGGATCACTTGAGTCTGAGAGGTTGAGGCTACAGTAAGTCATGACCACGCCACTGCAATCCAGCCTGGGTGACAGACTAAGACCCTGTCAAAAAACGAAAAAGAGGGAAGGGCGGGGGGAGGGAAGGAGGGAGGGAAAGAAAGAAAAGAAAAGAACTTTCCCTTTGCATTCACAACTTGGCCATTTGGAATAAAATGTCTAGTTTTTGGCCAAGCTTGGCTTTTGAAATGCTTTGCTCACTAAGCTTAATTATTTCTACCTTTTTTATTTAAAGTGAGAGAGGCGAAACTCTTCCTTTCACTTGAACACTGAGAGCCACTGTAGGGTTACTAACTGACTTACTTTCCACATCGCTGTGTCTCAGGGAAAGAGAGATGGGGAAATAGCTGGTGGGTAGAGCAGTCAGAACAGACACACTTACTGTGTTCACTGTCTTATATGGGTGTGGTTTGTGGCACCCCAAAGCAATTCGAGTAGTAACATCACTGATCACAGATACCACAACAGACATGATGATACTGAAAAAGTTTGAAATATTGTGAGAATTACCAAAATGTGACACAAAGTGAGTATGTGCCGTTAAAAATATGGCACCAAGAAGCACTGTTTACAATAGCAAAGACTTGGAACCAACCCAAATGCCCATCAGTGATAGACTGGATAAAGAAAATGTGGCACTCGCTGGGCGCAGTGGCTCACGACTGTAATCCCAACACTTTGGGAGGCCAGATCACTCGAGGTCAGGAGTTCAAGACCAGCCTGGCCAACATGGTGAAACCCCATCTCTACTAAAAATACAAAAATTAGCCAGCCATGGTGGCAGGCGCCTGTAATCGCAGCTACTCAGGAGGCTAAGGCAGGAGAATCACTTGAACCCGGGAGGTGGAGGTTGCAGTGAGCCCAGATCGCATCACTGCACTCCAGCCTGGGCAACAGAGCGAGACTCCGTCTCAAAAAAGAAACATGGGCACATATACACCATGGAATACTATGCTGCCATAAAAAAGAATGATTTTATGTCCTTTGCAGGGACATGGATGAAGCTGGAAGCCGTCATTCTCAGCAGACTAACACAAAAGCAGAAAACCAAACACCGCATGCTCTCACTCATAAGTGGGAGTTGAACAGTGAGAACACATGGACACGGGGGGGAACATCCCATACCGGGGCCTGTCGGGGTGGGGGGCAAGTGGAGGGAGAGCATTAGGACAAATATCTAATGCACGCGGGGCTTAAAACCGAGATGACAGGTCGATGGGTGCAGCAAACCACCATGGCACATGTATACCTATGTAACAAACCTGCACATTCTGCACATGTATCCCAGAACTTAAGGTAAAATAAAAAATACATAAATAAAAATAAATAATTAAATTGCAGTGAGACCAAAAAAAGTAAAATGCATACTGAATTCCAAAGACACTATAAAAATGTTTAAAAAGAAGCTCCTTAATAATTTCTTATGTTGACTACATGTTGAAATGATAATATTTTAGGTATTCTATGTCAAAATATGTTCAGATAATTTTATCTAATAAATGTGGCTGCCAAAAATTGTTTAAAAAGAAAATGGCACCAAGAGACGACTTGGATGTAGGATTCCCGTAAACCTTCGATTTGTTAAAAAAAAAAAAAAAAAAGCTGTAAAGTGCAGTAATGTGAAGTAGAATAAAATGAAGTGTGTTTGTATGGAAAATGTTTATCTGTCAGTGATACCTCAATAAAGCTGGAGTGGGGGATGAAAGAGAAATTACAATATTTCCAGGTAAGCAAAAGCTGAAGGAGTTGATTACCAGCAGACCTGCCCACAAAAATTGCTAAGGCAGGCTTTCAGGCTGAAGTGAAAAGCCACTGGGTAGCAACTCCAAGGCATGGGAAGAAATACACAACTCTGGCAAAGGTAAGCATGCTGGTGAATATAAAAGTCAGTATTATTGTACTTCAGGTTTGTAACTTTGCTTTCTTTCCTATGATTTAAAAGGAAATTACGTAAAGCAATAATTCTAAATGTGTGTCTGTGGGGAAACAAGGTATAAGGATGCATCCGTGACAATAACAACACAAAGGGTGAGGGATGGAAACTACACAGCAGTGTTTGTATGATCAACACTACGTTGGTATTATTCACATACAAGATGTAAATGTAAGATGCTAATTGCAATTTCCAAAGTAACCACTGGAAAAAATAACTGAAAAAAAATATTATAAGACTAAACTCGGCCGGGCGCGGTGGCTCATGCCTGTAATCCCAGCACTTTGGGAGTCTGAGGCGGGCAGATCACAAGGTCAGGATATTGAGACCATCCTGGCTAATGCAGTGAAATCCCGTCTCTACTAAAAATACAAAAAAAAAAAAAAAAAAAATTAGCTGGGCATGGTGGCAGGCGCCTGTAGTCCCAGCACTTTGGGAGGCTGAGGCAGGCAGATCCCAAAGTCAGGAGTTCAAGACCAGCCTGGCCAACATGGTGAAACCCCGTCTCTACTAAAACCACGAAACATTAGCCAGGTGTGGTGGCAGATGCCTGTAATCCCAGCTACTCGGGAGGTTGAGGCAGGAGAATCGCTTGAGCCCGGGAGGTGGAGGTTGCAGTGAGCCGAGATGGTGCCATTGCACTCCAGTCTGGGTGACAGAGTGAGACTCTGTCTCAAAATAAATAAATAAATAAATAAATAAATAAATAAATAAAGCAGTAATGGAAGAACTGAGAAACAAAAAATATATAAGACATACTGAAAACACATAGCTAAATGAAAGAAGGTTAAATAATTACTTTAAGTGTAGGTAGATTAAACTCTCCTATTAGAAGACAAAAATTGACAGATTAGATTTTTTATTTTTTTTGGACAGACTCTAGTTCTGTCACCCAGGCTGGAGTGCAGTGGTGCAATCGTAGCTCACTGCAACCTCCACCTCCCTGGTTCAAGCGATTCTTCTGCCTCAGCCTCCTTAGAAGCTGGGATTACAGGCGCCTGCCACTGCGCCCAGCTAATTTTTGTTTTTTTAGTAGAGACGGGGTTTCAATGTGTTGGCCAGGCTGCTCTCGAACTCCTGACCTCATGATCGGCCCGCCCCAGCCTCCCAAAGTGCTGGTATTACAAACGTAAGCCACTGCACCCAGCCCAGATTCGATTTTTTTAAAAAAACATGATGCAGACGGTGGGTCATGCCTGTAATCCCAGCACTTTGGGAAATCGTTGCAGGCAGATCACTTGAGGTCATGAGTTCAAGACCGGCCTTGCCAACATGGTGAAACCCCACCTCTGCTAAAAATATAGAAAAAATTAGCCAGGAGTAGTGGTGGGCACCTGTAATCCCAGCTACTCAGGAGGCTGAGGCAGGACAATTGCTTGAACCCAGAAGGCAGAAGTTGCATTGAGCCAAGATTGTGCCACTGCACTCCAGCCTGGGCAACAGAGCAAGACTCCACCTCAAAATAAATAAATAAAAACATGATCCATCTATATGCTGCCTATAAAACATTTAGATACAAAGACATTCAAAGTAAAATGATGGAAAAAGATAATACAAAGGTAAACAATGGAAAAAGAGAGCTGATAGAAAAAGCTGAGTAGGCCGGGCGCGGTGGCTCATTCCTGTAATCCCAGCACTTTGGGAGGCTGAGGCGGCCGGATCACCTGAGGTCAGGAGTTCAAGACCAGCCTGGCCAACATGAAGAAACCCCATCTCTACTAAAAATACAAAACTTAGCAGGGCATGGTGGCACACACTTGTAATCCCAGCTACTCAGGAGGCTGAGGCAGGGGAATTGCTTGAATCCGGGAGGCGGAGGTTGCAGTGAGCTGAGATCATGCCACTGCTCTCCAACCTGGGTGACAGAGCGAGACTCAGTCTCAAAAAAGAAAGAAAAAGCTGCGTGGCCATACTGTAATCAGAAAAAATAGATTTTAAATCAAAAAGGTTACAAGACACAAAGACTCATTTGATAAAAGTTTCAACCCACCAAAAAGATATAAAATATAAACACCTAGCAGCAGAGCCCCAAAATATATGAACCAAAAATTAACAGAATTGAAGGAAAAAAAGACAATGCTATAATAGTTGGAGACTTCAATACCTCATTTAAAATAATGGATAGCACAACTAGAAAGAAAAAGCTGCGTGGCCATACTGTAATCAGAAAAAATAGATTTTAAATCAAAAAGGTTACAAGACACAAAGACTCATTTGATAAAAGTTTCAACCCACCAAAAAGATATAGTTATAAAATATAAACACCTAGCAGCAGAGCCCCAAAATATATGAACCAAAAATTAACAGAATTGAAGGAAAAAAAGACAATGCTATAATAGTTGGAGACTTCAATACCTCATTTAAAATAATGGATAGCACAACTAGAGAGAAGATCAATACAGAAACAGAGGCCTGACAACATTCTAATCGATTAGACAGAACACGCCACTCAACAATAGCAGAATATACATTTTTTCTCATGTGAATTCTACAGAACAAGCCACAAAAAGATAATAAATTTTAAAACATTGAAATCATAAAGTATTTAGTCTGATCACAGTGGAATGAAACTAGAACTCATTCTTAGAAGGAAAACTCACAAATATGTGGAAATTAAACAACATATTCTTAAACAACCAATGGGTCAAAGAAAAAGTCACTACAGAAATTAGAAAACCCCTCAATACTAATGAAAAAGAAAACACAAAGTACCAAAACTTCTGGGATGTAATGAAAGCAGGGCTAAGAGGGAAATGTACAGCTGTAAATGCCTACATTACGAAAGAAGAAGGATTACAAATCAGTAATCTAATTATATACTTTAAGAAATTAAAAAAAAAGAAAACAAACTAAACCCAAGCAGAAGGAAGGAAATAAAAAAGATTAGAGTGGGCCGGGCGCGGTGGCTCACGCACCCAGCACTTTGGGAGGCCGAGGCGGGTGGATCACAAGGTCAGGAGATCGAGACCATCCTGGCTAACATGGTGAAACCCCGTCTCCACTAAAAATACAAAAAATTAGCCAGGCTTGGTGGCGGGCACCTGTAGTCCCAGCTACTCAGGAGGCAGAGGCAGGAGAATGGCGTGAACCCGGGAGGCGGAGCTTGCAGTGAGCTGAGATGGTGCCACTGCATTCCAACCTGGGCAACAGAGCGAGACTCTGTCGCAAAAAAAAAAAAAGATTAGAGTGAAGATTAATGAAATAGTGAATAGAAAAACAATAGAAAAAAATTAATGAAGCCAAAAGTTGGTTATTTGAAAAGATCAACAAAATTGGCAAATCTGTAGCTATATTTACTAAGAAAAAAATAGGATAAATTACTGAAATCATAAACGAAAGAAGAGACATTGTTACTGATTATACAGAAATTGATAGATTATAAGAGAATATAATGAACAACTGCATGCCTACACACTGGATAACCCAGTGAAATAGGCAAATTCCTAGAAATGTACAAATCTACCAAAACCAATGTGAAAAGAGTTAGAAAATGTGAATAGACCTATAAAAAGTAAGGAGGTTGAATCAGTAAGTCAAAAACCTCCCAATAAAGAGAAGCCCAGGAGAAATGGCTTTACTTTTAAATTATACCAAACATTTATGTGAGAATCAACACCAGTCCTTCTCACAATCTTTCAAAACAATGAAAAGGAGGGAACATTTCCAAACTCATCTTATGAAGCCAGCATTATCTTAATACCACAGTCAGACAGAGACACTATACTGTCTGACTGTGGAGACATGAATGAAATGAAAACTACAGACCAATGTCTTTTAGGAACTTTGATGCAAAAATCCTCAACAAAATGCTAGCAAATTCAGCAGCATAATAAAAGGATTAAACACCATGACAAAATGGAATTTATCCCTGGAATGAAAAGGCGGCCCAGTATGTGAAAATCAAGCAATCACTCCCATATTAACAGGATAAAGCAGAGGACCATGAACAGAATGCAGAAAAAAAGCATTTGAAAAAAAATCCAACTCCCTTTCGTGATAAAAAAAAAACATTAAATTAGGAACAGAAAGGAATGTCCGCAACATAAAGTCCACATACAAAAAACAGTTAACATCATACTTAATGGTGAAAGACCAAAAAATTTCCCTGTACAATCAGGATGAGGACAATGAAACCCACTTTCGCCACTTCTATTCAACATAGTCCTGAAAGTTACGGCTAGAGCAATTAGGGGAAAAAGGGAAATAAAAGATAACCAATTTGTCAGGGAAGAAGTAAAAGTATCTCTCTTCACAGATGACATATGTAGAAAACCCTAGAATTACTTTCACATGAGCGCGCACACACACACAGGGCTAAGTAAACTAAATCAGCAAAACCAACACCCATAAATGAGTTGTATTTCTACACACTAGCAATAAGCAATCTGAAAAGGAAATTTAAAAAACAATTTCATTTACAGTAACACCACAAAAGTTAAAATAGGAATAAATTAAACCAAGGAGGCAGAAGACTGGTACTCTGAAAAGTACAAAAGAGTGCTGAAAGAAATGAGAGAAGACTTGAATGAATGGAAAGATATTCTGTGTTCACGGATGGGAAAACTCGATATAGTTAAGATGACAATACTACCCAAAGTGATCTAAAAATTCTGTGTAATCTCTATCCAAATCTTAATGGCATTTCTTTGCAGCTTAGAAAAATCCATTCTAGGCCGGGCGTGGTGGCTCACGCCTGTAATCCCAGCATTTTGGGAGGCTG
Organism: Homo sapiens; assembly: GCF_000001405.40. Taxonomy (NCBI): domain Eukaryota; kingdom Metazoa; phylum Chordata; class Mammalia; order Primates; family Hominidae; genus Homo; species Homo sapiens. The sequence continues at coordinate 131,161,749 of NC_000002.12, read as the reverse complement.
AGGTGGGTGGATCACAAGGTCAGGAGATCGAGACCATCCTGGCTAATACAGTGAAACCCTGTCTCTACTAAAAATACAAAAAATTAGCCAGGCATGGTGGCGGGTGCCTGTAGTCCCAGCTACTCAGGAGGCTGAGGCAGGAGAATGGCGTGAACCCAGGGGGCAGAACTTGCAGTAAGCCGAGATCCTGCCACTGCACTCCAGCCTGGGCGACAGAGCAAGACTCCTCCGTCTCAAAAAAAAAAAAAGAAAAGAAAAATCCATTCTGAAATTTATTTGGAATTTCAAAGGACCCTGATTTAGCTAAAACAATCTTGGAAAACTTGGAGGATCCACATTTCTTGATTTCAAAACTTACTACAAAACTACAGTAATCAAAAGTGTGGTACTGGCATAAGGACAGAAATATAGACCAATGAAATAGAATACAAAGCCCAGCAATAAACCCTCACATTGATTTTCAATTGATTTTCTACTATACTGTCAAGACCATTCAATGGGAACAGTCTTACTAACAAATGGTACTGAGAAAACTAGATATCCATATGCAAAAAAATGAAATTGGACCCTTACCTTACCTCACATACAAATATCAACTCAAAATGTATCAAAGACCTAAACGTAAAAGCTAAAACTACAAAATTCTTAGGAAAAAATAGGAAAGAATCCCCATGACTTGAATTTGGCAATAATTGCTTAAACATGACCACAAAAGCATGGCAGCAAAAGAAAAAATAGATAAATCAGATTCCATCAAAATTAAAACATTATGCATAAAAGGAAACTACAGTATCAACAGAGTAAAAAGATAATTCACAGAATGGCAGAAAGTTTCAAATCATGTATCTGATAAGTGATTAATATCTGGAATATACAAAAATTCCTACAGCTGAACAAAAAAATTCAACCAAATTAACACTGGGCAAGGGATTTGCATAGACGTTTCTCCAAAGAAGATATACAAATAGACAACAAGCACATGAAAAGATGCCCAACCTCATCAGTCACTAGGGAAATACAAACCTAAATCACACTGAGTTACCACTTCATATTCACTGGGATGGCTATTACAAAAATTAAAATAATGGGAAAAGGAAAATAACAAGATAACAGTGTTGGCGAGGACATGGAGAAATTGGAACCTGCATGCAACGTTGATAGAAGTTTAAAATGGTGCAGCCACTGTGGAAAATAGTTTGGCCATTCCTTAAAAAGCTGAACATAGAATTACTCTGTGACCCAGAAATCTCACCTCTAGGTATGTACTCAAAAGAACTAAGTTGGATGTGGTGACACATACCTGTAATCTCAGCTACTCAGGAGGCTGAGACAGGAGGATGGCTTGAGCCCAGGAGTTTGAGACCAGCCTGGGCAATATAATGAGACCCTATCTCTAAAAAAAAAAAGAAAAAAAAAAAAAGAAAAAAGACCAGGCGCAGTGACTCAGGCCTGTAATCCCAGCACTTTGGGAGGCCCAGGCGGGCGGATCACCTGAGGTAGGGGGTTCAAGACCAGCCTGACCAACATGGAGAAACCCTGTCTCTACTAAAAATACAAAATAGCCGGGCGTGGTGGTGCATGCCTGTAATCCCAGCTACTAGGGAGGCTGAGGCAGGAGAATCGCTTGAACCTGGGAGGTGGAGGTTGTAGTGAGCAGAGATCGTGCCATTGCACTCCGGCCTGGGCAACAAGAGTGAAACTCCGTCTCAAAAAAAAAAAAAAAGAAAAAGAAAAAACTGAAGAAGATACTTGTACACCAATGTTCATAGCAGCATTATTCACGATAGCTAAGAGATAGAAACAACCCAAATGTCTATCAACAGATGAATGGGTAAACGAAATGTGGTATAGCCATAAAAAGGAAGAAATTCTGACACATTGCTACGGATGAATCTTGAAGGCATTAGGTTAAGTGAAATAAGCCAATCACAAAAGGACAAATATTGCATGATTCCATTTATATGAGGTATCTAGAATAGGCAAATTCATAGAAACAGAAAGTAGAATAGAGGCTACCTAGGGATGGGGAGAGCATAGAATAGGGTTTAGTGCTTAATGAATACAGAGCTACTGTTTGAGGTTATGAAAAAGTTCCAGGAATAGTGGTGATAGGTGCACCACATTTGAATGTACTTAATGCCACTGAATTCTACACTTTAAAATAAATTGAAATTTACACTTAAATTTAGGTCTTTGATCCATTTTGAGTTAATCCTATTCTCAGCAACTGACGCAGAAAATCAGCAAGGAGAGGACATCAGAGCAACACAATCAACCAACAGAACCACTGCATGCAACAATAGCAAGCTACAAGTTATTTTCAAACATCTATGAAACATCCACCAAGGCCGACATTGTCCTGTGCCGTAAAACAAGTCTCAACAAAATTTAAAGTACAGAGTACTGCAGAGTACATTCCCTGACCACAATGGAGTAAAACCATAAATCCATGACAGAAAACAGAAAAACTAATCATGTAAAAAGTAAGCAACATACTTCTAAATAATCCATAGGTGGAAAGGGAAATCTCAAAGGAAATTAAAAATACATGGAGCTGAGTGAAAATTAAAATAGAACATATCAAAATATGTGGGATATACCAAAAGCAGTGTTGAGATTTTTATGTCACTGAATGCTTACATTAATTAAAGAGGAAAGGTGTCCAGTCAACAATCAAAGTCCCTACTCAAGAAACTAGGAAAAGGAAAACAAAATAAACATGGGAGGGAAATAATGAAGAGGAGAAATTTTCATCTTACTGATTTCTCCTCTTCATTATTTCCCATTTTCTCCTCTTCATTATTTCCCTCCCATGCTTGCTTTGTGTTTGTTTCTACTGTTCTAGTAAAGAAAAGTTAAAAAAGAAAAAAGCAATTAACAAATCTTTATTAAAAGCTGACAAAAGAGAAAAGACACAAATTACCCATGTCAGGAATGAAGCCGAGCCATGACTGCTGCTCCCGCCGCCACTGAACAGCTAATAAGGGAATATCTGGAACAACTTTACACTCACAAATTCGACAACTTAAAAGGGATGGACCAATTCCTCTAAAACCACAAATGACCAAACTCAAACCATGATAAAATAATCAATCTGAATGGTCCTAGAACCATTAAAGAAATTGAACACTTTTTTGGAGCAGGGGGAAGGGTCTCACCCTGTCACCCAGGCTGGAGTTCAGTGGTGCGATCTGAGCTCACTGCAGGCTGCGCCTCCTGGGTTCAAGCAATCCTCCCACCTCAGCCTCCATCTGTAGTAGTTGGGACCGCAGGCATGCGCCGCCACACCTGGCTAATTTTTTGTATTTGTTGTAGAGATGGGGTTTTGCCATGTTCCCAGGCTGGTCTCCAATTCTTGAGCTCAAGCAATCAGTCCACCTTGGCCTGCCAATAAATTGACTCTTACCTAATGCATTAGTTCCCTGTTACTGCTGTGGCAAATTATCACAAATGTAGTGCCTTAAAACAACACATTTATTTACTATTTACAGCTGTGGAGGTGAGCGATCACAGTGTGAGCAGTGCCGCATCCTTCTTGGAGCTTCCCCGGGGAGCATTCAGCTCCTTATGCTAATATGCATAGCACCACTCACCTGATTGTTTTTCACTCAGCCGTTATGATCTTCATGGTCTTCATTTACTTCCATTAGTTCTGAAATGATTCTTTGTGCCATGATTTACTTTATTCCCATTATTGGACATTTAAGATGTTAACAATTTTCAGCTAGGTATGCATGATGAGCAACTTTGTGTAGGAGACATTTTTCCCTTTTGGGGTTATCTTTTTTGAGATGGATACCCATAAGGACATGGTCAGAGTATGCACATTTTTAAGGATTTCAATACATACTGTCAAGCTGCCCTCCCGATAGATGGCAGTGTGGGAGGTGTCCACCACACTACACCCTCAAAACTGGCCCAGATCTCTGCATTCACAATCCCTGAGCAGAGCAAGGCTGGACTGACGGAAAGCTGTGAAGGCACATTCAATGGGGAGTTCCTGGGCCAGGAGATCCAGGAGGGGCACTGAACTGGCACAGTCACCAAGGAGCCCATGGGGTGGCCAAGAGCAGGCACATCATGTGGCCAGGAAGAGGGCAGGGCTTAACCACAAGCAATAGGTGGGCAGGGGGTTGATAAAGGAGGTGGAAAGAATGGAGCACAGGTGGAGGTGTGGGCGGCTGGGCCACGTGGTGGTGGGAGCTCCTGAGCACGATGGAGCAGAGTCCCTAAGTGTGGATCCTACTAGGGGATGGGACAGCCCCTAGATGACAGGCCACAGCCAAGGGCCTGGCTATAGGAGGCCCGACTGCCCGCGGTGCCTCATGTGGCTGTGGCGTTGTTTAGGGAGCAAAAATGCCTGGCAGAGGTCCAGCGGGGATGGGGTCAGTCCAGGTGCACTCTGCTTCCAGCCCATCACCCGGCACAAGGAGATTCACTAGAGGAAGGGGCTCCATTTTCTGACTCATGCACAGCTACCAGACAAGCTCCTAGAGCCTGGCCATGCCCAGCCCAGGACCAGGTGTGGAGCAGTTAGTTGCTCAGGGCATGTTTGATGAGGGACTAAGGGAATGAATGAATGCAGAATGCCCTAAGACCCTGCACAAAGAGGCCCTCACTTTACTTTTGGTCACAGCCTCCACACAACACAAGGACCGCTAAGGCAGGTCTCCCTTCCATGGCTAAAGTGAATGAATGTCCCCACCCCCAACCTCCCCAGGGGTGCTGTGCCCATCCAGCAGGCCCGGGCCTGGCCAGCAGAGGGCTGGCCTCATGTCCACCGGCTGCATGAGGTGAGGAGGGCAGGCTCTGGAGTTACACCGGCCTCAGAAAACCCCGCTCCTGCCGTCCCTGCTGTGTGGCCTGGGGCTGCTGAGAGAGAACGGCCGGTGCACATGGCAGAACAAGGCCAGCCTGGTGCCCACACCCACTCCTAGCTCAGCTCATCCTCACATTCTGCTGAAACCCATGGCCCAGGCCCACTGAAGGAAACCCTCCAGGACAGGGCTTGGAGCATGGTGCGGCCACAGCACCCCAGGGGGTTTGATCAGTAATTTGGAGGAAACAGAAACTGAAAGTGTAGCTCTTCTGTCTGCAGCCGGTCCACCCCCACCTCCCCGCAGCCTTCCACCCTTCTGCCCCCACCTCACAGGGTGCCCCAGGTGTCCCCTCATGCTCAGGCATGGTGCCACCGCCTAAGGGCCAGTCTCCACCTCCAGCCTCCTAGGGGCTGAGGGCCTGAGGACCAGCACAAACTCCTTGGCCTTTCCTGTTTCATGGTAGCAGGGCTTCTGCTGCCTTCAAGGTGTGTCCCAGGAAAACCAGCCAAGACTTCAGCCCTGAAGTCAATGCTGCCCCCTCGAAGATAGCCTGAGTGTTTGCCACAAGTGACATGCTTAGGGTCTTAATCAGGCATTACTTTCCAATCCGCGAATGTGGGACAGAATGTTATTAATCAACTCCACAACTGCTGAGCGTAGCGTCCAAGCTGGCACCAAGGTCCGTTGGGACCTGCCTCTGGGAGAGGGTGGCTGAGAGCCCCTGCTGTACTGGCATCTCCCGCTCTGAGTCCTCATCTGTAAACGTGGTCCTCAGAGCAGCCCTGAGAGCTCTGCGCCCAACAGTCTTCTAAGTGGTCCCGTGTGTGTTCGTTCCTCACTCCAGCAACTCTCTAAGGCTGACGCTGTCATTGTCCCATTTACAGACGTGATTGCTGAGGTTCAGGGAGGATTTTGGGGGAGGTGGAGGCAGCTCGGCCTTTCTCTCTCTGGAGCTCTCCTCTGGAGACCCCACCCAGCAGGCGCTGCCTCCCAAGGCTGGTGGCACGGCTTCTCTTACAGACCCGGTGTTGTGCCACGTGGCACACAAGACCCAGGACAGCCAGGCCTGGACCACTCATGTAGCTGACTCAGGGCCAGGTGTGAATTGGGAGTGGAGATGATAATCACCTCTCTGGACATTAGATGCAGGGTGCAGGAGTGACGGTGTGGGGGCAAAGAGCGCGCGCACGCGCACACGCACGCACACATGAACAAGCACGCACATGCACGCACGCACACATGAACACGCACGCGCGTGCCTCAAGGCCAGCTGCGCAGTGTCCACGTGGAGCCTCCTGAGGGCAGGACCGTGCCCCCTGGCTCCCTCGTGCTGCCGGGCCGGCCGCAGGGCCGCAGCGGACACCGATGAGGGAAGGACAGCCCCGCAGAGAGCGGAAGTAGCGGGCGCGGACCTCGAGGGGCTGGACCCTCAGCCTCCACCGCGCCTATGCTCAGGGCCGGAGCTGCGCGAGGCCCCCTGGGAGAGGCCCAGCCCCTGTCAGGAGGGGTCTGGGGAGGGAGGCTCCAGAAGGTGCAGGGAACTGGACTCACGGCCTCCCCCATCCCCAACTCCAGTTCACTCGGCTTTCCACTGAAACGTGGCAGGGACACCGATGCCCTCCACGTGCCCAACCCGCCTTGCCCCCGCGCCCTCTGTTGCTACTGTGCCCAGGCCTCTGAACTGACCTCCGGACATTCCCACTCGGATGTTCAGCAGAAATCTCGCCCTTCACAACCACACTCCTAAGTCTCTGCCCCACAGCATCACCTACGAGCACCCCCGCACAAGGCCCAGGAGCTCTGCCAGAAATCACTTCCCCCCACCCGATAGCCGCCCTGCAGCCAGCCATCTCAAGGGCTCCCGCGGTGTGGCCACACAGCTGCCATCCCCAAATCGCTTTCCAAAGTTCTCTGCCCTCGCAGCCCACGGCCCATAGCCACTCCCGCCTGAGCCCGCCTGCGGGCCTCGCACAGCAGCTCCTCGCCTGGAATCCAGCGCACGCCCTTCCGCGACCCGGGCAGTCCTCCCGATGCTCTGCCCAGCCCCGCTGGGAGGATAGCGGCTGGGTTGGTGTGGCTGCAGGCAGAGACCTTGCCTGCCCTACTCAGCCTCCTCCACCGGCGCCCGGGAGGGTGTCCAGTGCGTCCGGGGGTGTGGGCTGGCCTTGAACTCAGGGGAGCTGGAGTGGGCAAGCTGGGAGGGGACTGTGGGCAAAGCCTGCTGGGCTGTGTTCAGTAGGAGGCTTTTGGTCCACCAAGCCTGTGGTGGCGGTTAGGGACGTGTAGTTACAGGGCCGGGCAGGGCCTGGACCAATAGCCCAAAGTCGGCCTCAGCATTGGCACAGCAGGACAGGCCTTCGGAGGCCCCACCGTGACGACGGGACTGGGTGGAGGGTCAGAGGCCGTGGCCAGGAGTCACAATGGGGACAGAGCAGGGTGGTTGGAGAAGCCTCCTAGGGCAGAATAAGACAGTGAGGACTCGGCAGTAGTAGAGGAGGAGTTGGGCGTGCCCCGCAAATCTCACAACATCCCACTAGGTGCTGTGGGGCTGTCCCTGTCCCCACCACACAGGACGCTGACATATCTGCCACCTTCGGGCCCAGATGACTCACCCTGAGCAGTCAGAAAAGCACAGGGAAGCATTCATCCTGTGAGAAGCTCAGAAGCCCTTTACCCTCTCAGGACCTCTCCTGAGATGTAGCAGGGGCCAGGCTGGCGAGGGAGGTGTGGCAGCCGGAACATTCCTGAGGCTGCCCTGACACCTGGTGGCAGCCCTCAGAACTAGCAGCTGCACAGAGGAAGTGCCGTTGAGCAGGAGTGAGCGCAGGAAGGGGGAGAGAGAAAGGGGGAGTGGGAGAGAGGGAGTCCATTCTAGACCAGTGGTCCTCAAATTTGAACCTGTAATGGCATCACCCTGAGGGCTGTCACTGACTTGGGAGATCCAGAACTGCTGGAAAATCAGCATTTCTAAGAGGCTCCCAGAGGCTGCTGTGCTGCTGGTCTGGGACCAAGCCATGGGTCTGGGAAAGGAATGGAGGGATGTCTCTGCTCCTACTGGGTGCCTACTGGGTGGTACTGTTATTACTATACCTTCCTTATAAAGGAGGCCACTGAGGCTAGAGAGGCCACGTTCCCACGCTATCCACATCCATGCCCACAGAAGTGATAAAGATTTGAATTCAGTGCAGCCCCAGAGTCCTCCCTAGGGGTCCCTGCTGCACATCTGTTGAGCAGGTCATAGCCTGGGTGTGTCTGCACCAGGTAGGCAAGACGGCTCCTGAGAATGGGCCCTGCCTAGCACGCCTGCCAGGGGACTGAACCAGGAACACACAAGCTGCTCACCTGGCCTCTGACAGGTTAGTGAAAGAACTGGGCAGGGCCTGCCTGGGGTGCTACCTAGGAGCACCTAGCTCACTGCCCTTTGGAGGTGACCCTGTTTGAGAAATGTCATTCTGATGACATAGCAGTGGAGGGTCTGATGGAGCTGCCAGCTCTCCTGGGGCCCAGGAGGAGGTGCCTCTCACCTGATTCCCACTTCCCAGGCAGGGGCACGCCCAGAGAGCCATGCAAAGCCAGTGCTGGGCCCCTTCCTGCCTCCCACTGGCCAGTGACTGTCCCTGGACTCAGCAGCACCACAGGAGGGGAGGAGGCCGTACTGTCCAGTGTCGCTCCTCAGCATCGTGCTGAGCTGGAGGGAAGGCCAGGAGGCCTCCTAGAGGAGGGGACGCCTGTCCAGCAGCTCAGTGGACATCAGTGAGTTGAGCAGGGAGGGAGAGGAGAGAGGAAGGCAGAGGCCTCAGAAAGGGCAGGCCTTGGAGGCCAAGACCAGGGGAGTCAAGGCTGCACAGAATCACCTGAGGGCAGGTGGAAATGCAGACTCGGGCCACCCGAGACCCCCTCAGGACGTTGTGGCTTTAAGTCCCAGGAATATGCATTTCTTTTTTTTTTTTTTTTTTTTTTTTTTTAGATGGAGTCTTGCTCTATCGCCCAGGCTGTAGTGTCGCAATCTCAGCTCACTGCAAACTCCGCCTCCCAGGTTCACGCCATTCTCCTGCCTCAGCCTCGTTGAGTAGCTGGGACTACAGGCGCCCACCACCGTGCCCGGCTAATTTTTTGTAGTTTTAGTAGAGACGGGGTTTCACTGTGTTAGCCAGGATGGTCTCTGTCTCCTGACCTTGTGATCCGCCCACCTCGGCCTTCTAAAATGCTGGGATTACAGCTGTGAGCCACTGCGCCCGACCAGGAATATGCATTTCTAACCTGCTCCTGTCCACTGGAGTTTGGACCTCAGGATTCCCAAGACCTTGGCAAGGTGGCCAACTTGTGCCCCCAATACCAGGTAAAATGAGAGCAAGGTGGCAGAGTAGCCTCTGCCCCAGCCCAGCCCACACTGCCTCCTCCCTGCCTGCTGGGGTCCCACAGGTCCCAGAGCCAGCCACCAAGCCAGGCAGGACCTCAGGCCTACCCAGGTGCCTCAGGGTACACCACATCTGTCCCTCATCTGTAAGCCTGCATCATAAGAAACATTTATTGTCAGTAGTTACAAAGGTTCCCAGCACCACTCTCCATGCCTCCCATCTGTGCTGACTCAGTGAATGCACATCACAGTCCTTCAGGGTGCTCCTACTGTACCTGTCGTAAACAAAAGGGGAAACGCAGCGGCGAGCCGCCCCCCAGAGCATGCAGCTGGTAAATGCCCGGTGATGGCTCAGGCCAGGCATCACTGCCACCATGCCTCATTACCCCCACCTCCACCAGCTTAGGTTAGTGGTTGAAGGGAGAAAGTTCTGCAAGAAGAGTAAAAGTGGGGGATTATGCAAAGACTAATAAAAGGTCCGGGGAACACAGAAATGCCAAGACTCCATGTTTACATTCCCTGGAGGGGCAGAGGAAGCCCTTCCCACCTGCAAAGCTCAGGCGTGGCAGGGCCTTCCTTGGCCATGAGAACAAGAAGTGAGTGGTCTCACCTTTGAGGGCAATGGAGACACGAACTGTCACCCAGTTTTACAAATAACAGAAGAGAAGCTCAGGAAAAGAGGAACAGAGGGTCAAATCTGCAGAGGACTCAGTGTGCCCAGCACCGTGCTCGGCCTTCCTGCACACTCAGGTCACTTAGTCCTCTACCAGCCCTGTGGGCTTGGTATCACCCCCTTCCCTCCAGCCATTCACAGACATGAAAAGGCTCAGAAGGGCAAGCCCCGACCCTGGGACCCCACGTGGTGTGGTGTTATCTGGACCCCTTGCTCTGGTGAGGCCTGGGCAGTGGGAGCACTGTCCCCCTCCCCAAGTATGGTCTCGCTGACTGCTGTGCCCCCTCACCTGGCACAGCACCCAGCGGCAGCTCATCCTGGTCAGCTTTACTGTACGGCAAACAATGCTCCCCCTGCCTTCCGTGACATGGAGCCCCTGAGGGGCAGCTGTGAAGGCTCTGCCCCATGAGTCTTATCTGGGACCACAGAGGAGGGACAGCTCCTGCAGTGGTGAAAAGGATGAGAAGGCTGGAGAAGCCCCCTCTGCTTCCTACAGCACCTGCTCAAACATGACACACTCACACCCCCTTCCCCCAGGCATGGCACACCACCCGCTAGGCTTGGACTCTGTTCCTCCGGTGGGCAAGATGGCATGGGCAGGCTCTCAGCACCAGGCAGGAACTTATAGGCCGCTCACAGGGAAGGGGGAGCAGGACAACCAGGGGCAATAACGCAGTCATCCTCAGCATGACTGTAATGTAATAAAGGACAAATGGATGGAGGAACTATATTCCTTGCTGGAAAGGGTGAATATCTTCTCTAGGCCCATCCACAACAGTTGGTAAGTGGGGAAAGAAACGATTTAACAGCAACGAAAATATCAGTGACCAAATGACATTTGTGTTGTGTGAACTAACAATTTGCTTGTAATTTGCAACCACTGGCTTTATTAATCAGTAAAAACTGTACAAAGTAAATACAAACCCAACTTCCACCGAGAATTGGCGATACTTGATGATCATGATCTGTCATTAACTACGGCCTGTTATCAGCAGCTGAGGCGAGGGCCATTTCTTCCTGGGTTCAGACGATACTTCCCAGACCTCAAGCACTGAGCCCAGGCCACATGATTAGCCCTCACCACTGGAAGGGGAGCGCCACTCCAGAGCTGAGGATGGGTGTGTCTTCACTGTCTTTTCTTCCAGCAGGTTGTATAAGTTCCCACAGCAGATTCCAAGGCAAAGAGATAAAAGCAGTTTTGGTCCCTGAATGACAGCCTGGAGCAGAAGCCTCTCATCCCTTATGAACCCACAATGGACTGCGACTTGAACAAGAAATAGAGCTTTTCGGTCGAGCGTGGTGGCTCACTCCTGTAATCCCAATACTTTGGGAGGCCAAGGCGGGCGGATCATGAGGTCGGGAGATTGAGACCAGCCTGGCTAACATGGTGAAACCCCATCTCTACTAAAAATACAAAAAATTAGCCAGGTGTGGTGGCGGGCACCTGTAATCCCAGCTACTTGGGAGGCTGAGGCAGAAGAATGGCGTGAACCCAGGAGGCAGAGCTTGCAATGAGCCGAGATGACGCCACTGCACTCCAGCATGGGCAACAGAGTGAGACTCCGTCTCTAAATAAATAAATAAATAAATAAATAAATAAATAAAACAAAAAAGTCATATATCCAAAGATGCTGGAGAAGTTATTGGACACACACTGCCAGAGGGATCTGGTTGGGAAAAATAGTGTCCGTTTTCTCACAGCCATCCCAAGAGTGTGACTGCACGGGCCACTGCTGTTTGTGGAAATCAAATTCTCATATGCACACGGCACAGGGAACAACAAGGCGTTTTAACATCAGATGTGGAGACCTACTACCTGCACGCTCCTGAGTAAATTATTTAACTTCTGAGCCTCGGTCCCTCCAGTGGAACTTGGATAATACCTCCCTTACAGAGTCACTAAGAATTCAGTGAGTTGTCTCTAATGTGACAATATACTAGCATTTGGTAGGTCCTCAATAAATGGCATTCTTATGATCCAGGACAGCAGAAAAAGCTGAGAGTATGTTACTACAAAGTAATTTTTTAAAGACAACAGAAGTCACAATGAAACATGCTTTAAGGTTAATGCTTTAATGTATTGACATTTTCACTTACAAATGTACAATTTGCGTATGTAGGAAAAAATCAGTTCTCTAGACACAACAGAATACTACTAGAGACGGGAAAGCAATCACAAAAAGATCAACTCTGGGGAGAAAGTGGAACTGCATTCCATGCCTTGTATCTACATACACTAGGGAAGGAAAAAGAAATATTACACAGGATCAAAACTTGTGGAAAATACACTTGGGTCATTTTGTCTCAACTGCAGGACCTTCTTATGATCCAGATGGCTACCTTAAGTCCTGGATAGCCTAAAATGGGCAAAGTCTGGCCTTGTTCACAAATGATGATCCAAAACATTAACCACAGTTCTCCTTCTCTTTAGTATCCAAGACCCTGAAGTTGACTCAAGGAATGAAAAGAACAATCAGATCAGCATGTATATAATATCATTGGCCAACTTCTTCAAGGTATGGATTATTTAAAAGTACACATGGAAGTAAAATGCTTACTCAAACCTGAATAAGAAGTTTCTTGTAACTCAAGCACTTCTTGACTCACACTAAGTGTAGCACTGTAAACAAAAGACATCGTTGAGAAACTGAGGCTATCAAAACATTGGCATCTATGGGAGTTGTGGCCAAGGAAATAAAATACCTGAGCAACCTTATACCCAGTATGCATTTCATACCAGGATCAAGTCACTAATGACAGCCAAGTTCCAGGCTTATCTATGGCTGCCTAATGAGACTGGCCCCACTAGGATGGGGACTGGGGAGGGGACACACATGAGTGCCCAAGCTTCAGTCTACACCTCCCCCCTTCAGCCAGAAGCAGCCAGGGGAGCACAGGGACATCTGCTTCAAGAGCATTTTGGCAGCAAAAATCAATACTCTGTGGTTCCTGGAATTCCCACCCAGTAATTCCAAGTTCAAAATTACCACCAGTGCAACATGAAAAACTGTTAATAGTTTTTAAGTAAAGTGTACATACAGCTTTAATAACGATTATAATCTGAAGAAAGCCATTCTTCTTATACAGGATGGAAAATCCTCAAAGCAACATTTTAAACCATGGACACTAGAGTTGTCATACATCTATTCAGAGATGAGAGATAAACAGACATCCTTCCATGTGGAAACAGACACTCCCATGTCAACAAGTCCCCTAGGATCAGAGAGAAAAGCAGACCCGTGGTCATCACTAGGTGTCTCTGGTGTCTCGCTAAAGATGGAGTCCTATGTAGGTTGGCCTAAGTTGGCCTCAGAGGGAGGTGGCTGAGCAGCAAAGCAAGACAGCATGTGTGTAACCAGCCAGGCAAAATAACAAGTCTGTGCTACCTGGAGTGTATTTTCAGGAAAACAGGACCATATGGAGTGTGGGGCAGGGACATTCGCTGTGCTAAACTGCCACTGTAAAAGCACACTGTTGAAAGCATGCAGGACAGAAAACTGCAATAATTCAGAGCTTGAAAACAAGAAATAACAGAAATATGAATATTTCAAATACACACTTCATATACTGAAAATAAGAGCATTTGAAGAAAGGCTGGAATGGGTTTTCCAAAGACTCACACATTTTGGGGTTCCAAATTCAATGTTCTAAGCTTCTCTATCACAAAGAGATCAAGAACAAAAGCAAAGCTGGGGGTCCTGGCCAGGCTGAGTGGTACCTTGAGCCGGTCCCTGTGTCCTGAGGGTCCCTGGGCCCCATATCCCATCCATAACCCAAGTCTGCTCAGCTACAGTCTGCCCTGGTGCTCAGTGAACAGCCACAGAGTCCCACTTCTGCACAGGATGGGCCTTCAGAGTGATGAGAGAGCATCTCCCGCACAGTGCAAACCCCCAAAGGCCAGAAATGGGAACGCTCTAACTAAGGCTCTCCTTCCACTCCCTCACTGTTCCTTTAATATTACTCTCTCAGCAAGTAGAAAAATAGGCTATAAGGAGGCTTAGGCAGACACACACTCAAACAGCCTCTTGGAATAAAGCAAATCTGCCTCCACATACTTGTTTGTATATTGTTCTGGCTTCTCCAGGATTTTTTTTTTTTTTTTGAGACAGAGTCTCACTCTGTCACCCAGGCTGAAGTGCAGTGGCACTATCTTGGCTCACTGCAAGCTCCGCCTCCTGGGTTCACACTATTCTCCTGCCTCAGCCTCCCGAGTAGCTGGGACCACAGGCGCCTGCCACCACGCCCAGCTAATTTTTTGTATTTTTAGTAGAGATGGGGTTTCACCGTGTTAGCCAGGATGGTCTCGATCTCCTGACCTCGTGATCCGCCCGCCTCGGTCTCTCAAAGTGCTGGGATTACAGGCGTGAGCCACCGCGCCCAGCCAGCTTCTCCAAGTTTTAAAGGATTAAAGCCCTCAAACTCTCAGGCTTAAATCAATTCCTAATGTGGGATATGTTCTCCAAGTATGCCTACCAAAGCCATACAAGAATAAAGTGAGCAGCAGCAGCAGCTAGGGTCAGGCAGATTTCTGAAGCATGATTGTTCAAAGGCGGGCTGTGCCCCATCATCCTGAGCCATCGGCCTTGCCAGGGGCCTGTGGAGCCCCAGAGGGCAGGACGGGGGCTCTCACACCATAGCCTCGGGAAGTACCTGGGAGCTTACCAACCCACAACTCCTAAAGTAACATGCAACCAGTTCTGGTCTGTGGTTTGAAAAAGTTAAACGCAAAGAAGCTGTAGCTTTTCTTGCCACAATCACTCAATAGGCATACAACACTATATTACTGGCATAACATGAAAATAAATTAACCCTTAAGCACTACACCTAACTCTAAAAAGAAAATGCCTTTCAAAACAGGTATGCTCAAATAAGGTATTCTGAGAGTTGCACAAGAACAGTCTTGGAATGAGCCAGTGCCCCCGGAGAGTCAACATTTGAACAAAATAGCACAGTTCAAACCCTTCTCTGTGGTACTTATGTGGATTAGTACAATTATGACATCACTACTTTCAAAGGAATGATTAAAACTATTATTAAAAACTTTTGTCACAAACAGAAATGCCCTGCAAATCATATTATTGCACACAGGGTTATCAGAAGCTATGCACATCAAGACCTTGAGGCCCCTAGAAGACCCAAAATAGAGACCCTAAGGCCATGCCCGTGGCTGCTCCTGCCAGCATGCCCAGTGCCAGGTCGCTGTCGTTGTCTCGATAGCGCTCTCGAATGATGACTTGGTTAGCAGGCTGCTGTCCATAAAGTCCTAAAAGAGAAGGAAAATAGCAGATTTCTGAGCAGCGGTTTGTGAAGTTTAACATCACGCAAAGTACCAGTTCTCCTTTCACAAAAGGGATCTGCTGTCTCCTGTCACACTGGCGACCCAGCCCTCCTCCACAACAGGCACATCATGTGGCCGACATCCCTGAAACCGCACACTGGGAGGAAACCAAGATCCTCAGCTCACTAAGGGCCAAAGTCCCTAATCTGCAAAAAGCAGAACCCTAATGAAGCTTTCAGATTCTAGCCTCTGATTTCTACTTCAGCCCTCGACACCATGCTTATTGGGTGGCAGACAAATGGGGAACATGGGAGACACACAGTGCCCAACAAAAGCCCAAAAAGGAAATGCTCACTTAAAGCAAATGAGCTTCTTAGTATGCACGCAAACCAATTTTTAAATTAAGCCTTAAATCTGCACATATAACTTTTTTTTTTTTTTGAGAAGGAGTCTTGCTCTGTCCCCAGGCTGGAGTGCAGTGGCATGATCTCAGCTCACTGCAACTTCCACCGCCCAGGTTCAAGCTATTCTCCCACCTCAGTTTCCTGAGTAACTGGGACTATAGGCGCCCACCACCACGCCTGGCTAATTTTTTGTATTTTTAGTAGAGACGGGGTTTCACCGTGTTAGCCAGGATGGTCTCGATCTCCTGACCTCGTAATCCACCCGCGTCGGCCTCCCAAAGTGCTGAGATTACAGGCATGAGCCACCACGCCCGGCCCGGCCTACTCTTTTTTACTGCATGTCTTTATAGAGAAAAAATAAATATTTATGTTAGAGGTGAAAACTTCAAAAAAACAAACCACAGACAAATTTAGTATTTAATTTGCAAGATTAAAATTTACAACTGGAAATATACTGTTTGCTCTCTTCCATGCTTCACAGCTATAATGCCTAGTAGCTAAGTAGCTTTCAAACTGCTCAGGTATTAATAGCGTTAACTTTCCTCCTTGATCCTCTATTCCTTTAATGGTTCAAAGGCTGGCTGGCCAGGCTTGATGGCTCACACCTGTAATGCCAGCACTTTGGGAGGCTGAGGCAGGTGGATCACTTGAGGCCGGAAGTTTTAGACCAGCCTGGCCAACACAGTGAAACCCTGTCTCTTAAAAAATTACCAAAAAAAAATTAGCCAGGGGTAGTGGCGCATGCCTGTAATCCCATACTGAGGCATGAAAATTGCTTGAACCTGGGAGGCGGGGGCTGCAGTGAGTTGAGATCCTGTCACTGCAATCCAGTCTGGGCAACAGAGTGCAACTCTGTCTCAAACACACAAAAAAAGAAAAGAAAAAAAACTAGTCACTAGTGATGTGCACATGTGGATGAAGAGCAGAAGTGAAACCCGCAGTGGTAACAAAGGTGAACATTTCCAGCCACTTACAGCACTACATACATTGGAATGCTCTTACTCAACTGAGTGCACTTTTATCCCTATTTTGCAGATGGGCAAACTGAGGCACACAGCAGTTAAGGACAGTAAGGGCACACAAACCCAGGCACTCTGGCTACAGTATGCATTTATACCCACTAATGCCTCAAATACAACAGAGGATGATGAATGACAAAACTCAAAAGGCACAGAGTAGTACAATGAAACCATCGTAAATCTAAGGGCTGATCTGGTACAGGTAACAGTACTGGAAGCAAGTGATTATTTTTGCAATGTTTAAATTTCAAAACTAGGGAATTACGGCATTTACTTTCACAGCCCTGACATTTTAAAATGCTCAGTAATGTTAACTCCAACTAGCCAAATGTAACACAATAGAACTTGTGAGCTGACCTAATGAAAAGGTCCCATGGAAAATCTACATTCTGATGCCCCTGCAAGTCATGCTGAGGTCCCCTGGCTGCAGGACCAGGCCACTCTCTTGTGGCTCCTGCTGAGCTCTGCTCCTGCATTGAGCTCAGTCCTTGCCAGAGTCAGCTGTGGATGCTTCCAGGTCACACTTATTATAATTGCCTAATTTAACTAATATTACATAAATGGTCAAAATGTGAATGAGAAAAAGGCAGACACAGTTTCTATGGCAACTAAGATACTACAGGAAAAACTAAATAAAGGAAGGTTACTTTTACAAATTACCATCAAATCAGGGAATTAAGAAAACTATAAAAGATGGGAGGATGGGAGGACTATAGTCCCCAAATCTAGAAGTCTGCTCTTGGACTTACCCCTGGAAACTGCAGTGCAATGACGTGTCATGAGGATGGTCTCTACAAGACAGAAATAGAAGACTCCAACCAAAGGAGCCAACTCAAAGCAAACACCTCAACCCCACATTATAGGAGAGCCGAACGAACACCCACTAGCGGGTTAAATCACAGCACAATGTTTACAATACGTCTACAGTACTCTGTACTTTCTCAATTGGCTGACCAACCACTGGTCCCAATCACACTGAAGAGAGAGCCTTAACCAGCTCTGTGCATGACTAGGAGGGTTCTTGTGGACTAGCTCTAGGCAGTGAGACCCTGGCAGACAGGATGGCATGGAGGTGGCAAAGCACCCATCTGGTTGTCAACACAAGCTGCTGTGTATCGACCACAAACCCATTTGACCCTTCCACAGCAAGCAAGTCTGGGGGCTGCCTGGTCACCACTCTGAGGCAGGCTGGCCATAATGCCTACTGACTCAGCCCCTTATGTGGGCGGCAAGCATTCCGAGTACTGCCTGTGAGAGTGCTACTTCTACTCTACTGACGAGAGCCAAGGGCAAGGATGGACTCATTTCCAGAAGTGCCCTAAACAACCACGTCTGCAATATCTGTGCTCTCTATACAGTAAGAAACAGCGGCAACAGCCCTATTCTGTGGGCTGGAAGCTGAGAAAGAGGCTGGCTCTCATGTGGCAAGGCTAGGGCTTAAAACTCTCCATCCCATGGGATCCCAACAGAAAAATGTGCAAAGGAAAATTATTCATAAAAGGTGATATAAACTAAAGCAACTCGATGATTCCACTTGAGACCTACTGAAGCTATCAAAACTTTTAGAGCACAACAGGCCATCTTTATGGGATCACAGATAAACCACTGCATCAGTAACTGCTAGTGGCATTATAAGTTGGTAAACCATTCTGGGATCAACTTGGCAAAATGCTATCCAGATTTAATGTAATATTAACAGATGAAATGATTAAAAATCTGGGATGTCCCTTAAACTAATCCAGAGGTAGAGAAAGGAGGCTGAGGTAGAGATAAAAGATTAGACATGATATGGTTAACTGCTGAAGCCAGTGATGGACATATGATAGTTCATTATACCATCATCCCTATTTTTTATGTTTGAAAACGTTTACATTTTTAAATCATATCCCAAAAAACCGTCAAAAATGTCTATGCCTTCTGACATGTTAACAGAGATGCTCCTCAACTTACAATGGGGTTACCTCCCAATAAACCCATCATAAGTTGAAAACATCATAGTCAAAATGCATTTAATACGCCTAACCTACCGAACATCATAGCTTAGCATAGCCTACCTTCAACTGCTCAGAGCACTAACATTAGTCTGCAGCTGGGAAAATCAACTAACACAAAGCCTATTATAATCAAGTGTTGAAGATCTCATGTAACTGAATGAGTACTATACTGAAAGTGAAAAACAGAATGGGGGTAGGAGTACCTGAAGTACGGTTTCTACTAAATGTACATTGTTTTCGCACCATCGGAAAGTCAAAAAATCATTAAGTCAAACCATCCTGAGTTGGGGCCTGCCTGCATATAGAGATAGAGTCTAGTTGGGGGGGAGAAAAAAAGAACTAGATTCTAGGCCAGGCACGGTGGCTCACACCTGTAATCCCAGCACTTTGGGAGGTCAAGGCAGATGGATCACCTGAGGTCATGAGTTTGAGACCAGCCTGGCCAACAGGGTGAAACCATCTCTACTAAAAATACAAAGTTAGCCAGGTGTGGTGGCACATGCTACTTGGGAGGCTGAAGCAGGAGAATCTCTTGAACCCAGGAGGCAGAGGTTGCAGTGAGCCAAGATCATGACATTGCACAACAGCCTGGGCAACAAGAGTGAAACTCCATCTCAAAAAAAAAAAAGAAAAAAAAAGAAACATATTCTAATGCATATTCAATAAGAACAAAAAGGAAAATGATTAAAGATGTTCAAAGAAGTATCTACAATAGCAAAAAAAAAGAGAGGAAAAAAACAGCCAATACTGGAAGGTTTAATAATACATCACCCAATATGATAATAGGCAATTACTAAAAATACTTAGGAGTATTACATAGCACTTGGGATTCAATACATATAATTTAAAAACAAGACTAGAAATACAATGCATGATTATAAGGAGAAAATATTTTATATGGAGGAAGTACAGGAGGTCCTCAAATAACACTGTTTCATTTAATGTAGTTTCATTATAACATTGATAAGAAGAAAAGAATGGATTCCCCTCTGGGGCACCGCCTGTGTGGAGTGTGAAGGTTTTTTCCATGTTTGCATGGTTTTCTTGGGATAGTTCAGTTCCTTCCCATCCCAAAGATGTGCCCCTTAGGTGAATCGGCGTATCTAAACTGTCCCAGAGTGAGAGGGGGTGTGGGTGAGTGTGCCCTGCAATGAGATAGCATCCTATCCATGGTGGATTCCCACCTTAAGCCCTGAGCTGCTGGGAGAGGGTCCAGCCACCCATGGGCCATGAACTGAAATAACTAGGTAATTATTTTACTTGTCTTTATTAATCTTACATGTATGTATGGCTCACATTAATTTCAATGGTTAATATTAGAAGTGGTGATGTTTTTGTGACCAGAAATAAGCAACAGAAACTTAACTCTTGTTTATACCAATTAGTCTACCATAAAATTGGTTTCATCATATGTTGTTTCATGGAAAGTAACAGTTTCCAAGAATCTACTGTTGATGTTAAGTGAGGACTTACTGTAATTCAAACAAATGTATTTGTGCTAGGCTCACAAGACAATGGACAAATATTTAATCTGTCATAATTACTTTTTTTTTTTTTTTTTTTTTGAGACGGAGTCTCGTTCTGTCGCCCAGGCTGGAGTTCAGTGACACGATGTCGGCTCACTGCAAGCTCCGCCTCCCGGGTTCATGCCATCCTGCAGCCTCAGCCTCCCGAGTAGCTGGAACTATAGGTGCCCGCCACCATGCCCAGCTAATTTTTTTGTATTTTTAGTAGAGATGGGGTTTCACTGTGTTAGCCAGGATGGTCTCGATCTCCTGACCTCATGATCCACCCGCCTCAGCCTCCCAAAGTGCTGGGATTACAGGCGTGAGCCACCGTGCCCGGACTACTTATTATCATTTTAATGGTTTTCAACTTGACATGAAAAAAAGTCAAGCAAAGCAGGATCCTCCAAAGTCCGTGCTAGTTGAGTGAATGTGCCTCAGATTCCCAGAACACAGGAGTATGAGATTTCTCTATTTCTACTCCAGAATCCATTTTAAGTGCTAAATGCATCAAAAGCCAAAGCAACCACCAACAACTACAAGGACACCATCTAAGATTGTAACCCAGAGGCCTCCTTGACTTCTCTGGGCACCACTATTAGTGACCCACGTTTCTGGTACCAGCTCGTCTCCCACTGCCTCTGCGCTGAGACACCATGCTAGTTTTGCTCACAGCCCGGGACTACTCCTCCTCCTGCAAACCCCCACATTCCTGTCTCTCCTGAGCTCAGCCTCTGGCTCCAGCCCACCCACCTGTGCATCCTGCACTATGGTGCTGTGCCCACTGCGCCTGCCCAGCCTCACTTCACAGTGGCCATCGGCCACAGCTCTGCCCTCCCCACCCTCACTGCAGTTCCAGCAGTGGCCAGCA
Organism: Homo sapiens; assembly: GCF_000001405.40. Classification (NCBI taxonomy): domain Eukaryota; kingdom Metazoa; phylum Chordata; class Mammalia; order Primates; family Hominidae; genus Homo; species Homo sapiens. The sequence continues at coordinate 131,140,828 of NC_000002.12, read as the reverse complement.
TTGTCCCACACCTCCACCCTGCCAACCCCCTTGCCCAGGAGACCTGGACATGATACCTCTACACCAGTTACTCATGCCTGCCAAGTGTTTCATGTGAGGTGAAGAACAGAAAGAACAGACTCCAAGCCCAGAATAAATACAAGCCCTTCCAGGCCTGTACTCCACTGTGAAACAGAACATCACCTCAGTAGTGACAACTTTCCAAGGACATCACCAGAAGGAGAACAGCTGAAAGGTCACCTCTCATCCCTTAAAATAGGCCTCTTACTTTGGTTGCTTCTTAATGTAAGTGAATCCCAATAAGTACAAAATTCTCTGAGAACTAATCTACACACAAAAGCCAAGTTCTAAAAATCAAGCCTACGGTAGCTTTGCAGAGCAGTATGAAACTACCAAAGGCTTTCTTAAAGCATAGTAACAGAGTGATTTGTAGTCTACAACCAGAAAATATAGCTCATGTAACCTTAAACTGAAAAATAAAAACGTTTACAGGTCTCTCTGGTCTACTCAGCAAATGGAGAGAAATGAGGAATGAAAGGCCGGCGTGAGTTACCTGCATATGGGTACTGGTAGGGCACGGCATACGCCTGCCCATTCGCAGCGTAGACAACTTGAGTTCCTGGCGGGTACGCACCACCGTATGGCCCATAGCCATAAGCCTGCTGAAAAGAAACAGGCCCATTAGAAATACAATTGTGAAACCTCTGGTAATGTATTAAAATTGTGGTCTCCAGGTTGCAATCAATAAAATTCAACAGTCAATTAAAAAAAACAAAACAAAACATGAAACAGTGTGGTTAGGCCCCCCGTTTTAAAATTACTAAAAAACAAACAAAAGCTACAATTGGAGTCCACTTTCAGGCTACAGAATGAAGAAGGCAGAAAAACACAACAAAAGAAGAGAACTGGACTTGCATGAGATTTGGATTTCAATTCAGCTGTGCTGTTAACCTGACCTTCAGTAAGTCACCTGGGCCTTCCTTTGCCCATCTGTAAAATGATAAGGTTGGACCAGGTGATAATGAGATTCACCAAAACCACTATTCTGCAGGCAAAGCCAGCCTAGAAGCGGAACCCTCTCTGGCCCAAATTCAGCAATTCCAGGCACAATATGGAAGATGAGGGTGCCCTGAGGTGTGGCACCTGGGCAGGTGACTGATGGTGTTCTGGCTGCACACACCTATGAAAAGACATGGCGAGAAACATGCAGCAGACCCACCTCCACTGGCAGTGAATGACCACTGTGTGCTGAGAAATACTGAAATCAAAGACTGGCCTTCCTTGCATACTCACAGGTTGAGAGGAGATCAGACATACTTGCACAACTAATGTCGTTCTGTGACAAGTGCTCTGATAAGGGAGAACAGAGTTGTAGCCAGGCAAACATGTGTGTAGATCTAAACCTGTTATCTTACAAAAGCAGGAGACAAGACTCCCACTTCTAGAAGATGGAGTAGACATTCTTTCTTGTAGTCCTCCTGCTAAGTACAGCTACAATCTCTGGTCATTATATACAAAGCAAACACAAGAAGACTGAAGAGAGAGAAGACAGACGGGAGAGGAACTTTAGCACCTGAGGGAGGACCTGGGTTTCCTTTTTGCTTCACACATCCCAAACTAGATAATGGGGAAGGTGGCAAGCTGGAAGTGCCGATCAGTGCAGACCAAAAAGACCCTGAGAAGAGCTGCTCTCTTTAACAAAGAATCTAAGAAGGAAAGGGGCAACCTAGCAAGACAGAACATTTTTAGACAATAACCTCTCTACTCCAGGGAACCACCACATAAAAGCCTTCAGCCTCACATCAGCAAACGCCAAGTGTGAAGAGCCTGAATTTCCATGCTCAGCAGGCCAAATAGCAAGGCACTGCCGGGCCTTCAGAACACCGTCAAATAAGACTGAGTGGGGGGCTGAGAATTTCTTCCCCACCAGATGGAAACAAAACACCCCCATCCTGCTGGGTGGTGTCCATGAAGACCATGTGGGGAGCCAGAACCCCACTCCCACCCAGCAGAAATAAGGTGTCCTCCCTATTCCACTGAGATGGGATCAGCAGAGACCAAGTGGAAAGTGAGTCCTTTCAGGACCTCTCAGTGGCAATCATGGTATCAGTGGAGGCTACGGGGGAAGCAATAAGAAAGAGCCTTTCCTCTTCTCAGACAGGGTGGGCTCAGTGGAGATCTAGTCAGAACCTAAATTCACAACCCCCTCTGCAGTGACAAGAAACCTGGCCCATGGGTGTCAACTGAGGCTCAAGGCGAGCCCGGACTTCCACCTCTACCTGGCAGCAATAAAGCAGCTCCCCAGAAGGAGGTCTGCTAAAACATGAGATTTAAATAAGATTCAGAGTCTTACAGTACTTAAAATGTCCAGCTTTTGATCAAAAGCCATTTATACCAAGAACCAGGAAGACCTCAACTAAATGAGAAAAGACAACAACAAAACACACTAACACAAAGATGACAAAGATTTTTAAAGCAGCTATCATAAAAACCTTTCAACAAGCAATTATGAACACACTTGAAATAAATAAAAAATTTAAAGTATCTACCATAAAACAGAAAAATCTCAGTAAAAAGTATATAAAGACATACATTCAATTTTTTATATATCAAGATATAAAGAATAACCAAATAAAAATTTCAGAACTAATAAATACAATAACCAATTTAAATAGTTCAATGAATGGGCCCAACAACATAATGGAGATGACAAAGGAAAGAATCCATAAACATGAATATAAAGGGTAGAAATTACCCAATCAGAGCACAACAGAGGAACAATAGATTGAAGTAAAAAAAAAAAAAAAAAAAAATGAGCATCTCTGGGACACATGAGACTAACAGGGATGTTATCAGAGTGCCAGAAGGAGAGTAGAAAGTGGCTGAGGTTGGAAAAGCACTCAAGAATAATGATTTAAAATTTCCCAAATTTAGCAAAACCCCAAGCCTATATATTCAAGAAGCTGAATGAATACCAAACAGGATAATCCCAAAGAAATCCACACAAATACACATTATAGTCAAACTTTTGAAAACCAAAGTCCACAGAGCAAGCAGAAGGAAAGAAATAAAAGAATAGAATCAATGAAATTGAGAGACAGAAAAAGTGAATAAAACGAAAAGCTATTTCTTTGAAACTATTCATAAAATTAATAAAACCTTTAGTAAACTATCAAAAAGAGCAAAGACAAATTACCAGTATCAGGAATGAATGAACTGGAGGATTTTTACTATAGACTCTGCAGACATCACAAGGATAATAAGAAAACACCATAAAGAACTCTACACATCTAAGTCAGACAACCTATAAGAAAAGGAACAATTCCACAAAAACTACAAACTGTCAAAACCTACTCCATACAAACTAGAGAATTTGAGTAGACCAGTCACTAATAAGAAAGCTGTATCTGCGGTGGACCCAGAAGAAAGGTCATGTGAGGATACAGGGAGGAGGAGGCCATGTGCAAGCGCAGGAGGGGCCTCAGGAGAACCAATGCTGCCCAACACCTTGACCTTGGGCTTTCAGCCTCCAGAACTGTGACAAATAGATGTGTGTTGGTTAGGCCAAAAAAAGTAAAAAGAGGCCGGGCACAGTGGCTCACGCCTGTAATCCCAGCACTCTGGGAGGCCGAGGCGGGCAGATCACGAGGTCAGGAGATCGAGACCGTCCTGGCTAACACAGTGAAACCCCGTCTCTACTAAAAATACAAAAAAATTAGCCGGGTGTGGTGGCAGGCGCCTGTAGTCCCCGCTACTCAGGAGGCTGAGGCAGAAGAATGGCGTGAACACGGGAGGCGGAGCTTGCAGTGAGCCGAGATCACGCCACTGCACTCCAGCCTGGGCGACAAGAGTGAGACTCCGTCTCAAAAAAAAAAAAAAAGAAAGAAAAGAAAGAAAAAAAGAAAAAAGATGTTGTCACTTAAAATCTCCCAAAAAAGAAATCTCCAAGCCCTGACAGTTTCACTGGAGATTTCTACCAAATTTTAAAGAAGAATTAATGCCAATTCTACACAATTTCTCCCAGAAAAGAAAAGAGCAGAAAACACTTTCCAATTTATTCTATAAGGTCAGTATTGCCTTGATAAAACAAAACAAAGTACAAAAAAAGAAAACTATAGACCAATATCCCTCATAAATATAGACGCAAAAATCCTTAACAAATATTAGCAAACTGAATTCAGCAATAAATAAAAAGAATCATACACCATGACCAAGTAGGCTTTATTCCAGGGAATGCAAGGCTGGTTCAGTATGTGAAAACCAAACACTATAATCCACCATATTAGCAGGCTAAAAAGAAAAGAAAAATCTCATGATCATATTAATTACTGTAGAAAAAGTATTTAACAAAATCACTTTGGGAGGCCCAGGCAGGAGGATTGTTTGAGGCCAGGAGTTCAAGACCACCCTGGGCAACAGAACAAGACCCTGTCTCTACAACAAAAAAAAAAAATTTTTTTGCAGCCATGGTGGCTCAGGAGGCTGAGGCAAGAGGATTGCCTCAGCCCAGGAATTCCAGGCTGAAGTGAGCTAATGATAGTACCACTGCACTCCATCCTGGGCAAGAGAGTGAGACCTCATCTCTCAGGGGGTCAGGGGAGAGAGGAGAGGAGAGGAGGAGAGGGGACGGGCGGGGGAAAGGAGAGAGGGAGGGAGGGAGGGAGGGAGGAGGCAGGAAGACAGGCAGGCAAGCAACTGACAACCAGTCATGATAAACACTCCTGGAAACTAGAAAAAGGGAATTTCTAAACCTGATAAAGAATAAATATAAAAAACCTCCAGCTAACAGCATACTTAATGAATGCATTAAATACTAAATATATGCATATGTAAAACTAAATACTGAATTCAGTACTAATTAAATACTGAATTAAACAGTACATTCATAATAAATGAATGCATACTTAAAACTGAATACACTGGCCGGGCGCGGTGGCTCACGCCTGTATTCCTAGCACTCTGGTAGGCCAAGGTGGGTGGATCACAAGGTCAGGAGATCGAGACCATCCTGGCTAACATGGTGAAACCCCGTCTCTACTAAAAATAAAAAAAATAAAAAAATTAGCCGGGCATGGTGGCAGGTGCCTGTAGTCACAACTACTAGAGAGGCTGAGGCAGAATGGTGTGAACCCGGGAGGCGGAGCTTGCAGTGAGCCGAGATCTCGCCACTGCACTCCAGAGCCTGGGTGACAGAGCGAGACTCCATCTCAAAAAAAAACACTGAATACATCCCCCCTAAAATCAGGAACAAGGCAAGGATGTCTTCTCTCACTACTGCTATTCTACATAATATTTGAAGGTCTAACCAAGGCAACAAGGCAAGGTAAGGAAACAGAAGGCATAAAGGTTACAAAGAAAACAGATTCCTATTTGTAGATGACATGATTGCCTATGTAGTATATCCCAAAGAATCTACAGAAAAAGGAAATAGAGTAAGTGAGCTTAGAAAGTTTACAGGCGCCGACCAGGCACCATGGCTCATGCCTGTAATCCCAGCACTTTGAAGGCCAAGGCAGGTGGATCACCTGTGGTCAGGAGTTTGAAACTAGCCTGGCCATCATGGTGAAACCCCATCTCTACTAAAAATACAAAAAATTAGTGTGGTGGCACGTGCCTGTAATCCCGGCTACTCAGGAGGCTGAGGCAGGAGAATCGCTTGAACCCAGGAGGCGGAGGGTGCAGTCAGCCAAGATCGCGCCACTGCACTCCAGCCTGGGCAATAAGAGAGACACTCTGTCTCAAAAAAAAAAGAGAAAGTTTACAAGCTGCAAGATCAACCTACAAAAATCAATTCTATTTCTCTATACTGGCAGTAAACAAAGGAAACTAAAACTAAAAATGTAATACCATATGCAATCACTAAAAAAACTGAAACACTTATAAATCTAACAAAACATGTATGGGATTTTTATACTGAAAACCTCAAAATGCTGATGAAAAAAATCAAAGAGGATCTAAATACACATGCAGTCCATGTTTATAACTGGAAGATTCAACATTCAATAAAGATGTCATTACTCTCCAAATAAATATGACACAGGTTTAAGGCAATTCCTGCAAAAGCCTTGCAAGATTTCATTGTAGATATAAACAAATTTATTCTAATGTATATGGAAAGCTAATGGAACCAGAATAGCTAAAACATTTCCAAAAAGGAACAAAGAGGGTGTTGATCAGTCCACCCAGTTCCAAGACTTTTTATAATAGCTGCAATAATTAAGACTGTGTGGGATCAAAGGAAGGTAACAATACAGAACAATGGAGCAGACCACAGACCTCAGAAAGAGATACACTCAACAGAGCCCTGAAAAAGACATCTATCTTATAAAAAATTAATTCAAAATTAATACAGAATAATTATAAAACCTCACTATAAAACTTTCAGAAAATAATGTAGGAGAAAATCTTAGGAAACTTGGGCTAGGTTTGTCATGTTAAGTTTTAACCTGACAGCAAAAGCACAACCGAGAAAAGGAAAAGCCAATAAATCAGCTCATGCCTGTAATCCTAGCTCTTTGGGAAGCTGAGGCAGGAGAACCGCTTGAACCCGGGAGGTGGAGGTTGTGGTGAGCCGAGATCGTGCCACTGCACTCCAGTATAGGCAACAAAAGCGAAACTCCATCTCAAAAGGGCCGGGTGCAGTGGCTGACACCTGTAATCCCAGCACTTTGGGAGGCCGAGGTGGGCGGATCATGAGGTCAGGAGATTGAGACCATCCTGGCTAACACAGTGAAACCCCGTCTCTACTAAAAATACAAAAAATTAGCCGGGCGTGGTGGCGGGCGCCTGTAGTCCCAGCTACTCGGGAGGCTGAGGCAGGAGAATGCCGAGAACCCAGGAGGCGGAGCTTTTAGTGAGCCGAGATCGAGCCACTGCACTCCAGCCTGGGCGATAGAGCAAGACTCCATCCCAAAAAAAAAAAAAAAACCACTCAGCAATAAAAAGGATTATTGACAAAGAGCAACTTGGACAGATCTCAAGGGCAAATACTGAGTGAAAAACGTTAAACTCCCAAGACCACGTGCTATATGATTTCATTTATATGACATTGTTGAAATGATAAAACTATAGAGCTGGAGAACAGTTCAGTGATTGACAGGGTTTAGGGAAGCAGAGGGATGGCATGACTATTAAAGGGTGTCACAGCAGGAAGATTTTGTGAAGAATTCTTTATCTTGATTGAGGTGGTAGCTACACAATCTACACGTATGAGAAAATGACACAGGATTACTCTTAAATACCACACCAATTCCAAATTCCTGGGTTTAATTTGATCGAATATTAACAAATGGGGAAAACACATAAAAAGCACATGAGACTCTCAAAGCTATCTTTGCAACTTCTTGTGAATCTATAATTATTTCAAAATTCAATTTTTTTAAAAGCTGCGTGTTCCACACAACAGACTTACATACGTTCCACTAGCTCAGTCAGCACCCCAACAAGAGGACATCCCAATGTATTTGACATGATTTTTTAAGGTTATTTTCCCTAAAATATAGCATTTTTTTCTGACTATAAGGAGAATTCAAATAATTCATTCCATATAAACTACAGATCATCAAAATCTCATTACCCAAGGCAACTATCATTAACATGATGCATTTTTAGATCTATCTTAAAAACGTGTTACACATTAATACAGCACATTATAATGTGCTGAACTATATAAAATAGTTGCTTCATTTCATGAAAACAAACGTTGATAAGAAATCATCTGTTTTAAGAAGAAAAGGTTTAGAGTACATTTCTAATTTCATTTAAAAAAACAAAACAAAGCAGGACAGCAGCAGAGACCCCAAACTTCCCTCACCTGGAGGCTCAGGGTTCTCCCTACCTCAGGGGCCGGTGCAGCATAGGCCGTGTATGGTGGAGGTGAGGAAACCACGGATGTCTCATCGGTCATGACTGCAGAGCCCACATACGCCTGCGGGAGACAGGAGAGGGTGAGGACAGGACAGCTTCCCAGCAGCTGTGTGCTCGATGCTGTGCATTGTCCCTTTTATTTAGCAAATTAAAAATTTAAAAAAACAAAAAGATACATAGCTCTCTGCAAAACAGGAAAAACTCCCCCAGTCCAGTGGGGGCCCCCACCCCTATTCTGGTATCCTCTAAATGCAAGAGCAAAGTGGTCCTCACTCGGCCCCTAACAGGACTACAGCTCTCACAGCCAGGAAGGCACTCAGAGGCCCCACTGTTACCCAATGCCTTTTAAAAGATGTTACATCAGGCCAGGTGCAATGGCTCACACCTATAATCCCAACACTTTGGGGAGGCTGGGTGAGAGGATCACTAGAGCCCAGGAGTTCCAAGGCCAGCCTAGGCAACAGAGGGAGAGCTCATCTCTACAAAAAACAAGAAATTAACTGGGCATGGTGCTTATGGCCCCAGCTACTCAGAAGGCTAAGTCTCAAGGATCACTCGAGCCCAGGAGCTCGAGACTGCAGTGAGCCAAGATCAAGTCACTGCACTCCAGCCCAGGCAACAAGGCGAGACTGTCTCCAAAAAAATAAAGATGTTACAGCACTCTCAACAGTCCTTTATTCACAAATAAAAACTCTACAATCTAAAATGTATCAAGAGATATGTCCTATACATAAGTCTGTTTTTTACCTTAAAAAACAAAATTCTTCATTAAATTACTCCCCAGTATAATTTAAAGAAAAACATGTTAGCTCTTTAAAAAAAAAGAAAAAGTGGCCAGGCGCAATGGCTCATGCCTTTAATCACAGCATTTTGGGAGGCCAAGGCAGGCAGATCACTAGGTCAGGAGTTGAGACCAGCCTGACCAACATGATGAAACCCCATCTCTACTAAAAATACAAAAATTAGCTGGGCGTGGTGGCACGTGCCTGTAATCCCAGCTATTCAGGATTCTGAGGCAGGAGAACTGCTTGAACCCAGGAGGCAGAGGTTGCAGTGAGCCGAGATCGCTCCACTGCACTCTGGCCTGGGCGACAGAGTGAGACTGTCTCAAAAAAAAAAAATCCACACAAAGAATCATTTGGGGAGCTTGCCCTTAACTGTATGGATTGTTAATGCTAATTTTACCCAAAAAAAAAAAAAAAAAGGGGGATTTTCATGAAGAAAAGGTAACTGCGGCTGTAGAGTAAGCTTAGAATGAAGTTGTTGTGTGCTAACAAAGGAAGAGAACACTGACGCTATTAGGATATTAAGCCTTTTACTTTCTTCTCCCACATGCACACATTCTTCTGTAAGCTTGATCCACCTTCTTCTTTTCTTACAGATTAATAAAGGAGAGAAAAATCCCATCTAAAGAATGAAAACTCTGACCAGAGTAACACACTCCCTTGATCACTGACAGATAAAGACAGCATTACGAGGCTCTACAAATGAGGTTCACTGTCTCAGTGACCTCCTAAGGCCAGAAACAGGACGAGAGACAAGTACAAGTCACAAAAATGTTTGTTTCACAGGCTGAGCTCCCATGCGTGAAAAGGATCCTGCAGTTCTTTCTAAGCCTTTACTGCAAACCACAGCACAATTCAAAGTGTTGCAGAACTTTGAGAAATACAAGCATTTCTAGAAAGCAACACTGGAACAAGCATGCCTGTAAGAGCAGGGTGCCTCCTGCCAAACATTTGACAAACCCAGCTTGCTCACTGTTGGCAAAAGGCGCCCTGCCCAGCACTACCTGCCCATTCGTGGCCAGATGGTCAAGAAACCCGTTTTCCCCATTCTCCAATTGTTACACAAGACCATGTGAAAACATTACTGGTGGCCGGGTGTGGTGGCTCATGCCTGTAATCCCAGCACTTTGGGAGGCGAAAGTGGGAGGATCACTTGAGCCCAGAAGTTGGATACCAGCATGGGTAATATAGTGAGACTTCGTCTCTACAAAAAAATTTTTTCAAATAAGCTGGGCGTGGTAGCATGGGCCTATAGTCCCAGCTACTGGGAAGGGGAGGCTGAGGTGGGAGGACTACTTGAGCCCGAGAGGTAGAGGCTGCAGTGAGGTGAGACAGCACCACTGCACTCAAGCCTGAGTGAGAGTGACACCTTGTCAAAAAAAAAAAAAATTATTGGTGATTGCCATTAGCAACTTACTGTGTTTGTCCTAGAATCTTGGAGTGTAAATTTCCAGGCCCTGGAGAAAAGAAAAAGGGTACTTTATTTAAGGCAATCCAACATTGCAATGATTCTGAAACCTGGGCTGGCATCAGAATTCCTGAAAAGATCTGTTTAAAAAACAAGTCTTCAGGCTTTGCCCCAAACCACTTGAGACATGCACTAGGAATATATATTTTTAAAAATTACATACATAATAGATATGTAATATTTAAAACATAATCTATACTATACTTTTTACTTTACTTTTTAATAAATGTGAAATGTACTGCCACTTGCTTTGTCAGTTCATGGCATACACACAGATCTACTTCCTTTTTACCAGCTATATAATATTCCACGATATGAGTAAAAAATTTAGATTAGCAATTTTTCAACATTAAAAAGAATGCTGGGGACCGGATGTAGTGCCTCATACCTGTAATCCCAGCACTATGGGAGGCCAAGGCAGGGGGATCACTTGAGCCCAGGAGTTCAAGACCAGCCTGGGCAACATAGTGAAATCCTAGCTCTACAAAAAATATAAACATTAGCCGGGCATGGTGGCGCATGCCTGCAGTCCAAGCTACTTGGGAGGCTGAGGTGGGAGAATAGCTTGCGCCTGGGAGGTCGAGGCTGTAGTGAGCCAAGATCACACCACTGCACTCTAGCCTGGATGAGAGAGAGGGGCTCTATCTCAAGAAAAAAAAAAGAAGAAAAGAATGCTATTAACATCCCTATTACCCTTACACTCTTATGTAAACATCTCCACAGGGCAAATTCCAAAGACTGAAAATACCACATCAAAGGATAAAAACATAATTTATTTCAGCAGGTATTGCCAAAATGCCCTGCAAAACGATTCTAACAATCTCTATACCTACCAACTTTACACTATATTGTCAAAAAAAACTAGATATCTGAACCTTAAGTATCACAAGAGCTTTCTTAATTCATAGGCAAAAAGCAGTCTCTCACGCCTGTAATCCCAGCACTTCGGGAGGTCAAGGTAGGTGATCACCTGAGGTCAGGAGTTCGAGACCAGCCTGGCCAACATGGTAAAACCAAGCTTCTACTAAAAACACAAAATTAGCTGGGCGTGGTGGCACATGCCTGTAATTTCAGCTACTCCAGAGGCTGAGGCAGGAGAAGTGCTTGAACCCGGGAGGCAGAGGTTGCAATGAGCGGAGATTATACCATTGCACTCTAGCCTGGGCAACAAGAGCGAAACTCCATCTCAAAAAACAAAATAGTGTTCTCTTGTGCACTCCCTCACTCCTTTACCCCTTACTTTTCTTACTGACCCTATCCCTCTTATCTTCATCAATTCCTTTTATGTTTTATTCTCATTTTACTATCTCCCTGAGTTGAAAGATTCATTCACTTATTTTCAAGTGTTCTGGCTTTCTTTTTTTTTTTTTTTTTTTTTTTTTTTTGAGATGGAGTCTCACTCTGTTGTCCAGGCTGGAGTACAGTGGTGTGATCTTGGCTCACCGCAACCTCCACCTCCCAGGTTCACGCCATTCTCCTGCCTCAGCCTCCCAAGTAGCTGGGATTACAGGTGCCTGCCACCACGCCTGGCTAATTTTTGTATTTTTAGTAGAGACGAGGTTTCACCATGTTGGCCAGGCTGGTCTCGAACTCCTGACCTCAGGTGATCCATCCGCCTTGACCTCCCAAAGTGCTGGGATTACAAGCTTGAGCCACCACACCCAGCCCAAGTGTTCTAGCTTTCTAAGGAATGCAGTTAAGTTGCAAAATTCCCCAACTGATTTTGTATGTGGCATACCATTGTCATTCACTTTGCTAAAGGGTATCATACTGGATTATTCATATATCTTATATAGATTTTGTTGTCATATCAGGTGGAAGAGTCTAGTAGGGACTTTGGTCTGCCAATTCAGTTCGATTATTTCAGAACATTTTTCTTGCCTTAGATTTGTAATTCTCTCTTTTGGGTTGTACACTTTATGGACATCAATAATCTTTCTGAACTTTTTTTAGTCTAACATATCTCTGATCTTTTCATCTTTTTCCTGTCACTGAGAGTATCTCCAGTCTTTTCTTCCATGCCAATGATTCACTTTTCATTTGGGGTTGTATTGAAGGGAAGACCACTTTCTTCAGATTATAACGTGAATGGCACCCTCTTGACAGCAACAGACCTTCTAAGTTACAGACACAAAAGAGCAGAAAAGAAACATAAATCTCTGCCCTCACACAGCATATATTCTAATGAAAGCAGATGATGAACAAGATAAATAGTTGATAGATGGTGAGTGTGTATGGGGACAGGGAGATACAATTTTAAATATGGTGGCCAGGAAAGCATTCCTGAAGACTCTGCTCCTGTTTCTTGGGTTTTATTTTCCTCCACTCTAGGAGCTTTTCCTGAGGCTTGCATTTTCCTTTTCTTATTTTTCCTTCATGGTATATCTGCATAGTTGCCAAGCCACTTCTTTACATCCTGCTCACGTTTAACATGGGAAGTGATATCTAAAACTGCTGTTTGCTCTCATAAAGTATGAGTTATTTCTCCTTGACACGCTTCCTACCTAATCTGGTATCAACTGGTAGTTCCACCCTGTTCTACCTCAGTCCAGCCCAGCAACAGTTTGATGGCTAGGTGTTACCCTCACAATCAACATTCTGTAATCTGAGGGCACAGGGCTAGAAGAGAAGGACATTTCTTCTGAGACCGAGTAAGTCTTTTCTGAAAACTCTGGGTCCTACACTCTCTTCTGAGCATATTCCTTTGAATGTCCCATGCTAGGGCTCACTTCACCAGACAGAAAATTACCCAACTCCTGTGAGCTTCAGTGCCTTTCACTGCCCTGCAATGATGAGTCCTGGGAGAACCGTCCAGCCTCTGCTGAGGCCCCAAGGACATCACATTCTTAAGGATTTTTTCCCTAGCTTTTCCAAAAAGTAACTTACACTTAATCAGCATCACTCCAGATTACAGGGTAATACTGAAAATTTGCAAGATTTAATTAACTCATCTTGTCACTGCTTCTGGGATTCGGGTAGGATTGAAGAACATCTCAGTAGAATCATCTATTTCTTTCTTTAACTGTTTGTAGTTTGTGCTTGAGATCAAACTTCTTTATTTGGTTGCACCATTGAAATGTTTTCCCCTCAGGGAAGATGATCTCTAATCCATTTCACCATCTTTCTCAAAAGTCTCTATTATGGGTTCAATTGTGTCCTCATGAAAAAGATATGTATAAATCCTAATCCCCAGTACCCTCAAATGGGACCTTATGTGGAAATAGGATATTTGCATATGGAATCAAATTAAGATAAGGTCATAGTGAATTAAGGTGGGTCCTTAATCCATTATGATTGGTGTCCTTTATAAGAAAAGAGAATTCTGGACACAGACACAGCCGAAGAAGGCCATGTGACAACAGAGGCAGAGACCGGAGTGATGTGGCTGTCAGCCAAAGAACACCAAGGACTACCAGCAACCACCAGAAGCTAGGAAGAGGCAAGAAAGGATCCTACCCAGCATCTCAGAGGGAGCAAGGATCTGCTGACACACTGATTCCAGACTTCCAGCCTCCAGAACTATGAGACAATGAATTTCTGCCATTTCCGTCACTCAGTGTTCAGCAATTTGTGACAGCAGCCCTAGGAACTGACAGTTTCCTTACTCTTTACTTTCTTGCTTTTCTGGTCATTTTATTTCAACTATGCCCGTTACCCACTGTGAATCTAATAATGAAAGACAGCATGATGAGACTGCTATTCCTTTCTGCCATTTTCACCACAATGGGATCGGCCTAGGCAGTCTGAGAGAGGCAGAAACTAGAATTGGAAAAGCGACTCTTGCATTTCTCTCATACATCCACTGAGTCCCTTATTCTGATGCCTGAAAGAAAACTCCACGCCCTTTCTTTTCATTTTTTGGTAATCAGAAGTTAAAATAGAAAATACTTTTTAAATTAAACACATAAGAAAGCAAAACTTACAAGCAATCATCTGTGCTTTCTGCACAAAGACTAATTGTTTTCCCATCTCGACAAACAATCTGGAGCATGCAGTCTTTTGACTTTCCATCCGGGGGCTGAGTATCTATGAAAAATAAGCAGAATAAAGGAACTTTTTTCAGGATTTCTTCTTACATTTTCTAAGAACTACCAGCTCAGAGAAGCAAAGGACTAGACAATAAATCAAGTGCTACATCTATGAAAGAACCCTCTGCCTTTCCAAGAATGCAGAAAGAACATAGCTAGGCTGACTGACAAGACCAGCTGCCAAGATGACGTCCACAAAATATATTCGGCTCACTGCAACCTCTGACTCCCGGGTTCAAGCAATTCTCTACCTCAGCCTCCTGAGTAGCCAGATTACAGGCACCTGCCACCACACCTGGCTAATTTTTTTGTATTTTTAGTAGAGTTGGGGTTTCACCATCTTGGCCAGGGTGGTCTTGAACTCCTGCCCTCGTGATCCACCCACCTCGGCCTCCCAAAGTGCTGGGATTACAGGCATGAGCCACCATGCCTGGCCAACATCCCAGATTTTAAGCAATTGACTGGAGTCACCATCAAACAGAAGCCAGTTTCTGAGTACAAAATCAACGTAGTCTAGGGTGGCCTGTGCTTCCTGAGGTTCCCAGAGCTCTGGCTCCCTCTCCACGAGAACGAGGGACGTGGACTGAGAACACTGATATTTCCCGACCATGTGGTTCATAATCTAAGTGCCTGGGGCCCCACTGTGGTCGCCCCTCTGAGATGGAGCCCTTCTTCAATCTGTTAATGAAAGCAGAACAGGGAAGGAAGAGGACCAAGCTCCCAGCAAGACAGAGGAAGAGCAGAAGACAGAAGTTGGCCAAGACAGGCCAGCTTACCCCGACATTCCTGCCCCGTGCGGATGTTGATGCAGTCCATTGGCATGTGGACCTTATCCTCGATATTCTGCCGAGTCTGGTCATCATAATAGATCAGGTGACCATCCGACCACAGATCAAACCAGTTCTTCTTCCAGCGCTTCAAAATAGTACCTGGAAAAAAAAAATAGTACGGTTGTTTTTTTTTTTTTAGAGACAGTCTTACTATTTCGCCCAAGTTGGAATGCAGTGGCTATTCACAAACATGATCATAGGTCACTGCAGCCTTGAACTCCTGGGCTCAAGCAATCCTCCCATTTCAGCCTCCCGTTTAGCTGCGACTACAGGCACATGCCACCATGCTCAGCCTTCAAAATTTAGAAATCTGAAAGGTTGGCTTTGCGCCAAAAGAGCAAGGACATAGTCCTCTAATTCACAGCAGAAACAAAAAGAACTCTTCCCCTGGCCCCTTAATTACACCTGTATAGAATTACCCAAAGCAGTCCCTCACAATGAAAGGGAAAGCAGAGCACAGGGCCCGCCAACTGGTGCTTTAACAGGCTGCATGCAGCACACACTGTCAACAGAGAATGCTGCCAACCAACTTAGAAGTTCCAACACTTTCCGGTTAGGGTTTCTATTAAAAAGCTTGCTTTTCAGCAAATGAAACATATCTAACATTTAATTCCTCATACAGTACTAAACTTTAAACCTCTCAAACTTTTCAACTTTCTAAATTTCCAAATATTGTCTAAATTGCCAGATTGATCAGAAAATGCTGGACTGTGAAGTCTCTATACGCAAATAAAAATAATATCTTTCTCTTTTGAAAAAACACATTTTGGCCAGGCACGGTGGTTCACGCGTGTAATCCCAGCACTTTGGGAGGCCGAGGCAGATGGATCACTTGAGGCCAGGAGTTCGAGACCAGCCTGGCCACGATGGTGAAATCCCATCTCTAAAAATACAAAAAATTAGCTGGGCGTGGTGGCTCGTACCTGTAATCCCAGCTACTAGGGAGGCTGAGGCAGGAGAATCGCTTGAACGCAGGAGGTGGAGGTTGCAGTGAGCCAAGATCGCACCACTGCCCTCCAACCTGGGGGACAGAGCAACACTCCGTCTCCAAAAAAAAAAAAGAAAAAACACGTTTTTTTTCTTTGTCCTTAAGAGTTTTCACAGATACTCTTTCCTACCATTTCCCACAGAAGCCCACAGTGTGGAAGGCTCCCCCCTTCCTGATGCATACACTGGATAAATGAGCACAGCAGGATATAGACCAGGCCCTGCCTGGCCTCCCATGCTGTGCACATCCTACTACCTCACGTACTTCTGTCAGCTTGAGCAAATTCAACCTTTCATTTGTGATCTTGGACCAGGTATTTAACGTGGTATATAAAACAGTAATTTCCTTTAACTTGGTATATAAAACAGTAATTTCCTTGACTGCATGAAGGGAAAACCCCTGCAGTGGACTTAAAGGCCAGTTGTAGCTCCGGTCATCTCTTTACCTTCCTCACATCCATTCACTGCCCACTACACCTTCTGTTCCTGTACATCTCATCCCATTCTTGGCCAACACACACAATCCCATTTCGTGTACTTCCCTTTATGTTGCCGTGCCTGCAACTGGTGTCAACCAGATATGCGCCATTCGGCTTTCCTGCCAGTAGTATCAGGCACTCTCCTCACCAGGAGGGGTGTCCACTGCACTTGCCTAACTGACCACTAAGTGATACCCAAGCATCCACTTGACTACCTGAGCTGTGCAGAAACTACCAAATAGGCTGGGCGCAATGGCTCATATCTGTAATTCCAGCACTTTGGGAGGCTGAAGTGGAAGGATCACCTGAGCCCAGGAGTTTGAGACCAGCCTGGACTACAAAGCAAGATCCCGTCTCTACAAAGAGAAAAATAGCCAGACATGCTAACACAAGCCAGCAGTCCCAGCTACTTGGGAGTCTGAGTCAGGAGGACCACCTGAACCTGGAAGATCAAGGCTGTAGTGAGCAGTTATCACGCCACTGCACTCCAGCCTAGGCAACAGAGCAAGACCCTGTCTTAAAAAGAAAAAAAAAAAAAAGCCAGGCACAGTGGCTCATGCCTGTAATCCTAGCACTTTGGGAGGCCGAGGGCGGGGGGCGGGGGGGGGGGTGGGGGGGGTGGACCAGGAGGTCAGAAGTTCAAGACCAGCAAGGCCAACATGGTGAAATCCCATCTCTACTAAAGATATAAAAATTAGCCTGGCATGGTGGCGCACACCTGTAATCCCAGCTACTCAGGAGGCTGAAGCAGGAAAATTGCTTGAAGCCAGGAGGCAGAGGTTGCAGTAAGTTGAGATCATGCCATTGCACTCCAGCCTGGGCGACAAAGCAAGACTCTGTCTCAAACAAACAAAAAGCCCTACTAAATAGAGCCACAGAAACACAGAGACAGGTGGAACCACTGGGTCAGGGAGTTCTGCCCAAGTATCTCACCTGCCATCAAAGCCCTGGCTGCAGACTCCCAAGTCAGGCTGTCCTCCAGAGGCCAGGACTGGGTCCCAACAGTACATGTGGCAATGGCAGGAAAATAAGTCCCAAGGCTGGCTTTGCCTACCTGTGACCACATCACATGTGTATCTCTGCTGCTCTACAACCCCGTGAATATAATGTATCTCACCTCGTTTTACTGGCATTGATACTTCTACTTTCAGGAAAGAAGGAAAATTAACCCATACATATGGGGATGGGGTTATATACAGAGTAAATCGTCTGAATACACACTTCTGAAACACCCATGGACCAGAACACTGGAAAAGTCTATGTGACTTATTTAAAGTACATCTATTTTGTGTACATCACCATGCTAGGCGTGATGGGGAGGACAAAATTGTCAAAAGAGTCACTGATCACTATGTTGACAGAGCACTTACTTCAAGTTGTGGTGGAAAAGGGAAAGCTTGCCCTCAAACAAGGGTGTGGCAAAGGACATCCAAAGGGCCAAAGGAGGGCACACCCTCAAGGTCTGAGCAAGGGTCCCCATGTCCCCTGACCATGGGGACGTTGAGACCGCAAAACCCAAGACTAGGAAACTTGGGCTAGACTTCAACAAGCCAGGACTTTCTTTGTGAAGCTAACATTACGACACCTTTGTCTATTCTAAGACTACAGGACTAACAGACAAGGGGACATACAGTTCAGCTCCAGGTTGGGAACATGGAACTAGTCACAGACACACAGGCTGAAGACCGGTCTCTGGGTGCATATAATGTCAGTGTTGAAATCACACAGTCCTGACTTTGAATGTAGGTTTGTCACCCACAGTTCACACTTAGACAAGTACCTAACCTCACTGAATCTCAATTTCTTCAACTGGAAATAATACCACTTACCTCTCATACAGCTGTTGTGAGAATTAAGAATATATACATAAAATCTATTTAACAGGAACACAAACAATTCGTAAACAATAGTTTTGATAAACCATCTCAGGTATGCCATCAATTCTTACTGGTAGACTTGACTTTAGCTAAATTTCTGAAAGTAACCCTCATAGATAAACTCAAGTCTCTGAACAATCAATGGTATGTGATACAGCTCAGTTTTTGACTAGAATCATAAATGACATGGTAGTCACTTTTCCCTTAACTTCACTCTTTCTAGTATAGCAGAATATTCTGCTTGCATTTTTTAATAAATAAGACTGGTTCTTCCCACTTTAAAACACAGTATGAGGCCGGGCGCGGTGGCTCACGCCTGTAATCCCAGCACTTTGCCTGTAATCCCAGCACTTTGGGAGGCCGAGGCGGGCAGACCACCTGAGGTCAGGAGTTCGAGACCAGGCTCAACATGGAGAAACTCCGTCTCTACTAAAAATACAAAATTAGCCAGGCATGGTGGCGTGCGCCTGTAATCCCAGCTACTCGGGAGGCTGAGGCAGGAGAATTACTTGAACCTGGGAGGCGGAGGTTGCAGTGAGCCAAGATCGCGCCTGGGCAACAAGAGCAAAATTCCATCTCAAAAAATAAATAAATAAATAAATAAAAATAAAACACAGTATGAATCCCACCTGGAGTGACAGCCTCAGAGATAAGCAGACAGTGTATGAAAGACAGGTTTGCAGAGATAAGCCTAGGAAAGTGGATCTCAATCCCATAAAAAAAGAACTGAGTCTCTTCTCTAGTCCTTTTGGAGACACAAAAGTTTTGGTTTTAGATGAACTCATTGCCTCAGATCAACTCTTCAGCCACATAATTACAAAGACTCCAATATTTGAGAATCTGAGTCACTGCTCAATCCCCAGATAAGACAGGCAGAGAGACCAGCACCTCTGTTCCAGTATCTCAGCTGGGCTCAGTTAGATCCAGGCAGTCCCAGATCCATCATTAATAATAAAGCACGCAGCTGGGCACGGTGGCTCACGCTTGTAATCCCAACACTTTGGGAACCCAGGTGGGCAGATCACCTGAGGTCGGGAGTTTGAGACCAGCCTGGCCAACAGGGAGAAACCCCTTCTCTACTAAAAATACAAAATTAGCCGGGCATGGTGGTGTGTGCCTGTGATCCCAGCTACTCGGGAGGCTGAGGCAGGAGAATCACTTGAACCCAGGAAGCGGAGGCTGCGGTGAGCCGAGATCGCGCCACTGCACTCCACAACAAGAGTGAAACTCTGCCTCAAAAAATAAATAAATAAAATAAATTAAAATTAAAAAGTAAAGCATGCTAGTGAGGAGAGCGAAAGCAGCAGGGACTGCCATCATTTCCTGGTTCCTGTCAACTCAGCAACCAAGGAGGAGCTCCGTGGTGTGCAAGACAGTTCACAGAGATCTAGGAATGTCCAAGGGGAAACTCAAGGCCATAGCACTCATAAAACTTTGTTATTTGCTTTTAAATATGATCAACTTTAAGCAAACAGAAATAGAGACTGCCCTTCGGCAATGCCGATCGCAGACCGCACATCCTGTACTCACTCTGTCGCAGCAACCAGCCACTCTTCACAAACGCCATCTCTTCACCTACAGAACAAAAACAGGCAGGTTCAAAATCATACCCAGAAAGAGAATAGCCTGTCCGGCCCGAGTCTCTATCCTTATCCCCTTCAGCATCAGCTGAGGAAGGGCCCAAGGCCATTTTAGCTCAGTGCCCCCCTGGCATTTAACAAACACCTCCTCATTGGGGTTCATGTGCCCCGCACTCTGTACCCCCTCCCTTCCTCCCACACTCGCCTTCAGCCTCACCACCCAGCCCACCTGACCGAGTCTAACACCACTCAACAAACATAAAGCAGCCCCAGGGACACAGGATTTAGCTCTGTCAAGGACATGGGGGATTCTCGTGGCTTGCTGGAGCCCTGAGGTGCCTACATTTGGCGTTCCCAGTGGGGTCCACATGGCCCAGGCAGGGGTGCTGCACTGGTGTCAGCAGTGAGTGACGTGGAGTGGCCAGGTCAGGGCAAAAAAACAAAAGTCATCAAGAAAAAGGTTCATAAAGTCAACTCCATAAAAATTTAAATCTTCTGTATGGAAAAAAAGTTAAATGAGACTTTAAAAGTGATAAATTAGAAGAAACAGTCACGGCTGGGCACGGTGGCTCAGGCCGAGGAGGGTGGATCACCTGAGGTCAGGAATTCGAGACCAGCCTGGCCAACATGGTGAAACCTCATCTCTACTAAAAATACAAAAATTGGCCGGGCGCAGCAGCTCATGCCTGTAATCCCAGCACTTTGGGAGGCCGAGGTGGGCGGATCAGGAGGTCAGGAGTTTGAGACCAGCCTGACCAACATGGTGAAACCCCGTCTCTACTAAAAATATAAAAATTAGCCAGGTGTGGTGGTCCGTGCCTAATCCCAGCTACTCAGGAGGCTGAGGCAGGAGAACTGCTTGAACCCAGGAGGCAGAGGATGCGGTGAGCCGAGATTGCACCACTGCACTCCAGCCTGGGCAACAGAGTAAGACTCTGTCTCAAAAAAAAAAAAAAAAGAAGAAGAAGAAATATTCATAACCATATGGCAGCAAGGAGCTTATTTCCTTCACTTACAAAGTTCACACATATCATACAGAAAAGGCAATAATTTAGCAGTTCACAGAAAAAAGAACACACAGAAAAAAGAACAACAAACTCGTAAAAAGACACTGAATTTCCCACTCAATTCAACAGATACAATTCCAACTGTACAGTAAACTACTGTACCTCTCAGGTGGGCACAAATGAAAACCTCCAAGACACCCAGCAAGGAGAAAGCACAATGGCAGAAAGAAAACTGATGCAACCTTTCCAAAGGGAAATTTGACAAAATCTATTGAAACTTTAATAGTTCATATACTTTGCCCCAGCAATCTCACCATGACTAGGAATTTGCCTCACTGAGATATGTGCAGAGGTTCACCAACACAGATATATATATAAACACTCGCGGCAACATCACACATACTGCAGAAGCGCGCCAACATGCCCCACGACGGAGGACTGCTGAGCGGGTACCTCCACACAGGACAGATCACCAGGCAGGCAAGGCGGAGCAGCATGTGCTGCAGGCTGCCTCCTGGGAGGAATCCTAAAACCTTTGAAAGATGTGTCTCTGGAAACAAAATGAGGCGATTCTGTGTGTGTCACAGAACAAAGAGGGTGATTGGTCCCATTACCCCTTTCTGTACTGTTTGAAACAGTTAACAACTTGCATGCTTTTTTTTTTGTGAGATGGATTCTTGCTGCGATGTCCAGGCTGGAGTGCAGTGGCGCGATCTCAGCTCACTGCAACCTCCACCTTCCACGTTCAAGCAATTTTCCTGTCTCAGCCTCCCCGAGTAGCTGGGACTACAGGAGCATGCCACCATGCCCGGCTGATTTTTGTATTTTTAGCAAAGACGGGGTTTCACCATATTGGTCAGGCTGGTCTCGAACTCCTGACCTCAGGTGACCCACCTGCCTCGGCCTCCCAAAGTGCTGGGATTACAGGCATGAGCCACCGCACCCAGGCCATTTTATTTTTTGAAATCAATAGTTATTATCTGGAAGCTGAGACCATGGGCCACTTTTGTTTTCTGCTTTAGCTTTTTTTTTTTTTTTTTTTTTTTTTTTTTTTGAGACGGAATCTTGCTCTGTCACCCAGGCTGGAGTGCAGTGGCGCAATCTCGGCTCACTGCAAGCTCCGCCTCCTGGGTTCACGCCATTCTCCTGCGTCAGCCTCCCAAGTAGCTGGGACTACAGGTGCCCGCCACCACGCCCGGCTAATTTTTTCTTGTATTTTCAGTAAAGACGGGGTTTCACCATGTTAGCCAGGATGGTCTCGATCTCCTGACCTCGTGATATGCCCACCTCGGTCTCCCAAAGTGCTGGGATTACAGGCATGAGCCACCGCGCCTGGCCTTGCTTTAGCTTTTTTAGCTATTTCTTTAAGGCACTAAGGTTGGTAAGGTTAGCACAAGCGCAAGTGGGCACCTCAGAAGAACAAATGAGTCTCTAATGTAGCTCCTTCCCCATATCTAAGCATGGTTGACTTCTCATCTTTCTCCAAACCTTTAAAAAGAGTGCCACAAGCCTCAGTCACCCCATACTCCGGCATCTCCAAAATCATGCACGCTGAAGCTTCTTGCTCTCTTTGCAGTTTTTTTCAATTCATGCTATCTGTCCTTACCAAGAAACGAAATGTTTTTCATTTTTCCCCAATCTTTCTCTACCACATTTAGGTTCTCAAACATACAATCCCCAGCAAACAAAAGCCAGTCTCCCTGTCTCTAAGATGATGTTAACAGGGAAGCACACTGCTGCTCACTGTGCTGGCAGCCACCTTCTGACCATGAGGAACCGGCTGGGGGCAGCTGACGCAGAGACAGCAGAGCTCACACTGCTGAGCCACTTACTTCACCAACCCCCAAACCCACCCTTACCCAAGACTTTCTACTAAGCAGCATGATGGGTTTATCACTTAAGATGGTTGAATTTGGTTTCCTGCAACTTACAGCCTAAAATATCCTAAAACAATCATTTTACTTCCAAAAGGATTTGAAGCAGAGAACTACCAGCATCATATTTTCATTAAATATTCTTAGAACACCTTACTTGTGTCCAGCCTTGTCCTAGACACTAAGGATACAGCAGTGACCAAGCCAAAATGCTACTCTCATGTAGCTTAGTACAGCAGAAGAAACAGGCGAAACAAAAAGGAAGGAATGTTGTAGACAGTATCACATCTGTGCAGTGGGGTTATTAACCCAGAACACAAAAAAATGAGAGGGCAAAGCACGTACGCATTCACGTCAAATCCTAGATATTTATATTCATACTACAGCTTCCTGCATCCATAATGTGAATTCCCAGTATATTTCATACAAAAAAAAATGAGAACAGGCTAAAAATTACTAGAAAAGGTACTGAGAACTACGTAGTCATGACAAATACAAAACCTGACTGAAACACAGCCATGCAACTTCGCAGGCGGTTACAGGACACAGTGAATATAAAAACGTGGAGTAACAGGAGTCTCCTGAACTTCTGTGGTCAATTTCTTTACATTTCTAATGGGTTTGTTTGTTTCTTTGTTTGTGCCATCGCCCAGGCTGGAGTGCAATGATCTCCGCTCGCTGCAGCCTCCACCTCCCAGGTTCAAGCAATTCTCCTGCCTCAGCCTCCCAAGTAGCTAGAATTACGGGCGTGTGCCATCACACCCAGCTAATTTTTTGTATTTTAAGTAGAGACAGGATTTCGCCACGTTGGCCAGGCAATCCACCCGCCTCAGCTTCTCAAAGTGCTGGGATTACAGGTGTGAGCCACCATGCCCAGCCTTCTAATGGTTCTTGATATTAATTTGGCTACATTTGCTATCTTTTTTTTTGGACGGAGTTTAGCTGTCACTCAGACTGGAGTGCAATGGCACTATCTAGGCTCACTGCAACCTCCGCCTCTGAGGTTCAAGCAATTCTCATGCCTCAGCCTCCCAAGCAGCTGCGATTACAGGTGTCACCACACCCAGCTAATTTTTATATTTTTAGTGGAGACAGGCTTTCACCATGTTGGCCAGGATGGTCTCAAACTCCTGACCTCAAGTGATCTGCCTGCTTTGGCATCCCAAAGTGCTGGGATTACAGGCATGAGCCACTGTGCCTGGCCGATAAAGAGTTAAAAGAGACTTTTAGGTAAAACCTTAAGGATCCTGAGATTTCCTGATATCTTGGAGTATTATGTACTAATTGTGTGGGTGAACATCTGATTTGCCAGATGATATGGTTTGGCTCTGTGTCCCCACCCAAAATCTCATGTGGAATTGTAATCCCCAGTGTTGGCAGAGGGGCCTGGTGGGAGGTGACTGGATCACGGTGGCAACTATCCCTGTTGCTGGTCTTGTGATAGAGTTCTCAGGAGATCTACTTGTTTATAAGTGTGTTCACTCTTTCCTACTGCCACATGAAGACATGCCTGCTTCCCCTTTGCCTTCTGCCATGATTGTAAGCTTTCTGAGGCCTCCACAGCCATGCCTCCTGTACAGTCTGCAGAACTCTTGAGTCGACTAAACCTCTTTTCTTCATAAATTACCCGGTCTCAGGTAGTTCTTTAAAGGAGTATGAGAACAGACTAATACAACGAATGTTGTGCCTATGTTTTCTCTGGTGTTTCCTTGAGGTTAGCCTGGGTTTCTCTTACTTTTCAGGCAGTTGAGTCTCAAGGGATGGCAACAAGGAGAAACTGAACAGCAGACTTGGGAAACAACTCGGGCCACTTGAGTAAGATTCAAAAAGAAAAAAGAAATGGAAATGTCTACATCTAGAGGACATTATAAACGTATCTTTCATGTGCCTATATAAAATAAAACTATTAGAGAAAGGGGAAATCAGATTATGAGACAGAAAAGAACTTAAACTGGAATTAGCAACAGAAACTCTTCACTTTTTAAAAGAGTAATTCCTCTGCTGACTCAAGTAGCTTCTTATCTTATGTCATCCTGTCTACCTCTCCTCATTCTGTGGAACAATCTCATGTACCTCCCAGAGCAGATTTTTATCTCTACCACTAGTCTCCTCTAAAACAAGCCAGTACTCTTTGAAAATGAGCTAGTTACAGTTTAGGGGCAGGATATCTTATTATCAAAAAGCACAGATGCTTTCAAGAGTGCCTTCAGAAAGCATCAAGAAGCCACTCAGCTGAAGAAAGAGAATCTAATGGCTAAATTGTGACACAAGTGTAAAATTCAAAGTAAAAATTACAGTCTATTACAACCAACTAAGGCTGAAAGGTACCCTGGGTATAAGATGATTAAAATGAGATATATTACAGTAGAATGTGTTAAAGAAAAGACATACCTTCTGGAGGGCGCAGTAGCTCACGCCTGTAATCCCGGCATTTTGGGAGACTGAGGCAGGTGGATCACGAGATCAAGAGATCGAGACCATCCTGGCCAATATGGTGAAACCCCGTCTCTACTAAAAATATTAAAAATTAGCTGGGCATGGTGGCGCATGCCTGTAGTCCCAGCTACTCGGGAGGCTGAGGCAGAAGAATCACTTGATCCCGGGAGGCGGAGACTGCAGTGAGTCAAGATCATGCCACTGCACTCTAGCCTGGCAAAAGAGCCAGACTCCATCTCAAAAAAAAAAAAAAAAAAAAAAAAAAAAAAAGACATACTTTCTGATAATGGTTTGGCTTTATTCCTACCCAAATCTCACCTTGAATTGTAATAATCCCCACATGTCAACAGTGAGGCCAGGTGGAGATAACTGAATCATGGGGACAGTTTCCCCCATACTGTTCTCATGGTAGTGAATAAGTCTCACAAGATCTGACAGTTTTATAAATGGGAGTTCCCCGCACAAGTTCTCTTGCCTGCCACCATGTAAGACATGACTTTGTTCCTCATTTGCCTTCCACCATGATTGTGAGAACTCCCCAGCCATGTGGAACTGTGAGTCAACTAAACCTCCTTCCTTTATAAATCACCCAGTCTTGGGTATATCTTTATTAGCAGCGTGAGAACAGACTAATACAGTAAACTGGTACCAGTACAGCGGAATGCTACTGAAAAGATAACTGAAAATGTGGAAGCAACTTTGGAAACAGGTAAAAGGCAGAGGTTGGAACAGTTTGGAGGGCTCAGAAGAAGACAGAAAGATGTGGGAAAGTTTGGAACTTCCTAGAGACTTGCTGAGTGGCTTTGACCAAAATGCTGATAGTGATATGGACAATAAGGTCCAGGCTGCACTGGTCTCAGATGGAGATGAGGAACTAGTTGGGAACTGGAGTAAAGGTCACTATTGTTATGTAAAGAGACTGGTGGTATTTTGTCCCTGTCCTAGAGATCTGTGGAAGTTTGAACTTGAGAGAGATGATTTAGGGTATCTAGTAAAAGAAATTTCTAAGCAGCAAAGCCTTCAAGAAGAAGCAGAGCATAAAAGTTTGGAAAATTTGCCAACTGATGATGCAACAGAAAAGAAAAACCCATTTTCTGGGGAGAAATTCAAGCCTGCTGCAGAAATTTGCATAAGTAACAAGAAGTCCAATGTTAATCACCAAGACAATGGGCAAAATGTCTCCAGGGCAGGGATGGGCCATGGCTCACGCCTGTAATCCCAGCACTTTGGGAGGCTGAGGAGGGTGGATCACGAGGTCAGGAGATGGAGACCATCCTGGCTAACACGATGAAACCCCGTCTCTACTAAAAATACAAAAATTAGCCGGGCGTGGGGGCGGGCGCCTGTAGTCCCAGCTACTCGGGAGGCTGAGGCAGGAGAATGGTGCGAACCCAGGAGGCGGAGCTTGCAGTGAGCTGAGATCACGCCACTGCACTCCAGCCTGGGCCACTCCCTCCTGAAATGCAACTAAAATGAGAGTTAAGGAGAAAACAAGGCATAAATCCACAGAGAACAGCAGCAGACAAAAGCAGACGAGACACAACATTTTGAAAGTTCTAAGACAAACAGACAAGTGTCAACTAACATAAAATATGGCCACCTCTACTTTGTTATGTGCTAACAGAAGCCAAAACACAGCAAGCCAACTCCTGCCACATAAAAACAGACTCAGAAATTGGGGGTAAGAGAGAATTCTAGAGGTGGGGAGAAATCAGAAGAATTAATGGAAAGTCTTCAAAGGGGTCACTAGGCACCCTACCCAAGCAGACAGGGACCCTCCCTGATCCTGAAGATGATGCCTCTGGAGACTGGGCGTGGCCACACTACACACAGCTTAAAGTCGCAGGCCACACTTAGAAGAATATAGTCCGTGAAAGTCAAATTCTCCATCTTCTTCCTTACTTCTCAGACTCTAGCTCAGAGCAAAGGCATAGTCCCAAGAGGAAAGGCTCACTGATACTGACAACTGGGTGTTCTGTAATGAAAAAGCCAAACTTTGCCTAACACCCTCCAGAGAAGCTCACCAAGAGACAGACTTGAAGCAAACACACAGACTTCCAATCAGCTTTTCAGTACCTCTCTTAAATAGGAATACAGAGCAAGTATCATCAGTCTGAGTAGAAAAAAATACTGTTTTTCCTCTGCTCTCACGTCACAACAATCAACATAGAAGACTTCTGTGACCAAATGTGTGAGGGTTTCTCCCCACATACCAAGCAAGAAATCAATTATGCAGCAGGCCCATGCACAGTGTTGCGCATCTGTAATCCCAACATTTTAGGAGGAGAAGGTCAGGGGACCACTTGAGCTCAGGAGTTTGAGACTAGCCTAGGCAACATGGTGAAACCTCATCCATACAAAAATCAGCGGGGCATGGTGGCACACACCTGTAGTCCCAGCTACTGGGGGGCTGAGGTAAGAGGACCACTTGAGCCTGGGATGGGGAGGTTGCAGTGAGCCGTGATCACACCACTACATTCCAACCTGGGCAGGAGTGAGACCCGGTCTCAAAAAAAAAAAAAAATTCTTCAGCGAACACCAACTAGGTGTCCTGCAATTCAACTGTCACACTATCTACCTGGAGATAGCATCAGATCCCACAGGTTGAGGGCTCAGTCCCACAAGACTGCCCACCCTTCAGACACCAGCCACAAGTCAGGGCCTCTGGAACATGTGATCAACTAGCTTTAAGTCAGTGAGAAAGAAAAGTAGCTCAGAGCAATCTGAAGAACATAAAGCCGGCAAAATTTAGAAAATGGGTCTTTAGTTACCACAGCCCCAGCCACGCTCAGGGTTAACTGTTTAAAGGGACTTGGGGTTTTTTTAATCTTCCCTTTCCTGTAGTTTCCAGACAAGCTGATAAATTACCAAGACTGTTACTACAAGTTACACAATGTGACCCTCAATCATTTTCTTCATGTTCCTGGAATGTGTGGTACAAAGAACAATATACAGCCAACCAATAGTTTATGTTCAACTTAGAAACTGCCCCTATTTTTGCCCTTTAAAATCCCACTTCTAACTGTTGCTACTCAAAGCATATATTCAGAGCAACTTGAATCTATGCTTCCCAGGTTGCTGTCCTCAAATCTGGCCTAAATAAACTCTCTATTTATAGTAATTTTTGCTTTAGTTTCTTTCTTTAGGTCTATTAGAATTCCCCCATCTCCCTGTGTTTGATTAATTTGCTAGAGCAGCTCACAAAATTCAGGTAAACAATGACTTATATTTACCAGTTTATTATAAAGGGTATTACAAAGGACACAGATGAAGAGATGTATAGGGCAAGGTGTTAGTGTTCAGGCCTCTCCAGGCACACCACCCTCCCTCCAGGAACCTCCAGGTGTTCGGCTATTCTGGAGGCTCCCCAAACCCAATCCTTTTGGGTTTTTATGGAGGCCTCATTACATTAGCATGATTGATTAAACCAACAGCCACTGGTGATCAACATCACCTTGAACCCCTCTCTCCTTCCTGGAAGGTTGGGGGGCAGACATGAAAGTTCCAACCCTCTAAAGTCGCATAGGTGTTTCAGATGACCAGCTCCCATCCTGAAGGGAGTCTGCAGGCCATCAATCAATCATTAGCATACAAAAAGACATCATTTTGGAGATTTTTAAGGATTGTATTAAATAGGAGTTGTAAGGCAGGAAATGAGGTCAAAGACAAAATAAACATTTCACAGTACCACAATCAGACACTGGAGAAAAATCTAGACCATAAAAGATAGAGATTAAAGAAAATAAAATTTTCAAGAAAAAAACCTCAAGAATCAGAGACAATGCTGGGTACAAAAGAAAACTTTAAAAATATTACTTTACAGCTGGCCACAGTGGCTCACGCCTATAATCCCAACACTTTAGGAGGCCGAGGAGAGTAGATCACTTGAGGTCAGGAGTTCGAGACCAGCCTGGCCAACATGGTGAAACCCCGTCTCTACTAAAAATACAAAAATTAGTTGGGCGTGGTGGCAGGCTCCTGTAGTCCCAGCTACTCAGGAGGCTGAGGCAGGAGAATGGCGTGAACCCGGGAGGCGGAGCTTGCAGTGAGCCGAGATAGTGCCACTGCACTCCAGCCTGGGTGACTGGAGTGAGACTCCATCTCAAAAAAAAAAAAAACAAGAATAAAAAGAAATATTCAGAGCTCTCAATTAAAAATAATAACCAAAATTAAAAATTCAATACAAGAGTTGGAAAGATCAAGATGGAAGAAATCTCTCTGAAATGAAGAGCTAAAAAAAAAAAAAAAAAAGACCAAGAGATGGAAAAAAATTAGAGGATGAGCCTGGAATATAAAATATTCTGCTGGCTGGGCACAGTGGCTCATACCTGTTAATCACAGCACTTTGGGAGGCTGAGGTGGGTAGATCACTTGGGGTCAGGAGTTCAAGACGAGCCTGGCCAGTATGGTGAAACCCCATCTCTACTAAAAATACAAAAATTAGCCAGGCATGGTGGCACGCACTTGTAGTCCCAGCTACTGAGCAGGCTGAGGCAGGAGAATCACTTGAACCCGGGAGACGGAGGTTGCAGTGAGCTGAGATCCCACCACTGCATTCCAGCCTGGGCATCACAGCGAGACTCCGTCTCAAAAAAAAAAATTCTGCTTATAGGAGAATTTCATAAATAAACCACAGAGAAAAGAGCAGAGAAATAATACTATAAAACCATTTCCTGCAACAGGATAACACATTTCTAGATTCAAAAGATCCAATGACTGTCCAGCATGATGAATTTTAAAAGATTCTCCATAGGTAGGATGACTGAAATTTCATAACATCAAGGACAAAGAAGAGAACCTAAAAACTTCCCAAAGAAAAAAGCATATATAAAGGATCAACAATCAGCAAGACACAGGACATCTAGAGCAATACCTTCAAAATGCTAACGGAAAATTATTTCCAAGCCAGAATTCCACACCCAGTCAAATCATTAATCAAGGCCAGGCATGGTGGCTCTTGAGCATAATCCCAACACTTTGGGAAGCCAAGGTGGGAGAATCGCTTCAGCCCAGGAGTTTGAGACCAACCCAGCAACACAGTGAGACATTCTCAACAAAAAAATAAGAAGTTAGCTGCACATAGTGGTGCACGCCTGTAGTCCCACCTACTCGGGAGACTGAGGTAGGAAGATCGCTTGAGCCCAGAAGGTAGAAGCACAGTAAGCCATGAATGATCATGTCACTGCACTCCAGCCTGGGCGACAGAGTAGGATTCGGTCTTCAACTGGCAGGGGAGGAAATTCCCAGAAAGGCAGCTGTGCAGAAGGACTGGGGAGGAAAAAAAAAAAAAAAAACAGTCCAGACTGGAGCAGGACCGAGTACTACAGGGGAGGAAAAAAAGTAACTGACAAATTTCCTACAAGTTTTTGACTCACTGGTGGATTGAAGAGTTTTACAAGGCAGCAAAAGTCTTCTATGATCAAAAGTCAAAAGATTACATGTAAATCAATAGCAATTTTACCATATCCACAAAGATAAAATACTATTTTTTTTTTTTGAGACGGAGTCTCACTCTGTCACCCAGGCTGGAGGGCAGTGGCGCGATCTCAGCTCTCTGCAACCTCCACCTCCCAGGTTCATGCCATTCTCCTGCCTCAGCCTCCCGAATAGCTGGGACTACAGGCAACCGCCACCACACCCAGGTAATTTTTTTGTATTTTTAGTAGAGACAGGGTTTCACCGTGTCAGCCAGGATGGTCTCGATCTCCTGACCTCATGATCCACTTGCCTTGGCATCCCAAAGTGCTGGAATTACAGGTGTGAGCCACCACACCCAGCCAAAATACTATTTTAAAAAGTGCCAAAAAAAGGTGAAAATAGTTGTCTATAGTTTAAAAAGGGGGTGGACAAGAGATTGATATATTTTTTTTTATTCTAAGGTTTAAAGCACTATTTGGTTGTTTTTTTTGTTTGTTTGTTTTGAGACAGAGTTTCGCTCTTGTTGCCCAGGCTGGAGTATAGTGGCGCGATCTTGGCTCACTGCACCCATCGCCTTCCAGGTTCAAGCGATTCTCCTGCCTCAGCCTCCCAAGTAGCTGGGATTACAGGCGCCCACCACCACGCACAGCTGATTTTTGTACTTTTAGTACAGACGGGATTTTACCACGTTGGTCAGGCTGGTCTCAAACTCCTGACCTCAGGGGATCCACCCGCCTCAGCCTCCAAAAGTGCTGGCCTCCAAAAGCTTGAGCCACCACGCTCAGCCTATTTGGTCTTTCAATCTATGTACATGTATTATTTTGATAAATGTAAACATGTAAACAATAACCTGAATTATCTTCAACTATACCAAAACAAAAAAACCAACCTAAATTAATCTACCTATTTGAACCTTCCAACAGTGCTCTGCTTTCGTTTTTAAATTGGGGAGAGAAATTTAGAGAGTATCTTTAGAAACCAAAAATCATGAAGTATGATTTTGATCACATTTTGTTTTGTTTTTGTAGAGACGAGGTTTCACTATGTTGCCCAAGCTGGTCTCGAACTCCTGGGCTCAAGGGATTCTTCCATCTCAGCCTCCCAAAGTTCTGGGATTACAGGTATGAGCCACTGCAGTCAGCCTATCATATGCTTTTGAAATTTCACAGAACCCAGTGTTTGGGTATAAGCTTTAGAGTTAAAAGACCTATGTTCAGATCCTGACTCAATCGGACAAGTCACGTTTCCAAGCCTGATCTATAAAACGAAAATTCCCACCACCTACTTGACAGGATGTTCGGAAAATTGGGTGAAATAATATGTAAGTAGTTGGCATGGTGCCTCACAGTTACTAGAACTCGATAAATGGTAGCTGCTTTGACAGCAATTATTACTATTTACTACTATTATTACTATTACTTATTTTCCCCCTTACCAAAATTTGCCGAAAATATTCTAGAACAAGCTTGTCCAACTCATGGCCCCAGCCCAGGTCAGCTTTGAATGCAGCCCAACACAAATTTGTAAACTTTCTTAAAACGTTATGAGATTTTTTTGCAATTTTATTTTTTAGTGCATCAGCTATCATTAGGGTTAGTGTATTTTATGTATGGCCTTCTTCCAATGTGGCCCAAGAAAGTCTAAAGATTGGACAGCCCTGTTCTAAGAACAAGGACATCAAGCTGCTTCTCAAATGGCTCAGAAGACTTCTGTTTGATTGCCTTAGCATGCTGAATTTCACACCACTCCATAACTTAATTCAACATTTCACTATTTATATCCTGGAGCAAAACTGAATGCATAAACTAAAACTCATCAGATAAACACTAAGCCCTAGCTGTTGGTCTCTAGAGAATAAAACACCAGCAAACTAGCTGCAAAAGAACATTATTTTTATGCCAATAAAACCTATGCAAAGCTTTAAAATGTAAGCCATATTCAACAATTTAAATTATTTTAAATTTGAATTTGTATCTCTTTGAAAGCATTGAATCGAAACAGACAACAGATGGACAAAAAATACTGCCTTTGGAATCTGACAGTTCTAAGCCTGAAGCCTACTTTGCCTTCTACTCACTAGTATGACCTTCAGCAAAATTCTAAACCTCTCTAAGCCTCAGTTTTCTTACCTGTATGACCAGGCACAACCAATTACGTCATGGGGTTACTGTGACAATTAAAGGAGGTATGTCCAAACAGCCCTGTAGTAGATGGTCCAAAAGTGAGAATTGGCCAGGCGCGTTGGCTCACGCCTATAATCCCAACACTTTGGGAGGCCAAGGCAGGCGGATCACCTGAGGTCAGGAGTTCGAGACCAGCCTGACCAACATAGTGAAACCCCATCTCTATTAAAAATACAAAAAATTAGCCGAGCATGGTGGCGCACGCCTGTAATCCCAGCTATTTGGGGGGCAGAGGCAGGGGACTCCCTTGAACCCGGGAAGCGGAGGTTGCAGTGAGCCGAGACTGCGCCATCGCACTCCAGCCTAAGCAACAGGAGTGAAACTCCGTCTCAAAAAAATAAAAAATAAAAAAGTGAGAACTGCTACAATTACATTACTATTTTGTTCCAAAAGCTAGAATTCAGGTTTAACTGTCTACAACTCCTCATGATATCCCAGTTCTCCAGCTCTCTTTCGCTATAAAAGTGGCTTCCTTATGAAAAAGGAAGAAAACTCATCTCTGTTCTTCAAGGGCAACAGTGGAGAGTCAAAGAGATGTCACAGGTACATTCTGAAACAGAAGGGAAAGAAGGTTGGGTGACCCATCAACATGTAGAGGTCAGTTCCCACGTGGCATTGGCCATTTCCAGTTGGGAACCACTTCTTAACAACAAGCCTAATACAAGCACCATCAAAGGGCAGACAGGCAAAGAAAGCAAAGAGGCAAGGAAGTCCAACTTTCCGTTTCCATGATCCACTGTGGAAGCAAATATATAACTAACAAAACAACTGGGTCAATTAGCCCCCACTTTGGGAGCATTTTTAACAGTGTGTTTTGCAGTTTTTGGTAGTTACTGTTATTAATAAGGTAATTCTTTAATTTCTTTAGACAAACAGTAAGAAGGCAGGCAGAGGAAAGGAGAAACAAAAATATTAATGCAAGCTGAAAAGCATAAGCAAAGCTTTCAGAAAGAGCTGAGAGAAACCTCCACCTTCCCAAGGAGTAACACCACAAGAGTATCTGTCCTCTCTATACCACTGCTGTACACATTTAATCAACTCAGTCCTTGAGAATAGCAGGAAATTTACTTACAGAATGTACCACCGCCTTTAAAATATAATGCTAGCAAAGAACCGCTGTCAGGTTCTGAGTTCTTTTCTGCAGCCTTCTTCAATAAGCATTTACTGACCACCTACAAAGTGCCAAACACTATGCTGTTTATTAGGGAAACCCTGCAACACAGTTTGATTCCTGTCCTCAGGGAGATCAGTACGAATAGGGAAGAGTCGAGTAAAGAGATCACCACCACAGAGAGTAAACACCAGGCACAAAGGAAGCCCAGACAAGCTCCAGTCCTATCAATATCCAGCCAACCAGCCCAGGGTTAGGAACTTTCTGAACCTAGGGAACACTCCTGAGCACCACAATTGAACCGTCACAGCAGTATTCCCACACCCCCACAGGTCCTTAGGCAGACACACCCACTGCATGGGCACAGACGCACAGCTGTGTCTGTGCATACATGTTTTGGTCATTAGTTTAGTCAACAAATACTGAGGGCCACACTAAACAGGCAGTTACCAGTGCCAGCTCGGGTCCTAATTCCTCATGTGACTTCGGACAAGTCACTTCCTGAATTGGTACTGGTTCATACCAAAGGCCACAGAAGACCTTGGAATATTCCTCCCCTCAGCTGTCAGCCCTCCTCCCTCGGTGGTGGTTCCACCCTTTCCTAAGCACTAAAAATTTAAAGGCTGAGACCATGAGTCAGTATTATTTTGAATTAACCATGTTCCTTTAATTTTTTACAGTGACCACTCCACCTCATTCCTTTCCTCCACCCACCCTGAACCGGTCTACATTTGAGATTTAAGCGGGGTGGCGGGGCGGGGATCCCTATGCAAATCCCTGACCTCCGGAGTTTTCAATCTAGTTGAGTAACAGAATCAAACATGAAGAGAGATATGTAAGATAAGGTACACCAAGCACTTATGACTAAAGACATTGCAAGGCCAAGAGCAGGTGAAATGCAGCGGGGGCGGACCGCACCGCGAGGGTAAAGC
This sequence comes from Homo sapiens, assembly GCF_000001405.40. NCBI lineage: Eukaryota > Metazoa > Chordata > Mammalia > Primates > Hominidae > Homo > Homo sapiens. The sequence continues at coordinate 131,105,967 of NC_000002.12, read as the reverse complement.
CTCAACGCCCCCCGGGACTTAAGGAGGGGAGACCTCTGGGCAGGAGAACTGAGAAGGCAAGTTCCCTGGAGCAGAGGGAGCAGCAGGGGTAGAGATCGGACGCCGGGAGACCCCAGGCGGCGGGCCGCAGCAGGTCCCGGCAGTCAGACATGTGGGACACTCCCGAGCGGCCAGAAAGGATGCAAGGCGGAGGCTGCAGTCGGGAAAGGAGGAGGGTCCGCGGGGCCGGAGAGGAGGGGCTCGGGGAAAGGACCGGAGGCGGACGCCGGGGAAGCGATGGGAAGGGGTCTGAGAGGCCGGGGGGGCCCACTGGGAGGGCTCTCGAATGGGCTGCTCTAGGGGAGACTGAGAGGGCGGACCTGGGGAAGGTCAGGGTGGTCCAGGGAGGTGGGCGGACCCGTGGCCAGGAGCCTCAGGGAAAATTAGGGAGTGGGGACACCGCGGAGGTGGCGCGGTGCGGGGTCCCCTCAGAGGGGCGCGAGGCTGGGCAGCTCTAGAGGAGAATCTGGAGAGGCGCGGGCCAGAGGGGAAAGGAGCTAGGGTCGTCCGGACTAAACAGGGACACTCACCTGCGAACCAGCGTGGAGAACACCAAGACGCCACGGCGATTCCTCGCCTGCTCGCCTGCAACTGCCGCACGTCCGGCGTCCTGGCCGCCGTTCTGACGTCACGCCTCGGCGCGCATGCGCGGCGGGCCCCGGCCGGTGGGGCGGGGTGTCTGGGTGGTTTTCTGAGAAACGGGACGGAAGGCGGCAGGGGGCGTGGGTCTCCCAGGAGGTCGGCGCTTCCACTAAAAGGAAGTGTTACAAAGTGAGATCCTGTCTTAAAAATATAAAAATTTAAAAAAAAATTGTTAGCACCCTAATCTTGGTTTCTAAATACCGCTCTCTAAAAATAGGGCCAAGGCGCCTTAGAGAAATGGGCGACTCTAGGACCCGGGCGCAGAAAGCTCCAGCTGAGCCGGGAGCGTTTTGTAGGCCAGAAGCTTGAGGTGCTCAAAAAACTGAAGGACCGGGCGTCCAAGGGCGCAGGGATCTACCCAGAGAGCTTCCGGGGGCCGCGCCTGGGACAATTTGAGCAGCAATATAAAGTACATTGCATTAAGTTATAACCTAAAGTATAAAACAGCCCAGAGCCCGTGCTGCTATAAATACGTGATTAAATAAATGAGGGAGAAGGGATAATCTTCCTTGCAGAGGAATTCTAATAATACCTCATCCAGAGGGGTGTGGTAATCCGTCCACACCCACCCTGAGTGTGGCCTATGCCTGGGGACGACCTTTCCAAGAGTACAGTGTGGAAAGAGGGCTGTAGAGCCACTCCACGTGAAAATCAAAGTGATTAGTCACTGCACTTGCCCTTGACATGTGATTAAAAAAAAAACCGTGACCTCAGTCTAACTGAAAGATAAACATCAGACAAATCTCGTTTGTGGGATATTCCTCAAAACACCTCACCAGTACTCCTCAAACTATCAAGGTAATCAAAAGCAAGAAAAAAACTGAGACACTGTCATATGCAACATGGTGATGTAGCTAGGCTATAAACTTAAAATAAAATTTAAGTTTAGGTAATAGTAGTTTTTAGTTATAAGAAATGTATAATGGTTATGTAAGATGTTAACATTAGGAGAAATTGTGTGAAGGGTATACTAGCTTTATAACTTTTTTGTAGTCTAAAATTATTCCAGATGAAAAGTTGGGGGTTTTCTGAAGACAATAGAGGGAAAATAAATGTTAGCCAGGTGAGATGGTTCATGCCAGTAATCCCAGAGCTTTGCGAGCCAGAGGCAGGAGGATTGCTTGAGCCCAGAAGTTTGACCTGCAATCAAGCCACTGCGTTCCAGCCTAGCAGGGGTTGGGGGGTGGTGTAGGGGTACTGCCTGGAAAGAGGCTTGAGAGAGCCTCCTGGCAACCCCACTCCTAGGGTGCTGAAAATGTTCTATACATTGATCTGAGTGGTGGGTACGTGTGTGTAAGTAAAACTTTATCAAGCTGAACACTATACTTAACATTTGTACATTTTTGGCCGGGCACAGTGGCTCACGCCTGTAATCCCAGCACTTTGGGAGGCCGAGGCAGGCAGATCACGAGGTCAGGAGTTTGAGACCAGCCTGACCAACGTGGTGAAACACCGTCCATACTAAAAATACAAAAAAAAATTAGTCAGGCCTGGTGGTGCGCTTGTAATCCCAGATACTCAGAGACTAAAAATACAAAAATTAGCCAGGCGTGGTGGCGGGCGCCGGTAGTCCCAGCTACTTGGGAGGCTGAGGCAGGAAAATGGTGTGAACCCGGGAGGCAGACGTTGCACTGAGCCGAGATCACGCCACTGCACTCCAGCCTAGGCGACAGAGAGACTCCATCTAAAAAAAAAAAAAAAAAAAAAAAAGATTTGTACATTTTTCTGTGTATAAATTATATCTAAATTTAAAAGGGAAAAACTCTTAAAAAAAATATTGGAAGAGCCCTATTATTATTGGTCTTCAAAACCCCAAACTCTGCCAATCAGGGCCCCTGTCTTAACCCAGCTCCTCTCTGGGGAAAATTTAAAAAATGCAGGGTAGGGAGTCCTATGATGCCTGCAATCCCATCTTTTGCAAGATATTATAGCTTAGTCAACACAAGAGTTCAGAGATTTGTGTGACATGGGGTTCTTCCTGGTTCCGCTGCTTCTGGATGAGCTCGGGTAAATTGCCTGACATCAACAAGCTTCTTGACCAGCCCTCATTAAGGCTATACTAGCCCTGACCACCTTCAGGGTCAGTCTTAGGGACCTTTCAGGGTCTGAGTTTGGAGTATCCAAAAATACACTAACACATTCTCTCTGAGTGATGGGACTGTGGATGACATTTCTTTTTTCTACTTTTCTGCATTTTCCAAGTTTTCTTTCATGAATATGTATCACTTCAACAACAGGAAAAAGTAATATTTAAGGCTGGGTGTGATGGCTCACGTCTATAATCCCAGCACTTTGGGAGGCCAAGACAGGAGAATTACTTGAGCCCAGGAGTTCAAGACCAGCTTGGGCAACACAGTGGGACACTTTCTCTACAAAAAAATAAAAATAAAAAAATTAGACTGGCATGGTGGCATGCATCTGTAGTCCCAGCTACTTGAGAGGCTGAGAGGGAAGCTTCACTAGAATCCGGGAGGTCAAGGGTGCAGTGAGCCATGATTGTGTCACTGCACTCCAGGTTGAGCAAAAGAATGAGACCCTGCCTCAAAATAATAATAATTTTTTTTTTGAGATGGAGTCTCACTGTCACCCAGGCTGGTGGACAGTGGCACCATCTAGGCTCACTGCAACCTCCGCCTCCTGGGTTCAAGCAATTATTCTGCCTCAGCCTCCTGAGTAGCTGGGAATACAGGTGTGCGCCCCCACACCCAGCTATTTATTTTGTATTTTTAGTAGAGACAGGGTTTCATCATGTTGGCCAGGCTGGTCTCAAACTCCCGACCTCGTGATCCACCTGCCTCGGCCTCCCAAAATGCTGGGATTACAGGCGTAAGCCACTGCACCCAGACAAAAAAAAAGTAATATTTTAATAAAGTTCAGTTTAAGTAGGCGTTCCAGTACCTGGAGGAGGGAGTGTCCCATAACAAGTTTTCTGATTCAGTAAAACTGGCTTTCTGGGCTGGGCGTGGTGGCTCACGCCTGTAATCCTAGCACTTTGGGAGGTCGAGGCATGCAGATCGCTCGAGGTCCAGAGTTCGAGACCAGCCTGGCCAACGTGGTGAAACCCCATCTCTACTAAAAATACAAAATAATTAGCCAGGCGTGGTGGCGGGCACCTGTAATCCCAGCTACTTGGGAGGCTGAGGCAGGAGAATAGCTTGAACCCAGGAGGCGGAGGTTGCAGTGAGCTGAGATTGTGCCACTGCACTCCAGCCTGGGCGACTGAGTGAAACTCCAACTCAGAAAAAAAAAAAAAAAAAAGAAAGAAAAGAAAAACTGGCTTCCTGTTCATGTTTATTGAGAAGAGGCCAGGGGAAAGAAGGCTGGGTGCAGGTGAGGACGCCTGCTTTCCAGCCCCCTATCTGAATGTGCAGCCTCTTGTCTGAAACTGAGAGGGAGAAGTCCAAGAGTTCAAAGAGTTGCATTGGGACTCTGTACCCATCAGTCACCTGTCTCTGTGGCCCTCAACTGGCTCAAACCAAATTACCTGCTGCTAAGCCCCACTCCATTTCTTGCCCAGTTACTAGTATGCGTTTCTTTATTGAAGAAAATAAAGTGAGAAGTTCTGGTGGTTAAAAAAGAAATTCCAGGCCAGGCACATTAGCTCACACCTGAAATCCCAACATTTGGAAGGCCGAGGCAGGAGGATCACTTGAGGCCAAAAGTTCAAGACCAACCTGGACAACATAGTAAAACAAAATATACAAAAACATAAGTAAATTTAAAAAAAAAACTCCAAATAGAACATGAAGTAAAATACCATGTCTCCCCTGCTACACCCCACATAATTGGGAATGTGGAGCTTCCAAGGAATAGGAGATAACAGGCACTCTTCCTTTACTTTTTCTTTCTTTGTGTTTTTTTTTTTTTTTTTTGAGACGGAGTCTCGCTCTGTCGCCCAGGCTGGAGGGCAGTGGCGGGATCTCGGCTCACTGCAAGCCCCACCTCCCAGGATCACGCCATTCTCCTGCCTCAGCCTCCCAAGTAGCTGGGACTACAGGCACCCGCCACCACGCCCGGCTAATTTTTTGTATTTTTAGTAGAGACGGAGTTTCACCATGTTAGCCAGGATGGTCTCCATCTCCTGACCTCGTGATCCGCCCGCCTCAGCCTCCCAAATTGCTGTGATTACAGGCGTGAGCCACAGCGCCCGGCCGAAATTTTTTATATGTATAAAAGTAGCCAGGGTGGAACAGTAGGATTTCAGCTGCCCCACAATGTTTACCAACACCCAGGTCCATCCCAAACAGACACACAGCACTAGGGAGAAGAGCAGGGGCAAGCAATGCAGAGTGCAGCGCAGGAAGCCGTTCCAGCATGCTGGCTGCACCTTTGCTTCTCCTATACGGAAACTTTGTAACTGCTTTTTGGGGTGGGAAACAATGAGTTTTTGCATGCCTAAATTTTACTTCATTTTGCCCTCAACATCTACTAAGAAGCCATGGCTTTCTTCAGACAGTGGAATCCATTTCTTTCTTTCTTTTTTTTATTTTTTTGAGACGGAGTTTCACTCTTGTTGCCCAGGCTGGAGTGCAATGGCTCGATCTTGGCTCACCACAACCTCCGCCTCCCAGGTTCAAGCGATTCTCCTGCCTCGGCCTCCCAAGCAGCTGATACTACAAGCACCCACCACGACACCCGACTAATTTTGTATTTTTAGTAGAGACGGGGTTTCTCCAGGTTGGTCAGGCTGGTCTCGAACTCCCAACCTCAGGTGATCCGCCTGCCCCGGCCTCCCAAAGTGCTGGAATTACAGGCATGAGCCACCACGCCCGGCCAAAGACAGTGGAATCCATTTCTTTTGAGGATAGTAGTTGGGGTTTTGCCCACTATAAACAGGAAGCTGCCCATGTACACAAGAATGGAGAAATAAAAAGGGGCACAGCTGTGGTACAGGCAGCCTTGCAGTTAATGTCCTTGTTTACAGGTCTGTTTCTCTCCCCCTTCACTCCCTGCTTTGGATTGCAGCCTTTTCTGCCTATTTCAACCATCCACAGGAAAGTGAGTGCCCTTTCTCCTCCAGCCCACCTGAGCCTCTACTGCTACTTCAGTTTGGAGTGTTTCTTGTTTACTGTTGAACATCTGTCACCTATTTCACAGGCATCTATGGAGGGACAAAATGAGTTCTTGGCCTCCCATTTTGAATCCGAAGCCCTCAACCCCAAATACTTTGTTTTTTGTTTGTTTGTTTGTTTGTTTGTTTGCTTTTGAGATGGAGTCTCGCTCTGTCACCCAGGCTGCAGTGTAGTGGAGTGATCTCGGCTCACTGAAACCTCCGCCTCCCAGGTTCCAGCAATTCTCCTGCCTCAGCCTCCTGAGTAGCTGAGACTACAGGCACACGCCACCACACCTGGCTAATTTTTGTATTTTTTGGTAGAGATGGGGTTTCACCATATTGTCCAGGCTGGTCTCAAACTACTGACCTTGTGATCTGCCTGCCTCAGCCTCCTAATGTGTTGGAATTACAGGCGTGAGCCACTGCGCCTGGCCTTTCTGTTTTTTATTTCTTGAGACACGGTCTCACTCTGTTGCACAAGCTAGGGTGCGGTGGCATGACCACAGCTCACTGCAGCCTTGAACTCCAGGGCTCAAGTGATCCTCTTACCTCAGTCTCCAGAGTAGCTGGGACTACAGTGTGTGCCACCACACCCAACTAATTGTTTTTAAATTTAATTTTAACTTTTTTTTTTTTTTTTTGAGACAGAGTCTCACTCTGTCGCCCAGGCTAGAGTGCAGTGGCACGATATTGGCTCACTGTAAGCTCCGCCTTCCGGGTTCACGCCATTCTCCTGCCTCAGCCTCCGGAGTAGCTGCGACTACAGGCGCCCGCCACCACGCCCGGCTAATTTTTTGTATTTTAAGCAGAGACGGGGTTTCACTGTGTTAGCCAGGATGGTTTTGATCTCCTGACCTCGTGTTCCACCCGCCTTGGCCTCCCAAAGTGCTGGGATTATAGGCGTGAGCCACTGCGCGCGGCCTAGTAATTTTAATTTTTTTAAATAGAGACACGGTCTCATTATATTGCTCAGGCTGGTCTTCAACTCCTGGACTCAAGTGATCCTCCTGCCTCGGCCTCCCAAGGTGCTGGGATTACAGGCATGAGCCACCACACTCAGCCCTCAACTAATTTTTTTATTTTTTGTAGAGATGATTGGTGGGGGGGTCTCCATATATTGCCCAGGTTGGTCTCAAACTAACTGAAGGGAGAGAGCCAGGAAGGCCAGCAGCATGGTGCTATACAGCATGTCCACAGGCAGGTATAATAGATGCAAGGAGCCTCAAGGGCACATAATAAAGTCATTAGGAAGGAATGCATTTTGGGTTTTTTTGTTGTTGTTTGTTTGAGACAAGCCTCGCTCTGTCGCTCAGGCTGGAGTGCAGTGGTGCGATCTCGGCTCACTGCAAGCTCCACCTCCCGGGTTCACGCTATTCTCCTGCCTCAGCCTCCCAAGTAGCTGGGACTACAGGCACCCACCACCACGCCCAGCTAATTTTTTTGTATTTTTAGTAGAGACGGGGTTTCACCGTGTTAGCCAGGATGGTCTCGATCTCCTGACCTCATGAGCCGCCCGCCTCGGCCTCCCAAAGTGCTGGGATTACAGGAGTGAGCCACCGTGCCCGGCCTGCATTTTGTTTTTGTCGTTGTAGTTTTGTTTGTTTGTTTGTTTTTTGAGACAGAGTCTCGCCCTGTTGCCCAGGCTGGAGTGCAATGGCGCGATCTTGTCTGACTGCAAGCTCCGCCTCCCGGCTTCAAGGGATTCTCCTGCCTCAGCCTCCGGAGTAGCTGAGATTACAGGCACCTGCCACCACGCCTAATTTTTTGTATTTTTAGTAGAGATCGGGTTTCACCATGTTGGCCAGGCTGGTCTCGAACTGCTGACCTTGTGATCTGCCCACCTCGGCCTCCCAAAGTACTGGGATTACAGGCGTGAGCCACCGCACCCGGCAGGAATGCATTTTGATCATATATTCCCTTTGTTTTTAATATTAAATTTACACAGTATAATTTTTAATATTGGCTGCGTTTCACAGATGGCTTACAGAATTCCTGGAAATTTGTCCTTTGGCTTACACTAGTGGCCCCAGCATATCCCTGAGCTTGTTTAGCTGTTCTTTTGATGATAGATGCATGAATGCTTTCCTGTTTGAGGTTATTATCAATAAAATTGTAATGAACATTTCTGTACAAGTCTTTGCATGGATATATGATTGCAATTCTCTTTGGTACAATTTGCTGAGTGATGAGATAGATGTGTAGTTTTTTGTTGTTTGTTTTTGGTTTTGTTTTGTTTTGTTTTTTGAGATGGAGTCTCACTCTGCTGCCCAGGCTGGAGTGGAGTGGCATGATCTCGGCTCACTGCCACCTCTGTCTCCCAGATACAATCGATTCTCCACCCTCAGCCTCCCGAGTAACTGGGATTACAGGTGCCCACCACCATGCCCAGCTAATTTTTGTATTTTTATCAGAGATGGGGATTCACCATATTGGCCAGGCTGGTCTCGAATTCTTGACCTGTGTTTTAAGACAGAGACTTGCTTTGTCACCCAGGCTGGAGTGCAGTAGCATCATCATAGCTCACTGCAGTCTCCAACCCCTGGGCTTGACAATCCTCTCACCTTACTTGCCCCCTGCCAGTAGCTGGGACTGCAGAGTGCACCACCACATCCAGCTAATTTTTGTTTTGTTTTTTTGAGACGGAGTCTTGCTGTTCTGTGTCGCCCAGGCTAGAGTGCAGTGGTGTGATCTCGGCTCACTGCAACCTCTCCCTCTCAGATTCGAGCGATTCTTCTGCCTCAGCCTCCCCAGTAGTGGGGACTACAGGCACCCGCCACCATGCCTGGCTAATTTTTGTATTATTAGTAGAGACGGGTTTCACCATGTTGGCCAGGCTGGTCTTGAACTCCTGACCTCAGGTGATCCACCCACCTCCGCCTCCCAAAGTGCTGGAATTATAGTTGTGAGCCGCCGCACCCGGCCTGTGTGTGTGTGTGTGTGTGTGTGTGTGTGTGTGTGTATATATATGTTTTTTTTTTTTTTTTTTTTTTTTTGTAGAAAAGGGGCTCTTGATATATTACCCAAGGTGATCTTGAACTCTTGGGCTCAAACAATCCACCCGCCTTGGTCTCCCAAAGTGTTGGAATTATAGGCTTACAGGCATAAGACACTGCACCTGGCTGATGTTTGCTTGTTTGTTTATTTATTTGTTTTGAGACAGTCTCCCTCTGTCACCCAGGCTGGAGTGCAGTGGCGTGATCTCGGCTCACTACAACCTCTGCCTCCCGGGTTCAAGCAATGCTCCTGCCTCAGCCTCCTGAGTAACTGGGATTACAGGTGCCCACCACAACGCCCGGCTAATTTTTGTATTTTTAGTAGAGACGAGGTTTCACCATGTTGGCCAGGCTGGTCTGGAACTCCTGACCTCAAGTGATCTGCATGCCTCAGCCTCCCAAACTGCTAGGATTACAGGCTTCAGCAACCACACCAGGCCAGATGTTTAGTTTCACAAGAAATGATTAGAACTTTATCCAAAGTGATTATACCATTTTGTACTCCCATCAGAAATATATATATTTTAAATTATTACTATTTTTTGAGACGGAGTCCCACTCTGTTGCCAGGCTGGAGTGCAGTGGTGCGATCTTGGCTCACTGCAACCTCCGCCTCCTGGGTTTAAGCGATTCTCCTGCCTCAGCCTCCCCAGTAGCTGGGACTGCAGGCGCGCCCCACCACGTCCAGCTAATTTTTGTATTTTTAGTAGAGACGAGGTTTCACCATGTTGGCCAGGATGGTCACAATCTCTTTTTTTTTTTTTTTGAGCCAGAGTCTCGCTCTGTCACCCAGGCTGGAGTGCAGTAGTGTGATCTCGGCTCACTGCAACCTCCGCCTCCCGGGTTCAAGCAATTCTCCTGCCTCAGCCTCCCCAGTAGCTGGGACTATAGGCACGTGCCATCATGCCTGGCTAATTTTTTTGTATTTTTAGTAGAGACGGGTTCACCATGTTAGCCAGGATGGTCTTGATCTCCTGACCTCGTGATCAGCCTGCCTCAATCTCCCAAAGTGCTGGGATTACAGGCGTGAGCCACCACGCCTGGCCAAGATTTTTATTTATTTTTAATTTAATTTTAGAGTAGGTAATGTATTCACGTGGTTCAAAAATTAAAAAAAAAAAAAAACCCAAACATGAAAATTATCTTTCTCACCTCTGTCCCCTATCTGCTCAGAGCCCACTTTTTCCCAGTCTCACCACAGATAATCATTGCTGGTAGATTTTTGGCTATTTTTTGGTATTTCTGTAAATATGACAATATTCTGTAAATGTAAGTAAATACAGATATATTTTTTCATTTCTACCTTTTTACATAACATTCTTTTTTTTTATTTTTTATTTTTTGAGACGGAGTTTCGCTCTCGTTGCCCAGGCTGGAGTGCAATGGGGCAATCTCGGCTCACTGCAACCTCCGCCTCCTGGGTTCAAGCAATTCTTCTGCCTCAGCCTCCCGAGTAGCTGGGATTACAGGCATGTACCACCACGCCTGGCTAATTTTGTATTTTTAGTAGAGACGGGGTTTTCCCATGTTGAGGCTGGTCTCGAACTCCTGACCTCAGGTGATCCACCCGCCTCGGCCTCCTAAAGTGCTGGGATTACAGGCGTGAGCCACCGTGCCCGGCTTTACATACTATTCTTACACAGAGTTCCATACCTTGGTTTTTTTTCATTGAATAGTCTACCTTGGAGATATTTTCATTTCAGTACATACAAAGTTTCCCCATTTCTTTTTCAAGTTATAGGCTATTTCACTGCATGATGAACCAGAGTTTACTCAGTCATTTCCCTAGGTGTGGACACTAGGGTTTGTTTCCAGTATTTTGCTACTATGCACAATGCTGCAATTAATAGGTGTGAACTCATTTTATTTCACACATCTATAAGTATCTCTGTAGGCAAACTCCCAGAAGTGCAGCTGTTGAATGAAACATTGTTTGTGCGTTTATTTTGACACACATCATCAGACGATCCCCTTTCCCATCCAGCAATGTCTGAGAGTGCGAGCTTCCTGGCAGCCTTACCAATAGCATTGTCAATTTTTTGGATGTTTGCCAATCACAGTGAAAACTGCTACCTCAAAGAGTTTTAACTTGCATTTTTCTTTATAGAAGTGAGATTGGATATTTTTCATATGACTAACAGCCAGACTTAGTCCTTTGCTGTGAACTCTCCTTTTTCTATTGGGTGGTAGGGCTTTTTATTGTTGACTTCTGGAAGCTTTTGGAATATTAAAGAGATTAGCTTTGTCTATTACATGTGTTGGGACTATTTCTTCCTTGTTAATCATTTATCTTTTGACTTTGCTTATGGTGCTTTTTGCCGACCAAAGCTTTTCATAGTCATGACTTCTGGATTTCAAGTAATAATGTAGAAAAGCCTTCTTTACTCCAATACTAAAAAGGAATTTCCCCATGTTTTCTTCTTGTCCTTTTATCACATTTATATTTTATTTTTATTTTTTTTTTTGAGACGGAGTCTTCCTCTGTCGCCCAGGCTGGAGTGCAGTGGCCCGATCTCGGCTCACTGCAACCTCCGCCTCCCGGGTTCAAGAGATTCTCCTGCCTCAGCCTCCAGAGCAGCTAAGGTTACAGATGTGCGCCACCACGCGCAGCTAATTTTTGTATTTTTAGTAGAGACGCGGTTTCACTATGTTGGCCAGGCTGGTCTTGAACTCCTGACCTCGTGATCTGCCCGCCTCGGCCTCCTATAAGTGCCGGGATTAAAGGCGTGAGACACCGCGCCCATCTGTTTTTATTTCATAAACGACTGAAAAAAGACCAGAGCCAGGCCTCCTCCCTTCCATCACTAATCTTTATTGCAATAACTCCCTCCTTTGTCGTCCTGTACCTAGCTCAGACCAGACGACACCCCAAACACAAACACCAAGACACGCACCTCTTTAATACGAAATAATAAACATACCTCCCCCAGAGAGACACCCTGAACTAACCAAATCATTGTAACTATACACTAAGCCTTACATAAAAATACTAACATTTGGCCGGGTGCGGTGGCTCACACTTGTAATCCCAGCACTTTGGGAGGCCAACGTGGGTGGATCACCTGAGGTCACGGGTTCGAGACTAGCCTGACCAACATGGTGAAACCCCCGTCTCTACTAACACAAAAATTAGCCAGGTGTGGTGGCGGGCGCCTGGAATCTCAATTACTCAGGAGGCTGAGGCAGGAGAATCGCTTGAACCCGGGAAGCGGAGGTTGCAGTGAGCCAAGATCGCGCCATTGTACTCCAGCCTGGGTGACAAGAGCGAAACTCCGTCTCAAAAAAAAACCAAAAAACCCCCTAACATTCTAGTACACTTCCCTGAACTCTTGTCTATAGAAATGATCCCGCACTTCTACACTTGAAACGCTGACTTGCATTCTCTAAAATCTGCACTCCTGAGCGGGCGCCCGCAGCCTCCGCACTGGCAAAGAATCTGTGAGCTGAGCTCCGCCCCGCTCCGACCCCGTAGTGGCGGTCACCCGGGGTGTGCTCGACTCCCGGGTGCGGCCTGAGGATCCGCGCCCTGGCGTCTGGGCACACACAAAGGTTTCTGCGGCGCGGGACTATCTCAAAATATAAATTAAATACTTTTTTCACAGACAGTTAATAAAAAAACTACAGCTACACCCGGCCCTTTCGCCAACTGGGACCGGCCCACTCCGCGCTCGCGCTCGCGCTCGTCCATCCGGGCGTCTCGAGGGCGCCGGCGGGAGCGAGCACGCTGCGCAGTCACGTGCCCGGCGCGCCCCCGTCGCGGCGCGCTCAGGCGGAAGTGAGGTCGGCGGCTCCGGTGGCTGCGCAGCGTCGGCGGGGAGCGCGGGCTGCGGAGAGGCGGGCCGGGCCAAGCGGAGCCGAGCGAGCGGGAGCGCGGCGTCCGGGAGGCGGCGGAGACGCGGGGCTCGGAGGGTCAGCCTCTTATCGTAGCAGGTCTCCTCGGCACGCCCCCCTTGTTTCGCCCCACGGCCAAGCCCGCCGCGGGCCGGCGTGCGCTGGTCACTGAGGCCCAGGTCGCCGCCGCGGCGCGGTGAGTGGGGGCGGGCAGCGGGCGACTGCGCGTCCAGGCCGGAAGTGCGGCGCTTTGTGCGGCCGGCTCGGGGCGGCGCCAAGGTCGGCCCGCGGCTCGGGGTCGCTGGGCGTCTGGACCGGCCTGGGCTGCGCTTTGTGCCGCGGGCAAGGCCGGGCGGGGGCCGGGGGCGGAGCTCGGCCGGACACGTACGCGTGCAGGTGCGGTCCGGGCGGCGCGGGCCTGCCGCCTAGGTGGCCGAGGTGGCTTCGCGGCGCGGGGCGTTCTCCTAAAGGTCGGGGTCACAGCCGTCAGGAATGCGAGCGTGAAACCCGGGGGCAGAGCTTTGTGACAATAGTCATTTCCAATGTGTAACTGCTCACTTTGTCTACCCACGAAGTAAAGATAATTTTTATTTTTATTTTTTTGCTTGGCGGAATCTGAGCGTTCTCCTTCCAGCTTGAAAAGGCACGATTTAAATTACAGATTTTTAAGATTTCCTTCAGAAAGGACGTTTCGTGGCCTAGCCTGGGTTAACTTTGAAAAAAGAGTGCAGTGCGCCTTTACGACGTCCACAAATAAGGGTATTTCTGTTTTATAGTGTATGTGAACATGAAGTGTGCATCTCATGGGCTGTTTGAGTTAATGTTTAATCATTAAAGTCAAACAAGAATATTTTGCAGTGTTTTCGCATGCAAGGAAGCTTTATAAATAAAAAGGTTTATATAGTTTCCACTCCTTAAACTTTCAGGTCATCCTTGTGTAATTTGAGATCACTTTTCTCAAATACTATGGATGAAAGATTCTAGATTAAATAAAACTTTTTGGTTTTGGCAAAAACAGGACACATTTTTAAGCTCTTGTAGATGAAGGAGTGGGTTATTTTTGCTTTGACAGCCAAGATTTGAGCAGTGTAAGGCTATTCTAATTTTGAAGCTAGTGTTGCAGAAATTGTGAAGATCTTGCTTCTCTTTGTCTTTACAAAGCAGGCTTACTTTGGTGGAGTTCCGTAGTTTAAAGGGAAATTATACCCAAGTTGTCTTAGACAGTTTCTTTTCCTGGATCAATTGAGCACTTTTTTTTTTTTTTTTGAGACGGAGTCTCCCTCTGTTTCCCAGACTGGAGTGCAGTGGCGCCATCTCGGCTCACTGCAAGCTCCGCCTCCCGGATTCACGTCAGTCTTTTGCCTCAGCCTCCCAAGTAGCTGGGACTGCAGGCGCCCGCCACCACGCCTGGCTAATTTTTTTGTATTTGTTTTTTTTTTTTTTTAGTAGAGACGAGGTTTCACCGTGTTAGCCAGGATGGTCCCAATCTCCTGACCTCGTGATCCGCCCGCCTCGACCTTCCAAAGTGCTGGGATTACAGACGTGAGCCACCGCGCCTGGCCGAGCACAATTTTAAAAGAACAGTACACCAGCGTAATAGAGTAATAGTTTTTTCATGCCTTGTGTCCAGTCTGTTAAGTCTGTCTGATTGTACTGTGCAGAAATACATGAATTCCTCCCAGTAAAATGCAAACCCAAACCTTGGTAATGAAGGTAAAGTTTGGGGGAGAGAACTTCTTTTCTTTTTTCTTTTTTTTTTTTGTGAGACGGAGTGTCGCTCTGTCGCCCAGGCTGGAGTGCAATGGCGTGATCTCGGCTCACTGCAACCTCCGCCTCCCGGGCTCAAGGGATTCTCCTGTCTCAGCCTCCCGAGTAGCTGGGATTACAGGCACACACCACTGCGCCCAGCTAATTTTTTGTATTTTTAGTAGAGACGGGGTTTTACCATGTTGCCCAGTCTGGTCTTGAACTCCTGACCTCAGGTGGTCCACCTACGTCGGCCTCCCAAAGTGCTGGAGACACCACCGCGCTCGGCCTATATGCTTTATTTTTTATTTATTCATTTATTTTTTTGAGACAGTTTTGTTCTGTCGCCCAGGCTGGAGTGCAGTGGAGTGATCTCGGCTCACTGCAACCTCCTCCTCCCGGGTTCAAGTGATTCTCCTGCCTCAGCCTCCGGAGTAGCTGAGATTACAGGCACATGCCACCCTGCCCAGGTAATGTTTGTGTTTTTAGTAGAGATGGGGTCTCATCTCACTATGTTGGCCAGGCTGGTCTCGAACTCTTGACCTCAAGTGATCCACCCGCGTTGGCCTCCCAGAGTGCTGGGATTACAGGCGTGAGCCACCGTATCCAGCTTCTTTTTTAAAAATATATTTTTGTCCAGGTGTGGTGGCTCACGCCTGTAATGCCTGCACTTTGGGAGGCTGAGGCTGGCATATCACGAGGTCAGGTGATCAAAACCATCCTGGATAACATGGTGAAACCCCATCTCTACTAAAAATACCAAAATATTAGCCGGGCATGGTGGCAGGCAACTGTAGTCCCAGCCACTGGGGGAGGCTGAGGCAGGAGAATGGTGTGAACCCGGGAGGTGGAGCTTGCAGTGAGCCGAGATTGTGCCACTGCCCTCCAGCCTGGGCAACAAAGCGAGACTCCATCTCAAACAAAAAATTTGTATATATTATACATATATATGTTCATTTTGTAGAGATGGGAGTCTCACTATATCGCCCAGGCTGATCTCAAACTTCTGGGCTCAAGCAGTCCTCCTGCCCCAGCCTCCCAAAGCACTGGTGTTACAGGCACTTGCCACCAAGTCTACAAGCTCTTGTTGATGTTGCCAGACATTACTGAGAATTTCCAATGTTGATTTTTCTGAGTATTGTATCTTGTATATTGGTGTTTCTGAGAGTGAATCTAAACCTCTTAAAATTAGATTTGTTGATATAAAATTTTAAAGGCCTCGTGTTATAGTATTTCATACTTAGTGCTCTGTGTGGAACTTTGTTTAGAGATGGTATGTTTCCAAACCAGGAAACAATAGTATATAGTGATAGGTCTTTCTTTCTTTTTTTTTTTTTTTTTTTTGAGACAAGAGTCTCGCTTTGTCGCCCAGGCTGGAGTGCAGTGGCACGGTCTGGGCTCATTGCAAGCTCAGCCTCCTGGGTTCACGCCATTCTCCAGCCTCAGCCTCCTGAGTAGCTGGGTACAGGCGCCTGCCACCGTGCCTGGATAATTTTTTTTTTTTTTTTTTTTGTATTTTTGGTAGAGACGGGGTTTCACTGTGGTCTCGATCTCCTGACCTCGTGATCCGCCCTCGTCGGCCTCCCGAAGTGCTGGGATTACAGGCGTGAGCCACTGCGCCGGCCTCTTTTTTTGAGATGGAGCGTCCATGTCGCCCAGGCTGGAGTGCAGTGGTATGATCTCGGCTCACTGAAACCTCTGCCTCCTGGGTTCAAGTGATTCTCCTGCCTCGGCCTCCCAAGTAGCTGGGACTACAGGTGTGCACCACCACCGCTGGCTAATTTTTGTATTTTTAGTAGAGACGGGGTTTCACCATGTTGGCCAGGCTGGTCTGGAATTCCTGACCTCGTGATCTGCCCACCTTGGCCTCCCAAAGTGCTGGGATTACAGGCGTGAGCCACCATGCCCAGCCAGGTCTTTCTTTTTTCTTTCTTTTTTTTTTTTTTGAGATGGAGTCTCGCTCTGTTGCCCAGACTGGAGTGCAGTGGCGCCATCTCGGCTCATTGCAAGCTCCGCCTTCCGGGTTCACACCATTCTCCTGCCTCAGCCTCCCCAAGTAGTTGTGAGTGGCTAATTTTCTTTTTGTATTTTTTTTTAGTAGAGACAGGTTTCACCGTGTTAGCCAGGATGGTCTCGATCTCCTGACCTTGTGATCCACCCGCCTTGGCCTCCCAAAGTGCTGGGATTACAGGCGTGAGCCACTGCGCCTGGCCAGGTCTTTCATTTTAAAGATAGAGTTTTCTTCTGATTATGATTTGATTTTCAAGTTAGGAATTTTTGCTGTCATCTTTTTAAAGGTAATCTGACATTTGTCTATTCTAATGCAGGTGTCAAACCACCCATAAGAATTCTGACAGTTGAGTCATTTCAAATGGGAAACTAAAAATGTGGTAAGCTCGGCCCGGTGCAGTGGCTCACGCCTGTAATCCCAGCACTTTGGGAGGCCAAGACTGGCGGATCACCTGAGGTCGGAAGTTCGAGACCAACCTGACCAACGTGGAGAAACCCCGTCTCTACTAAAAATACAAAATTAGCTGGGTGTGGTGGCACATGCCTGTAATCCCAGCTACTCAGGAGGCTGAGACAGGAGAATCGCTTGAACCTGGGAGTCAGAAGTTGCGGTGAGCTGAGATCGCGCCATTGCACTCCAGCCTGGGCAACAAAAGTGAAAACTCTGTCTCAAAAAAAAAAAAAAAAAGTGGTACGCTCTAGATCCAGCCTTGGGTTTGGGTTTCTTAGTCCACAGCAAATTAGACTGGAAAGTTGGTGGTTGCAGGGAGATTTTAGTAGCACTAACATTTCAGGTAGATTGGTGATGGTGTGTTTTTTCTTTAGTTTTGCATTATGCAGAATTGAAAATGCGGCAGTACAGTGCATAACCTTATATGCAACATCTTGATGTAAAGATTATTAGCATTTACATAATTTCTACTTGATGTAGAGATTATTTGCTCTTTTTGTAGAAATATTTTAAAGTATAGATGTATCATTTTCGACTTTATATACTTTATTGTATCTTTACAAATTTATGTAACTATACATAATCACAGTACTGTTACCAGGATTAAACATAATTGTTTCATACCAGCTGATACCCAGTATTCAGTCGTGTCCCAGATATCTTTAAACTCTGTTTACAGTTGTTTCAGTCTAAATCGAGTCCAAACAAAATTCAGCTATTGCTTTTATGTCTATATCTATTTTAATTTAGAATTATCTGGCCTTCCTCCTCTCCCGCCCCCTTTTCCCCCCACCATTGCCTTATTGAAGAAACTGGGTCATTTGTCCTCTGGAATGTCCCACTTTTGGGGTTTGTCTGATTGTTTCATGGTGTCATTCAGCATATTCCCTCCTACTCCTGCGTTTCTTGTAAACTGGAAGTTAGATGTAAAGGCTCCATTTGATTTTTTTTTCCCCCCAGACAGAGTCTTGCTCTGTTGCCCCATCTGGAGTGCAGTGGTGCGATTTCAGCTCACTGCAGCCTCTACCTCCCAGGTTGAAGCGGTTCTCATGCCTTAGCCTCCCGAGTAGCTGGGATTACAGGTGTGTGCCACCACGCCCAGCTAATTTTTGTATTTTTAGCAGAGACTGGGTTTCACCATGTTGCCCAGGCTGGTCTCGAACGCGTGGTCTCAAGTGATCCGCCCTCATCGGCCTCCCAAAGTGCTGGGATTACAGGGATGAGCCACTGCAACCAGCCAAGTAGAGTTTTATTATTATTGGTCTAGGCTATAAGTCAGGTCATTATGGAAGGAGAGCCTCCTAACATCCTTCAGTACTTCATTTGAATTTGCAGTTTTTGGCTGTTAGGAATAATGCTGTTACAAATGTTCATGTCCAACTGTAGGTGTAGCATGTGTTTTCACTTCTCTTGGGTATGTACCTAGGAGTGGAATTGTGGGGTCATGTGGTAACTCTGTTTACCTCAGAGTTGCTCAGGAGCTTCTTTGCCTACCAGAGGACATCTCCACTCAGGCCTGTATTTAAGGGTCTCCACTTGGTGGTTGTACCTAAGCTGTGTCTCCACAATCATCTATTACTGATTCCCTACATAGAGCCTAAGCTCCAAACAAACTCAGTTGCTTAATGTTCTTAAAATGCATCTTGCTTGTTCTCATTTCTGAGGCTGATTTGATCCTATCCATTGTTTATTGGAAATGCTGCCCTTTAATTATTATTATTACTATTTTTTGAGACGGAGTCTTGCTCTGTTGCCCAGGCTGGAGTGCAGTGGCACGATCTCAGCTCACTGCAACCTCTGCCTCCCAGATTCAAGTGATTCTCCTGCGTCAGCCTCCTGTGTAGCTGGGATTACAGGTGCCTGCCAACACACCTGGCTAATTTTTGTTGTATTTTTAGTAGAGATGGGGTTTCACCATGTTGGCTAGGCTGGTCTCCAACTCCTGACCTCAAGTGATCCTCCCACCTTGGCCTCCAAAAGTACTGGGATTACAGGCATGAGCCGCTGTGCCTGGCCTAACGCTGCCCTTTAATCAAGTTTTTCCTATTTCTTCCCTCCTCCACAGAATTTTTGCTCTCCCCTCTCAGCCCTCAGAACACTTTATTCTCTTGTGACTCTTTTTTTTTTTTTTTTTTTTTTGAGACGGAGTCTCGCTGTCGCCCAGGCTGGAGTGCAGTGGCGCAATCTCGGCTCACTGCAGGCTCCGCCCCCTGGGGTTCACACCATTCTCCTGCCTCAGCCTCCCGAGTAGCTGGGACTACAGGCGCCCGCCACCTCGCCCGGCTAATTTTTTGTATTTTTAGTAGAGACGGGGTTTCACCGTGTTAGCCAGGATGGTCTCGATCTCCTGACCTCGTGATCCGCCCGCCTCGGCCTCCCAAAGTGCTGGGATTACAGGCGTGAGCCACCGCGCCCGGCCTTTCTCTTGTGACTCTTAACACTTGTTGCCTTGTATCAGAAAGTATTCATACTTTTAATCTTATTATGTATATGTTTGCACTGTCCAATACGATGGCTGTCACCTACATAGGACTGTTGAAGTTAATTAAACTAAAAATTCACTTACCATATTTGGATAGTACAGACAGGCTTTCATCTTTGTTTTTGAGATAGGGTCTTGCTCCATTGTCTAGGCTGGACTGCAGTGATAACGATCATAGCTCACTGCAGCCTCGAACTCCTGGACTCAATTGATCTCAAGTAGCTGGGACCACAGGTGTGCACCACCGCATCCAGCTGATCTTTTTACTTTTTGTAGAGACAGGGTCTTGCCATATTGCCAGGGCTCGTTTCCATCTTTGTGAACAGTTCTGTTGGACAGCGCTTTTCCAGATTGTAAAACTCAGAAGAGATTGTGACTTGCCATTTTGTTTTCTCTGTGGCCTTTGTGTAGTGCTTTGCTTATCTGGAATTCAATTAAGAAATAAAAATTAGTAGCTCCTGGCACAGAAGAAAGAAATAACATTTGGGAAATATTTGCTTCTTGAGAGATGATAGTTGAACCAGAGAAGTAGGTGAAGTATTTGCAGACCCCCACAATTTCTTGGTTGCAGATCCGCCAAGCATGGGTTAAAAGTACAGGGGACTAGGGATTGGCAGTTGCTAGTATGTTTATTCCTAAACTGTAGGGTAAGACACACAATTGATTCTCCTGCCTACCTGCTATGCCTTTGTATACTTGTTTCCTCCCTACTCTGAACTGTAGGCCTGCACTGTCCAGTATAGTAACCACTAGCCACATGTGACTACTTATGTTGAAGTTAAATAAAGCTAAAAGATCAATCTCACAGTAGCCTCATTTAGCCTTACTTTTCAGATGCTCAGCACTCTTGGCAGGCGGCTGCTGTAGGGGACAGCACAGATGGAGAAGGATGTGGTCATTGTACAAAGTTTTGTTGGTCAGTGCTGGTCAAGACCTATCACGTAGCTGTAGTTGTGAATGGCATGACAAATCTGGCATTTGGATTTGGTTTAGAAGTTTAAAAAAATTAGACAGTTCAGGTAATGAATGTTTTAGTTACTAAAGTTGCCAGTTTATTCCTGATTTAATCCAGAACTTCCTGTTACAGAGGCTAAGGATGTGACCTAATATTTTCTTCTTACTACAGGATTGCTTGGTTGTGAATATTCTAAATGAGACAAATGAGCTGAAAATTTGAAGTGGTTTCTTTTTGTATTTTGTCTTCGTAATGGATTTTGACACCTAGAGTGTTCTGAAAGGCATTTGTTTTTTAGAAAGTCGGTAGGTAGTTGCAGCTATTTTGTACCAGATGTTGTTATTGATGCTGGAGATATTGCCTTTAAACAGAACCAAGTGCAACTGTTCCCTGCTTGTTTTGGCTACATTCTAAATGGGGATGTGGGGAAGACAGACATAAAATGCACATTTTGTGTTTTGTTACTTATTACATGTTTTTCAGAGATGGAACCTTATTATATTGCCCAGGCTGGTCTTGAACTCCTGGCCTCAAGCGATCCTCCCACAGTGCTGGGAATACAGGCATGAGCCATTGTACTCAGCCTAAAAATAGACTTTTTTTTAGGTCTAGCAGTTTTAGGTTCACAGCAAAATTGAGCAGAAGGTACAGAGAGTTCCCATATACCCCCCTACCCCCACACATGCTGTTTTAATCTTAAAGATCACCTTAATCTTTATAACCACATACGTCAGTGAGTGATTTACCAGATGAGGAATAGTGAAAGCTTACACTTTAATACACTGCATTTTAGGAGGCCAAGGCGGGAGGATCACTTGAACTCAGGAGTTCAAGACCAAACTGAGTGACGTAGTGAAACTCTGTCTCTACTAAAAATGAGCCAGACGTGGCGATGCACACCTGTAGTCCTGGCTACTCTGGAGGCTGAGGTGGGAAGATCACTTAAGCTTGGGTGATCAAGTCTGCAGTGAGCTATGACTGGCAGAGCGAGACCACGTCTAAAAAATAAATAAAAGTAAATAATACCCTGGATAAGATTCAGAGGAGCTTACTAGAGAGCTGAATGGGAATCAGTTCCCAACAGTACTTCTGTTGGGGAGGGGTAGAGTCCTGGTTGTGGCTGTGCAAGTTCTTGAACTTGTCAGGAAAAAGAAAGATCCATGGATGATAAAACATTGAATGGATTCATAGAGGTGCTGGGCTGTAACCAGTTAGTCTTTCTTAGGAAAAAAAACTTAACAAGTTTTTGAAGAAATACAGGAAACTAGAGTGGCATGGTGGCACACACCTGTAGTCCCATCTACTCGGGAAGCTGAGGTGGGTGGATATCTTGAGCCCAGCAGTCTGAAACCAGCCTGGGCAACATGATGGAACCTCATCTCTATTTAAAAAAAAAAAAATACAAAACTTAGCCAGATGTGGTGGCACCACACCTGTAGTCCCAGCTCCTAGGGAGGCTGAGGTGGGATAATCACTTGAACCCAGGAGGTCAAGGTTGCAGTGAGCTGAGATTGTGCCACTGCACTCCAGCCTGGGCAACAGAGCAAGACCCTGTCTTGGGGTGGGGTGGGGGGGGCGGAGGGGAGAAATACAGTCCCAGCACTTTGAGAGGCTGAGGTGGGCGGATCACGAGGTCAAGAGATGAGACCATCCTGGCCAACATGGTGAAACCCCGTCTCTACTAAAAATACAAAAATTAGCTGGGTGTGGTGGCGCACGCCTGTAGTCCCTGCTATGCGGGAGGCTGAGGCAGGAGAATCACTTAAACCTGGGAGGCAAAGTTGCAGTGAGCTGAGATCATGCCACTGCACTCCAGCCTAGCGACAGAGCGAGACTCCGTCTGGGAAAATAAATAAATAAATAAATAAATAAATAAATAAATAAATAAATACAGGAAATTGCAAAAGGACCACTAAATCCACTCCCATCTAGAGTCAATCACTGTTCATATTTTTATATATTTCTTTTCAGACTTTTTTTCTGTTTGTGCCAGGGATGCACATTTTTATACACATAGGTGTTTATATGGGATCATACTGTGTAATGCAGGATGCAGTATAATACTCTACTTTGTTTTCACTTAACATTGTATTATTCTGTTTTTAAACATTTCTTGAAAAGCAGCTGCGTGATATTTCATGTTCTGGATATGTCTTGGTTAACTTAACTATCCTCTGTTAGAAGAACATTTTGGTTACTTGTAGGGTTTTCCCCATGTTTTTTTTGCGACAAAGTCTCGCTCTGTTGTCCAGGTTGGAGTGCAATGGCATGAGCTTGGCTCACTGCTAATCTCCACCTCCTGGATTCAAGTGATTCTTGTGCCTCAGCCTCCCAAGTAGCTGGGATTACAGGTGTGCGTCACCACACTTGGCTAATTTTTGTTTGTTTTTGTTTTGTTTTGTTTTGTTTTTTTGAGACGGAGTCTCGCTCTGTCGCCAGGCTGGAGTGCAGTGGTGCAATATTGGCTCACTGCAACCTCCGACTACCTGGTTCAAGCGATTCTCCTGCCTTAGCGTTCTGAGTAGCTGGGATTACAGGCACGCGCCACCACACCCAGCTAATTTTTGTATTTTTAGTAGAGACGGAGTTTGACCATGTTGGCCAGGATGGTCTTGGTCTCCTGACCTCATGATTCCTCCACCTCAGCCTCCCGAAGTGCTAAGATTACAGGCACGAGCCACCATGCCTGGCCAATTTTTGTATTTTTAGTAGAGATGGGGTTTCACCATGTTGGCCAGGCTGGTCTCAAACTCCTGACCTCAGGTGATCTGCCCACCTCGGCCTCCCAAAGTGCTGGGATTACAGGAGTGCACCACCGTACCTGGCCTTTCCCCTTGCTTTTAGTGGACATATAGCTAACAATTTTTACTCCTTAGCTTCTGATGGACTGAGGAGAATTGTGAAAAAAAGTTTATCATGCCCTGGTTTGGCACCCATTAGGACATCGAGTGTCCCTTTTCTGTTCTTCGCTGGTTGGGGGCAGCATGAAATGCATTGTTTTATAGCAGCCTAGAGAAAGGACTCTAGCTACCTGCTTTTTGGGGACTGGTACTGGAGAAAAATCTGAGAGCAAAAGTGCTTGGCTAAATTCCCTTTTTTTTCTTTTAGTTTTTGAAATCATGAATCCTGTTTATAGTCCTGGATCTTCTGGGGTTCCCTATGCAAATGCCAAAGGAATTGGTTATCCAGGTAAGTAAGTAAAATTTTGTTTTCATTTTTGAACTTTGAATACTTGGTATATTTTCATGTCACTAAGAATGCTTTCTATTGACAAACGCAGCTCAAAGTGGCTTAGACAAGAAAGAAAATACCTGGAAGTGAAAAATCAAATGATAGGACTGGATTTGGTCAAAACTTGATCTAGTGGCTCCAGCAGTTGGGACCAGGATCTAGTTTCTCTACCTCCTGGTCTCAGCTTCGCTTCCTCAGTATTAACTTAGTGTTGGTCACAGGTCCCACTCCTTCTCATTGTGGTCTCTGAAGTTCAGGCCCCTCCCAGTAGTCCCTCACTAAGAGCCTCTTTACCTCCACTCTACAGGAAAGCCTGATGGGACTGCTTGTTCTCTATTCAAACCAGTCCTGGGCTTTGTTCTGATTAAACTCAGCATCCATCCCTGGGCCACAAAGGGGAGTCTGCTGATTGACTTAGGCCTGATCCACATCCCTTTAGTGGAGTCAGCTAGTCAAATATGGACTGCAAGTGAGGGTTGCAGCGAAATGGATATTGAGGGGATAGGAGCTGGTTGGTCAAAAATAGCAAATGGTTGTTCCCTTCGGTGACTTTGCACAAGGAGTAGTTATTTATAATGATACAGTTTCATTTTGGGTTTTGATAATATGGTAGAAGAGATAACCCCAAAACTTTGTTGCTAAGACTCTCAGAAAGTGAAATAAAACATTTTACAAATGTATAACTGAACTTGCAGGAGGTAAGAGAGATATCTGGGGTCAAATGTGAAGGCCATGTTAAACCCAGCTAACTTGGCCTTTGAACTAATGTCGTGCCTGTCCTGGGCACATGTGCTATTTGTGGGTTTTAACAACCCACATGGGGATAGAGATTGAGTATTAGGACCCTTGCGACAGGGAATGAGAGTGAGACTTCTTATCAGTCATTCTCGTCCCTCTGGAGGGTGATACTCTCAGCAAAGAGATAGACTAAACAGTCTAGTCGTCCAGTGGCCCCATAAGGAAGTTTATATGCTTGGGCTCTGAGAAGCGGGAGATCTTTACTAAGACTTTGTAAGCATTCAGAGATGTTTGGGGCTCTAGCTTGTATTATACTCCCCAGGGGTTCAGAAGTTGAGAAATTAACGTAAAAATAGTCTCCAGGCTTGGTTACTCCTGGGGCTCCTGACAGCAGCGAATGCAGAACTGCTGTGGGGGCATATGTTCACAACCCAGGTTGCGTGGGCTTCCTGCAGGCAAAGTTCTGCCTGCTAGCATGGGATGCCTCCCATCAAGTAAGAGGCACCAGCCATGACAGACTGCAGGAGAAGAACCATCAGGTAGATGCTATGTCACATAGCCAAGTTTAGAAGAATTGCAGATATAAAAGAAAGAATCAGAAACATAAGAGGGGAACAAGATGCTGAGAAAAAAGAACTAGCTGGAACTTTAAGAAATGAAACAAAATGGCATATGAACAAATTTCAGGTTAATATCAAGACAAGACACTGGTTAAGAGAGAACCAGAATGCAACATAAGGAAAGGGAGGAAAACAGAACAGTAAAGAAACATCTGGAGCTCTTCTCCAGAAGGGCTGAGTAGAGAAACTGTAAGAAAAGGAGTGACAGGCTGGGTGTAGTGGCTCATGCCTGTAATCCCAGCACTTTGGGAGGCCGAGGCAGGCAGATCATGAGTTCAGGAGATCGAGACCATCCTGGCTAACACTGAAACCCCGTCTCTACTAAAAATACAAAAAAAAATTAGCCAGGCATGGTGGCGGGCGCCTGTATCTCCAGCTACTTAGGATGCTGAGGCAGGAGAATGGCGTGAACCCGGGAGGTGGAGCTTGCAGTGAGCTGAGATCGTGCCACTGCACTCCAGCCTGGGCGACAGAGCAAGACTCTGTCTCAAAAAAAAAATTCTTTTACTATTCTTTTAGTGCTTATTATAAAGATTATACCTCTTTTATTTTTATTTTTTTGAGACCGTCTTGCCCTGTTGCCCAGGCTGGAGTGCAGTGGCACGATCTCAGCTCACTACAACCTCCATCTCCCGGGTTCAAGCGATTCTCCAGCCTCAGCCTCCCGAGTAACTGGGATTACAGATGCATGCCACCATGCCCAGCTAATTTTTTGTTCACTGTGTGAGCCAGGCTGGTCTCGAACTGCAGACCTCAAGTGATCCGCTCTCCTGAGCCTCCCAAAGTGCTGTGATTATAAGCGTGAGCCCCTCTTTTTCTGTTGTTGCCTTACCTTAAGATATTACTTGTGTCACAGTACTCCAGCCTGGTGACAGAGCGAGACTCTGTCTCAAAAAAAAAAAAAGACGTTACTGTTTTAATTTTGTGCAATCAACAGCCATTTATATTTATTCACACATTTACTGTTTTTGGTGCTCTTCATTGCTTTCTCTATTTACATGTTTCTCTCTGGAGTCATTGACCTTTATCTGAACAACTCTCAACATTTTTTTTTTTTCTGAGACAGAGTTTCACTCTTGTTGCCCAGGCTGGAGTGCAATGGCGTGATCTTGGCTCACTGCAACCTCTGCCTCCCGCGTTCAGGTGATTCTCCTGCCTCAGCCTCCTGAGTTGCTGGGATTACAGGCGCCTGCCACCATGCCCAGCTAATGTTTGTATTTTTAGTAGAGATGGGTTTTTGCCATATTGGCCAGGCTGATCAAGAACTCCTGACCTCAGGTGATCCTCCCACCTCGGCCTCCCAAAGTGTTGGGATTACAAGCGTGAGCCACTGCTCCGAGCCACATTTTTTTTTTTAAACCACAAGTCTGTTAGTGAATTTTGTTTTGTGAAATTGTCTTTATTTTGCTTTTCTTTTGAGGCATTCTTTTGCCGGGTGTGTTTGTTTTTTTTGTGGCTGCTATAACAGGTAACCACAAACTTGGTGGGTTAAAGCCATAGAGATGTAGTCCCAGAGGTTCGAAATCAAGGCGTTGGCAGGTCTGTACTCCTAGTGCAGGCCCAGAGGAAAATCCATTCCTTGCATCTTCTAGTTTCTGGTGGCTGTCTGCAGTCTTTAGCATGTGGCTTTGTGGCTGCATCACTCCCATTTCTGCCTCCATGGTCACATCCTCTCCTGTGTGTCTTTTGTGTGTTTGTTTTGAGACGAAGTCTCACTCTTGTCACCCAGGCTGGAGTGCAGTGGCGTGATCTTGGCTCTCTGCAACATCTGCCTCCCAAGTTCAAGTGATTCTCCTGCCTCAGCCTCCTGAGCAGCTGGGATTACAGGTATGTGGTGCGTGCCACCACGCCCGACTAATTTTTGTATTTTTAGTAGAGATAGGGTTTCACCATGTTGGCCAGGCTGGTCTTAAACTCCTGACCTCAGGTGATTGGCCTCCCAAAGTGCTGGGATTACAGGCCTGAGCCACCGTGCCCGGCCCTGTGTGTTTTTTATAAGGACACTTGTCATTGGATTTAGAGCCAGCCTGGGCAGTCCAGGATTCCAGAATGACCTCATCTCAAGATCCTTCACTTAATCACATCTGTGAAGATTATTTTCCCGAATAATGTCACATTATTTCCTCTCAGCACTTTAAAGATAAAATTTGTCATCTGGTTTCTGTCAAAATAATTTTTTTTTTTTTTTTTGTGAAAGGGTCTTGCTCTGTCATTCAGGCCCCAGTGCAGTGGTGTAGTCACGGCTCACTGCAGCCTCAAACTCCTTGGACTCAAGGGATCCTCCTGCCTCAGCCTCCCAAGTAGCTGGGACTACAGGTGTGCGCTACCATGCCTGAATAATTTTTTAATTTTAATTTTTGTAGAGATCGGGTCTCACTGTGTTGCCCAGGCTGATCTCAAACTCCTGTGCTCATCCCACCTCAGCCTCCCAAAGTACTGGGAGTACAGGCCTGAGCCACTGTGCCCGGCCTAGAATAATTTTTGCCTCTTTGAAATCATGTTTCTTCTCTACATTTCCCCCAACCCGTGTACCTTGCTACTTTGAAAATATCTTTGCTTTTACCATGATGTAACTAGATGCGATTTTATTTGTATTTACCTTGCATAGTGTTCAGAGAACCTCTTGACTCTGAGTTGATTTCTTCCAGCAGTAGCAGTAGCTCTTCAAATATTGTTTTTGTCCCTTTCTCTCCTCTCCTGGAACTCCATCTATAAGTGTTTTAGACCATTTCAGTCTGTCCTTTCTGTCTCTTGCACCCTGTTTTATAGTTTCTGTTTTTTTCTCCATGAGCTTTAATACAGATAGTTTATACTGATCTGCTTCCATTTGTCCTGCTAATTCTGCTCTAATTTGCTATAATTCATGTATTGAATCAAGTCTTTTTATGTATTTTCTCCATCTTCTGTTTTTTCCAACATACTACTGAGTTATTTTAAAAACTGTTTGCTAACTGCAGTCTCTGGATCACCTGTGCGTCAGTTTTTATTGTCCATTTGTTCTGTTCTTTTGTTTTTCCGTCACATGGTCCTGTCTTGGCATGCCTGGTGTTTTTCATTAACTGTCTCACGCAGTGTATTAGAAATTATGGGTGGTTTCACTGATGATGTCTTCTTTTGCTGGGAAGGTAGCATGCTGAATGGTCTTCTTAATCCACTTGGAGCTGGGCTTAGATGCATTTCAGTTTTGGCAAGGCTTGGTCTCCCTTTGTTCTGCCCTTATTCTGGAGCGCAGGGTTTCCATAAGCCTGACATGCTCTGCACAGTCCATCCCTCTTGTGGATCCGTACCCTGATCTTTGTCTCTTACACCAGGGGAGTAAGGAAAACTCTGCGTTTCAGAGATTTTTGGTTTTTGCTGTCTGCTGGGGTAGCTTTAGAATTTGACATATGTCTTAAAGCAGACTTTAACTGGTTTTGAAGCTCATCTGAGGTCCAATTTTATCACTACAGCCCTTCAAGATCACCAAAACCCATGTTTCTCTGTCCTCCAGCCACGGCCTTCTGTCCAGGGAGAACCTAGACTTGGCCTCTTGCCCATGCTGAGAATTGACAAGCACCGCCCAGGTCAACAAGGCTGTAGATCCTAATTTCTCCTTTGTTCCACAAATGGTAGTGGACACTGGGATGGAGTTAGGAACATAAACATTTTGGGGGGGCTATCACATAGGAAAATCCAGCAGGGAGGAAGTAGAATTAGGGAGAGCCTCAGACTGTGAGGCACATTTGCCGAACTCATGGCCAGCCCACGGGTGCTCTGGGGCAAGGGTTAGCAGTTGGAGGCCGACATGAGGCACCAGCGGCCTGGTCCTGCTCCTGAGACTGTTGACCCACATACTTCTCCTGGCTGAACAGTAGGTTCTTTCTGGAAAAGAGATGCAGGCGGCGTTGCTCACTTCGCTTTGTAAGGAATCACTCCATAACAGTTCACAGAAGTTTGCCTTGTTCTTTTTTTTTTTTTTTTTTTTAAATGTAATAGCGTTACATACACTCCATCTTGTGGGCTTCCATAGTTGATTGAGCCAGTTTCCTTGTGATGGGCATTGGAGTTGTTTGAAGTGTGTGCTATTTTAGTAATGATTCTGTGAACAGCCCTATGTTTGTGTGACTCTGGGAATTCTCCTCAGGGTGGGTTCCTAGAGCTGGGGTTGCTGGGTCAGAGAGCAAATGCACATGTGATTGTTAGGATACTGCTGAGTTCTTATCAGCAGTGTGAGACGATTTCCCCACAGCCTGGCTAACAGAATGTGTTTTCCAGCTTCTGGATTTCTGCTAGTCGGAAGTTAGTCAGCGTAGTTGTAGTTTGCAATTCTGTGTATCTGTGTCTATTGATTTGAGTGGTGGGGGTGGGGCGGGATGTTTGTTTTTGTGGTTTTAAAAGTTACTTACGTATTAAGTGTACTAGCCCTTTGTCTAAATAATTTAGATACTTTATCTGAATTTGTCCTTTTGCTTAACTATGGTATTTTTTGCTGTTCTGAAGCTTTTACTTTTGTAAGGTGATCAGTCTTTTTTTTTTTTTTTTTTTAAGACGGAGTCTTGCTCTGTTGCCCAGGCTGGAGTGCAGTGGCGCGATCTCGGCTCACTGCAAGCTGCGCCTCCCAGGTTCACGCCATTCTCCTGCCTCAGCCTCCTGAGTAGCTGGGACTACAGGAGCCCGCCACTGCACCCGGCTAATTTTTTTTTTGTACTTTTATTAGAGATGGGGTTTCATCGTGGTCTCAATCTCCTGACCTCGTGATCCACCTGCCTCGGCCTCCCAAAGTGCTGGGATTACAGGCGTGAGCCACTGCGCCCGGCCAAGGTGATCAGTCTTGTAGAAATGATTCAGGTTTGGGATCGCTCTGGTGCCTTGATGTAGGGAGTCTGGCCTTTCCAGCCTACCATGCCAGAAGAGGGCTAGAATAGATGCTGAAGGAGACGGTCTCTGTGTCTGCTGGGGGTTGGGGTACCCAGAAAGATCAGGAATAGGAAGAAACAGTGATTCTTAACTCCATTGCTTGGAACCCTGCAGATTCACTGTCTGGAGAGAATGAGAAAAAAGAGGCTGGTGCACCCGAGACCAGCTAAAGCAGTGTTGGGGGTCCTCCCAAAGCTGCCCCTGTGGGTTTTGTGCAGTCCAGGTAGAAACCATTGGAGATAGTGAGGGGAGCCACGCTGCGGCTTGGGTCAGAGTGGTGACAGAGCAAGTGGGATGTGGCTGATGGGATGAGGCGATGGGAGCACGGAAGCAGCAGAGGCTGTCTAGGAGATTGGGAGTCTTTGATCCCCATACCAGAGACCAGGTATGTAGTGCATCTTGTTGCTGGTGGCTAGTGATGCCATCTTAAATACTATCGTGTGTGTTTGCTGTTTCATTATAGGATGTGTTAACTTCTTGTTAGAAACTGGGGGGCCGGGCGCGGTGGCTCGTGCCTGTAATCCCAGCACTTTGGGAGGCCGGGGTGGGCGGATCACGAGGTATGTAGATCGAGACCATCCTGGCTAACATGGTGAAACCCTGTCTCTACTAAAAATACAAAAAATTAGCCGGGCACGGGCCCCTGTAGTCCTAGCCACTCAGGAGGCTGAGGTAGGAGAATGGCGTGAACCCAGGAGGCGGAGCTTGCAGTAAGCCGAGATCACGCCACTGCATTCCAGCCTGGGCGACAGAGCAAGACTCCGTCTCAAAAAAAAAAAAAGAAAGAAAGTGGGGATGGGAAGGACTAAGCAAAGAAGACAGTAGTTTTTCAGGGACCGTTAAACACAATCTTCAGCAAACAAATCCAGAGCAGCCCTCTTCCCATGAGAATATATTGGTAGAGTTTTAGGGAGAGATGAGGAATTTGGAATTTCTGGAAATTATTGCAGAGGCCTACAGGATATGATCTAGGTCAGTGGTAGTTGAAACTTTTTTTTTTTTTTTAAAAGAAGGAAACCATTGGAAAAAAAAATCTTGCTGGTTCCCTGGTCTCTGAGGGCAGTTCCAGACCTTTCTTGGTCTTCCTGTGCTCACAATTGGGCTTCTGAGGAGTCTCTCAGCATCCCCAGAACTGCTGTCCTGGTCTTTCCAGTGGCCATTGTGGGTCTCTTTGAAGTTGAATCTGCCCTTGACGTCCACCACACTCTGTTCTCTGACTAATTAGAGAGGGCAAACGGGAGGGTGAGAGTCCAGGAGGGAAACCCGGAATGGCTTCTGCTGAGGTAGAGGGGGATCAGTTTGAAGTGAGGAAAGCAACTTTGAAGCAAGGATAAAGATGAGAACTGGGCACTTGGAGGGATTCTGGGGCTAGGGCTTGGTGACACTGATGCCTCCTGTTCCCACAGAAACCTGCAAGATGGCTTAGGGATGCAGGGCAATAGAGCAAGGGATCCAGGCTGAGGGGGCCGAAGGGAGGCACGTGAGGAGCTGTATTCAGAACTTTCTGTCCCACCTACAAAGATTTTCCTTTTGGCATTCCACTCAGATCCCCCCTGTTTTTACCTCAACCTTAGGGCTTCCTTGCTTTGGTTACTGTTAGCACCATGATTTGTTCCTAAGGGATCGTAACACCTTAAAAATCCCAGTCCAAGTGCTGTAAGAGACACCTTTCTCCAGGCCTCCTCAACACAGTTTCTTTTGAAGACTGCTCTTCTCTTTCAACTTTATTTACAGGTGAAGGAAGTGTGCAGTAGAGAAGTTACAGCTTCTCACAGCTAGTGGGAACAGTAATCAAGGCTAGGAAACCTGAGTCATCTTGTTGGCTGTGTGCCCCAAATAGAAAGAACGCTTTCTGGCCAGGTGCAGTGGCTCACACCTGTAATCCCAGCACTTTGGGAGGCCGAGGAGGGCGGATTATGAGGTCAGGAGATGGAGACCATCCTGGCCAACATGGTGAAACCCCGTCTCTACTAAAAATACAAACATTAGCTGGACATGGTGGCGTGTGCCCGAAATCCCAGCTACTTGGGAGGATGAGGCAGGAGAATCGCTTGAACCAGGGAGGTAGAGGTTGCAGTGAGCCGAGATCACGCCATTGCACTCCAGCCTGGCAACAGAGCGAGACTCTGTCTCAAAAAAAAAGAGAGAATACTTTCTAATACCTCAGCTGTCACAAGTGATGCCTCCTGTACTGTGAGCCAGAGGGGTCAGCCCAAAGGGAAGGGAGGCCTTATCGAAAAGGGCAGATGCCTGAGGCCCCCTCTGTTGGTTGCACCTTGGGGCCAGGATTCTGACTGTAGCACTCAATGTCTTATTTGATGTTTCTGTTTCGTTCATATTATGAATTACTAGGTCATGGTTTAGTCTTAATAAGATTCCTCATTTGTATTAATAAAGGTCAGCTTATTTGCACGTGGACTGTAGTTGGATTTTTCCCATTTCTGTGTGTATGCATTCCCAGTTAGAGCTCCTTCTGTAAGAAGACTGAAGCTTAAGTAAGACACAGCCTGGGTTTATGACTGGTGTCTTAATTTGTTTTCTGCTGCTTTAGCAGAATATCAAGCTGGATAATGAACAGAAATTTATTAGGCTCTTGGTTCTGGAGGTTAGGGAAGTCCAAGAGCATGGCGATGGCATCTCGTGAGGGCTTTTGGGCTCTATCCTCTTGTGATGGATGGTGGAAGGGCAGCGAGTGCGTCAGAGAGAAAGGGGGCTGAACTTGTCCTTTTTATCAGGAACCCACTTTCATAATAAAGCCGTCACCTATTAAATGTCCCACCTCTCAGTGCTGTTAAAATGACAAATTTTAACGTGAGCTTTGGAGAGGACATATGAAAACATATTAGCTGGTCATGCTGGAGAAGTTGGGGATCAGAACATCAAAATATGGCAAGGCGTGGTAACTCATGCCGGTAATACCCGCACTTTGGGAGGCCGAGGCAGGTGGATCACCTGAGGTCAGGAGTTCGAGACCAGCCTGGCCAGCATGGCAAAACCCCATCTCTACTAAAAATACAAAAATTAGCTGGGCGTGGTGGTGCACGCCTGTAGTCCCAGCTACTAGGGAGACTGAGGCAGGAGAAATGCTTGAACCCAGGAGGCGGAGGTTGCAGTGAGCCGAGATCTCACCACTGCACTCCAGCGTAGGCAACAGAGCAAGACTCTGTCTTAGAAAAAAAAAAGAACATCAGAATGTGAAAAAACCTGAAATGAATTTAGAAGTTTAAAACAGTTTCTTACAACAAAAAATAATAGCTTTTAAGTCAAAATATGTAATGTAGGAAATGTCGGAATTCAGTGAAAATGAGTGACCTTTACATAGGCTTAGCTGTTCACTGGTAGCAGCAAAAATAGGCCCTTGAGTCCAAGCTAGACTTGAATTCTGATTCTTCCAGACTTTGTGCAGTGAAGTCAGATGAGGGTAACAGGACCTAGCGTGTGATACCCTTAGCACTCTTACTACTCTTGCTAAGTAATTATGTGATTAGAGTTTGGAATGAAACTTCCAGAAATGTTATAATTGAGGCTTGGCGCGGTGGCTTATGCCTGTAATCCCAGCACTTCGGGAGGCTGAGGTGGGTGGATCATGAGGTCAGGAGTTCGAGACCAGCCTGGTCACCATGGTGAAACCTTGTCTCTACTAAAAATACAAAAATTAGCTGGGCGTGGTGGTAGATGCCTGTAATCCCAGCTACTCGGAAGGCTGAGGCAGGAGAATCGCTTGAAACGGAGGTTGCAGTGAGCCGAGGTCGCGCCACTGCACTCTAGCCTGGGCAACAAGAGTGAAACTCTGTCCCCCTCCAAAAAATAAATAAAAATAAAATATATAATTGTTACCTATCAAAATTCTGAGGGAAAGCCAGGCGTGGTGGCTCACACCTATAATCCCAGCACTTTGGGAGGCCGAGGCGGGTGGATCAACTGAAATCAGGAGTTCAAGACCAGCCTGGCTAACGTGATGAAACCCCGTCTCTACTAAAAATAGAAAAATTAGCCAGGTGTGGTGACACACACCTGTAATCCCAGCTCTTCGGAAGGCTGAGGCAGGAGAATCGCTTGAACCTGGGAGGCAGAGGTTGCAGTGAGCCAAGATCATGCCATTGCACTCCAGCCTGGGCGATGAAAGTGAAACTCTGTCTCAAAAGACGACAACGATAAAAAAAACAAAGTTCTGCGGGAAGAAGACAACTAGAGACATGCTGTTGGCCACACATAGTGCTCTTGGGGCTGCTTAAGTCTGTGGAGTTCTGGGGAAGAAGGTAAGAGCGATGGCTTTGCAGGAGCTCTAGTGATTGTCGCTACTTCAGTTGATGACATGAGATTGTTCTTTATTTTTCTTCAGCTGGTTTTCCCATGGGCTATGCAGCAGCAGCTCCTGCCTATTCTCCTAACATGTATCCTGGAGCGAATCCTACCTTCCAAACAGGTATGTGCTGGGTGGTAAAATGCTTTGTACGTACAGCTGGGAGAGAAAGGTGAAGGGGTGGATTTTGAGAGGGGTGGGTATAGAATTAGGACTTGGTTGAGTCGATTTCTCAAGTTCATTAAGTTAGCCTGTTGATAAGTGCAACAAAAGCTTAATTCTTACTGCACTGAAGCTTTATATACTGTGTTTCTCATGTCCTCCCACAAGGCAAATCTGTAATCACTAGGTTGTTAACTCTGCCAGAGCATCTGTTCATGAAATAGTATCACCTACTAGAAATTGAAGAATTTCTTGCCATGCCAACAGGTGGAATTTCCATGTTAATGTTTTTAGAGATAATTTTTGGTTAGACTACTTTAGCACTCTGATAATATTTTTTAAAAAAGTATTATTTTCCATGTAATGTATAGATGAATATTTTTAGATTTTGGAAATCACTGTTAATATTAAAAGTGGAATTGGTTTGGGTCTGAATCTTGAGGAGATTGGTTATTTAGTGGGATTTCCTGCTAGGAGCCTGCACTCTCTGGTGTTGGTTCCTTTTGGACTTTTTTCACCCACACGGGGCTTTGCCTTTCTGCCGCAGCAGTGGTGGTGCACACTCTGATCTGAGGCTGTGGTTTGGCCTTAATCCTGGGACTGCTGGGGCAACTTTATCCCTCAACAGTAGCTTCACACAGTTAACTTTGACAGAGGAGGAGACAACAGCAGTGTCCTTTCCCCAGATTCTTCCTGTTTTGTTAATCATAAAATTCTGCCTTTATATTCTGTCCTTACATCCATCTCTTCGTTTCCATTTCCACTTCCACTATGACCCTATATGACCACCCTTGTTCAGACCGTAGTTCACACCCTGAGAAAAACGTTCTTGACTTGGTCTTCCTGCTCCCAAGCTTTCTTTCCCCGGGTTAGTGTTCTTCCCATTTAAACCAGAGCGATGCTCCCAGATGAATTTTTCTCAGTGGTTTCCCATGACTGTGAGACACAGTTATGCCTAGAGTCTCGACTTTCAGTCCCTAGCTGTTTGCCATATTGGCCCATTTTTTCCCTTTAGAGTGGTTTTCCTTTTGTGTTTTGCCTTGAAAGAACCATCCATCTCGTAGTGTATATTAGCAGTTCATTCCTTTTTATTGTTAGGTAGTATTTTGTTGTATGGAAATAAATACTTCAGTTTGCTTATCCATTTACCATGTGATGAACATTTGGGTTATTTGCAATTTTGGGCTATTACAAATGAAAATGCTATTAATATTTATATGCAGGTTATTGTGTGAACATACACTTTGATTTCTCTTGAGTAAATAAATACAGAGGATTTGAGTGGCTGGTTATTATGGCAAGTGTATATTTAACTTTGTGAGAAACTGCCAAACTGTCTTCCAAAGTGGTGGTACCATTTTACATTCCTACCAGCAGTGTTTGTGAGTTGTCGTTCCTCCACATCCTTAACAACACTTGGTGTGGTCAGTCTTTTTAATTCTAGCCATTCTAGTGAATGTGTAGCAGTATCTTTTCATGTGCGTATTTGCCTTCTGTATGTCTTTGGTGAAGAATTTGCTTTTACTGTATGTCAGTTATTGTTTTCTTATCGTTGAGTTTTTGAGAGTTCTTATCAGATATATGCGTGTTTTCTCCCAGTCTGTGGCTTTTTCATTCTTTTAACAACGTCTTTTAAAGAGCAGGGGTTTTAAAAGTTTAGGCTGGGCGCGGTGGCTCACGTCTGTAATCCCAGCAATTTGGGAGGCTGAGGCGGGTGGATCATGAGGTCAGGAGTTCGAGACCAGCCTGGCCAACGTGGTGAAACCCCGTCTCTACTAAAAATACAAAAATTAGCTGGGCTTGGAGGCGCACTCCGGTAATCCCGGCTACTAGGGAGGCTGAGGCAGGAGAATCACTTGAACCCAGGAGACAGAGGTTGCAGTGAGCCGAGATCGTGCCATAGCATTCCAGCCTGGGCGACAGGGTGAGACTCCGTCTCAACCAAAAAAAAAAAAGTTTGATGAGGGTTAGTCGTTTTATGGATCATGCTTTTGGTACCATACTTAATAAACCTGTGTAACTTGGCTGGGCGCAGTGGCTCACGCCTGTCGTCCCAGCACTTTGGGAGGCCGGGGTGGGTGGATCATGAGGTCAGGAGATCGAGACCATCCTGGCTAACGCGGTGAAACCCCCTCTCTACTAAAAATACAAAAAATTAGCTGGTCATGGTGGCGGGCTCCTGTAGTCCCAGCTACTCCAGAGGCTGAGGCAGGAGAATGGCCAGAACCTGGAAGGCGGAGCTTGCAGTGAGCCGAGATTGCGCCACTGCACTCCAGCCTGAGCGACAGAGCAGGACTCCGTCCCCAAAAAAAAAAACAAAAGAGAAAGAAACCTGTGTAACCTAACTTCACAAAGATTTTCTTCTTTTTTCTTGTAGAAGTTTTACACTTGTAGGTTTTACATTTATGTCTGTGACCCATTTGCAGTTAATTTTTGTGTATGATGGTAGGAATGGATTGAAGTTTATATCTTTGGCATACGTATCAATGTGGCATGTGATGATCATGCCGTAGACCACCATAACGTAAGTTACTCTTCTAGGATTTTCAGAGGTAGCCCACTTTTACTCATTTCTTCATGGAGCACAAATCAGTGTGAAAATGTACTTAAAACTTTCAACTTTTTTATTTTACAAGAAGAACCTTGAGTTAATTTCAGGCTGAGAGCTGTTCTTGCCAAAAATGTGCAGCACTGCCTAGCAGAGGCAGGGTGGAGACTGAGTGCTGCTGACACCTTCCCCCCTTGGGTGCCTGTGGGGGCCACCCTGTGGAACATGGGCCACCCATCTCATTATTATTTTGAGACAGGGTCTTGCTCTGTCGCCCAGGCTGCAGTGCAGTGGTGCAATCACGCCTCACTGCAGCCTCGACTTTTCAGGCTCAAGCAATGCTCCCACCTCAGCCTCCCGAGTAGCTGGGATTACAGGTGCACACCACCACACTCGGCTAATTTTTCTATTTTTTTGTAGAGATGGGTTTCACTATGTTGTCTAGGCTGGTCGCAAACTCCTGGGCTTAAGTGATCCTCCTGCCTCAGCCTTCCAAAGTGCTGGGATTATAGCCGTGAGCTACCATGCCCAGCTTGTCACCCATCTTCTCGAACATCTCTCCTTTCTCATAGGGAGGTAAGGCCTGTGTTGTCCCTTTTCCAAGACTGCTCTCAAATTGTTCCTGTAATCCAGAAGCTGGGACAGGCAGGTAGCAACTGCAGCTGCCCAAACGGCCTACCTTGTTTAGAGGGGCATCTGCTGACGGGTGCCAGGCAGTTGTTAGGTGCCAGACTGCTGGCTCACCAGTGCCAGATCTTCTGGTCTTGTAGGAGAAGCTGTGAAATTGGTGAATGAAAAATATAAGGCAGCCGGGCACGGTGGTTTTCATTCCTGTAATCCTAGCACTTTGGGTTGCCAAGGTGGGCAGATCACTTGAGGCCAGGAATTCAAGACCAGCCTGGCCAATACAGTGAGACCCCATCTCTACTAAAAATACAAAAATGAGCCGAGTGTGGTGGCACACACTTGTAGTCCCAGCTGTTCAGGAGGCTGAGGCAGGAGAATCACTTGAACCTGGGAGGCAGAGGTTGCAGTGAGCCAAAATCGCACCACTGCACTGCAGCCTGTGTGACAGAGCGAGACTCTGTCTCAAAAAAAGAAAAAAGAAAAAGTCTTTCTGATGTCCCACAAGTGCTGTTGTCCATCTAACCTGAGTCTGGACCACAGCTGTGTGCCCATCTTTTTCTGGTATCCTCTCTGTTTTCATGTCTTGGGTGTTTGTTTTTAAGAGATGGGGGTCTTGTGGTTTCACCCAGGGTAAAGTCCAGTGGTACAGTTACAGCCTTTTTCTGCTGAGTTCAAGGGATTTTCCCAACGCAGCATCCCAAAGCGTTGGGATTACAGGCATAAACCACCACACCCAGCTTCATGTTTTGAATTTTATAACTCCCTTTTCAGTGAGCCTTTCCCTTTTTCTGATGAGCAAGCCAAAATTATCAGTATAAAAAATTTAAAAGAGAAGTTTTTCTCCCTTCCTGCTGCTTTTTCTCTGTCTTTCTCTGAAGGTGTGTGGAGGTGGGTGTGTATGTGTGTGTGTGTGTGTGAGTGTGATAGGATCTCACTTTGTTGCCTAGGCTGGAGTGCAGTGGCATGAACTTGGCTCACTGCCAAGCAATCCTGCCTCAGCTTCCCAAGTACCTGGAACCTTAGGCACAAGTCACCACACCTAGATTATTTTTTAAAAATTTTTGTAGAGATGGGGTCTCACTGTATTGCCCAAGCTGGTTTCAAATTCCTGAGCACAAGCAGTCCTCTCATCTTGACCTCTCAAAGTGTTGGGATTACAGGAGTGAGCCACTACACCCAGCCCCTGCTGCTTTCTTGATCTTGCCGTTCAGTTTGCACCCAATGCTGACTTGTGGTTTCAACGCTGTATATGCGGAGTCTGACTTCCAGAGCACTTTTGTAATCCAAATGCCACGTATTTCTTAGCCCTCTTCCAATTGTGATATAAGAGGATTCCGAGACCCTTGTGATGAGATGTCTTTTGCTGAAGAATTCTGTTTTTCAGAATCTGGGAATGGAGAAGGTGTCATTCATTTTGTCCTCCTGAACAAGGCTGTGTATGCACACATCAAGAGTGGTGGTGATATGGTTTGGCTGTGTCCCCACCCAAATCTCATCTTGAATTGTAGCTCCTGTAATCCCCACATGTCACTGGAGGGACCTGGTGGGAGGTAATTGAATCATGGGGGTGGATTTTTCCTGTGCTGTTCCCATGATAGTGAATAAGTCTCACGAGATCTGATGGTTTTATAAAGGGCAGTTCCCCTGCACACGTTTGCTCTTCCTTTGCCTTCCACCATGATTGTGAGGCCTCCCCAGCCATGTGTAACTGTGAGTCCATTAAACCTCTTTCCTTTATAAATTACCCAGTCTCGGGTATTTCTTTATTAGTAGTATGAGAATGAACTAATACAACTGGGCTGTCCATTTTTGGAATCAGAGCTTTGAATTGTGGAGTTAGCTAGATGTGGATTATACTCCTGACTGTGTCACTCCCTGGGAAAGTTGTTTAACTTCACCCTTGGCATTGGAATAATGAATAAATAACTCCTTGATTTCTTATGGGAGGATTTCAGCCCCAAGCCTACGATCAGGCATAGATGTCAGCTGGGCCAGCACATTGAGGCCTCTGTTCTGGTCCTACTTAGAGTCACAAGTACCTGTAACTAATATTGGTAATGATGATCTGAAATTGTCAAAACAGTCTGTTCTTTGTAATAAGCTCTACACACAAGGTTGTTTAGATATTTATTACATTAGCACTTATTTTTAAAAGGTACAAATTTAGGCCGGGTGCAATGGCTCATGCCTGTAATCCCAGCACTTTGGGAGGCCGAGGCGGACGGATCACGAGGTCAGGAGATCGAGACCATCCTGGCTAACACGGTGAAACCCCGTCTCTACTAAAAATACAGAAAATTAGCCGGGTGTGGTGGTGGGCGCCTGTAGTCCCAGCTACTCGGGAGGTTGAGGCAGAAGAATGGCATGAACCTGGGAGGCGGAGCTTGCAGTGAG
Organism: Homo sapiens; assembly: GCF_000001405.40. Classification (NCBI taxonomy): domain Eukaryota; kingdom Metazoa; phylum Chordata; class Mammalia; order Primates; family Hominidae; genus Homo; species Homo sapiens. The sequence goes on along the minus strand of NC_000002.12, from coordinate 131,066,246 downwards.
TGAGTCGAGATCGAGATCGCACCACTGCACTCCAGCCTGGGCGACAGAGCGAGACTCCACTCAGTCTCAAAAAAAAAAAAAAAAAGATACAAATGTTGCAAAGAGTGATGGAGTGATGAAATAGCTTCCATGGTCATTGGTGTGTATGGCTGGGTGGAGGGTAAATTGGAGAAACTTCTTTGGAGGGCAGTTTGGTAGTGTATGTTAGAAGCTTAAAAATGAACCCTTTCGACCCACTTCTAGGAATGTATTCTAAGGGCAATAATTGGATGTGCAAACATTTATGTACAGGTACACATGCATTTAATTACGAAGTGATGGTTTAATTAAACTGTTTATCACACAGTGTTTATCTGGTTTTGGTACTTGTTTATGGAGAATATTTAATGATAAGTGAAAATGGTTTACAGTAGAGCTTTCTTTTCTTTTTTTTTTTTTTCTTTTTTTCTTTTTTTTTTGAGCTGGAGTCTCGCTCTGTTGCCCAGGCTGGAGTGCAGTAGTGCGATCTCAGCTCACTGCAAGCCTTGCCACCTGGGTTCAAGCGATTCTCCTGCCTCAGCCTCCTGAGAAGCTGGAATTACAGGCGCTCTCCACCACGCCGGCTAATTTTTGTATTGTTAGTAGAGACGGGGTTTCTCCATGTGTGTCAGGCTGGTCTTGAACTCCTGACCTCAGGCGATCCCGCCCACCTAAGCCTCCCAAAGTGCTGGGATTACAGACATGAGCCCCCATGCCCGGCGTTTCTTTTCTTTTTGAACTCAGAATTATAGCCATAAAATGAAACCCTTGGTTTGTTTAAAAATTAAACTTCATGCATGGCAGCCGAGGGGGAGAGAATAGCCTTTGGAATATTAATAGTCTGTGAGGTCTTGTGGAGCCTGTTTCTTTCCCTCTTAAAGGTTTACATTCATAGAGGTAAAAGATTGCAGTGCTCCACAAGGCTTTTAAAAATGAACAATAGCAGTTGCCTGCTCCCTTGTGGGAGCCCCCACATTTCACTCCCCATGGGCAAACTCCAGCTCTTTAACTCTTTAAAGCTGCTTTTGCTCGTGCCTTCCGTGCTTCCACATGACATGTTTCTGCTGTTCCCTGCTTCTTTTTTTGTTTGTTTTTGTAAAGTGGCACTGCTTTACTGACTTCTCACTTTGCTGCCCCGACCTTCCTTCACAGTTCTATTATTGTGGCCGCATCAGCACTGTTCACGGCTGTGTCTTCTGTGCGGCGATCCTGTTGTCCTGTGCCCTGTTGCAGTTTCTTCTGCATCTACTGCGGTGTCCCTGGAATTAATACTGTACTTATCTGGTGTCTTTGATTAGGTTTCTGTGACCATAGCATTAATTAAACCTCCAGCTACCCCCGATGTGTTGAGATCTCTTCTTAGCAATTTCAGATACTTGTGTGTTGTTTTCCTGGTGATCTCTGAAGCCCTCCCTTCCTCTCTCTTATCTGGACTGGTTGTCCTCTGGGCCAGACCCTGGGGGGGTCACTGTTCTCATCATCCCAGGGCTTGCTTTTGCCTTTCCCTTCTGCCTGAGTTCTTTTCTTTTTTCCTCGTTTACTCTGGTTTTGGCGGGGGATTTTCTTCAGTAACCACCTGGGAGAGTATGGAAAAGTCACAATTTTGAGATTTTCCATGTCTGAAAACATTTTATTCTGCACGCACACTTCGTTGATGGTTGTCTGGATACAGAATTCTAGAGAGCAGTTATTTCCCCCCAGAATATTCGGGTGTTTGCTCAATGGCTTTCCAGCTTCCACCACTGTTGCTGAGAATTGGGGTACCTTGTTGGTGCCTGATTGAGTGTAACCTTGGTTTTTCTTTGCTATTCTGTAGGATTTTTGCCTCCAGTGTTCAGAAATTTCATGATGCTGTGTTTTGGCACAGATCTTCTCTCCTCACATGTACTTCAGGCTTCTGAATTTTTTAAATTTTCTAAATAAATGTCTTTTTTTACTCAAAAAATTATTATAAAAAAATCCGCGTGGTACACAGTACTTTTGAAAAAAAAAATGACCTATTTAAATAAAAAGTTTCTGGTTCCCGAACAGTTGGCATTCTAAAATCAGTGACCCTGTGCATGTCCTCTTCCCTGAGGGCACAGCCAGGGTCACTCACAGGTCTGGTGAAGTGGAAGGAGGGAGCGTCTGTTGTCTGCGCCGCCTGGGTTGCATCAGTACAGATGGGCTTCCTGGGGAGGGAGAATCTGAAAAGCTGTTGTTTTGGAAAGACCTAGCACTGAATGAATTTGATATTTCAGGGAGGCAGTGTATATTTTTGGGTACGATGAGGTAATTGTGTGTATTTATTTAAAGTTTGTGAAGTTCCTGTTGAGTTACTATGGAGGGATATGGTGGACTTAGTGCTGAATGAAAAAAAAAAGGTGGCAAGCACACACTGTCTATTTTTAATTAAAAAAATTTTTTTACTTAGTGTTTTAAATTTTTAAAATTATTATTATTAGTTTTTAGAGACAGGGTCTTGCTCAGTCGCCCAGGCTGGAGTGTGGTTGCACAATCATAGCTCACTGTAACCCAGAATTGCTGTGCTCAATGAGCGATCCTCCTGCCTTGGCCTCCTAAATCGCTGAGACTACAGGTACACCCCACCATGCCTTGCTAATTTTTATTTTGTAGAGACAAGGTCTCGCTATGCTGCTCAGGCCAGTCTCAGAACTCTTGGAATCAAGTTATCCTCCCATCTTGGCCTTCTAAAGTGTTGGGATTACAGGTGTGCACCATAGCTCTTGGCCCCACACTAAGTCTTAAATTGATAGGGAGACCTGTTTGCCTTACTTGAAATGCACTTGTCTTAAGTGCTGGCTAGAAAATGGTGTAATATTCATGCCTAAACCAAAGACCAAAAGTTTTCTGGTGAGCATTAGAACGTAGCCTCACAGTCATAAGAATAAACAGTAAGATAATATATATTAAAAACCATTGTTGTGATTAGAAATCGTTGGTGACTTTTTTCAACATTTTATTGTAAAAAATTTCAGATGTCACAGAAAAGTTGCAGAAATTTCACAGTGATCACCTATATATGGACTGCTAAGATTCTACGATTAAATTTTTTAAATTTAAAAAATTTCAGATGTCACAGAAAAGTTGCAGAAACTTCACAGTGATCACCTATATATGGACTGCTAAGATTCTACGATTAAACTTTTTAACGTCAACTTTTACAAGTAACATTTTACTTGTATCACATACACATTACTCCATCCATCCTTCAGTCCATCTTATTTTTTGATGGGTTTCATTTCAGAGTAAGTTGTGGTCCTCAGTATATCTTACCTCAATAACTTGAGCATGCACATCATTATTTGTTTAGTTCCTTTTTGGTTTTGTTTTTAAGTAAAATGTGCATGTGTGAAATGCACAAGTTTAGCATCCCATGCATTGCATGCTGAGTTGCATATGCATGCTTCCTTGGAGCAGTCGCTCCTTTTGCTTCAGCAACGCCTACCTGTAAAGTAGGTGTTGTAAGACACCTTGGGTAGGCCGGACGCGGCGGCTCATACCTGTAATCCCAGCACTTTGGGAGGCCGAGGTGGGTGGATCACTTGAGATCAGGACTTCGAGACCAGCCTGGCCAACATAGGTGAATCCAGTCTCTACTAAAAATACAAAAATTAGCTAAGCATGGTGGTGCACGCTTGTAATCCCAGCTACTCGGGAGGCTGAGGTAGAAGAATCGCTTGAACCCGGGAGGCAGAGGTTGCAGTGAGCTGAGATAGCACCGCTGCACTCCAACCTGGGCAACAGAGCGAGACTCCGTCTCAAAACAAAAACAAAAAAGACACCTTGGGTGATTGGATTGGGAAACCTAGGGCTAGCTGCAGGGATTTCTGCAGTGGGAGGCTTCCAGTAGAAGAAAAGGAAGACATCGTAGGTGGGCCCCTCGACTGTGTATCCTAAGGAAATGAGGCATGAAAAAGGACTTCACCTTTTTTCAGTGGCTGTGGTGGGCCAGATGAGCACTTGTGGCTGAGAGACTCCCTCTTTGGAGAGAGGTGTTCTCAGATTTTCCTCACTTTGGTTTTATACTCTGTATTAGAGGTTTGTTTGGGTTGGCAGCTTGCATCTTCTCTTCACTCTGAGCTCTTTCTGCAGTTTGAAGAGTGATAAAAAGGTCAAGGACTTTCTTATTAGCAATGTTGATGGATGTGGGTCGTGGGTTTATTGCTTGTTTTGACTTCTTTTAACAGCTTTTCCTTTTTCTTCTCATTCTTTCTTTAGTGAATCAGTTTATCAGATAGAACTGTAACTTCTTGTTGCACATTGGCTGTATATATTGAACATGTCCAGTGGCATAGTTTAACTTTTTTTCCAGCCTATGCCTAACTGCCAGGCCATCTTCCAGATCAGCATCTTTCAGACTGCTATAGAATCCTTCCTGCTGATGGCCTTTTTAAAGGCTTGGCAAAATTTTGTATTCATCTTCTTCTTCTTTTTTTTTTTTTTCGAGACAGGGTCTCCCTCTGTCGCCCAGGCTGGAGTGCATTGCCGCAGTCTCTGCTCACTGCAACCTCCACCTCCCAGGTTCAGCTGATTCTCCCACCTCAGCTTCCCGAGTGGCTGGGACTACAGTCGTGTGGCCACCAAGCCTGGCTAACTTTTGTATTTTTAGTAGCGATGGGGTTTCACCGTGTTGGCCAGGCTGGTTTCAAATTCCTGACCTCAGGTGATCCGCCTGCCTCAGCCTCCCAAAGTGCTGGGATTACAGGCATGAGCCACTGCGCCTGACTATAATTCATCTTCTAGGGGTGCGTTTGGGTGTGGTGATCCGTGGGCCCTTTCAGCTAACTTCCTTGCTTGTTCTTTTACCTCATGCATGACTGTTGTTTCCATGGAGATTTTCTGGCTAGCGTACACGCTCTCAGTTGTGTGTCAGCATCTGAAAGTACTGTATACTTTTCACCTTGCTTATTTTTACTTTTTTTTTTTTTTTAAATTTTGGAGGCGAGGTTTTGCCAGCTTGGCTAGGCTCGTCTCAACTCCTGGGCTCATGTGATCTGCCCACCTTGGCCTCCCAAAGTGCTGGGATGACAGGCGTGAGCCACCACGCCCGGCCTTCCACCTTATTAAAAAAATTGGGCCAGGCGCGGTGGCTCACGCCTGTCATCCCAGCACTTTGGGAGGCCAAGGTGGGTGGATCACAAGGTCAGGAGATCAAGACCATCCTGGCTAACACGGTGAAACCCCGTCTCTACCAAAAAAAAAAAAAATTAGCCAGGCTTGGTGGTGGGCGCCTGTAGTCCCAGCTACTCAGGAGACTGAGGCAGGAGAATGGCGTGAACCCGGGAGGCGGAGTTTGCAGTGAGCTGAGATTGCGCCACTGCACTCCAGCCTAGGCAACTGAGCGAGACTCCGTCTCAAAAAAAAAAAATTACGTATACAGAAAAGTTGAGCGGACAATACAGTGGATGTCCATAGTACCCACCACTTAGATTCCCCAGTGATCTTTCCCCATATTTACCTTATGTAAGGATGAGTGTTGTGTGGTTTTTCTTTTATTCTTGTGGAATCAATTCAGAATCCTTTGTGTCTTGTCCAATGGACTTGAGTGTAGCCCTCCCTAACATGAGTGAGGTGTGCTTTTGCCTGTCCACACTTAGAAACAGCAGGTCTCTAATTTTAAAAGTAGCTCCTATTTACATTTGCCCAGTTACCCCCTAAGTTTTAAAAAACGTTTGGAATCAGAATAATGTACTCAGCATCACATAGTGAATTTTTTATAAAGTTGAATTTATGTCTCTTATCTCTTTCAATCTGTAGCAGTCTTCCTTGTATTTTTTAATACTTTGACTTCAAAAGAGTGATTAGGAAACGTTTCAGATATTTACAGAAATACATGGGAACATAATTCCCACTCACACATTGCCTTGCTTTAGCACAAGTACATGGGAATATTCCTACTCACGGCCGGGCGCGGTGGCTCACGCTTGTAATCCCAGCACTTTGGGAGGCCAAGGCAGGCGGATCACGAGGTTGGGAGTTCGACACCAGCCTGGCCAATATGGTGAAACCCCATCTCTACTAAAAATACAAAAATTAGCTGGGTGTGGTGGTGCACGCCTGTAGTCCCAGCTACTTGAGAGGCTGAGGCAGAAGAATCTCTTAAACCTGGGAGGTGGAGGTTGCAGTGAGCCAAGATGGTGTCAGCACTCCAGCCTGGGTGACAGAGCGAGACAGCGAGACTCCATCCAAAAAAAAAAATTCCTGCTCACACATCACCTGGCTTAAGCACAAGTACATGGGAATATACTTCCCACCTACACATCACCTGGCTTTAGCAGTTACCACCTTATGGCTGATCTTTTTCATCTGGGCCCCTGCCACTTTCCTCTGTATTATTTTGAAGCAAATCTCAGACATTATATTCATCAGCTTTTTAAATATTATCTTTAAAAGATAAATTAGAACTGTGTCATTGTCACACCTAAAAATTTTTTTTATCACTACTGAGATTGTAATCAGTGTTCATATTTCCAGTTATCTGTCATGAATGTTTTTAATTGTATGAAGAAAGGGAACCCTGTGGGTTTGTTTGTTTAAACTGTTGGAAGTTTGGAATGAGATTCCCAACTTTGAAGTCTAGCATCTGTTCTCAGGATGTGACACACAGAGGGTAGCTCTATGTTTTGACATTTTTATAAAAAAAATATCATCTTGGTCAGATAAGAGTTTGGTGACTCCTGGGAGGATCTCTTTTCAGGCTAGTGGAAATATGAGGCAGAAAACTGGGATTAAGCCGTACAGTGGGGATCCCATTCGGCAGTGTCTCCTTTAGGTACAGCTGAAGGTACCCGCTGGTGTCTGGCTGCTGCATGGTGGTGGGAAATGAAAGAGGTGGTGTGGCTGGGGAGAAGGGAGCTATCCAAGATGACCCTTGACGTCCCTCATCCCCACAGTTTCTTTCATTTGAGACATCCTTGCCCCACCTGCCCCTCTCTGAGCTGACTCCTCATTGCTTGCCAAGACTGCATAAAATGCTGCTATGTTGGTGGTTTGTTTTCCTGTGATTTCTTTTCCCCCTGAAGCCAAGCACCTTATGGAGAGGGCTGGATCTGTCCTGATCATCTCCGCTGTGACAGGGCATGGCCCCATGTTGATGGTGAATAGCCTCTCTGTGTTGGTACAATGCCCCAGTCACCATTCACTAGTCACATGTGTGCCCGCCACACACCATGCTTCCTTTTTGCATTTCTTCCCTGAGTTAGCTAGTCACTTAGGGGGAATTGGACTGTCCCGGGTCTCCTGGGAGTATCAGTACATGGCCGGACACACTACCTTTTCCTTTATAATTCTTTGATGGCATTCACACTACCTTTTTCTTTATAATTAAAGAAAATGTTATACAACCTCGTTGTGGCGTAATTGGCATACAACTAAGTGTACAGATTTAAAGCTTCAGTTTGATGAGTTTTAACCTGTGTACACCTGTGAAGCTTTCCTTTTCACTTTCCTTTTTTAGCCTTCTTAAAGACGAGGAGATGAGCAGCCAGAGAAGGAAACTCTGTAACTGCTCTTGTCTTGAAACTTGCTTTTCCAAATCCTAATGGAAAATCTGCGTATTCTGCTTTCCTTTGGCCAAGCACCAGTATTAAAAAGTTGTTGTATTCAAATTTTGGCAGTGTTTCTATTTACGGTTAACATAGCGGTGAGCGAATTTCAAAATACAGGGAGCCCTGGAGGAATCTTTTCTTTCTTCAAATGGAGACTAGCTGAGGTTGGGAGTTGCTTGGTTTGGGTAGAAGGGTCAGGACTCTGGATGCAGACAAATCTGGGTGTGAGCACCCGCTTTGCTGCATAGGACAGGACCACCTGTTGTTTGGTCTGCTGCAGATCTCAGCCACAGCACCTCCCACCGTGAGACCATGAAAGGGCATGCAGGGGAGTATGAGAAGGCTGATGTTGAAGGCTTCGTGTTGCTTAATTGATACAGTGTGCAGTATTTAGGTGAAAAAGCCCAGACTTCACCACTGTGCAATATATCCATGTCACAGAATTGCACTGGCACCCCAAACAAAAGGCCCCAGACTAGTGAATTTCCCAGGGGGCCAATCATTCTCTTTCCCTTTCAAATTAAAACAAAATATATGGACCAGGCACATATATATATACAGGCTCACACCTGTAATCCTACTACTTTGGGAGGCTGAGGCAGGAGGATCATTTGAGGCCAGGAGTTCCAGACTATCCTGGCCAACATGGCAAAATCCCGTCTATACTAAAAATTACAAAAATTAGCTGGATGTGGTGGCACATGCCTGCAATCCCAGCTACTCGGGTGGCTGGGGCATGAGAATTGCTTGAACCCAGGAGGCGGAGGCTGCAGTGAGCTGAGATTGCACCACTACACTCCAGCCTAGGGAATAGAGCAAGACTCCATCTCAAAAAATAAAAATAAAAAAAAAATACACACACGTACATATTGCTAACAGCCCAGTTGTGTAAAATTTTTTAAAAATTAACTTTAATTATTATTACTATTTTTCTGAGACAGCGTCTTACTTTGTCGCCCAGGCAGAATGCAGAGGCATAATTACAGCTCACTGCAGCGTTGACCTCCGGCTCAGGTGATCCAAAATTCTTTATACTCAGCTCATTTTTTCAAACTTGAGGTATAATTTATGCACAAAACACCCACATATTAAGTGCTCAACTGGGTGGGTTTTGACAGTTGTACATGCCCATGGAACCACCACTCCAAATAAAACATGGAATACTTTGATCATCCCAGAACGCTTTCTTCGCCCTCTCCCCTCTGATTTCCGTCACCGTAGGTAAATTTCTTTGTTGTTAGGGAATAAACGGGATCATTGCTCTATGTGCTGTTCTGTTTCCAGCTTCTTTGGAAAGCTCAGCATGTTGTGAGATTCATCCATGTTTTTTCCTTTTGATTGCTGAGTAATGTTTATAGAGACATATCATGATTTATCCTTTCTCCAGTTGATGAAGATTTGGATTAGTTCCCATTTTTGGCTACTAGGAATAAGATTGAACACTTTTTACAAGTCTTTCGTGGACCTGTGTTTTCATTTTTCTAGGGGAAGTTTTGGGAGTGGATTGCTGGATGTTGCGGGATGTGTCTCTGGCTTGCAAAGTTGCACTGTCTGACACGGACAGTGTGTGAGTGCTCCACCCCTCCTGCTCTCACCCATGGGAATGTGAGATGCCATAAGCACTTGTATGGAGGTCTGATTTACATATTATAAGTTAATCCTTCTCAGTGTACAGTTTGGTATGTTTGGACAGTCATACACAGCTGTATGACCGTCACCACATTTGAGTGAATGCACTCTTTGGAAAGGTTCTCGCATGCCCCTCTGGCCCCTGGCACCATTGCTGGGGTTTTGATGACTCTGGATTAGGTTGGTCTTTCCTAGAGCTTCTGTCAGTACATGCATCCAGCATGTGTCCTTGTATCTGGCTCCTTTGACATGGTGTGGCTTTGTGATTCATTCATGTGCTTGTATGGATCAGCAGTTTGTCCCTTTGGCTTGCTCAGTAGGATTTGTATGGATGCACCACAGTGTGTTTACCCATTTGTCTCCTGGTGGGCATCTGGGCCATTGCCAGCTTTTGATCATTGTGAATATAGCTGCTGTGAACATAGCTGTCCAGAGACCCTCTCCCTCCCCTGAGACCAAACCCCTCTTCTCTGTTGGGGTCAGGAAGGGACACCTAACTGCTTATTCAGCAAACTCAACCACTCTACTAGATGGGGTCTCTTTATCTGCTTCTGGAGACGGGTTGGTGGCCAGCAGTTTGCAGGGCTTTGGGGAACGGCTCTCTTGGTGCCAGCTGCTCCTCGCTGCTGGCTGAGTGCCTTCTTCTCGAGTCTGCTCAATCATCCTCCACTTCAGCTTGCCAGGCTTCAACATGCTGTCTTCTCTTCCATTCTTGGTGAGTTTTATGTCTTTTTTCTCTTAATCTGCTTTATTGTCATTTTCATGTCATTTTGTGTGGGGACAAAAGCAAGTATGTGTGTTCAGCTTTCTCCCTTAACCCAGAGGGCTTTTTACCATAGAGTGCTTAGCCAGTCCTGGTGCTGGGCAAGTTTCTCCTGTTTTTGCTGTAACAAACAACACTATGATGAGCATGCTTACAGTTAAGTCTCTGTGTGTGTATAGATCCATGTGTATTGCTTTAAGACAGACTTCTAGAAGTGGAATTGTGGGATTAAAAGGCATATATACTTTAGATGCCAAGTTTAGCCCCAGGAATGCCATACCAATTTAAATTCCAGCAGGACAAGACAGTTTTTATTTCCTGTCCTTGTGTGAGCATTCCATCTGTAGAACGTTCTCTTTTGGTATTTTTTCCTCCTCCCCAACACCCTGCCACCACACACACGTGCATGCACACACGTACACAAAGTAAGAATGAAGTCAGATCTTAGTGGAGGAGAGTGGGGGCGGCAGTGGCAGCAGGTCTGGCGAGTTGCGTGGGGCTGACACGCAGCTTAGCTCCTCCCTGCCTGTGTCCTCTCCCTGCGCCTGGACCGGCTTGGGTGAACTCAGGCCATTGCCTTCTTTGTTCCAGGTTACACTCCTGGCACACCTTACAAAGTGTCCTGTTCCCCCACCAGCGGGGCTGTGCCACCGTACTCCTCCTCCCCGAACCCCTACCAGACTGCCGTGTACCCTGTGCGAAGTGCCTACCCCCAGCAGAGCCCGTATGCACAGGTATGCTTGGGTACACACTGCTGTGTGGGAAGGGGTGATACCACCTGGGCGTTCATCCTTTGGCCCTGGGACCCTGTGTCAGTTGTCTCTCTTCTCCCCACAGCAAGGCACGTACTACACACAGCCGCTGTATGCAGCACCTCCTCACGTCATCCACCACACCACGGTGGTGCAGCCCAACGGCATGCCTGCAACGGTGTACCCTGCTCCCATCCCCCCTCCTAGAGGCAACGGGGTCACCATGGGCATGGTGGCTGGGACCACCATGGCCATGTCAGCAGGTAAGTCCTCGTTCCTGCGGTGTCTGTCCTATGGTGTACCCTAGAGCTGGGGGAGGGGAGAGCTCACGAATCCTCTGACCCTTGGCTCTAGGTTTTCATAGCTGTAGTTGTGTGGAAGGACAGAAAATTCTTTGGGGAAGAAACAGCAGGTTATCTTTTATTTTGCCTACCTGAGTGACCCCTTGTGGAGGCCTCTCTGAATCTGATGGACTCGCTTTGTTGGTGAACTGAGCCATTTGGCAATGCAGGATGTGCCCCCTCTCCTCCCACCCCCTATGACCATGTAAGACTTGAGTAGAAGGAGGACACTTTGTGTACCGGGGTTGCTCTGGCCTTCTTCCTTTCCCTTGAGGGGAGCTTGTCTTTGCAGGTCAGTTGTCTTCATCGGGATGTTTTCATGCATCTAGGAGAGCTGGTCTTGCGTTGATAGAAGAAACAGCTGCCTGTAGAAATCCTTTGGCATTCATCTACCGTACTTTACTTTGCAAGGCCTCCTCTAAGGAAAATAAACCATGGAAAGATGAGGCCCCTGGCTGGGATGGGCACATCTCCGCGGAAGCCCTGGGGGTTTGATCTGATGTCTAGGGATTGGGTGACCACCCAATCTGTATGACCACCCATGTGGATTCACCTCCTGGTCTCTGGGTCAATATGACCACCTTTAGGTCATGCCCACACAAAAGCGTACTGTTCCCTCCTTGTTTTTCTGGACTTGACTTCAGTGTAAGGAAATTATGCCAGAGAGAAAAGCATTCCGGGTTATTATGTGTGCTTCAATGTAGACTCTGATTTGGTTTTCCCCATACTTATCTGTCAAGGAACAGGAAACTGGGCATAGACAGAAACTGCTGGTTTGAGGCACAGGGAGGGAGGGCAGCAGGCACCAGGTTGGGTGCCACTGTGTTGGAGGTGGTGCTGGTCCATAAAGGGACTCAAGTAGTTGTTGAGTTTCTGCAGTTGTAGGAAAAATAGATTTCTCTTAAAGAACTCAGAAGCTCATGTAGTTTAGAATCCTCATTTCTTTTTTTTTTTTTTAATTTTAAAATTTTTAATATTTTTTTTTAAGACAGGGTCTCATCCTGTCAGCCAAGATGGAGTGCAGTGGTGTGATCTCAGCTTACTGCAACCTCTGCCTCCTAGGTTCAAGTGATTTTCCCACCTCATCCTTCCCAGTAGCTGGGACTACAGGCGCCTGCCACCATGCCTGCCTAATATTTTTTTGTACCTTTTGGTAGAGATGGGATTTCACCATGTTGGCCAGGCTGGTCTCGAACTCCTGACCTCAGGTGATCCACCTGCCTCGGCCTCCCAGAGTGCTGGGCTTACAGGCGTGAGTCACTGTTGCCAGCCTCTTGTTTTTTATTTATTTGTTTTTACCATCTTAACTTTTTTTTGTTGAGACAGGGTCTTGCCCTTTTGCCCAGGCTTGAGTGCAGTGGTGCGATCACAGTTCACTGTAGTCTGGAACTCATGGGCTCAAGCCATCCTCCCACCTTAGCTTCCTGAGTAGCTGGGACTATAAGTATGCTACCACACCTGGCTAATTTTAAAACTTTTTGTAGAGCTGGGATCTCACTATGTTGCCCAGGCGCATCTCAAGCTCCTGAACTTAAGCTATCCTCCCACCCCAGCCTCCCAGAGTGTTGGGATTACAGACATGAGCCCCTGTGCCCAGCCCATCTTAACCCTTTTTAAGTACGGTTCAGTAGTGTTAAGTATATTCACATTGTTGTGAAACAGAGCTCCAGAACGTCTTTATCCTGCAAATCTGAACTCCTGTACTCATTAACGCTAATTCCCTGTTCTACTTTCTTTCTGTCTCTGAATTTGACTACTCCAGGTACTTCATCTAAGTGGAATCATTAAGTATTTGTCTTTTAGTGACTGGCTTCTTTCTTTCAGAATTATGTTCTTAAGGTTCATCTATATTGTAGCATGTGTCAGAATCTCCTTCCTTGTTAAGGCTGAAGCATACTCATTTGTTTATCATCTGACCTATAAAAATTATTGGGTGTGCTTTATGAAGGGGACACACAAAAGGCTTTTACGAACATATTGTCTGTGGAGCTTGCTGTGTGGAGACAACTTTTGGGTGTGGGGGATTATCTAATCAGAGTTCTGACAGTATCTGGGTCAAGACTATCCCTCTTCCTGTATACCCTCCTCCTTGCAAAGAGGCCAGGCTTGTGTGCGTATCAGGCAGTGTGGAGCTGTGCAGGAGGTCAGCCTCATGTCATGTGCTGCTCTTTCTTCCAGGTACCCTGCTGACTGCTCACTCCCCAACTCCTGTCGCCCCCCACCCGGTCACTGTGCCCACGTACCGGGCCCCAGGAACGCCCACTTACAGCTATGTGCCCCCTCAGTGGTGATCACCTGCAAATGTAAGTGACCAGGGAAGGCTGGGCTAGCCTTTGATGAAAGGGCATTTCCATGGGACAGTGGCAAATTTACCACATATTTAAGCACTAACGAGGAAAGTGTGCCTGACCCTGGATCCAGAGGCAATGTAGTGTTTAAATTTTTTGTTTTTATTGAGACATTACAGAGTAGAAGGAAGGAAGGAACCATTGAATACCTACTGTTGACACTGTCCATCTTGAGCCTTGCCTGGAATGTGCTCTAACCCCCCACCTGCCTGCTACAGGAAATAGGGCTCCAGTTGCAATTGGGGGTCTCTAGGAAGGAAGTGAGAACCAGGTCCAGCAGTTTTGCCCATTGCTGCCCTTTCCGACCCTGCTGGGCCTCATCCTACTTGAGATTTTGGAATAGCGGTGCCGGAAGAGCTCTGTGTGACTGAGTGTCTGTCTTCCTTTCTGCAGGTTTGAGGACGGAGCTGTGCAGTCACATTATTGGGGATTCCACAGCTGGTGCTGCAGGCCTTGCGCCTCCAACCAGGACTTTCTTCTTAATGCTCTCGACACTTAGCTAAACACGACTATATCCCGGCCCAGCAGGCCCCAGCGCCGTTAGTCTCCAGCTGACTCTGTGGGTTGGTCTTAAAGCAAATTCTGTTTTGTGGACTGCCTGGCAATTTTTTAGCTAACTGTAATGATAAAAAGGGAGTATTAATCTATTCTGAATCATATCTAGTTGAATGCATGTTTAAAAAAACAAACACAAAAAGCTTGCTCAATCTACCTGCAGTGACTGATGCAAAACCATCATATGCAAAATCCAAAGGAATGGAAACGTATTTTACAACTTGTATCACTAATGCACTGTTGTAATGTATGCAAAGTCTTACAGTTATAAGTGTTAAAGTGAATTTCTTCATAGAGCATCTGAAATATCTTAGATGATTCTTCAACCTTTTGGGGTTGATGTGGGTTGCCAGTTAGGGATGTGGACATTTTAGTTTTCAGCGACCTGTTTCTTTGGCACTGACTGTCCTGGGAGGGAGTTGCGAGGTTTGGGAGAGAGTAGGGAAGCCACAGCTGCTTGGGTGCAGCTGGTTCATGGACATCCCTTTGAGTTTAGGCTTGGTGGAGTCAGTGGAACAGGGACATGCTTAAAGCTCATCATGAAAGATTATGGTAGTGTGGCCAGTGAAATTTGGGGCGAGGGGGGTGGTTTATGTGTCAGCAAAGCAGTTTCTCTGCTATCTAAATTTTCATTACAGTTCTCTTAGAGAGATGATGTTTTTATATGTCTTTATTGGAAAAGTCCTATGTAAAACTAAATTATTTTCCTGGGATGGAAGAAATGTGAAAGAGAAACAGCCATGCTTGCAGGAGGTATTGTCCTCTGCTTTATTTAGCTTAGAAAATCATTCCTTTTTTTTTTTTTTTCCTGGAGAAATGTTTGAATCAGCTGAAAACAGGTAGGCATTGCTGTTTTTCCCCAACAAAGAAGGGCAAAGGTTTCAGCTGTATGTTATGAAGAAAGTGGTATATTTAAGAATGAGTTAAAAGGGAACAAAACTTTATTTAAAATTCCTCCAATTTCTTGTAGAAAGGCAGGGCCGTGGATATGTCTGGAAATGTAGAAACCTGTAGCTGCTTCTGGGATCACCCACCTGATGGTGGTGACTTGTCTGCTGAGGCCGGCTGGAGGGGACGCTTAGAGATGGGGCGAGGGGGAGGCCAGTGTCTGTTGTCTGCGAGCCTCTCCTGCCATCTCTTTTGCAGCTGAGGGCACTTGGCACAAAGCAAGCACAGACAGCAGAGAGGGCCAGGCAGTGCTGGAGTGCGTTTGCTGGCAGGGTTTATTGTGGGAGAGGAATTTGAGTTTAGGATCTGAATCTTGTACATAAGAAATGAAAAGGCTTCCCTCCACCCCGCCCCCAAAATATGCCCGTCCTGTATCCATGAGAGTGCATGTCGGTTCTCAGTGAGGGTCAGAGTGGGGGTGGGGGATGTAAGGCCTGGGTCCCTTTCAGCGGCCTCTAGGGCAGGAGCGTGCGTCTTCTTCCCAGTGCAGTGGTGGTTTGAGTGCTGTGGGCTCTGGTGGGGAGGGGGCTCTGCTCCTCTTCATTTGCTGGTAGCTGGGTCAGGGCACTGGCGCCCAGTGAGGATGCCCACTAGCATTCTGCCCCAGTTGGTTGGTGGGGGGACACCTGACCACTGAGCCTTTGGTAACCTTATTTTTTATAGTAAGTACTTCTTATAATTTTCTTTTTCACATCTTATTTTATAAGAAGTTTAGGAATATTTTTGCATGGATCATTGTAAACAGCAGATTCTTTATTCCTGATGTCTATTAACATAGAATGTTTACTGATAAGTACTTTAAATTGCTTCATGAGCACTTAATCCATCTTAGTGTCTATGTGTGGGGGCAGACATTTACCGCAGGCACACAGTTTGTGCCCCTTTCTTCAAGTCTCTGTTGGTAATTCCATCTGTTTAGTGGATGGTTGGCAGGATTAGTAGGTTCTAACGGTTCCAGGGGTTCAGCTGACCAAGTAGCAGAGAAGTCTTTTTTCCCAATTGAGTGCTAATAGATTAGGATAAAATACTCACAATGTTAGTGTATGCTTTTAAAAAGCCCCACACAACAAAATGGAAACATACATGTACAACTCCTGTGAGGGCTGGAGTCTTGGGGTTCAGGAGGAGGTTAGAAGTTACAGGCATCTCTTCAGGCTTGCTTGGTACTTGGCACACACAGGATGGTGTTTTAAAGAGTGGGCTGCACCCCCCACACGCCATTTACATCAGCTTCATAAACACTTTTCTTCCTCCCTGTAACTTAACCTTTTTTCCCTTTTATGAAGTTGAGAGGCTTTATGAAATAAGTTTGCATTGCACATCCGTGCAGAAATCTTTCTGACTTTGAAATTTTTAGGACGTCAGCTGTCAGATACGAAAGGTAGATATCAGGTAAGAATCTGGACTTAGGAAATAGTCACAAAACTGTCATAGGTTGTAATTTTATCAACATTCGCTTCTAGTAAAATTAAAGTCAATTAAGAAATAGAACTTGGGTCAAAATTCTGTTACAAAGCTTCATAATTTGTCCCGAAGCATATGGTGGAGCATTCTGAGAAATTTGCTTTTTGTGTGTTTGACATTCCTAATTTGGGAGTCCTTCAGCTGAATTACTATTCTTTTAGAAGTTGAGACAGCAGGTAAGCAAAGGACCTAGTTCATGTAAACATGGACATCATGATGGCTATTTAAAAAATATTTGTTCTACACCTTCTCCCCTGAGGCTTGGGGAGTGTGTTCAGCCGCTGCAGTTTCTCTGCTCATGGAGGTCTTGTTTGGATCTGTGCTGGCGGCTGAGCATTTAGTGTGAGCCAGTGACCCATGAACTTGCCGCTCTGTGAGGGCCAGAGTCAGGGCCAGTCATGGTAATGGGCCTGAAGGCACTTCCAGAACCTTTTATGTCTCTCGTGAGCCATCTGTTAAGAACGTTCTTCTTGGTGTGGTTTGTAGGCCTACCTGTCGCTATTCTGGGAAACCTTCTTGAGTGCTATGCAAATGTGTTCACAGGCAATGGGGGTGGTCCTGAGCCTTGGGGTGGGCACCTGGTCAGTGAGTGTCTTGCCCTTCCCCAGCTGGGCATACAGTACCTTGCTCTTTCTGGTGGCATCATCTGGCTGTGATGAATGAGGTCTAGGAAATAATTTGCATGTGTCTTGGGGGACACAACAGTAACGAGAGGAAATACATTATTACAGCAACTTGCGACGTACTAATACCTGTCAGTGTTGGCCCCCGTAAGGTATGTAAGGCACCTGTGAGTGCCAGTGAGTGCTGGTGAAAGGCCAACATGTACTAGTTATGTAAGTATTGGTGTCTGCTTTAAAAAAGGAGACCCAGACTTCACCTGTCCTTTTTAAACATTTGAGAACAGTGTTACTCTGAGCAGTTGGGCCACCTTCACCTTATCCGACAGCTGACTGTTGGATGTGTCCATTGTCGCCAGTTTGGCTGTTGCCCGGACAGGACAGGACCTCCATTGGGCGCAGCAGCAGGTGGCAGGGGTGTGGCTTGAGGTGGGTGGCAGCGTCTGGTCCTCCTCTCTGGTGCTTTCTGAGAGGGTCTCTAAAGCAGAGTGTGGTTGGCCTGGGGGAAGGCAGAGCACGTATTTCTCCCCTCTAGTACCTCTGCATTTGTGAGTGTTCCCTCTGGCTTTCTGAAGGGCAGCAGACTCTTGAGTATACTGCAGAGGACATGCTTTATCAGTAGGTCCTGAGGGCTCCAGGGGCTCAACTGACCAAGTAACACAGAAGTTGGGGTATGTGGCCTATTTGGGTCGGAAACTGCATGTTTCAGAAAGTTTGTCTCTTTTTCCTACTCATTATTTGAAGAAGAGAGAGCCTGTGGGGATAGCCTTATCTTGGTCCACAGGACTGAAGTGAAGTCACTTGGGAAGGGGAGACAGAGGATGAGCGGCGTCTGTGTAGGGACCCCCCCCCGGGCCTGCAGAAGGGTGGTGTGCTCCCAGGACTGGCATGACAGGTGTCTCCTCCTCACCACAGGCTGTGCCCATGAGTCCCTGTGCAGACCAGTGGGCAAGGCAGCTGGGCCAGATCTCAGGCCAGCCGTTTGTGCTCCTAGCAGGGTTGCTGTGCTGGCCACACGGAGAGGCCCTAGAGAGCCTCATGGATTGTAACTAAAGAAGAAACGGTTCCTTTTTGTTTTTTTAAAAATGATTTTTAAATACCGTTTTTTACACCGTTCTCTCGGTACTTTTTTTAAGCTAAGTCAGCATTGTCTTCCAGTGTTAAAGGCATCCCTCACCTCTGCATTGAACTTACGTATCCATGCCAAGGAATGGAATTTCCATCCTGAGCCAGTTCAGTTAGGTGTCAATTGATACTATTTTAATTTTTTATGCAATCTGATGAGATGAGCTCAGATTTAAAAATCTCAAAAGCACGTTTATTGTAACAAGAATTGTTATGTATTAATACTGCAGTTTTCAATAAAGATTGACTTGTGTTGCATATTGTGGTTTTCATGATTTCTCCATATGGGTTTTTGTCTAGAGGTAGCATGGCCTGACTGGGAGGTGCTGGGGCTTCTCTCAAGTTGGGAGATTGCCAGGGGTTTTGAGAAGAAGACCACCATGGCGTCCAGCCCCAGTGACCTTGGCAGTGCTGGAGTGTGGTGGAGGCAGCAGGTTGCAGGGGACCATTTTCCCAAGTGGGACAGGGAGGGAAGCAGCACCATGCTCCCCTTCTGGCTTCTGTGGCCAGGGTCAGAAGACCCTGGGAAGACACGTTCTTCCTCATTTCACCAGGGATGCTGAGGCCCAGAAAGATTACTGACTACTCACCCACCAAACTCACGTGGGCCAGCTCCAGTCAAACAAACACAGGGAAGCACTGGTTTCTGGGTCTTGAGTGCAAGGGAGGGCAGAGCTACCTGTATTCCCCATCAGCAACCAGCATGGCCTGGCCCTGCTCGCCTTAGGCGAACAACTGCAGCCAGCCCCGCCTCAGCCTATCATCTCCACTAAATCCCCGAGGGTGTGATCTGCGACAGGTGAGCCCCCACCCCACCTTTAGAGGCTGCTGGCCACAGGAAAATGCACGCACACCCACAGAAAACGGGCTAGCAGCCAGGTTACTTTTCATAAATTTATTTATGAAATTAAATGTGGTTTCTGGCTTGGAGAAGGAATAGTGCAAGAGTGACTGTCCATGCTGCTGAATCCTGTGGGCTCCACGCCAGCTCGCCAGGCCCTGGCTCTGCTCCTGGCGCCCCTTGGCAGGACAGGGCGCCATCTCCACACACCCGCTGCCTGGGCTGTGGGTCAGTCCTGTGTGCTGAGCCACAGAATTCGGTCTCTCTCTTATGGCTTCTCACGCTCACGAGCGTAAGGCAATCTTCTGTGTCACTAAGAATCAATTCTTTTTCTCCATTGTTTGTTGTTAGAAAAACAAGATGCCAAAATCCAAACAAAACCAGGAACGAGGTGGTTCTGGAGCTACCGCACAGCAGCAGGCAGACTGACCACACTCCCGACTGGGAGTATGCAGCCGACTGCACCGTCTTGTCCTTTTCCGCTACACACACACACACAAGTGAAGAGGGTGTCCAGCAGCCAGCGGTGTCTTGAGGGGCTGGGAGGCGAAGGGCGGGCTCCGGGCGCAACACAAGGGTGTGGAATTCCTGGCTTCTGCCCTCCCAAGTGGCAAGCTGCCTGGCACCACTGGCCGGGCTGGGGACTTGGAGAACTAGAGGGCAGAGGGGCACATGGCCTGGCATTGCAGGCCACAGAAGGCCAGAGAGTCCTGCCCAGAGGAAATGAAAGGAGGATTAGGTTTCCAGAGAAGAGGGTCCCACGCAGGTAGCGCCTTCTCCCCAGCTGGGCCTGGGCTGAGCTGCGGTTTCCCCGCTCCAGCAGTGAGGCCCTACACAGGTCCAGAGGGCGGATGGGGCCCAAGCTGCAGCGGCGGTGTGGCGAGTGCGGGGTCTGCCCCCTTGCTGGTCTCTTCAGGGCACCAGGAGCAGGGAAAAAGACAACAGGAGTACAGACCTGGCACGTCTTGGTGGCACAAGCAACTCCCCAGCCCATCCCTGCTCACTTGCAGGCAGAGGAAGGCCAGGCCGAGTGGGCCTCGGGGAAGAAAAACTGGGGGCCACTGGCAGGAAGGCCCAGCAGGTGCTGTCAGGCAGGGACCAGTTCACTTGCGGAAGGGTGCCAGCCGGCTGATGCTGTGCCAGAAGGTAGATGGCTTGCGCCTGGGCTCCGCCAGCACCAGGACCTGCTGCTGGGGCCGGTTGCTGGGCAGGGCTGGGTGCTTCTGGCGCGTCAGGTAGCAGGGCCGGCCAACAGCTGAACAGGGAGAGACAGCAGAGGGTCATGGGTGCCCAGGGCAGAGTGCCACCCCAGCTGTTGGGGACAGCATGGGGTCCGTCCCAGGGCTCTGCTTCAGAGCCGCCGTAGGAGGCAGTTTTGCCACACAGGACTTGCTCCTGGAGAGCTGACCACATCCAAGAGCTCAGGCTGCCTGGGGTCTCTGGCCTGGGCCTGGCCTCCTGCAGCAGCCTGAAGAGGGGGGTGGCCTGTGCAAAGGCATGTGATGTTTCAGGGGCATGGCTCTCTGTAGAAATGGGGAAAGCAGCTCCATCCCTACACCAACCCCAGATGCCTGTCAGGAAGGAACCCTGGGGAAACAAGCATTGTCACCAATGGCCCTGATCTGGGGGAGCCAAGGTGTTGAGAGTAAGAATGTCAACCATATACTGACCCAGGCTTCCCCAGTGGCCCCTTATTACCAACCTTTGGGAACAAACAGCTGCAAAGGGCAGTGGGCCCCCCTCAGGCCTGGTGGCTAGCTGGCTTGGCTTTGTGGTTCAGAGAAGGGAATGATGTCAGCAGGGTAAGGACCGGGCAGCCGAGGAGGTGGGGCTGCTGTCCGCCTACCTTTGGGCTTCCCTGTGACCTGCTGCTTGCTGGCATTCAGCATGGCCTGCTTCCTCTGCAGTTCAGTGATGGAGAAGCCTGAGGAAGGGGCACAGGTGAGGGCGCTGCCCCACTTCGTGGCCCCAGGTGCAGTTCCCTGCACACCTGCACCTTCCTGGTGCCCAGGGTCTCATCATGTACTGGGGACTCAGTACTGGCCACAGCGGGGACTGTTGCCCATTCTGCACAGTCAGCCTGCCTTGGCCAACCAGGGCAGAGGGCATGCTCTGGTGTCCTGTCCTGGGGCTCCTGGCAGAAAATGAAGATCCCCGAGTCCTTCCTCTGCCCACCCATCTCTCACCTTCACTCCATGTCTAGTGTCTTTTCCACTGCAGTGGAGGCTCCTTCCCAGACCAAGAGCCGACCTGGTCACTGTGGCGGGTAATGTGGGGGCCCGTGGACAGGAGGGAAGGTGTAGTGGGGAGATGTCTGCGTGCATGGGGCAGGGGAGGCTTCTGAGGCCAGTACCCACAGCCCACTCCAAGGCTCTCCCAGGGCTTTTGCTGGCTGGAAAGGGGTCCCGCAGGTCCCAGCAACCCAGGGCACTGCGCAGAGGACCCCGTCCTATGGAGTGTGTGCACATGTGAGCGCGTGTAGTGAAACAACTCCCCAAAAGCCAGCAGACCCATGCCTTGGGGCTGAACTCTGCGAAACTGTATCATGGGATGCGGTCAGGTAACCCTGCCATTGAGGTGATGAAGGCAAAGCCTTATGCTCATGACTGGGACCTAGAGGTGCCTGGAGCCTTGCTACACCCTGCAACCTGAGAGGGCTGAGCGGCGCTCTCCTGACCGGCAGGCGGCCAGGCAGGCGGGAGCGCCGGGTGGGCCCTGGGGGCGGGGCAAGGCCCAGCAGGGTCTCGAACCTGTCTCCTGGTCCAGCTGCACCTGCTCCCTCTCCCTGGCAAAGGCCTTGAGCCAGCGCTGCTTCTGCTCGGGCTTCCTGGTGCACAGCAGGTGGCTGTCCCCTGTGGCGCCACGGTGCAGCCGGAAGGCGTTCTTGATGCTCACATGGAGGTCTCTGTCCTTCCCGTCCTCCAGGTCCACCACCTCCAGGCCGTCCATGTCCAGCCGGCCCTTGTAGTACAACACGTCGCGGCGGAGCAGGTCCTGCCAGATGCTGGCCTCAGCCCTGGCTGCTGAACCGCTCCCCTGACCATTTCCTGGCTGCTCCCACCTCCTCTCCCCAGCCATAGGAGGGGCTGCTGGTGATGCCTCCACCTCCCCAGCAGACAGTGAGATCCTGAGGGCAGAGCATGCCTTCTGCAGCCCACAGACATGCTGAGCCATGAGTGGAGAGGCCTTGCTCCTTTATTTTGCAGGTACTGACTAGCCCGGGGTTGGCCCTGTCTTTGAGGTGGGGAGACTAAGACAGTGGCTCACACCACACGTAGGAAAGATCACCCGTGGACAAGGAGGGCTTCATGGACATGAGGCCACTGGGCCATGTTTTGAAAGAGGAGCAGAAGCCGGCAGCGTAGAGGAAGCTGGGAGGTGGCTAGAGCAGGGGACTCCGGGGTTGGAGAGAGGGGATGTGGAGGTTTGCAGGGAGAGAAGAGGTAGCTTGAGGAGCAAGCAGCGGCCAGGTCAGGAAAGATCATGCTCTCAACAGCACCCGGCCTGGTCAGACTGTGAAAGCCGCCTGCTGCTCCTGGGCCACCAGGCTCACCTGCAGAGAGCCACCCCATCCCAGCCCCAAGGGTCTGGCCAGGCTCCCCGGGTATGGTCTGGCTGGCACCTGTCTTCTGGGCAGCTGCTCCCAGCCCTCAGCTCCCCTCCCTCCACTTGCTCAACTTGGGGCAGCAGGGCAGAGCAGCTCTGGTACCTTCTTACAGTAGATGAGCTGGTGGTCAAAGAGAAAGAACATTCGCTGCTGGCTTTTGGCTTGAGGCTGTGTAACTCGAGTCAGCTCCCCCGAGTAGATGAGTTCTGAGCTCCTGACCAAGAGATCTTCTCCCTGGGAAGATCCCAAGGAGAACCATGAGCCTCGCATACCCAACCGTGGGCTCCACTTCCTGCCCCCATCATGGGTGGGTGGCGCACCTCCCCCTGGCCTTGCCTGCAGCGCCCACCTGGCCAGGCCATGGTGGGAGGGGGAGGAAGAGGTGGCACGTCTGGCCTGTGAGTTGGCTGTCCTTGCAAAATAGGAGCCCCCTGTCACCAGTGGCCTCTGGTGGCTGTTGGGCACTGGAAGTGTGGCTAATCCATATTAATTAGATGTGATGTCAGTGTAAGATACATATTGATTTTGAAGACTTCATATGAAATAATGTAAAATATTTCATTAATGATAGTTGATCACAAGTTGAAATGCTATTTTGGAGTTAAATGAAACATTATTAAAATTAAATTCACTTGTTTTTTTCCCTTTTTAAAGATGGCTACTGCATAGCATACGATTCCATATGTGGCTCACATACTAGTTTGATTGGACAGTGCTGCCCTAGAGAAGAATTAGGCCTGTCTGGGATTCACCTCTGAGGCCAACCTTTGAGATCTCTAAGGAGGCCCTCTTCCCAGCTAAGTGCACTGAGTACCTGAAGGTCCATCATCCACCCTTGGGCTTCATACTTTTAGACTAAGCCCTGCCCTGGTCTCATTCTACCTTGAAAATGCAAACCCCAGCTGGGAGTGGTTGGCGGTGGCCTGTTTGGGATGAGTGACTCTGGAGGGCCCTGAGCCAGGGCTGGGCCTCACAACTGCCCCTATTGCTCAGCCCCGCCTCACAGCTGACTGCCCCTATTCCTCAGCCCCGCCCCAGGGCTTCTGATTCACTGTGTCTAGGGTGGGGCCCTGGAATCTGTATTTTCATAATGTTCTGTGGCTGATACTGATTGATTTCCAGGCCATTTCTCTCGCTGACAGCTGGTGCATGGTGGTGGCAGCACCCATGTGGGTAGGGAGCCTTCGGGAACAGATCAGGAGGTGGCAGATTGGCAGATGCAAGTGGGGGTGGGTGGAGGGGGACAGGAACATCGTCATTAGTTCTAAGGCAAGATTGGCAGATGCAAAGGGAAATGTGCAAGTCAGACAAACAGAACCAGGAGGCTCTGATGGGTGGCGATGCATTTTTGGTCATGCTGTGTTGGGCCTGCAGCCTTCTGTTAGGAGTCCCAGAAGTGAACTAAAACAGGGATCTGGCCTGTCCCCTGAAGGCAGAGGAACAGAACACAGCTGAGGAACACACTTCCTCTGTTGAGGGCTTCTCCTGGGCTGGCTGGCTGCTCATGGGAGGAGTTTCACATAGAAAAGAGGCCACCAGGTGCCAAAGCCTGCTACGGTAGGCAGCAGCAAAGGTCCAGAGCCCACGCTGGGGACAGGCTTTCACACCATGAGCATCTGTTGCTAGCTCCCAGGAGCGCAGCTCCCTGCTTCAGCTCCCTTCTAGATTTTTCAGGGGCAAGCATGATTTTAAAGCGAGGGGCCAAGACCTCCTGGAATTTTCTGTGCCCCCAGGCCCTCACCTCCCAGTCCTCTATGGAGCTCTGCCACTGAGCAATCTTGTCGATGTTCTCAAGTCTCCGCTTCCGCTCGTTGATGAGCTGGGCCACGTTCTTCATGGCATGCAAGGCGGCTTCAACATCCTTGAAGTCCCTGGGGCAGAACAGAGATGGAAGGCTGCTGCAGGCTGGAGACAGAGAAAGGGTGAGGATCCCCTGCAGCCCCCACGTGTGGAGCTGCTTTCCTCTGGGGCTGTGCCCTTTGACCACATCCTCACTATCAGATGCACAGCCCCTCTCTTCTCCATAAATGGCAAGCACAGAGCAGAGCTTAATATCCTGTTGGCATCCTCTTCCCCCATTGCAAGGAGCTCATCAGGACAGGGCTAGTTTTCTGTGTGTTGCCCCAGGGCTGCAGCAGTGCCCAGCACACTGCTAATGCTCAAACTGGCTGACTGGAGGCATGCAGAGGCGTGGGCTGCCTCCCTGCCTCAGTGCCCTCCTACCTGTGCTGGGGGTGCGTGTATTTGAGCAGCTCGGCCAGCTGCAGAGGGTACTTGCAGATCTTCTGCACCGGAGTCAGCAGGAAGCCATCCAGGGAGATGTCAATCATCTTCTGCAGCAGCCGGCAGGCCTCGAAGAAGTACACGTACTTGCTGAGCTTGGTGAGCCGGGAGAGCTCCACGCAGGCGTTGGGGTGGTTATTGCAGTACTCCGAGTAGATCTGGAAGTCGGCTTGCTAAGGGGCACAGCTGGAGGTTAGCAGAGCTCTCTGCTGCTCCCACAGGCAATCCAGCTGCATGTGTGGGAAGGGCAAGAGCCTCTACATTTCCTTCAGGAGCTGGGCTGGGGGCTAGGGGAGACCCAGGCTGTGTGTACCTATTTCCCTGGGGCATAAGCTACATGGAGTCACACACAGGGGTGGGAATGGTGAGAATATGAGCAGGTGTCCCGGCTGCACGCTAGCCTTCTGGGTGAAATCCATGATAACAAGGACGGGATAACAATGCCAAAAGCGGCGGTGGTAGGGGGTTGGGTGGGACAGGCATCCTCTGCTCACCCTCGCTCGACTGCCCAAGAGGGCCAAAACAAGGCCCTTCTCTACCAGGTGAGGCTAGGAGGTGTCCACTTAGAGCGGCCCAGTGAACCTTGGTAAATGCCAGCCGGCATCTGCCGCCTAAGCAGGCTGTAAATTCTCCCTGTGTGAGAAACCCCAGAGCTCACTCTGAACAGCCCCTGCGGCGCTCGGCAGGCCTCTGCCCTCCTATCTGTCAAAGCAAGTCCTTCCTGGGGGACGCCCCAGCCCTCTGCTCCCAGGAGCGTTCCCTGACTTGGTTTCGCCACACAGAAGCAGAGACCATCCTAAAACTGTCCTGAAGGGTGCGGGCAGCGGGGCAGATAGAGGGCTGGAGCTGGGGCCCAGGCGTTGTGGAAGGTTTTGGGACCAGCCACCCGCTGTCCGCGCTGGCGCCCGCGGCAGCCTCTGTGAACGCAGCGCCCAGGTAGGGGCCGGGGGCCGCGCGCTCACATGCTCCAGGAAGCAGGCACCCAGCTCGCTCAGGTGTGGGCGCTCGCGGTTGAACCTCTGCTCCAGGGCCTTCACGAAGGCCTTCTGGCAGCGGTAGATGTCCTCGATGTTCCCGAAGATGGTACGCAGCTGCTCCTCGCTGAACATGTCTGCGCGCTTGCGGCACTGCCGGACGTAGCCCTGCGGGCGGACGTGGTTAGGCCTCCCCCGACCGGGTCCCCAGTCACCGCCCGCCGGCCGGGCCTCACCTCGCAGATGTCGCGCAGGTGCTTGATGTAGTCCCGCTCAGTGCTGAGGATCTCGTTGATGACGTTGGTCCGCATCTGGTCCTTGCTGCTCTGCGCCTCCGCCCCGCCGTCCTCCGCTCCGCTGTTCCCGGCCAGAGGGGCGTCGTCATCCGCGGGCTCGTCCTGATTCACCCTCAGCTGCAGGCCATGCGTGGCCGGTCAGTGCCCCGCATCCCTCGGAGCAACGCCCCGCGCCCTGCGCCGCAGCGGCGGGAACCGGGCCTCGGAGGCCCCGCAGGGTGTACGGGGCGCAGGGCTGAGGACTGGCCGGCCAGCTCCCCCCACCACGCCACCCACGCAAGTCCTGGACCGAGGAATGACGACTCCGACGCCCGCAGCCGCCGTCAGTGTGATCCGAATACCGATTTGGCCTCCTTCCTAGACCCTGCTTGTGCCCGGCACAGAGGCTGGAGCGCTTGCTGCAGTTCCTGAACCAGTGCCTGCTCCTGCCAGCCCCAGCGGGCAGAAGCAGGGGGATGGGTGGCGCGCCCGCTGGCTAACATGCAACTTGGGGAAAGGCTTAGGGTGCGGAGTGGACAGTTTCCCAGGGGATCTGGGGCAGGAGGAGCATCTGAACACCAGGGCCTGGGACCTCCCCGCCGGACGGCCCTCAGCTTGGACGCCCTGAGCCAGGCCTTTTGGAGACTGCACCTGGATTCCTTCCTTGAAGACTGGAGACCCCCTTAGATGGAATCCAGGTCCCCTCTCTGCTATCTCCAGGGCTAATAACTTGACCGTGCCTCAACTTCTTCAGGTGTAAGTCATGGTTCCCACTCCCGGGGCTGTGTGTGAGGTGAGCAGTCCCCTATCAGTGCTCTTCAGGGCTTGGGAAATGTCTAGCGCCTGGAGTTGCGGGGGTATCGCAGAGGGGTGCCTAGTGTCTGCACACACTCATTTCTCGACTGCTCTCCTCTCTGGCCCCCGAGGGCTCACCAGAAGAGGAATGGGAGCAGGAGTAGTGGCTCTCCAGGAGGAGGAAGGCTGTGACACTGCGCCCCGACACCCACCACCCAGTGCTCTGCACCTAGGATGCCAGAGCTGTTTTGGGCTTGGATTTCTCTGCAGAACCAGGTAGCTTTTTATGGGCCCAACTTGGGAGAAGCTGGGGCTTGGAACCATACCCGAACGAAGCTGGCTGGAAACCAGCCCTCGCCATCGGCGACCCGGCCCCACCACCACTCTCTGTTGGTGGCATCCATCACTTCGATGACGTCCCCAGCTTTGAAGCCCAGCTCCTGGTCGTCCATGGTGACATGGTCCCAGAGTGCTTCAGCGCAGACCACACTGCCATCGCTGATGAGCTGCCGAGAGAGCCACGGGCAGGCGGGTCAGTGGGGGAGGCTGCCTGGGCCTCCCTGCTCTCTGTCTCCACTCCCTCAGCAGCCCTGGGAAGAGGGGATCCTGACTTCTTTACAGAGGAGCTGACAAGGCTGCCTCTGACAGGAGCAGGGCTTTCCTGGGGCAGGGGCTATGTTCTGGGCATGTCTAGATTATCAAGGCTCAGTGATGGAGCCGGAAGTGAACTGACCACAGAATCTGATCCTGTCACTGGGACTGCCAACTGCTCCCTGTTAGCATTCCCAATCCAGAATTCCTGGGGGCTGCAAGGCTGCAGGAGGGAGGGGCTGGGCACTGCAAGGCTGCAGGAGGGAGGGGCTGAGGGCTGCAAGGCTGCAGGAGGGAGAGGCTGGGCTGCAAGGCTGCAGGAGGGAGAGGCTGGGCGCTGCAAGGCTGCAGGAGGGAGAGGCTGAGGGCTGCAAGGCTGCAGGAGGGAGAGGCTGGGCTGCAAGGCTGCAGGAGGGAGGGCCTGGGGGCTGCAAGGCTGCAGGAGGGAGGGGCTGGGCGCTGCAAGGCTGCAGGAAGGAGAGGCTGAGGGCTGCAAGGCTGCAGGAGGGAGAGGCTGGGCTGCAAGGCTGCAGGAGGGAGGGGCTGGGGGCTGGTGCCCTCCTGTGGGCTTCTTGTGGATGAGCATTGCCTGTAAGGTCAGCCACCAACCACAATGCCCCTTCATCCAGGTAGACAGTGCCCTGCCATTGGAGTGATTGGAGCTTGTTTACTGTGTGTTTTTCAACACTTGCAGAACCAACCTCATGGCACCCCTGCTCCCATCCCAAGCCCCAGAGATGCCAGCACCAGCTGAGCAATGCCCCTTCTTAGAGCTCTAGGTCCCAAGCCCTGTGATCCTAAGTTTGAGTTAGTCCAACCTCTTCTCTTCATTTCCCAAGTTCTAGGAGAAGCAGAAACGTTTTGCAGCTGCTACCTCTGTGACAGGCACTTCAGGACTGCTCTTATGCAGTGTTACCCAGTCAACCACATTATACCTAGCCGACCATTCTTCACATGCTTCTCTCTGCTCAAATAACCAGCAGAGTGCCTTGCTCCAGAGTGGTGTGGACTAAGACACTGGACGCTCCCCTGCCTCTCCCAGGCAGCCCTTGTACGCCATGGGGCTGACCCCTGCTTTCTCCTAACATGGGATCTGTTTCTGCTCCCTGAATGATGAGCAGTTCTAGGGCCTTAGGGCAGGAGAGGAGGAGTGGGCTGGGGCTGCACAGGAGGTGAGGTCCACGACCCTCCCTGCTAGGACCAGGTGTTGGCACTGGCTGTCACAGCTGTGGGGGCGGTCAAGGATGGGAATGTCACAAACAGGCCCTCCTCTGAGCTCCCATCCCAGGAGCCCTCCTTTCACTTCACTGGGTACTCCCTAAGCACTGTGTGAATCCTCACCTCAACATGGAAACCAAGAGTGGGGCCAGTCCTGTGTTCCAGCTAAGAGGCCTCTGCCTGAATGGGCAGGGTGAGGGCTGGGGCTGGCCACTGGAGCACTGAAGCTCCAGAGCCTGCTTGGGATGGTGCTTTCCTCCAGGGGTCCTGAGCAAGCAAGTTCAGGGAAGGACAAACCTTCTCTTTCCTGGGGGTAAAACCTGCTCCAGTCCTGATGGACGCTCTCCTCAGAGTGACACATGAGCCTGTGAGCCCAGGAACCCTCACAGCGCGGCAGCCACGCGGGGGCTGCAGACCTCCAGAGGCCTCCACGGGGTCCCAGGCACAGAGCCCTGGGTTATTCCTGGGGGCAGCAGGCTTCCACAGGGGGCCACTGCTCTCATTCCCAGCCACAAAGACCTTCTGCAGGTGGCCTCCAGATCATGAGCTGCTGCTGCCACTCAGATGAGATGAGACAGGAGGGCTCAGGCGACCATATGGTAGGAGCCCACCAGCCACAGTGGGGAGCTGGCTCACCCCGCTGAGGCCCTGAAGAATGAGGCTCCAGGGAAAGAAGGAAGCAGACATGGCGGTCTGGGGACACCAGTGAGAGCGTGAGCTGTAGGTGACATGGCCCTGACCTGGGGTCTGTGACACAGGCTGTCAGGAGGTGACCCGACACACTCAACATGGCTCATTTTCCCACTGCTTCCCTTCTCAGGAGGTTCCTGCCTGATATTAACCAGGTGAGGTGTCACCCTCTGTCTCTAGGTTCCCTTAAATGAGCCCTGAGCAGAAGCCTGGTGCCCCCATTCCCCTTTCCTTTATGCTGCCTGTCCCTGCAGGTGGGACTGGGTCCGGCATAGGTGGCCCCCCACATAGCTGCCAGGGAAGGTCACCAGGTGTCGGGCAAGAGGAGGGCTTCACAGAGAGGCCAGCTTCCAGGCACCATTAGGGACAAGCCCCACACTTGTCCTGCCCAGTCAGCTGGAAGACCTTGGGGAGGAGGGGAGGAGGTGTTAATTGCCTTTGTCGCACCCTGGCAGAGGGACACGTGCCGTGAGCAAGCTCTCCTCCTGTGTCTCCCACCAATGTAAGGATGTCAGCCCCTTCTGCACAGCCTCCCACTCGGGAGGTACTCTAATTTAGAGTTAGGAGAAATGTGAACTGTTTGTGTTGTCACCAAGACAAAATGTGGCTCTGTGAGGTCAGAGACAGTTTCGTAGGACATCAGAGTCATGCTCCACCTCCGATGCTATTGCGCTGGGTGCGTTTCTGGGCAGAGGCCCTTTTTGGTGCTCGTAGGCACAGCTGCACCTGAGCCAAGACACAAGCCAGGCAGGCCCAAGGGGCAAGGAGTCCAGGCTGCCTCTCTGCCTGCAGGGAGCGGAGACTGACTCTTGAGACACAGCAGGGCTGTGAAACTGGCTGTTCTATTGTGGGAGAAGGTCCCAATGGAGGTGCACATTTGAGACTCAAATAGCCCAGGGCAGGGAGCGGGATCCCCTCCTGTGCCTCTGAGGTTCTGACAGCCTCCAGAAGGGCAACGCTGCCAGGCTCTGCCTCCAGCTACTCCCTGTGACCGCCACTGCCCTCCCCACCCTGCCCACCTACCAGACGTGCAGGGTGGGGGCAGCTGTGAACACCCGCAGTTTGTGCAGCAGGGGTGGGGGCTTCAGAGGGCCCACGTGCAAGGGGGGCAGAGGGGCTCTGCCCGTGGGAAGACTGACACCACGTATTTTAAGGCCTAAAACGGGAAAAACAACTGCAGGTAACATGCGCAGCGGTGCCCGGGGGTCTTCCACACACCTGACTCAACCTACACAGATGCAAGCGCGGGTCGCTCACCCAGCGGTCACATGCACTCCGTTTCCAGACAAGCAGCCGGGGAGCCCCAGCTGAATCCGCATCCTCGGTTACTCGCAGAGACGCGCCATTTTGGCCTCCCCCCTCGCCCCCGCAGCCCCCACTCCCCACAGGGCACAGAGGACAGAAGGACCCTGTGACACACGTGCCACCACGCCCCTCAGGCACCCGCTCGGCGACACCCCCGGACCAGGCCCTGGTAGTGAGCACATGGGGTGGAAGGAGGCCTTCCCTCCGCGACCAGTGCGGAGGCCGCGGGTGGCAACGGCTGGAGTGCCGTCGCCCGCGCCACTCACCCCGGCGCGGCGCCCTGCGCGGCCGCTCAGCGGAAGGCCAGCAGGAAGATCAGTACGACGTTGATGAGAACCAGGAGCGCCAGCACGGCGGAGACCACCACGCGCTGGGCGCCGGGGGGCAGGTTGCAGCGCAGCAGGGCGCGCAGGGCGTTCCCGGGCGCCGCGGGGCCGCGCCGGGGCTGCGGGGCCCTCGCCATGGCGCCCGGCCTCCCGCTCCGTGCGGCCCCGAGATCCCGCCGCACAGGGCCGAGCCGGTGGCCCGCAGCGCCCGGGGAGAGGCGGGGCGCCTGCGCTCGCGGGCCTGGGGCTCCTCCCGCGAAGCCGGCGCCGTGCGCGCGGCGCCTCCCAGGCCCCAAGCCCTGGCAACCCTGGCAACCAAGCCGGCTGTGCGGGCGGGGGCGGCGGCGGCGGCGGGCTGGAGAGGCTCAGAGGGACCGCGGCGGCTCGGGCGTGCGCTGCGCTGCGCCCTTGGCACCTCCTTGGAAAGGGTCGGGAATCTCCACGCCGGCACAGCAGTCCTGGCCCTGGGCTGGCCAGTGGCACAGATGGCCACGGGGGCGCTCGGGGATGCCCCGGGACCTCCTCGTTTCAGAGATACAGAGGCCAAAACGCCTGGCACCGGCGCTTTGGGGAGGGATGGGCCAGGGACTCTGATTCCTTACAAGGACTGGCCGCAGGCCCCCACTTCACAGATGAGTAAACGTGGCTCTGAAAGGTTAGGGATTCTGCTCAGTCATAAAATCGCGCAGGAATGCAGGGATGGCGGAGGCAGGATTTAAACTCCGGTGGGAGCGATCCACCCTGAGGGGCCCCTCTTCACTGACCGCAGCGTCCGAGCAGCATTGTGTTCCTTTGGAAAAGCCAGGCGTCCAGGGCTTCCTCTGCCTCCACTCGACACAGCCTGCAACCTTAACCCTGTAGGTTTCAAAGCTCTTGTGCAAGAGCTCTCATTCTATCCTTAAGAATGACAGCCCAGGTACAGTCAGTGTGTCCTTCTGAGAGATAAGAAGACTGCAGGGGAGAGGGCTAAACACTCCGCTCAGGCATGGGCAGAGATTTCTGGGCAACAAGCTCAGTGCTTTGAATCCTGGAGCAAGAAGAGTTCCTGGAGGGCAGGGAGGGGCGCACAGAGGGAATGTGTGCAGACTGGGTGTTCCCATGGGAGTGACTTTGTATGCTCTGATCTCTCTGTGTGTGGCCAGCTCTTGGCCACCCCTTGCAAAGATAGGTGAGTGTACCCTGAATGTCACCATCCTGTTGACTGTAAAGCAGAGTGGATGCCACATGTGTGTGCATGTGTGTACACAAGGGGTACCTGTGTGTGCATGGGCATAGGCACCTCTGTGTAAGGGGATACCTCTGTGTGTATATACATATGGGTACCTGTGTGTATGTGGGTGGGGTTTCCATGCATGTGCCTATGTACAACATGTGGGTGCCCGTGTGTGTGTGCAGAGAAGTGTCAGGGATGTGTCCAGAGAGGCTGTGTGCCTCCCTCACATCTGAAGGTTCAGCCTGGGCCCATCCGCCTGGTGTACTGCTCATGCCCAGTTCTTTAGAAAACGCTGGTCTGCAGGTTTGCTCCCCCAAGCTGTCAGGAGAATTGGGGGGATCAGAAGACATCTAAAGTCTCGCTGGTACCCCCAAATCCCAGCAGTCCTCTAGTAAGATGGTGATGTGTCCTCTCATGGGGTGTGGCTTCGAACCCCTGACGTGTGGATGCTTCATTGTGCACCTGTGGCCTCTGAACAGCTGGCCACCCAGAAGGGTACATGTCCTCTGGGCCCTGGGTACAGTGGGTCGGTGAGCTGGATGGCCGGCAAAGGCACTGAGTGCTGGAGGGTCTACAGCAGCCTGCTCGGCCACTGGGCCAGGCCTGGGCAGGCAGGGGTTGGTTCTTCAGCCCCAGCTGAGTGCTGCGCACATCCTCTGCCCCATGCACAGCAGGGCAGCCTGGGGAGGACTGAAGGTGGCTGAAGCACCCCTGACTGAGGACTGAGCAGGGTCCTTCTCCCTGCCTAGGGGCCCCCAGCCTCTATATCCCAGAGAGCTGGGTTTATGGCAGGAACGGCAGTGGTAACAGCTTTCCTATGTGAGTTTCATGACCAAAAACCTAACAGAAAAGCTTGAAGGCAGACAGGGTGTGGTGGCTCACAACCTGTAATCCCAGCACTTTGCGAAGCCAAGGCGGGCAGATCGCTTGAGCTCAGGAGTTCGAGACCAGCCTGGGCAACATAGTGAAACTCCATCTCTACAAAAGATACACATATTAGCCAGGAGTGGCGGCATGTGCCTGTAGTCCCAGCTACGAGAAAGACTGAGGTGGGAGGATCACTTGAGCCTGGGAGGTGGAGGTTGCAATGAGCCAAGATTATGCTTCTGTACTCCAGCCTGGGTGACAGAGTGAGACCCCGTCTCAAAAAAAAAAAAAAAAAAAAAAGAAAAAAGAAAAGAAAAGAAAAGAAAGCTTGAAGGCAAAGGCCTAGGCCCTTGAGGGGTTGGACAGACAGCTCCCACCAGGGAGGGGAGTGGCCCAACTAGGCTGGTGGCAGGACTGAGGTGCAAGCAGAAGGGAGACATAGGTGTCTGGGGCAGATGAGGGGTGAGCCCCCAGTGCTGTGGCTTTGGGAGGACAAAGGGAAGAGGAAAGCCACTTTGGAGGGGCTGGCCACCAGGTGACCTTGCAGCCCTGCGCAAAAGTGGCAGCAGTGGCCCCAAGGGACTGTGAGCTGCTCCTGCCCCGCCTCATGGAGCACCTAAGCCCAGCTTGCTGTCCAGCCTAATGAGGATGAGTACAAGGTATCTGCAGCACTGACAGCCATCAGGCTCCTCCCTGGGGCTGAGGAGGGGGAATAAGAGCCAGGTCAGGACTGGGGAGGGATGTCCAGCGGCACGGGAACTCAGGGAAGACAAAAACACCTGGAGCGAGTCAGAGTGACTCCATGAGGGGTGACCAAGAGCTGGCCTCATGTCCTATAGCATCCTCGGGTTGTCTCATGGAGAATGCCAGGAGAGCAAGGGCAGTGACCCTGCCCTGGGGACATCTGTCCCCAGGCCGGACCTGGCTCTTGTTCCCCCTCCTCGGCCCCACAGAGGAGCCTGATGCCTATCAGTGCGCCAGACACCTCGTGCTCATCCTCACCAGGCTGGAAGACGAGCTGGGCTTAGGCACTCCATGAGGTGGGGCAGAAGCAGCTCACAGGATGCTGCAAGACATGAGGCAGGGGACAGGCTGCTGTTCACAGGTGCCAGTGGGCAATGGGAGACCCTAGACCTCCCCAGCAGGAGCCAGGCCGTCCTCTCCCCTGGTCACATCATGGCTCGCACTGGCAGCACTGCCCACACGGTGGTGGTGGTGGGGAGGGAGCTGGGTGGTCACTCTCACTGACAGGCGCTTCTGGCTTTAGCTTCAGAAAAAGTCCAGGGGGCTTAGGGTGGCCTCAGGCCTGACTGCAGGGGCACAGTGCAGCCCAAGAGAGTCAAGGGGGAGGGCGAGGAACTGGGCAGACAGGCCCAGGCCTGGGCCATGGCCTTGGGGGTAGGCCCTAGAGGGGCCAGTGCTGGAAGAAGAGAGTACACTCCTGGGCACTGAAAACACTCAGCGTCTGCATTCCTTAATTTGCCTGGCAGGGACTGGACACTCACGAGGGGCAGGGCACAGGGAACTCAAGGAATGCAGAAGGAACGAGACATTGTGCCTGTTTGCACGTTCCTCAGGCCCATATGGGACAATGCAGGGGCCCACACAGACACGGCCTGTGGGCAGCTCCCTGCAGGCAGGACTATGGCTTCTGCACAGCTGCATCCTAGGACCTGGTGCGTCCCTGACGCAAGTACTCACTACACACGTTACATGTATGCAACACACACCCACACCCTTTATGTACAGCACGTGCACACACATCTGTGTGCAAGCATAAAAATCACTCCTCATGTACCTGGAATGCAAACTGCCTCGCGGCTCTGCCCCGAGTGGGCCGCTCTCCAGGCCAGAGGGTTTGCATTCGTTCTGCTTAGGAAATTGCAAGGTGGTTTCCCCTTCTGAGGGAGGCATCTGGCTAAATTGTGACCCTTTCTTGTTCATGTTGATGTCAAACATCTTAGATATTCCTTGGCCAAAGCATCTTAGAATGAACAACTTGTCAAGGAACTGAGAGCTCAAAAAGATAAGAAAGGGCCACAATTTAGCCCCTACATATTCTTAGAAAATAGAAGTGAATGTGTGATTTTAGGGCAAGCCAAATATTATTTAGTAAGGACTTTTTTCTGACACCTGTTGCTTTGCTCATCTCTAGATATTAAAGTCACGCTAACCCCCAGCAAAGCTTCTGGCTGAGCCCGTGGGAGTGCTGCCCTGAAGGCCCGGGAACTGGCCTGTCGCAGGACAATCACTTCTTATCTTTTCAGTTTCTGATGAGTGAGTCCACTTAATGCTTCTGGCGGCTCCTAACAGGCAGGCACCACCTTTCCTGAGTCTGCAGTGCAAGCTAGGCACAGTGAGGGCTCCGGTGTCACATCCACCCACAAAACACAGAGATGGCCTTGCTGCAGCGCTGTGCTGGACCCAGAGAGGCCTCCAAGCCCAGGCCTGCCCTTCTTACTGCCTCTCTCAGGACAGCCTTTCTACATGAGGATCTGGAAGCACTGGTAGCCTTCATGAGGCGCGTGGATGCCATCTGGGACAGGAGCCAGCCTCCCCAGCACCAGCCTGCAGCATCGCAGGAGACGGGCTCCCTCTGCCTGACTTCCTGCTCTCCTCTGTGATGTGTGTGTCCTTCTCCCTGGGGACACGCGCCCTAAACGTTAAGGCAAAGCAGCAACACTCCGTCTGCTCAGCAACCTCCAATGCCAGGAGAGACCTCTGAACCAAACAGGACCAAACAGGCGCTTACACAATCCAAATCTAAATTGCCTGCCTTTCCCTCAGAAAGATGACAGAGCCTCATTTTTTGGGTTATTTTTTCAGAGAAGTCCTGGCTCTTGGCCTTTCTCGGCCAAAGCATCTTAGAATGAACAACTTGTCAAGGAACTCAGAGCCCAAAAAAACACCTCTTCGCCAGCAGCAAGATGTGACAATCCATAATTTTATCCTCAGGTAGGAGACACACAACTATGAAATGCAGACACAAGATCAACGCAGCCATAAGGCCAGCCATGGAACCCCCACCTCTCCGGAGTCCTGAGGGCTTTGGTTGGGATGATCACCCTCGTGGTTGGAGATGTACTGAGAGCTCACCCTGCTGGGTGTGTGCAGTCAGTTACCATCAGCCCTGCACAGCCTCACACCATCTGGTGTCACAGCCATGTGAACCAGCTCAAACGGTCACTGCTCAGTGCTCCATGCCCCACATCTGACAGGCCCCCTCGGGGTCCCCCTGCTGGACCGAGCCCCAAGATGGAGGAGGCAGCCTGAGTCTTCCAGAGAAAGTACAACTGGCCGAGTGTGGTGGCTTACGCTTGTAATCCCAGCACTTTGGGAGGCTGAGGCGGGCAGATCACCTGAGTTCAAGAGTTTGAGACTAGCCTGGCGAACATGGTGAAACCCTGTCTCTACTAAAAGTACAAAAATTAGCCAGGTGTGGTGGCGGGCGCCTGTAATCCCAGCTACTTGGGAGGCTGAGGCAGGAGAATCACTTGAACCTGGGAGGCGGAGGTGGCAGTTAGCCGAGACCACTGTGCCAATGCACTCCAGCCTGGGCGACAAGAGTGAGACTCCATCTCAAAAAAAAAAAAAAAAGGAAAAGCACAACCATTCCTTGTGAATTCTGCTTCAGGTGGCATCATTTCAGAACACCTTCCATCCCAAGTAGCTTACGAAGAGGCACTTAAAAAGAAAGGTTTTGTTGGGAAAGCTTATTTACATGTTTATTTTTTATGCACCATGGATTTTGAGTAGCGCATTATTTAACGACTGTTTTATTTTTATTTTTGAGATGGAGTTTCACTCTGTTGCCCAGGCTGTAGTGCAGTGGCACGATCTTGGCTCACTGCAACCTCTGCCTCCCAGGTTTAAGCTATTCTCCTGCCTCAGCCTCTCGAGTAGCTGGGATTACAGGTGCCCGCCACCATGCCTGGCTAATTTTTGTATTTTTAGTAGAGATGGGGTTTCAGTGTTGGCCAGGCTGGTCTTGAACTCCTGATCTCAGGTGATACACCCGTCTCAGCCTCCCAAAGTGCTGAGATTATAGGCGTGAGCCACCATGCCCGCCCTTAATGACTGTTTTAAATCATCATCTAGAGCTGGGCCTCTAGGAGGAGTTCATGGGCCTTTGATTCCACTCCTCTGTCCAGTGGGTAAGGAGGACGCCACCCTCCTCACTGGCTTCTGAGAAGCCCCCCAACTCATTCATTCACAGAAAAGTCTAACTCTTCCAAAATTGATCTCTTCTTAAGGAAAAACCTGTGTGCTATAAGATCCTGGGTTGTCAGAGTCCAGTTTTAATGAAGCAGAAACACACCAGTACCTCCTGACTAGAGAACATGGCATTTGCTATGGGCATGTGCTTGTGCTGGTCAACTGGTTACACTTCCATGACGTTCAACAACACCCTCCAGTTAAGTAAAAGAGGCTGAGAAAGTAGGAGGGTGAGTGAGAAAGAGAGGGGCGTTAAAGCATCACGATTCCTCTCTTATTGGGAATGCAAAGGGAGAACTCAGATGGGAACCAGTTTTGCCTGGATGAGGATTCTCATGGATTTCTTCTGCTTCAGTAGGAATAGCAAAAACACAGCAACTTGCACGCAGTTGTCATAGCAACAGCAATACTTCTGAACTCCTGTTGTCAGGAGAGAAAATGGTTTTTCCCTCAACTTGTTCCCAGCCTGCCCAGATGGCTGGTTGGGGGGTCAGGGGCTGGAGTGACTGGAGAAGCCCTAGCCTCCCTTCTACTAAGTAGGACTCCTCCAGCTGGGATGGCTCTTGACAGCTGCTCACTAGGACAGCCCCATAAGGTGGACCAGCACGCTGGCATTGCATCTGCTCTGTGGGCCTCAGGAGGGCACAGGGAGTCCTGTGTTGGACAAACCGTGCTCTT
Organism: Homo sapiens; assembly: GCF_000001405.40. Lineage (NCBI taxonomy): Eukaryota > Metazoa > Chordata > Mammalia > Primates > Hominidae > Homo > Homo sapiens. Next base: position 131,028,255 of record NC_000002.12, on the reverse strand, counting down.
GACACCACATCCCAAATGAGGACTGCAGGCTGAAACTGCGCTGTGTATGGCCAGCACCACCAGCAGCCACATGGAACGTGGACTGTGGGCATCTGGCCTGCATTAGCGTGCTGGAATCTAGCCTGTAGCCCCAGCCTGTCCCTCCCTCTGCCCGTGCAGCCCTGACCCTACCTCATTGATAGCCAGCTGCTCCCCACCCCCTCCAGGGTGGCTGTAGTGGTGGCTGGAGCTGTGCAGGTCATCATACAGGTCCTCCTCGCTCCCCACTTCGTCAGCGCAGACAGCTGTGTCCAGAGCTCCATCAGGCATGGCTGGAAGGAGAGACAGCAGCTGGGCAAAGGGGGCTGGGCTGGGAAGGGCTGAGGGGAGAACACGTGGAGAAGGAGCCCAGTGGGTTCAGGACAAATGCTTCTTCTGCAGGGGGAGCGTGCAGGTTGCAGGGCTAGGTTCTCAAACCATCCTTGCCACAAACATGTGGCCTGGGTGAAAGAATGCACCAACTCACTCACACCACCACCATTAGTCACCCATCACCCAGTCTACAGCAACTTGGCTGACAAGGAAACATAAGTATTCACCATCACACAGCTCGAGAGCCCCTTAGGTTGTATTCAGTGACAAACCATTTTCCATTGTGTTGGCTATAGTATAGGCCCTTAGGAAAAATGTTAACATTTTGTTATGCAATATATATGTGTGTATTCAAAGAAAACATAGTTACATACATGCAAATATGGTTTGAAATTTAATACAATGAACAGTCCTGATACCCATCACTCTACTTAAGAAAAACACCAGAAACTTGACCTTCCATATCTTGTATACTCCATTCCAGTCCCATTCCCATCTCCCTCCTGTAGAGATATTCAAGAGTTAGAACTTGTAATAAATCATTCTCATGCCTTTGTCTTAGCATTTAGTTCTGTCAGTTATGCTAAGTTTTGACCTTGTCTAAAGGGATCCAGCAAATCCACTCTTCTCTGGCTGGCTCTTTTCACTCAACTGTGTGTGTAGCTGTGATTGTTTCATTTTCACTGCCACACAGTCTTGTGTTGTACGAGTCTTTCACATTTTGTGTGTTGGCTGTACTGCTGGAGCAGGGTGGGTCATTCCCTGTGCTGCTGTGGTGGTGCTGCTGGACAGTGTCTGCATGCCTCCTGGGCATGCGTTGGAGGGTTTCTCTAGGACATTGTTTCTCAACCCTGCTTTCATGACGGCCCCACTAAGGAGCACGTTGTTTTCCTAATCCTTTCCTGCCCCTATGAAATCAATACCACAAATGTATTGTGTATTGCTTACGCAATGTGGCATTCTGGAGAGCCATAAACCATCATAATAGCTAAGATATTTGTCCAGTTGGGGAAAATCACCACCCCTGGTGTGAATTCACACTGCTGAGTGTAGACGCCTAGGTGTGTGTGGCCCTGCTGGGTCCTAGGCACACCAAATAGTTTCCCAGAACCTGAAAGCGGCGCAAGAATGTTCCATCCCTCCACATCCCAGCCAGCTCTTGTGATTGGCATTACGAGACATTTAAATTCTTGAGTCTAATGGGTATGAAATGGTATCTTACTGTGATTTTAATTGACATTTTAGATTACTAATGAGTTGACCTTTTATCTATGGGCCATTTATATTTTCCTTTAATGTGAAGTGTTTATGAGTTTTACCCATTTGTCTATTGAATTGCTTATCTTTAACATATCATTGACATAAAAATATGTATGTATTCATGTATGTATGTATACACACACATTCCTTTCCTCACTTCTAGATACCTCCGTCACTCAGATGTGCCACAACTATCTCCTCCCAGTTTGTGGCTTGTTACTATTTTTAAGGTGCCTTTTGAAGAACGGAAGTCCTTAATTTTAATATAGACAAATCTGTCAATCTAGTCCTATTTGGTGTATGTTTTCTGTGTCTAGGAAATTCTTTCCAACCTCAGTCATAATGATATTCTTCTCTGTTATCCTTTAATGTTTTATAACTTTTCTTTTGATATGTATGCTGTTAATCCACCTGGAAATGATTTTTGTGGTATAGAGTGAGGTTGGAAACCAATTTCTTTCTTCTGTAAGGATAATAAATGGTCTTGGCACCATTCATGGAATGGGCAGTCCTTTCCCATGGACCTACAATGTCTGCTCTGTCCTTGAGTTGAGATTCTAGATAGCTGGGTCTGCATCTGGACTCTCTTCTTGCAGGAGGCACAATAATGGTCTCCAAAAGATGAAAAGATGGCATCTCCAGAGCCTGTGAATATGTTATGTTACGTGAGGAATTAAAGAGGAATTAAGGTTGCAGATGAAACCAGGGCTGCTAATCAGCTGACCTCAAAATAGGAAGATTATCTTGGATTATCCACATGGGCCCAACATAGGTGAAAATATGAACTTTGAAGACTCTTTTCAGACATTTTCTCGTCTGTGAGAGTCCCATCCATGACTCTTATCTTACTCTCAGGGAGCTTGAACAGGCAACTCTCACAGAAGGAAACGCATCCCTGTACACTATGTTGGTCTGACTCCCCCCAACCAGATAGACTCTGAGCTCCTTGAAGGCAGGAGCCATGACTTATTTGTTAATGTCGTAATGTCGACGTTTAGGAAATGTTAAGTAAATAAATGAGTAAACAGATGGATGGAAGAAACACATAAATGGTGATGAAACAGATGAAGAAACCAATGGAAGGATGAACACTTGAACAGATGGAAGCTGGGAGGATGACTGGGGTGGCAAATGGCAAGTTCCTTAAAAGTGGAGCCCAAAGGCCTGGCAGAGCCAACATCAGGAACAGTTAAAGCTCCACATGTGTCCCCAGAACTGACCTGGGAAACCCTCAGGGATATGGTTTGGATTTGTGACCCTGCCCAAATCTCATGTTGAATTAAAGGTGTGGCCTGGTGGAAGGTGATTGGATCATGGGGGCGGATTTCCCCCTTGCTGTTCTCGTGATAGTGAATGAGTTCTCATGAGATCTGATCGTTTAAAAGTATGCAGCACTTCCCCCTTTGCTCACTCTCTCTCCTGCTGCCATGTGGTGAAGGTACTTGCTTCCCCTTCACCTTCCGCTGTGATCTAAGTTTCCTGAGGCCTCCCTGTCATGCGTCCTGTGAAGCCTGTGGAACTGTGAGCCAATTAAACCTCTTTCCTTCATAAATTACCCAGTCTCAGGTATTTTTTTATAGGACTGTGAGAATGGACTAATACACTCTGTCTCCGACCTGGAGGCAGTGGCCAGAACCCAGCTTGCAAGCAGGAGCCAAGGGCCTTCTGCTAACCTTGTACACAGCTACAAGTCCCTAGGAACACTCATGATTTTTATTTCATTTATGTTTAAAAACTTCTATTATGGAAAGTTTCAAAAGTACACAAAAGGAGAGAAAATAGTATAAGGAACGTTGTATATTCATTGTCCAGCTTCAACAGTTCTCAACATGTGGCCACTTTTGTTTCATCATCTAATTCCCCTCCCGACTGGATGGTTTTTAGGGCAAATCTAAGATACAATATAATTTCATCTGTAAACACCAGAGCATATGTTTCTGAAACGTAAGGATCCCATCTCTCTTTCTTTAAAAAACATAACCACGATACACATCTAAAACAAACTGCAATCCACCAAAAGTTGTCAAATTGCCATACCTTCTCCCCTAGGGTCTTAAAATATGTTTTTATTGGCAGGTGCGGTGGCTCACGCCTGCAATCCCAGCACTTTGGGAGGCTGAGGCAGGCAGATCATAAGGTCAGGAGATCAAGACCAGCCTGGCCAGCATGGTGAAATCCTGTCTCTACTAAAAATACAGAAAATTAGGCGGGCATGGTGGCACACACCTGTAGTCCTAGCTACTCAGGAGGCTGAGGCAGGAGAACTGCTTGAACCCAGCAGGCGGAGGTTGCAGTGAGCTGAGATCGCTCCACTGCACTCCAACCTGGGCGATGGAGCAAGATTCTGTCTCAAAACACCCCCCGCCCAAAAAACAAAACAAAACAAAACAAAAGATGTTTTATTGTGAAATGACTGTAGAGTCACAGGGCATACCACTATAGTACAGACGGCACTGTGCACCCTCCATCCAGTTTCCGTCAATGGTCTAGCTTTCATAAGTCCAGTATGATCTCATAGCCAAGAACCTGACTTTAGTACAATGTGTGTGTATAGGCGTATGGCACTGTATCACCAGTGCAGATCTGCACAGCCACCAGAGCAACCTGTATGTAGGCTTTTGAGGTTGGCTTTTTCACTCAGCCAAATGTCCTGCACTCTATCCCAGCTGCTATGTGTATTAATACTCCATTCCTTTTTACTGTTGAGTCATATTCCATGTCATTCCATGGAATTCCATGGCATTCCATGCCACTGTTGGTTTAACCATTCACCTGTTTAAGGATATGTGGATTGTTTCCAACTATTCCTATTATGAATACAGCTGCTATGATAATTCACCAGCAGGGGTTTGTGTGAACATAAGTTTTCATTTCTCTGAGATAAATGCCCAGGAGTGTAATTACTGGGTCAGATGGTAGTTGACTACTTAGCTTTTAAGAAACTGCCAAACTATTTTCCAGAGTGGTTGTGCTATTTTACGTTCCTATTACTCTCAATGTCTCAGAGATCACTTTCTCTGAATCTTCAGCAGCATTTGGTATTGTCACTATTTTATATTTTAGGTATTCTGATAGGTGTATAGTGATATCTCATCATGGTGTCAATTTTCATTTCCTGAAAGGCTGACGATGTTGAACATCTTTTCATGTGCTTACTTGCCATATATCCTCTTTGGTGATATATCTCTTTATGTCTTTTGCCTATTTTTTTTAAGATGAGGTCTTGCTTTGTTGCCTAGGCTGGAGTGCAGGGGCATGATCATGGCTCACTGCAGCCTCAAACTCCTGAGCTCAAGGGATCCTCTCACCTCAACCTCCTGAGTAGCTGGTATTACAGGCTCACACCACCACACTTGCCTAATTTTCTGGAAAAACTTTCGTAGAGATGGTGTCTCGCTATGTTGCCCAGGCTAGTCATGAGCTCCTGGCCTCAAGTGATCCTCCTGCCTCAGCCTCCCAAAGTGCTGAGATTACAAGTGTAAACCATCATGCCTTGCCCTCTTTTGCCTATTTAATAATTGGTGTTTTAATGTTGAACTTTGAAAGTTCTTTTTTTTTTTTTTTTTTTTTGAGACAGGGTTTCACCATGTTGCCCAGGCTGGTCTTGAACTCCTGGGCTCAAGTGATCCTCCCACCTCAGTTCCCAAGTAGCTGGGATCACAGGCTTGTGCTACCACAGCTGGCTCAGAGAGTTCTTTATATATTTGAGTTATTTGTCAGATAAGAGGTTTGCGAGTATTTTCTCTCAGTCTGTAGCTTATCTTTTCATTGCCTTAAAAAGGGTTTTCATAGTGCCAAAGTTTAAAATTGTTATAATGTTCAATTTCTCAAATTTTCCTTTTATGAGTCATGCTTTTGGTGTCATGTCTAAGAACTCTTTGCCAAACCCTAGTTCTCAAGGATTTTCTCTTAATGTTTTCTTCTAAAAGTTTTACATGGAAATCTACAATTCATTTTGTGTGTGGGGTTTTTGTTTTTTTTTTTTTTGTATAATGTGTGAAGCTTAAGTCAAGGTTCATTTTCATCACCTATGGATGGTCTAATGGTATTATTTCTGGCATCATTTGTGAAAAGAATATCATTTCTCCACCGAATTGCTTTTGTACCTTTGTAAAAAATCAAAAGTTTTGATGAGCAAAGTAAGACATGACTACCTATTTTACAGAAATAAAAATGATTATGAGAATACCATGAACTGTTGTACAATAGCAAATTAAATAAACTAGATGAAATGGAAAATTTCTAGAAACACATAATCTACCAAAACTGACTCAAGAAGAAATAGGAAATCAGAATAGATCTATAATTGGTAGGGAAATTGAAGAGTAATAAAAAAAACTTCCAATAAAGAAAAGCCCAGGGCCAGATGGCTTCTACCATCTGGTAGTGAATTCTACCAAATATTTAAAGTATAATCAACACCAATTCTTCTCAAATTCTTCCAAAAATATTGAAGAGGAAGGAATACTTCCCAACTCATTCTATAACATCACTATTGCTTTGATAATAAACCCAGACAAAGAAACTACAAGAAGACTACAGACTAATATCCCTTATGAATATAGATGCAAAAATCCTCAACAAAATACTAGGAAATGGAATTCAGCAGCATATTGAAAGGATTATATATCAGGACCAAATGGAATTTATTTCTGGAATACAAGGAGGGGTCAACATAGGAGAGCAAATCAATATAATACACTAAATTAACAGAATGAAGGAAAAATACATGATTATCTCAATCTATGCAGAAAAAGCATTGACCAAGTTTTTACGATAAAACATTCAATAAACTAGAAATAGAAGGAAAAGTCCTCAATGTGATAAAGGCCACATATGAAAATCTCACAGCCAACATCATACTCAGCGATGGAAGACGGAAAGCTGTATCACTAAGATGAGGAACGAGACAAGGATGCCTGCTTTCTCCACTTCTATTCAACATAGTACTGTAAGTCCTGGTGAGACCAGTCAAGAAAAAGAAATAAAGAAGCTCTTTAGTTTAATTAGATCCCATTTGTCAATTTTGGCTTTTGTTGCCATTGCTTTTGGTGTTTTAGTCATGAAGTCCTTGCCCATGCCTATGTCCTGAATGGTAATGCCTAGGTTTTCTTCTAGGGTTTTTATGGTTTTAAGTCTAACATTTAAGTCTTTAATCCATCTTGAATTAATTTTTGTATAAGGTGTAAGGAAGGGATCCAGTTTCAGCTTTCTACATATGGCTAGCCAGTTTTCCCAGCACCATTTATTAAATGGGGAATCCTTTCCCCATTTCTTGTTTTTGTCAGGTTTGTCAAAGATCAGATAGTTGTAGATATGGGGCATTATTTCTGAGGGCTCTGTTCTGTTCCATTGGTCTATATCTCTGTTTTGGTACCAATACCATGCTGTTTTGGTTACTGTAGCCTTGTAGTATAGTTTGAAGTCAGGTAGCATGATGCCTCCTGCTTTGTTCTTTTGGCTTAGGATTCTGCACAGCAAAAGAAACTACCATCAGAGTGAACAGGCAACCTACAGAATGGGAGAACATTTTTGCAACCTACTTATCTGACAAAGGGCTAATATCCAGAATCTACAATGAACTCAAACAAATTTACAAGAAAAAAAACAACCCCATCAAAAAGTGGGCAGAGGATATGAACAGACACTTCTCAAACGAAGACATTTATGCAGCCAAAAGACACATGAAAAAATGCTCATCATCACTGGCCATCAGAGAAATGCAAATCAAAACAATGAGATACCATCTCACACCAGTTAGAATGGCGATCATTAAAAAGTCAGGAAACAACAGGTGCTGGAGAGGATGTGGAGAAATAGGAACACTTTTACACTGTTGGTGGGACTGTAAACTAGTTTAACCATTGTGGAAGTCAGTGTGGCGATTCCTCAGGGATCTAGAACTAGAAATACCATTTGACCCAGCCATCCCATTACTGGGTATATACTCAAAGGATTATAAAACATGCTGCTATAAAGACACATGCACAGGTAAGTTTATTGCAGCACTATTCACAATAGCAAAGACTTGGAACCAACCCAAATGTCCAACAACGACAGACTGGATTAAGAAAATGTGGCACATATACACCATGAAATACTATGCATCCATAAAAAAGGATGAGTTCATGTCCTTTGTAAAGGGACATGGATGAAGCTGGAAACCATCATTCTCAGCAAACTATCGCAAGGACAAAAAACCGAACACCGCATATTCTCACTCATAGGTGGGAATTGAACAATGAGAACACATGGACACAGGAAGGGGAACATCACACACTGGGGCCTGTTGTGGGGTGGGGGGAGGGGGGAGGGATAGCATTAGGAGATATACCTAATGTTAAATGAAGAGTTAATGGGTGCAGCACACCAACATGGCACATGTATACATATGTAACAAACCTGCACATTGTGCACATGTACCCTAAAACTTAAAGTATAATAAATAAAATAAAATAAAGAAAAAGAATAAAGGACATCCACATTGAAAAGGAAAAATAAAATTATCTGTTTGCAGATGACATCTTCTTACATGTAGCATACCTTAAAGAATCCACAATAAAATTATTAAAGCTACTAAAATTCAGCAAGGCTACAGAATATAAATTAACACACAAAAATCAGTTTTATTTCTGTATATTTGCAATGAGTAATCTGAAAAGGAAACTTTTGAAAATTTCATTACAATAGCATTAAAAAGAATAAAATACTGGCCAGGCATGGTGGCTCACGCCTGTAATCCCAGCACTTTGGGAGGCCGAGGCGGGCGGATCACGAGGTCAGGAAATCGAGACCATCCTGGCTAACACAGTGAAACCCCGTCTTTACTAAAAATACAAAAAAATTAGCCGGCCGTGGTGGCAGGCGCCTGTAGTCCCAGCTATTCAGGAGGCTGAGGCAGGAGAATGGCATGAACCCGGGAGGCGGAGCTTGCAGTGAGCCGAGATCGCGCCACTGCACTCCAGCCTGGGCGACAGAGCGAGACTCCATCTCAAAAAAACAAAAACAAAAACAAAAACCAAAGAATAAAATACTTAGGAATAAACTTAACCAAGGAGGCCAAAGATGTGTAGAATAAAAGCTACAAAACATTGCTGGAAAAAAAAAAAAGCAAAGAAAGACGTCCCATGTTCATAAATTGAAAGTCTTAATATATTTAAGATGACAATACCACCTAAAGCAATCTGTGTATTCAATGCATTCCTATAAAAATCCAATGACTTTTTTTTTTTGAGACAGAGTTTCACTCTTGTTGCCCAGGCTGCAGTGCAATGGCACGATCTCAGCTCACGGCAACCTCCGCCTCCCGGGTTCAAGCGATTCTCATGCCTCAGCCTCCCAGGTAGCTGGGATTACAGGCATGTGACACCACACCGAGATAATCTTGTATTTTTAGTATAGACAGGGTTTCTCCATGTTGGTCAGGCTGGTCTCGAACTCCCAACCTCAGGTGATCCACCCACCTCAGCCTCCCAAAATGCTGAGATTACAGGCATGAGCCACTGCGCCCAGCCCCAGTGGCATTTTTTTACACACATAGAAAAATTCATCATTAAAATTCACATGGAATCTCAAGGGGTCCTGACTAGCCAAAATTATTTTGAAAAAAACAAAGTTGGAGGACCCGCATTTCCTGATTTCAAAACTTACTACAAAGTCACAATAATCAAATAATGTGGAAATGGCATAAGGATAGATATATAGACCAATAGAACTGAATAGAGGATCCAGAAATAAACCCTCCCATATGTGGTCAATTGATTTTCGACAAAGGTGCTAACACTGTGAGGGAAAAGACAGTCTTTACAGCGAACAGTGTTGGGAAGCTGGATATCCAAATGCAAAATAATGAAGTTAAACCCTTACCTAACACACATAAAAATTAACTCAAAATGGACAAAGTCCTAAATATAAAAGTTAAAACTATAATACTCTTAGAAGAAAACAGGGGAAAGCTTTACAGCAGTGAATCTGTAAATAATTTCTTGGATATAAGACCAAAAGCACAGGCAACAGGAAAAAAATAGGTAAATTGAACTGTATCAAAATTTAAATCTTTTGTGCATTAAAGGACAGTATCAAGAGAGAAAAGGCAACCCATAGAATGGAAGAAAATATCTGCAAATCATATATCTGATAAGGGAATAACATCCAGAATACATTTTTGAAAAACTCCCACAACTCAAAAAACAAAACAAACAAAAAACTCAAAAACTAGCCCAACTCAAAAATAGGCAAAGGATTTGAATAGACATTTCTTCAAAGAAGACATACGAATGGTCAATAGCATATAAATAAGGACATACGACATCACTAATCATTAGGGAAATGCAAATAAAAATCACAGCGGTATGCCAGTTCATCCTTAGTATGGTCATTACAAAAACAACAAGAATAACAAAATATGAAAATAACAATGGCATGTGGATTATACCACAATTGTTTAAACAACTGGTTGGCTGTACTTGTTTGGCACTATTTCTGGATTTTCTATTCTGTCCCATTGATCAATGTGTTCATCCACCTCTCATACCAAATAGTCTTGTTTTCTGTGGGTATAAAATAATTCTTGAAATTTGGTAGAGTGGTTCATCTTACTTAATTCCTCTTTTCAGAAATGTTTTAGCTATTCTTTTTTGTTTCCTCCCCTGGCCTCCTGTTTTAGCTATTCCTGTTCCTTTGCCTTTCCATATAAATTTTAGAATAATCTTGTCTATAGCTAGAAAAAAATCCTGCTGAGATTTTGATAGGAATTACATTAAACCTATGTATCAACTCGGAGACAACTGAAATCTTTACTCTGTTGAGCCCTCCCATCCATGAACACAGAATCTCTCTCCATATTTAGATCCTCTTTGATTTCTTTCAGTTCTCTGCTATTTTAAACAAGTCCCAGACATCACATAATTTGATCCGTGAATAGCATAGTATATGTCTTAAAAGGCAAGGCATCTCTTTCCCTTGCTCTCCCTCTCTGTCTTGCTGCTACACTTTCTTTTCTGGGGTATTTTAAAAGCAATGGTCTCTCGAGGGGAATAAAACAGATTTCTTGTAGGAGTCACTACTTTTCTTGGCTTTTCAGTAGTCCCAGCTGGGGTCTCAGCAGTTCACAAAATGATTGTTCATCTAGCAAATTTGCAGCCTGGGAGAAAAGAAAAGCGAGTTTCAACATGAGTCTCCCAGTACTTTTACTCATCATTTTACATTCCAGCTCCCAGCACAGGGTGTGGGATTGAGGAGGTGTTTCCTGAGGGTTTCACAACTGCATGAACGGAAGGTTGAGCAGGCATTCGTGGGAGAGGGAGTGAAGGTGAAGGTGGGGGAAGGACTCCGGGACTGAAGCCAGGAGATCCAGGCTCTGTGCAAACAGCCAGTGGGAGAGCCAGTCACTTGTCTGCTTAGACTGGGCTCAAACTCTCTTACAAAGCTACTGTGGGTCTCACACAGCTAATTCATAGGAAAGCGTTAAAGGATGGGACCATGTGCCCCACGGTGTATGCAGGTGAATAAATGAACAAAAACAACATGGCCCAGCAACACAAAGGCCAGTCTTGATTTTGGATTTTAAATTTTTTATAGGAAGACAAGTCAGCAGTCTCTGATTCATTCTGAAATTCCAACAGTGTTTAGACAGCACAGCAGCTAAGAGCTCTAGATTCTAGATAAATGCTCAGTGAGGGTGCCTTTGCCTCTGGTGAACAGCAGCCAAACAATTTTCTGCTTCCCCTTACAAGGGAAGGCAGGTAGCTCTGCCCACCCAGGGAGAGAGGTGGAGGAATGTCCTCCTTATGCATCTCTTTCCCATGCTGACCTACTGCCCTGCAAGTCAGTGGTTCTCAAAGTGTGGTCCCCAGACCAGCAGCAGCACTTAGGGAACTTGGTAGAGATGCAAATCCTTGAGACCCGTCCCCAGACCCACTGAATCAGAAACTCTGGGGTGGGGCCCCCAGGTTGTGTCTGCATAGCCCTCTGGATGACTCTGGTGCATGCTCAAATTTGAGATCCACTGCTGTCCATCAAAAGCCATTAACAAAGTGAGTACTGACTTACTGAGCTCTGCTCCAGCAAATGCAGGCAATGCAGTCTTTGACATGGCCTTGGGGCCCTTTGAGAAACTTCTCTAAAGAGTCTGGCATACAGTCTTGGAGTAGAAACAGGAATCTGGGCATGGGGGGCACTGGGCAGGGTGCAGGCGGCCTGGCTGTTCATCCAGCACCAAACAGCCAGGTGCTTCCAGTTCACGTCTGCGCATTGGTTCACTGCTTTCTGAATTCACTCAAATGTATTTATCCAGAGCCCATTGGGTATGCGCCACAGACACACGCAGGGTTCTGAGGATGCAATGTGAAGGTGATGGGGGTCTGGCAGGAAATAAGGGAGTTAAACAAATAATGTTGCGTGATGATGCTGGGAAACCACAGGCACAGGAGGCCCAACCAGGCCTGGGAGATCCTGGTGGGGCACGTTGGGAGGTGTCAGGGTAGCAAGGGGGGTGAAGAGTGTTCCAGGCAACAGGGACAGCATCTAGTCCCAGAAGCAAGAGGGTGGGGTTGCTGCTGGTCATGGAAGAACTGCAGAGTGGCTGGAGTAGAGTGAGAAGCAAGAAGGAGGGTGAGAGGTGAGGCTCCCGGGGAGCCCTGGCATGCATGTGGTCCCTGCCCGGGCAAAACGGCAGGTGCAGGCTCCCCAGTGGCTCTGCGCTGCGGGACTGGGATACGTGTCCGGGTGTGGCCCTACAGGGGCCTCTCACTTCATCCTTGCGACATGAACAAGGAAGGCGAAATGATGTGTCCATTCTACAGATGAGGAAGCTGGGGCCCAGAGAGGTGAAGTTTCTTCACACGCTCACAAGGGGCCAAAGCTTGCCGGCCAGCCAGGTCACTGGGCTCTCTGCACTGGACTGAGTTTGTTTCTATTTTTAGTAGAGATGGGGTTTTGCCATGTTCGCTAGGCTGGTCTTGAACTCCTGACCTCAGGTGATCCGCCCTTGGCTTCCCAAAGTGCTGGGATTCCAAGCGTGAGCCACTTGCACCCAGACTAGCTTTTGTTTTTTAAAAAGATTATTTTTGATAGACTTTTAAAGAACAGTTTTAGATGTACAGAACAACCGGTCAACCAGCACAGAGTTCCCAGGCACCCACACCAGGGCTCCCCGACCATAAGGTCTCACACTAGCATGGCACATTTGTCATGCGAACGGAGTAACACTGACTCTGATAGTCACTGATGTCCAGATTTTGTTCAGATTTCCTCAGGTTCTCCCAAATGGCCTTTTTCTGTTTCAGGATCCAATACTACATTTAGTCATCTCAGCTCCAGATTTTTAATTTTTAGGTTGTACAAACGGCTCACTGAAAACCTCAGATTTGGAGAGCTTTGTTCCTTTGGCAACAGAAACCCTGAGCCATCTACAGTCCCAAGTGGGAATGCGCTCTGCTGCAGAGACCTGCGTCTGGGCCCTCCTGGGAGAAACTGAACTTCTCTCAGGCTCCTTCGTCTCCCAGTTCTCTTCCTGGTGGGGGGAAAATAACTTTTTCTGAGAACATACAACCCTCCTTCTGCTGTGTGTGTGACTCCAGCCTACCTGTGAGGCAGGTATCATTAGGTGCGCCGCACAGATCTAGGCCCCGCAGCTCACACACAGGTGAGACATGCTGAGGTCCCTCAGGCAACCCGCAGCCAGGGCAGGGGAAAACTGCTCCCCGTCTCTCAGTGCCCATCGCTCTCCACACCTCTCCTGCCCTGGGTCTCTAGCCGTTCTGCCTACACAAGGAGGACCCCCTTGCTGCCCCTACTCTCCCTCCAAGGACCCCTGGCTATTTGGTGCTGTCGTGCCATCTCACTGAAGGTAAGAGGAGCCTTTAGCCAAGAAAAGCAGTGACTCCTACAAGAAATCTGTTTCAATCCCCACCTCAGGGAGACCACTGCTTTTAAAATGCCAGAGAAGAAAGTGTGGCACAGAGAGAAAGAGACCTTATGTTTTAAGACATATACTATGCTATTTACAGATCAAATTACATGATGTCTGGGACTTGCTTTAAAATAATGGAGCACTGAAAGAAATCAAAGAGGATCTAAATATGGAGAGACATTCTGTGTTCATGGATTGGAGGGCTCAACTGGATAAAGATTTCAGTTGCTTCCAAATGGATGCATAGGTTTAATGCAATTCCTATCAAAATTCCAGCAGGACTTTTTCTAACCTGGGAAATCAGTCAAAGGTCAGGTCTTCATGTACAAACAAGACTTTGTGGTCACAATTACTTTAAAAAGTAATTACATAAAACATGGCTGTGTCATGATTTAGCAGTAAGTGAAGCATGGTTTCTGACACATGGTAGTGTTATGTTAGGCAAATGTGAAATGCCAGGGATGTGAACAGCTGTTCCTCTAAGTTTAGGTTGCTGCAAAATTCAGGTAATCATTTTCATTTTTCACTGAACAGAACCAGCCTGTAACTCAACATTTTAGATCACAGACTTTTGGAGTACAAACCCAAGGAATGCAATATCGTTACCAAATTACAAGTTTTGGCAAATCAATACAACACTGTATATAATATAATGAAGTTATGTCACATATTCCTTTAATGAAAATTTTCATTATTTTCACCCTAATGCTCTGCAATAAAATAAATCATGTCATGATTAACAATTTTCATTACAAAAATTATTTAAATACCAAATAAAACACCATCATTGTTCATGGTAGATTATAGCTGAGCTAGTTATTTAAAACAAATTAGGCCGGGTGTGGTGGCTCACGCCTGTAATCTCAGCACTTTGGGAGGCAGAGGCGGGTGGGTCACTTGATCTCAGGAGTTTGAGACCAGTCTGGCCAACATGGTGAAATCCCGTATCTACTAAAAATACAAAAATTAGCCGGGTGTGGCGGCATGCGCCTGTAATCCCAGCTGCTTGGAAGGCTGAGGTGGGAGAATTGCTTTAATCTAGGAGGTGGAGGTTGCAGTGAGCCAAGATCGCACCACTGCACTCCAGTCTGGGCAACAGAGCAAGACTCCGTCTCAAAATCAATCAATCAATCAATCAATCAAACAAACAAATTAGACTTCTAAAATGGTACAATTTCCCCCTTCTGCTGTGCAAGCCACTTAAGGGAAATGGATCAGGACAATCATGCATGAGAAACTCTAACGTTTGAGCTTACAGGGGTTGGGCATGTGGATATTAGTTTTAGGTTGAAGTAACCATCCAAGCATCATCAGGCCTTCAGCACACCATTCGGCCTTTTATGCTGGCTGGTCTCGATATCCAGTGCACACTCTAGCTGACCACTTTGTTGGTAGACCTGTACTTCTCTTCAGTTTGGATTAAAATTCATGCAGACTTTCTTCAGCATATTATTTTAAAGAAATGCCTAATAGATAATTACACCTTTTAAGTACAAATACAAATAAATCTATTGCCAGGCTGGTGAGAGCTGGGCACCTTAGGTTGAATCTGCTCCTGACAACCAGGCCTCTATCCACACTGCGGCGTGCCCTGTGCTTCCTCCTCTGAAGCTGGCAGTTCTTTGGTCTCGGCACGTAATATCTGAAGATGTCACAGTTGTCATTAGTCCTAGGTAACTGCCGAGGTGAATCTTTTCACAGTGATTAGGGTTTCTTGAACCAGAATAGTTTTTCCTGGATCTTGAAGGTGTGGTTTTTACATAAATCTCTCATTTTGTACGTGTAAAGAAAATATTGGTAGACTTCCTTTCCACTGTGCTCTCCACAGTCAACTGCTGAATGTCCTGGCACATAGCCAGGCGCGGTGGCTCACGCCTCTAATCCCAGCATTTTGGGAGGCCAAGGTGGGCGGATCACCTGAGGTCAGGAGTTCAAGACCAGCCTGGCGAACATGGCAGAACCCCATTTCTACTAAAAATACAAAAACTGGCTGGGGTTGCTGGCATGTGCCTGTAATCCCGGCTGCTCAGGAGGCTGAGGCATGAGAATCACTGGGACCCAGGAGGCGGAGGTTGCAGTGAGCCAAGTTTACACCACTGCACTTCAGCCTGGGCAGAAGAGCAAGGCTCTGTATCACACCCCTCCCCCACCCCCCAACACACACACACACAAAAGTCCTGGCAAAAATGCCTTGGTTCTTGCTCTAGAAATATGGGATTTCACAGTGAAAGGCATCCCCACTCTGAGGCCTGTGGCTTTGCAACTTCAGTATCTTTTGTCTGACACAGCCAGGCTTGCGTTCACTTTTGGGTATTTGCACATTTCTGCACTGTAGTCATTGTAAAGGCTTCTTATGGGTGGTCAAAGGAAGCTCTAGGCAAAGAAGTGACACCTGCCCCGTGCCACTCTAAGTGCCTCCTAGGCCCCTCTGCTGAGATGCCTGATATGCATCTCAAGGTTCTCCTTGGAGGGGAAAACTGCTCCCTGTCTCTCAATGCCCAACCCTCTCCACACCTCTCCTGCCCTGGGTCTCTAGCTGTTCTGCCTACACGAGGAGGACCCCCTTGCTGCCCCTACCCTCCCTCCAAGGAGAACTCCTGACCACCCACCCAAAACTGCTCAGCCACAGGCGTCCTGATCTCAGTAGCAGACAACTGCATTCTTTCAGTAGCTCAGAACAAAAATCTTGGCAAGGATAATTTTGGTTATCCTGACGCCTGTCTTTCTTTCAGTTCACATCCATATTTATCATCAAGTCCATCAGCTAGCCCTACCTTTACTTTATTATCCAGAATCCAACCATTTTTCATCTGTCCACCACGTACCTCCAGTGCAGGTCCCATCTCTGCCCCTCCGCCGCCCCCACACTTCACGGAGTGACACAAGAACCTCCAGCTGGTCTTCCCTCTGCACAATACCCTGAGCGGTCCTTGGTAAACTACAATAAATCACATCATTCCTCTGCCTGAGAGCTGCTTCAGAGTGACAGTCAAAACTCCTTACCACAGCATCCAAAGCTTGCTGCCCATCTGGCCTCATTTCCTCTCTCTACCCCACCCCCATCAGCTCCGATGGGCTCTTGACCAATCTCAGTTAACCAGTTTTGAGAGAAGCTACCAGGAACGACCAATGGGGGGATTAATAGCATGAAATGCTGTCCAAAGTGGCTGATATGGAAGCACATGCTTGAGGTCCTGATATTCACGGGAGCTTAAGTCCTAAATATTGCTGGAAACATGCAGACTTCCCAGAAATTGCATTTTTTTTCTCTTCTGCTACCATCCTTTTTCCTACCAACCCTGACACTGTCTATTCAAATGAATGCATACTTTAAGACAGATAAAACAAATTTGCTAAAGGCTACTTTTATCCCTTTGTCAAATATTTCCCATAAAATTCCTAGGCATGGGCTTGAACACTGGTGAAACTTCGGATAATCTAAGGGTGGGTGAAGGGGCTAAGGTTGGGATAAATGAGGCTGAAAAGGTCAGGTGTGCTAAAATGCCTGGACTATTTTGTTTTACTATCAAGAAAATGTAATCTAAACCTTTTGGATTCAGGTTCAACAAACATTTTTGTTTACTCCTCTGTTGTGGAACTGTGTTATTTGACTTCACTTCACATAAGAGAAATTCTGCAGTGTGGAAAGGCTTTACCAGCTCAGAGAGAAAATGGCAGCAGAATTCAGACACAACCCTAAGTCCTGTGGCTTCAAACCTGTGTAGTTTCCAACACACACACCTCTGCTCTAATAATTGCCTACCTCTTTTTTTCTAAAGACATTAACTTGAAAATACCATCCATTCTGGATCTGCTTTAAACACATAAACACGAGTTTGATTTCTAAAGTGGAAATGCCTCTGCAACGCTAAGATGTAGAACTCTGTCAGGATGTGGCTTTAGCTTCCCTCCATTATGTCCCAAGTGCACAACAAAGTAACCCCAGCCACAACAGAGACACTTGCTCTGCCTCACCCACAGCATCAAAGCTTGCTGCCCACCTAACTTCGTTTCTTCTCTCTACCCCACCCCCTCAGCTCTGGTGGGCTCCTGACCAATCTAAGTTAACCAGTTTTGAGGGAAGCTACCAGGAACCACCAATGTGGACATTAGTAGCATGCAATGCTGTCCAAAGTGGCTGATACAGAAGCACATGCTTGCTCTTCGACAGAGGCCATTAGCGTCATCCAAAACCTAATTTCACGTCAGAGAATGTAAAAAAATATCCCTCTCAATCACTCAATGAATAAAATATTTATTTTCTCTTAAGGGTTTCTAATAATAGTGGAATGGCTACTATCAGACAAACTCTGTGCAGATAATTATACCTACTGGGAAAAAAGCACAACAAAACGGCTATCTGATGGCACTGGAGAATGACCTAAAGCAGGCAGAAACCACAGGAATACCCCTGGCTGAGTTTCCTGCCCTTACAGCTTTCTGCTTGCAGGCAGGCACCAAGGGGTGGCTAAAACACAGAGAGAAACCTGCAGTCACAGTGTCACTGATTGAACAGTTAGAACAAAGATTTTAAGGTGATCTTAGAAGCATCAATAAGGAGGACAATCTCAGAACAAAGAGCTGCAGAGGCGAGCTACAGAGCTCTGTGTGGAGCTCTGCCCAAATCTCTGGCTGACCCCTGAATTCTGAAGGTATGGGGAATACTCCAAGCAGCCTAGTAGAGGCTACAAAACCTGAACGTAGAATGTGAAGTTTTAATTCAACCACATTAACTTCCTGCTAAAAGGTCGGAAAAAACAAAACAAAACAAAACAAAAACCTCTTCAGAGAAACAACAGAATCCAAAGACTGTAAACTATTCAATAGCCAACATACAATCGAAATTTACTAGACATATGAAGAAAAGGAAAATGTGATTGGTTCCCAAGAGAAAAGTCAGTGTAAACCAGCACTTAGGCGATGCAGGTGTCTGAAGCAACAGATAAACTATTATAATAATGCTCAAAAATATACAGAAGCACATACTTCTAAAGCATGAAGAAATAGGAAATGGCAAAGAAATGGACATTATAACAAAGAATCAAATAGAAATTCCAGAACTGGAGAATACAGTATCAAAATAAAAATATTTACTGAATAGGCTGAACTGAAGATTGGAAATACTGAAAGAAATAGCAGCTTGAAGACAGACGAATAGAAATGATCCAATTTGAAAAAGAGAAAAAAATGTTGGAAAATAATGAACAGCAACTTAGTGACTTGGGAAAATACTATGGTCTAACATACATGAGGAGAGAGTGAATGAAGCAGAAACAATTCTGAAGACATAATGACCAACAGTTTCACAAATCTGGTGAAAGAATAAATGTACAGATTCAAGGAGATCACTGAATCCCAAGCAGAATACAGAGAAACATAACAAGACAGACCTTTGTTGAATGACAGTTGACTGTAATGAAAGACAGAGATACTGTAACAACATCTTTGAATTGCTGAAAGAAAAAAACTGTCAACTCAGAATTCTACAACAACAAAAATATTTTGCAATAATAAAAGTGAAATAAATACATCTTCAGAAAAATGAAAGAAGGAGGTGCGTGTCCCTGGTGGTGACCCACAGGACACCACCACAATGTCTGCTGTCCAAAAAAAGAAAAATGAAAGCTAAGAGAATCATTGACCAGCAAATGATTACTACAAGAAACATTAAGTGAAGTTGCTCAGGCAAAAGTGAGAATGATGACAAATGGAAATTCTGATCTTCAAGATAAAATGATAAGCACCAGAAGTGTTAAACTGTGGGTATGTACAACACACTATTTTAAAATTAATTTCTTTAAAAATACATAGCAATTTAAAGCAAAAATCATAACATTATATTGTGGGGCTTATAGTACATGTAGATGAGCATATAAATGACAGCTCTATCCATAAAACAGGAAAGGGATAAATGAAATTATACATATGCAAGATTCTTACATTTTATATAAAGTGGTAAATATTACTTTTAGTAGACTATGAAAAGATATATATATACACATGTATATATAAAATAATCTTCAGAGCAACCATTATAAAATAACATAAAGGAATAGTGATAAGCCAATAATAAAGATAGGATTTTTTTAAAAAAGATCCAATTAATCCAAAACAAAACAGAAAAGGAGAAAAGGAGTAACACAAAGAACATGTGACAAAAAAAGAGGAAAATGACCAATGTAAGCCCAACTATATCAATAATCACATTAAAAGTTAATGGACTAAATACTCCATTTAAAAGAAAGAGACTGTTGTGATGGTAATGTTCTATTTCTTGATCTGGATGTTGGTTGCATGAGAATATCTACTTTGTGAAAATTCATCAAAACATACATTTATTATTGGTGCACTTTTATGCATGTGTATTATACTTCAAGAAAAGTTTTACAAAGAACAAATATGTTGATCCAATTGTTCTATTTTTAGGGTTTTATCCTAAGAAAACAAGTACTCAGAAAAGCACACAAGTATGTATTTACAAGTATATTGATTCCAGCATTGATTCTAATAGAAAAATATTACAGACAAACAAATTGAACATTATTAGGGGACTACTAAAATAAATTAAGGTACATTTATATAATGAAACACCATGTAGCCAATTCAAAAGAATAATTTAGGGGCCAGGTGTGGTGGCTCATGCGTGTAATCTTGACACTTTGGGAGCCTGAGGCTGGTGGATTACCTGAGGTCAGGAGTTCGAGACTAGCCTGGCCAACATGGCGAAACCCTGTCTCTACTAAAAATACAAAAATTAGCTGGGCGGGGTGGTGGGTGCCTGTAATCACAGCTACTTGGGAGGCTGAGGCAATGAGAATCACTTGAACCTGGGAAGCGGAGGTTGCAGTGAGCTGAGATCGTGCCATTGCACTCCAGCCCGGGGGATAGGGCGAGACTCTGTCTCCAAAAAAAAAAAAAAAAAAAAAAAAAAAAGAAAAGAAAAGAATAATTTAGCTTTATATTTATCAAAACTAAAGTCACTAAAAGCATATTATTAAATTAAAAAGTAGCTTACAAACCAGTATATAGAGTGTGATCTTATTTATGAAAAAATAATAAAAAGACAAACAATGAAAAGGCATAGATATACAAAAGGTTGCATACGAAATAGTTAACAGTATCTATTTTTGGATGGTAGGATTTCAGGTGAATTTAACTCTAATTATTTTCTGTTATGTTGGATTTGCCAAGATGAATATATTAGCTTCACAATCAGAAAAAGCAACAAACACGTTTATATTTTAAAATAATATCTGTGAAGAATGAATAAAAAAGAGGAAAATACCCTAGCCTATAAAAAGTAAGGAGAGCTTAAAAACTTGAGTGAAAAAGTAATAACTATCTATTTGAAGGTACCAGAAAGATATTAAAGAAAGAGGAAACTGCAGGGCTATGATGGAGGAGAGGAGAGGACAGGGACATAAATTCAGCATTTGGGCCACTTTCCCCTTAAGCACTGGCTGACTCCAGTCACAAGGATAGAGAAGCTGGAGGCTCCTTGGAATAGACACAGAGGCTGGGGACAGTCAGGGATCATAATGGTGCCCACCATCTAGAGTGAAGACATCTTCCACATAGAGGACTGAGAACATAGTAGGTCCATAAATTAATGTCACAGCAGTCTCCATGACAAACGCCTTTACTCTTTGCTGGATCCCTTCAATTAGAATTTCTTCTGCAATTTCACTGTAATTTCCTACACCCTATGCCTTGTATTTTGGTGGAAGATGTATGTCATTGTGACAGCCTTGCCTCAATCTTAAGCCACAGGGTGACCAATTTTACCTACAGTCCACCTCCCAATCCCTTACAAGTACCCAACTGTGTTCAGCAGGACCACCTGGCCTACTTTTGGCCCCATTTTATCCTTCGGACTTAGCCAATGACTTGGCCTTTTGCTTCCCTTCATGACTTGGACTTGGTCTTTCAGCCTCTCTTCAGACCAACTCCCCGCACCTAGGTGTTGGTACTTTGGTGGGTGGCCTCACCTAATCTGCTCTTTGCTTAACAGTCCCACTCCCCAGTCCAGGCAAGACCAGAGGGATAGGGCACAGAACCCCAAAAGCATAAAAGATGCCTAGGTAAGTGCTAAGATTCTACTCTGGAAGGATTTCCTGTTTGGGAAAATGGTGAGAATCTAGCATTAAAATGCAAATTAGCTCCCCATTCCCTAACTAGTGAATAGTAGACAAACGGCTCCTGGATGGCATTCCCTAATGGCTGACAGTCCCTCATCATCTTCTCAGTGACTGACAGCCAGCCAGCTCCTGGGCCGCTGCTAAGGCCCTGGGCCATGTGACTCCCACGGGCAGGGATGCATGTATTATTTTCCTATTGCTGCTGAAACAAATTACCCTGCATTTAGAGGCTTAACAGCACATACATTTGTTATCTGTTTCTGTAGGTCAAAGGGCTGGGCACAGTGTGGCTCAGTGGGTTCTCTGCTTGGAGTCACAGAGAGCCTAAATTAAGGTGTCATCGCGGCTGTGTCCCTTTCTGGAGGCTCTGCGGCTGAATCAACTCGCAGTCTCATTCAGATTACAGGCAGATGTAGTTCCAGAGTGCTGTCGGACTGAGGTCCCTGGGTGGCTGAATTGCCTTGTGATGCCCAGGGGCTATTACCATCTTCCAAGGATGACCAATGGCGGGGAACAGGTCTCCTCCCCACAATGGTGGGTTGAGTTCCTTCTCTTTCAATCTCTCTTAGCTCCTCTCCTGGCTTCTTCGGCTGCTTTTAAGGGCTCATATGATTATGCTGGACCTACCCAGATAATCCAGAACTATCTCCCTATGTTAAGGTCAGCTCATTAGCAACCTCAGTCCTATCTGCAAAGTCCCTTGCAGGAAGTTCCTAGATTTGTGTCTGGCTAACCAGTGGGCAGAGGTTTTGGGAGCATCCTGAGAATTCTGTCTACTACAGACACACCTTCCAGACCTTTTGCCGGGAAGCTGCCCAGCACCACGGGTCCCTGTGGTCCACGGCGCATCTCCCCCCAGTGCCCACACAGCCTGGCCCCTGGGGCGCTGGGCACTCCCGCCCCTCCCCTCCCACCTGAGGACACAGGCCAGCTCCCCTGCATCTTCTGCACGCTGCGGGGTACGTGGCCAAGCCCCTGGGACTGGGAAGACTAGGGCAGCCTGGGAAGCATCTCCAGGGTCCCAGCTTTTCTTAACATATAGAAATCTCACTCACAGATCTCAGATGCAAGTAAATGACCCCCAGAGGCGCACTTCAACACAGAACAGGACTGGGCAGTCTCCCATGTCAGGAGAAAGCTGGGACTTGGAGCCCCATGGGAGCCTGAGGACGGCAGGGAGTGGCTGTTGTGGGAGGGCCCTGCTGCTGGAGGGCAGCCCTGTGTGGGACACCCCATGTCATCGGTAGCTCACCGGGGAGGGCTTACCCTGGCTGCACTTCCCGATTTCTACCTGGATGTGAGGAATGAGGCCGAGCCCTCTTCAGGCTGCTGCTGTGTCCCTCACAGGACACAGTCAAGTCAGCTCTGCCCCCAGAGCGTGACAGATATCAGCCCACTGCTGACTGCGGATGGCTTCCAGCCCCATCCTCTTCCTCTCTTGCCCCATAACTGCAAAATCAATGCAAACCCCAGGCGAGGGGTGGCAGGACTCTCACCCTGGCTCCCTCCTCACCACCATACAGCCCTCAGCCATACTCAGCCACCCAGGGCCCCCTTTGCTGCAGCTGTTCCAGCTGGGCTGCAGTCTGCCCTGCTCTCACAGAAAGCCCCAGGGCACCAACCACAAGCTTTCCCCACCCTCCTGGTGTGTGTGTGGTGTTATCCTTCTCCACATCCAAACCAAACTTTGGAGGAGGGAATGGGGTTGCTCCTGTACCTGCCATGGGGCAGCCACAAAGCCACCTGCAAGCTATTTGCCCACACCAGACACTGGAGTAAATAAAACAGCAGAGATGTGGTTGCCAGAAGGGTTCAGCCAAAGTGTGTTGTGTCCCCAGGGCAGACTATTCTTCATCCTCTCCATCATTCACAGAGATCTGGACCTGAGTTCTGTGAGGCCGGGGTGGGACAGAGACACCACACCCTAGAAAGAGGGCTGAGGATGGCAGGCGCTCACGGCCGGGTCAGGCCTGGAAGGACCATCGAGGCCGGGCTGTGTGACAAGGAGGGCCGCACTCTGCCACCAAGTGGGCTTGGCCACCCATTCACCTCCCAGTGGCTGTCTCCTTACTTTGAGGAAAAGACAATTAGGGAGTGAAATACTTCCGAATGTGGTTTAAAAAACAGAGAGGGCTGGGTGCGGTGGCTCACGCCTGTAATCCCAGCACTTTGGGAGGCCAAGGCAGGGGGATCATGAAGTCAGGTGATTGAGACCATCCTGGCTAACACGGTTAAACCCCGTCTCTACTAAAAATACAAAAAATTAGACAAGCATGGTGGCGGGGGCCTGTAGTCCCAGCTACTCGGGAAGCTGAGGCAGGAGAATGGCATGAACCCTGGAGGTGGAGCTTGCAGTGAGTCGAGATCGTGCCATTGCACTCCAGCCCGAGCGACAGAGTGAGACTCCGTCTCAAAAAAACCCCAAAACAAAACAAAACACACCAACTAACAGAGATTCCTTGATTCCATAGGCATATGGAAGGCCTGCACCACACTGGCCCAGCTTCCTCCCTTTCTTATCTTTCCCAGAGGTGGGTCTGGTGTCCCCAGGGTGTGCAGGGGCTCTATGTAGGGAGTGAAGATCCTCCTATCCCCATCTCTCCCAACCAAAGATGCTCCTTTGGCTGCTGAAGGCTTAGGATTTTTTTAAAAGTCCTGTTTCGGTGAAAACTTGTGAAGGGTCCCTGTATAAATATTTCCAGGTCGTTATTACCCAGTTACCCTAGTTAAGTTCTTTCTAATTAAGCCCATCGATTTCAGAAAAGCCTACTTCCCAGAAGACTGATCTGAAGTCATTAGCTGACTGACATATCTAGGCTATGTTGTCAGATGTCATCTTTGCCCTGGCATTTCTGCATTTCAGGCTCGGTCTAGCAACTGCCATCACATACTATCCAAAGCAAGGCAGACTAAATGAGAGATCAGAAAGGATTATCCCTATCTTAACAGGAGTGTCACTCAGGCTGACCTCACGTACTGCGGGGCCATCTTCTTCCTCATTGACAGGCAAGTATGGACAGAGAAGCTTCCAGATTTTCACCCACCTGTCCACAGGCAACTCAGCCTGGTGCATCTAGGGACCCAGTGAATTGTGCCTTCCCATCAACTGGTGCTTACTAAGGGTCTCTGCCTTGGCCAGAACTCTGCTTAAAGAAGCTTCAGGGAATACTGCAGAAATGACGAGAGATGCGTGTCACGATCAAGAAGGAAGAAACTGGAATCCACTGAGTGGTCATCATGTGCCAGGAGCATTCATGTAGATCATTTCACTTCATACAGAAACAGTGTGGAACAGGAATGGCCATTGTTTTATAAATCAGGAACTGAGGTGCAGAGGGGGTGTGTCTTACGGCATGACCTGGACCTCTGGGTACAGAGTGCGTGCGGGATGGTCCTCCATTCCCCTGGCCTCGTCATGGCTCAGTGCTTTAGAGAGTTGATGCCTGAGGTAGAACAGCGAATGCCCCATCGTCAAGGTCACTGTTACTAACGCTGTTCATACCAGAGGCACTGCGGGACCTCCCAGAGCAGGGATCTTTGCTTGTTGCCCTCTTGTCCGAACAGTCCCTATCCTAGTGTCTTGCACAAAGTTGGGGTGCAAAAATATCTATTCAGCAAATGTAGTAATTAAAAGCCATCCCTGTTTATTCATTAAAACAGTTCCCTTTAGGTGACTACTTACAAAACCATAGGGCTAGGGTGCTCATTCTATGAACTCAGAAGTGTAAACCAACAATGTTGAAAAACTAATATAGGAAGCCGACCAACAGTTCATTCAGACTGTCCGTTCCAGCAGCGGAGGCTGATTTTACAAAGAGCAGTGAGCTCTCCTTCACCCCCAGCCCCCACAACCCTTTTTTTTTTTTTTTTTTTTTTTTTTTTTTTTGAGACGGAGTCTCGCTCTGTCGCCCAGGCTGGAGTGCAGTGGTGCGATCTCGGCTCACTGCAAGCTCCGCCTCCCGGGTTCACGACATTCTCCTGCTTCAGCCTCTGAAGTAGCTAGGACTACAGGTGCCTGCCAACACGCCCAGCTAATTTTTTGTATTTTTAGTAGAGATGGGGTTTCACTGTGTTAGCCAGGACGGTCTCGATCTCCTGACCTCGTGATCCGCCCGCCTCGGCCTCCCAAAGTGCTGGAATTACAGGCGTGAGCCACTACGCCCAGCTAATTTTTTTGTATTTTTAGTAGATGGGGTTTCACCGTGTTAGCCAGGATGGTCTCGATCTCCTGACCTCGTGATCTGCCTGCCTCGGCCTCCCAAAGTGCTGGGATTACAGGCATGAGCCACCGCGCCCGGCCCCTCACAGCTTTTTAAGTGTCTAATTCCAGGAGTAAAGAGATTAGCTACATATTAATCTTTTCAAAAATTATTTTGAGCATTAAAGCTTTTAAATTTTTAAACATTTTAAAGTCGGCAAGCTCCATGAAGACAGGGCATTGCGTGCACCTTGTTTACCACTGTACTCCAAGCATCCAGAACAGAGCCCTGCAGCCAGTAGATTCTCAGTAAGTATTTGTTCAATAAACGTAAACTAAACATACAAAAAAGTACAGAAAATAGAAAAGAAAGTATTCCGACGTAGCCATCCCAGAGATTAAACAAATGCCAGCATTTTGGCATATTTATTGCTTATCTCCCAAAATATTACCAGTGGAGCTGAAGCCTTGCCCCTCATGTTACCTCCCTAGCTTCCTCTCCAGAGGCAAATCTCTGTGCTTAAATTGTTCTGTACTATTCTCATGCATTTTCTATAATCTTACTAAATATGCACATATCCTAAGGTGTACTGTTATGTACTATTATTTGTGTCTTGTAGATTTACACAAATATGATCGTCCTACATGTATCCTTCTGAAGTCTGCCGTTTCCATGTTTCTTGGGTATAACCTCGAAGCCTCAGCACACAGCTGCCTGCTATGCATACATGGAAGAGTTTATCTAGGATACATAGAGAATCATGTTCGACTTTACTAGATACTGCCAAACTAACCTCTGAAGTATCTGTATAAATTTACATTTACTCACCATTTATAAGAATTCTGGACCCTGTACATCCTCACCAATACTTGGCATTCACACAACGCATCTGCCAATGTGAAGGGTATGGAATGGTTTCTCTTGTTGCTTCTCGATTGGCAGTTAGGTTGAACATTTGTTCACATATTCATTGATTATTCAGGTTCCTCTTCTAAGAACTGCCCATTTGCATCACATGCCCAGTGTTATGTTATCCGTCTTCCCGTTATCCATCTTCAGCTCTTTCTGTTTTTTTTTTTTTTTTTTTTTTTTTTGAGACACAGTCTCACTCTGTCGCCCAGGCTGGAGTGCAGTGGTGCAATCTCAGCTCACTGCAACTTCCGCCTCCTAGGTTCAAGATATTCTCTTGCCTCAGCCTCCCGAGTAGCTGGGATTACAGGCATGCACTGCCACGCCCGGCTAAAGTTTGTATTTTTGTAGAGATGGGGTTTCGTCATGTTGGCAAGGCTGGTCTCATACTCCTGACCCCAAGTGAGCCACCGCCTCAGCCTCCCAAAGTGCTGGGATCACAGGTGTGAGCCACTGTGCCTGGCCCCATCTTCAGTTCTTAATATGTTCTTTACATCAATCCTTTGTCACTCGTAAGATATTTTAAATATATTTCCTAGTCTGTGACTTAGTCTACTAAGTCCGCCACTACTCCCCAGTCTGTGAGAAGGCACACTGTTTGGAAAATTTTTTGAAGCACAGGTTTACATTTTAATGTTATCAAATTTATTAATCTTTTCCTTTATAATAGGCTTTTTTTTGGCTTTGCCTTTCTCTACTTATTTTAAAGCTTATATATTTTAAGGTTTATACATTTCCCTTGAATTATGACTGTGGCTTGCTTCAGTTTCTCATTCAATTCTAAATCTGAAAACCTAGATAAAATACGTCAACTCCTAAAAATGTACACATAATGGTAAAATTGGCATAAGAGAAAATCTGAGTGAACAAAGACTTAAGAAATTAAAATGGTAGTTAAAAAAAGAAAAACCCTTCCCTTCCTAAATCTCTTGGCTCAGATGGTTTTGTACAGAAGGCCATCAATCTTTGAAAGAATCATTCATTCACATCTTTACAAGTTGCTTCAGAAAATAGAAAAAGAACAAAACAATGCCCAACTTGAGGCTAGTGCAATCTTGATTCCAAAATAAGACAAAAGAAACACAACAAAAAAAGTCAGATTCCCATCTCACTTATGAAAATAGATACAAAATCCCGAACAAAATATTAGCTAATCAAATACAACAGTGCATTGAAAATAATGTATCATACTTAAATAGGGGTTTATCCAGAAATACAAGGTTGGTCCCCATGAGATCAGTGAAGTTCACCACAATAATAGACAAAAGAGGAAATAAATTATAAGACATTATAATGAAGGCTGAAAAAGCACTTTAAAAAGTTTAATCCTTCATTACAAGAAACACCTTCTAGCAAAAAAGAACTTTCTTCTTTTTTATCTTTTTATTTAAAACACTGAAAACATTTTATTATGGAAATTCCTAAATACAGGTAGTTCTGCTGTAACAGAATAAATATGATCTTAAAAAGCACTATGCTGGCTGGGAGTGGTGGCTTACGCCTGTAATCCCATTTTGGGAGGCCGAGGCAGGTGGATCACCTGAGGTCAAGAGTTCAAGACCAGCCTGGCCAACATGGTGAAACCCTGCCTCTACTAAAAATACAAACATTAGCCAGGTGTGGTAGGTGTGGTGGTGTGCACCTGTGGTCCCAGCTACTCAGGAGGCTGAGGCAGGGGAATCGCTTGAACCCAAAAGGCAGAGGTTGCAGTGAGCCAAGATCGTGCCACTGCACTCCAGCCTGGGCGACAAGAGCAAAACTCCATCTCAAAAAACAAAACAAAACAAAACAAAAAAGCACCATGCCATGTAAAATCATGCAACAAAAAATGCAAGATTTAGGAAAAATGGGTTAGGGAAACAACACTCAAAAACTTGGTTAGTAACACATCTACAAAAAGATAGGAGTTTATTCAAAATGTTAGCACATTAAGAGAATGAAAAGAAAAGCCACAGACTGAAAGAGAAGATTTACAAAACATGTATGATAAAGACCTGGTATCAAAAATACACGACTCTTAAAACTCGATTATGGCCGGGCACAGTGGCTCATGCCTGTAATCCCAGCACTTTGGGAGGCCAAGGCGGGCGGATCACAAGGTCAGGAGATCGAGACCATCCTGGCTAACATGGTAAAACCCCGTCTCTACTAAAAATACAAAAAAAATTAGCCAGGCGTGGTGGCGGGCGCCTGTAGTCCCAGCTAGTTGGAAGGCTGAGTCAGGAGAATGGGCGTGAACCCAGGAGAATTGCAGTGAGCCAAGATCGCGCCACTGCACTCCAGCCAGGGCAACAGAGCGAGACTCCGTCTCAAAAAAAAAAAAAAAAGAAAAAACAAAAAAACCCTCAATTATAAGAAAACAACTCAATTAAAAAATGAGCCAAAGGTCTGAACAAACATCTCACCAAAGAAGATATACAGGTATGTCATTAGGGAATTGGAAGTTAAAATAATAAAGAGCCACCACTACACATCTATTAGAATGGTTACATCCAAAACACAGACAACCCCAATTGCTGATGAGGATGTGGAACAACAGGAGCTCTCATCCATGGCTTGCGGGAATGCAAAATGGTGCAGCCACTTTGGAACACAGTTTGTCAGTTTCTTATGAAACTAAATCTAGTCTTACCATATGATCCAGCAATCACACTCCTTGGTATTTACCCAAACGAGTCGAAAACATGTTCACACAAAACGTGTACACAAATGTTTATAGCAGCTTTATTCATTACTGACAAACTTGAAAGCAACCAAGATGTCCTACAGTAGGTGAATGGATAAACAAACTGTGATACATATACACAACGACAAATTATTCAGCAAGAGAGAAAAAGGAGCTATGGAGCTATGAAGCCATAAAAGACACAGAGGAAACCCAAATGCATACTGGTAAGTGAAAGAAGCCCATCTGAAAACGCTGTGCACTGTGGGATTTCAACTACATGACATTACAGAAGAGGCAAAACCACGAAGAAGGGAAAAAATTATCAGTGGCCAAAGGTGCGGGGAGAATAGGTGGAGTGCAGGGGATCATTAGGGCACTGAAATTTCTCTGTATGGTACTGGATGGTAGACACCTGTCATTACACATTTGTCAAATCTCATAGGATATAAACACACAAAGTGAACCCTAACCAACACACCAGACTAACCAAGATGTTAATAACTGGTGACAGGGTGAGGGGTTTATAGGAACACTCTGTACTCTCTGCTTCATTTTTCTATAAACCTAAAACTGCTTGAAAAAATAAAGTCCATTCATGTTAACAATGATAGCACAATTTTACACATGCTAAAAGGTTAGGAAATATATAAATACTACAATAAGTATGGCACTATGTGAAAAAGACTTGTGATTTGCATGTAGAAGTGGGCATCAAGAGCTTATGAGTTAGTGGGAAGTGGTGAAAGAAGGGGTCTCTGAGGTCAGAGGCAAGCTGTGACTCCAGAAGTGGTGGTGTGGCTCATGACACACAGAGTGAATCCATGTATAGCTGGACACTATCCCAGGTGTGCGTCTGTGTGTTCCTACGAAGCTCTGCTCCTGGGGGAGGTGTGCGTCTGTGTGTTCCTATGCAGCTCCACTCTTGGGGCACATGGGGGGCAATATTCTGCATTAAGTGGGGGCAGTATTCTGCATTCACCTGGTGTTTCTAGTGGATGAAATTGCACATAAGCTAACATGAAATTTGCATTATACTCAAACGGTTCCCTAACACATCAATCATTTTGGAACAAATTTGAGTTTTCAAAACAAGCATTAAAGCAGAACAGGCCATATACGAAGGCAGAAAATACAGTCTATGCACTCATTACCAGCTTCAACCTTGCAGAATTAGGATTAGAACTGCTCAACATAGAAACTATCTTAACTTCACAAAGGTTATTGCCAAAATCCGCGGCGCACACTCTATGTAATGGAGAAAGTTAAGATGGGTTTGCTTCAAGACAGAAAACCAGAGAAGAATGCACGTGATGCCTGCTGCTGTTTACCAGGAAGCCAGAGATCTTGCTTATGCTGTAAGTGAAGCACAAGAAACAAAAGGCACTGGATTATAGGAGAAAAAGAAGTCACAATTTAGAAATGACCTAATCATCTACCAAGAAAAAAAATACATAACAAAAGCATCAAACTATGAGAACTAGTAAGAGAGTTCAGATAGATGCTTTAAAGTATTTTTTAAATTACACCAGCAATAACAACCTGCTAGAAGGTTGTATTCATAATAGCAAAACGAGCTGAACAATAAAAGCCTTGTGGGGAAAGGGAAGCTGGATCCCCATCAACACACACAAAAGGGGGCTCCACTTGACCTAAAGCCTTGTACATGAATAGAAATGTATAAAATTAAAAGTTCATAATATAAGATAAATAAGGGCAGTGACTTCTTTAGTAATAGCACAAGGCAGAAGCCATAAACCAGCAATAGTGATTGCTCGATTTTTATGCAGTAAAAGATAAGATGGCAGTTAGCTGACAGACTGTGAGAATATATTTGCAATATTTATATCCAACAAAGAATAATATATTCAAAATATAAAAGGAGCTCTTGCAAATCAACAAGAAAAAGACAGAAACCCAAACAGAAAGATTGTAATTGGAGAAATGCAAATTAAAATGATGACTTGTCACTTTACATCCAATAGACTTGAAGAAAATTACAAAGTTGGAAGATTCTGGGTTTTGGTGGTGGTATGGGGGATGCAGGACGTCTCATGCTGTTGGTGGAGAGTATACTGGTGCGCACACTCTGAAAAAGTCACTGGGTAGCATTTAATTAAAACAAATGCAGGTATTCTCTAAGGCCCAGCAGTCTCTTCCTGGATAGGCATCCACCAAAATTCTGACACAGTTTACAATGGGACATTTACAACACTAGATTTTTTGTGATACTGATTGTGCCAGTAGACAGTTGAAGGCAATCCAGGTATTTATCACTGGAATAATTGATAAAATGTGGGAGATGCACATCATGGACTACAGAGAGAATCAAAGGACTGAAAATATACACAGCAACAGAGGTCTTAAAAATATAACGATAAGTGACTTCTGCTTTTGGTAATGGCAGTCTATAATTCAAAAAATTCACTAGTGGAGAACAGTTAGAAAAACTAGACAAAATATAAAACACATGCACTTCAAGACACGAGACGGCTACTAAAATGCGAAGAACAGCCAGGTTAGGACACAGAGGGAACGGGCACAGGCAGGTAAGCCGAGTGTGCAGGGCTGCCTTGCCTGGGGAGCCAGGGTGCCCATTCCTGATGAAACAGAAGTATGGTTGAAAGGCTGAATAGGCTGGGCGTGGTGGCTCATGCCTGTAATCCCAGCACTTTGGGAGGCCGAGGCAGGTGGATCATGAGGTCAGGGGTTCGAGACCAGCCTAACCAACATGGTGAAACCCCGTCTCTACTAAAAATACAAAAATTAGCTGGGCATGGTGGCGGGCGCCTGTAATCCCAGCTACTCAGGAGGCTGAGGCAGGAGAATTGCTTGAACCTGGGAGGCGGAGGTTGCAGTAAGCCGAGATCGCGCCACTGCACTCCAGCCTGGGCGAACACAGCAAGACTCTGTCTCAAAAAAAAAAAAAAAAAAGGTGAATAATACTTTTAATAACTTCAAGGGGCTGGGGTGAGAGCAACTGGATGCAAGAGTGCCCCAAGGGGTGACAGTGGAGATCTCACTTTGTGGTGGGACTACGCATGGCTGTAAGCTAGAAGCATGGGCGAGTTCTACATGGAGAGGCCCCTGCAGGACGTGGCTCAGCTCTAAATAATTAGAAATTGGACCGAAGTAACCTTAATTGCTAGTTCTCAGAGTTCCTTGGCAGAAGCAAATATAAATCCTCTCTGGAGAAAGATAATATCATCATAAGCCAAAAATTATTGTCATAAAGTATTCTGCAGATACTTTATTCATAACCAAATAAAATATAACCAGGCACATGTGGAGGAGAGGCAACATGCACAACAGGAGGTAACTTCAATAGCTGCAGATCCACAAGAGGTCCAGATGATGGCGTCGCTAAACACAAACGTTAGCACTAATATACTCGCGGGCTCACGGAGGTAGAAGGCAAGGTTGACTATCTCAATGGAGAAGTAAAAACTCCAGGAAAGAAACAAACGGAAGCTCTTGAGTCAAAGTATTCAATAACTGGAAACAAACTCAATGAATATGTTTAACAACATATTAGGTACAGCTGAATAAAGAAGAGAGGTCAGACAGAAAGATTCAGAGAAAAACAGACAGAGACAAAAGGACAGCAAGCACAGAGGAGAAGGCGAGAGATGCTGCACATTCATTCACAGGGAAGTTTCCATGTAATTACAGTCCCAAAAGATGAGACAGAGGGAATGCTGGAAGCAATGTTTGAAAAGAATGGCTGAGAATTTTCCAAAATAAGTGACAGACATCAAGCCATGAATCCAAGAATCCCTATGGACTGTAAGCTGAGTAAAATTTCAAATAACCACATCTGGGCACATCTTTAAGACTGCTGAAACACCAGACACAGATAAAATGCTGTGTGGAGTCCGAGGAGGAGTCAGGCTGACTCTGAAGTGCAGAAGTTAGAACAGCTGATGTTTCAACAGAAGCAATGGAAATCAGAACACAATGTAATGGCATCTATAAAGAGTCCACTTCTATACACAAAATGCAAGGAATTAAGATTTAAAAAGGCATTTTCAGATAAGAAGAAAACAAAAACAAACACTGAAAGAATCCATCTCCAGAAGGAAAACACTCCAGAAAGAATCAATCTCCTTAAGGAAAACACTAGGTTTCTTTATCCTGGCAGAAAAGAGAAGGATCCCCGACAGGAAGGTGGAGATTCAGGAAGCAATGAAGAGCGATGAAGATGCAAGTATATGGGAAAACATAAATGAACATGAACTTTACAAAACAACGTCTTATTGGACCAAAAAATATATGGTGAAAAAAATGTAGAGAATTAAATCTATGAAAACAATGGCCTATAAGTCAGGAAGGGGTAAATGCATGGTCTGGGAAGATGTTAAAAGTCCTGATTTATATTGATTTATATTTGGCTTTTATAAGATAGGTCTGCCCACATGATTTAATTTCTAAGATAAACACTAAAATAATAATAAGAGTGTATACATTTCAAGCTAACAAAAGACTTAAAAATGGAAAAATATAAAATGGCCAAGCCAGGAAAAGTGAAAAAGGAATAAAAAAGCAATTCAAAATATGGGGGACAAATGTAAAGATTATTAAGATGGAAGATTTAAACCCAAATATATTACTAGTTGTGTTGCACATAAATGAACTAAATATTCCAATTAAAAGACAAAGGTTATTATCTTGGATTAAAAAATTCACTCACTTGCTGTTTATGAGACATATCTAAAGCCACAGAAAGGTTAAATATAAAAGAACAGGCCAAGCGTGGTGGCTCATGCCTGTATCCCAGCACTTTGGGAGCCAGAGGCAGGTGGATCACCTGAGGTCACGAGTTCAACACCAGCCTGGCCAACATGGTGAAACCCCATCTCTACTAAAAATACAAAAATTAGCCAGGTGCGGTGGTGCCTATAGTCCCATCTACTCAGGGGGATGAGGCAGGAGAATTGCTTGAACCTGGGAGGCAGAGGCTGCAGTGACAGCCAAGATCACACCATTGCACTCCAGCCTGGGTAACAGCAAGACTCCATCTCAAAAACAAACCAACAAAAAATTAAAAAATAAAAGAACCAAAAAAGATATGTCCTACAGACTCTAGCCAAAACAAAGCTAGAATAGCTGAATTTATGTCAAAGTAGACTTTAAGACAAAATGCATTACCAGAGAAAAAGAAAAACATTTAATAATGATAAAGGCTAATACATAAGATAACAAAATCTAAATTTGTATGCTTCTATTAAGATAGCCTCTAAATACATAAAGCAAATAGAAAAAAATAAAAATCCTACTGAAAGATTTAGGCATACTTTCCTTAGCAACTGATAAAACAAGCAGACAAAGACAGAGAGATTTGACCTAAATGAAATTCTGCACCCAACAAGAAGAAAATACACATTCTTTTTAAGTACATATGAAACACTAAAATTATTGTGAAAGTCAATGCAGTTTCAAAAGGTTTCAAAGGGTTGAAATCATACAAAATTTTTCTATATCCTAATACAAATATGCCAGAAATTTTTTAAAAAGTTGATTAGAATATCTGTGTATATTTGAAAATTAATACACTTCTCAATAACTCATGGGTCAAAAAGAAATTTCAATTAAAATTAGAAAATATTCAAACTGAATGATAATTAAAATGATTAAAAAACTGTTAGAATGCAACTTGAACTGCTTGGAGGAAAATATATAGCCTTAGGCTTGTACTGGAAAAGAGAGCAGCCTTGATGTCTATTTTTGTTTTGTTTTGTTTTTGAACAGTCTTGCTCTGTTGCCCAGACTGGAGTGCACTGACGCTATCTCAGCTCACTGCAACCTCCGCCTCCAGGATTCAAACGATTCCCCTGCCTCAGCCTCCCGAATAGTTGGGATTACAGATGTGCACAATCACGCCTGCCTTATTTTTGCATTTTTAGTAGAGACGGCGTTTTGCCATGCTGGCCAGGCTGGTCTCGAATCCCTGGCCTCATGTTATCTACCCACCTCAGCCTCCCAAAGTGCTGGGATTACAGGTGTGATGTACTGAACCTGGCCGATGTCTGTACTTTAACCTCACTCTTGAATAATACTTTATTCAGCTAAATAATCCTTAATACTTTAAAGTTGTTGCATTCTCTCCTGGCTTGCACTGATACTGTGTCCAGAATTGGTGGGTTCTTGGTCTCACTGACTTTAAGAATGAAGCCGCAGACCCTCGCGGTGAGTGTTACAGCTCTTAAGGTGGCGCGTCTGGAGTTTGTTCCTTCTGATGGTCGGATAGGTTCGGAGTTTCTTCCTTCTGGTGTTCCCGCCCGGTTCGTGGTCTCGCTGGCTCAGGAGTGAAGCTGCAGACCTTCCCCGTGAGTGTTACAGCTCTTAAGGCAGCGCATCTGGAGTTGTTTGTTCCTCCCGGTGGGCTCGTGGTCTCGCTGGCTTCAGGAGTGAAGCTACAGACCTTCGCGGTGAGCGTTACAGCTCTTAAAAGCAGCATGGACCCAAAGAGTGAGCAGTAGCAAGATTTATTGCAAAGAGCGAAAGAATAAAGCTTCCACAGTGTGGAAGGGGACCCAAGCAGGTTGCCAGTGCTAGCGCAGGCAGCCTGCTTTTATTCTCTTATCTGGCCCCACCCACATCCTGCTGATTGGTAGAGCCCAGTGGCCTGTTTTGACAGGGCGCTGATTGGTGCGTTTACAATCCCTGAGCTAGATACAAAGGTTCGCCTCGTCCCCATCAGATTAGTTAGATGCAGAGTATGGACACAAAGGTTCTCCAAGGCCCCACCAGAGCAGCTAGATACAGAGTGTCGATTGGTGCACTCACAAACCCTGAGCTAGACACAGGGTGCTGACTGGTGTGTTTACAAACCTTGAGCTAGATACAGAGTGCTGATTGGTGTATTTACAATCCCTGAGCTAGACATAAAGATTCTCCACGTCCCCACCAGACTCGGGAGCCCAGCTGGCTTCACCCAGTGGATCCCGCACCGGGGCTGCAGGTGGAGCTGCCTGCCAGTCCCGCGCCATGTGCTCGCACTCCTCAGCCCTTGGGTGGTCGATGGGACTGGGCGCTGTGGAGCACGGGGTGGCGCTCATCTGGGAGGCTCGGGCTGCACAGGAATCCATGGAGGCGGGGGAAGGCTCAGGCATGGCGGGCTGCAGTCCCGAGGCCTGCCCCGCGGGAAGGCAGCTAAGGCCCAGTGAGAAATCTAGTGCAGCGCGGGTGGGCTGGCACTGCTGGGGAACCCAGTACACCCTCTGCAGCCGCTGGCCCGGGTGCTAATTCCCTCATTGCCCGGGGCCGGCAGGGCCGGCCGGCTGCTCCGAGTGCCGGGCCCGCCAAGCCCACGCCCACCGAACTCCAGCTGGCCCGCAAGCGCCGCACACAGCCCTGGTTCCCGCTCGCGCCTCTCCCTCCACACCTCCCTGCAAGCTGAGGGAGTGGGCTCCGGCCTTGGCCAGCCCAGAAAGGGGCTCCCACACCGCAGTGGTGGGCTGAAGGCCTCCTCAAGTGCCGCCAAAATGGGAGCCCACGCAGAGGAGGCGCCAAGAGCGAGCGAGGGCTGTGAGGACTGCCAGCACTCTGTCACCTCTCAATACTGCTAATAAGCAGGTTTTCGGTCTAGTATCCTTTGGTGGGTCATCTGCCCCCACCCATACATCTCTCTCATTGCTTTAAATATTGTCTACTTGGTCTTTGGTGTTCCACACCATCATGAGTGGCACACTGTTATTGTTGAAGATTCACATCTCTCCTTCATTTTGGAAAATCTGTATCCATTCATTTTTCAAATATTGTCTTAGTCTATTTTCTCCTTTTTGAACACCTGCTGGATATATAACTTTCTCAAATGCCCTGTATCACTAAATAGGAACCAAATTTTAGATTATTTCTCAATTTGTAAATTTCCCAATTTGCAGACTGTGTGAGTTGATGTAAATCTGAACCCTATATCTGTGTGAGGTACATGTCTAAGATTTCAAATTCTCAAGGGGAGAATTTTTCCTTTACCAATAATTCAAAGATAGTAAGAATTAAGGGAAAAAACAACCCACTCTTCCACTGAGTTCTCGGAGGGTCTCAGGTTTGAGTAAGGTCTTTAGCTCCATCGCTAAGCCTTGCATGGGTCCCAATCTGTTCCCAAGTGGATAATGACTCCAGCTGCTGTGTTTCCCAGGCTGAATCTCCATCTCCTCCCTACCGGTTGCAGAATCACTGTGGGATCCTCAACTCTCCTCTTCAGGGCCTCCCACTTTGATTCCTACGAGTTTAGCTGTACATTTAAGGTAACTTTTGTTGTTTTTTATTCAGCATAACTAGGGTTTTATAGCAAGAGTTTTTCAAGTCAGCTCACCATCCTGCAGAACTGGGAAGTTCTTTCCCAGTGCACAAAATGCTAGCTGGATTGCACCTTCTAGGGTTCTAAAACTCACCAAGAAGCTAATAATAATAATAATAAATCTATTTTAACAGACAAATAATGGAATCTTGCTGTGTTAAGTGTCAGACTGGTGAACTTTTCAATTCTTTTTTCTTTTTTACCAATGCCCAAAACACTTCTATGCACAAATGCTTTAACACATCTCTTCAAACTGTTTGTAAGACATATTTTCCCCTCAGCTACAGAGATTTAAAAAGAGAAATGGAATTGAGTTCAGCAGAAAGAAGCTTAAATTTTGTACACTGTCCATTTTCATTAAAAAAGTAAAAATAATAAAAGTGCTATTAAGAATTTGTTCAAAAACTTCAGTTACTATCCAGGGATCATTACTTAAGTGGGCTAATTTCCTGTACCTTTTCCACCCTCACAGTTCCTGACCAGTTCTTGATATTTGGAATGGTGACCTCAGCCTTACATCATAACCATCAGTGATGGTCCTTAGCGGAAGCTGGAGAAAGATTAAACATGGATTAAGTATTCACTATGTGCCAAATACTGGACTAGAAGCTGTCCATTCAATATCTCCATTCACAGAGTATCATTAGTCCCATTTTAGAGGTGAGAAAACTCAGGCTCCAGATTAGATAACCTGCTCAGGCCAGTGCTAATCCGATGTCAGACATAAGGAGGGTCAAACACAGGCCCCGCCGTCATAAAGTTGACAGAGACAAGCCTAGCACTTCACCCCACTCACAAATCATACCAGCAGAAATATGGAAGGGAGGCTACAGGGTGATCCCAGCTATGACTAAATGCACAGAAAACAAAAATCTGGAAGGAAATACAGTATGCTAAAATGTTACAAATTGATCTAACTGGGAAGAGAGGTGATGGGTAATCTTTTCCTATTCCGTTTTGACACTTGTTCTTTTTTCTTTTCAAAGTCATAGTCATGTGCAATGCTAAAAATATGAAATGCTTCTATTGTTTTGTAAGGTATGTTATTTATGATATTGTATATTTTCCTAACATAAACACAACAGCTCTAATAAGTGATTGAAAATAGAAGATAATCCTGTTTTAGGGATTCAAAGCACATGGTTAAAAAAACTACAGTCAAAATCTCATTCAAATTTATATCAGAAACCTTCAAATTTATATACACTTTGATACACCAAACCCATTTCTGGAAGTTTGTCTTCAGAAAATAATTATGGAGGCTGGGTGCGGTGGCTCACGCCTGTAATCACAGCACTTTGGGAGGCAGAGGTGGGCAGATCACCTGAGGTTAGGAGTTCGAGACCAGCCTGACCAACATGGAGTAACCCCATCTCTACCAAAAATACAAAATTAGCCGTGCATGGTGGTGCATGCCTGTAGTCCCAGCTACTCAGGAGGCTAAGGCAGGAGAATCACTTGAACCCAGGAGGTGGAGGTTGCAGTGAGCCAAGATCGTGCCATTGCACTCCAGCCTGGGCAACAAGAGCGAAACTCCATCTCAAAAAAAAAGAAAAAAGAAAATAATTATATTTTTGGAATCTTTCTCTCTCTCTCTCTCTCTCTCTCTCTCTCTCTCTATATATATATATATATATATATATATATACACACACACACACACACACACACAAATATATGTGGAGAAGAATACTCATTACAATGTGGCTTAAAATACTAGAAAATTAAAAACAACCTAGATGGTCAACAATAGTATATTGATTACAAATAGTATGACATATCTGTATGATGGACTAACATGTAGCCATGAAAATAATATTGTTGAGAAATATTTAGTGACATCCAGTGAATCCCACAATATATTATTAAGTGGGGGAAAACAGGTCATGAAATAAAGCGTACACTGTGAGCTCTACTTCATTCATAAAAAAAGCATATACACAGAACCAAAGCTAGCCAATACACACCAAAATGTTCATAGCAATTGTTTCTGGGTTGGAGATTTGGAATGATTTTTTTGGTAAAATTTCTATAATCAGCATACATTACTTTGGTAATAATAAAAACCAGTAACAGTGAATTTTAAAAGTCTCTGAAACAGAGCCAATCTCCTTTCTTAGTGCCCACACACCACCATTTCATAGGGGATCCCAATCTCCAGCCTGCTGAGGCAGACACTTTCTGGGATGCAGCACTCCTGCTCACACGTGGCTTGGAGCTGTGAGTCTGGTCTTCCAAGGCTGGCAGAGAGCTTCCCACCTGAGGTGGCTCCTGTGAGCCTGGGGACACGGCTGCGGAGGAGGTGACTGCCAGACTCCCAGGGCACTCACCGGGCACCGACAGAGCCACCTGTCCACAGCAGACACATCTGACCTGTTTTTCTGCCAGAGTCCTTCATTCCTTCCATAAATGTATTGAGCATTTTACTGTCTGTGTGCCAGGCAGTAAATTAGGAGCATGACTTCCTTTAATCCTCATGAACGCCCTTGGAATCATGTTATCTTCCTGATTTTACGGATGAGAAGTCTGCCGCAGAGAATTAGGTCACCTGTCAGTCTGTCACAGTGAGTGGTACAGCTGGGGTCCAAGCCCAGCGTCTGTGTGGCTCCCAAGCCCAGCTTCCCTTACAGTACTCCAACAGCTCCCAAGACGTCTCTTAAAATAAATTCAAAGATCATTTCTGATGCTTAGAGCATTAATCCATATCTCTCACTACATTCACATTATTTTTCCATGACAATCCCACAGCCACCCTGGCCTTGGCCTAGCTCACAGTGCTCACTGCTGGGGGTCTGCAGGCTCTCAGCCAGTGAGAGGTGATGCCAGCTGGACTTCCTGGGTCGAGTGCGGACTTGGGGAACTTTCCTGTCTTACAAGAGGATTGTAAAATGCACTAATCAGTGCTCTGTAAAACGCACCAATCAGCAGGATTCTAAAAGTAGCCAATAATGGGGAGGATTGAAAAAAGGGCACTCCGATAGGACAGAAACAGAACATGGGCGGGGACAATAAGGGAATAAAAGCTGGCCACCAGCAACCAGAAGCTGCAACCCCCTTGGGTCCTGTTCCATGCTGTGGAAGCATTGTCCTTTCGCTCTTTTGCTACCGCTCACCCGTGCCATCTTTAAGTGCTGTAACACTCACCGCAAAAGTCTGTGGCTTCATTCTTGAAGTCAGCAAGACCACAAACCCACCGGGCGGGAACCAACTCCAGACACACCAGGACCCCAGGGAGAAAGCTGAACAAAGTCCACCACTGTCTCTAGCACTTGGGGAGTCCTTCTGGAATCTGGGAAGGCAGGGCAGCCTTCCTCCTTCCAGAGCCAGCTCCCCACGACCTGCCCAGATGGTGTGTGGTACCAGGCAGTGCAGTGCTGCCCACAGCTCTGCTCCCTGGCCCTGCAGCAGGCCAGGCCTCTGCCTGCAGTGGCTCCTCCCCACTGTGGGGGTCCAGCACAGCTGTGCTTCCCAGCACTCAAGAGGCTGCTGCAGGACCACGGGGGGATGCACAGAAGAGCCAGCGTTGGCTTGCTGTGTAAGGATTCTCAATTCCCTGCAGATTTTCAGGGCGAGATTGTGGTCCTCCGCCTTCACCTCCTGGTGCAAACCACCTAGGATTGTGTGACCCAAGGCTCTCCTGCGGGCCTAGGCAGCTTCAGAGCCTGCTAATGTCCTGCCAAAAGCAGGAGAAAGAAGGCAGCCAGAGAAAGGGAACTATTGGGAGAGCAGGGACTTGCAGACAATTATGAAGTGACTAATTTCCCCCAAATTATTATTTCTGTTGTCTCACATCTAGCTCCTTCAAAATCCTGCTTGCTTAGGGCGACTCTTCATTCTTCCCGCTGGGCCCAAGTTGCTGCTGGTGGAGGGTCCCAAGACCGTCCGGTGGTCACCCTGGCTGCCCCTCATGGCCTCCTGTGTACAGAACAGCTGCACTCTCACACCAGGCGGCGCAGATCCCTTTCCACCTGGCCAGCACAGGGCCTCTTCCCTGCTGAAGGCCCCAGCGCCCTCTGAGCTGCTTTCTAGCAATCTGAGTCCTCTGCTGCACTTGTATAAATGGCATCTTTTTAACCAGACTAGCAGCTCCACAAGGAGGCCTCCCAGAACGTCTGTCTGGCTCAGTGGGGACTCAGCCTGTGCCTCCAGGCCAGGGCAGCCAGAATCCTCCCTTAGTGCAGACACTAGGCCTCTCCATGTGAACACACTGCCACATGCAACCTGGGGCCCTGGGCTGCCCATTCCAGCCAGAGCCCACAAAGAGGGACGCTGATGCAGAGAAAGGCAGTGAAACCACACACGATGCACACATGCAACACACCCTATGCACACACATGCACGTGCAACACAACATACACATGCAACACACACCATGCACACAAACAATATACACATGCACCATGCACTACATGCACACACAATAGACACAACACACACAAAACACGTCATGCACACTACACACATAACATATACTATACATAACACACAAAACATGCACGCACAACACACATCATACATGTTCAACACATACCACACACAACATATGCATTCAGTGCACACCACACACACACAACACTCAACACACACATGCAACACACCCTACGCACGCACATCACTCACAATGCACACAACATATACAATACACACCACGCACACACAACATATACAAAACACACCATGCACGTACAACACACACAACATATACACAACAAAAAACATGCACACACAACACAAAACACATATCATGCATGCAAAACACACACAACACACACCACACACACAAGACACTTGAAACCTACCCAATAGTGCCACAGACAGTTGTTTTTGCATAAACATAGAAATGGATCCTTCTGCTGTTGAAGTCTGAAACTTGTATTTGCTTGATGCAAGTTCCTTCCTCAGGAAAGGACTTTCAGGAAGTATCAAAGAACTGAAACTCATCACATCACCCCCCCAGATGCCTCCTTGCCCCTCCCTAGTTCCTGTTTTCCCACACACTGTTACTTTTCTTCCCTGCTGTATAAACCCCTAGTTTTAGTCAGTCAGGGAGATGGATTTGAGACTGAGCTCCCATTTCCTCGGCTGCAGCACCCGATTATAGCCTTTTTCTGTAGCAATACTTGTCTCAGTGATTGGTTTTCTGTGTGGTGAGCAGCAGAACCTACACCAAACCCCTGGTGTTTTGGTAACAGATTTTGGTTCCCTGACCAGGAATGTGTTGTTTGTGGTTCCGCTGCCTTGGACCTGGGGTCTCAGAAGCCCTCCTAAGCTGCCTGCCCACTTTTGGCTGGAAGCGAGTTTCCATCTCTCTTTGGCTTTGCCTTAGCTGGCCCCGACTGCATTCCTGATTGCCTTGGAAGAAGCCCCTTCCTAGAAGCACCTCTACATCCAAAGAGGTGCATGTCCTTTTTGGGCCCATATAGCAGGATCTGCTCCTCTCAGTTTGGGAAAATTTTAAAGGAATTTCCATTTGCAGGTTGAACAAGCCCTGCAAAGAGCTTGATGGGGGAGCACCCTGACTGTTGTTTCAGTATGGATACTCTTGGGGGCTTGTTTGTAATTGTGTGGTGTGCGGGCAAGTGCATGTCTTTTGTAGGTACCAGACAGCAGGATCAGCTCCTCTCAATTTGGGAAATTCCTAAGGAATTTTTGTTTGCAAAAACCAAAAGCCTAACCGATGGAGAAAGGAAGCACCCCAACTGTTTCAGTTTGGACACTTGGGGCTTGTTTGTTGCAGCAGCAACTGGATTGTGTTCTGGCGATTGTGTGTGTGTGTCTGATATAGTCATGGGAAATTAGAATTTGGTAAACTTGATTTTTTTTTTTTTTTTTAAGACAGAGCCTTGCTCTGTCAACTAGGCTGGAGTGCAGTGGCACAATCTTGTCTCACTGCAACCTCTGCCTCCCGGGTTCAAGCGATTCTCCTGCCTCAGCCTCCCGAGTAGCTGGGATTACAGGCGCAGCCACTACACCCGGCAATTTTTGTATTTTTAGTAGAGACAGGGTTTCACCATGTTTGCCAGGCTGGTCTTGAACTCCTGACCTCAGGTGATCCACCCACCTTGGCCTCCCAAAGTGCTGGGATTACAGGTGTGAGCCACTGCGCCTGGCCATAAACTTGATATTCTTTTGCAATACCGTTTGGCCACAATATCGTTTGGAATGTGGAGTTTGCTGTTAAATGGGAAAGTGGGTTGGAGTTGCATGTATCCAGGTTTCTGTGCTGCTGTTCTAAGCAGGGTTGAGCCTGCTTAGTATGTGGTGCTCTCCTTTGGTGCTGTTTGGCCACAATGTTCTTTGGAGTCTGGGGAGGTTGGGCCTTTGAAAATCAAACTGCTATGGAAACTACCCAAAATTTTGGTTCACAGCCTTCACCAGATTACCTACTGGGGCAAAAGAAGTGTAACCATGTAAAACCAGTATGTTTGTATTGCTATCTCATTGCTAGAGCTCTAAGGTAAAAGCTATTGGATCTTTGTGTGTGTACGCATATCTATATGTGTTTATTTGTATGTACACTTATTGTTATATGTTGTGTCTACCAAATTGGCTTATAAATAAAAGAGCACTCAGGCCGGGCATTGTGGCTCATGCCTGTAATCCCAGCACTTTGGGAGGCCGAAGCGGGCAGATCACAAGGTCAGGAGATCAAGACCATCCTGGCTAACATGGTGAAACCCCGTCTCTACTAAAAATACAAAAAATTAGCCGGGTGTGGTGGCGGACGCCTGTAGTCCCAGCTATTCAGGCGGCTGAGGCAGGAGAATGGCATGAACCCGGGAGGCGGAGCTTGCAGTGAGCTGAGATGGCGCCACTGTACTCCAGCCTGGGCAACAGAGCAAGACTCCATCTCAAAAAAAAAATTAAATAAATAAAATAAAATAAAAATAAATAAAAGAGCACTCATACATTAAGTAAATTAAGTCCAAGCTATTTTCAAGTTCATGTGACTTAAGTAAATCTTTACTAGCTTGCTTTAAAATGGTTGGTAAAATGAAAACAGGAATGTCTTCAGAATTGTCAGCATATATTTTTGTCTGGTTTTTATATTTGTCTCTGGGAGATATTTTGAGATGTCAGGGTTTGGCATGGAAGGTTATAAAACTATAAAGCTGGCCAAAACAAAATGATCTTCATGCAAATTTTTTGATAAGTCAGACTGTTATTGGTTTAATGAAAACAGCTGAATCTTCTGAGTTATTAGT
Organism: Homo sapiens; assembly: GCF_000001405.40. Lineage (NCBI taxonomy): Eukaryota > Metazoa > Chordata > Mammalia > Primates > Hominidae > Homo > Homo sapiens. The sequence continues at coordinate 130,983,315 of NC_000002.12, read as the reverse complement.
GACAATGCCCATGTAGTTAACTTTAAGGTTCTTATTTCAGTGAACATCTGATATTCACAGATTATAAAATTGTTAAGAAGGAAATTACTAACTTTAAATGATGGTGTTTAATCTCTCAGTTTTCAGAAGTAATCTAGATAAACTGCTAAAAATGAAAGAATTGAGTACATGTAAATGGGATGTTTTAGGTAAACTTTTTGTGTAATTTAAAATCTGGAAATTATTTTTGATGCTCATTAGATATGCAGGTTGCTTCCAATTAAAAAAGCTTTGTGATATAGGAAAATATGTTTCTGAAAATTGTGGAACTGTTCTTAACTATATAAAATGTTCATATCTGATAGTTCAGGATTTCTTGCTTTTTAGGGTTTCACTAAAATTTAAGGTTACTAAGGATAAGAATTATAGTTAATAGTAATTCTGTATATAAATGTGCCAAAAGATGTATTAGAAAAACAGTAATTTTGTCTAATTCAGAAGTTATCTAAAAGTTAGTTCAAATTACACCTTTAAAAAGATTATTTATGAAACAAGGCAGTAGGAATCAGTAAGTAAGGGAGAGAGATGTGAAAAAAGTTATATATATGAAGATGTATTTTTGGTAAGGAAGGTTATAAAGAAAAGCTAATTTTGTATGAGAAAGAATCTTGTATGGTAAATTCTTTTGGCCTACAGTAAAATGGTAAGAAAGAAAAGAAGAAAGGAGGAGGAGGAGGGAAAGGAGGAGGAGGGGGAGGAGAAGGGGGAGGAGGAGGAGGCGAAAAAAGAAGGAAGAAAAAATCTGGGACTGAACAGAAAGCCCAGGCATGTCATGGATAATCTGTGTAAGTCACATGTAATTTTTTTCTGTTTCTCTGTGTGTCTATCTTCATGCACATACAGACAAAATAGAAAGTTGAAAAAGTTTAGATAGTAAAGCATTCTTTAAAACCTGATAGACAATTGGAGAAATTTGGCTAATTAACATTTTCATAGTTAAAGCTCTCAGTCCTGATTAAAATAAAATAAATATTATAAAAAAACGCAGGCCGGGCATGGTGGCTCATGCCTGTTATCCCAGCACTTTGGGAGGCTGAGGCACCTGAGGTCAGGAGTTCGAGATTAGCCTGGCCAACATGGTGAAACCCTGTCTCTACTGAAAATATGAAAACTAGCAGGGCGTGGTGGTGGGTGCCTGTAATCCCAGCGACTAGGGAGGCTGAGGCAGGGGAATTGCTTGAACCCAGGAGATGGAGGTTGCAGTGAGCCAACACAATGCCACTGCACTCCAGCCTCGGTGACAGAGTAGGACTCCATCTCAAAAAAAAATGTATTGGCAGTTTGGCAATTCTTTTTTACTGTAGTTAAGCATGAAGCCAGATTTAGTGTACATGTTTGTATTGCTTCACACTATGTTTGTTGTTTTGCATGGATAGTGCTGGCACTAGAGTACTTACTGGCCATGTGCCTAGAATGAATTTCTTGATTGCACAGGATGTATGGTAATATTGGTGGACTTAAGGATACTGACTTGTGTGATCAGGAATAAAATATTCATTATGTGGGGTTTTCTTGACTCTGGGTAACACTGCAGCCTCCAGGGTAACTGAGTGGGGAAAAGAATGGGGGGTCTGTTTCCTGTTTGTTTTTACTTCTTTTTTTTCTTTTTTTTTTTTTTTGAGATGGAGTCTCGCTTTGTCACCCAGGCTGGAGTGCAGTGGTGCAATCTTGCTCACTGCAACCTCCACCTCCCAGGTTCCAGCTATTTTCCTGCCTCAGCCTCCTGAGTAGCTGGGACTACAGGCGCCTGCCACCACACCTGGCTAACTTTTGTATTTTTTGTAGAAACGGGGTTTCACCATATTGGCCAAGCTGGTCTCGATCCCCCGACCTTGGGATCCGCCTGCCTTGGCCTCCCAAAGTGCTGGGATTACAGGCCTATTTTCACTTCTAGTTTTTATTTGTTGCTGTTTGTTCTCCTTTGGGTTTTTCTTGTGTATGCGTAGATATAAAACTGATGTTTTTTAGTTTTTAGTAGAAGGCATTTATTTGGTTCTGTGAATAATTATTTTGTTTCCTATGCATTTCTAGCAAGTCATTATTTGTTCTATTTATCTAGAATTCCCAGGCTATCTTTGTTTGGTCTTCAGGAATGGATGGAGCACAACAGCCATTTGAAATTTGGTTGGATTTGCTTGCCTCTAATGATCTACAGAGCTATGAGAGTTTTAAGGTTCCCAGCCACAAAAAAATGAAATAATAAAAGACTTAAGTTCTGAACAGAAATAGCATATTACAAATTTTGTAATTTGGCAAAAGTAGGTGAGAACAGAAATGTTTCAATGGTGTTTATATTCAAGGTAACTCAATTCAATCAACAATTTGAGTTGGTTTCAGATCTTTTCCTTTAGGTGGTGAAGAAAAACTGTGATATGGGTACATGGTTTTAATATTCAGGAAAGATTGGCCTTATCCTTAAGGAAATTATATTGAGTAGAATTTCTCTCAAACTAATTTAAAGTGACATTCACTTGGATTAATTAGTAATTTTAAAAAAGGTGAGACTTCCTGGTGATTTGTGATCTCAAGCTGTTTATCACTGATGGGCCTTCATGTATGTACCTGAAAACAAATTATGTGCACATGCTGCACTGGTTTACAGATTTGAGTGGTGAAGGTTGCCTAACCAGTCGTCAGTACTGTATCTAGAAACCAATCTTAGAAATGTGTGTTGATGTGTTTTCAAAATAGCTGAAAAGAAATTGCTGTGTGCTTATTCTTACTTTCTCCCTGTTTCGTTGTATAGTATTTAAGTGAAAGATTACTTCTCATACTAAATTTCCAAAACTGATATTTGCATTTATCATTTTTTAATGATAAAGAAAAAATGTTAGTTAGTCTTATTTTGCTAAGTCTGGCATAGGACTTATAATTTTTTTTTTTTTTTGAGACATGGTCATACTCTGTCACACAGGGTGGATGGCATGATCTTGGCTCACTGCAACCTCTGCCACTGGGCTCAAGTGATTCTCCTGCCTCAGCCTCCCAAGTAGCTGGGACCACAGGCACCCACCACCATGCTCAGCTAATTTTTGTATTTTTAGTAGAGATGGGGTTTCACCATGTTGGCCAAGCTGGTCTCAAACTCCTGAGCTCAAGTGATCCACCTGCCTCGGCATCCCAAATTGCTGGGGATACAAGCATGAGCCACCATGCCCATCCAGACTTACAACGTTTTTTATGTTTTTGTTTACAGTTATGTTACTAGAATACTAGCAATTAGACATATGTGATGAGTAACCTAACTACTTTAATACAGTGGTTTGAAGTGTTGCTGGCAGTAACTTCTAAACACCAATTACATTGTTTTAATTTGTAACATGTTAGAGAGAATGATAGTTAAGTATTAGGTCTTATTGTTTGAGAAAGTTTCCTCTCTATCAAAGCGTAAACATTTTATATTATAATTTTCGCTACCTGAATGACTATTTTATAGAAACTTGTGATCCTATTTTGTGATATTGGGTGTCTGTCTGAAACCTTTGAAATCTGACAGATTTTCTAACAGCAAAATTTCAGGTTTTTTTTTTTTTTTTTTTTTTAGATGGAGTCTTGCTTTGTCACCGAGGCTGGAATGCAGCGGCACAATCTTGGCTCACTGCAACCTCCACCTCCTGGGTTCAAGCCATTCTCCTGACTCAGCCTCCCGAGTAGCTGGGATTACAGGCTCCCGCTACCAAGCCCATCTAATTTTTGTAGTTTTAGTAGACATGGGGTTTCACCATGTTGACCAGGCTGCTCTTGAATTCCTGACCTCAGGTGATCTGCCCACCTCGGCCTCCCAAAGTGCTGGGATTACAGGCATGAGCCATCACGCCTGGCCAATTTCAAGTTTTAAATTCAGTCTTTTTGTCCTCAAACTAAACTTTTTGGATATTAGGTTCCCTGAAGTTCAAGAGAGACATGGTTGGGATTATTAGGCTTGTTATATTAGAACTATGCAGGAAGCATTGTCAAATCTGAGGTGGTGTTTAGCTTCCTTCAAGTTATATTTATATAGATGTGTTGCTAACATGGGTTCTAGGATTATATGAGATTCCTAAAATTCTGATATGCCTTAATATATGTTGTCAGTAATAGTTATGATTGTCACGTTAAATTGTTGTATGCCACAGAAATAACCAAATTTTCCTGTCAACGGTGTCATTAACTATGGCTGTCTTAAGACTTTTGTCATCCACAATTGATGTTTTACTTTGATCCTTCTCAAAAAAAACTGGCTTAGAATTAGCTACAGTCCAAGGCTTACTTCTTTGGAGGAGTTCTTGAAAAGGACTCGTGAGTGCAGGTTTCTGATAACTTTGGAGATTGTGCCATTGGATTAGAGGGAGAACTTCCACTGCACAAATTGAAAGGCTGATGTGTTCCTGAAGATTGCTAACCCAATATGAAGCAGAGCAGGAGGTGACTGCATGGACTGAACTACTGCAGGACAGAAATAATTTTTTTTATGGCTTTTGTTGTTTGAAATATTGCTGATTCTTTTTGTTTTGTTTTTCAGAGTCTGGAGAATTTTTTTTTTTTTGGAGCTATTTATAGCCTTGAAATATACTTTAAGTGTATTGAGTATACTTTTGTAAACAGAATTTGAGTCATATTTCTCTGCCTAATTTCTCCAGAATTTGTAAACTATTCGTGAATATTCTTCATTCATGGCAATGTGTAATTCTTTGCACAAAGACCATGTTTTCTTTTGTAATGCGACACAATTGAAGGGACTGGTTATTTTCTCAGGGCTTTGACTGAAATAGTCTTGTGAGATGTTCCAGCAAAGCCAACTTGGGAATCTATATGGACAGTGATTCTTGTTGCACTTTGTGTGAGTAATCAGGCCAAGAATATGGGACTGACACTTATTATGCAGCTAGGTTGGTCCTGCTGTGATTTGTCTTTGGCAGAAGTGTGGACCAGGGAGAAATATTGTATGTCAGAAGAAAACTCTATATTAGATTAACCTTCGATTCCTGGGTGGCTACATGGTCAGCCATGGTATGGAGCTGCCCACGACACCCCTCCTCAGCATGAAGCAGCCAGAAAGATCAATGACGAGATTCCTCATGATTGTGGAACTGATAAATAGAAAGGGGGGACTGAAACCAGCCCGAGGGTCCCATAGACAGTTGCTTTTGGATAAACATAGAAATGGATCCTTCTGCTGTTAAAGCTTGAAACTTGTATTTGTTTGATATGAGTTCCTTCCTCAGAAAAGGGATCTCAGGAAGTGTCAAAGGAGTGAAACTCACCAGATCACCACATCAGATGCCTCCTTGCCCCTCCCTAGGCCCTATTTTCTCACACACTGTTACATTTCTTCCCTCCTACATAAAGCCCTAGTTTTAGTTGGTCAGGGAGATGGATTTGAGCCTGAGCTCCCACCTCCTTGGCTGCTGCACCTGATTAAAGCCTTCTTCCTTGGCAATACTTGTTGTCTCAGTGATTGGCTTTCTGTGTGGTGGGCAGCAGAACCTAGACCAAACCCCTGGTGACACATACACAACTCACCATGCATGCACAACTCACACAACATACACACATACACATGAAACACCACACACGCACAAGATGCAAAAAAAACACGTTTGCACAATGCACACAGCGCACACACACACACCATACATACACGACACATGCAAAACACAAAACACACACAGCACACACCATACATATGCAACGCATATGCACCACACATACACAACATACATGTAACATGCCCAACACACAAAACCCAGAACATACACACAATGTATACCACACATGCACAACATACATACACATCATAAAACCACTATACACACAAAGCACACACAACATAAACACTACACACACACGCAACATACACCACATAGAAAACACAAACACACCCCATACACAAAAAACACATCACACAACACACACAACATACGCAACACAATATAGGCACCATACTCTACACACACCACATACTTAACGCACCAACTACAAACACAAACACACACTATGCATACTAACACTGACACACCACACTAGCACATACCACACACTACACATGCACAGCATACACCACACACATCACACGCACACCGCACAAAAACCACCCATATCACACCACAAACACAACACACAATACACAGAAGCACAACACGCTACACACTAACATACACAGACATCACACAAACACATCACATACACCACACACACTAACACACCACACACACCACACAGTAACACACATACAAAACACACCACACACCAACACACACACCATTCACACTTAACACACACTGCAAACACATGCCAGACACAGTAATATACACTACAAACACACCATGCACACTAACACACCACACATACATCACACACACCACACATACTAACACACCATACACACCACACACTAATGCATACCACACACACACCATGCTCACATACACCAGACACACACCACAAACACGCCAAACATACACAATGCACACACACATCACTGCCTCCCTCTGGGCTCTCTGCAGGCGAGGCTGTGCTTGGCTTTCTGATGGGCCCTCTTCTGCGGGAGCCAGCACCTGCCATCTGCCAGCTCTTGCCCCCAGTCTGAGACCCCACCTTTTCCTTCTCCACCACATCCTACACGTCGAGTTTTTGGTTGAGATTTTAGGACTCGTATTTATTTCTGAAATTTCGTGGAGTGAGGCTTTTCACACCTGCCTTCCTATTTCCCTGTCTCCTCCCTGTGAATCACTGGCTGGCACAGTTATTGGCTGACTTTAGTGACCGAAATTCAGAAGGCTGCTTGAAAGGCCTCCCGACTGCCTAACTATTCTCTTCCCATGCTCAGAGCTCAGGAAAGGTGTGCAGCGTCTGCGTGCAGGTGCAAGCAGGAAACTAAAGCACTTTCCAAGTATGATCCTCAGGAAACTAGTTGTACAGATGTGTACACACACACACACACACACAGACACACACACACACACGATTCTGGGGCCGAATGAGTTTTGAGAGCTCTAGATGCAAACAGGAACGTCCTAGGCTCTGCGATGTTTAACCACACTCTCCAACATATCTGACTCATGGATCCCTTTTCCCTCTTATCCCTCAAGACCAATGCCCTGGGCCACACACCCTGGGATGTTCCAGGACATGGCTGAGCTTCTTCTTCACACTCATCACCTTGCACAACCTCTCCATGTGTCCATTCCCTCACTTGTTTCACAGAGACTGGAGGCAGTCCGAGCAGAGTAAACACGGGATTCGGATAGACCTGAGGTCGACCCTGGGCTACTCCAGCAGCCAGCCTGTGACGGACCCCCATGGGACAGTTATTTAGCCTCCGGGAGCCCCCATCTTTCTTACCTAAGAAACAACTGCAGTGAGAATGGAGTGGAACCCTCCTGAGCGCCCGTCCTTTCTCCTTGCCCACCTCCCTCAGCAGTCCTCCGCCTCTGACCGCCCAGAGCACTGTGATGGGACAGTGACGCCTCAGTGCCAGGCCTGGATGCCAAGCAATGACTCTCAGAGCAGTTCATGTTTTAAAATGTGCCAGGGATTTGTTTTAGTCATGTGTGGTAAGATACACAGACATGGAAATGGCTGTCAAGGAAGCCATTACAGTTCTTCCAGTTTTACTTACAGTTCTGTAGAAGTGGGGTGCAGGGCATGCCACGTGCAGCCTTCTGGGCGGCACAGGTGGGACTGGAGGCAGGGAGCAGGGCAATGGGGACAAGAGTCACTTCCATGGGAAAGGCAAGGCAAAGTGGGGCAGGCAGGCATAAGATGGGCTGGGTCTGAATAATTTCCAGAGGCTCTGGAGTGAGGGCTGTCCCGAGTTTTTTGGTACCTGGGCCTGGGATGACTAAGGTAGGGGCCCAGTGGCTCAGCAGGTTAGAGCCCAGCAGAGGAGGTTTTGAGAGTAAGGGCTGTGGCCTGGTGGTTTGCATCTGAAGAGCATGCTCTCAGGTGGGTGTCTGCTGTCTCTAGGAATTAGCTAGCCCTCCGAGGGGCAGTCTCCAGGGTCTGGAAGGCCCCAAGATGTCAAAGCATCAGGAAATACAGAAAATTTAAAAATGATTCACACAATTAGCTCCTTAGACACTTGGAAGGAGAGGATGCGATCCTCACTGCTAAGTCCAAGTTGTCCACGTGTCCAGAACTTAATTCAGCATTTCCCTCATCCAAATCTATTTGTCCTGGACTGCGGCCCTCAGACAGCACGTCCATCCGTCCATGTACCCAAGGCAACCCCTGGGGGTCACAGACGCTGCTCTTAAAAAAGAGCTTTACACCTGAGACTAACTTATTTTTTTTTAAAGGAAAAGGAAAAAGAACTTTAGTATCAAATAATATACTGATGCAAAAAATTGAGTCTCTGTTAAACAATTCTTGGATTATAGGTCAAGAGGCTGTAGAAGGTTATCTGTTGCTTTCTGTGGAATCTACTCAGATGGCAGAGATTCTGTGTATTATCAGAATCAATTCTTGTGTTTTATGTTAAGTTTGTCATGCCCTTGAGTATTTCAGAAAACAAAAATTTCTTACTCAAAAAAGTTGCCGGGTGCAGTAGCTCACACTTGTAATCCCAGCATTTTGGGAGGCCAAGGCGGGTGGATTGCTTGAGCTCAGGAGCTTGGGACCAGCCTGAGCAACATAGCGAAACCCTGTCTCTACAAAAAATACAAAAAAAAAAAAAAAAATAGCTGGGTGTGGTGGCGTGTGCCTACTGTAGTCCTAGCTACTCAGGAGGCTGAGGTGGGAGGATCGCTTGAGCCTAGAAAGTGTGGAGGCTGCAGTGAGCCAAGATCATGCTATTGCACTCCAGCCTGGCAGACAGAGCCAGACACTGTCTCAAAAAATAAAAACAACAAACAAAAAGAGCTAGGATTCTTTACAGTTATGTTCATTTAAATATATTTTATTTTTAATAAAATAAAACCTGTAGGGCAAGGTTGATAAGGAAAAAAAATTATTGTCACTTTGGTCAAATAGTTAGCCAAGTATTGTTCTTGATAGCCCATGTTTCTATCTTTTTTTTTTTTTTCCAGACAAGATCTCACTCTGTTGCCCCATCTGGAGTGCAGTGGTGTGATCTCGGCTCACTGTAGCCTCAATCTCCCAGGGTCAAGCAATCCTCCCACCTCAGCCTCCCAAGTGGCTGGGACGACAGGTGTGTGCCATCATGCCTGGCTAATTTTTTTTTTTTTTTAGTAGAGACAAGGTTTTGCCATGTTGCCCAGGCTGGTCTTGAACTCCTGAACTCAAGGGATCTGTCCTACTCAGCCTCCCAAAGTGCTGGGATTACAGGCATGAGCCACTGCACCCAGCAAGATTCTATCTTAATCAGTGTTTAAATCAGATGACTTCTGATAACAGACAACAGACAACTTTGATATTTTGCCTTTCCAAAATCAAACACTAAATGATAACTTTTGTACCTAAAATTATCTTTGAGATTTCCCAGTAGGCCCCTGGAAAGTATAAATCATCTATTCTCTCACCTTGCAGACAAAACAAGTGCTAGGAATATTTAAGTTTTGATATGTAATGTTGGATATGTTACTGCTGATTAGCTGAATGGGAAGAGCTGTCGAATTGGAAGAGATGCTGAGCCTTCTCTAGGTCAGATATGCATGGGTAAAATGGTAAATATTTTGGAAATGTTATGCTGTATGGGAAGCTCCTGGAGCTTCACTGTCCATGATGGGTATCCACTTATCAGAGCCCTGGTGCTCCTCTGCCTGGTATCAAAGAGTAACTTGCAAGAAGTGCTAGTATGGGGCCAGCAGTCATAATTTCATTTATTTTATTTATTTATTTACTATTTGGAGACACAGTCTTGCTCTGCCACTCAGGCTGGAGTGCAGTGGGATGATCTTGGCTCACTGTAGCCTCCACCTCCCAGGTTCAAGTAATCCTCCTGCTTCAGCTTCCCAAGTAGCTGGGATTACAGGCTTGCACCACCATGCCCAGCTAATTTTTGTATTTTCAGTAGAGACAGCCTTTCACTGTGTTGGCCAGGCTGGTCTTGAGTTCCTGGCCTTACGTGATCTGCCTGCCTCAGCCTCCCAAAGTGATGGGATTACAGGCATGAGCCACCTCATTCGGCCTCATTTATTTTTTAAATGTTAACTTGATTGCAACTTTACTTCTTTTATTTGCATCCTTCCTGTAGGCCAGCAGTTTTAATTGGGGGTTCACATCACTTACCTGTGGAGGTTTATTAATATACAGATGTTTAGAGCTTGCTCTAGACTTACTGAATCTCTTTATAGATATTCTTGGTATAATCTTTGTATATTCCAACTGTATGCTTAGTATTTTCATGATATAATTTTGTCAGGATTATAATATGTTGTATCTGAAGATATTAAAGATTATGTTCATCCATTTCTATAGTTAGGTGTAATGTTAACTATCTTCTTTGAAAGTAAGCTTAATCATTATATAATTTTGTTGTCTCATATTTGTTTATTGATTTTATCTTGTTTTGTATATTGCGGAAACAATCACATTTCCTTGTCAGTTGCACTATCCTTAGTATGAGCTCTCAGCAGATCTTTCACTTTTGAAAATTATCAGTAACACATTAACCACAACCACTTTAAGTCTTTCGCTGATAGTTTACAGATAGGTTTTTGTTTTGTTCTGAAGTTTCAGCTACTAGCCTGAGTGCTTCTTCAACAAAGAAGTCTGTCTCTTCTTTGGAAAGGGCCCTGCCAAGAACTCTTGGGTGCAGGCTTCTGATGATGTTATGTCAACAACTTTGAGACCACAACAGAGGACTGAGTCAGGATTTCCAGAACTCTAGTTCTGAATGCAGGTTCAAGAAACTGCAAACCCAAGAGAGAGTGGAGCAAGGATTAATCACATAAACCCAAATGAACTCAAGAAGGTGACTGTGGCTCTTATTATTAGGAGCATTGCTGATATTTTAATGTTCTATTTTCTGGAATATAAGGATCTCCTTTTTCTTTTCTTTCAAGGTATCTTTAACTCATTAGTAGGCCTTTAGTAGACTATGCTCTTATAAACTGAAATGAAACATTTGTAAGTGATATATTTTTCTCCTGCCCAAGCCCTCAGAATTTGGAAATTCTTACTGAGTATTCTTATTTTCGCGGCAATATAATTATTTCATAGGTTCAGTAAGAATCTGTCTTCCTTGTTAACAGGACATTTATTAGAAACATTAGTTATACAACCCGAGGCCTTGCCTGGAATGACTTATTTGAGAATGATGTTCATTTAATTAAACATAACCAGACACTTTTAAAAAGCTAAGGTTGACTTTATGGAGCCAATGCTTATAAAGGCCTGTTGGAAAAACTGGCCTAGTACCTGGCTTATGGGGCCCCCAGCACTATAGATTTTACTTAGGAAAGTCACTGTCTGGCAGACCCAGGAACTTGAAAATATATTGGAAACGTCGAGAAGAGAAGAATTCACCAAAATGTATAGGCACTGCAGTGAGGTCTGGTGGAGAGCTCTTGGCGTGGCCGCCTCGCCTCAGATGTATGATGTTTCTAAACTGACTCCATACTGTTAAGATTTCAATCCTCCCAAAACTGATCTACAGATTCAACACAATCCATATCAAAACTCAAGAGGATATTCTGTAGATACTGACAAGTTGATTCTTTTTTTTTTTTTTTTTTTTTGAGACAGTCTCCCACTGTTGCCCAGGCTGGAGTGCAATGGCACAATCTCGGTTCACTGCAACCTCCACCTCACAAGTTCAACCAATTCTCCTGCCTCAGCCTCCTGAGTAGCTGGGATTACAGGCGCCCGCCACCACGCCTGGCTAATTTTTGTATTTTTAGTAGAGACGGGGTTTCACCATGTTGGTCAGGCTGGTCTCAAACTCCTGACCTCGTGATCTGCCCGCCTGAGCCTCCCAAAGGCTGGGATTACAGGCGTGAGCCACTGCACCTAACTGATATTGACAAGTTGGTTCTAAAATGTATATGAAAAGGCAAAAAAGAAGAAGAATTAAAACAATGTTGAAAAAGAAGAACAAAATTGGAGGACTCACATAACTGACTTAAAACTACAGCATGGAACAGAACAGAGCTAGAAATAGACCAACACAAATATAGACTGTTGTTTTTTGACAAAGGTACAAAGGAAATTAATGGAGAAAAAAAGTCTTTTTAACAAATGGTGCTATAAAAATTGGACATGCATATGCAAAAAAATGAACCTTCACTCTTATCTTGAACCTTAAAAAATTAACTCAAAATAGATCATAGATCTAAGTACAAAATATAAAACTGTAAAACCTTCTAGAAGGAAACAAACATAAAAGAAACTCTCTGTGACCTCAGGTTACATAAAGATTTCTGAGATGTACACCAAAAGTATGTTTTATAAGACAGAGAGATGAAAAATTGGATTCCGTCAAAATTACAAACTTTTGTTCAGCAAAAGACACTATTAGCAAGTAAAACACAAGCCACAGACTAGAATAAATATTTGCAAATCACATATCTAACAAAGTACTTGCACTCAGAATATATAAAGAACTCTCCAAATACAACAATAAGAAAACAAACAATCCAATAAAAATTATGTGGGTCTGGATGCTTCAACAAAGAAGATATGCATATGCCAAACACCCACATGAAAAGATGCTCAGCATTAGGAGTTGCTAGGAAAATGCAAATGAAAACCAAATGAGATACTACATACCTAATAGATGGCTTTTCTTTTTTTTTTTTTTTTTTTTTGATGGAGTTTCACTCTTGTTGCCCAGGCAGAAGTGCAATGATGTGATCTTGGCTCACTGCAACCTCCGCCTCCCGGGTTCAAGCGATTCTCCTGCCTCAGCCTGCCGAGTGGCTGGGATTACAGGTGTGCACCACCATGCCCGGCTAATTTTTGTATTTTTAGTAGAGATGGGATTTTACCATGTTGGTCAGGCTGGTCTCGAACGCCTGACCTCAGGTGATCCACCTGCCTCAGCCTCCCAAAATGCTGGGATTACAGGCATGAGCCACCATGCCCAACCTAGAATGGCTTTTAAAAAACCTGGCAATACTAAGTGTTGGTGAGAATATATATCAAGAGGAACTGTAAAATGGTAAAGCTACTTTGAAAGAGTTGACAGTTTCTTATACAGTGAAACACGCACTTACCATATAACCCAGCAATGCACTCCTAGGTATTTACCCAAGAGAAATGAAAACTTACGTACATACAAAGACTCACATACTAATGTTCACAGCAGCTTTATTTGTAACACCCTAAAAGTAGGAACAATCTGAGTATCCTTCAGCTAGTGAATGGTTGACAAACTGTGATACATCCATTTGCTGAAATACTATTTAGCAACTAAGAGGAAAAAACCTAAGGATAAATGCAACAACATGAGGATGAATCTCAAACGCAACACATGAGGTTAAAGAAGCCAGTCAAAAGGCAACATGATATGACTCCATTTCTACGGCATCATGGAAGAGACAAATCCCTAGGGATGGAGTCTAGATCAGCGAGGCACTGGAGTTGGGGAATGAATGGACCACAAAGGGCCTCACTCATGTTCTGGGGCAATAAAACTCTTCTATATTTTTATTATGGTGGGTAGTTACCTGCATGTGTCTGTCAAACTCTAAGAATTGTACACCAAAAAGTGTGCCTTTTACTGTATATAACTTTAAAAATAAATACAGATGGCCTCTGACATAACGATAGTTTGACATATGATTTTTTTTTTTTTGAGACGGAGTCTCACTCTGTCACCCAGGCTGGAGTGCAGTGGCGCGATCTCGGCTCACTGCAAGCTCCACCTCCCGGATTCATGCCATTCTCCTGCCTCAGCCTCCCGAGTAGCTGGGACTACAGGCACCCACCACCATGCCCGGCTAATTTTTTTTGTATTTTTAGTAGAGACGGGGTTTCACCATGTTAGCCAGGATGGTCTCGCTCTCCTGATCTTGTGATCCACCTGCCTCGGCCTCCCAAAGTGCTGGGGTTACAGGTGTGACCCAACGCACCCGGCTGACATATGATTTTTTGACTTTACGACGGTGCAAAAGTGGTACATATCAGTAAAAACTGTACTTCAAGTACCCACACAACCATTCTGTTTTTCCACTTTTAGTACAATATTACATGTGATATTCAACACTTTATTATAAAATCAGCTTTATGTCAGATGATTTTCCCAGCTTCAGGCTAATGTAAGTGTTCTGAGCACATTTAAGGTAGGCTGGGCTAAGCTATGATGTTCAGTAGGTTAGGCGTACTAAATGCATTTTCTACTTATGATCATCTCTAAGAGGGGAGAGCAGGCAAGCAAGCAAAGTAGCCACAAAAACTTTCTGCTTAAAACCTCTCCACAGCTCCAAGTATAATGGATAGTTCATATTTCTTTATTTTTAATTTAATTTTATTTTTTGAGACTGAGACTTGCTCTGTTGCCCAGGCTGGAGTGCAGTGGCGCAGTCTCGGCTCACTGCAACCTCTGCCTCCTGGGTTCAAACAATTCTCCTGCCTCAGTCTCCCAAGTAGCTGGGACTACAGGCGCGTGCCACCACACCCGGCTAATTTTTGTATTTTTAGTAGAGACGGGGTTTCACTATTTTGGCCGGGCTGGTCTCAAACTTCTGGCCTTGTGATCTGCCCGCCTTGGCCTCCCAAAGTGCTTGGATTACAGGCATGAGTCACTGTGCCTGGCCAATAGTTCATATTTCTTAGCAGGGAGCTGCAGCCGGCCTGTCTCTAGCCTCATTTCTTGCAGTGCTCTTCATTTCATACTATTTGCAATTGCTGCAGACTGAAAGCATCCAATGCAGTACCCAGAACAGGGGCTCAGGGCACACAGGTTCCCTTCCTTCCTACATCCTTCTGCATTTGTTTATGTTAGTCCTCTCTCCCAAAAGCTCTTACCAAACTGTTCCTTACCAAGGCTAACTTGCAGGTCTTAGGCCTCAGGGAGAGCCTCCTTCTGAATGGTTTCTCTGAACCATTTCCTTCCTGGCCTGCCCCACATTATAGGTTGGGTCCTACTTTAAGCTTCCTCATCTGTGCAGTTAAGGCTTGGGGATGTTTAAACACTACAAATTCCAAAGGGAGAACTGGCCCTTGACCGGCTCCTACAAGATCACCTTTAAGCCCTAGGAATATCCTGACTGATCAGAGTCACTTTGTGTATCTAGGGCCTTGGGCCATGCCAGATAATTTCCCCCAACAATGTGATTTATGGTTGGGGGGTGGGGGCTTGAACTACACTGTATTAGTCTGACCTTTGGAGGGGCTAGAGACTGAGCAACTAAGGTCAGTCTTGTGGGTGCTGCCTGCCTAAATAACTGACCTCCACCCTGAACACCAAGGCTTGGGGAACTTATCTGGTTGGCAATATTTCACAGGTGTCACATATTGAGGCAGAGTGACTGAAGCATCGTCCATGTGATTCCACAGGAGGGGACACCTGGAAGCTGGTGCCTGGTATCTCCTGGCCTCTGCTCTAAGTGCTCTTTGCCTTTGTTGACTTCAGTCTGTACCCTAACACTGGAATAACTCAGAACCTCTGGTATAACCATGTTTTTGAGCTTCTGTCAGCGTGCTTAGCACACATAATGGGGCATCACTGTCTGTCTCCCTGTGCTGTGATTTCTTTAAGGGCAAGAAATGTGTATGATTCATCTACCACCTCTAGAGCCTAGCACTGTGCCTGGAACACAACAGGTGTTAAATAAATGTGTGGCTGCAGGAGAGGCCTTGCCTGCGGATGCATGCTGCAGAAGCCTGCGGGGGAATGTGGAAGCAGCATGGCTTCTCCACCAAGAAGAGATCCCATGACACTGACCATGGAAAAGGAGGTGAACATGAAAACTGTCAGCCCCAGAAGCCCGAAGAGAGAATTCGGCTTGTCAGATGACACATCCAGAACAGAAATTGTGAAAGCTTCAGCTGAGTACCAGCAGTGTGGCAGCACAGCTGATGGGCTGGAGGCTCCAGGGGCCCGAGGGGAGATGAGAACAGCGGGGCAGAAAGAAGGGCCATGGAAATTCCACCCTGTCAGCTATATTTCGTGTTCGGATTATGCCTCAAAGGGAAGTCCTCTCCACAGCCAGATGAACGACATTTCAGTGGAAATGCCAACACAGAGCATTTAAAATTCAAGGAGTCTTTTGAAAGCAAGGCGAGTCTAGAGGCCCTGCCTGGATTCCTTGTCTACTGCTGTGCGCCCTGTGAGGAAGCTGCTATCCAGTCACAAGCACTCACTTTTCAGATGCTTGCTGGGAACTCCAAAAATGTTTAGCGACAGGCCCCACCACAAAAATCACACCACAATCAAGCTGTGCTGACGATCCCTTACTGGGAACTCTTAATCTTCCTTAAGAGAGAAATGCAGTTCAGTTAAACACATGTGTCCTTTGTCTCAGCCGTTAGACTAGTCAAACAGAAACACAATGTGCAATCAATGGCGACTCAGTGGGGCGCACCCCCCAGATCAATACCCCTGACTAGAGTCATGGCATTTTAGAGGTGATTAGCAAAGAGGTCAGACCTTTGCTTTTAATTTCTTTGCTTTGCAAATAGGAAAGCTGGCATCCAGGAAAAAGCCATGATTGTTGAATGAAAACAGTAACATCAGCGAGTGTGTGAGCAGTCAGGACTATTCCAACGCACCACCGGACCGGCATGCTGCCCGTCCTCGCTGGCACAGACTGGCTGAAAACCCAGCAAAGAGCCTCATCACGTTACATCCAGCCGGGCCTGAAGCTCTGCTCAGACGCAGCCTCACCAGGTAACCTTGGATAAGTTACCACACCTCTGAGCCTGTTTCAAATCCAGATTAGCAGGGAATATTGTGCCTGGCATGTAGAGAGTGCTCAAAAGGTAACCTCCCTTCTCTCCTCCCTTCAAGTTCTCCTCCCTTACCAGCCTTTTCCAACCATATTCAAACAGGATTATTTGAGTGCCTGTTTCCGCAATTCCTCCCAGGGACAGGAAATAGCTAGTTCCGTTGTAGAAGAAGAGAGGCGAGTCTTAGGCACAGTTAATTCTGACCAGTTGAGAAGGACAGACGGCTTCACAGATTCAACTGGCTCTAAGGCATACACGGGAGTGTCTTTTTACACATCGAGCATTGGTCACTGCTGATGCAGGTCCTACCAAACAAGGCAGGAAGTGGGGGCAGAGAGGATGAAGAGGTGACTTTAAATGTCTTCCTCAGTGCCTCTGTGGCTGGTTACTGACCAGCACTCCCCGGGTAGTGTGCTGCCTGTGGACCTAGAGATACCCAGAGCCTACCCTTAGTGGTGCAGTGTCTGTGAGGGGCACAACATTCGTTTCTGGGTCTCACATCAACTCTGACTACATCATGTTGTTTTAAACCCTGCCCTGCCATTGCCGGGCAGCCCTGGGCCCCTCAAAGAGCAACTTCCTAGGCCTCAGCTTTTACCCTGTCCTCCTTCCCCACCCCCTGCTCCCAACTCTCTCTCTCTCCAGATCTTCATGCAAGCATCGCTGTTATCTCGGAAAATTATCCAGGCTGCCTCTGTGTCCCTGGGCTGCCTAATAAACCAGGGAGTCCCTGGATCTCTGGGCTGCCTAATAAACTAGGGTCTCTGCCATTTCCATCTGTCTCACTGGCGCACTTACCCTGGGACAGAAGGAAGAAAGAAAGGAGGAGGTGTCCCCAGGAGGACTGAGGCCTCTGGAAAGGAAGGAAAGCCGTCTGAATAAGGAAAGGGGCAGGAGTCCTCTGCCAGTTTGCTTCAGGCCCCACTTAGGGTATGATCTAGCTTGGGGTTCCCAAAATGGGTTCTATTTAAGCTCCAGAGAGGAGGGAAAGGACAGTTTCAAGGGAACAGGGATGTGATGGAATCAGAGCTGCAGAACAATGGAAAACTCTCCGTTGAAGGAAACATCAACAGCTGGATTATTCAACTTTTCTGAATTTCATGCGTGTGTTTTGGGAACGGGCAGATGAGTCATGGAGTGCTCAATGCAGAGGTCTGCATGTCCTTCACTTCTCTCTCCCAAACTCGCTGACTGCAAAGTCCAAACTCTGAATCTGTCATTCCAGGTGCTCTCAACCCAGCCAGAGCCGACCTTGCTCTATATCTGCCCAACAAGGCCTGTGCTCCACATTCTGCCATCCCTATGGCCCTCTGCTCCTCTGGCTTTGATGCTCTGAGTCTCATTCCACACCTACGTGAGGCCCTGCAGCTTTCACAGGCTGCACCTCCAGCCCCATGCAGAAGCATAGTGGGTGTATAACTCTCTCATTTCCAGGCAGCAACTGTTGCCCTTGACAAACCCCACTGCAGAAGCTACAATATTTGAGAATGTTTGCAAGAAGTGAAATATAAATAATTCTGTCAGCAAATAACCAAGGGTAAGGTGATCACCATTCATAAAACCACTCTTGACTTCCTTGCTCCATTAATATTTAGGGACAAAATCTTCCTCTCAACCAGTAACCCAAATTAGGCCCTCCAGGTAGATTCGGGAGCACTACAGGGATCACACGGTCCCAGGAAACACCAGAGCAATGCCAGGTCGGTAAAGCGCAGTCTTGTTCAGAGGGGTCCAGGACCAGCTGCCTCCGCTGGGAGCTGCAGTCCTGCGGTCAGGACCAAGCGCACTCACAGCCAGGTGGCGCAATCCGTTCCACCCTCGGCCAGCGGCCCCCTTCCATCCTCCTGGCTTTACAGAGGCTAAGCAGCTGCGGTAGGTAAAGCCAGACAGGTGCAACTGGTCAAGAACAGTTTGGGGAAAGGAACACAGCGCATCGGGCACCAAATTCTAGTCTCACCTTAATCAGTTTCCCAGTTGACAGCGCGCTCTGGTATGGGGGCCAACAAGGTCCCGGCTGTAACAGGTGGCCCACCGGTAGACGTGGATCAGAGAGACAGGCAGTGGGAATCAGAAGGAAACCAGAAAAAGAAAAGGAATAGCAGGGCGAAGCAATGGGAAGGAAGGGACCAGGAGATGGAAACGACAGGCAGAAAGTGAGGGAGGAGAAGGAAAGGCAGGAGGGGGGCGGGGGGTCCCAAGAGCACAGACCCGGGCGCGGAGGGCGCGTGCGGCGCGGGGATGGCGGCGTCCTTACCGGCGGTGGCCGAGCGCAGGCTCTCCAGGCTCCAGGAGCGGGACACGGCGCCGCGCATGCCCCCGTTGCCTCCGCGGCCGCCACACACCACGCCGCTGCTGTCCGAGTCGGAGCCCGGGGACAGCCCGGCGCTGCTGCTGCTGCTAGTGCCGAGATCGCCACTCGTCTGCCCGCTTGACTCGCTGGGGCATTGCTGCGCCCGCACGCAGGCGGGCCCGAGCTCCAGCCACAGGCTCGGGGAAGGCTGGGCCGGGGGCGGCGGTGCGGCGGCCGCGGGGCTGCCGGGGGACGGGGCGCGCGAGCCCGGGCCGGGGTCGCAGTCGGAGGGCGAGGGGCGTGCGGGCCGGCTGACATCATGGGGCTCCGTTAAGGAGGCTCTCAGCCGACCCCCCGCTCGGGCTCTGTGGCCGCGGCAGCTGGGACCCTTGGCAGGCGCGGGGCGCGCGCGGCTCGGAGCGAGGCCAGGCGCCCTCCCGGCAGAGCGCAGCGCGTCAGCTCGCTGCCCACTACCGGCCGCCCGGCGGGCGCTGAGCCTCAACGGCGACCCCAGTGCGGGTCGCGGGCCCGGTCGGCACGCGCTCACGCACGCGCGCACGCAGGCCTGGAGCGGCTGCGGCGGCGGGCGCGGGCGCGGGGCTCCGGGTCGTCCTCGGTGCCGCAGGGCCGCGCCGCCGCCACCTGTGTCCGCACGCGTGTGTTAGGACAGGGCCATCCTTAGGAGGCGACGCCCAGGCTCGTCGCAGCCGCGGTGGTGAGGAGGGCTGGTGGGCGCCCACTTTTTCACCGCAAGGATTCCAGCTCAGACGGTTGGCGGCGCCTCCCACGCCATCCAGGGCGAGGACGCAAGCAGGTGGCCCCGCTCGGCCCAGGGCAGAGACCCGGCGGGCAGGCGTGCGCGCCGGCGGGGGGAGCGCGCTCAGACGGGACACGACCCTCATCTGCGCTCAGCCAGGCGCACGGTGAGCGTGGACCACCGGGCGCCTGCGACCCTCCTGACAGCCCGGGCAGGACACACCCTGTGGTGATTAAGGGGCCGAGGAAAGTCCATGCCAAACGATTTTAGAAAGCGTGTGGAAGAGTTCAGTGACCGGGTTTTACAGTGCAAGAGTTCACACACGAAGATTGGGGCCACGAGGCCCACTGCAAGGAGCCAGGAGTTTTATTTTTTTCGGAGTGTGTGTGCGAGGTAGGGGGTGGATAAGGAAGGGCATTACTATTTCATCTGCCCCTCCCAGACACACACAGGTTCTTCTAGGTTCTTAGAGTCCACCCAGAAGCTCCACACAAGGTGACAAGTCAGGATATGAAATGCAAATGCAAATTCCAGGAGGTGAAAAACTGTGGGAGACTTGGTCTCCCTTTGGAGGTTGAGGGGCAGTCGTGATAGCGGCTAATCAGGGCTGCTGATGGCCTTCCCCTTACTGCCCCCCTCCCCGCCCCGACCCCATGTACACAGCATTATCATTCCCCCAAAGCCCTTGGGGGCTGCTTCTAGTGTAAGCAGCAGAAGTATTGAGAGGGAGAGGATGAAATGAGAGGTGCATGCCTTGCTCCAGCACACCAGCTAGTATAGGGTGGGTGCTAGAAAACTGGGCATTTGGTGCCCTGCCCTCCACTGGGGTCCATTTCCTGTGGCCCATCTCCATCCGGAAGCTATATGTGCTCCAAGCTCTGTACCATAAGAGGCCCTGCAGCTTCATAGACGCTTTCTCCTCTCCTTGTGAGACCTCTAGTATCTTGTCTATCATGAGTATATGATTATTTGACCTAACAACCCAGGGGGCTGGGGCAGTGGGCCACCACAGGCTTAGGTAGACTGGAAGCTCCATACATGCTTAAGGTAATAACTGGTGTTGCTGGGTATTTAATTTGATGAGAATTGGGGGATGACTCAGCCAGATCATCACATCAAAGCCCCCTCCTCAGTTCCTCCAGGAAAGAGTGCCTTTCCTGGTCACTCTGTAGCCAGCACGCAACCTTCCAGCCTCTGCTTCCTTTTTTTTTTTTTTTTTGAAACGGAAACTTGCTCTGTCGCCAGGCTGGAGTGCAGTGGCGCGATCTCAGCTCACTGCAACCTACGACTCGCTGGTTTAAGCGATTCTCCTGCCTCAGCCTCCCACGTAGCTGGGATTACAGGCACGCGCCACCATGCCCAGCTAATTTTTGTATTTTTAGTAGAGACAGGGTTTTACCATGTTGGCCAGGATGGTCTTGATCTCCTGACCTCGTGATCCGCCCGCCTCGGCCTCCCAAAGTGCTGGGATTACAGGCATGAGCCACCGCGCCCGGCCTGCTTCCAGTCTTTCTTGTCCTTGGGAAGAGCAGTTCTCCCACTCCTCAGCCCTCATGCAGGCTCTTCTGCATGGGGTCACCATCTGTGTCCTACAGCTGTCCTCTGAAGGCTGCAAGCTTAGCCCTGGTGGGTGGGGAGAAGTGCTGGGGAAGGGATGGCCACTGCCAGAGCCCACTACCCCTCCCAGGCCATCAGCAAGTCTTGTGGGGTCTACCTTCAAAATAAATGTCCAAGTTGTCCGTTTCTCTCTTACTCCATTGCTACCACCGCCATACCGTGCTTGGCGACAGCGTCAGTGTCACCCACTGAGCAGCCCAAGGGAGCTCTAAAATACACATAAATCACATCTTGCTCGTTTCCTGCATCATTATCTTCAGAGGCTTCCCTTCACACTTCGTAAGACCTGGGGGATGCTGCATGTTCTGCCTGATTT
Organism: Homo sapiens; assembly: GCF_000001405.40. Taxonomy (NCBI): domain Eukaryota; kingdom Metazoa; phylum Chordata; class Mammalia; order Primates; family Hominidae; genus Homo; species Homo sapiens. Next base: position 130,961,523 of record NC_000002.12, on the reverse strand, counting down.
CTCTTCCTCCTCCTGTCCCTCTCTGTCCCATGCTCCCTGCACTTCTGCCACAGCCGCCACCTTGCTGCTGTTCCTTCTTGCCTCAGGGCCTGGCACTTACTGTCCCTTTCACCTGGGATGCTCTTCTCTTGGCTTTTCATGGCTTGGCTCCTTCTTGGTCTTCAGATCTCAGTGAATGTCCCCCCTCAGTGAGGCTTCACTGATTCCTTCTCAGCACTTATTCCATCTGTCAGTGGCTTGCTGCTTCTCCCGTCTGCTCCCTGCAGACCAGGTGTGCCATGAGGGCAAAGGGGCATTACCCATCACTGTGTCCAGGGAGTACAGCGCACCTGCTGCAGGCTCCATGCTGGGCAAGCAGCCCGTGGAGGAATGAGGGGGCTGGACCCAATGGTCAGCTGGGAAGGAGAGGGAGGATTCTCGCTGTCTGGGGTCAGGACTTTCAGGGGCCTGAGGTGTGTTGCTAAGTGGAGGGTGCCATGCCAGTGCCTAAAGATGGCTGTGGCCTGAGCAGAAGGAGCCTGTGTGAGCCACTGTGTCAGCCAGACAGCCGAGCCCCATGCTTTTACTGAGTCCATTTCCCTTTTTAATCTTCCGGAGACCTCAGTAATTTTGAATCAGGTCTCCTGCTCCTAGCTGTCTTGTGGGTAAGGGTAGAGTGTCCCCATTTGAGCTCCAGTGTGAAAAGGGGATCTATGTTTCCTAAGACCCTGGGGGTGAGGACAGCTGAAATTAACACTTACCATCAAAGGTGCTGGGGATCTCTGGGGACAAAGACTGGTGCAGGGAGACTTAGCTGCCTTCACCAGGGGAAGATTCCGTCCCCATAAAGCTTACAGGCCCACTTCTGATACTATTAAAAGAGATGGGTGATCCCTTTACCATCATATGGTAGGTTTATAATCATAAATAATCATTTAGGTACATTTACATATATTGCTCATATACAGTCATGAGTTGCTGAACAAGGATATGTCCTGAGAAATGTGTTGTTAGGTGATTTTCTTGTGTGAACATCATAGAGCATAACTTATACAAACCTAAATGTATAGCCTACTGCACACCTAGGCTATATGGTAGAGCCTACTGCTCCTAGGCTGCAAACCTGTACAGCATGTTACTGTACTGAATACTGTAGGGTGATAACACAATGGTAAGTATTCTTATATCTAAACAAATCAAAACATAGGAAAGGCACAGTAAAAATATAGTATAAAATATTAACATCGTAATGGTACACTTGTATAAGGGACTTAACATGAATACAGCTTGCAGGACTGGAATTTGTTCTGTAATGTTTATAAAGTCTACATAGTGTACAGTAATATCCTAGGCCTTCACATTCACTCATCACCTGATGATTTTTTTTTAGCTCCATTATAATCTTAGGGGACCACCATTGTATATGCAATCTGTAACTGACCAAAATGCCATTATATGGCACATGACTGTATATATATTGTGTGTATATGCATGCAACGTGATTATGTATGTATGAATTAATAATGCAGTGTCTTTATCAGAAAGGCCAGCACAGAAGGTTCAGTGTTTTTTGAGACTGGCTTGATGATGTGAAGGTGGTCAATGAAATTCTACTGTACACAAAAAAACAGAAACAGAATGGGATCAAAGCTTGTCTAAGTCTAGAGACAGGCTTCTGCTCTGTCTCTCCTAATTAACCCTGCACTTCAGTTTCCACAACAGTGCTGGATGGAAAGAAGCCAAAGGCCAGAGTGATGTGGGTTCAATCCTGGGTTCAGTTCTGTCTCTTCCTAGTTGTGACCTTGGGCAAATTACTTAATCTTCCTGTGTCATTCTCTCCTTATCCACAAATAGGAATACTGACAACTACTTTTGCAGGATTATTGTGAGGATTAAGTGAATGATGTGTAGATATGCAGTCACACCTAGCAATGTCTGAAATATTAGCTGGTATTTATTAAGCATATACCAGATGTGAGGTACTTTGCATATACTATTTAATATCTACAACTTTATCTGATAGCTACTATTTTAGCCCCATTTTACCACTGAAATTAACTGAGGCTCAGAATAATCCAAGATTATACGCTCAGAAGTGGTGGAATTGGTTCCAGTGCTCGCCACTCATGCTTTGAACCACTGTGCAACCGTTAATTCCCTTTCTCCCCATTCAGAGGATTCCCCAGACACTTTGTGTTGGAATACCATCAATGTCCTTGGCAAATGACACTGTAAACCTTCTATGTGCAGAACATCATGCTAGCTGCTGGCAATAAAAGAAGGAAGTTTAAGAAATGTATCTAGGCTGGGCGTGGTGGCTCATGCCTGTAATCCTAGCACTTTGGGAGGCCGAGGCAGGCAGATCACCTGAGGTCAGGAGTTCGAGACCAGCCTGGCCAACATGGAGAAACCCCATCTCTACTAAAAATACAAAAATTAGCCTGGTGTGGTGGGGTGCGCCTGTAGTCCCAGCTACTCGGGAGGCTGAGGCAGGAGAATCACTTGAACTCAGGAGGCAGAGGTTGCAGTGAGCCAAGATCATGCCACTGCACTCCAGCCTGGGCAACAGAGTAAGACCTCATCTCAAAAAAAAAAAAAGAAAGAAAAGAAATGTATCTAGATATGCCATGAGCACAGCCATTCAACATCTGCTCTAAGACTCTCACTGAAATGACCAATACTAGAGAAAATGAGATTGACTTTTGCAGGACAGTGAGAGGAACTCCATTGACCTGATCCTCAGTGAAACTGGTGAACACTGTTTTAAAAACAACCATTTAAAACCTCTGGAATGGTCCTGAAGAGTAAACAGCAAATAAAGAAACATCTATTCAAGGCCGGGAGTGGTGCCTCATGCCTGTAATCCCAGCACTTTGGGAGGCTGAGTTGGGCAGATCACTTGAGGTCAGGAATTCAAGACCAGCCTGGCCAACATGGTGAAACCCCGTCTCTACTAAAAGTACAAAAATTAGCCAGGCATGGTGGCACACACCTGTAATCCCAGCTACTTGGGAGGTTGAGGTGGGAGAATCGCTCGGATCGGGGGGGCGGAGGTTGCAGTGAGCTGAGATTGTGCCACTACACTCCAGCCTGGGCAACAGAGCAAGACTGCGTTGCCTCCCACCGCCTCCCCAGCAAAAAAAAAAAGACTCCATCTCAAAAAAAAAGAAACATCCATTCAAGAAAATCAATGACAATTCAGTAAGAAAGGTGAGAATCTGTAGGGTTTTAACCAAGATCATTCCCCTCTCCCCCTTTACAGCTCACTGAGGCAGAGACTCCACTTCAGACTACAGCCAAAAACACAGGGCTCCTTCTCCCTACACCTCTCAGCCAGGGATCTTTCTTCCCTGGAAGAGGAGGACAGTGGTATTTCTCATCCTGCCCCCAGCCACCTGTTGCTGAGGCTTAGTCAGGAAGCCGTCTGTTACTGATGAGAGTGGTGAGCCGGGGTGACTTCCTTCTTTGGCAAGCTGAGCATACTGAGCCTTGGGGAGCCTTTACCCCTGCTTCTTTCTTTTTTTTTTTTGTTCCTTTTAAAAACTTTATTGAATATAAATTACATACCATTAAAATCTACCCATTGTAAAATGCCTTAGTTCAGGCTGCTATAATTGGATACTACAGACTGAGTGGCTTATAAAAAAAATAGGAATTTATTTCTCACAGTTAGGGAAGCTGGACGTCTGATATCAGGGTGCCAGCCTGGCCAAGTTCCAGTGAGGGCCCTCTTCCAGGTTGCAGACTACCGATTTCACATTGTATCCTCACACGGTGGGAAAGAGGGCTAGAGAGTTTTCTGGGGTTCTTTTATAAGGGAACTAATCCCATTCATGAAGGATCCACCTTCATGATCTAATTACCTCCCAAAGGCCTTACCTCCCAATACCATCATATCGGGGTATAGGATTTCGACACATGAATTTTTGGAGGAACACAAACATCCAGCCCACGAGTGTACAATTTAACAATTTTAGTATATTTGCAGTTATCAACAATCATTACAATCCAATTTTAGAACATTCTCAACACCCCCACCCAAAATGTTCCTTCATGCCTATTTATAGTTAATCCCGATTCTCACTTTATGCAACAACTGTTCTGATTATTGTCTCTATAAATTTGTCTTTCAAGAATTTCATATAAATGTAATCATATAATATATGATCTTTTGAGCCTGGCTTCTTTCACTTAGAATAATGTTTTGAAGTTCATCTATGTCGCAGCATGTATCAGAAGTTTATTCCTTTAATTGCTGAACTGAATTCCATTGTAATGACATACAAAAAAAAAAAAGAATGAGTTGGGAAGTGTTCCCTCCTCTTCTACTTTTTGGAAGAGTTTGTGAAGAATTAGTCTTTTTATTTTATTTTATTTGTTAACAATCCTTTAAAATGTAAAAAACAAAAAACTATTAAATTGCACACTTTAAAAGGGTAAGTTTTATGGTATGTAAAGGAATTGAGAAGAGCCTGTAATCCCTGAAAAGGCTTATCTATTTTTGGTTTAACTTTTTTCTTAGGGTACAACACTTTATTTTTTATGTATTTATATATTTATTTATTTATTGGCTTTTTTTAAAATTATACTTTAAGTTTTAGGGTACATGTGCACAATGTGCAGGTTAGTTCCATATGTATACATGTGCCATGCTGGTGTGCTGCAGACTCGTGATTTGGCATTAGGTCTATCTCCTAATGCTATCCCTCCCCCCTCCCCCCACCCCACGACAGTCCCCTGAGTGTGATGTTCCCCTTCCTGTGTCCATGTGTTCTCATTGTTCAATTTCCATCTATGAGTGAGAACGTGGTGTTTGGTTTTTTGTCCTTGTGATAGTTTACTGAGAATGATGATTTCCAATTTCATCCACGTCCCTACAAAGGACATGAACTCATCATTTTTTATGGCTGCATAGTATTCCATGGTGTATATGTGCCACATTTTCTTAATCCAGTCTATCATTGTTGGACATTTGGGTTGGTTCCAAGTCTTTGCTATTGTGAATAGTGCCGCAATAAACATACGTGTGCATGTGTCTTTATAGCAGCATGATTTATAGTCCTTTGGGTGTATACCCAGTAATGGGATGGCTGGGTCAAATGGTATTTCTAGTTCTAGATCCCTGAGGAGTCGCCACACTGACTTCCACAATGGTTGAACTAGTTTACAGTCCCACCAACAGTGTAAAAGTGTTCCTATTTCTCCACATCCTCTCCAGCACCTGTTGTTTCCTGACTATTTAATGATTGCCATTCTAACTGGTGTGAGATGGTATCTCATTGTGGTTTTGATTTGCATTTCTCTGATGGCCAGTGATGATGAGCATTTTTTCATGTGTCTTTTGGCTGCATAAATGTCTTCTTTTGAGAAGTGTCTGTTCATATCCTTTGAGGTACCCCCCAGTAGGGGCAGACTGATAGCAAAAGAAACTACCCCTGCTTCTAAGGTGGTGGTTCCATGCCAGGAGAGGCAAGCTGAGAGGACATTAGGCTACTGCTCTCCCTCCCCAAGGGCTCCACAGAGCTTGAGCTCTGGCTCAAAGATTTTGCCTGGGGGAAGCAGGTTGTAAAACAGATAGCTCCTGATCTCTTCCTAAAGGAACTGGGCTCAGTTTGTAACAGAGCATGGAGAAGCTGCAACCTAAAGGTGCTTTCAAGAACAGTGGAGGTTGCAGTGAAGGAATTAAGAGGAAATCTGTGGCTCTAATGGACATATAGCCTGGACTGTAACCCCACTAGTTTGCATGAGAGAACAGAGAATAAGGTAGCTGGGAGGAGCCCTTCTAGGATCAGAAGAAATACCAAACACTGACCTCAGAAAGTGATCCTTTCTGAGGTGTGCCAGCATTTGATAGCTTGTAAAGCAATTTATGCCCCAGGACAATATTGAAAATAACAGAGCAATCAGCAACCAATGAGTGGAGCTTAACAGTGTGGTGTGGTCAGAGAAATATAGAAGAGAGCCCTAGTAAAGCCACTGCCATCCATGGGTGACTGTGGGCATACCCAGTGCTGTATCTCCTTTAGGAGCAACATCAGAAGCTTAACCCCACGGGAAGGGAAATAGACTTCACTAAAATAAAACAGTTCATGTAGTTAATAAATAAGCAAATAATAATAGCAAATCTAGTGGGGGAGCGGTTCTCAGAGTGGCTATAATATTATCTAAAATGCCCAGTTTCCAACCAAAAATTATGACATATGCAAAGGAACAGGAAAGTTTGACCCATACAATGGGGAAAAAAGCTGGCAATAGAAACTGCCTGTGAGAATGACTACATATCAGATTTATCAAGTCCAAGGTAGTAATTATAAACATGTTCACAGAACTAAAGGAAACATGATTAAAAGACAAAAGATGTGATGACAGTGTCTCACCAAACAGAGAATATCAATGAACGCATTCAAATCTTTTAAAAAAGGAAATTCTGGAGTTGAAAAGTACAATAACTGAAATAAAAAGTTCACTAGAAGGGCTCAACAGCTGGTTTGAATAGATGGAAGAAATAATTAGCAAACTTGAAGATAGATCAATAGAAATTACATAAGCCAAAGAACAAAGGGAAAACCATGAAAAAAAAATGAACAAAGCCTCAGAGAAGTGTAGGACACTATTAAGTGCACCAACATATGTGTAATGGGAATATCAGAAAGAGAGAGAAAAAGGGGAAGGGGAAAATATTCAAAGAAATAATGGCTGAAAACTTTCCAAATTTATTGAAAAACAATAACCTACACACCCAGGAAACTCAGTTATTTCCAAGTAAAATAATTCCAGAGATCCACAGACAGACACATCATAGTAAAAATGCTGAAAGTAAAAGACAAGGGGGAATATCCTAAAAGAGAATAGCAGCAAACAACATATAACTCATCAAGCCTTCTTCAATATGATTAACAATTGATTTCTTAGCAGAAACTCCAGAAGCCAGAAGACAGTGGGATAGTGTGTTAAATGTGCTAAAAGGATTTTTTAATATTTGTTATTATTTTTTTAATTATACTTTAAGTTCTAAGGTACATGTGCACAACGTGCAGGTTTGTTACATATGTATACATGTGCCACATTGGTGTGCTGCACCCATTAACTCATCATTTACATTAGGTATTTCTCCTAATGCTATCCCTCCCCCTGCCACCCCATGGCAAGCCTCCCTGTGTGATGTTCCCCGCCCTGTGTCCAAGTGTTCTCATTGTTCACTTCCCACCTATGAGTGAGAACATGCAGTGTTTGGTTTTCTGTTCTTGTGATAGTTTGCTCAGAATGATGGTTTCCAGCTTCATCCATGACCCTGCAAAGGACAGGAACTCATCCTTTTTTATGGCTCCATAGTATTCCACGGTGTATATATGCCACATTTTCTTAATCCAGTCTATTACTGACAGACATTTGGGTCGGTTCCAAGTCTTTGCTATTGTGAACAGTGCTGCAATAAACATACATGTGCACGTGTCTTTATAGCAGCATGATTTATAATCCTTTGGGTACATACCCAGTAATGGGATGGCTGGGTCAAATGGTATTTCTAGTTCTAGATCCTTGAGGAATCGTCACACTGTCTTCCACAATGGTTGAACTAGTTTACACTCCCACCAACAGTGTAAGAGCATTCCTATTTCTCCACATTCTCTCCAACACCTGTTGTTTCCTGACTTTTTAATGATTGCCATTCTAACTGGTGTGAGATGGTATCTCATTGTGGTTTTGATTTGCATTTCTCTGATGACCAGTGATGATGAACATTTTTTCATGTGTCTGTTGGCTGCATAAATGTCTTCTTTTGAGAAGTGTCTGTTCATATCCTTTGCCCACTTTTTGACAGGGTTGTTTTTTTCTTGTAAATTTGTTTAAGTTCTTTGCAGATTCTGGATGTTAGCCCTTTGTCAGATGGGTAGATTGCAAAAATTTTCTCCCATTCTGTAGGTTGTCTGTTCACTCTAATGGTAGTTTCTTTTGCTGTGCAGAAGCTCTTTAGTTTAATTAGATCCCATTTGTCTATTTTGGCTTTTGTTGCCATTACTTTTGGTGTTTTAGTCATGAAGTCCTCGCCCATGCCTATGTCCTGAATGGTATTGCTTAGGTTTTCTTCTAGGGCTTTTACGATTTTAGGTCTAACATTTAAGTTTTAATCCACCTTGAATTAATTATTGTATAAGGTGCAAGGAAAGGATCCAGTTTCAGCTTTCTACATATGGCTAGCCAGTTTTCCCAACACCATTTATTAAATAGGGAATCCTTTCCCCATTTCTTGTTTTTGTCAGGTTTGTCAAAGATCAGATGGTTGTAGATGTGTGGTGTTATTTCTGAGGCCTCTGTTCTGTTCCATTGGTCTATATCTCTGTTTTGGTACCAGTACCATGCTGTTTTGGTTACTGTAGACTTGTAGTATACTTTGAAGTCAGGTAGCATGATGCCTCCAGTTTTGTTCTTTTTGCTTAGGATTGTCTTGGCAATGCGGGCTTTTTTTTTGATTCCATATGAACTTTAAAGTAATTTTTTCCAATTCTGTGAAGAAAGTCATTGGTAGCTTGATGGGGATGGCATTGAATCTATAAATTATCTTGGGCAGTATGGCCATTTTCATGATATTGATTCTTCCTATCCATGAGCATGGAATGTTCTTCCATTTGTTTGTATCCTCTTTTATTTCATTGAGCAGTGGTTTGTAGTTCTCCTTGAAGAGGTCCTTCACATCCCTTGTAAGTTGGATTCCTAGGTATTTTATTCTCTTTGTAACAATTGTGAATGGGAGTTCACTCATGATTTGGCTGTCTGTTATTAGTGTATAGGAATGCTTGTGATTTTTGCACATTGATTTTGTACCCTGAGACTTTGCTGAAGTTGCTTATCAGCTTAAGGAGATTTTGGGCTGAAACGATGGGGTTTTCTAAATATACAATCATGTCATTTGCAAACAGGGACAATTTGACTTTCTCTTTTCTTAACTGAATATCCTTTATTGCTTTCTCTTGCCTGATTGCCCTGGCCAGAACTTCCAACACTATGTTGAATAGGAGTGGCGAGATAGGGCATCCCTATCTTGTGCCAGTTGTCAAAGGGAATGCTTCCAGTTTTTGCCCATTCAGTATGATATTGGCTGTGGGTTTGTCATAAATAGCTCTTATTATTTTGTGATACGTTCCATCAATACCTAGTTTATTGAGAGTTTTTAGCATGAAGGGCTGTTGAATTCTGTCAAAGGCCTGCTAAAAAGATTTTTTTTAAAAAAGAAATCTTGGCAACTAAGAATCCTTTATGCAGAAAGCTAACCTTTCAAAAATGAAGACTAAATAAGGATTTTCCCAGATAAACAAAACTGAGAAAATTTGTTGCTAGTAGACCTAACTTATAAGAAATACTAAAGGGCATTCTTTAGACTGAAAGCAAGTGACCCCAGATGATAATGTAAATCCACATGAATACAAAAAGAGTACTAGAAAAGGTAATGATGTAATTATAAAAAACACTATTCTTATTTTCTCCTTTCTTCTCTTAACATGCAACTGTATAAAATAATGTATATAATGTATTATTGAGCATATAATATAGAAATGTAATATATGTCAATAACAGCATAAAGGAGGTAGATGAGAGAAAAGCTGTAATAGGCTAAGAAAATGGTGACACATGGTAGAGTAATCATTTTACTAATGTGCTGCTGGCTTTATAACATTGATAAGTATAATATGCATAACAATCATACCACACAAAAAGGGGGAAGGGAATAGAGCTATAAAGGAGTAATAGTTCTATATATTACTGGAATTAAGCTAGTATAAATCTGAAGTTGATGCTGGTAAGTTATATATATATACATGAAACGCTAAAGCTACCATTAAAAACAAATCTCAAAAAATACAGTGAAAGAATCATTAATAAAATTAAAATACTACATTAGAAAATATTCACTCAGTGAAAAAGAAAACAGTAAAGAAGGAATAGAACAATAAAAAGATGAGACAGGGAAAACAAGAAGTGAAGACATGCCATGAACTGTGCCCATAGAAGATGGCAAATTTAATCAATAAATGTTGTGTGTTCCAACTGCTCCACCGACCATCCATTCCTCTGTCTCTCTCCCTCTCCTTGGGCTTCCCTATTCATGAGACACAATATGGAAATTAGGCCAATTAATAACCCAGTAATGGCCTTTAAGTTTTCAAGTGAAAGGAAGAGTCACATATCTCTAACTTTAAATCAAAAGCTAGAAATGATTCAGCTTAGTAAGGAAGGCATGTCAAAGCCAAGATGGCCCAGAAGCTAGGCCTCTCAAGCCAAACAGCCAAGTTCTGAAAGTGAAGGAGCAGTTCTTGTAGGAAATGAAAAGTGCTACTCCAGTTAGCACATGAATAAGAAAGTGAAACAGCCTGATTGCAATAGGAAGAAAGTTTTAGTGGTCTAGATAGAAGATCAAATCAGCCACAACACTCCTTTAAGCTAAGGCCTAATCCAGAGCAAGGCCTTAACTTTTTCCAATTGTATGAAGGCTGAGAGAAGTGAGGAAGCTGTAAAAGAAAAGTCTAAACCTAGCAGAGGTTGGTTCCTGAGATTTAAGGACAGAAGCCATCTCCCTAGCACTGAAGTGCAAGGTAGTAGAAGTAATCCAATTGCTCATCAGTGGATGAATAAATAAGCAAACTGTGGTGTATCCATACAATGGAATATTATTTGGCCAAAGAAAGAAATGAAGTACTGAAGTACATGTGACATGTGGAAGAACCTTGAAAACATTATTATAAGTGAGAGAAGCCAGTCACAAAACCAGTTCCTACATGATTCCATCCATAGGCAAATCCAGGGTAGGGAATTTACAGAGACAGGAAGTAGATAAGTGGTTCCTTCGGGTGGTGGTGGGGGGTAATAGCTAAAGGTACAGAGCTTCTTATGAGGTGCTGACAATGTTCTAAAATGGACTGGTGATGACCGCACGTATCTGTGAATATCCTGCCACCGAACTGTATATGACTATAGCTCAACAAAGCTGTTTAAAAAATAGAAAGCATCCTTTACTAGTAACTAGAGACTGATGAAGGGTGTTAGCCACAAGATACAACAAAGTGGTTTGAAGAAAGAGGTGACCTACAGCTTGTGAAATAACCATACTACCAGGTAGTCCTGGTAAAACCCAGCCAACCCTTCCAAAGCCACAGGCACGAACTCTGGAGGCATCAGGGACTCTCAGAGATGTACCTGGCCCTGCCAGCTCCACTGAGAGAGGGGCGGGTGTGGTGGGGGTTTATCTTGGACACCGATTTGCCAGGGAGAGGTGGCCTGCTCCCACATCAGGCTGATTCTTGGCCACCCTTCCAAACGTGGAGAAGAAATTCTAGTGAGGGGGAGGAGCTCCCTGCCAGGACTACTGACAGCTCCCCACAAGCCTCTAGGCGCTGACTCATGGCATTCATCACAAGAAAGCCTTGCCTTCCTCATCCTCCTTCAGCTGTGTTTGAAGGATGTTAACAGGAACCCATAACAATCTCTGAAAGAACGTCACTTCCAGTGCTACTTAACAACACACCACTGCTGGGGGAAGACTGCTGTCCTCACAGACGAGCAAATAAAGAAATTTCACCTATTAATAAAAAGCCTCAAAAGAGGCCATGTGTGGTGGCTCACGCCTGTAATTCCAGCACTTTGGGAAACTGAGGCAAACAGATCACCTGAGGTCAGGAGTTCGAGACCAGCCTGGCCAACATGGCAAAACCCTGTCTCTACTAAAAATACAACAATTAGCTGGGCATGGTGGTGGGGACCTGTAACCCCAGCTACTTGGGGGCTGAGGCAGGAGAATTGCTTGAACCCAGGAAGTGGAGGCTGCAGTGAGCCGAGATCGATCGCACCACTGCACTGCAGCCTGGGCGACAGAGCGAGACCCCATCGAAAAACAAACAGGCCGGGCATGGTGGCTCATGCCTGTAATCCCAGCACTTTGGGAGGCCAAGACAGGCGGATCACGAGGTCAGGAGATCGAGACCACCCTGGCTATCACAGTGAAACCCTGTCTCTACTAAAAAATAGAAAAAATTAGCCAGGCGTGGTGGCGGGCCCCTGTAGTCCCAGCTACTTGGGAGGCTGAGGCAGGAGAATGGCGTGAACCCAGGAGGTGGAGTTTGCAGTGAGCCGAGATCGCACCACTGCACTCCAGCTTGGGTGACAGAGCGAGACTCCGTCTCAAAAAATAAATAAATAAATAAAATAAAGTAAATAAAAAACAAACAAACAAACAGAAAACCTCGAAAGAAGAGCAGATGAATTTGGAAATGAACTGAAATTTGGAAATAACAAGAAAATTTTACAAAAATCCCAATTTTCTGTTCTTAATGGCTTCAAAAGGACATTGGAAAGATTGTTGCAGATTAAAAACATGATCACTGCATCACAAACTGCCAGTGAAGGCAGTGAACACAGGTGAGAAAAAAACAAAACAAAACAGGAAAACAAAGCAGAAGATGAAACAGAAATTCTCCCAGAACTGGGCAGAAAATGGATCAAATTTGAATGAGAATTCAAATGAGAATGATGACAGATTCCAGGGATAGAAACTAGAAATATAATCTCTACAAAGTAGAAATTCTACAAAGTCAGGAACAGATCAGTTGGAAGTGGAAGCAGTAATTAAGAAAAGAAAAGAAAGCTTTCCTAAGCTAAACTCCAGGATAGTCCAGGCTAGTCTCTCCCATTATCCTTACAAAATAGGAAAACAGGAGCTTTCACTCCTTTTTTGAAGAAAAAGGAATCTGATTACTTTCTTGCAGAATTTCTGAGAAAAAAAGAAAAAAGGAACCTGACATATAGGGAAATGGAGGGATGTGCCCAATTTCTCACCCTAGGGTGAAGTGTGGCTAGAGCCCTGACCTCTGACTTCCAGAGCATTGCCCTTGGTATGCATACATGCTGGATGTCACTGGTGGCATGAAGGTTTTAAAATTTCCTCTGCAATGAACTCATCTGCCAATTATTTCAAGTGACACTGAAATAATAGGAAAATATGATTATGAAGCTCTGAATTGTAAGGAGGTACTGACTTGAAAGGCCAAAATCAGCTTTGAGGATTCTCTCTGGAAAGATTCCTCTCCCTGGTTACTGTCCCTTCCACAAGACTCTAAATAACTCTATGACTTAATGAAGGGCTCATGCAAGAAATTGGGAAAGTTTCTTCAACACTTGTCAAACACCTTTTCATAACTTTGCTTGTGAGTTTAAGATCACAACTTTATGTGGGAAAGAATAAAACTCCACTTCACAGTGCAGCCTAAATACATCCATCTGCTGATGGACAACCACCACATCCACCAGCTAATCTGAGCAGCCAGCTCCCTCAGGACCAGCACCTCGAATGTGCTGAGTCAGATTCAGAGCTCAACTCAGAGTCTGCATCAGAGCTGATTCCTTAGCAAGGCACATGCCAAACTCCAGCATTCAGGGCCAACCATCATGCACCGTCATCCTCTGCCTCACCACACTGGCTTTCTATGGGTCTTCGGCACCGACAGGACCTGACTACCAACAGCCTCCACTGCCAGCTCGCTCCTCCCAAGCCTGGACAAAGCACGCATTTGACAGGTGTGGCTGTTTTGTTTTTCTAACTCTTAGGGCTTTACCCTTGTTCATCTTTCTTCAACACCAGATTTGGCCCCTCCCTCCAGCAGCCATGAGCTTTTAGACTGTAAGGTCACCACCTAACACAATCTGCACCTGCTCAAGACCTGAGACCCCACATCTGTCCTTCCACCAGAAGACAGATCTGCCTTGAGCCTCACTTAGCGTGTCCAGCCCTGCTGGGTTGGGTGTGAGGAAGGTGGTTGTTCTACATAAAGAGGCCCCATCCTGGCTCTCACCTGCGGCCCAATTCCCTTCTAACACAGAAAGCCAGGCCTTTTATGGACAGATATGTGATGTGATGCTATTTGCTATAGTTTGGAGAAAGGACTCATACAGGCTGCCATAAAACTCAAGGAAGAGGCCATTATTCCTCAGAACGGAAAACACCCAAGTTCCATCAGCTGATTAGAGACAGCTCCCTACATGATTCTGTCTCCTGGAAGTTATACATCCTACTACGAGACGAAGGGACAGTCAGTAGTTCTGCTCAAAATTAACTAATGGAGCCAAGCTGGGGGACTCTAGGAATTCCTTTTTTTATTTTTTCTTGAGACGGAGTATCACTCTGTCGCCCAGGGTGGAATGCAGTGGCACAATCTCAGCTCACTACAACCTCTGCCTCTCAGATTCAAGTGATTCTCCTGCCTCATCCCTCTGAGTAGCTGAGATTACAGGCATGCACCACCATATGGAGATAATTTTTTTTTTTTTTGAGACGGAGTTTTGCTCTTATTGCCCAGGCTGGAGTGCAATGGCGTGATCTTGGCTCACCGCAACCTCTGACTCCCAGGTTCAAGCAATTCTCCTGCCTCAGCCTCCCGAGTAGCTGAGATTACAGGCATGTGCCACCATGCCCAGCTAATTTTGTATTTTTAGTAGAGATGGGGTTTCTCCATGCTGGTCAGGCTGGTCTCGAACTCCCGACCTCATATGATCCGCCCACCTTGGCCTCCCAAAGTGCTGGGATTATAGCATGAGCCACCGCACCCGGCCTGTATTTTTAGTAGAGATGGGGTTTCACCATGTTGCCCAGGCTGGTCTTGAGCTCCTGACCTCAAGTGATCCGCCTGCTTCAGCCTCTCAAAGTGCTGGGATTACAGGCATGAGCCACTGTGCCCAGCCAATAATTCCCTTTCTTTGGGTAGTAGGCACTCCTCCCTAACTGAAGGAAGAGGACAATTGTTTATCTCTCTCACCTTCAAGCTACTTCTACCAGGCAAGTGGATACAGCTGCCAACAGCACTAGCTTCTTGTCCTTCATGCCAGGATCCAGAGTACATAGCAAAAGAGAGAGGCGCGTAACTCACCAGTGCCTGGTGTGTGCTCTGGCCAGCCCATGTGGTTCAGTCCCGTTGGAGCACTCTGGGAGAGTGGATGGCTTCTTCTAGGGAGATTCAAAGACTCTGGAGAGGTAATGATCGTCTTTCTCCAGCACTGGAAGAGGAGGAAAGAGACAGAGGGCAAATGAAGAAAAGAAATGACAGGCTGTCATTGCCACCCTGCAGTCTTTCTAATTGCTGAGGACTTTTCATTGTGAACAGAGCACACAACCAAAATATGCACAGCTCCAGGGGATGCCTTTCACATCAAAACTCACAAGAAAAACTTCACCTGGAGTCTGCAGTGGGCAACCTATCTGGCCACATGGATAGGCTGTCATTCCATGGATGAAGTCAGGACTGTGGAGAAGGTCTTCAGACTCCCAACTCTCCCCAAGCTGGTGAGCCACACAGCCTGATATCTCCCCGAAAGCAAGACTATTAGTTTTAGCTAAGGCATAGTCTTTTTGGAATGCTTCATTAAAACACAACTCACGAAATCCGTGACATCTCCTAATTATGAAGCAGACACTGCCCTTCAGACAGTAAGGACCACTGTTGGCTGTGGCTTTGGGATGACCAGGGATATAAGCCTTTTCTGTATCATCCCATTGTCCAGAGATAAACCTGGCCCCTCTTGATTTTTTTCTACCTTATGAAGTTATTGTATTAACTTAAAAATTGTGGTATGTATTCAAATAAATGCTTCTTCCCTTACTTTTTGCTTTTTTATTCCTCATACTATTAAGCAAACAGTGCTTAGAAAATTCTTTTAGTGATTTCCAGAAACATCAATATACAAACAATGATAAAGACGGAGTTGCACACTTCACCCCATCCATTTGAACACAACTAAAAACCTTGGGGAGAGTGTATAGATCAGCCGTTTGAGGACTCTAGAGGGAAACAGCAGCAGGTAGACTGGGGAAGGAAACCAGAATTCGAAGTAACACTGATCCTGTGGTGAGTTTCTTGTTTTGTTGTTCCTGTGGTGTGCCCTGGTCTGAACTCAATACCAGCTTGAAACTGGGCATGGACATAAAGGACTCCAAAAGAAGCCCTCTCAGATCTGAAGAGAGGGAAAAGGGTCCTTAAGGGTATGAGGGAATGAGGGATGTGTATTTGAGTGATGATTTCTCCCACCCTATTCCCCTAGGCAACCTCATTATGGTAATGGCAGTGGTGGTCGTGCAGACATCTAAAATTCTGAGGGACAGGAATCCTCTCTGACCAGAGGAACTGTGGTCCCAAGGGCATGGGAGAGAATCCTTGTTTCTTTTTTCTATCTCTGTCTCCCTGCCACTTGGTTTCAGAGGCAGACACAGTTGCAGGAAGTGTATGGCAGAGGGAAAATGAAAGCCCCAGCTTTCCATCAAGAAAACTAGGAAAGGAGGGCTCCTAGACACCAGGAAGTGCCTGGGAGAATGCCAAGAGGAGGGGTCTCAAGCAGAAGATCCCATAATGTTGTGTATGAGTTCCCGCACTTACCCCCAAGCTGTATGAGTGGATCTGACCCTGAACAGCATATAAGAGTCTTTTGGGAACTGAACCATGGGGTAGAACATATTTCAGGTCCCACAGGGGCCACTGGGTGATCCACATTATCCAAGTGGCACTGCAAACATCTTAAAACCTGAACTGACAAACTGACATAAGAAACAGCCCCTGAAGGCCAGTAAGAGCTTGCAGCCTGAACTTAACTGGGTCAACTGCTTAAAAAATTTAATAATCATTATTATCCATAGGAACTAAACAAGGCCCAGAGTCTCATAACATAACATTTAAGATGCCCAGAATACAATCGAAAATTACCTGACACACAAAGAACTATGAGATCTCAATAACTTTTAAGGGAAAAGATAGTCAACAATGGCAACACCAAGAAGACACAGTTGTTGGAATTATCAGAAAAAGACTTTAAAGCAGCTCTTATATCACCATGCTCTAAGAAGTAAGGGTGAACACTTTTGACATAAATGAAAAATAATAGCAGATAAATAGATAAAAAATAAAGTGGAGATGTTAGTAATGAAAAATATAAAATAACTAAAATAAAATCCAGTGGCAGAGTACAATTATAAAATGAGATGAAAAAGGAAAGAATCAGTAAGCATGTAAACAGCTCAACAGAAATTATCCAATTGAAGAACAGAGAGAAAAGGTTGGGGGGAAAAAATCCCAATAGAACTTTAGGGACCTGTGTGACAACAACAAAGGTCTAATACTCTGTCAATCAGAGTTCCAGAAGGAGAAGGGAGTGCAGTGCAGAACAATATCAAGAATAATTTCTGAAAACATCCCAAATATGATTCAAAACATTAACTTACAGACACAAGAGCCCAGCAAACTGCAAGCTGAAAAATCCAAGGAAATCAATGCCTAGAGACATCATAAACTGCTGAAAATTAGAGACAATGAAAAAAATCTTAAAGCAGCCAGAAACCACAACAGATCACACAGAGGGGAACATTCATTTGCATGACTGCAGATTTTTCATGGAGGCCAGAAAGAAGTGGAATAATATTTGTAAAGTGCTAAATCACTGTCAACCCAAAAATCTATATCCAGCAAAAGTATGTTCAGGAATGAAGGTAAAATAAGAACATTATCACATGGAGAAAAACTAAGAGAAGTCATAGCCAGTATACCTATTCTAAAGCAATGTTAAAGGAAGATCTTTATACAAAAGGAAAATGATACCAGAGGGAAACTTTGAACTTCAGAAATGAAGGAAGAGCAACAGAAATAATAAATAGCTGGGTAAATATAACACACCATTTTTCTCCTCTTAAGTTTTAAAAAATATTTGACAGTTAAACACAAAATTATAATATTATCTAATGCAGTTTTCAATGTATGCAGATTTAATATACATGACAACAACAACATAAAGGAGGAGGTTAAAGGAACCTATGGGATGGAAGATGTCTACATTCCTTCCACTCGAAGTGGGAAAATACTAATTCTAACTAGACGGAAATGTTAAGAATGTATGTTAATTCCTAGAGTTACTAAAAAAACCTATACAAAGAAATATATTTAAAAGCTCAATAACTAAGTTAAAATGGAGAACTAAAAAATACCCAAATAATCCAAAAGGAAACAGAGCAATGCAAATCAGAGAACAGAAAATGAATGATAACATGGTAAACCTAAATCCAAACCATCAATAAATACATTAAGTTTGAATACTCAAAGCACATAATCAGAAAAACAAATATTAAAATAATTAAGGAAAGAACATCTAACAATATGTTATCTACAAGAAACCTACTTTCAAAATAATGATAAAGGCAGGTAGAAAGTAAAAGGGTGAAAAACGATGCCACACAAGTACTAATCAAAAAGAAAATGTGAATGGCTATATTAATATCAGACAAAACCAATTTCAGAGCAAGGAAAATTACCAAGGACACAGAAGAACATAACATCATAAGAGTGAATTCACCAAAAAGACATATAATCCTAGATGTCCATGCATCTAACCACAGACATTCAAAATATATGAAGCAAAAATTTAAAGGAAAAATGGAAAATTTGCAATGATTCATTTCTGATTGGAAACTTCAGCACTTTTATCACAGTAATCAATAGAAGAAATAGACAAAAACAAGGTAATAAACAAAAACAAGGTAATAGACAAAGTGAGCAACACCATCAACCAACTGGAACTAATTGACATTTGTAGAATAGCCATCCAACAATAGCAGAATACCCATTATTTTCAAGTGCACATGGAACATTCACCAAGAGAGGCTATATCCTTGGTGATAATCATAATAATGAAATTTTAAAAAAGTTTGAAAGTATGAAATCATACAAAGTATGTTTCTCTATCACAATGGAATTAAACTATAAATCAGTAATAGAAAGGTAATTCTATTATTTTTCTTAAAAACGAAATCCTAATCTATTTAGAAATTAACACACTTCCAAAATAAAAACTGCACCATAGTTCCAGTGACTGCTTTGAAAACAGTGATCTAGTGCTCTGATTCACTCAACGTATGCGTTATTATTCCTGCTGTTCTAACCCTTGTATGTTACACCATATTATTACTTGCTTCTTTTCATACTTTTTTCAGAATTATACCTGCAGTTGATCTTTTTGTGTTTACACAAAAATATGATTTATGTATATCTGAGTAGTTGAAACTAGTAGAAACTACCAAACCAGCCAGGCGTGGTGGCTCATGCCTGTAATCCCAGCACTTTGGGAGGCTGAGGTGGGTGGATCACGAGGTCAGGAGATCGAGACCATCCTGGCTAACACGGTGAAACCCTGTCTCTACTAAAAATACAAAAAATTAGCCGGGCGTGGTGGCGGGTTCCTGTAGTCCCAGCTACTCAGGAGGCTGAGGCAGGAGAATGGCATGAACCCGGGAGGAGGAGGTTGCAATGAGCTGGTATCACACCACTGCACTCCAGCCTGAGTGACAAAGCAAGACTCCGTCTCAAAAAAAAAAAAAAAGAAAAAAGAAAAAAAAAACTACCAAACCATATTTGACTCAACTAGTCAAATATACTCAACTAGTATATAATCTCTATTTTCTATTAAATTATCAGGAATTATCTCTAGGCCTCCAAACCTTTTACAATCAAAGAATCTTAGGCTTGGAATCCTCTCAAAATCTACTTTAATCCTGCTTAAAGGGAAACTGGACCCTGTACACATATTCATGCAGGCCACATTACATTTTATTTTTTTAAATAGTCACTTAAGCTTGTGACTACAGTTGACTCTTGAACAACATGGGTTTGAACTGCACGGGTTTACTTATACATGGATTTTCTTCCACTTCTGCCACTTCTGAGACAAGACCAACTGCTCCTCTCCTTCCTCCTCCTTAGCCTATGGAATGTGAAGATGATGAGGATGAAGACCTTTATGACAACCCGCTTCCAGTGAGTAAATAGTAAATATATTTTCTCTTCCCTCTGATTTTCTTAACATTTTCTCTTTCTCTGGCTTACTTTATTGCAACAATACTATATATACTACTTATAATATCTTACAACATACAAAATAAGTGTTAGACTGTTTATATTATCAACAAGGCTTCTGGTCAACAGTAGGCTATTAATAGTTAAATTTTTCAGGAGACAAAAATTATACATGGAGCTGAGTATGGTGGCTCACACCTGTAATCCTAGAACTTTTGGAGGCCGAGGCAGGCAGATCACCTGAGCTCAGGAGTTTGAGACCAGCCTGGCGAACATGGTAAAATCCTGTCTCTACTAAAAATACAAAAATTAGCCAGGCGTGGTGGCATGCACCCGTAATCCTAGCTACTCGGGAGGCTGAGGCAGAATTGCTTGAACCCAGGAGGTGGAGGTTGAAGTGGGCTGAGATCACGCCACTGCACTCCAGCCTGGGGAACAGAGCAAGACTCCATCTCAAAAAAAAAAAAAATTATAAATGGATTTTCGGCTGTGTGGGTGGTTGGTACCCCTAACCCCTGCATGGTTTAAGGGCCAACTGAATATCCGTTTGACAAAACGTTTTCTCAGGTCATTTCTCATATGGGTTACTTAAACATTCTCTAAGTCTTCCCTTCTTGTTCTACAGCAAATTTATCATGCCATTTTTATGTTAAAAATCATAAAAGGCTGCCTCCTGCTTATAGAATAAAGTAAAGATCTATTGGCATGGAACCCAGAGTTCCTCGAATACTGTTTTCTGACTACTGTAACAACTCTTGCCATCCATCTCTCTACCACCAGGCACCTGCTCACTACTTCCCTGATACTCCATGAATTTTCTTTTTTTTTTTCTTTTTTTTTTTTTTTTTGAGACGGAGTCTCGCTCTGTCACCCAGGCTAGAGTGCAGTGGCGCAGTCTCGGCTCACTGCAAGCTCTGCCTCCCGGGTTCATGCCATTCTCCTGCCTCAGCCTCTCCGAGTAGCTGGGACTACAGGCGCCCGCCACCACGCCCGGCTAATTTTTTTTTTTATTTTTAGTAGAGACGGGGTTTCACCGTGGTCTCGATCTCCTGACCTCGTGATCCACCCGCCTCGGCCTCCCAAAGTGCTGGGATTACAAGCGTGAGCCACCGCGCCCGGCCTACTCCATGAATTTTCATACTACCATCCGAGGTCAGGAGATCGAGACCATCCTGGCTAACATGGTGAAATCCCGTCTCTACTAAAAATACAAAAAATTAGTCGGGCATGGTGGCAGGCACCTGTAGTCCCAGCTATTCGGGAGGCTGAGGCAGGAGAATGTCGCGAACCTGGGAGGCAGAGGTTGCAGTGATGTTGCTATCCCCTCTATTTGAACTACGCTTCCCTGCTGAAACTTTATCCATTCTTAGGAAAGTGTCTCCTTTTATGCAAAATATTTCCTTATGTTCCATCTACACAGAATTACCCACCTCCTCCTCTCTGTTAACAGTATTTTGTTGATATCACTGTAGCACCTGTATTGTTGTATAATTACTATACAAATCTTAGTACCTGGAAGTGGGATACAGCTATAACAAACACCTACAAATTTGGAAGTGACTTTGGAATTGGGCAGTAGGCAGAGGCTGGAAGAAAAGAAATAAAAAGAATACACACTAGAAAGGAAGAAATACCCCCTGCCCCCCATTTTAAGGTGATATGGTTGCTTACATAGATAGTTTCCAGTAATCTATAAAAAACAACTACATTTGAACTAACAAATGAATTCAGCAGAGTCACAGGATACAATATCAACACATAAAAATCAATCGCATTTCCATATACTAAAAATCAACTTGTGGAAAATGAAATTTAAAACACAATATTTGTAATAGTTCCTAGGAAAATTAAATACAAAAGTATACATTTTAAAAATGCAGAGGATCTGTATGCAGAAAATTACAAAATTCTGACAAAAGAAGTTAAAGAAAACCTAAATAAATGAAAAGATATACCTGTATTCTTGTGTTGGGAGACAAAACATAATGAAGATGACTGTTTCCCATAAATTAATTTATAGGTTTTCTGCAGTCTCATCAGATTCTCAGCAAAGCATTTGTAGACAAGACAAACTTATTTTCATATTTATTATTGGAAGGAACTAGCCATGGAACGTGTAAAACAATGTTGAAAAAAAAGAAATATAGTGGAAGGACTCCATCTAATCAACATGAAGGCTCAGTACATAGCTTTGAAGATCAAGACAGTGTGGCACTGGTGGAAGCATAGACACATGGATCGACAGTACCAAACAGAGAGCCTAGAAACAGGCATAAGTATATCCAACTGATTTCTGGCAAAGGTGCAAAAGTGATTCAGTGAGGAATAATAACTCTTTTCAACAAGTGGTCCAACAGTATCCACAGGCAAAAAAAGAAAAAAAGAAAAGAAGAAAAGAAACTTCACCTAAATCCCACAACTTATGCAGCCATAAGAAAGAATGAGATCATTTCCTTTTGCAGCAACATGGTTGCAACTGGAGGCCATTATCCTAGGGAAACTGACACAGGAACAGACAACCAAATACCACATGTTCTCACTCATAAGTGGGAGCTAAACATTGAGTACATATGGACACAAAGAAGACAACAACAGATTCTGAGGCCTACTTGAGGGTGGAGGGCAGGAGGAGGGTGAGGACTGAAAAACTACCCATCCAGTACTATACTTATTACCTTGGTGACAAAATCTGTACACCAAACCCTTGCAACACGCAATTTACCTATATAACAAACCTGCCCATGTACCCCTGAACCTAAAATGAAAGTCAAAAAATTAACTGGAAATCAATCACAAACTTAAATGTGAAAAGTACAATGATGAAACTTTAGAAAAAACAGAAGAAAATCTTTGAGACTTAGGGGTCACTGAAGAGTTTTTAGACATGATGCCAAAAGCACATCCATAAACGAAAAAAATTGATTAAGTAGACTTCAACAACATTTAAAAATTTGTTCTGTGAAGACCCTGGTAAGAAGATGAAAAAACAAGCTACAGACTAGGTGATAATGTTTGTAAACCACAAATTCAACAAAGGACTAATATCTGGAATATGAATATATATAATACACAGACACATATACACTCTGTCTCTCAAAGACCAACATTAAAAAAATGCCTTGCCTTACCTCTCAATTGTTTGAGGGGAGAGAATGAAAAGGCTATCCAGTTAGAAAGTGGATAAAAGAACAGAAAAGACATTTCACCTAAACTGTTGTACCAATGGCAAATATGCACACGAAAATATTTTCTACATTATGGCGCCTTAGAACCCAACCATTTCCAAAATGAGTTATCACTACACCACTATTACTATTATGGTAAAAATTTAAAAGTAGCAAAAAAACAAATGCTGATAAGAATGCTGAGAAGCTGGATCATGCAAACATTACTGGTGGGAATGTAAAATGGTACAGCCCTCTCGAAAATAATGTGGAAGATTCTTATCAAACTAAACAGACAACTATCATATGACCCAACAATTGTACTCTTGGGCATTTACCCTAGAGAAATGAAAACATATGTTATTAAACATATTATTTATAATAGCCCAAACCTGGAAACAATCTAGATGTCTTCGAATAGGTGAATGATTAAACAAGTTGTTGTAGGTCCAGGCCACGGAATACTGTCAGCAACATACATGCAGCCACTTTGTTGCCACATTATAATATTCAAGATGCCCAGTTTTCAACAAAAAATTATGATACAAAGGCCGGGTGCAGTGGCTTATGCCTGTAATCCCAGCACTTTGGGAGGCCGAGGCGGCCAGATCACGAGGTCAGGAGATCGAGACCATCCTGGCTAACACGGTGAAACCCCATCTCTACTAAAAATACAAAAAATTAGCCGGGCATGGTGGCGAGTGCCTGTAGTCCCAGCAACTTGTGAGGCTGAGGCAGGAGAATGGTGTGAACCCGGGAGGCAGAGCTTGCAGTGAGCCGAGATCGCACCACTGCACTCCCGTCTGGGTGACAGAGCGACATTCTGTCTCAAAAAAAAAAAAAAAATTATGATACAAAGACACAAGAAAGTATGGCCCACTCAGGGAAAGAAAAGAAATGAACAAGAACCATCCCTGAGAAAGCACAGGGTCTTCTTACTAGACAAAGACTCTAATCAACTGTTTTAAATATGCTTAAAGAGCTAAGTGAAACAAAAACCACTAAAGGAACCAAAAGAATGATGTCTCATCAAATGGAATACCAATAAAGAGAAAGTATTAAAAAAACAGGTAAAAGTTCTGGAGTTGAAAAGTACAATAATTAAAATTCAATGTAACATGTCTGAGTAGGCAGAAAAAAGAATCAGTGGATTTGAAGATGGCCAATTGAGATTTTCCAATATGAAGGAAAGCAGCATGGAGAAAATTAACAGAACCTGAGAAGCATGAAGAAAATTAACAGAACCTAGGGCACCATCAAGCACACCAACATACCTATAATGGAATCTCAAAAGAAAGAGAGAAAGCCCAGACACAGTGGCTCACACCTGTAATCCCAGCACTTTGGGAGGCCGAGGGGGGAAGATCACCTGAGGTCAGAAGTTCAAGACCAGCCTGACCAACATGGAGAAACCCCATCTCTACTAAAAATAGAAAAAAAATTAGCCAGGCCTGGTGGTGCATGCCTGTAATCCCAGCTACTTGGGAGGCTGAGGCAGGAGAATTGCTTGAACTTAGGAGGTGGTGGTTGCGGTGAGCCAAGATTGCACCATCGTGCTCCAGCCTGGGCAACAAGAGTGAAACTCCATCTCAAAAAAAAAAAAAAAAAAAGAAAAAAGAAAAAAAAAAGAAAGAAAGAGAGAAAATGATCAGAAAGACTTCTGAAGAAATAATTGTGGAAAATTCCTAAATTTGGTAAAGTACATGAATCTACACATCCAAGAAGCTCAGTGAACTCAATGATGGATAAACATAAAGACTTACACTGAGACACATTGGAACAAAATAGCTGAAAGCCAAAGACAAAAAGTGAATCTTGAAATCAGCAATAGAGAAGTAATTCACCATGTACAAGGGATTCTGAATAAGATTAACAGCTGATTTCTCCTCAGAAACCAAGGAGGCCAGAGGCAGTGGGATGACACATATAAAAAGAGGGAAAGAAAAAAAAGGTTCAGCAGAAGTTATATATCTGGGAAAACTGTACTTCAAAAATGAATGGAAAAATTATCCCATGCAACTAATAACCAAAAGAGAGCTGGAATGTCTAGACCAGCACCAGACAAAATAGATTTTAAGTTGAAAACTGCTATAAAGACAAAGAAATACATTATAGATTGATTAAAAAGTCAGTTCATCAAGAAGATATAACAATTACAAACATACGTACCTACAAACTGAGCAACAAAAATCGACAGAAATCATGTGAGAAATAGTTCTGCAATAATAGTTGGAGACTTCAACACCCTTCCAATAATAAACGGACATAAGGTCAGTGAGGAAATAGAGGTCTTGAATAATACTATAAACCAATTAAAACTAACAGACATATACAGAACACTAAACCAAACAACAACAGAATACACATTCTTCTCCAGTACACATGGAACATTCTCCAGAAAAGACCATAAGTCTTTTACAGAAAACAAGTTTCAGTAGATTTTTTTTTTTGAGGTGGAGTTTCACTCTCGTTGCCCAGGCTGGAATGCAATGGCATGATCTTGGCTCACTGCAACCTCTGCCTCCCGGTTTCAAGCAATTCTCCTGCCTTAGCCTCCCCAGTAGCTGGGATTATAGGCATGCACCACCACGCCCAGCTGATTTTGTATTTTAGTAGAGACTGGGTTTCACCAGGTTGGTCAGGCTGGTCTCGAACTCCTGACCTCAAGTGATCTACCTGCCTTAGCCTCCCAAAGTGCTGGGATTACGTGCATGGCCACCATGCCTGGCCAGTAAATTTTAAAAGACTGAATTCATATGAAGTATCTTTTCTGATTGCAATGTAATGACACTAGATGTCAATAGGAGAATGGAAAATTCACAAATATATGGAAATTAATACAATATTAAACAGCCAGTGAGTCAAAGAAGAAATCATAAGATTTCACAAGAAAGAAAAGAAGAAATCACAAAATTAGAAAATACTGTGAGATGAATGAAAACAAAAACACAACCTATCAATGCTTATGGATGCAGTGAACGCTATGCTGAGAGGGAACTTTCTAGTTGTAAAAGCCTAAATTAAAAAAGAATTTCTCAAATCAATAGTCCAATTTTACATTTTTAGTCTAATTTAACAAGAAAAAGAAGCACAAACTAACCCCAAAGCTAATAGATGGAAGAAAATAATAAAGATGAAAGTAGAGACACATTAAATATAGTAATAGAAAAACAATAGAGGCCAGGTGCAGTGGCTCATGCCTGTAATCCCAGCACTTTGGGAGGCTGAGGTGGGCAAACCACTTGAGCCCAGGAGTTGGAGACCAGCCTGGGCAACATGGTGAAACCCTGTTTCTACCAAAAATACCAAATACCAGTCCCATAACTCAGTCTCTAAATAAATAAATAAATGAATAAATAGATAAAAAATTAAAAATGGGATAAAAATAAGAAAAATAATAGAGAAAATCAAGACAACCAAAAACAGATTCTATGAAAAGACTAATAAAATTGATAAGCATTTAGCTACACTGAGGAAAAAAAGAGAGAAAATACAAATTACTAAAATTAGAAATGAGAGTGGAGGCATTACTACTGATGTTACAGAAATTTAAAAGGATTATAAGAAAACACTATGGACAATTGTATATCAACAGATTAGATAATGTAGATAAAATGGAGAAATTCTTAAGAAAAACACAAGCCAAATGACTCAATAAGAAATACAAACTTTGGCCGGGTACAGTGGCTCATGCCTGTTATCCCAGCACTTTGGGAGGCTGAGGCGGGCAGATCACTTGAAGTCAAGAGTTCGAGACCAGCCTGGCCAACATGGTGAAACCCTGTCTCTATCAAAAAATACAAAAATTAACCATGCATGGCAGTGCATGCCTGGAGTCCCAGGTACTCAGGAGGCTGAAGCAGGAGAATCACCTGAACCCAGGAGGTGGAGGTTGCAGTGAGTCAAGATCATGCTGCTGCACTCTAGCCTGGGTAACAGAGTGAGACTCCATCTCAAAACAAAACAAAACAAGAAGAAATATAAACTCTTAACAGGTCTATGACAAGTAAAGAATTGTTTTTTCACCAACCTGACACTAAAAGAAAAGAAAAAAGAATTGAATCAGTAATCAGAAACCCCACAACAAAGAAAAGCCCAGGACCAGAAAGCTTCACTGGTGAACTATACAAGATATTTAAAGAAGAATCTTTCTCAAATGCTTTCAAAAAATAGAAGAGGAGAGAGCACTTCCTAACTCATTCTATAAGACCAGAATCACTCTGATACCAAAGCCAGAGAAAAACATCACAAGAAAAGAAAACTGCAGATGAATACATATTCAATGTAATATACCACATTAATAGGTCAAAGAAAACATGCATGATTATCTCAGTTGATGCAGAAAAACCGTCATCAAAATTGATCATGCACTTAAAAAATCCAGCACCCTTTCATGATAAAAACACTAGAAATAGAAACGAACTTCCTTAACATGATAAAACGGCATTTGTGAAAAACACACAGCTAACATCATACACAATAGTGAAAGACTGAAAGCTTTAATCCTAAAACCAAGAAGACAACGACACCCCATTTCACCACTTCTGCTCAACATTGTTATGTAAGTTCTACCCAGAGCAAGTAAGGGATAAAAGAGAAATCAAAGGCATCTAAACTGGAATGGAAGAAGTAAAGTAATCTATTTTTATAAATGATGTAATCTTATACATAGAAATTTCCAAAGAATCCACAAAAATATTATTATAGCTAATAAATGAATTCAGCAACGTTTCAGGATATAGGATCAATAAACAAAAATCAATTGTATTTTTATGCTCTAGCAATGGATAATCCCAAAATGAAGCTTTTAAAAATTTCCATTTATGATGTCATCAAAAAGAACAAAATACTTAGGAAACATTTTAACCAAGGATGTGCAAGACTTTTTACAGTGAAAACTACAAAACACTGCTGAAAGCAATTCAAGAACACCTCCCAAAAACGGAAAGACACCCAGTGTTCATGGATTTGAAGACTTAATATTATTAATATGGCACTACTCTCCCAAGTGATCTACAGATCGAATGCAATCCTATGGAAATCCCAAGGGCCTTTATTTTTTTGCAGAATTGGAAATTATAAGATTCATATGAAATTGCAAGGTCCAACAAAAAGCCAAAACAATTTTGAAAAAGAACAAAGAAGACTCTCACATTCCAATTTCAAAACTTATTATAAAACTATGATAATCAAAACAATGTGGTACTGACATAAAGACAGACATATAAGTTAATAGGATAGAATTGAGAGTCAAAAATACACCCACACATCTAAGGTAATTTGACTTTTTTTTTTTTTTTTGAGACAGGGTCTCACTCTGTCACCCAGGCTGGAGTGCAGTGGTGCAGTCTTGGCTCACTGTGACCTCTGCCTCCCAGGTTCAAGTGATTCTCCCACCTCAACCTCCCGAGTAGCTGGGAGTACAGGTGCGTGCTACCACACTGGCTAATTTTTGTATTTTTAGTAGAAACAGGGTTTCACCATGTTGTCCAGGCTGACGTCGAACTTCTGGCCTTAAGTGATCCACCGCCTCGGCTTCCCCAAGTGCTGGGATTACAGATGTGAGCCATTGCGCCTGGCGGGTAAGTTGGTTTTTGACAAGGATGCCAAGACCATTCAGTAAGGGACAGAATAGTCTCTTCAACACATGGTGTTTGGGTAACTACATATCCGCATGGAAAATATTAAAATTGGACCTCTATCTCATACCATACAAAAATTAAATCAAAATGGATCAAAGACCTAAATTTAAAAGCGAAAGGTATAAAACTCTTAGAAAAAAACAGAGGTAAATTTCATTACTTGGATTTGGCAATAGATTCTTAGGTATGACATCAAATGCACAAGCAACAAAAAAAAATAGATAAAGTAGATTTCATCAAAATTAAGTACTTATGCATCAATGGGTACTATCAAAAAAGTGAAAGGCACTCTACAGATGGGAGAAAATATTTGCAAATGACATATCTTATAATGGTCTTACATTCAGAATATGTAAAGGATTCCAGGCCAGGCGCGGTGGCTCATGCCTGTAATCCCAGCACTTTGGGAGGCCAAGGCCAGTGGATCACTTGAGGCCAGGAGTTCGAGACCAGCCTGGCCAACATGGTGAAACTCCATCTTTACTAAAAATACAAAAATTAGGTGGGCATGGTGGCAGGCACCTGTAATCCCAGCTACTCAGAAATGGATGAAGAGCTACTCAGGAATGGATGTATGGATGAACAAAGTGAGACAAGTACTGTATAATCACATAACGAAATGTTACTTAGCCATACAAAGAAATGAAGTATTGATATGTGCTATGACATGGATAAAACACGACGCTAAGTGAAAAACGCCAGTCACAAAAGGTCACGTATCATGTAATTACATTTATATGAAAAATCCAGAATAGGAAGACCCATAGAGACAGGAAGCAGATGAGTATTTCCAGGGTCTGGGGAGGGGAAATGGGGAATAGGGTTTCCTTTAGGGGTGATGAAAATGCCTTGGAGCTGGACAGAGGTGGTGGTCGCAAAATATAGTGAATGAATATACTAAATGCCAATGAATTCTTCACTTTAACATGGTTAATTCTACATTATGTGAATTTCACCTCAGTTTTAAAAAGTGAGTCTTCAAGGATGAGGTGAGACTCAGAGATGTGTACTTCACAAACACTTGATATTAAATATTGCTATTTATAAAGGGAAAAAACAAGAAACTCTTGTCAGAGATTGGGTAAATGGCATGATGTCTACACCATTAATTTACTTTTTAGTAGGCTGTCGGTTTCATGCAAAAAATCATGTTGTCAAAGTGTCCTAGAGACAAAATTGAATGGACAACATAATGACTTTAGTTAATTTGGTTAAGATTGTCTTATTGAAATGTTCTGTGCCTCTGTGAGTGGCAGAGCCAATGCTAGGGCAGTGTCTAATCATGTCGGGCACACAGCAGGCACTCATTAAATGGCAGTCTTCTCTGCACTACTACCTTGCATGGAGCTGGCCACAGGCAGAGACATACTACAGAGAAGGAAGAGGGGGCCCTGGCTTCTGTGGCTCTGGGGAATGCACTGCTCAAAGTGTCTCTCTTGCAGGCCCTCGACTGCAGTACTGAGTGTGGCCCAGGCAGCATGCTGTAATCCAAGGGGGCCCAGGGTGACAAGTTACATCTCAGGAGAGTCAGGCAAAAGCTCAGGAAGCAACAGGCAGCTGCAGAGAGAAGGGGATACCAGACCAAGTCTGAGGACTCCTGGCCGGGAGTGGCTTACCTTGACTCCATCTTTGTGCACTGCCCCTATGTGCAGCCTCCTTTCGACGTGGGCCTGCTTCTGCAACTTCTTTCTCTGTGTCTTCTCCAGCCACAGGTCATCCACACTGACGGGCGAGCGGTGAGGGATGCCCCTAGGCTGTGAAGGAGCCTCCCCACGCACAGTCTCTGCAGAGATGCAGAGGAGGGCCCATGTCACCATGTCAGTGGTGAAGCAGGGCTTCTGGGCAGGCTCCATGTGGAACGCCTTCTGACTGTGAGAGCAACTGGGCTTCTCACCTGCTGGTTCTTCCCAGGGCATGTGGTTCTGGAGAGCAGAGAGAACGGGTCAGGGGTCAGAGGTCAAAGGACATATCAACTGGGAACACGCTGTCCTTCCTCTGCCTAGTTCCTTTTGGGTATAACACTATGTTTTGGTTAATTTTCAAAGTACAGAGTCCAGTGAAATACTTTGTTCACAGTCATTTTGGAAAATGTGAAGATTAGGAACAAAACAAATCTTGTCTCTGTTAAAATGTCTACTTTCAAGAGTATTTTTTAAAAAATCTAGCCTTCTATTTTGATCAAAGAATTAGGCCTTGAAAGTAATTACTGAACTTGGCATGCTCATTAGAAATACTTTTTAAAGGCCAGCAACTGGGGTAAAAGTTCCCGTTTAAACAACATTCCCTTATGAACAAAACTGAAGCAGAAGCACTCTTCCAGAGCCCAGTACCTCTTCTAGCTTGACTCTGATGCTCACTGAAATGCAGGCAAGACTCCACCTCACCCACATTGCCACCACCATCCCTGGTTGCCGTTACGCACCAGGCACCTTAAGGATTTCAAAATAAAATATGCCCCCACTAGCAGAATAGTTAGGCCTGTGTTGGCATCACCAGCATCTCTGTTGTTTGGAATTTGCCACTGGGAGAAGAAACCCTTTTCTTCACACATGTTGTCCAAGTCTAACGATCCCCTATGCCCACCCCATGAACACCTACTTTGTAGCAGCAACCTCTGTGGAATGGCATCCCCAAGCACTCTGTGTGTACTGTTTGCTAAAAACTAAGGTGAAATTTCTTTTAAGTATTTCAAGTCTGCCTTAAAAATGTATCTATGCTGTTGGGAGGCCGAGGCGGGCAGATCACGAGGTCAGGAGATTGAAACTATCCTGGCTAACACAGTGAAACCTCGTCTCTACTAAAAATACAAAAAACTTAGCCAGGTGTGGTGGTGGGCCCTGTAGTCCCAGCTACTCGGGAGGCTGAGGCAGGAGAATGGCGGGAACCCCGGGAGGCAGAGCTTGCAGTGAGCCGAGATTGCGCCACAGCACTCCATCCTGGGCAACAAAGCGAGACTCGGTCTCAAAAAAAAAAATGAAAAAGTATCTATACTGGAGGACTAAGGAGGCTGGGTCTGATGAGGCAAGATTTTGCTGATACATTGCTCCTAGAAAAAAGGGTTGGCAAGAGCAGCCCTGGAGACTCACACGGCTGACTGTTCTACCCAACACTCTACTCCAGTTGTACAGGAGACTGTTTTTGCTATAATTTCTTACTGATATATCAGTTGGAGAAAAGTGGGTATGCTTACTTAATATTGGATCTTGGGTTTTGCCTCTTAAATATCTCTTGCTGAACAGAATATGATGCTTATTTTGTAGGTAAGTACATGGAAAATGAAGTTCTTATTTTAAATAAAGCTCCTCGATAGAGTTTATTTTTATGGTAGAAATTGTAGGGGGTCCTTATTCTGGAAGTGATTAGATGTACTTGGGAGATTACAGTATTTTGCATAAGAATTTTCTACAAGATTAGGATTTAATTATAGATTCTCTGCTTAATCTGAGGTATTCTAAAATTAAAAATGTATACATATGCATATGTTTACAGTGAAAGAGAGAGAGATGGAGGAAGAGAAACTGGATGGCTGGATAATTATTACATAATGGTTTTGGGGTACAGCCTGGGAAGTAAGACTTTTTCTAGCTCTCCAGGTATGTCCAAGGTTGCAAACCACTGATCTAATGTGTTTATTTGAGCTCCCAAATATTGCTCTACATTTAAAAACTATTTTCAGCTAGTTATTTCTCCCCAAGTACCTTGTGGATCAGAAACAGCTGGTTTCTTCTCCCTTAGAAACTCAGAGAACTTAAGCGACTTGCCTCAGAGCAAGTCCTTGCCCAGAGGCACCCAGCTGGATCCTCTGGGCTATGCAGCAACAGATAGACCATACTCCTGGGAATGGGTGAAAAATGGATTTCTGAGCCCTGAGGGAATGGTTGGCAATTTGTGTCTAAAATGCCCTCCAGGGAATTCTGAGGCAAAGCTAGTCTGAGAATTACTGTACTAGACAGACAGATAGAATAGAGAGAGGCAAGGTAGCTCAGGCTGTCCTGGTGGTCCTCATGTGTCCAGGGGAGGGGGCCAGAAAGCAGACTTTGGGGTGGGATAATCTGAGTTTGACTAAAGGAACTTTTGTCCTTCGTTGTATTCCCAAAAGAGCAGCATTAAGAAATGATGAGACGATGGTAGATGAGAAAGTTCAAGAAAATCTGGAAAGGGTAAAGTAGATGTAGGAGGGGTAGATGGTGCTGCAGAGCACAGGAAGCTATCTAAAGAAATGCAGATGACTTGGAGTTCACAGGGAAGGAAGCAGGCAGAGGTTCTGGTTTAAAGTTTGTAAGTGTGACCCTCAGTTAAGGTCCCAGCACAGTCAGCCACGTGACTGTGTATACTCCCCTTTCCATTTCTCCTTCCCTCAAACTGCCAGCCAAGATCAAACACGAGAGACTTGTGGTCCTGAATAATTGAACAAGAATCTCCAGCTTGTGGGGACCACGGACTTAACTGGTGAAAGCAGTGGAGAGGTTTGGGATGAAAACAGCATAACAAGAAAACCTGCATGGTGAACAGGGAGCGACTCAGCACCCTGCTTCATTCTTTCCCGGTATAATCCTGTATCTTCTCAATAAATGACTGGAGGATACCGCTCTGGAGAAACTGACCCACCTCAGAGAAGAGACCTCTAAACATTGACTTATAAAATAAGCAACTTCTCTTTTAAAGTCACTTGATAGGAAAGCACACTAGCCAATTAGCTCCACAAATGCCCACATAATATCTAAACAGATATTTGGTGTCTTACTCTGAAATAAATATGAAATTCACCCAAAGATTGCTAGGCATTTAGGAAAAACCTTCAACACACTAAAATGACCAAAATAAACAAATAGGGAAAAAAACTAGGAAAGAGAAAATGTAAAGGATAGAAGAAAACTTCAAAATAACTAAAATTAATAACCTGAAGAAGAAAAAGGAAGACACTGAAATCATTAAACAAGAACAGTATGCTATGAAAAAACAAAACAGGAAACTTCCAATTCTGGACAAGATGGCATAGACACACTTCCTGTTTGTTTCACTAAGCACCGCTAAAAACCTAAGACATTATGTATAAAACAAAGATACGAAAACAAAGACATCTGAATGGTGGCGAGAAGAAAGTAGACCAGCTAGGGATCATAAAATACAAGGAACAACACCAGGTAGTTCCCTAGGTTTTCTTTTGCCGCATATATACCACTCATACATGCTTCCTATATGGATGCTGAACAGTCTTGCTGGAGCTGTCACTAGGTCCAGACAGAAAAGCTCCAACAGAAATCTGCATTCTCTAGCTAAAGGACCAGCCTAGCAAGACAGAAAACTTTTAGACAAATGCTCTACTCAAGCCAAACATTAGGTAAAAACCATGCAACACACCCCTGTCTCCCTCACACCCCAGCAAAGCCTGAGTGAAGAACTCCCAACCTCACCTGTCATGGGTCACATATGTCCCCGAGCCAAGTGGTGTGAGAGAAGGCTGATGGGAAAGCTTGAACTTTCTTCCCCTGCCAGTGTTAGTGAGGCCCTCCACCATGCTGTCTGTGAAGACAATGTGTGAGGCCAGTCTTCCATCCTCTTCCTGGTGTCAGTGAGGCATTCCTCCCCTGACCTGCTGGGGTAATGCAGGAGAAGGCCTGCTAGAGAGCCAGCACCTTCACCACCAGCTAGCATTCACAAGGCCTCCTGATCCCACTGACAGAGCAGGAGTATCACCATCTTGGACAAGCACCCACTGCCATTCTAAAGTCCACCTTGATCAAAAACTGCCTAAATCTAAAGGGCATCAACCTAATGGCTAAGATCAACATGACCATAAACCACAAATAACGTCTCTGACCAGAAACATTCCAAACCCCTCCCCAACCAGAGACATGCCAACCCCAAGATAACCTCTCCTTCAGCCAGAGAGATGTCAGCCCCAAGATAACCTCCCCTCCAACCAGAGACATTCCAACCCCACCATAAACTTCTCCCCCCAACAGAAATATTCCAAGCCTGTAATAAGCTCTCTCACCAATACATACTCTTAGTCTGTAAGAGTGCTCCTGACCAAAAAAAAAAAAAAAAAAAAAAAAAAAATCAGCCAGAAGTCCCTCTCAGGTTTATTTTCCAAAATAAACCTGTCTTTGACTGTTGAGCCACTTTTTGTGTTTCTTTCCTCTTTCTTTAACTCTTACACCAAGCTATCGGTGCAAGCTTGTTGTAAAATCTTAACTCTCATCCCTGCCTATTAGTAAATGAAACACCCATCCTTGCATAAGGTGTCAATAGAGGCCAATAAAGGAATGTAGGGTTTCACCCAAACCTGGAAATAATGAGGTAGTGCCCACCTTCCCACACCAAAGTGGAGTCAGAGGTGGTTTTCCAAAACAAGATTTAAATAAGATACAAAGACTCCACTCCCCAAAATATCCAGAATAAAATAGAAACTCATTAATCATAACAAGAACAGGGAAAATCTCAACTTGAATAAAAAAGAGAGTCAACAGACACCAGCACTGAGAAGACAGAGGTGCAGGAATTATCAAACAAAGATTTTAAAGCAGCCATCATAAAAATGCTTCAAAAAGCAATACAAATACTCATGAAACAAATGAAAAATAGAACAGCTCAGAAAATGGAAAATCTTAGCAAAGAAATAGAATATATAAAGAATATCTAACTGGAAATTATAGAATTGAAAAATATAGTAACTGAAATAAAACGTTCAGTTGATCAGCTTACAGGAGAATGGAGAGGATAAGAGGATCAGTGAACTTGTAGATGGAAGAGACAGAATTATACAATCTGAACAACAGAGAGAAAACAGACCAAAGAAAGAAAGAAAGAAAGAAAGAAAGAGAAAGAAAGAAAGAAAGAAAGAAAGAAAGAAAGAGAGAAAACCAAACAAATAGAGCATCATGGACCTGTGAGACTGCAAAGAAAGATCAAACACTAGATAACTGGAGTCCAAAAGAGAGAGGACAAAGTGGGTTGGGGTGAAAAAGTATTTAAAGAAATAATGCTCAGAATTTCCTAAATTTGGCCAAAGATATAAACCCATAGATTTAAGAAGCTGTGCAAAGTCCACATAGTATAAATCCAAAGAAATCCACATGAAGAAGAAACATAAGCAAACTTCTGAAATCTAAGGACAAATAAAAAATATTGAGAGCAGTGAGAGGGTAAAAAGACACCTTCCTTATAAGAGAAAAACATTTTAAAAGGCATCAGACACCTGGAGGCCAGAAGGAAGTGACATAAAACTTTTCAAGTGTCACTTTTCAAGAAAATAACTATTAACTTAGAATCTTTTATCCAGTGAAAATATTCTTCAGTAATGAAGGGAAAATTGAGACATTCTCAAAGAAAGGAAGAATGAGAGAATTTATTGCCTGCAGATCTACCCTTAAATAATGGCTAAAGGAAGTTCTTGCATTAATTTTTAAATAAACTGTGAGATTTAGGTCGAAGTTTTTCTTTTTTTGCTTTGGATGTCCAAATGCTCCAGCATTGTTTCTCGAAAAGACTATCCATTGAATTGCTTTTGCACCTAAAAATTGGTGGGTATATTTGTGTGGGTCTATTTCTGTGTTCTCTCTTCTTTCCCATTACTCTATGTAATTTTCCCTCCCCCAGTACTACATGGTCTTGATTACTTTATGTAATAAGCATGAATTAATATCAATTATTGATTCCCCTCACTTGATTTTTCTTTCTCAAAATTGTTTTAACTATTTTAGGGTATGTATCTCTCCATACAAATTTTAGATTATAAACATTTTAAAGGCTAGAAAATGTTCATTCTCTCTCTCTCTCTCTCTCAGACGCACACACACACACACACACACACACACACACACACACACACACACTTAGAACTCCTAAGCAGAAACAGTATGTTGGAATCTTGCCACCAAAGTTAGAACTGTGGCTGGTAGACAGGAAAGCTATCCAGCATTCATTCCATAAAGTGGATATTACACCCAGCAGAGACCTAGGAAATCACTTGGTCCAATCCTTGATAGACAAGGAAACTGGGTCTCAGTGTGGTCTTAACCCAAGGCTCACCGTCAGGTCAGAGTGGGTATTAAAACACTCACAGGAGTTTTGAATTTCCAGTCTCCTCTCATTCCTCTTGCCCAGCCACAGCTATTTCTGTCCTGCTCTCTCTCGGTCTTGGTGTCCTTCCTAAGCCCCTCCAGCCAGGGGCATGATCCTGTATGCATGCCTTCAGCAGACGCTGGAGCCTGCTTCCCCTGGAATCAAAGGCTCTCTGCCCCCAAACCTGAAATCCCAGAGGAAAGAAATCTCTAAATGCAAACAGCACCTTTCACACCAGAGGACTGCCTCGTGCTGGTCTGCATCATACACACACGCAGAAATACTCCACGGTCTGGGCGGATCACAAGGTCAGGAGTTCGAGACCAGCCTGGCCAACAGAGTGAAACCCCGTCTCTACTAAAATTATAAAAAATTAGCTGGGTGTGGTGGCGGGTGCCTGTAATCCCAGCTGCTTGGGAGGCTGAGGCAGGAGAATAATTCGAACCCGGGAGACGGAAGTTGCAGTGAGCCGAGATCATGCCACTGCCCGTGACAGTGTGAGACTCGGTCTCAAAAAAAAAAAAAGGAACTATGCCACGGTCTCACAGGTGGGAGGTGAAACTGTGAGGGTTAAATTCTACAGCAATCCACAGGTGAGGAAAACAATCCTATCAAGACTGCAGCTAGGCCGGGAGCGGTGGCTCAAGCCTGTAATCCCAGCACTTTGGGAGGCCGAGGTAGGTGGATCACGAGGTCAGGAGATCGAGACCATCCTGGCTAACACGGTGAAACCCCGTATCTACTAAAAGCACAAAAAAATTAGCCGAGTGTGTTGGCGGGTGCCTGTAGTCCCAGCTACTCGGGAGGCTGAGGCAGGAGAATGGCATGAACCCGGGAGGCGGAGCTTGCAGTGAGCCGAGATCGTGCCACTGCACTCCAGCCTGGGCGACACAGCAAGACTCCGTCTCAAAAAAAAAAAAAGAAAAGAAAAGAATAAAAGAAAGACTGCAGCTAAAGCATCAGGCACCAATGGCGATGGCAAGACTGAGGGGATTCCTCCACATTACTAACATATGAGGCTGGACCTTCCAGGGCTCTATGGCTTCCTCATCAGTTGAGACTTGGTTCACATGTCAGACCCAAAATCTCCAAGCCAAGGGTGCCCCACCGTCAAACCTCTCAACTCTCTTTCTCATTTCCTTTTATCTGAAATGATCTTACTCGCTCACTAATTTATTGACTGCTGCATGCTGTCCTGCTGTGAGGACGGACATCCTGCTGTATTATTCAGTACAGTGTCCGCTGCATCTAGAACATTGCCCGCCCACAAGTGGCACTCAGCGAGCTCAGTTTATCGACTTGATGACCACGTGAGAGGAACTGGTAGACTGGTCAGTAATGCTTACTGTACAGCTACAGTGATTAAGATACTGTGTCAGAAGGACGGACAAACAGATGAATGGAACACAAATGCCAGTTACAGGCATCTCAGAGACCTACATGTAATAAGCAAGGCCGTGAAAGTTTTTAAGAAGGTAATTTAAGGGATTCTTTTCATGACCTTGGGGTAGAGAAAAGATGGATACACTTGACAACATTAAAATTGAGAATTTCTGTTCATCAAAAGATATCATTATGCCCAGGCGCGATGGCTCACGCCTGTA
Source organism: Homo sapiens (assembly GCF_000001405.40). Lineage (NCBI taxonomy): Eukaryota > Metazoa > Chordata > Mammalia > Primates > Hominidae > Homo > Homo sapiens. The sequence goes on along the minus strand of NC_000002.12, from coordinate 130,923,202 downwards.
ATCCCAGCACTTTGGGAGGCTGAGGTGGGTGGATCACTTGAGCTCATGAGTTCGAGACCACCCTAGCCAATATGGCGAAACCCATCTCTACTAAAAATACAAAAATTAGCTGGGTGTTGTGGCTCGCGCCTGTAGTCCCAGCTACTTGGGAGGCTGAGGCAGGAGAATTGCTTGAACCCGGGAAGCGGAAGTTGCACTGAGCCAAGATTGTGCCACTGCACTCCAGCCTGGGTGACGGAGCAAGACTCCATCTCAAACAAAATATATATATATATATATCATTAAAGAGGGAAAAGACAAGCCACACAAAATAGGAAATATCTGTGGCACATTTACCCACAATGCAATTCTATCAAGAATCAGTAAGAGAAAGACAACCCCAAAACAAATGGATGACAGACTAGGAGAGACATGTCCCACAAGAGAGTGAAAAAAAAAAATCTGAGGAATGTGAGCCCTTTAAATTATCAGGCCCAAACCCAAAAGGCATTTAAGACATAATATCTCACTCCCCCTCAGCTAAATAGCTACCTCTTGGAGCCACTTGCTATGCGGACTCTAGACTAACTCACTCTGAGGAGTCATAAAATGCCACATACCTTATAGCTCAACAAGGTATAGCCAATCACCAACCGGTGTTACTTCCATAAACCAATGAGAATTCCTGATAAACAACATTTGTACTCACTCCCTCTCCTGATTCCTCCTTTTTTTCTTTAAAAAATTTGAGCCTCTCTTTTGTTCTCTGGAGCACTCTCCAAGGCAACTTGGAAGTGTGTCCCAGGCTGCAGTCCTCGACTTCTGTGCTGAATAAACTCTTTTTTTTTTTTTGAGACAGAGTTTCACTCTTGTTGCCCAGGCTGGAGTGCAACGGTGCAATCTCGGCTCGCCGCAACCTCCACCTCCTGGGTTCAAGCGATTCTCCTGCCTCAGCCTCCCAACTAGCTGCGATTATATGCATGCGCCACCATGCCCGGCTAATTTTTGTGGTTTTTAGTAGAGACAGGGTTTCTCCATGTTGGTCAGGCTGGTCTCGAACCCCTAACCTCAGGTGATCCTGCTGCCTCGGCCTCCCAAAGTGCTGAGATTACAGGCTTGAGCCACTGCGCCCGGCCTGAATAAACTCTTTTTAAACTAGATTCTGACCTTTTTGATTATTTTAGTTTGACAAGGGTATCCAGAGTGTTGAAAAGCACATAAAAAGTTCCTTAGGCCAGGTGCAGTGGCTCATGCCTGTAATCCCAGCACTTTGGGAGGCCAAGGCAGGTGGATTACTTGACCTCAGGAGTTTGAGACCAGCCTGGCCAACATGGTGAAACCCCATCTCTATTAAAAATACAAAAATCAGCTGAGCGTGGTGGCAGGCGCCTATAGTCCCAGCTACTTGGGAGGCTGAGGCAGGAGAATTGCTTGAACCCAGGAGGCAGAGGTTGCAGTGAGCTGAGATCGCACCACTGCACTCCAGCCTGGGTGACAGAGGGGGACTTGGTCTCAAAAAACAAAAACAAAAGTTCCTTAGCCTCTTCAGACATCAGGAAAATGAAAACTAAAATCACAGTGAGATACTGCTACACACCTAGCAGAATGGCTAAAATTAAAAAGGCTGACAGTATCAACCAAATGTGAATGAGAACAGAGAGCAAAGGATACTCCTAATGAGAGAGTGTAATTTGATGCAATCACTTTGGAAAAATAATTTGACAGTATTTAGTATGACTAAAGATATGCATCCCCCAAGGACACCCCTAAAATGCAACCCACAGAAATATACATGCACGTGCAGTAGGCCCCTGACCCAAATGTTCACAGCAGCCCCAAACGGGCACAACCCCCAAGTCCATCAGCAGCTCACTGAGAAATACAATGTGTTATGATGATTCGGAGCAATTCAACATGCTGATGAGAGATCTCCTGACCTCGTGATCCGCCCGCCCCTGCCTCCCAAAGTGCTAGGATTACAGGCGTGAGCCACCGCACCCAGTCCACAGGATGATTCTTAATTAGAGCAGGGGAAGGCAGACACAAAATAGACTGAGTAAAGTTTAAAGCAATGTGTAAGATTTTGTTTATATAAACCTCAAAACAGGCCACCCCCACACCCATAGTAATAAAGTAGTAACACGATAATGAAATGCAAGTGAACACCATGAGATGGGGCATAGTGGGTAGGGCAGGGAGGAGGAAGGGAGGTGGCAGGAAGGGGGCAGGGTGGGGGATGTGGTGTTTCATGACCTGGTGGAGGTCATCCAGTGTCTGTTGACAATATATGTCTACACATTTATGTATTATGCTGTTCTGTAAGTCTTCTCTATTTCTTGACTTTGAAAAGCTTTAAAGAAACTGCAGGATGTAAAGTCACAGAAAATTAAGATCTCTATACACGATATTATCACAGCTATGTTACATATATAAAACTTGTCTGTGGAAGAAATCTAGAAGTAAACAACAAAATATTAAGAATGGTTGTTTTAAAAGATTGGGATAAGAGAACTGCTGCTCCTTAATACGAAGTGGGAATAACTGACTGAATTCCTTGCAAATTACTCTCACCATCAGAGCCTGCTCTCCCAGGAATGCCCACAAGATGGCGCAGTCATTTCTCCAAGGGGAGTTTCACATTCCAGCACCATCCAGGGTTCTACCAGACAGAGGGAACCTTTCTGAGCTTTGCTTCCCTTCCCGTTCCCTATGTACCTGCTGTTCTCCTGTCTGTGGTCTGATGGCGCAGTGTACTAGGCCTTCCTCTTCTCCAGTAAGGAATGAAACATAAAGAGGAATACGAACTCACATTTATCTGGCACCCGCTTCATGCCTGGCCCTTTGCTGTATACTTTATAATCATCATCTCACTTACTATTTGTTAAAACCCATGCAGACTCCAACTGGGGCAACAAGGTGAGACTCTGTCACTACAAAAAATTAAAAAATTATCTGGGTGTGGTGGCGCATGCCTGGGGGCTCAGCAACTTGGGAGGCTGAGGCAAGAGGATTGCTTGAGCCTGGGAGATCCAGGCTGCAGTGAACCGTGATCTCGCCACCACATTCCAGTCTGGGAGACAGAGCAAGACGCTGAATCAAACAAAATAAACAAAAAACAAACAGAAAGACACACACACAAAAAAAAACCCCAACAAACCAAGCAGGCTGTCCAGGTGTGTGCCTGAGGCCCAAAGCACCTGCTCCATCCCATGCACAACGTGAGCACAGGGACCACTTCCAGGAATATCTGCCTTCCAGTATGTGCTTCTGCACCATGTATGTGTGTGCATGTGTGTGTATACACAGACACATAGAGACAGATATGTATATATCACTTTTTTTTTTTTTGAGAGGGAGTCTCACTCTGTCGCCCAGGTTGGAGTGCAGTGGTGTGATCTTGGCTCACTGCAACCTTTGCCTCCCGGATTCAAGTGATTCTCCTGCCTCAGCCTCCCAAGTAGCTGGGATTACAGGCGCCCACCACCAGGCCCAGCTAATTTTTATATTTTTAGTAGAGACGGGGTTTCACCATGTTGGCCAGGCTGGTCTCGAACTTCTGACCTCAGGTGATCCGCCCGCTTCGGCCTCCCAAAGTGCTGGGATTACAGGTGTGAACCACCACGCATGGCCTATATCACTATTAAATCAGGCTTGTTAATTCAAATACTGTAAAATCTTTTTTTGACTACTTGATTTAACTCTGAGTTGCCTAACACTAAAATGTCTTTTTACTTGTAAATCAAGTTCTCTATGTATTTTCAGGTGATCAGAAACACAAAAGGGCAATAAGCAACTAAGTTGGAGGGGTGTGAGGAAATGGGCACTCAGATACTGCTGTTGAGTGTTGATTGCCAATCATTTCAGAAGTAATCTGAAAGCTATTAAAATACCCCTGCCCTTTGTGCAATCCCACTTTTATATCCAACAGACATAAATAAAAGCATCGATATCTAAGGACGCATGCTCAAGGGTGCTGCTGAAGCGTTATTTATAAAGACCCCAAACTAGAGATTACCTCAATGCCAATCAGTAGAAGAACCGTGAAAGGAAATACAGCATGGCCATACTCTGAACTATTATGGAACTTCTAAACAGAGCCATGAACATGAGGCGCTGGAGGGCTTTACCTGCTGTATTAAGCAAGCAAGAAAGATGCAGAGCAATGTGTATGTCTGACCCCGCGGTGTAATTCCCTCTCCCCAAACTGCCCCATAAGCCCTGTGTGAGAACACAATGAAAGATGAGACACCTTAGTATAGGGCAGTGTTTCCTTGCATGGAGTGGGATTAGACGGTTTTGGGGAGAGGCCTTTTCCTTTCTACATCTGTATTGTTTGGCTTTGTTTTTAAACTTCAGTAGTAACAGTAACGAAAAAAAGTAACCCTCCCCCCAAAACAACAAAAAACCTTTAGTGTTTAACTGCGTAGAGATACACAAACAGACTGAGGAGGTGAAGCCATTTCCTGCTGGTAGTGATCCTATTTCAATGTATGCTGTCCACTCGGCCTTGTGGGATGCTCTGCTGGGAAACCCCTTCTCGCCCAGCTCCGCCCCTCTTAGCAGCCCACCTGGCCTGGAGGCGCTCTGCCAGCACCTTATCTGCCGCCCTCCCAGCTGCGCAGCCCGTGAGCCCAGGTGTGGCTGACATCTGCCTGCAGGCGGAGGGGAGCGCCCGAGAGGCCACCGCGTGGGGTGGCTGTGGCCTGCGCTCCCCGGCTCTGGGCGCGCGGAAGACTCGGCATCGCTTGGTCTAAAGAAGCTGAGGGAGCCTTACTTTTTACTTTTCGCAGTCTCCAGGGCACGCTCTGCAATTTCCAGAAAAGCTCTCTCCTTCCAAGGGCAGCTGGGATGAGAAATCCAACCCTTCTCTGCTCCGTTCTGTGCCTGACCCTGCTAACCTATCCTGGACAGAAGCGGTCACTTTGTGGGAGAGACCATCTTACTGCACTAAACATTTCAGAAGCACCAACATTTCCTGTCTCTTTATACGAAGTAAGTCCAGCTGGATCAAATTCTAAATACGATAAAGTAGAAGCCATTAAAGTACTAGAAGACAACATGAGGAATTTTTTTAAATGCCACAGTGGAGAAGAACTAGGTTTAACACAAAAGCCTGCACAGACCGTTCAATAGAAAATGGGCAGTGCCGGCCGAGGCGGGTGGATCACGAGGTCAGGAGTTCAAGACCAGCCTGGCCAACATGGTGAAACCCCGTCTCTACTAAAATAACAAAAATTAGCCAGGCGTGGTGGCGGGTGCCTGTAATCCAATCTACTCGTGAGGCTGAGGCAGAGAATTGCCTGAATCCGGGAGGCAGAGGTTGCGGTGAGCCGAGATGGAGCGACTGCACTCCAGCCTGGGCGACAGAGCGAGACTCCGTCTCAAAAAAAAAAAAAAAAAGAAAAAAAGAAAAAGAAAAGAAAAGAAAATGGGCAGTGCCCAGGGAGCAGGCAGTTCATACAAAAGAAAATTCAAATGGCTTGAAATTAAAGAAAAACACGAAATGATCATGAAATGCCAATTCTGGCTTGTTAGCTTGGTAACGTTCAAGAAGTTGGTCACCCGCTGTGTTCACTGGGGGAGGGGGGGCGGCTGGGAGTGTAACGGGGGCAATTTTGGCCTGGCCTTCCTATTTTACCTCTCCCCTCAGGAAGATTCCCGCCTGCTCCCCTCCTTCTCTTGCCTGCAGAGGTCAGGAAAGGCTTGGTGCGATTCAGATACTCACCTCACTCCCAGGAAGGTCCCTGAGCCAGGGCACTGTGCCCAAGCCGCGCGGACCCTGGCCTCCTTCCCTGCTCTCTTCCTTCTGCTCATCTTGGTTTAGCGTCTGCAGAGAAAGCAGGAAACTGGTCTGGCCCTTGGGAATCTTGGGTCTTTCAGGGTCCCCTGAACTGCTGTCCACGTAGCTGTAGCTTCCAAGAGAAACCATGGAGATGGCGCTACCCCTCCCGGGGTAGTGGAGACCCATCCGCTGAGCACTAGGCCTGGGACTCAGGGGCTTGGGGCTCGTGGGTCTGCAGGGCGTCCCGGGGTTTTCATATGCCAGGCAGCAGGCAGAGCTGGAAGGCAGGGTGTGTGCGATTCCAGCCTGCTGGGCCCGAGGGCTGCCGGGGGACGCCAGCCAGGACTTTTCCGGAAAGATACCTGAAGGTAGGTACCTACCGCCTTCCTGGGTGGCTGTGCACTTGATGGTCGGTTCACTTTTCCTCCTGTGTTCTGGAGAAACTAAACTGGAGGACAAAGGTGTGGAGGCAAGTGGGGGTGCCCAGTGATCGCTAAAAACATAGCCCTCTTTGTCCTCCGCCCGTTCCTCACAGTGGCTGTCGGTCTCTGCTGGGGAGAGAACTTCGGGTCCTAGAGGCAGACTCACTAGGGTGGGCTTTTTGGGGCTTCCGGCATCTTTGCTTTTCAGAAACGCCCGCCAGGAACCCTGGCGCAGCCTGCTCTTCTCCTTCTCGCCCTTGGGAGAACTTGGGGAACGTTCATGGGTGTTCTCTTTCTCTAGAACTATTGACTCAATAAAGTTTGAAAAGGTCTTATGAGCCAAGGCCAACCTTGCCCTGAGTTTTTTCTCCGTTGTTTTGAGTCTCTTTGCGTTGCAGCTCTCAGAGGAAGGCCCTCGGCTACCAAGATCCCCTGAGGTCCCCGTGTGCCCCGCTCCTGCCGGCCCTGCAGTCCTGTCGCCTGCAGCCTGCGGGACAAACTCGGGCCAGGCGCTGGCGTCCCCGTGGTGCAGAGGCGGTGCGTCCCGACCGGCCGCAGCGGGCGGATTCTCCCTGGGGAGCCCCTCGGGGCCTGAAGAGCCCCAGCGGCGACCCTCGGTGGTCGGGGCCGGGACCCCTCCTGGGCTCTCAGTGGCCAAGGGCCTGCCCTTCCTGAAGGAGGTCACCTTGGAAAACGTCGGGCGCTTCCCAGGCTCCTGCGCGCCCTTGCGGAGCCCGCGTGGCGGCTGGGGCGGCTCCAAGGCGGGGACGCGGGGGCGCTGGCCCCGGGCTGCTGCAGCACCGCCTTCGGGGGCCTCCTCCGGGCCACGCTCCCCTGACCCGGAGCTCCGGCTCTCCCCACGCAGTCTCTCTCCCGGGGGCTCCTCTGTGCTCGGCGTCTCTTCCGAAGCAGCTTGGGGGACCAGCACTCTCCCAAGCTCTGCGGCCTGGGCCACCCGCTGAAGAGCCCCATCGCCAGCTCCCTGTATGGGGGCTGCTGGCAACTCACACTCATTACCGGCTGGTGTTTTCCCCCTAGTGGGAGACTCACAGGGGGTCTCGCCAGTGCTCAAGGGAGATTCTGGTCTTTCCTTAGGAAAGTCACGGGGCAGTGTTTCTGGAACAGGCCCCGCATTGCTCCTGCTGGCCTGAAGACCTTTCTGCTCCACAGCTACAATGATGAGGGCGCCCCTGCCCCTCGAGGCCTCGCCGCCTGCTTTGGGCTCCAGCTGCCGGCCCCCGGCACCCCCAGGCCCCTGTTCACCCTCCTCAGCCCCGGGGCCGCAGTGAGACACCGTGGCTGCCTTGAATTCTGAAAGACCTTGCAAAGCCTGTTCCCTGTAGTTGGGGTCTAGAACCATGGCTTCTTCGGCTGCCTTTGAAGTGTCTATTGCGCTTGATTTCTGGGTGGTCTCAGGGGCATCTGAACTGTCACTCACTTCCAAGCAGCCCATCAAGTCTCCACTCCACACCTGGGTCCCCTCACTGCTAGGCTGCCGTGGGAACTTGGCCCTGGTAGGTGACTTGCTTTCCTCGCTGAGCACATACTTTGATGTGTAATTACTGGTTTGGTTTCCTGCCTGGACAGAAATGCCCCAGAGGTGCTTCTGTGTCTCTCTCTCATCAGCAGCTCTTGGTGCGAGTTGGGTGCCTTGGGGTTCCTGGGTTCTGCTTTCTGGGCTTTGCTCTGACTTGCACTCAGCGGGCTCAGGCACTTCCTCTGCACTGAGCTTCACTAACTCTGAGGTGAGGCATGAAGCCACCAGACATGACCTGGAATCCTGTCTTAACTGGTTTTCCCCCAGGAGACCTGCAGAAGGAGTGTCCTGAGAGGCCCTTTGCAAGCGAAACCCACCAGGCTTGCAGGGACCCTGCAGATGGGGAGCCCCACTCTGAAAAGCAGGAATCGGGCCAGACAGCTGGGTGGGTGCAGGGGAAGGGATGTTTTGTATTCTTGGATCTCGTTCATTTTTGGCCCCTTCCTTCACATGGGTCCCAGACTTCACAACATTCTGTCCCACGGGATCCTCGGGGCACTCTGGTGAAAACCCTGCTATGGAATGGGCCCTGACCAGTGCCCTCATGTGCCCACAGTTGAGTCTGGGGGATGCCCTGTTCTTGTCACCAGTAGTTTCTGGGGCACTATGGTGACGGTTGGTGCGTAGGAGGCAAGATGTCCTCAAAGGAGGCTGGCAGGGGACATCCGAGTGGGGCTGGGACCAGAGCAATTCTGTGTCCCCTGCAGGGCCTAGAGTACTTTCCTTCTTTGTCCTGGTCCCCAGAGGGGCTGTGTTGTCCAGTGGGCCTCTGCTAGGTAGCACCAGTGCCCTGGCCCTGTTGTGGATATGTGGCCAACTCCGACCCAGTTCACAGCACCAGAGAAGGAAGGGCCAGACCACTGGGATGCCCAGATAGCTCTCAGACCTGGATTTCTGAAGAGAAACACTGGAGAGCCCTCTGAGGTCTTGAACAGCCACCCCCTGTACTGGCTCAGGACCACTGCTGTCTGTGGCCCTCTGTAAGCAGCACCCTGTGTGTCGGGGAACCCCTGCCAGCAAAGACTCTCGCTCCAGGCTGGTCGCGCAGTCCCAGAGGTGTCCTGCCTCCTGTTCTCCAGCAACTGTGGCAAAGGCTCGCCACCCATTTTTGCAAGAGTCATCCTCTAAGCTAGGGGACAAATCGAGTTCTTCCTTTGCATGAAGCCCAGGAACACTGGTCAAATGCTGCTCCTGAGGGGGTCCAGTTGCTGAGACATCAGGGTATTCCCAAGGTGCTTCTATATCTACGGGAGTACCTCTTAGAGGGTGGAAGACTCCCCTCGGGAGGTACCCAGACAAGGACTCTGTGTCAGAGGCACTTTCAAAGGGGTCAGTTTTTGTGTCTGATCCACTTTCACTCTGCTGGGACAGCGTTTCAGAATCATCGCGGTCTGTTTGCTGGTTCCATCCCTGCTCCACTTGTTCTGCAGGGGATGTGGGGAGCTGGTTATCTTCAATCTCACCTTCACCTGGCAGGTGTGCACCTGGCTCTGGAGTCTGGGAGGGCAAGAAGAGAGGAGTCAGAGACAAGGCCTGAGTACATCTGTGCACATGTTTACACCGTGCCTGCCTTTGCCAGAAGGAGGAAGGCTCAGAAATGGCTCATTAGTTCCCCATGTACCCCTAGGAAGGGAGGTAAGTATGAAGGGCTGCCTTTTATCAACATGGAAAACAAGTGATGAAGCCAAACCCAATCAGTAGGGAGAAAAGGCAGCACATCCTTAAAACAACCCCATTAAAAATCAGAACCGGACCAACGCACATGTGCGTTTACATAAGTATAAAAATGTTGCATGAGTCATGGCGAAAAGCATATCTCTGCCTAACGTTTTCAGCAAGAAGGAACAAATCAATATGTTTGCGTTGTTTGTTCCTATGTAACCAACTGGTTTAAAGTCAATGCCCTTGCATTTAAGAAGTGTTTTCTGAGTTTGGTTTGCTAGAGCAAAACAACAACAACAACAACAAAAAAACACAAAAAGTACAGCAACAACAAAAATGAGAATGATCGAAGTTGCAAACACATTTTGGGATGTTATAAAGCTTTGAAGACAAGAAGAAAAATACAGAACTGTGCAAGTATTTCCTTCTCTCGTTACACATTTCTTAAACTACTTATTGAGATATACATTTTCAAGCATCCATTTAAAATGCACAGATCTATGATATTTGAAAACTGAGTACATTCCTGTAACTACCACCATGATAAAAATCTAGACTGTTTCCATTTCCCCAAAAAGGCCCTGCCCCTCCCCGGTCAATCCCTGCTTCCCTCCAACTCCACAATGACCTGCTTTCTGCCACACAGTCTTGCTTTGTCTTTTCTGGAGTTTCAGATAAACAAATTATACAGTAGCCACCCTTATCCACAGGGGATATGTTCCAAGACCCCCAGCCGATGCCTGAACCACTCCCCCCCAGTACCGAACCCTATATATATTGTTTCTTCCTATACATGCATACCTATGACAAAGTGTAAGCTACAAATTAGGCACAGTAAAAAATTAACAATATTAACAAAATAGAACAATTATAACAATAGACTGTAACAAAAGTTATGTGAAGTGGTCTCTCTCTCTCTCAAAATATCTTATTGCACTGTACTCACCTATTTTCTGACTGCAGTAGACCTCAGGTAACTGAAACTTTGCATAAGGGGGGACTATTGAATGTTCTTTTGGGTGTGGCTTCCTTCCCTTAGGCATCATGGCTGTAGCGTGTCTCAGTACATACAATGACTTGAACTCTGACAAACTGCTGTGCACAGCAGTCGATGCTCAAACTCCCCAAAGCTCCCCCAGGCCCAGAGCTGGCCAAGCACTCAGCCCCATTGCTCACGAAGGCTCCTTGACACAAGCTTTGTACTGAAGCCATTCACCCCACCGGCCCCTCCCAGGCATGGTTTCCCAGGACTTGTCATAAGAGCTTTCTCAAAGTAAAATTGCTTTTAATTCTTAACTGAGAGAAGGAAAACAAACACACACCAAAGCCAGTGCTCTTAAGGTGCAGGGTAGAACATGAGGAATAACATGATCCTGCAGTTTCAAGTAAGTTGCAAAGCAGAAGGCGTTCGGAATAGAAAAGCAAACATTAAAAACCAAACCATTTGGGAAGGAGGGCTGTGTGGTTGTTACAGGACGTCCCAGAGGAGAGAAGTGAAGGAACCAGGGGTCTGCTGCAGGAACTGTCTCCGGCCGCTGCCTCCGTGGGGCCAGGCGCCCTGACTGTACGGCAGGGCCAGACGCCTTCAGCGTGCCTACCTCCCACGGCAAGGAGAGGACCAGTGAGACATGGACATGAGCACGCCCGGACAAGCACAGAGAACTGTGCAACTGCAAGTGGTTGCTGTCATTAACCAGTGAACTGAGAGGGCTGCTAAGGCCGGGCAGGGTGCTCAGCTCAGTGACGCCTGCCCTGCAGGGCGCTTGCAGCCCCTCATCTCACCAACCCGTCTTAGACACCAAGAACTGATCTAAGGGACACTGGAGCCATCCTCTCAGCATTGACATAGCTTGATGTCACCTTCCAGACTCACGCAGGCATCATTGCTTACATGAGCAGACACAGAGAATCCCAAGTCCCAAGTTCCAAATGACTAACGATCAGGACCCTGGTGACTAGAATGCCAGTGGGCTCGTTTCTGCCCTCCCTGCCCAGCATCGCTGCCCAGGGCACTACCTGTGAGGCAGGGGCTGGCGTCTTGCTGGGGGGAGGGGTCCAGCCTTTGTCTGAGTTCCAGGTTATTTTGGCAAGAGGCCTCCCTCAGTCTCAATGAAAACAAAAGCCTTTGGGGGAAAAAAAATCTAAGATGACTCTTCCAGGTAACAAAGCTGGTGTAGTCTGCGCAGCTGCACTGGAAGAGCAGGTTTGACTGATTGCAGTGTACAGATACTGAAATTCAATGAGTACATCAAAAACAACATTTGATTTGATTGAATATTGGATTCTAATCTTATAAAGACTTTCTTCCTGAGTTGATTCAGGAGCGATCCCCAAATAATTTCTCAGCATAAAGTGATGTAAGTCCAGGGTTATGTCCTGGGAATGGCCTGGGGCTGGAATCTAGACCAAACAAGTATTCTTTCTGCGGAGGCTCAGGGTTTTTACAGGGGTGGGAGTGGGTTAAATTTGAAAGTCTGAAGCAGGCAGGCTCCATTTTGCCACAGGCCTGGCACTTCCCAACTGTCTTATTCTATAACTAGATGAGGCTTTAGGGCAAGATGCTGAGCCTGTCTCCTGTAAGAAACAGCTGCAGTGAGTGTTCCACAGCAGGGTGAACTGCTGACTACCAGCCCATCAGGAGGGGAGGATGGTGTTGACCGGCAGGCCCCACATCCCACCTCCTCCTCCTGACCTCACCGCTTCCCTGCCCGCTGCCCCGACGTTGGCCGAAACCTTCAGTGGAGCTAGCCTCTCCCCACCTCTCCTCTGCCCTCTGCAAACTCCTCAATAACACAGTTTACATTTAATATGCACACTTTCCTATGTGTCATTCACTTTTTAGAGAATATTAGTATGTGAGGACACAGTGTCCCTTCTAAAAACCACTAGTTTTAATCTGTGGTATGTCCATTATCTTGGCAATCCTAATTTTTAAAATAAGCTCATTATAATTTCCTTTTTGACCTGTGACTTATTAGAAGTATGTGTTAGTTATCTGTTTCTGATTTCTATTTAATGACACTGTCATCAAAGAGTCATCTGTGTGATACTGATTTTTTGAAGTTAGTTGAAACTGGCTTTATGACATAGTACAAGGTCCTACTTTGGAGATGTCCCATGGGCGTTTGAAAGGATAGTGCATTCTCTAATGGGTCGGTGCAGTGTTAACAAGGGCTCATTAGATCAGCCTTGTTGACTGTTTAAATCCTCGGAAGTCTTACTAGTTTTTCCTCTGTGATTAGGAGAAGCATGTGGAAACCTCCCACTGTCCTAGTGGATTTGTCAGTTTCCTCTTTTAATTCTGTTACAGTTCAGCCTTATGTGAGCAGGTGCATAAACAAGTTCAGAACTGTTACATCTTCCTATGAGTGGCTCCTTTATTACCAGTGGTAATAAAGGCTTTTTTACTTTCTTATCCCTAAGAAAGACTTTTCCTTTAAAGGCCATCCTCTGATATTAATATACCCACACCAGCATTCTTTTGGTTAGTATTTGCCAACCATGTATTTTTTCCATCCTTTTATTTTCAATCTTTCAATGTTCTTTAGGTGTGCTTTTCATAACCAACATATAGCTGGACTTTCCAAATTGAATCTTTCAGGCACTTTTTTTTATTATTATACCTTAAGTTCTGGGGTACATGTGCAGAATGTGCAGGTTTGTTACATAGGTAATTACGTACCATGGTGGTTTGCTGCACCCATCAACCCGTCACCTACATTAGGTATTTCTCCTAATGCTATCCCTCCCCTAACCCCACCCCCAGACAGGCCCTGCTTTCAGTCACTTTTAACCAGCGTGTGGCTCATGAGTGTTTCTGTGATCACTGCTCTCTCTGGGGTTCTACCTCCCACTGAATTCCATACTTTTTGAACTCTTCCTTCTTTTTTTGTCCTGGGAATTTCTTTTGTGTGTGTGAACTCAACTAAAGATTGTTTAGGATGATATGTTTTACTTCTAGGTTTAGCTTTTGTTATGAGGAGCTTTTCGGGAAATGTGTAGTGGGCCGTGATTCTGGAATCAGAAGTTCTGGACACTGCTCCCAGGGTCTGGCTGCCACCCCGCCCAGCCCTGAATCAGCCAGCAGAGGCGCCTGTGACACTGCCAAATGCAAGGGTCTTTGTTTTATTTTCTTTGTATTACTGCTATTTACTTTTTTTTTTTACAACTTTATTGATGTATAATTGTCATAAAAAAGCCACACATATTTCAAGTGTACAGTCAAAGTTTTGACACACATCTGTGAAACCATGACCACCATCAATATGATGACCGTTGATCTCTTTCCCTTCTGCCTCTCCTCACTCCTCCCTCAACACCCTCTCCTTCCCCAGGCAACCTTTATCTGCTTTTTGCCTTTTCTAGAATTTCATATAAATGGAACCATGCGGTATGTCTTCTTTTTATCTGGTCTTTCCCACTTAGCATGATTATTTTGAAATGCACCCATGTTTTGTTGCATGTGACAGGAATTCATTCCTTCTATTGCTGACCCGTGTTCCACAGTGCAGCTATAAGGCAATTTGTTATCTATTCACCTGCTGATGGACATTTGGGTTGTTCCCAGTTTCCGGCTTCTCACATAAAGCTGCAGTGAACATCCATGTACAGGTCTTTATATGGACATGTGCTTTCATTTGTCCTGGATAAATACCGAGGAGTGGGATGACGCTGTATCAGATACACAGGGTAGGGGCATGCGTTCAACTGCTCAAGAACCTGCTCTCCATTCCCTTCCTCACTCCCCACAATGTATGAGGTCCTGCTGCTCCACAACCTCCCCAGCACCTGGTACCACCAGCCTTGTTCATGTTAATCCTCCCAGTGTCTGTGAAGCGGTATCTCCTTGCAATCTGGATTTGTGTTTCCCTCAGGGCATATGATGTTGAGCATCTTCTCATGTTTTTTCCATCTGTACATCTTTTCTGGTGACGTGTCTTCAAGTCTTTTGCCCATGTTTAAAAACTGGATTGTGTTCTTACTATTGAGTTGTAAGGATTCTTTGTATACCTTATATATAAGTCTTTTGTCAGATATATGTTTTCCAAACAGTTTCTTCCAGTCTGTGGCTTGCCTTTTCATTTTATTACCAAGGCCTTTTAAAGAGTAAAACTTTTTTTTTTAAATTTTATTATTACTATTTTTTTAGATGGAGCTCGCACTGTCGCCTGGGCTGGAGTGCAATGGCGCAATCTCAGCTCACTCCAACGTCCACCTCCCGGGTTCAAGTGATTCTCCTGCCTCAGCCTCCCAAGTAGCTGGGATGACAGGCTCCCGCCACCATGCCCAGCTAATTTTTCATATTTCTAGTAGAGACAAGGTTTCACTATGTTGGCCAGGCTGGTCTTGAACTCCTGACCTCGTGATCCACCCGCCTCGGCCTCCCAAAGTGCTGGGATTACAGGCGTGAGCCACCACGCCTGGCCAGAAGACATGGTTCTTATGCCTAGAAAAATCCCACAGTCTCTGCCCAAAGGCTCTTAGAACTGATAAACAACTTCAGCAAAGTTTCAGGATGCAAAATCAATGTAGAAAAACCAGTAGCATTTCTATACACTGACAATGTCTAAACTGAGAGTCAAGTCAATAATGTGATCCCTTTCAAAACACCACAAAAAGAATATAATATCTAGGAATACAGCTAACCTGGGAGCCAAAAGATCTCTACAGTGAGAATTACAAAATACTGCTGAAAAAAATCAGAGATGACACAAACAAATGGAAAAACATTCCATGCTCATGGATAGGAAGTTTATCATAAAACTAAACATATGACCAAGCAAATCCACTTTTAGATACTTACCAAAGTGAATGGAAAAATTATACTCACACGAAAGCCAGTATGTAAATTTTTTTTTTTTTTTGAGACAGAGTCTTGCTTTGTCTCCCAGGCTGGAGTGCAGTGGTGTGATCTCGGCTCACTGCAACCTCCGCCCTCCCAGTTTCAAGCAATTCTCCTGCCTCAGCCTCCCGAGTAGCTGGGACTATAGGTGCATGCCACCACGCCTGGCTAATTTTTTGTACGTTTAGTAGAGATGGGGTTTCACCATGTTATTAGCCAGGATCGTCTCGATCTCCTGACTTCGTGATCTGCCTGCCTTGGCCTCCCAAAGTGCTGGGATTACAGGCGTGGGCCACCGCACCTGGACTCAATATACAAAATTTTATAGCTAGAACATACCAGTCATAATCTCCACAATCAGAAAACAACCCAGATGTCCTTCAGCAGTTGAATGGATAAACAAATTAACCATGCATCCATATCCATACAATAATACAACTCAGCAATAAAAAGGGACAAACTGACTGGGCATGGTGGCTCATGCCTGTAATCCCAGCACTTTGGGACGCTGAGGTGGGCGGATCACGAGGTCAGGAGATCGAGACCATCCTGGCTAACATGGTGAAACCCGTCTCTACTAAAAAATACAAAAAAATATTAGTTGAGCATGGTGGCAGGCGCCTGTAGTCCCAGCTACTCAGGAGGCTGAGGCAGGAGAATGGCGTGAACCCAGGAGGCGGAGCTTGCAGTGAGCCCAGATCGTGCCACTGCACTCCAGCCTCCAGTCTCCAGAGCGAGACTCTGTCTCAAAAAAAAAAAAAAAAAAAAAAGGGACAAACTATCAATTACACAGTAACTTGGAAGGACCATAAGTGCATTTTGCTAAGTGAAAGAAGCCAAACTCAAAAGACTGCATATTGTATGATCCATTTATACGGCATTTTGGAAAAGGCAAAGCTACAGGGATGGTAAACAGATCAAGGGTTTCCAAGGGCTGGGGACTGGGGACTAGAGAATGATTTTACTACTAAAGGGCAACACGAGGGAAATTTTTAAGTGATCGAACCGCTCTGTGATATAAATTTGCCAAAATCTACCAAACTACATACCACCAGGAGTACATTTTACTCTATACAAATTAAACCCACCCATACCCACACCCACACCAGAACATTGGGGAAACCCAAGATGGACTATAGACTGACAAATGACTCTAGCTGCACTCCAAATTAATGATATAGCCATGCTGACAGGGGTAGGAAATAAAGGAGCTGACCTAAGGAACTTTAGAGAATGACGTGTCGACTGGATACTGAGAGGCTAAAGACAAAAAGAACTTTGAACGCTGTACTTTAGTTGCAACATTTCTCACAGAGTTATGGGTTAGCAATCTGAAACTATTTTACATGTATACGAGGGCTGGTTCGCCATGTTGGCCAGGCTGGTCTCTAAATACCTTGTGGATAATGAGAACCAGGTTTCTTACCATCAGAAAAAGAAGTTACAAACAAAAGCTTAAGGCTAGAATGAATCCTGTGGTGCTGGGTTGGAGTTGGAGATATCAGATATCAGGTAACTTACACTTAAAAGTACGTACATTTTTATATTTGTATACTAATCCATGCACAAATGCTTTCACACACACAGATCAATAGGCAGATAATGAAACAACATAAATATGTGTGTATATATGGGTTAATATATACAACGTATGTTTATCTGCCCTGTCTGCTGGGAGAGCTAAAATCAGTGTCACCACAGTGGCTATGAACACACTTCAAACCCAAATCTTGGTTTCTAAATACCATTCTATAATACAAGAAGCCAGGTTCTTCTTGAAGAAGTGGTTGATGCCAGGACTGGGCAAGGGCAAATAGAAGGTGAACCTGGAGCACATTGTGGTGCCAAAAAATATGGAATTGCTCAAGAATTAAAAATAAGGATGGGAGCTCCTGAAGGGCACAGAAGCCAACTGAAAAGAGCTCTTGACAGCTAGTAAGGGAACAGTCTGGGTAACAGCATAAATAACCGTAGGACTGGATTATAATCCAAAGAATAAAGTAATTGTCCATAAACCCATACTGATACAAATAAGTGACTGGATACAGTAGTTCCCCCTTATCTGTGGGGGATACATTCCAAGACCCCCAGTGAGTGCCTGAAACTGCAGATAGTATTGAACCCTATATACACTATGATATTTCCTGTACATACATATATACCTATGATAAAGTTTAATTTATAAATTAGGTACAGTAAGAGATTAATAAAATAACTAGTGATAAAAAGAGTAATTATAACAATATACTGTGATAACAATTATGTGACTGTGGTCTCTTTCTCTCCCTCTCAAAATATCGAACTGTATTATACTCATCTGTTTTAGGACCAGGGTTGACCTTGGGTGACTGAAACTGCAGAAAATAAAATGGTGGATAAGTTGGGGGGGCTGCTTTAAATGCAAAATGGGGGAGAAAAGAAAACTCTTCCTTACAGAAGAATTCCAGTTAATAAAATACTGAAAAACTGGGGGAAATAGAGAATCACCATGAGAACTCCACAGTAAGAGTTCCTGTAGGGAAGATGTACTAATGAATGCTAAATTATGATAAAGAGTCATTAAAAGGTCATACACTGACTACGTAATTTCACTTGAGAGATTCTAACTTAAGGAAAGATTCAGCAATGTGACATGTTCATTGAAGTGTTCTTTGCAAGAAAAAAAAAGGATAAATGACTTGTGCTCAACACTCGGAAAATGATTCAGCAAATTAAGCTATATACACAAAATGGAAAATTAAACAGCCATTAAAAACTTAATTTATAAGGGCTACTTAGAAAAGAAAATAGAGAATGTGCGATAATTTTGTGTATTCTATAATTAAAGAGCATTTACAGCAATATTAAAAAACATTGAAATAAAAAAAAATAAATAATACTTTTTATTTGTTTGTTTGTCTGAGACAGAGTCTCACTCTGTCGCCTAGGCTGGAGTGCAGTGGCCTGATCTTAGCTCACTGCAACCTCTGCCTCCGATGTTCAAGCGATTCTCGTGCCTCAGCCTCCCCAATAGCTGGGATTACAGGCAAGTGCCACCACGCCTGGCTAATGTTTGTATTTTTAGTAGAGACAGGGTTTCGCCATGTTGGCCAGGCTGGTCTCAAATTCTTGGCTTCAAGTGATGCACCCACCTTGGCCCCACAAAGTGCTGGGATTACAGGCATGAGCCACCAAGCCTGGCCAGTGTTTTTTTTTTATAGTGAAAATTGTTCCTCTCCTCTAATTGCCACATAAAACAGTTAAATTATCTTCATAATTTAAAAATATTTGCAAAAAAGTTGGGCTTCCTTTTATATACATGTAAATCATAGGTCATTCTGTCAGGAATTCCAACAAACCACCAGCTCCAGAAGGGGCCATGGCAATCACTTCTTTGTAGTCCGTACAATGTTTAGGTGCAAGTTCTGACATACAGAAGAATCTCAATGTTTGGATCCTGACTGTCAATATTCCTAGCTGTTATATCAAATGGATGGAGTCTTTTTTCTCTTCAGGTGGCAACTTCTATTTCATCAGTGGGGAACTGCACTTCTAGCCAAACCTGGCAGTAATGAGGCTGTGCTCCCCTCCCCCCAGAGCAGGGTCAGAAGAGGCCCACTAAGTCCCAATACTTAAATAAGGTCCCAAGGCCCATAATATAACACCCAAACTGTGCAGAATAAATAAAAAATTACTCCTCATATCAAGAAGCAGAAAAATCTCTATTTGGATGGGACAAGGCAATCAACAGAGGCCAACACCAAGACAGCAGAGAGATGCACCAGTCAGGATGGCTGTTCCTAAAGAAGCCAGGAATAACACTTGCTGGTGGGGCTGTGGAGAAAAGGGAGCTCTTACACACTGTGGTGGGAATGCAAATAAGCACAGCCCCTGTGGAGAGCAGTTTGGAGATTTCTCAAACAACTAAAAATAGAACCACCATTTGACCCAACTATCTCACTACAGGTTATCTACCCAAAGGAAAAGAAATCATTATATCAAAGAGACACCTGCACTTCTATGTAGTGCTATTCACAATAGCAAAGACATGGAATCAACTTAGGTGCCCATCAGTGGTGGGCTGGATAAAGAAAATGTGGTACATATATGCCATGGAGAACTATGCAGCCATAAAAAAGAACAAAATCAAATCCTTTGTGTAAATGGATGGAGCTAGAGGCCACCATCCTAAGTGAATTAATGCAGAAACAGAAAACTGAATATTCCATGTTCTCACTTGTAAGTGGGAGCTAAACACTAGGTACACACAGGCACAATCACGAGAATAATAAACATTTGGGGGAGAGGAGCAAGGGTTGAAAACTACCTATTGGGTACCATGTTCACTACTTGGGCAAGAGAATCAGTAGAAGCCCAAACCTCAGCGTCATGCAACATGTAACCAACCTGTACATGTACAGCTTGGATCTTAAAAAAATGTCAGTCAGGTGCGGTGGCTCACGCCTGTAATCCCATCACTTTGGGAGGCCAAGATTGGTGGATCATGAGGTCAAGAGATCGAGACCATCATGGCCAACATGGTGAAACCCCATCTCTACTAAAAATACAAAAATTAGCTGGGTGTGGTGGCACGTGCCTGTAATCCCAGCTATGCGGGAGGCTGAGGCAGGAGAATCACTTGAACCCCGGGAGGGAGAGGTTTCAGTAAGCCGAGATCACGCCACTGCACTCTAGCCTGGTGACAGCGAGACTCTGTCTTGGGGAAAAAAAAAAGAAAAAAGAAAAAAAAAAGTCAAGATAAACAGGAAAAAACAAAACAAAACAAAACCAGCAGAGATGTTAGCATTATCTGACAAGGATTTCAAAACAGGCACCATAAAAATTCTAAATGAAGAAACGGAAAGACTCAAAAAAAAAAATAAGCAGAAGATATAAAGAACAGCAGAGGGAAATTTTATAACTGCAAACTATAATAACAAATAAAAAAACCTCGATGAATGAGTTCTAAAGCAATATAGAAAAGGCAGAGGACGGAATCAGAGAACTTGAAAATGGAACAATGGAAATTACACAATCTGGGCACCAGAGATAAGACACTGAAAAAAGAACAAAAAAACAGAGCCCCTGTGGGGCTATCCCAGGATAACAGGTTTTCCATCTCTTCTTGGGTTTTAGAAATTGAAGCAGAAATTATAAGAATGTCAGATGTAGTTCTCAAAATATGTAGAGGAAGTATTTAGGGCAAATAAACGATAACTGAAGGATGGTACGGACCCGACAGGACGGAGGCCTCTGCATGCACTCACGCTGGGAAAATGTCAACATAATGTGCCGAGAGGATTACATATGCAGGGCTTGCGTGCTACCAACTACAACATGCTTGGTTCTCTTTTCTTTTCTTTTCCTTTTTTCTTCTCTTTTCTTCTTTTCTTTCCTTTCATTTTTGAGATGGAGTCTCGCTCTGTCGCTCAGGCTGGAGTGCAGTGGCGCTATCTCGGCTCACTGCAACCTCCGCCTCCCAGGTTCAAGCGATTCTCCCACCACAGCCTCCCGAGTAGCTGGGATTACAGGCACCTGCCACCATGCCCAACTAATTTTTGTATTTTTAGTAGAGACAGGGTTTTACCATGTTAGCCAGGCTGTTCTCAAGCTCCTGACCTCAAGTGATCTGCCCACCTTCGCCTCCCAAAGTGCCCAGCTTTGGGCTTTCTTTTTACTTCCCTTGTATCCTGGCCTGGGAACCAGAGAACCCGCAGTTCTGTCAAGAGACAGAAAGGAAGGAGGGAGGGAAGGAGAGAGGGAGGGAGGGAGGGTTAAAAGCTTGCTCTCTGTTTCATTTGTACCCACAGAATTTTAATTTATAGAGGTGACTAAGTGACAAAATGGAGAGGCTAATGCCATTGAAAGGATTTTTATTACTTAAAATTTCCAAGAGAAGGGACACACCAGGCCGCATGAGACCACATGAAGAAGCACCGGTGTTGCTCTGGAGGCAGAGGGGAAACCGAGTCCAGAACCATTCTTGGGGTTTCTGAGTGAAAAGACAAGGAAGGCAGGGTAAACCACTTAAAACCAGCTGGCATGAATAACTCTGGTGGGCTTTGAGGCATAAGGGCTGTCCTTGTTGTCTGGTATCTGGCCCTGGGCTGATTTAGGACAGGGAGACCGTTGGCTTTGTGTGTGAGAGTTTAAGGAGGTTCTTTCAGAACACGGACTCAGGCCGGGCACGGTGGCTCAGGCCTGTAATCTCAGCACTTTGGGAGGCCGGGGCAGGCAGATCACCTGAGGTCAGGAGTACGTGACCAGCCTGGCCAACATGGCGAAACCCCATCTCTACTAAAAATACAAAAATTAGCCGGGTGTGGTGGCAGGCGCCTGTAGTCCCAGCTGCTTGGGAGGCTAAGGCAAGAGAATCACTTGAACCCGGGAGGCAGAGGTTGCAGTGAGCTGAGACTGCGTGATTGCACTCCAGCCTGGGCAACAAGAGCGAAACTCTGTCTCAAAAAAAAAAAAAAGAATATGGGCTCTGGATCGCAGGGGAGATGTGAACAACATTGGCCATTAATTTGGCCCTATGACGAATGGATGCCAAACAGACTCTCTTTGGCCAAAGTTCCAGCAAGAGGAAAGCCCAACAAGGGCTATGCACACCCAATGGCAGCAGTGGCCTGGTCAGCGACAACAACAGATCCCAGGGAGGCCACACCAGCCCAGCAGGGTGATCTGCTCAGAGTACAACTCAGGCAAGCCAACGCCCACCTGCCAGGCTCAGGCTATGTCAGCAGCCTGTGTGTCTCCTGGCCCTCCACCCAGCAGCAGAAATCAGCCTGCAGCTAGGGTCTCCCAATCCTCCACCCAACAGTGGAGAAGTCTCCACCCAGACTCTGCAGCTCCAGGCCCTTTCCAGGGGCAGAAGGTGGCCAAGACAGCTGCTTCTCTCCCCCAGTGGCAGTGGCAGAGGCAGAGACAGAGTGGGAAGCCCACCAGCACTGGGTACTTGGAGAACAGGCCAGGGAAAGTGCTCTCTATCCTGTGGGTCAGGATTCCCTGCTGACCTGCTGACATCACCAACAGAGATCAAAAGAAGGCCCAAGCAGAAGCGAGAAGCCAACCAGGATAGCATTGCAAATGCTCAGAAAACTAAACTGTCACTAGAACTGTAGCCAACAAAATAGGCTAGAGCTATATGCTAAATCTAAATAGGGCAAATGCTTGCTACAATAGAAGATCTAAATAGGGTCAAGAGTCTTTTAACATAAGATCCAGAATGTCTACACTATAATTAAAAATCACTCGTCACAACCAGAATCATCAAAATCACAACCTGAATGAGAGAAAACAATCCATTGATCCCAACACTGAGAAGAACCAGACAGAACAACCCAACAAAGATTTTGAAGCAGCCACCAGAAAACTGCTTCAATAAGTAATTATCAATATCCTTGAAACAAATGAAAAAAGATAAAGCTTCAAAAAAGACATTATAAAAAGGAAGCAAATACAAATCATAGAACTGAAAAGTATGGTGATGGAAACAAAACTGAATGAATGGATTTGACAGCAGAATGGAGGGCATAGAAGACAGAATCAGTGACCTTAAGGACAAGCCAATAATTTAAGATCTAACAACCTTAAAATATGTATACACCAAACAAGACCTTCAAACTACATAAAACAAAAATGGATGGAGCTCAAAAAAGAAATAGAAAAACCCACGGTTATAGTTGAGGACTATCAGCAATAGATAGGACTACTAGACAGATTATTAGCAAAAATAAAGAACAACTAAATAACGTAATCTAAGTGGATCTAATTGACATTTATAGAACAGCCCACTCAACATCAGCAGAATATACATTTTTTTTAATGTCCATGAAACATTCACCGAAATAAACCTCCTGGGTCACAAAACAAACCTCAACAAATTTAACACAATTGATATCATACAGAGTATGTTCTCTGATTGTATTAGAATCAAACAGGAAATCAACAACAGAAAAACAACAAGAAAATGCTCTAACAGTTGGAAATTAAATAACATATTTTCCATAGTTCAAAGAGGAAGTCTCAAGGAAAGTTTTAAAAATACACAGAATTGAATGAAAATTAAAATGCAGCATATGAAAAGCTAAAGCCACCTACATGATCATACATCTGCAAACCTAAGCTTCTCCACTGCTCAGTCCTCCAGTCTCTGTGAACAGTCATCCAAGCCAAGCCCTTGGGTCTCCCTTGTAACCCATCGCCCTCCCACCCCCTTGGATTCCAATCAAATCACACTCACCTCTCTGTCCCACTGCTGCTTCTGCGTTTCAAGCCATCACCCTCTTCCACCTCCTAAGCAGTGTGCCAGCCTCCTCTAGCCACAGTCCTCTCCATCCCCAGAGCACCATCAGATGAGCTTCCCAAAGGCTCCCTCTCACCTGCTTAGAGTCTTTGGCGGCTCTCCCGTCTGCCTTCCAGTGTGCTTTGTCCCTCTGGCTCCCTGAAGTCCACAGGTCAAGAGTATTGAACCACTGCACAGCAGACACACATGCTGTCCCTCCTGCCCGGGCCATCCCCCTTCCCAGTCCTGCTCATCATTTCAGGCTCAACTTAGATATTCTTCCTCCAGGGAACTGCCCTGGCTTCAGCGAGGGAGGCCTCCTGAGTGCTGCACAGTGCTGTGTGTTCACTCTTCTGCGGCATTCATTAGGCTGGGTTATAATTGCCTGTGATCAATTATCATTCCCCCATGATCCTTGAAGGCACGGGCACTGAGGTGGGCAGAATTTTGGCCTCCATAACCTTCACCCTCCTGGTATCATGCCCATGAATATGTTATGTTATGAAGCAAAGAAAACTGCAAATGCAATTAAGGTTACTAATCGGTTGACCTTAAAATAAAGAGAGTACCCTGGCTGGGCTGGATGTAATCACATGCTTAGAAGCAGAAGAGGAAGGCAGTGAGATGTGGCAGAAGCCAGGGATTCCCAGGTGTCAAAGGGCTGATGCTTCCTTGCTGGCTGTGAGCTGGAGGGGCTACATGCACAACTGATGCTACAATAGAGAATTCCACGCTCGGGCAAGAAGCTGGGAATATGAGCTGCATGCGTGTGTTTGGGAGTGGGCTGGGGATCTTCCTGGGGCCCCCTATCAAACTGAACCCCTGGTGCACTGCAGCCAGGCCGTCAAATGCTGCCCACAGAGACTACAATCTGTCTGTCACTGGCTCCATCAGCTGTGCGAGTGTGTGAGCTGCAGGGCCTTCCTTTCCAGTGCTTGTGACTCTGGCTTAGTCCTGAGAAATGTGTGGGCTTAGTCTGCCTTCTCATCTGCCTGTCATTGTTGTGTTCGCACCCACTGCCTTCTCCTCACAGGTGCATCCTGGCTGCTCAGAGGACCCTGAATGTGTGTCTGCCCAGAGCACTTCATGGCCCCTGGGAACCCAGGCCTTCCTTTCTCTCTCATCCTCTGGGCAACCTAGCAGTGCTGCTGCCTCAGGAAGCCCTCTCAGTCCAGATCCACTATGATGTACTCCTTTCTACACTGTAAAATTTACTCGTTCACTGCCTCATGCTGAGTCTCTGCTCCATGCCAGGCCCTGTGCTTGGCACTAGGGACATGAAGAAAGATGCAGCGTCCAATCGCATCTCCATAGGGGCACACTGACCTGGAGAAGCGACATAACCGCTTACCCTGATACTCCCTGTGGAAGGCTCCCCGCTTCTTCACCACCAGGCCTGAGTGCAGGATTTGAAATGGTGCCTGTGAACGCAGCGGTGCCCGGCACATTGTCAGCCAGCTGCACAAGGTTGGCTGCAACCATCCCACCCTCACACTCTGGATAGATTCAGGTCTGTCGTGCTCCTGCCCAGAGAGGGCTCTAGCCTGGGGGCATCTTTGTGCTCAAGGCACAGGGAGGAAATGTGGATAACATGAAACAACTGCTCTACATATAAAAGAAAATGCATTTCCCTATTTACAAATTTAAATATTAATCTCAGCACACACATGCATAACCCTGTATTCTGCCTGTACTTGTAAATTTCTTCTGGCACACTCACCATGTGTTATATGAAGGTTTGTTTTGTTGCTTAAACCTAAAAAGCAAATGCAGCTAAAATAGTTTCTGTCGCCCGGTATTTGCCAATCTGCAGCCTTCACGTTCATTACCTCTTTTGATCTTCCCAATTGCTTTGTGTATTACCCTCACCCCCAGTGCTGAATCAGTAGCAACATGGTATTTTAGAAAAATGAAAAGACTTTTCTGGAAGAGTCGCCACCCAGCCGTGTGTCTGTGAGTCAGGGACCTGACCTGCCTGAACCTCAGCTTCCTCATCTTGAGATGGAAGAGAGCACACGGTATTTTATGTGTCTCTATGAGTTCAACCAAACAGCAGGAGTAAAATGCCGGCAAGTAGTGGGCACTCAACAAATACCGGATCCTTTCCTCTTTTAGTTTCAAACTCACAAACTGAAGTGGTCAGAACTCAAACCCACGCCTTCTGCCTCAGGGCTTGTGGCCCTCACGCTGCTCCAGGTTGGCCCTGGTGTCCCGCCAGGCCCCACATTACCCCCGGAAGCCAGTCCTTGGTGTTGATAGGGCAGTGCTCACCGCTGGCAGACTAGACTGCGCATGGGAAGCACCTACGAATCCTCTCAGCTCCGCGGAAGCACAGGGCCTGCCACAGTTGCATGGATTCTCTCTCAAGACCCCAGAATCCACAGGCCCACCATGCGTCTCCCAGGAGGCGCTAACATTTCCAGAGCTGCAGCCAACAGCTCCAGCCTTTCCGGGACTGGCTGTTCACTTATCCACATGCTGCTTGTCCTTTGTTTCATGGGAGGTGAGGGCACGTACATTTTACTGTGTGCGCTGTTGGTTAAAAAACAAAGCCACATCCACTGACAGACAGGGAGTGCGCTGCAAGGGGAATGTTACTATTCTGCTAGCATTAGGGGACCAGGAACTAGCATTTACGCTTTCACTGCAGGTGCCTGGGACCTAAGATTCCTCTTTCACTGAACCTCGCAGGAACTAGTTCCCCTCCCTTCCCCAGCCTGGTGATCCAGCTGGGCAGACTAACAATAACTTAGTAGCGACCACATGCCTGGCATTTTACCTTATTTAATCCTCACCCCTGGATGATGATGCTCACTATTCCCATGCAGACTCAGCTGCCATAAAACCATTGGAGAGCCCCCAATGTGAGCAGTGTGGCCCTGCTGCTCTGAGACACGGACCCTGCTCTTCAGGGTGTCTGCAGCCCAGGTCTCAGAGGCCTACTTCTTCCTGGCCCTTCTAGGCCAGCCCTGGTCCTCTTTGTTTGCCAAATATAAGTGACAGTGGTTCTGAAATATTACTAATATAGCAAGAAATGTGAAAATTACTGGTAGAGGAAATAGAAAGAAAATGGGCTCAGCTCCACTCTCTGCAGCTTATTCACTGTTGTACAGTTAGCCATCCTCTCTGGGCCTCACATGTTTCATCTGCAAAATGGGATAGCCATTCTCATCTCATATTGCGGTTGGGAGGGTTCAACTAGGCGCCCGGAACATAGTGGACTACTGCAGTGAACTGCGATGTCCTTCCCATGTCTGCAGGCAGTCCACATGCTGTGGGCTCAGAACAGTTACATGGCATGGCAGCCCTGAGCCATTGCTGCCAGAATGGTTTCCACTTGGACCACAACAAATAGGAGGCTCTCCCTGTCTACCCTACACAGAAACCCTCCCATTCACCAGCATGGATGCCTCCAAGACAACATAAGTACTTACAAGAATATGGCATTACAAGTATTCTAGAACAACAGAAAGAACAAAAGTTCATGTATTAACATTTATGTAAGAGGTTCCACATATTGTACAGTGCCTTAGATTAAAAAATCAAAAAGACTATATAAAAATCAAGACCTGGCAATTTAATGGAAAAAGAATAATAGTCTTTTCAACAAATAATACTGGAACTGTAACCATATGCAAAAGCTACAAAATACCTAAATAAATAAATAAATAAATAAACCCCACCAAATCCCCAAAACCCCCACATCACACCATACATAAAATTAACTCAAAATATATCATATAGCTAAGTGCTAGGACTAAACCATAACACTCATAGAAATAAATATATAAGAAAATCTCCATGATATTGGATTAAACAAATAAGATTCAAAAAGCTCAAACCATAAAAGAAAAAAGTGAAAACTGAACTTCATACAAATTAAAGGCTCTTCCTGTTTAAAAAACACTGTTAAGGAAAAAGCAAGCCACAGGTTGGGAGAAAGGATTTGAAAAAATATGTATCTGCCAGGGAATCATATCTAGACTATGTAACAAACTCTTACACTCAGTAATAAGAAGATGAACAACCCAAAAAAAGCATATGCAAAATTTTGAGCCAACACTTAAACAAAAAAGATATACAGATGGCAAATAAGCACATGAAGTGATGCTCAGAATCACTAGTCATTAGGGAAATATACATGAAAACCACAATGAGAATTGCCAAAACCCAAAAAGCTGAGGATACCAAGTGAGGCAGGACACAGAGTGACTGGAGCCCTGCACTCAGCTGGTGGGAACATACTACCATGTGACCCAGCAATTCTGCTCCTAGATGTTTACCCAAAAAAGTGAAACCTATGTTCACACAAAGATTTGTAAGCAGATGCTCATAGCAGAGGCAGTCATGATAGACAAACTGGCCACAACCCAAATGCCCATGGTTGGTGTATGATAAACACATGGCAAGGAACCACGGGCCACCCCTCAGCCATGGAAAAGGAGTGGGCTGCTCACACTCACAACAGCATGGTGAGGTCTCAAGGCATGGTGCTACGTGAAAGCAGCCACACACCAAAGGCCACACACTGCACGATCTTATTTCCATAGGGCTCCAGAACCAAGGGAAACCTAGAGCGGTGAGTGGCGGAGCAATGGGCATTGGGCAGGGAGGGAGACTGACCAGGTAGGGAGCAGGGCAAGGGCTTTTTTAAATAATAGAAAAGTTCTTTTGATGATTGTGGGGATAGTTATGCAATTGTGAACATGTGTCAAACTCATCAAACTGTTCAGTTCAAAGTGAATTTTGCTGTATGTAAATTCAATCTACGTAAAGCCAATAAGGAAAAAAATATCCCTGATGTAATCTCCATAAGATAACCAGGAGAGGAGCCACAAAAGAAACTAATGGGGGAGGGCATGTCCCCTGAACAACTGCATAAGCCTGGCCATGCCTAGACTGCCTAGAGGATGGGGACTGCCCAACCTCCCGCCACAGGAGGAGAGGCCATGACAGGAGCCACAGACCAGGGACAGAGGAAGAAGGAGCAGAAAAATCCTGACTCATAGTATTGTTAAGGAGCCTCACTAGTTCTTCCTTTCCAAAAAAAAAAGTTGCTTTTTTAAAAAAGTAGAAAGGCAATAGATGTTTTGTTATGCAAGCAAACAAAAATGCAGAAGGATATGAAATAACAGTGAAATCTCCTCTCCACCCTTCCCTGCCCCAGTCCTGCCTCCGTGGCAGGACCACACCCTCGCCTGCACTGCTCCCATTTGGCAGGATTCCTGTCCAGGTGTCTCCGTGCTTGTTTACTGAGAAAGGGCCCAAAGCGACTACTGGATTTAGTCAGCAACCCAGGGGCTCTGAACTCTTCAACAGTCCTTGTCTTCTTGACGAAACCTCAAATCAAAGGTTCTCCCGGGCCCCTGTCAGTAGTGAACATCCCCCTCCTGACCATATATTTATGAACAGCAGGCAGTGGCTGTGGTCAGGCAGTGGTGAGGCCCATGAACATGGGTGAGCGCATCCAGAATATCTTCACCCTTCCTTCTGTGCTTCTGTTTAGTTCAGTGAAAACTTAGTTAAGGTCAATAAACAGCTTCTACAGAAAGCAATCATGTCCATGGCAAACTGGGGCTATGTCCACCACGTGAAACCCACAGACTCAGGTTCAAAATTCTGAAACTGTACCCACTGATAGCTGTACCCACAGATGATGTGCCGGTGCCTGCCTCGACCCCATCAGGGCGACGGCTGGCCCATCTCCTTCAGACCCTGGGGGAAGGGCAGGCCAGCCTGCAGGCTCCTTAGACGCATAATAGGACAATCTCAACTCCAAATTCACTCTCCATCTAGGTCTCACCAGGTCTTGTCTCTTCCCAGGCACAAGACCAGCCTGCCATCTTAGAAATCCTTGTGGCTCTTCTCGCCTGCTAAGTTTGGAGAGGGCCCCTGGGCATATGCAGTGACAAGAGCCTCCTTAGGCCCCTTCTGGCTGGGCTGATTCAAGGGGCAGGGGACTGGGACCACATCTGATCGATCAAAACAGAGGCTCAGGCTCTCCTCCTTGTTCAACTCCATTCTTGCTCTGTGGACTGTCCTGAAGGCAAAGTAGGGAAGAGTTTCTTGCCTGCCTCCCACCCTGCCCGGCCACGTGACTGAGGCACACGGAGCAGCTCAGACCACCTCAGCATCCCGGCACCTGCAGCCATGCTCGGCTCCCAGCACCGTGCCCCAACAAAGCAGAAAAGAGTCATGGCAGGCACAGGATCAAGGACTGGAAAACAGGCCAAGGCAGTTGACAGTCAGGTGGCATTTACTCATTCTCCATAATTCAAAGATTCATTCAAACATTGTTCATGGGACACCTACTGTGTGCCAGGTGCTGTGCTAGGTAATGAGGATATGGAGAAAAAAGGCCCCAGAGACAGCAGCACAGGACGGGGCTCAGACAAGGAGGCAGAGAGTAACACAGTTTCAGGGAACTCCCCTCCCAGGTGAGCCAGGGCAGGCAGGAGAGGCTCTCTAGAGACAGGGAGGCGGGGAACTGAACTTGGGAAGATGAGCAGAAAGAGAAGGTACAGTGGACAGAATACATGGTGCTAATTAAGCACGTGCTCGCAAGAGAAACCTAGCGTGAAACCACAGGTGGACGGTGTCCTGGGAATGACCAGGAAAGGTGAGATTAAGTCTTGACAGGCAGGCAGTAACCAGGTGCAGGGGCTTTGCACGCCACACTCAGCGGTCTGGCCTCAACCTGCAAGCCACTGCCTAGGATGCCACTGTCCCGTAAACAGGAAAGTAAACCAACGCCTTTCTGAGGGAGAGCCTCCTCTGGTGGGAGTGTGGAAACAGACATTCAGAAGGTGGGGACAGGGAAGCCCTTGTGGACCCCAGGCGTGGGAGAGTGGCTGCTGGAGGGGTGCCCCAAGCTGCACCCTGAATGGCAGCAGACCCTGCATAGCCACCAAGAGAAGGAGCTGGGAGTCCAGGAGAGGGGCCCAGGGACAGACATGCAGGGGTGAGCAGGGGTCTGTGTGTGGTTTGCTGGGGGCCAGGAGGGCTAACCTGGCTCTGGAATGGGCTCCACCCTGGCTGTGGGCTCCACCCTGGCTGTAGTCCTCAGCCTGCCAGTAGGCTCTGTGCCCTTGGGCAAGGGGTCTTAAGCAAATGAACTAGAAAGGGCTGTGGTCAGTGACCTTTGTTTTACACTTCAGGCGCAGGCTTGGTGAGGCCTGAGTCACAGCCATCCTAGCAAACTGTTGAACCCAGGAAGGGAGGTCATGGGACCCTGATTTATAACCAGTTGGTAAGAAGCGCAGGTCACAATCTAGGGCTTGTGATTGGGTCTGAAGTGGGGGCAGTCTTGTGGGATGGGCTCTTTAACTTGTAAGATGTGATGCTAACTACAGGTAGGTTGGGTCAGAAATGAGTTAAACTGCAGGACACCCAGTCGACGTCTACTGGAGAACTGCTTGTGTGAGGGAAACTCTCCACATCTGGTCGCAGAAGTGCTCTTTGTGCTCTGTCAGAGCTGCAAGACACAAACACTCTTCCTACTGAGCCTCAAGACCACTAGGTCAAGGCTGAGTGCTCTGAAGAGACAGTATTCAAATAAGCATTGTCACATTTACATCAATTCTCTTTAGATATTAACATAAGGCTGGTGCGGCAGCTCATGCCTGTAATCCCAGCTGAGGTAGGAGGAGCACTTGCACCCAGGAAACACAGCAAAACCCTGTCTCTATAAAATTTTTTAAAAATGAGAAAAAGAAAAAACATAAGCAGTTGGCAAACTGCATTCCATGAGCCAAATCCAGTTGCCACCTGTTTCTGTAAGCAAAGTTTTACTGGAACACAGCCATGCTCCTTCATCTGTGTATTATCGATGGCTGCTTTGGGTTCTGTGATGGACTGAATTGTACCCCCTCCTCCAACTCCTGTGTCAAAGCCCCAGTACCCAATGTGACTGCATTTGGAGACAGAGCCTTTAAGGAGGTAATGAAGGTTGTATGAGATCATAAGCATGAGGCCCTCATCTGATGGAACTGGTGTCCTGGTAAGAAGAGACGCCAGGGACGTGCATGCACAGAAGCAACATCATGTGAGGATGCAATCAGAAGGCGGCCGTCTGCAAGCCAAGAAGAGGGCCCTCACTAGAAACCAGCCCTGCCGGCAGATCTTGGATTTCCAGCTTTCAGAACTGTGAGCAAATAAATTTCTGTTATTTACACCACCCAGTTTGTGGTATTTAGTTGTTATGGCAGCTGAGCTGACTAAGACAGGCTACAATGGCAGAGTAGAGTAGCTGTGAATAGCCACACAGTCAGCAGAGCCTAAGGTACTTATTATCTGGCCCTTCACCGAAGTTTGCCAACCTGTGATCTAAATGTTCATAGCTAGATATTGGTAAACATTCAACAGGCAAATACAGCACAAGTGAGTTTAATTGTATTGCTATTTTAGCCAATTATTAATTATTAATATACATGTATATTTGCACCCCAGCTGTATACCCAGAACAGTGAATCATGCAGTCACTAAATATCTGCTTAATCTTGTCCTAGTCACTATAGTCACAGGGATGTATCAGAGACAGCCCCTGCCCTCGAGGAGCTCACAGTGAGTCAGAGACTTAAATCTTAGTTCCATAAAAGCTTCCTGTTCCACAATCAATGAGTCTGCCTCTTGTCTACATTGTGTGCTGTGGAGAGGGCTCTGTGAGGCAGAGATACACTCACTATAGATTCTAAGCAAGGATCAAAGCCTCTCTCTGCCTCAGAGGTCTCAGTTTCTCAGAGCTTCTACTTCAAGCTGAATTGAAGGAAGATGGTAGAAAAGAAGTAAGAGACCCACAGACAAGCATCTCTGTGTTCTTATCTCTTCGAGAGACATGATACCGCATGGCCCTGAGGATTAAAGGAGATAATAAATGCAAAGTGCCTCAAACGAAAACAAGTATGTTTACTATGTTTAAAAAAACAAAAGACAAGCTTAAGTATCTATAGGGAACAGGAAACTAGACAGAACTCCTAAAAATTAAAATTCCTAAAAATTTAAACTCCGATAAAAGGCTTAGAAACTCAATAGATAGCTTTAACGGCAAATCAGACACAGCCAAAGAGAAATTTAGTGAATTATAAGATAGGTTAAAAGAAATTTACAAAATATACCACAGAGAGGTAAAATGATGGAATTTTTTTTTTTTTTTTAAACGGAGTCTCGCTCTATCACCCAGGCTGGAGTGCAGTTGCGTGATCTTGGCTCACTGCAACCATAGCCTCCCGGTTTCAAGCAATTCTCCTGCCTCAGCCTCCCAAGTACCTGGGACTACAGGCACCCGCCACCACACCTGGTTAATTTTTGTATTTTTAGTAGAGACATGGTTTCACCATGTTGGTCAGGCTGGTCTTGAATTCCTGATCTCAAGTGATCCACCTGCCTTGGCTTCCCAAAGTGCTGGGATTACAGGTGTGAGCCACCATGCCCAGGCAAAATGATGAAAATTGTGTAAGAGAAGAGACAGGAAGGATATAAAGTGAGATGGTTTAATATCAGCTTAAACTGGAGTTCTCAAAGGAGAAGGAGAGAAGATGACAAAGACACAGTATCTGAAGAATTAATGGCTGACAATTTTGTAAAGAAGACATTCATATATTTTTAAGTCCAACAAATCTCAAGCTGAATAAGGAAAGTGGGAAATCCACCCCTAAACAAACCAGTGAAACCAAAAAACTCCAAAGAAGGGTGTGGAGGTATCTTAAATTCAGCCAGAGGAGGAAAAAATGCTATTATCAGTCTAACTTACAAAGAGTTAGACTGATAAGAGCATCAATAGGAGCCAGAAAACAGTAGAATGAAATCTCAATACGCTAAAAGGAAGTAGCAGCCAAACCAGAATTGCATATTTGCAGTGAAAATACCGTTCAATAGCAAGTACTTTTTTTTTTTTTTTTTTTTTGAGACGGAGTCTCACTCTGTCACCTGGGCTGGCGTGCAGTGGCTCGATCTTGGCTCACTGCAACCTCCGCCTCCCAGGTTCAAGTGATTCTCCTGCCTCAGCCTCCCGAGTAGCTGGGATTACAGATGCCCGCCACTACACCCAGCTAATTTTTTGTATTTTTAGTAGAGATGGGGTTTCACCATGTTGGCCAGGCTGGTCTCGAACTCACAACCTCATGATTCACCTGCCTTGGCCTCCCAAAGTGCTGGGATTACAGGTTTGAGCCACCACGCCCAGCCTGTAAGTACATTTAAGAAACAAAAAGCTGAGAAAATTCACCCACAGTAGCCTCTCACTAAGGCAAATCTAAAGGATGAATTTCAGACAGAAGGAGAGCAATCTTAGACGGAAGAAAGAATGAATAGCAAGGGAAGCAGTTAATAAGTGACTAAATAAATATGCACATGGGCTATATAAAATAACAATTAACATCTAGGACCATTTAAAAAAGAAAACACAGATGAGAAATACAAGACAAGAGTACTGCAGAAGTCAGTAAAAGTCTGAGGTTAAAATGTTCTGAGATCATTATATTACCCATGAGAAAGGTAAAGGAGTTTATTCACTGTATAATTTGGTAAGTTAAATACGTGTATTGTAAGTCTCGGACAATATTAACAAATAGAGACAGACGTATAATTTCTTTCTTTCTTTTTTTTTTTTTGAGATGGAGTTTTGTTCTTGTTGCCCAGGCCGGAGTGCAATGGCATGATCTCCGCTCACTGCAACCTCCGCCTCCCAGGTTCAAGCACTTCTCCAGCCTCAGCCTCCCGAGTAGCTGGGATTACAGATGCCTACCACCATGCCCGGCTAATTTTTTTTTGTATTTTTAG
Organism: Homo sapiens; assembly: GCF_000001405.40. Taxonomy (NCBI): domain Eukaryota; kingdom Metazoa; phylum Chordata; class Mammalia; order Primates; family Hominidae; genus Homo; species Homo sapiens. The sequence goes on along the minus strand of NC_000002.12, from coordinate 130,888,936 downwards.
TAGAGACGGGGTTTCACCATGTTGGCCAGGCTGCTCTCGAGCTCCTGACCTCAGGTGATCCACCTGCCTCAGCCTCCCAGAGTGCTGGGATTACAGGCGTGAGCCACTGCGCCTGGCCGACAGACATATAATTTCTAAACAAGTAGAGGAAAATATTGTAATGTTTACCAAATTTAAAGGATTGAAATCATTCAGAATATGTTGTCTGATCCAATGCAGTTAAGCTAGAAATCAGTAGCAGAGGATCATCCCTAAGTATCTGGAAACAAAAGAACACTTTACAATAACCAATAGACTGAAGAAGGAAGATCAGTGGAAAACAGGTAATAGTTTCAACTAAATGACTTTAAAAATACCACAACCGAAAATTAGTGGGATGCAGATGAAACATTACTTAGGGGAACAATTTATAGCCTGAAATACTAGACTAGAAAGCCTCAGCATTAATAAGTTAAGCACTTTTTTTTTTTGGGACAGAGTCTCGCTCAGCCAGGCTGGAGTGCAATGGTGTGATCTCGGTTCACTGCAACCACCAACTCCGGTGTTCAGGTGATTCTCCTGCCTCAGACTCTCCAGTAGCTGGGATTACAGGCACCTGCCATCATGCCCGGCTAATTTTTGTATTTTAGTAGAGACGGGGTTTCACCACATTGGCCAGGCTGGTCTTGAACTGATCTCAGGTGATCCACCCGCCTTGGCCTCCCAAAGTGCTAGGATTACAGGCGTGAGCCACTGCGCCTGGCCTGCTAAGCATTTTTTTAAAGAAGTTAGAAGATAGAAAAATAGAAAATAAAGCCAAACCAAGTAAAAAGGAATACGGCAAAGCTAACAGCAACATTAATACAAAAGAAATTCAATATATAACAGAGAGGATCAACAAAGCCAATAGGTTTTTAAAAGATGAATAAAAATTATGGTAGAAGACCCTGGGAAGCTGCACACACCTGCCTCCTCCCATTTCCAGGCACACAGCATGATGCTGGTCCAGCTCTCCCTGACAGACCATGTCCCTGGACTCAGGTCTAGTCTATGAAATGTGAGCAAGAGTGACATTCGGCCCCAGCCCATGAAACCCTGCCGGCGTGGTCCTCCATCCTCCTTCCCAGCACAGTGGAGGCAAAGGACGCCGTCCTGGAGACCACATGGTGAGGACAGCCGGGCCAACCACAGAAATGGCCTGGGTTCCTGAACTGTCACTTGGAGGAAAGCTACTGCTGATTATAAAGGCTCATTCAGAGAAATAAACTGCTAAAATGGACACTTTTGTCATTTTGTTGTTGTTTTCAGAAACCAAGAACTCCTTAACGAATAAATTTACAAACCTCAAAAGATTGATCAAGGAAAAAGCAAACACATACGTAACTAGTAGAGGAATGAAAAAAAGTCGGTATCATGATGAATGTTGCAGACATTAAAAGACACTAATAAAAGGGTTTATGATAAAAATAGGTCAATTAATGTGAGCAGTTAGATGACATGGACAAATTCTCACAAAATTATAATTTAACAAAACTAGGCTTAATATTGTTAAGTGCCAGTTCTCCTCATATCTGATCTGCAGATTTGGTATAATCAAAATTCCAGCAGCCTTTTTGTTTTTTTTTTGGAGACAGGGTCTTGTTCTATCACCCAGGCTGGAGTGCAAGGGCATGATCATGGCTCATTGTAGCCTTGACCTCCTGGGCTCACACCATCCTCCTGCCTCAGCCTCCCAAGTAGCTGGGACTACAGACACATGCCACCATGCCCAGCTCCAGCAGGCTTTTTGTAGAAATTCTAATGTGATTCTAAAATTTATATAGAAATGCAAATATCTTAAGACTAGCTAAAACAACCTTTAAAAAGAAAAACAACATTGGGAAACTACACTGCCTGATTTCAAGACTTTTAAGACTATAAAGTGACAGTAATCAAGATAGTGTGACATTGGTGTAAGGATACTAACTAGATTAATGGAGCCAAATAGAGACCAGAAATTAATCCACATGAGCCTACAAATAGATTGCTTTGTTGGTGCCACAGTCATCACTGGGGAAAGGACAGTCTTTTCAACAAATGCTGCTGGACACACTGTATATCCATCTACAAAAAAAAAAATTACCAAAAGTGACTCAAGAAGAAATAGAAATTGTGACTACTTCAACAACCATTAAAGGAATTGAATTATTACTAATTTTTTTTCCCCAAAGGAAACTTCGTTAGCAAATTTTACCAGATATTGAAGGGATAAATCATCCAACCTTTTTTTTTTTTTTTGAGACAGAGTCTCGGTCTGCCACCCAGGCTGGAGTGCAGTGGCGCGATCTCGGCTCACTGCAAGCTCCACCTCCCGGGTTCCCGCCATTCTCCTGACTCAGCCTTCCAAGTAGCTGGGACTACAGGTGCCCGCCACCATGCCTGGCTAATTTTTTTTGTATTTTTAGTAGAGAAGGGGTTTCACCATGTTAGCCAGGATAGTCTCGATCTCCTGACCTCATGATCCGCCCACCTCAGCCTCCCAAAGTGCTGGGATTACAGGCATGAGCCACCATGCCCGGCCAAATCATCCAATCTTATAAAAATCTTTCAGAATTTTTTTTCAGAAAGTAACACTTGATTCATTTTATAAGGTTAATACCTCCTTGATCTTAAAACCTGGCAAAAAAAAACAGCAATGAGAAAGAAAAATTACAGACTAATCTCATCAGATACAGAAATCTAAAACAAAGCATCATCAAATCAAATCCATCAACATAGTAAGAATAAAATAAATAAGGGCCAAATTGGGTAAGCACCAAGGAGGCAAAGTTGATTAAATACAAGAAAACCAATGAATATAATTTCCCACAGTCACAGATTTAAAAGATATCTGAGCACACCAAGCAGTCCAGAAAGAAGAGCCTTGATAAAATTAAACATGTGATCACAACAGACTGGGAAGGGGTTTCCAGAGGCTTCTAGAGTGCTGGGTGTGAACAGTCTCTTGATTCACAGTGTGATTATGTGGGTATTTGCTTTGTAACTCTGTTAAACTCTACATGTCTCATGAAGTTATGAGTATATTAAATTACAAAATAAAAGAAGAAAAGGCCGGGCATGGTGGCTCACACCTGTAGTCCCATTACTTTGGGAGGCCGAGATGGGTGGATCACTAGGTCAGGAGTTCTGGACCAGCCTGGCCAACATGGTGAAACCCCATCTCTACTAAAAATACAAAAAAATTAGCCAGGCATGGTGGCGGGCGCCTGTAGTCCCAGCTGCTCGGGAGGCTGAGGCAGGAGAATCGCTTGAACCCAGGAGGCAGAGGTTGCAGTGAGCCGAGATTGCACAACTGCATTCCAGACTGGGCGACAGAGGGAGACTCCATCTAAAAAAAAAAAAAAAAAAAAAAAAGAATAAGAAAAAAGAGAGTGCTATGGTTTGAATATGCCCTCACCCCCCTCCACTACAAAAAGCATGTGTGGGAAACTTAGTTGCCATTGTAACAGTATTACGATGAGACCTTTAAGATGTGATTGGGCCACGAGGGTTCTTTCCTCTTGAATGAATTAATGCTATTATGTAGGCCGGGCGCGGTGGCTCACGCCTGTAATCCCAGCACATACTAAGCTAAAAACATGTTAGTTCTTTTGTCCTTTGCTTCCTGTTCAATTCATATCACCATAGGTTATGCAATCCTGTATTCAACCCTGTTGACTTTCCTCTTAACGTTGGACAAGACTGTCCCTCAGAGCAGGCTGTAATGCACAAGTAAACATGATTACAGTGCCTTCAAACATCTGACATATGCCCAAACTCAGAGCCACTCCAGTGAAGGGAGATGAGACAGTAGAAAGGCTAACAGTATTTGAGAGCTGACATGCATTAAACAGAAGTGATGTATACCAGGGAGAAAGGTGGAAGTATGGAGTAGATTAGTAATGGCATCATAAACTTGAATGCCTTCAAACTACGTACTTTCAAATATGGTACCTCTTTTCATTCTCTCCTATAGCCCTGTAAGGTAACAGATTTTGTCTTCATTTATTGATGAAGAAGCTGGAGGGGCCTAGAGAGGCCGAGCCTCTTCCTGGTTAGCACAGATCCTGAAGAGTCCTCAGCTTGTAATCATCACTGTTCTATGGCGTATGATTCCAGGAGGCAGCAGGGTCCGGCCTCAAGGGCCACCAGCAACATTCTGCTGGCCCTGGAAACAAAATAATGAGGGCCTGGCCCTTCAACAGTATTTCTCTAACTCTGCTGCCACTCAGGGGCAGTTCCATATATTGCTTTGTATCATGGTTACTTGTTATCGCTTTCTAAATGTTTTACTTCGTCCAGCAGAGGATGAACGCTCAGAACAGGTGTTGCAACTTGCCCTTTAGCCCTCAAAGTATTAAAAATCATGCCAGCCACCATATATCAGGTGCGCTGCTGCTAATAATGCCAGCTACCACTGTTGAGAGCTTTTTATTGTAATTACAGTCCTCTGAGATAGGCATTATAATCATCTTCATCTTACAAAACAATACACTGAGACATAGAGAATTTAAGCAGCTTCGACAATGTTACATAGCTAGAAAATGGCAAAACTAGTCATCTAACAAGTATAATCTGCTTCCAGGGTCTGTACTCTTTAACCATTAAACTATAGTGTGGGTGTGTGTGTGTGTGTGCACGTGCCTATGTGTGTCTGTGTGCATGCATGTGTGCACGTGTGTGTGCATGTGTATGCGTGTGTGTGTGTATAAATTGAGTTTCTGTGAATGCTCTCCTGCCTATTCAGATACTGTTACTGATAACATCTCCAGGCTCAGCTCATTTCCTGCCTCCTTCAAAAGCCTTCCAAACTATTTGGTGAAATCATTACACCCTTTTTGGAATTTCCACACACTTCTTGCCATCACAACATAAAATAACTTTGCATAAAATCAGTAGGAGGATATATAATGTTGACGATGATGTTGGTGATGACGATAGTTAATATTAATGGAGCACTTCATTATTCCATGAACTTTACATAAATTCACTCATTTAATGCTCAAGTACCCTGAAAAGATACCTATTATTCCATATTTTATAGATGAGGAGGCTGAAGCTCAGGAGGCTGAGGAATTCACACACAGTCACACAGATAGTGACAGACCCCAGTTTCCAGCCTAGGCCATCTGCCTGCAGACACCAGGAGGCAGGACACTGGTTTCCTAAGGCCTCTTGGAAGACCAGTGTGCCCACGGCTGCATCAGAGGGCACTCAACCCACGTGCCATCATTCACTGCAGCTCTGCCTGTCCCACCCACTGCCCCTGCAGACATGCGTGGGCCCTGCCCCTGGCTCTGTGACTGGGCCAGGTCCAGGCGACTCCATTCCTGCCTCTGGTTTCCCAGGTCCCAGCTACTAAGTCAACACCATGCAAGACATTTAGAAAAGTGTTGTAAATAACAGAACACAGTATTTTTAGTGGGGAAGGGAAGGAAAAGAAAGATGAAGAGAAGAGACATCTGAGAAGTCGATCTGTTTTTGAGTTGTGCTTTTTTATTCTGAAAAAAATTCTGAGCTTATACACACAGGGAACGGTGAGCACACTGCTCCGGCATTCCACAGAAGAGGGAGCTCTGGCACCCCAGGGACCTCAGGGCCCTGCCATCATTCAGGAAGGGGCTGCTCACCCAGCACACTCGGTCTCAGCAGGGAAGCAGGAAAACGGCCTGGCAGAGAGGCCCCATGCCCACTGGCCACCCTCTTAAGTCTGGTGTGAGAAGATGCTGTGGGTCCACCCAGTCAGTTCAACAAATCCTCACTGTCTGCCCACTACATCCGAGTACCGTCAGAGAGGGCACAGAGGTTCTGGCATCTCGCTCCTTGAAAAACCCTCAATTTCTCAATGGTATCCTGGAAAATAACTCATAGGGGTTAGAGGTAGAAAGGGGACAGGAGATGCATCACCACCAAAGGTGAGGAGGGGCAGTCAGCTATGAAACCTCAGGCAGAAAGGGGAGCCAGAAGTCTTTTTAAACAGACAGAAAAGAAATCAAAATAAAAACAGGAGCTAAAATGACAAAAAAGCAAACAACCTAGACAAGATGTCCAGCCCTATGTCCCTGTCCCTCGGGGGACTCAGCCCATTGTGGATGGGGAGGATCTGCTTGACGGGGTGCAAACTGAGACCCCCACCCTGGCCCTCCTGCCTGCACCCACAGACATTTCATTTTCTGCTTCTTTTAAATGAGAAAAATCTCCGAGAGAGGGTACGGGTGAAGTCCCCTGCGTCTGTGTTCGCACTAGTTTGTGGCACTTTGCTTTAGTCAGTAACCTCAGTGAGCAGAAACAGGGTTTGGACTTCAGGCTTGCAAAGGACTGAAGGCCTCTGTCCTTCCCCCAAGTTCATATGTTGAAATCCTAACTTCCAAGGTGAGGGTATTGAGAGGAGACTGTTGGGAGGTGGTTAGGTCATGAGGGTGTCGCCCTCATGAGTGGGATTAGTGCCTTTATGCAAAAAGCCACCGGAAAGCTCACTCACCCCTCCCACCACGTGGGGACACAGTGAGAAGGTGGCCTTCTGCAACCTGGAAGGGAGCCCTCCCTGGAACCTGACCACGGGCGTCCAGCCTTTAGACCTGGGGGAAATAGATGTCTGCTGTGTAAGCCACCCACCCAGCCAGCCCAAGCTGACTCAGACAAGGCCTGAGGGCTGGAAACAGGAAGGAACAGGCCCTCCTGGGCCCAGCCTAGCCATGGGCAACCACACCTGTTGCTTCCTAAATGATTTCCTCTCTGTCCAGGACCTGTTGAGACCCTTTCTCAAAGACGAACAAACAAACAGCCCCTACCTTTTGTGAAAGGAGCTGAGAATAGCTAAGACAATTGGGAAAGCGGGCTTGGGGATTTCTTTGCAGGTCTATCCCTGCTTGAGGCTGTCAGTGCCCAGGCTCGCTTCCTGTCCGGCCATTCTCAATGTCCTGTTCACACTGGTGTTTTGACTGCTGCACCCCAGCCCCTCTTGATTACCCCAAGCGCTGCCTGAGGCTCTGTGTCAACCACCCAGACTAGAGAGGGGGTACCTGTTTTGCCAGCCAGCTTGGCGTGGGCCTCCAACCACGCCCTTTTGGCCAAGGTGGTTCTCGTACACACCTGCTGCAACCAGACCAGTCACTCCCCGCCCAGTACACCAGCCTGTGGTCCTCACTGGCTGCACGTGGCATCACCATCTGCTCTGGATCGCCATCTCGCCCACGCAAGGGCCGCCCTCCAGGATGGTCCTCCAGCACTTCTGAGCCACAGTGAGCGCTCCCTCCTTACATCTCCCGAAGCATTCACTATAGCAAAACCTTGTACGTCTGCGGAGGATGGCCTCAGAAACAGCTCACGCACAGCTGTAGTCTCTTAGTGATGAACTCCCACCAGCAAGGGCAGAAGCCCAAGGTCTCAAGTCACTTGGCCCTTGAATGTCATATATTTGGACTGTGCCATCTACAACCGCTCTTACTACAGCTATGTACTGAGCCCTGGATCACACTCCTTAGCCCTTGAAGATTTTAGTTTCTGACTCACTGTCATCTCTCCCCCAACACTAATCTTACCCTAAACCTTGGCAATTTCAACATCCTGCCAGATAGTTCTTTGTCTCAAGCTCTGCGTTGAGTGCTTTACAAATAATGTCTCATTTGCAGGGCGCGGTGGCTCATGCCTGTAATCCCAGCACTTTGGAGTGGATCACCTAAGGTCAGGTGTTTGAGACAGCCTGACCAACATGGTGAAACCCATCTTTACTAAAGATACAAAAATTAGCCAGGCATGGTGGTGCACGTAGTCCCAGCTACTGGGCGGCAGAGACAGGAGAATCATTTGAACTCGGGAGGCAGAGGTTGTAGTGAGCCGAGATGGTGCCACTGTACCCCAGCCTGGGCAACAGAGCAAGACTCTGTCTCAACAACAACAACAACAACAAAAATAATGTTTCATTTAATCTTCACAAGAATCCATCTCTCAAAGAAGGAAAGAGATTTACAGAAAATATGCAATTTGCTGAATACCATACTGTTATTTAGCTGTAAAGCTAGGATTCAAACCACGCTGCTCATATTATGAGTCTATGTTCTTGACTCCTGTGCTGTGTTGCCTTCCATTATTTAAAAAAAAAAAAAAAATTTGGCCGGGTGCTCACACCTGTAATCCCAGCACTTTGGGAGGTTGAGGCAGGATGACTGCTTAAGCCCAGGAGTTCAAGATCAGCCTGGGCAGCATAGTGAAACCTTGTCTCCACAAAAAATTTAAAAATTAGCTGGATGCAGTGGCACACACCTATAGTCCCAACTAATCAGGGGGCTGGGGCAGGAGGATCATTTGAGTCCAGGAGCTCAAGGCTGCACTGAGCTATGATCTTGCCACTGCACTGCAGCCTCTGTGACGGACCGAAGCCCTTTTTCAAACAAAAACGAAAACCTACCTTTTGTGGAAGGAGCTGAGGACAGCTAAGACAAATGGGAAAGAGGGGCTGGGAATTCCTCTACACTTCTATCCCTGTCCCAGGTCTCCTTCCACATCTCCAATTCAAGCTACTCCTTCTATTATTAGTTAACAACTTTGATTATGTTGAAGCTGTGGGCATATGAGGACCCCTATCCTCTGGGAAGGCAGAGCTGGTTTTTCAGGCAGATGGACATGGGTACAAATCCCTGTTCCACCATCAGTCAGCTGGGTAACATCGGTAATGACACCACCTTCCTCAGCCTCCACTTCTGAGGCAGCAGGGGGTCGTGCAGAAGAGCACAGGCCATGGGATCAGCCCGCCTGGACCCAAGTCCCAGATCTCCGCCAGCTGTGACCCTGGGCAAATCAGTAAGTCTCAGGCTTCCCACCTGCCGAGAGGCTGCACAGGCTGTTGAGAGGAGTAAATGGCATCGCGTGCTTACAGCCTCCAAGCTCTGTGTGAGCGTGGTTCACAATGCCAAGACATGGACTCGACCCAAGGAAGGGCCATCAGTGGCAAACAAAGAGAGAAAACGTGGTATATACACACATGGAATATTATTCAGCCTTAAAAAGGAAGGACGTCATCTGTAGTCCCAGCTACTCAGGAGGCTGAGGCAGGAGAAGCCCTTGAGCCTAGATGTTCAAGGCTGCGGCGAGCTCAGGTTGTGCCACTGCACTCCAGTCTGGGAGACAGAGCGAGACCTTGTCTTAAAAAAATAAAAAAAATAAAAAAATAAAGAAGAAAATCCTGTCATTTGCAACAACATGGATGAACTTGGAGGCCATTACGCAAGTAAAATAAAGCAGATGTGGCAAGACAAATACTACATGATCACACTCAGATATGGAAGTTAAAAAATTCACCTCATAGAAACAAGGAGTGAAACGATGGTGACCAGGGGCTGGGGTGTGGGCATTGGGAAAGTGTTGGTCAAAAGACACAAAATTTCAGTTAGACAGGAGGAATAAGTTCAAGAGATCTATTGTATACCATGGTGACTATAGTTAATAATGATATATTATACTTGAAAATTACTAAAAGGGTAGATTTTGACAGTTCTCATCAAAAAAGCAAGTTATGAGAGGTAATGCATATGTTAGGTGGCTTGATTTCGCCATTCCACAATGTATACATATATCAAAACATCATGTTGTACACCATAAATATATATGATTTTTATCTGTCAATTTTTAAAGTAAAGAAAAAAATCTCCTGTAAAAGAGACATATCTTCCATACAGAAGAATTCCAAATTAATACATAATTAAAAAGATCTGCACACAATATTTGCTCAATAAGTTGCCTGACAGAATATGAAGATAAGTTAGTGTCCCTAAGCAACCAGTTCCTGGAAAATGTAGCTTCTTCTCTCACTCCCTCCCTCCTGGACTCATTACCATGGGCCCCTCCCACCTGTGCTGTGCTCAGCCATGCCTGCTTCTTTGCTCTTCCGTGGTGCTCCAACATGCCTCTGAGCCTCTGCCTGAGCCGTAGCCTCTACCTGGACATCCTTTCCTCTCCCATGTTGCCTTGCCTGGGCATCCATTAATGACCAATCCAAAAACTACTTCCTCTCTTATGTGTCCCCATGATGCCCAAAAAATGGCCAGGCACCTCTTTGTACTGCCAGAGTAATGTGTATGCCTCTGTTGTGAACACAATACATTACAGCTGCAAAGAACCCGTCAATATCTGGAGGATGGGGACCATATTTCATTTATCTTTGTGTCATTAGTCCCAACTGTGTTTCCTGGAATGCACTGAACTCCATTTAATTCGATTGAAAATGCAAAGGAATGAAGCCAACGTTGAGAGAGGCAATCACCGTGGCCCTGAGTATCCCTGCACATATGTGCTGGGAAAGCCAAGAATACACAGCCTGGTTCCATCCCTACTCATTGCTCAGGGTCGTGTTTGCAGCAAGCAACTATGAGGGATGAGGTAATGTCTCCTTCCAGAACAAAGAGCAGGCTTGCCATAAAGGAAGGGACTGTCCTCAGCTGTGATACAAACCCACTGCTCACACAGCATCCACTTGGGCCCTCTGTGCTGGCTCTGGCTCTCTGTCCTACAGAAGGCAGAAACTGTCACAAATAGGATGCTCTTTCTGGCCTGTGAGTAATAAAATCCTTTGTTTCTGACCCAGGAATCTCATGTCTTCTGACAGCATCCATGAAACAGTGACAGGATAATTTACTATCTCAAAGGCCAGCAAACTACAATTCGTGGACCAAATCTAGCCCATGATCTATTTTTGTACAGCCTGTGAGCTAAGAATGATTTTTGTGTTTTGAATGGGTTGTAAAAAAAAGATAAAGAATATATGACAGAGACCCTATACTGCCTACAAACCCTAAAGTATTTATGATTTCGCTCTTAAATTTTTGCCAACCCTTTATTATCTTTTAAGGAAAGTAAAGGTAATCTGAGTCTCTGACAATCCAACTCTCCATTTAACTTCCTGAGAGGAGGAGTGCCATCATCTCCTCCTAACGTTTCCATAGTACCAAGCACAGGGCTGGATACCGTACAAGGCTCAAACAAGACTAAAGCACCCCTTAATTTATTCAACACAGATTCAGTGCCTGGTGCTGTTTCAGGAACTGGTGATACACTGGTTAAAGCAAACAGTCAAAATCCCCAACCCCATGGCGCTGACATTCTAACAGAAGTGATGAATGATAAATAATTACATGTCAGATAGTGGTGAAAGGTGTGGAGAAAACAAAAAAGAATAAGGGAGATATGTTGTTCCAAGGTTTGGTTGGTTGGGGTGGATAGGGGTGGCTCATATTTTATGCAAGACAGAGAAGGACCCCTGAGAAGGTGGCATGATTATTTATATATTTATTCTTTTGAGACAGAGTCTCGGTCTGTCACCCAGGCTGCATTGCAGTGGTGCCATCATAGCTCACTGCAGCCTTGGCCTACTGGGTTCAAGCAATCCTTCCACCTCAGCCCCCCAAGCAGCTGGAACTAGAGGCATGTGCACCACCACGCACGGCTCCAGGAGGCATGACTGGGCAAGCCAATGCCTGTTTGGGATCGCTAAGCCTTAGAAGTCTGGCACTCTGGAGAAGTGAATGAAAAGCACATCCCATGATAACTATGTGAAGCAATGCATGTGTGAATTAGCTCAAGTTAGGCTTTCCACAACACATGCACATTTCAAAACATGTTGTGTACACTAAATATATACCATATTTATTCGTTAATTAAAATAATAAATCTTAAAATAAATGATTTTTTTTAAAAAAGCACATCCCCTCTCCACTTTCTGCCCCATGGTTCTCTAAGCTATGTACTCATTTGAGCTGGGCCTATTCTAGAACCCCTGCGTCCCCCTTACCCTGGGAGCACCGCTTCTACGCAGCTCCCTGTGAGCTGGAGGGCATGCACGGAGAGCGGGTTGGAGCCTGTGTGTTCTGAGGACCCCATCGCCACCATGGAGGGCTTCCTCATAATCTTACTTTGGCACTAAAAGCCCCAAGTTAGGAATCACTGTACCTAGACCCTTTTATTTTACTCTATCAAATACATACTAATTCTCTGCCCTGACACACATGACTGCATATATTCACACATATCTAAAAACGACAAATAAGATCCATATATTTGTAAGAGCTGCTGAGCCTTTACTTCAGGAGAAAGGACAACCCTGAAAGATCACACAGGCTTTGGGATCATCCAGAACTGGGTCCACATCCCACCTTCCCCTCTAGTTAGCTGGGCAAGTTACTTTAACTCTCTTAGATTTTGTTTGCTCATCTTTGAGTGGGAGCTAATAATACCTATCTCTTTGAAAAGATGATCATGGCTGGGCGCGGTGGCTCAAGCCTGTAATACCAGCACTTTGGGAGGCCGAGGCGGGCGGATCACAAGGTCAGGAGATCGAGACCATCCTGGCTAACATGGTGAAACCCCGTCTCTACTAAAAATACAAAAAAATTAGCCGAGTATGTTGGCGGGCCCCTGTAGTCCCAGCTACTCAGGAGGCTGAGGCAGGAGAATGGCGTGAACCGAGGAGGCGGAGCTTGCAGTGAGCCGAGATCGCGCCACTGCACTCCAGCCTGGGTGACAGAGACTCTGTCTCAAAGAAACAAACAAAAAAAAGATGCTCATACAAAGTACCTAGCACACAGTCAGTCCCACAGAAAGCGTTCTCTAAGTGCTGGCATTTCCATAAGCTAGGACCTGAGTCCTCCATCCACTCGGCAGCATTCATGCGGTGCTCCTACTGCCTGTCAGGCAGCGTCCTGTGATGCAGCCCCTCCAAACCCTAGGCCGCCTGTGCCCCCAGGAGGCTGTAGAGCAAGACAGACAGCAAACAAGCCATGGCAATCCAGGGTGACACATGGAGGGAATCACCTGCGGGGTGAGGACATGGGGAAAGCCTACCCTATGAGCGGCTGAACCAACTAGAAGGTAAGGTTCCTGGCTGGAGAAAAAGCTGACATTCCAGGTAGAGGTGACATGTTAGGGAAAGGCTGGAGGCATGTGCCACGCAGTGAAGCGGCGTGATGGGAGTTACAGAAAGAGAAAGAGAGCCAAAGAAGAATGGGCTGAAGTTAAATGGTCTTGTCTGCCACACTAGGGAAGCTGGATTGGTGTTAAAGACTGGCTTCCATATGGAGACATAACTAGAGTGGGCATGACTGGAGACCACAAAATATGTTAGGAGGCTGCCCAGAAGCAAGTGTGGGAGCCGGGAGGGAGAGAAATGAGACTGAGTTTGATCCACTTGCGGAATATCTTGGTAGGAGCTATGGGTTAAGTGTGTCCCTCAGAATTCATGCCTTGGAAATTTGATCCCCAGCATGGCAGTGTTGGGAGGTGGCGAAATCTAAGAGGTGATTTGATCATCGGGGGGATTAATGCTGCTCTAGAGGGACTAGGTTAATTCTCCTGGGAGTGAGTGAGTTCTTGCAGGACTGAATTAGTTGCCATGAGAGCTGGTTGTTAGAAAGTGGGGCCACACTTTCACAATTGCCTGCTTTCCCTTCCACTTCTCCACCAGCTGTTGATGCAGAAAGGGGCTCTCATCTGAAGCCAAGCAGACGTGGCTGTCTGATCTTGCACTTCCCAGCCTCCAGAACCATCAACCAAAATAAACCTTTTTAAAGATTACCCAGTCTCAGGTATTCAGTTATAGCAACAGAAAACTGACTCAGACAGTAGGTATCCAGGAGGTGGTCAGATGGAAAAGAGTGATATCGGGGCTGGAGACTGATGTGGGGCCATCGATCTGTAGATAAAGCCAAGCAATGCGCTAATCTAGAGTTTGTATGTGGAGGAACAAGAGAATAAGGCTGATGGAAAAGCCCTAAGGGACAGCCACAAGACAGAAGAAATAGAGCTCATGAGAGAAAAAGAATACAAAGGGAACAAGGGAGAAGGAAAATCAGAATATTTTCTAATTTTAAAGTCATCTTCCAGAGGAATGATGTCAGCAAAATAGCAGACTAGAGAACTCCAACAGAAACATCAAAAAACGAACCAGAGTTGCCAGAACCAACTTTGTAGGAGACCTGGAAAACAACCAAAGCTTATGGCAATTACATGCCATATGCACAACTTGGATGAGTCTCTAGAGAATAATGCTGAGCAAAGAAATTCAAACCCAAAATGGTACATACTATATGGATCCATTTTATACTATTCTTGAAATGAAAAAATTATAGAAATGGACCGCAGATCTGTGGGTTGTCAGCGGTGAAAGATGGGGAGGTGGCAGTGGTTATGAAAGAAGGGCATGACCAATGCTGTGGTGATGGCAATGTTCCATGTGGCTGTCCCTGTCAAGATTCTGGGTGTGAGACTGTGCTAAATTTTGCAAGATGCTACCAGTGGGGGGAACAGTAAAGGGTACATGATAGATCTCTGTATTATTTCTTAGAACTGCATGTGAGTCTATAATTATCTCCTTAAAAAGTTTAACTTAATTATGAAAGCAGTCGTATTCCCACTCACTAGCTGAGTCCTCAGAGTACCCTTTAAGGAATTTTGAGCAGACTTTGTTTATTTGTCATGTAAGAAAGAAAAGGTGCAGAGACATGATCCCTCCAAGGCCACACAGACAGAGGCGTGCTGAGCACACACCTTGTGGGCCTGAGGAGGGCCTGGCCATGTCAGCAGAATGACTTGGGAACAGAAGGCTCCTCAGCTCCCCACCAATGTGCTTCCACCAGGATTCCTGGGACCTGTTTTCCCAACACATGAGGAAGAAACAAGAGGATAAACTGTTGGTACAGCCGCCTTGTAGTTTGTCTACTGAAAAGGAGAAAGAACAGAATGCAACAGAACCACCAAACATCTGCAGGGACTGAGCCTCCGTTTTTGCTGATAGGGAGATCCCCCAGCGTGGGGTGAGTCGCTGGGGCAGAACAGTTGGTAAGCTGCTCGTAAAAAGGAGAGTTAAAAGCTACTTCTTTTAATTAGTGAAAGAAAAACCAGGGTTGAATTGAGGAATTGAGCTGCTGGGCCCAGGATGGCTAAGGCAGAGGCAGACAAAAACATCCACATCCCTCCTGAATCTGGAGAGCCAGCCAGTTTCAAAGCACCCAGGGCTTTCATCAACCCAGGAAAACGTTAGATGCAATCTATCCGGCAGGGGGCACCAAGGAACCCCAAACAGCTGTCACTTCCTGCAAAGCGGCCTGGATGAAATCAGATGGACCAGGGAACTTAGGGGTACCTGGAAATCCAAGACAGTATGGCCTGCACCAAACCCCACCCCTCCAAAGTGTTCATCACCCACCTAGCCCCAGGATCACTCGATCTGGCTTCTGAAAGGCAGCTTGGTATTCTAAAAAGAAGCCGCTAGCCACTAACTGGAATTAGACAGATGTCCTACTTAGTTCTGTCATTAGTTAGCTAAGTAAAAAGTGGGTCTTCTTTTCTTTTCCTTTTTTTTTTTTTTGAGATGGAGTTTCACTCCTGTCTCCCAGGCTGGAGTGCAATGGCGCAGTCTCGGCTCACTGCAACCTGCTTCCCAGGTTCAAGTGATTCTCCTGCCTCAGCCTCCCGAGTAGCTAGGATTACAGGTGCCCGCCACCATGCCCAGCTAATTTTTGTATTTTTAGTAGAGAAGAGGTTTCACCACGTTGGCCAGGCTGGTCTCGAACTCCTGATCTCAGGTGATCCACCCGCCTCGGCCTCCCAAAGTGCTAGGATTACAGGCGTGGCCACCGTGCCCGGCCTATTTTCTTCCTTCATAAGATGGGAGTAATGCTGATGACAGTATTTGTTGAACCTTTGCCACAGGCCAGCCTTATGACAACCATATGAGGTGTGCACTGTATCGCCATTTGACAGATAATGAAGACACAGCACAGACAGATCAAGTGGCTTTTCCCAGTCACACCAGCTAGGGAGTGGAGGGTTTGAATCCGGGCACTTTGGCTCCAGAGCCTGTGTGTGCCCATTCCCCTGGAGACTGGGGAAGGCAGCAAAAGAGCACGAGTGCCCACAGCCCTGCCTTGGCTGCCTGACTCAGAGGCTTGCTGCCTTGCAGCCTCTAAAGGTGTGCTCCACAGGCGAACACCCCAAGCCTCTGCATGCATGCCCCAGGTAGGCATGTGGATGGTGCAGGCATGTGTGTGCTGGGCCAGCTGCAGGCAGGGCTCAGGGCTGGCTCCACACAGGCAGGTGACCACGAGACCTGACCTCAGCCCCCAAAGTGCACCAAGGCCCCGTGAGGTGCTGCTGCTCCCAGCTGACACATACGGAGTTTGTGTCCTGGCCCATTCTTCTCCTCTGCTCCTTTGTATCGCCTCCCTTGCAACCCATAATCCCGAAACAACAGGGAAATTCTTCCCTCTGCTGAGGATCTGGCAGGAAAACAGTCTCCTTTCCAGTGACTTCTTTAGAAACCCCATTAAAAGACTTGCAGAAGTCAGACAAAAGAACTTGCCAGCAGTAAGATTTGCGATTGTACCCAGTGGTCACGGGGACGGGACACACAATTGGCGTGATTCAGCTCAAACGAGGAGGTGCGGAGGAGGGCTGGGGATGGCAGGAACCTAAGTCCCGGAAAGGGGCCTGGGCAGGGGGCCTGGGGGGACCCTGCTTTGGATAGAAGTACCTGGGGCTGCAGGAGCCACCAGGGCTGGGTTTCCCAAGACAGCCTCAATTTCAAACGTTCATCTGCCGTCAGTCGCATGCTCCTGGTGCCTTCTGGAGTCAGGGTAGGCTTTGCAACAGGGATCAGGATAGGGTCACGCCTGATGCTGGGCCCATGTCGCTCACACACCCTCTCTGCCAGCTCCCTGAAGCTTGAGCCCTGTGTTTTGATAACAAGCAGAGGAAGAGCTAATCCACTTTATCAACATGGCCAACTGCTAGAAATAGGCTTTAACTCATTTTTATAAGGCTAAGCCTATTTCCAGCAGAGGAAGGAGCTAACAGTTTATTCCCAGCTGGGCCGATTGCCTGCCCTGACCTGAACCGCGCTGCGGTGCTGCGAGGCCCTGTTGCTCCATTTTGCAGATGCACAGCTGGTGTTCTGCTAGGCTGAGTGCTCACCTGAGGCTCACAGCTGATAGGCATGTGCCAAGATCATCATGACGCTGGATAGGCTCCCACACCCACCCTGTTCCATGGATCTTTATTTGGGGGGAAGAATTAACCTCAAAACCAGGGAGATAAGGTCTCTCCATTTTTCCTTCTCCACTGGCAAGAGTTAAGAAAAAGTGCTTGATTTTTCATTAATGAGGGTTCAAAAGGTCTCCAGTGTAGGGGAGAGTGGACCTGAGTTTCCCAGGTTGCTGGCATGAAGCATCCCCTGAAATAGTGTCCACAGGATTTGGAAGACAACAAATGAAGGGATGAGTGATCAGATGATTTTGGAAATGCTATAAAGTTAGATTTTTTTTCCTAAAAATTTCTGAAAGCAGGTGTGTGTGTGTGTGTATGCATATATATATGTATGTATATATGTGTATATATATATGTATATATATATATTTTTTTGAGACGGAGTTTTGCTCTTGCCGCCCAGGCTGGAGTACAATGACTCGATCTTGGCTTACCGCAACCTCTGCCTCCCGGGTTCAAGCAATTCTCCTGCCTCAGTCTCCCGAGTAGCTGGGATCACAGGTGCCCACCACCAAGCCTGGCTAATTTTTGTATTTTTAGTAGAGACAAGGTTTCACCATGTTGGCCAGGCTAGTCTCGAACTTCTGACCTCAGGTGATCCGCCCACCTCGGCCTCCCAAAGTGCTGGGATTACAGGTGTGAGCCACTGCGCCCAGCCTCTTTGAAAGCCTTTGTATATTAATGAGCATTTTAAAGCTCTAGGTGTAGGAAGCTGAGGTTTAGAAAAATCCTTTATCCAGGCCATTGTGGGGTTGAGAGAGCTGACCTGTGCCCCAGCTCAGCAACCCACAGGCGGGGCCCCTTTATGCCCCCCAGAGGCTTTCATGGGTAAAGTGAAGTGACTGTTGGAGCTCGTCTCCCACTGACACCCATGACTGCAGATATGCTTCTAGGGAGCCCCTGAGCACACTCTGATGTTCACCACGGCTTACCTAGCACCAGCCACTTCCTCCGCAAACCTCAGTTCCTGGGCTGACAGCACTTAGATCTAGGAGAGCTGAGGAGGCAGGAGACCTGGAACACCTGCCCCACCCTACCCTGCACCTAGCCAAGAGTCAGCCAGCTTCGAGCTCCCCTGGGAAGCCTTCCCTGCTTTCCCTTCTCTGCCACCACCGCCAACCCCCATGTCTCGCTGGGTGACCGTCTGCTGCTTCCAGGTTACTCTGGCTCATCTTGACCATAGCCTTGTAAGAAATTAGATACCTGGCACATAAGGAGCACCCCCAAAGTGAGTTCCCTTCCCCTCCCCAGGGATGGAAGACCTTGGTTTCCACCCTGGCTTCATCCCTGACTGTTGGTAACTGGGGCAGTTGTTTCATTCTTTGACCCTCACTCACTTCAAGGTGCATGGTTCTGAGAAGGTCATATGAGATTGGGTGCAGGAAAATGAGGGCCGCACAAACACAAAGCCTCAAAGGGAAGGAACAGGGCTGAGGGCCCCTTCCTGCCCCCTCTCCTGGGCAGTGTCCTGGCAGCTAGGGACCCTGGAGGGCTCCCCTCAGCTGAGCCATCCCCAGCCCTGCCCCTGTACACTTCATGCCCATTCCTGCTTTTCCATCTCAGCATGCCCGTTGCTCCATCTGAAACACATCCCACTCGTGACATCCAGTCCTACCAAAGGGCCTACCCTGCTCCCGGGGGCTAGGTCCCATCTCGTCTGTTCAGCGTTGTCCTTGCCCCTTCAGCCTACCCTGGGCTGGGGAGGAGGTGCCACAAGAGGGAAAAGCAACAATACCCATGGAAGAAACAGTGGGCAGGCCTCCCACCCTCCAGCAGCGTCTTTCTCTGAGGCCCTGCAGGGGTTGACAGCAGAGGGCGAATATTGTTCTCAGTGGCAGGGAGACGTTCACACTGCCCCAAAACGCTGAGCCTCTTCAGCAGATGTACCCAGAAAGGCAAATAATGGAGCTTTTCAGCTGTTGCCAGAGCCAGCCTGAGAGCTCAGCGGGTCCCGCTGGCCACACCGGGTTCCACGGAGGGGGCCTTGTTCAGCACCCCATGTGTGCACACAGTGAGGGTCCAAGAAACAGCTCTGCTCCCAGTCTGAGCCTCTGGCCCCCAAGCTTAACACCGAAAACACAAAACCATTCTCCACCTTTTCCTTTCAGGGTTTCAGGTGGCCTCAGTAAGAGGCGGCCGTTCCCTAGCTGAGGGACGACTTGGTCTGAATGCGGATATGTCAGCTCCCCGCTCTGGCCGGGCTGCCCGTGACTGCTGCCTGGCATTCCCCTGCCTCACTAGCT
The DNA here is from genome assembly GCF_000001405.40 of Homo sapiens. NCBI lineage: Eukaryota > Metazoa > Chordata > Mammalia > Primates > Hominidae > Homo > Homo sapiens. The sequence goes on along the minus strand of NC_000002.12, from coordinate 130,869,668 downwards.
TCCTTTCATACCCTCTCTTCTCTCTAACTGCAGAGGTCATTGTTCCCCAGCAGCTTCTACACTCCTTCGAATTCTAGACACAGTCCCTGAGTCATCTCGTGCCATCACAGATTCAAGCACTGCCTATGTGCTGGGCACAATCAAATAGCTACTGCCAGCTGCCTTCCCAGACTCAGGGGCCTCACTGCTCACCAAGATTCCCTGCTTATCTCAGGGGTAACTCCCTCTTCAGTCAGTGACACCACCAGTGACCCAGCTGATGAAGGCAGAGACCCGGAGCCCTGCGAGACTTCCTCCCTCACCCATTCCACATCTATCCGGCTCCAAGTTCTGTGGGTTACAGCTCCTGAGTGTTCTTTCCTATCCTCACACCACTGCCTCTGCTGTACCTTCCATCACCGGCACAGATTACTTCTCAGCTTCCCAACCACTCTGCAGGCCTCCACCCTTACTCCTCCTACTCTCTCTGTGGCCAGACAGATCTTTCTAAGCCTCAAATATGACAGCTGTATCACATCACTCCCTCCAATCAAAATCTGTGAAATGCCCTCTTGGTAGGCTGAGTAGGGACCCCCAAGATGTCTGTGTCCTAAGCCCAAGAACCTGTGACTGTTGCCTTTTAGGGCAAAAGGGATGGGGCTGAGGTAATGAAGTGCATGAGATGGGGAGATAACCCAGATTATCCAGGTGGTCCCGATATGATCACCGGAAGGTGATGTGATGCTGGAACCAGAGAATGAAGTGATGCCTTTAAGGACGGGGGTGCCATAAGCCAAGGAATGTAGGCGGCCACTGGAAGCTGGAAAAGGCAGGAAGCCGACCCTCTGAAGCTTCCAGAACGAACCAGCCCACAGGCACCTTGGCTTCAGCCCAGTGCGGCTGGCTTTGGGCTTCGGTCCTTCAGCTGTAATGCACTGGCTGCATTTTAAGTCATAATATTTGTACTAGCTTGTTGCAGCAGCTACAGGAAAGTCATACTTTCCCCATAAAATTGCAACAAAATCTGACCACCCTAGAATGTTTGCAAAGTCCTACTTCCTGCCTGACCTGGCCTCTCCCTGATTTCGCCTTTTCCTTGGATGTTCTGCTGCACACAGTGCCACGACAGTATGAAATCCTTAGCTTGTATTCCCTAAAGACACCACGCTTTCTCCCGCCTCAGACCGCAGCTGGTCTCTGCACCTGGAACACCTGCCCCGCCCCACCCCACCCTCCCACACCCAGCCAAGAGTCAGCCAGGTTTCAGCTTCCCTGGGAAGTGTTCTCTCCTTTCCCTTTTCTGCCATCAGCGCCAACCCCCATGTCCAGCTGGGTGACTGTCTGCTGCTTCCAGGTTACTTAGGCTCATCTTGACCACAGCCTTGTAAGAAATTATTCCATAAGGAAAAGACGTCCAGGAGACTCCAGTCCCAGGTCCAGATGCAGTAAAAGCACATCCACCCTTGGCCGGGTGTGGTGGCTCACTCCTGTAATCCCAGCACTCTGGGAGGCCGGGGCGGGCGGATCACGACGTCGGGAGATCGAGACGATCCTGGCTAACATGGTGAAACCCCATCTCTACTAAAAATACAAAAAATTAGCCAGGCGTGGTGGCGGGCGCCTGTAGTCCCAGCTACTCAGGAGGCTGAGGCAGGAGAATGGCCTGAATCTGGGAGGCGGAGCTTGCAGTGAGCCGAGATGGCACCACTGCACTCCAGCCTGGGTGACTCTGTCTCCAAAAAAAAAAAAAAAAGAAAAAAAAAAAAGAAAAAAACACATCCACCTTGCTCCCACCACACGCAGCGTTGAAGCCAAAACATGGCGCAGGGGGCGGCTGCCTGAGGACTCTGCAGAGGAAACAGCAGCAGTGGGACCGGGGAGAAGGCTGGAACGTGAAGGATGCTGAGGCAAGTTCCTCATCTTATCTCTGGTAGCTCCTGATCTGGAAGTGGGCATGAGGGCACAGATGAGAAAGCCCTGGGGAAGACTTAGTACAGGCTGAAAGAGGAGGAAAAGGGACTCATGACACTCAGAAAGTGGGAGAAATTGCCTGTTGATTTATTTCCTTTTCTCCATTCTCTTATGTCCCAAGGAAAGCCACAACTGAAATTAGAAAATATTTTGAACTGAATGAAAATGAAAATACAATATATTGGCCAGGCATGGTGTCTCACATCTGTAATCCCAGCACTTTGGGAGGCTAAGGCGGGCAGATCACGAGGTCAGGAGTTCGAGACCAGCCTGGCCAACATGGTGAAACCCCCTCTCTACTAAAAATACAAAAATTAGCCAGGCGCAGTGGCACGCACCTGTAATCCCAGTACTCAAGAGGCTGAGGCAGGAGAATCACTTGAACCCGGGAGACGGAGGTTGCAGTGAGCCGAGATCGCACCACTGCACTCCAGCCTGGTGATAGAGTGAGACTCCGTCTCATTAAAAAAAAAAAATAATAATAATAATATATTAAAAGGAGCCATCATTATAGATACCATGGACTTTTGGAAGATAGCAGGGACATTACCAACAGCTCTATACCCCCCAGTTTGAAAATGTAGACAAAAAGGATCAATTCCTTGAAAGACACAAGGGTACAGAACTGGTACCTATTCACAAAGGAGACACATATAATTCAGGAAGGCCTATATCTATTAAAGGAATTGAATCAATAATTAGCATTCAAAAACTGAAAGCACTAGGCCCAGATGGTTTCACAAATGAATTCTACCAAACATTGAAGGAACAAATGATACCGTTTATTTGCAGTCTCTTCCAGAAAACAGAAGTAGAGAGAACACTTCCTAACTCATCCCAGGAGGCCAGCATTACAAAATCAAAAAAGGATATTACAAGAAAGAAAAACTACACACCAACTGCTCTCATAAACACAGATGCAAAAATCCTCAACAGAATTCTAGCAGATGGAATCCACCAATGTATCAAAAGAATTGTACACCATGACCAAGTGGAATTTATCCCAGGTACGCAAGGCTGGTTCAAAAATCAATTAACATAATCCATCATATCAACAGGCTAGAAAAGAGAAATCATAGACCAATCAATAGATGCAGAAAGAGTATCTGGCAGAATTCAACATACCTATGTGATAAAAACCCTCAGCAAGCTAAGGATACAAGGAGAGACGTCCTTACCTTGATAAAGAACATCTACACGAAACCCACGGCTAACATCATGCATCCTAGTGAGAAGTCCCTTTGCCACATAACATAGCATGGAAGTAGCACCAGAGGACTAAGGTCATGTGGGCCAAAATCCTGCCTGCCATACCCACCTTCTTCTTTTTTTTCCAGACGGAGTTTCGCTCTTGTCACCCAGGCTGGAGTGCAGTGGCACAAACTTGGCTCACTGCAACCTCTGCTTCCCGGGTTCAAGCAATTCTCCTGCCTCAGTCTCCCGAGTAGCTGGATTACAGATGCATGCCACCACACCTAGCTATTTTATTAAAACAAATTTTTTTTTGGTCTCTAGAGATGTGGCCTTGCTGTGCTGCCCAGATCTGTCTCATACTCTTGGCCTTAAGCAATCCTTCCACCTCAGACTCCCAAAGTACTGGGATTACAGGTGTGAGCAACTGAGCCCAGCCAGATCAATGTTTTTATTCGACCCTAAAGTTTTCCTCTTCAGGTCCCTGGACCTAACTTAGCAGCACATGAAGAAAAGACCCAGGATTTGAGTCCACAGTGGAATGTGGCAGTCAAAAGAGCTAATTCTGTCATGGAATGCCTCAACTGACATGCATCCCTCAGGAGAATGGGGTGTGAGTCTACTGCTCCTCTGGGCTGGTCAGGCACCAGAGATCCCCCCTCAGTCTAAGGCCCACACTCAAGTAAAGGACTGACGGACTTGATCACAGCCTGAGATCAAGAGCCAGCTGGATGCAGAATGATTTAAGAACTGAGCTTGTTTGACCCCAAGGGAAAAGAAAAGATGACTGGAGGCAAAACAAACAAACAAACAAACAAACAAAACCTATCTTTGACTTTATTCACCATCACATGGAAAGGAAACTAGACTTTTTCCGCGAGGATCAGAAAAGAGAAAGATCAGCAGTCGACAGCACCGCAGGGGGTCCTGAGTGTGTGATTTGGAATGTGATTGTGGCAGATCACTTTATACCTAATGGCCAGGTCCTTCCATCTGGAAAATAACCATGATGACTAGGAGGAGGAGGTGACACAACCTGCCTCACGTGGGAGGAACGACCTGAGAGGATATTTCCGAGGCTCAGCACCGTTCTGGAAACAATAACTGCACCGTCAGTGCTAAGAGTATTATTAACAGGAGAGAGATTTCCATTTAATACAAGGCATGACTTTCCAGCAACTGGACTGTACAACATCTCCTGGGTTACCCCAGAAGGCACTCGAGGAGGCTGTAAAGGGGAGCACTTGGTAAATACCGGACACGATGCTGCCATAGTCCCTCATATGCACAGTTCTCTAAATCCCTGTCATTGGTCTGCCTGTCTTAGAAGGCCCAGGGCAATTTCCTCTCTCTTCTGAGATGCCTGTTTTGACTACTCCAACCCTCCCTAAATGCTTTAAAATTTTGAACTGTGGTTGTAGATTTCATAATCAAATCCTTGCTTACGTAGCAAGTCCCTCCTCTGAGGACAGGGAGTATGACCTCTCACTTGCATCACCTTATCGGCTTTGCATACAACAAAAACGTTCAGGAAGTACTGGCTGGTTGGCTGGCTCTGCTCCCAGAACACACAGCCATGTGCGTCTCCATCAAAGGAAAGGTGCTTCAGACAGCTGCCATCACTCACACGCTGTTTAAAAAGGATTTGTTGAGCTATAATTCACATACCATACCAATTACCCACTTAAAGTAGACAATTGAATGTTTTTAAATAAATTCAGAGTTGTGCAACCATCACCATAATCTACTCTTAGAACATGTTTGTACTAATACTTGCTGTATTTTTTGTTTTTGTTTTTGTTTTGAGACAGAGTCTGGCTCTGTCGCCCAGATTGGAGTGCAGTGGCATGATCTCGGCTCACTACAACTTCCGCCTCCTGGGTTCCAGCAATTGTCCTGCCTCAGTTTCCTGAGTAGCTGAGATTACAGGGGTGCACCACCACATCTGGCTAATTTTTTGTATTTCAGTAGAGAAGGGATTTCCCATGTTGGCCAGGTTGGTCTTGAACTCCTGACCTCTAGTGATTCGCCTGCCTCGGCCTCCCAAAGTGCTGGGATTATAGGCGTGAGCCAGCGTGCCTGGCCAAAACGCCATACTCCTTAACATTCACTCCCCACTCCCCTTCAACACTTCACCCCTCACTCCAGCCCCAGGCAACTACTAATTGACTTTCTATCTCTATAGACCTGCTGATCCTGGGTATTTCCTATAAATGGAATCATGCAATATAGTTCTTTGTGACTGGCTCCTGTGACTAGGCGTAATTATTTTGAGATTCATCTATGTTGCTGAATGTGTCAGTAACTCACTCCTTTTTTTTTTTTTCTTTCTTTCTTTCTTTCTTTGAGACAGAGTCTCTGTCGCCCAGGCTGGAGAGCAGTGGTGCAATCTCGGCTCACTGCAAGCTCCGCCTCCCGGGTTCACACCATTCTTCTGCCTCGGCCTCCCGAGTAGCTGGGACTACAGGCGCCCGCCACCATGCCCAGCTAATTTTTTTTGTATTTTTAGTAGAGACGGGGTTTCACCGTGTTTGCCAGGATGGTCTCGATCTCCTGACCTCGTGATCTGCCTGCCTCGGCCTCCCAAAGTGCTGGGATTACAGGCGTGAGCCACTGTGCCCCGCCTAACTCACTCTTGTTGTTGAGCAGTATTCCACCCTATGGATATGCCAGAATTTGTTCATCCTCTCAATTGCTGATGGAGATTTGAGTTGTTCACGATTTTGAACCGTTATGAGGTTGCTTTGTGCATTTGTGTCCAAGTCTTTGTGTGGATGTGTGCTTTCATTTCTCTTGGATAAATGCATAGGAGAGGAATTGCTGGGTCATGTGGTAACTCTACGTTTAACATTTTGAAGGACTACCAAATTCAAAGCAGATGCACCACTTTACAATCCTGCCAGGAATGTATGAAGGTCTCAACTTCTCCATATACTTGACAACACTTGCTGTATATTTTATTAGTCGTGTTGATGGGGGTGAAGTGGTAGCTCACTGTGCTTTTCATTTGCATTTCCCTAATGATGAAGATGCGGAAGAAATTTGTATGTGCTTATTGGCCATTTGTATACCTTCACTGGAGAAGTGTCTGTTGAAATCCTTTTCTATTTTTAATTTTTATTCATTGTTTTCAGGTTCTCTCATGAGGTTGCATAATCCTTGGCCTACTTTTATTTTTTATTTATTTTTATTTTTTATTTCCATAGGTTTTGGGGGAACAGGTGGTATTTGGTTACATACATAAGTTCTTTAGTGGTGACTTCTGAGATTTGGGTGCACCCATCACCCGAGCAGGGTACACTGTACACATTTGTAGTCTTTTACCCCTTAGCCCTCTCCCACCCTTTCCCGTGTCCGTAAAGTCCCTCATACCATTCTTACGCCTTTCTTTGCCTACTTTTAAATTGAGGTATTTGTGTTTTTACTATTGAGTTGTACAGATTTTTGTTTTTACTTTTTTTTTTTTTTTGAGTTGGAGTCTTGCTAGGTTGCCCAGGCTGGTCTCAAACTCATAGGCTCAAGTAACCCTCCTGCCTTGGCCTCTCTAAGTACTGGGATTACAAGCATGAGCCACCACACTCGGCCTGTAAGGACTGTTTATGTATATTCTGGATACAAATTCTTTATCAGATACACAATTTGATTTGAAATTTTTTTTTTTTTGAGATGGACTCTTGCCCTGTTTCCCAGGCTGCAGTACAGTGGCACGATCATGGCTCACTGCAACCTCCGCTTCCTGAGTTCAAGCAATTCTGCCTCAGCCTCCCAAGTAGCTGGGATTACAGGTGCATGCCATCATGCCCAGCTAATTTTTGTATTTTTAGTAGAGAGGGGGTTTCACCGTGTTGGTCAGGCTGGTCTTGATCTCGTGACCTCATGATCTGCCCGCTTTGGCCTCCCAAAGTGCTGGGATTACAGGCGTGAGCCACTGTGCCTGGCCCGGATTTACATAATTTTTCTTTTGTCATTTCTGCTTTTCTTGTATCTAAGAAACCATTGCCTAACCCAAGATGCAAAGATTTACTCTTATGTTTTCTTCTGTAACTTTGTTCTTTTTATATTTATTTGTTTATTTATTTGGAGACAGAGTCTTGCTCTATCCCCCAGGCTATAGTGCAGTGGCGTGATCTCAGCTCACTGCATCCTCCACCTCCTGGGTTCAAGTGATTCTCCTGCCTCAGCCTCCCAAGTAGCTGGGGTTACAGGTACCTGCCACCATGCCCAGCTAATTTTTGTATTTTTCATAGAGACGGGGTTTCACCATGTTGGCCAGGCTGGTCTCAAACTCCTGACCTCAGGTGATCCACCCGCCTCAGCCTCCCGAGTACCTGGGATTACAGGCACATACCACCACGTCCAGCTAATTTTTTGTATTTTTAGTAGAGATGGGGTTTCACCACGTTGGCCAGGATGGTCTCAATCTCCCGACCTTGTGATCCGCCTGCCTCGGCCTCCCGAAGTGCTGGGATTACAGGCATGAGCCACTGCCCCTGGCCCTTGGACTATATTTCATATGCAATTGAGAAAAATGTGTGTCCTACTTCTGTTTGGTGGAGCATCCTATAGATGTCTGTTAGGTCTAATGATTTGTAGTGCTGTTCAAGTCTTCTGATTTTCTGCCTAGTTGCTCTATCAACGAATGAAAGGGTGATCTCCAACTATTGTTGTTACATTGTTTGCTTCTCCCATCAATTCTGCCTGTTTCAGCTTCATGTATTTTGGGTCCTGTTAGTAGGTGCGCATATGTTTATAACTGTTTTATTGTCTGGATAGATCTAAACTTTTATCATTATAAAATGTCCCTCTTTATCTGTGGTAAAACTTCTGTTTTAAAATCTATGTAGGCTGATATTTATATAGCTACCCCAGCTCATGCAGTTATGATGGTATGTTTTTCCACCCTTAACTTTCAACGTATTTGCATCTTTGAATCTAAGGTATCTCCTGGCCAGGCGTGGTGGGTCACACCTGTAATCCCAGAACTTTGGGAGGCCGAGGTGGGTGGATCACCTGAGGTCGGGGTTCAAGACCAGCCTGACCAACACGGAGAAACCCCATCTCTACTAAAAAAGAAAAATACAAAATTAGCCGGGCGTGGTGGTGAATGCCTGTAATCTCAGCTACTCGGGAGGCTGAGGCAGGAGAATCACTTGAACCCGGGAGGCGGAGGTTGCAGTGAGCAAGATTGCACCATCGCACTCCAGCCTGGGCAACAAGAGCAAAACTCCATCTCAAATAAATAAATAAATAAAATAAATTTAAAAAATAAAGTACCTCCTATAAAAAGATATAGCTGGATCTTGTTTTTCTTTTTAAGAAAAAATTCATTCTGACAGTCTCTGCCTTAGTTTGGGTTGTTTAATTGGTATGGTTACATTTATATCTGCCATTTTGATTTTTGTTATTTTTTATGTGTTTTGTCTTTTTGTACCTCGGTTCTTCCTTTTGCATTTAGTGAATATGTTCTAGTGTGACAGTTTAATCTTTTTAATGCTTTTTTTTTTTTTTTTTTTTACTATGTAAGTTCTTTTCTTAGTGCTTGCTCTAGGGCTTACAATATTCATCTTAGCTTGTAAAATCTACTTCAGATTTATACTACTTAATTCTAGTCAGATATAGAAACTTTACTCTTACATAGCGCTACTCTCTTCTTTGTGTGTATGTGTGCATTACTAATGTTGCACATATTGTGTTTCCATATGTTACAAACAGATCAATACACTGCTTCATATAATCTTATGTCTTTTTTAAGGAGTGGAGAGGCAAGTACATATTTATAGAGTTTATTATGTTAACTTTTTTATTTTTTTATTTTTTTGAGATGGAGTCTCGCTCTGTCGCCCAGGCTGGAGTGCAGTGACGCGATCTCGGCTCACCGCAAGCTTCGCCTCCCGGGTTCACACCATTCTTCTGCCTCGGCCTCCCGAGTAGCTGGGACTACAGGCGCCCGCCACCATGCCCAGCTAATTTTTTTTGTATTTTTAGTAGAGACGGGGTTTCACCGTGTTTGCCAGGATGGTCTCGATCTCCTGACCTCGTGATCTGCCTGCCTCGGCCTCCCAAAGTGCTGGGATTACAGGCGTGAGCCACTGTGCCCCGCCTAACTCACTCTTGTTGTTGAGCAGTATTCCACCCTATGGATATGCCAGAATTTGTTCATCCTCTCAATTGCTGATGGAGATTTGAGTTGTTCACGATTTTGAACCGTTATGAGGTTGCTTTGTGCATTTGTGTCCAAGTCTTTGTGTGGATGTGTGCTTTCATTTCTCTTGGATAAATGCATAGGAGAGGAATTGCTGGGTCATGTGGTAACTCTACGTTTAACATTTTGAAGGACTACCAAATTCAAAGCAGATGCACCACTTTACAATCCTGCCAGGAATGTATGAAGGTCTCAACTTCTCCATATACTTGACAACACTTGCTGTATATTTTATTAGTCGTGTTGATGGGGGTGAAGTGGTAGCTCACTGTGCTTTTCATTTGCATTTCCCTAATGATGAAGATGCGGAAGAAATTTGTATGTGCTTATTGGCCATTTGTATACCTTCACTGGAGAAGTGTCTGTTGAAATCCTTTTCTATTTTTAATTTTTATTCATTGTTTTCAGGTTCTCTCATGAGGTTGCATAATCCTTGGCCTACTTTTATTTTTTATTTATTTTTATTTTTTATTTCCATAGGTTTTGGGGGAACAGGTGGTATTTGGTTACATACATAAGTTCTTTAGTGGTGACTTCTGAGATTTGGGTGCACCCATCACCCGAGCAGGGTACACTGTACACATTTGTAGTCTTTTACCCCTTAGCCCTCTCCCACCCTTTCCCGTGTCCGTAAAGTCCCTCATACCATTCTTACGCCTTTCTTTGCCTACTTTTAAATTGAGGTATTTGTGTTTTTACTATTGAGTTGTACAGATTTTTGTTTTTACTTTTTTTTTTTTTTTGAGTTGGAGTCTTGCTAGGTTGCCCAGGCTGGTCTCAAACTCATAGGCTCAAGTAACCCTCCTGCCTTGGCCTCTCTAAGTACTGGGATTACAAGCATGAGCCACCACACTCGGCCTGTAAGGACTGTTTATGTATATTCTGGATACAAATTCTTTATCAGATACACAATTTGATTTGAAATTTTTTTTTTTTTTGAGATGGACTCTTGCCCTGTTTCCCAGGCTGCAGTACAGTGGCACGATCATGGCTCACTGCAACCTCCGCTTCCTGAGTTCAAGCAATTCTGCCTCAGCCTCCCAAGTAGCTGGGATTACAGGTGCATGCCATCATGCCCAGCTAATTTTTGTATTTTTAGTAGAGAGGGGGTTTCACCGTGTTGGTCAGGCTGGTCTTGATCTCGTGACCTCATGATCTGCCCGCTTTGGCCTCCCAAAGTGCTGGGATTACAGGCGTGAGCCACTGTGCCTGGCCCGGATTTACATAATTTTTCTTTTGTCATTTCTGCTTTTCTTGTATCTAAGAAACCATTGCCTAACCCAAGATGCAAAGATTTACTCTTATGTTTTCTTCTGTAACTTTGTTCTTTTTATATTTATTTGTTTATTTATTTGGAGACAGAGTCTTGCTCTATCCCCCAGGCTATAGTGCAGTGGCGTGATCTCAGCTCACTGCATCCTCCACCTCCTGGGTTCAAGTGATTCTCCTGCCTCAGCCTCCCAAGTAGCTGGGGTTACAGGTACCTGCCACCATGCCCAGCTAATTTTTGTATTTTTCATAGAGACGGGGTTTCACCATGTTGGCCAGGCTGGTCTCAAACTCCTGACCTCAGGTGATCCACCCGCCTCAGCCTCCCGAGTACCTGGGATTACAGGCACATACCACCACGTCCAGCTAATTTTTTGTATTTTTAGTAGAGATGGGGTTTCACCACGTTGGCCAGGATGGTCTCAATCTCCCGACCTTGTGATCCGCCTGCCTCGGCCTCCCGAAGTGCTGGGATTACAGGCATGAGCCACTGCCCCTGGCCCTTGGACTATATTTCATATGCAATTGAGAAAAATGTGTGTCCTACTTCTGTTTGGTGGAGCATCCTATAGATGTCTGTTAGGTCTAATGATTTGTAGTGCTGTTCAAGTCTTCTGATTTTCTGCCTAGTTGCTCTATCAACGAATGAAAGGGTGATCTCCAACTATTGTTGTTACATTGTTTGCTTCTCCCATCAATTCTGCCTGTTTCAGCTTCATGTATTTTGGGTCCTGTTAGTAGGTGCGCATATGTTTATAACTGTTTTATTGTCTGGATAGATCTAAACTTTTATCATTATAAAATGTCCCTCTTTATCTGTGGTAAAACTTCTGTTTTAAAATCTATGTAGGCTGATATTTATATAGCTACCCCAGCTCATGCAGTTATGATGGTATGTTTTTCCACCCTTAACTTTCAACGTATTTGCATCTTTGAATCTAAGGTATCTCCTGGCCAGGCGTGGTGGGTCACACCTGTAATCCCAGAACTTTGGGAGGCCGAGGTGGGTGGATCACCTGAGGTCGGGGTTCAAGACCAGCCTGACCAACACGGAGAAACCCCATCTCTACTAAAAAAGAAAAATACAAAATTAGCCGGGCGTGGTGGTGAATGCCTGTAATCTCAGCTACTCGGGAGGCTGAGGCAGGAGAATCACTTGAACCCGGGAGGCGGAGGTTGCAGTGAGCAAGATTGCACCATCGCACTCCAGCCTGGGCAACAAGAGCAAAACTCCATCTCAAATAAATAAATAAATAAAATAAATTTAAAAAATAAAGTACCTCCTATAAAAAGATATAGCTGGATCTTGTTTTTCTTTTTAAGAAAAAATTCATTCTGACAGTCTCTGCCTTAGTTTGGGTTGTTTAATTGGTATGGTTACATTTATATCTGCCATTTTGATTTTTGTTATTTTTTATGTGTTTTGTCTTTTTGTACCTCGGTTCTTCCTTTTGCATTTAGTGAATATGTTCTAGTGTGACAGTTTAATCTTTTTAATGCTTTTTTTTTTTTTTTTTTTTTACTATGTAAGTTCTTTTCTTAGTGCTTGCTCTAGGGCTTACAATATTCATCTTAGCTTGTAAAATCTACTTCAGATTTATACTACTTAATTCTAGTCAGATATAGAAACTTTACTCTTACATAGCGCTACTCTCTTCTTTGTGTGTATGTGTGCATTACTAATGTTGCACATATTGTGTTTCCATATGTTACAAACAGATCAATACACTGCTTCATATAATCTTATGTCTTTTTTAAGGAGTGGAGAGGCAAGTACATATTTATAGAGTTTATTATGTTAACTTTTTTATTTTTTTATTTTTTTGAGATGGAGTCTCGCTCTGTCGCCCAGGCTGGAGTGCAGTGACGCGATCTCGGCTCACCGCAAGCTTCGCCTCCCGGGTTCATGCCATTCTTCTGCCTCAGCCTCCCAAGTAGCTGGGACTACAGGCACCCGCCACCACGCCCAGCTAATTTTTTGTATTATTATTTTTTTTTAGTAGAGACGGGGTTTCACCATGTTAGCCAGGATGGTCTTGATCTCCTGACCTCGTGATCCACCCGCCTCGGCCTCCCAAAGTGCTGGGATTACAGGCGTGAGCCACTGCACCCAGCCTATGTTAACTTTTAAATTTCCCATTCTCTTCATTTCCTTCTATGGATTTGGGTTGCCACCTGCTAAGCTCCACTGCAGCTTTGTTCCCAATCACCTCTGTGCTTTTACTGTGAAGCATATTACATTTCTTTTTTTTTAATATACTTTAAGTTTTAGGGTACATGTGCACAACGTGCAGGTTAGTTACATATGTATACATGCGCCATGTTGGTGTGCTGCACCCATTAACTCGTCATTTAACATTAGGTATATCTCCTATATGCTATAGGTCCACCAATACAATGATACATGGATTATTTTCCGCAATCACTTTCTAAACAGTTAAGAAGAAAAAATATGCAATTGCTCTATCTCTTATAATTACCTAAATAATCACTTTTACTGGCAATCTCGATTTATTCATGTGGATTTGAATTATTCTCTGGTGTCACTTGCTCTCAGCCTGAGGAATTTCCTTTAGTATTTCTTGCAAGGCAAATCTGCTAGCAACAAATTATTTCCATTTTTTTATATCTGGGAATTATTTTATTCTACCTTCTCCTCTCCTTTTATCCCCATATATGTTGGTGCACTTAATAGTGTCCAACATTTCCGAGTCTTTGTTCATTTTTCTTCATTCTTTTTCACATCTGTTCTTCAAATTACATAATCTCTATTCATTAAGTTCATGGATTCTTCTACCAGCTCAAATCTACTGTTCAGCCCCTCTGGTGAATTTTTCATTTGGTTAATTTCTATTTGGTCGTTATATTTTCCATATCTTTAACAATATTATGTATTTGAAGAGACACTGCTATCACACCTTCCTTGAATTCTTTATTCATGGCTTCCTTTAGTTATTTGAACTGAGTTATAATAGCTGCTTTGAAGTCTTAGTCTCCTGAGGCCACCAATGACACCCCTTCAAAAAGATATTTCTATGGCTCGCTTTCTGCCCTGTATATGGGTCACACTTTCCTATTTCTTTGCCTGTCTTTTATTTTTTGTTTTGTTGTTGAAAACTGGACATTTCAGATAACATTATAGCAATTCTGATACTAATACTTGTCCTGTGGGTTGTTGATATTGTTATGGTTGTTGTTTGATTGGTCAATTGTTTATTTGTTTAAACTTCTGGTTGCCCTGCCTTTTGTTTTTTCTTGAAGTAAGCAATAACGACTTAGCCGGCTTAGATTATTCAAACTGCACATTTCATAGAAAACACTGGCTATTGATTGGCTCCTGAGAGATCATCTCTGAGGTCTTAGGATATCCTGCCTTCTTTGGTCTGCCTGAGGCCCTAGGGGACTGGAGTCTGAATAGTTAAGTTCAGTCATGCAAGTATGCATGCCTGTATGACTGACCCCAATAAAAACCTGGGCACCAAGGCTCAGGGGAGCTTCCTGGTTGTAACACTTCACGTGGGTTGTCACACATTGTTGCTGAAGATTAAGCACTGCATGCCACTTCCTAGGAGGGGACACCTGGAAGCTTGCAGCTGGTCTCTCCTGGACTCCACCTTCTGTACCTCTTCCCTCTGCTGACTTAAATCTGTATCTTTTCACTGTAATAAACCATAACCATGAGTATAACAGCTTTTCAGAGTTACACTCATGGTCCTGTGAGTCCCAGTGGATTGTCAAGCCTCACAGTGGTCTTGGTGACCCCTGACTCATGAACCTACCAGCTTCCTCTTAGTTGCTCCCCACTAAGAGCTGCACTGTTTTTGGCAGTACCCTTAAGGCATGGGTTCTCCAACTTTTTGTTTCAAGTAAAAAGACTCCTCCGGCCGGGCGCGGTAGCTCACGTCTGTAATCCCAGCACTTTGGGAGGCCGAGGCAGGCGGATCACAAGGTCAGGAGATTGAGGCCATCCTATGAATGGTGAAACCCCGTCTCTACTAAAAATACAAAAAAAAAAATTTGCCGGGCGTGGTCGCGGGCGCCTGTTGTCCCAGCTACTCGGGAGGCTTAGGTGGGAGAATGGCGTGAACCCAGGAGGCAGAACTTGCAGTGAGCCGAGATTGCGCCACTGCACTCCAGCCTCGGCGACAGAGTGAGACTCTGTCTCGAAAATAAATAAATAAATAAATAAATAAATAAATAAATAAATAAAAGTCAGACTCCTCCAGCAAAGCTGCACGCCCTGCCTTTCCCCCTGGGCAGAAGCCCTGCATCAGAACACAGAGCTGGGGGTGGGGGCCTGCTTTTCCTGATGACATCCCCATTCTACCAGCTGGCACTGGTTGCCTGGCAGTCCCTGGTCTTCCTGTCTCGCCCCTCCTGGTGTGGAACCTCCATCCTGTGAGTGAGATGAGATGGGGGCACTGGGGCCAGCCTGCTGTGCTTGGAGCAGGCCTCCACCCTATAGCGTGGGTTGGGTGTGGAAGTGATCCCCAGACTTCTCAGCAGCACTTGCCAGAAACAGAGCTTCTGCAACATGGGGCTGAGGATGAGAATGCCAGCAGCCTGACCCTCCTGGGGTGCAGCCAAAGCACCAGCCTATCAGAGGACAGGAGTGACAGCCCCGTCTTCTTGGCCATACCTGCTGGGGTAGAGCTTCCCCAGGGTGTGCCCACCCCGCTTCCTAGGAAGAGGTGGGGCGTGATGACCTCAGATTTATAGAGCCAGACTCCAAAGAATAAATGTGTGTTATTTGTCCTCCCTGCCAAAGCATGAGCTCCAGGACAGGGGTCCCAGACTGTGCCACTGCTGATCCCCAAGCACCAAGGACAGGGTTTGGCCTATAATTTTAACACTTGAATGTTCCTTACAGCTATGATGTAATTAATCATTCTGTGGATTTTATGAACCATTTTGTGCAGGTATGCTATAATTTTTTTATTTACCGTTTCTCTTTTATTGGTCATGTTTCTTGGCTTCCCAAGTTATTTCCACACACATCAGATTTTATCCTTACAGTGACCCTATGAGGTGAGCAGGGCAGGACATTCCCATTTGACAGACAAGAGGACTAAGACCTCTCTCCTACAGGCTAAGAAACCTGCCCAGAATCTCACAGCAAGGTATGGGCAAGGCTGAGACTAGCCTGTAGGTATGACTGTCCATCCTTCAAGGCTAACTAAGCTCACTACAATATCTCTGTGGCCTGCATCCTCCGGCTCACCTCCTGAGCCACACAGTAGGGCCCACCATTCCTGGGATGACGGCAGGGCTTGTGTGGTTTTCCCACAACACTGGACACAAGCAAGGCTGCTGCTCACATGCTGTGTCCTGGTGCTGTGCTGACTCCCACTGGAGAGGGGCAGACCGCACCATAGGCCCCTAGGAGAGCCAAAGACAACGGGAGACGTTGCTCTTCCTGGACACCGATGTGCACAGGCACCAGGACCACGGACAGCCCACACCTGGCTCAGCAGCTCATCCCCAGGGGACACACAGGAGGCCCAGGCCTGCTGAGCGAAGACATGCCCCTCCCTCACAACACCTGTGAAACAGGCAGGTGAAGACTGGCCGTGTGCTTTGCAGAGTAGCACATGATTGAGGTTCAGAAAGGAAGGGAGAGGTGGCTGCACGAGATGCCTTGTCTAGACCTCACCTGGACTCAGGAAGTCTGAAAAACAACTCTGTGAAGCCGGCAGGATGTTCCAGGAAAGAAGGCAGAGACCAGCCAAGCCGTGTGCCCAGAGAGGCTCTCCTACCTCAGGCTCAGGGCTCCCTCCTCCACCAGCTACTCTGAATTTTCTACCATCAGGATCCATCACTGGCCACGTGCACAGTAGCTAACCCGCACTGTGAATCATCATGCAGATCCTCTGGCAGACCCCAAGTTGGGCCTTGGGATAGGTGTGGGGATTCCGGGGTCCCTCATGGTGCCATATGAAGGCCAAGCAGGACATTTGAGAAACAGCCCCCTGGGACCCAAAGCACAAAACATGCATGGCCTTGGTGCTGGACATGCCCTGCTGACCCTCGATGGGAGCATCAGGCTGCTGGAAGGAGGTTCTTCCCAGCTGCCCAGGTGGCAGGCCCCACCCAGGGCGATCAGTCTGCTCTGAGCCTCCAGATGGGGCAGCCGGCTGCTGCTGAGCTCCCAGCTGCCAAGGCTGCCCTTGTGTCGCTCAGCCCTTTTCTGTCTGCTCCTGGGCTCTGGGCTCACAGAGCACAACCCTGAGGAGTGGTGCCTCCTGTGCGTGCTGGCTTGAGACTCAGCACAAGCTGCATCTCACTGTCTCCCCACTGCAGCTCTCCACCGCCCGCAGGAGGCGACGGGGCTCAGGCCCACCTCAGTCCTGCTCGGCTTTCAGATCTCTCTCCCATCCTGCGGTCTCCTCCTGAGACTCTTGGAGTTCTGCACATCGTGCTCGCTCGCCTCCGTGCAGGGCGTCCCACCTTATGGGCCAGGCTCCCCCAACCCACCCCACAGTCAGTCTTGCCCGGGGACTTACCCGGCTCACAGTCCCCCCCACCCCCACCAGCTCACAGTCTGGCCCGATGGCTCCCCACTCCCCACAGTCAGTCTCATCAAGGCATCGCTTCATCTGTGCAGCCTCCTTGGAGGTCCTGGAGGCAGAACGGCACCCCGATGTTGTGCCTTGTGCCTGTGTCCTGCCTGACACCACACTGTGGTCTGCTATCACCTGTCCATCCTCTCGGCTCCCCAAGACTCTCCTTTCCCCTTTGACAGGGTTGAGAGTTTCCTTTCCTGGGCTCCCCACACCAGCCATGCCCTGGTCATATCTCCCACTGCACAGGTGACGCTGTCGCTGTGGGCCAGCCCACCTGTCTCCACCACTAGACCCATGAGCTCGTCAGAAGGGAGGGCCTGCCTGAGCCTCTGCATCCCCAGCCCCAGCGCAGGGTGTGCCGTGGAGCAGGCGCTCAGCCAACTCTTGAAAGAATAAAAGCTGTGAAGTTGGAATGGCTCATCTCCCCCACTGTAAAAATAACACCTGTAATAATAAAATAGCTACGGATAAAGTGCTGCCACGTGCCCTGTGCCTTTTAGACATTATTTAATCCTAACATGAGGCAATTCTGATTGTCTGTATTCTCCAGGTAAGGAAACTGAAGTTCAGGACAGTTAAGCACCAACCTGGCAGGTGGCAGCATTTGAATTTGGACCAGGTCTCCAGCTTCTACAAACATTCACTCACGATGTCTCATTTGGGCCTTACACAAGCCCGGAGAGACTGGCAGAGCAGGTCAACAACCCTGCATTTCCTGCTGGCTGTGTCCATGGAGGCCCCGGGAGGGTTGGGACCTTGTTCCAGCTCACGGATGAGCTGAGGACAGCAGCAGTCAGAAGGATCACAGTGGCCAAGAGCCATGTCATTACCCTTCTTCTTCATGTGACCCACATAGTGTCGAGCTCTGCCCTGCTGCTTTGCAGACAGACTGGAGCCCCCCCAGCCCGTCCACTCCACCCTCTCGGATAGAGACCATGTGCAGCCGCCCACTCAGGCCCGGAGCACCTGCACGGTGGGCGAAGGGCAGGCCTCGGCAGTGCAGCAAACTCCCCAACCCGCATGAACCGCACCCGGTTCTGGCTGAGAGCACATTCTCACCCCACTCCCAGCTGCCTGTCTCATGGGAAGATGTGAGCTTCCTTCCTCTGAGAAGACACAACAGTGTGAGCACCAGCACTGCATGGTTGATGGATGCGAACCAGGGCTGGCTGCGGAGCTGGCGCCAGCACCCTCCTGACAGTTGGCGCCACCAACAGATGCATCCAGATTAGTGTCCTCTCTGCCCTGCATTCCCAGGTCACAGCTGCCTGGCTGCCAGGGCAGGAAAGGCACATGCTGGCCTCTGGCAGGTCCTATCCCAACCACCCTTCTCAAAGTGCAGGCACTTCTCCGCTCCACAGCGGTCAGGACGCCGGTGTTCACAGCACAGAAAGCTGGCGGACTCATGTCCTGCCTGCGCTCCCACAGCTCTGCAAGGGGACCCAGCAGGCTGGTTTTTTTGGTTGTGCAGCAGAATGAACCCATTCCAAGGAGCTGAGTGAACGGCCCAAAGTCGGAACTCGGGGGCTGCCCAGGCTATACCGAGGGCCTGAAGCCCCTCAGGCCTGCATGGGACAGAAGCCTCTCCCTCTGACAATGCCCCACAGAAGCGCATGCATGACAGAGGCCCAGCAGCCTCAGCTGCCATCTGAGGGGGTCTTGTTGGAAAGACTGTACAGTGGCAGGGGATTTGACGCTGACTCCTGCTTCCCCTTCCCGTGTGGCTCTGCTCACCTCTACATGCACCTCAGTCCCCTGTCTACCGAGGGAGGCCCCATCACGAGGGCATCTGAAGGTAGGGACATGGGGTAGGGATACCACCCTGTGGCCCACTGCACCCCTGCTTGGGGCACTGTAGCCCCCACAATCTGCCCTACTTCCCATGGGCTATGTGCCCACCTTGTGGACGCAGACAGCCCACCTGGGGGAACCTGTGTCCTTGCAGGGGGGAGGTGTTGGGCAATTCGGAATTGGAAGTCTGAGCAGCAGCCGTTTGGATGCTGGCTGTGGATGATGGACAGCTGGAGAGGCTCCCAGGACTGGGCTCATGGAGGGAGCAGAGCAGAGCCAGCTCCCAGAAAGCCTCTGGCCACAGGCAGCAGCAGCTGCCTAGGCAGACTTGGGACACGGGTATCATCAGAAACAACAGCTCTCCATGGTGTCCTGAGAGGAGACCTCTCCATATGAGGGGTACCAGGGACACAGCAGGCAGTGGCCAGTGGCTCCTCCTTCCTCAGGTACAGACAGGCCTGATCCCACACACTTCCCAAGAGGCCCCTAGAGAGGCTGCCCCCTCCCTGGGGCACTGGCCCAACTGCTCCTGTGAGTCCCTCTGAGGATGCCCTAGAAACGTGGGCTGCTTTGAGAACCCCCATGGGGCCAGGAGGTTGACCCAGCAGTAGGGGAGGCTCCCGGTGGGGTGAGGGCTTGGGACCTCCCTGGGATGCCACACACTGGCCCCAGACCACATGTGCAGTTACAGCGTCCTGTTTCCTGCTTACAAAGATGCCACTAAGTCAAGGAGAGCTTTTGAGGAAGAAGGAAAAATCACTATGTTAAATGTACACATCAATTACAAATGCATTTTCATTTCACAAGTATTATACCGTTTTTTAAAAAGTGTATCCTAGGCTGGGTAAGGTGGCTCAAGCCTGTAATCCCAGCACTTTGGGAGGCTGAGGTGGGTGGATCACTTGAGGTCACAAGTTTGAGACCAGACTGGACGTGGTGAAACACTGTCTCTACTAAAAATACAAAAATTAGCTGGACGTGGTGGTGTGCACCTGTAATTCCAGCTACTCAGGAGATTGAGGCAGGAGAATACTTGAACCTGGGAGGAGGAGGTTGCAGTGAGCTGAGATCGCGCCACTGCACTCCAGCCTGGGTGACAGAGCAAGACTCCGTCTCAGAAAAAAAAAAAAAAAAGTATCCTAGATCATGGAAAGGAGGTGTGTGATAGTGGTCCCTCTGCTTAGAGATTGAGGGTCTCCTCCTTCAAGTTCCAGGGCAGACAGGCAGCCTGGGACAGCCTGTGGGGTGCCCCCAGGAGCAAAATGGCTGCCATCCCACCTCACAGGCCAGGGCACTGGGGCCCCAGGCAAGGTTGTCTCTAAGGGCAGCAAAGGGGGTGACCCTCCCTATAGGGCACAGAAAATTCCCCTGCATCCTAAAGCCTCCCCAGCCCTGCCTGCATCTCTCTGCCCCCTGGCATGACAATATGCACCCAACAAAACGGTGTTCTTGCCCCAACGCTCCCCAGCTTTTTCATCACTCTCCCGTTACTCTTTGGGGAGCTCCGGGAGGTGGGCACACTGAGAAACAAACTAAAGTTGGGACACTGAGAGGGGTCACGGAGCCAGAACCAAGGCCCCAGATCCCAAGGGAGGGTGGGAAGAGGTGCTCTTGGCTGGGGATGGGGACCCAAGGAGGAGGGGGGCAGCAGGGGAGTCCCCACAGCTGTCCTCTCCTCCTCTGCCACTGGGGGGTGCACAGGTGGGCAGTGCCCCCAACTAGCATGGCTGGGATGGAGGATCCGAGGTGCCCAGGGCCCGCTTAGCCTCTCCAAGGCGCAGCTCCCATTCTGCCCACCACCCTCCAGCTCCAGAATGGGGGCTGGTGCCTGGCACCTCCTCTTCAGGGCCCATCACCCCTGAGCCTCACTGCGCCACCCAGGCCTGTCTCCTGTGCCCTGTATCCCTGTCCCACTCACACTGACAACCAAGCATGTCCCCTCGGGGCCTGGTCTCCCTGCAGACCGGGAGGCAAGTGTCATGTGACTGGAACCCTCACTAAAACATGCACAGGGCCCCAGCTCCACTCACAGCTCCAAGCCCGGCACTGGAGGGAGGAAGAGACAGGATCACTCAAGCGCTGTCCTCAGGAGCTGGGGATTCAGAGCAGGAGCCTCCCTGCCGTCCACTGGTCCCTGGGCCCTGGGAATGCCACGCAGGAGGTGCCTGCACACCCATGTGGGGAGGGCTTCCAGTGCCAGTGCTCAGAGCCTTCGTTGAATTCTCACAAGGCTGCCAACCTTTACTACCCAGAGGGCTCGGAAGCCCCTGTCCAGGGCCTGCATGTATGTCTTGCTCATGGCCTGACCTCCCTGGCACCCAGCACGGGCCTGGACTCTAACAAGACTAGTTAAATGCTGTGCGTGGGGATGAAAACACTGGCCTTGGGGTCGAGTCGGTATGCTGGGGCAGCGCACAAGGTGGTTCAGACGCGATCCTGGCCTGAGGCCCTGCTGCCCCACAGGGTGGGCGGGAGCAGCCCAGACCGCCTCTCCCCACAGGCCTGCTGCAGCCCCTCTGAGGTCGGGAAGCCTCACCCTTCAGGCCAAAGTCACCCATCCTGTGCAGATGGCCTGCTCCCACCCTGGAGACTAGCCACAGCCCACCCTCCCTGCCCACCTGGGCAGAGGCCCCATGTCCTCAGATGACTTTCCTTCCTCTCCTCTGGAAGAGCCCCTGCAACCACGTGGCTCCCTCACACCCGTGGCCTCCACTCAGCAGGTCAGCTTCGCCCACAGACAGACCCCAGCCCAGCGGCCCAGCTCCAATCCCACACACTCCTGAGGCTCAGACCTAGCCTCTCAGAGGGGCTGTGGGGAGGGTCAGGGCACGCAGGCCCTCATGCCAGGGGCAGTGGAGCCAGCACACGGATGGGCCTTCAAGGCCGCCTTCCATGCCTGACTCACCCCCAGGTGGAGGCCTCACCTTCTCTAAGCCAGCACTGTTCCTGTGAAGCCTCGCCTGATGTTTTCTAAACTCTAGAACTCACAGAGAGAAAGGGGACCTGGGTGGACCCAGGGAAGGACAGGACACCAAATGTGCCCCTGCTTCAGGGGGTCAGGCCCTCGGAGCCAAGCGTTGGGGTGGAAAAGCAGCTGGGGCCACAGCATTGAGCACTCAAGGTTTGCAGGTAAAAAGGAACATTCCACAAACGTCAGCACATGTGACTGTCACAGCCACCTTACAGAGAGGAACCATTATCCTCGTTTTACAGATATGAAGACTGAGGGATGAATGATTAAGTCACACCAAATGTGCACAGTTATGATCTTTTGGTGCCTCCAAGTCCAACGTGGTGACTGAAACCTCCTGTCTTCCAGATGCCTCTGGGTGCCCATGAGGGCTCAATAATTTCCCCCGGCCTCCTCTGCATTGAGGCACTCATACTCCAGGTGAAAAGCGATTCAAGAGGAAGCAGGAGACGCCCCTGGTCACTAATATCACCCAGTTTGTCAGATTCAGCTCAGGCACTGAGCAGTGTCCGGAAAGGCCAGATTCCTGGGAGGGGAAGGGTAGCCTGCTTCTGGAGGGTGCAGCCGGCTTTGGGGCCAGGTGTCCGGCAGGGGCAAGGCTGGGAAAGGCCCTCAGGGTCGCCTTGACTGGACCCAGTGCGTCAGGAATCCACACAGGGCTCTTAGCCCGCGCACATCAGAATTACACCCAGGCTTTCCCTAAAGACCTGCTCAGGCCTCCTCTGGAGAATCAAATCTGGGGCTTGGAGGGCTTGGCACATGTCTGTGGATACAGTGGAAACACACTCTGTGTATCTGCCATCCGGCAGGCCCTGATTCTCCTGCTAAACGTACCCGTGTCACATAACTCGACCCCCGGGGCCCACAACTTCCACCTCACGATGAATCAGAAGAACAAGACTCTCCGGACTCATGTCTGAGCACAGACAAACGTGCATTGCCCTGACCACAGAAGCCCCATCAATGCCCTGCACCAGCTGCCTGAGTGTCCCAGCTGCCTGGCTGTCCAGCTCTGGCCTGGCTTCCTTCCTCCTTCTGCTAAAGAAAGACCCCTGACCCTAGAGCTGCCCCCGCACCTCCTGAGGGCATCCATCCAAGCAAAGTCCAGCTTCCTCAAGCCCCTCTCACTGGGCCCGAATCCTGCCCTAAGTCCCTTCTCTCTCGCCGTCCCATATCGCTCTCCCCATGTGCACCTCCCCACGGCAGGGGTCACAGCCCCCGCAGGCAGGTTCCTGAGGGTCCTGGAGTGAGGGCGCTGGCCTGGGGGTGCTGAGAGGGAGGACTGGCTTATGCTACACAGCCAAGCGGGGCAGGGAGGCTGGCGTAGGGCCAGCAGCCTGGTCCTGCCTGGCAGTCGGTGTGGGTGGCTCCTGGGATCCCAGCACCCGAGAAGAGGTGACTCTTGGGTTGTGGGGGTCTCAGATGACCAGTCACCCCAGGCTGACAGTTCCCAGGCCCTAGGCCCTGGCGGCACCAGCCAGCAAGGACACAGCACTGATGACAGTTTTAGTTTGAGCTGAGCACTCAGCCGAGGAAGGCCTAACCACTGGGCACACAGAGAGTGGATACAGGAAGCAAGGGGCTTGTTTGAGCTCTCAGAGAAGGACCTGGGCAACAGACCTTGAGCCAGGCCTGCAGAGAGATGGCTGCCTTCTGGCCGAGGTGGGCCTGGCTTGATCGAGGTGTAACTGACGCACAATAAACTCACACACTGGAAGCACAACCTGAGGGTTTCGACCGGTGCACAGTCAGCAGCAAATCTCCACTGCCTCTGTCCTTCCTCATCTGCCCTCTGGCTTCCGCCCACGCTCACCTGTCCCCAGGCAGCCACTTGTGTGCTTTCTGTCACTGTAGGTTCGCATTTGGGATCACACCGTAGGTCTGGCTTCTGCCACTGGGCCTGGTTCCCTGGAGGCCCATCCGGCCTGATGTGTATGGCAGCAGTTCCCTCCCTCCTAGTGCTGCTCTGTGGATGTGCCACCCTGTGAGTCGCTTCCAGGTCTTCTCACAAGCTTGAGTCCTCACACAGAGGCAGACTGTACCACTTGACCCAGCTTCTCCCACCAGCCACACCCACTATGCTCTGAGGAGGATGTTCTCATAGTCAGCATGCCTCTGTAAAAACACACTTTCTAGGCTGGGTGCAGTGGCTCAAGCCTGTAATCCCAGCACTTTGGGAGGCCGAGGTGGGCAGATCACAAGGTCAAGAGATCGAGACCAGCCTAGCCAACATGGTGAAACCCCATCTCTACTAAAAATACAAAAATTAGCCGGGTGTGGTGGCGGGTGCCTGTACTGGGCTCCCATGATCCTCCTGCCTCAACCTCCCAAGCAGCTGGGACTACAGGTGTGTGCACCATGCCACGTTAATTTTTTTAAAAACATTTTTGTAGAGACGGGGTCTCCCTATGTTGCCCAGGCTGGTCTGGAACTCCTGGGCTCAAATGGCCTCCCAAAGTGCTGGGATTACAGGTGTGAGCCACCGTGCCCGGCCAAAAACTCACTTTCTACCTAGAGCAGGAACTTCGGCCAGCAACATCAGGCAGCATCACACTTGGCCAAGTTTCAGAGATGGGTTTCCATTCAACCCCACTGGTTATAAGTAAAATATAGCGGGCCGGGTGGCTCACGCCTGTAATCCCAGCACTTTGGGAGGCTGAGGAGGGCGGATCATGAGGTCAGGAGTTCGAGACCAGCCTGGCCAACACGGTGAAACTCAGTCTCTACTAAAAATACAAAAATTAGCTGGGTGTGGTGGTGGACGCCTGTAATCCCAGCTACTTTAGAGACTGAGGTAGGAGAATCACTTGAACCCGGAGGTGGAGGTTGCAATGAGATGAGATCGCGCCATTACACTCCAGCCTGGGTGACAAGAGTATGAGATTCTGTCTCAAATATATATATATACATATATATATATTTGTTTGGGGAAGACAAAAATAGAGGTTGGCGGGGGATAGCTAATAGTTGTTGGGTGCTCTCTCCACATGCTTTCCCTTGGTTTTCTTATTTAAATTTTCACATGCCCCTGAGAGTGAAGGGGTTACATGAAGGTGCCCCAGGGCACAGAGCTCTATGGGAGAGTGGACCCACCTAGGGGCCATCACCATCACAAAGGGACCCTGGGAAGAGGGGCAGCTTCCAAGGAGTGCTCCAAGGAGACCTCTTCTCGAGCATGGGCAATCTTTAGTTCACAGGCAAAAAAGCTGTGGAAGAGAGACAAATCGACCCCTGTGGTACAAACGTGGCTGATACCCAAGGCATTTCAAGCTAGCCAGGGTGGGACAGGGTCTCTAGGGGTTTACTGCCGGGGTTTGCATCTGGCCAACAGGGCTGTGCCCACCAGGCAGGGCGCCCCGCCTCCTTTACAACAGGGCAACGTGAGGGCCGGAGGGCCTCACAGGCAGCACCATCCCCGTCTGTGGAGGGTCCCGGAGCCAGGGATGGGCCAATGGGCAATATCGTTTAAACCTCACCACCTTATAACTGGCAGAAGGTGAGGGGCAGCCCATTGCAGAGATGAGGAAATCACATATGGGATCCAGAAAGACACAGCACTTCTCCTGAGCCAGGGAGCTAGTTGCGCTCAGCGGGAGAAGCAAACAAAACGTATGGGGTCAGCGACTCCTACAGGAGACCCAGAGTGAATTCAAACCCTCTGCAGGGTCTGGTACCTTCCCAGGTTATAAACAGTGGCTGGAGTCTCAGGAAGGGCTGAGGACACCTGACTGAAGCCAGTGGGAGGACAGGGACACAGAGGTGGGGCAGGCTGTGCCCAGCCCATACCTGGAGAGCAGGGCTGTGCTCCACCCAAGTTTGGAGAGAAGGTTTCAGGAGTTCATGTCTCTAGAAACATCAATCTGGGGCCCTCTGGATTCAGGGCCCCCCTGGGGCTCTGACCTGGCCACACACAGACTCAGCGCATTTCCCGAGGATACGCTGTGCTCCAAACCCTGGCCCTGCCCTCAGAGCCGACAGCCCAGAGGGAGAGAACAACCTTTGGAGATGCCAATTATGTCCCAACAAGCAGGGGGTGCTTGAGAACTTGTGTTGTACAGAAAGACCATCTGGTGAGGTCAGGGGAGAGCCCAACGGGGCAGAGGCAGGGTCTGGAGGAAAAGCACAGGTGGGAACCGTGCCCCCCCTTGGAAGAGCAGTGGGGGAGAGGAGGCCTATAGCACGAGGAAGCACTGGTGCCTCTGAGCAGCAACGCAGCCAAGGCTGGCAAGTCCAGGTTAGCAGGAGGCACAGCCCAGGGGAGGCACGGAAGGCCTGCTGGCAGACAGCTGGCTCCCCTGCCGGGTCTGCCCCACCCACTCCACCATGCAGGAGACCAGCCTCTGTAGGGTTCAAGAGGGCAGCCCGCCTCAGCTCAGGGTCTCCAGCCTTGGGTTCCTGCTGCGACCTTCACCCAGAAGAGTTCAAGGATGTAGGTGGCTCCCTGGCAGAGGCCCCAGGAACCTGGAGTTTAGACCCTCCTTCCGCCACAAATGTGGAGGGGCCAAGTGAGTCCTGGAAAATTTCTCAGTCATACACCATGAGTGGGTATTGGCTGCCCCGTGCTGAACAGCTGCTGGGACTGGGGAGAGGAGGAGATCCCAATATAACCGAAAATCTGGCCCCATCTATCTTGAAAATAGAAAGGAGGCAGATATCCTCTCGTCCCACCCTCTGGCAGCTCAGCTAAGACCCAGCCAGGACCCTGGCTCTTGAGGACAGACCTCACCGCCTACAAGAGACACTAGAGGGTGTTGTCAGCAGAGCAGTGGAGCCCACACCCGGGGCAGCCCCACAGGCCCAGCTGCACGTCGCCCCCTTCATCCCTGCACAAGCTGGGCCAATGAGCTACCCCCAACCTGCCAAGACGTCACTCTTTTTTCACTTAACTGGAGCCCTTTACTGTCTTTGGCAATCAAGATCCTTCACTAGTAAAGAAACTGGTACCAGGATCCCTGCGGGTAAGAGATCTGCAGGAAGGTGGGGAGGAGAGCTGGGACTGCGGATTTCACCTAGTTGAAGCCAAAAGCCGTGGAAATACATTACCACGTGGAAGATGTGGAACTCCAGTATCTCACTGCCTGCATGGCCAGCCCCTAAATAAATTATCAATGGTGGCCAAGTGACTACTGGGTGCTTTGTGGGAGAAACAGCTCTTGCTACAAAATCCAAATGAAAGGCATGAAGAATCCAAGGACTGCCGGGTGCGCTTGCTACTTCTAACTGCCCTGTACAGCTTAAAGTGAGGTAATAACACACTCTGTCCTCACAGGGCCTCTCTACCACTCTACATAAAGTACGAGTATCTCTTCTCTTCTGCAGCCACAGGCCTGAGATATCCCAGAACCAAAAGCAGTCTGACTCCACCAATCTGCAGACTGGCGCATTATACAGCCAGAAGGATGTGTTGTTTCCTTGCTCCTTGAGTGACAGTCAGGGTATGGTTTGGGAAAGAGTGGAACCCTCACCTTAGGAGTGGGGATGCACTGGGGGCTCACAACCCCACTGAACCCTTGCTCCTCTCTCTGGCTGCTTCAGGCTGTTATGCCCTCCCCAGCAAGTCACCCTGTTCTGCTCATGCCCACCCTGGCCCCTTTCCCTGCCTCCAGGCCAAAGAGCAGAGTCAGATCCCAGCATAGCCAAGGGAACCAATTACAAGTGAAACCATCAAGGAAAAGACACATACTTCAGAGAACAAGGACTGTGCCAACATACACCAGCAAAAACCAGGGAGAATGGTGAGAACGGATTTGGAGTGTCCCCGACCCTGGGGGAAGAGCATCAACCCAGGCCAGGGCAATGTACTGCTGCAGGTGCGCCCCCCATGCTGGAGTCCAAGAGCCGGCAGGTGAGCTGTTGGTTCCCTGACCTCAGCTTGATAGTGGCTCCACAAAGTGAAACTGAAAAGCCAAAATCCCTTGAAGGAATCCAGACATCTGAAGGGATACAGTGTTGGTGGAGACCGATCAAGAGCAACCTGTACAACATCCCTAACCATGTCTCCAGGGGAGCCAAAAGGACCTGCCCCAGCCGGAAGCACCAAGAAACATTTAGGAAGGAGAACACCAACAGCTTGGAATATTGCCACAGACATCGTTCTCTATCAGCTGGAGATGATGACGGAAGACCTTCCCGTTGGTGGAAATTCTACAGATGAGAACGGTGAGGCTGGCACGACAGAGGATGGGAGGAAGCATTCAGGTGCCGGCAGCCAGAGGGGCACCAAGATGTTCTCATGCTGAGACTCCTTGGCACTGACGACTCACCCATGGCACTGCTAGGACTGAAATCAACAGGTAATGCCAATAGGGTCCTATCTGATGTGTGTAGTATTAATAGAAATGTAAAAAAAAAAAAAAAAAAGCTTTCTAGGCCTGGCGCGGTGGCTCATGCTTGTAATCCCAGCACTTTGGGAGACTAAGGCGGACGAATCACGAGGTCAGGAGTTCGAGACCAGCCTGGCCAGCATAGCGAAATCCCATCTCTACTAAAAATACAAAAAATTAGTCAGGCATGGTGGTGCGTGCCTGTAATCCCACCTAGTTGGGAGGCTGAGGTAGGAGAACTGCTTGAACTCAGAAGACGGAGGTTGCAGTGAGCTGAAATCGCGCCACTGCATTCCAGCCTGGGTGACAAAGCGAGACTCTGTCTCAAACAAACAAACAACCACTTTTTAAAACTAGGTCTGGTAGGCAGGAGTCTACCATGAGTGCCTAGAACAACATCTGGCGCATAGTAGGTGTTCAACCAATATTTGCTGAATAAACTACATTGCCTCTTGCCCAATTCCCAGATCTCTCAATAGACCCAAAACTCCTTGAGTTGTAGGGAGGCTGGTCACCTGCGTAACAGCACAGGTATATGCCGTGAATCTTCCAGAGCCTCCTGGACAGAGAAGTACCTGGACCTCCCGGCACCATTGAGGGCTGGTTCTGAGCTGACACTGTTCCTGGTAGCCCAGGATGTCTCCACAGCCTGCCACCAGGAGTGACGCTTGCCAGAGGCAGTGGCGCATGCAGGCCATGACGAGAGCTGTGCCCTGCATCCACCTCGTGGCAGCCCACTGGGATCCCAAACCTGTCCTATGGCAATTTCCCTAGTTCCTGAGTGCTCAGGTGACAAACACATGCCAGTACGTGGCAGGAACTTCATCCTGGCTTCCTGAGCCATGGTGTGGAGGCTTCTGTGGTGGGAAAGACTACCTGGATGGATCTACAACTCCCTCCCCTCCAAAATAGTGGCTCATTAGCAACACCTCATCCCTGGAGACTGAGAAACCACCAGCACCCAAGGCAGAAGACGCTGCTGCATCCCCCCTTAACCTGCCAGGTAGGCTTGTGCAGGAGACATGGGGACCTGAAAATGCGGTGGACAGATCTGGGTTCAATCAAGTGGATTCTCTCATCAGCTGTGCTGTCCCACTTATGACCTCCCTACCGGACTGAAGCTGTCACAATCCTTGGCATAGTATAGAGCCACTGATTGGATGAAAACTCGGTCTATGTGTGTGTGTGCACCTGTGTGTACACCTGTGTGTCTGTGTGTGTGCCTGTGTGTCCCAAGTGTGTATGCCTGTGTGTGTGTGTGCCCATATGTATACCTATGTATGCCTGTGTGTGTGTGCCTATGTGTGTGCTTCCTGCTGCAGTACTCAGGAATTCACGGAAGTAGGTTGGCTTCCCTGTCATGGGGCACAGCATCCCACCTTCACGACTTGTCTTGGCTTACTGATTCTGTGCCATGGTTTAGCCAACAAAGACCTTGACCTTTCTCTCCTGATGACCTCATGTGGGTCTTCTGCACACTAATAGGTCTTGGAGGAAACCAAGTAGCAAAGTACCCTAAGTGTTAGGACATACATGTACCAGAGAGTAGGACATACATTCCATGAAAATACAGGGACCTGCCACTTCAGTGACGGCTCCAGGCAGGCAGCAGGGGGTCCAGCTGTCTGGAACATTTTGAAATACACCCTCGAAATCAAAAGTCATGCTTGGCCCACACACGATGCTGGGAGGGCCTCTGGATTTTTGAGACAACATATTTTCCTTTTGGGTGTGCTGCTCCTCTGACTCATTTGCTGGGTGACCCCCAAGGCGGCGCACCTGTGTGGGCCCCTGGCAGGTGCAGGCTCTCCGACTGGTCTGCCTGCACGGGGAGGGACTCTGCCACACGACTGTCATGCCCCATGGATCCCACGGTGCCCAACGTGCCCAAGCAGATCTGTGTGCTGTACAGAGTCTGTACCAAGTGCCACCAGAAGGCACACCTGGGGCCTTGGGGTCCTCCTCCTGGGCTTGGTGGAGACTAGCTGCATCTTGGCTAACAGAGTCTGACTGGGAGACCCAGACAATCTGAGGTTCCCAGAATGAAGTGGCCTTTTCTGGCCCAGTCCAGCACCCATCATCAGGGGTACCTCATAGGACCAATCCCTGGGGACACCAGGAGGCACCAGGCGGTGACTGAAGCACGTAGCTCCTCTGCCCACCCCACAACCTGTGTCCTCACGGGGTATTCCTTACGACCAGTGTCTGAGAGGAACAAGTATGAACTACGTTGTCGGTGGCTCGGCAAGACACACTCACACAGCCAGAAGTGGACTGCTGTGGCAGTCAGAGCCCCTCCCATGTGGACAGCAGAAAGGAGACCCTCTGAGGGGCACAGGTGATGCTTCCTGTGGTGTGCATGGGGAGGCCTCAGGTGTCTCAGGACCTACAGGGACCTGAGGCAGAAAGTATGGAAAGGCCTCTCTGAATAGATGGGGAACTGGAGGACCGTGTGTGTCAGGAATACTTTCACAAAGGCCAAATCCCAGGAGCCTCCCAGGCAGCAGCAGGCAAGGTGGCTGCCCAGAGATGTCCAGTGGTCTCTCCTCCAGCCACACTCCACCTGCTCCTGGAGCTTCTGGGGCCAGCTGGGTGACTCAGATTCTGCCCAGGCATCTTGGATTCTGTCCGGCCATCTTCCCCTCACCTGGGCAACTCCTTGCCACCCTTGCTGTGGGTGCAGCAGAACCAAGGTCCAGGGCTCACCACTTCATAAACACACTCACGTTTCTTTCCTTCCTTCCCTCCCTCCTTCCTTCCTTCCTTTCCTTCCTTCCTTCCTTCTTTTCTTTTTCTTTTTTTTGAGACGGAGTCTCGCTCTATCACCCATGCTGGAGTGCAGTGGTGCTATCTTGGCTCACTGCAACCTCTGTCTCCCGGGTTCAAGCAATTCTCCTGCCTCAGACTCCCAAGTAGCTGGGATTACAGGCGCCCACTACCGCGCCCGGCTGATTTTTGTATTTTTAGTAGAGACGGGGTTTTGACATGTTGGCCAGGCTGGTCTCGAACTCGTGACCTCAGGCGATCCGCCCCCCCCACTCGGCCTCCCAAAGTGCTGAGATTACAGGCATGAGCCACCGCGCCGGGCCACACTCACATTTTCTAATAAGACCTTCACACTAACCCTGAAAGGTGTGGAGGGCATGGAAACATCACCCACATTTTTCAAAACAAAGACCCAGGTGGTTATGTGATTGTCCCAAGATTGTACACCTCCTCAATGACAGAGTCGGCATTTGAAGGGGGTCTGAGCTCTTCCAAGCCATCTCCTACACTCACCAGCACAGGTTCCTGAAAGGCTGCCTTCCCGGCTGTCCGGCCCTCTCCACTCTTGATGCCAGCGATCACTTCGTTATCGCTGGGGGTGGGAGCTGATGCCAGGCCAGCGGATAGGCTGAGGGCAGGGCTCCTGCAGGTCTGCCCTGGGTCACCTGGCTTCCTGCCCCTTTCACTAGAGCTCTCAGGGCCACAGAACTCCGACCTCAACCTCCCGTCTTCAACTCCGGGAGAAGATGGCTGCACAGCCAAGTAGGGCGCCCTCCCGCCCTCCCGCCCCGACAGCCCCACACAGGTCTGCCTCCCCCTGGACCTGCAGCTGACAGCTGGTGGCTCTTCCCCGCCTCTCCTTTCATGCAGTTGCTCCCGGAGTAGGAGCCCATCGGAGCTCAGCACCACCCAGCGTCGCAACCGCCCTCCCGCTGGCTCACCTGGGGAGGTCGGGCTTGGCAACCTGTGGCCGGCCACCCCTGACAGTGCCCCGGAGCCCCCGGCCCATCTTGGGGTTCCTGTGGGGGCAGCGAGGTGGAGGCGTCCCAACTGAGTGGGTCCCGGATGGTGAGCGGGCCCGGAAATCGGGCCAGAGAGGGGGCACCCCGAGCAGGAGCCCAACAGCCCCGACCCCAGTTCCAGCCCCTTGCCGCTGCTGCGCCCTCGCGTACTCTCAGCCTGGGGAATAACAACAGCAACCACTTCTCCCGTACCCACCGGGCCGGCACCAGCCCTCCTTCCCAAAACAGCTGGTACTGCGCCAAGCGGCAGAGGCTCCGAGTGCCCTGCGCGCCCAGGCCGGTCCAGGCAGCGGCTCCGAGTGCCCCGCGCGCCCAGGACGGTCCAGGTGCGGGGAGGCCGGCTCAGGCGCTCGCCCTTGCCCTCTCAGGGGCTCGCCCCGGGCCGCCGTCCCTACCGCCCCCAACGGAGCCCCGTCCTTCCCCGCGCTCGAGACGGCCCCACTTTGCAGGACGCCGCCTCCGGTCTGCACGTCGGAAAGTTGGGAGCGGCGGGGAGCCACGAGGGTGTCCCCACCCACCGGGTGCCCAGGGGACGGCCCGGGGCGCAGCAGCCAGCGCGGGCTGTGCTCCTCCCCACCCGCGCAGGGCGCCGGGAGCCCGACCGCAAGTCCCGGACGCCGGCTCTCACCTTGAAGAAGCTCCGGAGGAAGTGCACGACGCTGAGCATGGTGGCCGCCGGGACGCCCGGAGCCCGGCCGCAGCACTACGAGCCGCGCCGCCGAGCCGGCTCCACCGACGCCACCCCGCGCCCCGCCCTAGGGTCCGCCCCCGCGCCCTCGCCCGGACGCTCCGCCCCCGCAAACCTGGCCACTGGAGGCACGTGAGGTCCAGGCTCCTGCCCTGCCCGCCCCTGGGCTTTGGTCACCCGCGGGACTGGGCACGCACAGGCACACAGCAGAGCCGTC
This sequence comes from Homo sapiens, assembly GCF_000001405.40. NCBI lineage: Eukaryota > Metazoa > Chordata > Mammalia > Primates > Hominidae > Homo > Homo sapiens. The sequence continues at coordinate 130,836,715 of NC_000002.12, read as the reverse complement.
CACAGACCCGGCCCAGGGGCCGCCGGGATCATCCCGCCCAGTCGAGCTCTTGGGCCCCCTTGAAGCCTAGGAGTGTTTTCTCAGAGAGAAAGCAGCACGCTTCTTGCGCATTTGCACATCTCCAACGCAGCGCTTCGGCCTGTCCTCCGCACTGGAGACTCAGGTGCCTCCGCCCTCCTGAGAGCAGGGGCGGCCTCTCTGCTGAGAGTTCTGATTGTCAAGCTCCCAGAACTTTCAGAGTTCAGTCCGCCCAGCGTTCTTGTTTACCAGTTGAGGAAACGGAGGCCCAGGGAGGCTGTGCAGCGCGCCGGCACTCACACACCTGGTGGGGACAAATGTGGACTAGGATATCTGGGACCGAAGTCTTGGCCTCCAGCTCCCTCTTGCCTCCCACTTACCTTTCCAGGTATGTCCTGCAGATAGGATGTAAGTGAATGGTCACACCCGTAACCATTAAGGAGCGCAGCTTTCTGCTAAGGGGCAAAGGGAAGTCCTCGCTGCTTTCTTTGCAGGGGTTTAAGGAGACAGGGCCTGCCAGGAAACACTCTAACCAGCCCTAGGACCGCACTATTTTAAATCAGAAGAAAAAAACTGAGTATAATAAAATAATAATGAATCTAGCCTGGAGTATATTCATCTTTATATGAATGCAGTTGTAAACTCTAATTTTAACTATTTTATTTTATGCAGGAAGAGGCCCACGAAAGCTAAGACCCCAAGGCCCATGTGCACCATACTGCAGCCCTGCTCTGTCCACCATTTCTGAGATCGGCGCCCCACAGAGGGAGAGCATCTGCCCAGACTGGCTTTTTGCACCCCTGCTCAAGCCTGCACCCTCGTCCAAGTCCTAGCCCCACTGAACGCTATGCCTGGTCAGCAGTGCGTGTCAGGGGTGCCTGGCAGAGTGTGCATTTTCCGTACACCCAACCTGTCTCTGCCTCTCCCCAGGCCCTCACAGCAACCAGGCCAGGCGAGAAGCTTGGGAGATAGATACTCAGAGGAGGCACTGTGGGGCCATCTGAAGATCCTGCGTCCCCTGTCACAGCCTTTATGTCACTCAGGGTCCATGACTGTGCTAGAAGCATGTCCCTGAGGCCCATGGTGGTGGGAGGAGGGTGTGGGATTCGGATCTGGGCACCTGGCTGTGCTGCACACCAGTTGTGTAATCATGATCATCTGCTCTAAACACGTATCTTTAACATTCGAGAGGAATGACCGCCTGGTGGGGTTGCCATGGAGAGTACGTGAGAAATTAAACCTCACAGGTGCTTAGCAAAAGTTAATTCGCTCTTCTCTGAAGGCTTAAAGTGCTAATCCCCTGGCGAGGGGGGAGGTCCAGTGAAAATACACAACCCCTGGCCACAGGTTCCATTGTTGTCTGGACTCCTCTGACCAGTGGACAGCCCTGGACCTGGGTTCTCAGACCTGAGTCAGAACCACGTGGAGGACACCATAGAGCTTAGGCTGCTGCCCCTCACCGCTGCCCCCCTCTCACAGGATCTGGGGTGGGGCCTGGGAATTTGCATTTTAACATGTTTCCAAGTGACCCTGAAGCTGCTGGCCCTGGGACCACACTTAGAGAACCCCTGGTTCAGGCTATGGGGCCTGGGCCAGGCTCGCCGTCTAGCAGAGGATCAGACCCCAGGTTGGAGCATAACCGTCATGATGGCTCCATTCATCAGGCACCTGCTGTGTCCCCGCACGCCCAGATCCCTGCCACAGCGCAGCCTCCCTAGAGAAGTGACATCCAATGCTCGAGGGGAAATAAATCAAAGGTAGTTTATGTCTGTCTTTTCCTTCTGGTGAACATGGTTTTAGGAGGACTTGACTGCACTGTGGTGTGCTCTCTCTTTTGCCGTTATTAAAAATAAGAAAGGCAGGCCTGTTTGAGTCGCTGAAGGATTTGTACAATAGAGTTTCTAGTCAGTGGAGCGTCCCATGTTTAAATATGACCCCGACTTCCTGTCTGTCACATATGGCAATTAAACAGGTTCAGCAGCATAGGGGAGTGAAGTGAGTGGTAGGACAGAAAACATCGCAGCAGATTCCAAGTGGCAGAGAGAGCGTGGGCACGGGGTGGACCGATGGAACTTACAGGGGCTTGTGCTTTCCTCGCTGGGCAGCCTGGGCCACTTGCTTTACTTCTCTGGCCCAGAGACCACAGGCTTACATATAGACAGACCTACACTACCAGCTGGGGCCTGAGTCACAAAAGACAGAAACTTCCCCTGGCTACTCTAGCAGGAAAGGGATTTTTGCAAGAATATGGAGTAAGGCATAGGCAGGGGGAGGTGTGCTGACCTGGGAAACAGGCAGCCAGCCGGCTACGGCAGCGGCAGCAGCCAGAGCTCACCAGACAGACTGCCCACTAGGGAGGCTGGGGCTGGTGCCTCTCCCTGCAGCTTTGCTCCTAGACTCTGGCCTCCTGTAATCTCTGCCGACGATCCCTGCGTCCCTGGTCCTTGACCAGCTCCAAAGATGTAAAGTCCAGGACCACCCACGTGTTGCTGTCTGACTGCTGGTGAGTCAGGGGAGCCGTTGTGAGGAGGGCATGAGCCTTCAGCTAGCCTGGTGGGAAGCCGGCCTGCTTGTACAGCTGTCATAGGTGGGGGACAGAAATCAGGGACACGTTGGAAACAGAATCTTTTTTTTTTTTTTTTTTGAGACGGAGTCTCCCTCTGTCACCCAGGCTGGAGTGCAGTGGCATGATCTTGGTTCACTGCAAGCTCCACCTCCCAGGTTCCTGCCATTCTCCTGCCTCAGCCTCCAGAGTAGCTGGGACTACAGGCGCCCGCCACCACCTCCAGCTGATTTTTTTTTTTGAATTTTTAGTAGAGACGGGGTTTCACCGTGTTAGCCAGGATGGTCTCAATCTCCTGACCTCGTGATCCGCCTGCCTCGGCCTCCCAAAGTGCTGGGATTACAGGCATGAGCCACCACACCCGGCGGAAACAGAATCTTAAAAGAGCTCCTCAGGTCAGAAAGCTGGGCTGACCCTAATGATGGCATTCTCCGGGGTGAATATGTAGCGCCGAGTTCAGACCAAGTGACCCCTGACACGCGGGCAGGGCCTGCAGATAGCCAGCTCCGACAGTCAGCGAGGGGCAGTGGCTGGCGGTCAGCCACAGAAAGGCGCAGGGACACTGGTGTTCCCTCTAGGCTGGGCCCAGGAGGAGGCAATGCCCAGGAGAGAGGCTTCACTGCCTCGTCCCCAACTCTTCAAGTTACATTCCCTCCCTCCCTCCTTTTCTTTTCTTTTCTTTTCTTTTCTTTTCTTTTCTTTTCTTTTCTTTTCTTTTCTTTTCTTTTCTTTTCTTTTCTTTTCTTTCTTTCTTTCCTTCCTTCCTTCCTTCCTTCCTTCCTTCCTTCCTTCCTTCCTTCCTTCCTTCTTTTTGTTTCTTTCTTTTCTTCCTTTCTTCCTTTCTTTCTTTTGTTGGAGCCTCACTCTGTTGCCCAGGCTGGAGTGCAGCGGCACCATCTCACCTCACTGCCACCTCCATTTCCCAGGTTCAAGCAATTCTTCTGCCTCAGCCTCCCGAGTAGCTGGGATTACAGGCATCGACCACCACGCCCAGCTAATTTTTTTGTATTTTTAACAGAGATGGAGTTTCACCACGTTGGCCAAGCTGGTTTTGAACTCCAGACCTCAAGTGATCTGCCCGCCTCGGCCTCCCAAAGTGCTGGGATTATACATGTGAGCCACCGTGCCTGGCCTTGAGTTACATTTTCATGGGGACTTGGGACAATCGGAAATGCATCCACCACACTTGCAGACTGACTGGTGATCCTGAAATGATGGCGTGTGGGAGAGGCATGGGCTTCCTTTAAGAGCCGCCAGAGCCAGGGCAGGGGCACCTTGTGCCTTGACATAAGGAAGGCTCCCCTGCCAGGATAGACAGAAGAGCTGCCGAAGAGGTGGAGCCAGGCAGGGGCCACAGGCCCGTGAAGGTCTCAGCAGAGCCCCCAGGAGAGTTGGACTTGCTGCAAGCAGAGCCTATGGCTCTGCGGTTCCAGGAGAACTGTTTGTGCCCCTTGCCCCACTGCCTGCCAGCTGTCCCCAAAAGGACCAGAGGATCAGAGTAGCCCACTCCAGACGAGGTGCGGGCACCATGCTGTTACCATCTGCTGCCCCTCTTTCCATCTTTCCATCTTACTTCCTGCGTGGCCCAGCATCCAGGCTGTCTAGGGCCGTGGGAGACCTGGAGAGCCATTAAAAACAACAACTGGCAGCACACAGGCATTTTTTGGCAGCACACGGAAACTCACACGGAACAGACAGGGAGCCGGAGGTGAGCAGAGTTACCTGTATTTCTCTCACCACCTGAGGAAATTGGGGTTCAAAGGGGTAAAGCACCTTGTGTGTTGGCCCCAGGGGTGAAGCAGGAGGGGCCAGGCCTCTAGGAGGACTGGCACAGTTGGGTCAAGGACAGGGGAGCCAAGAATGTGGGGTGCGGTCAGGACCTGGGATGGCCAAGCAGTGTGAGGTGAGCCAGAGGCCCAAGGTCTCTGAGATGCTGCACAGAGGGGCATTGAAAGGAGCCAGGATTTGAGGAGGAGAAGGGAGGAGGTGGGGGAGGAGGGCTCTTATGCAGACCTGGGGTGTGGGGAGGGGATGTTCACTGACCCCCCCGCCCCACCCTCACCCGCAGGACCGTGGCCAGGCTCCACCCTGGAGGCAGCAGAGCGAGGAACGTCTAATGGGGATCCCGTGTGGATGCCTTTAGGGAGCTCTGCTGTATACCTGTTACCTCTCACCCTCAATCACACCTCTGGGGCCTGGAGCTGCTGGGGACACATTGACTGGAAGGGGCTTGGGGGCACAAGGAGTGAGAGCCAGAGAAGGGCAGGGCAGCCCAGGGATTGGCAGAGCTGGCCTCAGAAGCTATTGGTGCCACTGAGATTCAAGTACCCCCTGCTTCTTCCCCAAGTCACAGACAGGGTGAAGACAGAGGCAGGATTCAAGCCCAGAGCCCATGCACTGCCCTCATTCCCTGACTGGAGTGTATTCCTGGCAGGGTGACCTGGAAGGGGCCCCCCCAGCACACTAGCTGACCTACTTCTGCCTGGTCTGAGAAGCCTGTCCTACATCACTCAACCTGAACACAGGGGAGGCAGGGGAAGAGGCAGGAGGGTCCTCCTATGACCAGGACCACCCCCAGGGCCCGTGCTGCGGCAAGGGCAAGGACCCCTGCCTCCTTGTGCCCCTGCTCCCCACGTCTGAACGTGGACAGGACTGAGGTTGCCCTCTGTAAGGACTGTGGAGGCTCCAGGCTGGGAGAAGGTGGAAGGTCCCAGAGCCCCGGAGCCTGGCTCTGCTGCCTAATGCTGGAGCAAGTCACCTGACCCGCCTAGCCTCAGTGTTCTCATTTGTGAAGGGGGCTGATGATAGTGCCAGCTCTCAGAGCTGTTGTCTTCACCCTTGGCTTTCAGTGTCATGGTCGTGAAGCCCACTCATACGTGACCTCAATGAGATGGCCAGGTATGTTTATCAGCACTTTTGGGATAATGATTCTCCCCTCCCATGGTGACTGTGAGGGGCATGAGTGTGGCCAGCGTGCAGCCGAGAAAACAGATGTGAGCCCTCTCGTTTAGGAAGGGAAGGTGGGACAGGCAGGCAGGACTCCTTGTGGGCACCTGTTGAGGGGGCCTCACCAGGCTGCATGGCCTCAAGGGCTGCTTTCATTGATTCATCTACAGTGTATAGTTATTTCCAATCAACTCAATACAGCATTCATTTGAAAAATGTTTCAGTCATTGAGAACAGTCTGCTTTGCCTGCCCTCAGAGGACTCTTGGAAATAAATCAACAAACAGAAAATTACAAGATAAGTTAAGTGCTATTAAGGTAAAACATTCAGGGTCGAGAGAGGGAAGAATGACCTGAGTGGCCACGGAAGTCCCCACTGAACCCTGGAGGCTGAGAGGCATGGGGAGGTTCAGGGAAAGAGGGTCCTTGTAGGGGGTAAGTGCAAAGGCCCTGGGGCCACAGCACATTTAGAGAGGCAGAAAACTCACATACATGGCTACACTTTAGGGAGCACAGATGAAGATGGGGGAGATGGAGTAGAAGCTAGGGTGGGGCACAGCAAGAGGGCCCTGGAAGCAGGGGAGGAATGTGAAGGACCCTAAGCTGAGCTGGCAGGGGAGGAAGCAGAAAATTTTTTTTTTTTTGAGATGAGTCTCGCTGTCGCCCAGGCTGGAGTGCAGTGGCACGATCTCGGCTCACTGCAAGCTCTGCCTCCCGGGTTCACGCCATTCTCCTGCCTCAGCCTCCTGAGTAGCTGGGACTACAGGAACCCGCCACCACGCCTGGCTAATTTTTTTGTATTTTTTTAGCAGAGACGGGGTTTCACCATGTTAGCCAGGATGGTCTCGAGCTCCTGACCTTGTGATCCGCCTGCCTTGGACTCCCAAAATGCTGGGATTACAGGCATGAGCCACCACACCCAGCCAGGAAGCAGAACTTTTGAGACCTGTCGGGAGGCCCCAGGAGAGAGGGCGGTGGTAGAGTGGCCGCAGGACTGAGGTGCATTTTGGAAGAGGTCCCTTTAACAGGAAATGCTGGTGGATTGGGTGTAGGGTTGGGGAAAGGGAGGACTCTGTTTTTGTTTTTGTTTTTTCTTTTCTTTTTTTTTTTTGAGACAGAGTCTTACTCTGTCACCCAGGCTGGAGTGCAGTGGCGCGATTCTCGGCTCACTGCAACTTCGCCTCCCAGGTTCAAGTGATTCTCCTGCCTTAGCCTCCCAAGTAGCTGGGACTACAGGCGTGTGCCACCATGCCCGGCTAATTTTTTATTTTTAGTAGAGACAGGGTTTCAACATGTTGGCCAGGCTGGTCTCGAGCTCCTGACCTCAGGATCCGCCTGCCTCAGCCTCCTAAAGTGCTGGGATTACAGGCGTGAGCCACCGCGCCCGGCCTGGTTTTTTTTCTGATTCAGTAGAGGGGTGGTAGTGCAGGTAGATGGAAGGAACCCTGGGGAAGGTGCTCTTGGGTGGCATGGGGACAAGAACTCGGTTTTGGACATGTGAAGTTTGGGGTGCCTATGCTGTGTCCAGTCCCAGGGGACTCAGAGGGCACGAGAGCAGGCACTCTGCCCTCATGGAGCTTGCAGTCTGCTGGGCAGATTGGGGATAGGGATCAGGAAGTGTGTGGGGCTGGGGGCCCGGTGGCTGTGTGGAAGGCCTGTGAGCCTCGCCCTGTGTCCAGGCAGAGCACACAGGAGGATTTGATGTGAGCTAGGCCTTAGGAGCCTTGGGGTCCCCTCCGGACTGACATGCCCCATGCACATGGCCCCGATTCTTGCCCCTCTGACGGTACTCACTGCTGTGGGATGCCACACTGACCTCACTGTTCTCTGCTCCTGGAATGTTGTTTGCCCCCTCCCACCCCTGCTCCGCTGTGTCAAAGCAAGCCCCTGCTCAGCCTCCAGGCTCAGCTCTAGGCCCCGCCCCCAGATGGGGCTTTGCCTGCCCTGAGGAGGGACCCTCTGTTTTGGTCCACAAGAGCCCTGCACCCCACCCTGCACTGACTCAGCTGCCTCTCAAAGGGCTGGGCTTCCTGGGTGTGGGATAGGCCTGAGTCATGGATGTGCAGGCCCCGCGTCTGTCCCTGGCCCGAGGCTGCAGGGCAGGTGGACGCTGACGTCAGGGAGCACCAGGAGCCGCACTCTCGCTCCTGCAATAAGCAAGGCCATCTGAAATGAGGCCCCACCTGCCACAGAGGAGGCCTCAGAGCTCACAAGTCCTCAGAAACCAGGTTTAGGAGGAGCAGGTGCCACCATGGGCACGGGGAAGGCTGGTGCCAGGAGGTGGAAGGAGCTGCATCAGAGAAACACTTGAATCCATCTTGCAAGTGCTCTTTGAAAGTGTCTTACAAGTGCTGCCTAGGAACGTGTCTTTTGGATGCAGACAGCTGAACAAGCCCCTCAACCTGACCCACCGAGGCACAGAGGCCTGCAGCAGCAGCAGCCAACTCCCACACTGCCCCATCAGCCCTGCACAGATCCCAGCCCCCGCTGCCTCAATCATCACCTGACCAGAAGGGGTCCCATGGTGCAATGGCTAGCACTCTGGACTCTGAATCATCCATCACCTGACCCCCAGGTGGGCGTCATTGTCTGAAAACACACCCAAATGACAGGCTGAGCTCCCTGGGCCTGGGCACCTCCCCTGGCACAATGGAGGCCTCCCACTCCATTATCAGACATGTTCTGAATCAGGCCCTTTGGCGGACAAATATTCAAGCCAACCCCTGAATAAACAGGAGCCACATCTGCTGTTCCCTCAGAGGGCTCCCGGTCAAACGGGAGGCAAACACCCTGCAGGGGCCCAGAGGCCTTTCTAGAGGAGGTGGCCTGCCCCCACAGATGCTCGAAGTGACACAGATGCACACAGTGTGCACACACGTGCAGGACATACCCCCTTCCCCAACTGCCTGGCCTGCACACTTGGCATTTCCAGATTTCTAGGAAGTGATGGCTCTGTGCATCCTGAGCCAATCCAGCTCCGAGCCTCCAAGGCATCCTGGTGATGGGCAGCTGGAAGCTCTGCCTCTGAGGCCTTCACACACCCACCTTCGGTCAAACTTGCTTCTGCTGAGGAACTTGGTGTGTCTTCCTTCTGGGCAGGAGGTCACATTTGAGAGCACAGGAGCAGTGCCTGCCCCCCGGGAATGTGGCTCTGGGTAGAATTGCAGGCTCAGGGGTTTTGGGCAGGAGAGCACCAACCGTGCCACACCCACACAGACACGGTCACTGGGGCCCTGCAGCAGGGACGACCGCACTTCCCAAAGGGCTGGGAAGCCATGTCCAGAGGAGGCCATGCTCTAGCTCCCTTGGGCAGGGCTGGCTGCAAGGAGGGTGAAGTTGGGCATCTTGAACCCAGAGAAGTAGAGGACTCAGCACCAGCACAACCAGCTCGGCGCATTAATACACATTCCTCTCCCACCTCTCCCCAAGCCTGAAAAAACCTCAAACCAGCCTCTATGCAGCTCCCTGAGGTCATGACTCACGAACCATGCTCGGGGCAGGGAAAAGAAAAGCATCCGAAGTCTCTGGCCAACACCGCAGACTGTTCAAAGGGAAAGAAAAAAAGGAATGCAAAAGAAGAAAGGAGGAAAAAGAAAGAACCAGCAGAGTCTTTATTTGGGAACAATGGGGACCTTCTTTTCTGTCTTTGCTGTGGGAAGCCCCCAGCGAGGAGCAGAGCGGGGGCATCTCAGGGAGCCCCCACATCTTTGCCTCCACCCTTATCCCCTACCCAGAGAAGTCATCGGGGGTCAGGACAGTGGAGGAGGAGCCACGAAGGACAAGCACAGGCCTGGTAGGGAAGGGTTGTGGGCGTGCCAGGGCTGCAGGAAGGACCCTGGGGGCTCAGCTGAGGGAGATGTGCCTCTTTGGGGGCTGCCTGCGGCGGGTGGGAGATGGGGTCTGCAGTAGTCTGGTGTGCAGGACCCTTTCCCTCAGCCTTCCCTGCCCCTCCTACTGATCAGTCAGGCTGGGAATACCCTGCTTTCTGCCCCAGCTCCTGGAGCAGGGGCTGCTGCGGGATGTCTGGGTCAAAGGTGACTTTTAGCAAGGAGAGAGGACCACAGCCAAGGGTGGACAGGTGAGGATGTGTTCCTGGGAGCTAGCCTTTGAGTCAAGGTCTGCACATGAGGAGGAGTCAGTGACAGCAGGACTCCCCGGCTGGGTGGGGTCCCTCAGGTGTGGGGTCCCTTGGGTGCAGAAAGGAGCTGGCCACAGGGGCACTAAGGGATGTGGGCTCTGAGGCCTGGCCAGAGCTGGCTGTGGGGCTCAAGGAAAGTGACTGACCCTTCTGTGCCTCTGTTTACTCACCTGTAAAACAGGGCAGCCATGTACCTGCCTTCTGGGCTGCTGTGAGCCCAACCAGGTGAACGTGTGTGGGGGCTGCGGCAGGAGCTGCAGTGGCCCAATTCAGCCCCTCCTCACGGCCTGGCCGGAGTGAGTGTTGATGAAAGAGTTAATGGCAGTCAGCTTTGTCTACGACCATACCACCCTGAACACGACCGATCTCGTCTGATCACGGAAGACAGTCAGCTTTGACACCCAACTTGCTGCCAGTGGCCACCTCTGGGGAGAGGCTCTTCCCTGCACACACCTTTGTGTGTCTGCATTCACTCATTATTGCTTTAATGATAAGTGGCACCAGTACGAGGAAGTGGGACCTGCTGCTGACCATGCGGGATCGTCCCAGCTCATGACTGGCCCTGGGCTTCTCCCAGGGACCTGCTCCACCATCTTCTTCCCATCCAGAATCCTTGGCCTCGCCCAGCAGCCCTCCGATGGGCGTGATAATGGCAGGAGGATTTATTAAAACCGGGGGTTGGGGGTGCTTCCTGCCTCCTGTCGCTGCAGTGAGGCTCAGAAAGTGAGCAGGTGAGGCGAGGAACATGCGGCTCGCATCACTGCGACATCAGCGTCATTTCGCACAGTTCTGTGTCTGCGCTGGCCCTAAGTTATCAGCTACCCCTGCCAAGCGGGTTCCTCCAGGGAGAGTGACATGTCATCCATGCTGGTGCATCCTGCACCTGCGCCACGCAGGTTGTGACACAAAGCCAGGGTGATGGCGAGTGTGGAGCGGTCCTGGGGGCTTCCAGGGTGCGGCAGCAACAGAAGTGGAGCCTGACCCGTGGGGCAGGGCCCCCGAGGAGAGACCGAGAGCACCTCAGACTCCCGGCTCACGGGAGAGGACCCTAAAGGGGGACACGGGGGCAGCAGGCCAGCCTGGGAGCCAGGGCCAGGCTGGGGCGGGGAGAGGATGGCTGGGCCGGAAGGCGCCAGTCTCCAGGGTGACGCTGGTCTCAAAGCAAGAGGCCAGAATGGGCTTTTGTGTGCAGCAGATGGGGGGAGTGTGTTCCCAGGGGAGAAAGGGGTGGAGGCAGGAGCGGGCAGCAGGAAAGAAAGGACCATAAAACATGGCAGGGATGCCCGCCTTGCACCCTCACTAGGCAACAAATGGCTTTTACCCCAGGCCTAGGCCAGGGGCTGCACGCTCTGAATAGGGGACTGACTGGGGGCTCTGGGGCCTGAGAGAAGCACCCCATTGGGGTGGAACAGGTTTGCAGGCCTGCAGCCTTGTTCCCACGGCAGGACCTTCTCCCTCCTGGGTGAGAGGCAGGAGACGGCCAGGTGTAGTCGAAGGAAGAGTGATTCAGAGCCAGAAGCCCAGTTCTCTGAGCTGCAGACTCACCCTGCACTGTGGGCCTGCCCAGGCTGTGGATTCTGTGAATTCTGTGTCCCATCTCAGGGGCAGGCCTGGCTCTGAAGGGGAGCATTGGTTCTCGGGGGGTGGCCCTGCCTGACCCTGGCCCCACCTGTCTGTGTTTCAAGGTGAGGCCACTCGGGGTGGGCGAGGGCTCCTTTGATGGGCAGACAGCATGAGGGAGGGCGTCTTTTGAGGGGGACACTGCAGCGGGGCAGTGTCCTGCATGCTAGGCCTGGTGCCCACACATACCCGCTTTCTGAAAAAGGGGCTGAGGAGCCTGCCTGTGGGGAGGAGGTGAGGACCCCTCAGAAACCTCCAGGATTTCTCTCAGACCCCAGCGAAAGGCTTGTGCTGGGCCAGCCTTTGTGGGATGGGGGTCCCAGCCCCATCTCCCTTGTAGGATAGGCTGCAGGCTGAGCCAGAGCTCAGTGCTTTGGTGCAAAACCTGGGCAGGGGATGGGCAGGCAGCCCTGCAGCATGGCCCACCCACCACAAGGTGACCCCTGAACATTGCACCCGGAGAAGCTTCATCCTGTGACCTATGCCAGCCTGTGGGATGGACACTGGGTCCCTGTGCTTGGGACCCAGGCCAAGGAAGCTCTGAACAATGGGATATGCAGGGAGAAATCAGTTCGCAGACCCGCGGTGCCTGGCTCCTGGCCACTGCGATTGTGTGCCTGTGTGAGACGCCTTTACAGAGGGCACAGTGCATGCATGCATGTGTGTGTGTGTGTGTGTGTGTGTGTGTGTGTGAATCACTCCTGCTTACATACAAAACCTCAGAGCTCAAGCAAAACAAAAAGACTGAATGAGACCCATCCCACGAGGGGCACTTGAGAGCCTTTGCCTCTTGGTGACTCATCTCCCACAGGCAGCAGGAAACAAAAGAGATTCAGGGGTTTCCCCACAGTGTGTGTTTACGTCATTGTGAATCAATTATCTTCCACATGAAACATCACAATTTTCAAAATAGGAAGCAGTTTAGCAGATGTGTGTGAGTTCACAAGAACCTTTGGTTTTCACTGAAGAAACAGTCCTGGTGGATGGGCTGTAGCTGCCTGGGATGTCCTGTTCTATGTGTGTGTGCAGGCCCTTTGGGCAGCGTGGGGTGCTGGCCGCAGAGTGCACTGAGCTGGGACAGCTAGGCGCTGGCTGACCCTGTGACGGCTGCTCTCCAGGGGCCCAGATGCGTGGGTTCCCACTGTAGGCCAGGGACGGAGTAGCACTTCACCTGCTTCAGTGGCCCATTTCACAGATGAGGCCACAGAGGCTCAGAAATTACCCCCTCCAAAGTGTCAGGATTCAAACTGCATGAAGAGAGGTGTTTGCTGAATCCAAGAGGGGGCAGTCATGGGGATCTCTTGGGGGTCAGCCAGGTCACTGAGGCCCAGTGTGGCTGTGTGTGGCCATGGGGGAGTGCAGCTGGGACTGAGTGGTTGGAGGAAAGGCCCAGGGCATGTCCCCGCCCGACTACAGGAACATGCTGGGCAGGCGGGGACTGCAGGGCCAGGGCCAGCCTGTGGTTGTGACTGTAAGTCCCCCTCACCTGGGATCTGGGACCACAGGCCTCCCACATGGTCTCAGAAGGTCCCTTGGGGAACGGGGGGATTGAATGGGCGTTGTGAGTGAGCAAACGTGAAGCAGGGACTCCGGGCCTGACAGCGCTGGCTGCTCTCTTGGCCATCCTCCCCAGATGTACCGTCCCAGGTGTATTAAGTCCGCAAATCCAGGAAATGGCAGAGCCAGGACTTCCCCGGGCCCAGGGTGACCCCAAAGGCTCATAATGTGGTGCTAGAGACCAAGGGGAGTGACACCAGCTCAGGCACTGGGAGCATCACAGTGAGAGGCAGGCGGCACAGACCTGGCAAAGGAAGACAGAGCTAAGGAGAGGCCGGCCTAGCTCCCCACACAGATGTCACCTGGAAATGTGGTGACAACTCCATGACCCAGCAGGAGGAATTCTGGCCCCTGCACAGGAAGCTCAGAGCCAGAGGGGCCACCAAGGGGGTTTTCTCTGCTCCCTCGCAGCCAGACCCCAGTGTCTTCCAGGGGAGGGCAGCCCTAGTGGTCTGTCCACCCAAAGCCTGCCCCAGGCTGTCTGTCAGCAAATCCTGCCCAAGTGTTGGCTGGTGGCTTTCAGGGCTGCCCCACAGCCACCTGCTACTCTCATCCTCATTGGCAGCTGCAGCCTCCAGGGATTCCACACCCTCCCCAGCAGACAGATTCCAAGGGTACCAACTGTCCACAGGAGCCAGATTGGCCATCCCTTCCTAGCCTCTCCCTGCCCCTGAGAGTAAATCCCTTCCTCAATCCCACCCCCAAACTCTGCGTGCCTGCCCCACAGGTCCAGCAGTGCCTCACGGGGCAGACACCCAAGAACACCGTCCAGCCGGGAGGACACATCTTCATCTCCTTGGATAGGCAGGTGGGCCAGGCCCACCCTGAGCTGAGGCCTGAAGGTGCCGGAGGAAGAAGAAAGCTGCCCTGGGGTGGAGCGGAGGCTGCTCCTCAGAGCAACACAGCCCAGGTAGGTCAGGGTCCTACAGTGTCAGCTGGCATCCCACTGGGGCCTGGACGCTGACAGACCAGCAGGGCATGCAGGCCGAGGGCACCCATGGCTGTGGCTGAGACCCCTCGGTGTAGATGGCTTTCCTCCAGTTGGAGTCTGAGCCACCACTGGAAGCCAGGGCTTGCCAAGGGCGGGGCCCTGCTCAGATGGGTGGGCTGCATTAGAGTGCGCACACACTCACAGGCAGGGGTGCACACGCCTCATCACCTGAACCCAGGACACTGTGGAAGGTGCAAGTTATTACACTGGGACCTCAGATGCCAACTGAGTGTGCTGGGACCAGGGTGCCTGGCCCCCGCTTATAGACCTTCTCTTGGCATCTGTTAACTCTTAGTTAACAAATAATCTCAACAGTGATCTAGGACATTTAGTTTTCCAACAATAGCAGGGGAATTCCTTCCCACTGCTCTCCCTCTCTCCCTTCTTCCCTGCTGACTTGAGGCCCCAGCTCAAGGAGGGCGAAGACACCAGCCTTGCGCTTGATGGTAACCCCGCTTGGCTAACATTCTTCCCTGCTGACTTGAGGCCCCAGCTCAAGGAGGGCGAAGACACCAGCCTTGCGCTTGATGGTAACCCCGCTTGGCTAACATTCTTCCCTGCTGACTTGAGGCCCCAGCTCAAGGAGGGCGAAGACACCAGCCTTGCGCTTGATGGTAACCCCGCTTGGCTAACATTCTTCCCTGCTGACTTGAGGCCCCAGCTCAAGGAGGGCGAAGACACCAGCCTTGCGCTTGATGGTAACCCCGCTTGGCTAACAGTCACCTGTTAGCAGGTAACCCATGTCCACGGGTCAGCCTACCCGGGGGCTGCCCTACTGGGGTTTGGGGGCAGTGCGGGTGTGTCTGCCCTAGCAACAGCTGGCCTCTCTCCTGGCCCTCCTCATGCACACTCCCCGGAACCCTTCCTCTGTATGCTCTAGTTTCCCCACCACTCCCCCTTGTTGATTTAACCCATGGCTGCCAGAACCCAGGGCTCAGCCCCAGGTAGCAAAAGCCCTGGGTTCAGGGCAATGGCCACACACCTAAGAAACTGTGGCTTCTCAGGGCAGCATTTCCAGTTGCAGAGAACAGTTGTTCAGGAGAACAGCTGTCTTCTCGGCCAGTGGGTGTTGGGAAGCTCACATTTATCCTGGACTTCACCTTGTGCATCAGGCCTCATGTTTCAACTCTGAGAGCCACAGGCCTTTAATAACCCATTCTGGGGAAGGAAACTGCCACTGAATTGAAAGTCAGTTCTTTTACAAGCAAGAGTCTGTTTTACCTGGTCCAGTGTGAGGCCCTCAAGAGTCAGGCATTTCATTTCTCTCCATTTGTTAATTGTCGTTTCACTTCACTTGGTGATCTTAAGAGCTTGGACTCTTCATATGATACCATATCATATCATATCATATCATATCATAAATCAAAGTCCAGCTCTGACATATATTTGCTGTATGATCTGGAGTAAATTGCTTAACCTCTCTGAGCTTCAGCTGCCTCACCTGTGAAATAGGAATAATAGCAATACCTACCTTATAGGGCTGTTGTGAGGGCTAAAACAGACAATGAATTTAAAGTACAAGTTCCATGCAGAATCTTAAAAATCAATCTCATAGTAGCAGAGAGTAGAACGGTGGTTTCTAGGGGCTGGGGTGGGGGACATGGGGAGATGTTTGTCAGAGCTACAAACTTGCAGTCATAGGATGAGTAAGTTCTGGGGATGTAAGGTATAGCATGGTGACTCCAGCTAATGACAATTTACTGTTTACTTGAAATGGACTAAGAGGACAGATCTTACATGTTCTCAACACAAAAAAAAAGGTGCCTGTGAGGCGGTGGACATGTTCATTGTCTTGATTGTGGTCATTATTTCCCAGTGTATGTGTGGATCAAATAATCACATCATACATCTTAAATGACACACTTTTATTGATGAATTACACCTCAGTTGAGCTGGGAGAAAAAGCCCTACCCGTGCTGACCGCACTGTCGCTCAATTTCATCTGATACGACAGTCTCTTCCCTAGTTCCCGGCCGCTGTGCTACCCACTGCACGCTCAGATGGACCCCCAAATCGCTCCGGCGGCTCTCTCCAAGGGCTGGGATGGAGATACATATACCTAAATATAATCATGGGCCCCAGGTGCAGGTCTGCCTTAAGAAGCCACCCCGGCCCCGCTATGCCTCCTTGGGGAGCGCCTTCCCCGTGCCGCAGAGGAGGTGCCTCCCCAGCTTCTGAGGACTCATGCTGGGCCCCACGCTGGAAGGGCTTTGTCTGAGGGCTCTGGAAGCAAATTTGTCATCACCAGCGGTGGCCCCAGGCCACATTCCTTCTCCTGCTAAGGAAAGTTGGCATCCAACTGGGGTGTTTTCTTTTACCCAGCACAGCCTGTTCATTCTGCAGCTCTAGGAGGAACATTGTATTTTCTGCGTGGGGTGCGTGTTTCTGTGAGTGCACAGAGGAAAGGGACACGATGATTTCACTCCCCTAGTCTAGCTGTGATTCGGTTTCCTCAGCATTTTACCCAACTGAGCACTGCAGGTGGGGCCTGAACGCCTCTTACAGGCATCAGCTCACAGCAGCCGGAGGTGCTAGGCATGAACCCGCCCTCTGTCAGGAGCAGCACACGGAGATGGTCAGAACACCCTAGCTGGAGGCCCACTCCCATGCCACACTGCTGTGACCCACTGGGAGGCTGAAGACCAACCCCAGCCTGGGACAGTGGGTGGGCCTGGCCTCTTACGGCTGGCCAGGTGTCAGGGGTGCCCAGATCTCCTGGCTCTGTGCTCATGGGCCCCCACACCCTCCCTCCAGCTCTGGTCTGTGTCTGCCAGAGTAGGGAGAAGCTGCTATCCCAGCTGGGCCTGGGGCTGGCGGGCTCGGGTGGCGGAAGGAGGTGGAGCCACAGGCAGCCTCCTTGCTCTGGCTGGTGCTTAACCCTTAGCTCTCCTATGGCCTTGTGGGCAGAGACCCAGTCACCCAACCATGAGGGCTTCCACGTATTTTGCATGCAGTGGACGCCCATTGTTTCTGGGCCAGTCGTACACTCTCGTGAGTTATTTCTCTCCATCTCCCTCTGCATGCTGTCCACGAGTACTTGTTTACAGCCTGTGGAAAGCATTGTGAGGACCACCAGAGGGCAGGCAGACAGAAGAGCCGGGCCAGGGCCCTGTTGGCAAGGACTGAGTCTAGGAGGAGGGAAGCAGCCAACCACATCTTAAGGACCCACGAAAACCTTCCCCCTCATACGTGCATTTCCACTCAGCCCAGACAGCCTCCAAGTTGGGCAGGTTTACTCTCACTTACAGAAGAGGGGGTCAGGCACTTGAAATCCTGGCAAGGTCTGTGTCTGCGTGATTCCCATCTGTACTCTGCTCAGCCCCGGCACAGCTGGGGAGACCTGGCCTAGAGGAGGCAAGCACGGGGGAGGTGGCGCCCAGCAGCTCTGTTCACTCAGAGGGCGCTCAAAAGGGGGCCAGGCGGGGCAGCAGGCCTGGGCCGACAGCGGGTGGGTCACACTGGTGAGGTGGAGGAAAGGCTCCGGGGTCGGCAGCCTCCCCGGCACTGCCCTGGTTTCCCAATAGTGTCTCTTTTCCTAGAGTTCTCAGCTGGGACGTGAGCTGCGCTCACTGGAACCCTCACAGACGGGACCCCTTCCCCCTCATTTTCAGGCCAACACCCAGGAAGGCCAAGGCCAGTAGGGCCTCTCATGGCCCCCAACAAAAGCCAGCTGTGCTGTCTCCACAGGAACAGGCTTAGAACTAGAGTGGGGGTCCACTGTCTTCAACCCTGATCCTTGGCTCAGGGCACTCCACTCCCAGCAGCTGCTGCCAGCTCAGGAGACATCATAGGGCTGTGCACACACCCCAGTCCCAGAAGGGCTCTGGGCGGCATGAGGCACTCAGACCTTCACCAGGGTCGGCCCTGCACAGGACTGACTCAGAGGAAATGCGTCCTTCCCCATGCACTCTCCTCTCCACATCCTCCCGTGCTACAGCCACGTTGGTTCCTGCCTCAGGGCCTTTGCACCTGCTGTTCCTTCTGCTGAATGATCTTCCCTCAAATCACTGCAGGGCTGTCTCCTTCTTGCCATTCAGGACCCAACTCAAATGGCCTGGGCCTTCCCTGGACACCCTGTCTAAGCCCCACCTCCATTGTCTTTGTCCTTCTCTATCACAACACACTATTTTTCTACACAGCTCTTAGCAGTATCTGGAATTATCCATATATTTGTACTATTTCAAGCAGCCTGCAAAGTATAATTAATGCTATTAATATAACAAACACCCACTTACCCATCACCTGGCTTTGTCAAATCTTTGTGTCATTTGCCCTCTTTGCTTCAGAGGTTTTTCTTTAAAGAAATAAAACATGGGCCAAGCGTGGTGGCTCACGCCTGTAATCCCAGCACTTTGGGGGACCGAGGCTGGTGGATCACCTGAGCTCAGGAGTTTGAGACCACCTTGGGCAACATGGTGAAACCCCGTCTCTGCTAAAATATAAAAAATTAGCCAGACGTGGAGGTGTGAGCCTGTAGTCCTAGGTACTCAGGAGGCTGAGGCATGAGACTCACTTGAGCCTGAGAGGCAGAGGTTGCAGTGAGCTGAGGACACACCGCCGCACTCCAGCCTGGGCGACAGAGTGAGACTCTGTCTCACAAAAAAAAAAAAAAAAAAAAAAAGGAAAAAAGAAAAGAAAAGAAAGGAAGAAAGTCCAGGCACAGTGGCTCATGCCTGTAATCCCAGCACTTTGGGAGGCCAACGTGGGTGGATCACCTGAGGTCAGGAGTTTGAGACCAGCCTGGCCAACATGGTGAAACTCCATCTCTACTAAAAAAAAAGTACAAAAATTAGCCGGGTGTGGTGGCGCGTGCCTGTAATCCCAACTACTTGGGAGGCTGAGACAGGAGAATCGCTTGAACCCAGGAGGTGGAGGTTGCAGTGAGCTGAGGTCGCACCATTGCACTCCAGCCCAGGTGACAGAGTGAGACTTCACTGAAAGAAAGAAAGAAAGAAAGAGAGAAAGAGAGAAAGAAAGAAAACATGAATAGAGATGAATTAAGTCCCTGCCCACCATGGACCCCTTCCTAATCTTATTTCTCTCCCTCCCATTCTTTTCCCTGCAGAAGTAAACACATTCTGAATTTTGCTCTGTTATTTCCATTCCTCTTCTGTGAGCTGGGAGTAAAATTGCCCAACTTGGTGGTTGTCCGAGCTGAGTGGAAATGCATGTATGAGGTGTAAGGCATTCATAAGTGTATTCCTATGGACATACTTAGTCCATAGAAAGGCATAGCGTTGTTTTGTAGGTGTTTTAAAATATATACACAATTTCATTCTCTAATTATAATTCTGCCACTTAGGTTTTTACTCAATATTTTGTGTTTGAGATTCATTCAGGTGGATGATTATAGCTCTAGCTCACTTAATTTTTGCTATCCTATAACATTTTATTTCAGTGACATATCATACTTGGTTTATCTTTCCTCCCACTGATAGAAATTTACACTGTTTCTAACTGTTTGGTCCACAAACATTGCTTATTTGTTATTTCCTTCTATGTGAGATTTAGTCTGGAAAAAGATCTATTAGTGAAATTACTAATCATGTTTATGTATGTTTTAAAATTTACTGTTGTTACCAAATTGCTCATCTAAGTGATGGTGACCAATTCCAGTCCCAGGAGTGGCAAATGAGAGGCCCTGTTGCTCCACAATTGCTGTAGACCTCAGTTCAAATGGAATGCTTTTTAATATTTGCCCTGCAGACAGATGCTACGTGGCATTCTGTTAAATTTGCATTTGCAGGGTTACTAGTGGGTTAATCATGTTTACTGTGTTTCTTAGCCAGTCTAGTTTCATTTTTGCACAATGTTCTAGTGGAGTGTTTGTTTTCCTGATTAATTTATAGCCATTATATATTATGGATAACTTCACTGCCAGTTTTTTGTATTGCAAATATGTACTCGCAGTTTGCAGCTTGTTTTCTCTTTCTTCTTGACTCAATTTTGGTAATTTTAATATTTCTAAACAATGATCCATGTCATCTACCTTTATAAAATTGTTGCTGCTAGGCCAGGCATGGTGGCTCACACCTGTAACCCCAGCACTTTGGGAGGCCGAGGCGGGCGGATCACGAGGTCAGGAGATTGAGACCATCTTGGCTAACACAGTGAAACCCCGTCTTTACTAAAAACACAAAAAAATTAGCCAGGCGTGGTGGCGGGCGCCTGCAGTCCTAGCTACTTGAGAGGCTGAGGCAGGAGAATGGAGTGAACCTGGGAGGCGGAGCTTGCAGTGAGCTGAGATAGCACCACTGCACTCCAGCCTGGGCAACAGAGCAAGACTCCATCTCAAAAAAAAAAAAAATTGTTGCTGCTAATGTTAATCATAGTATTCTCTCGTTCTCCCATGAGTTTTTGATTACACATTTCTTTTATCTTTTTTTTTTTTTTTTTTTTTGGTGTGATCACAGCTCACTGCAGCCTCGACTTCCTGGACTCAAGTGATCCTCCCACCTCAGCCTCCTGAGTAGTTGAGACTACATGTGTGGGCCACCATATCTGGCTAATTTTTTTTTTTTTTCAGAGATGGGGTTTCGCCATGTTGCCGAGGCTGGTGAGGAACTCCTCCTGGGCTCAAGAGATCCAGCTGCCTCGACCTCCCAAAGTGCTGGGACTACAGACATGCACCACCACACCTGGCCTTTTATCCTCTTTTTAGCAAATGCATTTAGGGTTTGTATTTACCTGTAAGAACAGGTTTACCTGAATTTCGCATAGTTTGATAGGTCATCCTTGCATTGTTCTCAGTTCTTAAAATTTCAAAATTTCCATTTTGAAATGTTTCCTCCTTATCTTTGGATTTTTAGCATCTTTAAAAATCTCTACACAGGTTTTTTGACTGATGTTTTATTGTTGAGTTCATACTTATCCTACTGCCATTGGAGGATCTGGCCTGTATGACTCCAATTCTTAGGAATATGTTAAGCTTTCTTTTGTCTCTTTCCCTGAGCCCACTGCCCCTGGCCAGCTCTCTGCCAGGGCAGCTGGACACTATGGGGTGCTTGGATCCCCCCACACCAGCCTAGAAGCTCCTCTGGACAGAGGTGGATCCAAGCGCTTGCCTCCCCAGCATCTGAGCCCACGTCGGCCTGGACAAGACTTCAGGCCTGCCTTCTCAGTCTGCCAGTGAAAAGAGCCATCCTTGGGACACACAGCTCTAAGTGTCTGGACCCCAAATCTTTCTCCTCCTCTGCAAAGGGACCTTCTTTGAGATTCTGGGGACTGAACTTGACCAGAACATTTGGGGTCACTCACAAGCATGCTTGGCTGCTGAGCTCTGTTCCCCCAAGGTTTACTGCCCCCATCCCCATGGCCTCAGACCCCAGCCCTCACCACCTCCCACACAGCAGGCTCAGCCCATCTCCACACACCAGGCCCTGGGCATAGGCTCCCCAGCCCGCTGGACACCACCCAACTCAGGTGCGGAGCTTCCTCCTGCCTCCCCGGCCCCAGGGAGTGCCGCTTCCTGACTCCAGAGTGCTGTTCGTTCCTGTGCTGTTCATACCATGACGATCATCCGTAAGAGCAACTCTGCAACAGGTGCTCCCGTGTCCCCCCTCCTCTACTGCTCAAAACACACCCAGGGACAGAGGAAGACTCCAGGCTGCAACATCGAGACCTAAGGGCCAGTCCAGAAGTCACCAGGCCGTTGACTCCAAGGCCCGCTTCACATCTGGTCTCACTCCCTTCTCTGTGAAGCACGGACCGGGAGGGACACCTCCTAGGACCTGCTGCAGGTGACAGAACAGCACAGGGACAACACCTGGGCACTCAGCTGTCAGCAGAGACTGGAGGTGCTTGGACCTAGGTTTCCTGACCGCGAGCTGCAGGCCTTTCCAGAACATCTCCCACATGCTCTCTTGCCCCAAGCACTGTGACATATACCCTGTGTCCTCAAATCAGACATTCACTCAGCAGGCACAGGGACTGGCATGCTGCAGGCAGGGCTGTTCTCTCCCAGAATCACGTTCTAGGCTTACAAACAAAAACCGGGACTTCCGATTCCAGCAATATGGCAGGTCTACTTAATTGGAAACATTTTCCACCACAGAGCACATAGAAATGCTGGATTAGGCTGGGCGCGGTGGCTCACGCCTGTAATCCCAGCACTTTGGGAGGCCAAGGCCGGCGGATCACCTGAGGTCAGGAGTTTGAGACCAGCCTGACCAACTGTCTCTACTAAAAATACAAAATTAGCCAGGCATGGTGGCGCATGCCTGTAATCCCAGTTACTCTGGAGGCTGAGGCAGGAGAATGGCTTGAACCCGGAAGGCCGAGGTTGCTATAAGCCGAGGTCACACCATTGCACTCCAGCCTGGGCAACAAGAGCGAAACTCTGTCAAAAAAAAAAAAAAAAAAAAGGAAAGAAATGCTGGATTAAATTCACAAACATGCTTTCAAATGCACTCCTGGAAGCGCAAGGCCATAAGGAACACCGTCCAAGAGGCCAGAAACAAAGAGCAACAAAAAACAAGTGAGCCAAACATAGGAGTGAGCACTGGGGCTGCCCTGGGCCCCGCAGGCCAGGTGGGACCAGCCCCTCTGTCCAGGGGCCAGGCCCAGCAAAGCAGGATGTGCTCAGGAGTGCACAGTGCAGGGAGCTCAGCCTCGGCAATCACCTCTGTGCCAAACACAGAGAAATGCTTCACAAAATATTAAAAGGACAAAATCAGAAAATCATGGCCAGCCTCAAAAGTTAGGAAAATGTCTCTGAGATCAGCAAAGAAGCAGGACTGGAATCTAGTGAGCTGGGCTAACATCTCAGCCTTACTGGAGGCCCAGGCAGAAGGTGGCACTTTGATTCCTGCAGGGTTTGGGGTATGAAAGGTGAGACTGCAGCCAGGCTCACTGTGGGAGAAAGAGTGGAGGGAAGGGTGATCCACTGAAGGATACACAAACTGATCTGCAAACTTGTTTGCTGAGTGACATTTGGCTGACCACACCCACAGTGGGCCTGCCGGATCAGCGCTCCTGGGAAAGACACTGGCCTCCAGAAACAGTCATGTGAGCCTCGCTGACCCGTGCATTTCAGGGTGTCACTCACAGCTCTAGCAGATGTCCGACTCTAGCCCTCAAGCTTCAGGATTGAAGATGCCCCAACCTCTTCCCTGGCATGATCCTGAGCTAGAAACATAACATCAAAAACATGCTACAAGTGCAGCGAAACATGGCAGAGCCTGATGTGCAGTCCTCTTGTCCACTAAGGTCATGACGTAGGGTGCCAGGCTCTCCCCTAATGTGATCAGAGTCGGGGGTCTTAGCATGGTGTATGGCCAGATGACTGAGCTCTGGTCCAGCCTTCCAGGGAGATCAGCCTTCAGGGAACCAGTCTTGGAGAAGTTAATGCTTCCCTTTTTTTTTTTTTTTTTGAGCTGGGGTCTCGCTCTATCACCCAGGCTGGAGTGCGGCGGTGCGATCTCCGCTCACTGCAAACTCTGCCTCCCAGGTTCATGCCATTCTCCTGCCTCAGCCTCCTGAGTAGCTGGGACTACAGGCGCCCGCCACAACGCCCGGCTAATTTTTTTTTTTTGTATTTTTAGTAGAGATGGGGTTTTATGGTGTTAGCCAGGATGGTCTCGATCTTCTGACCTCGTGATCCGCCCGCCTCGGCCTCCTGAAGTGCTGGGATTACAGGCGTGAGCCACTGTGCCCGGCCAATGCTTCCCTTTTACCAAGAAATAAGCAGTGGGACACAGTGGCTCATGCCTGCAATCCCAGCATTTTGGGAGGCCAGAGTGGGAGGATCGCTTCAGCCCAGGCATTTGAGACCAGCCTGGGTGACATAGCAACACCCCGTGTCTACTAAAAATAATTTAAAAAAAGACCGGGCCTGTAATCTCACACCACTGCACTCCAGCCTGGGTGACAGAGTGAGACCCTGTCTCCTTAAAAAAAAAAAAAAAAGAAAGAGAGAAAAGAAAAGCCTGGGTACAGCTACAACAAAAAAATAAAACTTCAGGCCAATTACTCTCTGATGAACACTGATGCAAAAATCCTCAATAAAATACTGGCAAACCAAATCCAGCGGCACAGCAAAAAGCTTACCCAGCTGGGTGTGGTGGCTCATGCCTATAATCTGAGGACTTTGGGAGGCTGAGGCAGGTGGATCACCTGAAGTCAGGAGTTCGAGACCAACCTGGCCAACATGGTGAAACCTGTCTCTACTAAAAATACAAAAATTAGCTGGGAGTGGTGGCACATGCCTGTAATCACTGCTACTTGCTACTCGGGAGGCTGAGGCAGGAGAATCACTTGAGCCTGGCAGGCAGAATTTGTTTGCAGTGAGCCGAGATGGCGCCATTGCACTCCAGCCTGGGTGACAGAATAAGACTCCGTTCAAAAAAAAAAGCTTATCAGTGATAGACTGGATTAAGAAAATGTGGCACATATACACCATGGAATACTATGCAGCCATAAAAAAGGATGAGTTCAGGTCCTTTGCAGGGACCTGGATGAAGCTAGAAACCATCATTCTAAGCAAACTATCTCAAGGACAGAAAACCAAACACCGCATGTTCTCACTCATAGGTGGGAAGTGAACAATGAGAACACTGGGACACAGGGCGGGGGACATCACACACCAGGGCCTGTTGGGGCCTGGGGGGCTGGGGGACGGATAGCATTAGGAGAAATACCTAATGTAAATGATGAGTTGATGGGTGCAGCAAACCAACATGGCACATGTATACATATGTAACAAACCTGCACATTGTGCACATGTATCCCAGAAATTAAAGTATAATAACAAAACAAAACAAACAAGCAAAAAAAAGCTTATCCACCATGATCAAATCGGCTTCATCCCCAGGATGTAAGGCTGGTTCAACATATGCAAATCAATAAATGTAATTCAGCACGTAAACAGAACTAAAGACAAAACCCACATGATTATCTCAATAGACACAGAAAAGGCCTTTGATAAAATTCAACATCCCTTCATGTTAAAAATTCTCAATAAACTAGGTATTGAAAGAACATACCTCAAAATAATGAGAGCCATTTATGGCAAACCCACAGCCAATAGCATACTGAATGGGCAAAAGCTGGAAGCATTCCCCTTGAAACCAGCACAAGACAAGGCTGCCCTCTCTCACCAGTCCTATTCAACATGGTATTGGAAGTTCTGGCCAGGGCAATCAAGCAAGAGAAAGAAATAAATGGTATTCAAATAGGAAAGAGAGGAAGTCAAACTGTCTCTGTTTGCAGGTGACATGATCCTATCTCTAGAAAACCCCATCCTCTCAGCCCCAAAGCTTCTTAAGCTTATAAGCAACTTCAGCAAAGTCTCAGGATACAAAATCAATGTGCAAAAGTCACAAGCATTCCTATACACCAGTAAGAGACCAACAGAGAGCCAAATCATGAATGAACTCCCAGGCTGTGCCATGAACTACAAGGCTACAGTAACCAAAACAGCATGGTACCGGTACAAAAACAGACACATACACCAATGGAACAGAATAGAGAACTCAGAAATAAGATCACATATCTACAACCATCTGATCTTTGACATACCTGACAAAAACAAGCAACAGGGAATGGATTCCCTATTTAATAAATGGTGCTGGGAGAACTGGCTAGCTATATGTAGGAGATTGAAACTGGACCCCTTCTTTACACCTTATACAAAAATTAACTCAAGATGGATTAAAGACTTAAATGTAAAAGCCAAAACTATAAAAACCCTAGAAGAAAATCTAGGCAGTACCATTCAGGACATAGGCACAGGCAAAAATTTCACGATGAAAACGTCAAAAGCAATTACAACAAAAGCAAAAATTGACAAATGGGGTCTAATTAAACTAAACAGCTTCTGCACAGCAAAAGAAACTATCATCAGAGTGAACAGACATCCTACAGAATGGGAGAAATTTTTTGCAATCTATCCATCTGGCAAAGGTCTAATATCCAGAATCTACAAGGAACTTAAACAAATTTACAAGAAAAAAAACAACCCCATTAGAAAGTGGGCAAACAACATAAACAGACACTTCTCAAAAGAAGACATTCATTTGGCCAGCATGAAAAAAGGCTCAACATCACTGATCATTAGAGAAATGCAAATCAAAACCACAATGAGATACCATCTCATGCCAGTCAGAATGGCGACTATTAACAGGAGAGAAGTGGGTGGAAGAAAGGGCTACCTTCTCTGCTGTCAAGCCTGGCCGACATAGTGAAACCCCAGGCTGCCCTTCTTACTCCCCTCTCACCCCTTCTCACACATTCTCTGTCTGTCCTCTCACCTGGCAGAGCACTGCCTCGGGGGCTCCCGTGTGGCAACAGCGGGGGACAAAGGTGGGGAGCTCCTGGCGGCGCAGTGATCCAGACCTGGAGAGGCCAGGCCCATTTTCTCTCTCCTTAACTCCTGCCACTCCAAGTGAATGTATGTCCTAGGCACTCATTATAGCTTGGTAACTATGGATGCTGTAATGAGAGCATAGATTAGTTTGGAAAGATTTTTTTCCGTCGTTTTCATCTGTATCTTAAATCCTTCCTTTAGGAGTAATTTGATGTTCAGCAGTGTCTTTCCTGTTCCTTGTTCATCTTTTTATTGGCGGGGGGCGGAGGCGGGGCACTTGGGATGCAGGGAGTTGAATTATTCACACTTCTCAGTTCAGGGGCACAGACTACTACCATCAATGTGACGAGAACCCTCTCTTATTTTTTTCTCCATTTAATTTAAATTATTATGAATTGGCAAGGCACGGTGGCTCACTCCTGTAATCCCAGCATTTTGGGAGGCCGAGGCGGGCAGATCATGAGGTAAAGAGATCGAGACCATCCTGGCTAACATGGTGAAACCCCGTCTCTACTAAAAAAATACAAAAATTGGCCGGATGCAGTGGCTCACGCCTGTAATCCCAGCACTCTGAGAGGCCAAGGCAGGTGGATCACGTGAGGTCAGGAGTTCAAGACTAGCCTGGCCAACATGGTGAAACCCCGTCTCTACTAAAAATAAACACACACACACATACAAATTAGCTGGGCGTGTTGGCGGGTGCTTGTAATCCCATGAACTTAGGAGGCTGAGGCAGGAGAATCACTTGAACCTAGGATGCAGAGGTTGCAGTGAGCCAAGATTGCACCATTGCACTCCAGCCTGGGCAACAAGAGCAAAACTCCGTCTCAAAAAAAAAAAAAAAATTAGCTGGATGTGGTGGTGCATGCCTGTAGTCCCAGCTACTCGGGAGGCTGAGGCAGGAGAATTGCTTGAATCTGGGAGGCGGAGGTTGCAGTGAGCCGAGATAGCGCCATTGCACTCCAGACTGGCCACAGAGCGAGACTCCGTCTCAAACAACAACAACAACAACAAATTATTATGAATTATTTTATTTTAAATTATTTTATGTATTACTTTCCCTTTTATCCTGAATACCCATCCCTATTCCCTCAGCTCAAGGGTAGCTGCTGTCATGTATTTAAAATATATTCTCTTTAGATGCATAGAAAAGGTTTGTAGATTTACAAAAATAAATTTGGTGAGGTACACGGGGACTCAGTACACTAGGGGACTGATTTACTCTAGTTGTATTTTTCAATTTCTGACATTACAAATTTGTGCTCTGAAGACATTGCTTGCTGTCTGTATTTTTTGCTAGCTGGAGAGCACCTCCCTACATAGGAGGGAAGGGAAGGTCAGCTTTATTTTTCGGCAAGTAGTAGGTGAGAGAGTGAGTCATAAAGGTCCTAGGGGAAGAACATTCCAGGAAGAGGGATAGCCAGCGTGAGAAACCTGGTGTCGCAATTGCCTGCCATGTCCAGTTTGGCTACAAGGGAGTAAGCCAGGGGCCTGGGCCTGAGACGCAGACAAGTGCTTGTAAGAGATCACGCAAGGAACTGTAGGCATTGCAAGGCCTTTAGACTTTGCCTCCAGTGAGAAGTATGTGTCAGGACTTGATTTGTTTTAATTGCTGAATAATATTCCATTGTTTGGACATACCGCATTTTGTTTATCCATTCATCACTTGATGGACATTTGGGCTGTTTCCACCTTTTGGCTATTATGACTAATACTGTTATGAGCATTTGTGTACCGGGTTTTGCATGGACATATTTTCATTTTTCTTGGATATACCCAGAGTAGGATTGCTGGCCATATGGTATCTGTGTTTAGCATTTTGAGGAAGTGCCAATGTCTTATCCAGGAGTGATCTGCAGAGGCAGAGTGGTTCTGAACTGAGTTTGTGGTGGGCTACGAACCGCAGAAGGGCTGGCCAGCAGCCAGGAGGCAGCAGGGATCGGGGACAAGTTCAAGACCAGCAGAGGCTGCCAGGATAAACCCATGGGGAAAACAAGACAAAACAAGTCTGTGAGCCAGGACACCAGGAAGAAAACCTGCTCCAGAACCTTTCGGAACACTGCGGGGAAGGCTGGGTTATGCTTCTCTTTCTTTTCCACCTTCAGCTCTCTGTTCCCACTAGAAACAGGCTCGCTGTGGCTATCAGTGCATCCTCAGGGTGCAGAGAAGAGAGGTGGGTGTGTGGATCTTGGGAATGTGCTGGGAGAGCGGGGAACAGGCAGAGAACACCCTGGGGAGGCCCATCCTCCTCCCCAGGGCACTCTCGACCCAGGGGAGGCTTCCCTGGGGAGCACCGAGGAGTTTCTTCCCAGAGGCGCCAGAGCACTCCTCTCCCAAGTGCGACGTGGGGGAAGCGTGTGCCTCCTGCCACCTCCTCCTGGCTCTCTTCTGCTTTACTCCTCTTTCCCAACCCAGAGCCCAGCCCAGTTCTTTTGCAGGTGGGGGCTAGTGCAAACTGGGGCTGTCTGTCAGGCACCATCACATTCAGTTTCCACCAAAGCCTTACTTTTCTTGCAATAGTTTGAGTTGAGTTTTAAATGCAGCTCTCGGTCCATGCGTAAGACAGTGGCCGCATATGCGCTGCACATGTGACGAGTGTGTTACATAAAATATGGGTGTGGCAGTGCATGCTTTCAGCAGGGTCTCACGTGTGTGTCAGTTGGGGGGCGGGGCTTGTCTAGAAATGGGGATAATTCTGGGAGCTATAGGGGAGTGGATTCCCTGTGCCCCAACCAAGAGAGCCCAGTTCCTCCCAGGGCCAGGCTGTGGGTGCTTGCAGGGACCCTCCCTCCTGGCTAGGCCTGCCTGGGTGAGGCCAGCCTTGGTGCAGTCAGCCATAGCCTCTCCTGGCTGCCAGCCAGTGCAGGCTGAGGGTGATTGTGTCTGGGAGTGTCCTCTTGGCTCCTCTGAGATCCTGACTAGACCTGTCCTCAGCAGAGAAGGCAGCCCTTTCTTCCACCCACTTTAGCACTGGAAGAATGCTCCCAGCACTTCCCTAGTCTTCACGATGGAACACAAGATGAGATGGGTTTCCAGGCAGAGAGAGGTATTGTCTCATACACTCTCATCCCCACCAGGGCCTAAACTTCCACTGTTAGAGACTTATACGTGAAGGTTTGAGGGGCTTGAGGTCACACTGGAGTGGGGTGGAAAGCTCTGGAGCAGAGTGGTCTCAGTTGTTCATGGATAGCCACTTCCTTGCTATGTGGCTCTAGGCAAGTCACTTAAACTCTCTCAATTTGTACATGAGGTGATAAGAGTGACCATCTTGCATAATTTATTGTTGTGAGTATTAAATGAAAAAATAGGTAAAGCAGCTAGCAAGATGTCTAGCACAGGTGGGTGCTTGATGGCCAGGTATTCCCTTCTCACTGGAGTGCCAAGCCCCTGGGAAAGGTGACCTCAGCCTCCAGGCAGACTCTGGAGGAGAAATGGGAAAAGTTAAGAAATGGTAATCTGGGCCGGGCACAGTGGCTCACGCCTGTAATCCCAGCACTTTGGGAGGCCGAGGTGGGTGGATCACGAGGTCAGGAGATCGAGACCATCCTGGCTAACATGGTGAAACCCCATCTCTACTAAAAATACAAAAAATTAGCTGGGCGTGGTGGTGGGCGCCTGTAGTCCCAGCTACTCGGGAGGCTGAGGCAGGAGGATGGCGTGAACCCGGGAGGCGGAGCTTGCAGTGAGCCGAGATCGCGCCACTGCACTCCAGCCTGAGAGACAGAGCGAGACTCCATCTCAAAAAAAAAAAAAAAAAAAAAAAGAAATGGCAATCTGTCTTTTTCTTTGTTTGTTCACTCATTTATTCACGCTTCCAATGGAGTAACATTGCCGAGCGCCTGCAAGTGCCAGACCCAGCAGGAGGCATGGAGACCCAGAAGGTCACAGGGTCTCAGTGGGATCAGACTCAGTAGGGGTCCATCTGAAACGCAAGCACAGTAGCAACTCAAAGCATTTGCAAGCAATGTGGACTTCACTGAAGTGTTGGTGAGGAAGCAGAACAGTAGGTTATACCACACAGAAAAAGCAAGATGTGTCCATGTCCCTGCTAATCAACTCCAAGCTCTCTCTGGCACCTGCCTGGCTGTGGCTGCCGGCACCCCTCTGCTTCCTCTGGCTTCCATTTCCTGGGCTCACTGCCCACATCCTACCCCTTATTAAGGGGTTTCATAGAGACTTAATTAACATACCACACAATTCACCTTTTAAAACATTGTGTACGTCGATGGTTTCTAATCTATTCAGGCTTATACAACCATCACCATAATCCAATTTTAGAATATTTTAATCTCCTCCCAAAAACCTTCATGCTCATTAGGAATCACCCCAAACTTCCCCTTTTCCCCAGCCCTAGGAAATCACCAATCCACTTTCTGTCTTCATGGATTTGCCCAATTCTGGACATTTCATATAAGTGGAATAATTCAATATGTGGTCTTTTAAAAATTTTAAATTAAGGTAAAAAAATTCTTAACATAAAGTTTATCATCTGAACTATTTTTAGGTGTGCAGTTCAGTAGTGGTAACTGTATCCACACTGTTGTAGAACATCTCCAGAACATTTTCATCTTGCAAAATTGAAACTCTGTACCCATTGAACAACTCCCCTTTCTCCTCCCCGTGTCCCTTGGTTATCATCATTCTTTTTGTCTCTATGAATTTGGTGACTGTAGGGACTTCATATGAATGAAATCATACTGTATTTGTCATTTCATGATTGGCTTGTTTCAAGTAGCCTACTGTCCTCAAGGTTTACCCATGCTGTAGTGTGTGACATCCTTCTTTTTAAAAACTGAATAATATGACTGGGCACAGTGGCGCTCACGTCTGTAATCCCAGCACTTTGGGAGGCCTAGGTAGGTGATCCACCTACCTAGTTCAGGAGTTCCAGACCAGCCTGGCCAACATGGTGAAACTCCATCTCTACTAAAAATGCAAAAATTAGCTGGGCGTGGTGGCATGTGCCTGTAATCCCAACTACTCGGGAGGCTGAGGCAGGAGAATTGCTTGAACCCGGGAGGCGGAGGTTGCAGTAAGCTGAGATGGCACCACTGCACTCCAGGCCTGGGCGACAGAGCGAGACTCCATCTTAAAAAAACAAAAAACAAAACAACAACAACAACAAAACTGAATAACACACACACACACACACACACACTCTCTCCATCTGTCTCTCTCTCTCTGTCTACTTTATCCATTTATCTGTTGAAAAACACTGAGTTGCCTCCACCCCCTGGGTATTGTGAATAGCATTGCAATGAACGTGGGTGTGTAGATATCGCTTTGAGATCTTGTTTTCAGTTCTTTTGGATGTATACCCAGAAGTGAGTTTGCTGGATCATATGGTAATTCTACTTTTACTTTTTTGAGGAACCCTCCATGCTATTTCCCATAGTGGCTACACAATTTTGATAGTAACTATCCTAATGGGTGTGAAATGGTATCTCATTGTGATTTTGATTTGTATTTCTGTAAGTGATGTTGAGCATCTTTTCATATGCTTATATGTCATTTGCATATATTTTTAGAGAAATGTCTATTCCAGTCCTTTGTCCATTTTTCTTCTTGAGACAGAGTCTTGCTCTGTCGCCCAGACTAGAGTACAGTGGTACAATCTTGGCTCACTGCAACCTCTGCCTCCCGGGTTCAAGCAATTTTCCTGCCTCAGCCTCCCAAGTTGCTGGGACTACAGGCACCTGCCACCACGCCCAGCTAATTTTTGTATTTTTAGTAGAGATGGGGTTTCACCATGTTGGCCAAGCTGGTCTTGAACTCCTGAGCCCAGGTGATCCGACCCCCTCAGCCTCCCAAAGTGCTAGGATTACAGGCGTGAGCCACCGCACCTGGCCTCCTTTGTCCATTTTTGAGCTGGCTTGACCTTTTTTTTTATTGTTGAAATGTAGGAGTTTTAAAAATATATATTCTGGATAATAACCCCTTATCAGATATATGATTTGCAAATATTTTCTCCTATTCTATGAGTTACCTTTTTATCCTATTGATAGTGTACTTTGATACATAAAAGTTGTTTTTTTTTTTTTTTTTTTTTGAGACGGAGTCTTGCTCTCTCTCTGTCACCCAGGCTGGAGTGCAGTGGCGCAATCTCGGCTCACTGCAAGCTCCGCCTCCCGGAGGTTCACGCCATTCTCCTGCCTCAGCCTCCCGAGCAGCTGGGACTACAGGTGCCCGCCACCATGCCCAGCTAATTTTTTGTATTGTTAGTAGAGACGGGGTTTCACTGTGTTAGCCAGGATGGTCTTGATCTCTTGACCTCATGATCCACCCACCTCGGCCTCCCAAAGTGCTGGGATTACAGGCGTGAACCACCGTGCCCAGCCATAAAAGTTTTTAATTTTGATAAAGTTCAATTGATTTATTATCTGTTTCTTTTGTTGCCTGGGCTTTTGGTATCATATCTAAGAAATCATTGCCAAATCCAATGTCATAAAGATTTTTCCCTATATTTTCTTCTAGGAGTTTTATAGTTCTAAGGTAAATACTTTTTTTTTTTTTTTTTGAGAGAGAGTCTCTCTCTGTTGCCCAGGCTGGAATGCAATGGCACGATCTTGGCTCACTGCAATCTCTGCCTCCCGGGTTCAAGTGATTCTTCTGCCTCAGCTTCCTGAGTAGCTGGAACTACAGGCTTGTGCCACCATGCCCAGCTAATTTTTGTATCTTTAGTAGAGATGGGGTATTACCATATTGACCAGGCTGGTCTTGAACTCCTGACCTCAGGTAATCTGCCCACCTTGGCCTCCCAAAGTGCTGTGATTACAGGCGTGAGCCACTGCACCCAGCCTTAAAGTAAATACTTTGCATTTAGGTATTTAATCCATTTTGGGTTATTTTTGTATCTAGTGTAAGGAGAGGGCCTGATTTCATTATTTTGCATGTGAACGTCCATGAGGCCATAGGTGAAGACTGAGAGAGAAAAGGCAGTGCAGCAGGCAGGGGGACCATGTGCACTTCAGCCACTTTTTCATGTAACTTGCTTGTGTCTTCAGAGCCTGCTCAGGCCCAGTCATGTATAGACCACTTCCACTTGATAATGGAGTGTTGCTATGCCTGCTCAACTGTATGGCTTGTTGGATCACATAACACCCAGTTCATAACGGGCATCTCAGCTCACATGGTGACTGGTTTACCCATGATTAAGTGTTTAGTGTCTGCTAAGGCCCGGTAGCAGGCCAAGAGCTGTCTCTCAAAAAGATCCACAGAGGATGGCAGGATTTTGCTTTAAAATTCTAAGAGCTTGCACTTTGGGTCACCTATGGGGGCTCCAAATAGCATCCCTGTCTGCCACTGCCACCTTGAGCACCACTAGATCTGCTGGGTCACATGGCTCAAGTGGCAAAGCAGCCTGCACAGCAGCTTGGACCTGTTGCAGCGCCTTCTCCTGTTCTGGGCCCCACTCAGAACTAGCCGCTTTTCAGGTCACTCAATAAATGGGCTGTAGTAACACACCCAAATGAGGAATATGTTGCCTCCAAAATCCAAGTAGGCCCGCTAGTAATTGTGTCTTTTTCTAGTTTGTAAGAGGGGCCACATGCAATCATGTATTCTTTCTTCACCTTAGAAAGGATATTTCATATCTCCAGATAGTTTTAAAAAAGAGAAAAAGGATATTTTCAACATTTTCTGGACCCCCAGAAATTTCACTGAGGTAGAAGATCCCTGAATTTCAGTTAGAGTTCTCTCTCAGCCTCTGACACACAAATATCTCACCAGTAAGTTAAGAGTAGTTGCTATTTCTCACTTATGGTCCAGTCAGCACTAGGTCATCAGTGTCATGATAGACCAGTGTGCTATCTTGCAGGAGGGAAAAGAAATTGAGATCCCTGCAATCTAATTTATAACATAGGGTTGTAGAGTTGACATACTTCTGAGGTAGGACAGTGGAGGGGTAGTGCTGGCCTTGCCAGCTGAAAGCAAACTGCTTCTGGTGAACCTTACAGAAAGACATGGAGAAAAAGGCATTTGTCAGATCAATAGCTGCTTACTGTGTTAATTTGCTGAAGCAGTGAAACCACAGCTGGTACAACAATTGCAATAGGAGTCACCACTTGGTTAAGCTTACAAGAAGCCACTGTCATTGTCTGAGATCTATCTCTCTTTAGCACAGGCCAGATAGGAGGGTTGAATGGGGATGTGGTGGGAATCACCACTCCTGTATCTTTTAAGTCCTTGATGCTGGTGCTAATCTCCGAATCTCTGCAGTCTCTCTAGAATGCAGCAATGCTTTTGGTTTTCTTAGGCAAAGGCAGCTTCAGTGGCTTTCATTTGGATTTGCCTATCAGAAGAGTCCTCAGGGAACCAACATGGTACTCTGCTAGCTACTAAGTACAGCCACGTATCACATAACATTTCGCTCAATGGTGGATAGCATATATGATGGTGGTCCCATAAGATTATAATACCATACTTTTGCTCTACCTTTTCTTTTTTCTTTCCTTTTTTTTTGAGATGGGGTCTCACTCTGTCGCCCAGGCTGGAGTGCAGTGGCGCA
Organism: Homo sapiens; assembly: GCF_000001405.40. Taxonomy (NCBI): domain Eukaryota; kingdom Metazoa; phylum Chordata; class Mammalia; order Primates; family Hominidae; genus Homo; species Homo sapiens. Next base: position 130,802,073 of record NC_000002.12, on the reverse strand, counting down.
ATCTTGGCTCACTGCAAACTCTACCTCCTGGGTTCAAGTGATTCCCCTGCTTCAGTCTTCTGAGTAGCTGGGACTACGGGCACCCACCACCCACCACGCCCAGATAATTTTTGTATTTTTAGTAGAGATAGGATTTCACCATATTGGCCAGACTGGTCTCGAACTCCTGATCTCAGGTGATCCACCTGCCTCGGCCTCTCAAAGTGCTGGGATTACAGGCACGAGCCACCGCGCCCGGCCTGCTGTACCTTTTCTATGTTTAGATACACAAATACCATTGTGCTACAGTTGCCTACAGTATTTAGTACAGTAACCTGCTATATAGGTTTATAGCCTAGGAGCAATAGGCTATCCTATATAGCCTAGTATGGAGGAGGCTATACCATCTAGATTTGTGTAAGTATGCTCTATGATGCTTGTACAAAGACTAAATTACCTAATGATGCACTTCTCAGACTGTATCCCCACCGTTCGGTGAGTGACACATGACAGTATGTTCCAATTATGCATTCTGGAACTTAGGAAATAACCGCATAGACTGAGCCTGGGGACCCAATGGGCCCACTGTGAGATGGACCTGAGCTAAAACTCCCTTGACCACCTGACCTCCGTAAGCCCCTGGAGGGCCACAGGGATGCTTCTGGTCTTCTGGAATGAATGTCAGTTCAGAGCCAGTGTCCCAGAGTGCCTGAGAGGTCTGATTATTTTCTTTTTCCTAGTACACAATGACCCTGGTAAAAGGTCAAAGGTCTCTCTAGGGAAGGCTGAGAGAAAGATTAACAGTAGAGGTTTTTGATAGCATACAGGATCCTTTCTGGAGGGGACTGTGCTTCCCCTGCATGGACCATGATGTTCTATTTTCATGATTCAAGTAAGATTTTTGTTAACTCGACCTGGAAGTTTTCTGCTTATACAGATTAAGAATTTAATAGGTATGAAAGTTGATCATAAATGTGTGATTCTTGTCACACCCAATTAAATCTGAGTTGAGGGCCAAGGAGGGAAAAACACTCAGGATTTATAACATCGCTTCAGAAATGCAATTTTCTGCAAGTCCAGCAGCCAAAACTGTCTATTGTAACCTGAGACCAGTTTTGTCTATAGCTTGTGGAATATCTTGCCGCCAATGTAGGGCTCATTGTGTCCACTGCTATCGTTCACCAATCAGCTTGCTAGTCCCAAAGCTTTACTAATACAAATAAACTTTCTCTCAAGACCACGAGCAACATTCCTCTATTCTATAAAATCCCCAACCTGCTCTTTGTTCTTTGGACATACTGAAAAACACCTGGTCTGTGTGTATGACCCAAATTGCAATTCTTATATCCCAAATAAAATGTTATATTTAGAGATTTGTCTCTACCTTTTAATGTTGACTTCAGTACAAGCTTCCTATCTATTTCACTTCTAGGAACGCCATAATCAACTATCCAACATCACATATTCACACAAGTCAGACTATTCTGATTGTTACTTTGTCTCTTCTGTCCATTATGGTAGTCACACCCACCTTGTCTTAGGTGGTTGAGTTCCCCTCTTGGCTCCTCCCACCCTGAGATCAGTTGCTGTCATTGCATTTAATTTTCCAATTGAGTGACTGTGGTTCCCACTGTAAGGTCTGCCCAGAGAGAAAAGCAATGAAACAGCTCTTGAAGGATGCTGGGGCTCCCCTCACAAACCCATTTCTTACAATATTGGTGAAAGGTGTGTCTGGACTAGTGTGGGTAAGTATGTCTAAAATGGCAAATCTACTCTAATTCCAATCTCTTCAATTCCCTTCCTCTACATTAAAACAAGGGATATCTGGCACCTCCAACTTGCTCATTGTAGGCCGCCTTTTAATCTGTTTCCCCTAACCAACTAAACTATTAGGTCTTTTTTACACGCCCAGGGCTGCAGCATTCAGTGCAGAATCTCTGCTTAGTGGGCCCACATCAATACATTTGGCCTGATCCGACTTTATGGTCTTTCCACCATTATCCTGCATGTTTAATGGATCCTTAAGATCCATTTCCACACATTTACTGGATTTCTGCCTGTATGAATTAGAAAACTCAAGTAGTTCTTTTGGATTGTGGCACACCTCCTCCTGGGTCCTGCTATGTCCTCACCTTTGGGGGCCTGCTGGGCCTTGAGTCTAGTTATAGGTCTAGTAAAGACAGGTGGGTCCTAAGGAAACTCAGCATTGTCTTGCATGACAACTGCCTCAGGGGAGGTCTTTATCATTTCCTCCAGCAATGCAGGGTTAATCTCCTCAGGCCAAGGCCAACACCACGAAGGGTGTGAAGGCTGCTTCCCCTGGGGATGGGGAGGCTAGTTTTGCTGTGGATGGGAAGACAACTCCCGTGGGCAAAGAGAATTCATCAGAATTTAGGAGCTCAATGTCTCCCAGTTTCATCAGGATATTCCCATACACCCCCATCCCAATTTACAGGTTGTCATCCTCTCCCAATCAATACCCTCACTTTAATAGTAGACATCCTGGGAGGCTGGGAGTTCAGCTTTTGCTGTAATTCAGCCAGTCACATGGTGAGGACTTGTGTTTGATTTTCAGCAGTTTCAACCCTGTGGCTACAGAGGGTCATCCCTCATGGTGGCCCTGACAGGGCGTGGGGGAGAGAGGCTAGGGCATCTGTGGTCTTCTTTTGGGAGATATGGGGCTCACCCTCTGCACTTTGCCTAAGCTGCATCCCACACTTTCTGGGCAACCTCCTATGTCTCAACTCCTGGCCCTGCTGTGCCCCCAGAAGGCTCCTCTTGACAGGCCACCCTCTTAGGCAGGGTCCTTTTGGGATGACTCACACCTGATACCTTGAGGACCAGCATCACTTGCAACCTTGTCTGTCCACACGGTGCACCTGAAGCGTCTCCACTGCCAGCCCTCTTCCCAGCTTTTCCAGCAACGGATGTCCATAGCCTGCCCTCCTACCCAGGAGTGGTGTCCATCTCTGTCTCAGGGATGCTACTGGTCTGTTTGCTCACAGCAGGGATGGGCCTGCGAGTGCCGGCGCTGAGCAGGCAGCCTGCAGCCCTGAGCCGGCTCCCACTTCAGGGCCATAGAGGGCGGGGAAGGGGGCAGGGCCTGGCAGAGGCTGGAGATGCTTGGATGGGGGCCAACAGCAGGGGGATGGGGGAAGGCAGCGCCTAGCAGCTATCCTTGAAATGAGTGTTTTCGCAGCCAAAGCTCAGGTGTAGGCCCACTCCCCCATGCCACGGCCTTTTGAACATGTGGAACCAGGACTCGGAACGTCCTGTTTTAAAGTGGGAGGTGGGCTGTCACTGGCAGGCGAGAGCTGCCGCCGCGCCTCTGCGAGGCTCCCCATTCCTGCGACCCTATCACATGTGGAAGGTGGGTGGGAGGGTGGTGGCGCGGTTGATCTGATCTCTGTCCCAAATAAGGCTCTTGAGGAGGACGCAGGGCACTTCCAGGGCGAGGGTGCCGCTGGGCTCTGACAAGCCCTTTGGGGACTCGTGGAGTCGTGGGAATGCCAGCTGACTCAGCGAGGGCGGCCTTGGCCACAGCAAGGTACCCTTCCCTACTTTCTGTCTTTCGTGGTGAGGCGATTTTAAAAACGCAGTCTGAGCAGCCCTTGCCATTGTCCTGCTGTGTACCCAGCACTTAGTGTGTCAGCTGGTCCGTGTGGACGGCCCAGTCCCTCCAGTGGCATCCCTACCGGTGACCCCTCCTGCCTGCACCATCGTTCCAAGTCTCAGGGCCGGCGCACAGGCGGGGCGCGGGGCTCTTGGCGCCCCTGCGCTCGGAACGGCTGCTTCCGGGCTGGGTGGCTGCTGTCGCCCAACACGCGGCCTCCGCAGAACAGTGGGCTGAGGTCGGTCCAGGACGGCGGTCCCAGCCCTAGGACCGGCGTACAGTAGAGGGCCCGGCAAAGGCCTCGGCCCAGCGGGGAAGTCGCGCCCTCCTGCGGCGCTGACGGGGACAGCAGGGCTCTCGGGCCGTCCTCTGGCTGTGCCCCGCCCCGGGGGACGCTGGGCGGACTGCGGGGCGTGCCCGGGGGCGCTGCAGTGTGTGCGGACTCGCAGTGGGTGCTCACTGTCGGCCAGAGCCAAGGCGTTCGGCCGCCTCGGCCTGAGGAATGAAGGCGCCTTGTGTCGCTTTAGCAGGCAGCAGTGACCCGTGGCGCGTCCCCGGGGACCCGACTGCGGGGCCAGTGGTGCGAAGCCAGTCCTGTGCCCGGGCCTGGTCCTCCCAGCCTCTAGGAAAGCGGATCTCGCTCTCGGTGAGATGAAACGGCCCAGGAGAGAGGCCCCGTCCCTGGCAGGCGGGTGTCCGCGGCAGCGCGAGCCATTCGCGCGGTCAGCCGGGGCGTCTTCCGGATGCGAGGCCCGCGGAGCTCGTGGGAGGTGCTGGCGCCCTGTGTGGCCCGCCCTGCGCTCCCGGCTGCGGGTTCCGAGACTGAGCCGCCGGGAGCCTCCGGAGAGACAGCTCCGCGCGCCCCCTGCTGGCAGGAGGGAGTCGCTCTATGCTGGGCCGGAGAGCAGGGTCCTCCACGCGGCAGGGGGACTGCGCTAAGAAGTCAGGCCCCGCCCCGTGGCTGGGTTTCAGGGCCACAGGCAGCAAGAGACCCACTTCTATCCACCCTGCCCGGCTTATGTAGCACGAAGAGGGCTCTGAAGAAGCAGCCTCTTACTGACATTCTACACACCCTTATGAAAAGCCCCCAAAGAGGCCCCGCGCGGTGGCTCAAGCCCGTAATCCAAGCACTTTGGGAGGCTGAGGCAGGCAGATCACCTGAGGTCAGGAGTTCGAGACCAGCCTGGCCAACATGGTGAAACCCCGTCTCTACTAAAAATACGAAAATTTGCTGGGTGTGGTGGCGTGCGCCTGTAATCCCAGCTACTCCGGAGGCTGAGACAGGAGAATCGCGTGAACTCGGGAGGCGGAGGTTGCAGTGAGCCGAGATCGAGCCACTGCACTCCAGCCTGGGCGACAAGAGCAAAACTCTGTCTGGAAAAAGGAAAAAGAAAGAAAAAGCCCCCAGAGTCGGGTCTAGCCAGGGTCCCCAGCAGACAGTTAATCAATGAAAATGGGCCAAGTGCAGTGGCTCACGCCTGTAATCCCAGCACTTTGGGAGGCCGAGACGGGAGGGTCACGAGGTCAGGAAATCGAGACCATCCTGGCTAACATGGTGAAACCCCGTTTCTACTAAAAAATACAAAAAAATTAGCCGGGCGTGGTGGCGGGCGCCTGTAGTCCCAGCTACTCGGAAGGCTGAGGCAGGAGAATGGCGTGAACCCGGGAGGCGGAGCTTACAGTGAGCCAAGATAGTGCCATTGCACTCCAGCCTGGGTGACAGAGCGAGACTCCGTCTCAAAAAAAAAAAAAAAAAAAAAAAAAGAAAGAAAAAAAGAAAAGAAAGAAAGAAAACGCATGGCTCTCAGGGCCCTGGAGGCTGGAAGGGTCTATTTCCCATGCATGACTCCCTTGTAAGAGGATACAGGGCCCTGCAGAGCTCAGGAATGCAGAGTGGGAGGGGGACAGAGGCAAGCACACCTGCAGAGGTGACAGAGGAGAAGGCTGTGGAAGGCCGAGGGCTTTGAGTGGTCTGGCAGCCACAGTCAGCAGGAAGTGGCCTGGGGCTTTGCACCCTGCAGCCTGGCTCTCCCCACGCTCTGGGGTGGGACTGCAATGGTGTTGAGTCACTGCATACAGCCTCTGTCATATATTCTTCTGGTGCTTTTGTTAAGTGTGAGAACCACTGGCCTACACAATGGAGAGATGGGCCTGGGCCCTGGAGGGAAGGACTTGGAAGAAAGGGTAGACCAATTCAGAGACTGAGGGAATGGGAGCCAGCGGAGGTTCCAGCAGGACATGCTGCAGGAATCGATGGGCCATCTCTATGGGGAACTGCTCTTCTAGCAGTCCTCCTTCCTTTCATCTGGATGTGGGGCTTACACTGTTCCCACCCATGCCCATGAGCTGTCACACTTCTGGAGAGCAGGGACAGGTGGGACCGGCTGGCTGCATAGGATGGGGCCTGGGTTATCACAAATGGTCCCAGTATGTGAGGCTTTGCACAAATTTTGTAGCTGGTTCTGTGGACTCATCTTGTTCAGCTCATGTTTGTTGTGGGGTTATCAGCAGGTCCCAGTTTGCCTGGGATTTCCCAATTTTAGCCCTGTAAGTCCTTCATCTGGATAAACTTCTCAGTCCTGGGCAGCTGATTTGGTGACCCTAGCCCCCTGCTCAGAGAAGGAAGGAGGGCATGCTGTCATAGACACTTGGCCCCATGGCACACTTGCTCTGTCCCTTGGCCTGTAGGTTACTCCTGGGTGGCTCTGACCACACTGTCTTTCCCGAATCTCTCCTGCTGTCAGGAAACCCTGCCATTCACCTCCTGGTCAGTTTATAGCACCCAGAGGCCTCTTGGAGCTGTTGTCCTCACACTGAATCAATGACCCAACAGGAAGTGTAACCAGCCACAGTCAGATGAGCCAGCAGTCAGGCTGTTCTGAGATGGCCCCTGGCTGCTAAGCAGGCAAGGACAGGGAGTTGCTGGGTTGAGGATAGCCTGACCGTGGGGCTCCCAGTGCAGTGGGAGGCAGAGCTGCCAGACCACACAAGCCAGTGGTTCTCTTCCACACTGTGGGGTTTGAGCCCTCCTAAAATGAAAATGCCCTAGCAAGAAAAACTTAGAATATGTATTTTCAAAATTTCACTTATAATAGCAATGAAATACATAAGGTTTCTATGAATAAAAAGTAAAATGGATGCAGTCCTTCATAGAGAAAATGGCAAAACTGAAAAGAAAGCCATTAAAGAAAGTTTATATAAATGGAGCAATATATGTGAAAAAATGTCAATTATCTTCAAATTCATGCACTTTCCTGCAATTCTACTAAAATCTGAGCAGCTTTTAGGGGGAGACTTGTCAAACTGATTCTATAATTTATATGGAAGAGTGATGAGCTATGACCATTATAAAAATAAAGAACAAGATGGTAAGCATTGCCCAACAGATATTCAAGATGTCATAATTAAGGCAGAATGTACTGGCACAGGGAAAAAACTGACCAAGGAACCAAATCCCAGTAGCAGCCCCTCCCACATAGTGAGACTTGGTTTGTGACAGAGCTTGCAGATCCATGGGGAAAGTATGGGCCGGTAAATCAATTTTCTGGAACAATTGGTTATCCATTTAGAAAATCAAGTAGAGTTGGATCTTTGCTTTAAATCATGAACAAAAATAAATTGCATGTGGGTTAAAGACCTAAGTGTAACAAACCACATTTGAAACTGCCGGAAGAAATGGTAGGAGGCTATATTTATAAATTTGCAGTGAGTAAGGATTTCATTAGCAAGACACAAAAGCACAAATCATATACAAAAATATTGATGAAAAAACAAAAAGATGGCCGGACGCAGTGGCTCACGCCTGTAATCCCAGCACTTTGAGAGGCTGAGGTGGGCGAATCACGAGGTCAGGAGATCGAGACCATCCTGGCCAACACCCTGTGTCTACTAAAAATACAAAAATTAGCTGGGCGGGCCGGACGTGGTGGCTCATGCTTGTAATCCCAGCACTTTGGGAGGCAGAGGTGGGTGGATCATGAGGTCAGGAGATCGAGACCATCCTAGCTACCACTGTGAAACCCCATCTCTACTGAAAATACAAAAAATTAGCCGGGCGTGGTGGCGGGCGCCTGTATTCCCAGCTACTTGGGAGGCTGAGGCAGGAGAATGGCATGAACCTAGGAGGTAGACCTTCCGGTGAGCCGAGATCGCGCCACTGCACTCCAGCCTGGGCTACAGAGCGAGACTCCGTCTCAAAAAAAAAAAAAAAAAAAAAATTAGCTGGGCATAGTGATGCATGCCTGTAATCCCAGCTACTTGGGAGGCTGAGGCAGGAGAATCACCTGAACCAGGGAGTCAGAGGTTGCAGTGAGCCAAGATCGTGCCACTGCACTCCAGCCTGGTGACAGAGCGAGACTGTCTCAAAACAAAACAAAACAAACAAACAAAAACAAAAAGAAAACCCATAGATAGGAAGAAAATAGTAAATTAGTATCCAGAATGCATAAAGAATTTACAAAAATCAATAAGAATATTAAAAAAATGGATCAAAGACATGAAAAAGCATTTCACAGATGAGGAAGTGTGGATGGGCAGGAAGTACCTAAAAAGATGCTTTGCCTCATTAGTCACAGAGAAATGCCAAGTGAAACCATAATAACATATTATTTGACACCCTCTAAATGGCTCCAGTGGAGAGTATCTGACAATGTGCAAAGCCCTGTTCTCTGTCCATCACCTGGAAGAGGAGAGCAGCTTGGCAATGGAGTGAAGTGCTTCCTTACAGCCTTCAGTCCCAGTGTCTACTACTTCTTTTCCTTAAAAATGTACTGCCCAGCATCAAAAAGAAGAAAATATTTAAAGATAAATTAATAAAAGAAGTGCAACACTTGTACACTGACAACTCTAAAACATGGTTGGAAGAAATTAAAGAGAAATAAATGGAAGGACATCTTATGTTCGTGAATTGGAACACTTAATGTTGTTAAGATGGAAATACTCTCCAAACTGATCTATAGATTCATCACAATCCCTATCAAAATCTCTGCTAGCTTTTTCGAAGAAATTGACAAGTTGAACATGAAGTTCATGTGGAAAGTTAGGGACCCAGAATAGCCAAAACAATTTTGAAAGAAAATTCATACCTCCCTATTACAAACCTACTACAAAGCTGTAGTAATCAAGATAGTGTGTTAATGGTATAGGGAGAGACACAAGATAAATGGAATCAAATGGAACCAAAGGTTCAAATAGAAACCTTCACAATTATGGTAAAGTAATTTTTGACAAGTGGGCAAAGACAATTCAATGAAGGAAAGAATATTCTTTTCAATAAATGGTGCTGGGACAATGGATGTCCACAAGCAAAAGAATAATGTCATACCCTACCTCAGACCATATACAAAAATTCCCTCTAAATGGATCATAGACATCAATGCGAGACCTAAAACTATCAAACTCTTAGAAAATATAGGAGTAAATCTTCATGAACTTGGGTTAAGCAATGGTTTCTTATATATGGCACCCAAAGCATAGGCAACAAAAGAAAAAAACAGATACACTGAATGTCATCAAATCGAAAGTTTTTGTTCATCAAAGAACACCATCAATAAAGTGAAAAGATAACCCACAAAATGAGAAAAATATTTGCAAAATATGTATCTGATGAGAGTCTAGTAACCAACACATATTTTTAAAAACTCTTAAAATTCAGCAGTAAGAAGACAAAATTCTCAGTGAAAAACCAGGCAAAGGTTTGAATAAGCATTTCTTCAAGTGGTCAATACGCACAACACCATAGTCATTAGGGAAATACAAATCAAAATCCCAATGAGATAGCATTTCACACCCACCAGCATGGCCAGCATAAGTGTTTGAGAGGATTTAAAGAAATTGGAAACTTCGTACACTGCTGGTGGAAAAGTACAATGCTGTGGCTGTTTTAGAAAACACTTCAGCAGTTCCTGAAAATATTAAAGAGTTACCATTTGGCCTAGTGATTCCACTTATATGTATAAAGCCAAGAGAAATGAAAGCATATGTTCGCACAAAAACTTATACATGAATATTCATAGCAGCATGATACATAATAGTCAAAAAGTGGAAACAACTCAAATGTCCATCAGTTTATGAATGGATAAATAAAGTGTGACATGTCTATAAAGTAGAATATTATCCAGCCATAAAACATAATGAATTAGCGACACATGCAACATAGGTGAATCTTGAAAATATTACACTCGCTGAAGGAAGATGGTCACAAAAGAGTATCTATTGTATAATTCCATTTGTATGAAATGCTCAGAATAGGCAAATCTATAGAGGCAGAAAATAGATTAGTGGTTGCTAGAGGCTGGGGGAAGAAAGAATGGGGAGTATGGGTGTTTTGTTTTTGTTTTTGTTTTTTTTAGAGGGGATGAAAATGTTCTAAAATTACATAAAAGAACTAACTGGGAGGGATGCTCAATTCTGTGGCTAGACTAAAGCCATTAAATTATCCACTTTAAAAGGGTGATTTTTTTGGTATTCAAGAGGATGCTAATTTTTAAAAAGGGGTGAATTGTATGACATGTAAATTATATCTCAATAAAACTATTATTAAAATATTAGCTGCCTGTGCAGCAGCCCAGGAGAGCATGGGGCAGGTGCAGGGGTTCCTGTGGCCTGGCCACAGGCCTGCTGACTGCTGTGTCTGGCTGAGACAGGCTCCCACACATGACCCGTACTTTTGAGGAACATAACATCCTCTCTGAGCAGCCCCGGAGTCAGCAGGCCCTCCTGAGGTCCACGTGACAGTTGGGTGATGAGCACCTCCTCCACTGCAGGGCTTGCTTGCTTTTACCTGGTAAGCCCACTTAGTAAACAAGTTCCACATGGCCAGAGGTGACTGTTAAGGAGTCCAAGTGGCAGTAAACAGGCATTCGCTGCCAATTCTGTGTCTTGGGAATTCCCCAGGAACAACTCTTGTCTTGATTGGTGGTCAGAGCTTGTTGTCCAGCTTCCCTCTCAGTGTGCTGTTTGCTGGCCATTCACCATGAGGGGACAAGTGTCACCTGCCTCCTGAGTGGCATGTGCCACCCTGGGCAGTGGCGCTGAGCATTTATGAAGCCTGACACTCTACCACTTTGAGCCTGAGGGGAAGCTGTGAGGACTCAGCATGTCAGAGAGACTGCACGTATGGGAGAATGCACGCACGGGAGCCGGAGGGACGCAGAGGAACCAGTGTGAGGCACCAGGGAAGACACACCGCAGGCTTGCCTCCTCAGTGCTCCCAGAGGTTGACCATGGACTCATGTGAGGACTTTTTCTTCCCTGTTACCTAAGTACAGGCAGAGGTGGATCCAGGCCTCCACCTAATTCCTGTGGTATCAGGCTGGGGCTGAAGCATCCACTGTGGCCGGGTGACCAGCTGGCATGTTCCTTGGCTGGAGGAAGAGTCAGATGTTGGAGCATGTCAGTGAGCTATGTTCCACAATCTCTGAGCCCAAAATGGAGCTAAGAACAGCTACCTTGCAAGGCAGTTGCTAAGAGACAGCAAGTGCATGCTCTGGGCCAGGCACGTGATGCTCAGTAAAAGAGGGAGTGGTAGTTATTCCTAGATGAGAGTTTCCATAAAACACAGCTCCTTATTCTTCTCACCCTTTTCTTCTCATCTTCTCTGCTTTCAGGCCAAGCTCAGTGTGTAAAGAAAGTCAGAGTCAGAGAAGGCAGGCCCTGCTCCAGGCTCCAAGGGCCTGCTCTGTCCAATGAGCCTTGAGGTCTTTTGCACTTGTGCTTCTGGCCGGGAAGTTCCTGGAACCCTTAGGAGCTCTCTTCCCTCCCTCAGCACCAGCCCCTTTCCATATTGTTTGATACTTGATCATTCATCCCTGGATCGTAGCAGTGGGTGTGGATGATCAGCCTTTATTAATGAAGTTTATGCTGTCCTCAGAGAAACCTAGGGATCTGTGTGCAAGTGTAGACAGTAACTTATGAGATGATTTACTTCCTATACCCTCTCCCTGTCACCCTGACCCTGAGTCACTGCTGTCGTTACTCAAGCCTGAGGATGGCAGGAATTGAGGGAGGCCCCTTACAATGGCTTAGGGCTTCCAGAAGGCCAGAAAAACCTGTTCCATCTTATTGATGGGAGAAAAAGATGTATGAGCAAAGTGCCAGGGATTCCCCTTGAGGATTGGGCTGGGATCCTCTAGTTGTGCTTCTGATGGGCATACCCAAGGAACTCAAGTTAGATTTCTCTAATACTATCCATCCATCCATCCATCCACCCACCCACTCATCCACCCATTCATTCATCCATCCACTCACTCATCCATCCATTCACCCATCCATCTATCCATCCATTTACCCACCTACCCATCTATCCATCCATACATCCACTCATCCATCCATCCATCCACCTATCCATCCACCTGTGCAGACATCCAGCATCCATTTCTTGGGCAGCATCTCAGCCTGATGCAATATGCCAGGAGTTTTAGGACACTTACCTTTCTCCCAGGGAGCTCATAGGTATGTACACACAATAATACATAATAATCATGTGTCACAGAATGTGACCAGCTTGGGAGGTTGAGGTGGGTGGATCACTTGAGCCCAGGAGTTTGAGACCAGCTTGGGCAATATGGCAAAACCCCATCGCTACAAAAAATACAAAAATTACCCAGGCATGGTGGTGTGCACCTGTGGTCCCAGCTACTTGGGAGGCTGAGGTGGGAGAATCAGCTGAGCCCAGGAAGTCGAGGCTGCAATGAGCTGTGATTATACCACTGCACTCCAGTGTGGGTGACAAGGTGAGACCTTGTCTTAAAAAAAAAAAAAAAAGTGACCAGCTATGAACGGCTATATACAAACAGCTATAAACAGACCGGGCACAGTGGCTCATGCCTGTAATCTGAGCACTTTGGGAGGCCAAGGGGAGCAGATTATGAGGTCAGGAGATCGAGACCATCCTGGCTAACACGGTGAAACCCCGTCTGTACTAAAAAAATACAAAAAAATTAGCTGGGCATGGTGGTGGGCGCCTATAGTCCCAGCTACTTGGGAGGCTAAGGCAGGAGAATGGCGTGAACCCAGGAGGCAGAGCTTGCAGTGAGCCGAGATCGGGCCACTGCTCTCCAGTCTGGGTGACAGAGCGAGACTCTGTCTCAAAAACAAAACAAAACAAAACAACCCAAATACAGTCACATTGGGAGTTAGGGCTTCCACCTATGATTTTGGGGGAACACAATTCAGCCCAAATCACCAGCCCTCTTTAATAAGTACAGGGTGGGGAATATTGATTAGTTGCTATAAAGGCACAGGGATAAAAAGTTTATCCTTTAAATATTTTATCGTATAATTGTGTCTTATTTAACAAACTCTTATACAGTATTTATTATAAGTTAGGCACTATTTTAAGAAATGTACAAGTATTAATTCGTGGGGTGAAGGACCTATTTGACATCAATTTTAATGTTTTTCCCATCCTGCCATCGTAAAGTTGATATACAGGCCGGATGTCTTGCTGGAAGGATGGGGAAGTCCCTGGTAATAACGATTATTATTACATGTATACTCAGGTTCCATGGCCTCTAACTTGTATCCATGAAACCCTGCATGATTGTTACATGAAATTTATTTGTCACTGTTTGCTATAGAATATTTGTCAGCTCCCTCCAAGGCAGCAACTGTTTGCCTCCAGAAATTGAATTTGCTCAGCGCCTATATTGTAATTAACCCACTGACCATCACCTCGTGTTCTTGTTATCATTTCCTCCTTCTAAATTTAAATTGCTTAAATACTCTTGCTTCTTGGGAAATATACCTTCAGGTTTTTCTCCCCAGTTACCAGATATTCACTGTAAAAGCGCAGCACCATCTCTATCTTCATTCTCCGTGAGCACAGAAACACACATGCGAACACAGCCACGGGGTGCCCCAGACAAGATGCCGTTTAGAACTAGGCTTCCTTCTGTCCGTTTTCTACCAGCATCCTGAGGCTGGCTCTTCCCGTCCTCTCCCATGATGCTGTCTTCTGCCCATGGCAGGAGCACCACCCCTGTGCCAGTCCTTCTCTGCCCTCCTCTCCAAGTTTATTTCTGCCTGAAACTAGTGCCCCCCACCGTGCCTTTTCTTTTTCTTTTATTTTTTTAATGTTTGTTTGTTTGTTTATTTATTTATTTTGGGACAGAGTCTCCCTCTGTCACCCAGACTGGAGTGCAGTGGCGCGATCTTGGCTCACTGCAGCCTCTGCCTACTGGGTTCAAGTGATTTTCCTGCCTCAGCCTCCTGAGTAGCTGGGATTACGGGCACGCGCCACCATGCCCGGCTAAATTTTTGTATTTTTAGGAGAGGCAGAGTTTCACCATGTTGGCCGGGATGGTCTCGATCTCCTGACCTCGTGATCTACCCACCTCGGCCTCCCAAAGTGCTGGCATTACAGGTGCAAGCCACCGCGCCTGGCACACCGCCTCCCCGCACCACGGTGCCTTTTCTTCTGGTTCTTTGCCTTAACCTCACCGCGGGGAGTCCTGACCAGACTTTTCTGTCGCCTGGGCTTGCAGCCACCTGCCGGATGCTGACCAGTACCAACCAATGCACACCTCCCCGGGGTGGGCCCAGGCGGTCAGTCTCCATGGGTCTCTACTCTAAAACTGCCTGAGAATGCCTGTGAGACGGAGAGCAATTAGAAGATATGACTTTATAATAGAGTCTTGTCAAGGAAGTGGAGGAAGAAAAAGAAACAATGAAAAAGGAAACAAGTGCTTGTTTGCTTGCTTTTTAGAATCGGACAATGGCCACCAAAGTGCTATGGTGCTTCGATTCTGTTGAATAAATTTAGAAGCATGATATTCACTTTTTGTTTTAAAATATTAATTTTTAGGATACACGGGTGAGTATATCCTTTACAACCATTTAGACATTCTTGAGATAAAAGGAAGTTGGGGCTGCTGTTTAAAAATGTTCAGGGGACTATATAGATTTTCAAAACAAATGGGCCGGGGTTGAAGATGGAGAGGCCGCTGTGAATCCAGTGCAGTGGAGGGCAGTGCAGTCAGCAGGTGCTTAGTGCTCAACAGTGGCCTGCACCTGGGAGGCAGTGTAGACGGGAGCTCAGGGCAGCACCCTGCCTGAGTCGCTGACTTCTTAGACTAGTAGAAAAGGCAACCTTTGTGGATAGCTGACATGGTTTGGGTCTGTGTTCCTGACCAAACCTCATGTCTAATTGTAATCCCCAGTGTTGGAGGTGGGGCCTGGTAGGAGGTGATTTGATCACAGGGGTGATTTCTCATGAATGGTTCAGTACCATCCACATTGATGCTATTCTCATGATACAGTTCTCACGAGATCTGTGGTTGTTTAAAAGTGTGCAGCACCTTCGCCCACACTCTTGCTGCTCCAGCCATGTGCTGCTCCTGCTCCCCCTTTGCCTTCTGCCATGATTGAAGCTCCCTAAGGCGTCCCCAGAAACAGAAGGGGTCATGCTTCCTGTACAGCCTGCACAACCCTGAGCCAATAGTCTCTTTTCTTTTCTTTTCTTTTCTTTTCTTTCTTTCCTTCTTTCCTTCCTTCCTTCTTTCTCCTTCCTTCCCTTCCTTCCTTCCTTCCTTCCTTCCTTCCTTCCTTCCTTCCTTCCTTCCTTACTTCCTTCCTTCCTTTCTTCCTTCCTTTCTTTCTTTCTGGGACAGAGTCTCCCTCCGTCACCTAGGCTGGAGCGCAGTGGCGCGATCTCGGCTCACTGCAACCTTCGCCTCCCGGGTTCAAGTGGTTCTCCTGCCTCAGCCTCCCAAGTAGCTGGGACTACAGGTGCCCACCACTGCACCTAGCTAATTTTTGTATTTTTGTAGAGACGGGGTTTCACCATGTTGGCCAGGCGGGTCTCAAACTCCTGATCTCAGATGATCTGCCCGCCTCGGCCTCCCAAAGTGCTGGGATTACAGGCGTGAGCCACTGTGCCTGGCCCAGGCCCTCTTCTTTATAAATTACCCAGTCTCAGGTATTTCCTTATAGAAGTGCAAGAATGGACTAATACAATAGTCTTCAGTCCTAAGAGCCCTCTATGTCTGTTCAATAACTCCCGTGAATAAGACAGTATTGTCGATTATTTTAAAAGAAGATCTGGGCTCTGTTTCTTCCCAAGGTCGCTGTTCACTGAAGATGTGAGGAGTGCGCTGGCCGCAGCAGCCCAGGTGGCCCCTTGCCTGCCTGGCCAATCAAGGGTGGCATGTGAATGCCACCAGCCAACAAGCACAGGGACCACACAGCGACCTGCTCACTAGCTGTAAATGCCACCATTATGATTGGAATTGTATGTCCCCCAACTCACATGTTGAAGCCCTAGCCTCAGTACCTCAGAATGGGGCTGTGTTTGGAGGTAGGGCCTTTAGAGAGGTGACTCAGTTACATCGAGGCCTTCAGGGTGAGCCCTCCATTCAGTGTGACTGGGGTCCTGAAAAGAAGACAATGTTTGGGCATTCAGAAAGACACAGGACCACAGGCTGTGTGTGCACAGAAGAAAGGCCACGAGAAGGTGACCATCTGCAAGCCACAGAGGGAGACCTCGGGGGAACCGACTCTGCCGGCACCTTCATTGTGAACCTGCAGCCTCCAGAGCTGTGAGAAATACATTTCTGTTGTTTAAGCCTCCCAGTCTGTAGTATGTTGTTATGGCAGCTGGAGTGAACTAGCACAGCCACTGGAGTTTGGCCAACAAGCACACTGAAGCCATGAGAAGTGAACCATTTGTTTCAGAGAAGTGTAATCAAGCCAAAAAGAAAACAATCTCCCTTAGCACTCAGGGTGAACGCCAACCTTGAGCTGACTGTCATTGTGGAAAACTGGGGCCTTCTTGACTGACCTAACTGGACAGATGGCGATGGAGGAGGAGGCTGTGCTGACACATTCGGCTGAGCTCCTGCCTGTGCTTCCCAGCAGCTGCCCACACCAGCCACAGGGATCACGCCCAACCTGCCTGGAGCACCGGTGAGACGTACGGAGCCATAAGGAGAGGTGAGCAGTGTCGCAAAGCTGTTCTTGGTTGTCATTTTTGGGTGGGTGGGTGGGGGTGGCACCAGTGCTGACTTAAAAATACATATATAGGCCAGGCGCAGTGTCTCATGCCTGTAATCCCAACATTTTGGAAGGCTGAGGCGGGCGGATCACGAGGTCAGGAGATCGAGACCATCCTGGCTAACATGGTGAAACCCCATCTCTACTAAAAATACAAAAAATTAGCCGTGTGTGGTGGTGGGCGCCTGTACTCAGGAGGCTGAGGCAGGAAAATAGCTTGAACCTGGGAGGCGGAGGTTGCAGTGAGCCAAGATCGTGCCACTGCACTCCAGCCTGGGCGACAGAGCAAGACTTTGTCTCAAAAAAAAAAAAAAAAAAAAAAATATATATATATATATATATATATATACACACACACACACACACACACACACACACACACACACACACACATATATGTATAAATACTTTTTTTACTTTAGAAGTTTTAGATTTATAGAAAAGTTTCCAAAAGAGCTTAAGAGTATAGCACAGAGTTTGCCCACACTCCTCAGGCATTTCTCTTGCTATTAACATCTCATACTACTATGGTACATTTGTCATGACTAATTCACCAGTATTGATACATCATTATTAGTAACTCAACTCCATACTTTGTTCACATTTCCTTAGTTTTTCCTTAATGTCCCTTTTCTGTTTCAAGATCTTATCCAAATGACCACATTCCATTTAGTGGTCATATCTCCTTATTCTCTTTTGGGCTGTGACATTTTCTCAGCCTAAAATGATGTTTTGATGAGTTTGACAGTTTCGAGAAGTACTGGCTAGACATTTTATAGAATGCCCCTCAATTTGGGTTGGTTTGACATTTTTCTTATAGTTTTTTTCTTGTAGTTAGACTGGGCTTACAGGTTTTGGGAGGAAGACCATAGAGGTGAGGTACCATTCTCCCCACATCATATCAAGGATAGCTCAACATGACTCAATCACTGTTAATGTTGGCCCTGTTCGCCCAGCTGAGGTCATCTTTGCCAGGTTTATCTATGGTAAAACTACTTTTTATCCCCTTTCCTCACTGTACTCTAGAAGAAAGTAACCAAGTACAGCCCAGACACCCTTTGGGCATAACTCAATATCACATTATTTTCTGTTGCTGCTTAAATCGCTCCAGCCATTCATTTGGCCATTGGACGCTCTTTCAGTCGGCGCCTGTGTCCCTTTAACATACTCTCATTATTGTGTGTGTGTGTTTAGCACTTTCTTAATTCCTGGCATTACCATATGCTCCAGGCTCATCTCATATATTCTACAATCAGCCATATCTCC
Source organism: Homo sapiens (assembly GCF_000001405.40). Classification (NCBI taxonomy): domain Eukaryota; kingdom Metazoa; phylum Chordata; class Mammalia; order Primates; family Hominidae; genus Homo; species Homo sapiens. Next base: position 130,784,225 of record NC_000002.12, on the reverse strand, counting down.
AAAGACCCTTATTCCTTTTACAAGAGATCTGGAGGCTGGGTGTGCTTATTGCTACAGGGTGTCACTGCTTCTAGGCTGTTTTAGTAGACTGAGCTAGGAAATAGATGTATGTACACTGACCCAAATATACACATATACCTATAACTACTTCCACATTTACCCATCAGTACATTAAGCTAAACATGAGTTCATTCTGCTGTCTCTGATTCTAATCCATGGCCAAATGTTTCACTGTAGCCTTCCCTTCTTGTTTATCTGCGACCTCCACCTTCAGCAGTGAGAAACCTGGCTCCCGCATCTGCCATACCACCATCCCTTTACTAGTTAATCCAAAATTCAATCCCAGTATGCAAGTACAGTGAGTTCAGAATTGTTAGTTTGTGCCCCCACAGGAACATACTTTGCATGATTATTATTATTTTCAATTTTTAATGTGTATTTCATGGTCCAGGTGTGGGTCTGTTTTTGTGAATGCTCCATGTGTGCTTGAGAAAAACATGTATTCTGCCACTGTTGACTGGAGTATGTTATAAACTCAATTAGACCAAGTTGATTGACAGTGTTGTTCAGATTATCTATATTCTTACTTATTTGCTGCCTGTTTGATCTATCAATTATTGACAAAGGACTGTTGAAGGCTTCGATTATAATAGTGGGTTTACCTAATTCTCTTTTCAGTTTTATCAGTTTTTACCTGACATATTTTGATGCCCTACTATTTTATAATTATCTAATGGTCCTTTTTATCTTTCATAATCTTCCTTGTTCTAAAGTCAGCTTTAGGCTGGGCGCATTGGCTCATGCCAATAATCCCAGCACTTGGGAGCCCTAGGTGGGTGGATCACCTGAGGTCAGGAGTTCAAGACCAGCCTGGCCAACATGGTGAAACTTTGTCTCTACTAAAAATACAAAAATTAGCCAGGCATAGTGGTGCATGCCTGTAGTCCCAGGTACTCGGGAGGCTGAGGCAGGAGAATTGCTTGAACCCGCAAGGAGGAGGTTGTAGTGAGCTGAGATCGCACCACTGCACTCCAGGCTGGGCGACAGACTGAGACTCTGTCTCAAAAATAAAAGAAGTCAACTTTGTCTGAAATTAATATAGCTACTCCATTTTCTCTTGCTTAGTGTTAGCATTGTATATCTTTCGCTGTACTTTTACTTTTCACATGTCTGTGTCAGGATATTTCATGTGTGTTTCTTATAGACAGCATGTAGATGGGTCTTTTACATTTAAAAAAATCCAATCACATATGACTTTCTTTTATCGGGTGTTCACATTTAAAGTAATTGTTGATATAGTTGGAGTAAATCTACCATTTTGTTAAGTATATATATTCATTGCATTTGCTCTTTGTAGCCTTTCCTTCTCTTTTCTGCCTTCTCTGGTTTTAAGTATCTTATATGATTACATTTTAGCTCTATCTTAACACATCATTAACACTCCTTAAAAATGTTTTTTAGTGGTTTCCCTAGGATTGACAACATACATTTTAAAATTGTCTACGACCACCTTCAAACCACATTATCTGTGGATTGCAGCTACTTTACAGCAGGGTTGTCCAATTCTTCCCTCCTGTGCCTGATGACATTACAGTTATTCGTGTCACTTATCCATGGGCTATAAACCAACACATTGTTACTATTGTTGTTTTAAGCAGACAATTATCTTTTAGATCAGTAAAGAATAATAAAAATAAAACTATTTATTTTACCCTAATTTATTCCTTTTCTTGGGCTCCATCTTTCTTTATGTAGATCCAAGTATATGACCTTATATTATTTTTCTTCTGTCTAAATAACTCATTTTAATATTTCTCTTTTTTTGAGATGGAATCTCATTCTGTCACCCAAACCAGAGTGCAGTGGCATGATCTCAGCTCACTGCAATATCCGTCTCCCTGGTTCAAGCAATTCTTCTGCCTCACCCTCCTGAGTAGCTGGGATGACAGGTGCACGCCACCACACCAGGCTAATTTTTGTATTTTTAGTGGAAATGGGGTTTCACCATGTTGGCCAGGCTGGTCTCAAACTCCTGACCTCAAGTGATCTACCCACCTCAGCCTCCCAAAGTATTGGGATTACAGGCATGAGCCACTGCGCCCAGCTTCATTTTAATATTTCTTTCATGGTTTCTGATGAGAAGTTTATTATAATTCTTATTCTTGATCTTTTGTGGTTAAAGTGTCCACCCTCAATAACTTCTGGCTTTCTTTAAAATTTTCTGTCTTTGGTTTCTGCAATTTGGATATTACCGAATCCAGAATCCCACACACACGTCCAGGGTGTGTGTGTGGGTGGGGGGTGTTTGATGTTCTCTGAAGTTCTTAGATCCGTGGTTTTTTGCCTATCATTAATTTTGGAAAGTTCTCAGCCATTATTTCTTCAAAACTCTTTTTTTTTTTTTTTTTTTGGAGATGGAGTCTTGCTGTGTCGCCCAGGCTGGAGTGCAGTGGCGAGATCTCGCCTCACTGCAAGCTCTGCCTCCTGGGTTCACGCCATTCTCCTGCCTCAGCCTCCCGAGTAGCTGGGACTACAGGCGCCCGCCACCATGCCCGGCTAATTTTTTGTATTTTTAGTAGAGACGGGGTTTCAACGTGTTAGCTAGGATGGTCTCGATCTCCTGACTTTGTGATCCGCCTGCCTCGGCCTCCCAAAGTGCTGGGATTACAGGCGTGAGAGACCCCACCCAGCCCAAAACTCTTTATATGCCTAATATAGTTTGGCTTTGTGGCCCCACACAAATCTCATCTCAAATTGTAATCCCCACATGACAGGGGAGGGCCTGGTGGGAGGTGATTGGATCATGGGGGCAGTTTCCCCCGTGCTGTTCCCGTCAATAGAGTTCTCACATTCTGCTTGTTTGATAAGTGGGTGGCTCTTCACTCTTCCCTCTTTCTCTCTCTCCTGCTGCCATATAAGATGTGCCTGCTTTCCCTTTGCCTTCTGCCGTGGCTGTAAGTTTCCTGAAGCCTCCCAACCCTGTAGAAGTGTGAGTCAATTAAACCTCTTTTCCTTGTAAATTACCCAGTCTTAGGTAGCTTTTGTTTGTTTGTTTGAGACGGAGTCTCCCTCTGTTGCCCAGGCTGGAGTGCAGTGGCGTGATCTCAGCTCACTGCAAGCTCTGCCTCCCGGGTTCATGCCATTCTCCTGCCTCAGCCTCCCGAGTAGCTGGGACTGCAGGCACCCGCCACCGCGCCTGGCTAATTTTTGTATTTTTAGTAGAGATGAGGTTTCACCTTGTTAGCCAGGATGGTCTTGATCTCCTGACCTGGTGATCTGCCCGCCTCAGCCTCCCAAAGTGCTGGGATTACAGGCGTGAGCCACCGTGCCCGGCCAGTCTTAGGTAGTTCTTTATAGCAATGTGAGAATAGACTAATACAGTCCCATTTTCTCTTTCTGCTCCTTCTGGTAATTGCATATATGTTACACTTTTTGATCTGTCTCACAGTTTGGATGCTGTATTCTTCTCTGCTCTTCCCTGCACCCACCTACCCAGTTAATTTTCTCTTCGCATTTCAATTTTGGAAGTTTCAATTCTCTGTCTTCATACTCACTGATTTTTTTTGCTTTCTTTTTTATTGTGGTGTAATATACATGACATAAAATTTACCATTTTAGTCACTTATATGTGTACAATTGAGTGGCATTAGGTACATTCACAATATTGAAGCTGAATTTGCAAAGATTATGAGAGCACAAGAAGTCTAGCATGGCTGACTCCATCTTGCTTCTAGCCTCACAGGCTGGCTGTCCTTACTCATTTCTGGGTGTAGGCCAGGCTAACCGTAGGAAGAATTTAATTTATAGTTTAACTTTGAAGCAAGGATGATAACAGTCCCTCCCTAAAACTAACCTTCTCTTTGCTCAGGGATCTAAAACCACCTTTTTATGACTATTGAAAGAGACCACAAGATTAAGATTATGAGAGCAGCCTGAATTCTGCTAAGATGTAGGCATAACTTGCCTTTCTATAGTCATTTACTGTGCTGGAGGTCACAAGATTTATAATGTTCCCAATTGCTCCTATAGATAACATCATTATTGTAGAGCCTAAGATTGGCCTTTGGTACTGTTTTTCAGACTTCTGCATTCTGGTGACCAACTGACTCCACCTGGACCCGTGATTCCTGACTCAACAGGTCCTGTGGCCCCCACCCAGAAGTTGACTTAGCACATGAGGACCATTTTCCACATCCCTATGACTTCATCCCCAGTCAGCATCATCCATTCCCTAGCCCCCTGCCTGACAATTTATCCATAAAAACTCTAGCCTCTGAATTCTCAGGGAGGTTGATTTGAGTAATAAACTCCATCTTCCAATTGGCTAGCCCTGTGTTAATTAAACTCTTTTTTAAATTATTTATTTTATTTTTGCTGCAAAACCTTGCTGTTCTCAGTGCATTAGCTTTTCCAGGCAGTGGACAAGATGAACCTGTGGGTGATTGCAATATTGTCAAACTATCACCACTATCCAGTTCCAGAACTTTTTCATCACCCCAAACAGAAACTCTATACCCATTAAAAAGTCACTCTATTCTGCCCTCCCCACTAGCCTCTGGTAACCACTATTCTACTTTCTGTCTGTATGAAGTTGCCTATTCTAGGTACCTCATGTAAATGGAATCATGCATTTGTCCTTTAATGCCTAGCATAACATCTTCAAGGTTCAACCATGTTCTAGCATATATCAGAATTGCATTCTTTTTTATTCCATTGAGTGCTTATATCACATTTTATTTACCCTTTTTTGTGTCGAAGACCATTTGGGTTGTTTCCACCTTTTATCTATTGTGATTAATGCTGCAGTGAAGAATGGAGTATAAATATCTTTGTTGAGTCTCCACTTTCATTTCTTTTAAGAATATACTTAGGGATAGAATAGATGAGGTTTTTTCTATGTTTATGGTATAGTATTGTGTATTTTCTATGTCCAAGATTATGGTAATTTCTTTCTTTTTTTTTTTTTTTTGAGACAGAGTCTCGCTCTGTTGACCAGGCTAGAGTGCAGTGGCACCATCTTGGCTCACTGCAACCTCCGCCTCCCAGGTTCAAGCAATTCTGCCTCAGCCTCCCAAATAGCTGGGACTATAGGCGCATGCCACCACACCTCGCTAATTTTTTTTTTTTTTTTGTATTTTAATAGAGACAGGGTTTCACCATGTTGCCCAGGCTGGTCTCGAACTCCTGAGCTCAGGCAATCGCCTCGGCCTCCCAAAGTGACAGGATTACAGGCATGAGCCACCGCGCCCGGCTGATTATGATAATTTCTATGTTTCATTTTTGAGAAACTGCTAAGCTGATTTCCACAGTGGCTGCACCATTTTACCTTCCCAACAGGAATGAACAAGCGTTCCTATCTTCCCATATCCTTGCCAACAATTATTTTCCATTTTTTATTCCAACAGTCATCCTACTGGGTGTGAAGTGGTACCTCATTGTGGGTTTTGTTTGTTTGTTTTTTGAGAAGGAGTCTCACTCTGTCGCCCAGGCTGGAGTGCAATGGCATGATCTCTGCTCACTGCAACCTCCGCCTGCTGGGTTCAAGCAATTCTTCTGCCTCAGCCTCCCGAGTAGCTGGGACTACAGGCGTGCACCACCACGCCTGGCTAATTTTTGTATTTTTAGTAGAGACAGTTTCACCATATTTGCCAGGCTGGTCTCGAACTCCTGACCTTGTGATCTGCCCACCTCGGCCTCCCAAAGTGCTGGGATTACAGGCGTGAGACACCGCGCCCGGCCCTCATTGTGGTTTTGATTTGCATTTCCCTAGTAATCAGGGATAAGCAAATATGCATGTTTTCATGTGCTTATTTGGCATTTGTGTGTCTCCTTTGAAGAAATGTCTATTCAAGGCTTTTGTCTATTTTTTAAAGTTGAATTATTCGTCTTTTTGTTGTTGAGTTGCAGTAATTCTTTACATATCCTGAATATTAATTTCTTATGAGATTCGTGAAGTGCAAATATTTTTTCCCATCCTTTAGGTTGTCTTTTCACCTTCTTGATAGTGTCCTTTGATGCACAAAAGTTTTTAATCTTGATGAAATTCAATAACTGTTTTGTTTTACTGTTGCTTATATTTTTGGTGTCATATACAAAAAATCATGGCAAAATCCAACATCATAAAGATTTCCCTCTCTGTTGTCTTCTAAGATATTTATAGTTTTGGTTCTTATGTTTAAGTCTTAGTTCCATTTTGAGTTAATTTTTGTATATGGCATAAATTAAGGGTCCAACTTCATACTTTTCATGCAGATATCCAATTTTCCCAGCATCATTTGTTGAAAAGATGGCCCTTTCCCCATTCAATGGTTTTGGCAACCTTGTCAAACATCAACTGACTATAAATTGAGGGCCACTATGTCTGTCCTTATGCCAGTAACACCCTGGTTTTGTTATAATCTGTCATTTTGTTTATAATTATCAAAGTCTTATGATCACACACAATTTCTAAATTAATGTATATCTTCTCCACTTTAATCCTTCTAATACATTGACAAAAGCACCATTACCAATCACACGTACACAGTACTTCTACAGTTTTACGTGCTTGAATCATTTAAAGGCAATCCTAAATTATAACTTAGTCAGATTTAGATAGCAAAGAATTCAAAAGTAAATTTTACCTTACTACTATTTCTTGTTACACTGATTTTCAGAAGCATCTGACTTTATAGATCATCTATAAAATTTGAGAAGTGTTTTAACTATTCTTTATTTGATATTACACATAAAATGCATTTCAATTAGTAAAAGGCAGCATTTTAGATCCAGGGAATTCTAATTGGATTGGCATAGTTAAGACCAAAAATATAAAGTAGACATTGCTGTCTTATCTTCAGCCCTTGCCTTTTACAGGGTAATGAACACAAATTAAAACATAGGTGAGTCTTGCTTGGTTCTGAGACAGTATTTAAATATATTCATAAAGACAGTTATAGAACTCTAAATATAAAACCAATCCCCAATATGTTTTGAGACGGCATTCACCACCTTTATGAAAAGTTGAACGTTACTAATGAAGTCCAATCATATCTTCAGAAGGGGAAAACAGTGATAACATTTACTGAATTGAAATTACTATCAAAGTTCAAAAAAACAGTCATATTCATTTAACCACAAGCTAGTGTGACTTAAATCAGGACTGTCCAACAAAAAAGGTCTGCCACTCATTCATGATCTAAATTCTGGTGTATGAGATCAATTAAATTTTGGTGCACATGAAGTTATGAGACCTTTGTTTTGTAATAAATAAAGGCAGTGGCCAATTATTACTCATTAGTGGCTTTTTTGAGATAAGTTATCAAGTCTGTTCTTTCTACCTTCTTGTTAATGCCAGTGAAGACTGTTTTTGTTCCAAGGATGTAATTCTCTGGATTCTTCAAATACTCCACCGGTGTCTCCTCTCCCCAGGTGATGCTGTGTTCTGTTGGCGTCTGTGTAAGGGGATCCAATGGCCTGACCTGGCTGCTGCCCAGAGCCCATGGAGTTCTGGCCCAGTCTGTGCTTGCCTCTTTTTTCCACAGTGTGGCACTGGGTACCCTTGTGAACAAAATCTTCTTGCCTTTTACTACGTTACTCCTGTTAAATTCTCTCCTTTATCACTCACACTATGAAGATTCCCGCTTGGAAGCTGGCTAATGCTTCTCTTAATAGCACCTTGTTGTGATTACATAGCTTTATAGTAAGTTTTCACATCCGCAAGTGTGAGTCCTCCAGCTTTGTCCACACTTGTGGTCATTTTGGCTATTTGGGATCCCTTGAGATTCCATATGAATTTTGGGATGAGTTTTTCTATTTCTGGATAAAAAATCCATTGGGACTTTTATGGGGATTGCATTCAATCACTTTAGTTAGCGTTGTTATTTAACAATATTAGTCTTCCAGTACATGAATGTGGGATATCTTTCACTTATTTATGTCTTAAATTTCTTTTAGCAGGCCAGGCACGGTGGCTCACGCCTGTAATCCCGGCACTTTGGGAGGCCCAGGCGGGCGGATCACGAGGTCAGGAGATGGAGAACATCCTGGCTAACACGGGGAAACCCGGTCTCCACTAAAAATACAAAAAATTAGCCGGGCGTGGTGGCGGGCGCCTGTAGTCCCAGCTACTCAGGAGGCTGAGGCAGGAGAATGGCGTGAACCCGGGAGGCGGAGCTTGCAGTGAGCCGAGATGGCGCCACTGCACTCCAGTCTGGGCGACAGAGCGCGACTCCATCTCAAAAAAAAAAAAAAAAAAAAAAAGAAATTTCTTTTAGCAATGCTTTATAGTTTTTTGTTTGTTTGTTTGTTTGAGATGGAGTTTCGCTCTTGTTGCCCAGGCTGGAGTTCAATGGTGTGATTTCAGTTCGCTGCAACCTCCGCCTCCCGGGTTCAAACGATTTTCTTGTCTCAGCCTCCCAAATTGCTGGGATTATAGGCATGCCCCATACCACCACGCCTAGCTAATTTTTGTATTTTTAGTAGAGACCGGGTTTCTCCATGTTGGTCAGGCTGGTCTCAAACTCCTGCTTCGGGTGATCCGCCCGCCTCAGCCTCCGGAAGTGCTGGGATTATAGGCGTGAGCCACCGCGCCTCGCCTGTTTCATAGTTCTGTTTTCTTTTGTGTTTTTGAGACGGAGTCTCGCTCTGTCGCCCAGGCTGGAGTGCAGTGGCGCCATCTCGGCTCATTGCAAGCTCCACCTCCCAGATTCAGGCCATTCTCCTGCCTCAGCCTCCTGAGTAGCTGGGACTACAGGCCCCCGCCACAACGCCCGGCTAACTTTTTGTATTTTTAGTAGAGACGGGGTTTCACTGTGTTAGCTAGGATGGTCTCGATTTCCTGACCTCGTGATCCGCCCGCCTCGGCCTCCCAAAGTGCTGGGATTACAGGCATGAGCCACCGCACCCAGCCCATGTTTTATAGTTTTTAGTGTACAATTATTTCACCTGTTTGGTTAAATTTATTCCTAAGTACTTTTTAACGCTATTATAAATGGAATGTATTTGTTAATTTCCTTTTTGTATCATTCATTGCTAGTGTATAGAAATGCAAATGATTTTTGAGTGTTGATTTTGTATCTTGCAATTCCATTAAACTAATTTATTAGCTCTAATAGTTTTTTGGGGAGTCTTTAGGGTTTTCTACGTATAAAATCATGTCATCTGAGAACAGAAATAGGTTTACTTCTTCCTTTCTGATTTAGATGTATTGTATTTCTTTCTTTTGCCTCTTTGCTCTGGCTCTTCCAATACTATGTCGAGTGTAAGTAGTGAATGTGGGCATTCTTGTTTTATGCCTTATCTTAGGGAATAGCTTTCAGTCTTTCACTGTTGAGAGTGATGTTAGCTGTGGATTTTTCAGAAATTCCTTTTATCATGGTGAAGAAGTTTACTTCTATTCCTGGTACGTTATTTTTTTTAATCATGAAAGGGTGTTAGACTTTGTCAAATGTTTTTCTGCTTTTGAAATAATCATGTGATTTTGCTCCTTCATCCTATTGGAGTGATGTATTACATAGTTTGATTTTTGGATGTTGAATCATCCTTGCACTTCAAGAATAAAACTCACTTGGTCGTGGTGTGTAATCCTTTTAATATATTGCTGAGTATGCTTTGCTGGTATTTTGTTGATGATTTTTGCATCTACATACTCTTTTTTTTTTTTTTTGATACGGAGTTTCACTTTCTTGCTCAGGTTGGAGTGCAGTGGCGTGATCTCGGCTCACTGCAACCTCTGCCTCCTGGGTTCAAGCGAGTCTCCTGCCTCAGCCTCCTGAGTAGCTGGGATTACAGGTGCCCACCACCATGCCCAGCTAATTTTTTTTAGTAGAGACAGGGTTTCACCATATTGGTCAGACTGGTCTCGAACTTTTGTCCTCGTGATCTGCCCACCTCGGCCTCCCAAAATGCTGGGATTACAAGCGTGAGCCACCATGCCTGGCCTGAATCTACGTATTCTTAAGGAATATTAGTGTGTAGTTTTCTTGTAGTGGTTTTGTCTGGCTTTGGTATCAGGGTAATTCTGGTCTCATGAAATGAATTAGGAAGTATTCCTCTTTAATTTTTTTTGGAGAGATTGAGAAGAATTGCTGCTAAATCTTTAAAGGTTTGGTGGAATTCACCAGTGAACTCATCTTGCCCTGGGCTTTCTTTGTTGGGAGACTGGATTACTGATCTAGTCTCCTTACTCATTATACGTTTATTCAGATTTTCGATTTTATCATTATTCCTTTTCTTTTGTTTTTGTTTTTGTTTTTGTTTTTGTTTTTGTTTTTGAGACAGAGTCTCACTCTGTTGCCCAGGCTGGAGTGCAGTGGCACAATCTCAGCTCACTGCAACTTCCACTTCCTGGGTTCAAGCAATTCTCCTGCCTCAGTCTCCCAAGCAGCTGGGATTACAGGTGCGCACCACCATGGCTGGCTAATTTTTGTAGTTTTTAGTAGAGATGGGGTTTCGCCATGTCGCCCAGGTTGGTCTCAATCTCCTGGGCTCAAGTGATCTGCCTGCCTCGGTCTCCCAAAGTGCTGGGATTACAGGCATGAGCCACCACGCCTGGCTCATGAGTCACTTTTGATAGATGTGCGTTCTAAGAATCTGTCCATTCCATCAAGTTATCCAATTCGTTGGCATATAAATGTTTGTAACATTCTTCTATAATTCATTTTATTTTGGTAAAATTGGTGTTAATGTCTCCACTATTTCTAATTTTAGTGATTTGAGTCTTCTTTTATTCTGAGTCAATCTAGCTGAAGGTTTGTCAATTTAGTCTTTTCAAAGTACCAACTTTTGGTTTTGAAGATTTTCTCTATTGTTTTTCTATTCTCTATCTTATTTATCTCCACTTTAATTCTTATTATTTTTTTTCCTCTGCTGGCTTTGGGTTAGTTTTCTTTTTCTAGTTCCTTAGGGTGTAAAGTTGGGTTATTAATTTGAGATTTCTTCTTTTTTTAATGTATGCATTACGGCTATGAATTTCCCTCCTAACAGTGCTTTGTCTGCCTCCCAGGTTTTGGTATGTTGTGTTTTCATTTTCATTCATTTCAAGGCATTTTTAATAAAGCTCACTGGTCCCTTACTCACCCATGTCATGGGTACTGATGAGCCCATCAAAGTAATTACTCATTCCTAAGACAGTGCTTTGGATTTCTAACATTTCCTTTTTATTTTTCTTGGAATTCTGTCAGCTTACATTACCCATCTGTTCTTGTAACTTGTCTACTTTTTCCATTAAAGCTTGTACCATATTAATGATAGTTATTTTATATTCCATCTAATAATTCCAACATCTGTGTCATATATGAATCAGCTTCTAATGATTTGTCTCTTTAGGCTTTGGTTTTTCTTGCTTTTAACAGGCTTTGTAATTTTTTTGTCTAAAGCCAGACATGTTGTACATATTGGGCCATAGGCACTGAGGTCAATAGGCTTTCAATGTTAGGGTTTATTAATCTGGCTAGGAGTTGTAATATTTGTCATAGCTTTAGGCCACCAGCTGCTTCAAATCATTCTAATGGGCTTACTTTTTCTTCTTTCTTGTCTCTGTGGCTTCCTTTCATTCTGGTCCTCAGAGAGAGAGTTTGTCTCTTAGCTCTGTTAGCTGTGACCCACTGTTATTACTGGCGCCTTGTTAGTGTGGTGGCACCATGTGCTGGCAAGTGGGGAGAGGGGTGTTCCCTTGTCTTCTTTTTTTTTTTTTTGAGATGGAGTCTTGCTGTATCGCCCAGGCTGGAGTGCAGTGGAGCCATCTCGGCTCACTGCAAACTCCGCCTCCTGGGTTCACGCCATTCTCCTGCCTCAGCCTCCTGAGTAGCTGGGACTACAGGTGCCCGCCACAATGCCCGGCTTTTTGTATTTTTAGTAGAGACGGGGTTTCACCGTGTTAGCCAGGATAGTCTCGATCTCCTGACCTCGTGATCCGCCCGCCTCGGCCTCCCAAAGTGCTGGGATTACAGGTGTGAGCCACTACGCCCAGCCTCCCTTGTCTTCTAACCTCCAATCAGGCCTCATTCTTTTAGTTTCTGTGCCTCGGCCTCAGGGTGGGGCTAATCCTTCATAGCCCTGGTCCCTTCCCTGGCCAGTGTTTCCTGCTTGCTTTCTTGAAGTCCTCTCCCTTGTTGACTATCGCTTTATTTTCCCTTAGTTGAGACCTGAAGGATGGAGAGGACTGGAGTGGGGTAGAAACCCTTTAGCTTGAAAAGGTTTCAGAATAGCCCTCAGGGAAGACTTTGTTAAGGAGAAGTTTGGAGTATCCTCTTCGGCCGGGCGCAGTGGCTCACGCCTGTAATCCCAGCACTCTGGGAGGCCGAGGCAGGTGGATCACGAGGTCAGGAGATCGAGACCATCCTGGCTAACAAGGTGAAAGCCCATCTCTACTAAAAATACAAAAATTAGCTGGGTGTGGTGGCGGGCGCCTGTAGTCCCAGCTACTCGGGAGGCTGAGGCAGTAGAATGGCGTGAACCCGGGAGGTGGAGCTTGCAGTGAGCCGAGATCACGCCATTGCACTCCAGCCTGGGCGACAAAGCGAGACTCCATCTCAAAAAAAAAAAAAAAAAAAAGAGGACCCTGTTCCCCCACCTCCCCTTGCAGGGGTAGGGGTGGAAGGAAGGGTCTTTGTTTGATCCTCACTGAAAATGTGGAGTGGTTCCTGGAGGAAAAGCCTCTGACACTGCCCATCCCCCAGCTTCTTACTGCCTTTTACTGCCCATCCCCCAGCTTCTTCAGCCTGCAACAATGTGTCAACATTGTAATTTCAGTGTTTCTACCAGCTTTGGGTATCTGGAGACTTTTGCTCCCAACCACAGGCCTTGGTTGTTGAATTTCTCTGGATGGTCTGTCTCTCCAGGTTTCTGGAAGGTTGTTTGCCCTGGGACTTCATTTTTCAGAGGGGTCAAGAAAAAAAGCTGGTGTGTCCAGCTTTTTCTTGTTGAAGGATGAGAATGGCCACTTCCAAAGCCTTTACATGTAATAATAAAAAACATCTCCGCTCCCAAAGGCAGGGTGTGTGATGTTCGTATAGGCCTGCGGTCCAGGCATCTACGCCAGGGCCCCAAAACAGTGGTCAGTGGGTGGGAGGCGGAGGCAAGAGGCGCTCTTCATTAAAAAAAAAAAAAAATGCATCTTTTCTTCGACAAGTCAGTTTCATTTTTACAATCTCGAAGAGGACTTTAGTGGTAAACACTCCAGGAATGAAGGAGTGAGTGCAGCATTATTTTAACAGCAAATGGGAAGTAACTTGAATGTCCATCAACAGGGGAATGTTTAAATTAACCGCTCCCTCCAGGAGAGCAGCTGTGCAGAAGGATGGGGGAGCTGCCCACTGCGGTGCCTGCTAAGCTAGGGAGGATGTCCTGGGCAGTAAAAATTCATTAAAGTTCACGTGTTGTAAACTAAAAATAAAATCCTAAGCCCCCCACTGACTGAACGGAATCTGCTTGGCCAAGGGGACCCCAGAAAACCCATAAAATCTAAATTATCAGCCATGATAAGAAGGGAGGGCAGACACACCTCTTTATACCCCCTCCCTTTTGGAGTTTCGGTACAACTGACCAGCATTAATGTTGAAACAGAAACCATAAAACTGACAGAAGAGACTTTTTTTTTTTTTTTGAGACAGGGTCTCACTCTGTCCCCTAGGCTGGAGTGCAGTGGCATGATCATGGCTCATTGCAGCCTCAACTTCCTGGGCTCAAGTGATCCTCCCACCTCAGCCTCCCAAGTAGCTGGGACCACAGGTGAGAGCCACTATGCCCAGCTAATTTTTGTATTTTTTGTAGAGATGGGGTTTTGCCATATTGTCCAGGCTGGTCTCAAACTCCTGGACTCAAGCAATCTTCCTGCCTTGGCCTCACAAAATGCTAGAATTACAGGTGTGAACCACTGCACCAGCCAAAACAGACTCTTTGGGGCAATAAGATGCCAAATTATAAGCAAGACCTAAGGCCATGCAAGGCCAGGGTTAAGTCAGCCTGCAGGCCAGCAATCTTGCTACATAGATAGCATTCTTACTTGAACTGAAAACTTTCCTTTCTGCTGTCTCAAAGTTTTACACAGAGCCTGCCTCCTTTCACCAATTGCAAATTAAAGAATCTCTAAAGCCACCTATAACCTGTAAGCCCTCCCTCCCACTTCAAGACATCCCACCTTTTTGGGCTGGACCAATGTATACTTCCCTGATTGATTTATATCTCCCCCCCCCCTTTTTTTCATGTTTTATTATTTTAGGTAGATTTTTCAGGCAAGTATGATTTATGTCTTTGCCTGTAATCACTGCCTCCCTAAAATGCATAAAACCAAACTGTAATCCGACTGCTTCAGGCCCACTGACTCCGGACTTCTTGGGTTTGTGTTTTCCTGGGCCCGCAGTCACTCATATTGGCTCAGGGTAAGCCTCTTGAAGATATTCCACAGAATATGATTTCTCCGTTAACAGTATGTATGTCACGGGAATGCAAAGAGTCTGACGTCTCCCACCAGGGCTGGAGAAAAGGAGGGAAGGGGCCTGTGCACTGGGGCTGTTTGGATTGGGTGTAGTCACTGTTGTGAAAACACAATCCCAGGTGGCCCTGGCTCTGGACTGAGCTCCTGCCCCAGATCCCAACAGACCAGACCAAACCCCAATGCAGTCACTTGTGCTAAATGCCACATCACCAAACTGAAACTTTAAGCAGATAGATTCCAAAACAGACCAGTTTTTCCTGGAAATGAGAGATTCCAGTGTCCTGGAGTCCGTGTGATAAGCAAGCCCCTCTGCTTCAGCCCTTACAATGAAGTCACCTGAAGTAGCCTGTTGTTAACTGATCAGCTTCTTTCCTGTTACTGTTTTTTTGCCCCCACCTTACAAAACTCAGTGTTCCGTCATTGCCTGGAGCAGCTCTCATTCTGTTTTGTAGAATGGAGGCTGCCGCATTCACCAATCACAAATAAAAGCCAATTAGATCTGTAATGAAATTTGTTGCAACTTTGTCTTCTGTCAGAGTGGATTAATTTTGTAACAACAGAGGGCTGAGGAAGGAAGGATGGAGATTCGACTTTCACTGTTTCCCTGCTGTGCCTTCTGAGTTTTGTATCCTGTGTATTTATTCCCATTCCAGAAAATAAAATAAAATAGGAAACCAAGAAAGACATGAAGCATCCTGGGATGTGGTCTGCAGTCTCTCCCTGCCTGTGCTGGCCTTCGCCCCTTCTCTTCTTCAGCGCTTCCTGCCCGTCCTCCCTGTCCTCTTCCCTCTCTCCCTCCTGGCCCTACCCAATGTTCCCAGCTTCCCAGCACAACGTGGCAGTGGCAGGTTGGAAGCCCCAGTGCACGGCCCCTGGGCAAACCCCTTTTCCACAACCTGTGGGACTCTGGGAGCCTGGGCGAGCCACTCAAGCTCTGTGGGACAGCTGTGAGCTTAGGGCAACTGGACTGACTTCTCAGGATTTTATTTCACGTGGGGAAATCTGCTGTCACCTCTACAGCCATCCATGTGTGGATGAGAGGGCTGGAAATGACCAGGGAGGTCTGAACATGCCCAGCCAGCCTCTTCTGCTCCCGGCACTGGGCTAGGCACGTGTCCCGGGAGCTGGGCTTGAAGTTCCCTTCTTTATCCACAGTGGGTCACCCTGAGGCCTGCAGGGAAAAACAGGCTGAGGGTGGGGTGCAGACAGAGAGAGATCACCCTGAGGGAGCTCACGCTGCCCCCTCCATCCCCCAGCAGGGTGCCTAGCAGGCCACTCCTGGGACCCCAGGCCCAGATGCTGAATTCGAATCTGGGGTTCTGAGGTTGTCTATAGTGCCCCCAAGTGGAGAGCCGAGGCCAGTGGGTCCTCCCAGGAGGCATGGCCCTGCAGCCGGGTCACTGTAGACCACGCCTCCACATGGCCCGGGTCCTGGGCACCCTTTGCTCCTCTCTGGACCCTAGGCCCTCCTGACCACTCCCTGACCGCCTGGATTCCTGCCCTTCCCAGCGCCGTTGGGCCTGGCTGGGCTCTCCATCACCACGAGTCACCGCATCACAGCATGGCACAAGGGAGTGTTCTGTCTCTGCCAGCGGGGAGGCGGCTGGCACTCAGGCCAGAGTCGCCCTCCAGACACAAGGCTTATGGTCAACAAGAAATCAGAAAAGCACGCACAACCTTTTGACACTTCATTCTTTCAACAAGGATTTACAGAGCGGCTACTCCCTCAGGTGCAGCACAAAGCCCCAGGCTGGGGTTGAGTCAGGGCAGCCTCCCCCTGGGTGCTCAGCCTGCTGGAGGGCCACTTGTGGCTGGCACCCAAGGGTGCTCTGACATCTGGAGCCTGAAAGCAGGAAGGGCTGAGGGCTCTGAGGGGGGACTTCACTGCAGGAGCTCAGTGAGAGGTTCTGGAGCTTGAGGAAGAGCAGGGCCTTTGGAGCTGGGACGGGACAAAACCCATCACCTCACACACTAATAACTGTGGGCAAGTCACACCAGCACCCTGTGCCTCCGTGTCCAGGTCTGAAAAATGGGGCTGACAACTGCATTGAGGTTGATGCAAGGATCAGGTAAGCGAATCTGGTGAAACTTGCCCCCAGCTCGGCTCAGTGATGCTGCTGTGGTCCTGTGTGTGAGTCTTGGGAGGAGGGCTCAGATGTGGCTCCACAGGGGCTCCAGATCTGGACGGGCCTGGTCAGAAGCCTTGCTGCACACTTTGGAACCTGTGATGTGCAGCCTGTGTCCTGCTTGCAGCAGGCCTCAGGGAGCCCTGGTGAGAGAGGGCCACCGGAGACCAAGCGTCAGGCAGTCAGGAGAGGCACTGACCAGCGTCCCCTGGTGGGAGGGCCACCCTCAGCTACAGATCCTGTGCTGCCTTCTTCTCGAGCCAGGACAGCACAACTCACGCTCCTCTTGGTGGGAGCTCTGCATGAGATGGGATTTCCCTAGCACTTTGCCTGCGACCTGACTGACCCCTTTTCCTGTGCTGATCTTTCCTCCAGAAACCCATTTCATGGCTGCCTGTGGAGCCCAATCCTGGCATCTTGCTGAGGTGTGCTGGTTGAGGTAGAAGCTAATCTTGGAGAATGTGGATGGCCCATCTGTCCCTGCACCTGCTGGCCTGACACTGGCCCAGGACGGACACCTGTCCCTCCTACAGACACCAGCCACCTTCTCCCTTCATGGTTCTGAATGTCGGGGTGCTGCACATGTGTTGTGACATTTTGGGGAGTGAGGTCCACAGCCCCATTCGAAGTTTTCCTGAAGGGGAATGGCGATCTGACAGCGTGGAGGGAGTGGAGTCAAAAGCCTTTGTTACTTGCAGGCAGAGCCGAGGAGAATCCATTGGCTTCTTCCCAAAAAGCATTTGGCCATCCATGGCTCTAGTTAGAGAGTGCAAGCGGAGGGAAATCATTGTTTGTAGGGGATGATTCGTGACAAATAATCTAGCACTGCCCATCAACAAGGGTGGGAGGGTCCCGCCAGCCCTGGCAGGGCGCACAGGGATGCATGATGCTGGCTGGCTCACTCCTGTCATCCAGCACTGTGGGAGGCTGAGATTTTGAGACATTTTAGTTGAGGAGATTTTGAGACATTTTAGCTGAGGCAACATGGCGAAAACCCGTCTCTACAAAAAAATAGAAAAATTAGCCAGGCAAGGTGGCGCACGCCTGTAGTCCCAGCTACTTGGGAGGCTGAGGTGGGAGGACTGCTTGAGCCCAGGAGGTAGAGGCTGCAGTGAGCCAAGACTGTGCCACTGCACTCCCATTCCCACCTGGGCAACAAAGTGAGACCCTGTCTCAAAAAAAAAAAAAAAAAAAAAAAAAGCAGCAGCAGATGCTGGTGCCATGCCTCTACACCTGCAGAATTACAAGCCAAATAAACTTCTTTACTTTATAAATGATCTGGTCACAGTTATCCTTTATAGCAACACAAAACAGTAATACAATGTTCCTGAGGGGACGCCCTTCAGGCCCTCAGCATGTTGTAGCCACCTGTCCTGGGGCAGCGAGTAGGCCAGACTGGGGCCAGATTGAGGCCGGTTCAGTGGGCCCTCCTAAGGTCGGCTCCCCCACCCGTCTCCCACCCTGAGCCTCACAGTCCTCACACAAGTTTGGATCATTATTCTAAAAGACATAATCCCAAACACTGGTCCCCAACATTGAAATACTGAAAGACGCAAATCTCTAAAGTTTCAAATCCCTAACATCTAAAGTCTTAAAAATCACAATCCCGGGATAGTTGCATCATGTTAGGTGGAGCTACTGCCTTGCTTGGGGCTTTATTTGGAGACTGAAAATGGTTTAAGGGGATGCGGATGGATGCCAAGTTGACAAGGGGTGGACCTGTGGACTTCATTTTGGGTGTGAACTCGACTGGGTTAAGGGATACCTAGAGACCTGGGAGATCATTATTCTGGGCATGTCTGTGAGGTGTTTCCAGAGATTAGTGTGTGAATCTGAGGGGCCTAGGTGTGGAAGATCCACCCTCAATGTTGGTGGGCAGCATTCAATCTGCTGAGGCCCAGGGAGAACAAATAAAGAAGGCAAACTGGTCTCTCTCTCAGAGCTGGGACAGGCTTTTCTTCCACTGCCTTGACATCAGAGCTTCAGGCTCGCTGGCCTTTGGACTCTGGAACTTACACCCATGGCCCTCCTGGGTCCTGAGGCTTTCGTCCTGAGCCACCCTGCCGGCATCCCAGGTTGACTGTGTGTGTAAGCATTGTGCGTGTGTATAAAAACGTCAAAACTTCCTCAATAAATGAAGAGATGTAATTTTTGTACATCTGCAATTGTGAGAGATGAAAGTTCTTGCCATCTCCGCTCTTTGGGCAACTGTGTGTGTGGTGGTGACGCATCATAGATTGACTTCGTCAAAAGACTTAGGTTGTTGGTCATGATATGACTGCAAGTATAAAGCGAGGTGCACACAATTACCAAGCATAGTGACATGCATGTATACATTTCCCATTTTGACCTATTTCTTCATGAATATAGTTTGTCTGCTAATAACTCACACCGGTGTAACTGTCTGTATACCTGTTTATGCTTCCAAAAATATGTATTATTGCCTATTTTATTGTGTGAAGTGGCTGATGTGTTCTGTTGTGTTTTTATGTTTCTCAAATAAATCCTTTTAAAATGTAAGTATCTTTTAAAAAATTAAAAAAAAATTTTCCCAGAATTATATTTCCAGGATTTAGATCTTTTGGGATTGTGATTTTCGGATTTTAGAGTATAGTAATTTTAATATTTTGGATTCTCAACACTTGGGACTATGGCATTTGGGATTGCGTCTTTTGGGATTCACACACATCCCAGGCAGACTCATTGGCTCTCTGCTTCCCATTTACAATGTGCAGCTCTTTCTCCCCCTCAGTTTCAAGCCCTAGCCCCTCTCTCCAGCCCCTGCATGAGGAGCAGCTAGGTGGTTGCAGCTTCGCGCTGTCTTTGGCGGTGGGCTGCCTGAGCTGGTGGGTTCAGGCAAGGATGCCTCCACATGAACATGCTACCCTCTGCATGCCTGAGTCCTGCCACCCCCCACCCCCAACACAGTCCCCACATCAGGGACAAAAGATAGAGATTTGAGTCCTAGGCTCTCCTGAAAGTGGTCATGAAGACACATGCAGTTCCTGGTGCATGTGAGCCTGTCCTACAGATGGGGCTCAGCCATGGCTGGCCCAGAGGCCCCCACTTCTGGCTGGCCACAGAGGAGGCCCTCACGGGCCAGGAGGCTGCAGCGGCATTCTGGGGCACTTGCAGAGACCCCCCCTTCCTGCTGGCTGTTCAAAGTGAGGCCCAGGCTTTCTGGATGGTGGCCCTGGGAACTCCACCGGGCAGCAGGGGCTGAGCGGGGCTCAGAGTCCAGCTGGCTGCCGTGTGCCACCTGCTCCACAGCCTCTGTGCTGAGCTGCAAGGGCTGGTCCTCCACAGAGGCCCAGGCCTGGACACCTAGCCCGGTGGGCTCCACCCTGAGCCAGCTCAGGTCCTGGACACGATCTCGACACCTCTGGTCCTGTGTGCTGGCTGAGTAGGGTAGGCCATGGATGGTGGTCATGCTGGGGGAGCTGCTGGACTGTTTCTGCTCCAGCATGTCAGGGCCCCTGGCCCAGCGCTGCCCAAAGAGCCCACTGCCCATGTCTTGCCTTGGAGGCCATGCGGCCGGGGGCTGTTCGTTTGAGCTGATCTTCAGGGCTGCCACACGGGCCACACAGCCTGCCAGCATGGGCTCTGCATCCAGAGTGTCACCTCCGTGACCTGGCCTCCAGGGGCCTCGGAAACACCCCAGGACCCCTGGTGGCCCAGGCTCCTTCTGGGAGCAGGGCCAGGTAGAAGGAACTGGGGCCTTATTTTTACCGGAAGTATCTGTTGTCGAAGTGGCTGCAGACTCCATAGAGGAGAACAAGCCTTCAGAGTGACCTCGTGTCTCTTCCTCTCGAGAGGCATCCCTGGACAGTGTGCCAGTCCCTTGTGTGGCCCCTCCGAGGGCCTTGCTCTCTCCGGCGAGCAGGCCTGTGGTGCCCGGGTGTGCCCACAGCTCCTGCCTGCTGGGTGCTGAGCAAACTGTCGCCCCCCCTGCATCTGAGGCCAGGCCCTCCCTGCCCCCCAGCTTCTCTGTGGGTGCCCTAGGGGCTCCCTGGGAACCAGGTGGAGCTGCAGGCTGCCCAGGGGTGGGTGGGGCACGGGGCGTGGGGCCTCGGCGCAGCCAGCTGACGATGCCCATGGTGATGGCGAGCTCAGTGTCACACAGCTTCAGCAGGCACTCCTTGCCCTTCCAGGAGCTCTGTAGGAAGCCCTGGCTGAGCAGGTCAGGGCCTGGTGCTGGGGCCAAGTTCTCCTCGGCCCCCACTCGGAAGCTGCATATGGACAGTGGCGTCCCCAGGGCCGGCCCTGACAGACTCTCAGACACGCACAGGTCATCATCTGGGCTGGGGCCAAGAGGACCCTCGCTGGGGTCGTGGAAGAGCTCGTAGAGGGCGTCCCCACTGTAGCTGTCCCGTGGGAAGGTGGCGGCAGGAGTGCCTGGGCTCTCAGCTTCCTTCTTGTCCTCCTCAAGTCCTGGCGAGAAGGAATCATAGTAGCCCTCGTCACTTGTGGACACGGATTCGGGCTGCTCGCTCTTGGGGGTGCCTGTGTCGATGGAGCTGGCTTTGGAGCCGCTGCGAGGGTCCCTGCAGGGGCAGAGGGGCAGCTCAGCGAGCCCAGCTGTGTCCAGCCGGGATTGGTCCCTGTCTGTCCCCTGGGGGCCTGAAAGCCACGGGCCTAGGAGGGCACGCTGCTGCTGACGCACTGAGCGATTCACACTGTCCCAGAACCTGGTGAAGTCAGAGGCTTCATTCTGGGCGGGCGAGGCCAGCTGCTCCACACTGCCCTGGAGAGGGCCCCTGGGAACCTTGCTCTCCAGGCCCTGAGCAGCCTGGGTTGGGCTCTCCGGGCCCTCGTTCAGCTCCAGAGATGGCACCGAGCTCTCATCTGCGAACACCTCCCCACAACCCGTGAGCGAGTCGAAGCTCTGGAGTGAGGCCACGTCCTCACACAGGGCCCTGCAGAGACCAAAGGATGCATCGGCCAGGAGCTCGCTGTCCAACAGGTCCTGGCACAGGCCGTCCAGCCCCGGCCCCTCACCCGGGGGGAGGAAGGCTTTGCTTCGCCGCCCCCCAGGGTCTGACGGGTCCCCTGGGGAGGGCAGGCTTTTCCCCTCGGCCGCCAGCGAGGCCAAGTCCTCAGTCTTGTTTCTCCGAATGTGGAATAGGTTCCGAAAGCACTTCTTGGGCCTCTTCAGGGAAATCCTCTTCCTCGGGATGCTCTTGGCCACAGCTGGCACAAAGGGCATCTGGGGCACAAAGTGGCGGTAGTCGATCATGCGCCGGCTGCCCGGGGAGCCCGGGAAGCTTGCACTGCCCACCAGCTGCCCTGTGGCAGCCGTGGCCCTGCCTGCCCCAGACATGCTGTCGTGAGTCTTGCACTTTCGCACCGGTTTGAAGGTGGCTCCACAGAGGGCTGCGGGTCCCCCTTTGGGGTCCAGCTGCGCCCCTTTGTTGGGGCATCTGTCGTATTCTTGGGCACTGGGGCTGGCTTGGGGGCCCTTCTCACTGTGGGGCCTCTGTTGCCCTCCTGGAAGGACTGACCAGGGGCCTGTCCCCTCCCTGGCTGCAGCCACGGCTGCTGGGTCTGGGGGTTTCTCGTGGGAAACCTGCAGGCTGGACTTGATGAAGGTCTTTCCTCTCTTCAGCTCCATGCTGCCAGTGCCCCAGCTGCTGTGGAGGAAAGCAGGAGGCACTCAGTATCATAGACGGGAGGGCCCTGGGCTCTGGAAGACCCTGCCTACCCCTCTCACACAGCTCACTCTCTGCAGGGGCCTCTGTCCCAGGAGATCCTCCTTGCAGGTGGGGGAGAAAGATGGGAGCAGCCCTAACAGCACACAGTAGGAGCCAAAATGAGAGCTGCCTGGGGCCTGGTGACTGCTGCACCCATGAGTGCTTGACTCTCCCAATCCCCCTTTTAGCTCATTTGGCCCATTCAGACTCCGTGTTCTGTGTAGAGTGCCCAGCGTTCTACAAACAGCTCCTTAGTGTATCCGTAGCAGGTCCTTAGGAGTGGGTGTCATGGCCCTTCTGAGTGGATGGGCGGAGGATCCAATTAGGGCAGTGGCCTCCTTCATCAGGCAGCTAAAGGGACACCCACACCTGCCTGCTTCCTGGGCTGAAGGCAGCTGGCCCTCAGCTGGGGCTATGGGGGTGTGCATATTGCAGACTCCAGGACTGTGTGCCTGTGCAGGGAGGCAAGACTCTATCTACAGATGCCATCAGGCAAGACACAGCCCAGAACTTCATGGTGCAAGAGCATGGACACAGAGGAACCAGAGCATCGTGGTGGGAGGTGAGCATGGGACACAGGGTGGGCAGGCAGAGCTGCAAGGGTAGGCAGCCACCACCTTTTGTGCACACATCACCGAGGCATACTGATGCCTGCAGTGCCATGCAGAGAAGGTTTCTGATGCCTGGTCTGAGTTCAATGGGAAAGGGTCCTGGGATCTGCCCTGGGCATGGAGGTGGACAGATGGCAGCAGTGCTAGCCAATTGACTGTCCCGGCCCAGTTAGGGCATCCGGCCCTACACTGAGATCAGTGGGGAGCTACAGCCATCTTCCTGTGGGTGGGTAGGAGCAGGGACTTTAATGAAGTTGGCGGTCTAGGGCCACGCACCTGACCTCCGAGTGGAGGACAGAAAAAATGAATTGTGAGCAGAGAGGACTTGCCAGAGGCAGTCCCAATGGACTGAGGATGGGGAGCAAGGCAGATGGCGGCTGCAGGGGTAATGTAGGGTCTTCCAAAGGGAAGAATGCCAGGGCTCACCGACAGCAGGGATAGAGAAGCAGGCAGGGAGTTCTGAAGGCCAAGGCTTGGATCTACACCAACAGCGTGGGACAGCTCGAGGAGGGAAATGAGCGAAGGAGGAGGGAGCTGAGCCAAGGTGAAAGAAGAGCTAGGGTTTAGTTTTTAAACATGCTGCCTTGGGGTGTGTTGTGGAGACCTTCAGTACCCAGGAAGAGAGGGCAGACTGAGTCCCTCCCCTCTGTTCCCCTCACCATGTCCTCAGGCCCTGGACTCAGCCTGCTCCTATCACCCAAAATACCTCTGTCTGCCAGGGTCTCCACCTTTCTTGGTAGTGAGTGGCCTGACAGTCAGTACTCTGTCAGTCTGGCCAGGAAGAGACTGCGGCTGGCTCCTTCGCCTCTCCATAAGGACTACACGGAGGCAACCCTGCACTCATCCCCCAGCTCCTGGCTGTGAGGAAGCCTGCAGCAGGCATGAACATGACCTGGGGCTCCATCAGCCGGTGTGCCTTTCACACCCCACCCCAAGTAAGCTTTGCAGCTACCTGCCAGAGACCCTGAAATGCTTCTTCATGAGGACCCAGGGGGGCGAGGGACTGCCTCATAGCCCAGTGGGCACGTTGAGGCCAAGAAAATGGGAAGGGGTGGAAGAGCTGACACTGCAGGGGCTGGCAGGGGCAAGCTGACCAGGCTCCACCCGCTCCCACCCAAGGGAAGTGCTTCCTCGGAAGCACCTCAGACTTTTGGTTGGAGGATGAGAAGAAGTAGGCACCATGCCAGGAGAGCCACAGAACCTGGGCTGGGCTCCAGCTGCAGCTCAGCTGTTGCTAGTGGCACCCTGGACAGAGGGAGACTGCCCTGAGCAGCCACACTGGCTTTTCTGCCTCATGCCAGATGGTGTATGCCTAAGTCTTTCCCACCCTGCACCTGCAGACTTTCTACTCTGCACAATCCTTTGCAGCCGTGATAAGGCCTCCGAAGCTCTGCTGGGCTTTGCTGCACACAGCACAGGGCTTACTCTCCAAGCTGTGGCTCAGATGACCCTGGCTGGAGTCTTGGTTACACCCACCTAACCAGGCAGACAGCTTGGCCCATAACTGTATGAGGGGCAAACTACTGTAACCCCCATTTTACAAAGGATAAATTCAGATTCAGAAAAGTCAATGAACTGACCCAAGTCACACAGGTGTTAAGTGACAGAGTTGGGATCTGAACCCAGGTCTATCTGATTCTGAACCTGACAGTCTATAAACCGACAGCTCAGACTCTTTTGTGGGAAATCTAAAAGTAGAATAATAAATGTGTTTTCATGAAAAATATTGTAAAACACAATGAAAGTGAAGATTAAAAGCAAGAAGGGTAGCTCACACAGATTTAGAAAAATTATAATTGAAGGTAATAATAATTCCTATGGCAGGAAATTTTGGAAATATTCATTATGAGATCTCTATTTCCCTTATTCTTTTCTATGTTTTGGAAAAATCTTTTGATTGACATTCTGTTGGATATAACTTCAGCCAGGCACAGCAAGGATTATTTCACCTTGTGCAGAATTTTGCAACTGCAAGAACAAAAATGTTTTATTTGATATAGATGTCTATAAATAAAACTACCAGTTTCTCAGTTCTCATAACAGTCAACTGATTTAAAATCATGAACAGTTGGAAATTTCACTCCACTCTGAACTTGAAAAATGATCCTTTAAAATAACTGTCATTGCTATAGATGGCTGGACTCAGTGACACTAACAATGCCAAGCCCATCTCCTGAGTTTATTGAGCACTTTGCATAGAGACAGGACAATAAGTGTAGGATACAGAATGAGGAACCAGAGGCTTAGCAATACTGGAGCATCCCATGAACTCTAGTCTGTGTTCGGTCCAGTCCAAATCCATATTAAAATGTTTTATCGGAACCTGTCTCTTTGGAAATGTGTGACCTATGATGGGGGTGGGAACTCCCTGGGTGGTTGGAGGGCCCACTGCCTGGCTGGAGGCAGACTGAGAAGTCAACTTCTGTGACAATTCTCTGGGGCAGAATGGGATTTATGTGGACAGCCAGATGCTGGCCTTGTCACTGCCTGAGGGCAGAGGCCAAATGTGTCCAGGTTCTCAGTTGCAAAAATGCACACTGTTTTGTAACCCTGTGGCTATAGACCCGTCAGTGGAACCCCAGCAAGAAACATGACAGGTCCACTCCCACAAGTGCCACATCCCTCCCCCAAGGAGGGTTCAGACCCGTCCCTACCCTTCGGGTGCCTTCTTGTCTGCAGGGCTCAGCAACCACCAACTATTCATTCTGGTGCTTGATTGCACTCCCCAACGAGATTGAAAATTCTTTAAGGTCCAGGACTCCAACTATAGTAGGCGGTGAGCTATTACTTAGTTAAATGAACTATTTTATATTTGAGATATCTTAGTCAAATGTTTACACCTAAGTTCCCTAAACAGGATGCAGAGTCTGAGATTTTAATTCTGTGATACAGTTTATGTGGATCATTTTCTTCTCTCCTTCCTTCCTTCCTTCTTTCCTTCCTTCCCTCCCTCCTTCTTTCTTTCTCCTTCCTTCCTTCCTTCCTTTCCTTTCTCTCTCTCTCTCTTTCCTTCTTTCCTTCTTTCTTTTCTCCCTCTGTTGCCCAGGCTTGAGTGCAGTGGTGTGATCAAGGCTCACTGCAACCTCCGTCTCCTGGGTTCAAGCGATTCCCCTGCTTCAGCCTCCTGAATAGCTGGGACTACAGGCACGCACCACCACGCCCAGTTAATTTTTTTTTTCTTAATTTTAGTAGAGATGGGGTTTCATCATGTTGGCCAGGATGGTGGGTTTTTTGTTTTGTTTTGTTTTTTTGATGGAATCTCGCTCTGTCGCCCAGGCTGGAGTGCAGTGGCGTGATCTTGGCTCACTGCAAGCTCCACCTCGCGGGTTCACACCATTCTCCTGCCTCAGCCTCCTGAGTAGCTGGGACTACAGGCACCCGCCACCATGCCCGGCTAATTTTTTTTGTACTTTTAGTAGAGACGGGGTTTCACCGTGTTAGCCAGGATGGTCTTGATCTCTTGACCTTGTGATCCTCCCACCTAGGCCTCCCAAAGTACCAGGATTACAGGCGTAAGCCACCGCTCCCGGCCTATGTGCATCATTTTTTAAGACAGCATTGACACCAGGACCCTGGGCTGAGTCTTTCATCTCTAAGACGAACTTGCAAGTTCCATGGGAACAGGGACCACACAATGTATTTACTTAATTAATTCTGTTACAGGGATGTGATATTTAAACCAAACTTAAAAGACAGAAGAGGACAGCCAGGCAAAAGACATTGGACACATATTCCAGGCAGAGAGAACACCCTTCAGAAAGGCCCCGAGGAGCAAGAGAAGTAGAATATTTAAGGATCTGAAAGCAGCTCAAGTGACCAGAGCAGCAAGCCAGAGGGATGAGGCCTGGAGATGGGCTGTACACACCACACCCGGCCTGAGGTCTCAGCGAGGGCCGTGCTTTTATCTGCAAGCCACAGGGAGCCAACCTTCCAGGGCAAGTGACGGGCCAATTCTCACTTTCAAAGATGCAGGTGAAAATGGACAGCGGAGACACAGAGGCGAGTTAGGAGCCCAAGCAGGGTTTAGGGGAGAGAAGGTGGTGGCAGAGACTCCTCTGTCTGTGCACCTCCCATCACAGTGTTTTACACGGCACACACAGACATGGATTTATTGCAAATTGGGCAAATGAAGTTATTCTACTGGTTGCTTTTCTACATGACCAACTCAGGCTTAGCTGCCCAGCTTTTTCTTTTTCCTTTGAGAAGGTAATTCCGTGGCTTTTTTTTTCCTTTCTTAACCTGAAAGTGTCCCGGTGTTTGATTTCATGGAGCAAAATAAAAACCCTGGAGGAATACACATGCCACAGAAACGCCTTGAGACAAAAAAACGTTTGGCTAATAGTTTTGGTATTTTCTATGCCTTCCCCGGTATGCAGGAAAGTCACAGCAGTGTGATACAAAGGAGTGTATGGTGATAAAAAAGCGCAGGCCCAGGGACCTCTGGAAACTGGGCTGGCGGTAGAGCTATGGGGCAATAGCGTTCTCAGTAGTAGGCTGCCTTGTCATGGGAGGGCTGGAGTGAGGGCCACTGTGCGGAGGGAAAGCGACCGTGCTCTGGGGTGGGGGTGGGAATGGGGAATAAAACAGAAATAGAATCTGCGGTGAGAGCACCACCAAGCCACCCAACCCCCACACTGGGGAGACAAAGGGCCCTCTGGGGAGGGAAGGTCCTGGCCCACCTCCTTGGAGGGCGCCTCTGGGCGGTCCTGGCCTGCCCAGGGGCAAGGAGATGGGCCTCACAGCGATATTGGCTCTCCCTCAGCTCCTGCATCCGCCGGCGGAGGGTTTCTCCGCTTCCCTAGCCCAGACCTAAAAGGGTCACCGCTCCCAGGCCCCTGACTGCGCCGGGAACCGCTGGGTGGAGGGTGTCGACCCTGCTTCCTGCCCTCAGCCCGTCCATCGCGCCAGAGAATGCACCAAATTCCCCAATCCTTGCCCTCCCCGGGGGTCCACATCCGCGGGGCAGGACCAACGCAGCCTCTCGGGGCCTTGGCGACTTACCGCTGGGGGCCCGCAGTGCAGCAGGGCGCGGCCGCGACAGGCTCGGGCACCGCGTCGGAGCGCGAGCCGCGCTCAGCACCACGGTCAGCTCCCGGCGCCGCGCGCCGCGGCCGGGAGGGGGAGGCCCGGCGCCCGCACCCACCCACCGCGGCTCCAGGGGCCCCGCGGGGTCGGGCAGGCGAGGGTTAAGCCGCCAGAGGCCAGCGGGAGGGGCGGGCCGGCGCTGGCGCGCAGGGGTGGCGAGGGGGCGCGCCGGCCGCGGTGGGGGCTGCTCCGCCAGGCTGCCGCCTCCCTGCGCCGCCGCTCGGGCCGCGCTCGAGCCGGCTTTGTCTGTTCGTATCGCCCCGTCTCTGTTTCTGGGTGTCTCTGCCTCCCACCCGGTTGCGGCTGCGCCTCCCTCAGGTGCAGTCGTCTCCCCTCGCCCCCGTGCGCACGGCGCCCCCGCCGCTGTCCCCTCTTCCGGGAGCGCACAGGTGTGGGAGCCCCTCCCCCTCAGCCCAGAGAGCCAGCCCAGCCCTGCCGACCGCAGCACTCTCGGAAGGGCTCGGCCACCCGGAGCCTCGTCACGAGTCTTACCCAGGGTTCGGAGCGGGCCTGCAAGAAGGGGCAGGCCAGGCTGGGGCTGCAAGGCAGGGTCTTCCCTTGGAGAAGGGACCTGACTCTATTATTAAGAGAACGAAAGAGGCACTTGCCCTACAGGTACTCACTGTGTGGGGTCTACTGGTGCTGTGCTCTGCCGCAGTCTTGAGGGAGGAGCAGAAATGCTGTGGGGACTCTGTCTCCGCAGAACTGAGGACGAGGGGTCTGCACGCGTGGTTCAGTGCCTGGGGCTGGGGTGGATTAAGTAACTCCAGGAAGGCTCAGGCAGCAGTGCCAGTAGTGTGGGGCGGGGTTGTGGGGAGGAGGGGGGAGCGGGAGCGCACAGTCGGTGCTGGGGAGAGGCTGATGCCAACAGGAGGCTCTCGGCCGTGGTGTGCCCAGGCGGGGCAGGACGGGAGGATGCAGGAGTCCCGGGTCCACGCTGAGGCTAAGGCTGAAGGGAAGGCAGAGCTCAGGTGGATGACGGAGGCCAGGCCTTTCCCTGAGCTTGGTGGGCTCCCTCCCGGTCACCTTGTCTGAGAACCCAGGACACAGAGTCCCCTTGCTTTGGACTGGTTTGGTTTGTCATTCCCCTTGACATCGCCTCGCCCCAGAGACAAGAGGCCCCTTCATCCTCCAGCCAAGACCTTCCCCACCCTTGGGTGACCTACCCTCTTGCATTTTTTAGATTTGAGCCCTCTTTCTATGCAGCGACTAACTCAACGTGACCCCAGAGGCCCCCTCGCCCATGTTGCTGGTAGTCTTGACCTTTTTTGGCAGATCCTGGCTGTGGGAGTTCCCTGTCTTTCTCTTAGGTAGGACAGAAGGCAGTTTCTGCCTCGTTGCCACATACACCCCAAGTCAGGGGTAGGACTCCCGCAGACCCCACAGTCCTCCTCTTGTTAAAATTAGTAAGCATTAGCCTTCCTTATTAGGCTCTCCCCGCTTTTGCATTTAAGGATTTTTTAATGTGTCTTATAAAATCATGTAATTGTGAGGATAATTACAGATTCAGCTTCTTCCAGTGAGTGACAATTGCTCATTTTCGATGCTCACATGGTCATCGTTCGGCCACTGCAAACTGTTCCAACCCTTCTACTTTGTCATTTCAGACAGTTTTCAAACACCCCTAACTTTTGGGTAACATGAAAATATATATTTCAAATTTTTTATTTCCCCAAGATGTGGGATCAGGTCTTCCCCAGGGACTCCTGGAAAAATCTTTTACACTAGGCTACCCAGTTCAGATACCACTGAATGATTTTTCTTAAATATTATTCTAATGTGAACTTACATTTTATTTTTACAATACACTGACTTACACGCCTGTAATCCCAGCACTTTGGGAGGTCCAGACGGGCGGATCACAAGGTCAGGAGATCAAGACCATCCTGGCTAACATGGCAAAACCCCCTCTCTACTAAAAGTACAAAAAAAATTAGCCAGGCATGGTGGTGGGCGCCTGTAGTCCCAGCTACTCAGGAGGCTGAGGCAGGAGAATGGCGTGAACCCAGGAGGTGGAGCTTGCAGTGAGCCGAGATTGTGCCACTGCACTCCAGCCTGGGTGACAGAGCGAGACTCTGTCTCAAAAAAAAAAAAAAAACAAACAAAAAAACACACACAAAACACTGACTTAGATTTCTCATCTGTGTTTTTGAGCAGTGGCTGTAAACCTTTTCTTTCCTGGAACTAGCTTTCTGGTCACTTGGTTGTCCCCAGGGTCTCAGACCTTCTGGCCACACCACCCCTTGCTTTCTTGGCAGGCCAAAGAGTTGACTGTGGGCACAAATGAGTCGGCCATCCACTGTGCCAGTCACGTCAGCTGCATTTGTGGGGTACCATCAGACCTACTGCTTTGAGCTGTTTCTTTTTCTTTTAAAATTTTCAATATTTAAAAACTTTTTTATTTCATATTTCCAAACAGTGAACAGTTGGTTTCTTTTTCTTAAAAAAATTTTTATCTTATTTTTTGAGATGGAGTTTCACTCTTCTTGCCCAGGCTGGAGTTCAATGGTGTGATCTTGGCTCACTGCAACCTCCACCTCCCGGGTTCAAGTGATTCTCCTGCCTCAGCCTCCTGAGTAGCTGGGATTACAGGCATGCAGCACCACGCCTGGCTAATTTTGTATTTTTAGTAAAGACAGGGTTTCTCCATGTTGGTCAGGCTGGCCTCAAACTCCCAATCTCAGGTGATCTGCCCTCCTCGCCTCCCAAAGTGCTGGGATTACAGGCGTGAGCCACCACGCCCGGCCGGTTTCTTTTTCTTTATTGTGGTAAAATATACATAATATGAAATTTACCATTTACCCCTTTTTAAGTGTACAGTTCAGTGGCATTTACACTCACACTGTTGTGCAACCATCACCACAGTCTATTGCCAAAACACGTTCCTGACCCCAACAGAAATTCTGTACCCATTAAGCACTAAAACTCCATTCTCCTCTCCCCGTAGCTGCTGGGAACCACTATTCTACTTTTCTCTGATTTTGACCACTCTAGGTACCTCATAGAAGTGGAATCATACAGTATCTGTCTTTTTGTGGCTGGCTTATTTCACTTAGCATAATGTTTTGAGGGTGTATCCGTGTTGCAGCATGTATCAGAATATCCTTCCTTTTTAAGAGTGGATATTATTCCATTGTGTGTAGAGACCACATTTTGTTTATCCATTCATCTGTCAATGGACCGTTTGGGTTGCACCACCTTTGGCTATTGTGAATAATGCTATTATAAGCAGCAATGTACAAATACCTGTTTAGGTTCCTGCTTTTGGTTCTTTGGAATATAAACCACAGAAGTGCCATATTGGAGTCATAATGGTTTCTATGTTTAATTTTCTGAGGAACTATCATACTGTTCTCCACTGTGTACAATTTGACATCCCACCAGCAATGTAGAGCATTTTTCCATATCCTCGCCAACATGTTGTTTTCTGTGTGTTTTTGTTTGTTTGTTATTTGTTTATAAATAGTAGCCATCCATTAGGATGGCTGTGAAGTCGTATATCATTGTGGTTTTGATTTGTATTTTCCTAATGATTAGTGATATTGAGCATCTTTTCATATGCTTATTGGCCATTTGTATATATTCTTTGGAGAAGTATCTATTCAAGTCCTTTCTCCATTTTTAATTAGATTGTTTGTCTTTATTGTTGAGTTCTAGGAGTTGTTTATATATTCTGGATGTTAATCCCCTACCCAGTAGATGATTTGCAAATATTTTTTCTCATTCTGTGGATTGCCTTGTCACTCTTGATGAGTGGTTTTCATTAATTTTGATAAAGTCCAGGTTATTTATTTTGTGTATTATTTCTTGAACTTTTGGTGTCATATCAAATAAATCATTGCAAAATCCAATGTCACAAAGATTTTCTAGGTTTTCTTGTAAAAGTTTTATACTTTTAGCTCTTCGATCAATTTTTAGTTAATTTTTGTATATGGCAGAAGGTAAGAGTCCAGTTTCATTTTTTGATGTGACTATTCAGTTTTCCCAGCATAATTTGTTGAAAAGACTGTCCTTTCTCCATTGAATGGTCTTGGCATCCTTGTTGAAAATCATTTGACTAAATACCTGAGGATTTGTTTCTGGGCTCTCTATCCTATTTTATCGGTCTGTATGTCTGTCTTTGTACCACACTGTTTCGATTACTGTAGCTTTGTCCCAGTCTACTTTTGTAAGCATTCAAACCCATTTATTTATTTATTTATTTATTTATTTATTTATTTAAGATGGAGTCTCGCTCTGTCACCCAGGCTGGAGTGCAGTGGTGCAGTCTCGGCTCACTGCCAGCTCCGCCTCCCTGTTTCACGCCATTCTCCTGCCTCAGCCTCCCGAGTAGCTGGGATTACAGGTGCCCGCCACTTGTATTTTTAGTAGAGATGGGGTTTTCACTGAGTTAGCCAAGATGATCTCGAGCTCTTGACCTCGTGATCCGCCTGCCTCGGCCTCCCAAAGTGCTGGGATTACAGGTGTGAGCCACTGCACCGGGCCCTAACCCTTTTATTTTAAAATTTTATGTGGAGGTTCTCTGGCTTAGCTATGTTTCTTGTTTTTATCACTCTTATTAACAACCATGCCCTTAAACACTGGGAAAAAAATAATGAAATACAGTTTATTTGGCACAATCTCATTTAACCTATAAAAGTGCTTGGGGGCCAGGTGCGGTGGCTCACACCTGTAATCCCAGCACTTTGGGAGGCTGAGGGCGGGTGGATCACCTGAGGTCAGGAGTTCGAGACCAGCCTGACCAATATGGTGAAACCCTGTCTCTACTAAAAACACAAAAATTACCCGGGTGTGGTGGCATGCACCTGTAATTCCAGCTACTCAGGAGGCTGAGACCGGAGAGTTGCTTGAACCTGGGAGGTGGAGGTTGCAGCAAGCTGATCGCGCCATTGCACTCCAGCCTGGTCAACAAGAGCAAAACTCTGTCTTAAAAAAAAGGCTTGGGTTAGCAAAATGATAGGTTCTGAAACTGGTTGGACCTGGGGGTTGTCTACTCCAACAAGGGTGGGGGAGGGGCCTGAAAGAGCCCCTGGCCAACGAGCATAGATTCCCAACCCCACCCACACTTGGCATCCACAAGTATAAACTGTTTCCTGTCACCAAGAGAACTCACACAAACTCCTGCCTCTCCCTAATCCCTCCATCAAAACATTTGGCTCTGTTGGCCCATTTTTCCAGGATTTTATCATATTCTGTATTTCTCTGATGTCATCCCTGTGTCTATCCATCCATCCATTCATGCATCCATCCACATCCAACAAGTATTTATTTGGTGACTATGACATCCGAGGCACTGTACTTGGCATTGGGAATAAATCAGATAAAAAGCTCTGCTTTCAAGGGGCTTAGATTTTGATTGAGGGAGATGGACAATAAGTAAAATAAATGTATGGTAAGTTGGTTATAAGCAAGATGGTTGGTTAGTTATGGAGAAAAATAAGGTCGCTAAGAGGCTGGGAAACCATTAGACACAAAACCTTGAGGATGCTTATGATGGCCTTGCTTATAATGCAGTCTAAAACAGAATATAGCTTTCTGGCCCCCAAACTGATAATGGTTAAATAAGTTTTGGTTACATCCATATAGTGGGGAATTATGCAGCCATTGAAAATACGTTGGACACCATATTTTTTAACCTGGGAAATGAAATGATATTCATGAAATGTTTCTAAATAAATGGCAGCATAGAAGAATACATATAATCTTGTTTTAATTCTGTAAAATAAATATATTTAACAAAACAACTTGAAAATGTATACTAAAATATTTAAAAGATTGTATTCAGGTGGTGGAATTATAGCGGCCTTGTGATTTTTTTCTAAGTTTTTATAAACCAACATGGTTAATATAAAAAACCTAAAAACACATGTACAGTACACACACACACACACACACACACACACACACACACACACAGAATCATATGCTATATAATAATGGCATTTTGGTCAATGACAGACTTAGTCCCATAAGATTATAATGGAGCTGAAAAATTCCTATCTCCTGATGGCTAGGAGGTATAATATACCCTCCCCCTTCCTGAAAGCGCAAATGCCTTCACATACATTAACTTCCTTCCAGCCCTTCCCGACGTATTCCATGTAGTTTTTACCTATGATTTTAATTACAATTTGCTTTTCTCTACTCTCATAATTGCTGTAATAATTGTCACGATCATTGTCATCTGCTTCTGCTTTGGGTCAAATGACTGCTCTTCTTTCTTCTCAACAGTGTTGTGTGCATAGTGGATGTGCAGCCAGCATTGGCTCATGTGTGAAGGAGCATACACTCCTGGAAAGTCTGAGCATGTCCATACGCATCATCTCACTGGGCCCCTGCAGCTCACTGAAAGAAGAGGCAGACGCCTGCCCCAACTGCCCAGAGCCCTACTGGCTGAGCGGATCCCTAATGTCCTTAGTTAAGCTCTCACCCTGCATGACTGTTTTCCTCAGAAGAAGGCACTAGTGGGGACACCTTTTCCTGGGGTCTCTATGCAGGGAATGGGCTGGATGTGTACAGACCTGGCCACCATGCCTTTGGGGGCTGGTGTCACGGCCAGGCCATGACTCTAAAGAATGAGGGGGGCTGGGTGAGGTGGCTCACGCCTGTAATCCCGGCACTTTGGGAGGCCTAGGCAAGTGATCCACTTTAAAAGTCAACTTTAAAGTGATTAAAGTGATCCAGTTTAAAGGTCAAGAGTTCGAGACCAGCCTGGCCAACATGGTGAAACCCCGTCTCTACTAAAAATACAAAAAATTAGCTGGGTGTGGTGTCACATGCCTGTAGTCCCAACGACTCGGGAGGCTGAGACAGGAGAACTGCTTGAATCCGGAAGGCGGAGGTTGCAGTGAGCCGAGATCATGCCGCTGCACTCAAGCCTGGGCAACAACAGCAATACTCTGTCAAAAAAAAAAAAAAAGAAAAAAAGACTGAGGTGGAAGGAGGGCTTCCTTAGGAAAAGTGGCCTGCTGAGAGGATGAGGGGTGCAGAACGCCACTGTGCTAGAGCCTGTCCTGTTTGGATTCCCCCAGAAGCCGGCCGTGATGATGTGGGTGCTTACTAGTTTGGGATGTGATGGCAGGAAGCGCTAGCAGTGAGTGGGGCTGAGGCAGCGGATGGGGACACTATTAGGCCATTTGCTCCTATCAGGGGTGGCCTTCAGTCTCCCTGTGAGGCTCCAAGAGGCTATCTAGAGCATTCCTGAGTTATCCACACCTGGGGAAAGGAAGTTGGGCCATATATTTAACATTCATCATGGGCCGAGGGCTGCTTTCAGAGGCTGTAAGTGTCACGCACTCCTGGCCTATCCTGAGAATGAACTGAGGATGCTGCAATGCCCAGAAAAAGGTCTTAGGAGAGACCCCTAACAACGTGAAAGGTCACTGGGTGGTTTGCTCGTCTTCTGAAAAATACATACCTGTCATCGGTTATTTGCTGATCTTTTGTAAATGGTTGATCTTTTCTTTCTGTTGCTTCCAACTTCCCTGGTAACATGTCTATTGCAGATTTCTTTTTATTTATCCCTTTTTAGGGCCAACTGCCTCCTGGATCTGAGGCTTAGCACCTTCAAATAATTGTAGAATATCTCAGGCTTTATCTCTTCAAATTTTGCTTTTTCTTCATTTCCCTATTATTCCTTCTTGGAATCTAGTTATGTTAAATCTTCTCAATCTCCCTTCCATGACTCTCCCTCTTCAAAATATATTTTTAAATCTTTTTGATTTATTGTTTGGTTGGATTCTGCATAATTTCTTCAGATATATCTTATATTTCCTCAGTTATTTTTTTGTGGCAGCTTTTCTGCTGTCCATTGAGTTTTTAACTTCAATTACTATATAATTCATTTTTAGAAGGGTTGTTCGTCTATCTGTTCCCCCTTCAAGTCTGCCTGTTAATTTTTATAGTGTCTTTTTAATTGTTCATATTTCTAAGTCTCTCTTTTATTTCTTTAAACCCTTTAAACTTACTTCACATTCTGTGTCTGATCCGAAGTCTGGGTCTGATTCTGCCTTTTCTCTTGGTTCTCTGTCATATTATTTCCTTGTGAGTTTTGACATTTTTTTCACAGTAAGCTGACCAATTTCCTTGAACTTTATCTGTTGGAATTTCTTGAAGCTTTATGACTTCCTTCATTTGAATTCATTTCTTCTAGTCTTCTAGGGGCTCTACCCATCTGGCATCACTTTTTAAATTTAAAATTTATCCACTGGGCGCAGTGGCTCACGCCTGTAATCCCAGCACTTTGGGAGGCCGAGGCAGGAGGATCACCTGAGGTCAGGAGTTTGAGACCAGCCTGGTCAACATGGTGAAACCCCATGTCTACTACAAATACAAAAAGTAGCTGGGCCTGGTGGTGCATGCCTGTAATCCCAGCTACTCAGGAGGCTAGGGCAGGAGGATCGCTTGAGCCTGGGAGGCAGAGGTTGTAGTGAGCTGAGATCGTGCCATTGCACTCCAGCCTGGGCAACAAGAACGAAACTCCGTCTAAAAAAAAAAAAAATCAAA
This sequence comes from Homo sapiens, assembly GCF_000001405.40. Lineage (NCBI taxonomy): Eukaryota > Metazoa > Chordata > Mammalia > Primates > Hominidae > Homo > Homo sapiens. The sequence goes on along the minus strand of NC_000002.12, from coordinate 130,747,792 downwards.
TTATGATTGAGGGTTTTTTCTGCTTTGGGGTGCAAATCCACACAGTGACTGACTTACGCTCATGAAGTCTCAGCTGAGTTTCTCCTCCAGCCACTGTTCAACACAGGAAGGTGCCTTTGCGGACTCCTTCAATTCCCAAGGCTTACGTCCTGTTTCACACTTAGGTTCTGCTAAGGTTTGAATGTTTGTGTTCCCTCTCAAATTCCTCTTGAAATGATATAATCTCCAGCGCAACAGTATGGAGAGGTGGGTCCCTGGGGAGATGATTAGGTCGTGAGGGCCCCTTCACTGTGGGTGGGAAGATGGCCTTTATCAAGGAGGCCTCCCTCAGCATGTGACCCCCTTTGTCATTCTGTCCTTTTGGCTGTGTGAGGACACGGAGAGACTGGGTCCTCACCAGACATCATACCTGCTGGTGCCCTCATTTTAGACTTCTGAGCCTCCAGAACTGTGAGAAATAAATTTCTATTCCATATACCTTGCCCAGGCTGTGGTTTGTTGCTCTAGCAGCGAGAATGATCTAAGACAGTCTTCCAGCTCTCTGCCAATGCCTCCTCCCAGACTTCTCACTCTGGGACCCTGTGTCCCCTCTCCAAGCCCCTCTCAGTGGTTAGACCTTGAGGTTTTGCAGATGCCCTTAGGGCAAAACTGATAATGACTTTCCAGGAATCCATGTTTCTCTTCATTTTTGGTCTTGATAGATGACTTATTTAAGGTGCATTTTCAATATTGAATCTTGCTATGTAAACTATTTTCAAGAGGAGGGTGGCTTAAAGTGTTTGCTGCCATCTCTCAGAGATGGGGGGGATGCACACTTGCTTTTCCCAGAACCTCTTTCCTCGCTCACAGTCAGCTCTCAGGAGCAGCACTGCACGTCAGGCTGAACAGAAATGAGCTCCCGATACCACATCCAGTGCTGTAGTTCGGCTATGATCACTTCCTTTTGTCAGGGTTATTTTAAAATTTTAGTTTAGGCTCAGCTGAACTATAGGAATCCAAGGGACCCTTCTATGGTCCAGCAGGTCTTTAAGATTAAGGATGAGCAGATTCTCTTCAGTTAGGCCAAAAAACAAAACAACAACCAAAACCTCAGTCTTTTTTATACATGTGTAGAGGTATCTATCTTGGGTCACTAGAGAAACACAAATTAAAAACGTGAGGGGCCAGATGCGGTAGCTCATGCCTGTAATCCTAGCTTTTGTTTGGGAGGCTGAGGCGGGTAGATCACTTGAGGTCACGAGTTCGAGACCAGCCTGGCCAACATGGTGAAACCCTGTCTCTACTAAAAATACAAAAATTAGCCGGGCATATATCTGTGGCTGCTCAAACTCTTCAACAACTCTGTAAATAAACTATATTTCTCACATGGTCAAACGCATTCCTCATCTATCAATTTCTTTCACTTCTTCTTTGTGAATATCTCCTCCCTGGCACTGCCTCTCCTACTCCTGTGGGACCAGCTGCACAGCCCCAGCCCAAGGATTTCTTTTCACCACCTGGGGGATTCTGGCTGCTTTCCTGGAATGGGTCATTTTCCTACTTCTTGGCTAATTCACTGGTTTTGCTGTAATCTGTATTCTAGTATCTTCCTTAGGTAAATTTTTTGAGACTTTGTATATCTGAGATTATTCTACTCTTAGATTTGACTGAGTGCTAAATTCTAGGCTGGGAATAACTTTCCCTCAGAATTATAAAGGAATTGATCTTCTTTCTTCCATTAAAAATATATATATATATATATCTGTCACCTATTTGCCCCATTTCTCTCTGGAAACTTTTAGCATTATTCCTGCTGTTCTGAAATGTGCTGGTAATATAACTTGGTGGGATTTTTTTTTTCCATTTATTATGCTGAAAACTCAGTGGGCTCTTTAAATCTGAAAACCAAACTTTGGGAAATTTTCTTTCTTTTTTTTTTTTTTTTTTTGAGACGGAGTCTCGCTCTATCGCCCAGGCCGGACTGCGGACTGCAGTGGCGCAATCTCGGCTCACTGCAAGCTCCGCTTCCCGGGTTCACGCCATTCTCCTGCCTCAGCCTCCCGAGTAGCTGGGACTACAGGCGCCCGCCACCGCGCCCGGCTAATTTTTTGTATTTTTAGTAGAGACGGGGTTTCACCTTGTTAGCCAGGATGGTCTCGATCTCCTGACCTCATGATCCACCCGCCTCGGCCTCCCAAAGTGCTGGGATTACAGGCGTGAGCCACCGCGCCCGGCCGGGAAATTTTCTTGAATATCTTTGTAATTCCTTTCCTCTTCTTTCCTTCTGAACTCCTAGTATTTATAAGTTGGACTTCCTGGGTTGATCCTTTGATTTTATTATTTTCTCTACTTCCTAATAGATTTTCTCAAATTCATGTTCCTATTCTATTTGAGCTTTTCATTTCTCGCGCATAATTTTTTATTTCTAAGAGCTCCTGGCAGATGTTAGAAGTGTTCTGGGGCCCCGGTTGTTCCTTTTCTCAGAGCCCCTCTTCCTGGAGTCCCGGATTCCCTATTTCCTATAATTTCCTTTCTGTAGAGTCCAGTTTCCTTTTGCCCTTGCATTGCATTTTTCCTCTGTGTTCCATCCTCTCTTGTGTTTGCTTTGATCTGTGCATTTCGCTTTGGAGGCTTCCCCCATGGATGGTGGGTGAGGAGCCCTGCGGGGGCGCCACTGGTGGTGTGTGCAGCCCGTTGCTTGCTGACACCCCCACACACTCAGAGTCTGGGCCCACTCAGCTTCTCTGGAGACGGATCCTCAGGTTCATGCCCTTTGGGATGAAGCCTCAGCTCCTGGCAGCCTGGAGAGCGGACTGGGCCCTGGCCTCACCCCCGCCCCAGCTAAGCCTCTCGGGAAGGGCGGTGGGCCTGCTGCTCCCCGGCCGCCCTAGGCTAAGTGCTCTTCTCCTCTCAGTCTCCATGCTGGCCTGCTGGCCTCGGGAGGAAAAACAGACCGCTCAGTCAGCTCAGCTCAATAGATTCTGCGAGAGCACATCACTGTCTCAAGTGTCCTTTGACTCCTGCCAGCCATGGCACCTCTGGAGCAATCCCAGACACTGTCTTATCTCTGCCTGTGTTTGATCAAGCGCACAACCATCTGCTGCTCCGTAGGGCTCTGGCGACAGGACAGCCATGGGGGGTTGTCAGGGAAGCACAAAGAGCTCTCAGAGGACTTTGGCCCCTGGAGCCAGTCAAGGGAGGGATTGTTTCTCCTGCCTCTGCACCTTCCAAGGGAACACCTTTTCCCTGGAAGGGATCCTGGGCCCCTGCCACCTATGCCAAGGTGGAGGGGAAGCCGCGTCTGTGCTGGGGAGTCAGTAGGTGGTGGCATGCGCAGGTCGTCCTTCCTGCAGAGTTGCTTGCTGCAGCCTTGCCTCTTGCCTGCCGCGTCTGGGCCTGGGCTCCCTGGATTGCTCCTGGACTTTGTTCATGAGTGCTTTTCAGGGTTCTTTCCATCCTTTTATGAAACTCCTAAAATACACTATATATTCTAGGATTTTTGCGTGTTTGTGAAGTTTTCAGAAACTGCATCAGAATTAAGCAATTAACTGTGGAAATGACTTTAAATAGTCTTAGTTAAAGACACAGTTGACAAGGAAATTTGGTTATTTCTGTGGTCTGCAATAACAACATAACCATAATTATGATTGATAGCATATACTCAGGCATATTAGAATTTTAGAAATCCCATAGAATTTTGGATCATATGTTAACATTTACTAAAATATAACCTGAAGAAGGTTAAACATTATTTTTTATGTCAACAGTGTGTAGAGCATGGCCTCTCTCCTGGAATGGCATCTTATACATATAACCCATTGGAGCCAAGAGTTTTACCTTTACATGCAACTACATTTTCAGAGATTGATTTGACTTCCTCTTCAGATGTTTTTTCTATTCAAGAGGTAAAACATAGGGATATTTGGACTCTCAGAACAGCGGTCTGGATTTTCCTCTTTGACCTTTGCTTACATGGGGTTCCTCAGAAAGCAGAGTCTCAGATAAAATATATATGCTATATCTTTTGAAGAACGCAGTTCCAGGGAAGCAGGAGAAAAGAAAAGGAGAATGAGTCAGACAAGCAAGGAAAGCGACCGGAATTGTGCCCCAAAGAGCTGGCGGCTGCGTGGTAGGACATGCATACTGTGTTTAAGCTCCCATTTCACCTTTCATTTTCTGAAAGACCTGTGAACTGCCGCATCTCACAGGGGAAGAACCCACAGAACATTAACATCTCCATTTCCAGGCTGCAGAGGTACCAAGCCAGTGGATCCTCCCGCCCCCATGTCTCTCACAAAGCTGCTTGTAGCCCAGTGGGGACCAGCAGGCGTCCAAGGACCCTGGGGAGCCGTGGTGGCAGCTAGGCTGTGTCTCCTGCAGGCCTCTCTGAAACTGCCTGGCTGGCTCATGCCCTCTCATTCTGTCCAGTCATTGACGGTGGCTACACTGCATTGATCTGGGAACACAATGTCATTTCTTCCCTGACGGCGAAGAGACAAATCCAGCAAGCCACAGAGCCCCTGTCACGGAGTGGAAAGCGATGGTCTCTGAAGAGAATCAACAAGGGGAGTTAAAAAAAGCAGAACCAGGCTGGGCACGGTAGCTCACACCTGTAATCCCAGCACTTTGAGAGGTCGAGGTGGGCGGATCTCCTGTGCTCCAAAGTTTGGGACCAGACTGGGCAACACAGGGAGACCCCATCTCTACTAAAAATAATAAAAAATACATTCGTGGGACATAGTGCATGCCTGTGGTCCCAGCTACTCAGGAGCCTGAGATGGGAGGATCGCTTGAGCCCAGGAGGTCGGGGCTTCAGTGAGCCATGATCATGCCACTGCACTCCAGCCTGGGCCACAGAGCCAGATCCTGTCATTAACAAATAAATAAATAAATAAATAAATAGGCCCAGCGTGGTGGCTCATGCCTGTAATCCCAGCACTTTGGGAGGCTGAGGCGGGTGGATCACCTGAGGTCAGGCGTTCAACACTAGCTTTGCCAACATGATGAAACCCTGTCTCTACTAAAAATACAAAAATTAGCCAGTCATGGTGGCGGGTGCCTGTAATCCCAGCTACTCCGGAGGCTGAGACAGGAGAATTGCTTAAACCTGGGAGGCAGGGTTGCAGTGAGTGGAGATCATGCCACTACACTCCAGTCTGGGCAACAGAGTGAGTGAGACTCCATCTCAAAAAACAATAATAATAATAACAAATGATAAATAAGTAACTTGAAGAAAGCAGCAAGACCAAACAAGAGCTATAATCCTAGGGTTTTAGCTGGTCCCAAGATTGTAGACAGTATTAATCATCTCCCTGCCCTGTCACCCATTCTAGATCCTTTCAGCCTTGCAGGTAGAGGTGGCCCAGAGCTTCACCCCTGAGGGATCTGAGACCTTACTTTCCTCACCCTCGATTGGGTCCAGCTGCTCAGTCTTTCTGTGTTTCTCCATTTCATGTGTGTTTTTTTTAACGTGTAGTTGACTTTATATTTTTTTATCCAGTCTGAAAATATGTTTTTATTTTATTCCATCCTTTTATGGAACTCCTAAAAGAAACCATATATTATAGGATTTTTGTGTGCTTGTGAAGTTACCAGAAACTGCATCAGAATTAAGCAATTAACTGTGGAAATGACTTTAAATAGTCATAGTTAAAGACTCTTCGTGTAACGACTATTGTCTTTTTCCCGTGTGTATTTTAAGCCCTAAAGATACTTTTATTATTGTTGTTGTAGGCAGTCAGTGCATTTACTGCTAACTTTTCTTTTCCGGTTTCCTTTGTTCGTTTCTGTGCTCTGTGCATCCTGAAGGGCCCTTTGTTCAAGATGACATTTTTGTTCGTTACTTGTTCAGGTTTGTTGAACAATTTTATTATTTTTTTAAAAAACAAAATATGCTTTATTCCACTTTTAATTTTGGAGCATATTTTCCTCAGGTATAAAGTTTGAGGTTTGCAGTCTTTTTCTTCTTTCAGAGCTTTGAGATATTACTTCATTTTTTTCTGGCTTCCATTATTTCTCAGATATGCCAGTCTTCTTTTTGCTCCTTTTAAAGTAACATGTCTTTTTTTCTGTGGTTACTTTTATATTTTGTCTATCCTTTATTTTTAGCAGTTTTAGTATAATGTGTGGTTTTCCTTGTATTTATCCCCTTTGGTGTTCACAGGGCTTCTTTAATCTGTGGTTTGGCATCTTTTATTGATTTTGAAAATTGTTGCTTAGTGTTTCTTTTTTTTTTTTTTTTTTTGAGATGGAGTCTCGCTCTGTCTCCCAGGCTGGAGTGCAGTGGCATGATCTGGGCTCATGACAAGCTCCACCTCCCGGGTTCGCGCCGTTCTCCTGCCTCAGCCTCCCGAGTAGCTGGGACTATAGGCGCCCGCCACTACGCCTGGCTAATTTTTTGTATTTTTAGTAGAGACAGGGTTTCACTGTGTTAGCCAGGATGGTCTTGATCTCCTGACCTCATGATCCACCTGCCTCGGCCTCCCAAAGTGCTGGGATTACAGGTGTGAGCCACTGCTCCCGGCCACTTAGTGTTTCTTTAGATATTGCTTCTCTCCCAATCTCTTATTTCTGGGATTCCAGATATAGATATATTCCGGTTTTTTTTTTTGCCACATCCCATATCTCTCCCGTGCCCTTTCTGCATTTGCTATCCTTCTCACTGCGCTTCAGTCTGAATATGTTCTACTGTCCACTGGGACAGGCCGCTGTAATTTACCTGACCTCTTGCATGGCCTCCCTCCTCGGGCATGCCACAGAGAGCCTGGGATGTTCGCAACTCTTCTCCCCCACGGCCGGACTTGACTCCAGCTTCTGTTTCCCCTGCACCGTGTCGGCAACAACTTCCCACCAGCTCTTTTCCTCCCAGTGGTTGCTTTTTGCCTAGTTTCTTGGAGTTCAGCCCTGCCGCTGCACACCTTGAAGAGAATGCGCATGCAGGCTTTGGGGTTCCCTCTCCCTAGCTCCCCTCTGTCTGTGCTGCTGGCCCTTCTACCCTCAGGGCAGTTATGCTGTTGTGCTGTGCTTGGGCTCTGTTCCCTGTGGGCCGCGGAATAACTTCCAGGGGAAGAGCCAGACTAGATATGGAACGCAACTCATGAGTTTCCTTTCATTCAAGGATTTCAGACCCTTGTCTCGGCTGCTTTGGTTGCTCTTTGTAATGCATACTATGGTTTCAAGGGATTTGTCCAGCTTTTATCAATCATATGGTGTGAGGGGGAGACCTGGAGAGGCCGCGCCATTGCTGCCAGAACTGGAACCCCTCTGCTCCTTGTTTTTCACACTCAACAGTTTGTCTGTTTTTTTTGGTATAAGCTTCAGTTATGTAATGACTGTATTGTATTCCATTTTATGGATGCAGTATAATTATATGAACATATCTCTAGGAGCGAAATAGGTTATTTCCCAGTATTCTGCTACAGTGAATATCTTTGAACATATTTAGTTTGTACATGTGCAATGAGAGATGTAGGATAAAGACCTAAGAGTGGAACCCCTGGGTCACATGAGTGGATCACTCGTGTGGTGGACTGTTCTTGCATATTGTATTCAGTGCCAGACTGCCTGAACTTGAATTCCAGTTCTACTGTTTATTAGATCTATGGCCCTGGGGAAGATACTAACCCTCTGTGTGCCTCAGTTTCCTAATCTGTAAAATGAGAAGCGATATGGTATCTATCGCATAGGATCATTATTATACATATTTAAAATATTGTTAGTTATTGCACATTGCCCTCCCTAAGAGTTTAAACAGTTTACATTCTCACAAGCCAGACTTATCACACTTGTCAATGGAAAATATTCTTAAATTTACTAAGTCTTTACCAAACCAAGAGGTGAGAAATGGCATGTCCATGTGGCCTTATTTTCCACGTCTCTTGTATGAGTGAGGCCAATCATCTTTTCATATATTTATGGGCCATGGCCATTTCTCTTTATGTGGACTGTGTGTGTGTTCTTTGACAATTTTAATTGGCTTATTCATCTTAAACTTATTGAATTTATATATTTTTGAAAACTGGCCCTTTTGCATATCAGTAGTAAATGTTTTGTCACAATTTTTGATTTGCCTTTTTACTTCACTTACGGCATTTTTCCCTTCTGCAGAACTCTCTAGTATTCTATGGGAAAATCAGTTAATATTTCCTTATAACACTTCAGTATTCTTTATTGTACTGAGAAACCTTCCATACTGTGAGAGTGTAACAACTGGCTGGGCACAGTGGCTCACGCCTGTAATCCCAACACTTTGGGAGGCCGAGGTGGGTGGATCATGAGGTCAGGAGATTGAGACTATCCTGGCCAACACGGTGAAACCCCATCTCTACTATAAATACAAAAAATTAGCCAGGCGTGGTGGCTCGCACCTGTAGTCCCAGCTACTCGGGAGGCTGAGACAGGAGAATCGCTTGAACTTGGGAGGCACAGGATGCAGTGAGCCAAGATTGTGCCACTGCACTCCAGTCTGGCAATAGAGTACAACTCCATTAAAAAAAAAAAAAAAAAGAGTGTAAAAACTTCTAGCTCTTTATGATTGTATTTTGATGTTTAAATATTTGATTAGCCTGGAAATTGTCTTTGTCTGGATGGTCTCCTGGGCGTTCCACATGATTGATTGGATAATCCATCATTTCCCACTGCTATGGAATGGTGTCTGTCAAGCTATGTATCTATCATCTCTTTAATTCTATCAGTCAGGGACCAGCCAGAAAAACAAAACCACACTATTCTTTTAATAGAACTAGGCCGGGAGCGGTGGCTCACGCCTGTAATCCCAGCACTTTGGGAGGCCAAGGCGGGCGGATCACGAGGTCAGGAGATCGAGACCATCCTGGCTAACATGGTGAAACCCCGTCTCTACTAAAAATACCAAAAAATTAGCCGAGCATGGTGGCAGGCACCTGTAATCCCAGCTACCCGGGAGGCTGAGGCCGGAGAATGGTGTGAACCTCCGGGAGGCGGAGCTTGCAGTGAGCTGAGATTGCACCACTACACTCCAGCCTGGGCGACAGAGTGAGACTCTGTCTCAAAAAAAAAAGAACTAGACATAGGGAATTGTTTGAACATGTTTAAACGGGTGGGAGGGGACCCTGAGAGAGTAACGCAGAGATAATACCTTAGGAAGCAGCTCTTCCCCAAGCACTGTGGGACATAGGGAAGAGGCTGTGGTTACCATAGCCAGAGAAAGGGGCGCTCTCCCGTGGGTGCTGCCACAGTGAGAGAGAACCTGGAAGGGTGGAAGCTGGAACCAGTGGTTCCTGCTGAGGGGAAGGGCTGCTGTTGGGTGATGCAGACAGACACGGGGCAAAACAGGAAGGCCCAGTGTCTCACCCCCCTCCAGCTGGCTTCTTGTGACCCTTATTGGCAGAGCCTAACCAGAGGACAGCTGGTCAAGCGGGGTGTGCAGAGCCCAGCCCCAGTGCTACAAGGAGGAGTACAGAGGGTGGGCTTCTGCTGAAGACCATGGCTCGATACCTGCATGACCTGTGTCTTTGAGCAATTTCTGAGCATCCCGTTCCATCCTGTGCTAGTACCCCATGGTTGTAGCTGGCAGGCCAGTGCCTGCTTGTTACTTTTCCAGGATATTCCTGGCTATCCTTGTTCATTCATGTTTTTGTAAAAGCAATATTGCTTCAAGTGTGGATTGGGATCATGTTACATTTATAAGTTGCTAGGGAGAATTGTTTATCATGTAGAATCACCAGGACAGGGCTTCTCATGAGTTCACTTCTTCTTTTGCTATTATTTAAGCCGTATTATTTAAACATGTAATGACTCTGCCTCTTCCTATATCAAATTCTGTATAAATCCAAGTTCTTAGTCACAAGCAACAATCCAACCCTGGCTGGTTTAACTGAAGGAAAGGTGTACCGAGAGATCCTGGGTAGGTCTCAGAGTCGCCACGGTGCCACCCTTGGTGCTGGCCAGTGAGGCTGCAGCCTGCCTGGCTGACCACACGGGCGGGCTCAGAGGGGCTCTGCTGCCCGGGGGATGGTGTTGCAGCGACCACGACGGCTGCCCCGGCTCTGGCATCACTGGCTCCTGGTTCCGGGTCTGGGGTGAGGCATCTCACTGGCCTCTTATCAGGAGAGCTGGGACCTCTGCTGTCCTAGTGGCCACAGATGGCAGCCACAGGCCACGGAGCCCGCAGATGGGAGAGAAGACTTCTGTCGATGGACTGCTTACAGTACTTGCCACTCTGGACCAATAACAGTTGCCTGAGAAATGCTCACTCACATTATCCCCAGCTGGCTCCTGATCACTTTGGAAGGCTGAGGCAGATGGATCACCTGAGGTTGGGATTCAAGACCAGCCTAGCCAACATGGCTAAATCCTGTCTCTACTAAAAATACAAAAATTAGCTGGGCATGGTAAAGGGAGCCCTTAATCCCAGCTACTCAGGAGGCTGAGGCGGGAGAATCACTTGAACCCAGGACGTGGAGGTTGCGGTGAGCCGACATCGCTCCACTGCACTCCAGCCTGGGCAACAGAGTGAGACTGTGTCTCAAAAAGAAAGAAAGCGAATACTCACTAAATGAAAGCGATAGAAGAGACAAAGCTGACTTTAAAGCCAAAGAGCGGCCGGGCACAGTGGCTCAAGCCTGTAATCCTAGCACTTTGGGAGGCAGAGGCGGGTGGATCACAAGGTCAGGAGATCGAGACCATCCTGGCTAACACGGTGAAACCCCGTCTCTACTAAAAAAACAAAAAAAAATTAGCTGGGCGTGGTGGCGGATGCCTGTAGTCCCAGCTACTCAGGAGGCTGAGGCAGGAGAATGGCGTAAACCTGGGAGGTCGAGCTTGCAGTGAGCCAAGATCGCACCACTGCACTCGAGCCTGGGCGACAGAGCGAGAATTCGTCTCAAAAATAAATAAATAAATAAATAAAGCCAAACAGCCTTACTAAAGAGGGTGACTACATGATAAGTTCCAATATCAAAGGAGATAAAATTAACACATAATAAGAGAATGAAAATTTATAAAGCAAACATTGACAGAATTTTGTGGGGTATTTAACAAATCAATCCGAGCTGGCTTCTGAGCAGGGTGAGCCTGGGGATGATCACAGTGCCACCACGCCACAGCAGCTTGCTGCTGGCTGTAAGCTGGCAAGGCACATGGCCAGGAGCTGGCAGGCTGGCCTCTTCATGAGCAGCCCATGACGTTGGGCACGTTCTGTCCCTCCTGGGTCTTATTTTCTCCCGTGCACAGGGGAGAGGGAAAGTGGGAGGGCTGGGGGGAGGCTGTAGGCTATGTGGTTTAATTATTTTATTTGGTACGCATCATACATTAAATGGTGTATATAAACTCTTTATGCAATTTTATTTCATATTTTATTTTATTTATTTATTTATTTTTTGAGATGAAGTCTCACTCTGTCGCCTAGGCTGGAGTGCAGTGGTGCCATCTCGGCTCACTGCAACCTCTGCCTCCCGAGTTCAAGCGATTCTCCTGCCTCAGCCTCCCGAGTAGCTGAGATTACAGGCATGTGCCCCATGCCTGGCTAATTTTTTTTTTTTTTTTGAGATGGAGTCTTTCTCTGTCGCTTAGGCTGGAGTGCAGTGGTGCGATCTCGGCTCACTGTAAGCTCCACCTCCCGGGTTCACGCCATTCTCCTGCCTCAGTAGCTGGGACTCCTCCAGCTACTGAGGGGGGAGTAGCTGGGACTACAGGTGCCTGCCACCATGCCCGGCTAATTTTTTGTATTTTTAGTAGAGACGGGGTTTCACGGTGTTAGCCAGGATGGTCTCGATCTCCTGACTGCGTGATCCTCCCTCCTCGGCCTCCCAAAGTGCTGGGATGACAGGTGTGAGCCGCTGTGCCTGGCCTCTTTATGCAATTTTAAATATAACAAAGGAACAGATGCTGTATGCCCATCACCCCGCTGAAGAAATATATGAACCACAGTTTAGAACTCCCCATTGTCCTCCCCACCACATATCAATAGACATTGTACTGAATTTTGTGTTCACTATTATCTTTTTTTAATTTTTTTTTGTACTTTCCCACTATATTAGCCTACTCAGGCTGCCGTAACAAAATACCACACACTGGGTGGCTTAAACAACAGAAGTGTACTTTCTCGAAGTGCTGGAGGCTTCAGAAGTCTGAGATCAAGGTGCAGGCGGCACTAGTTCCCAGCGAAGCCTCTCTTCCCAGCTTGCAGGTGGCTGTCTTTTTCACTGTAGAAGGGAGAGATATCTGTCTTCTTTTAAGGCCACCAATCCTATCAGATTAGGACCCCACCCTCATGACCTCTTTTAACTTACTTAACTCCCTACAGGCCCTATCTCCAAATACAGTCATATTAGTATGTATTCTTCTGGGACTTGCCTTTTTCCAAAAACCATATACTTATGAGATTCATCCATACTGATGTGTACAACTGTTTATTTTTCAATGCTGTATAGTATTCCATCGCATGACTCTTCCATATGCATTGACCCATTCTTTAATTGATGGTTGTTTGGGTTGTTTCTCATTTTTAGCTAATAGTGCTTCTGTGAACATGGAGTAAATGAACAAGTGTTTCTCTAGGGAATATATGTGGGAACGTAATTGCTAAAGTAAGGGCATCCTCAACTTTGCTGTATTTGTGGTTGAAGATTACGACAATAGCCTTAGTATTCCCCTTCCCCGTATCCTTATCCCTTGCTGAGTGGCCTTGGAACTCCCTTTATGGGAGATAGTGTCTACTGTTTCTTTCATGAGCCTGGTGCTGTGCTGTGCTGTGTGGTGCTTTGTCGAGCAGAGTGCAGCAAAGTCATGGCGTGCTGCTTTTAAGCTTCTGGCACGTCTGCTCTCTTGGAAACCAGTGAACCTCTCTTGGAAGCCTGTGAACGAGCCTGGGTTAACCTGCTGGCAGTGACAACATTGGGAAGCAGAGAAGAGCATCCAAGCCAAGGCCACTGGATGAGTTTCTTGTTGCTGCTGTAACAAAATACCAAAAATCTGTGGTTTGAAACAATACAAATGTATTATCTTGCAGTTCTAAAGATAAGAAGTTAAAAATGGGTCTTACTGAGTTAAAATCAGTGCAGGCAGGACTGTGTTCTTCCAGAGGCTCAAAGGGAGAATCCACCTCCTTGCCTTTTCTAGAGGCTGCTCACATTCTTAGGGTGGTGGCCCCTTCTCCATCTTCAAAGCCAGCGGCACAGCATCTTCCCATCTCTCCTGGTCTCTGACCTGGCTGCCATCATTATCACATATCTCTCCCACCCTCCTGCCTCCTTCTTTCCCTTGCAAGGGCCCTTGGGGTTGCATCATTTCACCTGATAGTCCAGGATAACCCTCCTTTCAGGATCCTTCACTCAGTCATATCTGTAAAGCCCCTGTGGGGCACAGTCAGAGCTAACTAACACATATCTGCTGTTCTTCCAGTTTCTTAATTTGGATCCTAGCTCATTAATTTTGAGCCTTTTTCATTTTGGGTAGAACACACGTGAGTGTACATTTGCCTCTAAATGTTGCTGGCTGCATCTCATGCATTTCCATGTGTACTAGTTTTATTATCACCCAGTTCTAAACAATTTTCTGATTTCTGCTTTTAATTAATTAGTCTTTGATCTATGAATTGCTTAGAATGTGACTTTTACATTTCCAAGCATATTTTATTCAATTATCTTTTTGTTACTTATTTCTAACTTAATTACACTGGACCCAGATGATATAGTCTGCATTGGAATCAGGTCTTTGAAATCTTACTTAGATTTGCTTTATGGGGGTAGCATGTGGTCAATTTTCTTTTTTTTTTTTTTTGTTTTCTTTTTTTTTTTAATTGATCATTCTTGGGTGTTTCTCGCAGAGGGGGATTTGGCAGGGTCATAGGACAATAGTGGAGGGAAGGTCAGCAGACAAACAAGTGAACAAAGGTCTCTGGTTTTCCTAGGCAGAGGACCCTGCGGCCTTCCGCATGTGGTCAATTTTCTTAATAATTCCAGGCATACTTATATATATTATGTATTTTCCAATAGTCAAGTGCCATATTTTAAATTTATTCACTAAGTCAAACTTGTCAATTGTGTTGTTCAATATTCAATATCCTTATTTATTTTGTCTGTTTGCTCTACCAGTTAGGGAGAGAGCACTCTTAAACTTCTCTATGAAAGTTGGTTTGTTAATTTCCCCTCAAAATTTTGTCAATGTTTGCTTTATAAATTTTCATTATCTTATTATGTTAATTTTATCTCCTTTGATAAATTGGAACTTATCATGTAGTCACCCTCTTTAGTAAGGCTGTTTTGCTTTAAATTCAGCTTTGTCTCTTCTATTGGCTTTCATTTAGCGAGTTTCTATCTTTTTTTTTGAGATGGAGTCTCGCTGTGTCACCTGGGCTGGAGTACAATGTCGCGATCTCAGCTCACTGCAACCTCCACCTTCCGGGTTCAAGCAATTCTGCCTCAGCCTCCTGAGTAGCTGGGATTATAGGTGCCCTCTACCATGCCTGGCTAATTTTTGTATTTTTAGAAGAGACGGGATTTCACCATGTTGGCCAGTCTGGTCTCGAACTCCCAACCTCAGGTAATCCTCTCGCCTCTGCCTCCTAAAGTGCTGGGATTGCAGGCTTGAGCCTCTGCACCCAGCCTGAGTTAAGTTTTGATTGGAGGATCCAGGAAAGGCTTTCTGTCTTTTTCTATACTCCCAACTATTGCTTTACTTCCACCCATTCTCTGTTGTTTGTTTAGCATAATCTCTTATAAATAACATATATCCAATTTAAAAGTAAATGGACAATATTGTTTCCCCACCATCAAATTTTAGTCATTTAAATTTATTGTTTTAGTAGATTTGAATTAGTTGTTTGGATTCTATCATATTACTTTATGCTTTCTATTTGTCCTGACTTTTCTATATATTTTTTCTTGCCTTCTTTTGGCTGAGTGATCTTTTCTCTTACTCATTTCATTTGTTCCTTAGATTATTTAGAGAGTGATCCTCGTTTTGTCTAGTCTGTTAGTGGTTACCTCATTTCAACTTGCATGCCTAACAAAGTCTTAGATTAATATCTCTACCTTCCTCCTGAAGACTGCTAGACTTTAGAATGCTTTAAGTACAATTACACCTTTCTGACACATATACCACTGTTATGTAATTCTTTTTTTCCATTTTTTCTAAACCGTTAAATTAGACTTTTTTTTTGGAGACAGAGTTTCACTCCTGTTGCCCAGGCTGGAGTGCAATGGCACAACCTTGGCTCACCGCAACCTCCGCCTCCGGGGTTCAAGTGAGTCTCCTGCCTCAGCTTCCCGAGTAGCTGGGATTACAGGCATGCGCCACCATCCCAATACAAAATTTTGTATTTTTAGTAGAAACGGGGTTTCTCCATGTTGGTCAGGCTGGTCTTGAGCTCCCGACCTCAGGTGATGGGCCCCGCCCCGGCCTCCCAAAGTGCTGGGATCACAGGCATTGAGCCACCATGCCGGGCCGAAATTAGACATTTTTATTGCTTTTATGTAGGCAACTAGACAATAACTATTCCTATTTATGTGCATAGTCTCCAGTGACTTTTCTATTTCTTCATACATCTCAAACCTTCCACCTGGAATAATTTTTCTTCTGCAACAAATACATCCCTTGAAGTTTTCTTAATGTGTATTGCTAGGAATACTGTCTTTCAGCTTTTGTGTTCTATCAAGGTCTGGAAAGGTTTTTCTGTATATAAAATTCTAGGAAGACAGTTATTTTCTCAGCACATTGGCAACATTATTCCAGTTGCCAAGGCTTCCATGTTTTTTGTTTGTTTGTTTGTTTTTTGAGATGGGGTCTCGCTCTGTCGCCCAGGCTGGAGTGCAGTGGTGTGATCTCGGCTCACTGCAACCTCCGCCTCCCGGGTTCAAGCGATTCTCCTGCCTCAGCCTCCTAAGTAGCTGACAGCACATGCCACCAGGCCTGGCTAATTATTATTTTTTTTTTTTTTTTGAGACGGAGTCTTGCTCTGTCGCCCAGGCTGGAGTGCAGTGGCGTGATCGCGGCTCACTGAAAGCTCCGTCTCCCGGGTTCACGCCATTCTCCTGCCTCAGCCTCTGGAGTAGCTGGGACTACAGGCGCCCGCCACCAAGCCCGGCTAATTTTTTTTGTATTTTTAGTAGAGACGGGGTTTCACCATGTTGGTCAGGCTGGTCTCTTCCATTGTTTGAGAAGTCAAGGTGAGTTTAATTGATGTTCTTTTGTCTTTTATCTCTGCCTGCTTTAAATATCTTGTCTTTGTATTTAGCTGTTTGCAGTTTCGCATCATGTGCTTCAACGTGGGTTATTGGTCATTTATCTTATTTATGATTGGTTAGATTTCTCGGATCTGAAGTTTGATATCTTTAAACAAATCTGAAAAAATCCTCAGCTGTTATCGCTTCAAATATTTCCCCTCCTACATTTTCTGTATTGTGTTCCCAAATTAAATGTATGTTAGTCTTTTCCATCCCAACCTCAATGTCTCTTAATCTCTCTTTTATATGGTTGTCTCTTTGTCCCTCTGGGCTGCATTTTAGGTAATTTATCTGGACCTCTCTCACAATTTGCAGAGTCTGTTTCCAGTTGTGTCTAACATGCTCTTTAATCCATATTAAATTCAACTCATAATTCTAATATTTTTGTTTCAAGAAGTTCTATTTAAATATTTTCCAAATTTTCTTGGTTATTTAAAAAAAAGTATTATCCCTGCTCATATTTTCATGTCATTATTAATGTCTTAAAACATCTTGAACATTTTTATATTAACCCAGTGTTGATAATTCAAGGAGCTGTGGTATGACGCTGCTGTCTTCTTGTTTCTTCTTGCTCTCATTCATGGTGCCTTATCTCCCTATGTGGTTTTGTGAGATTTGACCATGTGCAACTCCATTATTTGAGGTTCTTTGACTCTGGAAATTCTCTGCAGCCTAAGGTGAAGCTCAGATCGTCCAGGAGAACCACACCAACCACAGACTGAGGTCTTTTTACCACTAACATAATTTGAAGCCTAGCTCTAAAACTGTCTGAAGAGTGGCTTCTACTTAAGAATTCTCGAGGAATTTTCTTCTTCTACACAGCACGAAAGTCAAGGCAGGCAAACTCCCTTGCTGACCCCTTCTGTAAGGTTAGGTTATCATTTACCTTTATTGTGAGAGTGTAACCCTTGCACACTCCAGCTTTATAGTGGTATCTCCATGACACTCTCCACTGCTGTGGATCGTTGGCTTCCTTTCCTCCCTCCCACATCCTGAGCGGCTGCTCAGATAGAGCTCATGGTCCCAGGACTCAGCAGCTCTGCTTGCTTACCTCTGTGGTTCTCACTGTCAGCAACATTTTGGCTTCTGTGTGTTGGTCAGCAAGGATGCATCCACAGTGGCCAGGGAGGGTGTGCAGCAAGCCATTGGAGGGACGCAGATCAAGGCTTGACTTAGACCAGAGCCCTGCTTGATTGCCTTTACTTGCTTCCGTTTCCAAGTAGGATTTCAGTGTCATAAGAGAGCTTTCTCTACTTAAAAACTGTCAAAATGGTGAAAATCATCAGTTGAGGTCTTCTGAAAGGCCCAATTCCACTATTATATTGTGCTGTTCTAAGAAGTTAGTCATAAGTGGACACTGCTGCATTCAACATATGATTTTTAACCTCAGCTTGCCAGACTGTGGACTCAAGAACTCTAGGAAATGGTAAAGATGGCCTGGTGCCTCCTGGATGGGAGGTGGCCCCGGACCATGCCCAACAGCTGCCGGTAGCGGAGCAGGTACAGGTATGTGAGCATGGCACGGGGAAGCATCATGAGTACCTCACTGTTAGCTGCCAGGAGCCATGTGTGAGTCCCAGAGTCAATGTGGTGGTACCTGGTCAGCACCATGTCCAGGGAGAACACCACCCCTGTGCTCACGTACAATGTGATCAGCACTGAGTGGATCAGCAGGGTGCCCCTGGCCCGGGAATAGCCCTGCCCCCAGATGCCTGAAGTCTTGGCCTCTGCATAGATCCTCCAGAAACAGTTGGCAATGAGAGCTGTGCAGAGGAACAGAACGCACAGAATGGAGGTGTAGGTAACAATGACCAGGAGGCCACATCCCGGCTGGGTGCCCATGCTTGGTGGTAGGATGTATGAAGCTCCTTGCTCCTCCAGCTGGGCATCCTGCCACTTGCTGAGCCAAATAAGGAATGTGGGGAAGCAGCAGGCCACCAGCCAGATGAGGGCCACTGCCTTCCAGGCAGCCCCATGGGACATGAAGGAGAGGTAGCGCAGTGGATGGATGACTGCCAGGTAGGTGTGCAGCACAATGGCGGTGAAGGACAGGATGGTGCTGGTGCAGGCGGCGAAGACAGCATCAGTGAGAATGCCACAGGCCATGCGGCCCAGCTCCCAGCCACCCAGGCTGCTGGAGGAGATGAGCATGTGGAGGAGAATGTAGGCCAGGTCTGAGAGCAGGATGTTAGCCGGGAGCAGGTAGTGGGGCTCCTGTCGCAGCCGTTGGTTCCGCAGGATGGTCACCAGCAGCAGGGGGCTGACAGCCAGTGTGGCTGCAGCCAGCAGGCTTGAGGGAAGGAAAAGCCAGTACAGCATGGAGCTGGGCACCCTGAGGTCCCCCAGGCCCAAGGAAGTGTTGCTGGCTGCTTGGGGCATGCAGGGTGTCTTGCTGATGAGCTGGATCAGGGCCGGCCAAGCTGTAGTGCCCACAGGGCAAGGTGCCAGCTCATCCCCCATGCTTCCTGGCAGGGATGGCTGGCTTTGTCACAGGTTGTTGATTCTGCACCTGCCTTGAGTGTTGATCTGCCCCACAGGGGTCCTGATGGCACCACTCCTCTGTAGAGATGCCAGGCTCGGGCAGGCCTTAGGAATGACTGCTTAATAAAGATAAAAAAACCAATGTGAATTCAGACTCACACCTGGCTTCCTGCATTCACATCTCTGCAACTGTGCAGCTGCATGTGCGTGGGTAGACATAACAGATCATCCCACTGCCACCATTTTGCAGTCACTGACCCCTCCAGAAGTGTCCCCTATCTCAGTGGCCCCCAAACCTGTCTGCTTGGCTCACAGGGAGTGTGCAATGGATTCTCACCACACTGGATTATATTCCGGGCTGCCCTCCTAGAAAGGAAGGAGCAGCTGTCTGGAACTAGGATCGCTGGGCTGTAGACCTGGTCTGACCTCTGTCGAGCTAGAGGCTCAGCAAATTGGACCAGGCTGGAGGGGCCTGGGCGCACTCACATTTCCTCACAGAGCCTTGGGTATGGTCTCCAGCTCAGGGTGACCCTGTGCATGCGTGTGAGTGTGACTCCTACACCCCTTCCACTCAGGGCTCCATGTGAGTATTCGGTGCCCCCAAAATCTCAGCTGACTTGTGGGGTCGCTGTGTGGTAGAAACGTCCCTTCCTCTGGGGAGGAGGAGGCCTGGCAGGCAGAGACCTCATAGGAGCTAGTGGGGAGGAATGGAAGGCAGGTTCCCCAGGCACCTGGCTTGTCGGGGGTGGGGTGAGCTCAGTCAGAGCCAGTGGCCAGGGTGGCTGTTGGTGTTTGGGGATCCAGTTCAAGTGAACAAGCTCTCCCGCTCTCTCGAGGTGTTGGCTGCGTGGCCTTGAAAAGCTTTGTTCCAGTTTCCTTATCTGTGAAACACGAATGCCAACCACACTGACCTCAGGGAAACGTTGCGGAAGCCCAGAGGTAAGGGACTCAGCACAGTGCATAGCCTGAAGTAAATGCTGAGTCAATGTTAGCTCTCCCACCTACAGCATCCTCCGAGGCTCGGTCCCCTCTGCCCACAGATCCCTGTCATCACTGCAGAACGGGCTGCACTTGGCTGCTGGCAGCCTGAGACCCCTGCCCAACACCCACCGCCGGCCTGGCAGACTGCTCCAGAAGGCAGGAGCCGCGTGGGAACAGGCAGGATATTTTTAGGGCCAGGAAGAGGCAGAAATTTCAGACTCTGGGTGTGAGACCACGTCCACTGCTGCCCAGGGACCATGCTCGTCACAGCCCGAGACCACGTCCACCGCAGCCCAGGGACCACGCCCAGAACCGCCCCTGACCACGTCCGCCGCAGCCCGGGGACCACGCCCGCCGCAGCCCGGGGCCACGCCCACCACAGCCCCGGACCACCATCATCGCAGCCCTGGGACCACGCCCTCCATAGCCCAAGGCCACGCCCATCACAGCCAAAGACCACGCCCAGAACAGCCCCGGACCACGCCCGCCGCAGCCCGGAACCGCGTCCTCCTCTGAGAGCCTGTTACGCAGCTGCCAGGAGCAGCAGCGCCTGCGCCTTTTTGGCCGATTACGGTACAGAAACTAAAGGTGGTTCTGAGAAAGCCCATCACCCCTTCCAGAGAAACCGCGATGCCATGGGGCGGACCCCGCCTCCCTGCCCCAGCTGCCCTGGCCTGCACTCCCTAGGGGCCCCTTGTACTTTACAGATGCTCTGACCGGTCTAATCGGCCCCAGGCCGGGAGAGGCAGCAGAGCCATTCGCAGGCCACGCTCTCTGCGCGGGTGCCCTGTGTGCTGCAGGGCTGAGGGCCAAGGCCGAGCCTCTCTCTGCTGTCCAGCCCAGCACAACGACCCTCGCCGGCCTTTGGGGTCTTAGAATGCAGATTCCCTGGGAGAGGGAAACTCGTTAAATGACAATCCCTCAGTAAAAATGTGGTTGTGAGCTAAATCCTTATAGCCGGTGACGGGGTGACAAGCAGCAACTTCATGGAATCGGAAAGCGCGAAACTCCCAAGGTGAAAAAGCCGCTGGGATGATACAGAGCCTGCCTCCTGCTGAGAATCATCTTAGGAATTAAATAGCCCATACAACAATCTCAGAGCACCGAGCGGGTGCTGCCCCTAAGGGAACATCAGTTTGGTCTCACTTGCCGAGGTTCCCTATCCAGGCTGCCCTCCTGGGAAAATGCAGTCCGGGGCCCTAGGGAGTGCAGCCCAGGGCGCGGGGACAGGGAGGCGGGGTCCGCCCTATGGCATCGCGGTTTCTCCGAAAGGGAAGATGGGCTTTCTCAGAACCACCCTTAGTTTCTACACTGTAATCAACCCCAGATGTGGGGTCACCCAGTGCCAGCTCTGGGGTCACAGAGCTGGCCTCCCTGGTTAGGACCCTGCAGCCTTTAACTCCTTTGCCCCGTTCCTGTAATCATTATGGGTCAGGACGGGCCTGCTGGCCTTGGGTGCAGACGCGGGGTGGGTGTGCAGCACAGGCTAGTGAATCTGAACATAACTTTGGAAGTTGAATCTCAGCCATCCGTGGCCCTTCAAGAGCCTGGGGATGCTGGAGTGTCCCTGCCCTCTAGGAAGGTGGAGGTAAACTGAGGCTGTAGGCGTGCCTAATGCAAACATGTTTAAACCACAGAATGGACATGCTCCTGGGTCCTCCGGCTGAGATGAGGTAACAGTGACCACCCACAGCCTCATCGTGGAGCACCTTCTGTGCAGGCACTGAGCACACTCACAGAAATGACATGCTGCTCTGTGGGAAACTGAAGCCCAGGGAGGTTAAGTGCCCTGCCTAAGGTCACCTTTTGAGAGAGTTCAGTGTTAGTAAGAAGCCATCTTTTGGCGGGGAGCGGTGGCTCACGCCTGTAATCCCAGCACTTTGCACTTTGGGAGGCCGAGACAGGCAGATCACCTGAGGTCAGGAGTTTGAAACCAGCCTGATCAACATGGAGAAACCCTGTCTCTACTAAAAATACAAAAATTAGCTGGGCGTGGTGGCACATGCCTGTAATCCCAGCTACTCAGGAGGCTGAGGCAGGAGAATCTCTTGAACCCAGGAGGCGAAGGTTGCAGTGAGCCAAGATCACACCATTGCACTCCAGTCTGGGCAAGAAGAGCAAAACTCCATAAAAAAAAAAAAAAAAAAAAAAAAAAAGCTCTCTTTCCTGAGACATGCAGACCCTGTTGCTATGGCCCCCAATGGTGGCAGCAGGACAGGAGTTACTCACCGTGGTGTCAGGTCAAGGCTCGGGGAGTCAGAGGGTGGGCAGTGGGCACTGGCAGAGGTGACTGAGACTCCCAGCTGGGCCTCCCATCACACAGCAGCTCCCAAAGGCAGCTGGCAGCCAGGTTGAAAAGGATTATCTAAACAGGGGTTCTTGGTTTCCTGGCAGCAATGCAATGTCCCTCAGCAACTGGCCATGTCACCTGACCTAGCTGCAGGAGCAGAGAAAATCTCCAGCCCCCCCGCCCCCGGGCCCTCATCATTGCACCTGGGTACATGCATGTGTGGCAGAGGTAATACACAAAGAACTGACGTGGCAAATTCTGGGTACCATTTTACATTTCCTTTCATCCTCCAGAACCCTGATGAGGATCAGGAAATTGACATGCATATGAGGCCAATTAATTTTCCCAAGGCCACCTAGCAAATAAGTGGCAGAGAATAGGCATGTCTCACTCCAAATCCTGTGTTATTTCCATCCTCGCTCCATCTGTTCCCTGGATGATCTTTCTACCTCTACCTTCCTGGCTGGCATTGGTACTGGACTCTTCATCATTATCATAGTCTCCATCAATATCAGTCAACATATCTTTATTATCTTCATGTCTTCATCACTATTACCATCACCCTCACCCTTATCTCATCATCATCACCATCACCATCATCACATTACCACCATCACCATCACCATTGTCATGATCTGTTTAATGCTACTATAACAGAATACCTGAGACTGGGTAATTTATAAAAAACAGAGATTTATTTCTTACAGTTTTTGAGGCTGTGAAGTTCAAGTTCAAGGTGCCAGTGTCTTGTGAGGGTCTTCTTGCTCGTCATGCCATGATGGAAGGTGGAAGGGCAAGACAGCACATGTGAGAAAGAGAAGGGAAGGAGGCCAAACTCATCCTTTTATCAAGAACCCACTCCCAAGATAACTAACCCACTTTCACTTCCATTATAACACCATTAATTCATTCATGAAGAAAGAGCCCCCATTACCTAATCACCACTTAGAGGTCTCACCTCTCAACACTGTTGCATTAGGGATTAAGTTTCCAATACATGAACTTTAAGAAACACGTCCAAACCGTAGCAGCCATATCATCACCACCACTTTTGTTATTACCACCATCATTATCATCACTATCTTCATCAGCACCATCCATCACTATTATCATCATCACTATCATCAGCACCATCATCACTGTCAACATCATCATCATCATCACTATCATTAGCACTTCATTACCATCATTATCATCAACACCATCATCACTATCATCAGCACCATCACCACCATCATTATCATCATCACCATCACTATCATCAACTCCATCATCACTGTCAGCACCATCATCACCATCATTACATCACTATCATCAGCACCATCATCACTACCATCATCACCATCATCATCCTCCTCTTCACCATTATCATCACCACCATCATATCATGTTGTGATGGTGATTATCCCATATTAAATCAAACTCCCCACTGATTTCTCATCACTCTTAAGATAGATAAAAACCAAAATCTTGGTCTTAATGCACAAGCCCTACAGCAGCCCATCTGTGTTAGCACATTCTTACATTGCCATGAAGAAATACCTGAGGCTGGGTAATTTATAAAGAAAATAGTTTCATTTTGGCTCACAGTTCTGCAGGCTGTACAGGAAGTGTGGTACCAGTGTCCTCTTCTGGTGAGGGCCTCAGGATGCTTACAGTCATGGTGGAAGGCAAAGGGGGAGAAGGCATGTCACATGGCGAGAGTGGAAGCAAGGTGTGGGGGGAGGTCCTAGACTTTAAAACAACCAGATCTCACATGAACTAACTGAGTGAGAGCTCACTTACCACCAAAAGGATGGTGCCAAATCATGGGATCTGCCCCAGGACCCAATTACCTCCCACCAGGCCCCACCTTCAACATTCAGAATCACATTTCACCATGAGATTTGGATGGGACAAACATCCAAACTATATCACTATCCCTTGTCCCTCCCACATCAATCCTCTGTGCTCCAGCTCTCTTGCACCCCTTCTACTCGTTAAAGAATGCACAACCTTTGTTATCTGGGGACATTGCTACCCTCTTCGCACATTTCACTTCTGCTCAGCCAGATCTCAGTTTGAATGACTCTTCTGGAAAATGTCTCCTGATGCTTAGAATGGACCTCAGCTCCCTGCTTTATACAGGCATACCTCAGAGATAGTGCAGGTTTGGTTCCATACCAGCACAATAAAGTGAATATCACAAGAAAGCAAGTCACATGAATTTTAGTTTCTCAGTCCATGTAAAAGTTATGTTTACACTCAACCCAAATGTCCATCAATGATAGACTGGATTAAGAAAATGTGGCGCATATACACCATGGAATACTATGCAGCCATAAAAAAGGATGAGTTCATGTCCTTTGTAGGGACATGGATGAAGCTGGAAACCATCATTCTGAGCAAATTATCGCAAGGACAGAAAACCAAACACCGCATGTTCTCACTCATAGGTGGGAATTGAACAATGAGAACACTTGGACACAGGGTGGGGAACACCACACACTGGGGCCTGTCATGGGGTGGGAGAAGGGGGGAGGGATAGCATTAGGAGATATACCTAATGTAAATGATGAGTTAATGGGTGCAGCACACCAACATGGCACATGTATACATATGTAACAAACCTACACGTTGTGCACATGTACCCTAGAACTTAAAGTATAATAATAAAAAAAAGTTATGTTTACACTATAATGTAGTCTAGTAAGTGTGCAATAGCACTATGTCTAAAAAAAAATGTATATACCCTAATTTTCAAATACTTTATTGCTAAAAAATGCTAACAATCATCTGAGGCTTCAGCAAGTGATAATCTTTTTGCTGGTGGAGAGCCTTGCCTCGATGTTGATGACTGCTGACTGATCAGGGCGGTGATTGCTGAAGGCTGGGGTGGCTGTGGCAATTTCTGAAAATAAGACAATGAGGTTTGCTGCATTAATTGACCCTTCCTTTCATGAAAGATTTCTCCATGGCATGCAGTGCTGTTTGATAGCATTTTACCTACAGTAAATAGAACTTCTTCCAAATCTGGAGTCAGTCCTCTCAAGGTCTACTGCTGTCTTATCAATGAAGTGGATGTAATATTTCAATAACATTCACAGTATCTTCACCAAGAGTAGATTTCATCTTATTAAACCACTTTCTTTGCTCATTCATAAGAAGCAACTCCTCATCTCTTACAGTTTTATCATGAGATTGCAACAATTCAGTCACATCTTCAGACTCCACTTCTAATTCTAGCTCTCTTGCTAATTCCACCACATCTGCAGTTACTTCCCCCACTGAAGTCTTGAACCTCTCAAAGTTATCTATGGGGGTTGAAAACAACTTCTTCCAAACACCTGTTAATGTTGACATTTTGAATTCCTACCATGAATAATGAATGTTCCTATTGGCATTTAAAATGGTAAATTCTTTCCAGACAGTTTTCGATTTACTTTGCCCAGATCCATCACAGGAATCACTATTTATGGCAGCTATAGCCTTATGAAATGTATTTCTTAATAAGACAAAAGTTGAAATTACTTATTGGTCCATGGGCTGAAAAATGAATGTTGTGTTAGCAAGCACATAAACCTTAACCTCCTTATATACATCTCCACCAGAGCTCTTAGGTGCCTTGTCAATGAGCAGTAATATTTTGAAAGGAATCTTTTTTTCTGAGAAGTAGGTCTCAACAGTGGGCTTAAAATATTCAGTAAACCGTTCTGTAAACAGATGTGCTCTCACCCAGGCTTTATTGTTGCATTGATAGAGCACAGGCAGAGTAGATTTAGCATAATTCTTAAGGGCCCTCTGATTTTCAGAATGATAAATAAGCATTGGCTTCAACTTAACATCACCAGCTGCATTAACTCCTAACAAGAGAGTCAGTCTGTTATTTTGAAACTTTGAAGCCAGACATTGACTTCTGCTCTCTAGCTATGAAAGTCCTAGATGGCATCTTCTTTCTTTTTTTTTTGTTTTTTGTTTGTTTGTTTGTTTGTTTGTTTGTTTGTTTTGACAGAGTCTCACTTGTCATGCAGGCTGGAGTGCAGTGGTGTAATCACAGCTCACTGCAGCCTTGACTTCCCAGGCTCAGGTGATTCTCCCATCTCAGCCTCCCTAGTAGCTGGGACTACAGGCATGCATCACCATGCCTAGCCATTTTTTTTTTTTATTTTAGTAGAGAAGGAGTTTCTCCATGTTGCTCAGGCTGGCAGCATCTTCTTTCGATAGAAAGCTGTTTCATCTACGTGGAAAATTTGTTGTTTAGTGTAGCCACCTTCATCAGTTATTATGGTACATACCTTGTATGCACTAAGGTATGCCTGTACTCATATATTGCCCTTTATTCCTCTTACACCATTTACTACAATTTTTCTTAATGTTTAATGTTATGCCTAACCTTGCTATCAGGATCAGCTCCATGAAGGCAGGGGCTGTGTCTGTCCTGCCCACTGGTGTACCCTCAGTGCCTATTGTGCAGAGAGGCAAATGCCAGACTGAAGATTATTAAACGGCTTGTCTTTAAGGCCAGCGGATTTAGATGGGGGGAAAAGATGAAGAGGAAATCTGAGGCCAAAGACTCAGTTTGAGCAGAGGCCAGGGCCACGCCATGGCATTTCACATGGGCTTCCTTGGCTGTGACAGGAAGGTGGAGAGAAGCAACTTAAACTGCAGAGCAACAAGACTAAACTCAGCATCTGCAAGGACAGAGTGAACATCCAGGTAGACGATGGGCTAGAGGAGTCCTGGAAGCAGAGGGAAGTGTCCTTGTGATGGGCCAGAGGTAGGGAAGAGGAGTGCTCCTCCAAAGCCAGGTTTTAAATTGATCAGGAGTGTCAGAGGTATGGTGCTTTTCTGGAACACTCCTCGAGATCTGAGAGATCTTGAGCATATTGACATCATTGCAATTAGATTTCCAATCCATATCAAAGGATATTGGAATGTTGCTGCATCTCTTGGTTAAACCTGGATTTTAAAAAATAATTAAGTAATATATACTGCTAAAGATAAACTAATTCTGACAGCTCCCATAGTCCCCCAATATTTCTCCCTCCTTTCTTTCAATTTCTGGCTAGACCCCCTCTACCACACTGAGCTCCTTGCCAGGCTGGGTCTCTTTGGCCCTGTGCCCCAGTCCCACTTCACATGGTGGCTGCTGGCTCAGAGCGGTGCCCAGTCAGTTCTGGAAAGGATAAATATAATGATTGTATGCACCTGGGGGCGCTGGCAAGGATGATAATGGTGTTTGGTCCTTCTTCCTGGCATGCAACTGGCCTGCCTCCTGCTCCTCCTAGTGTGCGTAGGCTCTCCTCCTACACACACTAGCATCTCTATCACCCTTCTCCTCATGGCAGAGTGACTTTTTATTTATCCACTGACTTGAGTGGTGGAGTTTATTTTATTGGATTTTGGCACACATGTGAAGCCTTTGAAAAGCCTCTTTAGTCGATGACCATATTTCTCTTCTGACCACCATGTCCACCCCCCACTGAAGCCTCCTGAAGGTCCATGAAGTCTGGATGATAATTAAAGTCATCGCAGCTGGTGTCCTGGTCTGCAAAGCCCTGTGGCTACCCTCCCTGCAGGGCGGCAGCTGCCCCACCCACTGTCCTCTGCTCAGCACACCCCGCCCATGCCCAGCCCAGAGTCCACCCACGCGCTGCCCCTCTGCCTGGAGCACTCCTGCAGGTCCCGGCCTGTTGTGTTCACTTAACTTTAAAGATTAATTGGCAGGGTGCGGTGGCTCACGCCTGTGATCCCAGCACTTAAGGAGGCTGAGGTGGGTGGATCACAAGGTTAGGAAATCAAGACCATCCTGGCCAACATGGTGAAACCCCCTCTCTACCAAAAATACAAAAATTAGCTGGATGTGGTGGCGCGTGCCTGTAATCCCAGCTACTCGGGAGGCCGAGGCAGGAGAATCACTTGAACCAGGGTGTCGAAGGTTACAGTGTGTGCACCCCAATCACTGCTTACAGTATAATCAGTATGACGATGAGATTGAGGGGGTCTAAATTTAAGTGTATCATCTCCTGTGTTATGTGAAAATATCCCTCAGTACAAAACATTTGTGTATTTCACAGATGACTCTTGTTTTGCCATAACGCTACAAAGTTTATGGAAACTAGTCAACTGAAGGATTTTTCTGTTGTGTGATATGTAAAGGTCTGAATAGTAAAATCATCTTTGCATTCCTGAAGTGTTAAAAAATAATAATCAACATGTCAGATTGTTGGGCTTTTCTTAGCAGATGTTTTCTAATTCAAAGTTTTTGGTTGTGTTTTTGTTTTTTAGTTCAAAGTTAATTTGTTTGCCTCTTGAAGATTAATTTGTCTAAGCTTTCTAGGAACTGCCAAACAGTGATATTCTCAAAAGGATTCAATAAACTAGTTCAAAAAATGTTCCTATCTTCTATTGCCTTAAATCTAATCACGTTCTGTGAACTGCAGTCCTAGTGTGTAGCACGGCGTGATTTATCACCCAGAGTTCTCCACTGTATTTCAAAGTTGATTTACCTCAGGAAAACTGAGGGTTTATTGAGTAACTCAAATTTTTCCAGAGAAACTGGTTTGAAGTATCCAGTGCAACTTGCCAAGCTCTGTCTTTGTTTATAAACTCACTTACTGGTGACATCATTCAGGGTAGTCCCTCTCTAAAAACCTTGAATTTTGTCTGGTCTTCTCGGATGAGGAATTCTGAACCTGGTACAATCTCATTCTAACTCTTCTCTTATGTACTAAGTACTTATATTATATACCTTTCTGTAACTTAACAGGAAAAGGCTGACCATTTTTGGTATTTTTTCAGTGACACATTTTTCAGTGTCTAAGCTCACACTCATTTGTAATTAACTACATGATTTTTAATATAATTTCTACTACTTTGGGTTTTATTTCCCAGGTATAGACATTGTCCTTTTAATGTTTTCTTAAGGAATTATTCAGAGTAGATTATTAACAACTTAAGGTCCTAAACAGATATACATGGGACATGGTTGTTGTAAAAAGAAACAAATCTGTAAGACACTAGGAAATTCAAAATGCTTTCAAGCTTTCTTTGAACTTTACTACTGAATGATTTATTTGCAACTCATTATCTGGTGTAGTGGGGAAGAGCTACTTATGTCTCTTTAAGCCAAGATATATTTAAGATAACAATAAAGATAAAATATATATTTCACTATCCAGATTTGATTTTGACACAATGAAAAGCTGATTGGTTCACAATTAAATGGACAAATTTTCCACAAGTAAGAGATGAAACTCCTGGCTTGGAAATCCTGGGGATTGACAGGTTGAATGTCCTTGGTCTGTGGTGAGCATGTTCACATTTCAACACATGAGATCTGGTGTGCTTTCCGTATCAGCTCCTCAGATTTTGTGAAAAACTAGAAGATAATTTTTTAAAAAGCAATGTTGAATACTTAGAATCATATTTCTAATAAAAATAAGTCAAACTATTTAATTTTGATAAACAGTTTCAAAACTAAACATGAACTGAACTTATACTTGATGACATAATTTTGTAAATTCATGATGAATTTGTCTTATTCTGATTTATTTACTGTTTTAAAAGATAGATGTTTCTTTTCTACCACTGTGAAAGTGTAATGTGTTCATTGTATTTGGAAAACGTGGAAAGTAGAAGATGACTGTTCTTACTTTTTCACTTTTACAGAGGGTAATTTTTTCCACACCATAGAAGTAGAATAATCATACTTCTAATTTGAAAATTTGAAAATGTAAAAAAAAAAAATTAATCCAAGATCATATGAACATTTAGGGCTAAGAGTTGAGATTATACTGAATATGGTTTTGCATTGAATATATTACAAGCCTTTTTGTGTCATTTAGTATTTGATAAAACATGATTTTTAATGCCTGAATACTTTTCTAACACTTGTATGTATTGTTGTTGATTGAATCTTTCCTCTATTGTGGAACATTCAAATTGGATCCAAGTTTACCATAAGTAATAATACAATAAAAATATCTATACATTATTTGTGATGTCTCTGGTTGTTTTCTTAGAGTGCCACCTTAATTATCTTTGTGAGAAAGTCCTCAAGAATCCTGCCATTAATTCAGATACTTTCCCTGCTATTGATATGTCCCTTTAAGAGCTCTGAAAATACTTAAGAAACTTAGTAAGAAGAAAGAAAATTAATCCTCTCTTCTGATTCTTCAGTTCCAATTCTCTGTGGCCACTGGATTTTTAAAAATCCTGTTGTCCAAAGCAGCTCCCATTTAATTGTTTCTCTCTGACAGTAGGGAAACTGGAAGTCAGAGGTGATACCATAAAAGGAAATGAATGAAACAGATGTATGAATTTTGATACATACAACAGATGTCTTTTGATCACACTTCCTGGGCAATATAGTAGTAATCAAAGGAAAACTGGTAACATTTTTGGTTACTATGCTTTAAAGAAAAATTTATAAGCCTCACACAGCTGACATGGTTTATTTACCTTCAGGAACACGGTAGTACTTAGCGTAAGTTAGAATCCATTCATTATTACGTGTGACTGGAGAGATATATTGCTTAAAAGCTATACCAGGCCCTACTTAGGAACAAGTTACAACTGCATTTAAATCACTCTGTTTATGTCAAAATAGTTAAAGTTAAATAGCAGAATCTAGAGGGGGTCTTGATTAACATGAGACAATAAATATTTGCAGAATCTGATGCCTACCAGAGGAAACTCTAACCCAGACAGGAAAGTTCTTCAGAGTGAAAATCAAGAAGGGTGAGAGTGGCTATGCAATAGAAGTAAGCCTTGGCCTGGACCCAGACAAGATCATTGCACAAGAGATTGGTTTTGGAAGTAGATTTGGCTGAGATTAAAGTCTTGAGTGACATGAAGACAATGTTAAAGATAAATCCAAACTCTTCTTTATTGCTTGACACTTTTCCAATCAGCATCAACTTCATTCCTGGTAAGTTGGTGTAGCATGGTGAGTTCTGCCTTATTTCATACTTTATTTGGTTAGAATCTGGGGGAGGGGGTAAAGGTGCAGGTTGGTTATTTCAAATGTGCAGACGGCCTCCACCAATTTTGCAGTATAGTGCTATTACTTCAGGGAATACACCCATAAAACTTTGATTTCCTAGTAATTCTGCTTTTGTGCATTCTTAATTTGAGACTCAGTGAGGGTGAAAGAGTTGTAGATTTGGCAAACGCTGCACTATTTTCTCACATTTTTTCGATTTGCTAAGACCAATAACAAATGTATTACCCCTTTTTTTCCTTTAATTTTTAAATCCATGGCCTTTTCACTGCCTTTACTTTCCATGTGTTGCCACTGTATCCTCCACTGTATCCCCCACATTGGGCCCAGCACTTGACACTTAGTAGGCACTCAACCAATACTTGTTGAGTGAACAAGTTTAATGCATTCTAGTTTTTTTAGTTTTTAGATGATGTTGTGCCTAATGCACACTCCTTCCTTCTTTCACTCCTTCATTAATCCTTTTGTTCATGTCTTTTACTTATGCCAAGCTGTCACACTGTGTGCATGAACTGAGGGATTTAGTTTTTCTTCCACAGCCCCAGAGCCAGCAAATGACTGACCTTAAACCTAAAACTGTAGGAGTTTGGTCAGGGTGGTGGGAAAAGTTGTAAGAAAAGGTTATAGGGAAAGACACAAATCTTCTTGGAAGAATGGGAGGTTTTGCAAAAGCTTCAAAGGAGAATTTAGCTGAAGGCAGTTAAATTCTCTTAAGAGCAAGGGTTAGATAACAAGGGAATGTAAAGAAACTTATCTAGATAAATTGTTCTACTTATATCTCTGGAAACCAACCTTTGATCATTCATGTGCAGGACTGCTCTCTACTTGCAGGGGTTGACAATGTTAATTACCCACAAATTGTGTTTGCTCCAAGCCCTTGTCATTAAATCTGTACTAAATAAATTCAAGTGGGGCCAGCTTAGGGGGCTGCACTCCTTTTGGCTGCTGCACTCTCTCATTGGCAGTGCTGAGTGGTGCAGTCCCCTAGCTCACTGTCAGGAAAAATACCTGTGTCAGGGAACTCCTTTCATTCATCGCTTGGCCAGAGTCTGCGGGACAGATCAGCATAAAACACCCATTAGTTTTCACCTTTACTCTTGCAGCATGAGTTATAAAGCCAAAGACCTCAAGAAAAGCACACTCCTTAACAGCCAGTTCAGAGGTGACAGCCAGCGAATAAGAAATAAGAACCTTCCAGAGGATGGAGCCACCACCAAAAATGACAGAAAAGAGGGTTCCTCCCAGAGAGTAGATTCAGAGGCTATTTAAGGAATTTCTCCATGCCCAGTGTAGGGAGCTTCTCACTACTTGCTACTCAGGATTTCCTTATGATTATAATCTAGGGACTGCTGCTTGCCTGCCTGTCTTCTCTTTCCTGCATAGCAGGTTTCTTTATTTGTTTAATTTTATTTTTTTCTTCAATTATGGTGGTCTTTTCACTGTTCTACCATGACAAGAGGTAGAAGAGAGACATTTTTTACCCCTACATGGGAGGCAGAAAATTGGCCTTTTTATTCAAGAATGCCAAACCAGAAGCTGACATATCAGAATCTGATACAAAGGATAGTCTATTCCCCTTTGGACTTTGGACCTTGGACTTTGAACTGGATGCAATAATGGTATGAGACCCTTGGGTAGGAATGAGTGTCTTGTATGTGTGGGAAAGACAGGAAAGCAGATATTTGGTGACCTAAAAAGAAGGCCATGGCAGAACCTCATTAGCTATTCAGCAATCCTATTTTCCTTTCCTCCTGGGCACACAGCTATGTATTTTCCAGCCATCCTTGTACTTAGATGTAGCCCAGTGACACTTCTGAGAGTGGAATATGGACAGATGTGATGGGCACTGCTGGGACTGGACCATAAAATCCTTCCACATTATGTCAGTGCCTCTTTTACTCCATTGGCAGCTGGATATTGTCATCCAGAGAGATGGATGACTTAGAAGCCACGTGCAGAAGATGGCAACCTTCCATCAGCATGGATCCTTGAGTGACTGTGGAGTGCAACGCCTTCTACCAGTTAGAACTACTGTGATTGACAATCACATTTCATTTGTATTAAGCTACTGATTTGGGGGGTTTATCTCCTTCAGCTCCCACATTAGTACAACTCATGCAGAATGGAGAGTGACTGTGAACACACATGGCACAGGCTGGTGAAACCTAGGACTTTATAGATGAATTTCTGATTATACTCTCCTTTCTTGCAAAAAGCTTTTTTCAAATTAAATGTTATAATATAAATGTGAATACTAAATGTCTTTCTAATGAAATGATGACTAACTGTAGAAAAGAAAATGTAGGAATGTATACATCCTTGATAAGAGTGTGAAACTGACACAGGCAATGTAGAGAGTCTTGCTTACGGATAATGAACAAAAGAACATACCTGGGTAAAAGAAATGAGAGGTTACTGATAACAAAACTAATATTTATATTGCACAATATAAAACATTATTTTATACTTAGGATTACATTTGATTTTTGCAAATCCCTGTGAAATAGCTATTATTATCAGATCCACTTTATGCATACTAAAAACAAGACTCATATGGGTTAGCTAACTAGGCTATGGTCTCTCCACCAAGCTCTACTTCTCTGATTGAGGAGATAGTAGTAACTAGAGCTTCAGTGTTCTTTCTACCGCCCTATGCTACCACCCAGTGCAGATGTAAGAACAAAACCTACTAGTAACCTGCTATTGACTGTTTAGAACTTTAGCAACTTTAATTATCCAAAACATAGCTGTGAGACCAAAAAGAGGAAAACAGTTTGCAAAAGCCCACATTTATTACACCATGAAAGAGCCAGGTCTGTGAAATGTTGCCTAGAATTTGTGTACTAAACTCAGCAAAATGAATTAACAAACTCAGTGACCTCATTTTCTCCTAAATTTCAGTAAATGGAAGATTTAAAAGATGAGAAAAATAAAGACAGAAAATTTCAGTTGACAGGGTAGAGGACCCATTGAAAGATTGGATGTCTATGTGTGGTATGTAAAGGCAGGTCCTACGAGTGTTAGGCCGGCCTAGGCACGTGTTCTCTCTTTTTTGTTGTTTGATTCTCAATTTATGACAAATGAAGAATGAGGCCTTTACCTGGTCTGGATCGACTTGTTATGGAGCTCACGTGAAATGAAAATGATTCATAAACAAAACTGATCCATCCCCAGCAACAGCAGAGATGACCATGAACAATTAGCCACCTGAGAATCCTCAACAATTCTTGGGGAATGCCAATAATTACATTTTATTAAAGGGCAGGGATATCCAAGCTGACATATGGGTTACAAAGGCAAAGTATAATTTCTTTATGGGTTTTGATAATGTGAAATATAAATTAATAAGCTTTTCAATTTTACTAATACAAACATACCCATCAATTGGTCATCTTCAATTCAGAAATAACTAAAGTTTGAGGGTATCTTAAATCCAAAAAATAAAAACAAAAACCTAACCAGCAGCCATTTGCTGAATTCCTGAGTGCTTAGGACTCTCCATTTCTAGTCTAGCAAACATCTTCCAGTTGCAATTTTAAACTTTTTTCCCACATCTTTCAAGAAACCTCTAATAGTATCAAGTTCAGCACACAAAGCTAGCTTTCTGTAAGCAGTCTCATCTACCCACCTTTACTTTAGACAGGCCCCTAAAGTCAACCTTAGTATAAAAAGGACTTTTCTTTTATTATTAAAAGTCTGTTCTCTAGCCAGGTGTGATGGCTCATACCTGTAATCCCAGCACTTTGTGAGGCTGAGACCAGAACATTGCTTAAAACCAGGAGTTCAAGACTACCCTGTACAATGTAGTGAGGCCACCATG
Source organism: Homo sapiens (assembly GCF_000001405.40). NCBI lineage: Eukaryota > Metazoa > Chordata > Mammalia > Primates > Hominidae > Homo > Homo sapiens. Next base: position 130,713,056 of record NC_000002.12, on the reverse strand, counting down.
TCTACAAAAAAAAAAAAAAAAAAAAAAAAAAATTAGCCGGGCATGGTGTTGCACATCTGTGGTCCCAGCTACTTGGGAGGCTGAGGTGGGAGGATCACATGAGCCTGGTGGATGAGGCTGCAGTGAACCATGGTCATGCACTGCCCTCCAGCCTTGGTGATAAGAGCAAGACAGATGTTTCAATAATTAAAAAAATAAAAGTCTGTCCTCTGCCTCAAACGGACTTTGCTGTTATATTAAAATGATTGAAATATGTATAAACCAGGTGTGGTGGCTCACACTTGTAATCCTAGCACTTTTAAGAGGCTGAGGCAGGAGGATTGCTTGAGACCACAAGTTCAACACCAGCATAAGCAAGATAGTGAGGCCCTATCTGTATAAAAAGTATGAAAACTAGCCAGCTGTGGCTGTGTGTGCCTATATTCCCAGCAGCTCAGGAGGCTGAGACAAGAGAATCCCTTGAACCCAAGAATTTGAGGTTACAGTGAGCTGATTGTGAACTGCACTCCAATCTGGGAACCAGAGTGAGAACCTGTCTCAAAAAAAGAAAAAAAAAAAAAAAGAAAGAAAGAAAAAGAAAAGAAAAGAAGAAAATATGTATAAATGAATGTTTTAAATTGGAACAATTACTATAGCATCAAAACGCACATTTGATGAGATGTGAAAATTTATTCTTAAGTATTTATCCATTTCTGGTTTTGTAGCAAAGGCATTATTATACTTCTATAACTTGTCTAATAGAATCAGATAGAATCAAGCAAAGTTGGCAGAGCCTAGGCATCTACCTAAAAGAAATGCTCTCTCCCATTTCCGTGAATACATTAACTCCTCCTGAGTTCCAGTGGCACTATTTCTGGAGTCCTTTTCAAGGCACCTAATCCTAAAGCAGGTGTCACTTGTTACTCTCTTTCAAAGCATCTTGCTCTTTTTCTTCACAGTACTTTTCAAAATATTTAATATACATTTATTTCTTATAGAAGTTGCCTACCTCACTGGACTTTAAGATCTATGAGGTTAATCCCATGTCTGTTTTGTTTTCTACCTTATTGCCCCTGCTCCCCAGGCACAGAGCAATATGTACCTGACGTATATTTGGCTCTCAATACACATTTGTCATATTTGTGTGTGTGCTTGTTCAACTTCTCTCACTCTGTTTGTGTGTAGGTGTGTACTTTCTTGTCATTTTGGGACACTTAGGAATTTCCTTATTTTGCTTCAAGTTCAGCTATGCATTAAAACTATTTTATAAAAACTTTTTTTTTTTTTTTTTTCAGAAAGAGTTTCACTCTGTTGCCCAGTCTGGAGTGCAGTGGTGTGATCTCGGCTCACTGTAGCCTCTGCCTCCTGGATTCAAACCACTCTCCTGCCTCAGCCTCCCAAGTAGCTGGGATTACAGGCAACTGCCACCATGCTCAGCTAATTTTTGTATTTTTGGTAGAGACAGGGTTTCACCATGTTGTCCAGGCTGATATGGAACTACTGGGGAGTCTGAGATGGGAGGATTCAGCTACCTTGGCCTCCCAAAGTGCTGGGATTACAGGGGTGAGCCACTGCACCAGGCTTAACATGTTTAGGTGTTTTATATCAGAAGACATTTTTCTGGTCCTCTATTTCAGGAGTTGGCAAACTTCTGTAAAGGGCCAGATAATATTCTCAGCTTTGCGGGCCATGTGATTTCTGTCCCAACTACTCAACTAATTCACATTTCCTGTCATCATCAGCATCACTTGAGTTCTAATCTTTTATTATTATTTAAGTAGTAGGAAATCTTCTAGCTGTCAAGATACAAAAGACCTTCAATGGGAGTGTCAGACTCTAAAAGATAAAGCTCAAACTCCCTCCCATATTTGAGTATGAATTTAAAGCTAATATTTGCTGAGCGCTTACTGTGGTTCAGGCACTATTCTAAGTGCCTTTCCTATGTTAACCTTTTTACATCTCACAATGGTATGAAAGAGAATGACCATTATAATCTCCATTTGGAAACTGAGGCTCAGTTACATAAAGTTACACCACGCAGTGGTGGATAAAGGACACCAACTCAGGTCTGACTTCAGAAACCATGCTCCACTCAGAATGCTAACCCCCTAACACCCAGTCTTCTATCTCTTGATGAGTTCTGAATTATCACGCAGGTATTCACCCTTCTCCAGTAGCGACCTTGCCTCAGAAACACATAATCTCACCCCAGCTTCAGAGAAAAGCTGATTGATCTCCATGCACTCTTACATTCTAGACAGTGATTGGCTTACGTCTGAGGTTTCTCAACAAATTAGTACATGGCATAATCTCAGGCCACAGGGGCTGGCCAGAAATGGACAGGTAACCTTAACTAAGCTGATGCGATGGGAGGGAAATTTGCTGAGGGTTTTTAGAAAACAAGTTTCATCAATCTTGGGAGAAAATCTTGAAGAGGGCCAGCCTCTCTTCATCCAAAGATTGCCATATTATGTGTGCAAAGCTTGAAGCTACAGCAAACATCTTATTCATCATGAGGATAAAACCAGAACAAAGTGGCAGAGTTGAGAGACTCAAAGACCAAGGCAGCCAGAGTTCTAGTTGAATCACAGCTGCTCACCACTCTAGTGCTGGATTTTTTCCATTGTACATCAATACACCACCTTTGTGTTTTAAACCAGTTTCAACTGGCTTTTCATTCATTGGAATGTAACCTGACTGCAGTTATTTGAAATCTTTCAAGATCTGGCCTCAGCATACCTTTCTAGTCCTTATTTTTACTAGTCTAGGGCTAAATAAATTACCCAGAGTTTCCCAAACACACCACAGCTTTCATGGATTTGCAAGCGTGATTCTTTCTGCCTTCATTGTCCTTTGCTCTCCTCTCCCTGGAGAATTCATGTTGGGTTGCAATTATGTTTTAAATGTCTGTCTCCACCACTTGATTTGGCTACATGATTTTTGTCTTTACACTCTTTGCACTTCTCATGCACTTAAGACATAATAAGGGCTCCATTAAGTGTCTGTAAGATTAATTAAAAAGATGGGCAACATGGAAATCTGAATCATAATATAAACTCTCTCTACAAGATACTTGGCCTGGTGCAGTGGCTCATGCCTAATCCCAGCACTTTGGGAGGCCAAGGCTGGTGGATCATGAGGTCAGGAGTTCAAGACCAGCCCCGCCAAGATGGTGAAACCCCGTCTCTACTAAAAATAAAAAAATTAGCCGGGTGTGCTCGTAGGCGCCTATAATCCCAGCTACTTGGGAGGCTGAGGCAGAAAATTGTTTGAACCTGGGAGACAGAGGTTGCAGTGAGCTGAGATTGCACCACTGCACTCCAGTTTAAAAAACAAACAAACAAACAAAAAAACCAACCATTTAGATCAATGCTGTCTGGTTAAATATTCTGTGATACCTGCCCTGTCCAATAAAGAAGCCGCTAGCCAAGTGCGTCTATTGAGCATTTGAAATGTAGCTAGTATGACGGAAGAACTGAATTTTAAATTTCATTTAATTATAACTGATTAAAAGTAGCTAGTGGCTACTATACTGAATATCACAGATGTAGACAACAAATTTTAAAAATTTTCCAAACATGGGAATGAGTCACCTAAATGATTTTAGATACCAAGCTGAATAAAAACATCTCAAGATGGTACTACTTCGGCTCTAATAATTTTTTTGTTGAAAACAATATCTATATATTATATATACAAATACATATATACACACATATGCATATAAATATATACACATATGTATATATATATAATCTGGAGGTTTCTTTCCTTTCAAAAATACTTCATACCTGTAACTTAAAAAATATAATTTTATCTTTATTGTCTTTATTTTGAATTTTCAGTCATTTCAAAATTAATATGAGCAATATCATTAAAAAGTGGGCAAAGGATATGAACAGACACTTCTCAAAGGAAGTTGGCCAACAAACATATGAAAGAAAGCTCAACATCACTGATCATCAGAGAAATGCAAATCAAAACCACAATGAGAGACCATCTCATGCCAGTCAGAATGGTGATTATTTAAAAGAGTCAGGATACAATAGATGCTGGTGAGGCTGTGGAGAAATAGGAATGCTTTTACACTGTTGGTGAGGATATACATTAGTTTAATCATTGTGGAAGACAGCATGGTGATTCCCCATGTATCTAAAACCAGAAATACCATTTGACCCTGCAATCCCATTACTGGGTATATACCCAAAGGAATATAAATCATTCTACTTATTGCAGCACAATTTACAATAGCAAAGACTGGAACCAACCCAAATGCCCATCAACAATAGACTGGATAAAGAAAATGTGTTACATATACACCATGGAATACTATGCAGCCATGAAAAATGAATGAGAGCACGTCCTTTGCAGGGACATGGGTGAAACTGGAAGCCATCATCCTTGGCAAACAAACACAAGAACAGAAAACCAGACACTGCATGTACTCATTCAGTGGGAGTTGAACATTGAGAACACATGGACACAGAGAGGGGAACAACATACACCATGGTCTGCTGGGGGATATGGGGGTGAGGGGAGGGAACTTAGAGGACGGGTCAATAGGTGCAGCAAACCACCATGGCACACGTATACCTATACAACAAACCTGCACATTCTGTACATGTATCTTCTTTTTAGAAGCAGCAATAAAGAAAAATAAATGATCGCTTCATTTCAGGAGGTGGAGTTTTCCTCTTAAAGTTTTTCAGATTTTTATCTCAAGGGTTTGGCTTTTTATGCATCTCACTACATGTAATTTGCAGTTAATACATCCATGCCTTCTGCTCTTACTTCTCTCCTTAAAACATTACATCTTTTTGTGTGGTGAGTGGTGACTCTCTCTCTCATTTTCTTTTTTTTTCTTTTTTTTTGTCAGTTCCTATTGCATTTTTCCCCACTTCGCACTCTGGTATTATAACCTGACACTGAGAATGTTTGCCTCAAAAAAACTGGAAAAACAATGTTTTTCCAGTATAGACGAATTCTGTACTCGGCTTTTCCTGATGTATCCAAATTGTTCTATGTAACCAGGAAATTTCACATGCTCTTACTTTTTCTAAAAGCCATCCATTCCACCTGGTGGAGGTACTACTTGTGTGTGTGTGTGTGTGTGTGTGTGTGTGTGTGTGTATTATTATCCTATAATATGGTTTACTTATAACCTTAGACACACACTCTTCCAGTGTCTAATTGAATTAAAGTAGTTTTTCATGGGGTTTAATTTCCAGCTTACTCAAAAGGGCATATACCAAGAGAAATGGTCATACTACAAAAGGTTTTTTTTCTCTCTCTCTAAGTAATCCACCTAATAAGCAGGTATTTTATGTTTCAAGATAGCTTCCTGTGGTTTGGGCTGTCTTTATTCGGGTTTTGACCACCTGAAAAAACTAAGTCATCTCTAATACAGGTCTAACTATTTTTTTTCTCTTGACTATGTAACTTTTGAATTTGTTTTTGAAGTCTTTCCATTATTACTCTGGTTAAATAAGTGACCATTATCTCTCAAGGATATGTAATTCTACTTTAATTAAATATTTTTAGGCTTTTTGAATCCAAACAAATGACAAACTTCCCCAGAATCAAATTCAAATTTAACTCTTTTTCACCTAAAATTGACTAAGGGATTTTCTAGTTGGGATCCTGGGAAGTCTCAAAAGATTTGTCTCCCATTAGGCTTGTTTGACCAGCTCCCAAATTCTTCTCTAGTGTCTGTGAGCTTTCTTTCAAAACAATATGTAGCATTTCCCTCGCTAGTAAACCCCCAATCTTCTCTTTGTCCTTCACACATATAGAAGACCACCGTGGTTTTCAGTTTTGTTCAGAACTACAATTCTGTGATTCCCAAATAAATTGCATACTTTAGAGATCCATCTTTATTTTGACTTCAGTAGTGGTGATAAACTCTGATACAATATTCAAGAATATGTTTTATAACAATACTAAGTAAATTTAGAAATGCATTTTACTGCAATATAAAATCCTTAACTTTTCTCCTCCACTGACATTATGTATGATTTTGTTATTAATTTACAAGCACCTAAAAATTCTTTTACATAAGGTTTATATTAATTTTGTGAGGAAAATAAAAGGTCGGTTTTCTGTTTGCATTGTGCTAATTCAGACTGCACTTGGTTCTTCATGCACACTGGTATAAGCGAAGTTTAGACAAATTATTGTAAAAACTGATAAACATATAGACCATTATATTGTTATTTTTAAAAGCACAAGAAACTAAAAGATCACAAGGAGATTACAGCAAATGAATCTTCATATTCATTACCTCAATGAAATTAATTTAACACTAGTTTCAATGTCTTTTTTTTCCAAAAGACTAATTTTCAAGTGAAACCTTTAGATCTTTGAAAGTAATAGAAGTAAAGATAAAGATAGAAAAGATACATAATTCATTTCAGTAGTTTTCTGAGAAATACCACATTTTCCAAAATATATATATTCTTATAAGAAATGGATTCTCTTTAGGCTACTAGAATATCAATCTTCTACAATAGGCCTATTTTCAAAGCACTAGGCCTATGTTCACTCAACCAGTCTCATGAAGCAAAAACTGAATTAAGATATTCCATTTATTTTATTCCACGTATTTATCAAGCAAAGAAACTGTGGAACAAAGACTCTTTCTTGCTGAAGTTGCTGGGATTTCCATGGTGCTTAATGTGTATTTTTTTAAATTGTGAGATCAAAGAACACAAATCTTCAGCCATTGTATATGTTACCTGGGTAAAAAAATTAAACTTGGTCTTTTCAAATATCTAATGGAATCCCAGGCATAGTGATTATTAAAATATAAAGTTAAATATTTAAGAGAAAATTAATCACTAATAATGAAATGAGTTGATTTTCTAAGAAAAGCAAGTATGTAATTAAGGAATCATTAGCAGACACTCTCAAAACCATTACAACATTTAAAAGCAATCAACATTACAACTCTTAGGGTGTGTTTTAAATTCCTCATAACCCAAACATATACATTCACTAATTATTCACTTGCCATGATCAACAATGAAAGATGAGTTAGAAAAACCAGAGGTTTTAATTCTAAAATAACAATCTTTGGTACTGCAGCAAGGAAATAACCAGCTGGTGAAATTAATGACTCCACCTGGCTTTATCTTGGCAATGTTCTGAAATACATGCAATGAACAACTTGACATTGTTTGATGTTCTTAATTCTTTACAGCCATCTCTATGGGTGGTCTTAATAGATAAGATCAATCAGAAATGATCATATTATGAAATGTAAATCACTTCACATGACTTATCTGGAAAATGTCCTTGTACTTTACTTGCACCATCTCAAGTTCCAAGAGCCAAAAACATATACATGCTCATGGAGGAGAATTTCCTTTCTGATTTTAGAACAGTCTGAAATGGAGTGAAAAAATGAAAAAGAAGGGGGAGCTTACAAATAACAAAAATTATATCCCAAGTGAAAATTAGAATGTCTATGGAACTAGTAGCAGTAACAACAGTAGACGAAAGATAGGCTGTAGATGTGAAGAAGATGTCTACAAGGGAAGCACAAGACTCCAAATGCTCTTGCTACTAAAACGCAGATTCAAGCTTTACCATCTGTAATACTCTGCTGCCAAGTACATCTATGGCCACTGCTACTATCTAAAATGAGGATATATATTAAGAAATCATCAAAAAGGACTGCATAGCAGAAACTTTTCTGATATCAAGGGATCAACTTAACTACAATTATATGCAAGTGCCAATTTCCTCTGGAGTAAACTACCACACGGGGCCTCATGTACCAGTTAGATAATCCAAGTCAGCCTTTATTGCATTGGACTCTACATTTTGGCTCTGCAGAACTGAGACAAGAAATGTATGAATAGGATAGTGATATTGCCTTTGTCTATGGGAATTCTTGAGTCTAATAAAAAAAACTGGGAAAAATCTAACTTCATGATTACACTTGGGCACATAGGTGATTAATACGAATGAAGTAACAACCATAAATACAATCATAACCACAAGAACAACAGTAATTCAAATTTTCTCACTTCATAGATGTTCTTAGAATGCTTTATTGGTATCTTGTAGGTGCTCTCCCCAAGCCTCAGGTGTTCTTCCATAATCTCAGTTGATGCAGAGGCAAACACCACACTCTCCTCTGTTCAATGTCTGCCATTCCTGTCTTTTTGGCCTCTGACTCTTCCCTATACTACTGTCCATGCACTTGAGATCTTCACTGACATAGCTGGGCTCTGTATTTATTGATAAGAATATGTCTTTTCTCTTAGACTAGGCATGACCAAAAGGTTAATCTGGGTTCAAAGATTAATGACAACGACCACTCACTTTTTATTCAAGATCAATTTTATTTGTTGTAAAAACAAACATGGGTTATGTTCCAGACAAACAGATATAAGTGAGTAGACTTATGCCCTGGTGCCTCCTTGGCTCTTCACAGGATGCAAAAACAAATCCTGCCAGCAGGAGGTGGCAGGTTGCAGAGGTGGCTGGTTGCTCTTTCAGCCAGCTTGGCCTTGTCTGGCATGCACAGGTCCCAGCACAGCAAAACATTCAGGGAGTTAGAGTGTTGCACAAAGGATTTTACCAACCTCTCACATTAAGCAGCATTCAAGGATTTGCTGACCACCACTTATGCAAATTTTGTGTTATGCTATAGCAATGAACTTACTTGTTCTATTTCTAAACAAAACATTGGGTTCACACACAGGCCTGGACAAAGCTTCCCACTTCTGAACTATTTACTGATCTTCTTATTCTCAAAGAATGCAAGATGAATGATGTGCAATACCATGGCTATGGCATGTGACTTTTCTTGACCTGGATGGTTAGTGTCCCAATATTTAACTGACTTTTGTGGGGGTGAAAATATGCCATAAGTTCTTCCTTCTATCATCCCCATCACTACCATACATGTAATGACATAATCATGTCACAGTGTGCCCTCAGAATCACTATTCCTAGCTGAGTATACTAAGGCTTTCTATCTAGGTCAGTTCATTGTGTCTGTGTCTCCTCTAAACCCTCCTTCATCATGCCTACCTTGAGGAATTCAGCAAGTGATCATTCACGCAAGCTAAAGGATTTTAGCTTTCTCTGCCATAAAGATTATTGCTAAAATACATACCATACAACAAACCAACCCATTTCCCACAAATCTTACTGTCTGACTTCTCACAGAATACATAATGACTTTTATTGTGTCTCTTCCTTCTGTGTTTCTCTTTCCTAACTGAACTTTGTTCTTTATCCATGCCTTCTTCCAATCCTGACATATTTTAAAACCTTTAGCATTTCTGCCTATAATATTTGAGTTTTCTTCTTTTCCTATCTTTATTTGATAAGTCCCGTACAAATATTTTCCCCATAATCACAATGTTTTCTTTTCACTTTGCTCAAGAACTGAGTTATGAGCTCCAAATTTGGACAAACTCTACATTGGCTAAGTTTTAGTCATTTGCACTGCTAAGAAAGATGACAATTCAGCATGCTGAAGATGACTTCCTCCCTTATAAAGGGGCTAACACAGAGGGCAATACTGTTCATGCTTCTGATTCTTGATCACAAGAATTGCTTTAGGCAATTACAATCATGTCTCCTCTGACACATCATATTATTCAAGTGAGACAGAGAAAGAAGATGTCCTATGTCACACAGCTGGGTGGTGACAGCCGCTTTAGCATCAGCACACTGCGTTCCCTCTGATTTCTTCATTCATCTCTAAGTAGCAGTAAAGCCGGTCCTGAATACTGACTTTGACACTCAGCTTTCTCCACATCCTTCCTGTCACTTCCTTTGAGACTACTTCAGATTCTTCCCTGAGCTTCTATTTCTCCATTTGTAAAATTGGGTTGATGAGGGTATCTTCCTTCGGTAGCTGTGACAATAAAAATGGGATCATCACGCATCCTCCTTAGCCCCACGAGTAAGCTCCCAGTAAGTGAGGTTGTCATCATTACTGGATATTTAAGATTCTCTACCTATTTGAAAAACCCTAGTGACAGCGTCTCAGTTGGTTTTCTTTTTGTGTGAATGATCACTTGCTGAATTCATCAAGCAGGCGCTTTAACATTTACCTTCCTTTATTATGCTGGAGTATTTTTAATGTAGGAGGCTTCTGTGGCTTCTCACTATGACTGCTTTGTTTGTTCAAAACTTACACAGATTGAGTATCCTTTATCTGAAATGCTTGGGTCAGAAGTGTGTTGGGTTTCAACTGTTTTCAGATTTTGGAATATTTGCTTCAATGCAATGAGGTATCTTGGGAATGGGACCCATATCTAAACACAAAATTCACTTACATTTCATACACACTTAGCCACATACACATAACCTGAAGGTAATCTTATACAATATTTTAAATAATTTTATGCATGAAACAAAGTTTTGAATGTGTTTTGACTGTGACCCATCACATGAGGTAAGATGTGTGGAATTTTCCACTTGTGGCATCATGTCAGCACTCAAAACTTTTTGGATTTTGGAGAATTTCAGATTTTGGATTTTCAGAGTAGGTGTGTTCAATCTGTATATATGGGTCAGATTCAGTTGTCTCCTTTAATCTTTGGCTGAAGGAAGCCCTAAAGACTTTGGGGCCTCAATCTCCCATATGCAGTGACATTCTCAAAGCCATTGACTCAGCTTCTCACCTGGGTTTCCTTCCAATGAGCCACAGATAGAAGTCACAGATAATGGCAGGGGCCTGCTGGCTGATGGCATTCCAGTACTGGGTTGTGAAGTTGCTTGTGGTGAAATCAGCATATGGCCTCCTCAAAGCTCTTGCAAATGGAATTGGAATTTCAAAGGTTGCCAAGACCTGGAATCCTGGGGAAAAAAAGAGAGTAAGTGATAGAGGAGAATAGGAGAATATAAGCCCATCACACTGGAAGGTATTTATAATGGGTCACAACAATAAAGATGAAGGATTTGCTGTGTAGAGTCAAGAATCAATTTCTGAGAACAACGTAAAGATTTTTATGCTAGGCAAGTGGTTATCTGCAAAATGAAACAATGTGAATGGGTTAAGAATTGGACCCTTTATTTGAAACATCTACTCTACAACAAATTCTTGGGGAAACACATGTAGTCAACAAAAGGGGGTACTCTTCAGAAAAACATAAATCCACATTTAATTCTAAGGTTATCTAGTCTATTCTGAAAGCCCCAAGACACAGGCTAGAAACTTTATTTCCCTGGCTGGACCATTACTTTCAGAACCATTTAGAAAGTTTCTTAATGTTTTATTTGAATCTTTATTAAAAGTTTAACTTAAAAATTCTAAAGGCAAGATTTTCTTGTGTTAGCTTACTTTAAATATTTCTCTGGGAATATGTCAGACTCAGTTGTCCACTCTGGTATCCAGGGTTTTATTCATAATAGTGTTTTTCTTTTTATATTAATACTTAGATTAAGCTTAATTAAGAACTTTTTATGTACATTTGTGAATTCAGTAGTTCTTTTGAAAAGATACTCATTTGAATTCAATTTTATTTAAGGTATGTAGGTTTTTGCAAAGCATATGCCTAAGCTCATTATTCAATTATGATGTCAGTTATTATAGTAATACGATTATTGCCCTACTTAAAAAAATGCCAGCTAAAAATCTATCTGAAAAATATAACTCCTCTTCAGAGAAGATTCTTAAGAATCATCTGTTCCATAGGGATTTATACTTTAAAAAGATGGTGGTAAATAAAAAAGTTATGTACAGGTTGATAGCATAAGAGATTCTGATCTCAACACTGATGTTCTGATCTATATATCCATATACTTGTTCAACATTTCCACCTGGAGGTGTAAGAGACATTCACATTTAACAGCTCTAAAATGGGCCTCCTGATACACCCACTGCTAACCACCCCCCTCCCAATACATACACAAACTTGCTATTTCACCAGTCTTCTACCTCTAACCAAATGCTAATTCAATTTGTTTAGTAGTTCAGCCAAAAACTTTGGGGTTATCCTTGATTCTTCTCTCTCTTTAACAACCCACACACAATTGAACAAAATCTATCAGCTCTCTGTTTGAAAAATACCCAGAATCATAATTTCCACCTGCTATCTCTCTGATCCAAACCACTACTGTAGCCTGGAATGTTGCAATACTGTCCTAAGTGGTCTCTGCCACTACCCCTGTAACCCTAGTTGGACCTCCATGTAGCAGCCAGAGGGATTCTTGTAAAATGTAACTCAGAGTGTATTACAGGAACTTCCCCTTTCAGAGCCCTTCAACGGAATCTCTTCTCATTTAGAGGCAAAGCCATGGTCTGCAAGGGCTTGCACTCTCTGCATCCTCACTCTCTCTGCCCACCACTCTGACTTCACCTCTTACCGCTCTCCCTCTCAGTGCTTCTGCTGCAGCCATATTGGCCTCCTTGCTGTCCTTGAATATTATTAAAGAACTTCAGCACTTACTGTTTCTTCAACTTGGAATATTTCATCCACGTGTCCCTCTGATTTGCCCTCTCACTTCTTTCAGGTCTCTACTAAGATGACACCTTATCAGAGAGACTTTCTTTGGCCATCACTTATCAAATAGCAGCCTTCCCACAATACTGTTTACTTCTTTAATCTGTTTTATTTTTCTGCAATCACTCAACCATATCTGATGTATATTTCTCCTTTCTAAGATTTAAGTACCATAACAAAATTTTGCCTGTTTTGTTTGAACCTATACAGTACCTTGAAAAGTGGCTGACAGGTAATCAGTGCCTAATAAACATTTTTTGACTAAACGAATGAATAAATATCTCAGCAAAATACACTTACTTTCCTTTTCCTAAATCTGTATCAATCCTTCCTTTAGTCATTTCAAATATATTTATTCAGCATTTAACACTTGCCAGGCACTGTGGTAGATGCTGAGGTAAAAAAAAATTACATATGATATATTCTTTGTCTTTAAAGAACTGGCAATCTGGTGGGAGATGTGGACAATTCATGATTACAATCTTTTGCCTGAGTATTCTGCTAGAGGCCGGTACAATACGCTCTGGAGGAACACAAAAGAAGCATCTAGCTCTGTCTGGGTGCCAGGAAGGGGAGGGGTGGGGCTGGGTTAGGAAAGGCTTTCTGAGAAAGCTGTCCATATGGTAATAGCAAGCATTTACTAAAATGTTCACTGTTCTAACCACTGTACTAAGCACTTTATCTCACTACGTTCTCCCAAGAGCTCCCTAGAATAGAATAATTATTATTCTCACTGACAGATAAAAAAATTCATCTACAGGGAGAAACTGAGAGACTTTTTCCAACTGATACAACTAATAAGTAGTGGAGTCTACTAAATTGCAGGATGCATACCGCAAATAACATCTATGTGAGCACGGATTTCTGTTTAGTGATATATCCTCAGCACCAAGAATAATGTCTATTTAATAAATACAGGAGTGAGTGAATGAGCTATGATTTGAATCCAAGTCTATTAGATCTCAAAGCCCAAGACTTTTAACCATTAAGCTACTGTCTTTCTGATGTGAGGGACAAGGAGAAACTCATGCACATGTAGAAAATGTAATTTGGCAATTGAAAACTGCACTCTACATCCTCAAAGGTCAAAGAAGAAATTCAAATGAAAAATGTTTAAGGATTAGAGAGTAATGATAACATAAACATCATACAACAAAATGTGTGGGATACAGCCAAAGTGGCATTGAGGGAAGTATAAAGCCATAAATGATGTATTAGACAAGCCAAATATTCATGGGCTATATTTCTAAGTTAAAGAGAAGAAAAACATAATCAAAGAAAACAAAAGGAAGGGGAAAAAAGACATAAGGCAATACATCTATGCAATAGAAAACAAAGCAGCATAATAAAGAGTCAATAGGCTGGGTGCGGCGGCTCATGCCTGTAATCCTAGCACTTTTGCAGGCCGAGGTGGGTGGATCACCTGAGGTTGGGAGTTCAAGACCAGCCTGACCAACATGGAGAACCCCATCTCTACTAAAAATACAAAATTAGCCAGGTGTGGTGGTGCGTGTCTGTAATCCCAGCTACTCTACTCAGGAGGCTGAGGCAGGAGAACTGCTTGAACTCGGGAGGCAAAGGTTGTGGTAAGCCAAGATCATGCCATTGTACTCCAGCCTGGGCAACAAGAGCAAGACTCCATCTCAAAAAAAAAAAAAAAGAAAGAAAGAAAGAAAAAAGAAAAAAGTCAATAAAGCCTGAAGAAGTTGGTTCTTTCAAAAAAAGAAATAAAATAAAACCTTTGAAGACTAGCTGAGAAGAAAAGAGAAGACACACAAATATTATGAATTTAAAAAGAAGCATAATTACAGATACAGTTTAGGACAAAAATATGAATATGAAAAAAATGAATGTAAATACATTTTAAAACAGACAAAATCTTAGAAAAAGAGACAAATATAATTTACTAAAACTGATTCCAGCAGAAAATGAAGCCCGCAAAATTCTTTAACTATTAAAGACACTGAAGCAATAAAAAATCTTCTCACAAAAAATTATAAATCCAGATAATTTAAAGGTGCTTTTCCCAAGTTTTCAAGGAATAGATTACTCCACTATTACACAAGCACTTTCAGAGAACAGAAAAACAAGGGAACTATATGATTGGCAAACTGAATTAAACAAAATATAAAAAAAGATAACATGGTATGACCAAGTTGGGTTTATCCTAAAAATGGCAGGTGAGTTTAATATTTGAAGTCTTCTGCTTAAAATTAGCAGCAAGACAACAATACGTACTATTGCCATTTTTATTCACCATTATAGTAGAAGTTCAACAAGAAGGCTGGGCGCAGTGGCTCACGCCTGTAATCCCAGCACTTTGAAAGGCCAAGGCAAGTGGATCATGAGATCAGGAGATTGAGACCATCCTGGCTAACACGGTGAAACCCTGTCTCTACTAAAAATACAAAAATTAGCCAGGCATGGTGGTGGGTGCCTCTAGTCCCAGCTACTCGGGAGGCTGAGGCAGGAGAATGGAGTGAACCCAGGAGGCAGAGCTTGCAGTGATCTGAGATGGTGCCATCAACAAGAAAAATAAAGACCTAAAGCTTGAAAAAATGGGGATAATACTGGTATTTTTGCAGATTAAATAACTGTCTACATAGGAAATCATGAGGAAATATTATACAATTTCTAGCAATAATAAGTTTAGCAAGATAGGGGAATATATGGTCAATATACAAAAATCAATTGCATTTGACATCATCCACAAACAATTAGAAAATATATTTTTACAAAACACATTTAAATTAGTAAAAAAACAAACAAACAAAAAGCATCAATTACCTAGGCCCTAGGTATAAATCTGATAAAAGATGCTTAAGACCTGTATGCAGGAGATCAAAAACTCTTCTTAAGGGACACTAAAGGAGACAATTCCATGGAGAGACAGCCCATGTTCACCCACCCAGCTGTCTATCACTCCTTGTAATATCACCTGAGACTATATATGCTCAACCTCCTGTTAACATGGCTACTGCTCCCAGTAGGCAGCATTTTTATCCCTCCTAAGAGTCCCAGATAGGAAACACCAATGAGTTTAATTTGAATGCAACATCAAATTAATAGTAATAGCTTCCAGAAATGCTGTTAGAAGGGAATCTAGAACAGAGCCTTGGCACAGGGATAACCAATGTCTTATTAGCCCACAGTGTTTGCTATAGGTGTGAGAGAGGTAGAGGAAACAGGCATGCCAGGCATTTTTCATTCCTGGAAAGCATTTTCCAATTCAAAGTCACAATATATAAATCAGCCACAGTGTCTAGCTGCCCTGCAATAGAACTTTCAGTGCGGTACCATGACTTATCATTGGAATATGAAGAGCTAGTGGTACCTATGTAACAGGGATAGAAGGGGTGCGTTAGTTAGTAGGTACTAAGTAATCCTACAGAATAGCAAAACTCCCTACTTTTATCTTCTACCATCATTAGATGTTTAAGTTGTACTCAAATTGATTTCCATGGTTTTTGTACATTGACCAGATTAAATCCCTTACATTCAGACAAATTAATCATTTGTATAGTACAGGGTTTCTCAAAGAGCATTTCCCCAAGCATCAAGAATCATTTAGATGCTTATTAAAAATATAGTTTCCTCAGCATCACCCAAGACCTTGGTCCCAGGGTCCAAGGAATCTGCGTGTTGTTTTTATTTTCCCATAGTGATTCCTATTCACTTTTACAAATCACTAGTAGAGTAGTTAACGCACACCCAAGAGAAACAAGTTGCATAAATTAGTGATCAGTATTACACACTCAATAAGGAAGGAATAACATCACCCGACTTTTCTAAATCTCATTGGTCATTGATCACGTTGCATTCTTAGTGACATATCAAGAAGGGAAGGGGTGTGTATAGGACCCACTGCCCCAGCAGGGAGGAGTATTTCAGTATTTTATCACTGAGATTTTTTATAACTGTCAACTTTTGCTTTATTTCATCATTGTTTTTTAAAATCTCTATAGCCAATGGACCCCCTACTGCTTACAATCACGTATGTGTTCCCAATGACTGCTTTCCTTGGTAACCACAGTACATTCTAGTTAACTACCACACATTTACAATTTCTCATTATTTTGCCTCTTTGCTTACTTTTTGTCTTTCTCCCCATGTAGGCTCTAAGCTCCATGACACACTGTCTATTTTTTCTCTGTGTCAGACACTAGTAATTATGCAGTTACATGGCTAAAGTACTTACACATTTTGCTCCGGTTGCAGGGATTGAGGTTACCAGACGTACAGTGGTAGACTAACATTGACTTAGGTCTGGAAAATGAAATAAAAATTAAATAAATACAACAGAATGGGAAACTAATGAAGGAAAAATAAGGGAAAATAATATTTAGACAGAGTGGCTTCAATAATTCATCTGATTAACGCAACTTATGCAAGAAGGCTTCCATATTTTTTCTTTCTTTGGGTTAATAAGCAAAATGGAAGAAGACTAGCAAAAGGGTATGTGTGGGGGGGATGACTGTGTGTGTGAAAGAGATGTTAAATAGGAGTGACATGAAGCACATATGTGTGAGTTCACATAAGAAAAGTTTAATTCTGTTTACCACTTACTAACACAGCCAAGTGTATGAACAACCTGTTTTTTTTTCCTTTGTACCAGGAAACTTCCCCACACATAGTGATTGAACACTTTTGGCATTAATCAGAGTACAATTAAAAAAATACTCTGTCATTTCATCCACTTCTATCTCCTTTGCCCTAAAAAAGAAAGCTGGATGTTAAACTACTGAATAGAAAGAAAAGCCTTTTGGTTACCAAGAATTGTATGGTTAAGTGATTTAAATGTTTTATTACTTTGTGAGTAGCCAAATACTAAACTGTATTTTGAAAACAACTGAATGTATATATGATGGCATATTAGGAACTCTATAAAACACTGAAACAAACACCCTCTCACATTTGGGGTCTTGTACAATGAAATGCCTATATTTGGAAAATGTGCCTAATACAATAACCCCTCCCTCTCATGACATCTTTGAAAGCCCACTTGAGCATCCACACCTGTGAACTGCAGCACACCATCCTACAGCTAGTGGGAGACTGACGGCTGTATCACCTGGAATTGGAATTAAGTCTCCCACAGCCATTGGAGTAGCTTTTATGGACAGAAGAAACCCTTTCCCAGCCTGCACAGGAAAAAGAACATAAAATGTGAAACCAGGTCTTAAGTAACAGCTGGGGCTGAATGAAGTATGTATCATCAAACTGATTATACTAGTGCAATAAGTGAAAACAGCTAACATCGATCCACTGCTTACCAGGTTCCCACACTAAGTCTGACTTCGTCAGCCTATCCTAGCTTCCCAGCCAAGCGCATCTTCAGCATTTTCTTGAACTACTCGTGTTCCTCACGTTCCTTTAGGGAATAAAATTCCTCATATTTGTGAGAGATTAATAAACTTAATTACCAAACACCAAGAATAAACCTTCATATTTTAAAAATTAACTCATAAGACACGTTAAGAATTAAGATTACATAAATTTCCCATTAATGTTTGTTTTCCATTTCCTTAATGATTTTGTTTTCTGCTAGGGCTTACTAACCTACAAGCAATAGTAGGCACTAAAAGTTTAAGAAAGTTTTATTTGAAAAAAAATTAATTGGTGAAATTCCACAACTAATGACAAAAACTTTTTTGGCTTAGAAAAATGGCCTTATTATTTAGTTTTTCTTCAGAATCTCATTTCACCTCACAGATCACTGATGTTATATAGATACAAGAGTTTGGAATTATTTATGTTAATAATTTGTTGAGTTTATGAAATTCATTCTTTCTGCTTTGCATGTTTCCCACTTTAATTTGAAATGATTAGCACTTTCTTATGTTACTCAGTTCTCTTTTCTTATAACTAGCTCCCCTTCTTTTGGACATAAGAAACCAATTTAGAACATTTTTTAAAATGTGAATAAATATGCAGCTTTGCATATAATGAAAACCGCTTTGGGATCACGTTAAAATAATGATGTTCTAAGTCATCAAACGTTCACCCCAACTGAACTTTTTTAGGAGAAAGAGTTGAAGGCAGGTGGGAAGCAGAAAGAAAGGGGCTGCTAGAAAAATCCGGAATTCGAAGGAAGGTCTTTGTCACTACCATAATTCATTGTCTCATATTTCTATTTGAATTCATGTTGAACCCAGCTCTGGGAGGAATAGAGACAGAGTCTGAAGGGCAGTCTGAATCCCTAATAAGATTTAAACTCATTTAGATCACTGATTTCCCATTCATTGTACAAAAGAGTAAAGTGGGGTTTAGGCTCTGAATGCCTCAGTGTGAGCTGTGAACCCCACAGCTCTGCCGGATCAATGTGGACTTCAGGGAGATGCGCACTGAGGGCTGCTCACCTAGAGGAGCCACGTTTCTCCTTGTAAGACATTATTGAAAAGGCGTTGCCGGCACATGTCGACCTATGTAACAAACCTGCACGTTGTGCACATGTACCCTAGAACTTAAAATAGAATAATAAAAAAGAAAAGGCCTTGCCTATATTCACTGATGTTTGTATTTGAAAAATTTGCCCCAATATTGGTAGTTCTTTCTTGTATTCATTAAGAATTATTGATGTATACCTGCTTTCCATACACACACATAAACTCTTCTATGTGTTTTATAATAACGAATTTAATAATCTTTGAAGATATTTTTACTGCATCCTCAATTCACTGCACTAATTCATGCAATTATAAACTGCAGGAAGGAGGAAATACCCCCATCTTGCGATAAATAAAGCAAAATCCTTGGCAGAACCATGCCCGCCTGTCCGCGCCCCGACCAGCCCTCCCGGGCAGCCACTCACCGGTGTCCGTCTTCCCAGCTCCTCGCCATGTCGCCAAGTGAATCCATCCTGCCGTCCGTCTCCACTTTCACCAGCCCGTACCGCAAGCGCCACCTGCAGGAGCGCTGACCCCGCGCCGAGCCCGAGGCCAGGGGAACCCACGACTACCTCAACAGCGTGCGGGACTCCATTCGGTCCACAGGGCTGGATGGCCTGGGGCCGAGGCCACCCCGAAGCCCCCGGCGACCCCGCCGTCTGCGTCCTATTACCCGAACACTGCACGCCGCTGCCCTAGGGCGCCCTGGAGCTGGACCCGCTGCCAGAAGGCCCGCGCTGCTCAGCTGGTTTTTGTTGTTGTTGTTGTTGTTGTTGTTGTTGTTGTTTTGAGATGGAGTCTCCTTGTGTCGCCCAGGCTAGAGTGCATTGGCGCGATCTCGGCTCACTGCAAGCTCCATCTCCTGGGTTCACGCCATTCTCCTGCCTCAGCCTCCGGAGTAGCTGGGACTACAGGCGCCCGCCACCGCACCCGGCTAATTGGTTTTTGTACTTTTAGTAGAGACGGGGTTTCACCTGTTAGCCAGGATGTTCTCCATCTCCTGACCTCGTGATCCGCCCGCCTCAGCCTTCCAAAGTGCTGAGACTACAGGCGCCCGCCACCACGCCCGGCTACTTTTTTTTTTTGTATGTTTAGTAGAGATGGGGTTTCACCGTGTTAGCCAGGATGGTCTCGATCTCCTGACCCCGTGATCGGCCCGCCTTGGCCTCCCAAAGTGCTGGGATTACAGGCGTGAGCCACTGCGCCCGGCCTGCTCAACCGCTTTCAACTGGCGCTGCCCAGCCGCCTGGTCAAAGCCCAGCCCCCTGAGGCAGATGGCGGCAGCTGCGGCTGCGCACCCAGGTTCAGGCATGGACCGCGCGTCCTCAAACACTAGGGCGCCCCGGGCCTGCGGCTTCATGCATGCGAGGTCCCGGGTCCCTCCCATTCCGCCCCCAACACCCGCCCCTCAGCCCCTACGGCCCGCACGCCTCCTTCCCGCTGCCTTTCCGTGGCCCTGGTTTGGGACACCCAGCCCGGCCTTCATGAGGCGCCCCCCACCCAGCTCCGCCCCTCCACGCCCCTGTCTTTAGTCTCTTAGGCGTTGGCCGCCACCGCCACAGCCCTGGGCCTGGCACCCCCAGTCGCCCGCAGTCTCCTTGTGGTGGCACCGGCGTCCCCGCTGGAGCTGCTGGAGGCCAAGCCCAAGCATGACAGCTGCTCCTGGCCTGGGAACCGCAACACCGGGCATACCTATGCGGCTACGGCCAGACCTACAGCAAGAATTCTCCCTTGCAGGCACATCTGCGCAGCACACAAGTGACAAGCCCGACCACTGCCACTGGGATGGAAGCAGCTGGAAGCGTGCTCACTCAGACAAGCTAACGCTCCACCACCACAAGCACAGGGGCCACTGGCCATTTCAGGGCCATTGGTGCCACCACGCCTTCTTGCGCTCCGCCCACCTTGCCCTGCACAGGAAGCGGCACATGCAGCCCAGAGGCCTCCCCACCTGCACACGGCCCCCTCCCAAACTGTGACTGGTATTTATTGCACCCAGAGAACTCGGCAGGGCGGTGTGGCTCCATAGGGTCTACCTCGATGACGAAGACGGCGCCACCGCCCCAGCCCCCATCTGTGACTGAAGACCAGGTGGGAAAAGACCACTATCCGCCTTGACGAGTTCTGTTTTTCAAAATGGTGCAATAATTAAGTGGCATCTTCCCTCCCACGGGGCATAAGACTTGATGTCCTTTGAGAAATAAGTGCCTTAATTTGTACTGTCTGTGACATTTTTTATAATATTGTACATAATAACTGGGACAGATATTGTTATTACTGTACATAGAGTGGCAGGGCTACTTGCCTCATTTTCCTAAGACTTTTGCTTCTTTTATTTTTAATTTTTAAGAAAGTCTTTTTTAAAAAGAAAAGAAAAATCCTTATTAAAGACTTTTCAAAATAGAACTCTTAAATAGTAATTGATAGCACTTTACCTCTGTTTTCCTGATAAAAAAAATTCTAAAAGAATAAAAACAATTTCATCCTGCCTCCATATTATAACCAGAATAATTGAAATAATATGCTTCAATTGATAGTAAAGTAGCATTTATGTTTTTGGATCAATGAAGCTAAGCCAGCACTAAGAATTTTCTTACTATTCCTCCACTACATTACAGTTACTTCTTCATCCCTATACATACCGCAATAATGAGTCGGCTACATCCATTTAGATTATCAACCCAACCCTAAAAGAAAGAAAATTTCCATTGGTTACACATTTCAGAAAATTGTTGTATCTTTGGAACATCTGCCGTCTAATCTTAATAAATTTCAAACAAGGGCACTGAGACTCCAGCCGATAGAACTATCTAATTCAGTATGATTAAGATCCCAAAGATCAATGGCAAAGCATTGGCTATTTTCTGCAGTTTGTGCAAGAATTAAAATTTGGCCAGGATTGTTGTTTGTAGCAGGAGTCATGAATGGTTTTGTGGCGTTTTATGACAACTTAAGGGCTACAATGGACCTTGTCCTTATATCATGATCTGCTAAGCAATTCACCAACCATACTTCACCTCATTCCTGATTTTAGCCTCCTTAGGAGAACATTGAAAACATGATTGGTAATAATGTGTATTGACTTGCTTAAAGATGTTACAGGAAAGATTATGCTTAAGAGTAGTTAGAGGGAAATGTATTTTTCAGTTTGTTTCCTAAGCCCTAAGCCGTCTCTTTACCTTACAGTATAAAAGTCGAAATGCGTATAATGGGAGACCAGATATACGGGAAGAGAAGATGAAGGGACTAATATTCGTTGAGCCTTTTAGTAGGGATCTACCTTTTACTAGAGATTGAGCACTCCTCATACATTGTCTCATTAAACCAACTCTCCAAAGTAGTATCTGTCCTGTTCTACCGAAAGAACAACTCAAAAATGTTGCATTGCCAGTAAGTGGTGGAGCTGGAATGTATCTGCCCTCAAAGCTTCACGGACTTGCTTTGAAGAAGATGGTATAATTCAAAGTACTTTCAAAAGGACATAGCAGTATACTGAGGTTAAAAAAAATTAGTACTCCCAAACTGAGATCCTTCTGTGAGCTTTGTAACCCTGGCAGTTAGTTGCAATACTACCAATTTGGCCATCAAGAACATTCTGATATGTTTAAGCTACAGTGGGAAAGCCAAGATATGAAAACATCACCCATGGGAATTTTGAGACTAGAGTAGTTAGAAGCTAATTTAAGATCTCCATCCAACTCTAAGATAGGGTAACTGCCAGAAGAGCCGCATGATCCCAAAGTGGAATTTTGCCCTAGTATAATGGGTTAATATTTGATTGGCTGCACTTAGCTATAAATCCTGAGGAGAAGAAGAAGAAGAAAGACATCAGAAAATAATTGGGCTAGAAGAACCTTAGTTTGAAAGCAAAACACAGAATCCAGGTAAGTGGGCTTACCAGGAAAAGCTGGTGCCACGTTGCTCCGCACAATGCAGGGCCTTAGGATGGCAATGGTTAGGTTCCTGCTCTCCTGCTGCACCACCATTTCTCCCAAGGCCTTGCTACAGGTCTAAGTATTGGGACAATCTCCAATCCGCTTGGGAGTGATCTCGTCAATAATGGCGTTGTCTATACATAAAAGGTAGTCAGAGTAAAAAGAATTCTAGCAACATGTGTTAGACAATAGACCAAAAGGAAAATGTGAGACACAGTCAAACAAAACTTCCACCTTTTAGCCTTGGTTCTGGAATTCAGAACAGTCACATGATACCAAGTTTGAGCGCGTACCTGTCCAAAGCATGCATGAGCTCTTTTGTCTTCACTGCTAAGCCCAATCTTACAGTCAAATCCTATGCCCTCCCATCCAGACAGGTAGGTAGGTAGACGGATAGAATCAATAGCGATGCCACTTTATTACTACTACTAGTATAGGGCTATTAGTACTACTTTAGCGCTACTATTACTTTGTCAGTACTGATTACTACTTTATCTGTAGTAGTATTAATTTGAGGTAATTACATACAACCTCTTTACTTCCTTTCCAACAAGCTCGTAAGTACATTCATTGCACATATTTTTGAGTCCCAATCATTCTCCCAGTAGTGTGCTGGAAGCTGTGTTCAGGGAGTTTGAGGCTCTCCTCCAAGGTGTTTCAG
The DNA here is from genome assembly GCF_000001405.40 of Homo sapiens. Classification (NCBI taxonomy): domain Eukaryota; kingdom Metazoa; phylum Chordata; class Mammalia; order Primates; family Hominidae; genus Homo; species Homo sapiens. The sequence goes on along the minus strand of NC_000002.12, from coordinate 130,689,625 downwards.
TGGCAGCCCTGTTCAGTGTTGTCCTATAGAAACCCAGTGCAGTGATCCTGAAGAGTTTAGCTTTACATTTTAAAATTTTCCTTCAATGCAAATCAAACCAAGGTGATTACTTTTGGCAGACTGACAATCTGTTTTACCAAATCTATGTAATGCATTTTGAAGGTCTGTTTAGAGTCTATGATAACAAATTGCTAATTATTTCCAGAGATTTTCAATGAATTCTGAAGTCTGTCAAGTGTGGTGATTATAGTACTCTGAAATTGCTTCAAAACCATGAATATTGAATACTCCTACTTACAAGATGACATGTATCATGTATAACTGAGTTACCATAGCATCAGCCTAGTCTTTCTTAAAAATATGTCAGAACCAGCCGGGCACAGTCACTCATGCCTGTAATCCCAGCATTTTGGGAGGCCATGGCGGGCAGATCATGAGGTCAGGAGATTGAGACCATCCTGGCCAACATGGTGAAACCCCGTCTCTACTAAAAATACAAAAATTAGCTGGGCATGGTGGCGTGCGCCTGTAATCCCAGCTATTCAGGAGGCTGAGGCAGGAGAATCACTTAAACCAGGGAGCAAAGGTTGCAGTAAGCTGAGATCTTGCCACTGCACTCCAGCCTGGTGACAGAGCAAGACTCCATCTCAAAAAAAAAAAAAAAAAAGAAGTCAGAACCATTTGATAACCCCAAAATCTATCTACAACTCTCTGAGAGAGCAAAAAAAATTATTGTCAATTAAATATGCAACATGTATTCTAGCTGACAGATCTATGTGGTTAAATTGTTAATATAACATAGCTTTTTAAAAATTAAGCTGTCGGAATATGCTAGGGTGATTTTTCTGATCAATGTGGTCCATTTATTTCTATTTTATACAACAGAACATAACTATACTATTTTGATTGTAGAAAATCTTCACTGTTACCACCTTGCTGACATGACACATTTTTGAACAACTAAGATGTACATGAGGTTAAGACTCATTCAGAATCACAACTCTCAATATTAATGCCTCATTTGATCCTGGGGTAGAACATGGGCATTGACCATTATGTTTCCATTTTTCTTCCTTTGCTTCTGAGTGCTGAGTGTCTTCTGGATACTCAAATGTCTTTTCATTTAAGTTGAATAGAGAAAGATTGAGGGGTTCTAGAATTAAAAACTTAAACTACATAGAAATATCAAGGATATTTTAATTATATGGTCACCTGGGGGCTGGGAAAGAGCATAGGATGATTCATACATCTCTCAATCTTAACAATAATCCTACCGTTACCTCATTTCATTTCTGTGTCAACAGTGGATTGACTGACCTAAGACCATTTCCCCTCAACTGCAAAACTATACAGTTTATGAAAACCAGGTCTTGAGGGAATAGAGCTTAATTTCAATAAGTCTGTAAAGAAAAAATTCCTAGAAAACATCAGAGCCCAAAAATGTACTGGGATTGTATGTCAGATGGCTAGTACCAGTTGCTGTCATTAATGTTGGGGCAGCCGGAAAGGATAATACTTGGAGGGATGGGGGCCTTATAAAGCTTAGTGAGTTTCCTTGTATTAGCAAATGTTGGGTTTTGTTGTTGTTCTTGTTGTTTGTTGTTGTTGTTGTTGCTGTTTTGAAATGAAGTCTTACTCTTGTCACCCAGGCTGGAGTGCAGTGGCACAATCTTGGCTCACTGTAATCTCCACTCCCCGGGTTCAAGCAATTCTCCTGCCTCAGCCTCCTGAGTAGCTGGGATTTCAGGTGCCCACCACACCTGGCTAATTTTTGTACTTTTAGTAGAGACGGGGTTTCACCATGTTGGCCAGGCTAGTCTCGAACTCCTCACCTCAGGTAATCTGCCCGCCTTGGCCTCCCAAAGTGCTGGGATTCCAGGCATGAAAAAATTTTGGTTTTATAGATTTCTAACAACACACATGGAAGAAATTTTAATATTCTATAGATGGCTTACCTCTGCTACTCTTAGCTGCACCTGTATTCCACTGTTTTATATTCTCGTTCCAATTTTACTTGTGAAAATGGCAATAATTATATTCATTCTAAATTCTCAGGTTATGAGGGTAGACAAAAATATTCACAACTGCATTTAAGTTGTTTGATAAAACAAAATGAGCCAATAAACCTAAGGCACTCCTATTTTTAGATAAAACAATCAGAGAGCATCATATATCTGTGTACGTAATAGTTGGTTTTAAAATGTCATTTCTGGCCATATGTGGTAGCTCAAGCCTGTAATCCCAGCACTTTGAGAGGCCAAGGAAGGAGGATCGCTTGAGTCCACGAGTTTGAGACCAGCCTGGGCAACATAATAAGACCCAGTCCCTACAAAAAAAGTTTTAAAAATTAGCTGGGCATGGTGGTGTGCACCTGTAGTCCCAGCTACTCAGAAGGCTGAGACAGGAGGATTGCTTGAGCCTGAGAGTTGAAGGCTGCAGTGAGCCATAATTGTGTCACCATACTCTAGCCTGGATGACAGAGTGAGACCCTGTCTCAAAATGAATGAATGAGTAAAACAAATAAAAATAAATTATCATTTATAATGCAGCCAGACAGGCCATCTGCTAGCTCATTCAGCCAGTTCCTAGGTTCAGACAGGAGATTAGTGTAAACATGCACATGCACTGATTGGGCAAAGCCCTTCTCAGGACTTTCATTCAATTCAGGGTTGCTGCTGTTGTTTGTTCTCAATATGTTTTTAAACAGTAAATAAGTTACCATGGATAAAAAACACTATATAAACCAAAATACATGTCTGAAATTAATCCAAATGTTCTTCAGTATACTCAAGAAGATGTTTTGACCCAGGGGTCTCAAATACTAAACTCGAATTGCTTCAGAAGAAGCATAAAGTCATTGAAAATTTCAGAAAGCAATATGTATGTCTATGTATGTACATACATAGACACATATACAATTTCTTCCAAAGATTACTATCAATTTTGCTTTCAAACTTATTGAATCAACATGATGATATCATTGATGGTTTCATTATTTATGTATTTATGGAATGAAATACTAAGAAGCATATGGATTTCCCCTCCCCTGACCCTCCAATTTTATCTCATTCAACAAGTTGGCAAGCCTAGTGGTTTATGAGGAAATCTGTTAGAGAGTAAGTAGTGGACACACTGTCTTATGATAACGTTTGCTCTCTCTTTCTCCAGTCTAAATTATATAATTCACTTGATTGTTGTAGTTATCAAGTTGTATTTGTTCATCTGTCTGTCTCCCCACTGGACAGTGCGTCCAGGAGAGCAGGGATTATGATTTTTATCTCTGTGTCTAATCACTTTTCTGCCCCCAGGAGCCAGCTACCTTATTCAGTAAATGGATGCTCTTCCACATGGTAATCTTGATTGGCCAATTTCTGTACTATATAAGGTTTTGGGAAGCAGAGATGGACAATGATGAGACAGAGTGGATATACTCAAAAAAAGACAAGGTTGTAGGGAGAATGCAGGAAAGGAAGGAAGGGGGTATCTTTGTAGAGCAGGTAGCAAAATTGGAAGTCAAAGTGTCCAGTGGCAGTGGTGAAAAGTGTTGACCAACCTCGGTTTGATGAAGGTGGCGTGAAAGTCAACTTAAACTTTTCACTGGGAAGCAGGATATTTCTGAGCCTAATGCTTATGGAGAATTGGCCTCTGTATTTCCCTCCAGACTTTCATGAGGCACCCGGCTTGGCCCAAACATGAGCCAGATGCTGAATGGCCTGCCAATGCCTGCCAATGTGAAAATTATTCAGTTTGGTTAAGAAACAATTTACTCATATTCTGGTTTGTATTTGAAGCCTGCTAATATCAAAGTACACAGAATTTTCATTTTTATGTCAGCTACTTAGATGTCATTTTGAAGCTGTGCCACGATGAAATTAAAAACACAGGCCGGGCACAATGGCTTATGCCTGTAATCCCAACACTTTGGCCAAGGTCAGGAGTTGGAGAACAGCCTGGCCAACATGGCGAAATCCCATCTCTACTAAAAACATAAAAATTAGCCAGGCACACTTGCGGGCACCTGGAATCCCAGCTACTCGGGAGGCTGAGGCAGGACAATAGCTGGAACCCAGGAGGCAGAGCCTGCAGTGAGCTGAGATCACCCATTGCACTCCAGCCTGGGAAACAAGAGCAAGACTCAATCTCAAACAAACAAACAAAAAGTACAAGTGCTAGAGTCAGCTTTCACCATTCCCCTAGAACAGATCATCTTTTTCAGTGTTAACAATGTGTTCTATAGCAGGAAGTCAAGACTACTGTCCAAGGTCTGACCTCCTTTGATATCTCCTGGAGGGCTGTGATGAGGGCCACTGCTGCTGGCTGTTGGGGTCTCCATTTCCCTGCTCTCACCCCTGCACCTTCAGGGCACACGCCACCTTTCCTTTTTTACATGGCAGACTAGCTGTGTCTTCTGGTGGCCACGTAGCTTCAGAAGTGTGGTTTTTAGTAGGTACAGATCTACTAGGAACTTTCATTCAATTAAAGCTTCTAGGAACTGAAAGACAACAGGAGACAAAGAGAGCAGGAGAAAGAGGAAGCATGGGGTATTAGAAGATAAATGATCCTCTTTTCAAATGAAGACTGCTTAATGAAAAGTCTCCTTAAGGCACAATTTCCCAAACTTGCCTGGTCATCAGTGTGAATTACACAAGGCCCCTGGGAAAAATCCAGACTCCTGGGTGCCATTTTAGAACCACTAAATACATCTGCAGAGGTAAGAGTCTGGATAATCTGTATTTTCAACATGGCCTGGAAATTCCAACTGTCAGGTAAATTAGGGAATCACTAATTTAAAAGAAGTCCACTCCATCAACTTAAGTCGTTAAGATTTGAATATATCAGGATTAGCTCTCAAAAACACATTGCTTCTTGGAGTAAACATTTCAACAGAATTGAATTTTAAAATTATTAAATCCCCTAATGCTATCCCTCCCCCACTCCCCTAGCCCCCCACCCACTGACAGGTTCTGGTATGTGATGTTCCCCTCCCTGTGTCCATTTGTTCTCATTGTTCAGCTCCCACTTATGAGTGAGAACATGTGGTGTTTGTTTTTCTGTTTCTGTGTTCGTTTGCTGAGAATGATGACTTCCAGCTTCATCTATGTTCCTGCAAAGGACATGAACTCATCCTTTTTTATGGCTGCAGAGTATTCCATGGTGTATAGGTGCCACATTTTCTTTATCCAGTCTATCACTGATGGGGATTTGGGTTGGTTTCAAGTCTTTGCTATTGGGAACAGTGCCGCAATAAACATATGTGCGCATGTGTCTTTATAGTAGAATGATTTATAATCCTTTGGGTATATACCCAGTAATGGGATTGCTGGGTCAGATGTATTTCTGGTTCTGGATCCTTGAGGAATCACTACACTGTCTTCCACAATGGTTGAACTAATTTACACTCCCACCAACAGTGTAAAAGCGTTCCTATTTCTCCACATCATAATGTAGCACCGAATGTAGATGAGTGCCTAATGTAGATGAGAGGTTGATGGGTGCAGCAAACTACCATGTCATGTGTATACCTATGTAACAAACCTGCACGTTCTCCACATGTATCCCAGAACTTAAAATATAATAATAAAAAAGATTGAAAATTTAAAATTTTAATACAAAATTAGGACTTAGTTATTTGCAAAATACACTGTATTTTCAATTTGAAAAACAAAGGGTTATTGTATGTATTATCAATAAAGTTATATAGTTTCTCATAAAAATAACATTAATAATGGAAAATTCTAAAAGAAAAATAATTAAATTTATTTTAGGACAATTTAAAAATGTATCTGTCAATTTTAACATGAAAATTCTCTTACATTTATACATCCCACATTCTAATAAGGACTAATTTTTATGAGCAGTAAAGAAATGTGTGTATGCGTGTCTGTATACTTACAGGTATATATCTGTTTCTGTGAAAATCTCTCTTTTAGAGTCAGAAAATCTGTTTGGTCCCAGTTCTTACTAATAATATATGATCTCACTAAAGATACTTAAATTCAATAAACTCAATAAACTTTACTCTTAATGAGGTAAGAATGAGAACACAGGTGCCAGCCATGAGCTGCGGTTCCACTGGCACAGGCTTCAGAGATCCTACCTTTAACATCCTCCTTTCATTCATTTGAGCCTGATAAGAAAGTTGTCTCTTGGGAGAGAAGCAAGCATACACCTTGGGGCCAGACAGCCCACGGTCAAAGTTGAACTCCACCACTGTTCAGCTGTGTGACTTTGGGCAAGTGACTTTTCCTCTCTGATCCTCATGATCCTTTTTGGTAAAAACAGCAGAATGACAGGTCTATGAAGATTGGAGGAAAGAAAAATGTGTGTCTTAGTTTAAGTTTCCTGGAAGTAGATCCTGAGGCAAAGATTCAAGTATAAAAATTTTATCTGGAGATGACTCCAGGACAGTAATTCTACTGCCAGTTCTTCCTTAGAGTACTAATTGCAGGCAACACCAGTAGAGGAGTGGGGAACTGAGACAGGAATGGAATGTAGCAGTTAAAGGGACCTTCATCAAGAAAGTTTCCACTGTGGGCAGCCAGGACTCAGCCCTGCCGGGTACCTCTGAGAGACAGCATAGAACATGTGCCTCAGAGTCATCCCACCCAGAGCAAGGGAGCTGGGTTATTTATCCACCAATACACACCAGTCACTCCTCAGGGCTTCTTCCAAGGACATGATTCCTCCAGAATGCCCTGCCTGCACTGCAAGAATGAGACCTGGAGGGTCAATGGCAAGAGCCCTGACAGCGCCTCCAGCAGTGAGCAGGACCACAGCCTGGTGTGGAGAGTTTCAGTCCCTCAGTGACCCGAACACACACACACACACACACACACACACACACACACACATTCTCTCTCTCTCACAAACACACACACACACACATTCTTTCTCTCTCACACACACACACCATACTCCAACACCAACAGAGAACATACATACATACACATACAAGCATAGATGACTGTTACCCACTTACATCCTGGTGAATCCATGGGAAAGAAGATAAGGTGGGAATCAGAGGGAAAAGCAAAATTAAGGGGAGTGAGGGTCTTGGGAACAAAATGAAAATATAGGCAGAAAATCAAGGGGGAAGAGTGGTCTGGACACCAAACGCCTGCTGGCTGGCACCTGCTCTACATACACTGTCAGTCATTCTCCAAGCAACCTCGTGGAGTCGAAGGAATTCCCCTCAATTAGAGATGGCAGAAATGTAGTTCAGAAAAGAAAACTGATTTTACTAACTGATTTTACTGCTTCTGGGTTCTGCTCCTTTTCTTGCTAGGCAATCATGACAGAATTGACAAAAACATTTTCCCCCTTCACCACCTGGAGCAGAGCCAATGAGAGGGGCTGGGGAACAGGCCATGAGGCCCTGCACCCACCATTCAATGTCTTCAGGATTAGGACTCTTGCATCACAGGCTGGCAGCACTCCCGATGTCTGGGTGTTTTGTGAGGTTGTACAGGATCTAGTAGAGGCCACTGGCTCTGCTGTCATATCCTAAGAGGCAGCCAGGCAGACTTGGGTCTCTTGGCTGCTTCAGCACCAGAGGATGAACAGCGCCCATACACTGAGGCTTTCGGGAGAATGGGAGGAGGGAAAGGAAGGGCAGAATGGAGTGATGTAGGGTCCATCCATCATATCCCTGGATGGAGAGACCCCTGTTCCCACAGTAGTCCCACACCGGGACCACCACCAGCACTCATGAATATGCCAGCCTCCATTTATATGTCCTCGTCTGACAACTCCTTCCCATTTTCATCCTGGAGGCAAGACTCTGAACACACTAGCTCTGAGGACACCTGTGTGTAACCTGAGACAGTCCCTGAAGACCTTTCATCCAAGCAGGATCCCTCCCTCACCATCTCCAGACCTGCCCCACAAGCTCCCTCCCTGGTCTCCTGGCTCTTGTTCACTCCTTCCAGGCAGGCTTCTACAGTCATCTCGAAAACATAGCTGACTGTCACTCCTTTATCCAGCATCTTCCATGGCTCCCCAGAGCCCTCCAGATCAAGTTCAAGTACCTTGATCAGACACTTGATCTCAAGCTCCATTCTACCTCCTGAATTAAGATCCCGGAGAAGCCACCTTGCTCAGCACAAGCGCATCAATGAAGTCCGAAGCCTTGAATGTGGCCTTGGCCTTGAGGAAGTCATCAACACCCTGGCTAGTGAGGGTGCGGTGCTGCTGCAAGATGATGGTGTCTGAAGTTGTGCACCAAGTCACAGGCCCTGCAGAAGCATTGCCCCTCAGGAATGGGTAGTACAGGAAGTCCCAGCACAGGCAGATCTGCTGACGCCGTTACACTATGAGGGTACTGAGCTCCAAGATGTCAGCAATAAGTTCACTGGCATTCCTGCAGGGTGAGGCTAGGGAGAGGAAGCAGCTCCGTAACACATATGAAACTCTGGAAGCCCTTCCCAGCCAAAATCTCTGGACCACATTACACCCAGAAATGGGTGCCCTCTCAGCACACTTCTCTCTGCCTCCCTCTCTGAGCTGCCTCCTGGCCCCACATGCCCCAGCCTGGACCAGGGCTTGGAGCCCAGCAGGTGTTCAGTTCATGGTGTTGACTGCTTCCTGGCACAGGAGAGCCTTTGGTAGCTCTGTGACTCCTCCTGTGGAACCCCTGCCTCTGCCTCAGGACCTCCCTATTCCCATGGGAAGACCCCAAGGATTGCCCCACCTGCCCAGGGATCCTCCAACCCCATAGGCCTTACTTGATGCCTTATCCCTCCCAGAACATGACATGTTTCTCACAAGGTGACTTATTTCCAAGGCCATCTGTGGATGTTTGCTGGGGACCTCTTGCTCTTCTCCTTTATGATCTGTAGGGCAGGGCCAAGAGGAGAAACCAGCCCAACCTCAGAACAAACAAAGGCTCACTGCCACAAATGGCAACCACCAAACAGTCAGCAGTGCTTCTGGGAGGAAAGGAGGTTTCATTCCGCACAAAGCTCCTTGTTTGGTTTCTTTCTGAATCCGGGGAGGGGTAGGTACCAAGCCCAGCTTACCTGTGGTGTCTACATTACCATCTGTGCCTAGGATGTGCAAAGGGCCCCTGCTCCCACCGAAGGGTTGACGTTCCCTCCAGCTGGAGACCTGGGCTCCTGACACCGCCTGGCCTGTTTGTCCTGCTCTGGATGAGCATGGAAAGGCTGTACCTGGTATTTCCCTAGGTCCTTGGTTTCTACCACCTAGACATCCAGCAGGAGTGACCATGTCTAGCACCACACCTGAAAGGGGACTCCCTTGTACAGCAGCCCAGACATCTACAGATGGAAGAGTGCTCAGTGAGACAGGCCACAGGGGTCCCCAGGGAGGATCAGGGGGTGGAGGATTCTGGAGGTTTCCAGCCTTGGGCTCTGTGGTTCCTCAAAGAGGTTAGGTCTACCTAGTACCAGGCCTCCCCTCCCACGATTCAAAGACTGAATGAGTGTCCAGCATCAGGAACTCTGTTCTGGACCTGTTTTTTCATTTAGGTCACCAAGGGACAACCCCTAACCCCTGAGCTAGGGATGGTCCAAGCTCTGGCATGAGATTTTCCTCCAGCAATGTGATGCTTACAGGGACAGGTAGAAAAGCTGGTGACCAGGCCTGCTGTCCTCTGGGTAAGGAGTGTGCCACCCACCCTCTGAGATGCAGGTGGTGCCAGGCCACAGCACTGGGTGCCTGTACCCCTGGCTCTGCAGACACCGGTCATGGAGGTCCCTCCCTCCACATTACCTTCTTGCTGCTCCTAGATTTCTTCTAGTCATTAAGCACTTTGAGTCACTTTTCTGTGCATCCAATTTTACATTTTTGCTCTCAGATGAAACAGAATAAAGTATGCTGAGCTGCCAGGATTCCTGGAGGGGACCTTGGATGCTGAGTCTTGGGATCCAGGGCCCTGATGGGACTGAACCAGAAGGAGCCAGGGAAGGACAAAGATTGGGGCTGAGCCCCTATGATTTGGGGCTCAGCCCCCAATGGCCATTGGTGGGCTGGCCTTATGGTCCCAAGACACCTTGTCCTCAGGCCAGAGGCACCATGGGCTTTGGTCGGGTCCCAGCCTCCCAGTAGTGTCCTGGCACTAGCAGGAGCTGACCCCTGAGCCACAACTGCAGTTCTGGGTTTGGGGTTTGGTAAAACCACCTCAAGGACAGAGTCTTGGGATCGGGTTTGCCAGGAACCATGGTGCCTCCCAGAGATGGTGTGTCACTCCCACTCGCCACGAAATGTGCACACAGGCTGTCCCCATGTCCATCCCATCCCGCTGGACAGGATGGAGGAAGTCAGGGAACAGGCATGGTGGACAGCTGGGGTGCAGGGAGAGGCAGGTGCATGCTGGGAGGTCAGGCCCTGCGAGGGCTGTGGAGGCATCAGGTGGAGCGGGCTCCAGGTGCACCTTCAGTGTACTGGGCACGTCTGAGGCCAGGCTCACTGGACCCTGGATGTGTGATGTGGTCAATCACTGGGGGAATGTTGTCAGGTCCCAGACACCCACCCTGGGCAGCACTGTCTCATCTCAGGACTGGACTTTCTGAGTCCTAAGACAAGACAGTGCTGCCCAGGCCTGACAGCCTGGGAGGACCTGTTACGTCCTCCATCCCTAGACTAGCCTCCCAACAGCAGGGACAGTCTCTTATCTTCACCTTCAGGGAACTGACTGATCCATCTCACTCTAAGCCAATCGAGGCAGAGCTGAGGACCTGCACCAGTCTGGGAGCCAGTCCCCTCCCCAAATGGGCCTGAGGGAAGCACCATCCCTGTCCCAATCTGCCACAAGTTTCAGCCCAGGAGACACATGGGGAAGGGAGGACGGGGCATCCCTGCTGGCTGACACTGGAAAAGTGGGACCTGGGAGAATGGGGAGCACAAGGCTGGCAGGGGATGCTCCAGGCCCATGGAGAGCTCAGGCTGCACCATGGGGTTGCCCCTCCTGGGTGGAGGCTGTGCCCTCTACAGGATCTGAGGAAGTCCAGTCCTGAGATGGGACAGCGCTGCCCAGGGTAGGTAGCCGGGACCTGAGAGCAGTCCCCCAGGGAGTGACCACATCACCTGGCTGGGGTCCAGGGAGCTTGGGGTGAGACCCACCCAGTGCACTGAGGGTGCACCTGGAGCCCAACCCACCTGACACCCTCACAGCCTTCACAGGGTCTGACGTCCCACCATGCACCTACCTCTCCCTGCACCGCACTGCCCACCCTGCCTGTTCCCTGGCTTTCTCCATCCTGTGCAGCCCATAGACTGTGACCATCTCTCCAGACACTCTGACCCTTTCTTCACCTTTGTCCTGTCAGAATCTCTGAGCAACATCTCCCAGGTCCATCCAAACAACTGCTTTGTCCACTTTTGACCAGGCCGTTGGGCATCACTGGGCCATCCCAGCTGTCCAGAGGGCCCTCGATAACGTGCAATGCACCTGGCTTCTCCAAGCAGCACTCAGCAGTCCCCACTGACCAGGTTCCTGCTGACCAGACCCCACACATCAGGTCTTCCCTGACCACACCCTCACTGATTAGATCCCCATCACCAGGACCCACTAACAAGACCCCTGCTTCCAGGCCAACAATGACCATGACTCCACTGACCAGGACCTTACTGACAAGGCCTCATGGACAAGGCCTCACTGAACAGGACCTTACTGACCAGGCCTCCCTGACAAGGCCTCACTGACCAGGTCCTTACTGACCAGGCCTCACTGACAAGGCCTCACTGACAAAGTCCTTACTAACAAGGCCTCACTGACCAGGACCTTATTGACAAGGCCTCATGGATGAGCTCCTTACTGACAAGTCCTCACTGACCAGGACCTTATTGACAAGGCCTCACGGACCAGGTCCTTACTGACAAGTCCTCACTGACCAGGACCTTATTGACAAGGCCTCACTGACCAGGTCCTTACTGACAAGGCCTCACTGACAAGGCCTCATGGACCAGGTCCTAACTGAGACCTCACTGATCAGGACCTTATTGACAAGGCCTCACTGACCAGGTCCTTACTGACAAGGCCCCACTGACAAGGCCTCACTGACAAGGTCATTACTGACAAGGCATCACTGATCAGATTCCACTGATCATGACCCCACTACCTGGCCCCACAGATGAGGCCCCACTGACCAGGCCTCCAGGGAACAGGCTGCCACTGATCAGGCCCCTACTAACCAGGCCTGAGGTGAGCAGATGCCCCTGACTGGGACCCTAGTGAGTAGGCCCCACTGAACAGGCACCGACTGCTCAGGTCCCCGCTGACCAGGTCACCCCGTAGACCAGTGGTACAAAAGCCACCACTGACCAAGTCATCACTGACCAGGCCCCCACTGATGAGGTTCCACTGACCAGGCTGCCCTGATCAGGGCCCCACTGACAAGGGCCTCACTGATGAGGACAAGCCCACCAGGCCCTGCTGACTAGGTCCCATGTGACCAGTCCTCCACTGAATAGCAGCCCTTGACCTGGTCACCAGTGACCCAGCCCATGCTGACCAGGCCACCACTAAGCCCAGCTGACCAGGTCGCCACTGGTCAAGCCCCACAGCCCAGGTCTGCACTGACCAGACACCAAACAACTGGCTGCCAATAGGTCCCCACTCGCCAAAACCCCCACTACTGGATCCCCCTAATGAGACCCTCCCTAAGCAGACCCCTGCTGGCCAGGCTCCCACTAAACAGGCCTCACTGACCAAGTCCCAACTGACTAGGTCCACTGAGCAGGCCCACACTGATCAGGCCCCTCCTAACCACATCAGAAGGCCAAGTGGCAATGAGATGTTTCATATGGCAGAAATAGAAGCAAGACACAGAGAGAAAAGAGGTGCCACAGCCCATTATACAACCAGATCACATGAGAACTCACTATCAGATCAGCATCAAGAAGATTAACCACTGGTGAAGGATCCACCACACACACCACCGCCTACTGTTTCCAGGCAGAAGCCTCCTGCAGAGGCAGAGCCTCTTGGGAAACTTCTACTATGGCAGTGCAGAAGGGAAATATGGGCTTGGAGCCCCCACACAGGAGGCCACCATCCTCCAGACCCCAGATTCATAAGCCCACCAACAGCCCGCACCCTCAGTATGCAAAAGCACTCAACACCAGCCCAGCCCATGAGAGCAGCCATGGGGGCTAAAGCCTGCAAAGCCACAGGAGCACTGCCCTAGCAGAGGTTTTCCATAAGGATGTGACTCTGCAGCAGGCTACTCCCGCTTCCTAATACCCACCATCCTCTCACCACCCTACTGACAACCCACTCCTCCCAACACTATCCACTTTATTTCCTTCCAATTCCAACCCCCTCCCATCCATGGTTAAATCACCTTCCACCAGGCCCCATCTCCAACATTCAAGATTACAATTCACATGAGTTTCTGTAGGGAAACACAGCCAAACCATGTTATTCTGACCCTGACCCCTCCGAATCTCATGTCCTTCTCACAGAGCAAAATACAATCACACCTTTTCAAAAGTTGCCAAAAGTCTTAACTCATTCCAGCATTAACTCAAATGTAAAAGGTTCAACGTCTCATCTGAGACAAGCCTACAGTCCCTTTTGCCTATAAGTCCCTGAATTTAAAAGGGTGTTCTTTTAAGACACAATGATGGTACACCCATTGGGTAAGCTTTCTCAGTCCAACGGGAAGAAATTTCCCAGCAAAATAACACAGATGGGACCACAGGACCAATGCAAGTCCAAAACCCAGGAGACCAGTATCCATTCAATCTCACTGCTCCAAAATCATGAAGAGAACTCACCATCACAAGGACAGAAATAAGGAGATTGTGTCTAATCATTTGTGAAGGAGCCACCATCACTTTTCACCCCTCACCCCCAACATAATCTCCCCATTCTCCCTATCCCCCACCTCCCAACCCCCACTCTCCACCATGATTAAATCACCTTCCACCAGGCCCCACCTTTAACATTCCCCATTACAATTCCACACGAATTTTGGTAGGGACACAGAGCTAAATTTTATTATTCTCTCCCTGGCTCCCCAAATCTCATGTCCTTCTCACATTGCAAACTACAATGATAGCTTCCCTACAGTCCCCCAAAGTCTTATATCATTTCATCATTTATACAAATGTTCAAAGCTTAAAGTCTCATCTAACACAAGGCTGCAGACCCTTAGGCTCATGAGCCTCTGAAATATAAAGAAAGTTAACTACTTCCAAGGTACAATGCTTATACAGGCAATGGGTAAGCATTCCCAGCCAAAAGGAATAATTTTGCCAGAAAGAACAAAACACAGAAAGGACTCACAGGCCCCATGAAACTCCAAACCCAGAAGGCCAGTCATTCAATCCTACAGCTCCAAAATTACCCTTTTTGAAACCTTGTCCCACATCCAGGGCACAGGGATGTAAGGGCTGGGCTCCCAAGGCCTTGGGCAGCTCTGCACCTGTGGCTTTGCAGGGTTTATACCCCACGGCTGTCTTCATGGGCTGGGCTGGTGTTGAGCGCCTGTAGCTTTTACCCACTGACGGTACAAGCTGTTGCGGGGTCTATTAATCTGCGGTCTTCATGATGGTGGCCTCCAGTGTGGGGGCTCCAACCCCATATTTTCCTTCTGCACTGCCCTAGTAGAGGTTTCTTATGAGGTTCTGCCTTTTAGGAAGGCTTTTGCCTAGACACCCAGACATTTCCATACATCCTCCAAAATCTATACAGAGCCTCCCAAGCCCCTAGGCTCATGCTCCATCCAACCAGTGGCTTAACACTATGAGGAAGTTCATGAGAACTCACTATCACGAGGTCAGCATCAAGAAGATGGTGCTTAATCATTAGTGAAGGATCCGTCCCCAACCCACCTCCACCCCCTCCTGTTTCCGGACAGAAGCCTGAGGCAGAGCCTGAGCCTCTTGGAAAACCTGTACTATGGCAGTGCAGAAGAAAAATTTGGGCTTGGAGCCCCTATGCAGGAGGTCACCATCCTCCAGAGCCCAGATTCATAGACCCATCAACAGCTCGCACCTTCAGTATGGAAAAGCTACCGGCACTCAACACCAGCCCAGCCCATGAGAGCAGCCACGGGGGCTACACCCTGCAAAGCCACAGGTGCACAGTCCTAGCAGAGGTTTTCTACGAGCCTCTGCCTCTGCAGCAGGCTACTCCTCCTTCCTACTACCCCCACCCTCCCACCACCCTACAGCGAGCTTACTCCTCACCACGCTACCCACCTCTTTTTCCCTCCAACCCCACCCACCTCCCATCCATGATTAAATCACCTCCCACCAGGCTCCACCTCCAACATTCGGGATTGCAATTCCACATGAGTTTTTCTAGGGAAACACAGCCAAACCATATTATTCTGACCTTGACCCCCTCCCCCGAATCTCATGTCATTCTCACAGAGTAAAATACAGTCATGCCTTTTCAAATGTTTACAAAAGCCTTAACTCATTCCAGCATTAACTCAAATGTAAGAAGTTCAAAGTCTTATCTGATACAAGGCTACGGTCTCTTCTGCCAAGGAGTCCCTGAACTTAAAATGGAGTTCTTTTAAGGTACGATGATGGTACAGGCATTGGGTAAGCTTTCTCACTCCAAAGGGAAGAAATTTCCCAGAAAAATAACACAAATGGGACCACAGGCCCAATGCACATCCAAAACCCAGCAGGCCAGTATTCAAATCTCAAAGCTCCTAAACCATGAAGCAAACTCACTATCAGAAGGACAGCATTACAAAGATGGTGTTTAACCATTTGTGAAGAATCTGCCCCCCACCTCTGCCTTTCCCTGCAACCCCAACACAATCACCCCCAATGCTCCCAACCACCCCCACCTTCCAAACTCCACTCTCCACCATGATTAAATCACCTTCCACCAGTCCCCACCTTTAACTTTGCCCATTACAATTCCACATGAGCTTTGGTAGGGACACAGAGCCAAATCATATTATTCTGTCCCTGGTCCCCCAAATCTCCTGTTTCTTACATTGCAGAATACAATGATACCTTCCCTACAGTCCCCCAAATCTTAAATAATTCCAGCATTTACTCAAATGTCCAAAGCCCAAAGTCTCGTCTGAGACAAGGCTACAGTCCGATCTGCCCCTGAGTTTCTGAATTATAAAGCAAGTTAACTAATTCCAAGGCACAATGATTGTACAGGCAATGGGTAAGCATTCCCAGCCAGTAGAAAAAAAATGCCAGAAAGAAAAACAAAACACAGATGGGACTCACAGGATACATGAACATCCAAAACCCAGCAGGCCAGTCATTCAATCCGACAGCTCCAAAATCATCCTTTTTGAATCCTCGTCCCACATCCATGGCACAGGGCTGTGAGGGCTGGGCTCCCAAGGCCTTGGGCAGATCTGTACCTGTGGCTTCGCAGCGTTCAGCACCCACAGCTGCCTCTCATGGACAGGGCTGTTTTGAATGCCTGTAGCTTTTCCACACTGAGGGTGCAAGATGTTGGTGGGTCTATGAATCTGGGGTTTGGAGAATGGAGCCTCCCTGTGAGGGGGCTTCAACCCTACATGGCCCTTCTTTGCTGCCCTAGCAGAGGTTTTCCATGAGCCTCTTGGAAAGGCTACTGCCTGGACACCCAGGCTTTTCTCTACATCCTCTGGAGTCCAGACAAGAGGCTCCAAAGCCTCTAGTCTCTTGCTCTCTTCACCTGCTGCCTTAACACTATGTGGAAGCCATCAAGGCTTGGAGCCACATCTGAAGTAGTGACCCAAGCTGTACCTGTGCATCATTCAGCCATGGCTGGAGCTGGGGCTGCAGGGATGCAGGCAGCAGTGTCCTGAGGATGCACACAGCAGCAGGGCCATGGAGCTGGCCCAGGAAGCCATTCTTCTCTGCTAGGCCCCAGGGCCTGTGAGAGCAAGAGCTACTGCAAAGGTCTCTGAAATGCCTCCAAGGCCTTTTACCCTTTGTCTTGGATACTTGCACTAAGCTCCTTTTTATGCAAATACTCTAAGCCGTATTGAATTTTCCCCCTGAAAATCAGCTTTTCTTTTTGACCACTTGACTAGGCTGCAAATTTTCCAAACTTTTGAGCTCTGCTTCTCATTTAAGTAGAAGTTCCAATTTGAGGTCATTTCTTAGCTCATACATAACAACACAGGCTGTTCGACGCAGACAGGACACCTCTTGAGCTATGCTGCTCAGATGTTCATTCCACAAGATACATCCTAAATCATCACCCCCAAGTTCATAGTTTCACAGATCTCCAGGGCAAGGTCACTGTGCAGCCTCTGTTGGGCAAATCAAATGTAGTATTGGCTCCTATTCACAGGAAATTCCTGGTTTTCATCCGAGAACTTTTAAGTCTGGCCTTCACTGTCCATCCTTCTGTCAGCCTTCTGATCACAAGTATTTAACAATTCTCTACAGTGGTCCAAGCTTTTCCTCATCTTGCTGTCTTTTAAGCTTTCCCAACTCTCCCGACCTCTGTCTTTTACCCACTACTGAACCTGCTTCTACATTATCAGCTCTCTGTGTCACAGCCTGGCAATGTGGTAAAAGAAGAAAAGTCCATTTTCAGGGAAAAAAATCACATAGGCTTCAGATATTTGCATGAAAAGAAGCTGAGTGCTGCTTGCCAAGACAATGGGGAAAAGGCCTTGAAGGCATTTCATAGGGAAAAGGCCTTGAAGGAATTTCATAGCTTCACTTCACAGTACTAACCTTCTGTATGATCAAAAAGAAAAGAGGTTTCATTGGCTCACAGTTCTGCAGGCTGCAAAGGAAGCATAGTGGTTTCTGCTTCTGGGAGGACTCAGGTGCTCCCAATCATACTAGAAGACCAAGCGGCAAGGAGATGTTTCATACAGCAGGAGAAGGAGCAAGACAGAGAGAGGAAAGAAGTGCCACATCATGTTATACAAGCAGATCTCATGAGAACTCACTATCACGAGGTCAGCATCATGAAGATGCTGTTTAACCATTGGTGAAGGCTTCCACCCTGCAAAACTACCTCCCATTGTTTCCAGGCAGAAGCATGCTGCAGAGGCAGAGCTTCTTCGGAAACCTCTGTGAGGCCAGTGCAGAAGGAAAATATGGGCTTGGAGGACTAACACAGGGAGCCACCACCATCCAGACCACAGGCGCACCCTTGCAGAGGTGACTGGTTGCTCTTTGAGCCAGCTTGGCCTTGCCTGGCATGCACAGGCCCCAGGTAGCAACATGCTGCTCCGAGTGAGCTTGTCCTGCCTTGACACAAATTCTAAGTCTGGCCAGGGCCACAGAAGGCCGAGTCCCCTAGATGCTAATCCTGGCTACTTTCTGCACTTGAACATGAAGTCCTCCTCAAGACGGCCTGTGGTCTGCCTCTTGGCAACTAAGAAGCCCGCAGTGCCATATGACGCCTGAGGCATGGACTGAAGCCCCAAAGGCAGCGCACACCCTGCTCCTGAGCCTGCTGCTTGTTTCCTCTCTGTGGCTCCATTTGTAGCACTGTTGTTGCACTGAGGCTTGTGCATGCCAGGCAAGGCCAAGCTGGCTCAAAGAGCAACCAGTCACCTCTGCAAGGGTGTGCCAGGAGCCGGTGCACCAGCCACCAACCTCACTTGCTGCCAGACATGGCACATCAGTACTTCTACCCTAAAGGTAGGGCCACAAGGCCATCTGCTTTTCCTAAGGCCTCTGCTCCATCAGCCATCAGGAGACAGCCACTCAGGCTGTTGGAACCTGGCCATCCCGGCTTCCTTCAGTGGGTGAAGCTGGTGGCTGGTCCAACTGGTCCAGGCGCACCCTTGTAGAGGTGGCTGGTTCTGCTTTCAGCCAGCTTGGCCTTGCCTGGCATGCACAGGCCCCAGGTACTAACACGCTGCTCCAAGTGAGCTTGTCCTGCCTTGGCACAAATTCTAAGTCTGGCCAGGGCCACAGAAGGCCGAGTCCCCTGAGTGGTAATCCTGGCTGCTTTCTGCACTTCAACATAAAGTCTTCCTCAAGACAGCCTGTGGTCTGCCTCTTGGCAACCAAGAAGCCCACAGTGCCATAGGACCCGAGGCATAGACTGGAGCCCCAAAGGCAGCGCACACCCTGCTCCTAAGTCTGCCACTCGTTTCCTCTCTGTGGCTCCATTTGTACCACTGTTGTTGCACTGAGGCTTGTGCATGCCAGGCAAGGCCAAGCTGGCTCAAAGAGCAACCAGTCACTTCTGCAAGGGTGCGCCAGGAGCCGCTGCACCAACCACCAACCTCACTTGCTACCGGACATGGCACATCAGTACTTCTACCCTAAAGGTAGGGCCACAGGGCCATCTGCTTTTCCTAAGGCCTCTGATCCATCAGCCATCAGGAGACAGCCACTCAGGCTCTTGGAACCTGGCCATCCCTGCTTCCTTCAGTGGCTGAAGTTGGTGGCTGGTCCACCTGATCCTGGCACACCTTTGCAGAGGTGGCTGGTTGCTCTTTGAGCCAGCTTGGACCTGCCTGGCATGCATAGGCCCCAGGTACAAACACGCTGCTCCGAGTGAGCTTGTCCTGCATTGGCACGAATTCTGAGTCTGCCAGGGTCACAGAAGGCCAAGTCCCCTGGAAGGTTATCCTGGCTGCTTTCTGCACTTGAACATAAAGTCCTCCTCAAGACGGCCTGTGGTCTGCCTCTAGGCAAGCAAGAAGCCCGCAGTACTATACGACCCGAGGCATGGACTGGAGCCCCAAAGGCAGCGCACACCCTGCTCCTGACCCTGCTGCTCGTTTCCTCTCTGTGGCTCCGTTTGTAGCACAGTTGTTGCACTGAGGCTTGTGCATGCCAGGGAAGGCCAAGCTGGCTCAAAGAGCAACCAGCCACCTCTGCAAGGGTGTGCCAGGAGCAGGTGCACCACTCACCCACTAGCGGCCGGACATGGTACATCAGTTCTTCTACCCTAAAGGTGGGCCACAGTGCCATCTGCTTTTCCTAAGGCTTCTGCTCCATCAGCAATTAGGTGGCAGCCAAGGCAGGACAAGCTCACTCGGAGCAGCATCTTAGTACCTGGGGCCTGTGCATGCCAGGGAGGCCAAACTGACTCAAAGAGCAACCAGCCACCTCTGCAAGGTCTGGCCAGGGCTACAGAAGGCCCCCCTGGATGGTAATCCTGGCTGCTTTCTGTACTTGAACATAAAGTCTTCCTCAAGACGGCCTGTAGTCTGCCTCCAGGCAAGCAAGAAGCCCGCAGTGCTATACGACTCAAGGCAGGGACTGGAGCCCCAAAGGCAGCGCACACCCTGCTCCTGAGCTTGCTGCTCGTTTCCTCTCTATGGCTCCATTTGTAGCACTGTTGTTGCACTGAGGCTTGTGCATGCCAGGCAAGGCCAAGCTGACTCAAAGAGCAACCAGTCACTTCTGCAAGGGTGCGCCAGGAGCCGGTGCACCAGCCACCAACCTCACTTGCTACCGGACATGGCACATCAGTACTTCTACCCTAAAGGTAGGGCCACAGGGCCATCTGCTTTTCCTAAGGCCTCTGCTCCATCAGCCATCAGGAGGCAGCCACTCAGGCTGTTGGAACCTGGCCATCCCAGCTTCCTTGAGTAGCTGAGGTTGCTGGCTGGTCCACCTGCTCCTGGCACACCCTTGCAGAGGTGGCTGGTTGCTCTTTGAGCCAGCTTGGCCTTGCCTGGCATGCATAGGCCCAGCTACTGACACACTGCTCCAAGTGAGCTTGTCCTGCCTTGGCACAAATTCTGAGTGTGGCCAGGGCCACAGAAGGCTGAGTCCCTTGGATGGTAATCCTGGCTGCCTTCTGCACTTGAACATGAAGTCCTCCTCAAGACGGCCTGTGGTCTGCCTCTTGGCAACCAAGAAGCCTGCAGTGCCATACGACCCGAGGCATGGACTGGAGCCCCAAAGGCAGCACACACCCTGCTCCTAAGTCTGCCGCTCATTTCCTCTCTGTGGCTCCATTTGTAGCACAGTTGTTGCACTGAGACTTGTGCATGCCGGGCAAGGTACATCAGTTCTTCTACCCTGAAGGTAGGCCACAGTGCCATCTGCTTTTCCTAAGGCCTCTGCTCCATCAGCAATTAGGTGGCAGCCAAGGCAGGACAGGCTCACTCAGAGCAGCGTGTTAGTGCCTGGGGCCTGTGCATGCAAGGGAGGTGAAGCTGGCTCAAAGAGCAACCAGCCACCTCTGCAAGGTCTGGCCGGGGCCACAGAAGGCCGAGTCCCCTGGATGGTAATCCTGGCTGCTTTCTGCACTTGAACATAAAGTCCTCCTCAAGATGGCCTGTTTTCTGCCTCTAGGCAACCAAGAGGCCCGCAGTGCTATACGACTCGAGGCTTGGACTGGAGCCCCAAAGGCAGCGCACAGCCTGCTCCTGAGCCTGCTGCTCGTTTCCTCTCTGTGGCACATCAGTACTTCTCCCCTAAAGGTAGGGCCACTAGGGCCATCTGCTTTTCCTAAGGCCTCTGCTCCATCAGCCATCAGGAGGCAGCCACTCATGCTGTTAGAAACTGGCCATCCCAGCTTCCTTGAGTAGCTGAGGTTGCTGGCTGGTCCACCTGCTCTTGGCACACCCTTGCAGAGGTGGCTGGTTGCTCTTTGAGCCAGCTTGGCCTTGTCTGGCATGCATAGGTCCCAGCTACTGACACGCTGCTCCGAGTGAGCTTGTCCTGCCTTGGCACAAATTCTGAGTCTGGCCAGGGCCACAGAAGGCCGAGTCCCCTGGATGGTAATCCTGGCTGCTTTCTGCACTTGAACATAAAGTCCTCCTCGAGATGGCCTGTTGTGTGCCTCCTGGTAACCAAGAAGCCTGCAGTGTCATATGACCCCTGAGGCATGGACTGGAGCCCCAAAGGCAGCACACACCCTGCTGCTGAGCCCGCTGCTCATTCCCTCTCTGTGGCTCCATTTGTAGCAGAGTAGTTGCACTGAGGCTTGTGCATGCCGGGCAAGGCCAAGCTGGCTCAAACAGCAACCAGCCACATCTGCAAGGGTGTGCCAGGAGCAGCCGGACCAGCCACCAACCTCACTCGCCGCCGGACATGGTACATCGGTTCTTCTACCCTAAAGGTAGGGCCAAGAGGCAGACCACAGGCCGTCTTGAGGAGGACTTTATGTTCAAGTGCAGAAAGCAGCCAAGATTACCACCCAGGGGACTCGCCCTTCTGTGCTCCGCAGTGCCATACAAGCCTGAGGCATGGACTGGTGACATCTGCTTTATAGAAAAATTAACTTAAGATCCATTAAAGAGTTAAATGTGCCATCTGAGTTTCCTCAGGCCTCTGCTCCATCAGCCCCCAGGTGGCAGCCACTCAGGCTGTTGTAACCTGGCCATCCCTGCTTCCTTCAGTGGGTGAGGTTGGTGGCTGGTACAATTGGTCCAGGCGCACCCTTGCAGAGGTGCCTCGTTGCTCTTTGAGCCAGCTTGGCCTTGCCTGGCATGCACAGGCCCCAGGTACTAACACGCTGCTCCGAGTGAGCTTCTCCTGCCTTGACACAAATTCTAAGTCTGGACAGGGCCACAGAAGGCCAAGTCCCCTGGGTGGTAATCCTGGCTGCTTTCTGCACTTGAACATAAAGTCCTCCTCAAGACGGCCTGTGGTCTGCCTCTAGGCAAGCAAGAAGCCCGCAGTACTATACGACCCGAGGCATGGACTGGAGCCCCAAAGGCAGCGCACACCCTGCTCCTGACCCTGCTGCTCGTTTCCTCTCTGTGGCTCCATTTGTAGCACAGTTGTTGCACTGAGGCTTGTGCATGCCAGGGAAGGCCAAGCTGGCTCAAAGAGCAACCAGCCACCTCTGCAAGGGTGTGCCAGGAGCAGGTGCACCACTCACCCACTAGCGGCCGGACATGGTACATCAGTTCTTCTACCCTAAAGGTGGGCCACAGTGCCATCTGCTTTTCCTAAGGCTTCTGCTCCATCAGCAATTAGGTGGCAGCCAAGGCAGGACAAGCTCACTCGGAGCAGCATGTTAGTACCTGGGGCCTGTGCATGCCAGGGAGGCCAAGCTGAGTCAAAGAGCAACCAGCCACCTCTGCAAGGTCTGGCCAGGGCTACAGAAGGCCCCCCTGGATGGTAATCCTGGCTGCTTTCTGTACTTGAACATAAAGTCTTCCTCAAGACGGCCTGTGGTCTGCCTCCAGG
Source organism: Homo sapiens (assembly GCF_000001405.40). NCBI lineage: Eukaryota > Metazoa > Chordata > Mammalia > Primates > Hominidae > Homo > Homo sapiens. Next base: position 130,666,612 of record NC_000002.12, on the reverse strand, counting down.
CAAGCAAGAAGCCCGCAGTGCTATACGACGCGAGGCATGGACTGGAGCTCCAAAGGCAGCGCACACCCTGCTCCTGAGCCTGCTGCTCGTTTCCTCTCTATGGCTCCATTTGTAGCACTGTTGTTGCACTGAGGCTTGTGCATGCCGGGCAAGGCCAAGCTGACTCAAAGAGCAACCAGTCACTTCTGCAAGGGTGCGCCAGGAGCCGGTGCACCAGCCACCAACCTCACTTGCTACCGGACATGGCACATCAGTACTTCTACCCTAAAGGTAGGGCCACAGGGCCATCTGCTTTTCCTAAGGCCTCTGCTCCATCAGCCATCAGGAGGCAGCCACTCAGGCTGTTGGAACCTGGCCATCCCAGCTTCCTTGAGTAGCTGAGGTTGCTGGCTGGTCCACCTGCTCCTGGCACACCCTTGCAGAGGTGGCTGGTTGCTCTTTGAGCCAGCTTGGCCTTGCCTGGCATGCATAGGCCCAGCTACTGACACACTGCTCCAAGTGAGCTTGTCCTGCCTTGGCACAAATTCTGAGTGTGGCCAGGGCCACAGAAGGCCGAGTCCCCTGGATGGTAATCCTGGCTGCTTTCTGCACTTGAACATGAAGTCCTCCTCGAGACGGCCTGTTGTGTGCCTCCTGGTAACCAAGAAGCCCACAGTGTCATACGACCCCTGAGGCATGGACTGGAGCCCCAAAGGCAGCACACACCCTGCTCCTAAGTCTGCCGCTCATTTCCTCTCTGTGGCTCCATTTGTAGCACAGTTATTGCACTGAGACTTGTGCATGCCGGGCAAGGCCAAGCTGGCTCAAACAGCAACCAGCCACCTCTGCAAGGGTGTGCCAGGAGCAGGTGCACCAGTCACCAACTAGTGGCCGGACATGGTACATCAGTTCTTCTACCCTGAAGGTGGGCCACAGTGCCATCTGCTTTTCCTAAGGCCTCTGCTCCATCAGCAATTAGGTGGCAGCCAAGGCAGGACAGGCTCATTCAGAGCAGCGTGTTAGTACCTGGGGCCTGTGCATGCAAGGGAGGTGAAGCTGGCTCAAAGAGCAACCAGCCACCTCTGCAAGGTCTGGCCGGGGCCACAGAAGGCCGAGTCCCCTGGATGGTAATCCTGGCTGCTTTCTGCACTTGAACATAAAGTCCTCCTCAAGATGGCCTGTTTTCTGCCTCTAGGCAACCAAGAGGCCCGCAGTGCTATACGACTCGAGGCTTGGACTGGAGCCCCAAAGGCAGCGCACAGCCTGCTCCTGAGCCTGCTGCTCGTTTCCTCTCTGTGGCTCCATATGTAGCAGAGAGGTTGCACTGAGGCTTGTTCACGCCGGGCAAGGCCAACCTGGCTCAAAGAGCAACCAGTCACCTCTGCGAGGGTGTGCCAGGAGCCGCTGCACCAGCCACCAACCTCACTTGCTGCCACACATGGCACATCAGTACTTCTACCCTAAAGGTAGGGCCACAGGGCCATCTGCTTTTCCTAAGGCCTCTGCTCCATCAGCCATCAGGAGGCAGCCACTCACGCTGTAGGAAACTGGCCATCCCAGGTTCCTTGAGTAGCTGAGGTTGCTGGCTGGTCCACCTGCTCTTGGCACACCCTTGCAGAGGTGGCTGGTTGCTCTTTGAGTCAGCTTGGCCTTGCCTGGCATGCATAGGCCCCAGCTACTGACACGCTGCTCGGAGTGAGCTTGTCCTGCATTGGCACAAATTCTGAGTCTGGCCAGGGTCACAGAAGGCTAAGTCCCCTGGATGGTAATCCTGGCTGCTTTCTGCACTTGAACATAAAGTCCTCCTCAAGACGGCCTGTGGTCTGCCTCTTGGCAACCAAGAAGCCTGCAATGCCATACGAGCCCTGAGGCATGGACTGGAGCCCCAGAGACAGCGCACACCCTGCTGCTGAGCCTGCTGCTCATTCCCTCTCTGTGGCTCCGTTTGTAGCACAGTAATTGCACTGAGGCTTGTGCATGCCGGGCAAGGCCAAGCTGGCTCAAACAGCAACCAGCCACCTCTGCAAGGGTGTGCCAGGAGCAACCGGACCAGCCACCAACCTCACTTGCTGCTGAACATGGTACATTGGTTCTTCTACCCTAAAGGTAGGGCCAAGAGGCAGACCACAGGCCGTCTTGAGGAGGACTTTATGTTCAAGTGCAGAAAGCAGCCAGGATTGCCACCCAGGGGACTCGGCCTTCTGTGGTCTGCAGTGCCATACGAGCTCTGAGGCATGGACTGGTGACATCTGCTTTATAGAAAAATTAACTTAAGATCCATTAAACAGTTAAACGTGCCATCTGATTTTCCTCGGGCCTCTGCTCCATCAGCCCTCAGGTGGCAGCTACTCAGGCTCTCGTAACCTGGTCACCCCTGCTTCCTTCTGTGGGTGAGGTTGGTGGCTAGTCCACCTGGTCCAGGCGCACCCTTGCAGAGGTGGCTGGTTGCTCTTTGAGCCAGCCTGGCCTTGTCTGGCATGCACAGGCCCCAGGTACCAACACGCTGCTCCGAGTGAGCTTGCCATGCCTTGACACAAATTCTAAGTCTGGCCACGGCCACAGAAGGCCAAGTCCCCTGGGTGGTAATCCTGGCTGTTTTCTGCACTTGAACATAAAGTCCTCCTCAAGATGGCCTGTGGTCTGCCTCTTGGCAACCAAGAAGCTCGCAGTGCCATACCATCCCTGAGGCACGGACTGGAGCCCCAAAGGCAGTGCACACCCTGGTCTTGAGCCTGCTGCTCATTTCCTCTATGTGGCTCCATTTATAGCACAGTTATTCACTGATGCTTGTGCATGCCGGGCAAGGCCAAGCTGGCTCAAAGAGCAACCAGCCACATCTGTAAGGGTCCACTTGGAGCAGATGGACCAGCCACCAACCTCACCCACTCAAGGAAGTAGGGAATGTGTGTTTGTACCATGCATTTCACTACAAGTACATTTCCCCTGAGGTTGGTGGCCTACATTTTCTTCTAGATTTTTTGCTTTTAGGTCTTACGTTTAACTCTTTTATCCTTCTTAAGTTAATTTTTGTATAAAGTGTAAGGAAGTGGCCCAGTTTCAGTTTGCTGCATATGGCTAGACAGTTTTCCTAACACCATTTATTAAATAGGCAATCCTTTCCCCAGTGCTTACCTTTGTCAGTTTTGTCAAAGATGTGGTGGTTTTACATGTGTGGTGCCATTTCTGTGGCCTCTGTTCTATTCCATTGGTCTATATATCTGGTTTGGTACCAGTACCATGCTGTTTCCGTTACTGTGGCCTTGTAGAATAGTTTGAAGCCAGGTACTGTGATGCCTCCAGCTTTGTTCTTTTTGCTTAGGATTGTCTTGGCTATGTAGACTCTTTTTTGGTTCCATATGAAATTTAAAGTAGTTTTTCTAATTTTGTGAAGAAAGTCAATGGTAGCTTGATGGGGATAGCACTGAATCTATAAATCACTTTGGGTGGTATGGCACTCAGGCACAGAAATGTCCTTGTGTTAGGCAATACCATTCAGGACATAGGCATGGGCAGAGACTTCATCACTACAACACCAAAAGCAATGGCAACAAAAGCCAAAATTGACAAATGGGACCTAATTAAGCTAAAGAGTGTCTGCAGAGCAAAAGAAACTATCATCAGAGTGAACAGGCAACCCACAGAATGGGAGAAAATTTTTGCAATCTATCCATCTGGCAAACGGCTAATATGGAGAATCTACAAAGAACTTAAACAAATTTATAAGAAAAAAAACAACCCCATCAAAAAATGGGCAAAACATATGAACAGACACTTCCCAAATAAGACATTTATGCAGCTAAAGAACATGTGAAGCAAACCACATCATCACTGGTCATTAGAGAAACGGAAATCAAAACCACAATGAGATACAATCTCACACCACTTAGAATAGCCAACATTAAAAGATGAGGAAACAACAGATGTTGGAGAGGACGTGGAGAAATAGGAACGCTTTTACACTCTTGGTGGTAGTATAAATTAGTTCATCCATTGTGGAAGACAGTGTGACAATTCCTCAAGGATCTACAACTAGAAATACATTTAACCCAGCAATCCCATTACTGGGTATATACTGAAAAAATAATAAATCATTCTAATATAAAGACACATGCACACGTATGTTTACTGCGGCACAGTTCACAACAGCAAACACTTGGAAGCAACCCAAACGCCAATCAATGATAGACTGGATAATGTGGCATATATACACTATGGAATGCTATGCACCCATAAAAAAGGATGAGTTCATGTCCTTTGCAGGGACATGGATGAAGCTGGAAATCATCATTCTCAGCAAACTAACACAAGAACAGAAAACCAAACACCTCATGTTCTCACTCGTAGGTGGGAACTGAACAATGAGAACACGTGGACACAGAAGGGTAACATAACACACCGAGAACTGTTGTGGGGTGGGGGAGCAGGGAGGGATAGCATTAGGAGATATACCTAATGTTAAATGACGAGTTAATGGGTGCAGCACACCAACATGGCACATGTATACATATGTAACAAACCTGCACATTGTGCACATGTACCCTAAAACTTAAAGTATAATAATAAAATTTAAAAATTAAAAAAAAGTTTTAAAAAATTTCCAACTGGATTTTTTTTTGTTTTTTGTGGGTTTTTTTTTTTGCTTTTTTGTTTTGTTTTGTTTTTGTTTTTGTTTTGCAGCCACAGGAGTTTTAGCCAATTCAGATGCCTTGCTCCCACAATTTGGAACATTCCTTTGGATTTGACCAAGTCAGGAAGAGATGGGAGAAAAGTGAAACAACAATAAAACCCCAAACATAAACAAAAAGAGTTAAGCAAAACAAACAAATGCACAATTCATATGATTAACTGAGTGTTCTAATGGTAAGGAGGAATTAAAAGCAGCTGGTGGGTAATCTTAAATTTTAGTCATTAAGGAAAAATTTTAAGACAAAACTCTAATTCAGCTACTTACCTGGAAATAAGGCTCAGACTGGGTGATCATTCTCTGCCATCTTAGAAGCTGGAAAAACTTACACTCACCTTCCCTGTCAGAAGCAAGCTGAAACTCAGGAAAGGAGGTGCCTGCTCTCCTTTGTCAATGGAAGCAGGAAAACTTGCCTTCCTTGTTGGAAATGAGTAAAACTTCAAAAAAGGAGTTGTACAGCAAAATCAACCTTACATCTCAACCAAATTTTCGGAGATCAGGGACTCTGTGAAGGGGAGAAGCTCCACAACCTCAGCAAATTATCCTATTGGTTTGGGCAATACAAATAGCCCAGGTTGGTATCAAGCAATAATGAGATTTATCAAAGGTCAGGACCACCTTTGTAATGTCCTTCTCTTTTTTTATCTTTATTGGTAGAGTCTGTTTTGTCAGAAACTGGGAGTGCAACACCTTTTTTCTGTTTTCCATTTGCTTGAAATATTTTTCTCCATTCCTTTATTTTGAGCCTATGTATGGCACTGCACGTGAGATGGGTTGCTTGAAGACGGCATACTCCAGTGGGTCTTGGTTCTTTACCCAGCTTGCCCCGTGTCTTTCAATGGGAGCATTTAGCCCATTTACATTTAAGGTTAGTAATGGTATGTGTGGATTTTATCCTGTCGTCATGCTGTCAGCTGGTTATTTTGCAGACTTACATATGTGCTTGCTTTTTAGCATCATTGGACTGTGTACTTCAGTGTGTTTTTGTAGTAGCAGGTGATGATCTTTTCTTTCCATATTTAGTGCTTCCTTCAGGAGCTCTCGTAAGGTAGATCTGGTGATACCAAATTCCCTCAGCACTTGCTTGTCTGAAAAGGATCTTATTTCTCCTTCACTTATGATGCTTAATTTTGCTGGACATGAAATTCTGGGCTGAAATTTCTTTTCTTTAATGGCAGTTGATGTGGGTTGGGGTGTGTGCTGCACTCCCGTGTGCTCTCAGGGCAAGTAAAGCAAAACCCACCCGTGTAAACACACACAGCAAAGTGATTTAGGAAGTTTCCAAATAAAGGGCTGCCGTATGGAGAGGCAATGTGCAGGCTGGTGCGTGGCTCTAGGGGCCACCTTGCTGCAGCTCTCCACTGATACGGTACAGTCCACTAGCATGGAAGCTATGGTGTGGGCATCTAAGAGTGCCCCGTAAGCAGGTGTGGCCAGGCTGGGGCCATGGGAGAGGCGAGCAGACTAAGGAGTGCTGAGATCAGACCAGCCCCATCTCAAGTGCAAGATTGCCCAGCCTCCAGAGATCAGGTCTCAGAGGAGAACTCTCTCAAAAGTGAACCCCCAGCACAGCACAGCAGCTCTACACAAACGTGGCTAGACTTCTTTTATTAAGCAAGTCTCCTTTTTTTAAAAAGGGAACTCTCGGACCTGATCTCTGCTGGGCAATCTTGCATATAAGATGTGGCTGGTATGACCTCAGCATTCCTAAAGTGCTGGGATAAAGTGTCTCACAAGGGCAAGTGGACCCTAGAGAGACAGCCATCCCTGACCTCTGGGCTCCACATCACCTGACTTGCTGCTCCACCACTTTGCTTGTTTCCTGGGTGCTCCATCCCAGAGACATGTGAGTTAGCAATCACTTAGTGTAATCAGCCCAGGATGGAGGGTCTGTGCTGTGGGCCCAAGCCAGGGTTCCCTGTCTGGTGATGAGTAGTGGAGGGTGTGTGGTACCCGTGGGAGATGGACTGGCTTGTTCTTTGGGTCAACTGCAGCTTATTGGAGGTGTTGATAGGGCACTTAGGGTCTTTGCTCCCTTGCATCTTCTGAGGGCAGCAAGGGCAGTTCCACTGCAGAGGCAGTGGCAGAAAGGATTTCATTTGCTCCTGGAAGCTCTGTCCCAGGAACTGCAGAGTTGCTACTGGCTTGATAGCTCCAGTGGTGGGCTGGCTAGAGACCCAGGCCAGGAGGATCTGCCCATCAAGTAGAGAGCCCGGCCACTTTTCTGTAGGGCTGCTGTGGTATGCTGGGGGTCCCCTCCAGTCCCTAATTGCCTTGTATTTTCCAGGGAAGATGATAGTCTGCCCCTTCCTCTGGAAGCTCTGTACCACTGAGGTACGAACCTGTTGCCAATCTGAACACACCTGTAAGATGTGGCTGGAGGCAAGTTGAGAAGTCTTACCTAGTCAGGACGAACAAGAACAGGGACTTGCTTCAAAAAGAAAAGTCTGGCCACGTTTTTATAGAGCAGCTGTGCTGTGCTGGGGGTTCACTTCAGCCCCTGGTCCGCCTCAGACACTCTGAAGCCCTAAGGCTGAAATGCCTGGGTCGCCCAAACAGCAAAGATGACAATCTGGTCCTCCCCCTGGGAGCTCTGACTCAGGGAGGCCTGAGACCTCTGTCGGCCAGAGAACAGCAGTCAAGGTAGCCAGAGACCCTGGTTGAAAGACTTCACCCGCTGACTAGAAATGTGGTCAGGGACTGACGTAAACAAGAGTCTGGCCACGTTTTTGTAGCGTGGCTGTGCTGTGCTGAGGCACGTCTTCCACCCCTTGTCAGCTTGGGCTCTCCAAAACCCGCAGGCCAGAATGGCTAGTCACCGAAAGACCAAAGGTGGGGGCCTGCCCCTCTCCGGGAGCTCTGTCCCAGGAACATTTCACATTTCCATTGGCCAAGGAATGCTGGTGGGGGTAGCTGGAGGCCCCAGTTGGGAGGTCCTGTCCAGTGAGATGGAACAGGATCAGGGGCCTGCTTACAGAAGCAGTCTGGCCATGATTTGGTAAAGCAGCTATGCTGTGCTGTGGGATCTCTTCTGTCCCTCGTCGGTTTGTACTCTCCAAAGCCCGCAGGCTGGAATGACTAAGTTGCCTGAACGGGAAAGATGGCGGCCTGCCCCGTCTTTTCTCTCAGAGTTTTATCTTGTTTCATGGAGCTTAATTTTTAGCCTGTTGATTTTACTGTCTACATTAGACTTGTTGAGAAAGAATCTGTTCTCTTTTAGGTGAGATAAATGAGAATTCATTGTCTTCTGTAAATAAACCTGTTCATGTCTTGTTCTCTGGAAAGAAGTCTCTTTCAGCTATCTGACTTTGGTCACAATCATGTAGAGCAGCAGCCAGTCTACAATGACGTAATTGAATTTCCATTTCCGGTGTTTCCTCGTTGTGTCTTACATTGTCCAGTTCAGAACTGAGCATTTTATTCTCAGTTGTCAACATGCTAAGCTGTCCACTGTACTGAAATACTGTGCTTCCTCAATTTTTTTTAAGGTGTGCACTTTTATCCAACTCTCCTCAAGTCAGAGTACAGGTAAGCCCTGGCTGCCTCCAGCCACTCTCAGGGAGACCAAAAGCCTTCATACACCCCAAGTTGGGGTACAAAAGAGGGGGGCCACGAAGGCTGATCATTCAAAATAAAACAAAATTAAAAAGTATTAAGGCGAAGATTCAAAAAATTTTGCATTATGTAATTTGCACAAAAGCAATGCTATCACCTCCCCTGTGTGAACTAGGGAGAGGACTGGGCCATTCTCCTTAGAGAGAAGTGGGGTGGCTTTTAGCAGTGCAAGGGGCTTCCTGAAACAATGCGTCTCACAATATTTGGAATGACTATTGAAAAGAAGAACAATGTACAATCAAAGTCCTTGGCCACATTGTAGAACTTTGGAGGAAGCTTCCTCCAACCGACTGCTGTCACCTTCACCATTCCGGTTTTTAAATCCTGAGTCAAGCCAATAAAAAACAAAACAAAAAATGAAACAAGAAAACAAATAAAGCCATGCCAATCTCATGTTGTTTTCTGAGAAGTTTGGTTTTGTCAAGAAAGGGTGTAACGCAACTAAGTCAGAGTCCACCTAGAAGCATTTGCGGTGGACAATGGAGGGGCCTGACTCATCATACTCCTGCTTGCTGATCCACATCTGCTGGAAGGTGGACAGCGAGGCCAGGATGGAGCCACCGACCCACACGGAGTACTTGCGCTTGGGAGGAGCAATGATCCTGATCTTCATCATGCTAGGCGCCAGGGCAGCGATCTCCTTCTGCATTCTGTGGGCCATGCCAGGGTACATGGTGGTGCCGCCAGACAGCACTGTGTTGGTGTACAGGTCTTTGCGGATGTCCACATCAGACTTCATGATGGAGTTGAAGGTAGTTTCATGGATGCCACAGGATTCCATGCCCAGGAAGCAAGGCTGGAAGAGCGCCTCGGGGCAGCGGAACCACTCGTTGCTGATGGTGATGACCTGGCCATCGGGCAGCTCGTAGCTCTTCTCTAGGGAGGAGCTGGAGGCCACCATGGCCATCTCCTGCTCGAAGTCCAGGGCAACATAGCACAGCTTCTCTTTGATGTCACGCACGATTTCCCGCTCGGCCATGGTGGTGAACCTATAGCCACGCTCGGTGAGGATCTTCATGAGGTAGTCAGTCAGTTCCCGCCCAGCCAGGTCTAGGCGCAGGGTGGCATGGGGGAGGGCATTCCCATCATAGATGGGCACAGTGTGGGTGACCCCGTCACCAGAGTCCATCACGATGCCAGTAGTACGGCCAGAGGTGTACAGGGACAGCATGGCCTGGATGGCCACGTACATGGCTGGGGTGTTGAAGGTCTCAAACATGATCTGGGTCATCTTCTCGCGGTTGGCCTTGGGGTTCAGGGGGGCCTCGGTCAGCAGGATGGGGTGCTCCTCGGGGGCCACACGCAGCTCGTTGTAGAAGGTGTGGTGCCAGATCTTCTCCATGTCATCCCAGTTGGTGATGATGCCGTGTTCCATGGGGTACTTCAGGGTCAGGATGCCTCTCTTGCTCTGGGCCTCCTTGCCCACATAGGACTCTTTCTGATGCATGCCCCCCATCATGCCCTGCTGCCTGGGGCACCCCACGATGGAAGGGAAGACAGCCCGGGGGGCATCGTCGCCCGCAAAGCCGGCCTTGCACATGCCAGAGCCGTTGTCAATGACGAGCACAGCGGTATCATCATCCATGGTGAGCTCATTCAATTGTAGAGCCTTTAAAAGATTATCATTCTTTTTTTTCACACTTTCAATATCCTCCAAATATTTCTTTTTTCTTAGCTGGCTCTGATGTTTCATTGTGTCTAGCTCCAGTCTTAGCATGGCAATTTCTTCCCGCAACATACTATTTTCATGCAAGAAGTCTCTTTCTTTCTTACAACTAAGAGAAAGCTAAGTAAACAAAGAGAACTTTTAGTTAGCACTCAATAGATTGACATAACATGATTTCTTTTGAAATTCAAAAATAACATGTATTTGTATAATGAAAGAATCCCCATAGTGGATATTTAACTGGAAAAAAATTGGACAAAACTTCAAACCTAATAAGAGTGTAAATTCCTCCAGTGATTTATTTTTCATCGTCTTTAAATAAATATTTAAACTTTTAGGAATCTGCTCCTAAATTCCTAAAAGTTTAAATATTTATTTAAAGACGATGAAAAATAAATCACTAGAGGATTTTTAAGAATCCCAGAATTAAAAAAGCCTTTTTCTGAGTTACAAAAAACCCAGAGGCATAAAATATAAGATTAACAATTTGACTACATTTTTAAGATTAGGTTTACACTCTGATATCTAACCTATCAACCACACCATCCTAAGAGCCTTAGCTATGCATATATTTGGACAGAAGGAATTTCTCAAAGTTCTTTAAGTTCTTTTACTGAAGAACATTTTACCGATATTCTACATTTCTAATATTTCTATACTCAGTTATAAGAATTACATTTATTTATAACTGTCAAATCTAAGCACTGTACCCTTCTACACTGTACACATCTGTATCTAGGCATTCCACTTCTACATATAACACTGAACTCATTTAAGATCGCGATTCTTAAAAGGAGAGGTCAAAAAATATACACAGATGCAGGATTTTCCCCAGGTCTGCTGATGCTACTTCTAGTGATCCTCCACAAAATCACACTTACTTCTGTGGTGTAAATATATAAATACAAAAGAAACCTTTTGTTTCAAAATATGAATGGTAAATAAGATACAACTTATAGAGATTTTCTTAGAAATCATGAGATTATTTGCCATTGCGGTAACTTTTATTTCCTCTTTATAATGTTTGAAACAGTAGTAATGGTGAAATAGGGGAAATATACTGAACTATTTCTCCAGAAAGAAAATACTTATCAATAAATTATTACTAAATGTGTATCATGGCATGTCATTGTTTTCAAACCTCTTTACATTGAAATGAGAAACTACTTGGAGCAAACTGTTCCTCTCTGCAAAAGTAAGGATAATGGTATCCACAATGTGGCCTCTGACCCAGCTGTACATTTCCTACTTTCTTATCAGTGAAAATAATCAATTGACTTCTCTATTAACATTTTTTAAAAAACTAATGTCCAAAAACGAGAAAATCTGTTTTCAGTAGCAAAACTTATTTCTGATGTGGAAAGATCGTCAATTCTTATGAAAAACATCAAATACTTCTCCTTTGGATTGAGGCCATTGTGCAGGTCACTACTCAACTGTTGCAGGCAAATGAAGGTGAATTAAGAACATGGCTTTATCCTATATGTACGTATATAGATATATGACAAAGGATATATAGAATATATACACACATATATATGACTTAAAAATCCTTTATATTTCCAAAATACAGTTCTTTAAAATATACACACATATAAAAACATTTGAAAATAACTAAAGAAAATACCTCAGAATTCATTTTTTCAACCACTTCTATCTGCTTTTCTTCATGAATCAGAATCTCATCGTGTAATATTCCAGTGTTCTGTTCTTCACAAAATTGCTTCTGAGTATCATTTTGTTCGTCACTAGAAGAAATTTTAATTTTCATGAAATACTGGAGCTGTCCCTAAAATGATGTACAGGGCAAGATGGCGCCATCAGATGTCATTCACACAATGCATATCTGCACATTATTCCAAGACAAGGCAAAGGGGTCTCACATCTGTTAACCAGGTGTCCCCAACCATGCTGGCACCAGGGACTGGTTTTGTGGAAGATAATTTTTACAGGAACCTGAGGTGGGGGATGGTTCCAGGATGATTCAAGTAAATTACATTCATTGTGCACTTTATTTCTATTATTATTAATATATAATGAAATAATTATATCTCACCAAAATGTAGAATCAGTGGGAGCCCTGAGCTTGTTTTCCTGCAACTAGATGGTCCCATTTGGGGGTGACGGAAGATGGTGACAGATCAGAAAGGCATTCGATTCTCATAAGGAGTGAACAACCTATATCCCCCTGCATGAGCAACTTACAACAGGGTTCAGGTCACACTCAGGACAATCTAATGCCACCGCTGATCTGACAGGAGGAGGAGCTCGGGCGGTAATGCGAGTGACAGAGAGTGGCTGTAAACAGATGGAGCTTCACTTGCTCACCTGCCTCGAACCTCCTGCTGTGTGGCCCAGGTCCTAACAGGCCAGGGATTGCTAATGGTCTGTGTCCTGTAACCCATACTCTTTATGTTTATTGTTTGGAAACACTTTCTACTTATATTCTTGATTCCTATGTATTTTATAAACAACTTAGAAATTCCTTTTAGAACAAGACAGGGTATAATATGTTTTTAACATAGGACTTTGAAATAATTTTATCTGTGTATGAGAGAGAGATGTGAAATAAACTCATCGTTAAGCACTTTCCATTTTACTTTTATTTCATGCATATTAAAAATAAAACTGGGAAGTCCTAGGCAGAGCAATTGGGCAAGAGAAATAAAGGGCATCCAAATTGGAAAAGAGGAAGTCAAACTATCTCTTCACCAATGATATTATCCTATACCTAGAAAACCCTAAAGACTCCTACAAAACACTCCTAGATTTGATACATGAATTCAGTAAAGTCTCAGAGGTTACAAAATAAATGAATACCAATCAGTAGCACCACTATACACCAACTACAACCAAGCTGAGAGTTCATATCAACAATCCAATCCCTTTTACAGTGGCTGCAAAAAAGTGTGAAGCACCTAGGAATATACTTAATGAAAAAAGTGAGTGATCTATATAAAGATAACTGGAAAACACCACCAAAGAAAATAACAGATGACACAAACAAATGAAAATACATCCTATGTTCATGGACTGAAAGAACTGATATAGTGAAAATGACCATAGTGCCCAAAGCAGTCTACACATTCTATACAATACCTACCAAAGTACCAATGTCATTCTTCACAGAATTATTTTAAAATGCTGACATTCATGTAGAACCACAAAAGAGCCTGAACAGCAACAGACATACCAAGCAAAAGGAACAAATATGTTGGCATCGCATTACCTGACTTCAAATGATACTCTAAGACCACAGTAACAGAAGCAGCGTGGTACTCGTATAAAAACAGATACATAGATCAATGGAACAGAACAGACAACTCAGAAATAAAGCCACTACAACCAAGTGATCTCTGAGCAAGGATACAAAAACATACACTGGAGAAAGTACAGGTTATTCAATAAATGGTGCTGGGAAAAAAAGATAGCCACATGTTGAAGAATGAAACTGGATCTCTATCTCTCACCATATACAAAAATTAATTCAAGATGGATGAAAGGCCTAAACCTAAGACCTGAAAACATTGGCCTAGGCAAAGGATTTATGAGGAAGACCCTAAAAGCAAATCCAACAAAAATGAAAATAAATAAATAAGACCTAATTAAACTAAAAAGCTTCAGCACAGCAAAAGAAATAATCATCAGAGTAAAACAACAACTTATACAATGGGAAAATTTTGAAAATTATGATGCTAACAAAGGACTAATATCTATAACCTACAAGAAACTCAAACAAATCAACAGGAAAAACGCAAATAATTCCATTGGAAAGTGGCCAAATTACATGAATAGACATTTCTCAAAAGAAGAGGTACAAACGGTAAACAAGCATATAAAAACATGCTAAATATCTCTAATCATCAGGGAAATGTACAATAAAACCACAGTGAGATATCACCTCACTGCAGCCAGAATGGCCACTATTAGAAATCAAAAAACAACAGATGTTGGTGTGGACGCGGTGAAAAGACAACAGTGATACACTGCTGGTGGGAATGCAACTTCATACAAATCTATGGAAAACAGTATGGAGAGTTCTCAAAGAACTAAAAGTAGATCCTACCATTTTATCCAACATTCTCATTTCCAGATATCTACACAAAATAAAAGAAATCGTACTCTCAAAAGGACACCCGCACACATATGTTTACTGCAGCACAATTCACAATATGCAAAGATATGGAATCAACCAGTGTCCATCAACTGATGAGTGGAATAAAGAAAATGGACGTATATACATATATATATCTCACATCACATATATGTATCATATATATGTATGTGTGTATATACACTCACACATATACATATGTACATAGCTGAGACTGGGTAATTCACACACATACATACCTGAGACTAGGTAATTCATAAAGGAAAGAGGATTATTTGATTCACAGTTACGCATGGCTGGGGAGGCCTCAGGAAACTTAACAACCATGGTAGAAGGGGAAGGGGAAGCAGGCACCTTCTTCATAAGGCGGCGGGAGAGAGAGAAGAGAGAAGTGAAGCGCAAAGAGCCCCTTATGAAACCGTCAGCTCTTGTGAGAACTCACTCACTATCACAAGAACAGCATGGAGGAAACCGACCCCATGAGCCAATCACCTCCCAGCTGGTCTTTCCTCAACACCTGGGAATTACAATTTGACATGAGATTTGCATAGAAACACAAAGCCAAACTATTGGGGGGGGGTATCCTTATTTTTAAAATATCTAAATGTCATTATTTATAATTCAAAATAGCAATTTTTATTACTTATGATTTTGTTTGAAAACAAAATGATCTCATAAATTTTCTTCACTTTTAACCTATTCAGTCAAAATATAGAAAAAGCTAGATTTGCCAGCAGAAAATTGTAACAACTTTTTAATGAGATAAAAATGCATAACAATATCACTAGTATTGTACAGAGAAAAAAGTGAACAAGAAAAGGAATTTAAAAACACAGAATATGACTATCATATACATACATGAACTGACAAAGAGACTAAAATCTCCTACTGGAGATTATGTTAGGACTTGAGCAAAAGCTTCTAAAAATACCAAAAACAAAAACAAAACAATTATTTTTAAGAAATAAATTATACAGAGAACTCTTCTGGTTAAGATGATGTATCAAAAAAAAAAATCTTCGTGAGAGCTATTATTAACCAAGTCATCATAACCAAAACTTTAAATCCACAATTCTGGAATATTAAAAAGTTTCTTTTTGAACATAGTTAATGGAAGGCAACTTTTGAACAGAAAATTTCTGGTTAAAGTTGACTCAAACTTAGGAAAGAATTGACCTGTAGCCATGGTAACAAGAAGCCAGCCAGAGCCAGTTCAAAATCTAGTCAATCGATCAATGACCACTGGCCTTGCTCACCAACCAATATCAGTGTGAGCAGCTTGCTTCTGAAAGACAGCCAAGCAGCAACAGCTGCTCCATCAGAATAGACAGTGCCTGACCAGTATAGTCTTACTATCGGAAGCAAAAAATTCCAACTGTCTTTTTATTTCAAATACCGAAGGTCCATAATCCCTTGGAAAGAATTTGTGAGTCCATTACATTTACCACCCTAAAAAAAATAAAATACTAGTGGCCGGATGTGGTGGCTTACACCTGTAATCCACCCAGCACTTTGTGAGGATGAGGTGGGTGGACTGCCTGAGGTCAGGAGTTCAAGACCAGCCTGACAAACAGGATGAAACCCCGTCTCTACTAAAAATACAAAAATTAGCCGGGTGTCATGGCACGCACCTGTAATCCCAGCTCCTCAGGGGGCTGAGGTAGGAGAATCGCCTGAACCCAGGAGGCAGAGGTTGCAGTGAGCCGAGGTCACACCACTGCACTGCAGCCTGGGTGACAGAGCGAGACTCTGTCTCTAAATAAATAAAATACCAGTAAAGCTTGTAATTTCTCTAACTCATTTTACCATAATTGCAATTATCATGATTACCAGTAAAAGAATAGTGAATAACCACAATATTGGGCTTTTCTCCCTAAGTGAAAAAATATTAATATAAAGAATGTAGCTTATTATAAAAAGCCGAAAGAATTTTTAAAATACATATAATTACCAGGCAAAATTGTTAAAATGAACCTTGTCAAACATTTTTTAAGTGAGAATCAATCAAACAATATACCTGGGATAAACTCCATTCATTCATTTAATACCTATTTATTAGGTAGCTACGTCTGATAGGCTAGGCCTTTTTCTAGGAAGTGAGGATATGGTAATGAACAATAAAAACCCTATTCATGAGAGTGAGATAAACACACAATAACAACAGACAGATACGGCAAAATACACAGTACGTTAGAGGAGAAAAACTAAAGCAGGAAAATGAAATCTTTATGTGTTTGATGGGAAGGGTGGTGGGAAAGTTGGGATGGCCAGAAAAGTCCCTGCTGAGAAAGAGGATTTTTCTTTAATACAAAGAAACTTTTATTTGTACATCAAAGACTCTAAAAAATGATGATGTTAACAGAGTTGATGTCAAGACACAAATAGGTTTGAAGTTAGAGATGATAAATCACTTTGTTTCATTGAAACTTCCCTCAATTACGTTAGAGAGCATCCCTGGTATGTTCCCAATTGAATCTGAAGCCTGACGTGTCCTGATGATACAATCCTAATTCCTTTCTGTTAGTCCTCATTATCTCTCTTTTTTTTCATTTTCTTCATTTTCTCTGGGCTAGGAATTGTGCTGGTACATGGTTCTCCCTCAGGAAGTGGTTATTCCTTAATGGGTTTCTTTTTACCCTTTTTCTTCTTCTTAGAAAGGGGATTTTAAGTAAAGAGCTGAAGTAATGGAAACAGTAAGCTAGAAGAATATCTGGGGAAAAAGCATTCCAGACACAGGGAACTGCTAAGTGCAGAGGTGTGCCTGGAGTCTTTAAGCACTAAGGGATAGGTAAGGAATAACAACAAGTTCAGTGTGGCTGAAACACAGCAATAGAGATAAGAAACAGAAGTTTCAGCAGGAGAGGTAACATGCCAGATGGTTTACTGCCTTTCAGTTATTAGGAGGAACTCTGCCACATACTCAGAGTGAAATGGGAGGCAATCAGAAGGGCTGGGGCAGAGGAATGACAACATTTGACTTATGTTTTAAATACATCCACTGAGATAAGAATTGATGAAAGGGGAAGCTTTTAAAAACCAGGACTATCAATTCTCAGTCTATGACACTCATCTAAACTGCAGATGACGGTGGCTCAGTTGTACAAGATAGACTGGCCTCTGGATATATTCTTCAGATAGACCTGACAAGATTTACTGAGAGATTAGATGTGAAGTGTCAGGACAGAGAGAAAGATCAGTCAAGAATGACACTGAGGTTTTTGGCAGAGCAACTGGAAGAGTTGCTGTTAACCAAAGTAGGAAAGACTACATGAGGTGTAGATTTCAGGAAGGACATCAGTAGCCCAATTTTGGATCTGACAAGTGTGTGATACCCAACAGCTAATCAAATAGAGATGTCAAGTAGGTGGGATGATATAGAGATCTGGAATTAAGGAAAGAGATCTAAGTTGGAGACATACATTTGGAAATCACTAGCATATACACAGTAGAAAAAGTCATGAGGGGCCAGGCACGGTGGCTCACGCCTGTAATCCCAACATGTCATGAGGCCAAGGCGGGCAGATCACCTGATGTCAGGAGTTTGAGACCAGCCTGGCCAACATGGGGAAACCTGTCTCTACTAAAAATACAAAAATTAGCCAGGCGTGGTGTCGCACACCTGTAATCCCAGCTACTCAGGAGGCTGAGGCAGGAGAAGTGCTGGAACTCATGAGGCAGAGGTTGCAATGAGCCAAGATCATGCCACTGAACTCCAGCCTGGGGGACAAAGCGAGACTCTGTCTTAAAAAAAAAAAAAAAAAAAAAAAAAAAAACTATGAGAAAGAAGATTGAGGACTGAGCCATGAGAAACAACAATGTCCAAAAGGAGAAAGATGAGGAGCAGCAAGCAAAACAGACCATGATAAACGGACTAGAAAGGCAGGAGGAAAAGCCTGAGGGAGTGAGGTCCTGAAAGCCAAGTGAAGACGCCATTAGGGAGGAGATGCCCTCCATTGGCTCAAATATTGCTGACAGATTAAATGAGATGTAAGAAAAATGCCTAGATTTAGTACAGAAAAAAATTAGTGATAATCTTGAGGAAAAACAACTCTGGAGGAGTGCTGAAATTGAAGACTTACCGGCATTGAGATCAAGAGTGAATGGAAAGAAAATTTGAGTTCATGAGTGTAGACAGTTCTTTAAGGACAACATACTTAACGCTCATGACTGAGAATGATGTAATTTTCATCCACAGTCATGGAAAAGTGATAGACAAGAAATAGTAGCTTCCAAATTTTACATAACAGGTGGAGTTTTCAAATTTTATGTAACAATTATATATTCTAAAGGTTATAAAAATTATACACATATGGCATTTAGAAATGTCAGACCAAGGTTTTAAAGGCCCTTTGCACATTTCTAGATTACATAAGCTGATTATCATTTTGTTCATGCTTATACATAAAGACCAAGAAATACTAAAACTCTCAAGGAGAATATTTCTTGCTTGATAAAAATCAGCCAATTCTAGGACAGTTGACACTCATCAAATATATGAAGTAATTGATCACAGTAAAATACTGAGTTCTATTAACAGGAATAAAGTGGGAGAAATGCAGAAAATAATCTTATTTTATAAATGTAGTTTTCAAAATCATATGAAGTCACTGGAAAAATACGGTGAGGTGAATACTGAAATATATCCTTTTCTCAAAGGGAGGATAATGTCACACATGCAGGGCACTTTTACAAATAAAAGTCACTGCATTAGCAGCACCTTCCTTTTAGCACAAGGGTCAGCAAATAAGCACCTGTGGGCCAAATCCAGCCCACTGCCCGTTTTTGTAAGTCAAGTATCTTGGAACACAGCCATGCTTATTCACTTTACAGTCCATAGTGTCAGTTAGCTGGGTGTGATGTTGCACACCTGTGGTCTCAGCTAGTAGAGACTGAGGTCAGAGGATCACTAGAGCCCAGAAAGTCGAGGCTGCAGTGAGCCATGATCACACAACTGCACTCCAGCCTGGGAAACAGAGTGAGACCCTGTCTCAAGAAAATAAATATATGTAGTCCACAAAGCCTAAAATATTTACTAACTAGCTCTTTGCAGAAAAAGCTGGCCAACTCCTGGTTTAGTAGATCAAAGATTCTTTGATGTATTTTAATAAAAGTTTTACCAAATATACTGAAATGTTTATATTAAATATAGATCCCCATGTACAATCCCTTGGCAATATTCAGATTGAGGGTCCAATATTTCAGCACTCAGGCACTGACAACAAAAATTTAGTAACTAGCAATCTTGTTGCTAACAAGGTACAGTGTCAATGTAGCATGTAGCTTCCATTTGCAACACAGCAGATATTACAAGAATTTTAACAAGAACTCTTAAGATGTGTCATCAAACTAAACGCTTTAAATACATTTTAATTGTGAAATAATCAGTATACCCTACATCTAACCTCATTTTTTTAAAATGGTTGCATAATACATTATTTTGGGGATACGGAAATTGAGCTATTTCCTATTGATAAGCAATTAGACTAGCTCCAAATTTTTTACATAATAATACTATAATAAATGTCCTTATACATAAGTATACATATAACATATCTATACAAATATCCTTTACATGTATTATATATGCTTACTCTGTTATATATGTGTGTGTGAATATGCTACTCAATTAATGTTCAAAATGTATTTACCAACAGTATATGAAATGTCTTTTTCAATGAAACCATTTCCCCTGCAGCAACACGGATGGAGCTGGAGGCCATTATCCTAAGAAAACTCATGCAGGAACAGAAAATCAAATGCCACATATTCTTACTCATTAGTGGGAACTAAACATGAGAACTCATGGACACAAAGAGGAGAATAACATACACTGGGGCCTACTTGAGGGAGGAGCATGGCAGGAGGGAGACGACCAAAAAACTACCTTTCGAGTATTTTGTTTATTATGTGGCTGGTGAAATAATCTGTACCCCAAGCCTCCATGATACAGTTTACCTATATAATAAACCTGCACACGTACCCCGAAGCTAAAATAAAAGTTCACTGAAAAGAGAAGAAAATGCCTTTTCCCTCACATTTGTCAATACTGGTTATTTTTCAAATAAATTAACGACTGGAAAAAAAACGGTAACTGATTGTTTGCTGATTTTCATTTTTCTGATTAACAGGCAAGGCTCAATATCCTAATAAAAGTATAAAATTTGTTCATCATGAATATTAGCTCAAATTAGGATTAGTTTGACAGCACAAAGTTACCTCCTGTTCAATGTTGCCATAGGCTTACCTGTGATACTCTTCATTCTCAGTGTCAGGAAATTGCTGGCTTTCAGGTGTTCTGCTCTTCCTTGGAGGAATTAATCCATCATCACCATTGCCAGCAGTGGCACCATTAGTCAGGTTTTCTGGGAATCCGACGTGAGTACTTCCGTGCTTCTTCATTTCTTCGATAGCCATAAAATTTTCTAGCTGGAAAATACAGAGAATAAGAAATTATCTACTTTAGGCACATTATCTACTGATAATCAGACTAAAACCAAGAAAGATAAAATAATTGGTCTAAAGTTCCTAAAGTGGCATTACCTAGCATTTTATGGCACCATTCGGGATTATTCCATAATAATGAAAGAATAGCTCTAGGGTTTGCACCTCTTCAAAATTCAATGTACAGAATTCTGAGTTAACTATTTAATTTTTCACTGATGATTTATGCTACTTACATGATAGGATCATGTATGCCTACATTTACTACACTTTGTTAAACAACATAATGTAAAAATCTAATTCAACACAAACATTTGAATATAAAGGTATACCTCTCTATCACCATCCTTATTTATTTCTGGTTCTTGAGATCTTTTCTGCAGATGTAAAAACAGAAGGTTAATTTGCTTGTTGTATTTCTGTGACATTTCCTCTTTTGGAGTGCATGTTTTTAAAATAATTTTATTCTGAAGTAATCAAGTATGGACAATAAAAATTAGAAAGTAATTAAAATTAAACTGTTAAAATAAATAAATAATAATTAAAATTAAGAATTAACTTTTTAATCTATGTTTAGCTACTGCCACATCACTGGCTTCTAACATGTGAAAAATAATTCACCTTAGACAAAGGGAGAAGAAAAACATGAACCAGCAAACTTAACTTTCTCACTATTTGTTTGGACTAAATTTAATTTGTTATGTGTTAAATCTACCAAAAATGAATCAGCAGATGATTTGTAGTGTTCCAAAATCTTCCTCACTTGAAAAGAGTTTACCTCATGAAACCCTAACTAGTGAGCACCTACAGTGCACTGAAGTGCTTTTTTAAAAGATTCCTAACTGGATTGTAGGCACCCTTTAAACTATTAGGAGCCGAAATCAACACCAAACAGAAAGAAATGCAAATTCTCACATTTTAATTGAAATTATATACTGTCATATGATAGTGTTATGTATCCAGATTATCTGCGTAAGTCCAGTTCTAATATATTCTAATGTGTACTAATGACAGCAGATAAAATTTTTTAATCTCTACTGATTTTCTGCAACTGAAATAAATTAGAATGTTATTGTGTTTGTGCACTAACACCAAAGGTCCCATTCTGCAAGATATGGTTCTTGTAATAGGCAGTTGGGTTGCTTTTATGACCTGGTTCCCTCCCTGAACAGAAACACTGAGGTCAACGAGAGACCACAAGGCAGGATATGTCCTTAACCTTGGTATCAGTGACTGACAATATAAAACTGTGGATTTTCAATCACAGGCCATGATTACTCTTTAACCATGAATCCAGCTCAGGGAATCAGTGTTACATTGTTCATAATTCCTATTGCTTAATAATATGATTCAATCATTGATGTTACTTTCTTTATCATGTTAGGGTGTTGTAAAAATAAAAGAACAAACAAAGTTCTGAAATTTGTTTTTGCCTCTATTCCAAAAGGAGAGATTAGCTATAAGCTAATCAAGAAGGCAGATAAGAATATTTTAAAATAAGAGTATTTTAAATTTTATAGTGGGTTATGTTGAAGTTAAATATCAAATATTAAATTAGAATCTATTGATTCTTCTGTTAACAAGGTTGCTGATTTTATTACAATAAATTTTAAGAATCTATTAAAATATATATATATATTTTTTTCAGATGGAGTCTCGCTCTGTCACCCAGGCTGGAGTGTAGTGGTGGATGTCGGCTCACTGCAAGCTCCCTCTCCTGAGTTCATGCCATTCTCCTGCCTCAGCCTCCCGAGTAGCTGGGACTACAGGCACCCGCCACCACGCCCAGCTAAGTTTTTGTATTTTTACTAGAGACGGGGTTTCACCATGTTAGCCAGGATGGTCTCGATCTCCAGACCTCGTGATCCACCTGCCTCAGCCTCTCAAAGTGCTGGGATTACAGGCGTGAGCCACCTTGCCTGGCCAAAAGATTCTTAAAAAAACAATCTACTGATTCTCAAAGCCTAGTCTGAAAGGTAATTTCATTTGGACTATCTACTATTATTAAGGCAAAAAACACACAACATTAAACAAAAGTTTAAATTTAAAAGTTTCCATGCCTCTGGCTGGCCATTTTCACTGCCTTTAAGCCTTTGTGACTCTTCCTCTGATGTCAGCTTTAAGTCTTGTTCTGTTGAAAAATCCATATATTCAGTTAAAATCAACCACTTAGAACAGTTAAAAACTATTGCCTTTTAAAAACGGATTTGAGACATTTCATTTTATTTCATAAATTGAGTGTTTCATCTTTTGTGAAATTGTCATTTAAGAAATAATTCTCAAAAACTTCAAAAACCCACTTGGGGAGATACCAGATGTCACCAGATTGAAGACAAACAAACATGTCAAAAATTCCCTCACAAATTCATCCACCCAACATCCATGAACAAAACCACCAGAAACACAGCTTTAAAATACAGTAGAAACATATAAGGTGACACAGTGTACTGTTCTCCACTTCCTAATAGTACCTTATAAATGATTTCCAAAATCACTGCTGACACCTTTATTAGTGTACAACATCTTCCTAATATCTAAAATGTTTCCCTCCACTATTCTGACAAATTTATTTTCTTTTTTTCTTTTTTTTTTTTTAATGAGTCAGGGTCTTCCTCTGTCACCAGGCTGGAATGCAGTGGCATGATCAGCTCACTGCAACCTCCGCCTCCCTGGTTCAAGTGATTCTCCTGCTTCAGTCTCCTGAGTAACTGTGATTACAGGCAAGCACCACCACACCCAGCTGATTTTTGTATTTTTAGTAGAGATGGGGTTTCACCATTGGACAGGATGGTCTCGATCTCCTGACCTCGTGATCCCCTCTGAAAGTGCTGGGATTACAGGTGTGAGCCACCACACCTGGCCTTATTTTCATCTTTTGAAACAATGCTATGTGAAGTCTTCCTTCATTCTGCATGTCTTTCCCCAGATAAACAGGTACCTCCTTCCTTGAGGCTGCCTTAGTACTTTACTGATTTTTCTACTGCATCTTGACCACCTAAACTGTACATTATTCCTCCACATGTCTGTCCCCTCTGCTCCAAGACTGCAGGGGAGAGTCTTGCACATCATCTTTGTAAAAACAGTCTTTGTTTTACTCAGAAATATTTTATTGAGTCCTGCTAAATACATGCTAGGCATTAGGGTTTAAAAAGAATTAAAATAAAGCCTGTCAGAGATGGCTTTTCTAGAACACATGCCCAAGCAGAGACTTAAATATTGAGACTAGCCAGATTAAAAGGGGTAGAGGGCAGGAAAGGGTGACGGCATGCCACGCAGCAGCAAGAGCGGGAGCGAGGCCTGAAAGAGTGAAAGTATTTGCCTACAATAGAAGGATGAGTGAGTAGGGCATTGCCAGCAGCTCAGTAATGCCAGAGACAGGGCACACAGGGAAAAGGGCTAAAGATGGAGAGTGGGGCAGAAGTCAGATTATGAAAGCCTTATGTGTAATTTTAAGATGCTTGGACATTAATGTTCAAAAGTGGTCCCGGGTCCTATCTGCATTTAGATATAGATCATTTCAATGCCAAAACCAATATTCCTAGTGAACAATTATTCATTAAGACAAGGTGACAGATAGCTCATGTGGACACAGCTGAGATGATACAATGTAGCAAATACTAAACAATTCTCATGAACACTTGGAAAGTCAGTTCTATAATAAAGTCATACAAATTATACTAAATCAGTAAATATTTGGTTTGGGAAGATGCTTTGTAAAGTTATAGTGCATATGAATACAATTAACAGTCGTGAATTCAGAGCTGTGAAAATAAATCAAAGAAACCACATTGTGTTTGAGTCAGCAATCTTTAGATTTCTATCCAGTCTTTCCATCCAGTCCATAAATTCTAAGTATAATCCTGGTACTCACTCTCAAGTTTACGTTAAATACTATCCCATACAAAAAAACACTCTTTCTCTTACTTCTTTTCATTATGTCCTGCTAAAAAATTCTGATTGGCTGCAGGCGGCAAGAGGGAAAAACACAAAGCACATTTTGCAGAAAATGATTATTTAGAAGTCAGAACTATGACATGAAGCCAAGCAGGGCACTCTAGGACCGAATTTGCTGAGCTGCCTTCATACGCTCCTTGCTCTTTCTTTTCTGGCAGCTGTGACTCACACAGGTCATGGAGAGTATCATTCCCTAAGAGGAACAACTCTGATATTCATCTTCATCTATTAAGTTCATCTGTCCCAATTCTGTGTTCTGTGGATGCTGACTTTCTGTCACAGACGGTGATGCACATGGACATTTATTACTGACTTTCAGATTCTTGGATCTTTGACAAGTCTTATTACTGAGAGTCAAACTAGTAGGATGTGAGTTATAAATGCTGATTATCCAATGACCTACTCAAAATATCCTACACGAATATTCCATTAAACATGCATAGAAAAAAATTAGTCATTCCTGCTGACCTGCTGCTCTTTGCTCTCCTGTATTCACCAGAAAATTTCCTACTCCTTCCTCATGTCCAGGTTAAATACTAGTGTACAATCTGGAAACCTGTACATCATCTGAGATTTCTCTCTGTCCCCCAAGCCTTTCTCATTCAATTATCACTAAATCATATTGACTATACCTCTCTTCTGCCTCTGTTTTATATTCCCACTGCCACTGGGAACACAAACATTTACAAAATGACTTCTATTTAAAAGAAAACTGCCAACTATTAATGTTATTTCTTACAGGAAAAAAATTAAGCAAAACAAGTGAAAAAGGCATAACGAAGGCCAACATAGTAAAATAAGTAACTGAGATTTCTAACATTATTTATTTCACCATGGACGGGTGAAAACCTTATAATACATTGATGCTACTCCAAGGATGTGTGACATGGAAACTATAGCTGACTACTGCAAAAACTTCCTTTGTCTCCTGGTTTCTTTGCATGATTATCTCCCATCAATCCCAGGAAACTATAGGCCACAGGCCAAATCCAATCTGCATTATGGTTTTGTAAATAAAGTTTTATAGGAGCTCAGTCATGCCTGTTTGCTTACATATAATCATGGTGGCTTTCACACTACAACAGCAGACAACAGCACGGTTAAGTAGATATGACAGAGACCACATAGTCTAAAATATTGCCCACCTGGTCCTTTAAAGAAAAAGCCTGCTAACCCATTTTACACCATAACCAGAACGCCTTAATACTCAAATTTAATCTTGTGACTCCCCTGCTCAAATTTCTCCAATGAGCCCCTGCAGCACACATTGTTGGCTCCCTATCAATAGCCATTCCTCATTCTTTCTGGCAGAAAAAACATAAGTCTATTGGGATATTTAATATCCCAATCCCCCTCCTCAGCCTCAGAAACAGAAATGTTTATTCTAAGCTAATCAGGTATTTACCTTCCCAGTGCCTGGTTTGGGAATGAGCATGTGGTATGACCCAGCCAATGAAATGTTACAGGAAGCCCCTTGCATGCTTCTAAGTTTCCTCCCTGTTTAAAAGACACACGTGAAGAAAAGCAGCCCTTGCGATGTTGTGTTGTGAGAACAAGATGTTTGGAGCTGCTGCGGATTAGCCAACCACGAAAGGAGACGTGAATAAAACACTGTCAACAGCACAGCTGAAAGAGGGACAGGTGGGATCCTAGGATATCAATGAATAAAAAAACAACTCTGGTTCCTACTGTTTTAGCCACTGCTCATCTAGTATTTGCAGTCCAAAGCATTCTACCTGGTCAATTCCCATGGCCCACAGGATAAGAGCTACTCATTTCTATAGTATTAAAAAGTCTATCATAAACTTGCCTTAGCTAAGTATTCACCTCACTCCCAACCTCTGGTATCTCACACTTTTGGTAATACCAAAAGTGAACTGCTCAGAAACCCTGCCATGTTCACTCAAGCATCTTGTCTTCTGCACTTGCTGCTCTTCCTCCCAAATGGGCAATCTCATTAGATGTTCCTTCTGGCAAACACACAATCTCACTCCATGTTCCTTCTGCCAAATGTCATTCTTCTGCTTCTTTCCCTGAAAAATTCTTCTCACTCTGCATGCTTACATTAAATCCTGCCTCCTTTCTTTCTAAAGCTTTCACTCCTCATCACATATGTCTGGCACATAATCAATATCACATATAATAAATCATAATTATAAGATTCCAGTGGGCATCTAGCACACAGTAAGCACTGAATAAAGCAGCAAAATAATAAAAATGACAATGATAATAATAACAAGCTCCTGTCTGTGTTTTTGTGTTCTGTAGCCTTAGAAAAACTGCTTAGTATCTAAAAGACATTTGACAGTTATTTGTTAAGTGGACAAGTGAAAACATAAATAAAAATGTTTTCTTTGTAAATTCTGTTGAAAAACCACAGAAATGAAATAGAAACACTTCTGTTGTGAGCACCTTAAAGATTAAAACTACATCTATTCCATCTTGTCTCCTGCAACTTATAAAACCTAACTTACAGAAGCTCTTTGATAAATAGGTAGCCAAATTAAAGGTGTCCTCATACAGTTTGGATTGTACCATGTATTAGGTGTCCACATCCAGGTAGCATACTAGCATTTTTGTTACTGTGAAACATTTTTATATTTTTATTATAATCTGCTGACCCTTGCATTGGGAAAATTGTACATTATGACAATCTTTTGGCAAATGGTAGCAGAGCACCTTCTTCTAACAAAATTACTGTTATCATGACAATTAACCAGCCGGTGGAAGAACACATCTTGTTCCAACAAAGTAAATGCATCTCTTTCAACTTCAAAACAGGAGGAATGAAGTCAGTAATAGTGAGACCTTGTTGGCACAAGCATATGTAACATGACCTGTGCTTCACTGTTCTTTTGTGAACAAAAATTCCTTACTTTTACTTTTTAAATCTATGGTAGGACCTCCCAGAGCAGGGCTCCACAACTCCCAGGCCACAGACTGGTACCAGTCCACGGTCTGTTAGGAACCATGCCACACAGGAGGAGGTGCGCAGCAGGCAAGCCAGGGAAGCTTCATCTGTATTTACAGCCACTCCTTATGGCTCATATTGCAGCCTCTACTCTGCCTCCAGTCAGATCAGTGATAGCATTAGATACTCATAGGAGCATGAACCCTGTTGTGAACTGCCCATCTGAGGGATCTAGGTTGTGTGCTTCCTATGAGAATCTAATGCCTGATGATCTGTCACTGTCTCACTTTGCCCCCAGAAGGGACCATCTAGTTGCAGAAAAATCAGCTCAGAGCTTCCACTGATTCTACATTATGGTAAGTTGTATAATTATTTTATTATATATTACAATGTAATAATAATATAAAGTAGCACAATAAGTGTAATGTGACTGAACAATCCTGAAACCATCCCCACCTTCCCCCAGCCCATGGAAAGATTGTCTTCCACAAAACCGGTCCCTGGTGTCAAAAAGATTGTGGACAACTGACCTAAAGTAATTCACTATCACAAGTCTTACCTGGGTTGCTGTTTTCAGAAGAGTATTTTGGCATCTGTTTTTCTTTGTAGTCAGAAACTAATTCGCAAATTCTATGTATAAAAATATAACAAATAAAATTACTGTTTTAAAATACTGATCTGGAAACTTACCAAATGTAAAATTCTTAGAGTATTTCAAACAATATCAGAATATCAGAACTTAACAGTATTATCCCATCCACTTATGCGTACGTTCTACAAACTTCTCATGAAGCTTCTAATTAAAGAAGAAAAAAAAGTAAGATGAAATACTCATAAATCGAGGGCACTGTGACCCAGTAAATTAACTTGCGTTAGCCTGACATAATAGAAAGTGTCCCAACTCTAAATAAGTCCTAGCTCCATAATGAACAGCTATTTGCTCTTGAACAAGCTGCTTCTCTTAGGCTTAATGTCTTCTTCTACAAAGTGAGGACTATGCTGCCTTATTTTACTAGGTTGTTATAATGATTTAACAAGATAACATTTTTTTAAATGCTCAAAGAAATAGTAAAACAATGGAATAATTTGTTCCTAAACTTTATGACTGAAATTATCTTGGAATCCCAAATAAAACCCAGTGCGAATTTTGTTCATAGGTTCTAATATGCAAATGTTGTAGTTTTCAGGAAACGTTATTAAGTCCTAATTTTGCTTCTTAGCTGTCCTACTCTTTATGGCTTCTAATTCAGGGCATCTCAACTATGTCATAGTTTGTAACTAAATTTTTTCATAAATATCTCATTAAAGTAGATAATGTGATTGTCCACTATTACGGAGTTGATGAATCACGCCAAGGGCAGAAAAACCAATGGATGTTAAGACCTGACTTGGACCAATGATCCTTCTCTACAGACTCAAACTCTCAGCCAGATGTTTGTTACGATGATGCTTTATATACATGTTCATCTCCAGCTGACATGGGAGATGAAAACCCTACTTTTATTTTTTTTTTTAGGTTCCACGAAGAAGTTGCAAGTTGGCATTCTCTAATTTTTAACATACATACTAACAATATATTTTGTACACAACACCCCACACGTTATTTGGCTCTGGTGTCATCTCACAGACCACCTTACATGACTATTTTTATTGCGCAAATCACAATTTCAATGTTTTTGTGGCACCCATTCTGCTTTGATTCACACCATTTCCTTAAAGCTACTCAGCAAACAGTCAAATGACCTTCCAGTGACTGCGCAAAATATAGAATGCTTCAAAAATTTGTGTGGCCGCCTTATGCGAGGGCCAGCTCCTTGGGAGGCTGAGGCAGGAGAAATGCATGAACCCACGTTGCAATGAACTGAGATCGCGCCACTGCACTCCAGCCTGGGCGATACAGCGAGACTCCATCTCAAAAAAATAAAATAAAATAAAATAAAATAGTAAAGTTTGCAATTCCTCTGACTCAGTTTACCATAATTACAATTATGATTACTATTAAAGAATAAATAGTGAATAACCACAATATTGGGCTTTTCTCCCTAAATAAAAAAATTAATATAAACAATGTAGCTTATTATAAAGAGCCAAAACGATTTTAAAAATGCAGACAATTACCAGGCAAAACTGTTAGAAAGAACCATGTCAAACTTGTTTTTTTTTTTTTTTTGAGACGGAGTCTTGCTCTGTCACCCAGGCTGGAGTGCAGTGCAACGATCTCGGCTCACTGCAAGCTCCGCCTCCCGGGTTCATGCCATTCTCCTGCCTCAGCCTCCATAGCAGCTGGGACTACAGGCGCATGCCACCACACCCGGTTAATTTTTTTGTATTTTTAGTAGAGATGGGGTTTCACTGGTCTCGATCTCCTGACCTCGTGATCCGCCTGCCTTGGCCTCCCAAAGTGCTGTGATTACAGGTGTGAGCCACCATGCCCGACCTACGTCAAACATTTTTAAAGTGAGAATCAATCAAACAATATACACAGGATAAACTCCATTCACTTATTTAACAAGTATTTATTAGGTAGCTACATCCAATATGCTAAGCCTTTTTCTAAGCAGTGAAGATATGGTAGTGAAAAATAAAAACCCTATTCATGACAGTGAGAAAAACACACAATAACAACAGACAGATAAGGCAAAATATACGGTATGTTAGAGGAGAAAAACTAAAGCAGGAAAATGAAATGTTTATGTGTTTGATGGGGAGGGTGGTGGGAAAGTTGAGATGGCCAGAAGAGTCTCTGCTGAGAAAGGGTTTTTTTTTTTCTAATACAAAAAACCTTTTATTTGTATATCAAAGACTCTAAGAAACGATGACATAAGGTTAACAGCGTTGATGTCAAGATACAAATAGGTTTGAAGTTAGAGATGATAAATCACTTTGTTTCATTGAACCTTGCCTTGATTACCTTAGAGAGCATTCCTTGTATGCTCCCAATTGCATCTTAAGCATGATGTGTCTGGGTAGTACACGGTTCTTCCTCAGAAAGTGGATGTTCCTTAATGTGTTTCTTTTTACCCTTTTCTTCTTCTTAGAAAGGTGGTTTTAAATAAAGAACTGAAGGAATGGAAAGAGTAAGCTAGGAGGATATCTGGGGAAAAAGCATCCCAGACACAGGGAACTGCCAAGCACAGAGGTGTGTCTGGAGTCTTTAAGCACTAGGGGTAGATACAGGATGGCAAGAATTCAGTGTGGCTGAAGCAGAGCAAGGGAGATAATCAGGAGGAACTTTGACCCATACTCAGAGTGAAAAGGAGGCAATCAGAAGTGCTGGGGCAGAGGAATGACACAATTTGACTTATGTTTTAAATACATCCACTGAGTTAAGAATTGATGAAAAGGGAAGTTTTTAAAAGCCAGGACGATCAATTCCCAGTCTATGACACTCATCTAGACTGCAGATGACAGTGGCTCAGATGTACAAGATATGACTGGCTTCTGGACATATTCTTCAGGTAGACCTGACAAGATTTACTGAAAGATTAGATATGAGGTGTCAGAGGGACAGATGAGTCAAGAATGACACTGACATTTTTGGCAGAGCAATTGGAAAAGTTGCCCTTAACCAAAATAGGAAAGACTACATGAGGTGTAGATTTCAGGAAGGACATCAGTAGCCCAATTTTGGATCTGACACGTGTGTGATACCCAATAACTAACCAAATAGAGACGTCAAGTAGGCAGGCTGATATAGAAATCTGGAATTAAGGAGAGAGATCTGAGCTGGAGACATACATTTGGAAATCACTAGCATATACATAATAGAAAAAGTCACGAGGGGCCGGGTGCAGTGGCTCACACCTGTAATCCCAACACTTTGTGAGGCCAAGGCAGACAGATCACCTGAGATCAGGAGTTTGAGACCAGGCTGGCCAACATGGGGAAATGCTGTCTCTACTAAAAATACAAAAATTAGCCAGGCATGGTGGCACACACCTGTAATGCCAGCTACTCAGGAGGCTGAGGCAGGAGAATCACTTAAACCCAAGAGGCAGAAGTTGTAGTGAGCTGAGATCACACCACTGAACTCCAGCCTGGGGGACAGAGTCAAACTCCGTCTCAAAAAAAGAAAAAGAAAAAGTCAGGAGAAAGAAGATTGAGGACTGAGCCCTGGGAAACAACAATGTCCAAAAGGAGAAAGATGAGGAGGAGCAAGCAAAACAGACCATGATGAATGGACTAGAAATGCAGGAGGAAAAGCTTGAGGGAGTGAGGTCCTGAAAGCCAAGTGAAGACGCCGTTAGGGAGGAGACGCCCTCCACTGGCTCAAATATTGCTGACAGATTAAATAAAATGAGGTGTAAGAAAAAATGCATAATTTACAGAAAAAAATTGTGATAATCTTGAGGAAAAACAATGTTGGAGGACTGCTGAAATTGAAGACGCCGGTGTGAGATTAAGAGTGAATGAAAAGAAAATTTGAGTTCGTGAGTGTGGACAGTTCTTTTAAGGACATCATGCTTAGGAGTCATGACTGAGAATGTTGTAATTTTCTTCCACAGTCATGGAAAAGTAATAGACAAATAGTTTCAAGTTTTATATAACAGGTGTAGTTTTCAAATTTTATATAACAATAATATATTTTAAAGGTTATAAAAATTATACACATGTGGCATTAAAAATGCCAGACTGAGGTGTTAAATTCTTAAAACTATAGAACTAAAAGTCGCCTTGAACATTTCTAGATTACACATAAGCTGATTATCATTTTATTCATGCTTATGCATAAAGACCAAGAAATACTAAAAGTTTCAAGGAGAGTATTTCTTGCTTGATAAAATCAGCCAATTCTAGGACAACTGATACTCATCAAATATACAAAGTAATTGATCACAGCAAAATACTGGGTTCTATTAACAGGAATAAAGTGGGAGAAATGCAGACAATAATCTTATTTTATAAATGAAATTTTTAAAATTATATGAAGTCACTGTGGAAAAATATGGTGAGGTGAATACTGAAATATATCCTTTTCTCAAAGGAAGGATAATTTCACACACGCAGGGCACTTTTACAAATAAGAGTCACTTCACTTGCAGCACCTTCCTTTTAGCACAAGGGTCAGCAAATTAGCACCTTGGGCCAAATCCAGCCCACTGCCTGTTTTTGTAAGTCAAGTATTTTGGAACACAGCCATGCTTATTCACTTTACAGTCCATAGTGTCAATTAGCTGGGTGTGATGTTGCACACCTGTGGTCCCAACTAGTAGAGAGGCTGAGGTGGGAGGATCACTAGAGCTCAGAAAGTCAAGACTGCAGTGAGCCATGATCACACAACTGCACTCCAGCCTGGGAAACAGAGTGAGACCCTGTCTCAAAAATAAATTAATTTATATAGTCCACAAAGCCTAAAATATTTACTAACTGGCTCTTTGCAGAAAAAGCTGGCCAACTCCTGGTTTAGCAGATGAAAGATCCTTTGATATATTTTAATAAAAGTTTTACCCAATATACTGAAACGTTTATATTAAATACAGATCCCCATGTACAATCCCTTGGCAATATTCAGATTGAGGGTCCAATATTTCAGCACTCAGGCACTGACAATAAAAATTTAATAACTAGCAATCTTGTTGCTAACAAGGTACAGCGTCAATATAGCATGTAGCTTCCATTTGCAACACAGGAAATATTACAAGAATTTTAACAAGAACTCTTAAGATGTCATCACTGATGCTTTAAATACACTTTAATTGTGAAATAATCAGTATACTCTAGATCTAACCTCACTTGTAAAAAATGGTTGCATACTACATTAATTTCTGGGTATGAAAATTGAGCTATTTCCTATTGGTAATGATTTACTTTTGATAATGATAATTTCCTATTGATAAGGATCCATCTTTTTGATATAATAATGCTGTAATAAATGTCCTTATACATAAGTATATATGTAACAAATCTACACAAATATCCTTTACATATATTATATATCCTTATTGTTATACATGTGTTTGTGAATATGCTACTAAATTAATGTTCAAAATGTATTTACCAGCAGTGTATGAAATGTCTTTTACAATGAAACCATTTCTTTTGCAGCAACACAGATGGAGCTGGAGGCCATTATCCTAAGCAAACTAATGCAGGAACAGAAAATCAAATGCCACATATTCTTACTCATTAGTGGGAACTAAATAATGAGAACTCATGGACACAAAGAGGAGAATAACAGGCACCAGGGTCTACTTGAAGGTGGAGCGTCGCGGGAGGGAGATGACCAAAAAACTAACTTTTGGTGTTTTGCTTATTATGTGGCTGATGAAATAATCTGCCGTCCAAATCTCCATGATACACTTTACCTATATAATAACCCTGCACATGTACCCCTGAAACTAAAAGAAAAGTTCACTAAAAAGAAAAGAAAATGCCTTTTCCCTCACATTTGCCAATACTGGTTATTTTTCAAATAAATTAATGACTGGAAAAATGGTAACTCATTGTTCGCTGATTTTCATTTTTCTGATTAATGGGCAAGGCTGAATATCCTAGTAAAACTATAAAATTTGTTCATCATGAATATTAGCCCAAACTAGGGTTAGTTTGACAGCACATAGTTATCTCCTGTTCAATGTTGCCATAGGCTTACCTGTGATACTCTTCACTTTCGTTGTCAGGAAATTGCTGATTTTCAGGTGTTCTGCTCTTCCTTTGAGGAATTAATCCATCATCACCATTGCCAGCAGTGACACCATTACTCAGGTTTTCTAGTAATCCCACATTATTACTTTCATGCTTCTTCATTTCTTCTTCAACCTTGAGTGGGATATTAAGGATAGTTATCACTTTATTGAATAAAAAGAACCTTTTTAATTGATTCTATCAATTGACTCAGTTTGTCATTATTTTAGTCATTAAAAATATTTCACACTTAAATTTGATCATATATATAGAAATATTACCATATAACTTTAAGATGTAATTATCATCTCATTAATATATCACAGAAATTTTTGTAAAGTTTGCTTCATTTCTGTTTCAATGAATGAAACAGAATTTTCCAAAATTCAAAAAGGGCCCTCCTTCATTTTGTGCTTTTATTCTCAATCACTCTTCAGAATCTTATGTATGTATTTACCCCATTTGACTCATGGGAACACGCAAATAAAAAGACAAAGATGCAAAATGTGTCTTCTGTCTTTACCACCTAGATTTTACATTAAACAGTCAGATTTAGAGGATGACACACTGTGCGGCTTCAGGAATAGAAAGGAAGTTTGCCCTTTTCTGCGCT
Source organism: Homo sapiens (assembly GCF_000001405.40). Classification (NCBI taxonomy): domain Eukaryota; kingdom Metazoa; phylum Chordata; class Mammalia; order Primates; family Hominidae; genus Homo; species Homo sapiens. The sequence goes on along the minus strand of NC_000002.12, from coordinate 130,632,011 downwards.
AAGATATTCTTCTCCCCCACTGCCTTTGAGCATTCTTTTTTCATTTGGTTGCTGAGATATCAAAAACATGATGGTGCTCACTGAAAATGGGAGCCAAAGTTTGCCAAAACACAAGAAGCAGAGTGAAACTGCTGACGTGCAAGCATGGAATTCCAGAAAATGAGATGCTCCCCAAATTTCACATTGAATAGCCATACAATTATCTAGCTGGAAGATACACAGAATAAGAAGCTATCTTCTTTAGCCACATTATCTATTGATAATCAGACTAAAACCAAGAAAGATAAAATGATTGGTCCAAAGCTCCTAAAGTGGCATTACCTAGCATTTTATGGCACCATTCAGGATTGTTCCATAATAATCAAAGAATATCTCTAGGGTTTGTATCTCTTGAAAACTCAAAGTACAGAATTCTTTCTGAGTTAAATATTAACTTTTTCACTCATGATTTATGCTACTTACATGATAGGATCATGTATGCCTACACTTACTACATTTTGTTAAACAACATAATGTAAAAATCTAATTCAACAGAAACATTTGAATATGAAGGTATACCTCTCTATCACCATCCTTATTTATTTCTGGTTCTTGAGACATTTTCTGCAGAGGCAAAAACAGAAGGTTAATTTGCTTGTTGTGTTTCTGTGATGTCTCCTCTTTTGGAGCGCATGTTTTAAAAAAATTTTATTCTTAACTAATGAAGTATGGACGATGAAAAATTAGAAAATAATTAAAATTAAAATTTAACTGTTAAATAAATAATAATTAAAATTAAGAATTAACTTTTTAATCTATGTTTAGCTACTGCCACATTACTGGCTTCTGACTAACATGTGAAAAATAATTCACCTTAGCCCAAGGAAGAAAAAAAACGTGAACCAGCAAACTTAACTTGGTCACCATTTGTTTGGACTAAACTTGTTATGTGTTAAATCTACCAAAAATGAATCAGCAGATGATTTGTAGTATTCCAAAACCTTCCTCACTTGAAAAGAGTTTACCTCATGAAACCCTAACAAGTGAGCCCCTACAGTGCACTGAAGTGCTTTTCTAAAAGATTCCTAACTGGATTGTAGGCACCATTTAAATTATTAGGAGCCGAAATCAACACCAAACAGAAAGAGATGCAAATTCTCCAATTTTAATTGAGATTATATACTGTCATATGATAGTGTTATGTATCCAGATTATCTGCTTAAGTCCAGTTCTAATATATTCTAATGTGTACTAATTACAGTGGATAAAGATTTTTTAATAATATGTACTAATTTTCTGCAACTGAAATAAATTAGAATGTTATTGTGTTTGTGCACTAACACCAAAGGTTCCATTCTGCAAGATATGATTCTTGTAATAGGCAGCTGTGTTGCTTTTATGACCTGGTTCCCTCCCTGAACAGAAACGCTGAGGTCAATGAGAGACCATAAGGCAGAATATATTTTTAAGCTTGGTATCAGTGACTGACAATATAAAACTGCAGATTTTCAATCACTGGCCATGATTACTCCTTAACCATGAATCCAGCTCAGGGACCATCAGAGTTACATTGTTCATAATTCTATTGCTTAATAACATAATCCAATAATTGATGTACCTTCTTCATCATGTTCGGGTGTTGTAAAAATAAAAGAACAAAGTTCTGAAATTTGTTTTTGCCTCTATTCCAAAAGGAAAGATTAGCTATAAGCTAATCAAAAAGGCAGATGAGAATATTTTAAATAAAAATATTATAAAATAAGAGTATTTTAAATTTTATAGTGGTTATGTTTTTTAAGTTAAATATCAAATGTTAAATTAGAATCCATTCTTCTGTTAATGAGATTACTGAATTTATTAAAATAAATTTTAACAATCTATTAAAAAATTCTTTAAAAAATCTATTGATTCTCAAAACCTAGTCTGAAAGGTAATTTCATTTGGACTATCTAATATTATTAAAGCAAAGAAAACAACATTAAATCAAAAATTTAAATTTAAAATTTCCCATGCCTCTGGCTGGCTATTTTCACTGCCTTTGAACCTTTGTGACTCTTCCTCTGATGTCAGCTTTAAGTCTTGTTCTGTTGAGAAATCCATATATTCAGTTAAAATGAACCACTTAGAACAGTTAAAAACTATTGCCTTTATAAAAATAGATTTAAGACAACATTTTATTTCATAAATTGAGTGTTTAGTTTTTCATGAAATAGTTATTTAGGAAATAATTCTCCCAAACTTCAACAAACCACTTGGGGAGACACCTGATGTCATTCACTCACAAATTCATCCACCCAACATAAATGAACAAAACCACCAGAAACACAACTTTAAAATACAGTAGAAACATATAAGGTAACACAGTATGTTGTTCTCCACTTCCTAATAGTGAAGCAGTAAATGTAAAGAAAAGGAAATTTAGTTTTAAAGAGAAACAAGTTTTCCTGCACTTAGCTAGTCTGACTCTAAGGATAGTAACAAGCAGGGCCCAGGAAAGGTCATGGTGACCCTGCCTGAAAAGCCAGAGCCCACAGGTATGGGCTCCAGACATCCCACAGCAAGGTTAAGAAAACAAAATCCTTTACTGTCTCCCCTTCCCCTCAGCATTCACTCAGAGCTGTTTTTACAAATGCATATTATTTGCAAGTTCCTGTTGTCCTTCAATGCAGCTGCAAGGTCATAAGCTACGCTGAGGTTGCAAAACTGTCACTATATGATTAACTGCCTTTGTTCTGCTTCTGTAAGCTTGCCTACATAAGCCAAGCCCTGTCTTTGTTCAGGGCTCAGCTTTCGGATGCAAATCCGCTGAGCTGGTGCGAACCTAAATGAAATCCTCCTGTTTCACCCACTTGGTCTCTCCTGCTTCCTGTTTTCTGCAACAATAGTACCTTACAAATGATTTCAAAAATTACTACTGACACCTTTATTAGTGTACAATGTCTTCCCAATATCTAAAATGTTTCCCTCCACGATTCGGACATATTTATTTTCATTTTTCTTTCTTTTTTTTTTTTGAGCCAGGGTCTTGCTCTGTCACCAGGCTGGAGTGCAGTGTCGCAATCTCAGCTCACTGCAACCTCTGACACTCCCTGGTTCAAGCGATTCTCCTGTCTCAGTCTCCGGAGAAGCTGGGATTACAGGCATGCACCATCAGGCCCTGCTAATTTTCGTGTTTTTAGTAGAGATGGGGTTTCACCATTGGCCATGATGGTCCTGATCTTTTGACCTTGTGATCTGCCTGCTCCAGCCTCCCAAAATGCTGGGATTAGAGGTGTGAGCCACCACACTTATCCTTATTTTTATCTTTTAAAACAATGCTATGAGAACGTCTTCCTTGATTCTGCATGTCTTTCCCCAGATAAACAGGTACCTCCTTCCTTGAGGCTGCCTTAGTACTTCACTGATTTTTCTACTGCATCTTTACCACCTGAACTCTACATTATTCCTCCACATGTCTGTCCCGTCTGCTCCAAGACTGCAGAGGACAGTCTTGCACATCATCTTACTCACATTTTACTCAGAAATTTCTTATTGAGTCCTGCTAAATACATGCTAGGCATTAGGGTTTAAAAACAATTAAAATAAAGCATGTCAGGGATGGCTTTTCTAGAAAACATGCCCAAGCAGAGACTTAAATATTGAGACTAGCCAGATTAAAAGGGGTAGAGGGCAGGAAAGGGTGACGGCATGCCACACAGCAGCAAGAGCGGGAGCGAGGCCTGAAAGAGTGAAAATATTTGCCTACAATAGCAGGATGAGTGAGTAGGGCATTGCCAGCAGCTCAGTAATGCCAGAGAAAGGGCACACAGGGAAAAGGCCTAAAGATGGAGAGTGGGGCAGAAGTCAGATTATGAAAGCCTTATGTGTAATTTTAAGATGCCTGGACATTAATGTTCAAGAGAGGTCCCTGATCCTATCTGCATTTAGATATAGATCACTTTAAATGCCAAAACCAATATTCCTAGTGAACCATTATTCATTAAGACAAGGTGACAGATAGCTCATGTGGACACAGCTGAGATGATACTATGTAGCAAATTCTCAATAATTCTCATGAACACTTGGAAAGTCAATTCTATAAGAAGTCAGAGAAATTATAATAAATCACTTAATACTTGGTTTGGGAAGGTGATTTCTAAAGTTATAGTGCCTATGAATTTAACTAATAATTGTGAATTCAGAGCTGTGACAATAAAGCAAAGAAACCACATTGTGTTTGAGTCAGCAATCTTTAGATTTCTATCCAGTCTTCCTACCCAGTCCGTAAATTCTAACTATAATCCTGGTACTCACTCTCAAGTTTATGTTAAATACTAGCCTATACAAAAAACACTCTTTCTCTTTTTTCATTTTGTTATTTATATATTGCTTTGTTTAAAGGAAGAACACAAAAATGCCCTGCTAAAGGGATTCTGTTTGGTTGCAGGCTGCAAGCGGGGAAAAAATCAAAGTGTATTTTGCAGAAAATGATTTTTTAGAAGTCAGAACTATGACATGAAGTCAAGCAGGGCACTCTAGGACTGAATTTGCTGTGCTGCCTTCATATGCTCCTTGCTCGCTCTTTTCTGGCAGCTGTGACTCACACAGGTCATGGAGAGTATCATTCCCTAAAAGGAACAACTCCAATATTCATCTTTATCCATTAAGTTCATCTGTCCCATTCTATGTCTGTGGATGCTAACTTTTGATCATTGATGGTGATACACATGGACATTTATCATCAACTTTCAGATTCTTGGATCTTTGACAAGTCTTATTAGTGAGAGTCAAACTAGTAGGATGCGAGTTATAAATGCTGGTTATCCAATTACCTACTCAAAATATCCTACATGAATTTTCCATTAAACATGCATAGAAAAACATTAGTCATTCCTGCTGACCTGCTGCTCTTTGCTCTTCGGTATTCACCAGAAAATTTCCTCCTTCTTCCTCACATCCAGGTTAAATACTACTGTACAACCTGGAAACCTGGAAATTATCTGACATTTCTCTCTGTCCCCCAAGGCTTTCTCATTCAATTATTACTAAATCATATTGACGATACCTCTCTTCTGCCTCTGCTTTATATTCCCACTGCCACTGGGAACACAAACATTTACAAAATGGCTTTTATTTAAAAAAAAGCCTGCCAACTATTAATGTTATTTCTTACATGAAAAAAAATTAAGCAAAACAAATGAAAAAAGCATAACACCAAAAAAACAAAGGCCAACATATTAAAACAAGTAGTTGAGATTCCTAACTTTATGTATTTCACTAAGGACGGGTGAAAACCTTGTAATACATTGATGCTACTCCAAGGATGTATGACAAGGAAACTATAGCTGACTACTGCAAAAACTTCCTTTGTCTCCTGGTTTCTTTACAGGGTAAAGAACCTTCCATCAATCCCAGCAAACTATAGGCCACAGGCCAAATCCAATCTGCCTTATGGTTTTGTAAATAAAGTTTTATAGGAGCTCAGTCATGCCTGTTTGCTTACATATAATCATGGTGGCTTTCACACTACAACAGCAGACAACAGCAGGGTTAAGTAGATATGACAGAGACCACATAGTCTAAAATATTGCCCACCTGGCCATTTACAGAAAAAGCTTGCTAACCCGTTTTACACCATAACCAGAATGCCTTAATACTCAAATTTAATCTTGTGACTCCCCTGCTCAAATTTCTCCAATGAGCCCCTGCAGCACACATTGTTGGCTCCCTATCAATAGCCATTCCTTATTCTTTCTTGAAGAAGAAATCCAAGTCTATTGGGATATTTATTATCCCAATCCCCCTCCTCAGCCTCAGAAACAGAAATGTTTATTCTAAGCTAATCAGGTATTTACCTTCCCAGTGCCTGGTTTGGGAATGAGCATGTGGTGTGACCCAGCCAATGAAATGTTACAGGAAGCCCCTTGCATGCTTCTAAGTTTTCTCCCTGTTTAAAAGACACATGTGAAGAAAAGCAGCCCTTGCGATGTTGTGTTGTGAGAACAAGATGTTTGGAGCTGCTGCGGATTAGCCAACCATGAAAGGAGACGTGAATAAAACACTGCCAACAGCACAGCTGAAAGAGGGAAAAGTGGGATCCTAGGATATCAAAGAACAACCAAAACAACTCTGGTTCTTACTGTTTTAGCCACTGTTCATCTAGTATTTGCAGTCCAAAGCATTCTACCCGGTAAATTTCCCATGGCACACAGGATAAGACCTACTCATCTCTATAGTATTAAAAAGTATATCATAAACTTGCCTTAGCTAAGTATTCACCTCACTCCCAACTTCTGGTATCTCACACTTTTGGTACTAGCAAAAGTGAACTGCTCAGAAACCCTGCCATGTTCACTCAAGCATCTTGTCTTTTGCACTTGCTGCTCTTCCTCCCAAACAGGCAATCTCATTAGATGTTCCTTCTGGCAAACACACGACCTCGCTGCATGTTCCTTCTGCCAAACATTCTTCTTCTGCTTCTTTACCTAGAAAAATTCTTCTCTCTCTGCATGCTTACCTTAAATCATACCTACTTTTTTCCAAAACTTTCATTCCTCATATGTCTGGCACATAATCAATATATAATAAATCATAATTATAAGCTTCCAGTGGGCATCTAGCACACAGTAAGCACTGAATAAAGTAGTAAAATAATGAAAATGACAATGATAACAAAAAGCTCCTGTCTGTATTTTTAATTGTTTGTGGTCTATAGCATTAGAAAAATGGTTACTATCTAAAAGACATTTGATAGTTATATGTTAAGTGGACAAGTGAAAACATAAATAGCAATGTTTTCTTTGTAAATTCTGTTGAAAAAGCACAGAAATGAAATGGAGACAGCTCTATTATGAGCACCTTAAAGATCAAAACTACATCTATTCCATCTTTGTCTCCTGCAACTTATAAAACCTAACTTACAAAAGCTCTTTGATAAATAGATGGCTAAATTAAAGGTGTCCTCATACAGTTTGGACTATATAATGTATTAGGTGTCCACAACCAGGTAGCATACTAGCATTTTTGTTAGTGTGAAACGTTTTTCTGCTTTTATTATAATCTGCTGAGCCTAGAGTTGGGCAATTTGTATATTTATTATGACAATCTTTTGGCAAATGGTAGCAGAGCATCTTGTTCTAACAAAATTACTGTTATGATGACAATTAACCAGCAGGTAGGAGAACACATCTTGTTCCAACAAAGTAAATATATCTCTTTCCAACTTCAAATGAGGAGGAATGAAGTCAGTAATAGTGAGACCTTATTGGGACAAGCATATGTAACATGACTTGTGCTTCAGTGTTCTTTTGTGATCAAAAATTCCTTACTTTTACTTTTTTATCTATGGTAGGACCACGCAGAGCAGGGGTCCTCAACTCCCAGGCCACACACTCATACCAGTCCATGGACTATTATGAACCACACCACACAGGAGGAGGTGAGCAGCAGGCAAGCCAGGGAAGCTTCATCTGTATTTACAGCCACTCCCTATGGCTCATATTACCGCCTGTACTCTGCCTCCAGTCAGATCAGTGATAGCATTAGATACTCATTGGAGCATGAACCTGTTGTGAACTGCCCATCTGAGGGATCTAGGTTGTGTGCTTCGTATGAGAATCTAATGCCTGATGATCTGTCACTGTCTCACTTTGCCCCCAGATGAGACCATCCAGTTGCAGAAAAATTAGTTCAGAGCTTCCACGGATTCTACATTATGGTAAGTTGTGTAATTATTTCATTATATATTACAATGTGATAATAATATAAAGTAGCACAATAAATGTAACATGATTGAATAATCCTGAAACCATCCCCACCTTCCCCCAGCCCATGGAAAAATTGTCTTCCACAAAACCGGTCCCTGGTGTCAAAAAGGTTGGGGACAACTGACTAAAGTAATTCACTATCACAAGTCTTACCTGGATTGCTGTTTTCAGAAGAGATTTTTAGCATCTGTTTTTCTTTGTAGTCAGAAAGTAACTGGCAAATTCTATGTATAAAAATGTAATAAACCAAATTACTATTTTAATACTGATATAAAAATCTTACCAAATGCAGAATTATTAAGAGTATTTCAAACAATATCAGAATATCAGAACTTAATAGTATTATCCCATCCACTTATGAGTACATTCTACAAACTTCTCTTTAAGCTTCTAATTAAAGACGAAAAAAATGTAAGGTGAAATACTCATAAATCAAGGGCACTGTGACCCAGTAAATTAGCTAGCATTAGCATGACATAATAGAAAGTGTCCCAACTCTGCATAAGTCCTAGCTCCATAATGAACAGCTATTTGTTCTTGGACAACTTGTTTCTCTTAGGCTCAATGTCTTCTTCAACAAAGTGAGGACTTTGCTGCCTTATTTCACTAGGTTGTTATAAAGATTTAACGAGATAACATTTTTTAAATGCTCAGAGAAATAGTAAAGCAATGGAATAATCTGTTCCTAAACTTTATGACTAAAATTATCTTGGAATCCCAAATAAAACCCAATGCGTATTTTGTTCATAGGTTCTAATATGCAAATGTTGTAGTTTTCAGAAAATGTTATTAAGTCCTAATTTTGCTTCTTAGTTGTCCTACTCTTTATGGCTTATAATTCAGGGCATCTCAACTATGTCATAGTTTATAACTAAATTTATTCATAAATATCTCATTAAAGTAGATAATGTGATTGTCCACTATTACGGAGTTGATCAATCACACCAAGGGCAGAAAAACCAATGGATGTTAAGACCTGACTTGGACCAACGATCCTTCTCTACAGACTCAAACTCTCAGCCAGTAGATGTCTGTTAGGATAATGCTTTATATTGATGTTCAATTCCAGCTGACATGGGAGACCAAAAGTCTACTTTTATTTATTTTAGTTTCCACGGAGAAGTAGCAAGCTGACATTCTGTAATTTTCGACATACATACTAACAATATATTTTGCACCGAACATGTTATTCAGGTCTAAGTCATCTCATAGACCATCTTACATGACTATTTTTGCAGCAGAAATCACAATTTCAATATTTGGGTGGCACCCATTTTGCTTTGATTCACACTAATTCCTTAGAGCTAGTCAGCAAATAGTCAAATGACCTTCCAGTGACTGCACAAAATATGGAATGCTTCAAAGATCTGTGCTGCCTCCTTATGCAGAAGCCACGCTAACTTTCCCCGTATTGTTCCAATTTTAGGATATGTGCCGCCGAAGCAAGCACAAAGCCCTACTTTTACACATGATTAGTGATGCGTCATGGACAAGGCTTGGCTCTGTTAAGTCCAACTAACCTACTTGAGATTCTGAGAATTCTCTTCAATGGCTTCCTGTGAGCTAGAGTTTGAAAATATTTTAAAATCTTGAGCTAGAGATGGAAGTAGCTGGGACAATTTTCATTATCATGTAAATCAGATCACTCAAGGGGCCAACCACAGCTGGGAGCCACTGCTCAGGGGAAGGTTCATATGGGACTTTCTACTGCCCAAGGTTCTATACAGGATATAAAGGTGCCTCACAGTACAGATCTGGTAGCAAAGAAGAAGAAACAAACACTGATCTCTTTCTGCCACATTATTTGAACCCCTCTCACCCTTTAGAACAAGCCCACCTAATATCTGCTAGAGAAAAGACCAACAACAGCCTCAAAGGATCTCTTACCATGAAGGTCTCAGCTAATTCCTGGCTAAGATGTGGGTTCCACATTAGGTTCTGAATATGTGGGGAAGGGTCAATTTGGTCACTTTGTGTGCGGATAAAGTCAAGATGCCCAGCGGCCAGAGCAGGGGGCTGGTGCTCTGGGAACAATGGCTGAGCATATAAGCATAGGTATGGGAATTAAAAAACATCAAAGTCACTGTATGAATCGCCATGAAGACTTGAGGGATCTGAATCTACTGATTCATCTTAAGGCAGCAGGACCAGTTTGAGTGGCCACAAAGCAGCAACAGAATCAACGGAAACAACAGAATGATTGCAATGTCTTTTTTCCTCCTCCTTCTGACTTGATAAAAGGGACTGTCTTCCTTGGATTTAGTAAACCCCTTCGGTTCTTGAAAAATTCAAGGAGTATGTAGGACATAGTGCCCAGAAGACAGTACAAGACTTTCCGCTAAACTGGACATTTCAAGACCCAAATAACTAATCAGAAAAATTAAAGATGTGACACTATTTTTTATCCCATGCATAGGTGTTACACTTGGATCAAATGAACAATGCTGGGATCTCTAAGGATAAAGATCTTAAAAGTCCTGAGATAAAGAATCCCGCACCCATTGGTACTTCTAACTTGTCTTGCTTTTTGTCTGATTTCTGGCTGATGCAGGGGACTAACTCACTGCCACGCGAAAACTACCTGAACCAAACTATGACATCTCACCTGATATGTAAGATGCAACTGTTATAATTATTTTAAACCTCAATTCAGCATTAACTAGCCTTTTAATGTGAACACTTACACATGATGATGACTAGAAACAGCATACTCTCTGGCCGTCTGTCCAGATAGATCTTGAGAAGATACATCAATATTTTGCTCAAGTAGAAGGCTGACTATACTTGCTGATCCACAACATACAGCAAGTATGAGAGCAGTTCTAAAATGACAGAGATAGGAACTGTAATAAAGTTATTTTTAAAGCTAATTTGATATACTTTACCAATGTAACATCTTGCCTGTCTGTGCAGAATCAAACATTTACATGCACTAAAAGACATAAGCATCTTGAGTGCTCAAGTGTTCATCTTTGTAAAATACCACAAAGGTTAAAAGGAAGGGACCAAAAAAAACCCTCTTATCTCAGTGGGGTATTGCATAGCAGAAGCTACTAATTTAACATCCTTTGATGGGCAAGAAACAATGTTAGGGCCACTTATCTGAAGTGGACAAAGATTTAAGTGAAGAGTTTGTCACAGCTTCCCTAGACAGATATGCTGTAATAGAAAATCAGCTAGGGGGTAAGAGAAATAAGAGCTCTCTGCATGCTCAAAGCAGTAATATTAACAATGGTAAGAATAGTAGTCATAGGAGTTTCAGTTAATGGTGCCAATAACCATGTGCTAGGCACTGAATTAAATCCTACATTTATCTTTCTTACTTATGCACAGCCAACTTTTAAGGATATATTCTCCTACTTTTCATACATGACAACACATTTGGTGGTAAATAACATCCCCAAGGTCACACACCTAGCAAGTAAGAAAGTTAGGAATTAACCCAGTCTTGTGTGAATCCAAAGCCTAGCTCTTTTCTCTTTATCACCCACCTACATCTTGCCTTCATTAAAGGAAAAGTGTATCCACTTAAAACTATCTTCACTCCCTCTCTCCATACCAATTAAAACTAAAAACACCAAAATACACTGGAAATAAAAAAGGAAAAAAGCTGTTGAACCCACAGTATGTGGGAACAGCAATTAATTGTCATGTAGCAATAAGCTAACATTAATATTCTTCAAAGAAAGCAACTTAAAGCAGAGTCATTGAAAAGACAAAAGGATTTTCAACCCCTATTTATGTTTAATACAGCATATTTAGTGGAAAAGCATGTAAGACACAGAGGTTAAAAACTATTAGAAAGGGTTAAGAAGTTCAATACTGAGTCATAAAGTAAACTAAAAGTTAAAGTTCAAACTTCATAAAATTAATATGAAATGCCTTTAGCTAACATAAGATCATGTAACCAAAAACGTCACATAACAAATAACATCAGTCAATATAATGAGAAGACGAATCCTACTAAAACTGTTCTTTATGTTGCCCAGTCCAAGTAATTGTTTTTCTACCTAACTGATTTGTGTTGATACTGATCACTACATCCCAGTAAGTATACATTAATCTTATTAATTTAATATTTATGACTTGAGTGACTGCTATCCATCTAGAACACAGATTAAAAGAAAGAACTATACCTTCCATATCTATCCAGTGCATTTAAATTCGCTTTTTTCTTGATTAAAAATTTCACCACTTGCTGTTTTTGCTCATGTACACCAAGTAGCAGTGGTGTGAGGCCATGCTGTAAAACAATATAAAGCAAAAACCTATGTAATTCAAAAAAGTACATATTCCTCAACCAAAGTGGAAACTTTATATAAGATCTTATGGACTTACACGCATAGAAGTAAATAAAATGTAGTCACTTCCTTCTCACTCTTCTGTGCTTTCCCACACGCTGCTCCTTCCCTTGGAAACACCCCTTCTCTGCCTCACCACAGTAACTCTAATCATCTCAAAAACTCACTTTAAACATTTACTGCTTCCAAGGCTCTTTGCTTCTAAACCAGCATTTGGCATGGTGTTATTGGATGATAATATTTTTCCCATCTAAACAAAAAGCTTCTTGAGGGCAGGGGCTGTATCTTTTGTCTCTATATCCTCAACCCTAAGACAAATTGTGTATAAAGCAAGAATCTGCATGTAAAATATTTCTTTAGTTTCATGTTTTACCAAAAGTTCAACCTCCAACATGCAACAAAAATTGCTATTAAAACTCATACTGCCCATTTGAAAAAATTTTCCAACATTTATTTATTTAAAATCTATTTGTATTTAATTTTCCCAGATTGTTAACTAAACCATCAGTTCATAGGACTACTGAAACTAAATTAACAGAATTCCTATCTGTATTCTTAATAACTCCATGGTTTTTAGTGTTTAAAACTGCCATGCTGATTATGCCAAAGCTCTACATACTTAAGAGACACACTGGATAGTCCATAATACAGCGTCAATTGACAAAAAATGGTTTAGAATTTGCTACAATTCTAATTGAGAAAACTCTGCTCTTAACGACTTACTGACCTAAGTACTTGAATGACTGAACAAAGAGACACAAAATCCTGAGAGGGCCATACTCACAGCAAATTTCTAAAGACCTTCTGAATGGCAGTGAATAACTGATGGTAGAAAGGAAAAGGTATTATTCTGTAAGCTGATACATACTACCAATAATATTCATTTTAATGTCTCAACCACAGAGATAAAAGTCAGACTAGGTCAGGAATGGTGGCTCACACCTGTAATCCTAGCATTTGGGGAGGCTGAGGTGGGTGAATCGCTTGAGCCCAGGAGTTCAAGACCAGCCTGAGAAACATGGCAAAAACCTCATCTCTACTGAAAAATAAAAAAAAATAAAAAAAATAAAATAAAATAAAAAAAACTGAGGTTGGAGGACCATCTGAGCTTGGAGAGGTCGAGGCTGCAGTGAGCTGTGATCACACCACTGCATTCCAGCCTGGGAAACAGAGTGAGACCCCATCTCAAAAAAAAAAAAAAAAAAAAAAAAAGTCAGATTAATGTTATTGGAAAGATTTAAAGAAATCAGCACATATCCAACCCCAACTCTTCTAGAGATACCTTAAGTTTCTGAGACATAAGAATTTACATATTACATTTATGTATTGAGTGGTTCTTAAGCAGGAGTGTATCCAGATTTTGAGAAAATTGTTGTTGTTGTCGTCGTCGTTGTTGTTGTTGTTGTTGTTGTTAGAGACAGGGTCTCATTATGTTGACCAGGCTAGACTCGAACTCCTGAGCTCAAGCAATCCTCCCACCTCAGCCTCCCTAGCAGCTGGGACTACAGCCATGCACCACCATGCCTGGCTTCAAGGAAACATTTTCAAATATACATATCCAGGCTTTATTAGACTTACTGTATCAAAATATTCAGAAAAAGCCTAGACTTGTTGATTATTTAAACATTTTCCTCAGGTTACTGGGATGCACAATTCTAGCTGAAAGCTAGTGCAACAGACAATTACTTCAGTCTCATTTCTCACCCATATGACCAATTCCCTTTCTCATTTGAAGATTTGGCCAAAAAGAGTAAGGAGTAGGAGAGAGACCCATTTGCTGAAAACACCACATGATTTTCCCCGGTAAGAGAAGAACAGGGTCTAGTCAACTCAAAATCCAACTTGATCTTGTTACTTATTTATCTTCCACCTTCCCATCCAGACACTCTAGATTTGAAAGCAGAGCTGAGACTCTAATTGGCCATTTCTACCAGAATAGGATACTAAGTCAGTTAATTACTTGATATTCCCTCTGCTCAAGGGTTTCCCCTTACATTACCACCTATTCACTGCCAATCTGGTTCCTCAGAGGCCTCCTAAAATTGATCTCTATTCAGTTTACAACCCACTAACTCCCTCTCCCAAACTGAAAACTGTCATTCTCTAAAATTGAAGAGAACCTTGTCTCACCATACAAAGGGAACAAATCAATCAACAACGACAACACACACACACACACAACCTCTTCATGGTCTTTTCCCTCTATTACCTAATTTCCAAATTGGCCTTGATATTTCTGATTGCTCTCTTTTCCGCTTTCCACTTCTGCCTCATGAGCAATCAGAAATATCTTAAGCCTTGCCACTGACAGGCGCATCACCTTCGTATCTATTACTGTTTCTTAGGAACTTGCCAAAGGGGCAGGATCTCTATTCATTGAAACATATTTAAGTTTTCTTGGAGTTTTCATGTAAAACCTATTTCAGGGCAAATTTTGCCATTTTACATTCATTAGGGGAAAAAAATCCTAGGAGGGAAAAATTGAAAAATAGTAAGTATTACCTTCTACAAATTCAGTGCTTTCAAAAAAATTATTTACCACAAGCGCATTAAAAAAAAAACTGTACCCTCTAATGCTTCTTTGAAAGTAACAATATTTAAAATGAAGTCTTAGATAATTAGGTCATTTCAAAATATTTTCATTCAGGTTATGCTTGAGCTTCCAAATATGGAAGACTGGCCCTTACACAGGTCAATGTTAAAATGAATGCATTTCAGTATTTGAAGATAAAATTGGTAGATCTATACCTTGTTTTTTGATTCGATATCAGCACCGTATAAGAGCAGTGCTTTGGCCATTAATTTATCTTCATTGTAGATAGCGTAGTGTAGAGTGGTATTTCCATACTCATCTGGAATGTTTGGATCAGTGCCATGTTCCAGCAACATTAACGCACATTCATCTTCCTGGCATTGTACGGCCTGTCAGTATTAGACCAAAAACAAATTACAAATCCTAGGAATTCAAAATAACATTCCACAGCTTTCACCACCTAAGTTATATTTAAAGGAGAAAACTCATTTTTATGCTATGTATTGAAATCAAACCCACCTCATGCTGATATAGTTGGCTACTGCATACCTTTGTCAGAGCTGTCCTCTTTTTGTTGTCAAGGACATTAAGTTGACATCGTCTGTCCAGCAGGAGTTTTACTACTCCTGAATTCCCATTGGCAGAGGCCAGATGTAGAGCAGTCCTATGAGAGTGACAAGACTTTTTAGGAAATTGTAGTGCACTAGCTACAGCCATAGCAATGATTCATGTAATTGCAAACACTGAATAGCCTGCTATTACTCTGCCTTCAAAACAAACATTTAACTTTCCCATGAAAAAAGCACACTATTTATTATCTCTCTTTACTCGCTGTATTAATGAAAGAGCATCCTATATGAATACAAAGAGCATAGCCCTTGGATGACATTCAACTTGAGCTGGAATCCTACTTGAAGCTCTGTCACTTCCTGGCTGTTGCTTAGCCTTTTGGGGTCTCAGTTTCCTCATCAATAAAATAGGAATGAAAATAGTAGCTTTCTTACGGGAAACCACTGTAATGCTTAAATGAGACTCTGCACAAAAGATATAGAATAGTTCCTAACACAAATAACAGCTCAATAATTGTTAGATATTTTAATTTTTACTAATACCACTAAAGACAACATTTGAATTGAGATGATACAATTATACCTGCACTTTCAGGTGTGTTTTAAATATTACAGCTAACATTGTATTTTAGTGATTCTGAGATGATCATTGTCTCCATGTTGTGTCCACTGAAATACCACTTACAATTCATGATTTACTATAATTTGCGGCATTTAAATAATTCTCTTATTGAGGCATAAAATAATGGGGCATCATACAATCCCTGGTGTCTTACATTAAGTAGAATATGTTACAACAGGTCTGGGGCGGTTCCAGTCAGATGACCAGCATTTAGATAAATTTTAGTTCCTAAAAGAACTATGGAATAAGAGAGCAGAGGTGAAAACAAAAACAAATTTCTAAAATAAACCAATTCTTACTTTGGTTTTCAATAAACTTTAAGTCAAAGAAAACTTGGAATTCAAATGAATAGCATGGGCTCATTTTTGTCAACACTTAGATTTATACAATGTATGTACATCAGATATTTCCAATCATTCATATTAGGATTTAAGACTGTTATAAATTTTGTTGTTTTAAAATGGATTTATGAAACTATTTGTGGAGCTTTTTTCAACTTTTACATTCAGGGATACATGTGCCGGATGTGCAGGTTTGTTACATAGGTAAATGTGCACCAAGGGGGTTGGTTGTACAGATTATTTCATTACCCAGGTGTTAAGCCCAGTACCCGTTCGTTCTATTTCCTGCTTCTTTCCCTCTTCCCACCCTCCACCCTCTGATAGGCCCCAGTGTGTGTTCCTTCCCTCTAGGTATCTGTGTGTTCTCACCATTTAGCTCCCACCTGTAATTGAGAACGTGCTGTATTTGGTTTTCTCTTCCTATGTTAGTTTGCTAAGGATAATGGCTTTCAACACCATCCATGTCCCTGCAAAGGACATGCTCTCGTTCCTTCTTTTATGGCTGCATATTATTCCATGCTGTTTATGTACCACATTTTAGTTCTTAAAACAACTAAAACAGTCTTTTCCCCAAGACATAAATTTTCAAAAGGGCAGTTAAAGGTTATCTATTACTATTTTCTACCTCCAGAAATGCTTTTGTTTGAAAGGAGGGAGGAAAAGCTTCAATTGAGATTAAGTCCTAATGCCCCAATTTTAAATCTCTCAGCTTGCTCAAGCCCAGCAGGAAAACATGTAGTTTTCAAAGACGGAAGGATCCTGAGAGATAGTAGAATATGCCTGCCACATAATAGGTGTCTGGCTTATGTCTGATGACTAAATGGATAGGAAAAATGGATGAACACAGCTTGGGAGTTCAATATTTTTAAAGAAAACTCCTATAGAGTAGCGCAATACATTTGCAATAGCAATAATCATTTATATTTGCTATTTTAATTTTCATAAATATATAACTCAACTAAAATGATTAATTCATACTTTTTACATGTTAATCTATATATAATGAAAAGATAATTATGGAATAAAATGTATATATAATAAAATCTACAGGAACAGGTAAACACGACCCCTCTTCTTCTGAAGAGGGTAAAAGTTCACAGAAAATAGCCAACCACAGAAATAAAAATAAATAATAGAATGTGAGGAATTATTTGCATCTATGCAAGAAGCATATTCCTTCTCTTCCCAAGGATTATTGCATTAGTAATGAACCTTAACTACAACTTCAGATGTTCATTGCAGAAATCACAGATAAGAGAAAGGGAAAAACTTCACTTACAAATCCCCAGAAACAAGTTTGATCATATTTTCTACAGATTTTCAGCTAACACGAGCAGATTCTGTTCGTGTATATGTGTAACAAACTGATTTTTTTCTCACTTGATATAGCAAAGTACATCTTTGCACGTCGACATATCTCTGTATCTACTGACACCCTCAATAGTTACATATTATTCCATCCTATGGATGCACTGAAATTTGTTCATAAAATCTTTATATGGGTTCTTCTAAATACACTGCTATTTTAAGCAATACTAAGAAAAACACATCTATTTCGTAAAGATATTTCAGTATAATGGAATTGATAAGTAAAAAGCATACACATTTTTAAAATGTAGTTCTTACCACTAAAGTGTCTGTTTGAAAAGCTGCAGCAACTTAAACTTTAAACAACTACATAAGTACCACTGTTCTTCATCCTCACAAACTTTGTGGATAGAAAACAGTATTTCATTCCTTTTTTTTTTTTTTTTCTTTTTTTTTTGAGATGGAGTCTCACTCTATCACTCAGGCTGGAATGTAGTGGCGCGATCTCGGCTCACTGCAACCTCCACCTCCCTGGTTCAAGCAATTCTCTTGCTTCAGCCTCCTGAGTAGCTGGGATTACAGGTGCGTGCCACCATGCCCAGCTAATTTTTTGTATTTTTAGTAGAGATGGGATTTCACCACACTGGCCAGGCTGGTCTCAAACTCCTGACTTCATGATCCACCGCCTCAGCCTCCTAAAGTGCTGGGATAACAGGCGTAAGCCACTGCACCCGGCCTTTCATTCCTCTTCTAACTTAAATAGAAAGCAGTATTTCATTCCTCTTCTAACTTAAATTCCTTCTTCTACCAGGAACACTGTATTTTCCTATGTGCATAGGTCACTGGTAGATATGCAAAAAAAGTACTTTGCCCAATTTTAAAATGAGCTTATTTTATTATGTCTGCATATATACACCAGGCACGGTGGCTCACGCCTGTAACCCCAGCACTTGGGGAGGCCAAAGTGGGTGGATCACGAGGACAGGAGTTCAAGACCTGCCTGGCCAAGATGGTGAAACCCCATCTCTAGTAAAAATACAAAACAATTAGCCAGGCATGGTGGCAGGCGCCTGTAATCCCAGCTACTCAGTAGGCTGAAGCAGAGAATTGCTTGAACCTAGGAGGCAGAGGTTGCAGTGAGCCGAGATCACACCACTGCACTCCAGCTTGGGCTACAGAGTGAGACTCCACCAAAAAAAAAAGTATATATATATATATATATATATATACACACACACACACATATATATGTATATATATACACACACATATATATGTATATATACATATGTATATATATGTATATATACATATGTATATATATGTATATATACATATGTATATATATGTATATATGTGTATATATATGTATATATATGTATATATATCTGCGTATATAAATAGGCATTTATATTTTTTCTGGTATGTTTCTCCTTTTGTATGTTTAAAATTTTTAATCTATACTCTTATTTTTGTGACATAAAAATCTAGCTAGTTTTCTCCAAAAATGAATTATGAACAATCCATCTTTTTTAAATAATACAAAACATCACCATTATCAAGTGCTAAATTCTTACATATATTTGGGTATTTCTAAATTTCCTATTCTGTTCTATTCATTGATGTCTTTTCAGCTGTTAGTAAACAATTTGTGGAAATAAATAACACATGCACATTTTGATATCTGGAAAAGCAAGCCTTTTTCCATTCTGTTACAAAAAATTAATTTATCACAATAATAAAAGACAGCATGTGTAATTTAAAAACGCTAAAACTTTGCTATTTTTATTTGGCTTATGTAAAAGTGATAAATAGAAAAAGCTCACATCTTTTTTTTTTTTTTTTTTTTTTGAGACGGAATCTCGCTCTGTCTCCCAGGCTGGAGTGCGGTGGCACTATCTTGGCTCACTGCAAGCTCCGCCTCCCGAGTTCACGCCATTCTCCTGCCTCAGCCTCCTGAGTAGCTGGGACTACAGGCACCTGCCACCGTGCCCGGCTAATTTTTTTTATAATTTTTAGTAGAGACAGGGTTTCACCGTGTTAGCCAGGATGGTCTCGATCTCCTGACCTCGTGATCCGCCCGCCTCCCAAAGTGCTGGGATTACAGGCATGAGCCACCGCGCCCAGCCAAAAAGCTCACATCTTAAGAAAATTCAATCTTCCTATTCAAGCACAGGAACCATCTTCCCATTTCAGTTTCCTTCTAAGGTTCCTCAGTAAAGAACGTATTTACATAGGGTACATTGATATAAAATCCATACTGGATTTTATTTGAAGAATATTTAGCCCTGAAGTTGATGTGTTATGGGGCTTCATTCTTAGTTCTCAATATACACTTTTCTATAATGTATAGAACATTGTTTTAAAATCTGTAGATTAAAAATAATCTGCTGCATTGACTTAATTAATTTTGCAAGTTAAATCACTTTAAAACAGTCTATTAGTGTTCTACGAGGGAAATTATAATTTGATTGGAAATCAGCTAAAGTTTTTTTTGTGTGTGTTGCTGTTCATAAAGGGGCCTGTGCCCTGACCTCTCTGAGGTTTCCACAACCAGGGTGGTGTGAGGCCTGCGGAGGTGAGAAAGCCAGGTCCCCCTCCTCCCCCGCCAGGAGGGTATGTCCCCATCATCCCCCGACCTCCCACCTCCTCCCAGCCCAGGCCTGGTTACCTCTTTTGCTTGTCCTGCTTGTTCACGTCAGTGTCCCTGAGCATGACGATCAGATCCTTTCTGGCGACTTTACCCCACCAGGCAGCTCTGTGGAGCTTGTCCAGATCTTCTCGACGGACGTGGTATCTCGGCTCCACGAAGGCGCTGTCGTCGTAGTCTCCCCAAGCACCCACGTTGCTCTTGCCGCTCCCCCTGCAGCAGGGGAAGCAGTGGCAGCACCACTTGCCCATCTTGCTCCTGAGTGTCTTCATAGTGGAGTCGTCCTGGTCTCCAGAAGTGCCCACGTTGCTCTTGCCGCTCCCCCTGCAGCAGGGGAAGCAGTGGCGGCACCACTTGCCCATCTTGCTCCTGAGAACAAATGGCTTCTTCACAGAAGAGGCAGCCGGCATTGAATCAACCTCAGCTACCATCTGCTTTTAACAGCCTGGGGAGGCCGGTAGTAGCGAGCAGATCACGTCTACCAACCAGTTTCACCAACTAGCAGGTAACTCCGGGTTTCCAATCTGTTTGAAGAGAAAAGTCAATCCCAGCCAAAACCTGCCAACCCCAGCAGGTAAGCCCAACCCACCCCACCCAGGGAAAACCCACACCCACCCGGGGAAAGCCCACGCCCACCCGAGGAAGGGCCAACCCCCCCCCCCCCAAGAAAACACCCAGCCCACCCAAGGGAATGCCAAACCCAGCAGAGAAAAGGTCAAGCCTAGCAAGGGAACGCGAGAGAGGAAACGCCAATCCAAGGAGGAAACGTCAATCCAAGGAGGAACACCAGGCCAAGCGACCAACACCAAGCCAAGCAAAGAACGCAAAGCCAAGCCAAGCCGCTACAGGCCAGCCAAGCAGTTACCCGCGTGCAGCATGCGCGTGCAAGCCGTTACAGGCCAGCCAAGCCATTACGCGCGTGCGGCGTGCGCGTGCAAGCCGTTACAGGCCAGCCAAACCGCTATGCGCGTGTGGCGTGCGCGTGCAAGCCATTACAAGCCAGCCAAGCCGCTGCCGCGTGCGCGTGCGGCGTGCGCGTGCGGCGTGCGCGTGCGGCGTGCAGCGTGTGCATCTCAGGTGGCGTCAGTGCATGTGGCACAGACAGTGGCCAATGCGTGCAACCGCGTGTTTAAATCTTGGCGCCACGAATGTCACCGACAGCCTTATGTTCCTGGCAAACTTCATGGGAGTCAGCTGAGCTTTCAGGCCATTGAGAAGCCTCTGGTGAAAAAAAAGCCTCTTGAAGCAGGACTGGGGCTAAGCGGCTGGAACTTGAGGATGCTGACAGCCTCCTCTGAAGAAAGCCCCCGGGACACTCCTGGCGGTGCTGTTGTGCGTGGCAGCGTCTGCAGCTCGGAGCTGGGGCTGGAGGAGCTGGCTGCAAATGGCCTCAAAATCCCGGAGCACAAGATGCCCACTGAGCCCAGCGCCTGCCTGAGGTGCCTTTGACACCTGGTCCTCTTTGCTCTGCACCCAGAACACGAGGCCATCAGCGAGGGGGCATTTGGGGCCACAGGATCGCGGCCAGCTCCTGCCCCGGTGCCCCCTGCCCGGTGTCCAAGCCAGGGCCAACAGCTATAGGGCTTCTGGCCTGGGGGGCTCTGCTCCACTGGCATGCAATAGGGTCAAGGTGCAGACCGCTGTGTCCACGCCGGCAAGAGGGGGCTTGGAGGAGCAGTCACAGGACAGTACTCTCCCCTCCTGTGGATGACTCCTTCCTGCCCTTTCCTCTCTCTGCTAAAGCCTCCAACGTTCTCTGTCCCATCCATATGCTCCACTTATGCCCCTGCTTTTGCTTTGATTTTCTCATTAAAATAAATCTGCAGGCTGGCTGGGTGCAGTGGCTCATGCCTGTAATCCCAGAACTTTGGGAGACCGAGGCAGGTGGATCACCTGAGGTCGGGAGTTCGAGACCAGCCTGACCAACATGGAGAAACCTTGTCTCTACTAAAAATACAAAATTAGCCAGGCGTGGTGGTGCACGCCTGTAATCCCAGCTACTTGGGAGGCTGAGGCAGGAGAATCGCTTGATCCCGAGAGGCGGAGGTTGCGGTGAGCCAAGATACTGCCATTGCACTCCAGCCTGGGCAACAAGAGCAAAAGTCCATCTCATAAATAAATAAATAAATAAATAAATAAATAAATAAATAAATAAAATAGATCTGCAGGCTGCCCCCTCACGGCAACGTGTCTTCCCTGCATTACTGCAGAAGGATGGCCACACCCCTGCCCTGGCGGACTAGACCTCTTAAGGACACCTCTGCCTTCCACCTCACTCCTGAATCACCCACTTCTTCCTCTCTAGTCAGTTGTACAAACGTGCTTTTTCCTGGCCCATCTTTAAAACATCCTCTTCATGCTTCGCTCTCCAGCTGCATCCCATTTCTCTGTTCCCCTGTAGAGCAAAATGGCTCCAAAGCGTGGTCTCGTCTTACCTTGAACACCCCTCCTCCCTCTCGCTATGTGAGCTACTCCAGTTCAGCTCTCCACCTCTGCACTACCCTGAACCTGCTCCTGCCGGCAGCAATGGCCTATGGAGAAGTGCAGCCCCCAGCTGTAAGACAGGGGGCCTCCCTCCCTGCTGCTCCTCAGCACCCCCTGCACGTGGCTTCCTGGACCACTCCTCTCCCGCTCCAAGGCCCCTCCTCCGCGCACATTTCGGGACTCCTGGCTGCCCAAGGCCGCTCTTCTGTTTTCTGTCCACACCTGCTCCCTGGGGTTGCATTTATTCCCGCAGCTCCAAATGCCACCTGCCTGCTCATCGCGCCCCGCCCAGGCCTCTCCCTCGCTAGGAGCGTCTCCTCCGTTTTTCCACTTGATGCTCATAGACACCACCTCTCGCCCTTCCTTCACAGTCAGCTCCAAACAAAACAGTCTCCGTTTCAGTTCATGGCTCCTCAGGACGGAAAACCCCGAGTCCTCCCCGTGTGCTCTTTCTCTCACACCCAGATCCAACCCAGCATTAATCCCTGCGACTCTTGCAAGCTTCCAGCCTCCACCGCCCTGACCTAGGCTCCGGGTCCCCTCGCAGCCGCCTCCACCCTGCGCCCTGCGGTTCATGCTCCACACAGGCTCAAAAGTCAGATCGCGCCTCCCTGGCTCCACCAGAGAGCAGGCCTGCGAGGCCTACAGCAGGGGCCAGCACTCCCTGCTCCTTCCTGGGCCCAGCGCACTCTTTGCAGGCATCCTGGCTCCCTCAGCAGAGGAGGTCTTGCCAGAGTGTCACTTTCTCTGTGAAACACTCCAAATGTCCCTTTATGCCCTCATTTTTTTACTCTCCATAGCATTTTTCTTCCTCTAATATACTATTTACTTATGTTGTTTATTTTCTTTCTTCTCCTACCAGAATGTACTGGCCATAAAGGCAGAACTTTTTTTCCTGCTTTGTTTACCTTTGTATCCCTGGTAGCACAGACGTATTTAATATTTAATTGTTGAGAGAATGAATGAATATGCTCCCCCTATTTACCTATCACTCTGCTGCCCTGCAACGGGCCCTCAGCTTCCTGCTAACAAAGATTCTCTGCTTGGCCAAAGGGTAGTCCAGCTCCCGAACCTCCTCCTACGTCCATCTGTGCACGTCCTGGTAAAATTCAGTTTCACCAAGAACCTTGGTAAGTCAGTTTAGCAAGAAGCCCCTACCCTCAATACCTCATCGCCCTCCATATCTGATGAGGCTCCTCATCCTCCATCGTCCCCAAGGTGAAGTCTGACCACCATGGCCTGTCGTCAGCAAGAATCCTATTGGGCCAGATTAGCCAGAGTCCTTTAACTCTGAATCACCTTTTAGTCATTTTCCACCCACTGCCCCCAACCCTGCTCCTTGGTTATCAGCTCCCCCTCGCCCATGCTGTATTTGAGTTGAACCTGATCTATCTCGATCCACCTATACCTACCTCAATGGTCTGGAATAAAGTCCACCTGCCATGCTAGTAACGTTGAGTAATTTTTCTTTAACACTGCTCATGCTGACCTTATACCTGCTGACCTCAGCCCCTCTCTCCACCACTCTGTGTCCTCCACCCAGTTTTGCTGGCTCTTCCAAGCAGACAATGTCCTCCCTGCTTTCTGTTTCCACAGTCTTTCCTCCGCATCTCTTCTTGGACACTAATGATTGATGTGTTCATCTCCCCTCCCTTCCACACTAAGCTTAGCCCCACAGCCTCTTGTCTAAGACTAGCTGAAGTAGTGCTTGAAGAAACCAGCTCTGAGAGGTTAAACGGTCTGCCAAAACCAGTGAGGTCCCTACCTCTGTGCATTCACACCTGCCACCTCTGGAAAGAGACCTGGCACTGCACCCTGCTGAGGCTGCCCAGCTACCCTGAGCCCTTGCCCAATGCCACCAACAGTGAATCTGCATCAGAGACACTGGACTGAACCCTAGCTTTTGGCGATTTGCTAAGTTAGAGAAATCACGTGTTTAGCATTGAACCCAAGCAGCACCTGTCTTAGTCTGTTATATGCTGTTTATAGCAGAAAACGTGAAACTGGGTAATTGATAAAGAAAAGAAATTTTCATTTCTCTCCCAAGGTCGAGGGAGCACATCTGGTGAGGAACTTCTTGCTGGTGAGGACTCTGCAGAGTCCCAAGGCAGTGTAGGACAGTCCATGGCAAGGAGGTGGAGCATGCTGATGCTACCTCTTCTTCTTCTTCCTTTAAAGCCTTCAGTCCCATTGATATCATAATGCACTAATCCATTAACTCATGGTGGATGAGTCCATTCGTGAGAATGAAGCCCTCAGGACCCAATCGCCACTTAAAGAACCCAACTTCTCACACTGCCACACTGGGGATTCAGTTTCAGCAGGAGTTTCAGACAGGACAAACACTGCTATCATAGCCACCCCTCTTCTCATGCCACCCAGGCTGGGACCCCAGCCTACCCTGCAACTTAGCCACAGGGCACAAGCCCCAAGGCCTCCTACCCCCTGCCACATTCAGGAGTCCCACCCAGTCTTCCTGAAAGGCTCCCACTCTTCCTTCTTCTTTCCAGCCAGAATGGCCGTAAATCACACACCCCTCCTTCCTGTTCAAATCAGGTACCCCTCCTTCCGTCTCCCAGCATGTGACCTCTATCACACCTCACACTGGAGCTGGCAGAGGGAAGGTGCTTTCTTCTTAACTTAGTGAGCCAGGGCCTGAGCAGGCTCTCAGGAGTGCTGGTGACTGAATTAGGAGGGTGGGAGCGTGCAGCAATGTCAACAGAGGTGCACCTGCTGGAGAGATTTCAGGAAATCCCTAAGCAGCTATTGTTCATAAACAGTTGTGTGACAATAGTTATTTGCAGCTCAAACACAAAGTCAACAATTAATAAACTATGTGGCATGAGGGGATTGTTGTCTTTGTGAAAATAGGAAGCTTATTTTTTCATTTGTACACATTCATGGGGTACATGTGCAATTTTGTTACATGCATGGATTGCATAGTGGCCAAGTTGGGGCTTTTAGGATATCCGTCACCAGAATAATGTACATTGCACCCATTAACCAATTTCTCCTCCTCCTCCTCCCTGCCACCCCTTCACCCTTTGTCTCCATTGTCTCTCATCTTACTTTCAGCATACATATTTTTTAGCTCCCAATTATGAGTGAGCACATGCAATGTTTGTCTTTCTATGCCTGGCTTATTTCACTTAAGAACTTAAGATAATGGCTTCCATTTCCATCCAGGTTGCTGCAAAAGACATGATTTCGTTCTTTTTATGGCTGAATAGTTTACCATTGTGTATATATGGCACATTATCTTTATCCGTTTATCCAATGATGGACACCTTGGTCGATTCCTTATCTTTGCGATTGTGAAGCTTTGACTTATTAATGAAGTGGCTTGAAATTCACCCAGGAAATTGCTGAGGTCTTATCAGAACTGAGTCCTTTGCTGGGTCTGCAGTCATTTGGATCAAGCATGACCTTATTCCCAGCAGGGTGGGCATTCAGAACTGCAGAGCTCTACTCCACACAGCCCCTCTGGGTCCCTTATTGGACCTGGGCCTGAAGAAAAGAAAATCTGTCTCTGCATTTTATGCAAAAGTACGGTTATTACTGGTTTGTTTTGTTGTTGTTGTTTGTTTTTTGTTTGTTTGTTTGTTTTGACAGAGTTTTGCTCTTGTCGCCCCGGCTGGAGTGCAATGGCATGATCTCGGCTCACTGCAACCTCTGCCTCCCGGGTTCCAGCGATTCTCCTGCTTCAGCCTCCTGAGTAGGAGGGATTACAGGCATGTGCCACCACGCCCGGCTAATTTTGTATTTTTAGTAGAAACAGGGTTTCACCATGTTGGCCAGGCTGGTCTCCAACTCCTGACCTCAAGTGATCTGCCTGCCTTGGCCTCCCATAGTGCTGGGATTACAGGTGTGAGCCACTGCACTTGGCCCGATTATTACTTTTTATCTTAAAACCTTGAAATTATCCCTCAAAAAAGGCTGTTCATGTTATTAAGTTTTTTGGTTTTTGTTTTTTTTTTTTTGTTTTTTTTTGAGACAGAGTCTCTCTCTGTTGTCCAGGCTGGAGTGCAGTGGCGCGATCTCGGCTCACTGCAAGCTCTGCCTCCTGGGTTCACGCCATTCTCCCGCCTCAGCCTCCCAAGCAGCTGGGACTACAAGCACCTGCCACCGCGCCCAGCTAATTTTTTGTATTGTTAGTAGAGACGGGGTTTCACCATGTTAGCCAAGATGGTCTCGATCTCCTGACCTCATGATCCGCCTGCCTCGGGCTCCCAAAGTGCTGGGATTACAGGCGTGAGCCACCACTCCTGGCCCATTTTATTAACTCTTAAATTGAGCTCAGTTCTCTATGTGAACTCAGTTGTCAATCATTAAAACTGGTAGGTTGGCTGTTTCAAGGCAAAATCTACTTCTTACTCCAAACTGGTTTCCTTTTCAAATTTAAACAGGGAGGAAGCCCCAGCCCAACTGGCTGGATCCCAGAGCTGCAGGTGACAACCCCCATGCACCCTCTGAGTCTCACTGTGAAATCCAGAACATTGGTGTGCAGTCTGGAGGGACTAGTGTTAAGCTCTTTATATATCAAGTGCTATCTATGAACAAATGAGGTTGATTCACAGAGTTTCATCAGCAGGGCATCATCCCCCAATAAAATACTAACTTTAAAGTTAATTCTTATTGTAGATCCATATAGAAGTGCTTCATATGGAAAATTACCTTTTAAGGGGCCCCAAAGACATGTGGCTATACCAAGAACAAAATGCAGGTTAGCAAAGCCCTGCATCAATGTTTATAATTAAGTGGTTCTTATTATATTGAGGCAAAATCCAGACTTTTGCTTCATCAAATTTTAGAATAAATCAGCTTTAACAAGTAGAATTAAATGAGATATAATCTAGTAAGAAGTTAGAAATTGAGAACAAAATCCAATAGAAAGGAAGATTGAGATATGAACTGAGGGGTTGATGGTGCTTACCGCTTGGGATTCTGAGGCAAAAACGCATCTCATCCCCAAATGGAATTTAGGCTGGATGGTCCAGGGTTCTGGAGCACTGTTGTTAATTCAGTTCCATCTAATACAGATTTGTGGGAACACAGCCTCATTTTTCAGACATCCTAAATATGAAAATATTCAGGAAGAAGATGTCATGATGTATGTAATTTACTTTAAAATTCTTCACTAAAAACAAAATAGCACATATGGCAAAACGAGTTTAATCTATGGGTGTGGCTAAGTCTCTGACAGGGCCCCAAAGAGTCCTTCCTGGCCTTCATGCCAATGTGCAACCTCCACCCTTAGAGTGGCCCTGGACTCACCTCTAACAGACAGCAGGTCACAAAAGGCGGGGACTCCCACTCTCTCACCCTCTCCCTCCTACCCTAGGGGAGGCCATATGTGCTGGTGCAGGGGAGAGGCCACCAGGCTGGAAGTGGAGGGTGTAGGGGCTGGGTGGAGGAAAGGGCAGGAAAGACCCTTCCAAGCCCAAATGCTTCTGGTCAAAGCACTCAGGCACTGCAGGGTCCTGGCTGTTTCCTGAATGCCACCCAGTTGAAAGGGAAGCTCCTGAGGGAGGGTGCTTCTCTGTGTCCCAGTCCTCAGGGCTCTGCAGCAGCACTGGCACTGCCATGGGAAGATAAAATGGTCTTGATGCCTGACCCAGCTCTGAGCCCAGAGGTGAGGACAGGCTGATTCCCCTCCTTGAGCCTGCACTCCCAGGAGGGCCCCTGCACGCCAGGCCTGTCCTTCAGCACGTGACTGCCTGCCTCCCTGAAAGATCCAATCTCTCTCTTTTTTTTTTGAGACAGAGTCTCACTCTGTCACCCAGGCTGGAGTGCAGTGGCACAATCTCAGCTCACTGCAACCTCCGCCTCCCAGATTCATGTGATTCATTGCTTTTGTTTGTTTGTTTGTTTCTTGAGACAGAGTCTCACTCTGTTACCCAGGCTGGAGTGCAGTGGCGCAATCTCAGCTCACTGCAACCCCGCCTCCCGGGTTCAAGTAATTCTCCTGCCTCAGCCTCCCAAGTAGCTGGGACTACAGGCACCCACCACCATGCCTGGCTAATTTTTGTACTTTTTTTTTAGTAGAGACAGGGTTTCACCATGTTAGCCAAAATGGTCTCCATCTCCTGACTTCGTGATCCACCCGCCTCAGCCTCCCAAAGTGTTGGGATTACTGGTGTGAGCCACCGTGCCCGGCCCCCATCTCTCTCTTAAAGTGCATTATTTTCAGCTTCCATTTTTACTTCAGGGAATTTTTGCTTTCTGCACCATGTTTTGTTCAAGTACATCTTTTCTGGCAGGTATTTTGTATGATTTAGAGACTAAAAGCATTGCTAATTATGCTAAATAAAAATTGGTATAATTAATAAAGGTCCTTATCTGAGCATAGCATCATCTGGAAAATGAAGTTTGGTCCTGGAGCCCGACTGCTTGCGGAGGTGATGTTCTGTCCAGCATGGTCACTGCCTGGAGGCCAAAATGAGCATCTCAGACTGTGCTGGGCTTTCTGAAGGGCCACACAACAGTTCAGATTCACCATTTGATTTAAAGGAACATCAGCCGGACTCACGCCATTGCCTTTGAGGACTGTCTACAGGGTCCCCCCGTGAATGAAAATGTCTGTGTAAGGACCCTGCGTAAAAGATGCTCTCTGTAATTCTAGAAAGCCACCAGTACAAATGCACTCTAAATGCAGCAAAAATTACTAAATTACATAACACATAACAATCATGGAAAAACAAAAACCTGGTGTATCTGTCAGCTCGGGCTGCCCTAACCAAATGCCGCAGGCTGGGAGGCCTAACCCACAGAGACATTTCCTCTCACAGTTCTGGAGGCTGGAAGTCTGAAATCAAGGCGTCACCAGATTTGGGTTCCCCGGAGTCCTCCTTTATCGGTATGTGGATAGCTACCATCTCACTGTGCTCTTCCAAAAGGTAGAAAAACCAAATATGCATCAACAGATGACAAACAGACAAAATGCGGTGGATGGGTGTTCGTGAAATATTATTCAGTCACAAAAGGAGTGAAGCTCTGATGTGCGCTACAGCACAGATGGACCTAAAAGACATTATGCTACGTGGCATAGGCCGGACGCAAAAGGAAAATACTGCATGATTCCCCTCACATGCAATCTCTAGATGAGGAAAATGTGTGAGACAGAAAGCAGCCCCACCCAAGAAGCCAGGAGGGTGGAGAAAGGTGTTTCTCACTCCCCACAGGTGCCGGGGACAGCCCACTTGGACAGCCATCGCTTTAAAGTCCTCCTCAGAGAATCCCTTCACACCTAATTTGTTGCAGAGCATTTTCCTTCATGATGGATGTGCTGAGAACATTGACGGGGCCTCCAGTCCTGGCACGGGGTTCCGGTCCCACACACTCTATGAGCCAGAACATTCCTCTGGAGTTTTGACGGGTGGGTCGGCTCCAGCCTTATCTGTTCACAGCTGATAAGGAGAAAAGAGGCCCTTTCCTGGCAGGGACCCACCTCCTCCCTTCCAGTGCTCCCAGGCAACCCTTCCAGCTGGGCCTCTTGATGGCAAACAGGGCAGCGCCTCTGCAGTAAAATGCAAAACCCTTTTATAAGACCTTTGAGTCAATGCGGCAACCTGGGACCGCTTTGTGTGGAGAGCAAGTGACAGTTTGGCGAAAATAGGTCATCAGAAGCTTTATTGCCTGGCCATCAGCCCTTCTCCTCAGAGCCGACTGCAGAGCTTAAGCAAACAGCTTAAGCACGTCGCACTGCTATTTCTTGCTTCTCAGTTCTGTCTTGCTGGCAAGACGTTTTTTTTTCCTAGTTTCCACTTATAAAGTGCAGATTTTCAAAATCTTACTCTACATATGAAATGTCATGATGTATTGGAGTTTTTAAAACTTCAAGAAAAAAGTTAGGGAGGAAACAAATGAAATAAAATTGGCAAAGGCTGATACTTAATTGTTGAACCTGGGTTTATTGGCTCATTCTACCAGCCTTTGTGTATGTTTGGAAATGTCCACTAAGGTAAAATTTAATAAATAAACTGTGGGGGAAAGTTAGATTTTAGAGGCTGCTTTTAAAGCTTTACTATTGTCAGAGAGGTTTGGTTTCAATATCACTCTGTAAAATGAACAGTTTTAAAACTTATTTATACAAAAAATACAATCATCTAGCTTATATACATCTTCATTTTAGTATACAAACAATTTAGCTCATGCAAAAGATTCTATTAACTTAAAGTCATAAAATGTACTTACTTTTACATATAATTAAATGATGCAATTAACCAGTAGTAACCACTGAGTTTAAAAGTGTATTTTTCGGCCGGGCGCAGTGGCTCATGCCAGTAATCCCAGCACTTTGGGAGGCCGAGGCGGGTGGATCACGAGGTCAGGAGATCAAGACCATCCTGGCTAACACGGTGAAACCCCGTCTCTACTAAAAATACAAAAAAATTAGCCAGGCATGGTGGTGGGCGCCTGTAGTCCCAGCTACTCGGGAGGCTGAGGCAGGAGAATGGTGTGAATCCGGGAGGCGGAGGTTGCAGTGAGCCGAGATTGCACCACTGCACTCCAGCCTGGGCCACAGAGCTAGACTCCGTCTCAAAAAAATAAAGTGTGTTTTTCACCGGACACGGTGGGTTTGTGCCTGTAATCCCAGCACTTTGGGAGGCAGAGGCAGGAGGATCGCTTAAGGCCAGAAGTTAGAGGACAGCCTGGGAAACATAGCAAGATCCCTATCTCTACAAAATAAAAAAAAAATTAGCTGGGCATAGGGGCGCGAGCCTGTAGTCCTAGCCACTCAGAGGCTGGGGTAGGAGGATCACTTAAGCCCAGAAGTTCGAGGATGTGGTGAGCTAT
Organism: Homo sapiens; assembly: GCF_000001405.40. Taxonomy (NCBI): domain Eukaryota; kingdom Metazoa; phylum Chordata; class Mammalia; order Primates; family Hominidae; genus Homo; species Homo sapiens. The sequence continues at coordinate 130,600,683 of NC_000002.12, read as the reverse complement.
GATCGCCCACTGCACTCCAGCCTGGCTGACAGAGTGACACTTTGCCTCTAAAAAACAAAATTAACAAGGTGTTTGTCTCATGACTTACAGCACTTACAGATGCTTGATGAAGTCCTGGGGCACCTTCCTCCATGTGCTCTGCCCACTCGGGTCTGCTGGCCTTGACCTGGTCCTTGCAGCCCACAGGACCCATTGCTGGGAGGCCCCCCAGGGTAGCCCGGTCCTCCAATTTCCTATTGCTTTATTTAACAGCCTCTTTAATAAACCTCACACGTAAAGATGTAAGAAATTAAATCACCATTAAAGACTATTTCAGCCTTGGAGGAAGAATACTATTTTTAGAAATGAGTTTTTATATTAAAATCACAGAACAATTTGCAACACTGGGTTGCAAAGTGTCTTCTTTAGTGCTGATAAAAGGGGCTCAGTCCCTATTCTGGTAGTTAGAAAAGCAGATTTAGAAGGTGCTAGAAAATACCCCAAATCACTCCTTCCTTGGGTTCCGTTTGGATTCAGCAGGCTCCTCTGGCGATGGGCGGGCGCCGCAGTTGCGCCTGTGCTCCTAAGGGCTCGCCTTAAATACCTGTGGGTATCTCCTCATCATATCGGTGCCATTCATGTTTCTCAGAGATCTAACTGCCAAAGGACTTAAACTCTCTAAGCCTCCCTTTCTCTCTTTTCACGTGGGGGATAATAATAGTGCCTACCCTAGAGGGTCCTATAGTAAATGGGGGCAGTGCCCCTCCCCCACTTGCTGGGCACAGAGAAGAGGCTCCATCTGCAGAGTAAGGGGGCCTCTCTTAAAGCAGGGGTGACGTGCTTTCCCTTATCCTCGTGTTCCCCACTCAGGGCGGCTGGGACCCCAGGCTGTTGCCTGTGCCCCACACAGGAGCTCCCTCTCCCACAGGGCCCCTCACCATCTCCCAGTACAAGTAGTATGCAGTAGAAAATCTCCACCTTCCTGTGAAAGCTTTTTGTTCATGTTGGGATTTTTTTTTTTTTCCAGTGAGAAAATGGCTCGTCACCTTGGATACCAATGTTTTACATCAGGGATTGGTCACTCCTGCTGCTGTCAGCACTGTAAACACTGCTGGGGGGAGTCAGCCCAAGTCCCCACCCCCCAGCCAGGTCTCATAGAGGGAATTGTTCTTCAGGCTCGGAGGGGCCTGCCTGTCACTGCGCCCCCGACCCTAGCTCAGGGACTGCAGAACTCAAGATACCATCCCGTTTCTCCTGGCTGAGGAAGGGAAGGGAACATCCACATCTTCTGTACTCGTCCATTCTGTGTCCCCGGGGCCTGGAGTAAAGACACCTTCAAATGCAGAGACTCTTCAGATTCAGCTTTCCTGGAAACTGATCTTCAATGCACTAAGAGAAGGAGACTCTCAAACCAAAAATGACCTGGAGGCACCATGTCAGGTAAGGACAGAGGTCATGAGATCTTAGAGCCAAGAAGGGGTCTTAAGAGCCTCAGAATAAATCGTAGTGCATGAGCCACTGTTCATTAAAGGAGGTGTACACTTTCTGTCTCAAAATCTTTCTAAGCCATAGCAAAATTAACAAAAACCTACAAGTTACAAAATGATTGCCTTATTCATTATAATTATTTTACATAATTTTATATTTATATATAATGATGGCATTGTATTTTTATGTGTATGTGAATTTCTGCTTATACTTCTAAAGATACTTTCAACTTCAATGATTTTCTTTAAATATTCTAGGCTTCTGTTTACGGTCAGTTTGGCATTACAGATCATCAATTTGGGAAACAGTAAGAAACATTTTATTCATAATTTCAGTTTTAATTGCATAAAATATTTGTTTCTCAATCATTATCAGTCTCACATTTTCAATATTTTTTAAAGGCTATCAAAGAGAGAAACATAACGGCGGTAGAGAGGAAGTCACCAAGGTTGCCACTCAGAAGCACCGACAGTCACCGCTCAACTGGACCTCCAGTCATTTCGGAGAGGTGACTGGGAGCGCCGAGGGCTGGGGGCCGGAGGAGCCGCTCCCCTACTCCCGGGCTTTCGGAGAGGGTAAGTTGCAGCGCTGCCCACAAAATCCGGGGCGTCATCTCAGTCTGCGGACTCAGAGTTTAGGACCTGAGAATATGTAGGATAAATTCAGGATAAAATCCAAGGAGAGCATTTTGTTATCTTCAAATGATGATGCACTTACAAAGCTATAAAGCTAGAGACAGTTCCTAGTGAGGTGTTAAAAAGCTTTACTCTTTCATTGGTAAAACGTTGTATTTGCTCTTCAATGGTTATTTTGCTGCAGATCTAGAGAACTGTGATTTAAATGTGTTGAAAATAAATATCCCAAGCCAAGATAACAGCGGACTCTTGCTTGGCTTCTCCCAGACACCGCGTCCCCAGGAGGCCCCTCGCCGGTGGGTTTGGCGTCATCACACCCGTGGGTGGTCCCGCCCAGGAGGCCTGTGCTTAATCACTGTCAGGTGAAGCCACAGCCAGAGGTTAACATGTGAAAGGAAGGGAGAGAGCAAGCCCGGCTTGCAGGCCGCACCCCTGATAGTTTGTTTCACATCCCTAACAAGCAGGGTTTACCTGAGCAAACACACTTGGCTGGAGGCTGATTTTACTGCCTCCCCTGGGCGGCCACGTTCGGCCCCGTCCCTGCGGGGAGGGCCACGGGCCGCGGGGGGCGCGGGGCTGACGCCCGGGTGACCCCGCAGGTGCGTCCGCGCGGCCGCGCTGCTGCAGGAACGGCGGTACCTGCGTGCTGGGCAGCTTCTGCGTGTGCCCGGCCCACTTCACCGGCCGCTACTGCGAGCATGACCAGAGGCGCAGGTGGGCACAGGGGTGCGCGGGGTGGGGACGGGGGTGGGCGCCGGGTGAGGGACCTGCGGGTCTGGGGGCGCGGGAGTAGGCGTCAGGAGAGGGGCGCGCGGGTGCGGGGGCGCGGGAGTGGGCGCCGGGCGATGGGCGCGCGGGTTGGGGGGCGCGGGAGTTGGCGCCGGGGGAGGGATGCGCGGGTGGGGGAGCGGCGCAGGAGTGGGCGCCGGGCGAGGGGCGCGCGGGCCACCGCATTGATGCAGGTCCCCGTCTTCTCAGTGAATGCGGCGCCCTGGAGCACGGAGCCTGGACCCTCCGCGCCTGCCACCTCTGCAGGTGCATCTTCGGGGCCCTGCACTGCCTCCCCCTCCAGACGCCTGACCGCTGTGGTAAGAGGCCCTGTGATTCGGTCCCCAGCTCACCCCCGCACGCGGTTGCGCCTTCATTGCGGCTCACCCTCCATACCGATCCACAGTGCATCTTCCAGTGCCAGGCCACATAGCATTTAGCAAAGTAGATCGATTCATCATTGAAGAAAGTCGCATTCATTGGGAATCATATAGTGAATTAAATTTTGTTTTGAAGTTCTCATATCCAGATTGCTGAGTTTAAAAATGATTTCCAAACCATGTCCTCACATGTCCGTTTCAGTGAGCAGAATTTCAGGAGATGACCAGCTGGTAATCGGAGAGGAAGCTGGGAGACAAGTTAGCTGCGTAAATCTCAGGTGGTTTCCCTGCACTAGGCCAGCACCATCTGCTCAGCTGTGGGACCAGCAGGGACACAGGCAGGAGCCGCATTTCCCTCTGGAATCCTGTGCCTTCTCTCCTCTCCTCTTTGGTGATCACTGGCTGGGGCTAGCAATGGAGGGCACAGCTAGTGAAGGCCCAGCCTCTTGGCCCCAGCCCGAGCTCTGCCCTCTCCCAGGCCCGGGTGGGCTGGTGGTGCAGTGTCCAGAGGCACACCTGATGAAGCCAAGGCCCCTGATCCACTCTCCTGCCCCCTCCCTCCACTTCAGTCAGCCCTGGGCACCTCCATCTGTCAAAGAGCACAGCCCCGCAACCCCACTTCCCACCTGTCGCTCTCAGGCCGTCCTGCTAGGGCTGCATGGAGGGCAGCACCAGTGGCCCAAAGATCTTCAACCCGGCTCCCCCAGCCTCCCTCTTGCTCTTGGAGGCCCACAATGGAGGAGTACACAATGCATGCTTAGCTCTCCTTCACCTTCCTGTCCTCTCTTCTCTCCCTGGTAGGACCAGCAGTCAAGGGACACTCTTAATAGAGGCACAGCCCCCAACCCCACTTCCCACCCTGCTCCCTTCTCCTCAGCTAGCTCTGCATGGTGCCAGCAGGGAAGAGCACTCCCCGCCTGCCGTGCAGACCACATTTTCCCAAAGCACCCCCTCTTCTATGTGTGCTCCTTTTGCTGGGCCTCTGCCTCTGAAGTCACCAGCTGCTCCTCTATGCCCTAGAGACAGGAGGACACAGATTTCATGGACAGGCATCAGAATCACAGGGGGTGCTTGTGTGGTCCTCACAGATGAAGTCAGTTCCCACCTGCCATTAGGCCGCCCCAGCAGGAATGTGGGGAAGGGACTAGCTGTCATGACTTCCAGGATATCTGGTCATGATTTTACATTCTTGGAAACATCCAGTGCTGGGACTGCTATTTGCCAAGGACAATGATAATGGCTCTGAAAATGTGGCCTCTGTTCATCAAAGCTAGACAAAATAGTGCAGTCATCCTTCAGAGTCATCTGTCAGGTGCAGAGAGGGCAGTAACACCTTTGTGTTCTTTTACCCATTCATCCTGCTTCAAGGCAAGTTACAGTGATGCTGGTGATGGCTGTGCTGATGGTGGTTATGATGACTTGAAGTTTGACAACAGTGATGATAGATGGAACATCCTCCGTGGCAGGTGCCATTGCAATAGGGCAAGCTCTTCTGGGTGTTACAGCATGAGAGGAGCCCTCAGTGTATTTCAGGCACTTTATATACCCATTATCCCATTTAACTCTTATGAAAGCCAATGAAGTAGGTACACCTTTTACATTTGGGGAAGCTGAGACACAGAGAGATCAACTCCTACAGATAGTAAACAGGGTCTGATTCTTTACCTTGTGCCATTCCTGTAGTCTTTTTTTTTTTGAGATGGAGTCTCACTCTGTCGCCCGGGCTGGGGTGCAGTGGCGCAGTCTCGGCTCACTGCAAGCTCCACCTCCAGGGTTCATGCCATTCTCCTGCCTCAGCTTCCTGAGTAGCTGGGACTACAGGCACCTGCCACCACGCCCAGCTAACTTTTTTTATTTTTTATTTTTAGTAGAGACGGGGTTTAACCATGTTAGCCAGGATGGTCTCGATCTCCTGACCTTGTGATCCGCCCACCTCAGCCTCCCAAAGTGCTGGGATTACAGGCGTGAGCCACCGTGCCCGGCCCATTCTTGTACTCTTTCTATAAGAGTAATTATCAATATGACTGGGTACAGTGGCTCATGCCTATAATCCCAGCACTCTAGGAGGCTTAGGTGGGAAGATTGCTTGAGGCCAGGAGTTCGAGAACGGCCTGGGCAATATAGCAAGACCTGTCTCTACAAAAAATTAGCCAGGTGTGGTGACGAGCACCTCTGGTCCCAACTACTTGGGAGGCTGAGAGGCAAAAGGATCACTTGAGCCTAGGAGTGTGAGGTTACAGTGAGCTATGATTGCACCACTGCACTCCAACCTGGGTGACAGAGCGAGACCCTGTCTCTTAAAAAGAAAAGAAAGAATAAATATGAAACAAATGAAGATTTTTTTATAGTGTTGTATAGAATATAGAAAATTTGGTCATGTTCCAAAGCCAACAGCACAGTAATAGATAAGTAAATGTTTTAAATCCTTTAATGGGAGATTATGATGGTTTTGAAGAGTATGTGGAAGATAGAATATGTTGCTACAAAAGCATGGCTGCTGCAGGGACTCTCTGTCTGGGGATCACCAAGAGCCCTCCTTGCTCTGACTGATGCTCTGCAGGTCCAAGAATGAAAAGCTTCCATGTAGCAGGGACTTTTGCGCAGTCCTGAGCTAGCCAGGATCTCCTTGTTAGTCTAAGGGGGTGGTTCTTTCTACTGTGGCCCTAAAGCATCAAGTATCAGTTTTCACAAGCATCAAGAGACAGTTTACTACTCTAAAATTCAGAGTCTGTGGAATGACACAGTGATGTAGCCAACTCAGGTGTCTTCAGAGATGGGCAGGTAACACGGAAGTGAGATGGGGCCCGGTGAAGACTCACCTCACTGCTGCAAACTCATTTTTAAACATGCCATTCTGGCAAAAACCCACCAACCAACCAACAAGCAAACAAACATCCGTGGGCCAGACCCAGTCTACAGACCTCTGGGATGCCATTGGAATGGCTCTCACAGGTCCTGGCACCAGCTGACTCTGAGCCTGTAAGCATACACCCTGTGTCCAGCCCTCCTGTTTCCTTCCCTCAGGGGAAGGCCAGCACGGACCCAGTACTGCTGACCCCTTTCTCACCTGAATAGCTTCACATGCTGTGAGCGCCTGTCTTAGCACCAGCTTCTCTGGAGCCTCGTCTGAGCCTAGACGTTAGCATTCCTGTTTGGGGATTCTGGCACCCCTGGAACAATCCTCTCTCCCAAGGTGGGGGGTGCTATGGGGAGGTGGCACCCAAGCCTGGAGTGAGCCTGACCTGGCCAATGCTACCACAGCCTACCTGTGGACAGGTGTAGAGTGGTTCTTGCTGCAGGTGTTCATCTGCATCATTCCTTGTTAATTTCCAGTTTCATGCTCATGCCAGGTTCCCAAGTCCAGAGGACATCTCCTGGAGGTATAGCAGAGGGCAGGGCAGGCCTGGTCAGGGGGCAGGGAGGTGGCTGGCCTTTGCTCAGTGGCCCCGGGGAGAGGATCCCTGTAGTTGGGCATGCTCTTCTACCAGCCTGACCCCACTCCAAGACAGGCCTGGACTCGCTTGTGAGAATGTTCTAGTGGTGCTGGTTGCCATGCCTGCAAGGTTGTCCGCTTCACATGGCAACCACCACCCAGGGCATTAGCCAAGACCCTGCCCAGCCCCACCACTCCAGAGATTCCCATTCCGCTGTTCTGGGCTGGGGTCCCAGCTACACAAAGACCAAGGCTCAGGGACCCTCAGGGTTCAGCATGAATGAAGCCTGCTGTGAGGGGTGGGGAGGGGACACAGGGACTAGGCGTTCAGGCATGGCCTCCTATGACCAGCGGTGTGGGCGAGGGGGCCGGCAGGTGAGTCCCATGGGGCGCGGCGCCACTCACAGGGCTAGGCCTCCTCAGAACAGCAGCCAGACTTTGGATGGCTGCACCCTCCTGCTCTATCAGCTGTCCCTCGTCAAAGAAATATTTCGAGCACTCATTTGGGGAAAAGTGGAACCTTTGTTGCAGCAGACGGAAGCGAGCTGATTTATATACTATAGCACTGTTTTAAATCGGGTCTATGTGCCCCATCGCTCAATGACCTGGAGCGGGACTCCCTGAAAGGTCACGGGCCAAATGAAAAAGACGGAAGGGCTGTTCTTCGTTCCCCCTTTAAACACAGTACTGTAATTCTCCTTCAGCTCTCCGAGTTCTACAAACATTTAGAGGCTTCCCTCTGTGCAGCCGGCCGGGACTGGCCTCCGCACACCTCACCCTGCAGCGCGTCCCAGGGACAGAGCCTAGTGAGGGCGCAGGAGAAAAGGGCCTGCAGAAGGCAGGGAGCAGGCGTTTCTATTGCACTCTCTCAAACCGAGCCGGAACACTTTATTTCATACATCTCCGGTTTCTCTGTTTTTCCAGACCCGAAAGACTTCCTGGCCTCCCACGCTCACGGGCCGAGCGCCGGGGGCGCGCCCAGCCTGCTACTCTTGCTGCCCTGCGCACTCCTGCACCGCCTCCTGCGCCCGGATGCGCCCGCGCACCCTCGGTCCCTGGTCCCTTCCGTCCTCCAGCGGGAGCGGCGCCCCTGCGGAAGGCCGGGACTTGGGCATCGCCTTTAATTTTCTATGTTGTAAATAATAGATGTGTTTAGTTTACCGTAAGCTGAAGCACTGGGTGAATATTTTTATTGGGTAATAAATATTTTCATGAAAGCGCCTTTGGCTCCAGATCCTTGGGAGAGGGACACGTGTGTCCCCAGCACCACTGTGACCGGTAGGTAGAGACAGCAGAACAACAGCGAGAAGGAGCCAAAGCTGGAGCCAGAAAGCCTGGCACCGCCACCTTCCCCTGACAGTTAGCACCTTCCTTTCACAACATCTCCCTTAAGGGGGAAGCGTCTGCTGTGGAACCCACCGCAAGGCAACGCAGGCAGAGTTCAGCCTGAAGAGCGCCAGGCCAGCCTCCTCTGTCTTCCGAGCACCGCTTCTCAGGTCGCTTCCCAATCTGAGGAGGCTGTCGTGTCCACAACCAGTCCAGGGGGATGTGCGCCACTAGCTGAGGACGCCAGGCCCGGCGACACCACAAAGGCTTGGCCATGCGGAATGTGCCCTCAAGAGCACACACTTCGGGTAGAGGGCACTTGCATTGAGCTCTTCAGCTTTTTAAATCCACTGTAGTTCATGAGCCTGTGTGACATAATTACTTTTACATTTTATATTGTCAATTAGTTTATTGGCATTTTCAATCTTTTCAACTATTGGCTATGAAAATATGAATTTAACGTAACATTCAAATGAGTATTAAAGAAAAATAAAGTAGAACTTCATTAGAGGGCTGGCTTGGAGTTCATTGGTTCATGAGAAAAATAATTATTCAAGTATTGAGACATAAATATTTCTAGGCATTAATATTTTTTGAGACCCGGCGCGGGGGCTCACGCCTGTAATCTCAGCACTTTGGGAGGCCGAGGTGGGCGGATCACGAGGTCAGGAGATCGAGACCATCCTGGCTAACACGGTGAAACCCCGTCTCTACTAAAAATACAAAAAAAAAAAAAAAATTAGCTGGGCGTGGTGGCGGGCGCCTGTAGTCCTAGCTACTTGGGAGGCTGAGGCAGAATGGTGTGAGTGAACCCGGGAAGCGCAGCTCGCAGTGAGCCGAGATTGCGCCACTGCACTCCAGCCTGGGCGACAGAGCGAGACTCCGTCTCAAAAATATATATATATTTATACCAAAGTTGTTTCAAGTGTGTTCTGAGCAGTACCTTTCCTTATTTCAGTTTATTGTAGGAATCAACAAGTGATGAACTTTGCAAATTAGCCTAAGAGCTTGATGAATATGTATATGCTATTCATAAAATTTGTGTTTACAAAATGCCTATTTTTTACAACACTGGCAGGCAAAAAAGACACTGCCTTATTTTCAGTAGGTGCACTTAGGAAATGGAACTTGAGAGGTCACAGTTGTGGTTAAAAGGAAAACTGAGAACTGTTCAATATTAGTATGAATAGGGTATAAATACGTTTTAATTAGAAAATTAGAAATCAGGCTCTATGGATTTCTCTACTAGAATACTAGAATGGATCCTTCTAGTGGAATGATTCTTGATTATAAGCAAGAAAGCCAAAGTTACCATTTATCTGTCTACTAACTGAGAAGCCCTTAAGTACCTAGCTCTGAAAAGACAAGGAGAATTTGAAGATAAAAGGCATTTTCTTTTGGCAGCCCAGGCGTCCAGGGAGACAGTTAAAAAGGAGAAACTTCTCAGGAGAGAAAAGAGCAATGCTGGGCTCATGGCTGTTAGCTTCACATAAATGTGTCCCAGATCTTATCTGTCCCCCGCAGTCGAGGAGGAGAGATAGAGAAATCCCCCTAGGCCACTATCTGCCAGCACCCCTTGCTGGGAAGAGCCTGTTCACACCTCTGGCTTTGCTCACCCGGATGGAGGGAGGGCATCTCCCTTCCCAGAGCAGTCCCCAGCTGTGTCCATTCTGCAGTGTTTATAGAAGCTGCCCTTTCCTTGCCAGCTTAGCCCTGGCTCAGTCATCCCCCACACATCCCAGAAGAGCAAAATCTGTCCTCACATCCCCTCTCCGAGGGAGCCACTCACCAGCGACACTGGGAGGAGACGCAGGGGATGCATAAGGACTTGTACCAGCACAGGGCTGGTATGTTCAGCCCATTCCTATGTTGGGGTTTAACTTCGGAGCCCCAGCGAATGCCTGCCGGCTGAGGGGCACTCTTGTTCCTTTCAGCCACATCACAATTTCCCCACTCTAGCCTAGAACCAAATCGACTCTTCTGGCTGTGAGCGTTCAAAAGCAGTCTCTGGATATTTTCCCAGTTTCCATTGTCTGCAAAGCCACTCTGGCACATACAGCCATACATCACACCACAAAAGTTTCTGGGAGTGACTTTTCCACAGAATTCAGTTTTGAGTATTTAAAATTAAGTTTGATAAGCTTTCTATGCGCAGGCACTTATCTCACTTGGACTGTCTGTTATAGGGAAAGGAAAACAAGGGGCTGTGTCTCCCATGGTTACAGCTGCTCGACTCACATTGATCTGGCCAGCACCTGGACCCCTTCAGAACCCCAGCACAGTACTAAGGAAGTTTGTGGCCACAGAGCTAGCTGGATCCCCAGGAGCTGAGTGCTGCCAAGTGAGTGGGGCCCTAGGCTGGGAAATGTCTGCAGTACTCCCAGGGGAAGGATGTGCTGCTCAGTGTGTAAGAACTGGCGCTCCAGAAACAAAACAGGTGCATCAGTATGCTGATATCACTTGTTTTTTGTTTTTGTTTTTTTATTTTTTATTTTTTGAGATGGAATCACGCTTTGTCGCCCAGGCTGGAAGTGCAGTGGTGCGATCTCGGCTCATTGCAAACTCCACCTCCCGGGTTCACACCATTCTCCTGCCTCAGCCTCCCAAGTAGCTGGGACTACAGGCACCCGCCACCATGCCCGGCTAACTTTGTGTATTTTTAGTAGAGACGGGGTTTCACTGTGTTAGCCAGGATGGTCTCGATCTCCTGACCTCGTGATCCACCCGCCTCGGCCTCCCTAAGTGCTGGGTGGGATTACAGGCCTGAGCCTCTGCACCCGGCCGATATCACTTTATTATAAGTTTTACTGATATAAAGTACATTATAGCACAGAATTTCAAGTAACAACAAAATATACAGTACTCTTTACTCCATGTAGCCTATATGCTTTTGTTGATTTTTATCAGATCTTCTATCTGTACTCAAACCTATGGTTGTGATGCAACCATGATTTGACAAGTGGAGTTGCATCCCAACTCACTGACTCTCCAACAAATTTATTGTCATTAAATCTGAAATGTGATCTACTGTAGAACTATGTCTAATCCTTATACAAATTATGTTAATTACCTGAAACAGCTAAACTCTGGCACTACATATGTGAGAACATTACTAGTTTGTTCGCGAGTGATTTATTTGCCGAGTCAGTTCGTTTTCAAATGAGATTCGTTTTAACCAGATATGGTAAGAATGCAGACCTGGAAATGATGTCAAGGAGGAAAAAGTGTGTATACTCACTTAGAAACAGGAGGCGTGTCATGCAGGGCCACATGGGGCAGCCCCAGGGTGGGCCGGGAGGCAGAGGGAGTGGGCACTGTGGGCAGGAGCCTGTACTGTGGCTTCTGTGGGAAGGAGTAGGTGAGGCAGGGGCAGATGGTGTAGGGTTGGCTAGTGAGTCATTTCTGCAGGCTTCAGGGCACAGGGGCTGTCCCTAGTTGCCTGGTACATTTTCCCCTTGCTCCCTTTGCTTCCTGACCAACCCTGGTGCCTCTCCATGTGGCCCTGTGTGGGGTGGGGTGGACTGTCCTCCTGCCCTATGAATATAATAAACTATCTTTTCATCATTTCCATGTCTGCATTCTTGTCCTACCTAAATAACAATAAAACCCACATTTAAAAACAAATAGGCAAGAGCTGTTCACACCATTAGAACCGCCATGGACTAAGGAGCCACTGAGGCCTTGCTTCTGGGCTGTCCTTGCTAAAGCTCCCCTGATGCTGGTGGGGTGACTTTCTGTCTCGTTGGCGGGGCACACCCCAGAGCCGAGACGAGGATGATGAGTAACAAGCATCTGCTCGGACCCAGCATTGTGCTCAGCAGCCTGCTGCTGCCTCTGAGGTTTACTCTCTGGCAAGGACACCTCAGTAAACCTAGGGGGAAGTCTCATCACCACCCAGAACATGCTCACTGGGTTCTAAACGGACACACCCTGCTTCAGAATCTGTCACGGAATCAATGACTTCATTTAATAATGAATCTCAGGCGGGGTGCAGTGGCTCACGCCTGTAATCCCTGCACTTTGGGAGGCCGAGGCGGGTGGATCACAAGGTCAGGAGTTCGAGACCAGCCTGGCCAACATGGTGAAACCCCGACTCTACTAAAAATACAAAAAAAAAAAAAAAAAAAATCAGCCGGGTGTGGTGGCAAATGCCTGTAATGTCAGCTACTCCAGAGGCTGAGGCAGGAGAATTGCTTGAACCGGGGAGGCGGAGGTTGCAGTGAGCAGAGATTGTGCCACTGCACTCCAGCCTGGACGACAAAGCTAGACTCTGTCTCAAAAAAAAATAATAGGCCAGGCGCTGTGGCTCACGCCTGTAATCCCAGCACTTTGGGAGGCCGAGGTGGGCGGATCACGAGGTCAGGAGATCGAGACCATCCTGGCTAACATGGTTAAACCCCGTCTCTACTAAAAATGCACAAAATTAGCCGGGCATGGTGGCAGGCGCCTGTAGTCCTAGCTACTCGGGAGGCTGAGGTGGGAGAATGGCGTGAACCCAGGAAGCAGAGCTTGCAGTGAGCCAAGCTCGGCCACTGCACTCCATCCAGCCTGGGCGACACAGCCAGACTCCCTCTCAAAAAAAAAAAAAAAATAATAATAATAATAATAATAATAATAATAATAATAATAAATCTCACCTCCAAGCAGACCTTTGTATTTTTCCCTCATGGCATGTGATAGATCATGATGAAAGAAAAGCCACCTTTACGGTCTTTGACTTATGTAGAAAACCCAGGCTTGAGGAGGTGGGAGAATTCAGCAGGTCCGGAAGCCAGCGAACAGGAAATCAGGGGGCTGCAGTTTGGCCCCTGGATTCCAACCCCCAGGCACCTTTTCTGCAGTCTAGGAGAGACTGTAAACCTCCACTACAAGTTTGACGTCAATTATCATTTTAACCCTTGTTCCTGAGCCTCCCTGTGTGGGGTGCTTGCCAGGCCTGAGACTTCAGTCATCCCAGAGTCTTTGCTCCCTCAGACACTTTTGGCATCAAATGAAAACTTCCAGCCAGGTACACAGTGGCTCACCCCTGTAATCACCACACTTTGGGAGGCTGAGGCAGGAGGATCACTGAGCCCTGGAGGTAGAGGCTGCAGTGAACTATATAATATGATGCCACCGCTGCACTCCAGCCTAAGCTACAGAGCAAGACCCTGTCTCAAAAATTTTTAAATTAAAATTAAATAATATATTTTTTTTTAATAAAAGAAACTTCCCCCACTGCAGCATCACTCCAGCCCCTCTCTCATTCCCATTGGTATTACAGGCGGCCTCAGTCAGCCCTCCCAGGATCTCAATAGCTGGAAGGCAGGACAGGGTTCCTGCCTTCTGCAGTCAGACCTCGGTGTAGCCACATCCGCCAAGTGCTGCTGAGAACCTCAGGAAAAAGGAGCCATTGGGCAGAGCTGGGGGAATCATCCTCCAAGTTTCACCATTTGGGGTCTAATATTTTGCTTTAAACAATGTTGCCAAGAATAGGAAATGCCGTTATCGTGTGGAAAGTCTGTCTCTTTCACTCCTGCCCGCCATAATTCCTGTGTGGTGAGCAAGAAACACTATAATATGAAAATCGACATGAGGGTTTCTTCAGGGAAGAGCGTCAGGACCGCACATGGTCCTCTTCCTGCGCGGGAAGGCGCAGGCTGAGAAAAGCTCCGCAGGGGATGGGGGAGGGGGTGCCGCGCCCCACCCGAGTCCGCCCACTCTACCCGTTGAAATTCTTGCTGTGCTCTGCACACCTTTGCAAGGAAACCCGTCGAGGTTGTCATTTTGAGTAAATATAAATATAAAATGAGGCCAGGCACAGTGGGTCACCCCTGTAATCTTAGCACTTTGAGAGGCTGAGGCAGGAGAATCACTTGAGCCCGGGAGTTCGAGACCAGCCTGGGCAACATAATGAGATTCCTTCCTTACGAAAAAGTCTTAAAAAATTAGCCAGGCGTGGTGGTGCGCGTCTGTGGTCCCAGCTACTCGGGAGGCTGAAGAGGGAGGATCACGTGAGCCCAGGAAGTAGAGGCTGCAGGGAGCCGTGATCACACCACTGCACTCCAGCCTGGGAGACAGAATGAGACTCTGTCTCAGATACATGAATAAATAAAAACACAGATGGCCAGGTGCGGTGGCGCTCACTCCTGTAATCCCAGCCCTTTGGGAGGCTGAGACGGGCGGATCACGAGGTCAGGAGTTCAAGACCATCCTGACCAACATGGTGAAACCCCATCTCTACTAAAAATACAAACATAGGCCGGGCGCGGTGGCTCACGCCTGTAATCCCAGCACTTTGGGAGGCCGAGACGGGCGGATCACGAGGTCAGGAGATCGAGACCATCCTGGCTAACACGGTGAAACCCTGTCTCTACTAAAAATACAAAAAAAAAATTAGCCGGGCATGGTGGCGCGCGCCTGTAGTCCCAGCTACACGGGAGGCTGAGGCAGGAGAATGGCGTGAACCCGGGAGGCGGAGCTTGCAGTGAGTCGAGATCGCGCCACTGCACTCCAGCCTGGGCGACAGAGCGAAACTCCGTCTCAAAAAAAAAAAAAAAAAAAAAATACAAACATTAGCTTGGTGTGGTGGCACATGCCTGTAATCCCAGCTACTCAGCAGACTGAGGCAGGAGAATCACTTGAACCTGGAAGGTGGAGGTTGCAGTGAGCGGATATTGACCCACTGCACTCCAGCCCGGGCGACAGAGTGAGACTCTGTAAAAAAAAAAAAAAAAAAAAAAACAAGAAAAACTCAAACACATTATAGTTTGAGTTTCCTTCTGGCTCATGTATATGTGTGAAATACATTGTATTTAAATAGAATTGTTTGCCCCAGAGAGACCCCTCACCCCTTTTGCCAAGTGAGGACACAGCCAGAAGGCATCATCTATGGAAGTGGGTCCTCACCAGACACCAAATCAGCCAGCACCTTGAAAATAGACTTCACTTCTCCAGAACTGTGAGAACTAAATTTCTCTTTTTTTGTTTTGTTTTGTTTTGTTTTTCCTTTTTTCTTTTTTTCTTTTTTTTTTTTTTTTTTGACACAGAGTCTCGCTCTGTCGCCCAGGCTGGAGTGCAGTGGTGCCATCTCGGCTCACTGCAAGCTCCGCCTCCCAGGTTCATGCCATTCTCCTGCCTCAGCCTCCCGAGTAGCTGGGACTATAGGCGCCCACCACCGTGCCTGGCTAATTTTGATATTTTTAGTAGAGATGGGGTTTCACTATGTTGGCCAGGCTGGTCTTGGACTCCTGACCTCGTGATCCACCCGCCTCGGCCTCCCAAAGTGCTGGAATTACAGGCGTGAGCCACCAAGCCCGGCCGTTTCTGTTCTTTACAAGCCATCCAGCCTATGGCATTTTATTATAGCAGCCCAAACAGACTAAGACATTACTTATGTTCCTTTTATCTGTTTCCCAATCTTGTAAATAAATAAAATAAATAAAAATCAATATAACTCGATTTTTCACATTTAAAAAGCAGCATCTTCTGTAACATTTTCATGTTAGAACATGAAACATAGAACTATGTCTTTCTTACCATAGCATAAGTTTTTAAAATTGAAGTTTTGGTGGTTGTGTTTATGGAAAGAAAAATTACCATTAGGGGACAAAGAAAGAGCTCCCGGAAACTCTTCATTTTTAGGAGACAGGGTCTTGCTCTGTCACCCAGGGTGGAGTGCAGTGGTGTGATCATAGCTCACTGCTGCCTCAAACTCCTGGGCTCAAGGGATTCTCCTGCCTCAGGCTCCGGAGAAGCTAGGATTGCAGTCGCACACCACCATGACTGGCTAATTTTTGTGTTTTTATTATAGTAAAGACAGGATTTCACCATGTTGGCCAGGCTGGTCTCCAACTCCTGGGCTCAAGTGATCCACCATCAGCTCTCCTTGAGTCTCTAGCCTGCTGGCCTGCCTGCCAACCTCCGTAATCTCATAAGCCAATTCCCTAAGATGAAAAGTCTCACTATACAATATACATACACATCCTATTGGTTCTGTTTCTCTGGAGAACTCCAACACAGCTCCACTCCTGGGCCTTGACTTCTGCTGTTTTTGCAAAGGTCTGCTGAGGTGCAGCCCAATTGTGAGCTCTGAGAAGGCCCTCCCAGCAGAGACCACTGTGCGTCCCAGACATGTGATGACCATTCTCATGGCAGGCTTCCCTCTAGAACATGGCCTAGCAGATCCCCGTTCTCTTTCTACATTTCCAATGTCTTTATGAAGATTTTTTTTTTTCTGAGATGGAGTCTCGCTCTGTCGCCCAGGCTGGAGTGCAGTGGCACGATCTCAGCTCACTGCAACCTCCGCCTCCCAGGTTCACACCATTCTCCTGCCTCAGCCTTCCGAGTAGCTGGGACTACAGGTGCCCGCCACCACACCTGGCTAATTCTTTGTATTTTTAGTAGAGATGGGGTTTCACTGTGTTAGCCAGGATGGTCTCGATCTCCTGACCTTGTGATCTGCCCACCTTGGCCTCCCAAAGTGCTGGGATTACAGGTGTGAGCCACCACGACTGGCCGAAGATTTTTTTTTAAATAATACAATCAACACTTTTATTGATTTCTGTGTTTGTTTTAAGCAGGAGAGCTGACCCAAGTGACCGAGGCCACCTGCAGCTGCTCTCTCCACTTGCCATGGGAGCCTCAGCCGAAGATGTGGGAATGAAGTAGTCAGGGCATTTGTTTCCATGAAAATCCTCTTTGTGAGGCCGCCTTGGCTGGCTGTGTCCCTCGGCTGAGTGTCCCTGCTCCTCTCAGGCACCCTCTCCCCACGGCTCCTACTTCACTGGTCCCTCAGGGCCTTGGGTGGCAAGAGCTCTGCTTCTGATGCCTGTGCCAGGCCCCTGCCCTGGGCTTTCCCGGAGCCTTCAGCCCAAACATACCTGGGTGATTAGTACTTTTGTAAATAAATGCTCTACAAATTACCCCAACTAAAGTGGACCGGCTCCAAAGTCCACACTGTGACAGCCATACCTTTAAAGTAACGACTGGCTTCCTCTTTCATCTGCATTGACCCTGTTTGCTCAATGTAATGTGGTCTTTAATTCAACGATTACATTTTGCATATGTAATATTTTGACTTGGTTCTTTTCGGTAGTTTCTTTGTCTTAGGTCTTATTACTAATAATATTTTTCTGTATCCAAAAAGATATTTATTGTGCTTATTAAGTATGTTTGGTCTGTCTTTTCCAGCAACTCTACTTCCAGTAGTGGATGCTGTGCAGCCTACTGTGTTTCGGTGGGCATTGGACTCTTAAGATAGGCAGCTGCTCCAGTGCACGTGTGTGCATTCCCTGGGCTTAGCAGCTCCTGGTCACCCTGTCTGCACTAGCAAGGCTCCCAGTGAGTCAACGAGGAGGGTGGCCCCAGAGCAGAGGGCCCCAGGCACGAAGCACCTCACTCACTCTCTCCTGCATCCTGCCACCCCACAAGCCACTCCTGCAGGCGGGCCTGCCGGTGAAAGCCCTGGAGGAGATCACAGTGGAAGAGGCCCATTTCCCTGGATAGCAACTGTCCCACCCAGGGGGGTTTCAGGAGGAGGATGGAGGGCACACAACACCGGTGGCTTGTGGGGCCCTCACACTGGCTGACACAGCCACCTTGCAATCCTGACACCTGAGCGGGACCAGGCAGCATTTGTCACGAGGTGTGGGAGGCAAGCAACAAGAGCAGAGTGTGAACAGCCTTCTTAAGTCTGGCTCCTGGCTGCCCCATCCTCCATTCCCAGCTACAGCCGCCCAGGGTAACTTCAGTTTCTCCAAGATTTTCTCACTGATTTTGGTTAGTTTCTGAAATGCACACTGCCTTCTCGCCTCCACAGCTCACCCAGGGTCGATTTTGGAGAGGGAGCCAGTAGCCCGTGCAGCACAACACATGGAGGCCTGGAGCCCCTGACGATGGGTCTAGGGAAAACCACGCAGGGGCCACTCCCAGCCTTTCCGTAGCACCACTCACTGGCCCTGCAGATCTGTTCTGTTCCCTGATGTCAGTATTGTGGCCTGGGGTCCTCCCTTGCCACTGACCAGATAGAATCTGGCCACACTAGAGACAGGCCAGCTAGAGCCTCTCAAGGCAGTCTGGGAAGGTGAGACAGGGCCGGAGGCCTCTGGAAACAGCTGCACTCATGGAAAGCACAAGGCTTCTGAGCTCTCTCTGGAGATGTGGGTTTGAATCCCTGTTCCAGTATTTACTACCAAGTGACCTTAGACAAGTTCCTAACCACGCTGGGCTTCGGGTTCCAGATCTATAAAAAGAGACTGAATGCGGCTTGTGGTCCTGAGGTGGGTTCCAGGCGCAGAAACCTACAGGCGCTGTGCTCCAGCAGGCCTGCGGAGCTCCTAGGTGTGGATTTGCAGCCACAGAATCGGAGGAGGCCAGAGGAACTTCATGGACAGGCAGGCCATTGCGTAACTCCATGCTTCACGTAGGAACATGCCTGCTGATGGACAAAGCACAAGTCACCACGTGAGGGAACTCCAGCCCAGCCAGCATGGGGCCACCATGGGCAGAGGGAAAGTGGCAGTTCTGGCAACAGCGGTGGCTAATGCTCTAAATCTGAACTGATCAAGTGCTAATTCCCACCTCAGGGCCCAGCAGTCCCACTCTGCAGCCCCATAACTGAGTTTGCCATCAGGAGAGGAAATGCTTTCTTCTCGCTTCCAGACACTGCTGAGCTTGTAAAGCCAGATACCGTGCTGGGCATAGGTGTCTGGCTCAGTGGCACCTCACCAGGAAGGAGGGAAGGAAGGCTCTGAGTTGGAAAGGAAACCTCTGCATTAGTGTCAGAGGGCTTCAAGACCAAGAGATTCTGCCGATCATTCCCATGAGACTTCACTTGTTCCCACCTGCTGGTGAGGGCCTGGGCTATCTGGGTGACAACAGGACTAGAAATAATTTGCACAGAACACCTGGATGGCACTTGGGGCACAATGTACCTTCAGTGAAGGGGGGCTGCCCTCTTTTTATTGTGAGTTCAGGTTGGGGGTTGCGGGAGAGCTGCGGTGCGAGGCCCTTCGAGAGTCCTGCTGACTCGCTAGGATACAAACCTGACTCAGACAGGTTTACAGGGGCAACTCAGAGTCTGGTTTATGGGCTCAGTGCTGGACCAGCAAGTCCTGGGTCAGCTAAGCCACAACCCCTACAAGCTGGAGCAAGCCACAGGGATGGGGGCTGGGTTTCTGGAGGCAGGGAGAGGGCAGGGCAGCGGGTACAGGGGGCAGTCAGCTGAGAGCTGACCCATGGGACACAGCTCTGGTACTGCTGACCGAAGACCTCAGCCCCCTTCACAGTTTACTTGCAAGCTGTCGAGGAGAGCCTCTGTGACCTGCGCACCTGGAAGATGCCGCTTCATCCCTGACCGGTGCACAACACCCAGCTCCAGGAGGACAGGCAGCTTCTTCCATGTGGGGAGGCCCTGGCCCCATTTTTCTGGAAGACTGCATGCCCTGGAGGACCCGAATGGGGCCTGAGTCTGCGCGACCCAACTTCCCAAGGAGAGTGACTTGGCTCCCATATGGTCAGCCTGGACCCTGCCCAGGGAGGAGGGAGACCTTCCCTCCCTGAGGAGCTGGAGACACAGTGGAGCATGGGAGATGGCTCTGGTGGGCCAGAAACCAGAGCCAGAAGCTTCTTGGGTGGTTTTTAGTTTGTCAGGCCTGAGGCAGGGGTGGCCTTGGGTGGACAGGAGAGCTCAGAGATGGAAACACGTCAGGAGTGTGCAGAGCTCAGCAAGGAGGCCGGCCTGAGGTGGGCATGCTTGTGGTAAGAGGCCAGGGGCCCTGGCCCTTCACAGGCTCCCCAGGAGAATCAGCAGCAGGAGGAACATGTGAGCAGCCAGAAGGGCTGCGCAGAGCCCGGGCTTGTGGACGATGCCCTGAGAGGTCATGCTGTCCAGGGCTGGGGGTGTTTCCTGAGGAGGAGCCAAGGCGGGATCTGGAGGGGTGCTCTCCCTCTTCTTCTGGCTGATCCAGTTGGTGAAGTAGGGGAGCCTGGTGAAGACCCTGGGACCGACGGGTGAGCAGCAGTCGAGGCTCCAACTAGACAGCCCCATCAGGAACCAGGTGCCATTTAATGGGCAGACGAGGGGACCCCTGGAGTCTCGCTGAGAACAGAGAGGACATGGGTGGTAGGGACCAAGACAGGGAGGGACACGCATTGTTCAGGGCACAGGAGGGGACCTTACGCTTCTCCAGGATGGAATGTGGGAAGCAAGGTGTGGGGCAGGTGTCTCCACTGTCTGAGTGAGTGGCGCTCATCAGTCACCTGGGCGATGTTAGAAGCCCAGACCCAGGAGGGACCTCCTGGATCAAAATCTCGAGCACGGGGCCCTGGAGCTTCACTCCACAAAGCTCCCAAGGAGACCCTGGGCAGAGCCTCCATCCTGGCAGTCACAAACCCATGAGAATAAGCAGGGGATTCTAGGAGATGGACATCCAGGCCTAGCCCTCCTGACCCCAGTGGGGAGAAGGCACTGCCTGTGGTCCCCAGGGTGGCTGGGTGCCAGCCTGGAGGAATGGCTGTGCCTTGGCCTGAATCTTCCTCCAAGCACTGCATCCCACCAGTATTTTTTTTTTTTTTTTTTTTTGAGACAGAGACTCGCTCTGTGCCCAGGCTGGAGTGCAGTGACGCGATCTCAGCTCACTGCAAGCTCCGCTTCCTGGGTTCACCCCATTCTCCTGCCTCAGTCTCCCGAGTAGCTGGGACTACAGGCACCCGCCACCACACCAGCTAATTTTTTGTCTTTTTAGTAGAGACGGGGTTTCACCATGTTAGCCAGGATGGTTTCGATCTCCTGACCTCGTGATCCACCCGCCTCGGCCTCCCAAAGTGCTGGGATTACAGGCATGAGCCACCGCGCCCGGCCATTTTTGTTCTTTTTTAAACTTTTTTTAAAAAATTAAAATGGAGATGGAGATCTTGCCATGTTACCAGCAGATCTTGAACTGATGGTATCAAGTGATCTTCCCGCCTTGGCCTCCAAGGTGCTGGGATTAAATCTAGTCCCAAATCCAGATGTCCTTCACTTATTAAGGTCTCTAGTGTTCCCTCCATTTCTTGGTTGAGCTTTTTAGAAAATGCCAGGCTGTGGGATGTGCTGAGGGGAAAAGAGGTGCTGCCCGTGCCCAGCGTGGGGGTAGGGCAAGTGCCAGGGGTTCCCAGGTGAGCGCGGGGGATTGTGAGTGTGGCAGGGCCCCCAAGCGGGGAAGTCCCTGACATCATGGGCAGAGCACCCGCATCCCATAGGCCAAAAAGGGAAACCCAAGGAAACAAGCATCCTCCTGCCATCTGTGCAATCAACATGACCAAGTCTTTCTGTGTGCACACAGCACTGAAGAGGCCCCGAGGGACCTTCCACATGAACAGACATCGCAGACGTGGGGTGTGGATCGGGGCGGCCTGGAAGGACCCCAGAAGGGCTGCTCTAATTCTAGAGCTTCTCTGAGCCAACACAGGAAGGAGGGGCAAGACCTGACTGTGCCAGCCCACAGCCTCCTCAGAGGGCAGGGAACCCATGGGACCTGGTGCAGATTCTGTCTGATAGGATGGTACTGGCCTGAGCCCCATCAGGACACAACTGCAGGAGAAGGGATGGCAGAGGCTGGCGGGAAATGGTCAACAGACGGGACTTGCCATATCTGACCCTTTCTCTCTGTCTAAGGAAATGGGGCAAGGCAGGGGAAGCAGGCCCAGTGGTGCACAGTGGGCTGTTGGTGTCAGGAGGCTGAAGGGCCCCTCCAAGGAGGAGAGCAGAGAGCAGGAGGGGCCGCCCACAGTGTCTGATGGGGGATGCTGCACCAACGCCTGACAGCATGGCTGTGGTGAGGACGGAGCCCAGGAAGCAAGAGAGGGCACAGGCAGGCACCCTGGGGTGAGCCCTGCTGGGATGGGTGGGGTGGGAGGAGGTTGTGGGGAGCAGGGAGGGTGCCTGTAGGGCATTTTGTGATGAGAGTCATCGAAGAATGTTTCTGCACCATGAGGTGACCAAAGAGAGAGAAAGAAAAAGAGGGAGGCGCAACAGAGGGAGAGGAGGCCGGGCACGGTGTCTCACACCTGTAATCCCAGCACTTTTGGGATGCTGAGGCAGGCAGATCACTTGAGGTCAGGAGTTTGAGACCAGCCCAGCTAACATGATGAAACCCCATCTCTACTAAAAATATAAAAATTAGCTGGGCGTGGTAGTGCATCCCAGTTACTCAGGAAGCTGAGGCAGGAGAATCACTTGAACCCAGGAGGCAGAGGTTGCAGTGAGCCGAGATTGCACTACAGCACTCTAGCATGGGCGATAAAGTAAGGCCCTGTATCAAAAAAAAAAAAAAAAAAAAAAGAGGGAGAGGATCCTGCAGGAGTCCTCCTGGGACCCACAGCTCCCAAGAAGGGCAGGGCCTCTCCAAGCTTGACTGTGGCTGTGACCCCTCACCTTGGGTGATACACTTCCTCTCTGGGCCTCAGTTCCCCGCACTATAAAATGAAAAGATTACACATAGTGGGATAAGACATTCATAATATATGAACATATCCAATAATGGGCTCATAGCCACAATAGATAAAGAACTCCTATGATTCAGAATGAAAGGCAGACAATCCCATAGTTGGCAAAAAACTTGCACGGACACTTTACAAAAGAGGCAATAAACATATAACAAAGGGCTTATCTTCACCAGTCACCAGAGAAATGCACATTAAAAACCATACACAAGAGTTCATATGAAAATGGCAGACAATTTGAAGGACTGGCAACAACAGGGTGCAACCTGAACTATCACTCACCAGCTGGTGGAAATGCAAATTGGTACAACCAGGTTGCAGAGTTTCTCAGATGATCAACGAGAGATGAACATGTGCATGTCTCATGGCAAGGCAATTCCATTGCCAGGGGGACCGCCAACCAGAATGGGAACCTATGTGCTCTGAAATGCATACACCAGGAAGTTCACAGCAATTCCATTTGCAACAGCCTCAGATGGGAACCACCCAAATGCCACCCACACTAGAATGGATGAGTAAATTGCAGTGTCTTTGCACAGTGGAATAGCATACGGCAATAAAAATGAACAATACAGACTGCACGCCAGATGGATGCATCCCACAGACACAACATTGACTGATGGGACCAGGCAAAAGCTTGCATACCATATGGCTTCACTCAGCTAAAAGTCCCCACATGAAGCTATGGTGCTTTAGAAAGCAGGCAGAGTTATCCTGGGGGAGTTAGCGTCAGGAATGGGCAAGGATGAAACCCACGGGTGCCGGGTACATGAGTGGTCAGTCTCTGAAAATTCCTCCACAGGACACTTGTACTTTTGCCCTTTCCTGTGCATGGTGTGCTTCAATAAGGTTTCTTTTTCCTTTCTTTCTTTTTTTCTTTTTTTTTTTTTTTTTTTGAGACGGAGTCTCACTCTGTCACCCAGGCTGGAGTGCGGTGGCATGATCTCAGCTCACTGCAACTGCCGCCTCCCGGGTTCAAGCGATTCTCCTGCCTCAGCCTCCCAAGTAGCTGGGATTATAGGCACGTGCCACCATGCCCGGCTGATTTTTGTATTTTTAGTAGAGATGGGGTTTCACCATGTTGGTCAGGCTGGTCTCAAACTCCTGACCTCAGGTGATCCACCCGCCTCGACCTCCCAAAGCGCTGGGATTACAGACGTGAGCCACTGTACCCTACCAACAACGTTTCTTAAAAGATACAAAAAAAACAGATGGGCCAGTGCTTGTTGGGAGTTTCTGTCCTGGCTCCGACACCTCAGGCTTGGCTGGGCTCAGGAAGAAGTCGGGGCTGGGGCAGGGTCCAGAGGAGACCCTGTGGCAGAGGCCCAGGGCAGCACAGGGGAGAGAGAGTGAGCCCACTCACTCGGCAAATGGCCTTTCCTGTTATGAGGTCCCCAGCGCACAGCATGTCCTCGTGGATGGTGTAGTCACTGCTGCTTGGCTGGCCGGGGTACTGGGGCTGGAAAAAGGATCCGCAGACAGTGTTGTCCATGACACCGACCTCTGCCTCCTGAAGTTGGAAGGGCTCAGGCAGGAAGACTGTGGGAGGAGATGTCAGATGTGGGAGGAGATGTCAGATGTGGGAGGAGGTGTCAGATGTGGGCCTCAACTGCAGCTGCAGCCAGAGGGAAGCCCTCCCTCCCCAGCCTGCTGGCCCAGGGAGAGCACACGAAGATAAGGGGACAGCCAAAGGGGGAGGGCCTGCAGTAGGAAGAACCAGGAGGGAGGCCAATGTGGCTGCAAGGGAGCAGGCGTGGGGTGAAAGGTGAGGTGCAGCCGCCTCAGGGCCCAGAGCAGGGGCCCTCCTAGCCAGGATGTGGTGTTGGAGGTGTCGTTCCAAGCACACTGGGACACAATAGAAGGGTCAAAAACAAGCCCTCTGGCTGCTAAGAGGAGGCAGAGCTGGAGGCAGGGAGGGTGGCAGCTGGATTGCCAGCCTGGCCGGTGGCATACCTAGCAGGTGCTGGGTGGGTTTGAGCAGTGTAGCAGTGTGACAAATCAGGCATGGCCCTTCCTCAAGGAGCAACTGGTCTGGGGACACTTGGGCTCTGTTTCCAGATGTCGCTCCCAGATCTGGCCTGGGGTCCCCATGTGGGAGCAGCGCGATGACAGGGGCCGACCCCTGCACAATGCCTGCCCTGTGTGGGCCTCATGTGTCCTTGGGGGCTGCCGGTGTGTGGAGAGAGAAGGATGACTAGAGCCCAGATCTCTCATCAAGGTCGGTGGCTCTCTGCTCAGTAGCTGATCCAACTAACTGGTGACTTCCCCAGGCCCTAGCTCCTCCTTTCCCACCTGGAGAATCTTCTCTGCCTTGATTCTTAGAGAATGACAGTCCCTTGGAGGCCGAGGAGGGCAGATCACCTGCGGTCGGGAATTCGAAACCAGCCTGACCAACATGGAGCAACCCGTCTCTACTAAAAATACAAAATTAGCCAGGTGTGGTGGTGCATGCCTGTCATCCTAGCTACTCAGGAGGATGAGGCAGAAGAATCGCTTGAACCCGGGAGGTGGGGGTTGTGGTGAGCCGATATCATGCCATCCCACTCCAGCCTGGACAACAAGAGCAAGACTCCGTCTCAAAAAAAAAAAAAAAAATAGTTTGAGAATGACAGTCCCAGGAGGCTGTCTTTGGAGGGCTGGCTGCTCTCATGACTAGGGCCACGTGACTGGCATTCAGTGGCCAAGGCAGGGAGGCCAGCTCTGGCCTGTTCATGGAAGAAAGTCCTGTCCCAAATGCCTCCTCTGAGATATTCTGCCAGATCATGACCCCACAAATAATGCCAAATTGCCATTCTACTTTTTTGCACTCATCATTACATTTCCCTAAATCAAAAGCATTCACTCTTTTGCTAGAGTCTTTGCCTAACATTTCTTCCCTCTCAGTCTACAAATATACAAATATATGACAAATATACTGGGTGAGCAGTGAGGTTCACATTCACAGAGATAAGTGTTCTTGAGCCATAAACACTTGGACTGGAGGACAGGCCTGCTCTTTTTTTTCTTGAGACAGAGTCTCACTCTGTTGCCAGGCTGGAGTGCAGTGGTGCGATCTCGGCTCACTGCAACCTCCGCCTCCCAGGTTCAAGCGATTCTCCTGTCTCAGCCTCCTGAGTAGCTGGGATTACAGGCAAGTGCCACCATGCCCAGTTAATTTCTGTGTGTGTGTGTGTGTGTGTGTGTGTGTGTGTGTGTGTATAAAATATATATACATATATTTTTTTTCTTTTATTAGTAGAGATGTGGTTTCACCATGTTGGCCAGGATGGTCTCGATCTTCTGACCTCGTGATCCACCCACCTCAGGCTCCCAAAGTGCTGGGATTACAGGCGTGAGCCACCGCACCCGCAGGCCTGCTCTTACTTGCTACTGATGCCCAGCACCTTCCACAGCTGTGGAAGCTCCAGTAGAGTTTGGTGAGGCCCTGGAGGAGGTCAGATGGCAGCAGGCCCTTGTAATCAGGGTGGAGTCAGAAACATTCAGAACCAGGGAATCCTGAATGGCTCAGAGTCAAAGAGCCCAAGTACCTGCCTCCAAAAGTGGGAGAAGCTCAGGCCGCTTGACCCATGCCAGGGGGAATTGTGACACTAGGGAGGACTGGCAGAGCCCCGAAGCGGCCTCCCGCACCTTCACCTGCATTGCCTGCCCTGCACTGCTCACCATCCTCGGTGACCATTCCCCAACCAGATATCCAGCAGGAGCTGTCAGGGGCCAGCCACGTGGTTGGTTCCGGAAGGCAGGCGGGGAGGATGTGGGAGCTGAATTCCACATGACGGTGCAGCTGCAGCAGGGTGATGTCACTCCCCATGCGGTGCAACTCGTTATAGTCAGCGTGCACCATGATCTTATTCACTGTCATCTGCTTGCTGTGCTCTGTGGGATGGCTTTGCTGGTCATACCCAAGCAGGATCCGGTAATCAGATGGGTTAGTGGACCTGTTGTGGGGAGGCTCCTCTGAATGCTGGGCCGGCACCCTCACCCCGGCTGCCCACCTGGAAGGCACCCAGACCCCACCATCACTCTGGGGTTTCTGTCTCCTCCCTTCCTCGTGTCAGATAGCCCTGCTTTGCTCTTGACACAAGCTTGAGGGCCTACAGCCTCAGGACACTTGGCCTTGGATGATTCCTGATGGCTTTCCCAGCATGCCCCAGACTCAAAGGAGTAGAGAATCTTAGTGCAGAAAACACTGGCGATGCATTACACTTCACCCCTTCATTTCAGAAAAGAAGAGACTTGGCTCATTCCTAGCTCTGACCAGAACCTTCCCAAGGCCCCATGACCTACAGCAATTCTCAAAGACCCTGTTTCCCTAGCCAGCATGCTCCACCCACTTCTCCCCGGTTCTCACACACCACCTTCTCCAAGGCTGCCCCACCTGGTGACAGGAACTCAGTAGGTATTTGTGAAGCACATGGAGGAGTTAATGGAACTGAACTTCTTGTTTCCAGAAAACGAGTGACTTTCCAACCCACAGGTCCTGGCTGTGTGGTTCTCCTCCCCCAACATGGCTGCATCCACCTCCCCCAAGGCCTCTCCTGCTCTAAGCCCCTGTCTGGCACAGGGTCTACCATGGTCCTGGGCTTGCGCCTCACTTTCCTGACAGGATGAGAAGCCTCAGAGTGGGGCTTGCATCTCTATGTACCACACAATGGGCCTCACTTGAGGCCTGGCACCTGTGGATGCTGAATAAATGAGTGGGACCTGAGGAGGATGCTACAGCCAGCTATGTCCAAAGCTCTGGCTTCCTGGCTCAGAATTGGACATCCTCCCTGACTCCCTTTGGGCACACAGCGAGCCCAGGAAGCATCGGAGGAGTAACTCAGTCTCTTGACCCTCTGCCTCACACCTCCTGGGACAGAGGCCATCTGTTTCATCCCTCACTCTGGTCTGTGGGGACGGTGGCAAATAATTCTCCAGAAGTGACAAAAACCCCCTGGTGGCTGGACATACAGAGTCGCAGGACCCTTCTGGGGAAGAATGTGCCAGCATATGTGGGTAGCCAGGACCTAGGGGAGCCTCCGGCAGGTGTTCCCCGGACAGCCTGCAATGAGCCCTGGTTGGAAGGGGCCAGGTGCTCGACCATGCCTGCCTGGCCCTGAGAAGCCCTGGGACTGTCACTCTGTCTTATCACCTGAAGTGTGTGTCAAGTGTGTGGCCTGGGACACTGCACACCCACTACCATTTACACAAGAAAAACCGAG
Organism: Homo sapiens; assembly: GCF_000001405.40. Lineage (NCBI taxonomy): Eukaryota > Metazoa > Chordata > Mammalia > Primates > Hominidae > Homo > Homo sapiens. The sequence goes on along the minus strand of NC_000002.12, from coordinate 130,573,010 downwards.
GCCCACTGAGATTGTGTGGATGGCCTAGAGCTGGGCAAGATGCAGAAACCAAAGTTCACCCTGAGGGGAACATTAGGATTTTGATTCCTAAAGTTTACAGCAGACGGAGAATGGGCTGGAAGTGGTTCCCTTTAGAACGAAAGTCTGTTTTCCTGTATTTATTGACAGTCCCAACTAGAGTGAGTTAATTTTCATTTAGCTATTTATTTTATTTTATTTTTGAGACAAGATCTGGCTTTGTGGCCCAGGCTGGAGTGCAGTGGCACAACCACATTTCACTGCAGCCTCGACCTCCCTGGGCTCAGGTGATCCTCCTGCCTCAGCCTCCTCAGTAGCAGGGACCACAGGCCTGCCCCATCGTACTTGGCTAATTTTTTTATTTTTAGTAGAGATGGGTTTTGCCATGTTGCCCAGGCTGGTCTTGAACTCTTGGGCTCAAGCAATCCACCTGCCTTGGCCTCCTAAAGTGCTGGGATTACAGGTGTGAGCCACCGTGACAGGCCTTAACTATTTATTTTTACTTTTAATTATTTACTTATTTTCAGACAGGTCTCATTCTGTCACCCAGGGTGGAGTGCAATGGTGTGATCACAGTCACTTGCAGCCTTGACCTCCCAGGCTCAAGTGATCCTCCCAAGTAGCTGGGACTACAGGCGCACACCACCAGGCCCGGCTAATTTTTGTACTTTTTGTAGAGATGAGGTGTCACTATGTTGCCCAGGCTGGTCTGGAATTCCTGGACTCATACAATCCTCCCACCTTAGCCTCCCAAGTACTAGGATTACAGGTGTGAGCCATCACACCCGGCTCCATTTAGCTATTTCAAAGTAATGTGCAATGTAATGAGGCAACCACACCATCTTAGCAGGCTGACCAATGTGGTGTGGGGTGGGGTGGGGTTGGGGAATGCCCAACCCCAGAGTGAGAGATGAGGTAGGAGCCTCTGCTTGGGAGATGCCACACAGTTGGTCAGGAGACTGGAGCAGAGTGACGAGCAGGGACAGCATTCCAGGCACAGGGCACTGCTGGGTCAAAGGCAGGACACCTGGGGCAGCAAACTGTCCCAGAACAAAGCGTACAAAGAAAAGACTGCGCCCTCACTTTGGGCTTCCCTCTTGCATGCACTCCCACAGCGGGGCCCGTGGAGGGAAGATGCATCTTTGGAAGCAGTGAGCAGCAGAGGCCACCCAGTTGCTGTCGATGAGGGCAGCTCCACAGATGTGCCCGCCTAGGTAGAGGAGACTGGCCTGCCATGGCCACCGCTAAGGCTCAGCCCTCTGGCCTCCAAAGATCTTCCCGGTGGGCCTCCCGGAGGAATTGCCGCTGAATCTGGCCTTCTCACACACTGTGGAGACAGCCCAGCAATGAGGTGCCTGCACGAAGGACGCCAGCCAGCCCCGGGTGCCCCCAAATATCAGGATCAACAGGACTCGGGGCCACCAGGCCCCTCCTCTCACTTCACAGGAGGGACAAGTCCAAGGCTCAGGTTGAAGCCACGTGGCCCATGTGACAGCACCACCTGGATGACCCGGGAGCACACAGCCCATGGCCCCCTGTCAGGGGCGACGGCCCGTGGGGCTACGGGGTGAGCACTGGGCCCGACTTTTCCCAGGCCTCAATGCCGTTTGTGATGGCGCAGAAGCTGCCTGCTACAGAAGGGATGTACTGCTCCACTGCGCGGCCCCTAAGCGGCAGTGCCCTCCCTTCCCGGCCCAGTGTTCTCCCAGACTGAAGCGAACGAGAGACAGTCCGCGCACAATCCCGTCTGCAGTAGCATTTCCCCATCCTGGAAATGAGGGTGTGTGGGGCGCTGGACTGTAGAGGCCTGAGATCCAACCCGGCAGAGCCAGCGGGGGAGCGCCCCGCCCTCTCCCCTCCTTCCAAAGGCGCCTTCCTCCCAGGGCCCGGAGAGCCAGACCTGGCCTGGCTGGGCCCTCCTGGCGGGTGTCCTCATCGGGCGGAGGGGGACGGCCACGAGAGGCAGGCGACCTCTGCTCCTCGCTCTGTCTGGGCCACCCCTGCCCGCTCACCTGCAGAGAGGGACGAGGTGGACTAGACGCGCAGCGGCAGGAGGATTGGCCAGAGGAGGGAGGCGGCCAGTGCGCAGTGCCCCCGCCGGCCCTGGCCTGAGCGCTCTGCCCCTGCTTCCCTCATCAGGCCGGTGGCCTGGGCGTCCCCGACGGGGCGGAGAGCGCGGGGCGTGGCCAACCGCGGGGCTCCAGGAAAACGCCTGCGTCCATCAGGATGCTGGGACTGGATCTCGCGCGGCGGGTGCGGGGAGCCCAGGTCGGTAGGAGGCAGGGGTCGCTGGAAACCCCCAGAGCATCACAGGGCCCCTCCCTCCAGGAAGTCCACTGTGCAGGGGAGACATGAAGGCAACTATGGCCCAAGCCCAGAAATATACAGTAATGATGAGAGGGCAAGTGCTTACATCACGTCATCAAGCATTTCCAGCTTGCTTTCCGAGTTCAACCCACTCCTCCATAAGGACGCCGGCTCAAGGGATTAGGTCAGGCCCACTAGGGACAATACAATATCCTTTTCTTAAACTCCAGCATACAACAGTCACGAGAGGGCTGTGCCATCTCAGTCACAGGTCCCTCCACACTCAACAGGAGGGTCATAGACAACAGCTGAGTGGCAGCGAGTCATCTTAGAATTCTACCTAACACAGCCCAACCTCCGGCCTCCAGTGACGCATGTCCCTCCCAATCCCCAAAATGCATTCAGCATACCTCAAGGTTACCAAGAGCCTCATCCTGTTACTGGAAAGGGGCCGATTCAGACATCAAGACAGGATTCTTGGATCTTGCAGAAGAAAGAGTTCGGGCGGGTCCATAAAGTGAAAGCAAGTTTATTAAGAAAGTAAAAGAATAAAAGAATGGCTACCCCATAGGCAGAGCAGTCCTGAGGGCTGCTGGTTGCCCATTTTTATGGTTATTTCTTGATTATATGCTAAACAAGGGGTGGATTATTCATGGGTTTTCAGGGAAAGGGATGGACAATTAACAGAACTGAGAGTTCCTCCCCCTTTTAGACCATGTAAGGTAACTTCCTGACCTTGCCGTGAACTGTCATGGCACTGGTGGGAGTGTCTCTTAGCATGCTAATGTATTATAACTAGTATATAATGAGCATTGAGGACCACCAGAAGTCACTCTCGTTGCCATCTTGGTTTTGGTGGGTTTTGGCCGGCTTCTTTACCCCAACCTATTTTATCAACAAGATTTTTATGACTTGTATCTTTTGCCTACCTCCTATCTCATCCTGTGACTTAGAATACCTAACCTCCTGGGGGCTGGCCACGGTGACTCACACCTGCAATCCCAGCACTTTGGGAGGCCGAGGCGGGCGGATCACCTGAGGTCAGGAGCTCGAGACCAGCCTGGCCAACATGGTGAAACCCCGTCTCTACTTAAAATACAAAAATTAGCCAGGCATGGTGGCGGGTGCCTGTAAGTCCCAGCTACTGGGGAGGCTGAGGCAGGAGAATAGCTTGGACCTGGGAGGCGGAGGCTGCGGTGAGCCGAGATCACACCACTGCACTCCAGCCTGGGTGACAGAGCTAGACTTTGTCTAAAAAAAAAAAAAAAAGGCCAGGCGCGGTGGCTCACGCCTGTAATCCCAGCACTTTGGGAGGCGGAGGCAGGCAGATCACAAAGTCAGTAGATTGAGACCATCCTAGCTAACACGGTGAAACCCCGTCTCTACTAAAAAATACAAAAAAATTAGCTGGGGGTGGTGGTGGGTGCCTGTAGTCCCAGCTACTTAGGAGACTGAGGCAGGAGAATGATGTGAACCCGGGAGGCGGAGCTTGCAGTGAGCCAAGACTGCGCCACTGCACTCCAGCCTGGGCAACAGAGCGGTGAGACTCCATCTCAAAAAAAAAAAAAAAAAAAAAAAAAAAATGCTTAACCTCCTGGGAATGCAGCCCAGTAGGTCTCAACCTCATTTTACCGGCCCCTATTCAAGATGGAATTGCTCTGGTTCGAACGCTTCTGGCAATCTCATTAGAGTCTCAACTTAAAATTCAAAATCTCATCATCTAAATCTAAATAGAATTATCTCATCAGCTCAAAATCCACAATCTCATCATTTAAATACTCCAAATAGAATATGGATGAGGTTCCCAGCTGTAATCTGCTAAACACAGCCCTTGAGTACAATTCTTCCTCACCTGTGGACCTATGAAATTAAAGAAACTTCCTACCCCAACATTCTGCACATACAATGACAAGATGGGCACAGCATAATGCTCAAAAGGAAGTTGGGGGAATGGACAGTGAAAAGCAGTTACTGGTCCGTAACAGCTTTTATATCCTTCTGGACAAACTCCATTAGGTTTCAAGGCCTGGGAGAAAATTCTCTGTGGCTCTCAGCTCTGGTCATCCTTCCTTTTTTATACAAAGTAGCACGTTTGCATCCAAGTAGTTCTATTGCCTTGCTTCCCGCAAGTGGAATTCTGGGGGCCTTCTTTCATGGTGTACTTTCCCTGTCCCTGTCAGTATGAGCTGGGAATGTTCTGCTGACATAAACATCTCAAGAACCTCATAGTCCTTGTAAGTGTGTTTCACCAGTTTCACTTCATTAGATAAAGTCACATGCACAATATTTTTGAGATAGTCCCTCCTCCACCTGGGCCTCCTGCTGAGATGGCAGCGGGCTTGGGGCCCTCTGTTGTGACTATACCTCAATGTCTTGAAAGGGCCCTTTGATCGACTGACTTTTCTGACCTCTTGGTCTTTCTGGGGTCTTAGCAGAACATTATAGTGTCGACCTTTTCTCTGTGCTGTGGTTTCAGTGACCATCTCTGACTTTTAGCATCTTTTGACATCTGGAGAGGCTAAGAATTTTCAAAACCCTCCAGTCCTGGTTCCTTTTGGTTTAGCAGTTCTTGCCTCAGTTTATCTCTCTTCCTTCACATTTTGCTATAAGTAGCAAGATGAAACCAGGTAGCACCTCAAAGCGTTGCTTAGAAATCTCCTAAGCCACATGAAACTGCCTTTGCAAAATTATAACTGTAAGAGAAATCTGACATAGTTGACTCCATCTTGCTTCTGACCTCCAAGCTGTCCTTGGTCATTCCTGGGGCTAAGCCAAGCTAACTTTGAGAAGAATTTAGTTTATAGTTTAATTTGAAAGCAAGGATAATAATAGCTCCTCCCGAAAACTAATCCCTTCCTTGCTCAGGGACTGAAAACCACCTTTGGTAAGACTAACGAAAGGCCACAAGAATAGGATTATGGGAGGGGACTAAATTCTGATAAGGTAGGCATAGTTTCTATAATCCCTTACAGCTCAGGAGTCAGATGGCCAGAGGTCACAAGATTTGTGACTCTTCCAATTGCTCCTGTAGATAATGTCACTATTGTAGAACCTAAGATCGTTTTTTTTTTTTTAGATTTTTCAGACTGACCCCACCTAGACTTGTGACTCATGACTCAAATGGCCCTGTGACCCCACCCAGAGGTGGACTCAGTGCACGGGAACCATTTTCCACACCTCTATAATTTCATCCCCAACCAATCAGCTGCACTTATTCCCTAACCCCCTGTCCATCAATTGTCCATAAAATCCCCTGGCTTCTGAGCCTTCAGGGAGACCAATTTGAGTGAGAATGCCAGTTCTCCTGTGTGAGCTGGGCTTGGTCAATGAAAGTCTTTCTCTACTGCAACAGCACAGTCTCAGTAGATTGATTTTGTCTGTGCAGCAGGCAGGAAGAACCTGTCTGGTGATATGTGATTACACATATGTGCAAACAGGCCCCTGAAAGTTTGCTCCCTACACAGCAGCTGGACACAATTTCTGCTGTGACGCCACCAGGACCTACCCCGTTTCCAGTGGCATACCCCCCACCTGGTGAGCTCTCAACCATGGAAGCCTTAAATTCTAGATTTCTATGCACAGTCTATCCGAGGAAATAGAGGCTTTCCCTAAGGTAGTTTAAGTTTTTTAAATGAGGTTCCTCAAAATATTTCCAGGCCCCATCCACTGCCCAGTTCCAAAACTACCGGCATATTTTTAAATGTTTCTTACAGCAGCACCTCATTCCTGGAACCAAAATTCCTATTAGTGTTCTGTTGCCGTGCAACAAATTGCCACAAACCTCGTGGCTTAAAACAACACAAATATATGACCATGCCATGCCCATGGGTGAGGAGTCTGGCATGGCCCAACTTGGTTCTCTGCTGAAGGTCTCATGCTCAAGGTGTCGACTGGCCACAAGTTCTCTGAAGGCTCTGCAGAAGAATTTGCCTTCCAGCCCATTTAGGTTGTTGGCAAAATTCCGTTTCTTGCAGTTGAATGACTGAGGCACTCATTTGCTTGTTGGGAGCCACTGTCGACTCCTGTAGGCCACTTGGCTGCTTCCCACAGGCCCTCTCACAATACCGCAGCTTTCTCCTTCAGGGGTAGCCTCAGGATCTCTTGCATCAAATCCTTCCTAGGCTTTGAATCTTTGACTTCTCCTGTTTGTGACCTCTAGACCCAGATACAAAGGACTCCCATGATTTGGTCTGAACTTTCAAGGACATCACCCTTCCTTAATCAATAATCTCCCTTTCTTAAAGTGCTATATGGTTAACACAGTCACAAGACTGATAGCCCATTATATTCACAGTCCCTCCCACCCTTGTGGGGAGGAATTACATAGGATGTGGGTTGTTGAGGGTTAGCTTAGAATTCTCCCTACCACAGTCTCCTATGAGACAGATTCTGCTAACGCAGACACGAGATGCAGAAAAGTAAATTGATAATTTCCTTTTTTTACTTTTTTATTTTTTATTTTTTTTGAGACAGAATCTTGCTCTGTCGCCCAGGCTGGAATGCAATGGCGCAGTCTCTGCTCACTGCATCCTCCACCTCCCGGACTCAAGCCATTCTCCTGCCTCAGCCTCCCAAGTAGCTGGGATTGTAGGCACATGCCACCACGCCCAGCTATATTTTGTATTTTTCGTAGAGATGGGATTTCTCTATGTCGGCCAAGCTGGTCTAGATCTCCTGACCTCAGGTGATCCGCCCACCTCAGCCTCCCAAACTGCTGGGATTACACGCATGAGCCACTGTGCCCAGCCCTTTTTTTTTTTTTTTTTAATAGTTTCACTCTTGTAGCCCAGACTGGGGTGCAATGGTGCAATCTCGGCTCACTGCAACCTCTGCTTCCTGGGTCCTGGGTTCAAGGCTGGTCTTGAACTCCTGACCTCATGTGATCCACCTACCTCGGCCTCCTAAAGTGCTGGGATTACAGGAGTGAACCACTGCACCTGACCAATTGATGATTTCAATGTACTGTGAAAAGAACCAGAATAAACACAGGCAAAAGAGTCTCAAGTTTACACATGGAACAATGGTGTATTTCTAACTTATCTACTTTTATCTACCCTTTAAAAAATACTTGATCTTTTTATACTCTCTGAACTGTTTCTTTTCTTTGTAAATCATACATCTGATAAAAGGTTAATATACAGAATATTTTCTTTTTAAACTTCTACAACTGAACAACAAGAATCAAAGAACCCAATTCAAAAACGGGCACAGGACTTGAATAGACATTTCTTTTTTCTTCTTCTTCTTCTTTTTGAGACAGAGTTTCACTGTTGTTGCCCAGGCTGGGGTGCAGTGGTGCGATCTTGGCTCACTGCAACCTCTGCCTCCCAGGTCCAAGCTATTCTCCTGCCTCAGCCTCCTGAGTAGCTAGGATTACAGGCGCCTGCCACCACGCCCAGTTAATTTTTTTTGTATTTTTAGTTGAGACGGGGTTTCACCATGTTGGTCAGGCTTGTCTTGAACTCCTGACCTCAGGTGATCCACCTGCCTCGGCCTCCTAAAGTGCTGGGATTACAGGCGTGAGCCACTGCACCCGGCTTTGAATAGACATTTCTCTAAAGAAGATATACAAATAGCCAATAGCATATGAAAAGATGCTCAACATCACTAATCATTAGGGAAATGCAAATGAAAACAATGAGATACTACTTCACATCCCTTGGGATGACTACCATTAAAAACACAGAAAATAAAAACCGTTGTTGAGGATGTAGAGAAACCGGAACCCTGCGCACTGCTGTTGGGAATCTGAAACGGTGCAGATGCTGTGAATGCCAGTTCCTCAAACAATTGAACATCAAGTTTAAAAATAAAACTTAAACTTCACTTAAAATTTAAACGTAAAATTATGGTAGTTCCTCAAAAAATTAAACAGAATTACCCTTTGGTCAGCAATTCCACTTCGGGGTATACACCCGGAAGAATTGAAAGCAGGGTCTCAAAGCGACAATTGTCTGCCTAGAAGCATCATTCACGAAGCCCAGAGGTGGAATCAACCCAAGCGTCCATCTGTAGATGAATGGATAAATAAAATGTGGTATAAACACTCAGTGGGATAGTATTCACCCTTGAAAAGGAATGAAATTCTGATGCATAGTACAACGGCTGAACTTTAAAGACATTAAGTGAAAGAAGGCAGCCACACCAGCACAGGCACTGTGGGGCTCCACTCCCATGAGGTGCCTCGAGAGGCCAGAGTCCTAGAAACAGGAAGTAGAATGGTGGGGGCTGGAGGGAGGGGAACAGGGAGTTCGTGTTGAATGGGGACAGAGCGTCAGTTTGGGAAGATAAAAAGGTCCTGGAGATGGACGGTGGTAATGGCTGCACAACAGTGTGAATGTACCTCATGCCACTGAACTGTACACTTAAGACTGGTTAAAATGACAAATTTATGTTATGTATATTTTACCACAATTTAAAAAATACTGGAAAAAAGTAATGTGTCCCTCCCCAATATAGCCAGAGGTGTAGAGGATGAGACTGAGAATTGTATAGGGAAGCTAGAGGGGGTGGGCAACGCAAGAAGTCTGAGGGTGGCCACAGAGGAGGCGCCCGGAGTGGGGTGCGGAGGTGTCACACAGGGTGGGTGACACTGGGCGGGGCCGAAACACACTAGGCGGGTGGGTGAGGACGAAGGTGGCCTGGCCCCAGGAAGCTGCAGGAACACTGTCTTCAGGGAGGTGAAAGGGGCTTTGGAGAGCTGGGGTGCTGGAATGCACTGCTAACCATCTGGGCTGTTCCTCAGGCATCCAGGGACCACACCTCCCACACCATGTCACCTCACAATCATGCGCATTGTCAGTTTGCAGATGAGGAGCCTGAAGCCAAGGAAAACCCACCTCATGTGGGGAGCATGGGCATGGGGAGCATGGGCGTGGGCAGGCCTGCTGGCCACCTGCCCCTCTGTGTCCTGCTGCTGGTCCTAAGCACGACCCCTCTTGCCTGGCCCAAGCTGCTCCCAAGTGAGCGCAGAAGAAAGATATTGTTCAGTCTGGATACGGGACAGGGTTGCCACAGTCACAAGCTGGGTGGGCCTACAGAGTAGGAGGTTCCCAGTGACAGCCTGTAGTGCGTGAGCAGAGGTGGGACTCCAGGCAGGCTGTGGGCACCCAGTGGGGCAAGTGCCCTGAAGCCTCACAGCCACCCCTGCACTCCCCCTCACAGACGAGGTGCCAGCATCACCCAGTGGCACAGTGACCTGCAGGCAGGTTCAGGGCAGCACTGGGCCTCAGCGGAAGGGCTCTGGTGACCAATGCCCTCACGGCCTCTCTCCACAGGCTCAAGGTGCCAAGGGGCTGTGCTCTCCCATGCCATGCCCTGCATGCCAGACCAGACAGCGCCTTCCTCTTCTCATTGCATTCTCACCACCAGATGGTTTTTCCTCTGTCTGTTTTCCAGGAATAAGTTGCTCTGAGCTTGCCACGAGGTGGCAGTGTTAAACTGTTTTATAAGGGCCTAATCAGCTTGTAGGCCCGGGACCTAAAATCACAGCCCCAAACCCTGGACTGGTACCTACTGTTCCCTCCATCAGCAGCCTCAGTTTACCTGTGGCTCCCGCATCCCCTCCAAGCCATCCACACCACCCCAGACCCGCAGGAGCATCCTGTTTCTCCTCCTCCCCTCGGGAGGGAAAGTTCACTCTTTCTGGGAATCCCTTTAGCGCTCAGTGGGGACTTTCGAGTTCCCCCCTCTCTTCCTCTGTGGGTCCCCGGGTGTGCCAACCACCTTTCTCACTGTATTCATCAGTGTTCTCCAGAGGCAGAGAACTAATAGGAGATATATATATATCTCCTATATATATATATAAAATATATAAAACATTTATATATATATATATATATATATATATAAAAGGGAATTTATTGAGAATTGACTCCTTTATTAAGGAGAATTGACTCACGTGATCACAAGGTGAAGTCCCATGATAGGCCATCTGCAAGCTGAGGATCACGGAAGCCAGTAGTGGCTTAGTCTGAGTCCAAAAACCTCAAAAGTAGGGAAGCCAACAGTGCAGCCTTAAGTCTGTGGCCGAAGGCCCGAGAACCCCTGGCAAACCACTGGTGTAGGTCCGAGAGTCCAAAAGCTGAAGAACTAGGAGCCTGATATGCAAGAGCGTGAAGCATTCAGCACGGAAGAAGGATGAAGGCCAGGAGACCCAGCAAGTCAGCTTCTTCCACCTTCTTCTGCCTGCTTTTTCTAGCCACACTGGCAGCCTACTGGATGGTGCTCACCCACATTACAGGTGGGTCTTCCTCTCCCAGTCCACTGACTCAAATGTTAATCTCTGCTGGCAACACCCAGAAACAGCCAGAAACAATACTTTGCATCCTTCAATCCAATCAAGTTGACACTTAATATTAACCACTAACCACCACACTCACCTTCCCCGCTGCTCTGCAAGCACTGTTGGGGCAGAGGCCACGTCTCACTTGTGTTGCTGACGGCATGGGCAGTGGGAGATGTTGCTCTCTGAGGCCTCTGTGACTGCCTCCTCCTCCCCAGCCATGGTGATGAGGCTGGAGGAAGGCAGTGACTGCCATTCCAGAGAGATGTTGTTGCAGGATCAGGAAGAACAGAGGGGCAGGGTTGAGAGGCGCCATCTCACACTGCGCACCCCTGTGCAGGGCCTCCCGTCTGAGACTGAGGTTGGTGTCACATGGTCCCCTGATGCCTTCAGATCATCTACAGGGGCACAGACTATGTTCCATTCTATGTTGAGAGTGAGGGGTGCCGCTACCCTGCCTGCATGTTGTCTGAGAGAGGAAAGTGCTCTTATTCTTTGGACATAGTTCCAGAGGACTCGGGTCACTGGTGTTGAAGGCAAAGCATCCCTTCCCTGTCTCAGCTATATTTGAAGAAACCTTCAGTGCCTGCCTTGACAGAGCAGGTTCCAGTAAGTGGCAGGTGAAGACACCTGGAGAAGTGAGGCTGTCCACTCCTGCTGGCATCAGATGTGCTGGTGCTACAGGGATGGTGACAACAGATGGCTGTCCTACCACATGACCAGGAGGGGAACACAGCTCCTTATGCTACCTACAACGCAACACATCTAGATCCAAACAAGAACCCGCCTCCTCCTCAGTGCCGAGGGTCCACCTCCAAAGTGGTGCCTGAATGAACTTAGCAAACCTCACAGCACTTGACGGGAGACCGGCCCACCCTGTAGGGCCTAGGCTCCTCTGAGGGTCCCGTGACCACTCCAGCAGGGCCTTCTCACACGCTGCTGGGGAGTGTAGGGTGGATGCTGTGGAGGGCAACACGGCGCATCTCGTACAGCTGACCATGTGATTCCTCCTGCTAGAGAAACATCCTAGGTGAACATTCAGACTCCACCTAGCAACCTTGTCACTGCCCTGCTTGTAAGACTGGAAAAAAGCAAAAACATCCATCAAGGAGCAGCGGAGAAATAAGTGGTGAGGTGCCCAGAGAAGGGAACGCTGTAGAGCATTTTCATAGAATGAACTAGGCCTGTGAATGGCAACAGCGTTGGCCCGGAAGGTGGGATGTTGAGTGGAAAATGCCAGCAGTAGAATGAAGCAACCATACCAAATATAGAATAAATGCTATATATAGTTCAGGGACCATGTATTTGCAGCAAAAGTTCAAAAATATGGGCAGGAGGAAGATACAGTAACTTCAGGGTGGATACTGTGCAGGGAGGGAGAGAATAGGCCAGAGGATGGTGACAAAGGGGTCTGTAACTGTATGTGAGAGGCTTTGCTGTGTTAAAAAATGTATACAATATGTAATATATGTTTACATGTAAATATATTTATATCTAGTTATATGTAACATAAAACGTTATATAAAAATAATTAGAAGCAGGCCAGACGCGGTGGCTCACACCTGTAATCCCAGCACTTTGGGAGGCCAAGGCAGGTGGGTCAGTTGAGGTCAGGAGTTCAAGACCAGCCTGGCCAACATGGCAAAACCCTGTTTCTACTAAAAATACAAAACTTAGCTGGGCGTGGTGGCACGCACCTGTAATCCCAACTACTTGGGAGGCTGAGGCAGGAGAATCGCTTGAACCCGGGAGGCGGAGGTTGCAGTGAACCAAGATTGCACCACTGCACTCCAGCCTGGGCGACAGAGCAAGACTCCGTCTCTAATAATAATAATAATAATAATAATAATAATAATTGGAAGCAAATATGGCAAAATGTGAACATTCGCTAATCCTGGATAGTGGGTCCATGAGTGTCTGCTAATCCTGGTCTGCATTTCTCAGTGTATTTCAAATACTGCACAGTGCTAGTAAAAGAACAAAGTGTTTGCTATAAATTATTTTTTTCTAGAGATGGAGTCTCACTCTGTCACCCAGGTTGGAGTCAACCCCAACCTCCTGGGCTCAAGCGATCCTCCTGCCTCAGCCTCCCAAGTAGCTGGGACTACAGGCATGCATCACCAGGCACGGCTAAGGTTTTAATTTTAAAAATTTTTTTGGAGAGACAGAGTCTCACTATGTTGTCCAGGCTATTCTCAGACTTATAACCTCAAACTTCTGGCCTCAAGTGATCCTCCTGCTTTGGGCTTCCAAAGTGCTGGGATTACAGGTGTGAACCGCTGTGCCCGGCCTTTTCAGTATATTTCAGATAGGTCACAGTGCTAATACAAGAGTGCTTACAAAGCGTTTGCTGTAAATTAATCTTTTTTTTTTTTTTAGACAAGTCTCACTCTGTTGCCAGGCTGGAGTGCAGTGGTGCAATCTCGGCTCACTGTAACCTTCGACACCCTGGTTCAAGTGATTCTCCTGCCTCGGCCTCCCGAGTAGCTGGGATTACAGGTGTGAGCCACCGCGTCTGGCCTGCTTCTAATTATTTTTATATAACGTTTTATGTTACATATAACTAGATATAAATATATTTACATGTAAACATATATTACATATTGTATACATTTTTTAACACAGCAAAGCCTCTCACATACAGTTACAGACCCCTTTGTCACCATCCTCTGGCCTATTCTCTCCCTCCCTGCACAGTATCCACCCTGAAGTTACTGTATCTTCCTCCTGCCCATATTTTTGAACTTTTGCTGCAAATACATGGTCCCTGAACTATATATAGCATTTATTCTATATTTGGTATGGTTGCTTCATTCTACTGCTGGCATTTTCCACTCAACATCCCACCTTCCGGGCCAACGCTGTTGCCATTCACAGGCCTAGTTCATTCTATGAAAATGCTCTACAGCGTTCCCTTCTCTGGGCACCTCACCACTTATTTCTCCGCTGCTCCTTGATGGATGTTTTTGCTTTTTTCCAGTCTTACAAGCAGGGCAGTGACAAGGTTGCTAGGTGGAGTCTGAATGTTCACCTAGGATGTTTCTCTAGCAGGAGGAATCACATGGTCAGCTGTACGAGATGCGCCGTGTTGCCCTCCACAGCATCCACCCTACACTCCCCAGCAGCGTGTGAGAAGGCCCTGCTGGAGTGGTCACGGGACCCTCAGAGGAGCCTAGGCCCTACAGGGTGGGCCGGTCTCCCGTCAAGTGCTGTGAGGTTTGCTAAGTTCATTCAGGCACCACTTTGGAGGTGGACCCTCGGCACTGAGGAGGAGGCGGGTTCTTGTTTGGATCTAGATGTGTTGCGTTGTAGGTAGCATAAGGAGCTGTGTTCCCCTCCTGGTCATGTGGTAGGACAGCCATCTGTTGTCACCATCCCTGTAGCACCAGCACATCTGATGCCAGCAGGAGTGGACAGCCTCACTTCTCCAGGTGTCTTCACCTGCCACTTACTGGAACCTGCTCTGTCAAGGCAGGCACTGAAGGTTTCTTCAAATATAGCTGAGACAGGGAAGGGATGCTTTGCCTTCAACACCAGTGACCCGAGTCCTCTGGAACTATGTCCAAAGAATAAGAGCACTTTCCTCTCTCAGACAACATGCAGGCAGGGTAGCGGCACCCCTCACTCTCAACATAGAATGGAACATAGTCTGTGCCCCTGTAGATGATCTGAAGGCATCAGGGGACCATGTGACACCAACCTCAGTCTCAGACGGGAGGCCCTGCACAGGGGTGCGCAGTGTGAGATGGCGCCTCTCAACCCTGCCCCTCTGTTCTTCCTGATCCTGCAACAACATCTCTCTGGAATGGCAGTCACTGCCTTCCTCCAGCCTCATCACCATGGCTGGGGAGGAGGAGGCAGTCACAGAGGCCTCAGAGAGCAACATCTCCCACTGCCCATGCCGTCAGCAACACAAGTGAGACGTGGCCTCTGCCCCAACAGTGCTTGCAGAGCAGCGGGGAAGGTGAGTGTGGTGGTTAGTGGTTAATATTAAGTGTCAACTTGATTGGATTGAAGGATGCAAAGTATTGTTTCTGGCTGTTTCTGGGTGTTGCCAGCAGAGATTAACATTTGAGTCAGTGGACTGGGAGAGGAAGACCCACCTGTAATGTGGGTGAGCACCATCCAGTAGGCTGCCAGTGTGGCTAGAAAAAGCAGGCAGAAGAAGGTGGAAGAAGCTGACTTGCTGGGTCTCCTGGCCTTCATCCTTCTTCCGTGCTGAATGCTTCACGCTCTTGCATATCAGGCTCCTAGTTCTTCAGCTTTTGGACTCTCGGACCTACACCAGTGGTTTGCCAGGGGTTCTCGGGCCTTCGGCCACAGACTTAAGGCTGCACTGTTGGCTTCCCTACTTTTGAGGTTTTTGGACTCAGACTAAGCCACTACTGGCTTCCGTGATCCTCAGCTTGCAGATGGCCTATCATGGGACTTCACCTTGTGATCACGTGAGTCAATTCTCCTTAATAAAGGAGTCAATTCTCAATAAATTCCCTTTTATATATATATATATATATATATAAAAATGTTTTATATATTTTATATATATATATAGGAGATATATATATATCTCCTATTAGTTCTCTGCCTCTGGAGAACACTGATGAATACAGTGAGAAAGGTGGTTGGCACACCCGGGGACCCACAGAGGAAGAGAGGGGGGAACTCGAAAGTCCCCACTGAGCGCTAAAGGGATTCCCAGAAAGAGTGAACTTTCCCTCCCGAGGGGAGGAGGAGAAACAGGATGCTCCTGCGGGTCTGGGGTGGTGTGGATGGCTTGGAGGGGATGCGGGAGCCACAGGTAAACTGAGGCTGCTGATGGAGGGAACAGTAGGTACCAGTCCAGGGTTTGGGGCTGTGATTTTAGGTCCCGGGCCTACAAGCTGATTAGGCCCTTATAAAACAGTTTAACACTGCCACCTCGTGGCAAGCTCAGAGCAACTTATTCCTGGAAAACAGACAGAGGAAAAACCATCTGGTGGTGAGAATGCAATGAGAAGAGGAAGGCGCTGTCTGGTCTGGCATGCAGGGCATGGCATGGGAGAGCACAGCCCCTTGGCACCTTGAGCCTGTGGAGAGAGGCCGTGAGGGCATTGGTCACCAGAGCCCTTCCGCTGAGGCCCAGTGCTGCCCTGAACCTGCCTGCAGGTCACTGTGCCACTGGGTGATGCTGGCACCTCGTCTGTGAGGGGGAGTGCAGGGGTGGCTGTGAGGCTTCAGGGCACTTGCCCCACTGGGTGCCCACAGCCTGCCTGGAGTCCCACCTCTGCTCACGCACTACAGGCTGTCACTGGGAACCTCCTACTCTGTAGGCCCACCCAGCTTGTGACTGTGGCAACCCTGTCCCGTATCCAGACTGAACAATATCTTTCTTCTGCGCTCACTTGGGAGCAGCTTGGGCCAGGCAAGAGGGGTCGTGCTTAGGACCAGCAGCAGGACACAGAGGGGCAGGTGGCCAGCAGGCCTGCCCACGCCCATGCTCCCCATGCCCATGCTCCCCACATGAGGTGGGTTTTCCTTGGCTTCAGGCTCCTCATCTGCAAACTGACAATGCGCATGATTGTGAGGTGACATGGTGTGGGAGGTGTGGTCCCTGGATGCCTGAGGAACAGCCCAGATGGTTAGCAGTGCATTCCAGCACCCCAGCTCTCCAAAGCCCCTTTCACCTCCCTGAAGACAGTGTTCCTGCAGCTTCCTGGGGCCAGGCCACCTTCGTCCTCACCCACCCGCCTAGTGTGTTTCGGCCCCGCCCAGTGTCACCCACCCTGTGTGACACCTCCGCACCCCACTCCGGGCGCCTCCTCTGTGGCCACCCTCAGACTTCTTGCGTTGCCCACCCCCTCTAGCTTCCCTATACAATTCTCAGTCTCATCCTCTACACCTCTGGCTATATTGGGGAGGGACACATTACTTTTTTCCAGTATTTTTTAAATTGTGGTAAAATATACATAACATAAATTTGTCATTTTAACCAGTCTTAAGTGTACAGTTCAGTGGCATGAGGTACATTCACACTGTTGTGCAGCCATTACCACCGTCCGTCTCCAGGACCTTTTTATCTTCCCAAACTGACGCTCTGTCCCCATTCAACACGAACTCCCTGTTCCCCTCCCTCCAGCCCCCACCATTCTACTTCCTGTTTCTAGGACTCTGGCCTCTCGAGGCACCTCATGGGAGTGGAGCCCCACAGTGCCTGTGCTGGTGTGGCTGCCTTCTTTCACTTAATGTCTTTAAAGTTCAGCCGTTGTACTATGCATCAGAATTTCATTCCTTTTCAAGGGTGAATACTATCCCACTGAGTGTTTATACCACATTTTATTTATCCATTCATCTACAGATGGACGCTTGGGTTGATTCCACCTCTGGGCTTCGTGAATGATGCTTCTAGGCAGACAATTGTCGCTTTGAGACCCTGCTTTCAATTCTTCCGGGTGTATACCCCGAAGTGGAATTGCTGACCAAAGGGTAATTCTGTTTAATTTTTTGAGGAACTACCATAATTTTACGTTTAAATTTTAAGTGAAGTTTAAGTTTTATTTTTAAACTTGATGTTCAATTGTTTGAGGAACTGGCATTCACAGCATCTGCACCGTTTCAGATTCCCAACAGCAGTGCGCAGGGTTCCGGTTTCTCTACATCCTCAACAACGGTTTTTATTTTCTGTGTTTTTAATGGTAGTCATCCCAAGGGATGTGAAGTAGTATCTCATTGTTTTCATTTGCATTTCCCTAATGATTAGTGATGTTGAGCATCTTTTCATATGCTATTGGCTATTTGTATATCTTCTTTAGAGAAATGTCTATTCAAAGCCGGGTGCAGTGGCTCACGCCTGTAATCCCAGCACTTTAGGAGGCCGAGGCAGGTGGATCACCTGAGGTCAGGAGTTCAAGACAAGCCTGACCAACATGGTGAAACCCCGTCTCAACTAAAAATACAAAAAAAATTAACTGGGCGTGGTGGCAGGCGCCTGTAATCCTAGCTACTCAGGAGGCTGAGGCAGGAGAATAGCTTGGACCTGGGAGGCAGAGGTTGCAGTGAGCCAAGATCGCACCACTGCACCCCAGCCTGGGCAACAACAGTGAAACTCTGTCTCAAAAAGAAGAAGAAGAAGAAAAAAGAAATGTCTATTCAAGTCCTGTGCCCGTTTTTGAATTGGGTTCTTTGATTCTTGTTGTTCAGTTGTAGAAGTTTAAAAAGAAAATATTCTGTATATTAACCTTTTATCAGATGTATGATTTACAAAGAAAAGAAACAGTTCAGAGAGTATAAAAAGATCAAGTATTTTTTAAAGGGTAGATAAAAGTAGATAAGTTAGAAATACACCATTGTTCCATGTGTAAACTTGAGACTCTTTTGCCTGTGTTTATTCTGGTTCTTTTCACAGTACATTGAAATCATCAATTGGTCAGGTGCAGTGGTTCACTCCTGTAATCCCAGCACTTTAGGAGGCCGAGGTAGGTGGATCACATGAGGTCAGGAGTTCAAGACCAGCCTTGAACCCAGGACCCAGGAAGCAGAGGTTGCAGTGAGCCGAGATTGCACCATTGCACCCCAGTCTGGGCTACAAGAGTGAAACTATTAAAAAAAAAAAAAAAAAGGGCTGGGCACAGTGGCTCATGCGTGTAATCCCAGCAGTTTGGGAGGCTGAGGTGGGCGGATCACCTGAGGTCAGGAGATCTAGACCAGCTTGGCCGACATAGAGAAATCCCATCTCTACGAAAAATACAAAATATAGCTGGGCGTGGTGGCATGTGCCTACAATCCCAGCTACTTGGGAGGCTGAGGCAGGAGAATGGCTTGAGTCCGGGAGGTGGAGGATGCAGTGAGCAGAGACTGCGCCATTGCATTCCAGCCTGGGCGACAGAGCAAGATTCTGTCTCAAAAAAAATAAAAAATAAAAAAGTAAAAAAAGGAAATTATCAATTTACTTTTCTGCATCTCGTGTCTGCGTTAGCAGAATCTGTCTCATAGGAGACTGTGGTAGGGAGAATTCTAAGCTAACCCTCAACAACCCACATCCTATGTAATTCCTCCCCACAAGGGTGGGAGGGACTGTGAATATAATGGGCTATCAGTCTTGTGACTGTGTTAACCATATAGCACTTTAAGAAAGGGAGATTATTGATTAAGGAAGGGTGATGTCCTTGAAAGTTCAGACCAAATCATGGGAGTCCTTTGTATCTGGGTCTAGAGGTCACAAACAGGAGAAGTCAAAGATTCAAAGCCTAGGAAGGATTTGATGCAAGAGATCCTGAGGCTACCCCTGAAGGAGAAAGCTGCGGTATTGTGAGAGGGCCTGTGGGAAGCAGCCAAGTGGCCTACAGGAGTCGACAGTGGCTCCCAACAAGCAAATGAGTGCCTCAGTCATTCAACTGCAAGAAACGGAATTTTGCCAACAACCTAAATGGGCTGGAAGGCAAATTCTTCTGCAGAGCCTTCAGAGAACTTGTGGCCAGTCGACACCTTGAGCATGAGACCTTCAGCAGAGAACCAAGTTGGGCCATGCCAGACTCCTCACCCATGGGCATGGCATGGTCATATATTTGTGTTGTTTTAAGCCACGAGGTTTGTGGCAATTTGTTGCACGGCAACAGAACACTAATAGGAATTTTGGTTCCAGGAATGAGGTGCTGCTGTAAGAAACATTTAAAAATATGCCGGTAGTTTTGGAACTGGGCAGTGGATGGGGCCTGGAAATATTTTGAGGAACCTCATTTAAAAAACTTAAACTACCTTAGGGAAAGCCTCTATTTCCTCGGATAGACTGTGCATAGAAATCTAGAATTTAAGGCTTCCATGGTTGAGAGCTCACCAGGTGGGGGGTATGCCACTGGAAACGGGGTAGGTCCTGGTGGCGTCACAGCAGAAATTGTGTCCAGCTGCTGTGTAGGGAGCAAACTTTCAGGGGCCTGTTTGCACATATGTGTAATCACATATCACCAGACAGGTTCTTCCTGCCTGCTGCACAGACAAAATCAATCTACTGAGACTGTGCTGTTGCAGTAGAGAAAGACTTTCATTGACCAAGCCCAGCTCACACAGGAGAACTGGCATTCTCACTCAAATTGGTCTCCCTGAAGGCTCAGAAGCCAGGGGATTTTATGGACAATTGATGGACAGGGGGTTAGGGAATAAGTGCAGCTGATTGGTTGGGGATGAAATTATAGAGGTGTGGAAAATGGTTCCCGTGCACTGAGTCCACCTCTGGGTGGGGTCACAGGGCCATTTGAGTCATGAGTCACAAGTCTAGGTGGGGTCAGTCTGAAAAATCTAAAAAAAAAAAAACGATCTTAGGTTCTACAATAGTGACATTATCTACAGGAGCAATTGGAAGAGTCACAAATCTTGTGACCTCTGGCCATCTGACTCCTGAGCTGTAAGGGATTATAGAAACTATGCCTACCTTATCAGAATTTAGTCCCCTCCCATAATCCTATTCTTGTGGCCTTTCGTTAGTCTTACCAAAGGTGGTTTTCAGTCCCTGAGCAAGGAAGGGATTAGTTTTCGGGAGGAGCTATTATTATCCTTGCTTTCAAATTAAACTATAAACTAAATTCTTCTCAAAGTTAGCTTGGCTTAGCCCCAGGAATGACCAAGGACAGCTTGGAGGTCAGAAGCAAGATGGAGTCAACTATGTCAGATTTCTCTTACAGTTATAATTTTGCAAAGGCAGTTTCATGTGGCTTAGGAGATTTCTAAGCAACGCTTTGAGGTGCTACCTGGTTTCATCTTGCTACTTATAGCAAAATGTGAAGGAAGAGAGATAAACTGAGGCAAGAACTGCTAAACCAAAAGGAACCAGGACTGGAGGGTTTTGAAAATTCTTAGCCTCTCCAGATGTCAAAAGATGCTAAAAGTCAGAGATGGTCACTGAAACCACAGCACAGAGAAAAGGTCGACACTATAATGTTCTGCTAAGACCCCAGAAAGACCAAGAGGTCAGAAAAGTCAGTCGATCAAAGGGCCCTTTCAAGACATTGAGGTATAGTCACAACAGAGGGCCCCAAGCCCGCTGCCATCTCAGCAGGAGGCCCAGGTGGAGGAGGGACTATCTCAAAAATATTGTGCATGTGACTTTATCTAATGAAGTGAAACTGGTGAAACACACTTACAAGGACTATGAGGTTCTTGAGATGTTTATGTCAGCAGAACATTCCCAGCTCATACTGACAGGGACAGGGAAAGTACACCATGAAAGAAGGCCCCCAGAATTCCACTTGCGGGAAGCAAGGCAATAGAACTACTTGGATGCAAACGTGCTACTTTGTATAAAAAAGGAAGGATGACCAGAGCTGAGAGCCACAGAGAATTTTCTCCCAGGCCTTGAAACCTAATGGAGTTTGTCCAGAAGGATATAAAAGCTGTTACGGACCAGTAACTGCTTTTCACTGTCCATTCCCCCAACTTCCTTTTGAGCATTATGCTGTGCCCATCTTGTCATTGTATGTGCAGAATGTTGGGGTAGGAAGTTTCTTTAATTTCATAGGTCCACAGGTGAGGAAGAATTGTACTCAAGGGCTGTGTTTAGCAGATTACAGCTGGGAACCTCATCCATATTCTATTTGGAGTATTTAAATGATGAGATTGTGGATTTTGAGCTGATGAGATAATTCTATTTAGATTTAGATGATGAGATTTTGAATTTTAAGTTGAGACTCTAATGAGATTGCCAGAAGCGTTCGAACCAGAGCAATTCCATCTTGAATAGGGGCCGGTAAAATGAGGTTGAGACCTACTGGGCTGCATTCCCAGGAGGTTAAGCATTTTTTTTTTTTTTTTTTTTTTTTTTTTGAGATGGAGTCTCACCGCTCTGTTGCCCAGGCTGGAGTGCAGTGGCGCAGTCTTGGCTCACTGCAAGCTCCGCCTCCCGGGTTCACATCATTCTCCTGCCTCAGTCTCCTAAGTAGCTGGGACTACAGGCACCCACCACCACCCCCAGCTAATTTTTTTGTATTTTTTAGTAGAGACGGGGTTTCACCGTGTTAGCTAGGATGGTCTCAATCTACTGACTTTGTGATCTGCCTGCCTCCGCCTCCCAAAGTGCTGGGATTACAGGCGTGAGCCACCGCGCCTGGCCTTTTTTTTTTTTTTTTAGACAAAGTCTAGCTCTGTCACCCAGGCTGGAGTGCAGTGGTGTGATCTCGGCTCACCGCAGCCTCCGCCTCCCAGGTCCAAGCTATTCTCCTGCCTCAGCCTCCCCAGTAGCTGGGACTTACAGGCACCCGCCACCATGCCTGGCTAATTTTTGTATTTTAAGTAGAGACGGGGTTTCACCATGTTGGCCAGGCTGGTCTCGAGCTCCTGACCTCAGGTGATCCGCCCGCCTCGGCCTCCCAAAGTGCTGGGATTGCAGGTGTGAGTCACCGTGGCCAGCCCCCAGGAGGTTAGGTATTCTAAGTCACAGGATGAGATAGGAGGTAGGCAAAAGATACAAGTCATAAAAATCTTGTTGATAAAATAGGTTGGGGTAAAGAAGCCGGCCAAAACCCACCAAAACCAAGATGGCAACGAGAGTGACTTCTGGTGGTCCTCAATGCTCATTATATACTAGTTATAATACATTAGCATGCTAAGAGACACTCCCACCAGTGCCATGACAGTTCACGGCAAGGTCAGGAAGTTACCTTACATGGTCTAAAAGGGGGAGGAACTCTCAGTTCTGTTAATTGTCCATCCCTTTCCCTGAAAACCCATGAATAATCCACCCCTTGTTTAGCATATAATCAAGAAATAACCATAAAAATGGGCAACCAGCAGCCCTCAGGACTGCTCTGCCTATGGGGTAGCCATTCTTTTATTCTTTTACTTTCTTAATAAACTTGCTTTCACTTTATGGACCCGCCCGAACTCTTTCTTCTGCAAGATCCAAGAATCCTGTCTTGATGTCTGAATCGGCCCCTTTCCAGTAACAGGATGAGGCTCTTGGTAACCTTGAGGTATGCTGAATGCATTTTGGGGATTGGGAGGGACATGCGTCACTGGAGGCCGGAGGTTGGGCTGTGTTAGGTAGAATTCTAAGATGACTCGCTGCCACTCAGCTGTTGTCTATGACCCTCCTGTTGAGTGTGGAGGGACCTGTGACTGAGATGGCACAGCCCTCTCGTGACTGTTGTATGCTGGAGTTTAAGAAAAGGATATTGTATTGTCCCTAGTGGGCCTGACCTAATCCCTTGAGCCGGCGTCCTTATGGAGGAGTGGGTTGAACTCGGAAAGCAAGCTGGAAATGCTTGATGACGTGATGTAAGCACTTGCCCTCTCATCATTACTGTATATTTCTGGGCTTGGGCCATAGTTGCCTTCATGTCTCCCCTGCACAGTGGACTTCCTGGAGGGAGGGGCCCTGTGATGCTCTGGGGGTTTCCAGCGACCCCTGCCTCCTACCGACCTGGGCTCCCCGCACCCGCCGCGCGAGATCCAGTCCCAGCATCCTGATGGACGCAGGCGTTTTCCTGGAGCCCCGCGGTTGGCCACGCCCCGCGCTCTCCGCCCCGTCGGGGACGCCCAGGCCACCGGCCTGATGAGGGAAGCAGGGGCAGAGCGCTCAGGCCAGGGCCGGCGGGGGCACTGCGCACTGGCCGCCTCCCTCCTCTGGCCAATCCTCCTGCCGCTGCGCGTCTAGTCCACCTCGTCCCTCTCTGCAGGTGAGCGGGCAGGGGTGGCCCAGACAGAGCGAGGAGCAGAGGTCGCCTGCCTCTCGTGGCCGTCCCCCTCCGCCCGATGAGGACACCCGCCAGGAGGGCCCAGCCAGGCCAGGTCTGGCTCTCCGGGCCCTGGGAGGAAGGCGCCTTTGGAAGGAGGGGAGAGGGCGGGGCGCTCCCCCGCTGGCTCTGCCGGGTTGGATCTCAGGCCTCTACAGTCCAGCGCCCCACACACCCTCATTTCCAGGATGGGGAAATGCTACTGCAGACGGGATTGTGCGCGGACTGTCTCTCGTTCGCTTCAGTCTGGGAGAACACTGGGCCGGGAAGGGAGGGCACTGCCGCTTAGGGGCCGCGCAGTGGAGCAGTACATCCCTTCTGTAGCAGGCAGCTTCTGCGCCATCACAAACGGCATTGAGGCCTGGGAAAAGTCGGGCCCAGTGCTCACCCCGTAGCCCCACGGGCCGTCGCCCCTGACAGGGGGCCATGGGCTGTGTGCTCCCGGGTCATCCAGGTGGTGCTGTCACATGGGCCACGTGGCTTCAACCTGAGCCTTGGACTTGTCCCTCCTGTGAAGTGAGAGGAGGGGCCTGGTGGCCCCGAGTCCTGTTGATCCTGATATTTGGGGGCACCCGGGGCTGGCTGGCGTCCTTCGTGCAGGCACCTCATTGCTGGGCTGTCTCCACAGTGTGTGAGAAGGCCAGATTCAGCGGCAATTCCTCCGGGAGGCCCACCGGGAAGATCTTTGGAGGCCAGAGGGCTGAGCCTTAGCGGTGGCCATGGCAGGCCAGTCTCCTCTACCTAGGCGGGCACATCTGTGGAGCTGCCCTCATCGACAGCAACTGGGTGGCCTCTGCTGCTCACTGCTTCCAAAGATGCATCTTCCCTCCACGGGCCCCGCTGTGGGAGTGCATGCAAGAGGGAAGCCCAAAGTGAGGGCGCAGTCTTTTCTTTGTACGCTTTGTTCTGGGACAGTTTGCTGCCCCAGGTGTCCTGCCTTTGACCCAGCAGTGCCCTGTGCCTGGAATGCTGTCCCTGCTCGTCACTCTGCTCCAGTCTCCTGACCAACTGTGTGGCATCTCCCAAGCAGAGGCTCCTACCTCATCTCTCACTCTGGGGTTGGGCATTCCCCAACCCCACCCCACCCCACACCACATTGGTCAGCCTGCTAAGATGGTGTGGTTGCCTCATTACATTGCACATTACTTTGAAATAGCTAAATGGAGCCGGGTGTGATGGCTCACACCTGTAATCCTAGTACTTGGGAGGCTAAGGTGGGAGGATTGTATGAGTCCAGGAATTCCAGACCAGCCTGGGCAACATAGTGACACCTCATCTCTACAAAAAGTACAAAAATTAGCCGGGCCTGGTGGTGTGCGCCTGTAGTCCCAGCTACTTGGGAGGATCACTTGAGCCTGGGAGGTCAAGGCTGCAAGTGACTGTGATCACACCATTGCACTCCACCCTGGGTGACAGAATGAGACCTGTCTGAAAATAAGTAAATAATTAAAAGTAAAAATAAATAGTTAAGGCCTGTCACGGTGGCTCACACCTGTAATCCCAGCACTTTAGGAGGCCAAGGCAGGTGGATTGCTTGAGCCCAAGAGTTCAAGACCAGCCTGGGCAACATGGCAAAACCCATCTCTACTAAAAATAAAAAAATTAGCCAAGTACGATGGGGCAGGCCTGTGGTCCCTGCTACTGAGGAGGCTGAGGCAGGAGGATCACCTGAGCCCAGGGAGGTCGAGGCTGCAGTGAAATGTGGTTGTGCCACTGCACTCCAGCCTGGGCCACAAAGCCAGATCTTGTCTCAAAAATAAAATAAAATAAATAGCTAAATGAAAATTAACTCACTCTAGTTGGGACTGTCAATAAATACAGGAAAACAGACTTTTGTTCTAAAGGGAACCACTTCCAGCCCATTCTCCGTCTGCTGTAAACTTTAGGAATCAAAATCCTAATGTTCCCCTCAGGGTGAACTTTGGTTTCTGCATCTTGCCCAGCTCTAGGCCATCCACACAATCTCAGTGGGCCTCGGTTTTTCTTGTGTAAATGGTAGTGGGTGTGCAGTGTCCCAGGCCACACACTTGACACACACTTCAGGTGATAAGACAGAGTGACAGTCCCAGGGCTTCTCAGGGCCAGGCAGGCATGGTCGAGCACCTGGCCCCTTCCAACCAGGGCTCATTGCAGGCTGTCCGGGGAACACCTGCCGGAGGCTCCCCTAGGTCCTGGCTACCCACATATGCTGGCACATTCTTCCCCAGAAGGGTCCTGCGACTCTGTATGTCCAGCCACCAGGGGGTTTTTGTCACTTCTGGAGAATTATTTGCCACCGTCCCCACAGACCAGAGTGAGGGATGAAACAGATGGCCTCTGTCCCAGGAGGTGTGAGGCAGAGGGTCAAGAGACTGAGTTACTCCTCCGATGCTTCCTGGGCTCGCTGTGTGCCCAAAGGGAGTCAGGGAGGATGTCCAATTCTGAGCCAGGAAGCCAGAGCTTTGGACATAGCTGGCTGTAGCATCCTCCTCAGGTCCCACTCATTTATTCAGCATCCACAGGTGCCAGGCCTCAAGTGAGGCCCATTGTGTGGTACATAGAGATGCAAGCCCCACTCTGAGGCTTCTCATCCTGTCAGGAAAGTGAGGCGCAAGCCCAGGACCATGGTAGACCCTGTGCCAGACAGGGGCTTAGAGCAGGAGAGGCCTTGGGGGAGGTGGATGCAGCCATGTTGGGGGAGGAGAACCACACAGCCAGGACCTGTGGGTTGGAAAGTCACTCGTTTTCTGGAAACAAGAAGTTCAGTTCCATTAACTCCTCCATGTGCTTCACAAATACCTACTGAGTTCCTGTCACCAGGTGGGGCAGCCTTGGAGAAGGTGGTGTGTGAGAACCGGGGAGAAGTGGGTGGAGCATGCTGGCTAGGGAAACAGGGTCTTTGAGAATTGCTGTAGGTCATGGGGCCTTGGGAAGGTTCTGGTCAGAGCTAGGAATGAGCCAAGTCTCTTCTTTTCTGAAATGAAGGGGTGAAGTGTAATGCATCGCCAGTGTTTTCTGCACTAAGATTCTCTACTCCTTTGAGTCTGGGGCATGCTGGGAAAGCCATCAGGAATCATCCAAGGCCAAGTGTCCTGAGGCTGTAGGCCCTCAAGCTTGTGTCAAGAGCAAAGCAGGGCTATCTGACACGAGGAAGGGAGGAGACAGAAACCCCAGAGTGATGGTGGGGTCTGGGTGCCTTCCAGGTGGGCAGCCGGGGTGAGGGTGCCGGCCCAGCATTCAGAGGAGCCTCCCCACAACAGGTCCACTAACCCATCTGATTACCGGATCCTGCTTGGGTATGACCAGCAAAGCCATCCCACAGAGCACAGCAAGCAGATGACAGTGAATAAGATCATGGTGCACGCTGACTATAACGAGTTGCACCGCATGGGGAGTGACATCACCCTGCTGCAGCTGCACCATCATGTGGAATTCAGCTCCCACATCCTCCCCGCCTGCCTTCCGGAACCAACCACGTGGCTGGCCCCTGACAGCTCCTGCTGGATATCTGGTTGGGGAATGGTCACCGAGGATGGTGAGCAGTGCAGGGCAGGCAATGCAGGTGAAGGTGCGGGAGGCCGCTTCGGGGCTCTGCCAGTCCTCCCTAGTGTCACAATTCCCCCTGGCATGGGTCAAGCGGCCTGAGCTTCTCCCACTTTTGGAGGCAGGTACTTGGGCTCTTTGACTCTGAGCCATTCAGGATTCCCTGGTTCTGAATGTTTCTGACTCCACCCTGATTACAAGGGCCTGCTGCCATCTGACCTCCTCCAGGGCCTCACCAAACTCTACTGGAGCTTCCACAGCTGTGGAAGGTGCCGGGCATCAGTAGCAAGTAAGAGCAGGCCTGCGGGTGCGGTGGCTCACGCCTGTAATCCCAGCACTTTGGGAGCCTGAGGTGGGTGGATCACGAGGTCAGAAGATCGAGACCATCCTGGCCAACATGGTGAAACCACATCTCTACTAAAAAAAGAAAAAAAAATATATATATATATATATATTTTATACACACACACACACACACACACACACACACACACACACACACACACAGAAATTAACTGGGCATGGTGGCACGTGCCTGTAATCCCAGCTACTCAGGAGGCTGAGACAGGAGAATCGCTTGAACCTGGGAGGCGGAGGTTGCAGTGAGCCGAGATCGCACCACTGCACTCCAGCCTGGCAACAGAGTGAGACTCTGTCTCAAGAAAAAAAAGAGCAGGCCTGTCCTCCAGTCCAAGTGTTTATGGCTCAAGAACACTTATCTCTGTGAATGTGAACCTCACTGCTCACCCAGTATATTTGTCATATATTTGTATATTTGTAGACTGAGAGGGAAGAAATGTTAGGCAAAGACTCTAGCAAAAGAGTGAATGCTTTTGATTTAGGGAAATGTAATGATGAGTGCAAAAAAGTAGAATGGCAATTTGGCATTATTTGTGGGGTCATGATCTGGCAGAATATCTCAGAGGAGGCATTTGGGACAGGACTTTCTTCCATGAACAGGCCAGAGCTGGCCTCCCTGCCTTGGCCACTGAATGCCAGTCACGTGGCCCTAGTCATGAGAGCAGCCAGCCCTCCAAAGACAGCCTCCTGGGACTGTCATTCTCAAACTATTTTTTTTTTTTTTTTTGAGACGGAGTCTTGCTCTTGTTGTCCAGGCTGGAGTGGGATGGCATGATATCGGCTCACCACAACCCCCACCTCCCGGGTTCAAGCGATTCTTCTGCCTCATCCTCCTGAGTAGCTAGGATGACAGGCATGCACCACCACACCTGGCTAATTTTGTATTTTTAGTAGAGACGGGTTGCTCCATGTTGGTCAGGCTGGTTTCGAATTCCCGACCGCAGGTGATCTGCCCTCCTCGGCCTCCAAGGGACTGTCATTCTCTAAGAATCAAGGCAGAGAAGATTCTCCAGGTGGGAAAGGAGGAGCTAGGGCCTGGGGAAGTCACCAGTTAGTTGGATCAGCTACTGAGCAGAGAGCCACCGACCTTGATGAGAGATCTGGGCTCTAGTCATCCTTCTCTCTCCACACACCGGCAGCCCCCAAGGACACATGAGGCCCACACAGGGCAGGCATTGTGCAGGGGTCGGCCCCTGTCATCGCGCTGCTCCCACATGGGGACCCCAGGCCAGATCTGGGAGCGACATCTGGAAACAGAGCCCAAGTGTCCCCAGACCAGTTGCTCCTTGAGGAAGGGCCATGCCTGATTTGTCACACTGCTACACTGCTCAAACCCACCCAGCACCTGCTAGGTATGCCACCGGCCAGGCTGGCAATCCAGCTGCCACCCTCCCTGCCTCCAGCTCTGCCTCCTCTTAGCAGCCAGAGGGCTTGTTTTTGACCCTTCTATTGTGTCCCAGTGTGCTTGGAACGACACCTCCAACACCACATCCTGGCTAGGAGGGCCCCTGCTCTGGGCCCTGAGGCGGCTGCACCTCACCTTTCACCCCACGCCTGCTCCCTTGCAGCCACATTGGCCTCCCTCCTGGTTCTTCCTACTGCAGGCCCTCCCCCTTTGGCTGTCCCCTTATCTTCGTGTGCTCTCCCTGGGCCAGCAGGCTGGGGAGGGAGGGCTTCCCTCTGGCTGCAGCTGCAGTTGAGGCCCACATCTGACACCTCCTCCCACATCTGACATCTCCTCCCACATCTGACATCTCCTCCCACAGTCTTCCTGCCTGAGCCCTTCCAACTTCAGGAGGCAGAGGTCGGTGTCATGGACAACACTGTCTGCGGATCCTTTTTCCAGCCCCAGTACCCCGGCCAGCCAAGCAGCAGTGACTACACCATCCACGAGGACATGCTGTGCGCTGGGGACCTCATAACAGGAAAGGCCATTTGCCGAGTGAGTGGGCTCACTCTCTCTCCCCTGTGCTGCCCTGGGCCTCTGCCACAGGGTCTCCTCTGGACCCTGCCCCAGCCCCGACTTCTTCCTGAGCCCAGCCAAGCCTGAGGTGTCGGAGCCAGGACAGAAACTCCCAACAAGCACTGGCCCATCTGTTTTTTTGTATCTTTTAAGAAACGTTGTTGGTAGGGTACAGTGGCTCACGTCTGTAATCCCAGCGCTTTGGGAGGTCGAGGCGGGTGGATCACCTGAGGTCAGGAGTTTGAGACCAGCCTGACCAACATGGTGAAACCCCATCTCTACTAAAAATACAAAAATCAGCCGGGCATGGTGGCACGTGCCTATAATCCCAGCTACTTGGGAGGCTGAGGCAGGAGAATCGCTTGAACCCGGGAGGCGGCAGTTGCAGTGAGCTGAGATCATGCCACCGCACTCCAGCCTGGGTGACAGAGTGAGACTCCGTCTCAAAAAAAAAAAAAAAGAAGAAAAAAAGAAAGAAAGGAAAAAGAAACCTTATTGAAGCACACCATGCACAGGAAAGGGCAAAAGTACAAGTGTCCTGTGGAGGAATTTTCAGAGACTGACCACTCATGTACCCGGCACCCGTGGGTTTCATCCTTGCCCATTCCTGACGCTAACTCCCCCAGGATAACTCTGCCTGCTTTCTAAAGCACCATAGCTTCATGTGGGGACTTTTAGCTGAGTGAAGCCATATGGTATGCAAGCTTTTGCCTGGTCCCATCAGTCAATGTTGTGTCTGTGGGATGCATCCATCTGGCGTGCAGTCTGTATTGTTCATTTTTATTGCCGTATGCTATTCCACTGTGCAAAGACACTGCAATTTACTCATCCATTCTAGTGTGGGTGGCATTTGGGTGGTTCCCATCTGAGGCTGTTGCAAATGGAATTGCTGTGAACTTCCTGGTGTATGCATTTCAGAGCACATAGGTTCCCATTCTGGTTGGCGGTCCCCCTGGCAATGGAATTGCCTTGCCATGAGACATGCACATGTTCATCTCTCGTTGATCATCTGAGAAACTCTGCAACCTGGTTGTACCAATTTGCATTTCCACCAGCTGGTGAGTGATAGTTCAGGTTGCACCCTGTTGTTGCCAGTCCTTCAAATTGTCTGCCATTTTCATATGAACTCTTGTGTATGGTTTTTAATGTGCATTTCTCTGGTGACTGGTGAAGATAAGCCCTTTGTTATATGTTTATTGCCTCTTTTGTAAAGTGTCCGTGCAAGTTTTTTGCCAACTATGGGATTGTCTGCCTTTCATTCTGAATCATAGGAGTTCTTTATCTATTGTGGCTATGAGCCCATTATTGGATATGTTCATATATTATGAATGTCTTATCCCACTATGTGTAATCTTTTCATTTTATAGTGCGGGGAACTGAGGCCCAGAGAGGAAGTGTATCACCCAAGGTGAGGGGTCACAGCCACAGTCAAGCTTGGAGAGGCCCTGCCCTTCTTGGGAGCTGTGGGTCCCAGGAGGACTCCTGCAGGATCCTCTCCCTCTTTTTTTTTTTTTTTTTTTTTTGATACAGGGCCTTACTTTATCGCCCATGCTAGAGTGCTGTAGTGCAATCTCGGCTCACTGCAACCTCTGCCTCCTGGGTTCAAGTGATTCTCCTGCCTCAGCTTCCTGAGTAACTGGGATGCACTACCACGCCCAGCTAATTTTTATATTTTTAGTAGAGATGGGGTTTCATCATGTTAGCTGGGCTGGTCTCAAACTCCTGACCTCAAGTGATCTGCCTGCCTCAGCATCCCAAAAGTGCTGGGATTACAGGTGTGAGACACCGTGCCCGGCCTCCTCTCCCTCTGTTGCGCCTCCCTCTTTTTCTTTCTCTCTCTTTGGTCACCTCATGGTGCAGAAACATTCTTCGATGACTCTCATCACAAAATGCCCTACAGGCACCCTCCCTGCTCCCCACAACCTCCTCCCACCCCACCCATCCCAGCAGGGCTCACCCCAGGGTGCCTGCCTGTGCCCTCTCTTGCTTCCTGGGCTCCGTCCTCACCACAGCCATGCTGTCAGGCGTTGGTGCAGCATCCCCCATCAGACACTGTGGGCGGCCCCTCCTGCTCTCTGCTCTCCTCCTTGGAGGGGCCCTTCAGCCTCCTGACACCAACAGCCCACTGTGCACCACTGGGCCTGCTTCCCCTGCCTTGCCCCATTTCCTTAGACAGAGAGAAAGGGTCAGATATGGCAAGTCCCGTCTGTTGACCATTTCCCGCCAGCCTCTGCCATCCCTTCTCCTGCAGTTGTGTCCTGATGGGGCTCAGGCCAGTACCATCCTATCAGACAGAATCTGCACCAGGTCCCATGGGTTCCCTGCCCTCTGAGGAGGCTGTGGGCTGGCACAGTCAGGTCTTGCCCCTCCTTCCTGTGTTGGCTCAGAGAAGCTCTAGAATTAGAGCAGCCCTTCTGGGGTCCTTCCAGGCCGCCCCGATCCACACCCCCCGTCTGCGATGTCTGTTCATGTGGAAGGTCCCTCGGGGCCTCTTCAGTGCTGTGTGCACACAGAAAGACTTGGTCATGTTGATTGCACAGATGGCAGGAGGATGCTTGTTTCCTTGGGTTTCCCTTTTTGGCCTATGGGATGCGGGTGCTCTGCCCATGATGTCAGGGACTTCCCCGCTTGGGGGCCCTGCCACACTCACAATCCCCCGCGCTCACCTGGGAACCCCTGGCACTTGCCCTACCCCCACGCTGGGCACGGGCAGCACCTCTTTTCCCCTCAGCACATCCCACAGCCTGGCATTTTCTAAAAAGCTCAACCAAGAAATGGAGGGAACACTAGAGACCTTAATAAGTGAAGGACATCTGGATTCGGGACTAGATTTAATCCCAGCACCTTGGAGGCCAAGGCGGGAAGATCACTTGATACCATCAGTTCAAGATCTGCTGGTAACATGGCAAGATCTCCATCTCCATTTTAATTTTTTAAAAAAAGTTTAAAAAAGAACAAAAATGGCCGGGCGCGGTGGCTCATGCCTGTAATCCCAGCACTTTGGGAGGCCGAGGCGGGTGGATCACGAGGTCAGGAGATCGAAACCATCCTGGCTAACATGGTGAAACCCCGTCTCTACTAAAAAGACAAAAAATTAGCTGGTGTGGTGGCGGGTGCCTGTAGTCCCAGCTACTCGGGAGGCTGAGGCAGGAGAATGGGGTGAACCCAGGAAGCGGAGCTTGCAGTGAGCTGAGATCGCGTCACTGCACTCCAGCCTGGGCACAGAGCGAGTCTCTGTCTCAAAAAAAAAAAAAAAAAAAAAAATACTGGTGGGATGCAGTGCTTGGAGGAAGATTCAGGCCAAGGCACAGCCATTCCTCCAGGCTGGCACCCAGCCACCCTGGGGACCACAGGCAGTGCCTTCTCCCCACTGGGGTCAGGAGGGCTAGGCCTGGATGTCCATCTCCTAGAATCCCCTGCTTATTCTCATGGGTTTGTGACTGCCAGGATGGAGGCTCTGCCCAGGGTCTCCTTGGGAGCTTTGTGGAGTGAAGCTCCAGGGCCCCGTGCTCGAGATTTTGATCCAGGAGGTCCCTCCTGGGTCTGGGCTTCTAACATCGCCCAGGTGACTGATGAGCACCACTCACTCAGACAGTGGAGACACCTGCCCCACACCTTGCTTCCCACATTCCATCCTGGAGAAGCGTAAGGTCCCCTCCTGTGCCCTGAACAATGCGTGTCCCTCCCTGTCTTGGTCCCTACCACCCATGTCCTCTCTGTTCTCAGCGAGACTCCAGGGGTCCCCTCGTCTGCCCATTAAATGGCACCTGGTTCCTGATGGGGCTGTCTAGTTGGAGCCTCGACTGCTGCTCACCCGTCGGTCCCAGGGTCTTCACCAGGCTCCCCTACTTCACCAACTGGATCAGCCAGAAGAAGAGGGAGAGCACCCCTCCAGATCCCGCCTTGGCTCCTCCTCAGGAAACACCCCCAGCCCTGGACAGCATGACCTCTCAGGGCATCGTCCACAAGCCCGGGCTCTGCGCAGCCCTTCTGGCT
This sequence comes from Homo sapiens, assembly GCF_000001405.40. Classification (NCBI taxonomy): domain Eukaryota; kingdom Metazoa; phylum Chordata; class Mammalia; order Primates; family Hominidae; genus Homo; species Homo sapiens. Next base: position 130,539,865 of record NC_000002.12, on the reverse strand, counting down.
GCTCACATGTTCCTCCTGCTGCTGATTCTCCTGGGGAGCCTGTGAAGGGCCAGGGCCCCTGGCCTCTTACCACAAGCATGCCCACCTCAGGCCGGCCTCCTTGCTGAGCTCTGCACACTCCTGACGTGTTTCCATCTCTGAGCTCTCCTGTCCACCCAAGGCCACCCCTGCCTCAGGCCTGACAAACTAAAAACCACCCAAGAAGCTTCTTGCTCTGGTTTCTGGCCCACCAGAGCCATCTCCCATGCTCCACTGTGTCTCCAGCTCCTCAGGGAGGGAAGGTCTCCCTCCTCCCTGGGCAGGGTCCAGGCTGACCATATGGGAGCCAAGTCACTCTCCTTGGGAAGTTGGGTCGCGCAGACTCAGGCCCCATTCGGGTCCTCCAGGGCATGCAGTCTTCCAGAAAAATGGGGCCAGGGCCTCCCCACATGGAAGAAGCTGCCTGTCCTCCTGGAGCTGGGTGTTGTGCACCGGTCAGGGATGAAGCGGCATCTTCCAGGTGCGCAGGTCACAGAGGCTCTCCTCGACAGCTTGCAAGTAAACTGTGAAGGGGGCTGAGGTCTTCGGTCAGCAGTACCAGAGCTGTGTCCCATGGGCCAGCTCTCAGCTGACTGCCCCCTGTACCCGCTGCCCTGCCCTCTCCCTGCCTCCAGAAACCCAGCCCCCATCCCTGTGGCTTGCTCCAGCTTGTAGGGGTTGTGGCTTAGCTGACCCAGGACTTGCTGGTCCAGCACTGAGCCCATAAACCAGACTCTGAGTTGCCCCTGTAAACCTGTCTGAGTCAGGTTTGTATCCTAACGAGTCAGCAGGACTCTCGAAGGGCCTCGCACCGCAGCTCTCCCGCAACCCCCAACCTGAACTCACAATAAAAAGAGAGCAGCCCCCCTTCACTGAAGGTACATTGTGCCCCAAGTGCCATCCAGGTGTTCTGTGCAAATTATTTCTAGTCCTGTTGTCACCCAGATAGCCCAGGCCCTCACCAGCAGGTGGGAACAAGTGAAGTCTCATGGGAATGATCGGCAGAATCTCTTGGTCTTGAAGCCCTCTGACACTAATGCAGAGGTTTCCTTTCCAACTCAGAGCCTTCCTTCCCTCCTTCCTGGTGAGGTGCCACTGAGCCAGACACCTATGCCCAGCACGGTATCTGGCTTTACAAGCTCAGCAGTGTCTGGAAGCGAGAAGAAAGCATTTCCTCTCCTGATGGCAAACTCAGTTATGGGGCTGCAGAGTGGGACTGCTGGGCCCTGAGGTGGGAATTAGCACTTGATCAGTTCAGATTTAGAGCATTAGCCACCGCTGTTGCCAGAACTGCCACTTTCCCTCTGCCCATGGTGGCCCCATGCTGGCTGGGCTGGAGTTCCCTCACGTGGTGACTTGTGCTTTGTCCATCAGCAGGCATGTTCCTACGTGAAGCATGGAGTTACGCAATGGCCTGCCTGTCCATGAAGTTCCTCTGGCCTCCTCCGATTCTGTGGCTGCAAATCCACACCTAGGAGCTCCGCAGGCCTGCTGGAGCACAGCGCCTGTAGGTTTCTGCGCCTGGAACCCACCTCAGGACCACAAGCCGCATTCAGTCTCTTTTTATAGATCTGGAACCCGAAGCCCAGCGTGGTTAGGAACTTGTCTAAGGTCACTTGGTAGTAAATACTGGAACAGGGATTCAAACCCACATCTCCAGAGAGAGCTCAGAAGCCTTGTGCTTTCCATGAGTGCAGCTGTTTCCAGAGGCCTCCGGCCCTGTCTCACCTTCCCAGACTGCCTTGAGAGGCTCTAGCTGGCCTGTCTCTAGTGTGGCCAGATTCTATCTGGTCAGTGGCAAGGGAGGACCCCAGGCCACAATACTGACATCAGGGAACAGAACAGATCTGCAGGGCCAGTGAGTGGTGCTACGGAAAGGCTGGGAGTGGCCCCTGCGTGGTTTTCCCTAGACCCATCGTCAGGGGCTCCAGGCCTCCATGTGTTGTGCTGCACGGGCTACTGGCTCCCTCTCCAAAATCGACCCTGGGTGAGCTGTGGAGGCGAGAAGGCAGTGTGCATTTCAGAAACTAACCAAAATCAGTGAGAAAATCTTGGAGAAACTGAAGTTACCCTGGGCGGCTGTAGCTGGGAATGGAGGATGGGGCAGCCAGGAGCCAGACTTAAGAAGGCTGTTCACACTCTGCTCTTGTTGCTTGCCTCCCACACCTCGTGACAAATGCTGCCTGGTCCCGCTCAGGTGTCAGGATTGCAAGGTGGCTGTGTCAGCCAGTGTGAGGGCCCCACAAGCCACCGGTGTTGTGTGCCCTCCATCCTCCTCCTGAACCCCCCCTGGGTGGGACAGTTGCTATCCAGGGAAATGGGCCTCTTCCACTGTGATCTCCTCCAGGGCTTTCACCGGCAGGCCCGCCTGCAGGAGTGGCTTGTGGGGTGGCAGGATGCAGGAGAGAGTGAGTGAGGTGCTTCGTGCCTGGGGCCCTCTGCTCTGGGGCCACCCTCCTCGTTGACTCACTGGGAGCCTTGCTAGTGCAGACAGGGTGACCAGGAGCTGCTAAGCCCAGGGAATGCACACACGTGCACTGGAGCAGCTGCCTATCTTAAGAGTCCAATGCCCACCGAAACACAGTAGGCTGCACAGCATCCACTACTGGAAGTAGAGTTGCTGGAAAAGACAGACCAAACATATTTAATAAGCACAATAAATATCTTTTTGGATACAGAAAAATATTATTAGTAATAAGACCTAAGACAAAGAAACTACCGAAAAGAACCAAGTCAAAATATTACATATGCAAAATGTAATCGTTGAATTAAAGACCACATTACATTGAGCAAACAGGGTCAATGCAGATGAAAGAGGAAGCCAGTCGTTACTTTAAAGGTATGGCTGTCACAGTGTGGACTTTGGAGCCCGTCCACTTTAGTTGGGGTAATTTGTAGAGCATTTATTTACAAAAGTACTAATCACCCAGGTATGTTTGGGCTGAAGGCTCCGGGAAAGCCCAGGGCAGGGGCCTGGCACAGGCATCAGAAGCAGAGCTCTTGCCACCCAAGGCCCTGAGGGACCAGTGAAGTAGGAGCCGTGGGGAGAGGGTGCCTGAGAGGAGCAGGGACACTCAGCCGAGGGACACAGCCAGCCAAGGCGGCCTCACAAAGAGGATTTTCATGGAAACAAATGCCCTGACTACTTCATTCCCACATCTTCGGCTGAGGCTCCCATGGCAAGTGGAGAGAGCAGCTGCAGGTGGCCTCGGTCACTTGGGTCAGCTCTCCTGCTTAAAACAAACACAGAAATCAATAAAAGTGTTGATTGTATTATTTAAAAAAAAATCTTCGGCCAGTCGTGGTGGCTCACACCTGTAATCCCAGCACTTTGGGAGGCCAAGGTGGGCAGATCACAAGGTCAGGAGATCGAGACCATCCTGGCTAACACAGTGAAACCCCATCTCTACTAAAAATACAAAGAATTAGCCAGGTGTGGTGGCGGGCACCTGTAGTCCCAGCTACTCGGAAGGCTGAGGCAGGAGAATGGTGTGAACCTGGGAGGCGGAGGCTGCAGTGAGCTGAGATCGTGCCACTGCACTCCAGCCTGGGCGACAGAGCGAGACTCCATCTCAGAAAAAAAAAGATCTTCATAAAGACATTGGAAATGTAGAAAGAGAACGGGGATCTGCTAGGCCATGTTCTAGAGGGAAGCCTGCCATGAGAATGGTCATCACATGTCTGGGACGCACAGTGGTCTCTGCTGGGAGGGCCTTCTCAGAGCTCACAATTGGGCTGCACCTCAGCAGACCTTTGCAAAAACAGCAGAAGTCAAGGCCCAGGAGTGGAGCTGTGTTGGAGTTCTCCAGAGAAACAGAACCAATAGGATGTGTATGTATATTGTATAGTGAGACTTTTCATCTTAGGGAATTGGCTTATGAGATTACGGAGGTTGGCAGGCAGGCCAGCAGGCTAGAGACTCAAGGAGAGCTGATGGTGGATCACTTGAGCCCAGGAGTTGGAGACCAGCCTGGCCAACATGGTGAAATCCTGTCTTTACTATAATAAAAATACAAAAATTAGCCAGTCATGGTGGTGTGCGACTGCAATCCTAGCTTCTCCAGAGCCTGAGGCAGGAGAATCCCTTGAGCCCAGGAGTTTGAGGCAGCAGTGAGCTATGATCACACCACTGCACTCCACCCTGGGTGACAGAGCAAGACCCTGTCTCCTAAAAATGAAGAGTTTCCGGGAGCTCTTTCTTTGTCCCCTAATGGTAATTTTTCTTTCCATAAACACAACCACCAAAACTTCAATTTTAAAAACTTATGCTATGGTAAGAAAGACATAGTTCTATGTTTCATGTTCTAACATGAAAATGTTACAGAAGATGCTGCTTTTTAAATGTGAAAAATCGAGTTATATTGATTTTTATTTATTTTATTTATTTACAAGATTGGGAAACAGATAAAAGGAACATAAGTAATGTCTTAGTCTGTTTGGGCTGCTATAATAAAATGCCATAGGCTGGATGGCTTGTAAAGAACAGAAACGGCCGGGCTTGGTGGCTCACGCCTGTAATTCCAGCACTTTGGGAGGCCGAGGCGGGTGGATCACGAGGTCAGGAGTCCAAGACCAGCCTGGCCAACATAGTGAAACCCCATCTCTACTAAAAATATCAAAATTAGCCAGGCACGGTGGTGGGCGCCTATAGTCCCAGCTACTCGGGAGGCTGAGGCAGGAGAATGGCATGAACCTGGGAGGCGGAGCTTGCAGTGAGCCGAGATGGCACCACTGCACTCCAGCCTGGGCGACAGAGCGAGACTCTGTGTCAAAAAAAAAAAAAAAAAAGAAAAAAAGAAAAAAGGAAAAACAAAACAAAACAAAACAAAAAAAGAGAAATTTAGTTCTCACAGTTCTGGAGAAGTGAAGTCTATTTTCAAGGTGCTGGCTGATTTGGTGTCTGGTGAGGACCCACTTCCATAGATGATGCCTTCTGGCGGTGTCCTCACTTGGCAAAAGGGGTGAGGGGTCTCTCTGGGGCAAACAATTCTATTTAAATACAATGTATTTCACACATATACATGAGCCAGAAGGAAACTCAAACTATAATGTGTTTGAGTTTTTCTTGTTTTTTTTTTTTTTTTTTTTTACAGAGTCTCACTCTGTCGCCCGGGCTGGAGTGCAGTGGGTCAATATCCGCTCACTGCAACCTCCACCTTCCAGGTTCAAGTGATTCTCCTGCCTCAGTCTGCTGAGTAGCTGGGATTACAGGCATGTGCCACCACACCAAGCTAATGTTTGTATTTTTTTTTTTTTTTGAGACGGAGTTTCGCTCTGTCGCCCAGGCTGGAGTGCAGTGGCGCGATCTCGACTCACTGCAAGCTCCGCCTCCCGGGTTCACGCCATTCTCCTGCCTCAGCCTCCCGTGTAGCTGGGACTACAGGCGCGCGCCACCATGCCCGGCTAATTTTTTTTTGTATTTTTAGTAGAGACAGGGTTTCACCGTGTTAGCCAGGATGGTCTCGATCTCCTGACCTCGTGATCCGCCCGTCTCGGCCTCCCAAAGTGCTGGGATTACAGGCGTGAGCCACCGCGCCTGGCCTATGTTTGTATTTTTAGTAGAGATGGGGTTTCACCATGTTGGTCAGGATGGTCTTGAACTCCTGACCTCGTGATCCGCCCGTCTCAGCCTCCCAAAGGGCTGGGATTACAGGAGTGAGCGCCACCGCACCTGGCCATCTGTGTTTTTATTTATTCATGTATCTGAGACAGAGTCTCATTCTGTCTCCCAGGCTGGAGTGCAGTGGTGTGATCACGGCTCCCTGCAGCCTCTACTTCCTGGGCTCACGTGATCCTCCCTCTTCAGCCTCCCGAGTAGCTGGGACCACAGACGCGCACCACCACGCCTGGCTAATTTTTTAAGACTTTTTCGTAAGGAAGGAATCTCATTATGTTGCCCAGGCTGGTCTCGAACTCCCGGGCTCAAGTGATTCTCCTGCCTCGGCCTCTCAAAGTGCTAAGATTACAGGGGTGACCCACTGTGCCTGGCCTCATTTTATATTTATATTTACTCAAAATGACAACCTCGACGGGTTTCCTTGCAAAGGTGTGCAGAGCACAGCAAGAATTTCAACGGGTAGAGTGGGCGGACTCGGGTGGGGCGCGGCACCCCCTCCCCCATCCCCTGCGGAGCTTTTCTCAGCCTGCGCCTTCCCGCGCAGGAAGAGGACCATGTGCGGTCCTGACGCTCTTCCCTGAAGAAACCCTCATGTCGATTTTCATATTATAGTGTTTCTTGCTCACCACACAGGAATTATGGCGGGCAGGAGTGAAAGAGACAGACTTTCCACACGATAACGGCATTTCCTATTCTTGGCAACATTGTTTAAAGCAAAATATTAGACCCCAAATGGTGAAACTTGGAGGATGATTCCCCCAGCTCTGCCCAATGGCTCCTTTTTCCTGAGGTTCTCAGCAGCACTTGGCGGATGTGGCTACACCGAGGTCTGACTGCAGAAGGCAGGAACCCTGTCCTGCCTTCCAGCTATTGAGATCCTGGGAGGGCTGACTGAGGCCGCCTGTAATACCAATGGGAATGAGAGAGGGGCTGGAGTGATGCTGCAGTGGGGGAAGTTTCTTTTATTAAAAAAAAATATATTATTTAATTTTAATTTAAAAATTTTTGAGACAGGGTCTTGCTCTGTAGCTTAGGCTGGAGTGCAGCGGTGGCATCATATTATATAGTTCACTGCAGCCTCTACCTCCAGGGCTCAGTGATCCTCCTGCCTCAGCCTCCCAAAGTGTGGTGATTACAGGGGTGAGCCACTGTGTACCTGGCTGGAAGTTTTCATTTGATGCCAAAAGTGTCTGAGGGAGCAAAGACTCTGGGATGACTGAAGTCTCAGGCCTGGCAAGCACCCCACACAGGGAGGCTCAGGAACAAGGGTTAAAATGATAATTGACGTCAAACTTGTAGTGGAGGTTTACAGTCTCTCCTAGACTGCAGAAAAGGTGCCTGGGGGTTGGAATCCAGGGGCCAAACTGCAGCCCCCTGATTTCCTGTTCGCTGGCTTCCGGACCTGCTGAATTCTCCCACCTCCTCAAGCCTGGGTTTTCTACATAAGTCAAAGACCGTAAAGGTGGCTTTTCTTTCATCATGATCTATCACATGCCATGAGGGAAAAATACAAAGGTCTGCTTGGAGGTGAGATTTATTATTATTATTATTATTATTTTTTTTTTTTTTTTTTGAGAGGGAGTCTGGCTGTGTCGCCCAGGCTGGATGGAGTGCAGTGGCCGAGCTTGGCTCACTGCAAGCTCTGCTTCCTGGGTTCACGCCATTCTCCCACCTCAGCCTCCCGAGTAGCTAGGACTACAGGCGCCTGCCACCATGCCCGGCTAATTTTGTGCATTTTTAGTAGAGACGGGGTTTAACCATGTTAGCCAGGATGGTCTCGATCTCCTGACCTCGTGATCCGCCCACCTCGGCCTCCCAAAGTGCTGGGATTACAGGCGTGAGCCACAGCGCCTGGCCTATTATTTTTTTTTGAGACAGAGTCTAGCTTTGTCGTCCAGGCTGGAGTGCAGTGGCACAATCTCTGCTCACTGCAACCTCCGCCTCCCCGGTTCAAGCAATTCTCCTGCCTCAGCCTCTGGAGTAGCTGACATTACAGGCATTTGCCACCACACCCGGCTGATTTTTTTTTTTTTTTTTGTATTTTTAGTAGAGTCGGGGTTTCACCATGTTGGCCAGGCTGGTCTCGAACTCCTGACCTTGTGATCCACCCGCCTCGGCCTCCCAAAGTGCAGGGATTACAGGCGTGAGCCACTGCACCCCGCCTGAGATTCATTATTAAATGAAGTCATTGATTCCGTGACAGATTCTGAAGCAGGGTGTGTCCGTTTAGAACCCAGTGAGCATGTTCTGGGTGGTGATGAGACTTCCCCCTAGGTTTACTGAGGTGTCCTTGCCAGAGAGTAAACCTCAGAGGCAGCAGCAGGCTGCTGAGCACAATGCTGGGTCCGAGCAGATGCTTGTTACTCATCATCCTCGTCTCGGCTCTGGGGTGTGCCCCGCCAACGAGACAGAAAGTCACCCCACCAGCATCAGGGGAGCTTTAGCAAGGACAGCCCAGAAGCAAGGCCTCAGTGGCTCCTTAGTCCATGGCGGTTCTAATGGTGTGAACAGCTCTTGCCTATTTGTTTTTAAATGTGGGTTTTATTGTTATTTAGGTAGGACAAGAATGCAGACATGGAAATGATGAAAAGATAGTTTATTATATTCATAGGGCAGGAGGACAGTCCACACAGGGCCACATGGAGAGGCACCAGGGTTGGTCAGGAAGCAAAGGGAGCAAGGGGAAAATGTACCAGGCAACTAGGGACAGCCCCTGTGCCCTGAAGCCTGCAGAAATGACTCACTAGCCAACCCTACACCATCTGCCCCTGCCTCACCTACTCCTTCCCACAGAAGCCACAGTACAGGCTCCTGCCCACAGTGCCCACTCCCTCTGCCTCCCGGCCCACCCTGGGGCTGCCCCATGTGGCCCTGCATGACACGCCTCCTGTTTCTAAGTGAGTATACACACTTTTTCCTCCTTGACATCATTTCCAGGTCTGCATTCTTACCATATCTGGTTAAAACGAATCTCATTTGAAAACGAACTGACTCGGCAAATAAATCACTCGCGAACAAACTAGTAATGTTCTCACATATGTAGTGCCAGAGTTTAGCTGTTTCAGGTAATTAACATAATTTGTATAAGGATTAGACATAGTTCTACAGTAGATCACATTTCAGATTTAATGACAATAAATTTGTTGGAGAGTCAGTGAGTTGGGATGCAACTCCACTTGTCAAATCATGGTTGCATCACAACCATAGGTTTGAGTACAGATAGAAGATCTGATAAAAATCAACAAAAGCATATAGGCTATATGGAGTAAAGAGTACTGTATATTTTGTTGTTACTTGAAATTCTGTGCTATAATGTACTTTATATCAGTAAAACTTATAATAAAGTGATATCGGCCGGGTGCAGAGGCTCAGGCCTGTAATCCCACCCAGCACTTAGGGAGGCCGAGGCGGGTGGATCACGAGGTCAGGAGATCGAGACCATCCTGGCTAACACAGTGAAACCCCGTCTCTACTAAAAATACACAAAGTTAGCCGGGCATGGTGGCGGGTGCCTGTAGTCCCAGCTACTTGGGAGGCTGAGGCAGGAGAATGGTGTGAACCCGGGAGGTGGAGTTTGCAATGAGCCGAGATCGCACCACTGCACTTCCAGCCTGGGCGACAAAGCGTGATTCCATCTCAAAAAATAAAAAATAAAAAAACAAAAACAAAAAACAAGTGATATCAGCATACTGATGCACCTGTTTTGTTTCTGGAGCGCCAGTTCTTACACACTGAGCAGCACATCCTTCCCCTGGGAGTACTGCAGACATTTCCCAGCCTAGGGCCCCACTCACTTGGCAGCACTCAGCTCCTGGGGATCCAGCTAGCTCTGTGGCCACAAACTTCCTTAGTACTGTGCTGGGGTTCTGAAGGGGTCCAGGTGCTGGCCAGATCAATGTGAGTCGAGCAGCTGTAACCATGGGAGACACAGCCCCTTGTTTTCCTTTCCCTATAACAGACAGTCCAAGTGAGATAAGTGCCTGCGCATAGAAAGCTTATCAAACTTAATTTTAAATACTCAAAACTGAATTCTGTGGAAAAGTCACTCCCAGAAACTTTTGTGGTGTGATGTATGGCTGTATGTGCCAGAGTGGCTTTGCAGACAATGGAAACTGGGAAAATATCCAGAGACTGCTTTTGAACGCTCACAGCCAGAAGAGTCGATTTGGTTCTAGGCTAGAGGGGGGAAATTGTGATGTGGCTGAAAGGAACAAGAGTGCCCCTCAGCCGGCAGGCATTCGCTGGGGCTCCGAAGTTAAACCCCAACATAGGAATGGGCTGAACATACCAGCCCTGTGCTGGTACAAGTCCTTATGCATCCCCTGCGTCTCCTCCCAGTGTCGCTGGTGAGTGGCTCCCTCGGAGAGGGGATGTGAGGACAGATTTTGCTCTTCTAGGATGTGTGGGGGATGACTGAGCCAGGGCTAAGCTGGCAAGGAAAGGGCAGCTTCTATAAACACTGCAGAATGGACACAGCTGGGGACTGCTCTGGGAAGGGAGATGCCCTCCCTCCATCCGGGTGAGCAAAGCCAGAGGTGTGAACAGGCTCTTCCCAGCAAGGGGTGCTGGCAGATAGTGGCCTAGGGGGATTTCTCTATCTCTCCTCCTCGACTGCGGGGGACAGCTAAGATCTGGGACACATTTATGTGAAGCTAACAGCCATGAGCCCAGCATTGCTCTTTTCTCTCCTGAGAAGTTTCTCCTTTTTAACTGTCTCCCTGGACGCCTGGGCTGCCAAAAGAAAATGCCTTTTATCTTCAAATTCTCCTTGTCTTTTCAGAGCTAGGTACTTAAGGGCTTCTCAGTTAGTAGACAGATAAATGGTAACTTTGGCTTTCTTGCTTATAATCAAGAATCATTCCACTAGAAGGATCCATTCTAGTATTCTAGTAGAGAAATCCATAGAGCCTGATTTCTAATTTTCTAATTAAAACGTATTTATACCCTATTCATACTAATATTGAACAGTTCTCAGTTTTCCTTTTAACCACAACTGTGACCTCTCAAGTTCCATTTCCTAAGTGCACCTACTGAAAATAAGGCAGTGTCTTTTTTGCCTGCCAGTGTTGTAAAAAATAGGCATTTTGTAAACACAAATTTTATGAATAGCATATACATATTCATCAAGCTCTTAGGCTAATTTGCAAAGTTCATCACTTGTTGATTCCTACAATAAACTGAAATAAGGAAAGGTACTGCTCAGAACACACTTGAAACAACTTTGGTATAAATATATATATATTTTTGAGACGGAGTCTCGCTCTGTCGCCCAGGCTGGAGTGCAGTGGCGCAATCTCGGCTCACTGCGAGCTGCGCTTCCCGGGTTCACTCACACCATTCTGCCTCAGCCTCCCAAGTAGCTAGGACTACAGGCGCCCGCCACCACGCCCAGCTAATTTTTTTTTTTTTTGTATTTTTAGTAGAGACGGGGTTTCACCGTGTTAGCCAGGATGGTCTCGATCTCCTGACCTCGTGATCCGCCCACCTCGGCCTCCCAAAGTGCTGAGATTACAGGCGTGAGCCCCCGCGCCGGGTCTCAAAAAATATTAATGCCTAGAAATATTTATGTCTCAATACTTGAATAATTATTTTTCTCATGAACCAATGAACTCCAAGCCAGCCCTCTAATGAAGTTCTACTTTATTTTTCTTTAATACTCATTTGAATGTTACGTTAAATTCATATTTTCATAGCCAATAGTTGAAAAGATTGAAAATGCCAATAAACTAATTGACAATATAAAATGTAAAAGTAATTGTGTCACACAGGCTCATGAACTACAGTGGATTTAAAAAGCTGAAGAGCTCAATGCAAGTGCCTTCTACCCGAAGTGTGTGCTCTTGAGGGCACATTCCGCATGGCCAAGCCTTTGTGGTGTCGCCGGGCCTGGCGTCCTCAGCTAGTGGCGCACATCCCCCTGGACTGGTTGTGGACACGACAGCCTCCTCAGATTGGGAAGCGACCTGAGAAGCGGTGCTCGGAAGACAGAGGAGGCTGGCCTGGCGCTCTTCAGGCTGAACTCTGCCTGCGTTGCCTTGCGGTGGGTTCCACAGCAGACGCTTCCCCCTTAAGGGAGATGTTGTGAAAGGAAGGTGCTAACTGTCAGGGGAAGGTGGCGGTGCCAGGCTTTCTGGCTCCAGCTTTGGCTCCTTCTCGCTGTTGTTCTGCTGTCTCTACCTACCGGTCACAGTGGTGCTGGGGACACACGTGTCCCTCTCCCAAGGATCTGGAGCCAAAGGCGCTTTCATGAAAATATTTATTACCCAATAAAAATATTCACCCAGTGCTTCAGCTTACGGTAAACTAAACACATCTATTATTTACAACATAGAAAATTAAAGGCGATGCCCAAGTCCCGGCCTTCCGCAGGGGCGCCGCTCCCGCTGGAGGACGGAAGGGACCAGGGACCGAGGGTGCGCGGGCGCATCCGGGCGCAGGAGGCGGTGCAGGAGTGCGCAGGGCAGCAAGAGTAGCAGGCTGGGCGCGCCCCCGGCGCTCGGCCCGTGAGCGTGGGAGGCCAGGAAGTCTTTCGGGTCTGGAAAAACAGAGAAACCGGAGATGTATGAAATAAAGTGTTCCGGCTCGGTTTGAGAGAGTGCAATAGAAACGCCTGCTCCCTGCCTTCTGCAGGCCCTTTTCTCCTGCGCCCTCACTAGGCTCTGTCCCTGGGACGCGCTGCAGGGTGAGGTGTGCGGAGGCCAGTCCCGGCCGGCTGCACAGAGGGAAGCCTCTAAATGTTTGTAGAACTCGGAGAGCTGAAGGAGAATTACAGTACTGTGTTTAAAGGGGGAACGAACAACAGCCCTTCCGTCTTTTTCATTTGGCCCGTGACCTTTCAGGGAGTCCCGCTCCAGGTCATTGAGCGATGGGGCACATAGACCCGATTTAAAACAGTGCTATAGTATATAAATCAGCTCGCTTCCATCTGCTGCAACAAAGGTTCCACTTTTCCCCAAATGAGTGCTCGAAATATTTCTTTGACGAGGGACAGCTGATAGAGCAGGAGGGTGCAGCCATCCAAAGTCTGGCTGCTGTTCTGAGGAGGCCTAGCCCTGTGAGTGGCGCCGCGCCCCATGGGACTCACCTGCCGGCCCCCTCGCCCACACCGCTGGTCATAGGAGGCCATGCCTGAACGCCTAGTCCCTGTGTCCCCTCCCCACCCCTCACAGCAGGCTTCATTCATGCTGAACCCTGAGGGTCCCTGAGCCTTGGTCTTTGTGTAGCTGGGACCCCAGCCCAGAACAGCGGAATGGGAATCTCTGGAGTGGTGGGGCTGGGCAGGGTCTTGGCTAATGCCCTGGGTGGTGGTTGCCATGTGAAGCGGACAACCTTGCAGGCATGGCAACCAGCACCACTAGAACATTCTCACAAGCGAGTCCAGGCCTGTCTTGGAGTGGGGTCAGGCTGGTAGAAGAGCATGCCCAACTACAGGGATCCTCTCCCCGGGGCCACTGAGCAAAGGCCAGCCACCTCCCTGCCCCCTGACCAGGCCTGCCCTGCCCTCTGCTATACCTCCAGGAGATGTCCTCTGGACTTGGGAACCTGGCATGAGCATGAAACTGGAAATTAACAAGGAATGATGCAGATGAACACCTGCAGCAAGAACCACTCTACACCTGTCCACAGGTAAGCTGTGGTAGCATTGGCCAGGTCAGGCTCACTCCAGGCTTGGGTGCCACCTCCCCATAGCACCCCACCTTGGGAGAGAGGATTGTTCCAGGGGTGCCAGAATCCCCAAACAGGAATGCTAACGTCTAGGCTCAGACGAGGCTCCAGAGAAGCTGGTGCTAAGACAGGCGCTCACAGCATGTGAAGCTATTCAGGTGAGAAAGGGGTCAGCAGTACTGGGTCCGTGCTGGCCTTCCCCTGAGGGAAGGAAACAGGAGGGCTGGACACAGGGTGTATGCTTACAGGCTCAGAGTCAGCTGGTGCCAGGACCTGTGAGAGCCATTCCAATGGCATCCCAGAGGTCTGTAGACTGGGTCTGGCCCACGGATGTTTGTTTGCTTGTTGGTTGGTTGGTGGGTTTTTGCCAGAATGGCATGTTTAAAAATGAGTTTGCAGCAGTGAGGTGAGTCTTCACCGGGCCCCATCTCACTTCCGTGTTACCTGCCCATCTCTGAAGACACCTGAGTTGGCTACATCACTGTGTCATTCCACAGACTCTGAATTTTAGAGTAGTAAACTGTCTCTTGATGCTTGTGAAAACTGATACTTGATGCTTTAGGGCCACAGTAGAAAGAACCACCCCCTTAGACTAACAAGGAGATCCTGGCTAGCTCAGGACTGCGCAAAAGTCCCTGCTACATGGAAGCTTTTCATTCTTGGACCCGCAGAGCATCAGTCAGAGCAAGGAGGGCTCTTGGTGATCCCCAGACAGAGAGTCCCTGCAGCAGCCATGCTTTTGTAGCAACATATTCTATCTTCCACATACTCTTCAAAACCATCATAATCTCCCATTAAAGGATTTAAAACATTTACTTATCTATTACTGTGCTGTTGGCTTTGGAACATGACCAAATTTTCTATATTCTATACAACACTATAAAAAAATCTTCATTTGTTTCATATTTATTCTTTCTTTTCTTTTTAAGAGACAGGGTCTCGCTCTGTCACCCAGGTTGGAGTGCAGTGGTGCAATCATAGCTCACTGTAACCTCACACTCCTAGGCTCAAGTGATCCTTTTGCCTCTCAGCCTCCCAAGTAGTTGGGACCAGAGGTGCTCGTCACCACACCTGGCTAATTTTTTGTAGAGACAGGTCTTGCTATATTGCCCAGGCTGTTCTCGAACTCCTGGCCTCAAGCAATCTTCCCACCTAAGCCTCCTAGAGTGCTGGGATTATAGGCATGAGCCACTGTACCCAGTCATATTGATAATTACTCTTATAGAAAGAGTACAAGAATGGGCCGGGCACGGTGGCTCACGCCTGTAATCCCAGCACTTTGGGAGGCTGAGGTGGGCGGATCACAAGGTCAGGAGATCGAGACCATCCTGGCTAACATGGTTAAACCCCGTCTCTACTAAAAATAAAAAATAAAAAAAGTTAGCTGGGCGTGGTGGCAGGTGCCTGTAGTCCCAGCTACTCAGGAAGCTGAGGCAGGAGAATGGCATGAACCCTGGAGGTGGAGCTTGCAGTGAGCCGAGACTGCGCCACTGCACCCCAGCCCGGGCGACAGAGTGAGACTCCATCTCAAAAAAAAAAAAAGACTACAGGAATGGCACAAGGTAAAGAATCAGACCCTGTTTACTATCTGTAGGAGTTGATCTCTCTGTGTCTCAGCTTCCCCAAATGTAAAAGGTGTACCTACTTCATTGGCTTTCATAAGAGTTAAATGGGATAATGGGTATATAAAGTGCCTGAAATACACTGAGGGCTCCTCTCATGCTGTAACACCCAGAAGAGCTTGCCCTATTGCAATGGCACCTGCCACGGAGGATGTTCCATCTATCATCACTGTTGTCAAACTTCAAGTCATCATAACCACCATCAGCACAGCCATCACCAGCATCACTGTAACTTGCCTTGAAGCAGGATGAATGGGTAAAAGAACACAAAGGTGTTACTGCCCTCTCTGCACCTGACAGATGACTCTGAAGGATGACTGCACTATTTTGTCTAGCTTTGATGAACAGAGGCCACATTTTCAGAGCCATTATCATTGTCCTTGGCAAATAGCAGTCCCAGCACTGGATGTTTCCAAGAATGTAAAATCATGACCAGATATCCTGGAAGTCATGACAGCTAGTCCCTTCCCCACATTCCTGCTGGGGCGGCCTAATGGCAGGTGGGAACTGACTTCATCTGTGAGGACCACACAAGCACCCCCTGTGATTCTGATGCCTGTCCATGAAATCTGTGTCCTCCTGTCTCTAGGGCATAGAGGAGCAGCTGGTGACTTCAGAGGCAGAGGCCCAGCAAAAGGAGCACACATAGAAGAGGGGGTGCTTTGGGAAAATGTGGTCTGCACGGCAGGGGGGGAGTGCTCTTCCCTGCTGGCACCATGCAGAGCTAGCTGAGGAGAAGGGAGCAGGGTGGGAAGTGGGGTTGGGGGCTGTGCCTCTATTAAGAGTGTCCCTTGACTGCTGGTCCTACCAGGGAGAGAAGAGAGGACAGGAAGGTGAAGGAGAGCTAAGCATGCATTGTGTACTCCTCCATTGTGGGCCTCCAAGAGCAAGAGGGAGGCTGGGGGAGCCGGGTTGAAGATCTTTGGGCCACTGGTGCTGCCCTCCATGCAGCCCTAGCAGGACGGCCTGAGAGCGACAGGTGGGAAGTGGGGTTGCGGGGCTGTGCTCTTTGACAGATGGAGGTGCCCAGGGCTGACTGAAGTGGAGGGAGGGGGCAGGAGAGTGGATCAGGGGCCTTGGCTTCATCAGGTGTGCCTCTGGACACTGCACCACCAGCCCACCCAGGCCTGGGAGAGGGCAGAGCTCGGGCTGGGGCCAAGAGGCTGGGCCTTCACTAGCTGTGCCCTCCATTGCTAGCCCCAGCCAGTGATCACCAAAGAGGAGAGGAGAGAAGGCACAGGATTCCAGAGGGAAATGCGGCTCCTGCCTGTGTCCCTGCTGGTCCCACAGCTGAGCAGATGGTGCTGGCCTAGTGCAGGGAAACCACCTGAGATTTACGCAGCTAACTTGTCTCCCAGCTTCCTCTCCGATTACCAGCTGGTCATCTCCTGAAATTCTGCTCACTGAAACGGACATGTGAGGACATGGTTTGGAAATCATTTTTAAACTCAGCAATCTGGATATGAGAACTTCAAAACAAAATTTAATTCACTATATGATTCCCAATGAATGCGACTTTCTTCAATGATGAATCGATCTACTTTGCTAAATGCTATGTGGCCTGGCACTGGAAGATGCACTGTGGATCGGTATGGAGGGTGAGCCGCAATGAAGGCGCAACCGCGTGCGGGGGTGAGCTGGGGACCGAATCACAGGGCCTCTTACCACAGCGGTCAGGCGTCTGGAGGGGGAGGCAGTGCAGGGCCCCGAAGATGCACCTGCAGAGGTGGCAGGCGCGGAGGGTCCAGGCTCCGTGCTCCAGGGCGCCGCATTCACTGAGAAGACGGGGACCTGCATCAATGCGGTGGCCCGCGCGCCCCTCGCCCGGCGCCCACTCCTGCGCCGCTCCCCCACCCGCGCATCCCTCCCCCGGCGCCAACTCCCGCGCCCCCCAACCCGCGCGCCCATCGCCCGGCGCCCACTCCCGCGCCCCCGCACCCGCGCGCCCCTCTCCTGACGCCTACTCCCGCGCCCCCAGACCCGCAGGTCCCTCACCCGGCGCCCACCCCCGTCCCCACCCCGCGCACCCCTGTGCCCACCTGCGCCTCTGGTCATGCTCGCAGTAGCGGCCGGTGAAGTGGGCCGGGCACACGCAGAAGCTGCCCAGCACGCAGGTACCGCCGTTCCTGCAGCAGCGCGGCCGCGCGGACGCACCTGCGGGGTCACCCGGGCGTCAGCCCCGCGCCCCCCGCGGCCCGTGGCCCTCCCCGCAGGGACGGGGCCGAACGTGGCCGCCCAGGGGAGGCAGTAAAATCAGCCTCCAGCCAAGTGTGTTTGCTCAGGTAAACCCTGCTTGTTAGGGATGTGAAACAAACTATCAGGGGTGCGGCCTGCAAGCCGGGCTTGCTCTCTCCCTTCCTTTCACATGTTAACCTCTGGCTGTGGCTTCACCTGACAGTGATTAAGCACAGGCCTCCTGGGCGGGACCACCCACGGGTGTGATGACGCCAAACCCACCGGCGAGGGGCCTCCTGGGGACGCGGTGTCTGGGAGAAGCCAAGCAAGAGTCCGCTGTTATCTTGGCTTGGGATATTTATTTTCAACACATTTAAATCACAGTTCTCTAGATCTGCAGCAAAATAACCATTGAAGAGCAAATACAACGTTTTACCAATGAAAGAGTAAAACTTTTTAACACCTCACTAGGAACTGTCTCTAGCTTTATAGCTTTGTAAGTGCATCATCATTTGAAGATAACAAAATGCTCTCCTTGGATTTTATCCTGAATTTATCCTACATATTCTCAGGTCCTAAACTCTGAGTCCGCAGACTGAGATGACGCCCCGGATTTTGTGGGCAGCGCTGCAACTTACCCTCTCCGAAAGCCCAGGAGTATGGGAGCGGCTCCTCCGGCCCCCAGCCCTCGGCGCTCCCAGTCACCTCTCCGAAATGACTGGAGGTCCAGTTGAGCGGTGACTGTCGGTGCTTCTGAGTGGCAACCTTGGTGACTTCCTCTCTACCGCCGTTATGTTTCTCTCTTTGATAGCCTTTAAAAAATATTGAAAATGTGAGACTGATAATGATTGAGAAACAAATATTTTATGCAATTAAAACTGAAATTATGAATAAAATGTTTCTTACTGTTTCCCAAATTGATGATCTGTAATGCCAAACTGACCGTAAACAGAAGCCTAGAATATTTAAAGAAAATCATTGAAGTTGAAAGTATCTTTAGAAGTATAAGCAGAAATTCACATACACATAAAAATACAATGCCATCATTATATATAAATATAAAATTATGTAAAATAATTATAATGAATAAGGCAATCATTTTGTAACTTGTAGGTTTTTGTTAATTTTGCTATGGCTTAGAAAGATTTTGAGACAGAAAGTGTACACCTCCTTTAATGAACAGTGGCTCATGCACTACGATTTATTCTGAGGCTCTTAAGACCCCTTCTTGGCTCTAAGATCTCATGACCTCTGTCCTTACCTGACATGGTGCCTCCAGGTCATTTTTGGTTTGAGAGTCTCCTTCTCTTAGTGCATTGAAGATCAGTTTCCAGGAAAGCTGAATCTGAAGAGTCTCTGCATTTGAAGGTGTCTTTACTCCAGGCCCCGGGGACACAGAATGGACGAGTACAGAAGATGTGGATGTTCCCTTCCCTTCCTCAGCCAGGAGAAACGGGATGGTATCTTGAGTTCTGCAGTCCCTGAGCTAGGGTCGGGGGCGCAGTGACAGGCAGGCCCCTCCGAGCCTGAAGAACAATTCCCTCTATGAGACCTGGCTGGGGGGTGGGGACTTGGGCTGACTCCCCCCAGCAGTGTTTACAGTGCTGACAGCAGCAGGAGTGACCAATCCCTGATGTAAAACATTGGTATCCAAGGTGACGAGCCATTTTCTCACTGGAAAAAAAAAAAAATCCCAACATGAACAAAAAGCTTTCACAGGAAGGTGGAGATTTTCTACTGCATACTACTTGTACTGGGAGATGGTGAGGGGCCCTGTGGGAGAGGGAGCTCCTGTGTGGGGCACAGGCAACAGCCTGGGGTCCCAGCCGCCCTGAGTGGGGAACACGAGGATAAGGGAAAGCACGTCACCCCTGCTTTAAGAGAGGCCCCCTTACTCTGCAGATGGAGCCTCTTCTCTGTGCCCAGCAAGTGGGGGAGGGGCACTGCCCCCATTTACTATAGGACCCTCTAGGGTAGGCACTATTATTATCCCCCACGTGAAAAGAGAGAAAGGGAGGCTTAGAGAGTTTAAGTCCTTTGGCAGTTAGATCTCTGAGAAACATGAATGGCACCGATATGATGAGGAGATACCCACAGGTATTTAAGGCGAGCCCTTGGGAGCACAGGCGCAACTGCGGCGCCCGCCCATCGCCAGAGGAGCCTGCTGAATCCAAACGGAACCCAAGGAAGGAGTGATTTGGGGTATTTTCTAGCACCTTCTAAATCTGCTTTTCTAACTACCAGAATAGGGACTGAGCCCCTTTTATCAGCACTAAAGAAGACACTTTGCAACCCAGTGTTGCAAATTGTTCTGTGATTTTAATATAAAAACTCATTTCTAAAAATAGTATTCTTCCTCCAAGGCTGAAATAGTCTTTAATGGTGATTTAATTTCTTACATCTTTACGTGTGAGGTTTATTAAAGAGGCTGTTAAATAAAGCAATAGGAAATTGGAGGACCGGGCTACCCTGGGGGGCCTCCCAGCAATGGGTCCTGTGGGCTGCAAGGACCAGGTCAAGGCCAGCAGACCCGAGTGGGCAGAGCACATGGAGGAAGGTGCCCCAGGACTTCATCAAGCATCTGTAAGTGCTGTAAGTCATGAGACAAACACCTTGTTAATTTTGTTTTTTAGAGGCAAAGTGTCACTCTGTCAGCCAGGCTGGAGTGCAGTGGGCGATCATAGCTCACCACATCCTCGAACTTCTGGGCTTAAGTGATCCTCCTACCCCAGCCTCTGAGTGGCTAGGACTACAGGCTCGCGCCCCTATGCCCAGCTAATTTTTTTTTTATTTTGTAGAGATAGGGATCTTGCTATGTTTCCCAGGCTGTCCTCTAACTTCTGGCCTTAAGCGATCCTCCTGCCTCTGCCTCCCAAAGTGCTGGGATTACAGGCACAAACCCACCGTGTCCGGTGAAAAACACACTTTATTTTTTTGAGACGGAGTCTAGCTCTGTGGCCCAGGCTGGAGTGCAGTGGTGCAATCTCGGCTCACTGCAACCTCCGCCTCCCGGATTCACACCATTCTCCTGCCTCAGCCTCCCGAGTAGCTGGGACTACAGGCGCCCACCACCATGCCTGGCTAATTTTTTTGTATTTTTAGTAGAGACGGGGTTTCACCGTGTTAGCCAGGATGGTCTTGATCTCCTGACCTCGTGATCCACCCGCCTCGGCCTCCCAAAGTGCTGGGATTACTGGCATGAGCCACTGCGCCCGGCCGAAAAATACACTTTTAAACTCAGTGGTTACTACTGGTTAATTGCATCATTTAATTATATGTAAAAGTAAGTACATTTTATGACTTTAAGTTAATAGAATCTTTTGCATGAGCTAAATTGTTTGTATACTAAAATGAAGATGTATATAAGCTAGATGATTGTATTTTTTGTATAAATAAGTTTTAAAACTGTTCATTTTACAGAGTGATATTGAAACCAAACCTCTCTGACAATAGTAAAGCTTTAAAAGCAGCCTCTAAAATCTAACTTTCCCCCACAGTTTATTTATTAAATTTTACCTTAGTGGACATTTCCAAACATACACAAAGGCTGGTAGAATGAGCCAATAAACCCAGGTTCAACAATTAAGTATCAGCCTTTGCCAATTTTATTTCATTTGTTTCCTCCCTAACTTTTTTCTTGAAGTTTTAAAAACTCCAATACATCATGACATTTCATATGTAGAGTAAGATTTTGAAAATCTGCACTTTATAAGTGGAAACTAGGAAAAAAAAATGTCTTGCCAGCAAGACAGAACTGAGAAGCAAGAAATAGCAGTGCGACGTGCTTAAGCTGTTTGCTTAAGCTCTGCAGTCGGCTCTGAGGAGAAGGGCTGATGGCCAGGCAATAAAGCTTCTGATGACCTATTTTCGCCAAACTGTCACTTGCTCTCCACACAAAGCGGTCCCAGGTTGCCGCATTGACTCAAAGGTCTTATAAAAGGGTTTTGCATTTTACTGCAGAGGCGCTGCCCTGTTTGCCATCAAGAGGCCCAGCTGGAAGGGTTGCCTGGGAGCACTGGAAGGGAGGAGGTGGGTCCCTGCCAGGAAAGGGCCTCTTTTCTCCTTATCAGCTGTGAACAGATAAGGCTGGAGCCGACCCACCCGTCAAAACTCCAGAGGAATGTTCTGGCTCATAGAGTGTGTGGGACCGGAACCCCGTGCCAGGACTGGAGGCCCCGTCAATGTTCTCAGCACATCCATCATGAAGGAAAATGCTCTGCAACAAATTAGGTGTGAAGGGATTCTCTGAGGAGGACTTTAAAGCGATGGCTGTCCAAGTGGGCTGTCCCCGGCACCTGTGGGGAGTGAGAAACACCTTTCTCCACCCTCCTGGCTTCTTGGGTGGGGCTGCTTTCTGTCTCCACACATTTTCCTCATCTAGAGATTGCATGTGAGGGGAATCATGCAGTATTTTCCTTTTGCGTCCGGCCTATGCCACGTAGCATAATGTCTTAGGTCCATCTGTGCTGTAGCGCACATCAGAGCTTCACTCCTTTTGTGACTGAATAATATTTCACGAACACCCATCCACCGCATTTTGTCTGTTTGTCATCTGTTGATGCATATTTGGTTTTTCTACCTTTTGGAAGAGCACAGTGAGATGGTAGCTATCCACATACCGATAAAGGAGGACTCCGGGGAACCCAAATCTGGTGACGCCTTGACTTCAGACTTCCAGCCTCCAGAACTGTGAGAGGAAATGTCTCTGTGGGTTAGGCCTCCCAGCCTGCGGCATTTGGTTAGGGCAGCCCGAGCTGACAGATACACCAGGTTTTTGTTTTTCCATGATTGTTATGTGTTATGTAATTTAGTAATTTTTGCTGCATTTAGAGTGCATTTGTACTGGTGGCTTTCTAGAATTACAGAGAGCATCTTTTACGCAGGGTCCTTACACAGACATTTTCATTCACGGGGGGACCCTGTAGACAGTCCTCAAAGGCAATGGCGTGAGTCCGGCTGATGTTCCTTTAAATCAAATGGTGAATCTGAACTGTTGTGTGGCCCTTCAGAAAGCCCAGCACAGTCTGAGATGCTCATTTTGGCCTCCAGGCAGTGACCATGCTGGACAGAACATCACCTCCGCAAGCAGTCGGGCTCCAGGACCAAACTTCATTTTCCAGATGATGCTATGCTCAGATAAGGACCTTTATTAATTATACCAATTTTTATTTAGCATAATTAGCAATGCTTTTAGTCTCTAAATCATACAAAATACCTGCCAGAAAAGATGTACTTGAACAAAACATGGTGCAGAAAGCAAAAATTCCCTGAAGTAAAAATGGAAGCTGAAAATAATGCACTTTAAGAGAGAGATGGGGGCCGGGCACGGTGGCTCACACCAGTAATCCCAACACTTTGGGAGGCCGAGGCGGGTGGATCACGAAGTCAGGAGATGGAGACCATTTTGGCTAACATGGTGAAACCCTGTCTCTACTAAAAAAAAAGTACAAAAATTAGCCAGGCATGGTGGTGGGCGCCTGTAGTCCCAGCTACTTGGGAGGCTGAGGCAGGAGAATTACTTGAACCCGGGAGGCGGGGTTGCAGTGAGCTGAGATTGCGCCACTGCACTCCAGCCTGGGTAACAGAGTGAGACTCTGTCTCAAGAAACAAACAAACAAACAAAAGCAATGAATCACATGAATCTGGGAGGCGGAGGTTGCAGTGAGCTGAGATTGTGCCACTGCACTCCAGCCTGGGTGACAGAGTGAGACTCTGTCTCAAAAAAAAAAAAAAAAAAAAAAAGAGAGAGATTGGATCTTTCAGGGAGGCAGGCAGTCACGTGCTGAAGGACAGGCCTGGCGTGCAGGGGCCCTCCTGGGAGTGCAGGCTCAAGGAGGGGAATCAGTCTGTCCTCACCTCTGGGCTCAGAGCTGGGTCAGGCATCAAGACCATTTTATCTTCCCATGGCAGTGCCAGTGCTGCTGCAGAGCCCTGAGGACTGGGACACAGAGAAGCACCCTCCCTCAGGAGCTTCCCTTTCAACTGGGTGGCATTCAGGAAACAGCCAGGACCCTGCAGTGCCTGAGTGCTTTGACCAGAAGCATTTGGGCTTGGAAGGGTCTTTCCTGCCCTTTCCTCCACCCAGCCCCTACACCCTCCACTTCCAGCCTGGTGGCCTCTCCCCTGCACCAGCACATATGGCCTCCCCTAGGGTAGGAGGGAGAGGGTGAGAGAGTGGGAGTCCCCGCCTTTTGTGACCTGCTGTCTGTTAGAGGTGAGTCCAGGGCCACTCTAAGGGTGGAGGTTGCACATTGGCATGAAGGCCAGGAAGGACTCTTTGGGGCCCTGTCAGAGACTTAGCCACACCCATAGATTAAACTCGTTTTGCCATATGTGCTATTTTGTTTTTAGTGAAGAATTTTAAAGTAAATTACATACATCATGACATCTTCTTCCTGAATATTTTCATATTTAGGATGTCTGAAAAATGAGGCTGTGTTCCCACAAATCTGTATTAGATGGAACTGAATTAACAACAGTGCTCCAGAACCCTGGACCATCCAGCCTAAATTCCATTTGGGGATGAGATGCGTTTTTGCCTCAGAATCCCAAGCGGTAAGCACCATGAACCCCTCAGTTCATATCTCAATCTTCCTTTCTATTGGATTTTGTTCTCAATTTCTAACTTCTTACTAGATTATATCTCATTTAATTCTACTTGTTAAAGCTGATTTATTCTAAAATTTGATGAAGCAAAAGTCTGGATTTTGCCTCAATATAATAAGAACCACTTAATTATAAACATTGATGCAGGGCTTTGCTAACCTGCATTTTGTTCTTGGTATAGCCACATGTCTTTTGGGCCCCTTAAAAGGTAATTTTCCATATGAAGCACTTCTATATGGATCTACAATAAGAATTAACTTTAAAGTTAGTATTTTATTGGGGGATGATGCCCTGCTGATGAAACTCTGTGAATCAACCTCATTTGTTCATAGATAGCACTTGATATATAAAGAGCTTAACACTAGTCCCTCCAGACTGCACACCAATGTTCTGGATTTCACAGTGAGACTCAGAGGGTGCATGGGGGTTGTCACCTGCAGCTCTGGGATCCAGCCAGTTGGGCTGGGGCTTCCTCCCTGTTTAAATTTGAAAAGGAAACCAGTTTGGAGTAAGAAGTAGATTTTGCCTTGAAACAGCCAACCTACCAGTTTTAATGATTGACAACTGAGTTCACATAGAGAACTGAGCTCAATTTAAGAGTTAATAAAATGGGCCAGGAGTGGTGGCTCACGCCTGTAATCCCAGCACTTTGGGAGCCCGAGGCAGGCGGATCATGAGGTCAGGAGATCGAGACCATCTTGGCTAACATGGTGAAACCCCGTCTCTACTAACAATACAAAAAATTAGCTGGGCGCGGTGGCAGGTGCTTGTAGTCCCAGCTGCTTGGGAGGCTGAGGCGGGAGAATGGCGTGAACCCAGGAGGCAGAGCTTGCAGTGAGCCGAGATCGCGCCACTGCACTCCAGCCTGGACAACAGAGAGAGACTCTGTCTCAAAAAAAAACAAAACAAAAAAAAAAACAAAAACCAAAAAACTTAATAACATGAACAGCCTTTTTTGAGGGATAATTTCAAGGTTTTAAGATAAAAAGTAATAATCGGGCCAAGTGCAGTGGCTCACACCTGTAATCCCAGCACTATGGGAGGCCAAGGCAGGCAGATCACTTGAGGTCAGGAGTTGGAGACCAGCCTGGCCAACATGGTGAAACCCTGTTTCTACTAAAAATACAAAATTAGCCGGGCGTGGTGGCACATGCCTGTAATCCCTCCTACTCAGGAGGCTGAAGCAGGAGAATCGCTGGAACCCGGGAGGCAGAGGTTGCAGTGAGCCGAGATCATGCCATTGCACTCCAGCCGGGGCGACAAGAGCAAAACTCTGTCAAAACAAACAAACAAACAAAAAACAAACAACAACAACAAAACAAACCAGTAATAACCGTACTTTTGCATAAAATGCAGAGACAGATTTTCTTTTCTTCAGGCCCAGGTCCAATAAGGGACCCAGAGGGGCTGTGTGGAGTAGAGCTCTGCAGTTCTGAATGCCCACCCTGCTGGGAATAAGGTCATGCTTGATCCAAATGACTGCAGACCCAGCAAAGGACTCAGTTCTGATAAGACCTCAGCAATTTCCTGGGTGAATTTCAAGCCACTTCATTAATAAGTCAAAGCTTCACAATCGCAAAGATAAGGAATCGACCAAGGTGTCCATCATTGGATAAACGGATAAAGATAATGTGCCATATATACACAATGGTAAACTATTCAGCCATAAAAAGAACGAAATCATGTCTTTTGCAGCAACCTGGATGGAAATGGAAGCCATTATCTTAAGTTCTTAAGTGAAATAAGCCAGGCATAGAAAGACAAACATTGCATGTGCTCACTCATAATTGGGAGCTAAAAAATATGTATGCTGAAAGTAAGATGAGAGACAATGGAGACAAAGGGTGAAGGGGTGGCAGGGAGGAGGAGGAGGAGAAATTGGTTAATGGGTGCAATGTACATTATTCTGGTGACGGATATCCTAAAAGCCCCAACTTGGCCACTATGCAATCCATGCATGTAACAAAATTGCACATGTACCCCATGAATGTGTACAAATGAAAAAATAAGCTTCCTATTTTCACAAAGACAACAATCCCCTCATGCCACATAGTTTATTAATTGTTGACTTTGTGTTTGAGCTGCAAATAACTATTGTCACACAACTGTTTATGAACAATAGCTGCTTAGGGATTTCCTGAAATCTCTCCAGCAGGTGCACCTCTGTTGACATTGCTGCACGCTCCCACCCTCCTAATTCAGTCACCAGCACTCCTGAGAGCCTGCTCAGGCCCTGGCTCACTAAGTTAAGAAGAAAGCACCTTCCCTCTGCCAGCTCCAGTGTGAGGTGTGATAGAGGTCACATGCTGGGAGACGGAAGGAGGGGTACCTGATTTGAACAGGAAGGAGGGGTGTGTGATTTACGGCCATTCTGGCTGGAAAGAAGAAGGAAGAGTGGGAGCCTTTCAGGAAGACTGGGTGGGACTCCTGAATGTGGCAGGGGGTAGGAGGCCTTGGGGCTTGTGCCCTGTGGCTAAGTTGCAGGGTAGGCTGGGGTCCCAGCCTGGGTGGCATGAGAAGAGGGGTGGCTATGATAGCAGTGTTTGTCCTGTCTGAAACTCCTGCTGAAACTGAATCCCCAGTGTGGCAGTGTGAGAAGTTGGGTTCTTTAAGTGGCGATTGGGTCCTGAGGGCTTCATTCTCACGAATGGACTCATCCACCATGAGTTAATGGATTAGTGCATTATGATATCAATGGGACTGAAGGCTTTAAAGGAAGAAGAAGAAGAGGTAGCATCAGCATGCTCCACCTCCTTGCCATGGACTGTCCTACACTGCCTTGGGACTCTGCAGAGTCCTCACCAGCAAGAAGTTCCTCACCAGATGTGCTCCCTCGACCTTGGGAGAGAAATGAAAATTTCTTTTCTTTATCAATTACCCAGTTTCACGTTTTCTGCTATAAACAGCATATAACAGACTAAGACAGGTGCTGCTTGGGTTCAATGCTAAACACGTGATTTCTCTAACTTAGCAAATCGCCAAAAGCTAGGGTTCAGTCCAGTGTCTCTGATGCAGATTCACTGTTGGTGGCATTGGGCGAGGGCTCAGGGTAGCTGGGCAGCCTCAGCAGGGTGCAGTGCCAGGTCTCTTTCCAGAGGTGGCAGGTGTGAATGCACAGAGGTAGGGACCTCACTGGTTTTGGCAGACCGTTTAACCTCTCAGAGCTGGTTTCTTCAAGCACTACTTCAGCTAGTCTTAGACAAGAGGCTGTGGGGCTAAGCTTAGTGTGGAAGGGAGGGGAGATGAACACATCAATCATTAGTGTCCAAGAAGAGATGCGGAGGAAAGACTGTGGAAACAGAAAGCAGGGAGGACATTGTCTGCTTGGAAGAGCCAGCAAAACTGGGTGGAGGACACAGAGTGGTGGAGAGAGGGGCTGAGGTCAGCAGGTATAAGGTCAGCATGAGCAGTGTTAAAGAAAAATTACTCAACGTTACTAGCATGGCAGGTGGACTTTATTCCAGACCATTGAGGTAGGTATAGGTGGATCGAGATAGATCAGGTTCAACTCAAATACAGCATGGGCGAGGGGGAGCTGATAACCAAGGAGCAGGGTTGGGGGCAGTGGGTGGAAAATGACTAAAAGGTGATTCAGAGTTAAAGGACTCTGGCTAATCTGGCCCAATAGGATTCTTGCTGACGACAGGCCATGGTGGTCAGACTTCACCTTGGGGACGATGGAGGATGAGGAGCCTCATCAGATATGGAGGGCGATGAGGTATTGAGGGTAGGGGCTTCTTGCTAAACTGACTTACCAAGGTTCTTGGTGAAACTGGATTTTACCAGGACGTGCACAGATGGACGTAGGAGGAGGCTCGGGAGCTGGACTACCCTTTGGCCAAGCAGAGAATCTTTGTTAGCAGGAAGCTGAGGGCCCGTTGCAGGGCAGCAGAGTGATAGGTAAATAGGGGGAGCATATTCATTCATTCTCTCAACAATTAAATATTAAATACGTCTGTGCTACCAGGGATACAAAGGTAAACAAAGCAGGAAAAAAAGTTCTGCCTTTATGGCCAGTACATTCTGGTAGGAGAAGAAAGAAAATAAACAACATAAGTAAATAGTATATTAGAGGAAGAAAAATGCTATGGAGAGTAAAAAAATGAGGGCATAAAGGGACATTTGGAGTGTTTCACAGAGAAAGTGACACTCTGGCAAGACCTCCTCTGCTGAGGGAGCCAGGATGCCTGCAAAGAGTGCGCTGGGCCCAGGAAGGAGCAGGGAGTGCTGGCCCCTGCTGTAGGCCTCGCAGGCCTGCTCTCTGGTGGAGCCAGGGAGGCGCGATCTGACTTTTGAGCCTGTGTGGAGCATGAACCGCAGGGCGCAGGGTGGAGGCGGCTGCGAGGGGACCCGGAGCCTAGGTCAGGGCGGTGGAGGCTGGAAGCTTGCAAGAGTCGCAGGGATTAATGCTGGGTTGGATCTGGGTGTGAGAGAAAGAGCACACGGGGAGGACTCGGGGTTTTCCGTCCTGAGGAGCCATGAACTGAAACGGAGACTGTTTTGTTTGGAGCTGACTGTGAAGGAAGGGCGAGAGGTGGTGTCTATGAGCATCAAGTGGAAAAACGGAGGAGACGCTCCTAGCGAGGGAGAGGCCTGGGCGGGGCGCGATGAGCAGGCAGGTGGCATTTGGAGCTGCGGGAATAAATGCAACCCCAGGGAGCAGGTGTGGACAGAAAACAGAAGAGCGGCCTTGGGCAGCCAGGAGTCCCGAAATGTGCGCGGAGGAGGGGCCTTGGAGCGGGAGAGGAGTGGTCCAGGAAGCCACGTGCAGGGGGTGCTGAGGAGCAGCAGGGAGGGAGGCCCCCTGTCTTACAGCTGGGGGCTGCACTTCTCCATAGGCCATTGCTGCCGGCAGGAGCAGGTTCAGGGTAGTGCAGAGGTGGAGAGCTGAACTGGAGTAGCTCACATAGCGAGAGGGAGGAGGGGTGTTCAAGGTAAGACGAGACCACGCTTTGGAGCCATTTTGCTCTACAGGGGAACAGAGAAATGGGATGCAGCTGGAGAGCGAAGCATGAAGAGGATGTTTTAAAGATGGGCCAGGAAAAAGCACGTTTGTCCAACTGACTAGAGAGGAAGAAGTGGGTGATTCAGGAGTGAGGTGGAAGGCAGAGGTGTCCTTAAGAGGTCTAGTCCGCCAGGGCAGGGGTGTGGCCATCCTTCTGCAGTAATGCAGGGAAGACACGTTGCCGTGAGGGGGCAGCCTGCAGATCTATTTTATTTATTTATTTATTTATTTATTTATTTATTTATTTATTTATTTATGAGATGGACTTTTGCTCTTGTTGCCCAGGCTGGAGTGCAATGGCAGTATCTTGGCTCACCGCAACCTCCGCCTCTCGGGATCAAGCGATTCTCCTGCCTCAGCCTCCCAAGTAGCTGGGATTACAGGCGTGCACCACCACGCCTGGCTAATTTTGTATTTTTAGTAGAGACAAGGTTTCTCCATGTTGGTCAGGCTGGTCTCGAACTCCCGACCTCAGGTGATCCACCTGCCTCGGTCTCCCAAAGTGCTGGGATTACAGGCATGAGCCACTGCACCCAGCCAGCCTGCAGATTTATTTTAATGAGAAAATCAAAGCAAAAGCAGGGGCATAAGTGGAGCATATGGATGGGACAGAGAACGTTGGAGGCTTTAGCAGAGAGAGGAAAGGGCAGGAAGGAGTCATCCACAGGAGGGGAGAGTACTGTCCTGTGACTGCTCCTCCAAGCCCCCTCTTGCCGGCGTGGACACAGCGGTCTGCACCTTGACCCTATTGCATGCCAGTGGAGCAGAGCCCCCCAGGCCAGAAGCCCTATAGCTGTTGGCCCTGGCTTGGACACCGGGCAGGGGGCACCGGGGCAGGAGCTGGCCGCGATCCTGTGGCCCCAAATGCCCCCTCGCTGATGGCCTCGTGTTCTGGGTGCAGAGCAAAGAGGACCAGGTGTCAAAGGCACCTCAGGCAGGCGCTGGGCTCAGTGGGCATCTTGTGCTCCGGGATTTTGAGGCCATTTGCAGCCAGCTCCTCCAGCCCCAGCTCCGAGCTGCAGACGCTGCCACGCACAACAGCACCGCCAGGAGTGTCCTGGGGGCTTTCTTCAGAGGAGGCTGTCAGCATCCTCAAGTTCCAGCCGCTTAGCCCCAGTCCTGCTTCAAGAGGCTTTTTTTTCACCAGAGGCTTCTCAATGGCCTGAAAGCTCAGCTGAGTCCCATGAAGTTTGCCAGGAACATAAGGCTGTCGGTGACATTCGTGGCGCCAAGATTTAAACACGCGGTTGCACGCATTGGCCACTGTCTGTGCCACATGCACTGACGCCACCTGAGATGCACACGCTGCACGCCGCACGCGCACGCCGCACGCGCACGCGGCAGCGGCTTGGCTGGCTTGTAATGGCTTGCACGCGCACGCCACACGCGCATAGCGGTTTGGCTGGCCTGTAACGGCTTGCACGCGCACGCCGCACGCGCGTAATGGCTTGGCTGGCCTGTAACGGCTTGCACGCGCATGCTGCACGCGGGTAACTGCTTGGCTGGCCTGTAGCGGCTTGGCTTGGCTTTGCGTTCTTTGCTTGGCTTGGTGTTGGTCGCTTGGCCTGGTGTTCCTCCTTGGATTGACGTTTCCTCCTTGGATTGGCGTTTCCTCTCTCGCGTTCCCTTGCTAGGCTTGACCTTTTCTCTGCTGGGTTTGGCATTCCCTTGGGTGGGCTGGGTGTTTTCTTGGGGGGGGGGGTTGGCCCTTCCTCGGGTGGGCGTGGGCTTTCCCCGGGTGGGTGTGGGTTTTCCCTGGGTGGGGTGGGTTGGGCTTACCTGCTGGGGTTGGCAGGTTTTGGCTGGGAT
The DNA here is from genome assembly GCF_000001405.40 of Homo sapiens. NCBI lineage: Eukaryota > Metazoa > Chordata > Mammalia > Primates > Hominidae > Homo > Homo sapiens. The sequence goes on along the minus strand of NC_000002.12, from coordinate 130,509,348 downwards.
TGACTTTTCTCTTCAAACAGATTGGAAACCCGGAGTTACCTGCTAGTTGGTGAAACTGGTTGGTAGACGTGATCTGCTCGCTACTACCGGCCTCCCCAGGCTGTTAAAAGCAGATGGTAGCTGAGGTTGATTCAATGCCGGCTGCCTCTTCTGTGAAGAAGCCATTTGTTCTCAGGAGCAAGATGGGCAAGTGGTGCCGCCACTGCTTCCCCTGCTGCAGGGGGAGCGGCAAGAGCAACGTGGGCACTTCTGGAGACCAGGACGACTCCACTATGAAGACACTCAGGAGCAAGATGGGCAAGTGGTGCTGCCACTGCTTCCCCTGCTGCAGGGGGAGTGGCAAGAGCAACGTGGGCACTTCTGGAGACCACGACGACTCCGCTATGAAGACGCTCAGGAGCAAGATGGGCAAGTGGTGCTGCCACTGCTTCCCCTGCTGCAGGGGGAGCGGCAAGAGCAACGTGGGTGCTTGGGGAGACTACGACGACAGCGCCTTCGTGGAGCCGAGATACCACGTCCGTCGAGAAGATCTGGACAAGCTCCACAGAGCTGCCTGGTGGGGTAAAGTCGCCAGAAAGGATCTGATCGTCATGCTCAGGGACACTGACGTGAACAAGCAGGACAAGCAAAAGAGGTAACCAGGCCTGGGCTGGGAGGAGGTGGGAGGTCGGGGGATGATGGGGACATACCCTCCTGGCGGGGGAGGAGGGGGACCTGGCTTTCTCACCTCCGCAGGCCTCACAGCACCCTGGTTGTGGAAACCTCAGAGAGGTCAGGGCACAGGCCCCTTTATGAACAGCAACACACACAAAAAAAACTTTAGCTGATTTCCAATCAAATTATAATTTCCCTCGTAGAACACTAATAGACTGTTTTAAAGTGATTTAACTTGCAAAATTAATTAAGTCAATGCAGCAGATTATTTTTAATCTACAGATTTTAAAACAATGTTCTATACATTATAGAAAAGTGTATATTGAGAACTAAGAATGAAGCCCCATAACACATCAACTTCAGGGCTAAATATTCTTCAAATAAAATCCAGTATGGATTTTATATCAATGTACCCTATGTAAATACGTTCTTTACTGAGGAACCTTAGAAGGAAACTGAAATGGGAAGATGGTTCCTGTGCTTGAATAGGAAGATTGAATTTTCTTAAGATGTGAGCTTTTTGGCTGGGCGCGGTGGCTCATGCCTGTAATCCCAGCACTTTGGGGAGGCGGGCGGATCACGAGGTCAGGAGATCGAGACCATCCTGGCTAACACGGTGAAACCCTGTCTCTACTAAAAATTATAAAAAAAATTAGCCGGGCACGGTGGCAGGTGCCTGTAGTCCCAGCTACTCAGGAGGCTGAGGCAGGAGAATGGCGTGAACTCGGGAGGCGGAGCTTGCAGTGAGCCAAGATAGTGCCACCGCACTCCAGCCTGGGAGACAGAGCGAGATTCCGTCTCAAAAAAAAAAAAAAAAAAAAAGATGTGAGCTTTTTCTATTTATCACTTTTACATAAGCCAAATAAAAATAGCAAAGTTTTAGCGTTTTTAAATTACACATGCTGTCTTTTATTATTGTGATAAATTAATTTTTTGTAACAGAATGGAAAAAGGCTTGCTTTTCCAGATATCAAAATGTGCATGTGTTATTTATTTCCACAAATTGTTTACTAACAGCTGAAAAGACATCAATGAATAGAACAGAATAGGAAATTTAGAAATACCCAAATATATGTAAGAATTTAGCACTTGATAATGGTGATGTTTTGTATTATTTAAAAAAGATGGATTGTTCATAATTCATTTTTGGAGAAAACTAGCTAGATTTTTATGTCACAAAAATAAGAGTATAGATTAAAAATTTTAAACATACAAAAGGAGAAACATACCAGAAAAAATATAAATGCCTATTTATATACGCAGATATATATATATATACATATATATACACATATATACATATATATACATATGTATATATACATATATATGTGTGTGTATATATATACATATATATGTGTGTGTGTGTGTGTGTGTATATATATATATATATATATATATATATATATATATATATATATCCTTTTTTTTTTGGTGGAGTCTCACTCTGTAGCCCAAGCTGGAGTGCAGTGGTGTGATCTCGGCTCACTGCAACCTCTGCCTCCTAGGTTCAAGCAATTCTCTGCTTCAGCCTACTGAGTAGCTGGGATTACAGGCGCCTGCCACCATGCCTGGCTAATTGTTTTGTATTTTTACTAGAGATGGGGTTTCACCATCTTGGCCAGGCAGGTCTTGAACTCCTGTCCTCGTGATCCACCCACCTTGGCCTCCCCAAGTGCTGGGGTTACAGGCGTGAGCCACCGTGCCTGGTGTATATATGCAGACATAATAAAATAAGCTCATTTTAAAATTGGGCAAAGTACTTTTTTTGCATATCTACCAGTGACCTATGCACATAGGAAAATACAGTGTTCCTGGTAGAAGAAGGAATTTAAGTTAGAAGAGGAATGAAATACTGCTTTCTATTTAAGTTAGAAGAGGAATGAAAGGCCGGGTGCAGTGGCTTACGCCTGTTATCCCAGCACTTTAGGAGGCTGAGGCGGTGGATCATGAAGTCAGGAGTTTGAGACCAGCCTGGCCAGTGTGGTGAAATCCCATCTCTACTAAAAATACAAAAAATTAGCTGGGCATGGTGGCACGCACCTGTAATCCCAGCTACTCAGGAGGCTGAAGCAAGAGAATTGCTTGAACCAGGGAGGTGGAGGTTGCAGTGAGCCGAGATCGCGCCACTACATTCCAGCCTGGGTGATAGAGTGAGACTCCATCTCAAAAAAAAAAGAAAAAAAAAAAAAAAGGAATGAAATACTGTTTTCCATCCACAAAGTTTGTGAGGATGAAGAACAGTGGTACTTATGTAGTTGTTTAAAGTTTAAGTTGCTGCAGCTTTTCAAACAGACACTTTAGTGGTAAGAACTACATTTTAAAAATGTGTATGCTTTTTACTTATCAATTCCATTATACTGAAATATCTTTACGAAATAGATGTGTTTTTCTTAGTATTGCTTAAAATAGCAGTGTATTTAGAAGAACCCATATAAAGATTTTATGAACAAATTTCAGTGCATCCATAGGATGGAATAATATGTAACTATTGAGGGTGTCAGTAGATACAGAGATATGTCGACGTGCAAAGATGTACTTTGCTATATCAAGTGAGAAAAAAATCAGTTTGTTACACATATACACGAACAGAATCTGCTCGTGTTAGCTGCAAATCTGTAGAAAATATAATCAAACTTGTTTCTGGGGATTTGTAAGTGAAGTTTTTCCCTTTCTCTTATCTGTGATTTCTGCAATGAACATCTGAAGTTGTAGTTAAGGTTCATTACTAATGCAATAATCCTTGGGAAGAGAAGGAATATGCTTCTTGCATAGATGCAAATAATTCCTCACATTCTATTATTTATTTTTATTTCTGTGGTTGGCTATTTTCTGTGAACTTTTACCCTCTTCAGAAGAAGAGGGGTCGTGTTTACCTGTTCCTGTAGATTTTATTATATATACATTTTATTCCATAATTATCTTTTCATTATATATAGATTAACATGTAAAAAGTATGAATTAATCATTTTAGTTGAGTTATATATTTATGAAAATTAAAATAGCAAATATAAATGATTATTGCTATTGCAAATGTATTGCGCTACTCTATAGGAGTTTTCTTTAAAAATATTGAACTCCCAAGCTGTGTTCATCCATTTTTCCTATCCATTTAGTCATCAGACATAAGCCAGACACCTATTATGTGGCAGGCATATTCTACTATCTCTCAGGATCCTTCCGTCTTTGAAAACTACATGTTTTCCTGCTGGGCTTGAGCAAGCTGAGAGATTTAAAATTGGGGCATTAGGACTTAATCTCAATTGAAGCTTTTCCTCCCTCCTTTCAAACAAAAGCATTTCTGGAGGTAGAAAATAGTAATAGATAACCTTTAACTGCCCTTTTGAAAATTTATGTCTTGGGGAAAAGACTGTTTTAGTTGTTTTAAGAACTAAAATGTGGTACATAAACAGCATGGAATAATATGCAGCCATAAAAGAAGGAACGAGAGCATGTCCTTTGCAGGGACATGGATGGTGTTGAAAGCCATTATCCTTAGCAAACTAACATAGGAAGAGAAAACCAAATACAGCACGTTCTCAATTACAGGTGGGAGCTAAATGATGAGAACACACAGATACCTAGAGGGAAGGAACACACACTGGGGCCTATCAGAGGGTGGAGGGTGGGAAGAGGGAAAGAAGCAGGAAATAGAATGAACAGGTACTGGGCTTAACACCTGGGTAATGAAATAATCTGTACAACCAACACCCTTGGTGCACATTTACCTATGTAACAAACCTGCACATCCAGCACATGTATCCCTGAATGTAAAAGTTGAAAAAAGCTCCACAAATAGTTTCATAAATCCATTTTAAAACAAGAAAATTTATAACAGTCTTAAATCCTAATATGAATGATTGGAAATATCTGATGTACATACATTGTATAAATCTAAGTGTTGACAAAAATGAGCCCATGCTATTCATTTGAATTCCAAGTTTTCTTTGACTTAAAGTTTATTGAAAACCAAAGTAAGAATTGGTTTATTTTAGAAATTTGTTTTTGTTTTCACCTCTGCTCTCTTATTCCATAGTTCTTTTAGGAACTAAAATTTATCTAAATGCTGGTCATCTGACTGGAACCGCCCCAGACCTGTTGTAACATATTCTACTTAATGTAAGACACCAGGGATTGTATGATGCCCCATTATTTTATGCCTCAATAAGAGAATTATTTAAATGCCGCAAATTATAGTAAATCATGAATTGTAAGTGGTATTTCAGTGGAGACAACATGGAGACAATGATCATCTCAGAATCACTAAAATACAATGTTAGCTGTAATATTTAAAACACACCTGAAAGTGCAGGTATAATTGTATCATCTCAATTCAAATGTTGTCTTTAGTGGTATTAGTAAAAATTAAAATATCTAACAATTATTGAGCTGTTATTTGTGTTAGGAACTATTCTATATCTTTTGTGCAGAGTCTCATTTAAGCATTACAGTGGTTTCCCGTAAGAAAGCTACTATTTTCATTCCTATTTTATTGATGAGGAAACTGAGACCCCAAAAGGCTAAGCAACAGCCAGGAAGTGACAGAGCTTCAAGTAGGATTCCAGCTCAAGTTGAATGTCATCCAAGGGCTATGCTCTTTGTATTCATATAGGATGCTCTTTCATTAATACAGCGAGTAAAGAGAGATAATAAATAGTGTGCTTTTTTCATGGGAAAGTTAAATGTTTGTTTTGAAGGCAGAGTAATAGCAGGCTATTCAGTGTTTGCAATTACATGAATCATTGCTATGGCTGTAGCTAGTGCACTACAATTTCCTAAAAAGTCTTGTCACTCTCATAGGACTGCTCTACATCTGGCCTCTGCCAATGGGAATTCAGGAGTAGTAAAACTCCTGCTGGACAGACGATGTCAACTTAATGTCCTTGACAACAAAAAGAGGACAGCTCTGACAAAGGTATGCAGTAGCCAACTATATCAGCATGAGGTGGGTTTGATTTCAATACATAGCATAAAAATGAGTTTTCTCCTTTAAATATAACTTAGGTGGTGAAAGCTGTGGAATGTTATTTTGAATTCCTAGGATTTGTAATTTGTTTTTGGTCTAATACTGACAGGCCGTACAATGCCAGGAAGATGAATGTGCGTTAATGTTGCTGGAACATGGCACTGATCCAAACATTCCAGATGAGTATGGAAATACCACTCTACACTACGCTATCTACAATGAAGATAAATTAATGGCCAAAGCACTGCTCTTATACGGTGCTGATATCGAATCAAAAAACAAGGTATAGATCTACCAATTTTATCTTCAAATACTGAAATGCATTCATTTTAACATTGACCTGTGTAAGGGCCAGTCTTCCATATTTGGAAGCTCAAGCATAACCTGAATGAAAATATTTTGAAATGACCTAATTATCTAAGACTTCATTTTAAATATTGTTACTTTCAAAGAAGCATTAGAGGGTACAGTTTTTTTTTTAATGCGCTTGTGGTAAATAATTTTTTTGAAAGCACTGAATTTGTAGAAGGTAATACTTACTATTTTTCAATTTTTCCCTCCTAGGATTTTTTTCCCCTAATGAATGTAAAATGGCAAAATTTGCCCTGAAATAGGTTTTACATGAAAACTCCAAGAAAACTTAAATATGTTTCAATGAATAGAGATCCTGCCCCTTTGGCAAGTTCCTAAGAAACAGTAATAGATACGAAGGTGATGCGCCTGTCAGTGGCAAGGCTTAAGATATTTCTGATTGCTCATGAGGCAGAAGTGGAAAGCGGAAAAGAGAGCAATCAGAAATATCAAGGCCAATTTGGAAATTAGGTAATAGAGGGAAAAGACCATGAAGAGGTTGTGTGTGTGTGTGTGTTGTCGTTGTTGATTGATTTGTTCCCTTTGTATGTTGAGACAAGGTTCTCTTCAATTTTAGAGAATGACAGTTTTCAGTTTGGGAGAGGGAGTTAGTGGGTTGTAAACTGAATAGAGATCAATTTTAGGAGGCCTCTGAGGAACCAGATTGGCAGTGAATAGGTGGTAATGTAAGGGGAAACCCTTGAGCAGAGGGAATATCAAGTAATTAACTGACTTAGTATCCTATTCTGGTAGAAATGGCCAATTAGAGTCTCAGCTCTGCTTTCAAATCTAGAGTGTCTGGATGGGAAGGTGGAAGATAAATAAGTAACAAGATCAAGTTGGATTTTGAGTTGACTAGACCCTGTTCTTCTCTTACCGGGGAAAATCATGTGGTGTTTTCAGCAAATGGGTCTCTCTCCTACTCCTTACTCTTTTTGGCCAAATCTTCAAATGAGAAAGGGAACTGGTCATATGGGTGAGAAATGAGACTGAAGTAATTGTCTGTTGCACTAGCTTTCAGCTAGAATTGTGCATCCCAGTAACCTGAGGAAAATGTTTAAATAATCAACAAGTCTAGGCTTTTTCTGAATATTTTGATACAGTAAGTCTAATAAAGCCTGGATATGTATATTTGAAAATGTTTCCTTGAAGCCAGGCATGGTGGTGCATGGCTGTAGTCCCAGCTGCTAGGGAGGCTGAGGTGGGAGGATTGCTTGAGCTCAGGAGTTCGAGTCTAGCCTGGTCAACATAATGAGACCCTGTCTCTAACAACAACAACAACAACAACGACGACGACAACAACAACAATTTTCTCAAAATCTGGATACACTCCTGCTTAAGAACCACTCAATACATAAATGTAATATGTAAATTCTTATGTCTCAGAAACTTAAGGTATCTCTAGAAGAGTTGGGGTTGGATATGTGCTGATTTCTTTAAATCTTTCCAATAACATTAATCTGACTTTTTTTTTTTTTTTTTTTTTTTTTGAGATGGGGTCTCACTCTGTTTCCCAGGCTGGAATGCAGTGGTGTGATCACAGCTCACTGCAGCCTCGACCTCTCCAAGCTCAGATGGTCCTCCAACCTCAGTTTTTTTTATTTTATTTTATTTTTTTTATTTTTTTTTATTTTTCAGTAGAGATGAGGTTTTTGCCATGTTTCTCAGGCTGGTCTTGAACTCCTGGGCTCAAGCGATTCACCCACCTCAGCCTCCCCAAATGCTAGGATTACAGGTGTGAGCCACCATTCCTGACCTAGTCTGACTTTTATCTCTGTGGTTGAGACCTTAAAATGAATATTATTGGTAGTATGTATCAGCTTACAGAATAATACCTTTTCCTTTCTACCATCAGTTATTCACTGCCATTCAGAAGGTCTTTAGAAATTTGCTGTGAGTATGGCCCTCTCAGGATTTTGTGTCTCTTTGTTCAGTCATTCAAGTACTTAGGTCAGTAAGTCGTTAAGAGCAGAGTTTTCTCAATTAGAATTGTAGCAAATTCTAAACCATTTTTTGTCAATTGACGCTGTATTATGGACTATCCAGTGTGTCTCTTAAGTATGTAGAGCTTTGGCATAATCAGCATGGCAGTTTTAAACACTAAAAACCATGGAGTTATTAAGAATACAGATAGGAATTCTGTTAATTTAGTTTCAGTAGTCCTATGAACTGATGGTTTAGTTAACAATCTGGGAAAATTAAATACAAATAGATTTTAAATAAATAAATGTTGGAAAATTTTTTCAAATGGGCAGTATGAGTTTTAACAGCAATTTTTGTTGCATGTTGGAGGTTGAACTTTTGGTAAAACATGAAACTAAAGAAATATTTTACATGCAGATTCTTGCTTTATACACAATTTGTCTTAGGGTTGAGGATATAGAGACAAAAGATACAGCCCCTGCCCTCAAGAAGCTTTTTGTTTAGATGGGAAAAATATTATCATCCAATAACACCATGCCAAATGCTGGTTTAGAAGCAAAGAGCCTTGGAAGCAGTAAATGTTTAAAGTGAGTTTTTGAGATGATTAGAGGTACTGTGGTGAGGCAGAGAAGGGGTGTTTCCAAGGGAAGGAGCAGCGTGTGGGAAAGCACAGAAGAGTGAGAAGGAAGCGACTACATTTTATTTACTTCTATGCGTGTAAGTCCATAAGATCTTATATAAAGTTTCCACTTCGGTTGAGGAATATGTACTTTTTTGAATTACATAGGTTTTTGCTTTATATTGTTTTACAGCATGGCCTCACACCACTGCTACTTGGTGTACATGAGCAAAAACAGCAAGTGGTGAAATTTTTAATCAAGAAAAAAGCGAATTTAAATGCGCTGGATAGATATGGAAGGTATAGTTCTTTCTTTTAATCTGTGTTCTAGATGGATAGCAGTCACTCAAGTCATAAATATTAAATTAATAAGATTAATGTATACTTACTGGGATGTAGTGATCAGTATCAACACAAATCAGTTAGGTAGAAAAACAATTACTTGGACTGGGCAACATAAAGAACAGTTTTAGTAGGATTCGTCTTCTCATTATATTGACTGATGTTATTTGTTATGTGACGTTTTTGGTTACATGATCTTATGTTAGCTAAAGGCATTTCATATTAATTTTATGAAGTTTGAACTTTAACTTTTAGTTTACTTTATGACTCAGTATTGAACTTCTTAACCCTTTCTAATAGTTTTTAACCTCTGTGTCTTACATGCTTTTCCACTAAATATACTGTATTAAACATAAATAGGGGTTGAAAATCCTTTTGTCTTTTCAATGACTCTGCTTTAAGTTGCTTTCTTTGAAGAATATTAATGTTAGCTTATCGCTACATGACAATTAATTGCTGTTCCCACATACTGTGGGTTCAACAGCTTTTTTCCTTTTTTATTTCCAGTGTATTTTGGTGTTTTTAGTTTTAATTGGTATGGAGAGAGGGAGTGAAGATAGTTTTAAGTGGATACACTTTTCCTTTAATGAAGGCAAGATGTAGGTGGGTGATAAAGAGAAAAGAGCTAGGCTTTGGATTCACACAAGACTGGGTTAATTCCTAACTTTCTTACTTGCTAGGTGTGTGACCTTGGGGATGTTATTTACCACCAAATGTGTTGTCATGTATGAAAAGTAGGAGAATATATCCTTAAAAGTTGGCTGTGCATAAGTAAGAAAGATAAATGTAGGATTTAATTCAGTGCCTAGCACATGGTTATTGGCACCATTAACTGAAACTCCTATGACTACTATTCTTACCATTGTTAATATTACTGCTTTGAGCATGCAGAGAGCTCTTATTTCTCTTACCCCCTAGCTGATTTTCTATTACAGCATATCTGTCTAGGGAAGCTGTGACAAACTCTTCACTTAAATCTTTGTCCACTTCAGATAAGTGGCCCTAACATTGTTTCTTGCCCATCAAAGGATGTTAAATTAGTAGCTTCTGCTATGCAATACCCCACTGAGATAAGAGGGTTTTTTTTGGTCCCTTCCTTTTAACTTTTGTGGTATTTTACAAAGATGAACACTTGAGCACTCAAGATGCTTATGTCTTTTAGTGCATGTAAATGTTTGATTCTGCACAGACAGGCAAGATGTTACATTGGTAAAGTATATCAAATTAGCTTTAAAAATAACTTTATTACAGTTCCTATCTCTGTCATTTTAGAACTGCTCTCATACTTGCTGTATGTTGTGGATCAGCAAGTATAGTCAGCCTTCTACTTGAGCAAAATATTGATGTATCTTCTCAAGATCTATCTGGACAGACGGCCAGAGAGTATGCTGTTTCTAGTCATCATCATGTGTAAGTGTTCACATTAAAAGGCTAGTTAATGCTGAATTGAGGTTTAAAATAATTATAACAGTTGCATCTGACATATCAGGTGAGATGTCATAGTTTGGTTCAGGTAGTTTTCGCGTGGCAGTGAGTTAGTCCCCTGCATCAGCCAGAAATCAGACAAAAAGCAAGACAAGTTAGAAGTACCAATGGGTGCGGGATTCTTTATCTCAGGACTTTTAAGATCTTTATCCTTAGAGATCCCAGCATTGTTCATTTGATCCAAGTGTAACACCTATGCATGGGATAAAAAATAGTGTCACATCTTTAATTTTTCTGATTAGTTATTTGGGTCTTGAAATGTCCAGTTTAGCGGAAAGTCTTGTACTGTCTTCTGGGCACTATGTCCTACATACTCCTTGAATTTTTCAAGAACCGAAGGGGTTTACTAAATCCAAGGAAGACAGTCCCTTTTATCAAGTCAGAAGGAGGAGGAAAAAAGACATTGCAATCATTCTGTTGTTTCCGTTGATTCTGTTGCTGCTTTGTGGCCACTCAAACTGGTCCTGCTGCCTTAAGATGAATCAGTAGATTCAGATCCCTCAAGTCTTCATGGCGATTCATACAGTGACTTTGATGTTTTTTAATTCCCATACCTATGCTTATATGCTCAGCCATTGTTCCCAGAGCACCAGCCCCCTGCTCTGGCCGCTGGGCATCTTGACTTTATCCGCACACAAAGTGACCAAATTGACCCTTCCCCACATATTCAGAACCTAATGTGGAACCCACATCTTAGCCAGGAATTAGCTGAGACCTTCATGGTAAGAGATCCTTTGAGGCTGTTGTTGGTCTTTTCTCTAGCAGATATTAGGTGGGCTTGTTCTAAAGGGTGAGAGGGGTTCAAATAATGTGGCAGAAAGAGATCAGTGTTTGTTTCTTCTTCTTTGCTACCAGATCTGTACTGTGAGGCACCTTTATATCCTGTATAGAACCTTGGGCAGTAGAAAGTCCCATATGAACCTTCCCCTGAGCAGTGGCTCCCAGCTGTGGTTGGCCCCTTGAGTGATCTGATTTACATGATAATGAAAATCGTGGAAGCTACTTCCATCTCTAGCTCAAGATTTTAAAATATTTTCAAACTCTAGCTCACAGGAAGCCATTGAAGAGAATTCTCAGAATCTCAAGTAGGTTAGTTGGACTTCACAGAGCCAAGCCTTGTCCATGACGCATCACTAATCATGTGTAAAAGTAGGGCTTTGTGCTTGCTTCGGCGGCACATATCCTAAAATTGGAACAATACGGGGAAAGTTAGCGTGGCTTCTGCATAAGGAGGCAGCACAGATCTTTGAAGCATTCCATATTTTGTGCAGTCACTGGAAGGTCATTTGACTATTTGCTGACTAGCTCTGAGGAAATAGTGTGAATCAAAGCAAAATGGGTGCCACCCAAATATTGAAATTGTGATTTCTGCTGCAAAAATAGTCATGTAAGATGGTCTATGAGATGACTTAGACCTGAATAACATGTTCGGTGCAAAATATATTGTTAGTATGTATGTCGAAAATTACAGAATGTCAGCTTGCTACTTCTCCGTGGAAACTAAAATAAATAAAAGTAGACTTTTGGTCTCCCATGTCAGCTGGAATTGAACATCAATATAAAGCATTATCCTAACAGACATCTACTGGCTGAGAGTTTGAGTCTGTAGAGAAGGATCGTTGGTCCAAGTCAGGTCTTAACATCCATTGGTTTTTCTGCCCTTGGTGTGATTGATCAACTCCGTAATAGTGGACAATCACATTATCTACTTTAATGAGATATTTATGAATAAATTTAGTTATAAACTATGACATAGTTGAGATGCCCTGAATTATAAGCCATAAAGAGTAGGACAACTAAGAAGCAAAATTAGGACTTAATAACATTTTCTGAAAACTACAACATTTGCATATTAGAACCTATGAACAAAATACGCATTGGGTTTTATTTGGGATTCCAAGATAATTTTAGTCATAAAGTTTAGGAACAGATTATTCCATTGCTTTACTATTTCTCTGAGCATTTAAAAAATGTTATCTCGTTAAATCTTTATAACAACCTAGTGAAATAAGGCAGCAAAGTCCTCACTTTGTTGAAGAAGACATTGAGCCTAAGAGAAGCAAGTTGCCCAAGAACAAATAGCTGTTCATTATGGAGCTAGGACTTATGCAGAGTTGGGACACTTTCTATTATGTCATGCTAATGCTAGCTAATTTACTGGGTCACAGTGCCCTTGATTTATGAGTATTTCACCTTACATTTTTTTCGTCTTTAATTAGAAGCTTAAAGAGAAGTTTGTAGAATGTACTCATAAGTGGATGGGATAATACTATTAAGTTCTGATATTCTGATATTGTTTGAAATACTCTTAATAATTCTACATTTGGTAAGTTTTTTTATATCAGTATTAAAATAGTAATTTGGTTTATTACATTTTTATACATAGAATTTGCCAGTTACTTTCTGACTACAAAGAAAAACAGATGCTAAAAATCTCTTCTGAAAACAGCAATCCAGGTAAGACTTGTGATAGTGAATTACTTTAGTCAGTTGTCCCCAACCTTTTTGACACCAGGGACCGGTTTTGTGGAAGACAATTTTTCCATGGGCTGGGGGAAGGTGGGGATGGTTTCAGGATTATTCAATCATGTTACATTTATTGTGCTACTTTATATTATTATCACATTGTAATATATAATGAAATAATTACACAACTTACCATAATGTAGAATCCGTGGAAGCTCTGAACTCATTTTTCTGCAACTGGATGGTCTCATCTGGGGGCAAAGTGAGACAGTGACAGATCATCAGGCATTAGATTCTCATACGAAGCACACAACCTAGATCCCTCAGATGGGCAGTTCACAACAGGTTCATGCTCCAATGAGTATCTAATGCTATCACTGATCTGACTGGAGGCAGAGTACAGGCGGTAATATGAGCCATAAGGAGTGGCTGTAAATACAGATGAAGCTTCCCTGGCTTGCCTGCTGCTCACCTCCTCCTGTGTGGTGTGGTTCATAATAGTCCATGGACTGGTATGAGTGTGTGGCCTGGGAGTTGAGGACCCCTGCTCTGCGTGGTCCTACCATAGATAAAAAAGTAAAAGTAAGGAATTTTTGATCACAAAAGAACACTGAAGCACAAGTCATGTTACATATGCTTGTCCCAATAAGGTCTCACTATTATTGACTTCATTCCTCCTCATTTGAAGTTGGAAAGAGATATATTTACTTTGTTGGAACAAGATGTGTTCTTCTACCTGCTGGTTAATTGTCATCATAACAGTAATTTTGTTAGAACAAGATGCTCTGCTACCATTTGCCAAAAGATTGTCATAATAAATATACAAATTGCCCAACTCTAGGCTCAGCAGATTATAATAAAAGCAGAAAAACGTTTCACACTAACAAAAATGCTAGTATGCTACCTGGTTGTGGACACCTAATACATTATATAGTCCAAACTGTATGAGGACACCTTTAATTTAGCCATCTATTTATCAAAGAGCTTTTGTAAGTTAGGTTTTATAAGTCGCAGGAGACAAAGATGGAATAGATGTAGTTTTGATCTTTAAGGTGCTCATAATAGAGCTGTCTCCATTTCATTTCTGTGCTTTTTCAACAGAATTTACAAAGAAAACATTGCTATTTATGTTTTCACTTGTCCACTTAACATATAACTATCAAATGTCTTTTAGATGGTAACCATTTTTCTAATGCTATAGACCACAGACAATTAAAAATACAGACAGGAGCTTTTTCTTATCATTGCCATTTTCATTATTTTACTACTTTATTCAGTGCTTACTGTGTGCTAGATGCCCACTGGAAGCTTATAATTATGATTTATTATATATTGATTATGTGCCAGACATATGAGGAATGAAAGTTTTGGGAAAAAGTAGGTATGATTTAAGGTAAGCATGCAGAGAGAGAAGAATTTTTCTAGGTAAAGAAGCAGAAGAAGAATGTTTGGCAGAAGGAACATGCAGCGAGGTCGTGTGTTTGCCAGAAGGAACATCTAATGAGATTGCCTGTTTGGGAGGAAGAGCAGCAAGTGCAAAAGACAAGATGCTTGAGTGAACATGGCAGGGTTTCTGAGCAGTTCACTTTTGCTAGTACCAAAAGTGTGAGATACCAGAGGTTGGGAACGAGGTGAATACTTAGCTAAGGCAAGTTTATGATATACTTTTTAATACTATAGAGATGAGTAGGTCTTATCCTGTGTGCCATGGGAAATTTACCGGGTAGAATGCTTTGGACTGCAAATACTAGATGAACAGTGGCTAAAACAGTAAGAACCAGAGTTGTTTTGGTTGTTCATTGATATCCTAGGATCCCACTTTTCCCTCTTTCAGCTGTGCTGTTGGCAGTGTTTTATTCACGTCTCCTTTCATGGTTGGCTAATCCGCAGCAGCTCCAAACATCTTGTTCTCACAACACAACATCGCAAGGGCTGCTTTTCTTCACATGTGTCTTTTAAACAGGGAGAAAACTTAGAAGCATGCAAGGGGCTTCCTGTAACATTTCATTGGCTGGGTCACACCACATGCTCATTCCCAAACCAGGCACTGGGAAGGTAAATACCTGATTAGCTTAGAATAAACATTTCTGTTTCTGAGGCTGAGGAGGGGGATTGGGATAATAAATATCCCAATAGACTTGGATTTCTTCTTCAAGAAAGAATAAGGAATGGCTACTGATAGGGAGCCAACAATGTGTGCTGCAGGGGCTCATTGGAGAAATTTGAGCAGGGGAGTCACAAGATTAAATTTGAGTATTAAGGCATTCTGGTTATGGTGTAAAACGGGTTAGCAAGCTTTTTCTGTAAATGGCCAGGTGGGCAATATTTTAGACTATGTGGTCTCTGTCATATCTACTTAACCCTGCTGTTGTCTGCTGTTGTAGTGTGAAAGCCACCATGATTATATGTAAGCAAACAGGCATGACTGAGCTCCTATAAAACTTTATTTACAAAACCATAATGCAGATTGGATTTGGCCTGTGGCCTATAGTTTGCTGGGATTGATGGAAGGTTCTTTACCATGTAAAGAAACCAGGAGACAAAGGAAGTTTTTGCAGTAGTCAGCTATAGTTTCCTTGTCATACATCCTTGGAGTAGCATCAATGTATTACAAGGTTTTCACCCGTCCTTAGTGAAATACATAAAGTTAGGAATCTCAACTACTTGTTTTAATATGTTGGCCTTTGTTTTTTTGGTGATATGCTTTTTTCATTTGTTTTGCTTAATTTTTTTTCATGTAAGAAATAACATTAATAGTTGGCAGGCTTTTTTTTTAAATAAAAGCCATTTTGTAAATGTTTGTGTTCCCAGTGGCAGTGGGAATATAAAGCAGAGGCAGAAGAGAGGTATCGTCAATATGATTTAGTAATAATTGAATGAGAAAGGCTTGGGGGACAGAGAGAAATGTCAGATAATTTCCAGGTTTCCAGGTTGTACAGTAGTATTTAACCTGGATGTGAGGAAGAAGGAGGAAATTTTCTGGTGAATACTGAAGAGCAAAGAGCAGCAGGTCAGCAGGAATGACTAATGTTTTTCTATGCACGTTTAATGGAATATTCATGTAGGATATTTTGAGTAGGTAATTGGATAACCAGCATTTATAACTCGCATCCTACTAGTTTGACTCTCACTAATAAGACTTGTCAAAGATCCAAGAATCTGAAAGTTGATGATAAATGTCCATGTGTATCACCATCAATGATCAAAAGTTAGCATCCACAGACATAGAATGGGACAGATGAACTTAATGGATAAAGATGAATATCGGAGTTGTTCCTTTTAGGGAATGATACTCTCCATGACCTGTGTGAGTCACAGCTGCCAGAAAAGAGCGAGCAAGGAGCATATGAAGGCAGCACAGCAAATTCGGTCCTAGAGTGCCCTGCTTGACTTCATGTCATAGTTCTGACTTCTAAAAAATCATTTTCTGCAAAATACACTTTGATTTTTTCCCCGCTTGCAGCCTGCAACCAAACAGAATCCCTTTAGCAGGGCATTTTTGTGTTCTTCCTTTAAACAAAGCAATATATAAATAACAAAATGAAAAAAGAGAAAGAGTGTTTTTTGTATAGGCTAGTATTTAACATAAACTTGAGAGTGAGTACCAGGAGTTAGAATTTATGGACTGGGTAGGAAGACTAGATAGAAATCTAAAGATTGCTGACTCAAACGCAATGTGGTTTCTTTGCTTTATTGTCACAGCTCTGAATTCACAATTATTAGTTAAATTCATAGGCACTATAACTTTAGAAATCACCTTCCCAAACCAAGTATTAAGTGATTTATTATAATTTCTCTGACTTCTTATAGAATTGACTTTCCAAGTGTTCATGAGAATTATTGAGAATTTGCTACATAGTATCATCTCAGCTGTGTCCACATGAGCTATCTGTCACCTTGTCTTAATGAATAATGGTTCACTAGGAATATTGGTTTTGGCATTTAAAGTGATCTATATCTAAATGCAGATAGGATCAGGGACCTCTCTTGAACATTAATGTCCAGGCATCTTAAAATTACACATAAGGCTTTCATAATCTGACTTCTGCCCCACTCTCCATCTTTAGGCCTTTTCCCTGTGTGCCCTTTCTCTGGCATTACTGAGCTGCTGGCAATGCCCTACTCACTCATCCTTCTATTGTAGGCAAATATTTTCACTCTTTCAGGCCTCGCTCCCGCTCTTGCTGCTGTGTGGCATGCCGTCACCCTTTCCTGCCCTCTACCCCTTTTAATCTGGCTAGTCTCAATATTTAAGTCTCTGCTTGGGCATGTTTTCTAGAAAAGCCATCCCTGACATGCTTTATTTTAATTGTTTTTAAACCCTAATGCCTAGCATGTATTTAGCAGGACTCAATAAGAAATTTCTGAGTAAAATGTGAGTAAGATGATGTGCAAGACTGTCCTCTGCAGTCTTGGAGCAGACGGGACAGACATGTGGAGGAATAATGTAGAGTTCAGGTGGTAAAGATGCAGTAGAAAAATCAGTGAAGTACTAAGGCAGCCTCAAGGAAGGAGGTACCTGTTTATCTGGGGAAAGACATGCAGAATCAAGGAAGACGTTCTCATAGCATTGTTTTAAAAGATAAAAATAAGGATAAGTGTGGTGGCTCACACCTCTAATCCCAGCATTTTGGGAGGCTGGAGCAGGCAGATCACAAGGTCAAAAGATCAGGACCATCATGGCCAATGGTGAAACCCCGTCTCTACTAAAAACACGAAAATTAGCAGGGCATGATGGTGCATGCCTGTAATCCCAGCTTCTCCGGAGACTGAGACAGGAGAATCGCTTGAACCAGGGAGTGTCAGAGGTTGCAGTGAGCTGAGATTGCGCCACTGCACTCCAGCCTGGTGACAGAGCAAGACCCTGGCTCAAAAAAAAAAAAAGAAAGAAAAATGAAAATAAATATGTCTGAATCGTGGAGGGAAACATTTTAGATATTGGGAAGAGATTGTACACTAATAAAGGTGTCAGTAGTAATTTTTGAAATCATTTGTAAGGTACTATTGTTGCAGAAAACAGGAGGCAGGAGAGACCAAGTGGGTGAAACAGGAGGATTTCATTTAGGTTCGCACCAGCTCAGCGGATTTGCATCCGAAAGCTGAGCCCTGAACAAAGACAGGGCTTGGCTTATGTAGGCAAGCTTACAGAAGCAGAACAAAGGCAGTTAATCATATAGTGACAGTTTTGCAACCTCAGCGTAGCTTATGACCTTGCAGCTGCATTGAAGGACAACAGGAACTTGCAAATAATATGCATTTGTAAAAACAGCTCTGAGTGAATGCTGAGGGGAAGGGGAGACAGTAAAGGATTTTGTTTTCTTAACCTTGCTGTGGGATGTCTGGAGCCCATACCTGTGGGCTCTGGCTTCTCAGGCAGGGTCACCATGACCTTTCCTGGGCCCTGCTTGTTACTATCCTTAGAGTCAGACTAGCTAAGTGCGGGAAAACTTGTTTCTCTTTAAAACTAAATTTCCTTTTCTTTACATTTACTGCTTCACTATTAGGAAGTGGAGAACAACATACTGTGTTACCTTATATGTTTCTACTGTATTTTAAAGTTGTGTTTCTGGTGGTTTTGTTCATTTATGTTGGGTGGATGAATTTGTGAGTGAATGACATCAGGTGTCTCCCCAAGTGGTTTGTTGAAGTTTGGGAGAATTATTTCCTAAATAACTATTTCATGAAAAACTAAACACTCAATTTATGAAATAAAATGTTGTCTTAAATCTATTTTTATAAAGGCAATAGTTTTTAACTGTTCTAAGTGGTTCATTTTAACTGAATATATGGATTTCTCAACAGAACAAGACTTAAAGCTGACATCAGAGGAAGAGTCACAAAGGTTCAAAGGCAGTGAAAATAGCCAGCCAGAGGCATGGGAAATTTTAAATTTAAATTTTTGATTTAATGTTGTTTTCTTTGCTTTAATAATATTAGATAGTCCAAATGAAATTACCTTTCAGACTAGGTTTTGAGAATCAATAGATTTTTTAAAGAATTTTTTAATAGATTGTTAAAATTTATTTTAATAAATTCAGTAATCTCATTAACAGAAGAATGGATTCTAATTTAACATTTGATATTTAACTTAAAAAACATAACCACTATAAAATTTAAAATACTCTTATTTTATAATATTTTTATTTAAAATATTCTCATCTGCCTTTTTGATTAGCTTATAGCTAATCTTTCCTTTTGGAATAGAGGCAAAAACAAATTTCAGAACTTTGTTCTTTTATTTTTACAACACCCGAACATGATGAAGAAGGTACATCAATTATTGGATTATGTTATTAAGCAATAGAATTATGAACAATGTAACTCTGATGGTCCCTGAGCTGGATTCATGGTTAAGGAGTAATCATGGCCAGTGATTGAAAATCTGCAGTTTTATATTGTCAGTCACTGATACCAAGGTTAAAAATATATTCTGCCTTATGGTCTCTCATTGACCTCAGCGTTTCTGTTCAGGGAGGGAACCAGGTCATAAAAGCAACACAGCTGCCTATTACAAGAATCATATCTTGCAGAATGGAACCTTTGGTGTTAGTGCACAAACACAATAACATTCTAATTTATTTCAGTTGCAGAAAATTAGTACATATTATTAAAAAAATCTTTATCCACTGTAATTAGTACACATTAGAATATATTAGAACTGGACTTAAGCAGATAATCTGGATACATAACACTATCATATGACAGTATATAATCTCAATTAAAATTTGAGAAATTGCATCTCTTTCTGTTTGGTGTTGATTTCGGCTCCTAATAATTTAAATGGTGCCTACAATCCAGTTAGGAATCTTTTAGAAAAGCACTTCAGTGCACTGTAGGGGCTCACTAGTTAGGGTTTCATGAGGTAAACTCTTTTCAAGTGAGGAAGATTTTGGAACACTACAAATCATCTGCTGATTCATTTTTGGTAGATTTAACACATAACAAGTTTAGTCCAAACAAATGGTGACCAAGTTAAGTTTGCTGGTTCACGTTTTTTTTCTTCGTTGGGCTAAGGTGAATTATTTTTCACATGTTAGTCAGAAGCCAGTAATGTGGCAGTAGCTAAACATAGATTAAAAAGTTAATTCTTAATTTTAATTATTATTTATTTAACAGTTAAATTTTAATTTTAATTATTTTCTAATTTTTCATCGTCCATACTTCATTAGTTAAGAATAAAATTTTTTTAAAACATGCGCTCCAAAAGAGGAGACATCACAGAAACACAACAAGCAAATTAACCTTCTGTTTTTGCCTCTGCAGAAAATGTCTCAAGAACCAGAAATAAATAAGGATGGTGATAGAGAGGTATACCTTCATATTCAAATGTTTCTGTTGAATTAGATTTTTACATTATGTTGTTTAACAAAATGTAGTAAGTGTAGGCATACATGATCCTATCATGTAAGTAGCATAAATCATGAGTGAAAAAGTTAATATTTAACTCAGAAAGAATTCTGTACTTTGAGTTTTCAAGAGATACAAAGCCTAGAGATATTCTTTGATTATTATGGAACAATCCTGAATGGTGCCATAAAATGCTAGGTAATGCCACTTTAGGAGCTTTGGACCAATCATTTTATCTTTCTTGGTTTTAGTCTGATTATCAATAGATAATGTGGCTAAAGAAGATAGCTTCTTATTCTGTGTATCTTCCAGCTAGAAAATTGTATGGCTATTCAATGTGAAATTTGGGGAGCATCTCATTTTCTGGAATTCCATGCTTGCACGTCAGCAGTTTCACTCTGCTTCTTGTGTTGTGGCAAACTTTGGCTCCCATTTTCAGTGAGCACCATCATGTTTTTGATATCCCAGCAACCAAATGAAAAAAGAATGCTCAAAGGCAGTGGGGTAGAAGAATATCTTAGCGCAGAAAAGGGCAAACTTCCTTTCTGTTCCTGAAGCCGCACAGTGTGTCATCCTCTAAATCTGACTGTTTAATGTAAAATCTAGGTGGTAAAGACAGAAGACACATTTTGCATCTTTGTCTTTTTATTTGCGTGTTCCCATGAGTCAAATGGGGTAAATACATACATAAGATTCTGAAGAGTGATTGAGAATAAAAGCATAAAATGAAGGAGGGCCCTTTTTGAATTTTGGAAAATTCTGTTTCATTCATTGAAACAGAAATGAAGCAAACTTTACAAAAATTTCTGTGATATATTAATGATATGATAATTACATCTTAAAGTTATATGGTAATATTTCTATATATATGATCAAATTTAAGTGTGAAATATTTTTAATGACTAAAATAATGACAAACTGAGTCAATTGATAGAATCAATTAAAAAGGTTCTTTTTATTCAATAAAGTGATAACTATCCTTAATATCCCACTCAAGGTTGAAGAAGAAATGAAGAAGCATGAAAGTAATAATGTGGGATTACTAGAAAACCTGAGTAATGGTGTCACTGCTGGCAATGGTGATGATGGATTAATTCCTCAAAGGAAGAGCAGAACACCTGAAAATCAGCAATTTCCTGACAACGAAAGTGAAGAGTATCACAGGTAAGCCTATGGCAACATTGAACAGGAGATAACTATGTGCTGTCAAACTAACCCTAGTTTGGGCTAATATTCATGATGAACAAATTTTATAGTTTTACTAGGATATTCAGCCTTGCCCGTTAATCAGAAAAATGAAAATCAGCGAACAATGAGTTACCATTTTTCCAGGCATTAATTTATTTGAAAAATAACCAGTATTGGCAAATGTGAGGGAAAAGGCATTTTCTTTTCTTTTTAGTGAACTTTTCTTTTAGTTTCAGGGGTACATGTGCAGGGTTATTATATAGGTAAAGTGTATCATGGAGATTTGGACTGCAGATTATTTCATCAGCCACATAATAAGCAAAACACCAAAAGTTAGTTTTTTGGTCGTCTCCCTCCCGTGACGCTCCACCTTCAAGTAGACCCTGGTGCCTGTTATTCTCCTCTTTGTGTCCATGAGTTCTCATTATTTAGTTCCCACTAATGAGTAAGAATATGTGGCATTTGATCTTCTGTTCCTGCATTAGTTTGCTTAGGATAATGGCCTCCAGCTCCATCTGTGTTGCTGCAAAAGAAATGGTTTCATTGTAAAAGACATTTCATACACTGCTGGTAAATACATTTTGAACATTAATTTAGTAGCATATTCACAAACACATGTATAACAATAAGGATATATAATATATGTAAAGGATATTTGTGTAGATGTTACATATATACTTATGTATAAGGACATTTATTACAGCATTATTATATCAAAAAGATGGATCCTTATCAATAGGAAATTATCATTATCAAAAGTAAATCATTACCAATAGGAAATAGCTCAATTTTCATACCCAGAAATTAATGTAGTATGCAACCATTTTTTACAAGTGAGGTTAGATCTAGAGTATACTGATTATTTCACAATTAAAGTGTATTTAAAGCATCAGTGATGACATCTTAAGAGTTCTTGTTAAAATTCTTGTAATATTTCCTGTGTTGCAAATGGAAGCTACATGCTATATTGATGCTGTACCTTGTTAGCAACAAGATTGCTAGTTATTAAATTTTTATGTCAGTGCCTGAGTGCTGAAATATTGGACCCTCAATCTGAATATTGCCAAGGGATTGTACATGGGGATCTGTATTTAATATAAACGTTTCAGTATATTGGGTAAAACTTTTATTAAAATGTATCAAAGGATCTTTCATCTGCTAAACCAGGAGTTGGCCAGCTTTTTCTGCAAAGAGCCAGTTAGTAAATATTTTAGGCTTTGTGGACTATATAAATTAATTTATTTTTGAGACAGGGTCTCACTCTGTTTCCCAGGCTGGAGTGCAGTTGTGTGATCATGGCTCACTGCAGTCTTGACTTTCTGAGCTCTAGTGATCCTCCCACCTCAGCCTCTCTACTAGTTGGGACCATAGGTGTGCAACATCACACCCAGCTAATTGACACTGTGGACTGTAAAGTGAATAAGCATGGCTGTGTTCCAAAATACTTGACTTACAAAAACAGGCAGTGGGCTGGATTTGGCCCAAGGTGCTAGTTTGCTGACCCTTGTGCTAAAAGGAAGGTGCTGCAAGTGAAGTGACTCTTATTTGTAAAAGTGCCCTGCGTGTGTGAAATTATCCTTCCTTTGAGAAAAGGATATATTTCAGTATTCACCTCACCATATTTTTCCACAGTGACTTCATATAATTTTAAAAATTTCATTTATAAAATAAGATTATTGTCTGCATTTCTCCCACTTTATTCCTGTTAATAGAACCCAGTATTTTGCTGTGATCAATTACTTTGTATATTTGATGAGTATCAGTTGTCCTAGAATTGGCTGATTTTATCAAGCAAGAAATACTCTCCTTGAAACTTTTAGTATTTCTTGGTCTTTATGCATAAGCATGAATAAAATGATAATCAGCTTATGTGTAATCTAGAAATGTTCAAGGCGACTTTTAGTTCTATAGTTTTAAGAATTTAACACCTCAGTCTGGCATTTTTAATGCCACATGTGTATAATTTTTATAACCTTTAAAATATATTATTGTTATATAAAATTTGAAAACTACACCTGTTATATAAAACTTGAAACTATTTGTCTATTACTTTTCCATGACTGTGGAAGAAAATTACAACATTCTCAGTCATGACTCCTAAGCATGATGTCCTTAAAAGAACTGTCCACACTCACGAACTCAAATTTTCTTTTCATTCACTCTTAATCTCACACCGGCGTCTTCAATTTCAGCAGTCCTCCAACATTGTTTTTCCTCAAGATTATCACAATTTTTTTTCTGTAAATTATGCATTTTTTCTTACACCTCATTTTATTTAATCTGTCAGCAATATTTGAGCCAGTGGAGGGCGTCTCCTCCCTAACGGCGTCTTCACTTGGCTTTCAGGACCTCACTCCCTCAAGCTTTTCCTCCTGCATTTCTAGTCCATTCATCATGGTCTGTTTTGCTTGCTCCTCCTCATCTTTCTCCTTTTGGACATTGTTGTTTCCCAGGGCTCAGTCCTCAATCTTCTTTCTCCTGACTTTTTCTTTTTCTTTTTTTGAGACGGAGTTTGACTCTGTCCCCCAGGCTGGAGTTCAGTGGTGTGATCTCAGCTCACTACAACTTCTGCCTCTTGGGTTTAAGTGATTCTCCTGCCTCAGCCTCCTGAGTAGCTGGCATTACAGGTGTGTGCCACCATGCCTGGCTAATTTTTGTATTTTTAGTAGAGACAGCATTTCCCCATGTTGGCCAGCCTGGTCTCAAACTCCTGATCTCAGGTGATCTGTCTGCCTTGGCCTCACAAAGTGTTGGGATTACAGGTGTGAGCCACTGCACCCGGCCCCTCGTGACTTTTTCTATTGTGTATATGCTAGTGATTTCCAAATGTATGTCTCCAGCTCAGATCTCTCTCCTTAATTCCAGATTTCTATATCAGCCTGCCTACTTGACGTCTCTATTTGGTTAGTTATTGGGTATCACACACGTGTCAGATCCAAAATTGGGCTACTGATGTCCTTCCTGAAATCTACACCTCATGTAGTCTTTCCTACTTTGGTTAAGGGCAACTTTTCCAATTGCTCTGCCAAAAATGTCAGTGTCATTCTTGACTCATCTGTCCCTCTGACACCTCATATCTAATCTTTCAGTAAATCTTGTCAGGTCTACCTGAAGAATATGTCCAGAAGCCAGTCATATCTTGTACATCTGAGCCACTGTCATCTGCAGTCTAGATGAGTGTCATAGACTGGGAATTGATCGTCCTGGCTTTTAAAAACTTCCCTTTTCATCAATTCTTAACTCAGTGGATGTATTTAAAACATAAGTCAAATTGTGTCATTCCTCTGCCCCAGCACTTCTGATTGCCTCCTTTTCACTCTGAGTATGGGTCAAAGTTCCTCCTGATTATCTCCCTTGCTCTGCTTCAGCCACACTGAATTCTTGCCATCCCGTATCTACCCCTAGTGCTTAAAGACTCCAGACACACCTCTGTGCTTGGCAGTTCCCTGTGTCTGGGATGCTTTTTCCCCAGATATCCTCCTAGCTTACTCTTTCCATTCCTTCAGTTCTTTATTTAAAACCACCTTTCTAAGAAGAAGAAAAGGGTAAAAAGAAACACATTAAGGAACATCCACTTTCTGAGGAAGAGCCGTGTACTACCCAGACACATCATGCTTAAGATGCAATTGGGAGCATACAAGGAATGCTCTCTAAGGTAATCAAGGCAAGGTTCAATGAAACAAAGTGATTTATCATCTCTAACTTCAAACCTATTTGTATCTTGACATCAGCGCTGTTAACCTTATGTCATCGTTTCTTAGAGTCTTTGATATACAAATAAAAGGTTTTTTGTATTAGAAAAAAAAAACCCTTTCTCAGC
Source organism: Homo sapiens (assembly GCF_000001405.40). Classification (NCBI taxonomy): domain Eukaryota; kingdom Metazoa; phylum Chordata; class Mammalia; order Primates; family Hominidae; genus Homo; species Homo sapiens. The sequence goes on along the minus strand of NC_000002.12, from coordinate 130,484,187 downwards.
AGGGACTCTTCTGGCCATCTCAACTTTCCCACCACCCTCCCCATCAAACACATAAACATTTCATTTTCCTGCTTTAGTTTTTCTCCTCTAACATACCGTATATTTTGCCTTATCTGTCTGTTGTTATTGTGTGTTTTTCTCACTGTCATGAATAGGGTTTTTATTTTTCACTACCATATCTTCACTGCTTAGAAAAAGGCTTAGCATATTGGATGTAGCTACCTAATAAATACTTGTTAAATAAGTGAATGGAGTTTATCCTGTGTATATTGTTTGATTGATTCTCACTTTAAAAATGTTTGCCGTAGGTCGGGCATGGTGGCTCACACCTGTAATCACAGCACTTTGGGAGGCCGAGGCAGGCGGATCACGAGGTCAGGAGATCGAGACCAGTGAAACCCCATCTCTACTAAAAATACAAAAAAATTAACCGGGTGTGGTGGCATGCGCCTGTAGTCCCAGCTGCTATGGAGGCTGAGGCAGGAGAATGGCATGAACCCAGGAGGCGGAGCTTGCAGTGAGCCGAGATCGTTGCACTGCACTCCAGCCTGGGTGACAGAGCAAGACTCCGTCTCAAAAAAAAAAAAACAAGTTTGACATGGTTCTTTCTAACAGTTTTGCCTGGTAATTGTCTGCATTTTTAAAATCGTTTTGGCTCTTTATAATAAGCTACATTGTTTATATTAATTTTTTTATTTAGGGAGAAAAGCCCAATATTGTGGTTATTCACTATTTATGCTTTAATAGTAATCATAATTGTAATTATGGTAAACTGAGTCAGAGGAATTGCAAACTTTACTATTTTATTTTATTTTATTTTATTTTTTTGAGATGGAGTCTCACTGTATCGCCCAGGCTGGAGTGCAGTGGCGCGATCTCAGTTCATTGCAACGTGGGTTCATGCATTTCTCCTGCCTCAGCCTCCCAAGGAGCTGGCCCTTGCATAAGGCGGCCACACAAATTTTTGAAGCATTCTATATTTTGCGCAGTCACTGGAAGGTCATTTGACTGTTTGCTGAGTAGCTTTAAGGAAATGGTGTGAATCAAAGCAGAATGGGTGCCACAAAAACATTGAAATTGTGATTTGCGCAATAAAAATAGTCATGTAAGGTGGTCTGTGAGATGACACCAGAGCCAAATAACATGTGGGGTGTTGTGTACAAAATATATTGTTAGTATGTATGTTAAAAATTAGAGAATGCCAACTTGCAACTTCTTCGTGGAACCTAAAAAAAAAAAAATAAAAGTAGGGTTTTCATCTCCCATGTCAGCTGGAGATGAACATGTATATAAAGCATCATCGTAACAAACATCTGGCTGAGAGTTTGAGTCTGTAGAGAAGGATCATTGGTCCAAGTCAGGTCTTAACATCCATTGGTTTTTCTGCCCTTGGCGTGATTGATCAACTCCGTAATAGTGGACAATCACATTATCTACTTTAATGAGATATTTATGAAAAAATTTAGTTACAAACTATGACATAGTTGAGATGCCCTGAATTAGAAGCCATAAAGAGTAGGACAACTAAGAAGCAAAATTAGGACTTAATAACGTTTCCTGAAAACTACAACATTTGCATATTAGAACCTATGAACAAAATTCGCACTGGGTTTTATTTGGGATTCCAAGATAATTTCAGTCATAAAGTTTAGGAACAAATTATTCCATTGTTTTACTATTTCTTTGAGCATTTAAAAAAATGTTATCTTGTTAAATCATTATAACAACCTAGTAAAATAAGGCAGCGTAGTCCTCACTTTGTAGAAGAAGACATTAAGCCTAAGAGAAGCAGCTTGTTCAAGAGCAAATAGCTGTTCATTATGGAGCTAGGACTTATTTAGAGTTGGGACACTTTCTATTATGTCAGGCTAATGCAAGTTAATTTACTGGGTCACAGTGCCCTCGATTTATGAGTATTTCATCTTACTTTTTTTTCTTCTTTAATTAGAAGCTTCATGAGAAGTTTGTAGAACGTACGCATAAGTGGATGGGATAATACTGTTAAGTTCTGATATTCTGATATTGTTTGAAATACTCTAAGAATTTTACATTTGGTAAGTTTCCAGATCAGTATTTTAAAACAGTAATTTTATTTGTTATATTTTTATACATAGAATTTGCGAATTAGTTTCTGACTACAAAGAAAAACAGATGCCAAAATACTCTTCTGAAAACAGCAACCCAGGTAAGACTTGTGATAGTGAATTACTTTAGGTCAGTTGTCCACAATCTTTTTGACACCAGGGACCGGTTTTGTGGAAGACAATCTTTCCATGGGCTGGGGGAAGGTGGGGATGGTTTCAGGATTGTTCGGTCACATTACACTTATTGTGCTACTTTATATTATTATTACATTGTAATATATAATAAAATAATTATACGACTTACCATAATGTAGAATCAGTGGAAGCTCTGAGCTTATTTTTCTGCAACTAGATGGTCCCTTCTGGGGGCAAAGTGAGACAGTGACAGATCATCAGGCATTAGATTCTCATAGGAAGCACACAACCTAGATCCCTCAGATGGGCAGTTCACAACAGGGTTCATGCTCCTATGAATATCTAATGCTATCACTGATCTGACTGGAGGCAGAGTAGAGGCTGCAATATGAGCCATAAGGAGTGGCTGTAAATACAGATGAAGCTTCCCTGGCTTGCCTGCTGTGCACCTCCTCCTGTGTGGCATGGTTCCTAACAGACCGTGGACTGGTACCAGTCTGTGGCCTGGGAGTTGTGGAGCCCTGCTCTGGGAGGTCCTACCATAGATTTAAAAAGTAAAAGTAAGGAATTTTTGTTCACAAAAGAACAGTGAAGCACAGATCATGTTACATATGCTTGTGCCAACAAGGTCTCACTATTACTGACTTCATTCCTCCTGTTTTGAAGTTGAAAGAGATGCATTTACTTTGTTGGAACAAGATGTGTTCTTCCACCAGCTGGTTAATTGTCATGATAACAGTAATTTTGTTAGAAGAAGATGCTCTGCTACCATTTGCCAAAAGATTGTCATAATGTACAATTTTCCCAATGCAAGGGTCAGCAGATTATAATAAAAATATAAAAATGTTTCACAGTAACAAAAATGCTAGTATGCTACCTGGATGTGGACACCTAATACATGGTACAATCCAAACTGTATGAGGACACCTTTAATTTGGCTACCTATTTATCAAAGAGCTTCTGTAAGTTAGGTTTTATAAGTTGCAGGAGACAAGATGGAATAGATGTAGTTTTAATCTTTAAGGTGCTCACAACAGAAGTGTTTCTATTTCATTTCTGTGGTTTTTCAACAGAATTTACAAAGAAAACATTTTTATTTATGTTTTCACTTGTCCACTTAACAAATAACTGTCAAATGTCTTTTAGATACTAAGCAGTTTTTCTAAGGCTACAGAACACAAAAACACAGACAGGAGCTTATTATTATTATCATTGTCATTTTTATTATTTTGCTGCTTTATTCAGTGCTTACTGTGTGCTAGATGCCCACTGGAATCTTATAATTATGATTTATTATATGTGATATTGATTATGTGCCAGACATATGTGATGAGGAGTGAAAGCTTTAGAAAGAAAGGAGGCAGGATTTAATGTAAGCATGCAGAGTGAGAAGAATTTTTCAGGGAAAGAAGCAGAAGAATGACATTTGGCAGAAGGAACATGGAGTGAGATTGTGTGTTTGCCAGAAGGAACATCTAATGAGATTGCCCGTTTGGGAGGAAGAGCAGCAAGTGCAGAAGACAAGATGCTTGAGTGAACATGGCAGGGTTTCTGAGCAGTTCACTTTTGCTATTACCAAAAGTGTGAGATACCAGAGGTTGGGAGTGAGGTGAATACTTAGCTAAGGCAAGTTTATGATAGACTTTTTAATACTATAGAAATGAGTAGCTCTTATCCTGTGGGCCATGGGAATTGACCAGGTAGAATGCTTTGGACTGCAAATACTAGATGAGCAGTGGCTAAAACAGTAGGAACCAGAGTTGTTTTTTTATTCATTGATATCCTAGGATCCCACCTGTCCCTCTTTCAGCTGTGCTGTTGACAGTGTTTTACTCACGTCTCCTTTCGTGGTTGGCTAATCCGCAGCAGCTCCAAACATCTTGTTCTCACAACACAACATCGCAAGGGCTGCTTTTCTTCACGTGTGTCTTTTAAACAGGGAGAAAACTTAGAAGCATGCAAGGGGCTTCCTGTAACATTTCATTGGCTGGGTCACACCACATGCTCATTCCCAAACCAGGCACTGGGAAGGTAAATACCTGATTAGCTTAGAATAAACATTTCTGTTTCTGAGGCTGAGGAGGGGGATTGGGATATTAAATATCCCAATAGACTTATATTTTTTCTGCCAGAAAGAATGAGGAATGGCTATTGATAGGGAGCCAACAATGTGTGCTGCAGGGGCTCATTGGAGAAATTTGAGCAGGGGAGTCACAAGATTAAATTTGAGTATTAAGGCGTTCTGGTTATGGTGTAAAATGGGTTAGCAGGCTTTTTCTTTAAAGGACCAGGTGGGAAATATTTTAGACTATGTGGTCTCTGTCATATCTACTTAACCCTGCTGTTGTCTGCTGTTGTAGTGTGAAAGCCACCATGATTATATGTAAGCAAACAGGCATGACTGAGCTCCTATAAAACTTTATTTACAAAACCATAATGCAGATTGGATTTGGCCTGTGGCCTATAGTTTCCTGGGATTGATGGGAGATAATCATGCAAAGAAACCAGGAGACAAAGGAAGCTTTTGCAGTAGTCAGCTATAGTTTCCATGTTACACATCCTTGGAGTAGCATCAATGTATTATAAGGTTTTCACCCGTCCATGGTGAAATAAATAATGTTAGAAATCTCAGTTACTCATTTTACTATGTTGGCCTTCGTTATGCCTTTTTCACTTGTTTTGCTTAATTTTTTTTTCCTGTAAGAAATAACATTAATAGTTGGCAGTTTTCTTTTAAATAGAAGTCATTTTGTAAATGTTTATGTTCCCAGTGGCAGTGGGAATATAAAACAGAGGCAGAAGAGAGGTATAGTCAATATGATTTAGTGATAATTGAATGAGAAAGGCTTGGGGGACAGAGAGAAATCTCAGATGATGTACAGGTTTCCAGATTGTACACTAGTATTTAACCTGGACATGAGGAAGGAGTAGGAAATTTTCTGGTGAATACAGGAGAGCAAAGAGCAGCAGGTCAGCAGGAATGACTAATTTTTTTCTATGCATGTTTAATGGAATATTCGTGTAGGATATTTTGAGTAGGTCATTGGATAATCAGCATTTATAACTCACATCCTACTAGTTTGATTCTCAGTAATAAGACTTGTCAAAGATCCAAGAATCTGAAAGTCAGTAATAAATGTCCATGTGCATCATCGTCCGTGACAGAAAGTCAGCATCCACAGAACACAGAATTGGGACAGATGAACTTAATAGATAAAGATGAATATCGGAGTTGTTCCTCTTAGGGAATGATACTCTCCATGACCTGTGTGAGTCACAGCTGCCAGAAAAGAAAGAGCAAGGAGCATATGAAGGCAGCACAGCAAATTCGGTCCTAGAGTGCCCTGCTTGGCTTCATGTCATAGTTCTGACTTCTAAATAATCATTTTCTGCAAAATGTGCTTTGTGTTTTTCCCTCTTGCCGCCTGCAGCCAATCAGAATTTTTTAGCAGGACATAATGAAAAGAAGTAAGAGAAAGAGTGTTTTTTTGTATGGGATAGTATTTAACGTAAACTTGAGAGTGAGTACCAGGATTATACTTAGAATTTATGGACTGGATGGAAAGACTGGATAGAAATCTAAAGATTGCTGACTCAAACACAATGTGGTTTCTTTGATTTATTTTCACAGCTCTGAATTCACGACTGTTAATTGTATTCATATGCACTATAACTTTACAAAGCATCTTCCCAAACCAAATATTTACTGATTTAGTATAATTTGTATGACTTTATTATAGAACTGACTTTCCAAGTGTTCATGAGAATTGTTTAGTATTTGCTACATTGTATCATCTCAGCTGTGTCCACATGAGCTATCTGTCACCTTGTCTTAATGAATAATTGTTCACTAGGAATATTGGTTTTGGCATTGAAATGATCTATATCTAAATGCAGATAGGACCCGGGACCACTTTTGAACATTAATGTCCAAGCATCTTAAAATTACACATAAGGCTTTCATAATCTGACTTCTGCCCCACTCTCCATCTTTAGCCCTTTTCCCTGTGTGCACTGTCTCTGGCATTACTGAGCTGCTGGCAATGCCCTACTCACTCATCCTTCTATTGTAGGCAAATACTTTCACTCTTTCAGGCCTCGCTCCCGCTCTTGCTGCTGCATGGTATGCCGTCACCCTTTCCTGCCCTCTACCCCTTTTAATCTGGCTAGTCTCAATATTTAAGTCTCTGCTTGGGCATGTGTTCTAGAAAAGCCATCTCTGACAGGCTTTATTTTAATTCTTTTTAAACCCTAATGCCTAGCATGTATTTAGCAGGACTCAATAAAATATTTCTGAGTAAAACAAAGACTGTTTTTACAAAGATGATGTGCAAGACTCTCCCCTGCAGTCTTGGAGCAGAGGGGACAGACATGTGGAGGAATAATGTACAGTTTAGGTGGTCAAGATGCAGTAGAAAAATCAGTAAAGTACTAAGGCAGCCTCAAGGAAGGAGGTACCTGTTTATTTGGGGAAAGACATGCAAAATCAAGGAAGACTTCACATAGCATTGTTTCAAAAGATGAAAATAAGGCCAGGTGTGGTGGCTCACACCTGTAATCCCAGCACTTTCAGAGGGGATCACGAGGTCAGGAGATCGAGACCATCCTGTCCAATGGTGAAACCCCATCTCTACTAAAAATACAAAAATCAGCTGGGTGTGGTGGTGCTTGCCTGTAATCACAGTTACTCAGGAGACTGAAGCAGGAGAATCACTTGAACCAGGGAGGCGGAGGTTGCAGTGAGCTGATCATGCCACTGCATTCCAGCCTGGTGACAGAGGAAGACCCTGGTTCATAAAAAAAAAAAAAGAAAAAAGAAAAAAAGAAAATAAATTTGTCAGAATAGTGGAGGGAAACATTTTAGATATTAGGAAGACGTTGTACACTAATAAAGGTGTCAGCAGTGATTTTGGAAATCATTTATAAGGTACTATTAGGAAGTGGAGAACAGTACACTGTGTCACCTTATATGTTTCTACTGTATTTTAAAGCTGTGTTTCTGGTGGTTTTGTTCATGGATGTTGGGTGGATGAATTTGTGAGGGAATTTTTGACATGTTTGTTTGTCTTCAATCTGGTGACATCTGGTATCTCCCCAAGTGGGTTTTTGAAGTTTTTGAGAATTATTTCTTAAATGACAATTTCACAAAAGATGAAACACTCAATTTATGAAATAAAATGAAATGTCTCAAATCCGTTTTTAAAAGGCAATAGTTTTTAACTGTTCTAAGTGGTTGATTTTAACTGAATATATGGATTTTTCAACAGAACAAGACTTAAAGCTGACATCAGAGGAAGAGTCACAAAGGCTTAAAGGCAGTGAAAATGGCCAGCCAGAGGCATGGAAACTTTTAAATTTAAACTTTTGTTTAATGTTGTGTGTTTTTTGCCTTAATAATAGTAGATAGTCCAAATGAAATTACCTTTCAGACTAGGCTTTGAGAATCAGTAGATTGTTTTTTTAAGAATCTTTTGGCCAGGCAAGGTGGCTCACGCCTGTAATCCCAGCACTTTGAGAGGCTGAGGCAGGTGGATCACGAGGTCTGGAGATCGAGACCATCCTGGCTAACATGGTGAAACCCCGTCTCTAGTAAAAATACAAAAACTTAGCTGGGCGTGGTGGCGGGTGCCTGTAGTCCCAGCTACTCGGGAGGCTGAGGCAGGAGAATGGCATGAACCCAGGAGAGGGAGCTTGCAGTGAGCCGACATCCACCACTACACTCCAGCCTGGGTGACAGAGCAAGACTCCATCTGAAAAAAATATATATATATATTTTAATAGGTTCTTAAAATTTATTGTAATAAAATCAGCAACCTTCTTAACAGAAGAATCAATAGATTCTAATTTAATATTTGATATTTAACTTCAACATAACCCACTATAAAATTTAAAATACTCTTATTTTAAAATATTCTTATCTGCCTTCTTGATTAGCTTATAGCTAATCTCTCCTTTTGGAATAGAGGCAAAAACAAATTTCAGAACTTTGTTTGTTCTTTTATTTTTACAACACCCTAACATGATAAAGAAAGTAACATCAATGATTGAATCATATTATTAAGCAATAGGAATTATGAACAATGTAACACTGATTCCCTGAGCTGGATTCATGGTTAAAGAGTAATCATGGCCTGTGATTGAAAATCCACAGTTTTATATTGTCAGTCACTGATACCAAGGTTAAGGACATATCCTGCCTTGTGGTCTCTCGTTGACCTCAGTGTTTCTGTTCAGGGAGGGAACCAGGTCATAAAAGCAACCCAACTGCCTATTACAAGAACCATATCTTGCAGAATGGGACCTTTGGTGTTAGTGCACAAACACAATAACATTCTAATTTATTTCAGTTGCAGAAAATCAGTACAGATTAAAAAATTCTATCTGCTGTCATTAGTACACATTAGAATATATTAGAACTGGACTTACGCAGATAATCTGGATACATAACACTATCATATGACAGTATATAATTTCAATTAAAATGTGAGAATTTGCATTTCTTTCTGTTTGGTGTTGATTTCGGCTCCTAATAGTTTAAAGGGTGCCTACAATCCAGTTAGGAATCTTTTAAAAAAGCACTTCAGTGCACTGTAGGGGCTCACTAGTTAGGGTTTCATGAGGTAAACTCTTTTCAAGTGAGGAAGATTTTGGAACACTACAAATCATCTGCTGATTCATTTTTGGTAGATTTAACACATAACAAATTAAGTTTAGTCCAAACAAATAGTGAGAAAGTTAAGTTTGCTGGTTCATGTTTTTCTTCTCCCTTTGTCTAAGGTGAATTATTTTTCACATGTTAGAAGCCAGTGATGTGGCAGTAGCTAAACATAGATTAAAAAGTTAATTCTTAATTTTAATTATTATTTATTTAAACAGTTTAATTTTAATTACTTTCTAATTTTTATTGTCCATACTTGATTACTTCAGAATAAAATTATTTTAAAAACATGCACTCCAAAAGAGGAAATGTCACAGAAATACAACAAGCAAATTAACCTTCTGTTTTTACATCTGCAGAAAAGATCTCAAGAACCAGAAATAAATAAGGATGGTGATAGAGAGGTATACCTTTATATTCAAATGTTTGTGTTGAATTAGATTTTTACATTATGTTGTTTAACAAAGTGTAGTAAATGTAGGCATACATGATCCTATCATGTAAGTAGCATAAATCATCAGTGAAAAATTAAATAGTTAACTCAGAATTCTGTACATTGAATTTTGAAGAGGTGCAAACCCTAGAGCTATTCTTTCATTATTATGGAATAATCCCGAATGGTGCCATAAAATGCTAGGTAATGCCACTTTAGGAGCTTTAGACCAATTATTTTATCTTTCTTGGTTTTAGTCTGATTATCAGTAGATAATGTGCCTAAAGTAGATAATTTCTTATTCTCTGTATTTTCCAGCTAGAAAATTTTATGGCTATCGAAGAAATGAAGAAGCACGGAAGTACTCACGTCGGATTCCCAGAAAACCTGACTAATGGTGCCACTGCTGGCAATGGTGATGATGGATTAATTCCTCCAAGGAAGAGCAGAACACCTGAAAGCCAGCAATTTCCTGACACTGAGAATGAAGAGTATCACAGGTAAGCCTATGGCAACATTGAACAGGAGGTAACTTTGTGCTGTCAAACTAATCCTAATTTGAGCTAATATTCATGATGAACAAATTTTATACTTTTATTAGGATATTGAGCCTTGCCTGTTAATCAGAAAAATGAAAATCAGCAAACAATCAGTTACCGTTTTTTTTCCAGTCATTAATTTATTTGAAAAATAACCAGTATTGGCAAATGTGAGGGAAAAGGCATTTTCTTCTCTTTTCAGTGAACTTTTATTTTAGCTTCGGGTACGTGTGCAGGTTTATTATATAGGTAAACTGTATCATGGAGGCTTGGGGTACAGATTATTTCACCAGCCACATAATAAACAAAATACTCGAAAGGTAGTTTTTTGGTCGTCTCCCTCCTGCCATGCTCCTCCCTCAAGTAGGCCCCAGTGTATGTTATTCTCCTCTTTGTGTCCATGAGTTCTCATGTTTAGTTCCCACTAATGAGTAAGAATATGTGGCATTTGATTTTCTGTTCCTGCATGAGTTTTCTTAGGATAATGGCCTCCAGCTCCATCCGTGTTGCTGCAGGGGAAATGGTTTCATTGAAAAAGACATTTCATATACTGTTGGTAAATACATTTTGAACATTAATTGAGTAGCATATTCACACACACATATATAACAGAGTAAGCATATATAATACATGTAAAGGATATTTGTATAGATATGTTATATGTATACTTATGTATAAGGACATTTATTATAGTATTATTATGTAAAAAATTTGGAACTAGTCTAATTGCTTATCAATAGGAAATAGCTCAATTTCCATATCCCCAAAATAATGTATTATGCAACCATTTTTAAAAAATGAGGTTAGATGTAGGGTATACTGATTATTTCACAATTAAAATGTATTTAAAGCGTTTAGTTTGATGACACATCTTAAGAGTTCTTGTTAAAATTCTTGTAATATCTGCTGTGTTGCAAATGGAAGCTACATGCTACATTGACACTGTACCTTGTTAGCAACAAGATTGCTAGTTACTAAATTTTTGTTGTCAGTGCCTGAGTGCTGAAATATTGGACCCTCAATCTGAATATTGCCAAGGGATTGTACATGGGGATCTATATTTAATATAAACATTTCAGTATATTTGGTAAAACTTTTATTAAAATACATCAAAGAATCTTTGATCTACTAAACCAGGAGTTGGCCAGCTTTTTCTGCAAAGAGCTAGTTAGTAAATATTTTAGGCTTTGTGGACTACATATATTGATTTTCTTGAGACAGGGTCTCACTCTGTTTCCCAGGCTGGAGTGCAGTTGTGTGATCATGGCTCACTGCAGCCTCGACTTTCTGGGCTCTAGTGATCCTCTGACCTCAGTCTCTACTAGCTGAGACCACAGGTGTGCAACATCACACCCAGCTAACTGACACTATGGACTGTAAAGTGAATAAGCATGGCTGTGTTCCAAGATACTTGACTTACAAAAACGGGCAGTGGGCTGGATTTGGCCCACAGGTGCTTATTTGCTGACCCTTGTGCTAAAAGGAAGGTGCTGCTAATGCAGTGACTTTTATTTGTAAAAGTGCCCTGCATGTGTGACATTATCCTCCCTTTGAGAAAAGGATATATTTCAGTATTCACCTCACCGTATTTTTCCAGTGACTTCATATGATTTTGAAAACTACATTTATAAAATAAGATTATTTTCTGCATTTCTCCCACTTTATTCCTGTTAATAGAACTCAGTATTTTACTGTGATCAATTACTTTGTATATTTGATGAGTGTCAACTGTCCTAGAATTGGCTGATTTTTATCAAGCAAGAAATATTCTCCTTGAGAGTTTTAGTATTTCTTGGTCTTTATGTATAAGCATGAACAAAATGATAATCAGCTTATGTAATCTAGAAATGTTCAAAGGGCCTTTAAAAACCTTGGTCTGACATTTCTAAATGCCATATGTGTATAATTTTTATAACCTTTAGAATATATAATTGTTACATAAAATTTGAAAACTCCACCTGTTATGTAAAATTTGGAAGCTACTATTTCTTGTCTATCACTTTTCCATGACTGTGGATGAAAATTACATCATTCTCAGTCATGAGCGTTAAGTATGTTGTCCTTAAAGAACTGTCTACACTCATGAACTCAAATTTTCTTTCCATTCACTCTTGATCTCAATGCCGGTAAGTCTTCAATTTCAGCACTCCTCCAGAGTTGTTTTTCCTCAAGATTATCACTAATTTTTTTCTGTACTAAATCTAGGCATTTTTCTTACACCTCATTTAATCTGTCAGCAATATTTGAGCCAATGGAGGGCATCTCCTCCCTAATGGCGTCTTCACTTGGCTTTCAGGACCTCACTCCCTCAGGCTTTTCCTCCTGCCTTTCTAGTCCGTTTATCATGGTCTGTTTTGCTTGCTGCTCCTCATCTTTCTCCTTTTGGACATTGTTGTTTCTCATGGCTCAGTCCTCAATCTTCTTTCTCATGGTTTTTTTTTTTTTTTTTTTTTTTTTTTTAAGACAGAGTCTCGCTTTGTCCCCCAGGCTGGAGTTCAGTGGCATGATCTTGGCTCATTGCAACCTCTGCCTCATGAGTTCCAGCACTTCTCCTGCCTCAGCCTCCTGAGTAGCTGGGATTACAGGTGTGCGACACCACGCCTGGCTAATTTTTGTATTTTTAGTAGAGACAGGTTTCCCCATGTTGGCCAGGCTGGTCTCAAACTCCTGACATCAGGTGATCTGCCCGCCTTGGCCTCATGACATGTTGGGATTACAGGCGTGAGCCACCGTGCCTGGCCCCTCATGACTTTTTCTACTGTGTATATGCTAGTGATTTCCAAATGTATGTCTCCAACTTAGATCTCTTTCCTTAATTCCAGATCTCTATATCATCCCACCTACTTGACATCTCTATTTGATTAGCTGTTGGGTATCACACACTTGTCAGATCCAAAATTGGGCTACTGATGTCCTTCCTGAAATCTACACCTCATGTAGTCTTTCCTACTTTGGTTAACAGCAACTCTTCCAGTTGCTCTGCCAAAAACCTCAGTGTTATTCTTGACTGATCTTTCTCTCTGTCCTGACACTTCACATCTAATCTCTCAGTAAATCTTGTCAGGTCTATCTGAAGAATATATCCAGAGGCCAGTCTATCTTATACAACTGAGCCACCGTCATCTGCAGTTTAGATGAGTGTCATAGACTGGGAATTGATAGTCCTGGTTTTTAAAAGCTTCCCCTTTCATCAATTCTTATCTCAGTGGATGTATTTAAAACATAAGTCAAATGTTGTCATTCCTCTGCCCCAGCCGTTCTGATTGCCTCCCATTTCACTCTGAGTATGTGGCAGAGTTCCTCCTAATAACTGAAAGGCAGTAAACCATCTGGCATGTTACCTCTCCTGCTGAAACTTCTGTTTCTTATCTCTATTGCTGTGTTTCAGCCACACTGAACTTGTTGTTATTCCTTACCTATCCCTTAGTGCTTAAAGACTCCAGGCACACCTCTGCACTTAGCAGTTCCCTGTGTCTGGAATGCTTTTTCCCCAGATATTCTTCTAGCTTACTGTTTCCATTACTTCAGCTCTTTACTTAAAATCCCCTTTCTAAGAAGAAGAAAAAGGGTAAAAAGAAACCCATTAAGGAATAACCACTTCCTGAGGGAGAACCATGTACCAGCACAATTCCTAGCCCAGAGAAAATGAAGAAAATGAAAAAAAAGAGAGATAATGAGGACTAACAGAAAGGAATTAGGATTGTATCATCAGGACGCGTCAGGCTTGAGATTCGATTGGGAACATACCAGGGATGCTCTCTAACGTAATTGAGGGAAGTTTCAATGAAACAAAGTGATTTATCATCTCTAACTTCAAACCTATTTGTGTCTTGACATCAACTCTGTTAACATCATCATCTTTTAGAGTCTTTGATGTACAAATAAAAGTTTCTTTATATTAAAGAAAAATCCTCTTTCTCAGCAGGGACTTTTCTGGCCATCCCAACTTTCCCACCACCCTTCCCATCAAACACATAAAGATTTCATTTTCCTGCTTTGGTTTTTCTCCTCTAACGTACTGTGTATTTTGCCGTATCTGTCTGTTGTTATTGTGTGTTTATCTCACTCTCATGAATAGGGTTTTTATTGTTCATTACCATATCCTCACTTCCTAGAAAAAGGCCTAGCCTATCAGACGTAGCTACCTAATAAATAGGTATTAAATGAATGAATGGAGTTTATCCCGGGTATATTGTTTGATTGATTCTCACTTAAAAAATGTTTGACAAGGTTCATTTTAACAATTTTGCCTGGTAATTATATGTATTTTAAAAATTCTTTCGGCTTTTTATAATAAGCTACATTCTTTATATTAATATTTTTTCACTTAGGGAGAAAAGCCCAATATTGTGGTTATTCACTATTCTTTTACTGGTAATCATGATAATTGCAATTATGGTAAAATGAGTTAGAGAAATTACAAGCTTTACTGGTATTTTATTTATTTAGAGACAGAGTCTCGCTCTGTCACCCAGGCTGCAGTGCAGTGGTGTGACCTCGGCTCACTGCAACCTCTGCCTCCTGGGTTCAGGCGATTCTCCTACCTCAGCCCCCTGAGGAGCTGGGATTACAGGTGCGTGCCATGACACCCGGCTAATTTTTGTATTTTTAGTAGAGACGGGGTTTCATCCTGTTTGTCAGGCTGGTCTTGAACTCCTGACCTCAGGCAGTCCACCCACCTCATCCTCACAAAGTGCTGGGTGGATTACAGGTGTAAGCCACCACATCCGGCCACTAGTATTTTATTTTTTTTAGGGTGGTAAATGTAATGGACTCACAAATTCTTTCCAAGGGATTATGGACCTTCGGTATTTGAAATAAAAAGACAGTTGGAATTTTTTGCTTCCGATAGTAAGACTATACTGGTCAGGCACTGTCTATTCTGATGGAGCAGCTGTTGCTGCTTGGCTGTCTTTCAGAAGCAGGCTGCTCACACTGATATTGGTTGGTGAGCAAGGCCAGTGGTCATTGATCGATTGACTAGATTTTGAACTGGCTCTGGCTGGCTTCTTGTTACCATGGCTACAGGTCAATTCTTTCCTAAGTTTGAGTCAACTTTAACCAGAAATTTTCTGTTCAAAAGTTGCCTTCCATTAACTATGTTCAAAAAGAAACTTTTTAATATTCCAGAATTGTGGATTTAAAGTTTTGGTTATGATGACTTGGTTAATAATAGCTCTCACGAAGATTTTTTTTTTTGATACATCATCTTAACCAGAAGAGTTCTCTGTATAATTTATTTCTTAAAAATAATTGTTTTGTTTTTGTTTTTGGTATTTTTAGAAGCTTTTGCTCAAGTCCTAACATAATCTCCAGTAGGAGATTTTAGTCTCTTTGTCAGTTCATGTATGTATATGATAGTCATATTCTGTGTTTTTAAATTCCTTTTCTTGTTCACTTTTTTCTCTGTACAATACTAGTGATATTGTTATACATTTTTATCTCATTAAAAAGTTGTTACAATTTTCTGCTGGCAAATCTAGCTTTTTCTATATTTTGACTGAATAGGTTAAAAGTGAAGAAAATTTACGAGATCATTTTGTTTTCAAACAAAATCATAAGTAATAAAAATTGCTATTTTGAATTATAAATAATGACATTTAGATATTTTAAAAATAAGGATACCCCCCCCCCCAATAGTTTGGCTTTGTGTTTCTATGCAAATCTCATGTCAAATTGTAATTACCAGGTGTTGAGGAAAGACCAGCTGGGAGGTGATTGGCTCATGGGGTCGGTTTCCTCCATGCTGTTCTTGTGATAGTGAGTGAGTTCTCACAAGAGCTGACGGTTTCATAAGGGGCTCTTTGCGCTTCACTTCTCTCTTCTCTCTCTCCCGCCGCCTTATGAAGAAGGTGCCTGCTTCCCCTTCCCCTTCTACCATGGTTGTTAAGTTTCCTGAGGCCTCCCCAGCCATGCGTAACTGTGAATCAATTAATCCTCTTTCCTTTATGAATTACCTAGTCTCAGGTATGTATGTGTGTGAATTACCCAGTCTCAGCTATGTACATATGTATATGTGTGAGTGTATATACACACATACATATATATGATACATATATGTGATGTGAGATATATATATGTATATACGTCCATTTTCTTTATTCCACTCATCAGTTGATGGACACTGGTTGATTCCATATCTTTGCATATTGTGAATTGTGCTGCAGTAAACATATGTGTGCGGGTGTCCTTTTGAGAGTACGATTTCTTTTATTTTGTGTAGATATCTGGAAATGAGAATGTTGGATAAAATGGTAGGATCTACTTTTAGTTCTTTGAGAACTCTCCATACTGTTTTCCATAGATTTGTATGAAGTTGCATTCCCACCAGCAGTGTATCACTGTTGTCTTTTCACCGCGTCCACACCAACATCTGTTGTTTTTTGATTTCTAATAGTGGCCATTCTGGCTGCAGTGAGGTGATATCTCACTGTGGTTTTATTGTACATTTCCCTGATGATTAGAGATATTTAGCATGTTTTTATATGCTTGTTTACCGTTTGTACCTCTTCTTTTGAGAAATGTCTATTCATGTAATTTGGCCACTTTCCAATGGAATTATTTGCGTTTTTCCTGTTGATTTGTTTGAGTTTCTTGTAGGTTATAGATATTAGTCGTTTGTTAGCGTCATAATTTTCAAAATTTTCCCATTGTATAAGTTGTTGTTTGATGATTATTTCTTTTGCTGTGCTGAAGCTTTTTAGTTTAATTAGGTCTTATTTATTTATTTACATTTTTGTTGGATTTGCTTTTAGGGTCTTCCTCATAAATCCTTTGCCTAGGCCAATGTTTTCAGGTCTTAGGTTTAGGCCTTTCATCCATCTTGAATTAATTTTTGTATATGGTGAGAGATAGAGATCCAGTTTCATTCTTCCACATGTGGCTATCTTTTTTTCCCAGCACCATTTATTGAATAACCTGTACTTTCTCCAGTGTATGTTTTTGTATCCTTGCTCAGAGATCACTTGGTTGTAGTGGCTTTATTTCTGAGTTGTCTGTTCTGTTCCATTGATCTATGTATCTGTTTTTATACGAGTACCACGCTGCTTCTGTTACTGTGGTCTTAGAGTATCATTTGAAGTCAGGTAATGTGATGCCAACATATTTGTTCCTTTTGCTTGGTATGTCTGTTGCTGTTCAGGCTCTTTTGTGGTTCTACATGAATGTCAGCATTTTAAAATAATTCTGTGAAGAATGACATTGGTACTTTGGTAGGTATTGTATAGAATGTGTAGACTGCTTTGGGCACTATGGTCATTTTCACTATATCAGTTCTTTCAGTCCATGAACATAGGATGTATTTTCATTTGTTTGTGTCATCTGTTATTTTCTTTGGTGGTGTTTTCCAGTTATCTTTATATAGATCACTCACTTTTTTCATTAAGTATATTCCTAGGTGCTTCACACTTTTTTGCAGCCACTGTAAAAGGGATTGGATTGTTGATATGAACTCTCAGCTTGGTTGTAGTTGGTGTATAGTGGTGCTACTGATTGGTATTCATTTATTTTGTAACCTCTGAGACTTTACTGAATTCATGTATCAAATCTAGGAGTGTTTTGTAGGAGTCTTTAGGGTTTTCTAGGTATAGGATAATATCATTGGTGAAGAGATAGTTTGACTTCCTCTTTTCCAATTTGGATGCCCTTTATTTCTCTTGCCCAATTGCTCTGCCTAGGACTTCCCAGTTTTATTTTTAATATGCATGAAATAAAAGTAAAATGGAAAGTGCTTAACGATGAGTTTATTTCACATCTCTCTCTCATACACAGATAAAATTATTTCAAAGTCCTATGTTAAAAACATATTATACCCTGTCTTGTTCTAAAAGGAATTTCTAAGTTGTTTATAAAATACATAGGAATCAAGAATATAAGTAGAAAGTGTTTCCAAACAATAAACATAAAGAGTATGGGTTACAGGACACAGACCATTAGCAATCCCTGGCCTGTTAGGACCTGGGCCACACAGCAGGAGGTTCGAGGCAGGTGAGCAAGTGAAGCTCCATCTGTTTACAGCCACTCTCTGTCGCTCGCATTACCGCCCGAGCTCCTCCTCCTGTCAGATCAGCGGTGGCATTAGATTGTCCTGAGTGTGACCTGAACCCTGTTGTAAGTTGCTCATGCAGGGGGATATAGGTTGTTCACTCCTTATGAGAATCGAATGCCTTTCTGATCTGTCACCATCTTCCGTCACCCCCAAATGGGACCATCTAGTTGCAGGAAAACAAGCTCAGGGCTCCCTCTGATTCTACATTTTGGTGAGATATAATTATTTCATTATATATTAATAATAATAGAAATAAAGTGCACAATGAATGTAATATACTTGAATCATCCTGGAACCATCCCCCACCTCAGGTTCCTGGAAAAATTATCTTCCACAAAACCAGTCCCTGGTGCCAGCATGGTTGGGGACACCTGGTTAACAGATGTGAGACCCCTTTGCCTTGTCTTGGAATAATGTGCAGATATGCATTGTGTGAATGACATCTGATGGCGCCATCTTGCCCTGTACATCATTTTAGGGACAGCTCCAGTATTTCATGAAAATTAAAATTTCTTCTAGTGACGAACAAAATGATACTCAGAAGCAATTTTGTGAAGAACAGAACACTGGAATATTACACGATGAGATTCTGATTCATGAAGAAAAGCAGATAGAAGTGGTTGAAAAAATGAATTCTGAGGTATTTTCTTTAGTTATTTTCAAATGTTTTTATATGTGTGTATATTTTAAAGAACTGTATTTTGGAAATATAAAGGATTTTTAAGTCATATATATGTGTGTATATATTCTATATATCCTTTGTCATATATCTATATACGTACGTATAGGATAAAGCCATGTTCTTAATTCACCTTCATTTGCCTGCAACAGTTGAGTAGTGACTTGCACAATGGCCTCAATCCAAAGGAGAAGTATTTGATGTTTTTCATAAGAATTGACGATCTTTCCACATCAGAAATAAGTTTTGCTACTGAAAACAGATTTTCTCATTTTTGGACATTAGTTTTTTAAAAAATGTTAATAGAGAAGTCAATTGATTATTTTTACTGATAAGAAAGTAGGAAATGTATAGCTGGGTCAGAGGCCACATTGTGGATACCATTATCCTTACTTTTGCAGAGAGGAACAGTTTGCTCCAAGTAGTTTCTCATTTCAGTGTAAAGAGGTTTGAAAACAATGACATGCCATGATACACATTTAGTAATAATTTATTGATAAGTATTTTGTTTCTGGAGAAATAGTTCAGTATATTTCCCCTATTTCACCATTACTACTGTTTCAAACATTATAAAGAGGAAATAAAAGTTACCGCAATGGCAAATAATCTCATGATTTCTAAGAAAATCTCTATAAGTTGTATCTTATTTACCATTCATATTTTGAAACAAAAGGTTTCTTTTGTATTTATATATTTACACCACAGAAGTAAGTGTGGTTTTGTGGAGGATCACTAGAAGTAGCATCAGCAGACCTGGGGAAAATCCTGCATCTGTGTATATTTTTTGACCTCTCCTTTTAAGAATCGCGATCTTAAATGAGTTCAGTGTTATATGTAGAAGTGGAATGCCTAGATACAGATGTGTACAGTGTAGAAGGGTACAGTGCTTAGATTTGACAGTTATAAATAAATGTAATTCTTATAACTGAGTATAGAAATATTAGAAATGTAGAATATCGGTAAAATGTTCTTCAGTAAAAGAACTTTAAGAACTTTGAGAAATTGCTTCTGTCCAAATATATGCATAGCTAAGGCTCTTAGGATGGTGTGGTTGATAGGTTAGATATCAGAGTGTAAACCTAATCTTAAAAATGTAGTCAAATTGTTAATCTTATATTTTATGCCTCTGGGTTTTTTGTAACTCAGAAAAAGGCTTTTTTAATTCTGGGATTCTTAAAAATCCTCTAGTGATTTATTTTTCATCGTCTTTAAATAAATATTTAAACTTTTAGGAATTTAGGAGCAGATTCCTAAAAGTTTAAATATTTATTTAAAGGCGATGAAAAATAAATCACTGGAGGAATTTACACTCTTATTAGGTTTGAAGTTTTGTCCAATTTTTTTCCAGTTAAATATCCACTATGGGGATTCTTTCATTATACAAATACATGTTATTTTTGAATTTCAGAAGAAATAATGATATGTCAATCTATTGAGTGCTAACTAAAAGTTCTCTTTGTTTACTTAGCTTTCTCTTAGTTGTAAGAAAGAAAAAGACTTCTTGCATGAAAATAGTACGTTGCGGGAAGAAATTGCCATGCTAAGACTGGAGCTAGACACAATGAAACATCAGAGCCAGCTAAGAAAAAAGAAATATTTGGAGGATATTGAAAGTGTGAAAAAAAAGAATGATAATCTTTTAAAGGCTCTACAATTGAATGAGCTCACCATGGATGATGATACCGCCGTGCTCGTCATTGACAACGGCTCTGGCATGTGCAAGGCCGGCTTTGCGGGCGACGATGCCCCCCGGGCTGTCTTCCCTTCCATCGTGGGGCGCCCCAGGCAGCAGGGCATGATGGGGGGCATGCATCAGAAAGAGTCCTATGTGGGCAAGGAGGCCCAGAGCAAGAGAGGCATCCTGACCCTGAAGTACCCCATGGAACACGGCATCATCACCAACTGGGATGACATGGAGAAGATCTGGCACCACACCTTCTACAACGAGCTGCGTGTGGCCCCTGAGGAGCACCCCATCCTGCTGACCGAGGCCCCCCTGAACCCCAAGGCCAACCGCGAGAAGATGACCCAGATCATGTTTGAGACCTTCAACACCCCAGCCATGTACGTGGCCATCCAGGCCATGCTGTCCCTGTACACCTCTGGCCGTACTACTGGCATCGTGATGGACTCTGGTGACGGGGTCACCCACACTGTGCCCATCTATGATGGGAATGCCCTCCCCCATGCCACCCTGCGCCTAGACCTGGCTGGGCGGGAACTGACTGACTACCTCATGAAGATCCTCACCGAGCGTGGCTATAGGTTCACCACCATGGCCGAGCGGGAAATCGTGCGTGACATCAAAGAGAAGCTGTGCTATGTTGCCCTGGACTTCGAGCAGGAGATGGCCATGGCGGCCTCCAGCTCCTCCCTAGAGAAGAGCTACGAGCTGCCCGATGGCCAGGTCATCACCATCGGCAACGAGTGGTTCCGCTGCCCCGAGGCGCTCTTCCAGCCTTGCTTCCTGGGCATGGAATCCTGTGGCATCCATGAAACTACCTTCAACTCCATCATGAAGTCTGATGTGGACATCCGCAAAGACCTGTACACCAACACAGTGCTGTCTGGCGGCACCACCATGTACCCTGGCATGGCCCACAGAATGCAGAAGGAGATCGCTGCCCTGGCGCCTAGCATGTTGAAGATCAGGATCATTGCTCCTCCCAAGCGCAAGTACTCCGTGTGGGTCGGTGGCTCCATCCTGGCCTCGCTGTCCACCTTCCAGCAGATGTGGATCAGCAAGCAGGAGTATGATGAGTCAGGCCCCTCCATTGTCCACCGCAAATGCTTCTAGGTGGACTCTGACTTAGTTGCGTTACACCCTTTCTTGACAAAACCAAACTTCTCAGAAAACAACATGAGATTGGCATGGCTTTATTTGTTTTCTTGTTTCATTTTTTGTTTTGTTTTTTATTGGCTTGACTCAGGATTTAAAAACCGGAATGGTGAAGGTGACAGCAGTCGGTTGGAGGAAGCTTCCTCCAAAGTTCTACAATGTGGCCAAGGACTTTGATTGTACATTGTTCTTCTTTTCAATAGTCATTCCAAATATTGTGAGACGCATTGTTTCAGGAAGCCCCTTGCCCTGCTAAAAGCCACCCCACTTCTCTCTAAGGAGAATGGCCCAGTCCTCTCCCTAGTTCACACAGGGGAGGTGATAGCATTGCTTTTGTGCAGATTACATAATGCAAAATTTTTTGAATCTTCGCCTTAATACTTTTTAATTTTGTTTTATTTTGAATGATCAGCCTTCGTGGCCCCCCTCTTTTGTACCCCAACTTGGGGTGTATGAAGGCTTTTGGTCTCCCTGAGAGTGGCTGGAGGCAGCCAGGGCTTACCTGTACTCTGACTTGAGGAGAGTTGGATAAAAGTGCACACCTTAAAAAAAATTGAGGAAGCACAGTATTTCAGTACAGTGGACAGCTTAGCATGTTGACAACTGAGAATAAAATGCTCAGTTCTGAACTGGACAATGTAAGACACAACGAGGAAACACCGGAAATGGAAATTCAATTACGTCATTGTAGACTGGCTGCTGCTCTACATGATTGTGACCAAAGTCAGATAGCTGAAAGAGACTTCTTTCCAGAGAACAAGACATGAACAGGTTTATTTACAGAAGACAATGAATTCTCATTTATCTCACCTAAAAGAGAACAGATTCTTTCTCAACAAGTCTAACGTAGACAGTAAAATCAACAGGCTAAAAATTAAGCTCCATGAAACAAGATAAAACTCTGAGAGAAAAGACGGGGCAGGCCGCCATCTTTCCCGTTCAGGCAACTTAGTCATTCCAGCCTGCGGGCTTTGGAGAGTACAAACCGACGAGGGACAGAAGAGATCCCACAGCACAGCATAGCTGCTTTACCAAATCATGGCCAGACTGCTTCTGTAAGCAGGCCCCTGATCCTGTTCCATCTCACTGGACAGGACCTCCCAACTGGGGCCTCCAGCTACCCCCACCAGCATTCCTTGGCCAATGGAAATGTGAAATGTTCCTGGGACAGAGCTCCCGGAGAGGGGCAGGCCCCCACCTTTGCTCTTTCGGTGACTAGCCATTCTGGCCTGCGGGCTTTGGAGAGCCCAAGCTGACAAGGGGTGGAAGAGGTACCTCAGCACAGCACAGCCACGCTACCAAAACGTGGCCAGACTCTTGTTTACGTCAGTCCCTGACCACATTTCTAGTCAGTGGGTGAAGTCTTTCAACCAGGGTCTCTGGCTACCTTGACTGCTGTTCTCTGGCCGACAGAGGTCTCAGGCCTCCCTGAGTCAGAGCTCCCAGGGGGAGGACCAGATTGTCATCTTTGCTGTTGGGGCGACCCAGGCATTTCAGCCTTAGGGCTTCAGAGTGTCTGAGGCGGACCAGGGGCTGAAGTGAACCCCCAGCACAGCACAGCTGCTCTATAAAAACGTGGCCAGACTTTTCTTTTTGAAGCAAGTCCCTGTTCTTGTTCGTCCTGACTAGGTAAGACTTCTCAACTTGCCTCCAGCCACATCTTATAGGTGTGTTCAGATTGGCAACAGGTTCGTACCTCAGTGGTACAGAGCTTCCAGAGGAAGGGGCAGACTATCATCTTCCCTGGAAAATACAAGGCAATTAGGGACTGGAGGGGACCCCCAGCATACCACAGCAGCCCTACAGAAAAGTGGCCAGGCTCTCTACTTGATGGGCAGATCCTCCTGGCCTGGGTCTCTAGCCAGCCCACCACTGGAGCTATCAAGCCAGTAGCAACTCTGCAGTTCCTGGGACAGAGCTTCCAGGAGCAAATGAAATCCTTTCTGCCACTGCCTCTGCAGTGGAACTGCCCTTGCTGCCCTCAGAAGATGCAAGGGAGCAAAGACCCTAAGTGCCCTATCAACACCTCCAATAAGCTGCAGTTGACCCAAAGAACAAGCCAGTCCATCTCCCACGGGTACCACACACCCTCCACTACTCATCACCAGACAGGGAACCCTGGCTTGGGCCCACAGCACAGACCCTCCATCCTGGGCTGATTACACTAAGTGATTGCTAACTCACATGTCTCTGGGATGGAGCACCCAGGAAACAAGCAAAGTGGTGGAGCAGCAAGTCAGGTGATGTGGAGCCCAGAGGTCAGGGATGGCTGTCTCTCTAGGGTCCACTTGCCCTTGTGAGACACTTTATCCCAGCACTTTAGGAATACTGAGGTCATACCAGCCACATCTTATATGCAAGATTGCCCAGCAGAGATCAGGTCCGAGAGTTCCCTTTTTAAAAAAAGGAGACTTGCTTAATAAAAGAAGTCTAGCCACGTTTGTGTAGAGCGGCTGTGCTGTGCTGGGGGTTCACTTTTGAGAGAGTTCTCCTCTGAGACCTGATCTCTGGAGGCTGGGCAATCTTGCACTTGAGATGGGGCTGGTCTGATCTCAGCACTCCTTAGTCTGCTCGCCTCTCCCATGGCCCCAGCCTGGCCACACCTGCTTACGGGGCACTCTTAGATGCCCACACCATAGCTTCCGTGCTAGTGGACTGTACCATATCAGTGGAGAGCTGCAGCAAGGTGGCCCCTAGAGCCACGCACCAGCCTGCACATTGCCTCTCCATACGGCAGCCCTTTATTTGGAAACTTCCTAAATCACTTTGCTGTGTGTGTTTACACGGGTGGGTTTTGCTTTACTTGCCCTGAGAGCACACAGGAGTGCAGCACACACCCCAACCCACATCAACTGCCATTAAAGAAAAGAAATTTCAGCCCAGAATTTCATGTCCAGCAAAATTAAGCATCATAAGTGAAGGAGAAATAAGATCCTTTTCAGACAAGCAAGTGCTGAGGGAATTTGGTATCACCAGATCTACCTTACGAGAGCTCCTGAAGGAAGCACTAAATATGGAAAGAAAAGATCATCACCTGCTACTACAAAAACACACTGAAGTACACAGTCCAATGATGCTAAAAAGCAAGCACATATGTAAGTCTGCAAAATAACCAGCTGACAGCATGACGACAGGATAAAATCCACACATACCATTACTAACCTTAAATGTAAATGGGCTAAATGCTCCCATTGAAAGACACGGGGCAAGCTGGGTAAAGAACCAAGACCCACTGGAGTATGCCGTCTTCAAGCAACCCATCTCACGTGCAGTGCCATACATAGGCTCAAAATAAAGGAATGGAGAAAAATATTTCAAGCAAATGGAAAACAGAAAAAAGGTGTTGCACTCCCAGTTTCTGACAAAACAGACTCTACCAATAAAGATAAAAAAAGAGAAGGACATTACAAAGGTGGTCCTGACCTTTGATAAATCTCATTATTGCTTGATACCAACCTGGGCTATTTGTATTGCCCAAACCAATAGGATAATTTGCTGAGGTTGTGGAGCTTCTCCCCTTCACAGAGTCCCTGATCTCCGAAAATTTGGTTGAGATGTAAGGTTGATTTTGCTGTACAACTCCTTTTTTGAAGTTTTACTCATTTCCAACAAGGAAGGCAAGTTTTCCTGCTTCCATTGACAAAGGAGAGCAGGCACCTCCTTTCCTGAGTTTCAGCTTGCTTCTGACAGGGAAGGTGAGTGTAAGTTTTTCCAGCTTCTAAGATGGCAGAGAATGATCACCCAGTCTGAGCCTTATTTCCAGGTAAGTAGCTGAATTAGAGTTTTGTCTTAAAATTTTTCCTTAATGACTAAAATTTAAGATTACCCACCAGCTGCTTTTAATTCCTCCTTACCATTAGAACACTCAGTTAATCATATGAATTGTGCATTTGTTTGTTTTGCTTAACTCTTTTTGTTTATGTTTGGGGTTTTATTGTTGTTTCACTTTTCTCCCATCTCTTCCTGACTTGGTCAAATCCAAAGGAATGTTCCAAATTGTGGGGAGCAAGGCATCTGAATTGGCTAAAACTCCTGGGGCTGCAAAACAAAAACAAAAACAAAACAAAACAAAAAAACAACAAAAAAAAAAACCACAAAAAACAAAAAAAAATCCAGTTGGAAATTTTTTAAAACTTTTTTTTAATTTTTAAATTTTATTATTATACTTTAAGTTTTAGGGTACATGTGCACAATGTGCAGGTTTGTTACATATGTATACATGTGCCATGTTGGTGTGCTGCACCCATTAACTCGTCATTTAACATGAGGTATATCTCCTAATGCTATCCCTCCCTGCTCCCCCACCCCACAACAGTTCTCGGTGTGTTATGTTACCCTTCTGTGTCCACGTGTTCTCATTGTTCAGTTCCCACCTACGAGTGAGAACATGAGGTGTTTGGTTTTCTGTTCTTGTGTTTGTTTGCTGAGAATGATGATTTCCAGCTTCATCCATGTCCCTGCAAAGGACATGAACTCATCCTTTTTTATGGGTGCATAGCATTCCATAGTGTATATATGCCACATTATCCAGTCTATCATTGATGGGCGTTTGGGTTGCTTCCAAGTGTTTGCTGTTGTGAACTGTGCCGCAGTAAACATACGTGTGCATGTGTCTTTATATTAGAATGATTTATTATTTTTTCAGTATATACCCAGTAATGGGATTGCTGGGTTAAATGTATTTCTAGTTGTAGATCCTTGAGGAATTGTCACACTGTCTTCCACAATGGATGAACTAATTTATACTACCACCAAGAGTGTAAAAGCGTTCCTATTTCTCCACGTCCTCTCCAACATCTGTTGTTTCCTCATCTTTTAATGTTGGCCATTCTAAGTGGTGTGAGATTGTATCTCATTGTGGTTTTGATTTCCGTTTCTCTAATGACCAGTGATGATGTGGTTTGCTTCACATGTTCTTTAGCTGCATAAATGTCTTATTTGGGAAGTGTCTGTTCATATGTTTTGCCCATTTTTTGATGGGGTTGTTTTTTTTCTTGTAAATTTGTTTAAGTTCTTTGTAGATTCTGCATATTAGCCGTTTGCCAGATGGATAGATTGCAAAAATTTTCTCCCATTCTGTGGGTTGCCTGTTCACTCTGATGATAGTTTCTTTTGCTCTGCAGACACTCTTTAGCTTAATTAGGTTCCATTTGTCAATTTTGGCTTTTGTTGCCATTGCTTTTGGTGTTGTAGTGATGAAGTCTCTGCCCATGCCTATGTCCTGAATGGTATTGCCTAACACAAGGACATTTCTGTGCCTGAGTGCCATACCACCCAAAGTGATTTATAGATTCAGTGCTATCCCCATCAAGCTACCATTGACTTTCTTCACAAAATTAGAAAAACTACTTTAAATTTCATATGGAACCAAAAAAGAGTCTACATAGCCAAGACAATCCTAAGCAAAAAGAACAAAGCTGGAGGCATCACAGTACCTGACTTCAAACTATTCTACAAGGCCACAGTAACGGAAACAGCATGGTACTGGTACCAAACCAGATATATAGACCAATGGAATAGAACAGAGGCCACAGAAATGGCACCACACATGTAAAACCACCACATCTTTGACAAAACTGACAAAGGTAAGCACTGGGGAAAGGATTGCCTATTTAATAAATGGTGTTAGGAAAACTGTCTAGCCATATGCAGCAAACTGAAACTGGGCCACTTCCTTACACTTTATACAAAAATTAACTTAAGAAGGATAAAAGAGTTAAATGTAAGACCTAAAAGCAAAAAATCTAGAAGAAAATGTAGGCCACCAACCTCAGGGGAAATGTACTTGTAGTGAAATGCATGGTACAAACACACATTCCCTACTTCCTTGAGTGGGTGAGGTTGGTGGCTGGTCCATCTGCTCCAAGTGGACCCTTACAGATGTGGCTGGTTGCTCTTTGAGCCAGCTTGGCCTTGCCCAGCATGCACAAGCATCAGTGAATAACTGTGCTATAAATGGAGCCACATAGAGGAAATGAGCAGCAGGCTCAAGACCATGGTGTGCACTGCCTTTGGGGCTCCAGTCCGTGCCTCAGGGATGGTATGGCACTGCGAGCTTCTTGGTTGCCAAGAGGCAGACCACAGGCCATCTTGAGGAGGACTTTATGTTCAAGTGCAGAAAACAGCCAGGATTACCACCCAGGGGACTTGGCCTTCTGTGGCCGTGGCCAGACTTAGAATTTGTGTCAAGGCATGGCAAGCTCACTCGGAGCAGCGTGTTGGTACCTGGGGCCTGTGCATGCCAGGGAAGGCCAGGCTGGCTCAAAGAGCAACCAGCCACCTCTGCAAGGGTGCGCCTGGACCAGGTGGACTAGCCACCAACCTCACCCACAGAAGGAAGCAGGGATGACCAGGTTACGAGAGCCTGAGTAGCTGCCACCTGAGGGCTGATGGAGCAGAGGCCTGAGGAAAATCAGATGGCACGTTTAACTGTTTAATGGATCTTAAGTTAATTTTTCTATAAAGCAGATGTCACCAGTCCATGCCTCAGAGCTCATATGGCACTGCAGACCACAGAAGGCCGAGTCCCCTGGGTGGCAATCCTGGCTGCTTTCTGCACTTGAACATAAAGTCCTCCTCAAGATGGCCTGTGGTCTGCCTCTTGGCCCTACCTTTAGGGTAGAAGAACCAATGTACCATGTTTGGCAGCAAGTGAGGTTGGTGGCTGGTCCGGTTGCTCCTGGCACACCCTCGCAGAGGTGACTGGTTGCTCTTTGAGCCAGCTTGGCCTTGCCTGGCATGCACAAGCCTCAGTGCAACAACAGTGCTACAAATGGAGCCACAGAGAGGAAACAAGCAGCAGGCTCAGGAGCAGGGTGTGCGCTGCCTTTGGGGCTGCAGTCCATGCCTCAGGCGTCATATGGCACTGCGGGCTTCTTAGTTGCCAAGAGGCAGACCACAGGCCGTCTTGAGGAGGACTTCATGTTCAAGTGCAGAAAGCAGCCAGGATTACCATCCAGGGGACTCGGCCTTCTGTGGCCCTGGCCAGACTCAGAATTTGTGCCAAGGCAGGACAAGCTCACTCGGAGCAGCGTGTCAGTAGCTGGGACCTATGCATGCCAGGCAAGGCCAAGCTGGCTCAAAGAGCAACCAGCCACCTCTGCAATGGTGCAACTGGACCAGTTGGACCAGCCACCAGCTTCACCCACTGAAGGAAGCAGGGATGGCCAGGTTCCAACAGCCGGAGTGGCTGTCTCCTGATGGCTGATGGAGCAGAGGCCTTAGGAAAAGCAGATGGGCCTGTGGCCCTACCTTTAGGGTAGAAGTACTGATGTGCCATGTGTGGCAGCAAGTGAGGTTGGTGGCTGGTGCAGCGGCTCCTGGCACACCCTCGCAGAGGTGACTGGTTGCTCTTTGAGCCAGCTTGGCCTTGCCCAGCGTGAACAAGCCTCAGTGCAACCTCTCTGCTACATATGGAGCCACAGAGAGGAAACGAGCAGCAGGCTCAGGAGCAGGCTGTGCGCTGCCTTTGGGGCTCCAGTCCAAGCCTCGAGTCGTATAGCACTGTGGGCCTCTTGGTTGCCTAGAGGCAGAAAACAGGCCATCTTGAGGAGGACTTTATGTTCAAGTGCAGAAAGCAGCCAGGATTACCATCCAGGGGACTCAGCCTTCTGTGGCCCCGGCCAGACCTTGCAGAGGTGGCTGGTTGCTCTTTGAGCCAGCTTCATCTCCCTTGCATGCACAGGCCCCAGGTACTAACACGCTGCTCTGAGTGAGCCTGTCCTGCCTTGGCTGCCACCTAATTGCTGATGGAGCAGAGGCCTTAGGAAAAGCAGATGGCACTGTGGCCCACCTTCAGGGTAGAAGAACTGATGTACCATGTCTGGCCACTAGTTGGTGACTGGTGCACCTGCTCCTGGCACACCCTTGCAGAGGTGGCTGGTTGCTGTTTGAGCCAGCTTGGCCTTGACCGGCATGCACAAGTCTCAGTGCAACAACTGTGCTACAAATGGAGCCACAGAGAGGAAATGAGCGGCAGACTTAGGAGCAGGGTGTGCGCTGCCTTTGGGGCTCCAGTCCATGCCTCGGGTCGTATGGCACTGCAGGCTTCTTAGTTGCCAAGAGGCAGACCACAGGCCGTCTTGAGGAGGACTTCATGTTCAAGTGCAGAAGGCAGCCAGGATTACCATCCAAGGGACTCAGCCTTCTGTGGCCCTGTCCAGACTTAGAATTTGTGTCAAGGCAGGAGAAGCTCACTCGGAGCAGCGTGTCAGTACCTGGGGCCTGTGCATGCCAGGCAAGGCCAAGCTGGCTCAAAGAGCAACGAGGCACCTCTTCAAGGGTGCGCCTGGACCAGTTGGACCAGCCACCAACCTCACCCACTGAAGGAAGCAGGGATGGCCAGGTTACAACACCCTGAGTGGCTGCCACCTGGGGGCTGATGGAGGAGAGGCCTGGGGAAAGTCAGATGGCACATTTAACTCTTTAATGGATCTTAAGTTAATTTATCTATAAAGCAGATGTCGCCAGTCCATGCCTCAGGCTTGTATGGCACTGCGGAGCACAGAAGGGCAAGTCCCCTGGGTGGTAATCTTGGCTGCTTTCTGCACTTGAACATAAAGTCCTCCTCAAGACGGCCTGTGGTCTGCCTCTTGGCCCTACCTTTAGGGTAGAAGAACCGATGTACCATGTCCGGCAGCGAGTGAGGTTGGTGGCTGGTCCGACTGCTCCTGGCACACCCTTGCAGATGTGGCTGGTTGCTGTTTGAGCCAGCTTGGCCTTGCCCAGCATGCACAAGCCTCAGTGCAACTACTCTGCTACAAATGGAGCCACAGAGAGGGAATGAGCAGCGGGCTCAGCAGCAGGGTGTGTGCTGCCTTTGGGGCTCCAGTCCATGCCTCAGGGGTCGTATGACACTGTGGGCTTCTTGGTTACCAGGAGGCACACAACAGGCCGTCTCGAGGAGGACTTCATGTTCAAGTGCAGAAAGCAGCCAGGATTACCATCCAGGGGACTCGGCCTTCTGTGGCCCTGGCCAGACTCAGAATTTGTGCCAAGGCAGGACAAGCTCACTCGGAGCAGCGTGTCAGTACCTGGGGCCTGTGCATGCCAGGCAGGGCCAAGCTGGCTCAAAGAGCAACCAGCCACCTCTGCAAAGGTGTGCCAGGAGCAGGTGGACCAGCCACCAACTTCAGCCACTGAAGGAAGCAGGGATGGCCAGGTTCCAAGAGCCTGAGTGGCTGTCTCCTGATGGCTGATGGAGCAGAGGCCTTAGGAAAAGTAGATGGCCCTGTGGCCCTACCTTTAGGGTAGAAGTACTGATGTGCCATGTCCGGTAGCAAGTGAGGTTGGTGGCTGGTGCAGCGGCTCCTGCCGCACCCTTGCAGAAGTGACTGGTTGCTCTTTGAGCCAGCTTGGCCTTGCCTGGCATGCACAAGCCTCAGTGCAACAACAGTGCTACAAATGGAGCCACAGAGAGGAAACGAGTGGCAGACTTAGGAGCAGGGTGTGCGCTGCCTTTGGGGCTCCAGTCCATGCCTCGGGTCCTATGGCACTGCGGGCTTCTTGGTTGCCAAGAGGCAGACCACAGGCTGTCTTGAGGAAGACTTTATGTTGAAGTGCAGAAAGCAGCCAGAATTACCACTCTGGGGACTCGGCCTTCTGTGGCCCTTGCCAGACTTAGAATTTGTGTCAAGGCAGGACAAGCTCACTTGGAGCAGTGTGTTAGTACCTGGGGCCTGTGCATGCCAGGCAAGGCCAAGCTGGCTCAAAGCGGAACCAGCCACCTCTACAAGGGTGAGCCTTGACCAACTGGACCAGCCACCAGCTTCACCCACTGAAGGAAGCCGGGATGGCCAGGTTCCAACAGCCTGAGTGGCTGTCTCCTGATGGCTGATGGAGCAGAGGCCTTAGGAAAAGCAGATGGCCTTGTGGCCCTACCTTTAGGGTAGAAGTACTGATGTGCCATGTCTGGCAGCAAGTGAGGTTGGTGGCTGGTGCACCGGCTCCTGGCGCACCCTTGCAGAGGTGACTGGTTGCTCTTTGAGCCAGCTTGGCCTTGCCTGGCATGCACAAGCCTCAGTGCAACAACAGTGCTACAAATGGAGCCACAGAGAGGAAACAAGCAGCAGGCTCAGGAGCAGGGTGTGCGCTGCCTTTGGGGCTGCAGTCCATGCCTCAGGCGTCATATGGCACTGCGGGCTTCTTAGTTGCCAAGAGGCAGACCACAGGCTGTCTTGAGGAGGACTTCATGTTCAAATGCAGAAAGTAGCCAGGATTAGCATCTAGGGGACTCGGCCTTCTGTGGCCCTGGCCAGACTTAGAATTTGTGTCAAGGCAGGACAAGCTCACTTGGAGCAGTGTGTCAGTAGCTGGGCCTATGCATGCCAGGCAAGGCCAAGCTGGCTCAAAGAGCAACCAGCCACCTCTGCAAGGGTGTGCCAGGAGCAGGTGGACCAGCCAGCAACCTCAGCTACTCAAGGAAGCTGGGATGGCCAGGTTCCAACAGCCTGAGTGGCTGCCTCCTGATGGCTGATGGAGCAGAGGCCTTAGGAAAAGCAGATGGCCCTGTGGCCCTACCTTTAGGGTAGAAGTACTGATGTGCCATGTCCGGTAGCAAGTGAGGTTGGTGGCTGGTGCACCGGTTCCTGGCGCACCCTTGCAGAAGTGACTGGTTGCTCTTTGAGTCAGCTTGGCCTTGCCCGGCATGCACAAGCCTCAGTGCAACAACAGTGCTACAAATGGAGCCATAGAGAGGAAACGAGCAGCAGGCTCAGGAGCAGGGTGTGCGCCGCCTTTGGGGCTCCAGTCCATGCCTCGAGTCATATAGCACTGCGGGCTTCTTGCTTGCCTGGAGGCAGACCACAGGCCGTCTTGAGGAAGACTTTATGTTCAAGTACAGAAAGCAGCCAGGATTACCATCCAGGGGGGCCTTCTGTAGCCGTGGCCAGACCTTGCAGAGGTGGCTGGTTGCTCTTTGAGTCAGCTTGGCCTCCCTGGCATGCACAGGCCCCAGGTACTAACATGCTGCTCCGAGTGAGCTTGTCCTGCCTTGGCTGCCACCTAATTGCTGATGGAGCAGAAGCCTTAGGAAAAGCAGATGGCACTGTGGCCCACCTTTAGGGTAGAAGAACTGATGTACCATGTCCGGCCGCTAGTGGGTGAGTGGTGCACCTGCTCCTGGCACACCCTTGCAGAGGTGGCTGGTTGCTCTTTGAGCCAGCTTGGCCTTCCCTGGCATGCACAAGCCTCAGTGCAACAACTGTGCTACAAACGGAGCCACAGAGAGGAAATGAGCAGCAGGGTCAGGAGCAGGGTGTGCTCTGCCTTTGGGGCTCCAGTCCATGCCTCAGAACTCGTATGGCACTGCAGGCTTCTTGGTTGCCAAGAGTCAGACAACAGGCCATCTTGAGGAGGACTTTATGTTCAAGTGCAGAAAGCAGCCAGGATAACCTTCCAGGGGACTTGGCCTTCTGTGACCCTGGCCAGACTCAGAATTCGTGCCAATGCAGGACAAGCTCACTTGGAGCAGTGTGTCAGTAGCTGGGGCCTATGCATGCCAGGCAGGGCCAAGCTGGCTCAAAGAGCAACCAGCCACCTCTGCAAAGGTGTGCCAGGAGCAGGTGGACCAGCCACCAACTTCAGCCACTGAAGGAAGCAGGGATGGCCAGGTTCCAAGAGCCTGAGTGGCTGTCTCCTGATGGCTGAT
Source organism: Homo sapiens (assembly GCF_000001405.40). Lineage (NCBI taxonomy): Eukaryota > Metazoa > Chordata > Mammalia > Primates > Hominidae > Homo > Homo sapiens. The sequence continues at coordinate 130,451,126 of NC_000002.12, read as the reverse complement.
GGAGCAGAGGCCTTAGGAAAAGTAGATGGCCCTGTGGCCCTACCTTTAGGGTAGAAGTACTGATGTGCCATGTCCGGTAGCAAGTGAGGTTGGTGGCTGGTGCAGCGGCTCCTGCCGCACCCTTGCAGAAGTGACTGGTTGCTCTTTGAGCCAGCTTGGCCTTGCCTGGCATGCACAAGCCTCAGTGCAACAACAGTGCTACAAATGGAGCCACAGAGAGGAAACGAGTGGCAGACTTAGGAGCAGGGTGTGCGCTGCCTTTGGGGCTCCAGTCCATGCCTCGGGTCCTATGGCACTGCGGGCTTCTTGGTTGCCAAGAGGCAGACCACAGGCTGTCTTGAGGAAGACTTTATGTTGAAGTGCAGAAAGCAGCCAGGATTACCACTCAGGGGACTCGGCCTTCTGTGGCCCTGGCCAGACTTAGAATTTGTGTCAAGGCAGGACAAGCTCACTTGGAGCAGCGTGTTAGTACCTGGGGCCTGTGCATGCCAGGCAAGGCCAAGCTGGCTCAAAGCGGAACCAGCCACCTCTACAAGGGTGCGCCTGGACCAGTTGGACCAGCCACCAGCTTCACTCACTGAAGGAAGCCGGGATGGCCAGGTTCCAACAGCCTGAGTGGCTGTCTCCTGTTGGCTGATGGAGCAGAGGCCTTAGGAAAAGCAGATGGCCTTGTGGCCCTACCTTTAGGGTAGAAGTACTGATGTGCCATGTCTGGCAGCAAGTGAGGTTGGTGGCTGGTGCACCGGCTCCTGGCGCACCCTTGCAGAGGTGACTGGTTGCTCTTTGAGCCAGCTTGGCCTTGCCTGGCATGCACAAGCCTCAGTGCAACAACAGTGCTACAAATGGAGCCACAGAGAGGAAACAAGCAGCAGGCTCAGGAGCAGGGTGTGCGCTGCCTTTGGGGCTGCAGTCCATGCCTCAGGTGTCATATGGCACTGCGGGCTTCTTAGTTGCCAAGAGGCAGACCACAGGCCGTCTTGAGGAGGACTTCATGTTCAAGTGCAGAAAGTAGCCAGGATTAGCATCTAGGGGACTCGGCCTTCTGTGGCCCTGGCCAGACTTAGAATTTGTGTCAAGGCAGGACAAGCTCACTCGGAGCAGCATGTTGCTACCTGGGGCCTGTGCATGCCAGGCAAGGCCAAGCTGGCTCAAAGAGCAACCAGTCACCTCTGCAAGGGTGCGCCTGTGGTCTGGAGGGTGGTGGCTCCCTGTGTTAGTCCTCCAAGCCCATATTTTCCTTCTGCACTGGCCTCACAGAGGTTTCCGAAGAAGCTCTGCCTCTGCAGCATGCTTCTGCCTGGAAACAATGGGAGGTAGTTTTGCAGGGTGGAAGCCTTCACCAATGGTTAAGCAGCATCTTCATGATGCTGACCTCGTGATAGTGATTTCTCATGAGATCTGCTTGTATAACATGATGTGGCACCTCTTTCCTCTCTCTGTCTTGCTCCTTCTCCTGCTGTATGAAACATCTCCTTGCCGCTTGGTCTTCTAGTAAGATTGGGAGCACCTGAGTCCTCCCAGAAGCAGAAACTACTATGCTTCCTTTGCAGCCTGCAGAACTGTGAGCCAATGAAACCTCTTTTCTTTTTGATCATACAGAAGGTTAGTACTGTGAAGGGAAGCTATGAAATTCCTTCAAGGTCTTTTCCCTATGAAATGCCTTCAAGGCCTTTTCCCCATTGTCTTGGCAAGCAGCACTCAGCTTCTTTTCATGCAAATATCTGAAGCCTATGTGAATTTTTTCCCTGAAAATGGACTTTTCTTCTTTTACCACATTGCCAGGCTGTGACACAGAGAGCTGATAATGTAGAAGCAGGTTCAGTAGTGGGTAAAAGACAGAGGTCGGGAGAGTTGGGAAAGCTTAAAAGACAGCAAGATGAGGAAAAGCTTGGACCACTGTAGAGAATTGTTAAATACTTGTGATCAGAAGGCTGACAGAAGGATGGACAGTGAAGGCCAGACTTAAAAGTTCTCGGATGAAAACCAGGAATTTCCTGTGAATAGGAGCCAATACTACATTTGATTTGCCCAACAGAGGCTGCACAGTGACCTTGCCCTGGAGATCTGTGAAACTATGAACTTGGGGGTGATGATTTAGGATGTATCTTGTGGAATGAACATCTGAGCAGCATAGCTCAAGAGGTGTCCTGTCTGCGTCGAACAGCCTGTGTTGTTATGTATGAGCTAAGAAATGACCTCAAGTTGGAACTTCTACTTAAATGAGAAGCGGAGCTTAAAAGTTTGGAAAATTTGCAGCCTAGTCAAGTGGTCAAAAAGAAAAGCTGATTTTCAGGGGGAAAATTCAATACGGCTTAGAGTATTTGCATAAAAAGGAGCTTAGTGCAAGTATCCAAGACAAAGGGTAAAAGGCCTTGGAGGCATTTCAGAGACCTTTGCAGTAGCCCTTGCTCTCACAGGCCCTGGGGCCTAACAGAGAAGAATGGCTTCCTGGGCCAGCTCCATGGCCCTGCTGCTGTGTGCATCCTCAGGACACTGCTGCCTGCATCCCTGCAGCCCCAGCTCCAGCCATGGCTGAATGATGCACAGGTACAGCTTGGGTCACTACTTCAGATGTGGCTCCAAGCCTTGATGGCTTCCACATAGTGTTAAGGCAGCAGGTGAAGAGAGCAAGAGACTAGAGGCTTTGGAGCCTCTTGTCTGGACTCCAGAGGATGTAGAGAAAAGCCTGGGTGTCCAGGCAGTAGCCTTTCCAAGAGGCTCATGGAAAACCTCTGCTAGGGCAGCAAAGAAGGGCCATGTAGGGTTGAAGCCCCCTCACAGGGAGGCTCCATTCTCCAAACCCCAGATTCATAGACCCACCAACATCTTGCACCCTCAGTGTGGAAAAGCTACAGGCATTCAAAACAGCCCTGTCCATGAGAGGCAGCTGTGGGTGCTGAACGCTGCGAAGCCACAGGTACAGATCTGCCCAAGGCCTTGGGAGCCCAGCCCTCACAGCCCTGTGCCATGGATGTGGGACGAGGATTCAAAAAGGATGATTTTGGAGCTGTCGGATTGAATGACTGGCCTGCTGGGTTTTGGATGTTCATGTATCCTGTGAGTCCCATCTGTGTTTTGTTTTTCTTTCTGGCATTTTTTTTCTACTGGCTGGGAATGCTTACCCATTGCATGTACAATCATTGTGCCTTGGAATTAGTTAACTTGCTTTATAATTCAGAAACTCAGGGGCAGATCGGACTGTAGCCTTGTCTCAGACGAGACTTTGGGCTTTGGACATTTGAGTAAATGCTGGAATTATTTAAGATTTGGGGGACTGTAGGGAAGGTATCATTGTATTCTGCAATGTAAGAAACAGGAGATTTGGGGGACCAGGGACAGAATAATATGATTTGGCTCTGTGTCCCTACCAAAGCTCATGTGGAATTGTAATGGGCAAAGTTAAAGGTGGGGACTGGTGGAAGGTGATTTAATCATGGTGGAGAGTGGAGTTTGGAAGGTGGGGGTGGTTGGGAGCATTGGGGGGGATTGTGTTGGGGTTGCGGGGAAAAGCAGAGGTGGGGGGCAGATTCTTCACAAATGGTTAAACACCATCTTTGTAATGCTGTCCTTCTGATAGTGAGTTTGCTTCATGGTTTAGGAGCTTTGAGATTTGAATACTGGCCTGCTGGGTTTTGGACGTGCATTGGGCCTGTGGTCCCATTTGTGTTATTTTTCTGGGAAATTTCTTCCCTTTGGAGTGAGAAAGCTTACCCAATGCCTGTACCATCATCGTACCTTAAAAGAACTCCATTTTAAGTTCAGGGACTCCTTGGCAGAAGAGACCGTAGCCTTGTATCAGGTAAGACTTTGAACTTCTTACATTTGAGTTAATGCTGGAATGAGTTAAGGCTTTTGTAAACATTTGAAAAGGCATGACTGTATTTTACTCTGTGAGAATGACATGAGATTCGGGGGAGGGGGTCAAGGTCAGAATAATATGGTTTGGCTGTGTTTCCCTAGAAAAACTCATGTGGAATTGCAATCCCGAATGTTGGAGGTGGAGCCTGGTGGGAGGTGATTTAATCATGGATGGGAGGTGGGTGGGGTTGGAGGGAAAAAGAGGTGGGTAGCGTGGTGAGGAGTAAGCTCGCTGTAGGGTGGTGGGAGGGTGGGGGTAGTAGGAAGGAGGAGTAGCCTGCTGCAGAGGCAGAGGCTCGTGGAAAACCTCTGCTAGGACTGTGCACCTGTGGCTTTGCAGGGTGTAGCCCCCGTGGCTGCTCTCATGGGCTGGGCTGGTGTTGAGTGCCGGTAGCTTTTCCATACTGAAGGTGCGAGCTGTTGATGGGTCTATGAATCTGGGCTCTGGAGGATGGTGGCCTCCTGCATAGGGGCTCCAAGCCCAAATTTTTCTTCTGCACTGCCATAGTACAGGTTTTCCAAGAGGCTCAGGCTCTGCCTCAGGCTTCTGTCCGGAAACAGGAGGGGGTGGAGGTGGGTTGGGGACGGATCCTTCACTAATGATTAAGCACCATCTTCTTGATGCTGACCTCGTGATAGTGAGTTCTCATGAACTTCCTCATAGTGTTAAGCCACTGGTTGGATGGAGCATGAGCCTAGGGGCTTGGGAGGCTCTGTATAGATTTTGGAGGATGTATGGAAATGTCTGGGTGTCTAGGCAAAAGCCTTCCTAAAAGGCAGAACCTCATAAGAAACCTCTACTAGGGCAGTGCAGAAGGAAAATATGGGGTTGGAGCCCCCACACTGGAGGCCACCATCATGAAGACCGCAGATTAATACACCCCGCAACAGCTTGTACCGTCAGTGGGTAAAAGCTACAGGCGCTCAACACCAGCCCAGCCCATGAAGACAGCCGTGGGGTATAAACCCTGCAAAGCCACAGGTGCAGAGCTGCCCAAGGCCTTGGGAGCCCAGCCCTTACATCCCTGTGCCCTGGATGTGGGACAAGGTTTCAAAAAGGGTAATTTTGGAGCTGTAGGATTGAGTGACTGGCCTTCTGGGTTTGGAGTTTCATGGGGCCTGTGAGTCCTTTCTGTGTTTTGTTCTTTCTGGCAAAATTATTCCTTTTGGCTGGGAATGCTTACCCATTGCCTGTATAAGCATTGTACCTTGGAAGTAGTTAACTTTCTTTATATTTCAGAGGCTCATGAGCCTAAGGGTCTGCAGCCTTGTGTTAGATGAGACTTTAAGCTTTGAACATTTGTATAAATGATGAAATGATATAAGACTTTGGGGGACTGTAGGGAAGCTATCATTGTAGTTTGCAATGTGAGAAGGACATGAGATTTGGGGAGCCAGGGAGAGAATAATAAAATTTAGCTCTGTGTCCCTACCAAAATTCGTGTGGAATTGTAATGGGGAATGTTAAAGGTGGGGCCTGGTGGAAGGTGATTTAATCATGGTGGAGAGTGGGGGTTGGGAGGTGGGGGATAGGGAGAATGGGGAGATTATGTTGGGGGTGAGGGGTGAAAAGTGATGGTGGCTCCTTCACAAATGATTAGACACAATCTCCTTATTTCTGTCCTTGTGATGGTGAGTTCTCTTCATGATTTTGGAGCAGTGAGATTGAATGGATACTGGTCTCCTGGGTTTTGGACTTGCATTGGTCCTGTGGTCCCATCTGTGTTATTTTGCTGGGAAATTTCTTCCCGTTGGACTGAGAAAGCTTACCCAATGGGTGTACCATCATTGTGTCTTAAAAGAACACCCTTTTAAATTCAGGGACTTATAGGCAAAAGGGACTGTAGGCTTGTCTCAGATGAGACGTTGAACCTTTTACATTTGAGTTAATGCTGGAATGAGTTAAGACTTTTGGCAACTTTTGAAAAGGTGTGATTGTATTTTGCTCTGTGAGAAGGACATGAGATTCAGAGGGGTCAGGGTCAGAATAACATGGTTTGGCTGTGTTTCCCTACAGAAACTCATGTGAATTGTAATCTTGAATGTTGGAGATGGGGCCTGGTGGAAGGTGATTTAACCATGGATGGGAGGGGGTTGGAGTTGGAAGGAAATAAAGTGGATAGTGTTGGGAGGAGTGGGTTGTCAGTAGGGTGGTGAGAGGATGGTGGGTATTAGGAAGCGGGAGTAGCCTGCTGCAGAGTCACATCCTCATGGAAAACCTCTGCTAGGGCAGTGCTCCTGTGGCTTTGCAGGCTTTAGCCCCCATGGCTGCTCTCATGGGCTGGGCTGGTGTTGAGTGCTTTTGCATACTGAGGGTGCGGGCTGTTGGTGGGCTTATGAATCTGGGGTCTGGAGGATGGTGGCCTCCTGTGTGGGGGCTCCAAGCCCATATTTCCCTTCTGCACTGCCATAGTAGAAGTTTCCCAAGAGGCTCTGCCTCTGCAGGAGGCTTCTGCCTGGAAACAGTAGGCGGTGGTGTGTGTGGTGGATCCTTCACCAGTGGTTAATCTTCTTGATGCTGATCTGATAGTGAGTTCTCATGTGATCTGGTTGTATAATGGGCTGTGGCACCTCTTTTCTCTCTGTGTCTTGCTTCTATTTCTGCCATATGAAACATCTCATTGCCACTTGGCCTTCTGATGTGGTTAGGAGGGGCCTGATCAGTGTGGGCCTGCTCAGTGGACCTAGTCAGTTGGGACTTGGTCAGTGAGGCCTGTTTAGTGGGAGCCTGGCCAGCAGGGGTCTGCTTAGGGAGGGTCTCATTAGGGGGATCCAGTAGTGGGGGTTTTGGCGAGTGGGGACCTATTGGCAGCCAGTTGTTTGGTGTCTGGTCAGTGCAGACCTGGGCTGTGGGGCTTGACCAGTGGCGACCTGGTCAGCTGGGCTTAGTGGTGGCCTGGTCAGCATGGGCTGGGTCACTGGTGACCAGGTCAAGGGCTGCTATTCAGTGGAGGACTAGTCACATGGGACCTAGTCAGCAGGGCCTGGTGGGCTTGTCCTCATCAGTGAGGCCCTTGTCAGTGGGGCCCTGATCAGGGCAGCCTGGTCAGTGGAACCTCATCAGTGGGGGCCTGGTCAGTGATGACTTGGTCAGTGGTGGCTTTTGTACCACTGGTCTACGGGGTGACCTGGTCAGCGGGGACCTGAGCAGTCGGTGCCTGTTCAGTGGGGCCTACTCACTAGGGTCCCAGTCAGGGGCATCTGGTCACCTCAGGCCTGGTTAGTAGGGGCCTGATCAGTGGCAGCCTGTTCCCTGGAGGCCTGGTCAGTGGGGCCTCATCTGTGGGGCCAGGTAGTGGGGTCATGATCAGTGGAATCTGATCAGTGATGCCTTGTCAGTAATGACCTTGTCAGTGAGGCCTTGTCAGTGGGGCCTTGTCAGTAAGGACCTGGTCAGTGAGGCCTTGTCAATAAGGTCCTGATCAGTGAGGTCTCAGTTAGGACCTGGTCCATGAGGCCTTGTCAGTGAGGCCTTGTCAGTAAGGACCTGGTCAGTGAGGCCTTGTCAATAAGGTCCTGGTCAGTGAGGACTTGTCAGTAAGGACCTGGTCCGTGAGGCCTTGTCAATAAGGTCCTGGTCAGTGAGGACTTGTCAGTAAGGAGCTCATCCATGAGGCCTTGTCAATAAGGTCCTGGTCAGTGAGGCCTTGTTAGTAAGGACTTTGTCAGTGAGGCCTTGTCAGTGAGGCCTGGTCAGTAAGGACCTGGTCAGTGAGGCCTTGTCAGGGAGGCCTGGTCAGTAAGGTCCTGTTCAGTGAGGCCTTGTCCATGAGGCCTTGTCAGTAAGGTCCTGGTCAGTGGAGTCATGGTCATTGTTGGCCTGGAAGCAGGGGTCTTGTTAGTGGGTCCTGGTGATGGGGATCTAATCAGTGAGGGTGTGGTCAGGGAAGACCTGATGTGTGGGGTCTGGTCAGCAGGAACCTGGTCAGTGGGGACTGCTGAGTGCTGCTTGGAGAAGCCAGGTGCATTGCACGTTATCAAGGGCCCTCTGGACAGCTGGGATGGCCCAGTGATGCCCAACGGCCTGGTCAAAAGTGGACAAAGCAGTTGTTTGGATGGACCTGGGAGATGTTGCTCAGAGATTCTGACAGGACAAAGGTGAAGAAAGGGTCAGAGTGTCTGGAGAGATGGTCACAGTCTATGGGCTGCACAGGATGGAGAAAGCCAGGGAACAGGCAGGGTGGGCAGTGCGGTGCAGGGAGAGGTAGGTGCATGGTGGGACGTCAGACCCTGTGAAGGCTGTGAGGGTGTCAGGTGGGTTGGGCTCCAGGTGCACCCTCAGTGCACTGGGTGGGTCTCACCCCAAGCTCCCTGGACCCCAGCCAGGTGATGTGGTCACTCCCTGGGGGACTGCTCTCAGGTCCCGGCTACCTACCCTGGGCAGCGCTGTCCCATCTCAGGACTGGACTTCCTCAGATCCTGTAGAGGGCACAGCCTCCACCCAGGAGGGGCAACCCCATGGTGCAGCCTGAGCTCTCCATGGGCCTGGAGCATCCCCTGCCAGCCTTGTGCTCCCCATTCTCCCAGGTCCCACTTTTCCAGTGTCAGCCAGCAGGGATGCCCCGTCCTCCCTTCCCCATGTGTCTCCTGGGCTGAAACTTGTGGCAGATTGGGACAGGGATGGTGCTTCCCTCAGGCCCATTTGGGGAGGGGACTGGCTCCCAGACTGGTGCAGGTCCTCAGCTCTGCCTCGATTGGCTTAGAGTGAGATGGATCAGTCAGTTCCCTGAAGGTGAAGATAAGAGACTGTCCCTGCTGTTGGGAGGCTAGTCTAGGGATGGAGGACGTAACAGGTCCTCCCAGGCTGTCAGGCCTGGGCAGCACTGTCTTGTCTTAGGACTCAGAAAGTCCAGTCCTGAGATGAGACAGTGCTGCCCAGGGTGGGTGTCTGGGACCTGACAACATTCCCCCAGTGATTGACCACATCACACATCCAGGGTCCAGTGAGCCTGGCCTCAGACGTGCCCAGTACACTGAAGGTGCACCTGGAGCCCGCTCCACCTGATGCCTCCACAGCCCTCGCAGGGCCTGACCTCCCAGCATGCACCTGCCTCTCCCTGCACCCCAGCTGTCCACCATGCCTGTTCCCTGACTTCCTCCATCCTGTCCAGCGGGATGGGATGGACATGGGGACAGCCTGTGTGCACATTTCGTGGCGAGTGGGAGTGACACACCATCTCTGGGAGGCACCATGGTTCCTGGCAAACCCGATCCCAAGACTCTGTCCTTGAGGTGGTTTTACCAAACCCCAAACCCAGAACTGCAGTTGTGGCTCAGGGGTCAGCTCCTGCTAGTGCCAGGACACTACTGGGAGGCTGGGACCCGACCAAAGCCCATGGTGCCTCTGGCCTGAGGACAAGGTGTCTTGGGACCATAAGGCCAGCCCACCAATGGCCATTGGGGGCTGAGCCCCAAATCATAGGGGCTCAGCCCCAATCTTTGTCCTTCCCTGGCTCTTTCTGGTTCAGTCCCATCAGGGCCCTGGATCCCAAGACTCAGCATCCAAGGTCCCCTCCAGGAATCCTGGCAGCTCAGCATACTTTATTCTGTTTCATCTGAGAGCAAAAATGTAAAATTGGATGCACAGAAAAGTGACTCAAAGTGCTTAATGACTAGAAGAAATCTAGGAGCAGCAAGAAGGTAATGTGGAGGGAGGGACCTCCATGACCGGTGTCTGCAGAGCCAGGGGTACAGGCACCCAGTGCTGTGGCCTGGCACCACCTGCATCTCAGAGGGTGGGTGGCACACTCCTTACCCAGAGGACAGCAGGCCTGGTCACCAGCTTTTCTACCTGTCCCTGTAAGCATCACATTGCTGGAGGAAAATCTCATGCCAGAGCTTGGACCATCCCTAGCTCAGGGGTTAGGGGTTGTCCCTTGGTGACCTAAATGAAAAAACAGGTCCAGAACAGAGTTCCTGATGCTGGACACTCATTCAGTCTTTGAATCGTGGGAGGGGAGGCCTGGTACTAGGTAGACCTAACCTCTTTGAGGAACCACAGAGCCCAAGGCTGGAAACCTCCAGAATCCTCCACCCCCTGATCCTCCCTGGGGACCCCTGTGGCCTGTCTCACTGAGCACTCTTCCATCTGTAGATGTCTGGGCTGCTGTACAAGGGAGTCCCCTTTCAGGTGTGGTGCTAGACATGGTCACTCCTGCTGGATGTCTAGGTGGTAGAAACCAAGGACCTAGGGAAATACCAGGTACAGCCTTTCCATGCTCATCCAGAGCAGGACAAACAGGCCAGGCGGTGTCAGGAGCCCAGGTCTCCAGCTGGAGGGAACGTCAACCCTTCGGTGGGAGCAGGGGCCCTTTGCACATCCTAGGCACAGATGGTAATGTAGACACCGCAGGTAAGCTGGGCTTGGTACCTACCCCTCCCCGGATTCAGAAAGAAACCAAACAAGGAGCTTTGTGCGGAATGAAACCTCCTTTCCTCCCAGAAGCACTGCTGACTGTTTGGTGGTTGCCATTTGTGGCAGTGAGCCTTTGTTTGTTCTGAGGTTGGGCTGGTTTCTCCTCTTGGCCCTGCCCTACAGATCATAAAGGAGAAGAGCAAGAGGTCCCCAGCAAACATCCACAGATGGCCTTGGAAATAAGTCACCTTGTGAGAAGCATGTCATGTTCTGGGAGGGATAAGGCATCAAGTAAGGCCTATGGGGTTGGAGGATCCCTGGGCAGGTGGGGCAATCCTTGGAGTCTTCCCATGGGAATAGGGAGGTCCTGAGGCAGAGGCAGGGGTTCCACAGGAGGAGTCACAGAGCTACCAAAGGCTCTCCTGTGCCAGGAAGCAGTCAACACCATGAACTGAACACCTGCTGGGCTCCAAGCCCTGGTCCAGGCTGGGGCATGTGGGGCCAGGAGGCAGCTCAGAGAGGGAGGCAGAGAGAAGTGTGCTGAGAGGGCACCCATTTCTGGGTGTAATGTGGTCCAGAGATTTTGGCTGGGAAGGGCTTCCAGAGTTTCATATGTGTTACGGAGCTGCTTCCTCTCCCTAGCCTCACCCTGCAGGAATGCCAGTGAACTTATTGCTGACATCTTGGAGCTCAGTACCCTCATAGTGTAACGGCGTCAGCAGATCTGCCTGTGCTGGGACTTCCTGTACTACCCATTCCTGAGGGGCGATGCTTCTGCAGGGCCTGTGACTTGGTGCACAACTTCAGACACCATCATCTTGCAGCAGCACCGCACCCTCACTAGCCAGGGTGTTGATGACTTCCTCAAGGCCAAGGCCACATTCAAGGCTTCGGACTTCATTGATGCGCTTGTGCTGAGCAAGGTGGCTTCTCCGGGATCTTAATTCAGGAGGTAGAATGGAGCTTGAGATCAAGTGTCTGATCAAGGTACTTGAACTTGATCTGGAGGGCTCTGGGGAGCCATGGAAGATGCTGGATAAAGGAGTGACAGTCAGCTATGTTTTCGAGATGACTGTAGAAGCCTGCCTGGAAGGAGTGAACAAGAGCCAGGAGACCAGGGAGGGAGCTTGTGGGGCAGGTCTGGAGATGGCGAGGGAGGGATCCTGCTTGGATGAAAGGTCTTCAGGGACTGTCTCAGGTTACACACAGGTGTCCTCAGAGCTAGTGTGTTCAGAGTCTTGCCTCCAGGATGAAAATGGGAAGGAGTTGTCAGACGAGGACATATAAATGGAGGCTGGCATATTCATGAGTGCTGGTGGTGGTCCCGGTGTGGGACTACTGTGGGAACAGGGGTCTCTCCATCCAGGGATATGATGGATGGACCCTACATCACTCCATTCTGCCCTTCCTTTCCCTCCTCCCATTCTCCCGAAAGCCTCAGTGTATGGGCGCTGTTCATCCTCTGGTGCTGAAGCAGCCAAGAGACCCAAGTCTGCCTGGCTGCCTCTTAGGATATGACAGCAGAGCCAGTGGCCTCTACTAGATCCTGTACAACCTCACAAAACACCCAGACATCGGGAGTGCTGCCAGCCTGTGATGCAAGAGTCCTAATCCTGAAGACATTGAATGGTGGGTGCAGGGCCTCATGGCCTGTTCCCCAGCCCCTCTCATTGGCTCTGCTCCGGGTGGTGAAGGGGGAAAATGTTTTTGTCAATTCTGTCATGATTGCCTAGCAAGAAAAGGAGCAGAACCCAGAAGCAGTAAAATCAGTTAGTAAAATCAGTTTTCTTTTCTGAACTACATTTCTGCCATCTCTAATTGAGGGGAATTCCTTCGACTCCACGAGGTTGCTTGGAGAATGACTGACAGTGTATGTAGAGCAGGTGCCAGCCAGCAGGCGTTTGGTGTCCAGACCACTCTTCCCCCTTGATTTTCTGCCTATATTTTCATTTTGTTCCCAAGACCCTCACTCCCCTTAATTTTGCTTTTCCCTCTGATTCCCACCTTATCTTCTTTCCCATGGATTCACCAGGATGTAAGTGGGTAACAGTCATCTATGCATGTATGTGTATGTATGTATGTTCTCTGTTGGTGTTGGAGTATGGTGTGTGTGTGTGAGAGAGAAAGAATGTGTGTGTGTGTGTGTGTGTGTGAGAGAGAGAGAATGTGTGTGTGTGTGTGTGTGTGTGTGTGTGTGTGTGTGTGTGTGTGTTGGGGTCACTGAGGGACTGAAACTCTCCACACCAGGCTGTGGTCCTGCTCACTGCTGGAGGCGCTGTCAGGGCTCTTGCCATTGACCCTCCAGGTCTCATTCTTGCAGTGCAGGCAGGGCATTCTGGAGGAATCATGTCCTTGGAAGAAGCCCTGAGGAGTGACTGGTGTGTATTGGTGGATAAATAACCCAGCTCCCTTGCTCTGGGTGGGATGACTCTGAGGCACATGTTCTATGCTGTCTCTCAGAGGTACCCGGCAGGGCTGAGTCCTGGCTGCCCACAGTGGAAACTTTCTTGATGAAGGTCCCTTTAACTGCTACATTCCATTCCTGTCTCAGTTCCCCACTCCTCTACTGGTGTTGCCTGCAATTAGTACTCTAAGGAAGAACTGGCAGTAGAATTACTGTCCTGGAGTCATCTCCAGATAAAATTTTTATACTTGAATCTTTGCCTCAGGATCTACTTCCAGGAAACTTAAACTAAGACACACATTTTTCTTTCCTCCAATCTTCATAGACCTGTCATTCTGCTGTTTTTACCAAAAAGGATCATGAGGATCAGAGAGGAAAAGTCATTTGCCCAAAGTCACACAGCTGAACAGTGGTGGAGTTCAACTTTGACCGTGGGCTGTCTGGCCCCAAGGTGTATGCTTGCTTCTCTCCCAAGAGACAACTTTCTTATCAGGCTCAAATGAATGAAAGGAGGATGTTAAAGGTAGGATCTCTGAAGCCTGTGCCAGTGGAACCGCAGCTCATGGCTGGCACCTGTGTTCTCATTCTTACCTCATTAAGAGTAAAGTTTATTGAGTTTATTGAATTTAAGTATCTTTAGTGAGATCATATATTATTAGTAAGAACTGGGACCAAACAGATTTTCTGACTCTAAAAGAGAGATTTTCACAGAAACAGATATATACCTGTAAGTATACAGACACGCATACACACATTTCTTTACTGCTCATAAAAATTAGTCCTTATTAGAATGTGGGATGTATAAATGTAAGAGAATTTTCATGTTAAAATTGACAGATACATTTTTAAATTGTCCTAAAATAAATTTAATTATTTTCCTTTTAGAATTTTCCATTATTAATGTTATTTTTATGAGAAACTATATAACTTTATTGATAATACATACAATAACCCTTTGTTTTTCAAATTGAAAATACAGTGTATTTTGCAAATAACTAAGTCCTAATTTTGTATTAAAATTTTAAATTTTCAATCTTTTTTATTATTATATTTTAAGTTCTGGGATACATGTGGAGAACGTGCAGGTTTGTTACATAGGTATACACATGACATGGTAGTTTGCTGCACCCATCAACCTCTCATCTACATTAGGCACTCATCTACATTCGGTGCTACATTATGATGTGGAGAAATAGGAACGCTTTTACACTGTTGGTGGGAGTGTAAATTAGTTCAACCATTGTGGAAGACAGTGTAGTGATTCCTCAAGGATCCAGAACCAGAAATACATCTGACCCAGCAATCCCATTACTGGGTATATACCCAAAGGATTATAAATCATTCTACTATAAAGACACATGCGCACATATGTTTATTGCGGCACTGTTCCCAATAGCAAAGACTTGAAACCAACCCAAATCCCCATCAGTGATAGACTGGATAAAGAAAATGTGGCACCTATACACCATGGAATACTCTGCAGCCATAAAAAAGGATGAGTTCATGTCCTTTGCAGGAACATAGATGAAGCTGGAAGTCATCATTCTCAGCAAACGAACACAGAAACAGAAAAACAAACACCACATGTTCTCACTCATAAGTGGGAGCTGAACAATGAGAACAAATGGACACAGGGAGGGGAACATCACATACCAGAACCTGTCAGTGGGTGGGGGGCTAGGGGAGTGGGGGAGGGATAGCATTAGGGGATTTAATAATTTTAAAATTCAATTCTGTTGAAATGTTTACTCCAAGAAGCAATGTGTTTTTGAGAGCTAATCCTGATATATTCAAATCTTAACGACTTAAGTTGATGGAGTGGACTTCTTTTAAATTAGTGATTCCCTAATTTACCTGACAGTTGGAATTTCCAGGCCATGTTGAAAATACAGATTATCCAGACTCTTACCTCTGCAGATGTATTTAGTGGTTCTAAAATGGCACCCAGGAGTCTGGATTTTTCCCAGGGGCCTTGTGTAATTCACACTGATGACCAGGCAAGTTTGGGAAATTGTGCCTTAAGGAGACTTTTCATTAAGCAGTCTTCATTTGAAAAGAGGATCATTTATCTTCTAATACCCCATGCTTCCTCTTTCTCCTGCTCTCTTTGTCTCCTGTTGTCTTTCAGTTCCTAGAAGCTTTAATTGAATGAAAGTTCCTAGTAGATCTGTACCTACTAAAAACCACACTTCTGAAGCTACGTGGCCACCAGAAGACACAGCTAGTCTGCCATGTAAAAAAGGAAAGGTGGCGTGTGCCCTGAAGGTGCAGGGGTGAGAGGCAGGGAAATGGAGACCCCAACAGCCAGCAGCAGTGGCCCTCATCACAGCCCTCCAGGAGATATCAAAGGAGGTCAGACCTTGGACAGTAGTCTTGACTTCCTGCTATAGAACACATTGTTAACACTGAAAAAGATGATCTGTTCTAGGGGAATGGTGAAAGCTGACTCTAGCACTTGTACTTTTTGTTTGTTTGTTTGAGATTGAGTCTTGCTCTTGTTTCCCAGGCTACAGTGCAATGCGTGATCTCAGCTCACTGCAGGCTCTGCCTCCTGGGTTCCAGCTATTGTCCTGCCTCAGCCTCCCGAGTAGCTGGGATTCCAGGTGCCCGCAAGTGTGCCTGGCTAATTTTTATGTTTTTAGTAGAGATGGGATTTCGCCATGTTGGCCAGGCTGTTCTCCAACTCCTGACCTTGGCCAAAGTGTTGGGATTACAGGCATAAGCCATTGTGCCCGGCCTGTGTTTTTAATTTCATAGTGGCACAGCTTCAAAATGACATCTAAGTAGCTGACATAAAAATGAAAATTCTGTGTACTTTGATATTAGCAGGCTTCAAATACAAACCAGAATATGAGTAAATTGTTTCTTAACCAAACTGAATAATTTTCACATTGGCAGGCATTGGCAGGCCATTCAGCATCTGGCTCATGTTTGGGCCAAGCCGGGTGCCTCATGAAAGTCTGGAGGGAAATACAGAGGCCAATTCTCCATAAGCATTAGGCTCAGAAATATCCTGCTTCCCAGTGAAAAGTTTAAGTTGACTTTCACGCCACCTTCATCAAACCGAGGTTGGTCAACACTTTTCACCACTGCCACTGGACACTTTGACTTCCAATTTTGCTACCTGCTCTACAAAGATACCCCCTTCCTTCCTTTCCTGCATTCTCCCTACAACCTTGTCTTTTTTTGAGTATATCCACTCTGTCTCATCATTGTCCATCTCTGCTTCCCAAAACCTTATATAGTACAGAAATTGGCCAATCAAGATTACCATGTGGAAGAGCATCCATTTACTGAATAAGGTAGCTGGCTCCTGGGGGCAGAAAAGTGATTAGACACAGAGATAAAAATCATAATCCCTGCTCTCCTGGATGCACTGTCCAGTGGGGAGACAGACAGATGAACAAATACAACTTGATAACTACAACAATCAAGTGAATTATATAATTTAGACTGGAGAAAGAGAGAGCAAACGTTATCATAAGACAGTGTGTCCACTACTTACTCTCTAACAGATTTCCTCATAAACCACTAGGCTTGCCAACTTGTTGAATGAGATAAAATTGGAGGGTCAGGGGAGGGGAAATCCATATGCTTCTTAGTATTTCATTCCATAAATACATAAATAATGAAACCATTAATGATATCATCATGTTGATTCAATAAGTTTGAAAGCAAAATTGATAGTAATCTTTGGAAGAAATTGTATATGTGTCTATGTATGTACATACATAGACATACATATTGCTTTCTGAAATTTTCAATGACTTTATGCTTCTTCTGAAGCAATTCGAGTTTAGTATTTGAGACCCCTGGGTCAAAACATCTTCTTGAGTATACTGAAGAACATTTGGATTAATTTCAGACATGTATTTTGGTTTATATAGTGTTTTTTATCCATGGTAACTTATTTACTGTTTAAAAACATATTGAGAACAAACAACAGCAGCAACCCTGAATTGAATGAAAGTCCTGAGAAGGGCTTTGCCCAATCAGTGCATGTGCATGTTTACACTAATCTCCTGTCTGAACCTAGGAACTGGCTGAATGAGCTAGCAGATGGCCTGTCTGGCTGCATTATAAATGATAATTTATTTTTATTTGTTTTACTCATTCATTCATTTTGAGACAGGGTCTCACTCTGTCATCCAGGCTAGAGTATGGTGACACAATTATGGCTCACTGCAGCCTTCAACTCTCAGGCTCAAGCAATCCTCCTGTCTCAGCCTTCTGAGTAGCTGGGACTACAGGTGCACACCACCATGCCCAGCTAATTTTTAAAACTTTTTTTGTAGGGACTGGGTCTTATTATGTTGCCCAGGCTGGTCTCAAACTCGTGGACTCAAGCGATCCTCCTTCCTTGGCCTCTCAAAGTGCTGGGATTACAGGCTTGAGCTACCACATATGGCCAGAAATGACATTTTAAAACCAACTATTACGTACACAGATATATGATGCTCTCTGATTGTTTTATCTAAAAATAGGAGTGCCTTAGGTTTATTGGCTCATTTTGTTTTATCAAACAACTTAAATGCAGTTGTGAATATTTTTGTTTACCCTCATAACCTGAGAATTTAGAATGAATATAATTATTGCCATTTTCACAAGTAAAATTGGAACGAGAATATAAAACAGTGGAATACAGGTGCAGCTAAGAGTAGCAGAGGTAAGCCATCTATAGAATATTAAAATTTCTTCCATGTGTGTTGTTAGAAATCTATAAAACCAAAATTTTTTCATGCCTGGAATCCCAGCACTTTGGGAGGCCAAGGCGGGCAGATTACCTGAGGTGAGGGGTTCGAGACTAGCCTGGCCAACATGGTGAAACCCCGTCTCTACTAAAAGTACAAAAATTAGCCAGGTGTGGTGGGCACCTGAAATCCCAGCTACTCAGGAGGCTGAGGCAGGAGAATTGCTTGAACCCGGGGAGTGGAGATTACAGTGAGCCAAGATTGTGCCACTGCACTCCAGCCTGGGCGACAAGAGTAAGACTTCATTTCAAAACAGCAACAACAACAACAACAAACAACAAGAACAACAACAAAACCCAACATTTTCTAATACAAGGAAACTCACTAAGCTTTATAAGGCCCCCATCCCTCCAAGTATTATCCTTTCCGGCTGCCCCAACATTAATGACAGCAACTGGTACTAGCCATCTGACATACAATCCCAGTACATTTTTGGGCTCTGATGTTTTCTAGGAATTTTTTCTTTACAGACTTATTGAAATTAAGCTCTATTCCCTCAAGACCTGGTTTTCATAAACTGTATAGTTTTGCAGTTGAGGGGAAATGGTCTTAGGTCAGTCAATCCACTGTTGACACAGAAATGAAATGAGGTAACGGTAGGATTATTGTTAAGATTGAGAGATGTATGAATCATCCTATGCTCTTTCCCAGCCCCCAGGTGACCATATAATTAAAATATCCTTGATATTTCTATGTAGTTTAAGTTTTTAATTCTAGAACCCCTCAATCTTTCTCTATTCAACTTGAATGAAAAGACATTTAGTATCCAGAAGACACTCAGCACTCAGAAGCAAAGGAAGAAAAATGGAAACATAATGGTCAATGCCCATGTTCTACCCCAGGATCAAATGAGGCATTAATATTGAGAGTTGTGATTCTGAATGAGTCTTAACCTCATGCACATCTTAGTTGTTCAAAAATGTGTCATGTCAGCAAGGTGGTAACAGTGAAGATTTTCTACAATCAAAATAGTATAGTTATGTTCTGTTGTATAAAATAGAAATAAATGGACCACATTGATCAGAAAAATCACCCTAGCATATTCCGACAGCTTAATTTTTAAAAAGCTATGTTATATTAACAATTTAACCACATAGATCTGTCAGCTAGAATACATGTTGCATATTTAATTGACAATAATTTTTTTTGCTCTCTCAGAGAGTTGTAGATAGATTTTGGGGTTATCAAATGGTTCTGACTTTTTTTTTTTTTTTTTTTTGAGATGGAGTCTTGCTCTGTCACCAGGCTGGAGTGCAGTGGCAAGATCTCAGCTTACTGCAACCTTTGCTCCCTGGTTTAAGTGATTCTCCTGCCTCAGCCTCCTGAATAGCTGGGATCACAGGCGCACGCCACCATGCCCAGCTAATTTTTGTATTTTTAGTAGAGACGGGGTTTCACCATGTTGGCCAGGATGGTCTCAATCTCCTGACCTCGTGATCTGCCCGCCATGGCCTCCCAAAATGCTGGGATTACAGGCATGAGTGACTGTGCCCGGCTGGTTCTGACATATTTTTAAGAAAGACTAGGCTGATGCTATGGTAACTCAGTTATTCATGATACATGTCATCTTGTAAGTAGGAGTATTCAATATTCATGGTTTTGAAGCAATTTCAGAGTACTATAATCACCACACTTGACAGACTTCAGAATTCATTGAAAATCTCTGGAAATAATTAGCAATTTGTTATCATAGACTCTAAACAGACCTTCAAAATGCATTACATAGATTTGGTAAAACAGATTGTCAGTCTGCCAAAAGTAATCACCTTGGTTTGATTTGCATTGAAGGAAAATTTTAAAATGTAAAGCTAAACTCTTCAGGATCACTGCACTGGGTTTCTATAGGACAACACTGAACAGGGCTGCCACTGAAACACCTTGGAGGAGAGCCTCAAACTCCCTGAACACAGCTTCCAGCACACTACTGGGAGAATGATTGGGACTCAAAAATATGTGCAATGAATGTACTTACGAGCTTGTTGGAAAGGAAGTAAAGAGGTTGTATGTAATTACCTCAAATTAATACTACTACAGATAAAGTAGTAATCAGTACTGACAAAGTAATAGTAGCGCTAAAGTAGTACTAATAGCCCTATACTAGTAGTAGTAATAAAGTGGCATCGCTATTGATTCTATCCGTCTACCTACCTACCTGTCTGGATGGGAGGGCATAGGATTTGACTGTAAGATTGGGCTTAGCAGTGAAGACAAAAGAGCTCATGCATGCTTTGGACAGGTACGCGCTCAAACTTGGTATCATGTGACTGTTCTGAATTCCAGAACCAAGGCTAAAAGGTGGAAGTTTTGTTTGACTGTGTCTCACATTTTCCTTTTGGTCTATTGTCTAACACATGTTGCTAGAATTCTTTTTACTCTGACTACCTTTTATGTATAGACAACGCCATTATTGACGAGATCACTCCCAAGCGGATTGGAGATTGTCCCAATACTTAGACCTATAGCAAGGCCTTGGGAGAAATGGTGGTGCAGCAGGAGAGCAGGAACCTAACCATTGCCATCCTAAGGCCCTGCATTGTGCAGAGCAACGTGGCACCAGCTTTTCCTGGTAAGCCCACTTACCTGGATTCTGTGTTTTGCTTTCAAACTAAGGTTCTTCTAGCCCAATTATTTTCTGATGTCTTTCTTCTTCTTCTTCTCCTCAGGATTTATAGTTAAGTGCAGCCAATCAAATATTAACCCATTATACTAGGGCAAAATTCCACTTTGGGATCATGCGGCTCTTCTGGCAGTTACCCTATCTTAGAGTTGGATGGAGATCTTAAATTAGCTTCTAACTACTCTAGTCTCAAAATTCCCATGGGTGATGTTTTCATATCTTGGCTTTCCCACTGTAGCTTAAACATATCAGAATGTTCTTGATGGCCAAATTGGTAGTATTGCAACTAACTGCCAGGGTGACAAAGCTCACAGAAGGATATCAGTTTGGGAATACTAATTTTTTTTAACCTCAGTATACTGCTATGTCCTTTTGAAAGTACTTTGAATTATACCATCTTCTTCAAAGCAAGTCCGTGAAGCTTTGAGGGCAGATACATTCCAGCTCCACCACTTACTGGCAATGCAACATTTTTGAGTTGTTCTTTCGGTAGAACAGGACAGATACTACTTTGGAGAGTTGGTTTAATGAGACAATGTATGAGGAGTGCTCAATCTCTAGTAAAAGGTAGATCCCTACTAAAAGGCTCAACGAATATTAGTCCCTTCATCTTCTCTTCCCGTATATCTGGTCTCCCATTATACGCATTTCGACTTTTATACTGTAAGGTAAAGAGACGGCTTAGGGCTTAGGAAACAAACTGAAAAATACATTTCCCTCTAACTACTCTTAAGCATAATCTTTCCTGTAACATCTTTAAGCAAGTCAATACACATTATTACCAATCATGTTTTCAATGTTCTCCTAAGGAGGCTAAAATCAGGAATGAGGTGAAGTATGGTTGGTGAATTGCTTAGCAGATCATGATATAAGGACAAGGTCCATTGTAGCCCTTAAGTTGTCATAAAACGCCACAAAACCATTCATGACTCCTGCTACAAACAACAATCCTGGCCAAATTTTAATTCTTGCACAAACTGCAGAAAATAGCCAATGCTTTGCCATTGATCTTTGGGATCTTAATCATACTGAATTAGATAGTTCTATCGGCTGGAGTCTCAGTGCCCTTGTTTGAAATTTATTAAGATTAGACGGCAGATGCTCCAAAGATACAACAATTTTCTGAAATGTGTAACCAATGGAAATTTTCTTTCTTTTAGGGTTGGGTTGATAATCTAAATGGATGTAGCTGACTCATTATTGCGGTATGTATAGGGATGAAGAAGTAACTGTAATGTAGTGGAGGAATAGTAAGAAAATTCTTAGTGCTGGCTTAGCTTCATTGATCCAAAAACATAAATGCTACTTTACTATCAATTGAAGCATATTATTTCAATTATTCTGGTTATAATATGGAGGCAGGATGAAATTGTTTTTATTCTTTTAGAATTTTTTTTATCAGGAAAACAGAGGTAAAGTGCTATCAATTACTATTTAAGAGTTCTATTTTGAAAAGTCTTTAATAAGGATTTTTCTTTTCTTTTTAAAAAAGACTTTTTTAAAAATTAAAAATAAAAGAAGCAAAAGTCTTAGGAAAAGGAGGCAAGTAGCCCTGCCACTCTATGTACAGTAATAACAATATCTGTCCCAGTTATTATGTACAATATTATAAAAAATGTCGCAGACAGTACAAATTAAGGCACTTATTTCTCAAAGGACATCAAGTCTTATGCCCCGTGGGAGGGAAGATGCCACTTAATTATTGCACCATTTTGAAAAACAGAACTCGTCAAGGCGGATAGTGGTCTTTTCCCACCTGGTCTTCAGTCACAGATGGGGGCTGGGGCAGTGGCGCCGTCTTCGTCGTCGAGGTAGACCCTATGGAGCCACACCGCCCTGCCGAGTTCTCTGGGTGCAATAAATACCAGTCACAGTTTGGGAGGGGGCCGTGTGCAGGTGGGGAGGCCTCTGGGCTGCATGTGCCGCTTCCTGTGCAGGGCAAGGTGGGCAGAGCGCAAGAAGGCGTGGTGGCACCAATGGCCCTGAAATGGCCAGTGGCCCCTGTGCTTGTGGTGGTGGAGCGTTAGCTTGTCTGAGTGAGCACGCTTCCAGCTGCTTCCATCCCAGTGGCAGTGGTCGGGCTTGTCACTTGTGTGCTGCGCAGATGTGCCTGCAAGGGAGAATTCTTGCTGTAGGTCTGGCCGTAGCCGCATAGGTATGCCCGGTGTTGCGGTTCCCAGGCCAGGAGCAGCTGTCATGCTTGGGCTTGGCCTCCAGCCGCTCCAGCGGGGACGCCGGTGCCACCACAAGGAGACTGCGGGCGACTGGGGGTGCCAGGCCCAGGGCTGTGGCGGTGGCGGCCAACGCCTAAGAGACTAAAGACAGGGGCGTGGAGGGGCGGAGCTGGGTGGGGGGCGCCTCATGAAGGCCGGGCTGGGTGTCCCAAACCAGGGCCACGGAAAGGCAGCGGGAAGGAGGCGTGCGGGCCGTAGGGGCTGAGGGGCGGGTGTTGGGGGCGGAATGGGAGGGACCCGGGACCTCGCATGCATGAAGCCGCAGGCCCGGGGCGCCCTAGTGTTTGAGGACGCGCGGTCCATGCCTGAACCTGGGTGCGCAGCCGCAGCTGCCGCCATCTGCCTCAGGGGGTTGGGCTTTGACCAGGCGGCTGGGCAGCGCCAGTTGAAAGCGGTTGAGCAGGCCGGGCGCAGTGGCTCACGCCTGTAATCCCAGCACTTTGGGAGACCAAGGCGGGCCGATCACGGGGTCAGGAGATCGAGACCATCCTGGCTAACACGGTGAAACCCCATCTCTACTAAACATACAAAAAAAAAAAAGTAGCCGGGCGTGGTGGCGGGCGCCTGTAGTCTCAGCACTTTGGAAGGCTGAGGCGGGCGGATCACGAGGTCAGGAGATGGAGAACATCCTGGCTAACAGGTGAAACCCCGTCTCTACTAAAAGTACAAAAACCAATTAGCCGGGTGCGGTGGCGGGCGCCTGTAGTCCCAGCTACTCCGGAGGCTGAGGCAGGAGAATGGCGTGAACCCAGGAGATGGAGCTTGCAGTGAGCCGAGATCGCGCCAATGCACTCTAGCCTGGACGACACAAGGAGACTCCATCTCAAAACAACAACAACAACAACAACAACAACAACAACAACAACAAAAACAACAAAAACCAGCTGAGCAGCGCGGGCCTTCTGGCAGCGGGTCCAGCTCCAGGGCGCCCTAGGGCAGCGGCGTGCAGTGTTCGGGTAATAGGACGCAGACGGTGGGGTCGCCGGGGGCTTCGGGGTGGCCTCGGCCCCAGGCCATCCAGCCCTGTGGACCGAATGGAGTCCCACACGCTGTTGAGGTAGTTGTGGGTTCCCCTGGCCTCGGGCTCGGCGCAGGGTCAGCGCTCCTGCAGGCGGCGCTTGCGGTACGGGCTGGTGAAAGTGGAGACGGACGGCAGGATGGATTCACTTGGCGACATGGCGGGGAGCTGGGAAGACGGACACCGGTGAGTGGCTGCCCGGGAGGGCTGGTCGGGGCGCGGACAGGCGGGCATGGTTCTGCCAAGGATTTTGCTTTATTTATCGCAAGATGGGGGTATTTCCTCCTTCCTGCAGTTTATAATTGCATGAATTAGTGCAGTGAATTGAGGATGCAGTAAAAATATCTTCAAAGATTATTAAATTCGTTATTATAAAACACATAGAAGAGTTTATGTGTGTGTATGGAAAGCAGGTATACATCAATAATTCTTAATGAATACAAGAAAGAACTACCAATATTGGGGCAAATTTTTCAAATACAAACATCAGTGAATATAGGCAAGGCCTTTTCTTTTTTATTATTCTATTTTAAGTTCTAGGGTACATGTGCACAACGTGCAGGTTTGTTACATAGGTCGACATGTGCCGGCAACGCCTTTTCAATAATGTCTTACAAGGAGAAACGTGGCTCCTCTAGGTGAGCAGCCCTCAGTGCGCATCTCCCTGAAGTCCACATTGATCCGGCAGAGCTGTGGGGTTCACAGCTCACACTGAGGCATTCAGGGCCTAAACCCCACTTTACTCTTTTGTACAATGAATGGGAAATCAGTGATCTAAATGAGTTTAAATCTTATTAGGGATTCAGACTGCCCTTCAGACTCTGTCTCTATTCCTCCCAGAGCTGGGTTCAACATGAATTCAAATAGAAATATGAGACAATGAATTATGGTAGTGACAAAGACCTTCCTTCGAATTCCGGATTTTTCTAGCAGCCCCTTTCTTTCTGCTTCCCACCTGCCTTCAACTCTTTCTCCTAAAAAAGTTCAGTTGGGGTGAACGTTTGATGACTTAGAACATCATTATTTTAACGTGATCCCAAAGCGGTTTTCATTATATGCAAAGCTGCATATTTATTCACATTTTAAAAAATGTTCTAAATTGGTTTCTTATGTCCAAAAGAAGGGGAGCTAGTTATAAGAAAAGAGAACTGAGTAACATAAGAAAGTGCTAATCATTTCAAATTAAAGTGGGAAACATGCAAAGCAGAAAGAATGAATTTCATAAACTCAACAAATTATTAACATAAATAATTCCAAACTCTTGTATCTATATAACATCAGTGATCTGTGAGGTGAAATGAGATTCTGAAGAAAAAGTAAATAATAAGGCCATTTTTCTAAGCCAAAAAAGTTTTTGTCATTAGTTGTGGAATTTCACCAATTAATTTTTTTTCAAATAAAACTTTCTTAAACTTTTACTGCCTACTATTGCTTGTAGGTTAGTAAACCCTAGCAGAAAACAAAATCATTAAGGAAATGGAAAACAAACATTAATGGGAAATTTATGTAATCTTAATTCTTAACGTGTCTTATGAGTTAATTTTTAAAATGTGAAGGTTTATTCTTGGTGTTTGGTAATTAAGTTTATTAATCTCTCACAAATATGAGGAATTTTATTCCCTAAAGGAACGTGAGGAACACGAGTAGTTCAAGAAAATGCTGAAGATGCGCTTGGCTGGGAAGCTAGGATAGGCTGACGAAGTCAGACTTAGTGTGGGAACCTGGTAAGCAGTGGATCGATGTTAGCTGTTTTCACTTATTGCACTAGTATAATCAGTTTGATGGTACATACTTCAGCCCCAGCTGTTACTTAAGACCTGGTTTCACATTTTATGTTCTTTTTCTGTGCAGGCTGGGAAAGGGTTTCTTCTGTCCATAAAAGCTACTCCAATGGCTGTGGGAGACTTAATTCCAATTCCAGGTGATACAGCCGTCAGTCTCCCACTAGCTGTAGGATGGTGTGCTGCAGTTCACAGGTGTGGATGCTCAAGTGGGCTTTCAAAGATGTCATGAGAGGGAGGGGTAATGTATTAGGCACATTTTCCAAATATAGGCATTTCATTGTACAAGACCCCAAATGTGAGAGGGTGTTTGTTTCAGTGTTTTATAGAGTTCCTAATATGCCATCATATATACATTCAGTTGTTTTCAAAATACAGTTTAGTATTTGGCTACTCACAAAGTAATAAAACATTTAAATCACTTAACCATACAATTCTTGATAACCAAAAGGCTTTTCTTTCTATTCAGTAGTTTAACATTCAGCTTTCTTTTTTAGGGCAAAGGAGATAGAAGTGGATGAAATGACAGAGTATTTTTTTAATTGAACTCTGATTAATGCCAAAAGTGTTCAATCACTATGTGTGGGGAAGTTTCCTGGTACAAAGGAAAAAAAAACAGGTTGTTCATACACTTGGCTGTGTTAGTAAGTGGTAAACAGAATTAAACTTTTCTTATGTGAACTCACACATATGTGCTTCATAATATGTCACTCCTATTTAACATCTCTTTCACACACACAGTCATCCCCCCCACACATACCCTTTTGCTAGTCTTCTTCCATTTTGCTTATTAACCCAAAGAAAGAAAAAAATATGGAAGCCTTCTTGCATAGGTTGCGTTAATCAGATGAATTATTGAAGCCACTCTGTCTAAATATTATTTTCCCTTATTTTTCCTTCATTAGTTTCCCATTCTGTTGTATTTATTTAATTTTTATTTCATTTTCCAGACCTAAGTCAATGTTAGTCTACCACTGTACGTCTGGTAACCTCAATCCCTGCAACCGGAGCAAAATGTGTAAGTACTTTAGCCATGTAACTGCATAATTACTAGTGTCTGACACAGAGAAAAAATAGACAGTGTGTCATGGAGCTTAGAGCCTACATGGGGAGAAAGACAAAAAGTAAGCAAAGAGGCAAAATAATGAGAAATTGTAAATGTGTGGTAGTTAACTAGAATGTACTGTGGTTACCAAGGAAAGCAGTCATTGGGAACACATACGTGATTGTAAGCAGTAGGGGGTCCATTGGCTATGGAGATTTTAAAAAACAATGATGAAATAAAGCAAAAGTTGATAGTTATAAAAAATCTCAGTGATAAAATACTGAAATACTCCTCCCTGCTGGGGCAGTGGGTCCTATACACACCCCTTCCCTTCTTGATATGTCACTGAGAATGCAATGTGATCAATGACCAATGAGATTTAGAAAAGTCGGGTGATGTTATTCCTTCCTTATTGAGTGTGTAATACTGATCACTAATTTATGCAACTTGTTTCTCTTGGGTGTGTGTTAACTACTCTACTAGTGATTTGTAAAAGTGAATAGGAATCACTATGGGAAAATAAAAACAACACGCAGATTCCTTGGACCCTGGGACCAAGGTCTTGGGTGATGCTGAGGAAACTATATTTTTAATAAGCATCTAAATGATTCTTGATGCTTGGGGAAATGCTCTTTGAGAAACCCTGTACTATACAAATGATTAATTTGTCTGAATGTAAGGGATTTAATCTGGTCAATGTACAAAAACCATGGAAATCAATTTGAGTACAACTTAAACATCTAATGATGGTAGAAGATAAAAGTAGGGAGTTTTGCTATTCTGTAGGATTACTTAGTACCTACTAACTAACGCACCCCTTCTATCCCTGTTACATAGGTACCACTAGCTCTTCATATTCCAATGATAAGCCATGGTACCGCACTGAAAGTTCTATTGCAGGGCAGCTAGACACTGTGGCTGATTTATATATTGTGACTTTGAATTGGAAAATGCTTTCCAGGAATGAAAAATGCCTGGCATGCCTGTTTCCTCTACCTCTCTCACACCTATAGCAAACACTGTGGGCTGATAAGACATTGGTTATCCCTGTGCCAAGGCTCTGTTCTAGATTCCCTTCTAACAGCATTTCTGGAAGCTATTACTATTAATTTGATGTCGCATTCAAATTAAACTCATTGGTGTTTCCTATCTGGGACTCTTAGGAGGGATAAAAATGCTGCCTACTGGGAGCAGTAGCCATGTTAACAGGAGGTTGAGCATATATAGTCTCAGGTGATATTACAAGGAGTGATAGACAGCTGAGTGGGTGAACATGGGCTATCTCTCCATGGAATTGTCTCCTTTAGTGTCCCTTAAGAAGAGTTTTTGATCTCCTGCATACAGGTCTTAAGCATCTTTTATCAGATTTATACCTAGGGCCTAGGTAATTGATGCTTTTTGTTTGTTTGTTTTTTTACTAATTTAAATGTGTTTTGTAAAAATATATTTTCTAATTGTTTGTGGATGATGTCAAATGCAATTGATTGTTGTATATTGACCATATATTCCCCTATCTTGCTAAACTTATTATTGCTAGAAATTGTATAATATTTCCTCATGATTTCCTATGTAGACAGTTATTTAATCTGCAAAAATACCAGTATTATCCCCATTTTTTCAAGCTTTAGGTCTTTATTTTTCTTGTTGATGGCACCATCTCAGCTCACTGCAAGCTCTGCCTCCTGGGTTCACTCCATTCTCCTGCCTCAGCCTCCCGAGTAGCTGGGACTAGAGGCACCCACCACCATGCCTGGCTAATTTTTGTATTTTTAGTAGAGACAGGGTTTCACCGTGTTAGCCAGGATGGTCTCGATCTCCTGATCTCATGATCCACTTGCCTTGGCCTTTCAAAGTGCTGGGATTACAGGCGTGAGCCACTGCGCCCAGCCTTCTTGTTGAACTTCTACTATAATGGTGAATAAAAATGGCAAGAGTACGTATTGTTGTCTTGCTGCTAATTTTAAGCAGAAGACTTCAAATATTAAACTCACCTGCCATTTTTAGGATAAACCCAACTTGGTCATACCATGTTATCTTTTTTTATATTTTGTTTAATTCAGTTTGCTAATCATATAGTTCCCTTGTTTTTCTATTCTCTGAAAGTGCTTGTGTAATAGTGGAGTAATCTATTCCTTGAAAACTTGGGAAAAGCACCTTTAAATTATCTGGATTTATAATTTTTTGTGAGAAGATTTTTTATTGCTTCAGTGTCTTTAATAGTTAAAGAATTTTGCGGGCTTCATTTTCTGCTGGAATCAGTTTTAGTAAATTATATTTGTCTCTTTTTCTAAGATTTTGTCTGTTTTAAAATGTATTTACATTCTTTTTTTCATATTCATATTTTTGTCCTAAACTGTATCTGTAATTATGCTTCTTTTTAAATTCATAATATTTGTGTGTCTTCTCTTTTCTTCTCAGCTAGTCTTCAAAGGTTTTATTTTATTTCTTTTTTTGAAAGAACCAACTTCTTCAGGCTTTATTGACTTTTTTCTTTTTTCTTTCTTTCTTTCTTTTTTTTTTTTTTGGAGATGGAGTCTCGCTCTTGTTGCCCAGGCTGGAGTACAATGGCATGATCTTGGCTTACCACAACCTTTGCCTCCCGAGTTCAAGCAGTTCTCCTGCCTCAGCCTCCTGAGTAGAGTAGCTGGGATTACAGACACGCACCACCACACCTGGCTAATTTTGTATTTTTAGTAGAGATGGGGTTTCTCCATGTTGGTCAGGCTGGTCTTGAACTCCCAACCTCAGGTGATCCACCCACCTCGGCCTGCAAAAGTGCTAGGATTACAGGCATGAGCCGCCGCACCCAGCCTATTGACTCTTTATTATGCTGCTTTGTTTTCTATTGCATAGATGTATTGCCTTATGTCTTTTTTCCCCTTCCTCCTGTTTTCTTTGATTATGTTTTTCTTCTCTTTAACTTAGAAATATAGCCCATGAATATTTGGCTTGTCTAATACATCATTTATGGCTTTATACTTCCCTCAATGCCACTTTGGCTGTATCCCACACATTTTGTTGTATGATGTTTATGTTATCATTACTCTCTAATCCTTAAACATTTTTCATTTGAATTTCTTCTTTGACCTTTGAGGATGTAGAGTACAGTTTTCAATTGCCAAATTACATTTTCTACATGTGCATGAGTTTCTCCTTGTCCCTCACATCAGAAAGACAGTAGCTTAATGGTTAAAAGTCTTGGGTTTTGAGATCTAATAGACTTGGATTCAAATCATAGCTCATTCACTCACTCCTGTATTTATTAAATAGACATTATTCTTGGTGCTGAGGACATATCACTAAACAGAAATCCGTGCTCACATAGATGTTATTTGCTGGTATGCATCCCGCAATTTAGTAGACTCCACTACTTATTAGTTGTATCAGTTGGAAAAAGTCTCTCAGTTTCTCCCTGTAGATGAATTTTTTTATCTGTCAGTGAGAATAATAATTATTCTATTCTAGGGAGCTCTTGGGAGAACGTAGTGAGATAAAGTGCTTAGTACAGTGGTTAGAACAGTGAACATTTTAGTAAATGCTTGCTATTACCATATGGACAGCTTTCTCAGAAAGCCTTTCCTAACCCAGCCCCACCCCTCCCCTTCCGGGCACCCAGACAGAGCTAGATGCTTCTTTTGTGTTCCTCCAGAGCGTATTGTACCGGCCTCTAGCAGAATACTCAGGCAAAAGATTGTAATCATGAATTGTCCACATCTCCCACCAGATCGCCAGTTCTTTAAAGACAAAGAATATATCATATGTAATTTTTTTTTACCTCAGCATCTACCACAGTGCCTGGCAAGTGTTAAATGCTGAATAAATATATTTGGAATGACTAAAGGAAGGATTGATACAGATTTAGGAAAAGGAAAGTAAGTGTATTTTGCTGAGATATTTATTCATTCGTTTAGTCAAAAAATGTTTATTAGGCACTGATTACCTGTCAGCCACTTTTCAAGGTACTGTATAGGTTCAAACAAAACAGACAAAATTTTGTTACGGTACTTAAATCTTAGAAAGGAGAAATATACATCAGATATGGTTGAGTGATTGCAGAAAAATAAAACAGATTAAAGAAGTAAACAGTATTGTGGGAAGGCTGCTATTTGATAAGTGATGGCCAAAGAAAGTCTCTCTGATAAGGTGTCATCTTAGTAGAGACCTGAAAGAAGTGAGAGGGCAAATCAGAGGGACACGTGGATGAAATATTCCAAGTTGAAGAAACAGTAAGTGCTGAAGTTCTTTAATAATATTCAAGGACAGCAAGGAGGCCAGTATGGCTGCAGCAGAAGCACCGAGAGGGAGAGCGGTAAGAGGTGAAGTCAGAGTGGTGGGCAGAGAGAGTGAGGATGCAGAGAGTGCAAGCCCTTGCAGACCATGGCTTTGCCTCTAAATGAGAAGAGATTCCGTTGAAGGGCTCTGAATGGGGACGTTCCTGTAATACACTCTGAGTTACATTTTACAAGAATCCCTCTGGCTGCTACATGGAGGTCCAACTAGGGTTACAGGGGTAGTGGCAGAGACCACTTAGGACAGTATTGCAACATTCCAGGCTACAGTAGTGGTTTGGATCAGAGAGATAGCAGGTGGAAATTATGATTCTGGGTATTTTTCAAACAGGGAGCTGATAGATTTTGTTCAATTGTGTGTGGGTTGTTAAAGAGAGAGAAGAATCAAGGATAACCCCAAAGTTTTTGGCTGAACTACTAAACAAATTGAATTAGCATTTGGTTAGAGGTAGAAGACTGGTGAAATAGCAAGTTTGTGTATGTATTGGGAGGGGGGTGGTTAGCAGTGGGTGTATCAGGAGGCCCATTTTAGAGCTGTTAAATGTGAATGTCTCTTACACCTCCAGGTGGAAATGTTGAACAAGTATATGGATATATAGATCAGAACATCAGTGTTGAGATCAGAATCTCTTATGCTATCAACCTGTACATAACTTTTTTATTTACCACCATCTTTTTAAAGTATAAATCCCTATGGAACAGATGATTCTTAAGAATCTTCTCTGAAGAGGAGTTATATTTTTCAGATAGATTTTTAGCTGGCATTTTTTTAAGTAGGGCAATAATCGTATTACTATAATAACTGACATCATAATTGAATAATGAGCTTAGGCATATGCTTTGCAAAAACCTACATACCTTAAATAAAATTGAATTCAAATGAGTATCTTTTCAAAAGAACTACTGAATTCACAAATGTACATAAAAAGTTCTTAATTAAGCTTAATCTAAGTATTAATATAAAAAGAAAAACACTATTATGAATAAAACCCTGGATACCAGAGTGGACAACTGAGTCTGACATATTCCCAGAGAAATATTTAAAGTAAGCTAACACAAGAAAATCTTGCCTTTAGAATTTTTAAGTTAAACTTTTAATAAAGATTCAAATAAAACATTAAGAAACTTTCTAAATGGTTCTGAAAGTAATGGTCCAGCCAAGGAAATAAAGTTTCTAGCCTGTGTCTTGGGGCTTTCAGAATAGACTAGGTAACCTTAGAATTAAATGTGGATTTATGTTTTTCTGAAGAGTACCCCCTTTTGTTGACTACATGTGTTTCCCCAAGAATTTGTTTTAGAGTAGGTGTTTCAAATAAAGGGTCCAATTCTTAACCCATTCACATTGTTTCATTTTGCAGATAACCACTTGCCTAGCATAAAAATCTTTACGTTGTTCTCAGAAATTGATTCTTGACTCTACACAGCAAATCCTTCATCTTTATTGTTGTGACCCATTATAAATACCTTCCAGTGTGATGGGCTTATATTCTCCTATTCTCCTCTATCACTTACTCTCTTTTTTTCCCCAGGATTCCAGGTCTTGGCAACCTCTGAAATTCCAACTCCATTTGCGAGAGCTTTGAGGAGGCCATATGCTGATTTCACCACAAGCAACTTCACAACCCAGTACTGGAATGCCATCAGCCAGCAGGCCCCTGCCATTATCTGTGACTTCTATCTGTGGCTCATTGGAAGGAAACCCAGGTGAGAAGCTGAGTCAATGGCCTTGAGAATGTCACTGCATATGGGAGATTGAGGCCCCAAAGTCTTTAGGGCTTCCTTCAGCCAAAGATTAAAGGAGACAGCTGAATCTGACCCATATATACAGATTGAACACACCTACTCTGAAAATCCAAAATCTGAAATTCTCCAAAATCCAAAAAGTTTTGAGTGCTGACATGATGCCACAAGTGGAAAATTCCACACATCTTACCTCATGTGATGGGTCACAGTCAAAACACATTCAAAACTTTGTTTCATGCATAAAATTATTTAAAATATTGTATAAGATTACCTTCAGGTTATGTGTATGTGGCTAAGTGTGTATGAAATGTAAGTGAATTTTGTGTTTAGACATGGGTCCCATTCCCAAGATACCTCATTGCATTGAAGCAAATATTCCAAAATCTGAAAACAGTTGAAACCCAACACACTTCTGACCCAAGCATTTCAGATAAAGGATACTCAATCTGTGTAAGTTTTGAACAAACAAAGCAGTCATAGTGAGAAGCCACAGAAGCCTCCTACATTAAAAATACTCCAGCATAATAAAGGAAGGTAAATGTTAAAGCGCCTGCTTGATGAATTCAGCAAGTGATCATTCACACAAAAAGAAAACCAACTGAGACGCTGTCACTAGGGTTTTTCAAATAGGTAGAGAATCTTAAATATCCAGTAATGATGACAACCTCACTTACTGGGAGCTTACTCGTGGGGCTAAGGAGGATGCGTGATGATCCCATTTTTATTGTCACAGCTACCGAAGGAAGATACCCTCATCAACCCAATTTTACAAATGGAGAAATAGAAGCTCAGGGAAGAATCTGAAGTAGTCTCAAAGGAAGTGACAGGAAGGATGTGGAGAAAGCTGAGTGTCAAAGTCAGTATTCAAGACCGGATTTACTGCTACTTAGAGATGAATGAAGAAATCAGAGGGAACGCAGTGTGCTGATGCTAAAGCGGCTGTCACCACCCAGCTGTGTGACATAGGACATCTTCTTTCTCTGTCTCACTTGACTAATATGTTGTGTCAGGGGAGACATGATTGTAATTGCCTAAAGCAATTCTTGTGATCAAGAATCAGAAGCATGAACAGTATTGCCCTCTGTGTTAGCCCCTTTATAAGGGAGGAAGTCATCTTCAGCATGCTGAATTGTCATCTTTCTTAGCAGTGCAAATGACTAAAACTTAGCCAATGTAGAGTTTGTCCAAATTTGGAGCTCATAACTCAGTTCTTGAGCAAAGTGAAAAGAAAACATTGTGATTATGGGGAAAATATTTGTACGGGACTTATCAAATAAAGATAGGAAAAGAAGAAAACTCAAATATTATAGGCAGAAATGCTAAAGGTTTTAAAATATGTCAGGATTGGAAGAAGGCATGGATAAAGAACAAAGTTCAGTTAGGAAAGAGAAACACAGAAGGAAGAGACACAATAAAAGTCATTATGTATTCTGTGAGAAGTCAGACAGTAAGATTTGTGGGAAATGGGTTGGTTTGTTGTATGGTATGTATTTTAGCAATAATCTTTATGGCAGAGAAAGCTAAAATCCTTTAGCTTGCGTGAATGATCACTTGCTGAATTCCTCAAGGTAGGCATGATGAAGGAGGGTTTAGAGGAGACACAGACACAATGAACTGACCTAGATAGAAAGCCTTAGTATACTCAGCTAGGAATAGTGATTCTGAGGGCACACTGTGACATGATTATGTCATTACATGTATGGTAGTGATGGGGATGATAGAAGGAAGAACTTATGGCATATTTTCACCCCCACAAAAATCAGTTAAATATTGGGACACTAACCATCCAGGTCAAGAAAAGTCACATGCCATAGCCATGGTATTGCACATCATTCATCTTGCATTCTTTGAGAATAAGAAGATCAGTAAATAGTTCAGAAGTGGGAAGCTTTGTCCAGGCCTGTGTGTGAACCCAATGTTTTGTTTAGAAATAGAACAAGTAAGTTCATTGCTATAGCATAACACAAAATTTGCATAAGTGGTGGTCAGCAAATCCTTGAATGCTGCTTAATGTGAGAGGTTGGTAAAATCCTTTGTGCAACACTCTAACTCCCTGAATGTTTTGCTGTGCTGGGACCTGTGCATGCCAGACAAGGCCAAGCTGGCTGAAAGAGCAACCAGCCACCTCTGCAATCTGCCACCTCCTGCTGGCAGGATTTGTTTTTGCATCCTGTGAAGAGCCAAGGAGGCACCAGGGCATAAGTCTACTCACTTATATCTGTTTGTCTGGAACATAACCCATGTTTGTTTTTACAACAAATAAAATTGATCTTGAATAAAAAGTGAGTGGTCGTTGTCATTAATCTTTGAACCCAGATTAACCTTTTGGTCATGCCTAGTCTAAGAGAAAAGAGATATTCTTATCAATAAATACAGAGCCCAGCTATGTCAGTGAAGATCTCAAGTGCATGGACAGTAGTATAGGGAAGAGTCAGAGGCCAAAAAGACAGGAATGGCAGACATTGAACAGAGGAGAGTGTGGTGTTTGCCTCTGCATCAACTGAGATTATGGAAGAACACCTGAGGCTTGGGGAGAGCACCTACAAGATACCAATAAAGCATTCTAAGAACATCTATGAAGTGAGAAAATTTGAATTACTGTTGTTCTTGTGGTTATGATTGTATTTATGGTTGTTACTTCATTCGTATTAATCACCTATGTGCCCAAGTGTAATCATGAAGTTAGATTTTTCCCAGTTTTTTTTATTAGACTCAAGAATTCCCATAGACAAAGGCAATATCACTATCCTATTCATACATTTCTTGTCTCAGTTCTGCAGAGCCAAAATGTAGAGTCCAATGCAATAAAGGCTGACTTGGATTATCTAACTGGTACATGAGGCCCCGTGTGGTAGTTTACTCCAGAGGAAATTGGCACTTGCATATAATTGTAGTTAAGTTGATCCCTTGATATCAGAAAAGTTTCTGCTATGCAGTCCTTTTTGATGATTTCTTAATATATATCCTCATTTTAGATAGTAGCAGTGGCCATA
The DNA here is from genome assembly GCF_000001405.40 of Homo sapiens. Lineage (NCBI taxonomy): Eukaryota > Metazoa > Chordata > Mammalia > Primates > Hominidae > Homo > Homo sapiens. The sequence goes on along the minus strand of NC_000002.12, from coordinate 130,416,038 downwards.
GATGTACTTGGCAGCAGAGTATTACAGATGGTAAAGCTTGAATCTGCGTTTTAGTAGCAAGAGCATTTGGAGTCTTGTGCTTCCCTTGTAGACATCTTCTTCACATCTACAGCCTATCTTTCGTCTACTGTTGTTACTGCTACTAGTTCCATAGACATTCTAATTTTCACTTGGGATATACATTTTTGTTATTTGTAAGCTCCCCCTTCTTTTTCATTTTTTCACTCCATTTCAGACTGTTCTAAAATCAGAAAGGAAATTCTCCTCCATGAGCATGTATATGTTTTTGGCTCTTGGAACTTGAGATGGTGCAAGTAAAGTACAAGGACATTTTCCAGATAAGTCATGTGAAGTGATTTACATTTCATAATATGATCATTTCTGATTGATCTTATCTATTATGACCACCCATAGAGATGGCTGTAAAGAATTAAGAACATCAAACAATGTCAAGTTGTTCATTGCATGTATTTCAGAACATTACCAAGATAAAGCCAGGTGGAGTCATTAATTTCACCAGCTAGTTATTTCCTTGCTGCAGTGCCAAAGATTGTTATTTTAGAATTAAAACCTCTGGTTTTTCTAACTCATCTTTCATTGTTGATCATGGCAAGTGAATAATTAGTGAATGTATATGTTTAGGTTATGAGGAATTTAAAACACACCCTAAGAGTTGTAATGTTGATTGCTTTTAAATGTTGTAATGGTTTTGAGAGTGTCTGCTAATGATTCCTTAATTACATACTTGCTTTTCTTAGAAAATCAACTCATTTCATTATTAGTGATTAATTTTCTCTTAAATATTTAACTTTATATTTTAATAATCACTATGCCTGGGATTCCATTAGATATTTGAAAAGATCAAGTTTAATTTTTTTACCCAGGTAACATATACAATGGCTGAAGATTTGTGTTCTTTGATCTCACAATTTAAAAAAATACACATTAAGCACCATGGAAATCCCAGCAACTTCAGCAAGAAAGAGTCTTTGTTCCACAGTTTCTTTGCTTGATAAATACGTGGAATAAAATAAATGGAATATCTTAATTCAGTTTTTGCTTCATGAGACTGGTTGAGTGAACATAGGCCTAGTGCTTTGAAAATTGGCCTATTGTAGAAGATTGATATTCTAGTAGCCTAAAGAGAATCCATTTCTTATAAGAATATATATATTTTGGAAAATGTGGTATTTCTCAGAAAACTACTGAAATGAATTATGTATCTTTTCTATCTTTATCTTTACTTCTATTACTTTCAAAGATCTAAAGGTTTCACTTGAAAATTAGTCTTTTGGAAAAAAAAGACATTGAAACTAGTGTTAAATTAATTTCATTGAGGTAATGAATATGAAGATTCATTTGCTGTAATCTCCTTGTGATCTTTTAGTTTCTTGTGCTTTTAAAAATAACAATATAATGGTCTATATGTTTATCAGTTTTTACAATAATTTGTCTAAACTTCGCTTATACCAGTGTGCATGAAGAACCAAGTGCAGTCTGAATTAGCACAATGCAAATAGAAAACCGACCTTTTATTTTCCTCACAAAATTAATATAAACCTTATGTAAAAGAATTTTTAGGTGCTTGTAAATTAATAACAAAATCATACATAATGTCAGTGGAGGAGAAAAGTTAAGGATTTTATATCGCAGTAAAATGCATTTCTAAATTTACTTAGTATTGTTATAAAACATATTCTTGATTATTGTATCAGAGTTTATCACCACTACTGAAGTCAAAATAAAGATGAATCTCTAAAGTATGCAATTTATTTGGGAATCACAGAATTGTAGTTCTGAACAAAACTGAAAACCACGGTGGTCTTCTATATGTGTGAAGGACAAAGAGAAGATTGGGGGTTTACTAGCAAGGGAAATGCTACATATTGTTTTGAAAGAAAGCTCACAGACACTAGAGAAGAATTTGGGAGCTGGTCAAACAAGCCTAATGGGAGACAAATCTTTTGAGACTTCCCAGGATCCCAACTAGAAAATCCCTTAGTCAATTTTAGGTGAAAAAGAGTTAAATTTGAATTTGATTCTGGGGAAGTTTGTCATTTGTTTGGATTCAAAAAGCCTAAAAATATTTAATTAAAGTAGAATTACATATCCTTGAGAGATAATGGTCACTTATTTAACCAGAGTAATAATGGAAAGACTTCAAAAACAAATTCAAAAGTTACATAGTCAAGAGAAAAAAAATAGTTAGACCTGTATTAGAGATGACTTAGTTTTTTCAGGTGGTCAAAACCCGAATAAAGACAGCCCAAACCACAGGAAGCTATCTTGAAACATAAAATACCTGCTTATTAGGTGGATTACTTAGAGAGAGAGAAAAAAAACCTTTTGTAGTATGACCATTTCTCTTGGTATATGCCCTTTTGAGTAAGCTGGAAATTAAACCCCATGAAAAACTACTTTAATTCAATTAGACACTGGAAGAGTGTGTGTCTAAGGTTATAAGTAAACCATATTATAGGATAATAATACACACACACACACACACACACACACACACACACACACACACACACACACAAGTAGTACCTCCACCAGGTGGAATGGATGGCTTTTAGAAAAAGTAAGAGCATGTGAAATTTCCTGGTTGCATAGAACAATTTGGATACATCAGGAAAAGCCGAGTACAGAATTCGTCTATACTGGAAAAACATTGTTTTTCCAGTTTTTTTGAGGCAAACATTCTCAGTGTCAGGTTATAATACCAGAGTGCGAAGTGGGGAAAAATGCAATAGGAACTGACAAAAAAAAAAGAAAAAAAAAGAAAATGAGAGAGAGAGTCACCACTTTAGTTAAGCAAAAAGATGTAATGTTTTAAGGAGAGAAGTAAGAGCAGAAGGCATGGATGTATTAACTGCAAATTACATGTAGTGAGATGCATAAAAAGCCAAACCCTTGAGATAAAAATCTGAAAAACTTTAAGAGGAAAACTCCACCTCCTGAAATGAAGCGATCATTTATTTTTCTTTATTGCTGCTTCTAAAAAGAAGATACATGTACAGAATGTGCAGGTTTGTTGTATAGGTATACGTGTGCCATGGTGGTTTGCTGCACCTATTGACCCGTCCTCTAAGTTCCCTCCCCTCACCCCCATATCCCCCAGCAGACCATGGTGTATGTTGTTCCCCTCTCTGTGTCCATGTGTTCTCAATGTTCAACTCCCACTGAATGAGTACATGCAGTGTCTGGTTTTCTGTTCTTGTGTTTGTTTGCCAAGGATGATGGCTTCCAGTTTCACCCATGTCCCTGCAAAGGACATGCTCTCATTCATTTTTCATGGCTGCATAGTATTCCATGGTGTATATGTAACACATTTTCTTTATCCAGTCTATTGTTGATGGGCATTTGGGTTGGTTCCAGTCTTTGCTATTGTAAATTGTGCTGCAATAAGTAGAATGATTTATATTCCTTTGGGTATATACCCAGTAATGGGATTGCAGGGTCAAATGGTATTTCTGGTTTTAGATACATGGGGAATCACCATGCTGTCTTCCACAATGATTAAACTAATGTATATCCTCACCAACAGTGTAAAAGCATTCCTATTTCTCCACAGCCTCACCAGCATCTATTGTATCCTGACTCTTTTAAATAATCACCATTCTGACTGGCATGAGATGGTCTCTCATTGTGGTTTTGATTTGCATTTCTCTGATGATCAGTGATGTTGAGCTTTCTTTCATATGTTTGTTGGCCAACTTCCTTTGAGAAGTGTCTGTTCATATCCTTTGCCCACTTTTTAATGATATTGCTCATATTAATTTTGAAATGACTGAAAATTCAAAATAAAGACAATAAAGATAAAATTATATTTTTTAAGTTACAGGTATGAAGTATTTTTGAAAGGAAAGAAACCTCCAGATTATATATATATACATATGTGTATATATTTATATGCATATGTGTGTATATATGTGTTTGTATATATAATATATAGATATTGTTTTCAACAAAAAAATTATTAGAGCCGAAGTAGTACCATCTTGAGATGTTTTTATTCAGCTTGGTATCTAAAATCATTTAGGTGACTCATTCCCATGTTTGGAAAATTTTTAAAATTTGTTGTCTACATCTGTGATATTCAGTATAGTAGCCACTAGCTACTTTTAATCAGTTATAATTAAATGAAATTTAAAATTCAGTTCTTCCGTCATACTAGCTACATTTCAAATGCTCAATAGACGCACTTGGCTAGCGGCTTCTTTATTGGACAGGGCAGGTATCACAGAATATTTAACCAGACAGCATTGATCTAAATGGTTGGTTTTTTTGTTTGTTTGTTTGTTTTTTAAACTGGAGTGCAGTGGTGCAATCTCAGCTCACTGCAACCTCTGTCTCCCAGGTTCAAACAATTTTCTGCCTCAGCCTCCCAAGTAGCTGGGATTATAGGCGCCTACGAGCACACCCGGCTAATTTTTTTATTTTTAGTAGAGACGGGGTTTCACCATCTTGGCGGGGCTGGTCTTGAACTCCTGACCTCATGATCCACCAGCCTTGGCCTCCCAAAGTGCTGGGATTAGGCATGAGCCACTGCGCCAGGCCAAGTATCTTGTAGAGAGAGTTTATATTATGATTCAGATTTCCATGTTGCCCATCTTTTTAATTAATCTTACAGACACTTAATGGAGCCCTTATTATGTCTTAAGTGCATGAGAAGTGCAAAGAGTGTAAAGACAAAAATCATGTAGCCAAATCAAGTGGTGGAGACAGACATTTAAAACATAATTGCAACCCAACATGAATTCTCCAGGGAGAGGAGAGCAAAGGACAATGAAGGCAGAAAGAATCACGCTTGCAAATCCATGAAAGCTGTGGTGTGTTTGGGAAACTCTGGGTAATTTATTTAGCCCTAGACTAGTAAAAATAAGGACTAGAAAGGTATGCTGAGGCCAGATCTTGAAAGATTTCAAATAACTGCAGTCAGGTTACATTCCAATGAATGAAAAGCCAGTTGAAACTGGTTTAAAACACAAAGGTGGTGTATTGATGTACAATGGAAAAAATCCAGCACTAGAGTGGTGAGCAGCTGTGATTCAACTAGAGCTCTGGCTGCCTTGGTCTTTGAGTCTCTCAACTCTGCCACTTTGTTCTGGTTTTATCCTCATGATGAATAAGATGTTTGCTGTAGCTTCAAGCTTTACAGACATACATGGCAATGATTGGATGAAGAGAGGCTGGCCCTCTCCAAGATTTTCTCCCAAGATTGATGAAACTTGTTCTCTAAAAACCCTCAGCAAATTTCCCTCCCATCGCATCAGCCTAGTTAAGGTTACCTGTCCATTTCTGGCCAGCCCCTGTGGCCTGAGATTATACCATGTACTAATTTGTTGAGAAACCTCAGATATAAGCCAATCACTGTTGAGAGTGTAAGAGTGCATGGAGATCAATCAGCTTTTCTCTGAAGATGGGGTGAGATTATGTGTTTCTGAGGCAAGGTGGCTACTGGAAAAGGGTGAATACCTGCGTGATAATTCAGAACTCATCAAGAGATAGAAGACTGGGTGTTAGGGGGTTAGCATTCTGAGTGGAGCATGGTTTCTGGAGTCAGACCTGAGTTGGTGTCCTTTATCCACCACTGCGTGGTGTAACTTTATGTAACTGAGCCTCAGTTTCCAAATGGAGATTATAATGGTCATTCTCTTTCATACCATTGTGAGATGTAAAGAGGTTAACGTAGGAAAGGCACTTAGAATAGTGCCTGAACCGCAGTAAGCGCTCAGCAAATATTAGCTTTAAATTCATATTCAAATATGGGAGGGAGTTTGAGCTTTATCTTTTAGAGTCTGACACTCCCATTGAAGGTCTTTTGTATCTTGACAGCTAGAAGATTTCCTACTACTTAAATAATAATAAAAGATTAGAACTCAAGTGATGCTGATGATGACAGGAAATGTGAATTAGTTGAGTAGTTGGGACAGAAATCACATGGCCCATGAAGCTGAGGATATTATCTGGCCCTTTACAGAAGTTTGCCAACTCCTGAAATAGAGGACCAGAAAAATGTCTTCTGATATAAAACACCTAAACATGTTAAGCCTGGTGCAGTGGCTCACCCCTGTAATCCCAGCACTTTGGGAGGCCAAGGTAGCTGAATCCTCCCATCTCAGACTCCCCAGTAGTTCCATATCAGCCTGGACAACATGGTGAAACCCTGTCTCTACCAAAAATACAAAAATTAGGTGACCATGGTGGCAGTTGCCTGTAATCCCAGCTACTTGGGAGGCTGAGGCAGGAGAGTGGTTTGAATCCAGGAGGCAGAGGCTGCAGTGAGCCGAGATCACACCACTGCACTCCAGACTGGGCAACAGAGTGAAACTCTTTCTGAAAAAAAAAAAAAAAAAAAAAAAAAAAAGTTTTTATAAAATAGTTTTAATGCATAGCTGAACTTGAAGCAAAATAAGGAAATTCCTAAGTGTCCCAAAATGACAAGAAAGTACACACCTACACACAAACAGAGTGAGAGAAGTTGAACAAGCACACACACAAATATGACAAATGTGTATTGAGAGCCAAATATACGTCAGGTACATATTGCTCTGTGCCTGGGGAGCAGGGGCAATAAGGTAGAAAACAAAACAGACATGGGATTAACCTCATAGATCTTAAAGTCCAGTGAGGTAGGCAACTTCTATAAGAAATAAGTGTATATTAAATATTTTGAAAAGTACTGTGAAGAAAAAGAGCAAGACGCTTTGAAAGAGAGTAACAAGTGACACCTGCTTTAGGATTATGTGCCTTGAAAAGGACTCCAGAAATAGTGCCACTGGAACTCAGGAGGAGTTAATGTGTTCACGGAAATGGGAGAGAGCATTTCTTTTAGGTAGATGCCTAGGCTCTGCCAACTTTGCTTGATTCTATCTGATTCTATTAGACAAGTTATAGAAGTATAATAATGCCTTTGCTACAAAACCAGAAATGGATAAATACTTAAGAATAAATTTTCACATCTCATCAAATGTGCGTTTTGATGCTATAGTAATTGTTCCAATTTAAAACATTCGTTTATACATATTTTCTTCTTTTCTTTTTCTTTCTTTCTTTTTTTTTTTTTTTCTTTTTTTGAGACAGGTTCTCACTCTGGTTCCCAGATTGGAGTGCAGTTCACAATCAGCTCACTGTAACCTCAAATTCTTGGGTTCAAGGGATTCTCTTGTCTCAGCCTCCTGAGCTGCTGGGAATATAGGCACACACAGCCACAGCTGGCTAGTTTTCATACTTTTTATACAGATAGGGCCTCACTATCTTGCTTATGCTGGTGTTGAACTTGTGGTCTCAAGCAATCCTCCTGCCTCAGCCTCTTAAAAGTGCTAGGATTACAAGTGTGAGCCACCACACCTGGTTTATACATATTTCAATCATTTTAATATAACAGCAAAGTCCGTTTGAGGCAGAGGACAGACTTTTATTTTTTTAATTATTGAAACATCTGTCTTGCTCTTATCACCAAGGCTGGAGGGCAGTGCATGACCATGGTTCACTGCAGCCTCATCCACCAGGCTCATGTGATCCTCCCACCTCAGCCTCCCAAGTAGCTGGGACCACAGGTGTGCAACACCATGCCCGGCTAATTTTTTTTTTTTTTTTTTTTTTTGTAGACATGGTGGCCTCACTACATTGTACAAGGTAGTCTTGAACTCCTGGTTTTAAACAATTTTCTGGTCTCAGCCTCACAAAGTGCTGGGATTACAGGTATGAGCCATCACACCTGGCTAGAGAACAGACTTTTAATAATAAAAGAAAAGTCCTTTTTATACTAAGGTTGACTTTAGGGGCCTGTCTAAAGTAAAGGTGGGTAGATGAGACTGCTTACAGAAAGCTAGCTTTGTGTGCTGAACTTGATACTATTAGAGGTTTCTTGAAAGATGTGGGAAAAAAGTTTAAAATTGCAACTGGAAGATGTTTGCTAGACTAGAAATGGAGAGTCCTAAGCACTCAGGAATTCAGCAAATGGCTGCTGGTTAGGTTTTTGTTTTTATTTTTTGGATTTAAGATACCCTCAAACTTTAGTTATTTCTGAATTGAAGATGACCAATTGATGGGTATGTTTGTATTAGTAAAATTGAAAAGCTTATTAATTTATATTTCACATTATCAAAACCCATAAAGAAATTATACTTTGCCTTTGTAACCCATATGTCAGCTTGGATATCCCTGCCCTTTAATAAAATGTAATTAATGGCATTCCCCAAGAATTGTTGAGGATTCTCAGGTGGCTAATTGTTCATGGTCATCTCTGCTGTTGCTGGGGATGGATCAGTTTTGTTTATGAATCATTTTCATTTCACGTGAGCTCCATAACAAGTCGATCCAGACCAGGTAAAGGCCTCATTCTTCATTTGTCATAAATTGAGAATCAAACAACAAAAAAGAGAGAACACGTGCCTAGGCCGGCCTAACACTCGTAGGACCTGCCTTTACATACCACACATAGACATCCAATCTTTCAATGGGTCCTCTACCCTGTCAACTGAAATTTTCTGTCTTTATTTTTCTCATCTTTTAAATCTTCCATTTACTGAAATTTAGGAGAAAATGAGGTCACTGAGTTTGTTAATTCATTTTGCTGAGTTTAGTACACAAATTCTAGGCAACATTTCACAGACCTGGCTCTTTCATGGTGTAATAAATGTGGGCTTTTGCAAACTGTTTTCCTCTTTTTGGTCTCACAGCTATGTTTTGGATAATTAAAGTTGCTAAAGTTCTAAACAGTCAATAGCAGGTTACTAGTAGGTTTTGTTCTTACATCTGCACTGGGTGGTAGCATAGGGCGGTAGAAAGAACACTGAAGCTCTAGATACTACTATCTCCTCAATCAGAGAAGTAGAGCTTGGTGGAGAGACCATAGCCTAGTTAGCTAACCCATATGAGTCTTGTTTTTATTATGCATAAAGTGGATCTGATAATAATAGCTATTTCACAGGGATTTGCAAAAATCAAATGTAATCCTAAGTATAAAATAATGTTTTATATTGTGCAATATAGATATTAGTTTTGTTATCAGTAACCTCTCATTTCTTTTACCCAGGTATGTTCTTTTGTTCATTATCCGTAAGCAAGACTCTCTACATTGCCTGTGTCAGTTTCACACTCTTATCAAGGATGTATACATTCCTACATTTTCTTTTCTACAGTTAGTCATCATTTCATTAGAAAGACATTTAGTATTCACATTTATATTATAACATTTAATTTGAAAAAAGCTTTTTGCAAGAAAGGAGAGTATAATCAGAAATTCATCTATAAAGTCCTAGGTTTCACCAGCCTGTGCCATGTGTGTTCACAGTCACTCTCCATTCTGCATGAGTTGTACTAATGTGGGAGCTGAAGGAGATAAACCCCCCAAATCAGTAGCTTAATACAAATGAAATGTGATTGTCAATCACAGTAGTTCTAACTGGTAGAAGGCGTTGCACTCCACAGTCACTCAAGGATCCATGCTGATGGAAGGTTGCCATCTTCTGCACGTGGCTTCTAAGTCATCCATCTCTCTGGATGACAATATCCAGCTGCCAATGGAGTAAAAGAGGCACTGACATAATGTGGAAGGATTTTATGGTCCAGTCCCAGCAGTGCCCATCACATCTGTCCATATTCCACTCTCAGAAGTGTCACTGGGCTACATCTAAGTACAAGGATGGCTGGAAAATACATAGCTGTGTGCCCAGGAGGAAAGGAAAATAGGATTGCTGAATAGCTAATGAGGTTCTGCCATGGCCTTCTTTTTAGGTCACCAAATATCTGCTTTCCTGTCTTTCCCACACATACAAGACACTCATTCCTACCCAAGGGTCTCATACCATTATTGCATCCAGTTCAAAGTCCAAGGTCCAAAGTCCAAAGGGGAATAGACTATCCTTTGTATCAGATTCTGATATGTCAGCTTCTGGTTTGGCATTCTTGAATAAAAAGGCCAATTTTCTGCCTCCCATGTAGGGGTAAAAAATGTCTCTCTTCTACCTCTTGTCATGGTAGAACAGTGAAAAGACCACCATAATTGAAGAAAAAAATAAAATTAAACAAATAAAGAAACCTGCTATGCAGGAAAGAGAAGACAGGCAGGCAAGCAGCAGTCCCTAGATTATAATCATAAGGAAATCCTGAGTAGCAAGTAGTGAGAAGCTCCCTACACTGGGCATGGAGAAATTCCTTAAATAGCCTCTGAATCTACTCTCTGGGAGGAACCCTCTTTTCTGTCATTTTTGGTGGTGGCTCCATCCTCTGGAAGGTTCTTATTTCTTATTCGCTGGCTGTCACCTCTGAACTGGCTGTTAAGGAGTGTGCTTTTCTTGAGGTCTTTGGCTTTATAACTCATGCTGCAAGAGTAAAGGTGAAAACTAATGGGTGTTTTATGCTGATCTGTCCCGCAGACTCTGGCCAAGCGATGAATGAAAGGAGTTCCCTGACACAGGTATTTTTCCTGACAGTGAGCTAGGGGACTGCACCACTCAGCACTGCCAATGAGAGAGTGCAGCAGCCAAAAGGAGTGCAGCCCCCTAAGCTGGCCCCACTTGAATTTATTTAGTACAGATTTAATGACAAGGGCTTGGAGCAAACACAATTTGTGGGTAATTAACATTGTCAACCCCTGCAAGTAGAGAGCAGTCCTGCACATGAATGATCAAAGGTTGGTTTCCAGAGATATAAGTAGAACAATTTATCTAGATAAGTTTCTTTACATTCCCTTGTTATCTAACCCTTGCTCTTAAGAGAATTTAACTGCCTTCAGCTAAATTCTCCTTTGAAGCTTTTGCAAAACCTCCCATTCTTCCAAGAAGATTTGTGTCTTTCCCTATAACCTTTTCTTACAACTTTTCCCACCACCCTGACCAAACTCCTACAGTTTTAGATTTAAGGTCAGTCATTTGCTGGCTCTGGGGCTGTGGAAGAAAAACTAAATCCCTCAGTTCATGCACACAGTGTGACAGCTTGGCATAAGTAAAAGACATGAACAAAAGGATTAATGAAGGAGTGAAAGAAGGAAGGAGTGTGCATTAGGCACAACATCATCTAAAAACTAAAAAAACTGGAATGCATTAAACTTGTTCACTCAACAAGTATTGGTTGAGTGCCTACTAAGTGTCAAGTGCTGGGACCAATGTGGGGGATACAGTGGAGGATACAGTGGCAACACATGGAAAGTAAAGGCAGTGAAAAGGCCATGGATTTAAAAATTAAAGGAAAAAAAGGAGTAATACATTTGTTATTGGTCTTAGCAAATCGAAAAAATGTGAGAAAATAGTGCAGCGTTTGCCAAATCTACAACTCTTTCACCCTCACTGAGTCTCAAATTAAGAATGCACAAAAGCAGAATTACTAGGAAATCAAAGTTTTATGGGTGTATTCCCTGAAGTAATAGCACTATACTGCAAAATTGGTGGAGGTCGTCTGCACATTTGAAATAACCAACCTGCACCTTTACCCCCTCCCCCAGATTCTAACCAAATAAAGTATGAAATAAGGCAGAACTCACCATGCTACACCAACTTACCAGGAATGAAGTTGATGCTGATTGGAAAAGTGTCAAGCAATAAAGAAGAGTTTGGATTTATCTTTAACATTGTCTTCATGTCACTCAAGACTTTAATCTCAGCCAAATCTACTTCCAAAACCAATCTCTTGTGCAATGATCTTGTCTGGGTCCAGGCCAAGGCTTACTTCTATTGCATAGCCACTCTCACCCTTCTTGATTTTTACTCTGAAGAACTTTCCTGTCTGGGTTAGAGTTTCCTCTGGTAGGCATCAGATTCTGCAAATATTTATTGTCTCATGTTAATCAAGACCCCCTCTAGATTCTGCTATTTAACTATTTTGACATAAACAGAGTGATTTAAATGCAGTTGTAACTTGTTCCTAAGTAGGGCCTGGTATAGCTTTTAAGCAATATATCTCTCCAGTCACACGTAATAATGAATGGATTCTAACTTACGCTAAGTACTACCGTGTTCCTGAAGGTAAATAAACCATGTCAGCTGTGTGAGGCTTATAAATTTTTCTTTAAAGCATAGTAACCAAAAATGTTACCAGTTTTCCTTTGATTACTACTATATTGCCCAGGAAGTGTCATCAAAAGACATCTGTTGTATGTATCAAAATTCATACATCTGCTTCATTCATTTCCTTTTATGGTATCACCTCTGACTTCCAGTTTCCCTACTGTCAGAGAGAAACAATTAAATGGGAGCTGCTTTGGACAACAGGATTTTTAAAAATCCAGTGGCCACAGAGAATTGGAACTGAAGAATCAGAAGAGAGGATTAATTTTCTTTCTTCTTACTAAGTTTCTTAAGTATTTTCAGAGCTCTTAAAGGGACATATCAATAGCAGGGAAAGTATCTGAATTAATGGCAGGATTCTTGAGGACTTTCTCACAAAGATAATTAAGGTGGCACTCTAAGAAAACAACCAGAGACATCACAAATAATGTATAGATATTTTTATTGTATTATTACTTATGGTAAACTTGGATCCAATTTGAATGTTCCACAATAGAGGAAAGATTCAATCAACAACAATACATACAAGTGTTAGAAGAGTATTCAGGCATTAAAAATCATGTTTTATCAAATACTAAATGACACAAAAAGGCTTGTAATATATTCAATGCAAAACCATATTCAGTATAATCTCAACTCTTAGCCCTAAATGTTCATATGATCTTGGATTAATTTTTTTTTTTCACATTTTCAAATTTTCAAATTAGAAGTATGATTATTCTACTTCTATGGTGTGGAAAAAATTACCCTCTGTAAAAGTGAAAAAGTAAGAACAGTCATCTTCTACTTTCCACGTTTTCCAAATACAATGAACACATTACACTTTCACAGTGGTAGAAAAGAAACATCTATCTTTTAAAACAGTAAATAAATCAGAATAAGACAAATTCATCATGAATTTACAAAATTATGTCATCAAGTATAAGTTCAGTTCATGTTTGTTTTGAAACTGTTTATCAAAATTAAATAGTTTGACTTATTTTTATTAGAAATATGATTCTAAGTATTCAACATTGCTTTTTAAAAAATTATCTTCTAGTTTTTCACAAAATCTGAGGAGCTGATACGGAAAGCACACCAGATCTCATGTGTTGAAATGTGAACATGCTCACCACAGACCAAGGACATTCAACCTGTCAATCCCCAGGATTTCCAAGCCAGGAGTTTCATCTCTTACTTGTGGAAAATTTGTCCATTTAATTGTGAACCAATCAGCTTTTCATTGTGTCAAAATCAAATCTAGATAGTGAAATATATATTTTATCTTTATTGTTATCTTAAATATATCTTGGCTTAAAGAGACATAAGTAGCTCTTCCCCACTACACCAGATAATGAGTTGCAAATAAATCATTCAGTAGTAAAGTTCAAAGAAAGCTTGAAAGCATTTTGAATTTCCTAGTGTCTTACAGATTTGTTTCTTTTTACAACAACCATGTCCCATGTATATCTGTTTAGGACCTTAAGTTGTTAATAATCTACTCTGAATAATTCCTTAAGAAAACATTAAGAGGACAATGTCTATACCTGGGAAATAAAACCCAAAGTAGTAGAAATTGTATTAAAAATCATGTAGTTAATTACAAATGAGTGTGAGCTTAGACACTGAAAAATGTGTCACTGAAAAAATACCAAAAATGGTCAGCCTTTTCCTGTTAAGTTACAGAAAGGTATATAATATAAGTACTTAGTACATAAGAGAAGAGTTAGAATGAGATTGTACCAGGTTCAGAATTCCTCATCCGAGAAGACCAGACAAAATTCAAGGTTTTTAGAGAGGGACTACCCTGAATGATGTCACCAGTAAGTGAGTTTATAAACAAAGACAGAGCTTGGCAAGTTGCACTGGATACTTCAAACCAGTTTCTCTGGAAAAATTTGAGTTACTCAATAAACCCTCAGTTTTCCTGAGGTAAATCAACTTTGAAATACAGTGGAGAACTCTGGGTGATAAATCACGCCGTGCTACACACTAGGACTGCAGTTCACAGAACATGATTAGATTTAAGGCAATAGAAGATAGGAACATTTTTTGAACTAGTTTATTGAATCCTTTTGAGAATATCACTGTTTGGCAGTTCCTAGAAAGCTGAGACAAATTAATCTTCAAGAGGCAAACAAATTAACTTTGAACTAAAAAACAAAAACACAACCAAAAACTTTGAATTAGAAAACATCTGCTAAGAAAAGCCCAACAATCTGACATGTTGATTATTATTTTTTAACACTTCAGGAATGCAAAGATGATTTTACTATTCAGACCTTTACATATCACACAACAGAAAAATCCTTCAGTTGACTAGTTTCCATAAACTTTGTAGCGTTATGGCAAAACAAGAGTCATCTGTGAAATACACAAATGTTTTGTACTGAGGGATATTTTCACATAACACAGGAGATGATACACTTAAATTTAGACCCCCTCAATCTCATCGTCATACTGATTATACTGTAAGCAGTGATTGGGGTGCACACATTGCATGTTTTGAAGGTATGGATGTGGCAATTCTAACGTATGTTAACATTGTTTCTGAAAAGCTAAGGTTTTGTTATTGAACTACTATTAGAAGTCGAATGTGATCCTCTTCCAATGTCTGGCGTTGCCTTCCTGTGGAATTAACACTCTTTGTGATTTAGAGTACGTGTCCCGACTTTCTCAATGCTCATAAATACCTTGTCTGTAGGAAACTTTCTTTAAGGGAAAAGCAGCTTTAGCCTGTCTCCAGTACATGGCCCTGACTTGCTTATACATGTAATCTATTATGAAGGAAAAAGAGCCATCCTCACATATCTACAAGATTAAGATATTAAGATATTAAGATATTCCCTTATTAGCTGTTCAGTGGCGGCGGGAGCAGCAGTCATGGCTCGGCTTCATTCCTGACATGGGTAATTTGTGTCTTTTCTCTTTTGTCAGCTTTTAAAACAGATTTGTTAATTGCTTTTTTCTTTTTTAACTTTTCTTTACTAGAACAGTAGAAAACACAAAAAGCAAGCATGGGAGGGAAATAATGAAGAGGAGAAAATGGGAAATAATGAAGAGGAGAAATCAGTAAGATGAAAATTTCTCCTCTTCATTATTTCCCTCCCATGTTTACTTTATTTTGTTTTCCTTTTCCTAGTTTCTTGAGTAGGGACTTTGATTGTTGACTGGACAATTTTTCTCTTTAATTAATTCAAGCATTCAGTGATATAAGAATCTCAACACTGCTTTTGGTATATCCCACATATTTTGATATGTTCTATTTTAATTTTCACTCAGTTCCATGTATTTTTAATTTCCTTTGAGATTTCCCTTTTCACCTATGGATTATTTAGAAGTATGTTGCTTACTTTTTACATGATTGGAGTTTTTCTGTTTTCTTTCTGTCATAGATTTATGGTTTTATTCCATGGTCAGGGAATGTACTCTGCAGATTTCTGTACTTTAAATTTTGTTGAGACTTGTTTTATGGCACAGGACAATGTCGGCCTTGGTGGATGTTTCATAGATGTTTGAAAATAACTTGTAGCTTGCTATTGTTGCGTGCAGTGGTTCTGTTGGTTGATTGTGTTGCTCTGATGTTCTCTCCTTGCTGATTTTCTGCATCATTGTTTTATCAGTTGCTGAGAAAAGGATTAACTCAAAATGGATCAAAGACCTAAATTTAAGTGTAAATTTCAATTTATTTTAAAGTGCAGAATTCAGTGGCATTAAGTACATTCAAATGTGGTGCACCTATCACCACTATTTCTGGAACTTTTTCATAACCTCAAACAGTAGCTCTGTATTCATTAAGCACTAAACCCTATTCTATGCTCTCCCCATCCCTAGGTAGCCTCTATTCTACTTTCTGTTTCTATGAATTTGCCTATTCTAGATACCTCATATAAATGGAATCATGCAATATTTGTCCTTTTGTGATTGGCTTATTTCACTTAACATAATGCCTTCAAGATTCATCCGTAGCAATGTGTCAGAATTTCTTCCTTTTTAAAGGCTGAATAATACTCCATTGTATGGCTATACCACATTTTGTTTACCCATTCATCTGTTGATAGACATTTGGGTTGTTTCTATCTCTTAGCTATCATGAATAATGCTGCTATGAACATTGGTGTACAAGTATCTTCTTCAGTTTTTTCTTTTTTTCTTTCTTTCTTTTTTTTTTTTTTTTTTTTTTTTTAGAGATAGGGTCTCATTATATTGCCCAGGCTGGTCTCAAACTCCTGGGCTCAAGCCATCCTCCTGTCTTAGCCTCCTGAGTAGCTGAGATTACAGGTATGTGTCACCACATCCAACTTAGTTCTTTTGAGTACATACCTAGGAGTGAGATTTCTGGGTCACAGAGTAATTCTATGTTCAGCTTTTTAAGGAATGGCCAAACTATTTTCCACAGTGGCTGCACCATTTTAAACTTCTATCAACATTGCATGCAGGTTCCAGTTTCTCCATGTCCTCACCAACACTGTTATCTTGTTATTTTCCTTTTCCCATTATTTTAATTTTTGTAATAGCCATCCCAGTGAATATGAAGTGGTAACTCAGTGTGATTTAGGTTTGTATTTCCCTAGTGACTGATGATGTTGGGCATCTTTTCATGTGCTTGTTGTCTATTTGTATATCTTCTTTGGAGAAACGTCTATGCAAATCCCTTGCCCAGTGTTAATTTGGTTGAATTTTTTTGTTCAGCTGTAGGAATTTTTGTATATTCCAGATATTAATCACTTAACAGATACATGATTTGAAACTTTCTGCCATTCCATGAATTATCTTTTTACTCTGTTGATACTGTAGTTTCCTTTTATGCACTAATGTTTAAATTTTGATGGAATCTGATTTATCTATTTTTTCTTTTGCTGCCATGCTTTTGTGGTCATGTTTAAGCAATTATTGCCAAATTCAAGTCATGAGGATTCTTTCCTATTTTTTCCTAAGAATTTTGTAGTTTTAGCTTTTACGTTTAGGTCTTTGATATGTTTTGAGTTGATATTTGTATGTGAGGTGAGGTAAGGGTCCAATTTCATTTTTTTGCATATGGATATCTAGTTTTCTCAGTACCATTTGTTAGTAAGACTGTTCCCATTCAATGGTCTTGACAGTATAGTAGAAAATCAGTTGAAAATCAATGTGAGGGTTTATTGCTGGGCTTTGTATTCTATTTCATTGGTCTATATTTCTGTCCTTATGCCAGTACCACACTTTTGATTACTGTAGTTTTGTAGTAAGTTTTGAAATCAAGAAATGTGGATCCTCCAAGTTTTCCAAGATTGTTTTAGCTAATCAGGGTCCTTTGAAATTCCAAATGAATTTCAGAATGGATTTTTCTTTTTTTTTTTTTTTTGAGACGGAGGAGTCTTGCTCTGTCGCCCAGGCTGCAGTACAGTGGCAGGATCTCGGCTTACTGCAAGTTCTGCCCCCCAGGTTCACGCCATTCTCCTGCCTCAGCCTCCTGAGTAGCTGGGACTACAGGCACCCGCCACCACGCCCGGCTAATTTTTTGTATTTTTAGTAGAGACAGGGTTTCAGTGTATTAGCCAGGATGGTCTTGATCTCCTGACCTCATGATCCACACGCCTCAGCCTCCCAAATGCTGGGATTACAGGCGTGAGCCACCACGCCCGGCCTAGAATGGATTTTTTCTAAGCTGCAAAAAAATGCCATTAAGATTTGGATAGAGATTACACAGAATTTTTAGATCACATTGGGTAGTATTGTCATCTTAACTATATCGAGTTTTCCCATCCGTGAACACAGAATATCTTTCCATTCATTCAAGTCTTCTCTCATTTCTTTCAGCACTCTTTTGTACTTTTCAGAGTACCAGTCTTCTGCCTCCTTGGTTTAATTTATTCCTATTTTAACTTTTGTGGTGTTACTGTAAATGAAATTGTTTTTTAAATTTCCTTTTCAGATTGCTTATTGCTAGTGTGTAGAAATACAACTCATTTATGGGTGTTGGTTTTGCTGATTTAGTTTACTTAGCCCTGTGTGTGTGTGCGCGCTCATGTGAAAGTAATTCTAGGGTTTTCTACATATGTCATCTGTGAAGAGAGATACTTTTACTTCTTCCCCGACAAATTGGTTATCTTTTATTTCCCTTTTTCCCCTAATTGCTCTAGCCGTAACTTTCAGGACTATGTTGAATAGAAGTGGTGAAAGTGGGTTTCATTGTCCTCATCCTGATTGTACAGGGAAATTTTTTGGTCTTTCACCATTAAGTATGATGTTAACTGTTTTTTGTATGTGGACTTTATGTTGCGGACATTCCTTTCTGTTCCTAATTTAATGTTTTTTATCACGAAAGGGAGTTGGATTTTTTTTCAAATGCTTTTTTTCTGCATTCTGTTCATGGTCCCCTGCTTTATCCTGTTAATATGGGAGTGATTGCTTGATTTTCACATACTGGGCCACCTTTTCATTCCAGGGATAAATTCCATTTTGTCATGGTTTTTAATCCTTTTATTATGCTGCTGAATTTGCTAGCATTTTGTTGAGGATTTTTGCATCAAAGTTCCTAAAAGACATTGGTCTGTAGTTTTCATTTCATTCATGTCTCCACAGTCAGACAGTATAGTGTCTCTGTCTGACTGTGGTATTAGGATAATGCTGGCTTCATAAGATGAATTTGGAAATGTTCCCTCCTTTTCATTGTTTTGAAAGATTGTGAGAAGGACTGGTGTTAATTCTCACATAAATGTTTGGTATAATTTAAAAGTAAAGCCATTTCTCCTGGGCTTCTCTTTGTTGGGAGGTTTTTGACTTACTGATTCAACCTTCTTACTTTTTATAGGTCTATTCACATTTTCTAACTCTTTTCACATTGGTTTTGGTAGATTTGTACATTTCTAGGAATTTGCCTATTTCACTGGGTTATCCAGTGTGTAGGCATGCAGTTGTTCATTATATTCTAATCTATCAATTTCTGTATTATCAGGAACAATGTCTCTTCTTTCGTTTATGATTTCAGTAATTTATCCTATTTTTTTCTTAGTAAATATAGCTACAGATTTGCCAATTTTGTTAATCTTTTCAAATAACCAACTTTTGGTTTCATTGATTTTTCTATTGTTTTCCTATTCACTATTTCATTAATCTTCACTCTAATCTTTTTTTTTTTTTTTTTTTTTGAGACAGAGTCTTGCTCTGTTGCCCAGGCTGGAATGCCGTGGTGCGATCTCGTCTCACTGCAAGCTCCGCCTCCCGAGTTCACGCCATTCTCCTGCCTCTGCCTCCTGAGTAGCCTGAGTAGCCTGCCACCACGCCTGGCTAATTTTTTGTATTTTTAGTAGAGACGGGGTTTCACCGTGTTAGCCAGGATAGTCTCGATCTCCTGACCTCAAGATCTGCCTGTCTTGGCCTCCCAAAGTTGCTGGGATTACAGGCGTGAGCCACCGCGCCCGGCCCACTCTAATCTTTATTATTTCCTTCCTTCTGCTTGGGTTTAGTTTGTTCTCTTTTTTTTTTAGTTTCTAAAAATATATAATTAAATTGCTGATTTGTAATCTTTCTTCTTTCATAATGTAGGCATTTACAGCTTACATTTCCCTCTTAGCCCTGCTTTCATTACATCCCAGAAGTTTTGGTACTTTGTGTTTTCTTTTTCATTAGTATGGAGGGGTTTTCTAATTTCTGTAGTGACTTTTTCTTTGACCCACTGGTTGTTTATGTTGTTTAATTTCCACATATTTGTGAGTTTTCCTTCTAAGAATGAGTTCTAGTTTCATTCCACTGTAATCAGACAAAATACTTTGTGATTTCAATGTTTTAAAATTTATTATCTTTTTGTGGTTTGTTCTGTAGAATTGACATGAGAAAAAATGTATATTCTGCTATTGTTGAGTGGAGTGTTCTGTTATGTCTAATCAATTAGAATGTTGTTCAGGCCTCTGTTTCTGTATTGATCTTCTCTCTAGTTGTGCTATCCATTATTTTAAATGAGGTATTGAAGTCTCCAACTATTATAGCATTGTCTGTTTTTTTCCTTCAATTCTGTTGATTTTTGTTTCATATATTTTGGGGCTCTGCTGCTAGGTGTTTATATTTTATAACTATATCTTTTTGGTGGGTTGAAACTTTTATCAAATGAGTCTTTGTGTCTTGTAATCTTTTTGATTTAAAATCTATTTTGTCTGATTACAATATGGCCACGCAGCTTTTTCTTTCTTTTTTGAGACTGACTCTCGCTGTGTCTCCCAGGTTGGAGAGCAGTGGCATGATCTCAGCTTACTGCAACCTCTGCCTCCTGGATTCAAGCAATTCCCCTGCCTCAGCCTCCTAAGTAGCTGGGATTACTGGCATTTGCCACCATGCCCTGCTAAGTTTTGTATTTTTAGTAGAGACGGGGTTTCTTCATGTTGGCCGGGCTGGTCTTGAACTCCTGACTTCAGGTTATCCAGCTGCCTCAGCCTCCCAAAGTGCTGGTATTATAGGCATGAGCCACCATGCCTGGCCTACTCAGCTTTTTCTATCAGCTATCTTTTTCCATTGTTTACCTTTGTAATGTAATATCTTTTTCCATCATTTTACTTTGAATGTCTTTGTATCTAAATGTTTTATAGGCAGCATATAGATGGATCATGTTTTTATTTGTTTATTTATTTTGAGATGGAGTCTTGCTCTGTTGCCCAGGCTGGAGTGCAGTGGCACAATCTTGGCTCAATGCAACCTCTGCCTTCTGGGTTCAAGCAATTCTCCTGCCTCAGCCTCCCGAGTAGCTGGGATTACAGGTGCCCACCACCACTCCTGGCTAATTTTTTCTGTATTTTTAGTAGAGATGGGGTTTCACCATGTTGGCAAGGCTGGTTTCGAACTCATGACCTCAAGTGATCTGCCTGCCACGATTTCCCAAAGTGCTGGGATTACAGGCATGAGCCACGGTCTGCATCATGTTTTTTAAAAAAATCTAATCTGGTCTGGGTGCAGTGGCTTATGTTTGTAATCCCAGCACTTTGGGAGGCTGAGGCAGGCAGATCATGAGGTCAGGAGTTCGAGAGCAGCCTGGCCAACACAATGAAACCCCGTCTCTACTAAAAAACACAAAAAATTAGCTGGGCGTGGTGGCAGGCGCCTGTAGTCCCAGCTACTCGGGAGGCTGAGGCAGGAGAATCCCTTGAACCCAGAAGGTGGAGATTGCAGTGAGCCGAGATTGTGCCACTGTACTCCAGCCTGGGCGACAGAGAGAGACTCCATCTCAAAAAGAAAGAAAGAAAGAAAGATAAAAGAGCTATAGCAATTAAAATGGCAGAGATGGAGCAATGGAACAAAATTTAGGTCTGAAAAAAAGCCCATGCATATTGGGGATTATGGGATGTTTTGAATGGGTGGGAAAAGGGAATAGATTGGTGTTTAGAGAACTGATTAAAAAGGTGGAAAAAAATAATTTGGCAGCTCTGTTTTTCACCATTAACAAACATACATTTCACAAGGATTTTTTTTTCCTTTTTGAGATGGAGTCTCGCTCTATAGCCCAGGCTGAAGTACAGTATGGCATGATCTTGGCTCACTGCAACCTCCGCCTCTCAGGTTCAAGCAATTCTTCTGCCTCAGCCTCCCAAGTAGCTGGGACTACAGGTGCACGCCACCACACCCGGCTAATTTTTGTATTTTTGGTAAGGACACGGTTTCACCATATTAGCCAGGCTGGTCTTGAACTCCTGACCTCATGATCCACCCGCCTCGGCCTCCCAAAGTGCTGGGATTATAGGCGTGAGCCACTGCACCTGGACAGATTTCACAAGGAATTTTTAAAAGCTAAACACTTAGGGCCGGGTGCGGTGGCTCATGCCTGTAATCCCAACACTTTGGGAGGCCAAGGCGGGCAGATCACGAGGTCAGGAGATCGAGACCATCCTGGCCAACATGGTGAAACCCCATCTCTACTAAAAATACAAAAAATTAGCTGGGCGTGGTGGCGGGCACCTGTAGTCCCAGGTAATTGGGAGGCTGAGGCAGGAGAGTGGTGTGAACCCGGGAGGCGGAGCTTGCAGTGAGCCAAGATCATGCCACTGCACTCCAGCCTGGGTGACAGAGTGAGACTCCATCTCAAAAAAAAAAAAAAAAGTTGCTGGGTTTTCTGTCTGTGTGTGCTCTCTTCACAGGTGAGCTGCAACACACTGTAGTTAGATATGCTTAGTCATTAACGAAACTGCCTTCTTCCTTTTCTGTTTTGTGGAGAGGACTCTGCCTTGCTAGGGATGTATCTCCTCAACAGCTCTCATTAGAGTCCTGTAAGGAACTGCTCCCACTGTCCTTGTTCACAGGTGAGGAACCTGGGCTAGGAAGGCCCAGGTGAGCAGGCTAGTGGGTGTCAGAACGCACTTACCTTCCTGAGCCACCGCGGACCACAGGCCTTCCAGATGCCCTTGCTGGAAGCACCTGTGGTGTCCTTCAGGTTCCTGTGACTTGATCTAAAGTTGTGTAGCTGGAGAAAGCCTGCGGAGGAGGTGCTTTGTAAACTGGGAAGTGCTACAGAAGACTTAAGAGAGAAGAAATGCCAATGAAATGTGTCATCTCAGGCATTTGTTGATGGTCTGAGGAGTGAAGCTGTGATAAGCCCTGGGCCACCTGGAAACCCTCCCTGCTGCCTGCCCGTGGAGGCCAGAACACCAGCTGGGCACCCTACCTGACTGTTCTGTAAAAGGGAAGCCACATCTGACTGCTGCAGGGAAACCAATGATTGTGTCATCAAAATCTTAAGGAGAAGGCTAGGCCAAGACTTAAGGAGACGGATCCAAGACGGTCCTAAATGGGAGGACCCTGGGTCAGGGCAGACCCCCGTTCCTGCCATCAGTTAGAAGTGAGATGAGATTGGAGATAACCAAGGAAACTCCCAACTCTTTAGTTTTAAAACTGATTTTTGGCCATGACCTGATTTTGAAAAGCCATAAGGTAAGGCCAGGTGCAGTGGCTCATGCCTGTAATCTCAGCACTTTGGGAGGCCGAGGCCAGCAAATTGCTTGAGCCTGGGAGTTTGAGACCAGCCTGGGCAACATGGTGAAACCCTGTCTCTACAAAAAAAATAAAAAAATTAGTTGGGCGTGGTAGTGTGTGCCTGTAGTCCCAGCTACTTGGGAGGCTGAGGTGGGAGGACTGCTTGAGCCCGGGAGGCAGAGGTTTCAGTAAGATGGTGCCACTGCTCTCCAGCCTGGGCGACAGAGCGAGACTCTGTCTCAAAAAAAAAAAAAAAAAAAAAAAAAAAGCCACAAAGTGTATCTTTTTGGAGAGAATATTTGTTGGTGGGCCCCTGACACGGGTGTTTTAAAACCCTTCTAGACGATTCTCTTTTTTTTTGAGACAAAGTCTCGCTCTGTTATCCAGGCTTGAGTGCAGTGGCGCCATCTCAGCTCACTGCAACCTCTGCCTCCCAGGTTCAAGCGATTCTCCTGCCTCAGCCTCCCAAGTAGCTAGGACTATAGGCACATGCCACCATGCCCGGCTAATTTTTGTATTTTTAATAGAGACGGGGTTTCACCATATTGATCAGGCTGGTCTCCAACTCCTGACTTCATGTGATCCATCCGCCCCTGCCTTCCAAAGTGCTAGGATTACAGGCGTGAGCCACGGCTGGGAAGGAGACCCAAGGCTCACTGCCCAGGGGCAAAGGCTGTGCAGATGGAAGGGCCAGGCTAGAGGAGGTGACCAGCCTAATAAGTGATTGGTGAGTGGCAGAGTGGTGCTGTAATCTATCTGTCCTGACTCCAAAATCTTTCAGAATCCCCAAATCATGCAAATTACCTTAAAGACCACGAGACTTCCACAGACCATGCATGGGTCTTATATTCTTGGCTGAGCTCTCTCATTTGATCTTCACTGTAGTCCTATGAAATTGGCACCTGTACTTTGATCTCCGTTTTCTGGATGAGAAAAATGGGGACTTTGCCATATTAAGCAACGTGCCCAGCAGCACGCAGCCAGGAGCCCAGAAAGCCTGACGCTGGAGGCGCCCCTGCGTGAGCTGCAGCGCTGAGATGTGCTGTGAGTATAAAATTCTCACCGGATTTTGAAAACGTAGTCCTAAAAACAAGTAAAATATCTAATGAACAATTGTTCATATTGATTAATCGGTTAAATAATATTTTTGATACACTGGGTCACAAATCAATCTCATGTCTTTTTGCTTTTTCAACGTGGAAACTGGAAAATCTAAAAATGTGGGTTGTGTCTTCTTCCCAGTGGACAGCGCTGCTGGAAGCCTGCCCCTCCCCGCGCTCGGTCCAGGGACGCTGGCGTTTCTGCGCAGCCGTGCCAGCAGCCGCGAAAGCGCCAGGCAGGGCTCAGGCTTTCTGTTTGGGATTCATGTCCAGGTGCCGGCCTGATCCTGAGCAGGCGCTTCAGGTGCCCGAGAGTCCATTCCCAAATCTGAAGAAGGGGCGAGGGACTCTCCTCACAGAGAAGCGTCCAGCACAGCGCTAGGGAGGGCGGGGGTGCGGGGTCCGGTTGGGAGGACGACGAAGGCGGACGTGGCGGCGCTCAGGGAGGCTCGCCCAGGGCCCGTGCGCGTTCCAGACCCCCGGCGAACGGAAACGGTAGAACCTCCCTAGAATTGACACGAAATAAGCCACGTAAGGGGCTGGGAGAGGAGCCATGTAGAAACTGATACAGTGCTGCCGGCGAACCGGGTGGCCGCCAGAAGATTCCTGCGGGCCGCACAAGTCTCAGGGGCTGTGGGGAGGGGCCAGGGGCCCGCAGGGCTGCCTGTCACTCTGGCCCCGCCCCGCCCCAACGCCGCCTGCTGCTGTCACCGCTATGCTATGACATAGGATATATGTCCTATGATATAGCTGGGCCATAGCTATGAAAACACGGCAGTGCTTAAGTAGATCAAAGCGGCTGTTCAGAAAGTATGGGCTCCTCCACGGGTGCAGTTCGCAGAGCAGCTCTGGGGAGACACGCTGAGTCGTCTGTCAGCACGAGGGGACTGGTGGGCACCGGAAAATGGGGATGAGAAGAAGGGCGTTAAGGGGCGTTGGCGCAGGTGACAGGCTGCAGATCAGCGCCCGAGGCTGCAGCACACTCCCACCGCGGGCCGGAAGGGCAGGGACTGCACGGGTACCCTGGGGACAGAGTGCAAGTGACCCCCTGTCCGCCACCCCAGAGTACAGCGTGTAACTGTACACCCTGGAGGTTCCCCAGCCAACCTCCTGGGTTTCAGGCAGGTGGCCAGGGTGGGTGTGGGTCCGAAGGGAGACCCCAGCCAGGGCGCATTGGCTGCAGCCCTAAACCCCCGCAGGTCTGTGTAGCTCCCCCAGCCACTCAGCCGCCCTAAACAAGGAAGCTGGAAGCAGACATCCCTGGGTGTGTTCAGCTGCCCAAGGCCACCAGCACCTTGTGTGTTTCCTTCTTCCTGCTTGGCAGGGAGCAGCTGGAAGCCATCTTGTCCTGAGACTGGTTGTTTCATGGCCGCAGATGGCTGCACTCCACCAGGAAGTAGAAGGAACACAGGCCGCCTTGCAAGCCTGTCTTGTGTGGAAGAAACCACTTCCCTAGGAGACCAGAACTAAGTCACTTGACTCCTCTCAGCTGCAAGAAAAGTGGGCAGCCCTGATGGGCACACCCTCGATTCCCATCTGAGGCTGGCACGGTTGCTGCCGGGTGGGTGGGAGGTATGTCAGCAAGTGGGGGTGGCTGGGTGGGAGGACACTGTGAGGGCCTGGGTCACCAGTGACCCCAGAAACTGCAATGCACTCCAGGTAGGTAGTCTGCATTGCTCATCACAGTTTTTCAGTGCCCTAGAATGCCTGGCAAAGAATCTGCTTTTAAACACAGGTTAAACTATGATGACGCTCAGTCGATGGGAGCTTGTCATTTGGGCAGAAAGTATGCAGTCCACTATTGGGGCTTCTGGGACTGAGATATGGGAACACTCACATCTTGGGCTTGGAGAAAGATCCCAGTTACAACTGAAGTGATTCTAAAGTACCAGGTTAGCTCATCTTCTAGCATTTTTTCCTCCTAAGTAAAAGGCTTTAAAAGCATGAAAGATTTGGGCTCCTTAGCAGGGCTTGAGCCTTCAGAGGTGGAAGTGATCCACCCAGCTAACCACCCCACACGAGCCAAGCAAGTGTTAAACTCTTCCCAAAAGAGCCGCTTGGCAGGACACCATCTAAGGGCAAAGGCTTTAGAGGTGGGTGAGTTACACTATGCTCAGTGGTGCTGCGGGCCCAGAGCACTGCCATGGTCTCCCAAGCTTGTCAAGATCCTAGTTACCCAGAGCATTCACAGCCTACTGTTTGCACTAACTGAAAATACTTAAGTGAATGAGAAAGTCCTCATTCATCCCTTGGACAAGGAGGAAGCCCCATGGCACGCACTGTAGACCCTGCTCCCAGGTTGCCATCGTTCTGTTTACTGGCTCTCGAATAGTTGAAAGTCCACTTAATAATAAAGTCATCCAGCGCGTTTCTCCTTGTCACACACAGAGCTATCATGAGGGAACCTTGTAAGTGCCTCGTTGAAAACCTGGAGCACTCTAGCTTTGTCACAGTGTTTCCCAACAGTTGGGCCTGGGAGCAACTCTGTGGAAGGAGGTTCTGTGGTGACATCACTTTGGAGAACTCTGACTATGAGATTCCTCTTTTGGAAAGATATAGTATACCTTCATGTATCAACAGCTGTATGTCCCTTTGAAAATAAAACTCTTTAACAGAAAACTCCATTCCTTTTATTCATGTAATATTAATTAACATCTATGGTGGGCAAATTAATGGCCCCTCAGAGATGTCCCTGTCACAATTGCTGGAATCTGTGACTATAGTGGTTTATATAACAAAGGGGAAATCAAGGTTGCAGGTAAGATTAAGGTTGCCAACTAGCTGATCCCAGATAAGGAGGGTATACTGGTGACTCAGGTTGGCCCAGTGGAATCACAAGGGTCCTCAAATGTGGAAGAGGGAGGAAGAAAGTCAGTCAGAGGAGAGACGATGACGGAAGCAAGGTCAGAGAGAGATTTAAAGATGCTATGCAGCTAGCTTTGAAGATGGAGGAAGGGGCCACAGGCCAAGGACTGCTGCAGCCACTGGAAGCTGGAAGACACAGGATACAGATTCTCCCCTAGAGACCCCAGAAGGAAAGCAGTCTTGCTGATTCCTTGAGTTAGTCAAGTGAGATGCATGCGGGACTTCTGATCCCCAGGTCAAATGTCTAGTGTGGCATCCGCATGTTCGGGAGAGAATCAGGGGCCTAGACAACATACCAGACATTTGACCTAGAGCTAAGATGGGGAGTGAGAGCAGGCATGAAGATATGGTCTGAGATCAACATGGAACTCAGGAACAACAGGCAGCGCTTGCCTGCCTGAGACACTCACATCTGTGTGTGAGGTGCCCATGGTGTGAGCACACAGTCAACCTCTGAGTTGTCAAGGAACCAACCACAGCAACTGCTGTGAGCAGAAAGTCACGAGCTTGTGCTCACTGTTGCTGCCATGCAAACTAGCAAACTAGGCCCCTCTTTCCCCGATCCTATTTTTAATATCTCTGACAATGAAACAGTGTGTGCTAACCCAAAGAAAAGGTAAGTCATGTCCATGGATAACCTTGGATTTGAGATGATCCCTTTTGAATGCTGTGCTCCTGTTTCTCCATGTCCACCCACTCTCTGGAGAGCAGCCAGGCAGATAACGTGGGAACGTGGAAATGTAAAGTGGAGACTCATACCCCCACTTCCAGTAGTAACGATTTCTTAAGTTTTTCCAGCTAGAGAGTAGGTGTACTCTGGAAGCTGGGGAGCTGCAACCAGGCTTAGGGGCCATGGTTGTCACCCAGCACCTTTGCCATTTGCTTGTCAGAGTTCTCCCAGAGCTGGTGCTTTTATCCAGGAGGTTCATTCCTAAGAATATTTATCTTACCCACTGCTTAATTTTGGGTAAGAGACTCTGGAAAGAAACCATTTCTTGTACTTTGCTAAATCATCATCAGTAGTCAGTGGCCTCTAACACCAGGCTCTCCACCCAGTGTCCATTGCTGACAGCCCTGCCGAGCCGGAGGCCCAGCATCTGCTCAGTGTGGCTCCAGGCATTTGCAGTCTTGCTGACCTGGCAGGGGGCTCAGGGCAAAGCCGCAAACAGGCTGTGTCCAGGAAGCTCCTCTGTTGGCTTGAGCACCATCTAAACTGAGCTCATTCAGCAGAACAAAAGTGTCAAGCCAACATGTAGTTCCTTTAGTCTCTTGCATTCCCCAGACCCTGGCGTGTGCACTTCTGGGGGTGATGTAATAATTACAGAGTACTCTGATGAAAATATTTTTATTTTATTAATTGTACTGGTATTTGTGATGTGAAAAGTAAAAAGAAGGATCAGATGACATCCAAAGAAAAATGTTAAGAAAAACAGAAAAAAATCAGAGACAGCCACGACAAACATGACATAGTTGTGCCCTGTGACTGATGCTGGGGCACCCGGATAGGAAGGAGGGCTCCTTTCCAGTACATGGGGTAATGTCCAGTGAATACCTTCTCTCAGAGGACACGTGCACCTCTGCCCACTTGCTTCCATCCCTCTCCACCTCTGGGCACATTATCTCCTGATTAAGTTTATTGGTAAAAGGGTCTCCTGCAACTCCACCTGTTACACATCGCTGTTTCTATTTTTCCATATTCTTTTCCGGGAAGAGGCTATTTGCATGAGGAAATTTGCATATTTCTCTGTGGCTGTTATTCTCATGTAGCGAGTTTGCATTTGGCTTATTTCACTCAATATTGTATCGGAAGCATTTTCCATGGTGCATATCATCCCAAAATAATTCTCAACTGTAGGGGTTGGTTGTTTCCTGTTTTTTAAAAGTTTTTAAATTTTTTGTAGAGACGAGGTCTCACCGTGCTTCCCAGCCTAGTCTCAAACTGCTGGGCTCAAGCCATCCTCCTGCCTCAGCCTGCCAAATGCATAAGCCACCCCACCCAGCCTGTTTCCTTTGCTTTTTTTTTTTTTCTTTTTAAATGAATACCACTGGACACACAGCTCTTGCCTTCTGTTGAACTTTCAGTTGTTTTTGGAGAATAAATTATTGCAAGTGGGTCAAAGCGCATAAATGTTCACACTTCTTAAGTGCCCACCCCACTAAGCTTGAGGCCTCTTCACCCATAGAAACAATGGTGACCTTTGTTCTCAATATGCAAAGGACCTTATCAAAGAAACTTTTCAATCAATGAGATAAAAAAAAGTGGAAAAATGATGAAGGATATGAATGTTACTTCAGAAAAAAAGAATACACTTGGTCACAAGCATATGAGACATACTCAACCTCACTGATAATTAAAAACTTGCAAATTCAAGCAAAAAAATAAAAAAGTCTTATAAGCAAGGACTGAAAAGTTTGGTAATAGCCCCGATGGTAAGGTCTGGGGAACAGTCACTGTCATTGTGCTCTGCAGACATGTCAATGGACAAAGCTGTAGGGGAGGATAACTTGGCAACCACTGTCCTCAGTGCTGGGGACAGCAGCACTGTCCAGTAGCACTTCCTGCCACCGTGGAATGTTCTGGACCTGGATCCAGCATGGCTGCCACAAGCCATGTGTGCTTACTGAGCAATTGAAATGTGACTGGTGGAGGCTGGGCATGGTGGCTCATGCCTGTAATCCCAGCACTTTGGGAGGCCAAGGCAGGCAGATCACAAGGTCAGGAGATCGAGACCATCTTGGCTAACATGGTGAAACTCTGTCTCTACCAAAAATACAAAAAATTACCAGGTGTAGTGGCGGGCGCCGGTAGTCCCAGCTACTCGGGAGGCTGAGGTAGGAGAATGGTGTGAACCTGGGAGGCGGAGCTTGCAGTGAGCTGAGATGGCACCACTGTACTCCAGCGTTGGCGAGAGTGCGAGACTCCGTCTCAAAAAAAAAAAAAAAAAAATGTGACTGGTGCAATGGAGGGACTGGATTTTTAAAATTTTTATTTGCTTTTAATAAACGAATTGAAATAGCCACACATGGCTAGTGGCACCTGTATTAGATAAGTGACACCTGCATAAGGATGCTGGCTCTAGGAAGCCCAGCAGCCTGTGATGGGTCTGCTTTGAGAACAGGGCATAGCTGAGTGCCCTATGCTGGGCTGTGGCTAAGCCAGCTGAGTTAAGCACATCTCAGGGAACTTTGTGTGCAAAACAAGAAAGAGGAATTGAAAACAGAGAAATAGTGGGAAGAGGCAGAGGAGAAGAATGAGAATTGCCTGTTGCCGTTTTTGAAGTGTGGCCTCCAGGCCTTGCAGCTGTATATCTGAATGGCCATGAGCAGCACCCCGGGCCTGTGTGAAGTCTGGCTGAGTGGCCACCGAGAAGGGTCTTTGCTGCCTCAGGTCCCAGATGTGGCCATCAGTACTTGTCAGAACCAGAGCAGGGGACTGTGCCTTACAGTTGGTTAGCTGGATCAGCTAACCAACACTCTCTGGCTGTTCCTGGCTCTTACATGTGGAACCAAAAATGTTATTGTATAGTTTGGTAAAAACAAATCATTACCTCATACATGATGGCTTACAAATCTGGATGCAATGGATTTGCACAAAATGAAGCATAGCTTAGTTTCTTCATGATCTGGCCTAGTGTAAAACGAGGGGATGCTGTTTGTCATGTCAATGACGGGGTGGGAGAGAGAGTGGCCACTCTGCCAGTGGTTTCCTGCACCATCTGTGGTGTGCACTAGCATTTCCCAAAGGGAGCAATATATTGGACCCTTTTCAAGGCAAATAGTATTGACAATGCCTGATAATTCATCTAGGGACCCTAGTTAAGTGTTCTATAATTATTAAAGAGAGTTAGAATTGTAAGCCAATTTTAGTTGACATATACATATATACATATATACACATACATATATTTTAACCTTTAAAAAATTCTTCCTGGCTGAACGCGGTGGCTCACGCCTATAATCTCAGCACTTTGGGAGGCTGAGGGGGGTGGATCATGAGGTCAAGATATCGAGACCATCCTGGCCAACATGGTGAAACCCTATCTCTGCTACAAATACCAAAAAAAAAAAAAAAATAGCTGGGTGTGGTGGCAGGCGCCTGTAGTCCCAGTGACTTGGGAGGCTGAGGCAGGAGAATTGTTTGAACTTGGGAGGTCGAGGTTGCAGTGAGCCAAGATCATACCACTGCACTCCAGCCCGGGCAACAAGAGTGAGACGCTGTCTCAAAAAAAAAAAAAGTTCTTCCATTCTTTTCATTTATTTTGATCACATGTATTACTTCCAAATATAGTCATAAGAGAGACAGATGCTAGATATGTGGATAGGCATTTTCTACCCCAAGGGTATGTAATATTCCATATTTTCAGATATACCTCTATAATTTTTTTAATATTTAGCTTTTTTTTTTTTTTTGAGATGGAGTCTCACTCTGTTGCTCAGGCTGGAGCGCAGAGGCACGATCTCGGCTCACTGCAAGCTCTGCCTCCTGGGTTCACGCCATTTTCCTGCCTCAGCCTCCCAATTACCTGGGATTACAGGCACACGCCGCCCAGCTAATTTTTTGTATTTTTAGTAGAGATGGGGTTTCACCATGTTGGCCAGGATGGTCTCGATTTCCTGACCTTGTGATCTGCCCGCCTTGGCCTCCCAAAGTGTTGGGATTACAGGCATGAGCCACCGCACCCGGCCCTAAATGTTTAGCTTTTAAAAATTCCTTGTGAAATCTGTCCAGGTGCAGTGGCTCACGCCTATAATCCCAGCACTTTGGGAGGCCGAGGCGGGTGGATCATGAGGTCAGGAGTTCAAGACCAGCCTGGCTAATATGGTGAAACCGTGTCCTTACCAAAAATACAAAAATTAGCCGGGTGTGGTGGCGTGCACCTGTAGTCCCAGCTACTTGGGAGGCTGAGGCAGAAGAATTGCTTGAACCTGGGAGGCGGAGGTTGCAGTGAGCCAAGATTGTGCCATACTGTACTTCAGCCTGGGCTATAGAGCGAGACTCCATCTCAAAAAGAAAAAAAAAAAATCCTTGTGAAATGTATGTTTGTTAAGGTGAAAAACAGAGCTGCCAAATTATTTTTTTCCACCTTTGTAATCAGTTCTCTAAACACCAATCTATTCACTTTTCCCACCCATTCAAAACATCCCATAATTCCCAATATACATGGGCTTTTTTTCAGACCTAAATTTTGTTCCATTGCTCCATCTCTGCCATTTTAATTGCTATAGCTCTTTTTTCTTTCTTTTTTTTTTTTTTTTTTTATTTTTGAGATGGAGTCTCACTCTGTCGCCCAGGCTGGAGTGCAGTGGTGCAATCTCGGCTCACTGCAAACTCCACCTTCCGGATTCAAGCGATTCTCCTGCCTCAGCCTCCCGAGTAGCTGGGACTACAAGGCACCCGCCACCATGCCTAGCTAATTTTCTTTAGTTTTAGTAGAGAGGGGATTTCACCATTTTGGCCAGGCTCGTCTTGAACTCCTGACCTCGTGATCCACCCGCCTCGGCCTCCCAAAGTGCTGGGATTACAGGTGTGAGGCACTGCGCCCGGCCTTAATTGCTACAGCTCTTAAAATTTAAAGCTGTTCCTGGACATTTTCTCTCACAGATGAATAGTAGAATCCATTTGTCAAATTTCATTTTCAAATTATTTTGGTAACTTGATTAAATATGCAGTATTTTCTAAGCTGACAAAGAACACAATATAGTCTGAAGGTGGAGGTGAGTCAATGGGCTTTCCTCCCTCACTCCCCAAACAGCCCCCATTTCCACATGGCCTCCCTCTGACATGCAGCCCTGGTCACTGGCCAAGAGCAATCTGTCTGCCCATGCCAGAAGCCTTCCTCTCCCTCACTTTCTAGTTTTCTTTATGGCATTGGTCAGCAACAAATAATATGTCAACATTATTTATGCATATTTTAGATTTATTGTCCATCTCTTCTTGCTATAAGTGAAAACTTTGAGTTAAAAAGGGCAGAGCTTTCATTGATCTATTCACTGATCTATCTGCAAGGCATATCATAGACACTGAATATTCATAGAATGAATGAGTGAATTTGGAGTGATGGCATTTGAGATGTGAAATTTGCCATCTTATTTGAACACCAACCTTGGTTTTAGGGCTAACTCCCCTCCAGGGGTAAGATCCCTGGGAAGGTGCTCTCTGTTGAGGAAGAGCAACTTCCCCATGGAGAAAGGCCTTTGTTTGGTCAACACCACATCATTTCATTTAATTTGATCTTCTCAACAATTCTGGAAGGAAGACAATGCAGATTCACCTGCAGGTGGGAATGTAAATTGGTACAACCTTTTGGAAAAAGAGTTTGGTTTAATGTGTCTTAACCATGTTCTCCCCTACCCCTCAGTCAGAGACCACCAGAGCACACTGTAGGCTAATAAACTGGGCTTGTTCCTCATTGCAGCAAGGAAGAACGCATACCCTGGGGAGCCTTGTGTGTCCCACTCAGTAAGGTTGTTAGAAAGAAACGATGATAGGATTAGGGCTTGGGTGACCTGCAAGGGGGTTTGAGGAACCCGGGCTCTGCTTGGATGGATGCTGTCAGGAAGTGGGGCTAGCTCTAGGGTTGGGGGTCTTTCTTTACAAGCAGGAGGAAGGAAGCCAGGCAAGAGCTGCCCAGCAAGGCAGCCGCCATGCTCAAGCAGCCAGCACAGGGCATCGTGGCTTCTGTGGCGGGGATGGTGCATTTGTGCTCAGATGTGAGTCCAGAGGGGCTTGGTCCTGTCTCGATCCCTCATGGTCGGGGTGGACTTGCCTGACATGTTATGTTCCATGACATAGTTTACATTCAGCAGAATACCAGGGCCCAGCTCCTGCATGTCAGGGGCTGCTGTTCTCTTTCTCACTGCCTTTTAACCCAAGGAGTCCACTTTTGGGCATCAATCATAAGCAAATAGATACACACGCAAATGAAAAATGTAAGGCCGGGTACAGTGACTCACGCCTGTAATCCCAGCTACTCGGGAGGCTGAGGCAGGAGAATCGCTTGAACCTGGGAGGCGAAGGTTGCAGTGAGCCGAGATTACGCCACTGCACTCCAGCCTGGCGACAGACTCAACAAAAAAAAAAAAAAAGAAAGAAAGAAAAAATGTATGTACATCTCACCATTATTATTAACAGAGAAAATGCCCTCCATATATAGGTGCAGTAAAGAAGTTTTACAAAGCAAATACGTGCCACAGGCCATGCTGGGCAGGGCAGAGTGCAGACAAGGCTGAGGATGGCATGACCACGAGTGGCCACCATAAGCTGGTGTGTGATGCAGCCCTACAAAGATGGCTCACTGGCCCAGAGACACTCAAGGACAGTGCTAAATAGAGAAGTGAGACATACGACTATAAATATAGTGTACTATCAGTCATGTAAGGGAAAATCTTTATTCATTCAACAAATACTTCCTGAGGACTGACTCCCTAGGGGACAGACCTGCCCCTTGTCCGTCTTTTCACTGTGATGATGGTATAGGGAGATGACATAGAATGTCCTAGAGGGAGACTGGCTAAGTTCCTGGACCTGGCTTCATGAGGCATAACTACCAGCTGCTGAGGTCCAGAAATTGGATGTTTTCCCCATATACTCCAAATTGATGACGCTTCTGAGGACCAAACAATGACAACCAAGTTCGTGTTTTGGTGACTGCCAAGAGGGTATGGGCACAGTTGTAAATCCACTCTGTTGACTGCCAGCTGGGGATGACTTCTCCAGTGAGAGGACAGCTCAGTCGTGCTCAGGAACTTTCTGGTAGCAGAAAGACCTAATATTCGGCCTTGGCAGGGGTCAGGCTGGCCCCAGAATTAAAGCCAGGTGAGAAGGAGCATCTTGGACGAGAGTCACCAGGTCCCAGAGGGTGAGAGCAAATCCTGGGCAGGCTCCTGATCTAAAGGATGGATTTTAGGGGAGTCCCCAAACAGTCCATGTCCTTTCAGGTGACATGTTTTACATTTCATATCTACTGTGTAAAACAAATTATTCCCAATCTTAGAAGCTTGAACAACAATACTTCTTATCTCACAGCTTCCCTGAGTCAGGAATCTGGGTGTGGCTATTCGGGGTCCTCCAGAACAGGGTGTCCCATGGCATCTCAGGCACAGTACAACCCCACGTCTGGGTCTACTCATCTCCTGCAACGTATACTTTACATTCTGCTCTTTTTTTTTCCAGCAAGGCCTTTCCATGTCCACATCTAAGCACACACAGCAAGTTTCTCCGCTTGCTTTTTAAGTCTGAGTATTCTGGGTAATCCAGTAACTCCTGGCCCTCAACTTCCCAACTCCTGACTGGGAGACCAATCTGATCCACCTGTGCTGGTCGCAGGCCGGTGCCTGAGCCATGGCCTGTCCAGCAGGTCAGGTGAGCGGCTGCACATGCCCCCAGTACCCTGCACAGCATCCCCTCCTTCCTCGCCTCCCACTTGCACCCTGCTCTCTGAGTGTGCCTAGCCCTTGGCACGTCCTTTAATGCCAACAATTCCTTCCAGACCAGAGACACAGGCAGGGGCTGAATGCATGCCACCCCCTCGCAGGTCCATGGGGTTGAAAACTGGCCTTGCCCCCAGCCTGCCCTGTCCCAACACCCTGGCTCCTCCTTCCACACATTCCGAGTGTCACCCCTGTGGGTGTGAATGTGGGAATGAAACCAGGTGGAGACAAAGCCACTGAAGCAAATTCTGTCCCTTAAACCTGTGGAACCAAAGCAAGACTGGCAACTCTGACTCTCCTGTGCCTGCTCTGCCCTCCCAGTGACTCTAGCTCCCTAAGCTGGAACCCAGATACAGCTTCAAAGGGCATCCAGAGGCCACACAGGATGTGGGCTTATCTCTTGCTCTCATGCGGGGGAACAGCTTCCCAGTGTGAATAAGACATTTGATCAGCCAGTCCTGCTCAGAGCCCTAGATCCACCCTGCTCTTGCTAACCTGAAGAACAGACACTAGGCTGGACATGGTGGCATGTGCCTGCAGTCCCATCAACCTGGGAGGCTGAGATGCGAGGACTGCTTGAGCTCAGGTGGCCGAGGCTGCAGTGAGCCATGATCCAGCCACTGCACTCCAGCCTGGGTGACAGAATGAGACGCTGTCCCTAAAAAAAAGAACAGACACTGCAAGAAGCACTCTATCTTGTTATAAATTTCACCTGCCAAGAACTCCCTGCTTTGACCTGCTTGCCTGCAGGTCATTGGCCCTGAGCAGGTAGTCAATGTTCTTTTACCACTTTGTAGTCGCACCTCCATTTCTGTTGCCCTTATCCTTCTTCACATCCACTGGTAACTGTCTCCTGACTGAGTTCCTCACCACCACTACCTGCATCCTCTCCCCTTTCCCTCATCTAGGAAACATGGTGCTTTCTAGTTCTAACATATCATGATTTTCTGTCTCTCACCTACCCAAAACACCATGTCCTCAATTCCACATTAAAGCTAGAACTAGCTATTCATCTTAGAACCACAGAACTCAGCTATCTAGAAGAAAACAGTGTTGTGCGTCTCTCTTCAAAACTACATATATCAAGAAGCTTCAGATTTGGGGAAAACATAAAAATAGCTGATGTTGGAAAGAGTAGGGGTGGGGCATTGGGGAGGAGAAAGAAGGAGCCAAAAATTGGTAGGAGATGGCCATGAAGCATATTCTGTCTTCCAGCAAATGGTGAAGCCATTCTAGAAATACACTAATTACTCCACTCAGTCCTGGGGAGTCTAAATTTCTTTGTAATACATCTCCAACTAGAGGCATTTATCAGACATAAAATCCCCTAGACATCTAACTTGCCTTTCCAGGAAAAAAAAAAAGACAAATATAATTTAACAATAAACTTGTGTAGGAAGACAGACACTAATGGTGAGAGCTGCACATAGTTGGTGTTAATGGTAAATTTCTTGAAGTCTGATTATTCTAGTGTAATCAAAATCCTCCTCAATTCAAATAGCTCTTAGGCTCTCTTGACCCATCACTAGACTGCCTGAAAAGCAGGAAAGTTCAGTCACTTAGAGAACACATCTTAGGCACACTATTCTGTTGCTGGCACATGGGACACATGAGCTGATGAATTGAGTGTGCCTATGGGGTCAGGTTTGTCTAAGCAAAATCAAACGAACAAAGGCCTCTGAATGAGTAGTTGCCAGCGGCCTATGCAGCGACTACTTCCTCCCCACTCACTCAGCAACTTGGGCCACATTTCTGTATTGCAGGGTTGGAATGGACTTTGTTCAGCCTCAGTGAGGAAGGGACCAAACACATTTGTCCCAGGTTCAAGGAGATCATGAGATTCTCCCATTTTCCAAATGTCAACACTGGGGATGGTGTGTATACAGTAGGCACATTTCTGGGGAAGTCGGCTATCTCACCAAAATATTGCAAGTAATTGTTGATATTCTGGATGCTGACTGCTTAGAGGCATCTGCTGTACATATGACAATGCAAATTTGAAACATTGGCTGGCAGTGGCAGAGCTACTGATCCCAAACCCTGGTGGGGCTCTTTGACTGGTTTGAAGGTCAGGGTGGAGAAAGTTCAACTTTAGAGCTCTTTCCCACCAAGCTTTTCTTTTCTTATTAAATTCAAAAAATGTTTATTGATCAACAACTCAGTGCTAAACCTATGGGAGAACCCAAAGACTTAAAAACCTGGGGTCCTGCTCGCCAAGACATGTTAAATGAGATAATATAAAAATTCCCATTTCTGGTACCTGAAAAAGGCTTGGGGCTGGAGAGGTGACATCGTTCAGCTTGCTGACCTCATCAATCATCTGTCCCCAGACAGGCAGACAGATCTGTTGGAGAAGTCATCCTCAAAAGTAAGGCTGCAGAGCCAGGGTCTGTTTGAGAGCAATGGAATCCAATGGAAATCACTTCTCAAGTACACTTTATGTTTGGACATTTCTCAGCTCTTAAAGCTTCTGACATTGATTGGATGCTGGTATGGCTTTATAAACACTTGTCTTTTTCATACACTCTTAAGGATTCATGTCTCCTCGACCATTTTGTATATTCTAAAATAACTATGCCATAAAATAAATGAAACAATTCCCACTTACTGCATAGTTTATTCAGATATTGACCTTATGTTTGGGCTGAACTTAGCTATAATTGAACAAAGAGTGATAAGCCATCGTTGCTTAGTGATATTTTCTATCACCTTCGCTGAGGCTGCAGTTGGCATTCTGCAGGCTCTTTCCAACAAGACCATTTCTCTGGTACACAACTGAGCAATTACACTGACTGAGCTGAAATCCACAAGCATTTGCGGAGCACTGCTCTGTGCAGGGGAAGCTCCAAACACCTAGGTGGCAAAGAGGAGCAAGACCCATCCCTGACCCATAGAACCTGCCTGTAGCCCCCGGATCCTGCCGGCCCAGGGCAGGGGTGTGATGAAGTGGACACCAAGTGCTCTGAGGAGCAGTGTGAGGGAAGAGAAATTCTGGAGAGGGAGAAGGCCCCACATCCCCAGGGCAGGTGAGATGTGAGCTGGGTCTCCCGGGATGAAGGAGACTGGGCCGAAGGAGAGGGTAGGGAGGAGCACTCCAGTAAGGCAGTGAAGTTTGGTGGAGCACTGACCGGGTGGGAGGCAGGAGAGGAGGTGGGAGTAGGGCCTGGAGGGTAAGGTTACCAGGGGCTGAGAAGCCATTAGACTCTCAGCAGCAGCCCTGAGCTCTTGAGCCTGCCCTTTGTTTTTTATCAAGCCCCCCCCCCCACCATGTTAGTATCAGGGAAGCTCAGGGGATCCCTATTGCAAGTGGCAATTCCTCACCCTCCCCTTCTGCTTCATGAGGTCAGATATCAGCTGCCCAATATCCAGCAGCAACTTTTAATACCATGTTTTGTTTCTGAAGGTAGCAAGGACATGTAAGCTTGGGAGTATGTGAAAAAAGCACTGAATCGAGAGTTAGGAAACAGAAACAAAGTTTTCATCAATTATGTAAAGCAGCTCTCTGCCCCTGAGATTGGAAACCAACCTAACCACAAATGGGGCCTAGTTTTCTCTCAGGACGTCACGGTCTAAGACAAACAAATGCCATACAAAGGAGAGAAGTCAAGGCAGGGGATGTTGAAAGCAGAAAAGGAGAAGTAACTAACTCCTGTGAAAAGGAGGCATCATCAGATCCGATCCTACTTGGAAACTGACAGCTGAGCCTTCACTGTTCCTACTGGGTCAGAAACAAAGCAACACGAGTATGGTGCCTGCAACGGTCCCATTGACCCCCACATCCCATGGGGGTTTGTGAGAGCCCAGACAGATGCTGTGCACCCAGTGGGCTGCACTGCAGAAGAGGAGCCCTGAGCTCAGGGCATATCCAGAAGGAAACATCACCTGCTGCAGTGTCCTATTGCAAACACAGCTCTGAGATGCCCAGTTCAGGAGCGGCCAGGCCTTGCATTCCTGGATACCCAGTGTGTGAGTTTCCTGTGGCTGCCATAACAAATGACTATAAACCGTGTGGCTCAAAACATGTTTATTCTCTTACAGTTCTGAGGTCCCAAAGCCTGAAACTGACGGGTCAGCAGGGTGGTTCCCTCTACTGTCTGTGAGGGAGAATCGGCCAGGCCTCTCTCCTGGCCCCTGGTGGTTTGCTGGCAATCTTTGGCATTCCTTGGTTTGCAGACACTTCATCCCCATCTCTGCCTCCATCTCAATGACCTTCTTCTCTTTGTCTCTGCGTCTCTCTCTCTTTTCTCTTATAAAGACATCATTGGGTTTAGGGCCCATCCTAAATACAGGATGATTTCATCTCCAGGTGTTTTAATTACATTTGCAAAGACCCTTTTTCCAAATAAGGTCGCATTCACAGGTTCTAGAAGTTAGGACTTGGACCTATCTTTTTGGGGGCCACCATTCAACCCACTACCTCCAGGAAAGACCTGTAGGAGAGCAAGAGACGGGTGGAGGATTGCCTCTCCCATTGCTGAGCTTTCTTAACAAGAGAACGGTTTTTATGTCAGCCTGAAGTAGTGATCTACATGAGCAAAGACATGGGTCTGGAAAGAGGAAAAGAATATTTGAGACAAGGTGTCATACTTTACTAGAAGTGAGGAAACCCGGAGTAAATGGTGTGAGATAAATCAGCCTGCACACTTCCTAAGTGTCAGCACTGTTCTCGGAGCTGGGACAGTAGCTGTAAACCAAACAAAAACTCCTGCCCTCACGCAGCTTACATTCTGATCAGGAGAGACAGGAAACAATATTAAGAGGTAAATGTTCAAATATATTAGAGGCAGAATCTAGGAGAAAAGTATCCAAGGCAGAGAGAATAACCAGGGCAAATGCCTGAGTGGAAACTGTGCTTGCCATGCTGGGCCAGGAGTGAGGCTACTGGGTGTGAAGTCAGAAACCAAGAAGGCGCAGAGACTGGACCCTCCTCGCATGCTGACAAGGTGGCCTGCACAGCTCCACATCACATGCACATGTGTATAAAACACCAGACCAAGGCCGGGAGCAGTGACTCACGCCAGTAATCCCAGCACTTCGTGAGGCAGGGGCAGGTAGATCACGAGGTCAGGAGTTCGAGACCAGCCTTGCCAACGTGGTGAAACCCCATCTCTACTAAAAATACAAATATTAGCTGGGCATAGTGGTACACGCGTTTAATCCCAGCTACTTGAGAGGCTGAGGCAGAAGAATTGCTTGAACCTGGGAGGCGGAGACAGAGGTTGTAGTGAGCCAAGATTGCGACATTGTACTCCAGCCTGGGCGACAGAGCAAGACTCCATCTTTGGGGAAGAAAAAAAGGAAAAACAGACCTCTGAATCGGAGAAATGGACAGTTTATTACTCACAGTGAACACAGCAGCCAGAACAGTATCTTTAGTCACTTTCCCATGCCCCTATTCCCAAGAAGAGGGCATGTGGATCGTACCAGCTGGGCAGGCAGTGGGTCTGCATCCCAGGAGAGGGACCCGAAACTGGGAGACTTGGAGATTTTATCAGGGCTGTGGAGGACCTGCCTTTCTTCTCCTCCAGAGATAGATGACTCATTATCCAGCAACACAGAGG
The DNA here is from genome assembly GCF_000001405.40 of Homo sapiens. NCBI lineage: Eukaryota > Metazoa > Chordata > Mammalia > Primates > Hominidae > Homo > Homo sapiens. Next base: position 130,375,160 of record NC_000002.12, on the reverse strand, counting down.
TCAGCACCGACCTCACCAGCAGCAGGCTCACAGGAGTGGCAGGGGCATTGGGAGAGTGGGAGGCAGCACAGGGTCAGCTCTTTCACGAAAACAGAGAAACGGGGCAGCTCTAGAGTGGGAGTAGGGGCACAGAGAACAGGAAGGAAAGGCGGCCGGCGAAGGTATGATATCACACCAGCTCCCACTGTGGGCACCCAAACCCAAGCCTCCTGGGAAAGTCTGGGAACTGTTAAAAATCCACACCTCAGCATCACCCTGCCAAGGGGTGGGGTGGGGTATGTACACATCCCCATCATTCCTTGATTGAAGGCTGCAGGAGAGTGGAGTTCATGCCAAGGCACTTGAGATCGACCATGGATGCAGCCAGGCAGAGGCAGAGGAAGGCCAGCCCTATCCCAGAGAAGGGCAGGACAGGGGTGGACATGGGGCCCAGGGCACTGTGGCAGTGCATACAGGGACCTGGGCAGGCACAGTGTCAGTCAGAGGTCCAGAGACCTGAAAGTGAGAGGGGCGGGACCCTTGAGGTTCAGGGAAAGAGCATCTTATACTTTTTCCATTTTGCAGTGACTTGGAGATTTGTCCACACCAGTGCACAGAGACGTGTCCTCCTTTTATTTCTTTTAACAGCCGCTTAATGTTTTATCCTAGCAGGAACCCTACCATGGGCCATTTAAAGTGTTTCAAATCTTAGGGGGCTGAGCCTGGTGGCTCACACCTGTAATCTCAGCACTTTGGGAGGCTGAGGCAGGAGGATTGCTTGAGGTTGGGAGTTCAAGACCAGTCTGGGCAACATGGCAAAAACTCATTTCTTAAAAAAAAAAAAAATTAGACCTGTAGTCCCAGCTACTCGGCAGGCTGTGTGAATAGTAAGGGGTCAGTCTGGTTGGGAGTCTGTCTGGCGGGGGTCTGGCTGGGGTCTGCCTAGATAGGTCCTGATTTGCTGGGGGTCCATCTGTCTGAATAGCTGGAGATGTGTACTCATTTGGGGGACTTGTCTGTCAATCTGGAGGATCATGTCTGACTAGCTGGGGTCCATCCATCAAGACATCAAGATGAGAGTCTGGCCGGCTGGCTGGGATGTCAGGATTCCATGTGGCTGATGTCTGCCTGTCTGGCAGTCCATCTGGTTGGTTAGGAGTCTGTCTGGCCAGAAGGTCTGTCAGCCAGCCAGCCCACCTGAGGGTGGGGGTGGGGTCTGAGAACTCTGTGTATCTGTTCAGCAGGGGATCTGTTTATATCTGTCTAGTAATCTAACTTAGGGGGTCCACCTGGCTGTCCAGCTAGCAGAGATGTCTGTCTTTTGGGGGCTCTGTTTGGTGGTCTCTCTGGCTGCACTGGTCTATCAAGCTGTTGGCTGGTCTCTCTCTCTCTGGCTGGGGATCCCTTTGTCCACCTGTGGACTGTATCTCTGAAGCTTTGGCTGTCTGTCCAGGTTGGTGGTCCATCTGTCTGTCTGCCTATCTGGAGGTCTTTTTATCGGTCTGCCTGGGGTTAATCTGCTTGGCTGTGGTTATGCCTGGCTTAGTTCTGCCTGGATGGCGAAGTGTCCATCCACTTCTCTGTGTGGTCCCCTGAGTGTCCAAGTGAGGGAGGCTCAGGTGCTGAGGATGGACTAGTGCTGTGTGGTGAGGAGAGCAGTCTCCGGAAGCTCATCTGTCCCTTCTCCCCTTCATAACTCAGGGGTCATGCCCCTTCCTGATCTTCTTTCTTGAATCTGCTCTGTGCAGCCTCACCAGCCACTATACCCTAGCTACCTCCTCCAGCCTCAAGCCTTGAATGCTACAGTCATTGGGGCAAAGCCCCCACATTTCCCACCCTGAGAAACTTTAACTTTGATCCAGGCCCACTGTTTCCATTCTGCGCACGGCGCTCAGCAGCACCGGGGCATCAGCAGTCCGAGCTCACAAGAGGCAACAGGCAGGAACTGGCGTTAGACTTACACCCGGGTCCACTCAGCAGGCGGGTCCCGGGGACCCTTCGGCCTCCCAATGCGCAGGTTGAAACCTGGGAGAAGAAGGGTGCCGTGGGTCTCATGGAGAAGCTGAGGTGTGTGGAAGCTGGCAGACATGAAGAAGGCCATCCCCCCGCCTCCAGGTCCTCCTGGTTCACTGCAGCCACATCCACAGGACTAAGCTCCATGCCCCATCAACCCCAGACTCCTGGGTTCACTCAAAGCAGCAAAGTCCCAGCAACCCAGGCTCTACCTGACTTACCTAGCCCACCGGTCTGAGCTCCACCCGCCACGTCCTCGTAGGCGCCAGATCCGGCAGGACTTTGGTCAGCAGGAACTGAGGGCAGCAGACCCCCCACGGGTCAGCTCCGGAAGCCCCAGGGAGTCCCAAGACCCCACCCCTAGCGGGGACGCTTCCCCGGAGGCCCGAAGGGGAGAGCCGAGGGCGCCGGGCGGGAGAAGGCACACACCCCGGACGTGGCCTCCAGCCTTTGGGCGCGGCCAAGACAAGTATTGCCAGGAACCCTGCCCCTGGACCGCGACTGCGACCGCCAGGGGGCGCTTCCGGGGCGTGGCCAGGGACGCCTGGACATCAGCGTCGGGGCGTGGCCAGGCTAGCGGCTGGGGTCCCCGCGGCCGCCAGGGCCTGACGGACCACTGCAGGATGGTTCCGCCCTGCGGATCACAGCAGGATGATGCCCTGAGAAGGAGCAAGCCTCGACTCACCGCGGCCAGGCAGCGTCCCCCTCGCGTCCTCCGCGTGCGCCCCGGGTCGCTGGGCGCGCGGCGTCACCTTGCTGTAGAGCGGCGCCTCCTCCGCGCTGCGCGCCCCCGTCCCCGTCCCCGTCCCCGTCTGCGTCCCACTCCCGGCGCCCGCTGGAGCCCCGCGCTTCTGCACCACCGCGTAGGTGTCAGCCATGGCGTGGCCCGGGGACCCGGGCACAGAGATGCTCCTGCAGGCAGGGAGGGCCGGGAGGAAGTGAAACGGCGGCGCTGGGCAGGGCGGGAGTGGGGAGGCTGCTCAGCGCGCAAACCACGGGCTTCCTTCCCGCCGAGGCGGTGCGCTAGATGGGAGGGAGGGCTCCTTGGGTTGGAGGCCTCGCTTCTGTGTCCCTAGCGCCCTGCAAGTTAGGGGGATGAAGGAGGAACGGGGTCAGCCTGGAGGGTAATTTGGGGCAGAGTGTTGGTTTGAGGGGTGGTCATTTCTGTGTCAACGTCTACTGAACAAAAGAATGCGGAAGTGGCATAGAAGACAGGAAGGGATGGCCGCAAGGACAAGGGCCTTAAGTCTCCGCTGCGAAGGCGGCTCAATCCCATGTCCGCAGCACCCAACGTGCGGCCTGACAAGAAGGCGGCGTCTAGAATTATTTGCTGAATTTTTTTTGTTGTTTTTTTGAGACAGGATCTCGCTCTGTCGCCCAGGCTGGACTGCCGTGGTGCGATCTCGGCTTACTGCAACCTCCACCTCCCGGGCTCAAGCGACTCTCCTGCCTCAGCCTCCGGAGTAGCTGGGATTACAGGCTCTCACCAGCACGCCTGGCTAATTTTTGTATTTTTAGTAGAGACAGGGTTTCACCATGTTAACCAGGCTGGTCTCCAGCTGGGCTCAAGTGATCCGCCCTCCTTGGCCTCCCGAAGTGCTGGGATTACAGGGGTGAGCCACCTGAATTAAGGTTTGATTAGAGGATCCAGGAAAGGCCTAACTCAGAAGGCAGGGCAAGCCTTAGAGGCAGAGGCAAGGGGTAAATGAATCATCTTGGGATAATTGAATCATCTTGGGGTGGGTTCCCAGAGCTCAATTCGAAGAAAGGGCCAGCGAACACTTGGCGAAGTGAACAAGGAACGGACTGGTGTTCCAAGGATGAAGAAGGGGTTAGCCTGAGAAATTGGGCAGGGAAGAATCCGGGGATGGAGCCGGGTACCTGAGGACCCCTCCTGGTGGGCGGGGTATGGCGAGAAGTGCCTGGGGAGTCCGGAGGAAGAGGGCATCGTCGTAGAGTGGGGCACAATTCTGAAGAAAAACAGGAGGGGAGGCTCCTGAGGGAGGAAGCTGGCCAGGCCTCTCAAGGGGCTCTGGGAGAAAGCTTAAGATGGGAGAGCCTGATAAGGATGCCTGGAGGAGGGCACAGGTGGATGTCATAGTCAGTGCCTGCTCCCAGTAGTCCCGGGGGCTGGACCCTGCTCGGGGTCCTGGTCTCTGAGGGTGCTGATGGTGGACAGGAGAGTGGGAAAGGAGCCTCTGTACCTCTTTGATGTTCTGGTAGTGGGGGCTGGCATTCTGGAGTGTGGAGCAGAACATCTGAGCCACCGTGTGGTACAGGAACCTGTACTGCTCCTGTTGGGGTGAGGGACCATCAAGAAGGGAAGGCAGGGGCAAATGACAGCAGTGGGCCACTGTCCCTGAAGATTAGGAGACCCAGGGTTCACCTCTGTCTGCACGGCCGCAGGCCGCTGCTTCCTCATCTTAAGGACCACATCAAAGAGACTGAAGTCAGGTGGGATCATCTGGGGCAGACAGACAAGGCACTTGAGCAGGACACGTGGTCATGGGCAGCACACTGCACACACAGGATGCCTGTATCGTACCTGGGTCAGGAGCAGCTGCCTCACATAATCCACGGTGCACAGGACGCCTGTTCGCCCACAACCCGCACTGACAAGAGAATCAGAGTGTGCCTGGTCAGGTCCTGACCACAACCCCTTTTAGATGGGGCATTTGGGGATGGGGGTGAGGGTCCTGATGGATCCCCTGCAGAGCCTCTTGATTCCCAGAATCTTCAGATTATATCTGAACAAGGAAAACCTTTTTAATCACTTACATTTTGTTGAGCAAGAGCTGTGTGCTTATTCCCCAGCTGAGTCTGTGCTGAACAAGTGCTCACAATTACAGTCCATGGAGGGTGAGCAAGGGTTCTCAAAATAGGCACTCAGACTACAAGACTAGCCCCATGCCCTGTACTCCCCTCCATGCTCTGTCCCCTCTGCCTCACCAGACCCTCCTGAAGCCCATTTCCAAAACCTGCAGTGGACACAGAGGGGTTCAGGGCCAGATCCCTGGAGGCGACGGGCTTCCTCCACCATGGCGAGCATGTGGTCAGGACTGCTGGGGACCCCACGGTCTGGCCAGGACATATACTGTAGCTGGTACACAGAACGGGACTCCTGAAACACAGAAAAAGATGAGCAAAAGACTTAGGAAAAAAAAGAAAAAAGCATTAATTGGCCATCTACTATACACCAGGCCCACTTCTAGGCATCTTCCATTTATGTCTACCAGACAATAACTGAGGAAGTGGGTACTAGTATGATGCCCATTTTTACAGGAGAGGAAACCTCTCCCCTTTCAGGAGCCCCTTTACCTCCTCCTCCCCTGTCACAGTACCTTCTGGAATGTGACCTTGAGGGTCCTGAGCATGATGTCCTCATTCAGCCACTTCTCCTTTATCTGAGTAAGGGGGGTGGGGCAAGTAAGAAGAGGGAGGAGAACAAAGATCATAGGTACCAGAAGACATTTATAGAAAGCAAAGCATTCCTGATTAAAAAATCAAATACAGAAAACATTTTAAAAATTCATATAGCCCAAACTTTCCCCAAAGCTTTCATTAAGGAAACATTTGACACAGGAGCAAAAGAGGAACTATTATAAAAACACAAGCCCTTTTGCAATGAAAAGAGATGTCTTTTGTTCTAAAATGAAACTTTTATTGCATTTATTAAGTACTAACTGTATGTATGACTTGAGAGAGTTCCCCAAGCTCTTTTGAAATGGTAAGAGAAGTAAGAATTTCAACAACCTAACCAGGCACATTTACATGACAGAGATTAACTGATTGTAGCCAAAATAAAAATGCAAAGGCTATCCCTATAGTAAGTTCTAACTATTTGCAGGCTAACACCAGAGGGTTTCCTGCAGTATGAGTGGACTGTGGGTTAAATCATTCAACCTTTTAGGCCCAACCCAAAGCCTTTCCACCCTGGGAATCTTCCTTGAAAACTCCCACAGCTCACCAGAGTGATGCAGAAAAGCCCAGTCTGCAGTGGCTCCTGCTCCTGGGCCCAGTACCGCTCACACCTTTTCTGCAAAAGGTAAGGGAGAAAAGGCAGGGAGTGAGAAGAGGGAGTCAGCTTCAGAGCTAGCTCAATCATGCCACAAGACACCCCAGGTGCTCGTGGTGGAAGCACAGGCAGCTATACTTATAACCTATAACAGACGCCAGCCAACAGAGCCATCAGATTAAACACATGCAGACTCAATGGAGGTGCGCTGCTGACCATGCAGGGGAAATACAGTCCAGGATACCCTCCCACTGTAAGCAACTAGAAACTGGACAAAATACATGAGCCACTATTTTCAGACACTGGTTGGCAGGTGTTGCAGTACTGTGGTCACTGAACAGACCACTCCGGCTTATTGCATGGAAGTGTCACCAGGCTGTAAGACATGAGTCTAATGATCCCACTGAGTTGAGCCAGAGACCATGGCTCAAGGAGGCAAAAGCAGCTAGAATTTGCAGGGCAGAGTCCTGGAAGGAACAGAGGTATGCAAATAAAAACAAAACAATAACTTGCATAGAAGTCCCCTCCTTGATTCTTTGGTTGAATAATCTGAATATATACAACATGAAACCCCATGAGGCCAGGCAAGAATAACTTACCATGAAAGAATAGTAGGGATCTGTAGGATGAACATTTCCTTGAGCTCATGATGAGAAAGAATTCACATTCCCTCTAGCTAGAGTGTAGAGGCATTATCAACTATAAGGGGCATTTAGTAGGGAACCTAGAATGACCACACATTAGAAGTACGGCTAAATTAATTCTAGAACAAAGGCTACTTGATCAACCATCCAAAAGTTCCTGAAAAGGCAAAACACTCTAAAGAAAACAATCCAACACTTACCTGTGCAAAATTCAAAATATCAAGCATCCAATAAAATTTTGCTGGACATACAAAGAAGCAGGAAAGTGTGACCCATAACCAGGAGAAAAATTAGTCAATAGGAAAGGGCCCAGAAATAACAGTTCAGGAAAGAAGCAAAAATCTTAAAATGGCTATTACAAATACACTCAAAGATGAAAAGGAAAACATGAACATGATGCAGAGTGGAATGAAAGATACAAAAAATAACCTGAATGGAATTTATAAAGAGGAAAAATAAAATATATGAAATGAAAAATCCACTAATAGCAGGGTAGACACTAGAAGAAAGGATCAATAGACATGAAAACATAGCAATATAAATAATTCAAAATGAAATGAAAAAAATGAAAAAGAATCAGTTCTCTGTAGAAATATACCAGTCTAGTGTATGTGCACGTGGAGTCCAGAAGGAAAGGAGAAAGGGGGATAACAGAAACTTTATGTAAAGAAATAATAGGTGAAAATTTTCCCAAATTCGATGAAACTATGAACCCACAAATCCAAGAAAGTCAATGAACCAGAGGGAGAATAAACCTAAACCTAAAGAAAGTCACGCCAAGGCAGATCATGATCAAATTACTGAAAAAGAATGAAGAAGAGAAAAAAAAATTTTTTTTTGAGACCCTTGCTCTGTCACCCAGGCTTGGCGTGCAGTGGCTCAATCTCGGCTCACTGCAACCTGCAACTCCCAGGTTCAAGCGATTCTCCTGCCTCAGGCTCCTGAGTAGCTGGGATTACAGACACACACCACCATGTCCAACCTTTTTTTGTATTTTTAGTAGAGACAGGGTTTCACCAGGTTGGCCGGGCTGGTCTCGAACTCCTGACCTCAAGTGATACACCTACCTTGGCCTCCCAAAGTGCTGGGATTACAGGCATGAGCCACCACACCAGGCCCCAGAAGAGAAAATCTTAAAAGCATTATGCACAAAAGGACACATCACATACTGAGGAACAAAGTTAAGAATTATAGCAACATTTTGTCAGAAACGGCAAGTCAATGCTATGATATCCTAAAAATGCTGAAAACCTTTTCAGACAAATGAAAGCTGAGGGAATTCATCACAAACAAATCTGCATTATGAGAAATATTAGAGTAAGCTCTTCAGATGCTTACAGACAGTGGCTGCTCCAGCTATTTGAGAGGCTAAGGCAGGAGGATTGCTTGAGGCCACTTCAACACCAGCCTGAGCAACATAGCCTGTATCTTAAAAAAAAAAAAAAAAAAAAAAAAAAAATTAAAATTAGCTAGGTGTGTTGGCAACATAGCTAGCCTGTATCTAAAAAAAATCTTTTTTAGTTAGCTGAGTGCAGTGGCACACCTGTACTCCCAACTACTTGGCAGGCTGAGGTGGGAGGATTGCTTAAGCCCAGGAGTTTGAGGCTGCAGTGAGTGGTGACTGCACACTGCACTCCAGCCTGTATGACAGAGTGAGACCCTATCTCTTAAATAAATAGAATAAGTAAGCTCTGCATACAAAAGGAACGTGATACAAATGGAAATACAGATCTACACAAAATAACAGGGAGAAAAGTAAGTGGCTAAATGTAAAAGATATTTCATTTTAAACATCTTTAAAAGATAATCTAGTGAATTTTATCAAACAAAGAGGAATTAATACCAGCCTTTCACAAACTCTTGCAAAAAACTGAGAGGAACCATTTCCCAACATATTGTATGAGGCTAGTATTACCCTGGCACCAAAACCAAAGACATCACAAGAAAAGAAAACTACTAACCAATATCTCACAAACATAGACACAAAAATTCTCAATGAAGTACTAGCAAAGTATTAAACACCATGACTAAGTGGGATTAATTCCAGGAATGCAAGATTGGTTCAACATATGAAAGTCAATGTCATACACCATATTAGTAGAATACAAAACACACGATCATCTGAATAGATGCAAAGAACAAAATTTGACAAAACTCAACAGCGTTTCATAAAAAAGTTCATTAGAAACTCAGTGCCCAGGATTTTTATTGGGGCACCGTCTGCACAGAATGTAGGCACACTCTGCCTAGCCTGTACCAAAATGTCAGACTACCAGCAGGAGAACAGGTGTTCTGCATAAAGCATATTGTTTGTATTAACAGTTCAGGCATAGTGAGCCACTGTTATCAGAAACCTAGGTTTCTAGAGGCCACCCAAGAGTCAACCTTACAGGAAGGCCTTTCTAAGCATAAACATTTATGCTTGCCATGTTTAACTCTTCTGCACAGCAGGGGACCTACCCAAAATAGCCAAAACAATCTTGGAAAAAAGAACAAATTTGGAAGACTCATACTTCCTGATTTCAGAACTTCTACAAAGGTATAATAATCAAAACTATGTTACACTGGCACAAGGATAAACACATCAATCAGCTTAATAAAATTGAGAGTTCAGAAATAAACCCTTATATTTATGGCCAATTAATTTTCAACAAAGGGGCCAAGACGGTTCAATGGGCAAAGCATAGTCTTTTCAACAAATGGTGCTGGAACAACTGGATAGTCACATGCAAAAGAGTGAATGTGGACCCCTATCTCACATCACATACAAAAGTTCATTCAAAGTAAATCTGAGACCTAACTGTAAGCAAGAAAACTATAAAACACTTAGAAGGAAGAACAGGAGTAAGTCTTTATGACCTCTGATTAGACAATGACTTCTCAGATACACCAAAAGCACAGCAACACAATAGATTGGAATTAAAGTTTCACAAAATGTTTGTGCTTCAAAACACACCATCAAGAAAGTGGAATGACAACCCACAGAATGGGAAAGACATTTTAAATCATGTACTGATAAGGGACTTATATACAGAATAACGCTTACAACTCAATAATAAAAAGACAACCCCAAATAGCCCAATTTTAAAATGAATAAATGACATGAATAGACATTTGGCCAGAGAAGATATACAAATGGACGAATAAGCACATGAAAACCAAAACCACAATGAGGTACCACTTCCCACTCATTAGGATGGCATATATGTCATTGTCATATGCCACATAATGATGTTTTGGTTAACAACAGACCACATATACAATGGTGGTGCCATAGATTATAATGGAGCATATGTAGAAACCTGATACATGGCACTTGATATTGACACTGCATATTAAGTTGGGGAAATGATTGATACTCAGTAATGGTGCTGGGACATTTGGTTTTCCATATGAAAAATATATAAATAAAAAATGTATATACTATCTATGTTTGTGTAAGTATACTCTATGATGTTTACACAATGACAAGATAGTCTTAACAATGCAGACCATATCCCTGTCATTAAACTACACATGTCCCTCCCTCCCTCTCTCTCTCTCTGCTGATGGGAACGTAAAATGGTACAGCCACTGTGGAAAACAAAATGTTGAACATAGCGTTATCATATGATCCAGCAATTCCATGCTAGGTGTATACCCAGGGAACTGAAAACAGGGATTCAAACAGATACTAGTATACCAATTTTTTGTTGTTGTTGTTGTTGTTGTTTTGAGACGGAGTCTCGCTCTGTCGCCCAGGCTGGAGTGCGGTGGTGCGATCTCGGCTCACTGCAAGCTCCGCCTCATGGGTTCACACCATTCTCTTGCCTCAGCCTCCCGAGTAGCTGGGACTACAGGCGGCTGCCACCACGCCTGGCTAATTTTTTGTATTTTTAGTAGAGGTGGGATTTCATCGTGTTAGCCAGGCTGGTCTCGATCTCCTGACCTCGTGATCTGCCTGCTTCGGCCTCCCAAAGTGCTGGGATTACAGGCGTGAGCCACTGTGTCCAGCCTGTATACCAATGTTTGTAGCCGCCTTATTTACAATAGTCAAAAGGTACAAACAACCCAGATGTCCAACAGGCGAATGGATAAACAAAATGTGATATATACATACAATGAAATATTATTTGGCCTTGAAAACAGTGAAATTCTGATACACACTGCAACATGGATGAACCTTGAAAAAAGGACAAGTATTGTATATTAGTGTATTCCTGATTCCACTTGCATGAGGTACCTAGAATAGGCAAATTCATAGGGACAGAAAGGAGAATAGAGGTTACCTGGAAATGGGGGAATGGGGAGTTATTGTTTAATGAATACAGAATTTCTGTTTGGGATGATGAACATGTTCTGAAAATAGACAGTAGGAATGGTTAATCCATTGTGAATGTACTTAATTCAATTGAATTGTACACTTGAAATGGTTTAAATGGCAAAATTATTTTTAACATTCCTCACAGCACCTATAAACTGGCAAATTTTATGTTATGTATATTTTACCACATAATTTAAAGAAAGACACAATGGCATACCACTTCACAACCCCTAGGATGGCTATAATTAAAAAAAAAAAAAAGACAGTAACAAGCATCAGGGAGAAGAAATGGGGACCCTCAAACATTGCCGTGGAAATGTAAAATGATGCTGCCACTGTGGAAAACAGTTTGGCACTTCCTCAAAATGTTAAAAATAGAGTTTCCATATAGCCCAGCAATTCCCAGCAATACCCAAGAGACATGAAAACCCACATCTACACAGAGACTTGTATATCAGTGTTGATAGCAGCACTGTTCATAATAGCCAAAAAGTAGAAAGAACCCAATTTCTGTCAACCAATAAGTAAAATGTGGTAGATCCATTCAATGGAATAGTATTCAGCAAACAAAACAAAACAAAACAAAAATGCTAAGCAAAAAAAGGCTACATATTATGTGATTCAATTATATGAAATGTCCAAAGTAAGCAAATGTATAAAGGCAAAAATAGATTAGGGATTGTCTGGGGCTGTAGAGGTTGCTGGGAAATGGGGAGTGACTGCTAATGGATATAGGATTTCTTTTCTTTTTCTTTTTTTTTGAGAGACAGTCTTGCTCTGTGGCCAGGCTGCAGTGTAGTGGCACAATCTCAGCTCACTGCAACCTCCAACTCCCTGGTTCAAGCTATTCTTCTGCCTCAGCCTCCCGAGTTGCTGGGATTACAGGCACATGCCACCATGCCCAGCTAATGTTTGTATTTTTAGTAGAGACGGGGTTTCACTATGTTGGCCAGGATGGTCTTGATCTCCTGACCTCGTGATCCACCAGTCTCAGCCTCCCAAAGTGCTGGGATTACAGGCATGAGCCACCATGTCTGGCCTGGATTTTTTTATGGAATGATGAAAATGTTCAAAAACTTATTGTGGTAGGCCGGGCACGGTGGCTCATGCCTGTAATCCCAGCACTTTGGGAGGCTGAGGTGGGCGGATCACGAGGTCAGGAGATTGAGACCATCCTGGCTAACACGGTGAAACCCCGTCTCTACTAAAAATACAAAAAATTAGCCGGGCGTGGTGGCAGGCGCCTGTAGTCCTAGCTACTCGGGAGGCTGAGGCAGGAGAATGGCGTGGACCCGGGAGGCGGAGGTTGCAGCGAGCTGAGATCGCGCCATTGCACTCCAGCCTGGAGGACAGAGCGAGGCTCCGTCTCAAAAACAAAAACAAAAACAAAAACAAAAATCTTACTGTGGTAATAGTTGCATAGCTCAGGAATATAGAAAAATGATGGAACTGTACACTTTAAATGACTGAATTGTATATCAATAAAGCTGTTTAAAAAGATATTCTAAAACAACTATAATAGCAGTGTACTGTGGAGTATATTTTATATATAGAACTATAATATATAGTAACAATAGCACAAAGCATGGAAAGGGGTAATCGAAATATACTACAGTAAAGTTCTGACATTTTACATGAAATGTAGAATATTATTTGACTATAGACTATAAGTTAAAGATATATATTGTAAACCCTAAAGCCACAACTAAATATTTAAAATAAAGATGTATAGCTAATAAGGGAATAATTACTATGCAATAGATTAATAAAAAATTCTCACTCTGAAAGAGAAAAAAAGAAGAAAAGAACAAACAGAGCAAATAGAAAACAAATAGCAAGATGGTAGGTTTAAACCCAACATTATTGATAATTACATTAAAGGCTGAATATTCCAATTAAAGGCAGAGACTGTCAGATTAGATTTAAAAGTAAGTCCTGGCTAGATGCAGTGGCTCATGCCTGTAATCTTAGCACTTTGGGAGGCCGAGGTGGAAGGACAGCTTGAGGCCAGGAGTTCGAGACCAGCCTGGATTATACGTGAGACTTAATCTCTACAAGAAATAAAAAACAATTAATCAGGCACGGTGGTGTATGCCTGTAGTCCCAACTCCTCAGGGAGGCTGCGCTAGCATGATCATTTGAGCCCAGGATTTTGAGGTTACAGTGAACTATGATTGCACCACTCCATTCCCCTCTGTCTTAAAAAAAAAAAGTCCCTACAATACACCACCTACAAGAAACACACTAAAAAATAAAGATGAACATAGATACAAAGTAAAAGAATGGGAAAAGACATATGCAAACTCTAAAGAAATTTAAGGCCGAGGGCGGTGGCTCATGCCTGTAATCTCAGGACTTTGGGAGGCTGAGGCGGGTGGATCACCTGAGGGCAGGAGTTTGAGACCAGCCTGGCCAACATGGTGAAACCCCATCTCTACTAAAAATACAAAAATTAGCTGGGCGTGGTGGCAGGCACCTGCAATCCCAGCTACTCGAGAGGCTGAGGCAGGAGAATCGCTTGAACCTGGGAGGCAAAGGTTGCAGTGAGCCAAGATCGCGCCATTGAACTCCAGCCTGGGTGACGAGGGAAACTGCATCTCAAAAAAACAGAAAGAAAGAAAGGAAAGAAAGGAAAGAAAGGAAAGAAAGAAAGAAAGAAAGAAAGAAAGAAAGAAAGAAAGAAAGAAAGAAAGAGAAAGAAAAGAAAGAAATTTAAATGGCTGTATTAATATCAAAGTACACTTCAGAAAAAAATATTAACAAATAAAGAGTCATTACATATTAGAAAGGGATCCAATCATTAGGAAGACATAATCCTAAATGTATATGTACTCAATCATAAAGTTTTAAAACATGAAAAGTAAAACTGAAAGAATAGTTAAAGCAGATTTCAACATTCCTCTTTCAGCAAATAATAGGGCAAGCAGACAAAAAAAATTGTCAGAAATAAGACTTGAATAGTGCTGTTGACAAACTTGACCTAATTAATACTTATTGAACAGTTGGTAATTTCAACACTCCTCTCTAAGCAATCCATACATTTAGAGAAAATAAATCAGTAAAGATATAAAATATACAGTAAAGATATAAAAGTGTCTTTTTAAAAAGTCTGTCAGTTGACCTAATTGGTATTTACAGGACACTCCAGCCAACCAAAGCAGAATACACATTGTTTTCAAGTACACTTGAAATTAAAGTAGAAAATGAATTAGTTGGGCGTGGTGGCATGTGTCTGTATTCCTAGCTACTCAGGAGTCTGGGGCAGGAGAATTGCTTGAACTTGGGAGGCAGAGGTTGCAGTGAGCTAAGATTGCACCACTGCACTCCAGTCTGGGCAACAGAGCAAGACTCTGTCTCAAAAAAAAAAAAAGTGGAAAATGAAAAAATCAATAGAGAAAATGAATACAAATGAATACAACCAAAGCAGGTTCTTTGAAAAAATAATAAAATGATAAACTTCTAGTCCAAAGATTGGCTGACATTTTTATAAAGGGTCAGATAAATACTTTAGAATTTACAGGCCATATAATTTATTCAACTTGCAACTACTCAACTCTGCCACTGTAGCATAAAAGCAGGCATACACAATATGTAAATAAATGAGTGTGGCTGTGTTCTAATACACTGTTTACAAAAAACAGGCAGGAGCATGAAAAAAGAGATAGCGAAATAGAGAGATGAGACAGAGAGAGAGAGAGAACACAAATTACCAAAATCAGGAATGAGAAAGAGACAAGACTACAGATCATACAGCCTCCACCATCAGCTAGTCACCCCAGGGAACCCCTACCCCATCCATGGAGTAGGCAAGAATGTAGAAACCACATGAAGCTATGTGCCTTCAGCCTTCAATATTGACATGCATTTATTTATTTAGTAACTAATTTATGTTAACAGGCAAAACAAAAATCCCTGGCCTTGTGGATCTTACCTTCTAAATCAGGGAGATTAAGCATAAACAATGTACATAATACATTTGTAGATTATCCAGTGTGTTAGGAGTTCATAAGAACTGTGAAGAAAGAAGGAAAAGTAGGACAAGGGAGGGAGAATGGAAGTGCTGAGAGTTTAAAATGGTGTGAAGACCCACCCCGGAAGGTCTCATTGAGGAATTACCATTTGAGCAAAGACCTGAAGGAGGTGATAGAGCAAGCCACAGGGAAGGATGTCCTAGGCTGAAGGAATAGCCAAGGCACAGACCCTGAGGCAGAGCCATCCCTGGAACATGGGAACAGCAGAGACCAGAGTTGTTAGAGTGGAGTGAATAAAGGGAAGAGAGGTGGAAAGAGAGATCAGAGCCTACAGGGGAAGCAGTCAGAATAGGGCCTTATGGTCTAAGGTGTGAAATGGCTGGGAAGCCCAGCAGGAGAGGGGTTGCCAACACTGGGGGATGAATAACATATCAACAAAAACTTAGAGGAACAATGGGGCTTCCCACAGAGCTACAATAAGGTCACTCCAAGAGCTGGACCCTCGGGTCCTGGGGTCAAGGAGGAGCTAGCAAGATCCCTCCTCCCTCCTCCCACAAGGACATGAAACCTGGGGGCAGAGGGCACCTACCCGCCCATTCTCTATCTCTCGACAGGCCATCAGGATCACCTAGACAAGGAGGGTCAGGGGAGAGGAAGGTGATTTGGGTGAGGGGGCCAGGGAAACTGCCGAGGGGGTACTTAGATGTTGACCCCACCATTGTGCCGCACCCCCAAGTGCTGACCTTGACCCCAAACTCCCAGACCAGTCTCCAGAAGTCTAGCAGGGTGTGAGGCAAGGGTCCTTGCGTGGCAATGTAGGCCAGGCTTCCATCCACGCCCTGGTGAAGGCCGAATTCACGACTGAGATTCTGCGGCCCACCCCTGGCCACTCCCAGTCCACCTCCTTCCGTGACCCCAACCCTCACCCGGATGAAGTTGCCATTAATGTAGTCGCTGTGTCCCTCTTCCTGGAGCAGGGAGAGGATTACTCGCGTCTGATCATCTGTCAGCAGATAAGGTGAGAAACGTGGAGTTTGGGTAGGATAGGGTGACGGAGCCTCTGACAGCCCCCTAGCTGAAAGCCAGCAGGGGACCACACACATGCAGAGATCCCACCAAGGTGCCCTTGTGGGCTGCTGAGCAGTGCAGAGGGTGAGGCTCTGGGAGGAGAGCACAGTGGGTGACTCCAGTGCACACTGACGCCTGGACGTGGCAGGGCGTGCAAGGCTGCACCGACTCCCTACGGAAGCCCCGACTTACAAGGCAGCACGTCTTTGTAGCGGTTCTTCCTCACGTTCTCTGGCCGACTGCCGGCCACGGTGGAGCACACGCCGTCAGCCTTCCAGGCGGCCGAGCAGGCCTGGATGTCCTGGTAGAGCATTATGAGTGGGTCAGGGAGGGGAGAAGACAGGAGAGGAGCCAGGTCAGAGTCCCAGGCCACCTAGGCACGCTTGCAGGATACAAAGCCAGTGGCCTGGGGAGGTGAGTGCAGACCCTGATGGCACTGGGCCTGCCTAATAATAATGATACCGAAATAGTGACCCAGGGCACCTTCTCTGTGCCACTCTCTGTGCTAAGGGCATGTAATCATCACAGGTTCCTACGACGTGGGTACTATTATTGACGTCCCCATTGTGCAGGCGGGAAAGTTTATGCACCACGTGGTTCAGCGACTTGTGGAAGGTCCCAACCAGGAAGTCACACGGTGAGGGTTGAACTCAGACCCTCTCGGCACCCACCCCCTGCACACTCAATCTGTGACATTGTCTTGTAAGCAATAACTGTAATGAAATATATTATGGGCTATGTAGCTAAACATATAAGACAATGTACAATGAATGCATAGGCATTATAATGGATAACATATTATGTACAAGATACTATAGGCACTGTGTTACTGGGAGATTATAATAATAATTAGTGAATCGTGTATTACCATCATCGTCAGGTATTCGTAATCTCAATGATAATAAGTAACACCCATGCCACCACTGTGTGCCAGCCACTATTCTAAGTGCTTTACTTGTGTCCATTGGGTCATTTAAGCCCTCATGATGCCCTTGTGTAGTGGGAACACCTAGAAGAGCGCAGTGATTCCTGCACATGCGGGAGGCAGGCTTGGGGAGCAGGGGTGCCCTCGCCACCCAGCCTTCCGCATGTGAGGCCCTCCGCACTGTACACGGTTCAGAACCCACCCAGTCGCATGATGTCATATATCACATGGGTATTATGTTTACATTTGTTACACACATTCTTATATTGTATAATTATATATTTTACATTTATTATGCATTTCTTAGTTTCTTATATACAATGTTTCTACATGTGTGTAAATTACTTAGGTTTATAATTATCTGTTACTTTTTTTTTTTTTTTTTTTGAGATGGAGTCTCGCTCTGTTGCCCAGGCTGGACTGCAGTGGCGCGATCTCGGCTCACTGCAAGCTCCGCCTCCCGGGTTCACGCCATTCTCCTGCCTCAGCCACCCGAGTAGCTGGGACTACAGGCGCCCGCCACCACGCCCAGCTAATTTTTTGTGTGTTTAGTAGAGACGGGGTTTCACCGTGTTAGCCAGGATGGTGTGGATCTCCTGACCTCGTGATCCGCCCGCCTCGGCCTCCCAAAGTGCTGGGATTATAGGCGTGAGCCACCGTGCCCGGCCATCTGTTACATATTTTATATCTACTTATGAATTTATCAAATAACTTTGGTCATTTTATAAATTATAATCTTTGTTATATTCATTTGTTGTATTGTTTTATGCAGTTATGCAATGTTTATTGTATAAACGGTCATTTATAATACTTTTATATATTTGTCATATTTCTAAACTTGATACATGTCACCATATATCAGTTTATGCGTTTGTATGGTATGTTTCTATGTCTGGTACATAAGCGATTACACTTTAAACACGTCATCAACTGTAATGTACAGTGCCTAGCATTCTGCGTGAGCCTTCCTAATGCTGGGCTTGCACTACCTGTATTGTAACGTTTAGATTTTTTGTTTGGTTTTGTTTTGTTTGAGATGGGATCTCACTCTGTGGCCCAGGCTGGAGTGCAGTGGCACCATCTCAGCTGTGCAGTGGAACCATCTCAGCTCACTGCAACCTCTGCCTCCCAGGTTCAAGCGAGTCCCCTGTCTCTGCTCCCTAGTAGCTGGGATTACAGGCATGCGCCCATGCCCAGTTGATTTTTGTATTTTTAGTAGAGACGGGGTTTCGCTGTGTTGCCCAGGCTGGTCTCGAACTCCTGAGCTCAAGCGATCCTCCCACCTCGGCCTCCCAAAGTGCTGGGATTACAGGTGTGAGCCACCGCACCTGGCCCACGTTTAGAATCTTTATAGGCAGTGACGAACGCCCCTACGAAGTGTGCGCCCAATATGTACTAAGTGCTTTTCACCCACATCATTTAATCCTTAGACCAGTTTGGTCATTCATGTCCCCATTTCACCAAGGGAGAAGCCGAGGTCAGAGGGGCCAGGTAGACCGCCTGGACCACACGCGGATGGCCGGGACGCGGATTCGGGACGGGAAGCGGATTCGGGCCCGGACGCGGATTCGAGCCCGGCGTTCACACCCTCACCACGCCACAGCCTCCGTGTTCCTCTTCGCCCTGCTGCAGCCCCTTCCTTCCTGTGGTCACAGGGGACAGTCAGGTCGCCAGAAGCGGCGGGGCCGGGGCTGTCCAGCGCAGCAGGGCCGCCCGCCCTCCCCTGCGGCGCCCGCCCCACCTGTCCCGCCCGCAGCCAGGTTGTTCCGGGAGCGCGACGAGGACACCGGGAACGAGGGTGTGCACGGTCCGTCCCGGCCTGGCCGTGGACGTCGCGCTCCGGGGCCGGGGGGCAGAGAGTGAAGACGGAGACAGCAAGAGCGACAGAGAAGTGCTGGGGAGAGAAACACGGAGAGACCCCCCGAGGCGGGGAGACACCGGGGACACCGAGACAGAAAGGCAGAGCCCGCCGTGCGCGGAGGACAGGCGTACGCAGGGCCAGGGCCGGGGCGCGCCGCTCGCGGACCCCGTGTGCCACTCACGCTGAACTCGCCGGCGAGGACTGCCCCCTCCCGGCCGCCCCGCGCTTCCAGCCGCTCCAGGAAGCTCCGCGCCGAGTCCAGGCTGCGGCTCATGGCGCCGCGGGCCAGCAAGGTCCAGCCCGGCCGCCGCGCGCGCGGCGAGTGTGGACGCCGCGGGAGGCGGAGGCCGGTGACTGAGTCCCCGCCCTTGCCTCGGCAGCCAATGGAAGCGCGCAGCGGCGGGCAGGGCGCCCCAGCCACCGTGTTCTGAGCCCGCGTAGCCCCACCCCGGGCGCTCGGGCCGCTGTGGCCGGAGCCCTAGGTCCTCGCGGGCTGCCCTGAGCAGAGTCCAGCGCCGGCGCTTCCCCTTTTTTTCGGCTGCCGCGCCCACTGGTGGGGGGGTGGCACGGTCCCAGGTTCGCTCCCTGCCGCTTGGGACCCGCCCTCAGATCGGGATCCGCGCCCAGGGGCCGACCTCCGGGTGCCGGCTCTGGGTGGACGGCCGAGCGGTCTCGCCGGGCCCTCCCGCCCGTCCCCTGGGAGCCAGGCCGCGCGGAGTCCGAGCTGGGGCGGGCAGCAGCCTTGGGTGGAGACGGTCGCCGAGATCAGGCTGCCCCTCGTGCCAGAGGACCCCGGGTCGGGGGCGTCCCGCGCTGTGCGCTCCAGCCGGGCCCAAGGGAGGCCGGGGAGGGGCAGCCACGCCGTGGGAAAGGCCAAGTGGCAGCGGGATCTTCTCTGTGTATTTCCCGAGGAATTTGTGGTTCCTTTTTCCCGGATGCGCTGGGGCACCAGGGTCAGTCCTGTGTGAGCATCTCGACCTGCACAAGCCTGCTGGGAAACAGAACTGAGGCACTGGAAGTGGGTTCTGGGGAACGAAGAGCTTCTCTTTTTTGCCTGCCCTGACACTCCCATCTTCAGAAAGTGTGCAGAGGTCAGAGGAGAGCCGCCGTTCCAGCTTCCGGGATCACCGAGGGGAGGCTGGAGAGAATGGACTGGCACCTGGGTCTCTTCAAGGACAGGCCTAGGTTAGCCCCCTTCTCGCCGAGGTCGGAAGAATTAAGAGGGGTGTCACTGGAAGGGGCGTCAGTGGACACCAGTTTGAGGTCGTTGAGGGGTTGAAAGGTAGCATTGGGGCCTGGATGTGTGCCTGAGTCTCTGAAGGGTCAACAGGGGCATGATGTCAGGTGGTCAATTTAATTCACTAGGGGCTATCAGAGTATTTAAGGGCACACTTTCTTAAAGGTCCCGGTAGGAAGTGGTTTTGGCTTTGCTATCGCTGCCCCAGCTGCTTAACTCAGCTGTGGCAGCATGAAAGCAGACAATATAGTGTGGCTGTGTCCCAAAGAAACCATTTATGGACAAAGAAATCAGAATTTCATGTAATGTTCATGTGTCATGAATTATTCTAGTGTGTGTGTGTGGCCTACAGGCTGTCGTTTGCTGACCTTGGCTGAAGTGATGGAGCGATCAAAGTGGCTCTGTGGGGATCAGCAGCTAGGGCTGTTTGATTTATCGTGGGGTCCGCAGGGGTCACTGTGAGATTCATGTTCATCATTTATCAGTTTCATCTTTGAGCATTCTCAGGGAGGTAATTGTTTAGGATGGTGGTGATAGGGAATTCATTGGAAGCCAGTCGGGGTCCCTTGGATGTTCATGGGGGGGGGGGTGTCAGTAGATATTAATGACAGTCATTGGGAGGCCAGTGGATACTTGGGACAAGAAGTGAAAGTAATTGTGGGGCCATTGGGATTTGGAGTGTTAGTAATTGAAGGGTCCGAAGAGTCTGGGAAGTCATTGAGAGCTCTGCTCAGTGCATGATAGTGACTCTCAGTATAATCATTGAGGGTTTGTGGATGGCCATGGAGATCCAGGGAGGTAGAATACAGAAGCATCAGTAAGCTTTCAGAAAATAAAGACATTTTCTGGGAAAATGTGAGCCCCTGAGCACACATGGTTATTCAGGGCAGTCTTTATGGGCTAGAGGATCTCTGTCCAGCAGCAGGGATCCTGTTGAGGGCCTGTCCTCATAGGCTGAGGTCTGTCTGACTGGTGGAGGGCATGTCGTCCAGCTGAAGGTCTGGTTGACTAGGTGGGTGGGGTGTTCTCTCCTCTGGGGTAATGTCTCTGTCCATTTTGGGGAGGGCACCTGTCCTTGAGGGATTCTGACCTTTGCCTGGCTGGGGGGCCCAGGTGTCTCTCTGGCCACAGGCCTATTTGGATGTCTGGCTGAGGGTCTACCCATCTGTCAGTAATCTGTCTGTTTGTCCAGCTGGGTGTTTCCCTGGGATTCTGTCCATCTGGAAGTCTGTCCAGCCAGGGTGTGTGTGTGTGTGTGTGTGTGTGTGTGTGTTTGGTGGTTTGTCTATTAGAGGATCTGAGTGACTAGCCAGATGCTGCCTTGTGGCCTGTGAACATTAAGTGGCTGAGGCTGTAGTCTGCCATTTGTACTTCCAGCTGCCTTGAGTGTCTTTCTGTCCTCGTGTTCACCCTCACTCCAAGCCCCACCTTGTTGTTTAACCCACCTGTCCTCCTGACACCTGACCGTTCCTCATGTCTCTCCAAACATCCAAACTCTTAGCT
This sequence comes from Homo sapiens, assembly GCF_000001405.40. NCBI lineage: Eukaryota > Metazoa > Chordata > Mammalia > Primates > Hominidae > Homo > Homo sapiens. The sequence goes on along the minus strand of NC_000002.12, from coordinate 130,353,641 downwards.
TGCCCTCTGTTCAGCTCAGGCTAGGTGTGGGGGATGGGAAGACCCCACATCTTCCAGAGGCCCTGGCCCACCCCGGCTTTTCTCTCCCGGAGGACTGCCAGCTGTGTTCTTGCAATGAGACTCACTGCTGCTGGTGGCCCTCCTGTTCACGCTGCCAGCAGCAGTCTTGCACAGTGGGAGCTGCTGGCACTGCTACAGAGACCCCAAGTGTACCAAAGCCCACGTGCCATGTGCCAGTCTGTCACCTGCCCACCAGTCAGTGTGGCTACATGGGCCGCTCAACAGAGCCAAGAGGACAAGGTAGAGGAAGATGCACAGGGACAGGTGCACAAGGCTGTGAGTTCAGCCTGCTCTGAGCCTGCAAAGGGGAAAAGAGAAACTACAGTGGAGACCCCTGGCAGACACCCCTTCCTCTGGGATGCTTGCGGGGAGCTCCTTGGAGACTGCTGGCATCTCCAGGGTACAGTTCTTCTCCAGCTTCCTTTTTTGCTTAGTTAAAAAAGGGCAGAGACCATCCTGGCTAACACAGTGAAACCCCGTTCTCTATTAAAAGTACAAAAAATTAGCCGGGCGTGGTGGCGGGCACCTGTAGTCCCAGCTGCTCGGGAGGCTGAGGCAGGAGAATGGCTTGAACCCGGGAGGCGGAGCTTGCAGTGAGCCGAGATTGTGCCACTGCACTCCAGCCTGGGCGACAGAGCAAGACTCCGCCTCAAAAAAAAAAAATCAATAAATAAAAATAAAAAAAGGGCAGAAGACTGGAACCAAAATGTTTGAGTTAGAATTCTGGCACCATGACTTTCTCAGTATGACCTTGGGCAAGTCATTTAATTTCTATGTCTCAATTTCCTCCTCTGTAGGACTGTGTCTCTTCTTGTTGCTTTATTGTGAGAATTTAAGGAAATCATTGTATATAAAGCATTTAGATAGAACAGCACTTGGCTTGCAGTATACACTTGGTACTATTAATATTATTATTACACTGCTAGTTTCCCTTTCTGATATTGCCACGCCCACCTCCTTACTCCCTCCTCTAAGTTAAAACAAAAGTGGAAGGGGGGGCATAAATTTGAAAACATTTTCCCATTGCTTCATTCTGTTAAAAACCTTCAAGCTGGGCAAGTTGTCCTGTTGGTCCATCCACAAGTCTGGCATTTAGCAAACAGGAAAAAGGCAACCCTCTTCAGTGCAAGAGGAAGCATGTGGCTGTGTCCCCCTCCCGTCCGATGCCTGAGAGCTCTAAGTCCTCTGGGAGAGCTTTTGTTCCTGTCTCCTCTAACTCTCCTCAGGCGTGCCAGGTTTCAGTGTTCTGAATCAAAGACTCCTCCTGATCGCTCCATGGGAAAGGGTCAGCAGCTCAGCGCGGTGGAAAGAGAAAGCCAAAGAGAAAGAGGCCAAAGAGAAAGCCACCCTACCCCTTCTCAGCGCTACCACCAAACCCCACAACCCCCAGCTCTTTGTGGAGGCTGACCTGCTGCCCTCGGGAGCTGTCCTGCAATTCTGCTTCAGAAAGGAGGGGAAACCACTAGGAATAGAGGGGAAAGCCCTCTTCCCCATCTTTAAAATGCTCATACCAACTTTTCCCCCACTACTCCAGGGCAGAGCCTGGGCATCTGCATGGCCCAGAGCAGGCCCCCGATGTGCCCCTGGAGGAAATAAACTCGGGCAGACAAGTGCTCTAACAGCAACGCTGGCAGCACTCTGGGACTTCCATGACTGACAGGCCGGGTCAGGCTGCTGCCTCCTCAGCCTGCAGTTTCTACACCTGATGCTAGCCCAGCTTCAGCATACTTCCTCTGTATGCGGTGCTTTATTTAGAAAAGACCAACTGGCCATGTTATTGTCAGCAAATGCCGGCCAGGGTCCTGCACAGATGAGGGCCGTGTCTGTGGGCCCTGATTGCACAGCCCATGTGTCATGGCTGAGTGCAGTTCCCAGGACAACCAAAGGGATGCATGGATCCGTGTGCATTGCTGTCTGCCCATCAATTATAACACCAGAGAGAAATGAGTGTGCATCCATGCTTGGGTGAGTGTAAACACCTCTGGAAGGATTCCTATAATGAGGGGGCACCCTCACTGCTGCTGCTGACCAGGGTGTTCTGAAGTCCTAGGCAATGCAGGGTGGCAAGGAGAAAGGAGGGAGGGGCCCATCAGAAATGCTAACTGGCATATAGCATAATCAGCTACAAAGTTTTAGAAACTCTTATGAAAAACTGTAAGGACTTATGAGAAAATTTAATAAGGTAGCTAGTTAAAATACACTAACTAGGCCAGGCGTGGTGGCTCATGCCTGTAATCCTAGTACTTTGGGAAGCCGAGGTGGGTGGATCACGAGGTCAGGAGATCGAGACCATCCTGGCTAACATGGTGAAACCTCATCTCTACTAAAAATACAAAAAATTAGCCAGGCATGGTGGCGGGCGCCTGTAGTCCCAGCTACTTGGGAGGCGGAGGCAGGAGAATCGCTTGAACCCCGGAGGCGGAGTGAGCAGCGATTGCGCCACTGCACTCCAGCCTGGGCAACAGAACGAGACTCCATCTCAAAAAAAAAAAAAAAAGAAAAAAACTACACTAAGTACTTACACACACCAGTTTAATGAATTTGAAACTGTAATGCAAAAAGCTTCCATATTAATTTCTTGAGAAATAGGCACCAAGTTTGAACCCCTAATAAATTAATGGAGCTATGCAATAATACTGCCTACTGACATCACAAAAACGACTCCCAGGCAGGCACTGAGATTCCTAATGAAAGAACATAACACCCTCATCAAGTATTACTGCTAAAAAAATTTGCAGGTATATCTGATTGAGCCTCTAGATCTCAATATTAATTCAGAGAAAACACAACGGCAGACAAAAATGTTAAATGACACCACAGTGTTAAGATCAGCAACATCCAGACGGTGAAAGGTCTATTAAGACAAACCAGTTTCCTAACTGAGTAAACTGCAAAGAAACAGACAATCTTATAGAGAGACTCAAGACTTAACACACAAATGCTCATAGCAGCATTGTTCACAATGGCCCAAATGTGGCAAACAACCTAAATTTCATCAACTGATGGATCAAATGTGGCATATAATAATACCCCATGTATAGGGACATACATGGAATATTATTTGGCAATGAAAAGAAATGAAGTGCTGACATAAATAAATTACACTGTGAATAAGCTTAGAAAACATTATGCTAAGTGGAAGAAGCCAGTCAGAAAAGACGTATTATTCCATTTACATGAAATGTTCAGAAACAGCAAATCTATAGAGACCAAAAGTATTAATTAAAAAAAAAAAATCCTGTTCTAAGGCTGGGCACAGTGGCTCACGCCTGTAATCTCAGCACTTTGGGAGGCCGAGGTGGGCAGATCATGAGGTCAGGAGATCGAGACCATCCTGGCTAACACGGTGAAACCCCGTCTCTACTAAAAATACAAAAAATGAGCCAGGTGTGGTGGCAGGCACCTGTAGTCCCAGCTACTCGGGAGGCTGAGGCAGGAGAATGGCGTGAACCCGGGAGGCGGAGCTTGCAGTGAGCCGAGGTTGCACCACTGCACTCCAGCCTGGGCGACAGAGCGAGACTCCGTCTCAAAAATAAAATAAAATAAAATAAATAAATAAATCCTGTTCTAATGTCTCAGCAGAGTCTGGCCAAAAGTAGACTAGTGGTTGCCAGAGGGGCTGGGGCCTGGTGGGAGGGAGGGGATTAGAGTGACAGCTAATGCGTATGGGGTTTCTCTCCGGGGCAGTGGGGGCAGAGGGGGACAAAAAATGTTCCAAAATTAGATTGTGGTGATGGTTACACAGCCCTATGAATATGATTTTTAAAAAATCATTGATGCACAGGGACGGGCGCACAAGGCTGTGAGTTCAACCTGCGCTGTGAATTGTGTAATATGTTGACTATCGCAATAAAGCTGTTTTTAAAAGACTTGTCAATTATTTGCAATGAATGGACCTGATGTCGATCTTAGTCGAAACAAGCACACTCTAATCAAGGCAAGCTGAACATTAAGTGGATATCTGATGATATAAAGGAATGATCATTGATAATTTTATGTGTAATAATTTTTTTGTTGTTGTTGAGTCCTTATCTTTTAGAGATATACATGGAAATACATATGGATGAAATGCTCTGATGTCTGAGATCTACTTTAAAAACTGGTGGAGTGGATACAGGGAGTGGGTGAGCTATGAAGACTGGCTCACATCAAAACCGGCTCAGCGACTCACTATACCATCTTCTCTGCTCTTGTATGTTTCAAATTTTCCACAACTAACAAGATTTAAAACAATCAATCTAGAGGTGAACAAATGCATCTATAAGGAGAGCAGACCCATCACAGAAAATACATAACACACAAGGCCAGTAAGTATTTGAAAAGAGGCACAACCTCCAGAGTAACTAAAGAAATGCAAATGCAATTGGGGAAACATTTTGCACCTAGTGCGTGACAGAGGTTAAAACCTCTGATGATGCCCAGGGCTCACCTGGGGAGCAGGTGCTCACATCTTGTGATGGTGCCTGTGGAGAGACACAACCTCTACTATCATTTTATTTTAGTGTTTTCTTTTTATTGAGACGGAGTCTTGCTCTTGTTGCCCAGGCTGGAGTGCAATGGCGTGATCTTGGCTCACTGCAACCTCTACTTCCCGGGTTCAAGCGATTCTCCTGCCTCAGCCTCCTGAGCTGCTGGGATTACAGGCACCCGCCACCATGCCAGGTCAATTTTTTGTATTTTTAGTAGAGATGGGGTTTCACTATGTTGGCCAGGCTGGTCTTGAATTCCGGACCTCAGGTGATCCGCCCGCCTCAGCCTCCCGAAGTGCTGGGATTACAGGTGTGAGCCACCACGCCCGAATTCCTCTTGTAGGGATGTATGCATCAGATACACTTGCATAAATATGCACAGAAGTATGTTCAATGATGCTCTCGAAGCAGTATTTGTGGGGGTAAAAACAGGAAGCCACCCAACAATGTAGCCACAAGGAAGGAGGCAGATCCATGTGTACTAGACAGCCTTGGAGCCCTGTGGCATCCATTTGTCATTAAAGGGTAAGATGCAAGGTTCAGAGTAGTGTGCACAACATGATCCCTTTCAGGTTAAAATATAATTAACAGTCAACAAACTTATGGATACCATGAATAAAAGATATCAGTCCAGCTTCTTTAAAAAGTCAATACTGATGACCTCTGGAGACTAGGGATGGGTTCTTTGGGGTGGAAGGAGGATGATGGTTTACTTTTCACCATGTGCACTTGTGTGTGTTTTTAAAAATGTTTTGTAGAGATGAGCTCTCCCTGTATTGCCCAGGCTGGTCTCAAACTCCTGACTTCAAGTGAACCTCCTTGCCTTGACCTCCCAAAGCGCTGGGATTATTACAGGTGTGAGTGACTGCACCAGGCCTTCTGTATGCTTTTTTATCATAAGGATGTCTTCCAAGTGTCCGCCTGTACCCCCCCAAAAAATGGGCAGAGAACTCAAGAGGGCAGTTCTTCGTGGTCAAGTGGATACAATGTTCACCTGCTAACATTACAGTAAAGAACCTCCCTCCTCCCTGGGTACCCAGTGCACCAGCAAGGAGTTCAGCCTTCTGGGGATGATGCAGCACATACATGCAAGTGCAGGGCCCTCCCTGCCTCTTTTGCACACTGACAGCATATCACACATGGCGTTTCACACCATGCTTCTTTGTATTTAATGTCTATCTTGAGGAGCTTCTCAATGGCTATATCTACAGAGTGGGAAAAACTATTTGCAAACCATGTATCTGGTAAAGGGTTACTATCTGTCTCAACTTGGGCTGTTCTAACAAAATACCACAGACTGGGTAGCTTAAACAACAGGCATTTATTTCTCACAGCTCTGGAGGCTGGGAAGTCCAAGATGGTGGCTCCAGCAGATTCAGTGTCTGGTGAGGGGGGCTTCCTGGTTCACAGATGGTAGCTTCTAGCTGTGTCCTCACATGGCAGGAGGGGCAAAAGAGCTCCCTCGGGCATCTTTTATAAGAGCACTAATTCTATGCAAGAGGGCAGAGTCCTCAGGACCTAATCGCTTCCCTAAACTGTTGACCTTAGGGATGAGAGTTCAATATACGAATTTTTGGGGGACACAAACATTCAGGCCACAGCAGTATCCAAACTATATAAGGGACTCAAGTCAACAACAAAGAACAAATGACCCGGTGTATGCAAAAATGCTCAGTATCACCAACCGTTAGGGAAATGCAAATCAAAACCGCAATGAGAGAGATCACCTCATACCTGTTAGGATAGCTGTTATTAAAAAACACAAGATAAAGAATGTTGGCAACAATGTGGAGAAAAGGGAACCCTAGTGAACTGTTGGTGAGAATGGAAATTAGTACAGCCTTTATGGAAAACAGTATGGCGGTTCCTCAAAAAATTAAAAATAGAACCACCATTTGATGCAGCAATCCCACTTCTGGGTATACATATAAAAAAGAGATGAAATCATTATCTTCAAAAGATAGCTATACTCCCATGTTTACTGCAGCATTTCCACAACTGCCAAACTATGAAAACGACCTAAGTGTCTATTGGTGGACGGATTGGTAAGAAAATGTGGCATGTTATTTTTTACAAGGAAAGAAATCCTATCATTTGCAATAACATGGAGGAACCTGGAGAACATTATGTTAATAGAAATAAGCCAGACACAAAACAAATACCACATGATGCCACTTACATGAGGAATCAGCTGCTGAGCACTGGGTGTGGCCTGTCCCCTCCGCGTTGGCACACTGGCGGCTTCCACTCAGTGAGTTAACTTGGTGGGCTGCCCCTGACACAGGCTGGCCCTGCTACCCACATCTGCCTGCTGAAGAGCTCATATGACCCTCACTCTTGAGGGGACGTTAGCATCAAATCTCTCTCTCTGTTAACCCCCACACTGACTCCAGGCCCAAGCACGTCCCACAGCCATCAGGTCCCCACCCAAAGGGATCCCATGGGCTTTGCCCTGCAGACTTGGCCTGACCACTCAGAGGCAGGCGGGGCCATGACACAGACGGTTTATTCAGACCTCTCCACCCGCCACAGTTCCACATCCCAGTTCAGCAGGCCATTCTGTGACAGTTCCTACTGGTGGGTCTGTCTATGACAGCCCCATCCTGAGTTCCAAGTCCATGTCCTGACTGAGTGGTGAGTGTGCTCACTCGGTGCTCAGGAAGACTCTCTTGCGTGCGGTATTGGTGTAAGGGTGCCAGCGCCACTCCACGTCTGCTGTGGCCTCCTGCTCCAGCGTGCCCAGACGGATCATGTACACTGCAGGCAGGGATGGCATCAGCCCCGGCACAGCCAGCCTCCCCTCCCCACCCCAGACACGGGATTCAGCCTCAAACTCACGCTTCAGCTCAAAGCGGGGCCCGACCTCAGTGAGCTCCACGTTGCGGTGGTCTGTCTTCTTATACACATGGTGCCTGGGAGGGAACAGCTGTGGGTCAACGGCAAGCAGCACGAGGTACACAGGGTGGGGATGCTTTCCTGGGGCATGGCCCGTGGACCCACCGGAATGATATGTAGTCGTCCTGGTTTGCGAAGGTGATGACCCGGTGGCTGTCATCTTTGGGCACGGGAAATAGGTATCGGAGGATGTCAGAGACCTGGGGCACAAGGAAAGAGAGGGAAACAGAGTGGCAAATGCCTGGCCTGGCCCGCAGCCCCAGCCTGAAGGCCCCCAGACTCACCCGCTTGCCCAGGCGGGAGGAGAAGCCGTGTGTGATGAGGTGGGGCTTGGCCTCCGACATGGTGCCCAGGTCTGGGATGTCATGCCGCATGACCACATTGCACAGCGTGAAGTAGGCAGTAGGACCAAAGGGCAGGTGGCTGACGATGAGCCCCACTGGCGGGGAAAGGTGGCTGTCAGAGACCCCGTCTGCCCTCAGACGGCTCCCACCCCGACTCCCTCCCTCCGGCCTTACCAGGTGTGCCCCGATGCTCGTGAACGACCAGCAGATCGGTGACGCCGTTGGCTTTGCAGGCTCGCACCAGTGCCCCCACTTCATGTCGACCTCGGTTCATTCGCTGGGCGCCCGGGAACACCAGCTTCAGCTCCTGGGCGTGGATGGCAGTGTACAGTCAGGACTGGGGCTGTGTGTCCTGGGTGTCTCTCCCTCACTCCCTGCTCACCAGTACCTTTGCAAACATCTTGAGGCGGGAACTGGGGTCTCGGGAGGTAGTGATCATAACCTTGGGATCCTCGACTCCTGCCCATCGGTATTCATCATCCACGTGGCTGGTCACACCTGTCAGGAGCACGAGGGGCAAGAACATGACAGTCTTGGGAATGAAATGCTAACTTCGGGGCAGCCAAGACCGCCTGGATGTCGCTGTCTGCCGAAGCCTTCAACAATAGGAATGCTCCACATGCACACCGGGCAAGAGGGCAGCCTCCAACTACTCTGGCTGCTGAGCACAAGCGTGGCTGAGAAACAGAATCTTTTGTTTAATTGTAGTTTGCTTAAGCTATATTAGTCACATGGGGCTAAGCAGCTACTCCATTACACAACGAAATCCACACTCTGCTAAGGCCAACGGTGACAAACTCTTTTCCCTCGTAACAAATATCTATAATGTTTGGGATTCCTTTCTTGTTTCTTGAATAATGCAGTGAATAAACGTATGGGCACCAATAATGTGTGAGGGACACTGTCTTTCCCCAGCAGGCACTCCAGTGGGGGAGGTAATTAACAAGCCAGGTGCAGAGTCAGTGAGGCACTCCCATGTGTGCCATGTAAGTGGGACAGGGCACACTCAGGGAGAGCCCTGCAATGCCATCTGTGCAGTGACAAGGGCATGGGGGACAGTTCCAGGAGCAGTTTCCTCTGATGGGATGGTGCCCGGTGTGTCTGAGGAAGGACTGGAGACCTGCCAGCTCAGTGTTGGGGAGGGCTACCTTGTATAGTTACCTTCACCTCCAGCATCATCAAACTCCAGGGACCCCTGTAAGGCCAGAGCCTCTCGGCGTAACTCAGTGGGAATCAGGCGGTTTTCTGCAGAGGGAAGAGAGAGGGGCTGAGTGAGTCACAAGCATGGAGACCTCAGCTCATCCAATACACCACAGCTTATTAGCCTGCACATGCTTGAAATAAAAATACCTCAGCCCTTTCTGAGCTTGGATAAAGCATGGATAGAGGTGACAAAACTTTCTACAGGCCAACCCCCATAAACAGTGGTTACTAGGACTTCATTTTCTTTAGTCTCATGACTTGAGGACTTTCTAAAATATCTTAATGTACTGTATTGCTTTTATAATCAGGTAGAAATCTAAACATCGATTTTTTTTTTTTTTGAGACGGAGTCTCGCTCTGTCACCCAGGCAGAGCAGTGCAGTGGTGCCATCTCGGCTCACTGCAAGCTCCGCTTCCTGGGTTCACGCCATTCTCCTGCCTCAGGCTGGCGAGTAGCTGGGACTACAGGAGCCCGCCACGGCGCCCGGCTAATTTTTTATATTTTTAGTAGAGACGGGGTTTCACCGTGTTAGCCAGGATGGTCTCGATCTCCTGACCTCGTGATCCACCCGCTTCGGCCTCCCAAAGTGCTGGGATTACAGGCGTGAGCCACAGCGCTCGGCCTTAAAAATTACTTTTGAAAAGAAATATAGACTGTTCTGTACGTATGATGGTGGACCAGAGACCTTTAAGCTCTCAGACAGCAAAACCGTTGGTCACGATGCCCACAGCGCTTCGAAGGCATGGCTTCAGCGGGCCCTGGACCACAGGCTGCCTACCGCAGAGCACAGCGCTCCAGGTGCGCACTCGGGGCCAGCACTGTTCCCCACGGAGCTCAGAGGAACTCCTGCAGGGAGGATGGGCAGCGCAGTCTGCAGCACCAGCGCTATCCAGATAGTCTTTAGAGAGAATTTCTTTTTTTTTTTTTTTTTGAGACGGAGTCTTGCTTTTTTGCCCAGGCTGGAGTGCAGTGGCAGGATCTCGGCTCACTGCAACCTCCGCCTCCCGGGTTCAAGCGATTCTCCTGCCTCAGCCTCCTGAGTAGCTGGGATTACAGGCGCGTGCCACCACGGCCGGCTAATTTTTGTATGTTTAGTAGAGACGAGATTTCACCATGTTGGTCAGGCTCGAACTCCTGACCTCATGATCCGCCCGCCTCGGCCTCCCAAAGTGCTGGGATTACAGCAGTGAGCCACCGCTCTAAAGAGAATTTCTACAGGACAAGATAAAGTCTTTAAAACTTGGGACGAACTTGACACACTGCACACAGCGGGCAAGCTGCAAAACCCGGGTACTGCAACGTCAGTGACAAGTAATTAATACCATCACACGGAAGAAACACTCTCAAAACCAACAGGAGAACCCAATGGGCAAGGAAAACGGCCGGCAAGCATTTGGAAAGACGCTCGGATATTCGAACACAAATGCGTGCCGGGGTGGTTTACCACGCAGACGCCCGCGGGGCCGATGCCTTACCTTCCAGCGCGCGCCGCAGCCGCTCCTTCCTCTCCTGGGCTGAGCGCTGCGCCTCCTCCCGGGCCTTGCGGTACAGGTACTCGCGGCGCAGGCGGGCCTCGCGGCGCAGCTGTGGGAACAGCAGGCCCAGTCACTCACTACTCGCTCCCGAGCCCCGGAACCCCGGAGCCCCGGAGCCGCTGAGCCTCCAAGTCCCCAGAGCCACATCCCCAGCACTTCACGCGCCCCGGACCTCCGAAACAGGAGCTCATTCTCCTACCATCTTGAGTGCCGCTTCCACGTGGGTCCGGGAGAATCTGTGGGCTCCTCCAGCGCGACACAGTCCTCACTTCCGCCCTCAACCAAGATGGTCCCTTAGACGCTTCACTGGTGCCTGCAGCTGTGGGGAATGCCCTATGTTAAGATGGCGAATAGGGCGGGGACATCTCAAGGCGATTGGCCATTCCGGCAGGGCGTTCTCCTTGGGATAACCGATAGACTGGATACAGAATGTCACACGTGACTTAGGACCGCAGCTAATAAATATGTCCGCCCAGGCTTCTCCATCCTCGTCCTCCCCCCACCACCGCCGTGCAGAATGCAGTTTTCAGATGACGAACCGCTAAAACAATCATAATTAGCGGCTGGAAACAGTTCAACTGTAAAAACCGCACACCGACTGAAGGTTGCTTGCCGGCTCCTTTCCAAATTAACTTTAAAACCACTCTTCCCTCAACCAAAATGGTTTCTGTAGAGCTTCGCCTTCTTCCATCGCCACAACAGTGGCGCGACTTCTAAGATTCGGCAGCTTCCGGAAGGACTCAGAACCACCTATAACCCTAGCCGACAGTTCAGCAGGCTGATCCACTTGGGGGCTAATTGGAGAAACCAGTTGATTGGTTGCTTCCGTGCTGCTTCTCTAAGGGCGCTTGCCCTTAAAGAAGCTGACCCAGAGGCCTTGGTGCTGCCGGCGTGGGGATCCCCAGATGGGAACGCCCCTTGATGGAGGATCTCGTGTGCCTATTGGCTGTCCTGCCAAACTGCGGAGGGTGACAAGGAAGAAGGTGGCTCCAGATCTGGAGGTGTGTCCATGGCGGCGCTTGACCTGCGAGCGGAGCTGGATTCGCTGGTCCTGCAGCTGCTTGGGGACCTGGAGGAGCTGGAGGGGAAACGAACGGTGTTGAACGCCCGGGTGGAGGAGGTAGGCGCCTGGGGCGGGCAGGAGGGTACACGGGCGTAAACTGAGTCTCACCGCTTTCCTCTCCCTGCAGGGCTGGCTCTCGCTCGCCAAGGCTCGCTACGCGATGGGCGCCAAGTCGGTAGGGCCCCTGCAGTATGCTTCCCACATGGAGCCCCAGGTCTGCCTCCACGCCAGGTGAGGAAGCTTCCATGCTGGGCTGGGTGGGCGGGCGGGCGCGTTCTAGGCCCGGGCTGCCAAAGCTCCATCCTCCCTTCTCGTCCTTCAGCGAGGCCCAGGAGGGACTCCAGAAGTTCAAGGTGGTGAGAGCTGGTGTCCACGCCCCAGAGGAGGTGGGGCCTCGCGAAGCAGGTGAGCCCCCTCTTCCTTCTGCAGAACCCCTTCCCAGTGTCAAAGACAAAATGCAAATTATGGAGATGATTTAAATTAGGTTTTTGCGATAAGAGAGAGCATCCCAGAGCAGAAGAACAGAATGTTTTTGTAGGGTGGTTTTGCCTTAGACTTTTATAGGAAGTAGAGAAATTGTTGGTGAGTTGCTTTACACTGGGAATAGATTTACAATCACATACATTTCAGTCAGCTGAACAGAAAATATTTATCTGTGTGTCTAGCTAGTTTCAGAGGGACAAACTTCTAATCCCAGTTAATCATCCTGAGACAAAGAATGGGGAGTTGGAACGTCTATGTCTGGTCTGTTGGCATGTTCAGGTACAATGGGTAAGATCAGTGTCACAGGCAAACAGGGTCATCAGTGGGTCTTACAGGAGTCACGGGAAAGAGTGGACAAACAGTCTCATCTGAATCACAAGGGGAAAGGCTGTGTTTTGTGGTAAGCTGTTTCCTGGAACCCCAAAGTTGGAATTTTCCAACCAACAGTGTTTTATAGAATCATGAGCTCAGATCAAGCTCAACATTGTCACCAAGATGATAAAGGTCAGGGAGTAAGATCCCAGCCTCCTCCAACCTTTCTTTCCTCAGGTCTGCGGAGGCGCAAGGGCCCCACTAAGACCCCAGAACCGGAGTCCTCTGAGGCCCCTCAGGACCCCCTGAACTGGTTTGGAATCCTAGTTCCTCACAGTCTACGTCAGGCTCAAGCAAGCTTCCGGGATGGTGAGTGGACCGTGTTGTTTGGCTCTGTGGCCCTCAGACCCTCTATCCACAGGGAACACTTGAGCACTGCTGCCATGGCTGGGGTTAGTCTGTGAAAGGCTTTGCAGGTTTTCCTCCATCCAAACTTCCGTTGTACACCCATTATTTTTTCCAAAAGCATTTACTGGTTGTTGGCAGCATTCGGGTTCATGCTAGCTGCTGGGGATACAGCAGGGAACAAAAGAGACAAACACTTTTCATGTAATGTTTAGAAGCAGACAAAGGCAACGTGCAAATAAGTAGGCCCTTAACATAAGTCAGGCTGTGAAAATTGTTATGAAAAACACATAATGGAGTGGGACAGGAGTGGGCCAGGGGAGGTCTCTCTGAGGAGGTGAAGGAAAAGCTTTGTGGGTGATTTTGGGGAACAGTGCTCTAGATGGAGGAACCAGCCAGGACAAAAGCCCTGAAGCCAGATATATCTGGTATGTGCCGAGGCCGGTGGCCTAGAGTGGAGTCAGGTGATGTAAGCCCTGATGAAGACTGTGGGACCCACAGAGAGGCTCTGAGCAGAGGATGGTGCAACTGGCTGTACAGGGTCACAGGAATGCTTGGGTGCTGGGCGGGGACACAGAGCAGAGGGAGGAAGTAGGTGTCAGGGAGCAGCCAGTGTGAGAAGCAGATAGCGTCACTGGAGGAGGAGGTAAGTGGTGGGAACCTGCACAGGTTTTAAGAATAGAAGCCCCAGAATTTGCTGACAGATAAGATATGGGAGTAAGGGAAGGAAAGGAGTCCAGGAGAGCCTGCGGTCTCCACCCAGAACCCCTGGGAGGATGGAGCGACCCTCACCTGCTGTGGGCAGCTGAGAGGATTCCAGAAGGCAGGAGTTGGTGTGGTCTGTGTGGTATCCACCGACGCCCTGCTGGAGAGTCTGAGTGGGCACTTGGGCACATGTATCTGGAGTTTGGGAGAGGCCTGGGCTGGAGAGAGATTTGGGAGTCCACTGCATAGCACTGGTGTTTAAATTCCAAAGTTTTTGACACAAACACTGGTTTAAAGCTGAGATAGGATGAGATCAGCAGAGGGCCTGGGGAGTATGGACGGGAGGTGAGGGAGAAGAGGGGAGAAGCCAGTCAAGGAAACTGAGGAGCAACACCTGGGGGCAGGTGTCCTGGAGGCCAAGAAGAGAAAGTGTTTCCTGGAGCGAGTGATCCAATGTGTGGTCAGCCCTGCTGCTGAACAGGAGGCCGAAGACGAGAGCTGCCCGGAGGACTGGGCAGCAGCTGTTCCAGCAGAGACATCAGCAAAAGCCATCTAGAGGTGGATCCAGAGTGTGGACTAACAGAGAAAAGAAGTGGAGGGAGAGCAGGTGAGGGCAGAGAGATGCTGTAATAATGGGGGAAGGAAGGAAATGAGGGCATGAAATGGTATTACTATCTGTGAATTTTTAGTTCCTGGTGGGTGATATAATGGGTCCAGGAAGTCTAAGGAGGTGACATTTTAGCAAAGACCTGAAGGAGGTGTAAGGCCTCAGAGGTTCTGGAGCAGCCAATGCAGGGCCGTACCTGGAATGTTTTGGGACAAGTGTGGGGGGCAGAGAGGCCTGAAGCCTTTCCAATTTCTGGGGATATCCAGATCCTCCTGGGTCGTGTGTTACACTACAGATACCATGGTGACCTTCTCTCCTTTCCTCCAGGCCTGCAGCTGGCCGCAGACATAGCCAGCCTCCAGAACCGCATTGACTGGGGTCGAAGCCAGCTCCGGGGACTCCAAGAGAAACTCAAGCAGCTGGAGCCTGGGGCTGCCTGACATGCGCGCAAAGAGGCAGGGCAGCGAGCACAGCTGTTCTCCGACATGGCTACGTGATCTCAGGCCTTCTTCCTTCACAATTAGCTCTTGCCCCTACCCCACGCCAGCTAATGCCCCTTCTGTGTCCCTGCTCTGCATGTTTCCATTTTCCTTAGGTGTGAAGTTTGAAGAGGCAAACAGTAATTTTGAAAGCCACTACTTTGAAACCATTCTAAGGCCTGAGTTCCCATAGGACACACTCACATAGGCAGGTACACGTTAGTCAACAATTGGAACTGCCTCTTGGATCACTCAGCTGTGCTTTCATGGCTGGATGATGGAACACTGTGCGAAGAGAGATGGGGGCCAGGAAGTAGCGCTTCATGCTTAGTACATCCTCCAAATTGTCTTTGCTGGAGGAGAAAACCGTACTCAGCCAAAAGATCAGGACAATATGACTTGAGTCCACAAGGACACAAACACCTGAGTAGCTGGGCAGCCCTTGGCAGGGTCTAAGCCAGGAAGTAAAAATGATCTGGCCTAGATATTTAAGGGAACTCTAGGAAGAGGCCTAGGTTTTTAAAATCCTGTCTCTTTGTCTTACCATAAGAGGCTGAGCCTCTCTTCATTTTTTTGAAGGGCCACTTGTGTTTTCTGTTCTGGGAACTTCATTCATTTTTCTACTGGGTTGTTGATCTTTGCAGTAATTTCTAGGAGCTGTTTATGTTTGGAGGTAATTGGTCCTTTGTCCATATATATGAGATGTAAGTCTTATTTTCCAGTTTATCTTTTTGCTTATTTTTTTTGACTTTTTATTGTAAAATAAAACATCAAACTGCACAGAACAGTTGAATAGCTTAATGAATAACTACAGTAAAAGCTATGGTAACCACTACCCAACTTTTGTGTTTTTTGATCATTATTTGTACGTACAGTTGAATGTATCCAGCTGTCACATGATTCTGAATTTGGGTTTGTAACTGATAAGGCAATCAGGGAATTCTCCAGCATTTTCAAGAACCTCTGTGGTTTCAGTTGAAATGTCCAGTGAGTCATGTCCAGCTTTTCCACCATCCTCCCACGTGCTGTATGTCGGTTAATGCTGCCCTTTTGTTTTGCTAACTCCCAGTGTAAACCTAATGTAATTTGGGGGTTTTCATTCTGTTTCGTGGACATTACTGTCAATACACCAGTACCACATTGTTTTACTTCTTGAACTTTAACATAATCCCTGTATGGCAGATTCGCGTTGGGTTGAGGGGTCGTTTATTGGCCCTGTTGACCTTGAGTTGCCAGGGAAAAGACTAATGGGGGAACTCAAATGGAACCCCTGTGACTGCAGGAAAAACGGGTATCTGCCCCCAAACCTCACCAAAGGTTGCCTTTTGTAACAAAGATCCTATCCACAAGGTTCCAGTTAGTGAGATTCTGAAGCCAAAGTAAGGAAAAAAATAAGTCAATTTTGCTGGGGCCACAAATTCTTCCAGGAGGAGGTGCGACCCCGTGGAGCACGCCCTTCGCTGCTGATTGTGGGCGGACACTGGGGTGGGCACGTGCCTCCCACTGCTGGCTTGGGGCTGGACTCACAGGTGGCCATCCTCCTATCAGGGCGAGGCCATGGGCTCTGCAAATAGGGTTGGATGAAGACAGCAAATCTTTAGCAAAGCATCCTTAACTTGCTGCCCTGACCTTCTGCCCTAACTCCAGCTCTTGGGGAGACCGCCAGGAAAGGGGATTCTGGCTTCTGTGGGGAAGTGGCTTGTCCCACCAGGGCTAAGTCGAGAGACTGGGTTCATGCAGCGAGTCTGGCACGGCTGCAGTCATACGAGTTTCTACAGGGACAGCAGGAGCTCAGTGCTGCGCAGTGGTAGTTGGGAGGCGCTGGCGGTGAAGCTGACGCATGTCACGTATACAGACACGGTGGCGTCACCTTTCAGCAGTTCCCATATGGTCTAGCGGTTAGGATTCCTGGTTTTCACCCAGGTGGCCCGGGTTCGACTCCCGGTATGGGAACAAAAGTGGCTTTTTTTTTTTTTTTTGCGGGTGTATATTTTTTTCTTTCAACTTGAAAATGTTCGCCAGAAGAACTTTGACTTTTCGCCACTAGAACGCTCCAGGCCAGATTGGGTATTTCCTCTTCACTTGAACTTGGAGAAACAGGCCCAGGGAGATCCGGGCCCCATCGCTGTGTGTTTTGATGGCAGTGACCATTTTCATCATGACATTAGCTAGTTGTTTTGACCATCAATAGCTTACTGAGTATATTAGATGCTATATACATCGCAGATGTGAATATTAGAAGTAGTGAAATGCCCGATAACATTGAAAATATTCAAAATGTGTTGCTGTGGAACCCCCAGCAGAAGGCAGATCCCCACTGGCCTCCATCACGCTCCAGCGCACTTGCTCAGGTTGGCAGGAGCCACCTCGGGTCCGTGAGCTGCCTCTGCAAGGCAGGGATAGGAAGTCCTAGGAAGTCTACTGGGAGCATAGCACTCTGGAAAAATTTACCTTTCTCTCTTGCTGCTGCTTTGTTTTGTCCAGTAGTCAGGGTTCCCGTTTTCTCACTGGGACAGTCCGGGCTTGACTCCACTCCCCCAGCAGAAAACCAACTTCAAACTTCAATGATGCCTTCGTGCCAGCACACAAACACATGTCCGGTGGAAAGGAGAACCCAGCTGGGTGAGGCGGCAGCTTCAGTCCCAGCTACTAAGGAGGCTGAGGCTGGAGGATCGCCTGAGCCCAGGAGGTTGAGGCTGCAGTGAGCCGAGGTCATGCCAGTACCCTCCAACCTGGGCTACAGAGTCAGACCTCTTAACTAAAAAAGACATTGTTTTTTGGCTTGCTCAATTAATCCAGGGAGATTGTATGTAAGGCTGAGGTCATGTCTTCAGCAATTACTGCCACACTCATTCATTCATTCATTCATACCTTTGTTTTTTATAATTATCACTAGTAAGCATACCAATGAAAATTTTTGTTCTGGCACATAAAGAGCTTCAAAATCATCACTTCCATCCTTACAACAAGAAAAAAGCTGAACGAACTGGAAAATCAACAACTCTTCGATTCCTCAGAAAATTGAGGTCACGTGGCAAACCACTCCCCTGAAAATGAGAAGGAAAGGCAAATACAGAGCTACAGCTTGCCAGGCACAGAAGCTGCTGCTGCAGCCAGCAACCTGTAGGAAAACTTAAAGGGTAACTGACTAACTGCTAGAGCCTGGGCATGTAAGCATAAGAGAGAAAAGATGCTGGGGACATAGCCTTAAGGGGCCCCCACAGTCTCATGGGTTTTAGCTCCAGGAATTCTATCTTGTTCTTGGGTGAAAATCAGAGAAAAATCTGCTGGAGCTTCTGGCAAGGGGAGGAAAGTGTAACCACTTTGAAATGCACACATAACGTCCTGTCCTCTTTAACAAAGGCTTAAAGTCAGAGCAACTACCAGAGCCTACCCAACCCAAGGGAAGGAAAATATCCACCTCCAGTCTGCTTTAGTCTTCCAACTCACATTAAAAAAAAGCTGAGAAGCACTTGTGAGTGGCACAGCCTAGGGACCACTGGTTCACAACAAGACTGGGCCCTGATCATGGGTTTATAGACCACTCCCTGCTGTCCCCACATCTTACTGCCACATCACTTAGGGCTCCTATATATTAACAAGGGATTGCAGCTGAAAGAACTGCAAGGCCCAGAATTTATGTAAGAAGCAGTCTCTAGGGAAACCCAAAGGCAACAGGGGATGCAAAAACAAGGACACTAGAGGAAATTTTAGCCTCTGACATTTACAGCTACAGCAAACAAGAAACACAGCCTCCCTCCTTAGTCAGATAAATATAAAACTTCACACTAAAAGCCTATTTACCTCAGTTCCTCTCACCTTATGCATGTTTGGCTTTCAACAGAAAATTACAAGATGGGAGATAAAACATTTCTGCAGCAGAATGCCTCCATCAGCCAGTTGCCTGCCTGTGGAATTTTGGAAGCCCCATGGCCTTCCTTTATTCCATTCCATCTCTGTCCCTTAGATTCCAGGCTGCCATGTTTCTACTGCTATCAGAATCTCAAAACCTTTGTCTCCTGCATAATTCATGGGGTTTCAGCCAACAGACAAAGGGGCCCTCCACAGATCTTTCCTTGGTAACCCCATCTCTATTTCTGGCTTCTGCTGAGGTGGTGGAGTGGTTCCATGAGTCACATGTCCAATCTCTTTAGCAAAATGTTATCCAGCCACACCCTTGGTCCTCTTTCCAGAGTACACTTTCTAACAGTGAGTTTCCTAATTTTTGTAGTCTTTGTAATCTGGACATCCCGAGAGCCCCTAAATCATTAAGTGCCAGCTCCTTTCTGCTTGACTGTTCTTTGCTCGATGTAACTTTTTCCTCTCACAGTTCCTATTAGCAGCAAGCAGGTTGTACCTTCAACACTTCCCTCAACTAAATATCCAAGCGTTTAATATCCAAGCTTATTATTTATCATGTCTACTTTCCACATAACAACAGAACACAATTTAGTCAAGTTCTCTACCACTTTATAACAAAGATCTCTTTTACTCAGCTGTCAAAGAATATGTTCCTCATTTCTTTCTAAGACCTCACCAGAGGCACCTTTAACATTAGGTTTCTACTAACATTCTGTTCATGACAATATATGTATTCTCTAAGAGCATCAGTCCTCAACCTTTTTGGCACCAGGGACAGGGGCTGGGGGGCTGGGAGGATTATGGGATGGCTTCAGGATGAAGCTGTTCCACCTTAGATCATCAGGCATTAGTTAGATTCTCATAAGGACTGCACAGCTTCGATCCCCAGCATGCACAGTTCCCAATAGGGTTCATGCTCCTATGAGAATCTAATGCCCCGCTGGTATGACAGGAGGCGGAGCTCAGGCGGTAATGCTGGATCACTGGCCGCTCACCTCCTGCTGTGTGGCCTGGTTCCTAACAGCCAGGGACCTGTACCAGTCCTTGGCCTGGGGGTTGGGGACCCCTGCTAAGAGGATAGAAGCTTCTCTACAGCTCTTCTCACTTCCTTCTGAGCTTTCATTAGAGTTACTGTCCACATCTCCATCAACTGTTTCCTTAATGGATTCTAGGCTTTTTCTATCACGTGCCTCAAACTTCTTCCAGCCTCTCCCTGATTCCAAAGCTCCTTCCACGTTTTAGTTATTTGTTACAGAAACATCCTACTTCCTGGCACCAGTGTCTGTATTGGTTTCCTAGGCTGCCACAGTAATTTAACACAAACTTCATAATTTATCCTCTCACAGTTATGAAAGTCAGAAGTCTGGAATCCAGGTGCTGGCAGACCTGTGTGTCCTCTGAAGGCTCTAGGGAAGAACGCTTCTCTGCTTGTCCTAGCTTCTGGTGGTTCTGATTGTCCCTGGCACTCCTTGAGTTGTAGCTACATCGCTCTGATCTCTGGCCCCATCCTTCACGTGGCCTTCTTCTCCATATGTATCCACGTGTCCTCTCCTTCTCCTGCAAGAACAGCAGTCACTGGATATAGAACCTACTCTAAGCTGGGTGTGGTGGCTCACGCCTATAATCCCAGCAATTTGGGAGAGCGAGGCAGGTGGATCACCTGAGGTTGGGAGTTGGAGACCAGCCTGACCAACATGGAGAAACCCCGTCTCTACCGAAAATACAAAATTACCTGGGCATGGTGGCGCATGCCTGTAATCCCAGCTACTTGGGAGGCTAAGGCAGAAGAATCACTTGAACCCAGGAGGCGGAGGTTGCTGTGGGCCGAGAGAGCGCTACTGCACTCTAGCCTGGGCAACAAAAGTGAAACTCCATCTCCAAACAAACAAAACAAAACAAAACAAACAGACAAAAAAAAAAAAAAAAAAAAAAAAACACACACAGAAAAAAGAGCCTACTCTAATCCAGTACAAATCACCTTAACTTAATTACATCTGCAAGATTCTATTCCCAAATTAAATCATCTTCTGAGGTTGTGGGTAGACACGATATTTTTTTTCTTTTTGATGGGGAGACACTGTTCAACCCAAGACAGAGCACGTGGAGGGACAAACTGCAAAAACAGTGGATTCCTATAACAAAGTTTTAAAAATGCTGCCTTGACCCACTTTTGAGGCCCTGGCTAGAGGTCAGTTTCCCTTCTTGGGCACCCGATTAAGTTCATACTTGCAACCACTGGACTCTCTCACTCTGAGCTAATCAAACCCCTCCCCACCCCATAACACGTGCTCTCTCGGGAACTGTGAGTAAAATGTTTCAGCGTCACTCATGTCTTATCTTTTCAATATCAGTCATTTCCTAATCTGAATAATGTTACCTAAATAATAATAAAACCTATTGAAGCAGCGGGCCCAGCAAGCAGGGTGGTTTGGTGGGCTACAATGACGGCCACTAGGCCGCCCTTGCTTACAGACTGGCCCCACCAGGTGGCAGCACCAGTCCGGGGCACAGCTACGTTTTGCCGTCTAACGGGTGTCTGGTGAATCTCATTCCTAAATTGTGAAACTTTGAGTCATCCAGAGTTTCTCCTAAACCAAGGTATCAAGTGCTTCGGGCAGCTCAAATTAATTGGCTACTTCTGGTTGTCAAAAAACTCCACAGAAGCGGGCAAGGAGTGAGGAGGGGGTGTGGCTCTCCTCCAGGTGCCATGGAGCCGGCTGAGTGGCTCCATGTCAGGCAACGCGGACACATGGCTGGCAACACAATCACTCTCTACGGCCCATTCCACCTTACGGCGGGAGACCGCACTGCCAGGACGGCCCAGGGCCTGGTGGCTCACGGGGTCGGTGCGCCAGCAGCCTCTTCCGGGATCCACCGCATCCCGCGAGTCCTTGATAGTATTTGTAGACTGCTGTGGTGTTGTCTGCCTTGATGCTGTCGCAGTTTGTCCCTCGAACCCCGTGCAGTACAAGGGCTCACACCCACGGAGACCGCTGGCACAGTGCTTAATAAAAAATGAAGGCCGGGCGCGGTGGCTCACACCTGTAATCCCAGCACTTTGGGAGGCCGAGGCGGGTGGATCACGAGGTCAGGAGATCGAGACCATCCTGGCCAACATGGTGAACCCCCGTCTCTACTAAAAATACAAAAAATTAGCTGGGCGTGGTGGCGGGCGCCTATAGTCCCAGTTACTCGGGAGGCTGAGGCAGGAGAATCGCTTGAATCGGGGAGGTGGAGCTTGCAGTGAGCCAAGATTGCGCCACTGCACTCCAGCCTGGGAGACAAAGCGAGACTCCGTCTCAAAAACAAAAAAAACAAAAAAACAAAAACAAAAATAAAAAATAAAAAATAAATCAAAGGGGAGGGAACACCTTCTTCCTGCCCTGTCCGAGACCCCCAACAAGGAGGTCACACAGTTGATTCCGGAATGAGAACCCCTGGACTCTGGCCTCGCAGAGCAGTGATGGTTGGGTTAGGTTGGTGAAAGTAGAAATGAAGAAATGTGGGTGAGTTCAAGAGATACTGATGTAGTGGAATTAGTGTGTCTTTGCAATGTTTTGGATGTGAGGGGTGAAAGAGCAATTAAAGCTGTTTTCCAGATTTCTGCCTCATGCAACTGTTTGTGCCTTTCACTGCAGAAACTGGAGACTAAACTGGACTGGAAGTGCGTAGTTTTTTCGTTTTTGTTTTTTGGAGATAGGATCTTGCTATGCTTTCCACGCTGGACTTGAATTCCAAGGCTGAAAGGATACCATCCTCCACCTCAGCCTCCTGAGTAGCTGGGACTACAGGTGTGTGCCCCTGTACCCAGCTTCATGAGTTTAGTTTTATACATGTTGAATTTTAGCTATCTTGGTTAAAGATTTCAAGGTAGAATATGTGGGTCTGTAGCTCAGTGGAGAGGCTGGTTATGTTGGTTATGTGTTCCATCTCGATGTTGAAGTTACTGATCCTTTCAGGGAGGTCTTGGAATGAAGAGGAATACTGAGCTAAGTGCCAGAGTCCCTAGTGAATGAAGAATTTAATTAGGGTATTTGTTAGATGGCACAACAAAGGGGGTTGGATAGAACTTTGGTTGAATGGTTTGGTCTCTTCACAGGAAGACTGCTTTCTACAAGAGGATGGGTTAGTAACGGTCTGGAAGTGGTGATGGGTACGAAGAGCTCACTGCTTCACCCTCAAGTGAAGAAATAACACTTGAGAGGATTTAGGAAAGGTAGTCTTGGCAGGAGAGAGCCAGGTTTTAATTTGAGGAGGTCAAAGGAATGCTTTAGACTAGTTAAGTATATGAAAGTTTGTATAATGGAAAGGTTTAGGGACTGTCAGAAGATGAGGTCTCTGCCTTTCTAGAAAGCATATTCTCTTTTCCTTACTATTTATGATGCACAAATTATTTACACTACAAAACCAAGCTTTTATAAATTTAAATCTATAGATTTCACATTTTTAAGGATATATAAAGTTTCTATAGCTTTACCCATTGAGTTTGGGTTTTGTTTCCCCTACATTTCTTTCTTTCTCTTTCCTTTCCTTCCTTTTTTTATCTTTCATCTTTCTTTCTCTCTTTCCTTTCTTTCTCCTTCCTTCCTTCCTTCCTCCATTTTTTTGAGACAGGGTCTGCCCTCTGTCACTTGGACTAGAGTGCAGTGGCACAATCTCGGCTCGCTGCAACCTCTGTCTTCCGGGTTTGAGTGATCCTCCTGCCTCAGCCTCCTGAGTAGCTGGGACAACAAGAGTGTGATACCATGCCTGGCTAATTTGTTTTTGTATTTTTTGTACAGATGGGGTTTTGCCATGTTGCCCAGGCTGGTCTCCTACTCCTGAGGGTCAAGCGATCCACCTGCCTCAGTCTCCCAAAGTACTGGGATTACAAGCATGAGCCACCGCACCCAGCCCACATTTTCTGCTTTTTATGTATCTGCTTTTCTATTTCAGGACTCATATGAATGAGCAAAACATATCTTGAACACTCATGCAAAAGAGTGTAAGAATCTAGCAGAGGCTTTATTGGCCTCTGAGACTTTGGATGCCAAAGAGATTCAAGTTGTTCTTGAGGGGAAGAAAGAAACTGGAAGTGAGATAACTCTCTTCTTGATAGGGATGTATTACTAGTTTCATTGAAGAATGGAAGCATTAGTCTCTCTTTGGCAATGCTTTCCCATCCATTCTTGAGTTAGTATAATTCAAGGGTGTGAGATACTTTGTCAGTCTATTGTCATGATGACACCTATTGCAAATTAGCAACCTTGCAGCATGCATATTTAAAAAAAGAACAATCAGGATTTAGAACAGCTTATTTGAGAAATGTCAGTCATAAAGTTGAAAGAAATGATTTTATGGTTGGTGACTCTACTAGATGCGAATAAAAATTGTGCCCTTAGCTCTTGGGAAGCATTTTTAATTTGCAAGCTAAAATTGTTGAAGGATATCCATTATCTCTTGATATTACCATTTATCTTTTATAATAAAATATTATTTGGTTGTTGGTAAATCATAATTTTATGTACATCAATGGAAACTTAAGATGCAGTAATTGTGCTTCAAATTAACTGCATATAAAATGTTTAAATCTAAGAGTAGAGAGTTGTAATTCAGTTACAATCAGAATTTAAATGGTTATAACATTTTAAAATGGACAATAAAAAAGGCAGACCATAAGAAGTACCGTAAAAGATGTGGAGAAACTATAACCCTCATACACTGCTTGTTAGAATAAAAAATTCTACAGTCACTTTGAAAACCACATCCATTTAGTTATAAGCATATTTCTTAATTTTAATGTGTCATGTTTTAATAAAATATGTCGGAATAAAGACTTTGGATTGAAAAAATAATACTGAGTAGTGGACATGATTTGGAGAGTTGGTACCTTTGAAACAAATATTTTATTTCTATGCAAATACCTTTCTGTCCCCACTCTGTTACACATGAATCCTTATTTTAGTCAGGAATATAATCTTTCCTTCCCTTTCACAATAGAAACTTAATTAAATTATATATAAAAGCGATGTTTTCTGAACTACTTCCATCTTCCATCACCATGACAATATAACGGGTGGCTAATCTGTTATGAATGTGAGAACGCATTTCATTAAAAAAATTACTAAGTTGCCAAACAGGGAGGGTGGGAGGACACTTATTTCTTAAATAAATCCTACTTCAGAGAGCTTGCTGTGAATGTTCTGCTTCTGGAAGCAGGTATTTGACTCATCCAGGAAATCAAGGCTGAGAGAAGGGCTGGTGGCTGGTGAGCTGCTTTGTCTGAGAAAGGGAGAATTGTTACTGTGTTGAGACTTGTCTGCACTCTCCGAATTTGTTTTGGCAAAGAATGCTTGAGTGTTTACAGAGGCCCAGATGTTGGTCACGGGCAAAAGACAGTGAGCCATTATGGGGAGGGAGGATCCATTTTAAATCCCATGTGAAAGGGCCTATTAAAGGTGTGAAGAGGCCTCAGAAGAGTATAATTCAAAGTGGATCTCTGGATGCCTTAGGAGCTGTGAGAAAACAAAGGCCAGGATGGAGTGCGTTCATTCAGGTTAAAGCAATTGGAGGTGAGGACACCCGTGGGCAGAGAAATACTCCTGAGAGAGTTGGTTTTAAAATAAATGCTGTGTCTGGAATTGGTGGGTTCTTGGTCTTGCTGACTTCAAGAATGAAGCCACGGGCCCTCGCGGCGAGTGTTACAGTTTTTAAAGATGGTGTGTCTGGAGTTTGTTCCTTCAGATGTTCATATGTGTCCAGAGTTTCTTCCTGCTGGTGGGTTCATGGTCTTGCTGACTTCAGGACTGAAACTGCAGACCTTCCCGGTGAGTGCTACAGCTCTTAAAGGCGGCGCCTCTGGAGTTGTTCTTTCTTCCAGTGGGTTCGTGGTCTCGCGGGCCTGGCCTCAGAGTGAAGCTGCATACCTTAGCAGTGACTGTTACAGCTCATAAAGGCAGCACGGACCCAAAGAGCGAGCAGCAGCAAGATTTAGCACAAAGAGCAAAAGAACAAACCTTCCACAGCAAGGAAGGAAACCCAAACGTGTTGCCCCCACTGGCTCGGGTGGCACAGACACAGAGTGCTGATTGGTGCGTTTACAAACCTTTAGCTAGACAGAAAGGCTCTCCAAGTCCCCACCCAACCAGAAGCCCAGCAGGCTTCACCTCTCAATGGCACTGGCTGCGGGACTTTGCGGCACCTAGCCGGGGCACTCTTGCAGCCCAGAGGGAGCCCGTCCTCCAATCAAGCCCAGCAGGCGCCCGACGGCGGCGCGGAGTGCAGGGCAGCAGAGGCGCGCCCAACCCGGAACCGCGCCAGCCCTCCAGCGCCCTGCGCAGCCCGGGCTCCCGCCCGCGCCTGTCCCTCCACACCTCCCCGCCAGCAGAGGGAGCGGGCTCCGGCCAGACCCCGAGAGGGGCCCCCACAGCGCAGCGGTGGGCTGAAGGGCTTCTCCAGCGTGGCCAGAAGGGACGCCGAGGCCAAGGAGGCGCCGAGAGCAAGCAAGGGCTGCTAGCACATTGTCACCTTTCAATGCCATATAAAGATTGCTGGAAATTATCTTACAACTGTTATCAGTCAGATAAGAACTCAACCACCCTTTGCAAATTTGACTCTTGCAGGATCAGAAACCATAATTTGGTAGCTGAGGGAGGGTGGATGGAATTAGGGAAGAAGAACTGTGCCTGCCTCCTTCCCTTACTGCATGTGGCCAGACTGCGACAGGCCCCAGCTGATTAACTCTGACTTTGGGGCTTTCTTTTTTCCCCGAGACATTGTCTCGCTCTGTTGCCCAGGCTGGAGTGCAGCGGCGCGATCTCTGTTCACTGCAAGCTCCGCCTCCCGGGTTCACGCCATTCTCCTGCCTCAGCCTCCCCAGCAGCTGGGACTACAGACGCCCGCCACCGGGCCCGGCTAAGTTTTTGTATTTTTAGTAGAGACGGGGTCTCACGGTATTAGCCAGGATGGTCTCGATCTCCTGACCTCGTGATCCTGCCTTGACCTCCCAAAGTGCTGGGATTACAGGCATGAGCCACCATGCCCGGCCGACTTTGGCGCATTTTTATCATTACGTGGGGAGGGACAGTCTGTTTCAGTGCTTTGTCAATTAAAGCAGCACTGGGTTTTTTATATTCCTTGAGAATCATGTTTTCAGCCTGGGCGGAAGAACATGTACATATTTAATTGATAAGGGACAGTGGGAGATGATGTTGCCTTCTGATTCCCCTTGCATTCTGCTGAAAGCTTTCCTATCTGATTATGTTAAAACTCAGGAATGACCTTGTGAGAGCCTCATTCTTTGTCCTTCCTCTCATGTTGGTTAACTCAGGTTATAGCCTTGTTTTTGTTTAGTGTCTCTCTGTATTTCTCTCCTCGGTATGCTGTTGTACCTTAGTGCAAGGGAAAGACTATCCCTCTAGCTTTTTTCTGTTTAGGATGTATTTCCAGCTGCTTTCTCTGTTTCTTCACAATGTTTGATTTGTACTTTTGTAATAAACTGTTCTATAATTTATTGTGTCTATTTCTGCCTTCCCCACTTGCGGAGTTCCAGGAAGCTTCTTTTGAACACCTTTGCATCTCTAAAGCTAAATGGAGTGCTTTATAGGTAGGTACCTAATACATTTTAATAGGTATTCAATAGATGAAATTTCCTCATTCTCTCAGCATCAGGCAGAGCATTAGAATAGAGGGATCAGACTCTCTGAGGAGGGTTAAAAAATGCTGCAGAGAATAGGAGTATTAAGTGCCTTTTTCATCTCTGAAAATATCCTGGAGAGTATTGTAGTAAAAAGACTGGTGGGCCAGGCGTGGTGGCTCACACCTGTAACCCCAGCACTTTGGGAGGCTGAGGCGGACGGATCACTTGAGGTCAGGGGTTCAAGACCAGCCTGGCCAACATGGTGAAGCCCCATCTCCACTAAAAATATACAAAAATTAGCCAGGCAGGGTGGTGTACCCCTGTAATCCCAGCTACTCGGGAGGCTGAGAAAGGAGAATCGCTTGAACCTGGGAGGAGGAGGTTGCAGTGAGCTGTGTTCGTGCCATCGCATTCTGCACTCCAGCCTGGGGGACAGAGTGAGACTCCATCTCAAAAAGACTGGTGGAATGCCTTCCTGTAGGGGAAAGTCTGACTTCTTTTTAAGAAAAAGAAAAAAAATATAAGGCAAGATTGTGACCCAGGATAAGAGTATCTGTCACACAGAAGGATCTGTCAAATGAGTGAAAATTTAAGATCTCTAGCATGTGAAATTCTAAGGTCTTCTGGATTGGTTTCATAGAAGAAGCACTTTATCCTTGCTCAACCAGTTAGTGTCATTTAGGTTCAAAATCATATATATTGCATACATTTATTACTAATGAAAGTCTCTTAGAATTCAACCTTATGGGACACAGAGTTACACGAGTCTTTTGTATATGTATTTCTTTTCTCTTTTTTTTTTTTTTTTTTTGAGATGGAGTCTTGCTCTCTCACCCAGGCTGGAGTGCAATGGTGCAATCTTGGCTCACTGCAACCTCTGCTTCCCAGGTTCAAGTGATTCTCCTGCCTCAGCCTCCTGAGTAGCTGGGATTTTTGGTGTGCACCACCACACCCGGCTAATTTTGTATTTTTAGTAAGGATGGGGGTTTCACCATGTTGGCCAAGCTGGTCTTGAACTCCTGACCTCATGATCCGCCCACCTCAGCCTCCCAAAGTGCTGGGATTACAGGTGTGAGCCACCACGCCTGGCCCTGTATATATATTTCTTAATGCTGAAAGCCTTCAGACTTAACTGTAAGACTAGAAGAGGATGTTGATGGACTTATAGTGAGTGAAGCAGAAGCAGCAGCAGTTAAATCAAACTCATCTTAAAGACCTCTAGTTAGTAATCTCATCCATGTCAATTTTTTTTTACACCAAATTTGCACAGTTAAAACCCACAGGTTCCATAAATTATGTGATAGAGACCATGTAATTAAAGTGGATGATCATGTTTTTTTGCTTTCCTTTAGGAAGAAAGTAGTATTTCTGGGTTTTGTTTACTGAACACCTAAATGGAATTTTTAAGGTGAATTGATATACCATTAGCAATCAGATGCAGACTTTTTTGGAGTTAAAAATAATGAAATGGAGTATTTCATGTTATAAAGAAATGAAAAAACCTTTAATATTTTCCAGATCTTATGTTCTCTCTCTCTATATATGTGTCCAATATATACATATATATATTCCAGATATTATATTTCTCTCCTTAGATATATATTGTCCAGTGAATCTACCAAATGAGCAAATTAAAAGGAGATGGTTTTATGTTTCAGTAGATGGGTGTCTACTGAGTAGGGTCTATATTTAAATAAAAATGGTTATAATGCAAAAAAGCATGGATTATATGGATTCTGAGGGAGATGTATGTATAGTGAGAACGTCTCTGTGGTTGCCCTTTATTACTGAAGAATTATATATAAGTGAACAATTTTACTTAAATGTGCTTATCTTTTATGCTTCCTCATCTTTTCTGCTCTGCAGAAATGATTTTAGACTCTAACCTCATATATTTTGCTACTGTTGTCCTGGAGCATGTTGACAACCTGTTGTTCTTAAACCAGAGATGCTTGTTACTTCTGTGTAACTCTCTTAGAAATCATAAACCAGTTGATGAAAGAGGCAGAAGTGGGATAAAATGGTAGAAGAAGGGAGACAAATTAGAGAGGAAATGTGAGAAACTGGCTGTTAAACAGAATTCCCAAGAAGAAAAAAAGGAATCTTTGTATTATTTTGAAAAAAAACTCCCACAGTTATCAAAAACCACCATCAACCTTAGCCAAAAATATGAAGTGACTGAATGCTTATATGAAATTTGTGAACTTTAAAGTAGTTTTTATCAATTCTGTGAAGAAAGTCATTGGTAGCTTGATGGGGATGGTATTGAATCTATAAATTACCTTGGGCAGTATGTCCATTTTCACCATATTGATTCTTCCTACCCAGAGCATGGAATGTTCTTCCATTTGTTTGTATCCTCTTTTATTTCAATGAACAGTGGTTTGTGAATATCCAAATAAACACAGTAAGAAATGACAAAGGGGACATTACCACCAACCCCAAGGAAATACAGAAATCCATCAGAGACTATTGTGAACACCTCTTTGCACACAAAGTAGAAAACCTAGAACAAATGGGTAAATTCCTGGAAATATACAACTCCCCAAGAGAGAACCAGGAAGAAACTCAAACCCTAAACATGCTAATAATGAATTCTTAAATGGGATCAATAATAAAAAGCCTACCAAAAGCCCAGGACCAGATTGATTCACAATTGAATTCTACCAAACATATAAGGAAGAGCTGGTACCATTCCTACTGAAACTATTCCAAAAATTGAGGAGAAGGGGCTCCTCCCTAACTCACTCTATGAGACCAGTGCCATCTTGATGCCCAAACCTGGCAGAGACACAATAAAAAAGAAAAGTTCAGGCCAATATCCTTGATAAACATAGATGCAAACATCCTCAACAAAATACTAGCCAACTGAATCCAGCAACGCATCAGAAAGCTCATTCACCATGATAAAGTAGGCTTTATCCCTGGGATACAAGTTTGGTTCAATATATGCAAATCAATAAATGTAATTCATCCATCTAAACAGAACAAAAAATAAAAACCACATGATCATCTCAATAGAGGTAGAAAAGGATTTTGATAAAATTCAGCATCCCTTCATGTTAAAAACCGCCAACAAACTGGCATTAAAGGAACATAACTCAAAATCATAACAGCAATCTATGACAAACCCACAGTCAACATCATACTGAACAGGCAAAAGCTGGAAGCATTCCCCTTGAGAACTGGAGCAAGACAAGGATGCCCATTCTCACCACTCCTATTCAATATACTACCGGAAGTCCTAGCCAGAGCAATCAGGCAAGAGAAAGGAACAAAAGGTATCCTAAAATAAGAAGAGATGAAGTCAAATTTATCTCTGTTTGCAGATGATATGATTTTATACCTAGAAAACTCCATAGTATCTCCCCAAAAGCTCCTAGGTATGATAAACAACTTCAGCAGGGTTTTTGGATATAAAATCAATTTACAAAAATAATAAGCATTTCTATACACCAATAGTGTTCAAGCTGAGTGCCAAATCTAGAACACAATCACATTCATAATAGCCACACACACAGAACATAAAATACCTAGGAATACAGCTAAGCAGGGCCCGCAGCACCTGGGATGTGGAAGCCTCAGAGGAGTCAAGGCCTGGGTCTCTCTATGAGCAGCAAAATGAAAACAACACTTTAGCTGGTTTCCAGTGCACCCATAATCTCCCTATAGTGCACTTTAGAGACAATTTTAAAGTGATTTAACTCACAGAATTGTCTATATAATATTTTTAAGGTATACACTTTTAAACATGTTATTCACATTATAGAAAAGTGTATAATGAGAGAAATAGTTCCCATAATGTATCAACTTCTGGGCTAAAAATTCTTTAGATAAAATCCAATATCCATTTTCTATCCACGTACCCCTATGTAAATATATACTTTACTGAGGAACCTTAGAAGGAAAGTGGGAAGATGGTTCATGTTCTTGAATAGAAAGAATTTTCTCAAGATGTGAGCTCTTTCTGTATTTATCAATTTTGCCTAAACCAAATAAAAACACCAAAGTTTTAACGTTTAAAAATTACACTTGCTGTCTTTTACTGTTATGATGACATTAAAATTTTTTTGTAATGCAACGAAAAATGACTTGCCTTCCTCGATATCAAAATGTGCCATTAATTTCTATAAGTCATTTACTAACAGCTGAAAGACATAAATGAATGGAACAGACTAGAAAATCCAGAAACACCCATATATATGAAATAATTTAGAACTTGATAATGGTGACATTTCATATTAGTAGAAAAAGATGAATTATTCATAAATGGAATGCCTGCTGTTTGGAGAAAACTAGCTGATTTTTATGTCACAAAAATAGGTTCCTGGTGGAATATAGATTAAAAATTTTAAATATACAAAATGAGAAAACTACCAGAAGAAAACACAAATGCCTATTTATACAGATACTTTTTTTTTTTTTTTTGAGAAAGAGAGTCTCGCCCTGTCACCCAGGCTAGAGTGCAGTGGCGCGATCTTGGCTCACTGTAACCTCCGCCTCCCAGGTTCAAGCAATCCTCTTGCCTCAGCCTCCCAAGTAGCTAGGATTACAGGCATGCACCACCATGCCCAGCTAATTTTTGTATTTTTAGTAGAAACGGGGTTTCACCATGTTGGTCAGGCTGATCTCGAACTCCTGATCCACCCGCCTCAGCCTCCCAAAGTGCTGGGATTACAGGCATGAGCCACCGCGCCTGGCATACAGATACATTTTCACGTTGACAAAGACCTTCCTAAGGACTTCACGAGCAAACATTTTGAAGGTTGGTTTAGCAAAATAAAAATTAAAACACCCCATATATAAGAAAAAAAATCAACAAAACACAACATACTTGCAAAGTATTTACAACATACATGTATATACACATATCAGATGAGCAATGTATTTTCACGTTCAGCAATGAGGCTCCGTCTCAAAAAAACCAAACCAAACAAAACAGAACAAAAATAAACATAAATGCCATGAAAACCAAAAAGACTGAGAAACTATCTCAGATTAAGAGACTAAAGAAACAGGATAACTGGACACAAAACATCATGGACTGTGAATCCCCATCTTTGATTTTCTTTGGCTACAAAGGATATTAGGGAGACAGCTGGCACAATCTGAATAAGGTCTGTAGATTAGATATTAATATTAGACAAACTTGAATTTCCTCATTTGTGAATCATACCATAATAATGTAAGATAATTATTTTTAGGAAGCACACACTGAAATATTTACAGAGGCATCAGGTTCAAAACTTACAAAATGTTCACAAAAAATTCATTATATATATATATTTGTATTTATCTAGAAAGAGAAAAGGAGGAGAATGAATAAAGCAAATGTGGTAAAGTGTTAATATCTGAGGAATTACATCCAAGAATTTTTTGTACAATTCTTATAATTTTTTTCTCTAAATCTGAAATTGTAAAAATAAAGCATTTCTAAAAAGAAAAGCTGATTTAAAAAATATTAACAAATTATAACCCACTGAATGAAATAAGCCATGAATCCATGTTGATACCAGTAAATGAGTAAATTGAAAGTCTAATGAGGAACAGATGTATTTCCATAGTCTCAAATTTCCTCCTCACAAAATACAAATTAATTACAAGGTGAAAAAATAACATGACAGAGGAGAAACCCAGCATATGCCACCATTGGTGATCAAGGCTAACATCACCAATAACAAAACAAATCAAAATTGTAGGTCCCATGGTAAGATGCAATGAGATCACAGGATACTCATCAAAAAATGTATGGTCCAAGTCTAATACTAAAAGAAACATCAGAGAAACCCAACTGAGGAAATTTCTACATTACTGGACTTTGCTTTTCAAAAGAGTAAAGGTCATGAAGGTCAAGGAAAGACTGAGGAGCTGTTCCAGACTGAAGGAGTCTAAGAGACATGACAACTAAATGCAATCCATGAATTTGAATGAGATCCTTTTGCTGTAAAGGACATTACAGACAAGTAATAAAACTTAAAAAGAATCTGAGGGTTACATAACAGAATGTATTACCTAACAATGTATTCATATTAACTTTCTGATTATGAAAGTTGCATTGTAGTTAGAATGTTCTGACCCGTAGCAACACTCACCAAAGTAATCTGGGGTGATTTACTCTCAAATGTTTCTGGGGGAAAATGTTCTTTGTGTAAAACTTAGAACTTTTCTCTAATTTTAAGACTGTTTCCAGAAAGTTAATCAAAAACATCTTCGTTCATGTAACGCAATTCCCTACTATGTGCTGTACATTGAGCTGGACATGGGGTCCGTGATGCCCAAGCAAGCTGCTGTCCTCCAGATGTTCATGTTCTGGTGACCTCAGGAAACTATTAAAATATAAGGAGGTGTGCAACTGGCATTCCCAAACTCTACTTGTGGGAATGCTAACTGGCACAACCTTTTGGAAGGCAATTTATCATGCAGCAAGAGTCCACAACTGCACATGTCCTTTGATCCAATCATTTGACTCATCAGCTCCAGAGAAATAACTAGAAATGCAAAAAGAGACTGATGGCTAAACGTGTTGATTGAAGTGCTATTTATAATAATGAAAATTTGAAGTATCCCCAATTATGGAGGATTGGTACTAGTAAGATTTACTTTCTACCGGGATTATGTGTTACTTTTGTAATCAGAAAAATAAATATTATAGTCATGCGGCATATAATGATGTTTTGGTCAATGACAGACTGCATATACAACAGTGGTCCCATATGATTATAATGTCATATTTTTACTGTAGCTTTTCTGTGTTTAGATGCACAAATACTTGCTATATGGTCTGTAGCTGAGGGACAATATGCTGTACCACGTGATCTGGGTGTGCAGTAGGCTACACCGTCTAGGTTTGTCTACATACACCCTATGATCTTCTCACAACAATGAAATCACCTAATGATTCATTTCTGAGAATGTATCCCAGACTGTACTGAGGAGCACCATGGGATACAGGCCATAGTTCTGTGCATGATGTGGCTGGAGTCCTGAGGAAGGAGAGGGCTAAGGACTGAATTGTGTCCCGCTCCCCACCCCCAATATTAGATGCTGAAGTTCTAATGCCCAACCTGACTGTATTTGCAGACAAGGCCTATAAGGAGATGGTAAAGGTTAAGTGAGGTCATAAGGGTGGGCCCTGATCCAATAGGATTTGTGTCCTTGTAAGAGATCAGAGAGCTTGGGTGCTACCTGCCCACGCCCTGCCCTGTGGGAGTACATGCCCAGCTGGGTGTCCACATGGGTAGAGGGGCTGGTACCTGTTACCCGCCCATCCCCTCCAGGCTGGGACAAGAGCCCTGTGGGCCTGGGTCCTGGAAAAGGGCCCCCCACCCACATGCTTTCTGGGTGGGTCCCGTCCTGCGGAGTGCTGTGGGAGCTCCACGTGCCCCTGCTGATCTGCCCATCTGAGCCTCGGGGATCCTGGGCACTGAGAACTGGGCGGGGGGTGGGCACTGACATTGGGGACAGAAAGGGGCTGCTAAAGGGGGCACTGTCTGGGCAAGGCCCTGTCTGGGGGGTCGCCCCAGCAGGTACATCCAGCAGTGGGAGGAGCTTTGGATGGGGTGAGTGCCCTGTCCTGAGGGGTATTGTGAGCTGAAGCGGGGGACCTGGAGGTGCAGGGAGAGGAAGTGGAGTGAGTGATGCAGTGGTCCCAAAGTATGTCTCAAGGCCTCAAGACTCTGGTGAAGGGACAGAGAAGCCAGCACTGGTGAGGGAGCAGGGAGAGGGAGCTGGATGGCCCGGCTCTGGGCTAGACACACGGTCCAGCTGGGCTGCGCTGTGGAGCCCCAGTCCCTACCAGGGCTTGTCCTGTTCTCTGAGGCACAGGGACTCCTTGTCCTTGGCTCTGACCCTGTGTCTTCCACAGTTGGGATGTTGAGTCCATGGGCAGAGTGGGGCACAAGGGGACTGAGATGCCAACCCAGACGGATGGCAACTAGAGGCTGCACCTGGCACACACGTCCCATGCAGAAAGCTAACACGCCCTTTGCCAGGCATGGTGGCTCACGCCTGTAATCCCAGCACTTTGGGAGGCCGAGGCAGGCGGATCACAAGTTCAGGAGACAGAGACCATCCTGGCTAACATGGTGAAACCCCGTCTCTACTAAAAAACACAAAAAATTAGCTGGGTGTGGTGGCGGGAGCCTGTAGTCCCAGCTACTCGGGAGGCTGAGGCAGGAGAATGGCGTGAACCCGGGAGGCGGAGCTTGCAGGGAGCCAAGGTTGCGCCACTGCACTCCAGCCTGGGCAACAGAGCGAGACTCCAACTCAAAAAAAAAAAAAAAAAAGAAAGAAAGAAAGCTAACATGCTCTTTATTTGGGGACGAGGGACAGGAAGCACTGGATGGTGCCTGCACAGTGCCAGCCGCTCGCTGGTAGCTGGCCAGCTGTACGATGGTGGGATAATGGACGCGGTAGGCCATGTACTTCTGGGGGTCATCACTGCTGCTTGCCCAATGCACCAAGGGATGTCAGCCTGCCCCTGGTCCCCGGACAGCCCCCTGAGGACCCCAACCCATGGGGCCCAAATGCCTATCCAGGCTGCCCCATGGGGTTCTGTGCTGACAGAGGCTATCCTCACACCAAGAACAGGAGGGGAACCCCACATTTCTTTTCAGTGCCTGGACAGTTTCATTTTCTGTGTATGGGAGCAACCCTCTTCTCTGTGACTGGAGTCTTCGTCTCCACCACGGGATACCTCCTTGTGTGCCAGGGCACAAGTCTTGTGCCCCTCTGTCCTGTGAGTTTGCCTCTGTTCCTGCACTCTCAGTGTTTCCATCACTGGGCAGGCACCCTTGGCCCTTTGCATAGGAGCTGAGGGAGTTCTTGAAGCACTGAGAGGGTGCAGGGGGAGGGGTCTGGGGGAAAGGAAGGCAGGGAAGAGGGAAGGCATGAGGGGGAGGGAGGGACTCAAGGTTTTGGCCTGAGTTTGGGGGTGCAACAAAGGGGCTCCCTGAGGCCCCGGACCAGCTGCTCCCAACCCACATCTTTCATGAATGTCCACAGGCCTACAGTGCGTTCACAGGGAGGTCCCAGGTTCTGAGAGGTGACAGAATTCTTCAGAGCTAGCACTGGGGTCAGGACTGGGGAACTCCCTCATCCTATGGGGCTGCCCCATGGACAAGTTGTGGATTCGGAAGGGACAAAGGACATTCGGAAAAGAGGGGACCTGGGGGTGCAGATCGTTGGGGCCAGGGCTCTGTATAGGATGAATGAGAGCAGTGGCTCCCAGCCCACCCCACCTGTCCACACCTGCAGTGATGGCCCAGGCCTGGGTTTCCACCTCTGAAGCAACTGTTTCAGCCAGGAGCATCCTTGGGGTGGGGATGCCTTGTGGCTCAGCTTCCCAGAGCTAAGGGGAGCACCCATAGCCTCCTGAGTGTAGAAGCCATCCCATTTGGGGTTATTTTGTGTCAGGACAGGATAAGCTCAGCTTCCCCCTCACTAGCCCTACCCCTAACACCTACTAAAAACAGAGCAGGACAGAGGAGCCCTAGGTTCCAAGCTGGGAGAGAGGCAGTCAATAAAAACTCAAGCCCCAACAGGAAGGACTGCCTGAGATCACTGACCACACCTTCTCTAGCATAACAGAGAGGGGCCAGGAAAAAGGCAGCCCCTCAAATTGGCAAATTCTACTTAGAATTTGTACAAATTCAGCTTCTATTTGGGTACACTCTGGCACTTTTTCCATTCCAAGCTTTTGGGAAGAGTAAACAGTACTCCCACTGTCTTCACTTCCTCCTCACCCTTTGAACTCTGAGATGGGGGGCAGGGGGGAATCCGTTAGAAATTGTCCAGGGGTGTACAGGGCCAGTATTTGCTGCTCAGCAGAGCCAGCTGCTAAATAGCCAGTAATTCTGCTGGCTGGAAACCACTCACAGCTGAAAAACAGCCAAAGAGTGAGGATTTTCACCAGGGAAAGCTGCAAAGCAGAATGTTGGTTTTGCTCTTTTTCTCAGATAGCTGGTTTTCCAGTGTCCCTCTCAGGCATCCTAGAGCCTATACCATTCTCTTTGGGCTCAAATGGCAGCTCTGCACCCGAGCCCAGCTACACCCAGGAGCCTGTGTCTATCAGATGCTGGCCTGCTGGCCCCGGCCCACTGCAGGGCTGGTTCTCCCACCACCATTTTGCTCAGACTGCCTTTTCTTTTTTCTTTTCTTTTCTTTTCTTTTTTTGAGACAGAGTCTCGCTCTGTCACCCAGGCTGGAGTGCAGTGGCGCGATCTTGGCTCACTGCAACCTCTGCCTCCCAGGTTCAAGGGATTCTTGTGCCTCAGCCTCCCGAGTAGTTGGGACTACAGGTGCCCGCCACCACGCCCAGCTAATTTTTTGAATTTTTAGTAGAGACAGGGTTTCACCGGGATTTCACCGTGTTAGCCAGGATTTTCTCGATCTCCTGACCTCGTGTTCTGCCTGCCTCGCCTCCCAAAGCGCTGGGACTACAGGTGTGAGCCACCGCACCCGGCCTCAGACTGCCTTTCCTTCAGCCTCCATGACCTCCTGACAGCCAAGCCCTGGGCTTCCTGCTCCCCCTGTGCAGTGGACCAGGTGTAGTCTCTCCTCCCTCAGCTCCAAGCACACCCTGTTCTGTCCCCTCCTGCCTTTCCTCTGAAGTCCCCTCAATGGGCTCTGGTAAGGCTGTGAGCTTGCATTTCACAGAATGCTGACCACCCTTTACTTCTTTTCCTCCCCGCAGAGTGCACCTGAGCTAATCTTCTCCATTCTGGCAGCTTCAGTGGGTCTGGGGGTTCTGTCCGGAAGGGCCACTCACCTAGGCCCCCGCAGCCAGCAGTAGCTGCATGCACCATGCCTGGCCCTGCAGACTGGCAAAGTATAGGGGCACAAAGGAGTCCACCATGACCTGGTTCACAGAGGCGCTACTCTTGCTCAGCTGCTACAGCTGTCAGGTTTCATCCCACTGGGCTGAGTCCCAGAGCCAGCTGACCAGGGCAGTGCTCCTTTCTTCTTTCCTCCTGCAGGACCTTTGGGGTCTAGTCCAAGCACCCTTATTCTTATCTGCTGCTCCTCAGTTCCCAGCTGAATTAACTCCAAGGCCTCCCCATTCTCCAGGGCAACAAAGTTATGCCAAAAAACCAAAACCTCCCTGGGGCCACCCAGTGTTCAAGGTCCCCTTCTATGGTCTCATGACTGCCTCTCAGCCCCTGAGCAGGCAACTCTGTCCCTCCAATCATCCCTGCCACAGGAACACCCATCACAGGGCCCCTACCTCCTGGTGGCTGCCGAGTGACTGGGGTGACCTCAGCCCTGCCCTCCCCATCTCTGGACTCTGCCCAAGGAACTCTCATGGACACCCCCTGACCTGGGGCTCAGTGGGCTGCCAGCACCTGGGAGCCTGTGAGGCTGAGACCCAGCAGGCTGCACGTGGCCTGAGGGCCCCACTCTCTGGCTGGCAGACCCTGAAAGTGGGATCACACTGTGGGGGGTCCCTCAGGGTTTCCATGAAGAAGGAGCACCCCGTCCCTGGGGGAATGCAAGCAGAGTGTGGAAAGGAGTGTGGGGGCCTCCAGGGCCTTCCTGACCCCACCCCCAGGTTCTGAACGCTGGTGTATGGGGCCACTAGGGCACGGGGAACAGCCACCCTGCTGTAGGATTTAGATGTTTAGATATACGATAACACCGTCCCAGTCAGCACCCACAACACCCACCCTGAGGCCCACCCAAAAGCCACAGCCCATCTGCCCCAATGGGGGTGCAGGTGGGCAGAGCCTCTTCTGTCCTGTTCATCCTGAGCCCTGAGCTCCTCGCAGGATGGGATCAGATATCAAACCTGGAACAACAATTGGATGAACCAAAGAAGGGGAGAGAGCGCCCTAGGATCCTCTAGGTGGAGAGAACCCTTGGCCACTGCTGCTTGGCTCATGGCAGGGGGAGGGAGGGTGGGCCTGGGCCTGCCTGGCACTTTAAGAGGGCAGTTCTGCCCACCTTGAATGCCCCTCCTCCAGCCACCAGGGGAGGGATCCCCATTGCCCAGCAACAAAAGGCCCTTGGTGTGTACAGTGTCACCCAGGCAACAGGGAGGCACATCCTTCTCTGGGTCAGAGCAACTGGAGCTGCCCCATTAACTGCACCCAGCTGACCACACCCTTCACTGCCCCAGCCCTGATGGGCGCCTGGCACCACAGTGTAGATGGATGTGCTCCTGACTATGCACCTGGCACCACAGACTTTGCCGCCCCTGTAAGATGGACTACGTGGCTTGCAACACAGGTGACTGCACTCCTCAGGCCTGGCCACTGCGGGCTCAGCCAACCACCTGCTGGACGAGTGGTTCTAGAACTGCTATGGCCACTGCCACCAGGCCTTCGCAGATCACCAGCAGTCAGACTGCCAGCAGTCAGAGTGGTAGTGGCCCGAGAGCCAGCAACTGGCAGCCCAGACCCAGGCACAGGTGTGGTATGGGACTCCACGTCAGGGTGAGTGAGCACCTGCGGGATTCCACGGCTGGAAGTCGGAGCTGCAGCGTGAGGTGGAGGTGCTGGCAAAGAGTCAGACCTGCTGCTGGTCCAGAAGCAGCGGCTGGAGCACCTCCTGGACACCACTGCCCAGCCCTTCTCTATTGCCACAAACAACCTGCAGTGCTGCACGTGCCGCCAGCACCCTGACCTTGTGAGCTACCACATGGAGATGGAGTTGCTGAGGGTGCCACAGCCTTGGATCCCAGGACATGCAGGCACAGAGAGGAGGGACGCAGGCAGTTCATGTGGACAAGCCAGGTGACTGCTGCAGGCATGCAGGAGCCCAGGCCTCTGCACCCTGGACCCCTGAGTCCTGAAATCTGGCACCTTAGTCACAGGAGGCAGCTTTGTCCCAAGGGACCCTAGACATCCAAGCAGCTGTCTCTCCTCTGGGTGCCTGTCCTCCTCCAGTCCATTTGAGTTCAGGCACATTTCAGCCTGACCCTTAGCCCTGGGGGGCTGAGTCACAAGGCACCCCCACCCCAGATAGCAGAAATATAATTCCAGAAAAAAGGCGTGATATCTTCTGAATGACTCCAGGGGCTGGAAATAGAAACCCGGGAGTATGAGAAGCAAGAGTCAAATCTGATTCAAAAGTTGGAAAAGGGCTGGGGGCGGTGGCTCACGCCTGTAATCCCAGCACTTTGGGAGGCCAAAGCGGGCAGATCACGAGGTCAGGAGATCGACACCATCCTGGCTCACACGGTGAAACTCCGTCTCTACTAAAAATAAAAAAAAATTAGCCAGGCGTGGTGGCGGGCGCTTGTAGTCCCAGCTACTCCGGAGGCTGAGGCAGGAGAATGGCATGAACCCAGGAGATGGAGCTTGCAGTGAGCCAAGATGGCGCCACCACACTCCAGCCTGGGCGACAGAGCGAGACTCCATCTCAAAAAAAAAAAAAAAAAAGTTGGAAAAGGCTTTCAATTCTGCAAGGTATCCAGCCCTCCTTCAGAGCCTCTAGGGGTGGGTGGGTTGCCTGTTACATGGTTTCTCTACCTTCTTACCTTTTGCAAATTATCTTCTCCTGCCTAAAATACCCTTTTACTTTTGACCCAACTTTCTGCTTCAACTCTTTTGCTTGTTCTTATTTTAAAAACTCATTTTAGGACTCATTTCTGGGCAACTCCCACTAAGCACCTTCCTCTCACTCCCAACTCTATGCCGTTTCCAGAGTGCTCTGATTCTGTCTGTGTTCACCACCACCATGATCATCACCACCACCACCACTGTCACCACCATCATCATCATCACCAGTGTCACCACACAACCATCACCATCATCACCAATACCACCACCACCAACAACAACCATCATTGCCACCATCATCACTACCATCACCACCTCCACTATCACTACCAACACCATCAGTACCACCATCATAACCACCATCATTTTCACAGCAATTTATTACGATTATTATTGAGCCCTTTTTATGTGTCTGTCACTGAGATGAGTGCTTTTATATGCATTATATCACAACTACCCTATAAGGTAAATACTATCTCCATGCTCTATCTTCCCTACTCTGAACAGGATAGAGAGTAGTCTCAGTCTATTAACTGAGACTTAGATAAATAGATTAAGTTCCTTAAGGGATGTGTTGTGAATAAGTGAAGGAGCTCAAATTTGAACTCAGGTCTATCTGACACCTTATCATGTGGCTTTGTGATTGCCTGTTCTTACTTGGTCCTTTCCAACTCTGCTAA
Organism: Homo sapiens; assembly: GCF_000001405.40. NCBI lineage: Eukaryota > Metazoa > Chordata > Mammalia > Primates > Hominidae > Homo > Homo sapiens. Next base: position 130,312,423 of record NC_000002.12, on the reverse strand, counting down.
GAACAACCTGGTGAAAGCTAAGGCACAAAGGAGGAACTCTACAAACCTCAAAAACATTTTACTGCTGACTGAATATGCTGAATGATTGAGAAGAGGGTGTCATCTGCCCATACTGTAAGGGAAGGCAATATTGAGAAGAGGGAGGAGTGTGATGATTCCCAAACTGAAAGGACTCAAGCCCTAGTGAGCTTCCAATGGCCAGGCCAGGGACAAACCAGTGACAAGATGGCAAACGGCACAGGCAATGGCCTAAACCTCCAGGAGTTTCTGGAAACAGCCACTTCCCTTCCTTTGTTACTCTGTCATTTCTAGTTTGTCCCTTCACAGAAATAAGAGACACTTTAGCAGTAGAATTTGGAAGAAGCCTCAGACCATGTCCTTTAGGATGGAAGGGTGTGGTCAAAGAACAGAAGATGACATCAGAGGAAAGATGATGCTGGTTGGAGTTGAGGAACCAGCAGGAAAGGTCAGGAGAGGAAGGGGAGCCCAACCCCAGTGCAAGGGTCTGTTTGGGTTCAGATGATGGTAGCATAGAGCACAGACTTGGGAGTCTTACGGGTTGGGAGTTTAAACCAGGCTCTGCCACATAAAACATGCTTTTTTTTTTTTTTGAGATGCAGTCTTGCTCTGTCACCAGGCTTTAGTGCAGTGGCACGATCACAGCTCACTGCAACTTCCAACTCCCTGGTTCAAGTGATTCTCCCGCCTCAGCCTCCCGAGTAGTTGGGATTACAGGCAGGTGCCACCATGCCCAGCTAATTTTTGTGTTTTTAGTAGAGATGGGGTTTCACCATGTTGGCCAGGATGGTCTTGATCTCCTGACCTCGTGATCTGCCCACCTCAGCCTCCCAAAGTGCTGGGATTACAGGTGTGAACCACCGTGCCCAGCCTAAAACATGCCATTCTTTTACTTCTCTGAATCTCAGCCCCCTCACCTTTAATACAGAATTGTGTTACCTCCATCTCACAGAATGCCAATGGGAGGGTCAGATGAGTTAATATATGTAAACCCCTTTGCTCAGTACATGGCAGATGGTAATCTCTTATTTCTATAATAATTGCTCTTTTCATAATAAGACTCAGAGTCTGTGATGTTTGCTTAGGACACTTGGCAGGGAAAAGGGTGCCTATACAGGGAATCCAGAGGGAGTGAGGGGCATAGAAGCCATAGACAGATATTCCCAATTCTAATGGGTGGGATGGAGGTATAATAAGTGTAAGCAAGTGGATTTGGTATCCAAAGGGTCAGAAAGGAGGAACTGTGACAGAGAATAGCCATGACCTTGAGTTGAATGACTGCCAGGGTTACACCAGGCCAGACAAGTTCTAAACAGAAGCCAAAAACCAGGTTGGGATTCCCCTAGTCTGAACCACAGGTCAAGGTCAGACACTGGAGAGACATTGTCAAGTATCTAGCAGCAGAACAGAGCTGGAAGAAAATAGAGCCAGAAAAGGCATTGAGGGTATGAGTATCAAACCTAAGCTCTTTGAAAACTGCAAGGAACAAGATGAGAGACTGAATGGTGGAAGAAGGGGGCAAGGTGTCCACTCTTTTGGCCAAAAGATAGTACAGACCATTGATAAACCACAAAAGATAGTACAGACGATTGATAAACCATGTGGAACCCTAGCCGCACCACCTGCTAGCTTTATGAACTTTGGCAAGATGCTTAAACTCTCTGGCCTTTAGAGTCATAGTCTATTAACTGGGGATATAAAGGTAATAATACTACCTAACATGGAGAGTTGTGTGGAGATTCAAGGAGGGAATACACATTTGAAAGTGCCTGGAACATAGCCAGAGACCAATTAAGTGTTAGCTGTTGCTGTTATTTGATGAGCTCCAGCTCTAGGATTTTTAGAATAGGGTTGAAGAGAGTACCTGAAGTTTCCAATGTGTACATCACAACTCACTAGCGTAACAAAGCAGAGGGAATGGAGAGCAGGAGCCCCAGCTGAGAAACAGGAGCATGCTAGAGAAGAAGGCTACCTGGAATAGATTGTTAGTGAAGAAAGGCAGCGGGAAGGAGATGAGAAGCCAGGCCAAGCTGAGAAGAGGGTATCCACATCTGTGCTATTGCCAGAATCTTGGGGAGGATCGCCATGGAATCCAAATATCTGCATGCACATGCACGCACAGGCGCACACACACACACACACACACACACACACACACAAAACCTACAGTCATATTCCAGAATTGTTCCTTTCTTATTCTTTCAGAAACAATGAATATGGATCTGCAATGCTTCAGGGCCCTATGCTGGGCACTGTTGCCCAGGACTGATGTTGTTCCTTCCTCACAGAACGTATGGTCCAGTGGAGGAGAGGAGGCTTCCTGAAGGAGGCAGGATCCTGGCACTGAATAGGAGTCTGCTGCAGAGGAAGCCAGTGAGAGGAGTGTGGGATGGGAAGGTTTGGAGTATCTAGAAAAGGGAGTATAAGAAAGGCAAAGGGACAGCATGTGCAGAAGGCCAAAGGTGTAGAGGCAGCATGTCACATTGAAGAGGGTCAGGGTGCCAGCACCAGAAGAAGAGGAATGGGAAATGGGCACCAAAGGAGCAGGTGCTTTTATACTTACTGGTAAGGACACTGAAGCCCAGGGTACATAACCTGCCAAGGTCAATCATCAAGTAAATGGCAATACTGGAATTCAAACCCAAATAGAACACTCTCTGAAATCCCTGTTCTTATTCATTGCTGCCTGGACCTGCTGGGTATACCAAGGGCAAGCAGCCCCTGTCCAGAACAGCAGAAGGCAGGGGTCTCCACAGCTGCCGACACATTATTCTCCCTACCTAGGAAGGGTATTTGGGTGGGAGACTGGGCAGCCATTGGGGAGGCTATTAGGGAACCTCTAAGGAAAGTTTGAATAATTTTTTATCTTCCTTGTCTGGATAAAGTACAGTCTTGAAAACTGAAAAACCTTTGGATCAGAAATTTGAACTTGGTGCTGTCTTTCCTAAGGTGTCAGGAAAGATGAAAATAAAAGTAAAAATTATTTCTACAAACGAGAAGGCTTAAGGAAGATAGTTCATGCCAAATCATCAGCAAGTATGAAATCCTGACTTTAACACACCTGCTGTTTGTCATAAATTCCCTCTCACTGATGCCCACTCAACTTTTACGTATGGCACTCAATGTCAATCATCCCCACCTGGGCAGGATAGGCAAGGGAAGCAGGAGATCATGTCCGCGATGGTTACTGCTGTGGCCCCAGAAGAATCTCTGCCTCACGGCTCTTGCCCACTCTTCTCTGATTACCCTCTTCGTCTTCTTCAGTAGATGTCATTGTGTCAATTGATGTCCAACCACTGCTAGAAGTAACTTCATTTTTGTAGGACCTGGACAGCCTTGAAGATGGTGAAGTAGCCTAGTTTCAGTCTTTCTGGAATGAATTTAGGTTGATTTATGGTCATTTTGGTAACTTTTCACTTTATTTCTTCCTTTCTGTATCTTTTCTGACAGTTTTGTTGGCATGGGGTTTAATCATTAAATTCAAGTACCAATGAAAGGCTATTTTAACAAAGGCTTGGGCACTTTACTAAGAATATCATCATTCTTTCCTTCTTTCTTTCCTTTCTCTTTTCCTTCCCCTTGCCTTCTTCTCTTCTACCCTCCTCCTTCTCTTTCCTTCTCCCTCCCTTCTTTCTTTAAACACACATAGGGCACTCTCTAAGATGCCAAATTGCATGTTGGATGTGGGGGGGTGTAGTCTTTTTTTTTTTTTTTTTTGGAGACGGAGTCTTGCTCTGTCGCCCAGGCTGGAGTGCAGTGGCACAATCTCGGCTCACCGCAAGCTCTGCCTCCCGGGTTCACGCCATTCTCCTGCCTCAGCCTCCCGAGTAGCTGGGACTACAGGCGCCCGCCACCACGCCTGGCTAATTTTTTTTTTTTTTTTTGGTAGAGACGGAGTTTCACCATGTTAGCCAGGATGGTCTCGATCTCCTGACCTTGTGATCCGCCCATCTCAGCCTCCCAAAGTTCTGGGATTACAGGCATGAGCCACCGTGCCCGGCCAAGAAGGTGTAGTCTTATATGTATGAGAGACAGTCTTTGCCCTTCAGTTGTTCATAGCTTTAGAGAGGGGAAAAAGCAGGTAAAAAAATAAATATTTGTTGTCAATTGAAATGTAGTCCTGTGTGGTAAACCACTGGCCTTCAACAACTATGTCTTCTCATATTTTCAGGTCTATGAGAATATTCCAGCTTGGAATATTTTAGGACAAGAATACTCTAGGGCTGAACTCAGCTAGTCACTCCTGTTTTACATGACCAATAAGCTGGTTTGGCTCCAGGCTGAGAGCTTGGTTCATGTCTGTTCCCTGTGGATTCATTCTGCAGCCAGGCTAAAGGATCAGCAACTACTCAGGGCATTCTGTTCTCATAACGTATCATAGGAGCGCAGGAGGGCAAGCCCAATCATGCAAGCACATTTAAGCCTCTGCTTATATCATCCCTGCTAACATTCCATTGGCCAAAATAGGTCATATGGCCAAGCCCAGCCTCAGTGGGGCAGGAACCTATACCCTACTCTCCAACAATGGGAGGGCAAGCGACTGGATATTTGCCGAACAATATTTCCAATAAGCACAGGAAGTATCAGCAAAGGGATAGGTGTAGCACAGAGCACTATGGGGGTGCAAAGGTAGAGTACCTAAAACAGTGTAATCAGGGAAGACATCCAGGAGGAGGCAAACCTTTGGCTCTCAAGAAGTGAGCTGGTTCAAGGTATAGGATTGTGTGTTCAAGGCAGAAGGAGTTCTCCATTTAAATGTATTAGAGAGGGTCACAGGGCCCATTTTGGTAGCTAGTGTTTTGAGCACCTATACAGGGATGAGAAGAAACATTTTTGGAAAGAGGGACAAAGGCCAGATCCCAAGATCATGTCTTCCAGGACTTACAGGACAGATAGTGAAGGAATCTGGTAGTCAGAGGTGATGGCAAGGCCACAAAGGGTGCTAAACAGGGGAGGGAGTAGTCATGACTCCGTCTTTGAAAGATGGACCCTGGTGTGGATGATGAGTAGCGAGATGACCTGGATGGAGTGAGGCCCGTTGACCTACAGGTGAGAGATGAGAAGGGCATGAAAGGAAGAAAACAACAGGATAACGGGTTTAAGACATAGGATTCTCAGGTCAAAAATATGGAGGAGAGGGGGAGTTGAGAAAGACTTTGAGGTCTCTGTTATTATAGTTGCTCTGATAATTATTCACTGTTACTATTTGTCTTATGATAACTCGGTGAGATGTCAGTGATTTGACGATGGACAAAAAAAGGAACAAAGTGAGTTTTGCAAGCAATAGACTGAGAAATTTATATAATTCAGGGGCATGGTCCTTGATTGGGTTATAAAAGGATATGAACCCTTGGAAAAGAAAGCAATGATTACCATGAGGCATCACAGAAGACTGACTCTGCTCCCTTTCTAGTGGAGTTATTTGGTATGGGTGAAAGAACTAAGGTCTTGGAGGCACACCAGGGTCTGAATTCCAGGTTCAACACATACTAGTTCTGTGACTCTGAACAAAGTCTTTACACTACTCAGCAGCCATTAATTTGACCACTCTGGGACTCAGCTTCATGCTATATAAAATAGGAAAAAGTGTACTCAATGTGGTTATCACGAAAGTTAAAAAAGTTAATGAATGTAAGTGTCCTAGCTCAGGGTTTTCATCTCTCAACAGATATGTTAAGTGTTTACATGGATCAATTCATTTATTTTCATACTCCTTTCTGTAACAGTGCCTTCCCTTTTTGTTGTATTTCTTTTAGGTAACTTGAAGCTGCTGAACTTCTTCAAACACAGGCCCTGAGCCTGGCTGGGTTGCCTTCACCTCCTTTGGGACTCTCCCTCACTCTGATGTACAACAGGGTCCCATCTCAATAGTTTCCCAGTTTCTCACTGTATTTCAGCCCCATGCACTCCTCCAGAAGATATCTCACTAGCTCTTTCTCCAAAATGTGTTTACTGCAGAACACCATGTATTACCCCATGAAGAAGAAATAATTTTGCAAATATGGGGCCTTGACAAAGTTTCCAGAATCTTCCAGACTTCTCAGCTATTATGCATGAGAAGCCTCACATCCTCTCTGAGACAGTCATAAAAGTCCCTATGGGTTCATACTTCTAACATTATCTTTTCCTTGAATGTGAGGCTCTACAACCTCCTCTTTCATGAGGATATAGAAACAATTCTTCTCAGCATTAAAAGCCTGAGAATAAGTGTCCCTTTCACTCAGCTAGGGGAATTATATTTCCCCCGGTATAATGGAAATAGAATTATCACTGGAGTCATTTAAACTTAGATTCACATCTAAGCTGTGCTATAAAAGAGTTATGCAAAAAAGGTGACCTCTCTGCATCTCAGTATTCTCATCTGTAAAAGAGCAATTAATGCCTAACTCATAGGATTGCAAAGGAGGTTGGATTAATTAACAAATCTAAAGTGTGCAGTATAGGTCTGCTGTGCCCCATTCTCCTGCTTCCTCTGTTTCTACCTTCAGGGGCTACTAACATCCCTGATCTTTTTGGGGCTGTCCTGGCTTGAGCTACAGGGCCATTTAACAGCTTCAGACTACCAGCCAGAAGCATCTAGAATTAGTTTTAATGCTTTGGATCTGGTATCCAGGGTGCCCTGTTGAAGATCAAATTCTGACTTTCTCAAAGAGTTATATTCAAATGACTCTATCTGAAGTACTTTTCCCACTCATTCTTCACATGATCATGTCTATTTACTTCATTACTCTTACCACAATCTAGAACTACCTTGCTTATTTATTAGGATGTTTTGTACTGCATCAACTAGAATTTGAAGTACACGAGAGTGTGAGCTGGGTTGTTTCATTTTTGTTGTGTCCCCAGTGTTAGCACACAGATGTGTTATAAACGTTTTGCGATGAATAAATTCTCGTGTGTGCAAGGAGCAGCCATGGGCATCCACAGTTCTATTCAATTTTGACTTTGCAAAAGTCTTCCACCCATTGAATGATGTCTTATTCTTGGATAGCTGCCTTGGTTTCTCTACTTGGCTCTCCATTTCCTGGTGAGTCTCTGGCCCTGTCCTAACCTGTGGCTGACTTGGTTAGGGCTCTGATACTCTGCTCAGATCTTGCCATGCTCTTTCTTCAGTGAGCTAGCTCCTGAATCCTGAAGCCTCACCATCATCTGGAATCTTGCAACACCAGCTAGGGTGACCTAGTGATACAGCCTGATGCCTTCTTGAGTTCGTTTAGCTATGGCTTGTCTGCATCTTGCTCCTTGCCAGAGGGCAACTATGGCCAGAAATTACACAGGAGATTAGAAACTATATATTATGTTTCCTAACTATGTTGATAGAACCAGCGTTAGGAGCAAGTTCATGGCTGCCTCTTCCTGCTGCTTCTTCAACTTTGTGATCTTCATCATCATCATCACCATCATCACTACCATGACCCCCATCACTGTCATCACCAGCATTAACCATCATCACCAACATCACATCACCATACTCACCAACATCACCATCATCTTCACCATCATCACCATCATAATTACCATCACTATCATCACCATCATCCTTATCATCGCCAACATCATCATCATTATTGTAATTATTTGCACAGCATAGAGGTTAAGAACTCAGTTTATCTAGATTTGCTCCACCACTAGTTAAGTTGAGCTCACCACTCAGCCTGTCCTTACGTCCTGATCTGTACAGTGCAGATGATAATTTTACCATAAGCTTTTTTTTTTTTTTTGAGACAGAGTCTCGCTCTGTCACCCAGGCTGGCTGCAAACTCTGCCTCCCAGGTTCATACCATTCTCCTACCTCAGCCTCCCGAGTAGCTGGGACTACAGGCACCCACCACCACGCCCGGCTAATTTTTTGTATTTTTAGTAGAGACGGGGTTTCACCGTGTTAGCCAGGATGGTCTCGATCTCATGACCTTGTGATCTGCCCGCCTCAGCCTCCCAAAGTGTTGGGATTACAGGCGTTAGCCACTGCACCTGGCCCATAAGATGTTTTTATAAAGATCTAATAAAAATACAAGACAGACAACAAGTACAGTGTATACAATAGGCACTTTGTGTTATGAATATTATTACTAATAGTATCTACCATTTATTATATAAGAACGTTTACTAGAAATCAAGTATTGAACTTTGCTGAACTATTTCCATCCATTAATTCATCAATATTTAGAGAAATTCTGCTATATGTGAGGCACTATTCTGGACCCTAAAATGATGTTTTCTCTAGTAGTGGACACAACCGACAAGGCCTCCATTCTTATGGAGCTTATATCTCATGAGAAGACAATGAAAAACCTCATAACAATATTTTTATCTGGAAAAATTACTCCTATTTTAAATTAAAAACTAGCTTGGATTCTTTTTTTTTTTTTTTTGAGATGGAGTCTCGCTCTGTCACTCAGGCTGGACTGCAGTAGCACAATCTCGGCTCACTGCAAGCTCCGCCTCCCGGGTTCACACCATTCTCCTGCCTCAGCCTCCCCAGCAGCTGGGACTACAGGCACACACCGCCACGTCCAGCTATTTTTTTTTTGTATTGTTAGTAGAGACGGGGTTTCACCCTGTTAGCCAGGATGGTCTCGATCTCCTGACCTCATGATCCACCCACCTCGGCCTCCCAAAGTGCTGGGATTACAGGCATGAGCCACCGTGCCTGGCCAATGAAGGGATACGGTTCACTTAATAATCTCATAAATTGGAACTTATTACCCCTGAGCCTCTTGCATAGCTCCAGACAAATATTTGTGAGAGGTGAAATGGCTGTTTGCTACCAATATTTTATGTGATGCTTCATTTTTTGATTCCTCGAATAACTACTTATGATGCATTAACCCATTTGTGCAGAAGGTTGCAGTTTTTTGAATTTTTGCTGAGTGAAAAATCAGACCTTGGTGATGACCTTGAGCAGTAGGGAGCAAATAACTCCCACATGCATAGCATTGCAATAATGGAACACTCTTTGCATAAGTGGGTTAACAGGATCATGAAAGCATAGTTATTTGTGTAACTAATTATGCAACTATTTTTTTTCCTCAACTCTAAAACACAGTAAGGGACCAGTTATTTTAAAAATACACCACAGGGACAAGTAGTTTCTTTTTAACTCAGTTTTGGTTTGTTGTTTGTTAAGGCCATTGGTTGGCATAAAGAAAACAAAAACAGGAAGAGAAACAAGAATAGAAAGATGAAACAGAAGCAGCAGCAAAGAAAATGAAGAGGAACAAGAAAATAAGAAGAAGAAAATACAAACTGGAAGAAAGGAAAAAGAACAGATGTAGGAATTGGAAGGCCTATTATGATACCTTTTATCCCTTCCCCGATTCATGACATTTGAAAAAGTCCAAGACTATCACAACAAAAAACAAGCAAAAAGATACACAAATAGTTAAGAATCTGTGTATCTTTTTGTTAAGAATGAGACAATGGTGCCACTCACGCCTGCCTCAGGCACTAGCAGGAGGAGGGCACCCTTTAGAGATGGCAGGAAAAGGGGGAGGACTCCTTCTTGCTCTAGGTGCACCTCCACCACTGCCACCATGGCCCACAGTACAGCACCGGCAAGTTCCTCCCCACCCCAGGTCGGGCTGGGTCCTGCAGTGCTCCAGATCCCCAGACTTGCTGCTGCTACCACCACTAGCACCGATGCCAATACAACTGCTGTCGCCCTCAATGCGCCAGCCCACCCTGCAAGGATCCTACCACCTGGACCCGCAGTAGCCCTCCTACTGCTCCGGGGGAGCTGCAGTCTCTGTTGCTGCCACCAACCGCATAAGGCGAGCTGCAAAGCCATGCCATCTGCAGGCTCCAATGTACCATAGATGACTCCTCCTCTTCCTCCTCCTCCAGCCTGGCTTGGAGCAGCTAGATGGGCAAAGCTAGAAAAGCCTAAAACGGGATGCAGGGAGTGGTAGCATTAGAGCCTCACCTTGTCACGCTGGCCACTGGGTGGCAGGGACCAGTTTCAGCAAAGGCACTCACACCCACCCTCCAAAGTCCAGCCTCTCCTTCTGGCAAAAGCTGGCCAGGAACTGGGGCCCAGGGTGAGTGTGTGTGCCTTTGCTGAAACCAGCCCTAGGTCAGGTCCTGCTGGACAGAAATTGCTGGGTCCACCAGGGCTGCACTCCTCAGGGAGCAGGAGTAGGAGAAACTCAGGCCCAGCCAGCCCTGCCCACCCAAGTTCTGGTTCCCGTTCCTGATGCCTCCACCCACAGTGCCCTATCCCCCCACCCCCACCACAGTGGTGCCCACTACTCCCTGCCCAGTAGTCCCAGGTTGTCTCTGCAACACAGAGCATGAGAGCATGGGCCAGAGAACCACGGTGGGTGTGGGGGCCCTGTCATACTCAAGATTGTGCAAGGAGGAGGAGATCACTCTCTAGAGTCTGGAATTGGGGAAGAGGAGAACGGTCCCTTCCTTGGAGACCACCTGAAGGAGGAAGGAGGCCACTGCTGTCACTGCCACCTCCGCAGCCTGCCAACGCCACTAGCAGTGTAGCCCCTGATAGCACCCCTAACCTGCCGCCTGCTGCCTGCCACCAACAGTGTAGCCCCTGGATAGCACACCAAACAAACCCCGCACCAGCTGCAGGGTGTGTAACCCCAATATCCCCCCCAAAGCACCCTCCCTCCCCCAGAGCAGGCAGTGTAGCACCCAATAGTGCCCACAACCTGACCCAGCCATGGGTGTTGCTGCACTAGATAGCACCCGAAACCTGCCCCCCCAACCCCACCTCGAGCAGTGCAGCTCCTGATAGCGCACCCCCAGTCACGGACAGTGCAGCACCCGACAATGCCCCTAAACCACCCCCTACTGCCAGCATTGTAGCCCCAAAGAACTCCACCCAACCCACCCCCTGCCACCGGTAGTGCACAGAAGATAGCACCCCAACCCATCCCCCTCCACTGGCAGTACACGTTAGTGCACACAACCTGCCTCCCCACACCACCCCCACCACTGCAGGCAATGTAGCCCCCCATAGCCAGCCAACCTGCCCCACTGCCAGCAATTCAACCCCAGAGAGTGCCCCCAACCAGTCTCCTGCCACAGGCAGTGCAGCCTCTGGTGGTGAGACCCAATGGGACACCCAACCCCTGCCCCCAGAGGCAGGCAGTGCAGCCCTGGAAAACTCACCTACCCCACAACATTTCTACCACTCTAGCTGAGCTGTAGTGTCCGACGTCACCACCAACCCCAGCGAGGGGAGCCTCGGTGGCGCAGGCTTCAGCCTCCAACATGCGGCAATGCCTCTCCCTTCTCCTTGTCCTCCAGCCTGGCAGGAAAAACTCCCACTGCCCGTCGCCCTCCTACTGCTCCGTCGCCACCACCAACCACAGCTAGCCAGTGCCCCGGGCTCCAGCCAGTGGCAGGCAGTGGCCTCTTCTCCTAGTTCTCTAAGCCACGTACACAGCGCTAACACAGAAGAGCCTAAAATGACCTGACACTGCCTCTGCATGCTTTATATACTGAGGTTACGCACCTGCGGTTCCTGGACTACATGTTCTGATTGGATGAGAGAAAACCCGAAGGCCTACTCTAATTGGACTTTACTTTCATGCTGTGATTGCTTGTTTTAAGACTTGCTCTCATCCAATCAGAACATGATAATAAAGTCCAATCCGAGTAAGCCTGGAGGTTTTTTCTCATCCAATCAGAACATGCAGTACAGGAACCCCCATGTGCATAACTCTGATGCCGAAGGGAAGTCAGGCCCTTCCAGTTTCCCATACCTTCGTGTTGAGTTGCTCAGTCTCTGGCTTAGAGGACCAGGAATGGGAAATCCCCAGCTGTAGGCTGGAGCGTGCAACACTGCGGCCCACCTCGCTGCGGTTGGTGGTGGCAACAGAGACTGCAGCGTGGCTGGACTGTTGAGCTGCTCAGTGCCTGGCTTGGAGGACCAGGAATGGGAAATCGCTGGCAGTACGCTGGAGGCTGGAGCTTGTGACCCCACAGCTCGCCTCCCTCTGGTTGTTGGTGGTGACTGTTGGTGGTGGCCACGGAGACTGCAGCGCGGCTGGAGTGGTAGGAGAAGGAAACTAGTTTTGGGATAGATGGAGGGGGCTAAACAGCGTGGTTGGTGCCAAAGGGAAAAGAGGGTAGCGAGCACGAGAAGGCGTTGCAAAAGGACGGTGGGGAAAAGATGGTGGGGAAAAAGTTTTGGGGTAGATGGAGGAAGAAAAAGGGTGGCGAGAGGGAGGGGGCCAAAGGCGGTCGGGAAAAGAAGGTGGGGAAATAATGGTGGGAGACAAAGGTTTTGGGTAGATATTTTTCTGATTTTTAAAATCAGATTATTTGTATTTTTGCTTTTGAGTAGTTTTATTTCTTTATTTTTTTTTATTAACCCCTTGCCTGATGCATAGTTTCCAAATACTTTCTGCCATTCTCTGGATTGTTTCTTAATTCTACTGCTTCCTCCACCTTGCTGAAGCTTTTAAGTTTAATGTAATTGCATTTGTCTATTTTTGCTTTTGTTGCTTGTGCTTTTGATGTCTATTTGAAAATTCCTTGTTCTAACCAATTGAATGAAGCATTCATTCTATGTTTTTTTCTCCAGTGGTTTCACAGTTTCAGGTCCTAAATCTTTGAGTTGATTTTTGTGTATGTTAAGATAATGGTCTAGATACAGTCTTCTACATGTGGGTTGGGCTTTCGTAGCACAGTTTATTGAAGAGATTGTCCTTCCCGAATGTGTGTTCTTGGTGCCTTTGTTAAAAATGAGTTCACTGTAAATGTGTGAATTTCTGTTTTCTGTTTTATTTGTCTATGTCTGTCTGTCTGTCATTCGTCTCTTTCTCTGTCTCTCCTGCCCCGCTTTTTTTTGACAGTACCATGTTGCTTTGGTTACTATAGATTTGTAGTATATTTTGAAATCAGGGAGTGTCATGCCTCCAGCTTTTTTCTTTTTTTTCAAGATTATTTTGTCTACCTGAGGTATTTTGGATTTCCATGTGAATGTTAGTTTTTTATTTCTATGAAGAATGTCTTTTGTAATTTAACATGGATTGCACTGTTTCTGTAGATCACATTGGGTGATATAGATATTTTAACAATATTCTAGTGCATGGACATAGGATATGTTTCCATGTACTTGTGTCTGCTTTAATATCTCATCAATGTGTTATAGTTTTCATTGTGGGATCTTTCTTAAAGAAGAGATGTAGTTGGTTTCCTTGCCTAGATATTCAAAAGTTGATAGGATTTTATTCATGGTATAACATAGTTAAAAGTATTAAACATAATTGTATTTAGTTTTGTTGAATACCTATTTGTGTGGTATATTACATTTATTTTTGTTAATATTAAATTTTAAATATTTTAAGTGTACTTGTGCATCTTATATATTTATATTATATACCATTATTTTACTTTGGATTCTCTCATTTAAAGTCATAGCCAAAGTTATCCTATTATTCATTTTTTGTGCTATACATTTAATATTTTCGTATATTTCTTTTTTCTATTTTCAGCTAGTATATATTGCATTGTATTTAAAACCACCACAAGAGGCAGGAAATGGGGAGTTGTTACTCAGTGGCTTTAGAATTACAGTTTTGCCAGATGGGAAATTTCTGCAAATCTGTTGCACAGCAGTGTGAATATAGTTAATACTTATGATCTGTACACTTAAAATGATTAAGATGGTAAATTTTATATGTATTTTTGCTATAATTTAAAAACCACCATCACAGGTTTGAAGTATAAATAGTAACTTATTTTGTATAATATTGAGTAGGTTCACATCAATAACAAAAGCCTAATACTAATAAGAGCTAATTGACTTATTTATAATATAGTCAGTGATGGAAAAATTCAAACTCACTGTTACCTCAGATATATACATTTGAAAGTTATGACATTTATCAAAGAAAATGACAAATATTTAAAAATATTTGAATACTTAAATATCATGCTTACTGTTTGCAGAGTTTTAATCACTCTATGAAAGTAAATTATTAGGGTAAAACATCATGCAAAACATATTTCCTGAAAAATATATACTTGTCCTGTGCTATTAAAATATTGATAATCAATAAATTCCAGAGTTCAATCCAAATTCAATCTCTTGACAATTCAGGAAAGTCACAACATGAAAAATTCTATTTCTGAAATATTGAAGCAAGCATTGATAAAACTAGTAAGTGAGAAGAGAGGCTTTGTCATAGCAAAAAATACATATGTACATTTAAAAAATTTCGGGCATAATTATTTTTGTATCTTTTTGCTTGTTTTTGGTTGTGATAGTCCTGGATGTTTTCAAATTTTATGAATCAGTGAGGGAAAAATAGATTTATCGTATAAGAGGGTTTCTAAATTCCCTCACCTGCTTTTTCTCCTTTCTTCTTGACTTGTCTTCATCTTCTCATCTTATTCTTGCTCCTCTTCATTTTCTTAGCTGCTTTTTCTATTTCTTGTTTGTATTCTTATTTCTTCTCCATCTCTTCCTCTTCCTTTTTTTCTTTTTTTCCCTACACAATGGAATTAACAAACAACAAAGCAAAACTGTATTACAAATAAATGCCAGTGTGTTGTATTTTTAAAAAATAATCTGTCCATTACAATGTTTTAGAGATGTGGCAAAAAGTTAGTTGCATAACTAGATACTGGAATAGCTATGTTTTTTTAAAGATCTATAACCCTACTAATATGTTGTAAATAGTTATTCAAGGAATAAAAAAATTTAATGCTAATTTTATATTAGCAGCATAGAAAATATTAGTGGCAGAAACTATTTCACCTCAAAGCTAAAAGGAAATTCTTATATAACATGATAAATAATGCAACCACTATGCAAGAAATCACAATATTATCGTTGTATTTGTCTAAATGTTATTTGAGAATCTTCAGTGCACATATTTAAGAATTAGCTTTAAAGGAACATTTTTTTCCATATGATAAATCATACACATGATAAACTTAGACCAACATTAATCTTATTAGGAAGAATAAATTAGAGAATAAGTACTCACTAATGTTTTGGGTTATATATACCCTTTTCAAATCTGTTGAAATTTTGCATTCTTTGATGAAAAAAATACACTATGTGAGTTTATTTTATGTCAGTTATACCTCAAAACTGTTATAAGTAATTTATTTCAACTGAAATGATACACCTTACTTTTGATCTAAGAATTATGTAGTTTTTGATGCTGAATCTTTACCAAGCACAAATTCATTGACTTGTAGCCAGTCAGTCAGTTCAAGTAAAATCATTAAACACATTCCTGAACTATGCAAAATAATATTTACCATATTGTTATGTGAGTTTAACTTGATTTATAAATATTAAGGTAAATTAACTTAATTTCTTTTCTACGCTAATGAAATAATGTCTTAGCAACAAATCTTGAATATCTGAGTTTGATCTGATATCACAGAAGAAGGTCTTCCAAGCACATATACAAAGAAGAAAAAAAGAAAATATTAATGCGTTGGAAATAAACAAAACTAATCTGCAGCCAAAAAGCTTATAAAATAATTAACAAAAGGTAACAAAATGGAAAAAATGGCTTTTAAATAAACCATACCTGATAAACCAGATAAATCTTACCCATTGGCTACAAATTAGTTACAGAACTCTAAAAAATGGAAAGTGATCAAAACATATAAAAAGACCAAAAATTGCAAATTTCTACAAAAATAAAAATATACTTAACCTCATTATTACAAAAAAGATAAGTATGTTCCTTTTGCCTCCACAATTGATGGATTTTGAAATGACACAGATATTGAGAAAAATGGGTAGAAGATAACCTGTTACACACTTCTATTGGATGTGAGAACACACAACATGTCTACAAAAAAATTTTAAAACACAGCTAATAATTCTATACTAGTATAAGTTGTTCCATAACAAGACATACAATACTGTAGATCAGACAACTAAAGATATACAAATACTGTGGCACAGACAAAGTAGAAATATATATTGTCACATATTAGTCTGGATATATGCAAAAGTCACATGGGTAATAAACTCCAATTTACGTGATCATTAAGTGAACTATATTTGCGGAGTCCTGATTGGGGAAAAGAAGTCAGGCTGGTAGGAGCAAGGGAAAGCAAAAAGAGAAAGCAGATAAGCCACAAATCTGCCTTTCTTCATGGTCCAGGACTCATAGCTGTCCTGCACAAGTAGCTCACTGTCTTCCTGTGCCCAGCTATCACCAGACACCTGCAAGTTAGCTCACTGCAACCTTCTACACAAAGCCTTCTTCAATAGACAGCATGAACACCGTGCTATAAAATCTCTGGCAAGCTTTTGTTTCCTTGCAGTGAGCTTCTGCTGACTTGCCCATTGTCTCCCTGGTAACATATTTTTCTACTTTCTCTAATAAATCTGCCTTTCTTTACCTACAACTCTCTTTGTAAATTCTTTTACCCCTACACCACCAGCCATCATTCTCCCACAACAATATTCTTTTCATTTTATTTCTCTGCCATCATTTCCAAAAGTATTGTCATCTGCATGAACAAACCTGGTTTATCACCATGACTTTGCAACGGGAAGGGGAAGGGGGTAGAAGATGAAGTGCATGTTTTAAGGCCAAGATTTAGTAAAGTCAGTGATCATTTCCACTCATATCCCATTGTTACAAACTGTGGCACATAACCATAGCTGTTGGAAGGTAACACTAGCCAATAAGTCCTCTAGATGGATAATTAAAATAACTTTAATTATTAGCTTTATTCATGGTAGTTTATTCACTTTCTTTTTTTGTTTTTGTTTATATTTTTATTCCGATTGGTTTTTGGGGAACAGGTGGTATTCGATGACATAAATAAGTTGTTTAGTAGTGATTTCTGAGCTTTTGGTGCACCTATTACCCAAACAGTATGCACTGTACCCAATGTGTAGTCTTTTATTCCTCACTCCCCTCCCCACTTTCCCCCAAGTCTCCAAAGTCCATTATATCTCATGCCTCATGCCTTAAGTGTTCCCTTTTCACAATATGCATGTCAACATCTATTTTTTATTATTATGGCCATTCTTGCAGGAGTAAGGTGGTATCACATTGTGGTTTTGATTTGCATTTCCCTGATCATTAGTGATGTTGAGCATTTTTCCTTATGTTTGTTGGCCATTTGTGTATCTTTTGAGAATTGTCTGTTCATGTCCTTTGCTCACTTCTTGATGGGAGTGTTTGTTTTCTTTTGGCGGATTTGTTTGAGTTCTTTGTAGATTCTGGATATTAGTCCTTTGTCAGATGTATAAATGAATTCAACAAAGTTTCAGGATACAAAATTAATGTACAGAAATCAGTAGCTCTGCTATATACCAACAGAGACCAAGCTGAGAATCAAATCAAGAACTCAACCCCTTTTACAATAGCTGCAAAAAAAACCACACACACACACACAAACCCTCTTAGGTTTATACCTAAACAAGGACATGAAAGACCTCTACAAGGAAAACTACAAAACACTTCTGAAAGAAATTATAGATGACACAAACAAATGGAAACACATCCCATGCTCATGGGTGGGTAGAATCAATATGGTGAAAAGGACCATACCGCCAAAAACAATGTACAAATTCAGCACAATTCTCATCAAAATACCACCATCATTCATCACAGAGCTAGAGAAAACAATCCTAAAATTCACAGGAAACCAAGAAAGAGCCCACATAGCCAAAGCAAGACTATGCAAAAAGAACAAATCTGGAACATCACATTACCCAACTTCAAACTCTGCTATAAGGCCATGGTCATCAAAACAGCATGGTACTGATATGAAAATAGGCTCATAGATCAATGGAAAGAATACAGAACCCAGAAATATAACCAAATACTTACAGCCAACTGATCTTAGACAAAGCAAACAAAAACATAACATGGGGAAAGGACACCCTGTTCAACAGATGGTCCTGGGACAATTGGCAAGCCACATGCAGAAGAATGAAACTAGATCCTCATCTCTCATCTTTTTTTTTTTAAGGCTTGTTTTATTTTAATGGCTGATCTATGTAATCACAGAGGGCAGTATGTACAGACAAAGGGGGAGCTTTTATTTCTTGGTCTCTTCCTCTTTGGGCAGTCTTGATGATCTCTTCCTTCTTGGCCTGGAGGCACTCTTCAAGGTGCTTGCGTGCCTCCTAGGTCTTAGACCTGGGGGCCTCAGCCTGGTCAGCCAGGAGCTTCTTGTGGGCCTTGTCTGCCTTCAGCTTGTTGATGTGTTCCATGACAATCCACTTGTTTTTGAATACATTCCCCTTTACCTTCAGGTACAGGCTGTGATACATGTGGCCATCAATCTTCTTCGATTCACGGTATCTTCTGAGCAGCCGGTGCAGTATTTTCCTCATCCATGTGACCTTCTCTGGTATTTGGGCATTGGCTGTACGCTTCTGCTTACCTATGCCCATGTGCCTGCCCTTCCGGCAGGCCAAGGTGTTTTTCCAGCATTGAGCCTGGGAATGGACAATCACAGGCTTGTGGATGATCAGCCCATCTTTGATCAGCTTCTGGATCTGCTGATGAGAGTTGGCATTAGCAATTTCATTGGTCTCAATGGGGTCCAACTAGACCTCCTTCTTGCCACAGTGGAGGACACTAGAGGCGAGCCTCTTCTGAAGCCTGAGCAGTACTCATGGCTGCAGCCGCAGCAGCAGAAGGAAAGAGCTCTGTCATCTTATATAAAAATCAAGTCAAGATGGATCAAAGACTTAAATCTAAGACCTGAAACCATAAAAATTCTAGATGATAACATCAGAAAAACCCTGCTAGATGACTGGCTTATGCAAACACTTCATGACCAAGAACCCAAAAGCAAATGCAACAAAAAGATAAATAGATGGGACTTAACTAAAAAGCTTCTGCACAGCAAAAGAAACAATCAGCAGAGTAAACAGACAACCCACAGAGTGGTAGAAAATCTTCTCAAAGTTTATTCACTTTCAATCAGTTCTAATTGAAAGTTGCCACATCCAAAAAGCTTTTGTGGTCATAGTTCTTAAACTTATCAAACTTCCTCTTATATTTAATGTTGCCTATATTCTCCCAAATCTCCTCTGTCAGAAATTCAATGGTAATTAATTTTATGGCATCTGAAACCTCTTATTTTGATATGCAGATTACCTGGCAATCATGCGGATAAATAAAAATAATGCAGTGCGCTTCAAAAGTTTCTAAGCAAAGCAACTCCTTCTTTTTGTTGTAGTTTTCACTTTTAGAAGTAGATGCATTTTTATACCAAATTCTCGAATTTGATACTCACAGAATGTTTAATTTTGAGGGTTCTTTGCATATTATGGATCCCAGCACTGGTTGGAGACAGAATTTGCAAATCCAGGCAGACTAATTTTATTGCACTTTACTTTATTGCTTTATTTTTATCATATTTTGCAGATATTGCTCTTTTCTTCTTTTTTCTTTCTTTCTTTCTTTTTTTTTTACAAATTGAAGGTTTATGGCAAAACTGCATCCAAAAAGACTGCCATTTTTCCAATAGCATGTGCTCACTTTGGGTCTCTGTGTCACATTTTGGTAATTCTCGCCATATTTCAAACATTTGAATTATTACTATATCTGTTATGGTGATCTGTGATCAGTGATCTTTGACGCTATCATTGTCATTGGTTTGGGGCACCATGAACAGCACCCACATAAGACGGTGAACCTAATCCATACATGGTGTGTGTGCTCTGACTGCTGCACCAGCCAGCTGTTTATCCAGCTGTCTGTATCTCTCTCCTCAGACCTCCCTATTCCCTGAGACCCAACAATATTGAAAATACAATAATCTGTAAGCCTGCTATGGGCTCGTAAGTGTTCAAGTGAAAGGAGGAGTTGCACATCTCTCACTTTAAATCCCAAACTCAGCTACCGAGGAAAGCATGTGGAAAGCTCAGACCAGCACGCTAGGCCTTTTGCACGAAACAGCTAGCCAGTTGTGAATACAAAGGAAAAGTTCTTGAAGGAAATTAAAAGTGCTAAGCCAGTGAACCCACAAATGATAAGAAAGCAAAACAGGCTGGGTGCAGTGGCTCACGCCTGTAATTCCAGCACTTTGGGAAGCCAAGGTGAACAGATCTCTTGAGCCCAGGAGTTTGGCCAGATCAGCCTGGGGGCAACATGGTGAAACCCTGTCTCTACAAAAAATAAAAAAATTAGCTGGGCATGGTGGCACATGCCTGTAGTCCCAGCTACTCGGGAGGCTGAGGTGGGAGGATTGCTTGAGCCTGGGAGGTCAAGACCTCAGTGAGTAAAGATCGTGCCACTGCACTCCAGCCTGGGCAACAGAGGAAGACCCCATCTCAAAAAAAAAAAACAAAAAAAAAAAAGAGGAAGAAAAAACAGCCTTATTGCTCATATGGAGAAAGTTTGAGTGGTCTGGATAGATCAAACCAGCCCCAATATTCCCTTATGCCAAAGCCTAATCCAGAGCAAGGTCATAAGGCTTTTCAATTTCATGAAGGCTGAGAGAGGCTAGAAAGCTGCAGAATAGAAGTTTGAAGCTTAGCAGAGGTTGGCTCATGAAGTTTAAGGGGGAAAGAAGCCATCTCCATAACATAAGAGTGCAGGGTGAAGCAGCGAGTGCCAATGGAGAAGCTGTGGTAAATTATCCAGAAGACCTAGTTCAGATCTTTGATGAAGGCAGCTACACTAAACAACAGATTTTCAATGCAGATGAAACAGTCTTCTACTGGGTAAGATGCCATCCAGATCTTTCATAGATAAAGAACCAAAGTAAATGCCTTGGCTTCAAAGCTTCAAAGGACAGGCTGACTCTTGTTAGGGGCTAATGCAGCCAGTGACTTGAAGTGGAAGTTAGTGCTCATTTACCACTGCAAAAACCCCAGGGCCTTAAAAATTATGCTAAACCCACTCTTCCTGTGCTCTACAAATGGAAAATCAAAGCCTGGATGGCAGCACATCTACTTACAGCATGATATGCTGAACACTTTAAGCCCACTGTGAGACCTGCTCGGGAATAAAGCTTCCTTTCAGAATATTACTGCTTATTGGCAATGCACCTGGTCACCCAAGAGCTCTGATGGAGATGTGCAAGGAGATGAATGTTGTTTACATGTCTGCTTACACAACATCCATTCTGTAGCCCATGGGTCAAGGAGTAATTCTGACTTTGAATTCTTATTAAGAAATACATTTTGTAAGACTATAGCTGCCACAGATAGTGATTCCTCTGATGGGTCTGGGCAGAGTAAATTCAAAACCTAGAAAAGAATCACCATTCTAGGTGTAGTTAGACATCTAGAACATGTGTGATCCATGGGATGAGGTCAAAATATCCACATGCACAGGAGTTTGGAAGAAGTGGATTCCAACCCTCATGGGTGACTTTGAGAGGTTCAGGACTTCAGTGGAGGAAGTAACTGTGGATGTGGTGGAAATAGGAAGAGAACTAGAATTAGAAGTGAGGTGGCCAGGTGCGGTGGCTCAGGCCTGTAATCCCAGCACTTTGAGAGGCCGAGGTGGGTGGATCACGAGATCAGGAGATCGAGACCATCCTGGCTAACACGGTGAAACCCTGTCTCTACTGAAAAAAAATTAGCCAGGTATGGTGGCACACACCTGTAGTCCCAGCTACCCAGGAGGCTGAGGCAGGAGAATCGCTTGAACCTGAGAGGCGGAGGTTGCAGTGAGCCGTAATTGTGCCACTGCACTCCAGCCTGGGCGACAGAGCAAGACACCATCTCAAAAAAAAAAAAAAAAGAAGAAGAAGAAGTGAGGCCTGAAGATGGGACTGAATTGCTGCAGTCTCAGCATCAAACTTGCATAGATGAGTTGCTTCTTATGGATGAGGAAAGAAAGTGACTTCTTCAGAAGGAATCTACTCCTGGTGAAGATGCTATGCACATGGTTGAAATGACAAAAAGGACTCCGAATAGCACAGAAACTTGACAAAGCCACAGCAGGGTTTGAGATGATTTTGAAAGTAGTTCTACTGTGGGTAAAATATCAAACAACACTGCATGCTGCAGAGAAGTCTTTTGTGAAAGGAATAGTTCTTCAATGTGGCAAACTTAATTGATGAATCTTGTTTTCAGAAATTGCTGGTCACTCAGGAACCACCACCCTGATCAATCAGCAGTCATCAGCATCAAGGAAGCAAAGAGATTATGTAGGACTCACTGAAGGCTCAGATCTTCTATAGCATTTTTAAGCAATATTTATTTAGTGTTTTTTTTTTTTTTTTTTTTTTTTTTTTGAGATGGAGTCTCGCTCTGTCACCCAGGCCGTAGTGCAGTGGCTCAATCATAGATCACACCAGCCTCTAACTCCTAGGCTAATGTGATCCTCACACCTCAGCCTCTTGAGTAGCTGGGACTACAGGCGTGTGCCACCATGCTCAGCTAATTTAAGAAACTTTTCTTTGGTAGAGATTTGGTCTCACAATGTTGCCCAAGCTGTCTTGAACTCCTAGGCTCAAGTGATCCTCCCACTTCAACCCTCAAAGTGACATTTACAGGCATGAGTCATGGCACCTGGCTAGCAATAAGGTATTTTAAAATTAAGGAATGTACATTGTTTTAGAGGCAATGCTATTGCACACTTAATAGACTATAATATATGTAAACTCCACTTTTGTATGCACTGGAAAACCAAAAAGCTTGTGTAACTGGCTTTATTTCCCTATTTGCTTTTATTGTGGTAGTCTGGAACAGAACCTGAAATGTCGCCCAGGAATGTCTGTCTTTTCTACTGGTTTGTATTTTATCATTTAATCCTCTTAAGATAGTCTTTCACAGAACCTAGGTTTTAAGTTTTGATGAACTCTGATTTATCCAAATTTTTATGGGTCATGCTTTTGGTATCAAGCCTAAAATATTTATCCAGCTCTAGGTCCCCCATTTTTCTTTTAGAATTTCTCCCTTAAAGTTTTATAGTTTCATGTTTTACATTTAAGTGTGTGACCCATTTGCAGTTAGTTTGTATGAGTGAGGCGAAAGAGTATTTCATTTAACAGTTCATCAACATTTACCTTATTTTAAAAACTCCATAAATTCATAGTATTGTGTTGTATGGATGTACTAGGATTTATTTAAGTAGGTCCCTCTTAATGCCTATTATTTCTTCTTTCTTTCTTTTTTTGTTATTATGGTAAGTAATGCTGAAATCGACATTCTTTCTTTTTTTTTTAAGAGATGGGATCTCACTGTGTTGCTGAGGCTGGTCTCCAACTCCTGGCCTCAAGCGATCCTCCTGCCTCGGCCTCCCAAGGCACTGGGATTACAGGCGCAGCCACTGAGCCCACCTGAAATCGATGCTCTTATACAAATATTTGCACAACTGCGGCCCACACCCATTTGTTGTCCTTTGGCTTGGTCGCACTGCAGAAGATAAATTTGGTGTGAATGCCGTGGTTAGCTTCTCAGCCATGTCCTTGATGGCTTCTGGGCTTTGTTTTAAGGTTTAGAAAGAACTGCACTCGGAAATGGTGGCGTTAAAAGGGACTCATCCACTTTCTCTCGCAGTCCTTTCTTGGTTTCAGGTTTCAGGTCCATGCCTGCCAGGAACCCGTTGGGCAAGTCCTGGCCAGGCGCCCCCGGCCTCCTCGCCTGGAGCAAGGCCCTGTCCTCTCCGGAGCTGCGACCCCGCAGGCGCGGCCCCGGAGCTGCAGGAGGAGTCGGTCGCCTTCTCGCAGCTGCTCTCGTGGGACCGGAGGTCCCAGACTATGAACAAATGGTCCAAGTGCCCCCTCTGCTGCCGGGGTCGCACTGTGCCTGGCTGTGGCGTTGGGGAGCTCCAAAGCTGGGGCTCTGGGGTGGTGTCGGGGCCCCTCCGCCCACCCGGGCCGGGACGGCGATCCCAGGTGGACCCGGACGGTGTCGGGCGTGCGGGTGGCAGCTGCGATGGCCCTCGCCAGCCTGCGATCTCGAGCCGTCCCGTAGGTGTTTGCGCCGTTCATCGCGCGCTTGCTAGTGGCCTTTTTAAGTACTTTCCCGGGAGCTTGGCCGAGGCTCCATCCCAGGGCGCGGGCGGACCTCCAAGTCACCTCCACGCGGTAATCTCATCACTGCGATGGGGGGCAGTTTCTCACTCTCCCTCACGAAGTTTAGGACCACATGAAAGTCCTGAACATGCTTCCAGTAGGACCTGTTAAAAGGTGAAGCCTTGGCCTGGCGAGTGGCTCACGCCTGTAATCCTAACACTTTGGGAGGCTGAGACGGGTGGATCACGAGGTCAGGATATGGAGACAATCCTGGCCAACATGATGAAACCCCCTCTGTACTTAAAAATTCAAAAAATTAGCTGGGCGAGGTGGCACACACCTGTAGTCCTACCTACTCGGGAGGTTGAGGCAATGGAATCGCTTGAACCCAGGAGGCGGAGGTTGCAGTGAGCCGAGATGGCGCCACTGCACTGCAGCCTGGAGACAGAGCAAGACTCCGTCTCAAAAAAAAAAAAAAAAAGTGACGCCTTTAAGGACAGAGATGGAATGGGCATCTCAGGCAACGTGGTCCTAGTGACAAGGTATTTGGGGGATGAGACAGATACAGGGCCGCCCTCCTGTACCTCCACGGGTCTTTTCACGTGACTCTGGCTGGGAAGAGGGCAGGGCAGGCGTGGGGCTGGGTATGGGTCCGGGCAGCCAGCGACCACAGGGAGGGCACTGCAACCAGGCACAGGCTGGGAAACCGCGCAGAATCCGGCAAATCAATCAATCCTCCGAGCATCTTTACTACTGAGGCCAGCCCGGGACCACACGCTGGCCTCTTGCCCGTTTGCTTCTGCTTTTTTGTTTTCTTTTCTTTGCTTTCCCTTTCCTTCCTTCCCCTTTCCTTGACAGGGTCTAGCTGTGTCGCTGAGGCTGGGGCTCAGTGGCCCTCTCGGCTCACTGCAGCCTCGGCCTCCCAGGCTCCTGCGCTCCTCTCGCCTCACCCGAGCAGCTGGGACCACAGGCGTAGCCACCACGCCGGCCTCGGCATCTGTGTCCTGCGCAGTCCCCTGCGGGAGTGGGGTCAGAGACTGCGGCCAGGCCTCTTGGTTCCAGGTAGCACAGCAGGGCCCTGCCGGGCGCGCCCCCTGGGGCAATCTCCCATGCTCTCGGGCAAAGAGC
Organism: Homo sapiens; assembly: GCF_000001405.40. NCBI lineage: Eukaryota > Metazoa > Chordata > Mammalia > Primates > Hominidae > Homo > Homo sapiens. The sequence continues at coordinate 130,287,388 of NC_000002.12, read as the reverse complement.
AGCAGCCATGGGCCTGGCCATGCTCTGAGGACGGAGAGGGGAGCCCAAGCCCAGCCGCCGTCATTCGCAGTGTCCCGTGGGAATTGTTCCAAGTTCACCTTCCGAAGACAAGGAACGGTCTCTGCACATGTACGTGAGGGGGCCAGGAAGAGGCCGGGCCACCTGTGGGGCAGCTGCATGCCTTCCTCGGTCTGCGGGTCCCTCCCCGCGGATCCCTCCAGGGTGCCTCGGGCCTGGCGGTCGGGCACCTTCTGGCAGCCACTTTCTTTTCCTGGCTGTGTCCGCAGGCTGGCCTCCAACTCTGGTCTCAAGCTGTCCTCCTGCCTCAGCTTCCCAAAGCACGTGGATTCCAGGCATGAGCCACAGTGCCAGAGCTGGAGCCTGTATTTTAATTTATGAATTAGTCTGAGACTCTGGGAGAGTTTCTTCATCCTGTATCTCCCAGTGTCCTAAACGACCCATGACTGAGTCCTGTTTATCCCTTCTCCAGTATGAATTCCAAAAGGCTTCTCTCCATTTCCACAACCGCCAAACCACTGGGCCCTGAGGGGGTGCACTATGGGCAGGGACGGGCAGCCAGAGACCAGCTCGCACCTCTGTGGCATCATCCCAGGGGGTCCCACAAGCTTCCCCTGTTGCTGCCAAGTGGCAGAAAATCCAGAAGGCCTCCCAAGCACAGCCCTGGTTGGGGCTGTGGTCCTCTCCTGTCGGGCGAGGACAAATGAGGTCATGGAGAGGTCAAGATGTCACACATGGGATTAAGGTCACAGAAGGGTGAAGTCAGTCTCCTGGTTGGGAATCAGGGGCTCCCTGGGGGGAGTCTGTTTGCCTTGAAGAGACAGTGTCCAGTCCAACAGGGGTCACTCACTGCGCCTCCTTTGGCTCCTTTTGAGCCAGTGTCCCTGTGACACAAAGAACAAGAAAGAGCCAGTCACGGCAGGGGAAAGACAGGATTCAGGAGTGCAGAGGCCAGGTCCCAAGTCCACAGCAGCCTCGAGTTCCTACACAGGAGGGGCAGGCCTGAGGAAATCTGGGGACATTGGAGCTCTGGAAGTGTGGGGAGGAAGCACTGGAGGCATGAGGACAAATGGGGACCCTGAGGACTTGGCGTGTTACACTGGAAGTCAAGGGAGGCAACAGTGGGGTTCAGGATTTAGTGCAGGAACAGAAGCAGTGCTCACGGGGAGGCCAGGGAGTCTCCAGGACCAATGGGGTGGATGCTCCTGGGGTACCCTAGGGAAGGACCTGGCTCAACTGGGCCCTCCTCCCCCCAAACTCCAGAGCATCTGCTCCCTCACCCACAGCTGAGTTTTAACCCCATCCTCCCACTCCCCACCCCTCCCCCCACCCTCCAGGACCAGGCCCTGTACTCACCTCTCCCTTTCTGTTCAGGGGAGCCCTGAGGGCCAGGAAGACCCTGATCCCCATTCTCTCCCTGCTCCTCCAGGGGGCCCAATCAGTCCAGTGAGACCTGAGCGGCCCCTAGAGAAGGGAGCAGGTGGTCGGGGAACACAGGAGGAGTCACATGGATGGGGGAGAAAGGCCAAGACACAGAGAATGCCCTGGGCACAGGGTCTGTGGGTGGCCCTCACTGAGCAGGGACCCCGGGGCCTGGCGGCTGGGGGCCTGGAGCAGAGCAGGCCCCTCAGAGTCCCACAGGCTTCAGGGCTGAGGGTGATGGGAGACACACCTGGCCATGTGTTTGTCACTCACCTCTTCCTCGGCTCCAGCATCGCTCCCAAAGCCAGGAAGCCCTGGGGGTCCCTTTGGGGAGACAGGAAGTCCCTCTCTCCAGAGAGAGGCGGTAACTCGGTTCTCCCATCGCCTCCCACTTCCTGCAGGGTCTTAGCTGGCTGCCTCAGGGCGCCCACCCTCACCCCTCACCAGCCCCATCCCAGTCACTCACCACAGGACTGGAAGGCCCAGCTTGGCCTGTGGCTCCAGGTCGGCCTTGCTGACCCTGCAGATTTGAGGGGACCCCAGGGATGAGGAGGAGCACCCCACATTGCACTCCTCTCCGGGCTTTTCACCCTCCTCCCCAAGCCCAGCCCTCGCCTGCAGTGACTCACACTGAACCCCAGAGCCCCTCAGACCATCAGCACCAGCTGGGCCTGTGGGACCCAAGGCACCCACAGCACCTGGAGGCCCTGAAATGCACACAAGGAACGTGTCCTGAAAGGCAGCAGAGGGGATGTGAATTGGAGCAGGGGTTCAAAGTGGAAGGGGTGAGGCAGGGAGGAGGGCCCGAAGCCTGGGAGCCCCAGAGCAGCAATAACTATAGGAAACCCCATCCCCAGGAGGGGTCAACATGGGATACATGGATGGGGGTGGGTAGACATCTGGAGACGAGGCACCTGAGGGGCAGGAAGGCAGAGGGGAGGCTCCAGCACCCAGGGGCAGCCTCTCTTTCACCTGGGCTTTACTCCTCATTGGCTCTGGGGACCAGGCATGCCAGTGAGACCCTGCAAATGGGACGGGAAGGGAGAGAACATGAGGCCTAGGCAGCCAGGCGCCAGTCTTCCCCTTTCTGTGCTACACACACACACACACACACACACACACTGCACACATGCACATACTATAGACACATTGCACACACATGGCACACACACACAGATGCAGAGGTCCTGTTGTGAAAATGCAGAGGCGTCTGTGCATTTGGGGAAGAGCCAGTCGCCCACACCCCACCTGGTGGCCCAGGTTAACCTCTGGCCCAGCAGAAAAGCTGGCCCGTCCCTCCACCAGTGTCCATTGATTGGTCAGTAAACATGACCACCGCTGTTGAGAACATGTTCACCAAACCTCAGGAACAACATACCCAGGAGGTCACAGACTCATAAACCCGTGTGCTCATGCCCCCCCGCCCCATGCACACATCAGGGACAGCACAGATAGCAGGCATCTCCCTGCCCGCCCCACCAGCCATTGCCCAATCTCTACCACATGGCCCAGGGACTGCCTCCCAGGGTCCCAGAGCCCACCTCACTCACCCACTTGACTAGTGGCCCAGGGGGTCTGTTCTCCCCAGTGGGACCAGGGAATGCCTAGGAAGAGAAGAACTGGGATGGGTGTGTGTTTGGCCTCCAGCCAAGGGACCTCTCAGGCGTGGGTATAGAAGAGGGCTAAGGGGCTGAAGGCTGGGGCTCAGTGGGGGTGGTGGGGTCACTGGTCATTCACAGATTGTCCTGGTTCGCCATCCTTGCCACAGTCACCCTTAGCACTGTCCTGGCCCTGCAGGGGTGAAGCAAGGCCAGAGGAGGCCCCAACCTGGCTGGCATCACCCCTAAAACTGCCAATCCTCCCATCCCCCTGCCTGTCCTGCCATATCTCCAGCTTCCCAGTACCCAAGCCCATTAGCCACATGGAGGCTCCTCATAGAAGCCCCACCCTCTTTTCCCCTTCCCCCTCCCTAAGACACCCAAGTCACCTTCTCCAGGGGGGTCAGGGTCTCCAGGAAAATCAAGACCCTGATCCAAAGAGAGAACAAGGATCAAGGTCACAGCCCCTTAAGCCCGCTCAACACAGACTACCACAGGCACATGCCACCCTCTCCCTCTGTACAGACAGTGCCTGCCACCTTGCCGGATCTGTCCCACAGACCCTGGCTGATGGATGAAATGAGTACTCAGACACAGGTATGCAGTGTAAGGCAGCTAGGTGACTGCCCAGCCCCAGTGGCCAGAGAGCAGCTGTGAGAAGCTGGAGCTGCTTGCTTTTATTCAGTGCAGGCACAATGGTGAAAACCTGGAGCCGACACAACCTGTAGGTAATTAACATTTATTGTTCCCCTTTCAGGGAACGTCAGGCGCACGGATGATCAAAGGTCAGTTCCTGGTTGATGTAAGTGAACAATCTTGTTTAAGAAAAATTCCCCCACACTCCCTTGTAGCTACTCCTTGCCCTCTACCTCAGGGTTATAGAACAGCTGCCTTCAGCTATTCTCCTCCTGGGGCTCTGTAGAAACTTCCGACCTTTCAGAAGGTTTGTGTCCTTTCCCTATAGTTTTTCCCACCACTCTGACCAATCCCCCACACCGCCTCCCTAGGAAGAGGGTCTCTTTTATCGGAGTGTGATGAGATTTCCTGAGGGGTTATTAGACCCTGTTTCGTGAAGGAATAGGTGGTGGAGAATTGTTAGGGCTATAATGATGAAAGGTAAGATGAAATGGAAGGTGAAGAATCGTGTAAGAGTGGCTTTGTCAACTGAAAATCACCTCAGATTCACTGGGCAAGGTCAGTCCCGACATATGGAGTAGCTGATATTAGGTTTGTGGTTACTGTGGCGCCTCAGAGTGATATTTGGCCTCATGGAAGCACATAGCCTATAAACGCTGTTGCTGTGGTTGTAAGCAAGAGAATAATGCCAGTGTTTCAGGTTTCCAAATATGTGAATGAGCCATAATATAAGCCTCGGCCGACATGTAGGAAGAGGCAGATGAAGAATGTTGAAGTACCGTTAGCGTGAAAAAAGCGGGTAATTCAGCTGTAGTTCACATCTCGGTTAATATAGGCGACTGAAGAGAAAGAAATTGAGGTATCTGGTGTGTAATGTATGGCCAGATATAACCCTGTGATGATCTGAAGGATTAAGCAGGTGCCAAGAAGTCAGCCCAAGTTTCATCATATAGAGATATGAGATGGAGTGGGGAGGTCGATGAGTGAATAATTAATGATTTTTATTAGTGGATTTGTTTTACGTATTATGGTCATTAGTGTTCTTATAGTTGAAATATGACAATGGTTTTTCTTATCATTAGTCATGGTTATAATCCATGTGGGAATAATGACATACGCTTTGTTCTGATTAAGTGTTCTTTTGGTTATGGGATTTGTAGGTTTTTCTTCTAAACCTCCAATTTATGGGGTCTTAGGGTTAATTATTAGTGGTGCTATGGGTTGCGTTATTGTACTAAATTATGGTGGGGCTTTTATGGGATTAATAGTCTTTTTGATTTACTTGTAGGGGATGATGGTTGTTTTTGGCTATACTGCGGTGGTGGCTATTAAGGAATATCCAGAGGAGTGAGGATCAAGCATTGTGGTTTTAGAAACGTTATTATTGGGTTTAGCAGTAGAGTTGGTGTTAAGTTGATGAGTGAGTATGATGGACTGGTGATTGTAGTTAATTTTAATAGTATGGGAAGTTGAATAATTTTTGAGGGTGAGGGGCCAGGGTTGGTTCGTGAAGATTCTGTGGGTGCGGGTGCTTTCTATAATTATGAGTGTTGATTGGTGGTGGTTGCTGGTTGAACATTGTTGGCTGGTGTTGATGTTATAATTGAAATTACTCAGGGCAACAGATTAAATACTTAAGAGTAAAGTCAAAAAGGATGGAATAAAAAAAGAGGAAATAAGATTTAAATAGGCCTTTTTGAGTACTTATAGTAACGGAGGCTGTGATTTGGGTTTGTGAAGTTGTTTTTGGTATGGACTTTTCTAGTCAAATTAGATCTAATAGAAGTGATGCCAGGTTTTGGCTTGTAGATAGGCTTGAGTGAGGGGTTATACAGTGAATTGTGATTGAGTAAAATCCTAATATGTTAGAAAAGTTGAATATTTGTAATGGGTGTTTTATTGTAAGATTATTAGTTATAGAACTCAGTTCTATAGCCAGTAAAAGCCCTAGGATGTTTACACCTAGGGCTGCAAGTTTTAGATGAGGTGCTATTGTTGTTTGTAGGGATGAAGCAGGGACAATGCTATTGGTGAGGAGAAACCCAGCGAAGATGCTGTCAACTATAAGGTGTTTAATTGGATTTATTAGGGAAGGAATATTTTCATTAATGTTGATTAGGGTTGGGAAGTGGGGTTGTCCTATTAGGGCGAAGAAGATAATCTGGATACTATAGACGCTTGTTAGGGAAGTGGCAATGAAAATAATAAGAGAGGGCTCAGGCGTTGGTATATGACGTGTTTGCAGTTTCGATGATGAGATCTTTAGAGTAAAAGCCTGTGAGGAAGGGCATACCCATAAGTGCTAGGCTGCCAATAATAAGGGAGGAGAAAGTAAGGGGTAAAGTCTTAAATAGTCCTGTTTTTCAGATGTCTTGTTCATCGTTGAGGCTGTGGATGATGGATCCTGAACACATAAATAATATAACTTTGAAAAAGGCGTGGGTGCAGATGTGTAGGAATGCTAGGTGTGGTTGATTAATGCCAATTGTGGTTATTCTAAGGCCTAGTTGACTTGAGGTGGAGAGTGCTACGATTTTTTCAATATCATTTTGTGTTAAAGCACAGATTGCTGTAAAAAAGTGGTAATAGCTCCTAGACATAGTGTAAGGGTTTGGATTAACACATTATTTTCTATTAAGGAGTAGAAACGAAGAAGTAGGAAAACCCCTGCCACAGCTATATTACTAGAGTGGAGTAGGGCTGAGACAGGGGCTGGGCCTTCCATGGCGGAAGGAAGTGAGGAGTGGAGGCCAAGTTGGGCTGTTTTTCCTGCTGCTGCTAAGAGAAGGCCAATTAATGGAAGAAGATCGGGGGTAGGATTTAGGATAAATATTTGTTGAGGCTCTCATGTATTGGAGGATGTGAGGAATCATGCTATAGCTAAAATGAAGCCAATATCGCCAATGCGATTATGTAGGATCACTTGCAGGGCTGTTGTATTAGCATCTGCTCAGCCATGTCATCAGCCAGTTAGTAGAAAAGACACAATTCCTATGCCTTCTCATCCAACAAAAAGTTGAAAAAGTTGTTGGCGGTAACTAGAATTAATATTGTGGTGTGGAAAATAAGTAAATATTTGAAAAACTGATCAAAATTAGGATCTGACTTTATATATCATATTGAGAATTCTATAATCAGGTGACAAATAGTGCTACTGGAATAAACATTATGGAGAAGTAGTCTAGTTTGAAGCTTAATGAGAGTTTAAAGGTTTGGATTGTTATTCAATATCAGTTTGAGATGATGGGTTATTGGTCTGTATATATAAACATTGTTGTGGGAATGAGGCTAATGGTGAAGGTGCATGCGATAGCTATTTTTATGTAATATGGGTACGAGTTCTTCTTGTAAGGGTTTATGAAGGTAATAATAATTGGTAAGGTTAAGGAGATTAAGGTTATTATGGTAATATGTGATTATTACTTTTATTTGGAGTTGCACCAATATTTTTGGTTCCTAGGACCAACAGATAGCTCTTATCCTCTAAAAGTTGAGAAAGCCATATTGTCAGGCATGGGGGCATGAGTTAGCAGTTCTTGCACACTTTCTTGGTAAATAAGAAGCAGCAGACTTCTATTATTAGATCCACAATCTAACATTTTGATTAAACTGACTGTATAATAATTTTAGGGTTTAGAGATAATAGGAGAATAGGTGAAAGGTGTATAAATATTAATATATTTTCTCATGTAAAGGAGGGCTTAATACTGTTAATATAATAAGTAAGTGTTCATCGTTGTGTTGTGACAAGTATGTGATGGAGATAAAGGGCAGTGATTAATATATTACATCCTATAAGCATAATGGTAATATTTGATCAGGAGAAAGAAGCCACTATTACGAGGAGTTCTCCTATTAGATTAGTGGAGGGGGGTAAGGCAGGGTTAGTAAGATTTGCTATAAGCCATCAAAAGGCTATTAGTGGAAATAATGTTTGAAGCCCTCGAGAGAGTAATATGGTTCGGCTGTGGATTCGCTTGTAGTTTGAATTTGCTAGGCAGAAAAGTAGGGACGAAGTAAGTCCGTGGGCAATTACGAGGATAATTAAACTGGTAAAGCTTCAGGGGATTTGAATAAGGATAGCCATAATAACAAGTGCCATATGGCTTACGGAGGAATATGCAATAAGTGACTTTAGCTCAGTTTGTCATAGACAGATAGAGCTTGTCATAACTATACCTCATAAGGATAACATGAGGAAGGGATAGACTATATATTCTGTCAGGGGGCTGAGGATAAGGGTTAAGTCGTGTTATGCCATAGCCGCCTAGTTTTAGGAGTCCTGCTGCAAGTACCATTGAGCTAGCAATAGGGGTTTCTACATGGGCTTTAGGAAGTCATAGGTGAAGTCCGTATAGGGGTATTTTTACCATAAAAGCCATTATACACACCATATAAAGTTGTTGGATCAGGAAATCAATAGTTCTTGGGTATTAAAAAATGTTATTATTATTATGCTCAGTGAGCCTAGGATATTTTGGGTGTAAGTAAGTATAATAAGTAGGGGGAGAGATCCTACTAGTTTGTAAGGTAAGAAATATGTGCTTGCATTGAGGCATTCTGGTTGGTTGCCCCAGCGGGTAATAATAATTAAGGTGGGGATAAGTGTAGCTTCAAAGAGAATATAAAATATAATTAGTTCCGTGGCTGTAAATGCCATAATTAGAAAAACTTGTAGGGAGATCAATATGGAAATATAGAGCTTTTTCTGTGGGAGGGATTCACTGGAGAGGTGATACTGGCTTGCTATAATTATAAGAGTTAATGGCCAGGCTGTTAAGATTAGAAGGGGTGATGTTAGGGGATCAGAGGAGAAAAGTTGATGAGAAGTTGAATAGATTGTCGTTGAATTGATTAAAGAATAATAGGGAAATAAAGCTGATAATTAGGCTGTGAGTGGTTATATTGATCCAGAGTATAGGATTATCAGAGAGTCATGTTATTGGTAGCAGTATAATTGTTGGAATGATAATTTTTACCGTCGAAGTAAATTTAGGTTATGCACATAGTTTAAGCCATATGTGTTGGAAATTGAAACTAGTAACGCAAGGCCCACTGCGGCTTCGCAGGCAGCAGATACTAGTAGGGTGATGGGTACTACGTTGCTAGGGTAAAATGTATACTTAAAGTTAAAAGGGTATTTATGATGAATAATGATAATATTATTCCTTGTAGGCATAGTAGGGATGATATTAGGTGGGATGGATAGATTAATACCCCCAGAAGTGACATGGTGTATGTGAATATAATATTTATGTAAATAGAGGGCATTTGGTAAACATGTTCTGTCATAACTAATGAGTCAAAATCATTTATTTTGGCTTAAACTACTTACCAATTCAGTTCAGTCTAATCCTTTTTGAGTTCATTCATAAGTTAACCCTAGGATTAAAATGATAACTAGCATAAAGGATGTACTAATTATTAGTGTCAGGTTGTTTGAAGGGCTCATGGTAAGGGTAGCAGTAGGGTGATTTCTAAGTCAAATAGGAGGAATGTGATGGCTACTAGAAATAATTTTGTGGAGAAAGGAATGAGGGCAGAGGATAACGAGTCAAATCCGCATTTGTAGGGGCTGGATTTTTCTGTATAAATATTAAGTTGTGGGAGCCAGAATGTAATAGCTGTAAGTGACAGGGCTAGTAGGGTGTTGATTACTAGGGCTAGTGTTAGGTTAATTACTCTTTTTCAGATACTATCGAAACTAATTGATTGGAAGTCAATGGTACTGTTTATACTAAAAGAGTAAGACCCTCATCAGTAGATAGAAATATATGAGAATAGTCATACTACATCTACATAGTGTCAATATCAGGCGGTGGCTTCAAAGCCAAAATGATGGCTGGATGTAAAGTGGTATTTTAATTGGCAGAGAAGGCAGATAGTAAGGAAAGTTGATCCAATAATGATGTGAAGTCCATAAAAGCCTGTAGCTATAAAAAATGTTGGGCCATAAATTCCATCAGAAATAGCAAAGGGAGCCTCTAAGTATTCTGAGACTTGTAGGAGGGTGAAGCAAATGCCTAAGATAATTGTGAAAAGTAGTGCTTGAATTACTTGTTTTCGATTATTTTCTATTATGCTGTGATGGGCTCAAGTAATTGAAACCCCTGATGCAAGTAATACAGATGTGTTCAGGAGGGGTACTTCCAGGGGGTCGAGGGGAGAAATGCTTGTTGGAGATCAGTGTCCTCCTAATTCTGGAGCTGGGGCTAGACTAGAATGGTAGAATGCTCAAAAGAATCCAGCAAAGACAAATACTTCTGAGATAACAAATACGACTATTCCACATCGGAGGCCTTTTTGAACAGTTGTTGTATCATGGCCTGGAAATGTACTTTCTCGGATAATGTCACATCACCATTGATATATAGTCAGTGTATTGGTTAGTAGGCCCAGGGTTAAAAGAGTAATAGAGTTAAAGTGAAGTCATATAGCTAGGGCGGATGTTATTAGGAGAGCTGAGAGAGCCCCTGTTAATGGTCAAGGGCTGGGTTTGACTAAATGATAGGTGTGTGTTTGGTGGGTCATTATGTATTGTCATAGAAATAAAGGCTTACTAAAAGCGTAAAGACATAAGCTTGGATAAGGGCCACAGCAGATTGGAGCATGGTTAATAGAATTAGAATAATAAAGGTGATTGAAGCTGTGGGAAGGTTAGTAGTTGATAATACTAGTGTGGCTCCTCCAATTAAGCGCATGAGTAAGTGACTGGCTATAAGGTTGGCTGTTAGACGTACAGCTAGTGCTGTTGGTTGAATAAATAGACTAATGGTTTCGGTGAATACTGGTATAGGAATAAGTGGTATGCGTGTGCCTTGTGGTAGGAAGTGAGCTAAGGAGTTTTTAGTTTTAAAGCGGAAGCCTGTGATTACTGTGCCTGCTCATAAGGGGATTGCTGTAGCTAGATTTATTGATGGTTGGGTAGTTGGTGTAAATGAGTCTGGTAGGAGTCCAAGGAGATTGGTTAAGGCAATAAAGAGAATTAGAGATATCAGTATAAGGGATCGGGCTTGTCCTTTAATGTTACGTATAATTATTTGTTTTAGGATAAGTTGAACTAGTCATTGTTGAATAGAAATTAATCAGTTATTGACTAGATAGTTGGAGGTTGGAAGGAGTGTGGAGGGGAACAAGATGATTAGTGCTGCTGTGGGTAACCCTAGGATTGTTGGGGCGATAAATGAGGTGAACAGATTTTTGTTCATTTTAGTTCTCAAGGGTTGTTATGTTTTTGTACTTTAACTGTTTTTGGTGAAGGGGGTGTATGGTAGATGAAATTTGAAATTTTTAATTGAATAATGGAAAATAAAGTTACGATTATTGATACAATAATAGGTCATGTGGAGGTATCTAGCTGAGGCATTCACTCTAGAGAGGTATGATTTCTCTCGATCTTTAACTTAAAAGGTTAACACTGGGGTAATTTTACAGTGATATTATCGTGTGGCTATAGATCAAGTTTCAAAAGTTTTTAATGGAACTAGTTCTAGAACAATAGGTATAAAACCGTGATTAGATCCACAGATTTCTGAGCATTGTCTGTAGTTGAAGCCTGGTCGTGTAGTGGTTAAGGTAAATTGGTTTAAGCGTCCAGGGACTGCATCTGTTTTTAAACCTAATGAGGGAATAGTTCATGAGTGCAGGACATCTTCAGATGAGGTTAACATGCGGATGGGAATTTCTATTGGGAGGATTGTTCGGTTATCGACTTCAAGGAGTCGGAGTTCTTTTGGTTTTAGGTCTGCTGTTGGAAGCATATAAGAATAGAAGCTTAACTCTTCATAATCTGTACACTAGTAGCTTCAATACCATTGATGTCCGATTGTTTTAACGGTGAGAGAAGGCTTATTGACTTCATCTGTTGTATATTACATACGTAGGGATGGGAGGGCAGTTAAGATTAAGATGCTAGCAGGCAAGATCATTCAGACAGTCTCTATTTCTTGGGCATCTATGGTGCTATTGTTAGTCAATTTTATTGTGAGTATTAGAGAAATAACGTATAGAACCAGGGAACTAATTAGGAAAACAATGACAAGGATGTGGTCATGGAAGGTAAGTAGTTATTCTGTAATAGCAAATGAAGCATCTTGAAGACCTAATTGAACTGTATGGGCCATTAAGATATATACGGCTTAACCTATAACTTAACTTTGACAAAGTTATGAAATAATTTCACTAATATCTTATTGAGAAGGTCACAGAGGTTATGGGATTGGCTTGAAACCAGTCTGTGGGGGGTTCGATTCCCTCCTTTTTCACTTAGGTCTTCATGTAGGTTGGTTCTTCGAATGTGTGATGGGTTGGTGGACAGCCATATAGTCATTCTAAGTGGGTAGATGGTTGCTCAACTATTAGAACTTTTCATTTTGAAGTGAAGGCTTCTCAGACCATGAAAATTATTAGTATTACTGCTGTTAGGGAAATAAATGAGCCTAGGATGAAATAATATTTCATGCAGTGTACACGTCAGGATAACTGGAGTAACGTCAAGGCATACCAGATAGGCCGAAGAAGTGTTGTGGGAAAAAAGTTAAATTCGCACTTACAAATATAATAGCAAAGTGAGTTTTAGCATAGATTTGATTGAGTATAACCTGAAAATAGAGGGAATCAGTGAACAAAGCCTCCCATAATGGCAAATATGGCTCCTTTTGATAAGACATAATGGAAATGGGCTACAGCATAATATCATGTAGTACAATATCCAGTGATGAATTGGCTAGTACGATGCCGGTTAGGCCTCCTGTTGTAAAAAGGAAAATAAATCCCAGGGCTCAGAGCATTGTGGGGGATCATTTGATACTACTGCTGTGAAGTGTAGCTAGCCAGCTAAAGACTTTGACACCAGTAGGAATAGCAATAATTATAGTAGCAGAGGTGAAATATGCTCATGTATCTACATCTATTCCTACTGTAAATATGTGGTGGGCCCATACGATAAACCCTAAGAAGCCAATTGATATTATGGCTCATACTATGCCCATATACCCAAATGGTTCTTTTTTTTTCCAGAATAATATGTTATGATATGGGAAATTATCCGAAGCCTGGTAAGATGAGAGAGACTTCGGGGTGACCGAAGAATCAGAATAAATGCTGATATAAGATAGGATCACCTCCACTAGCTGGGTCGAAAAAAAGTAGTATTAAGATTGCGGTCAGTTAACAATATAGTAATGCCAGCAGCTAGGACTGGGAGAGAAAGGAGTAGAAGAACTGCTGTAATTAAGACTGATCAGATGAAGAGGAGTGTGTGATATTGGGACATGGCTGGGGGTTTATATTAATAATTGTGGTAATAAAGTTAATAGCCCTAAAATAGAAGAAACACCTGCCAAATGGAGTGAAAAGATGGTTAAATCTACAGAGGCTCCCGCATGTGTTAGATTTCCTGCTAAGGGGTGGGGGGGTGGGGGTAGACTGTTCAGCCGGTTCCAGCGCCTGCCTCTACTATAGCGGATGCAAATAATAGTAGGAAAGAGGGTGAGAGGAGTCGGAAACTCCTACTATTTATGCAGGGAAATGCTATATTGGGGGGGCAATTATCAGAGGAACTAATCAGTTGCCGAAGCCTCCAATTATAATTGGCATTACTATAAAGAAAATTATGACAAATGCATGAGCTGTAATGATGACATTATAAATTTGATCATCTCCTAAAAGAGTACCTGGTTGGCCCAGTTCAGCTTGAATAAGGAGGCTTAAATCTGGACCCACTATCCCTGCTCATGCACTGAATAGTAGATAGAATATCCCGGTATCTTTATAGTTGGCTGAGAACAGTCAACAGTTGGTGAACATAAGTGAAGTGAGAAAAAGGTAAAATGGCTGAGTAAGCATTAGACTGTAATCTAAAAACAGAGATCAAGACCTCTTTTTACCAGCCCCGAGGTGATTTTCATGTTGAATTGCAAATTCAAAGAAGCAGCTTCAATCCTGCCGGGGCTTCTCCCACCTTTCTCCCCCAATGGCAGGAGAAGTAGATTGAAGCCAGTTGATTAGGGTGTTTATCTGTTAATTAAATGTTCGTGGGTTTAAGTCCCATCAATCTAGTAAGGGCTTAGCTTAATTAAAGTGATTGATTTGCGTTCAATTGATACAGAGTAGAATTTTACAGTCCTTAGGTTTTTGCAGAACTTAAGTATAATGTACTTGCTAAGAGCTTCGAAGGCTCTTGGTCTTACTTAACCTCCGTTTCTAGATTATAAATAGTGTCAATGGAGATATTGGTAGGAGGAAGGTAGAGAAGATGATGAGTGGGGGGAGGAATAATACGGGTTTTGTGTTTTCGAACTGTCATTTTCTTTTTATATTATTGGATGTGGGGAATATTGTCACTGAAGTGGAGTAAATTAAGCATATATAAAAATATAGGTTGAGTAAAGTTATGATGGCTATGATGGTTGGGATAATAAGACTTATTTTTTGTAAACTCTTGGATAATAATTCATTTAGGTAGGAATCCTGTTAATGGGGGTAAACATCCTAGGGATAATAAAATTGATAGGATTATAGATATTAATCATGTTAATTTGTTTTAAATGTGAGATAGTGATAAGGTTGTGGTGCTTGAATTCAGGTTGAGTACTTGGAATGCAGCAATTGTTGGGATGAAATAGATAATTAGGGTAAAAATGGTAATGTTTGGGTTATACATTAGTACTGCTATTATTCAGTCTATATGAGTGGTTGAGGAGTAGGCTAAAATTTTACATGGTTGTGTTTGGTTGAGTCCTCCTCAACTGCCCACTAAAATAGATAGATAGGAGAATATTTGTATTTATTGATGGAAAAATTTGATTGAATTGAATTGAAATAGGGGTTAGTTTTTGTCACGTGAGGAGAAGTATGCCAGATGTTAGAGAAGTTCCTTGGGTTACTTCTGGAACTCAGAAGTGAAAGGGGGTTATTCCTAATTTTATTACTAAGGCTATTATTATTATTAGGGATGAAAACTGATTAACAGTATTTATTGTTGTTCACTGTCCAGATAACAGATTATTGGAGAGAATACCGATTATGAGGACTATAGATGTGGTTGCCTGTATAAGGAAATATTTAGTGGCTGCTTCTGTGGAGCGGGGATTTATTTTTTAATTAAGATTGGGGCGAGGGCTAGTATATTTCTTTCTAAGCCTGTTCAGATGAAAAATCAGTGTGAGGCTAGCATTGTGATAAGGGTACCTGTAGAAATAGTAAAGTAGATGATAAGCTGAGCTAATAGGTTAATTAGTATGGGAAGGATGTAACCAACATTTTTGGGATATGGGCCTGATAGCTTATTTAGCTGACCTTACTTTAGGACGTGGTGTGATAGGTAGCATGGAGAATTTTGGATTCTCAGGGATGGGTTCAATTCCTATAGTCCTAGAAATATGAGGATTTCAACCTCTGTTGTTTATTCTGTCAAAGTAATTCTTTTGTCAGACATGTTTCTTACGTTTGGGGTGGGATGCTGGAGATTATGATGGGTATTGAGATGTATCATACACAGAATGCTAGTGTAAGTGGTAGAAAGTTTTTTCATAAGAGATGTATAAGTTAATCATAGCAGAATTGGGGATAAGCTGTTCGAATTCATAAAAATAGGGAGGTTAAGAGGAGGGTCTTGGTAATGAAATATGTAGTATAGAGTTCTGGTGAATACATAGAGTGTAATTGTTCCTAGGAAAATTGTAGTAGTTAGGGAATTTATTATTATAATATTCATGTATTCTGCTATAAAGAAGAGGGCAAATGGACCTGTGGCATATTTGATGTTGAAACCTGAGACTAACTCTGATTCTCCTTCTGTTAGGTCAAAAGGGGCTCGGTTAGTTTCTGCTAATGCAGAAATAAATATTATGGCTAGGGGTCATGATGGTAGGAGTAGCCAGAGGGATTCTTGTGTTGTGATAAGTATATATAAATTGAATGAGCTGCTGTTGGGGGAAGTCAGGGACCCCGAATGGAGGGACCGGCTGAAGCCATGGTAGAAGAACGTGGATTGTGAAGATTTCATGGACATTTATTAGTTCCCCAAATTAGTACTTTTATAATTTCTTACGCCTGTCTTTACTACAGTCTCTGAACATAAATTGTGAAGATTTCATGGACACTTATCACTTCCCCAATTAATATCCTTGTGATTTCCTATGCCTGTCTTTACTTTAATCTCTTAATCCCGTCATCTTCGTAAGCTGAGGAGGATGTATGTCGCCTCAGGACCCTGTGATGATTGCGTTAACTGCACAAATTGTTTGTAGAACATGTGTGTTTGAACAATATGAAATCTGGGCACCTTGAAAAAAGAACAGGATAACAGCAATGTTCAGGGAACAAGAGAGATAACCTTAAACTCTGCCAATGAGCCAGGCGGAACAGAGCCATATTTCTCTTCTTTCAAAAGCAAATGGGAGAAATATCACTGAATTCTTTTTCTCAGCAAGGAACATCCCTGAGAAAGAGAATGCATCCCTGAGGGTAGGCCTCTAAAATGGCCGCTTTGGGGGCAGCCATCTTTTACGGTCACAGCTGTGGGATGAAATAAGCCCCAGTCTCCTGTAGCGCTCCCAGGCTTATTAGGATGAGGAAATTCCCGCCTAATAAATTTTGGCCAGACCGGTTGTCTGCTCTCAAACCCTGTTTCCTGATAAGATGTTATCAATGACAATGCGTGCCCGAAACTTCATTAGTAATTTTAATTTCGCCCCGATCCTGTGGTCCTGTGATCTTGCCCTGCCTCCATTTGCCTTGTGATATTCTATTACCTTGTGAAGCATGTGATCTCTGTGACGCACACCTTATTCGAACACTCCCTCCCCTTTTGAAAATTACTAAGAAAAACTTGCTGGTTTTGTGGCTCGGGGGGCATCACGGAACATGCCAACATGTGATGTCTCCCCTTGACACCCAGCTTTAAAATTTCTCTCTTTTGTACTCTGTCCCTTTATTTCTCAGACCAGCCAACACTTAGGGAAAATAGAAAAGAACCTATGTGAAATATCGGGGGTGAATTTCACCCGATATCTGGCTGAATTTCCCCTGATAAGCTGCTTATCAGTAGAACTGATAATAGGCTGATGGCTAGGGTAACTTCATATGAAATTAGGCGATGGCTTGTAATGTGCCGATTAGTCATAGTTTGAATAGGTTGCTCATCCTGATCATAAAATAAAGTAGATGACTATTTTGAGGGGTTGGCTAAGGCATAATTATCTAGGTCACTCAGGAGGTCAAGTGAAGATAGTACTAGCATTATTAAAAGGAGGAGGAGAAAAATTAAACCTAGGATATCTTTGATTGCATAGGAAGGGTGAAAAGTGATTTTATCGAAGTGCCCCCTCTCCACTTCATGCACTCACTGAATGCCATCTAATGCTTTAGGGTATTAGCCACAGGGCCTTTCTCACTTTCTCTTTGGGTCCCAGACCCCAAGAATCCTCCCAGGAGATCCCATTCCCAGAGCCTCCCTCCCAGGCATCCCCCCACTCCTGGGCTCCCCACACTCCAAGATCCTTGCTCACAGTCACCCATGATCCCAGGGCTGTCATTCGCAAGGGCTGAGAGGCCTCAGCCTCCATGCCCCCAAAATTGCAGGGTTCCCTTTGGGGCGGTCACCTGACCCCAGTGTCCTTTAAGGCCCTGGTGGTCCTGCCTCTCCCAGCTGCCCCAACTCTACTGTATTCTCCCCATGCTCCCCACATGGGTGCTGCAGAACAAGTGAAGGGCACAGATGGTCTGGGGGTTCTTGAAGATCAGGGATGCAGCCTCTGCTTCAAAGACACCTTCAGCCACCCCCTACTGCCCTCAGGGACAATGTGACAGACACAGAAAGTCCAGCCTATAAGGGGAGACCCTGGTCTCTTTCCCTTGGAGGTAAGAGGGGAAGGGCTTATTGAGAGTATGGTCCAGAGCAGATACTCCTGGCCACAGAGGAGCTCCAGCTCAAAGAGGTCACAGGAAAAGTGGGGGGCAGTGAGGGGGGTGAAAGGGGTTGGAAAGTAGGGCCCTGGAGCTGTCAGTCTCCTTGACACCTGGCTCACCCTGGATCCCTGGAGATCCTGAATCTCCTGGCTCCCCCTGCAAAGAGATTGATGTCAAAAACCTATTTGCCCCATCAGAAAATCCTGGTATTCCTCACATCTCATTCTTTTATGTCTCCCCAATCAAAGTTGTCAGAAAACCAACTTTCATCCCTCAGTTGAAATACTTGTCCATTCACCCCCTTCCCAGTGACCATCTCTCCAGGGGGACCCAGGTTCCCAATGCGTCCTGGGGCGCTTTGTGGGCCCTGAAGGAGGAGCAGAAATAGGCGTCATTGCTTAGGGAGGTGGGCCCATTTCTGGGGCAGAGGCCAGGATAAGTGCTCCAAGGTCACTACAGGGAGACAGTGAAGCCCTCCTGGGGAAAGGGGCTTCTCTTGGCCCCTGAGACAAGACTAGAGTTTATGGCCTGGGGAAAGGGAGGCAGAGGACCAGACACATTAATCAGGAAGACCCTAGGGACAGAGGTGGGCTGAGTCAGGAGAATGGGGGCAGGGGCTGGGGTCCTCACTGGGGTGAGGAAGGAGCTGGCTCACCCAGGCTCCCTGGGAGCATGGAGAGAGAGGACACTCATGCCACACACACCCTGTCTCTGGGGGGCCCATGGAGGCCTTCGCCCCCGATGTTCCCTATGGGGGAAACAGAGTGGGAGGAGCTGCTCCTCAGTTGTCCCCAAGGTCAGGTGGTTGAGGGAGAGCTGGGGCTCAGTGGGCAGGGGTCAGGGGGAGCCCTGCAGAGACCACTGACCTTAGCTCCAGACTTCCCAGTGGCACCTCGAGGACCCGGCTGACCCTGTGGACCCTAGAGAGGGGAGTGTTGTTGTCAGAAAAACCCAAACCCATTTGGACCTTGAGCCCCCTGTTTCTCTCCCTTGCACTTGCCATGAGGCCCCATTCTCCTCGAGGCCCTGACTTCCTTGACAGGCCCTGGTGGGAATGGAGTGGACATCCCCCGGGGCGTGCCTCCCCACAGAGCCCCCCCCACACCCCTCCAGCCTTTCCCTCCACACCTTCTCCCTATCCCCAGCTTCCTCAGGCTCCGTTCTCCCCACTGACTCCAGGAAAGCCAGGAAATCCCAGGAGTCCCTGGTGAGGAAGGAGAAGCGGGGAAATTGAGAAGTTATGAGAGGTCAGGCTCGGGAAGGAGCAGAGGGGGCCAGCAGAGGCCATGCAGGCAGCGGCATGGAGACCTGGATCCTGCCACAAATGAGGTGGCCTGGGACAAACCCCTGCTGCTCTCGGCCTCTCTCTCATCTGTAGATTGGGGGCCGCTAAACACTCTTGAGGGCCCCCCACTGCTCTGCTAGTCTGTGCTCCCTGGAATCGAAGTCAGGGAAGTGAAAAGGAGGAGGGGCACACACCCGGTGTCACCCTGAGTTCCTGGCATCCGGGGTAGCCAGGCAGACCAGGAACACCCAGCTTGCCCTGTGGAGGGACAGGGAGCAATTAGGAGTGAGAGGAGGCCCTGGTGCTACTTTCTGGAGACCCCGACCCTCACATGTGAGGGCCATGCCCCATCCCCCAGTGCACCCACACACCCCAGCTCCTAGCCCCTTCTCTCCTGCCCCATGGCTGCCTTTTGCAGTATCTCCTTCCAGAGGGTGAATTTTCCCCAACTCTAGTGCTGGGATCCTGCTTTCCTGTGCCTGCAGCCCTGTCAAGTCCTCAGGGTCACTGTGATCCAGCTGCAGCCCACCTGCCGACCTCAGTACCATCTGTCCCAGCACCCACTCCTGCTCCATCCACCAAGATCAGTCACCCTGCAGGCCCCCTGCCCTTTGCCCACGTGGCACAACACCCCAACTCCCCAACCTGTCCCCTTCCTCCTGATGTTCCAGGGCTCCTCCTGCCCAGGATGCTGTGGAGCAAGGGTTGGGAGCAGCAATTCTGCAGCCAGACTGCCCTGACTCAGCCCCTGGCCTGCCCATCACTGCTGGTGTGATGACCAAGCCTTCCTGTGCCTCTGGAGAGTCTCATCTGCAAAACAGGACCATCCACGCCCACCTCACAGGATGGAGAGAACACCTTAGCACAGTGCCTGCACATGGCGAGGGCTGGGGGGAGTCAGCCCTGGAGACCACAAGTCTCACTGCTGTTGGACACTCCCTTTTCGAAGCTACTGCTCTGAGCCTGGGCATGTTCACTTTGCCTGGGACCTGCAGCCACTCTGTGCCTCATCTCCAATCAACTCTTCACACAGTGGCTTTTCCTTGACTTTTCCTATAGGTTCCTCAACCCATCAGCAGCCAGCAGGTGCCGTTTACAGAGAGAGGAGCATAATTAAGGCACGGCCATCTTCAATTGACTGGCTGATGTCAGCTGTGGGCACCCTGCATGCCCGTCCTGACCTAGTGCCCACATCCCTAGAGGGTCCAGGCACAGACCTCTCTTCCCATCATCATCTTGCCTGTGAGCCCTGGGAAGCCCAGGATCTCTAGTCAGTTCATTGTTTCCTTTTGCTCCTTGGGACCATCCTCTCCTCTGGAACCAGGGCTCCAGCCTCACCATGAGTGAGAGAGTGGGAGAGGTAAGCGTGGAGGCCTGGGGATGAGGTCTGGGCCCAGAGGAGAAAGGGGCACCAGTGAGGCCGAGTGGGGCTGGCGGATCCCAGTAGCTGTTGCAGGAGAGGGAGCCTGTGGGGTATAGAGAGTGTGGTGATCCAGGGCCAGCGCGATGCAGATCATGGGTTTGCTGTCCTGCAGGGACCAGGCCCCCAAGGATGCACAGCACTGGAATTGAGGAACCCGGGGCCTCCATGGAATGAACCGGTGCTTGGGGGCTCCAGAGTGGAGAATCATTAGGACATGGAGTTGGGGCCAGTGTGGGGTCTCTACTCAGCCTGACACCTTTCACATCTACGTCACCTTTGAACCTCAGAAAGCCATCCCCTGAGAAAGGTGGAGGTGAGATGACCCCACAGATGACAGAGGGCCGGGGGCTCTAATGGAGGATTCTGAGAACATGGGTGGAAGGGTGGGATCAGGAGCTGGAGGGCAGCCAGGGGCAGGCTGAGGAGCAGCAATGGCAGGAGTGAGGTGCTGGGAAATTCTGCTCACCTTTGCATCTTATGGCCCTTCAGACCCCGATTTCCATCTGCACCCTGAAATTAGAGGATGACAGAGTGGCCAGGGGATGGAGGTGGGTTGGAAGGAGCGAGCCCCTGAGACCCCATCTCGCTCCCTTCAACACAGTCCTTTATCCCCAGCCTGGAGGTCAGTTACCTTGACACCTGGAGGTCCTGGGTATCCTAGAGGGCCCTGAGGTCCAGATGGACCCTGGAAGAAAAAGGCATTTGTTAAGGGTCCCAGGGTGTCACTGAGGGGGGCTTGGGGTGGGAGAAATAAACGTCACGGTGCTGGAGTCTGGGTAGGGCTCCAGGGCACAGGAGTTTCACACCACGTGGACCGTCACTTACTCCTCCAGCATTTACTGAGCGCCTCCTGTGTGCTGGTGGGTCCTCAGCGCTGAGGCCGACCCATGGTCTGCAGTGACCGTGCTATGCCCAGAGGGACGGCTCCTCCCTGGCCTCCCACTGCCTGGGTGCCGGGGCTCCCCAAGCGTGCACCGTCCTGGGATCCCCCTCCCAGCCCAGTTATGCACCATACTGGGGGTGGAGGTGGCAGCAGTGGAGATGAGATCAGGGTCCCTGTGCTCTGCCCAAGGTTAGTGGGAGGGACTAGGGTGGCCATAGTTGCTAATCAGGGATTCCGAGGGGAGAGCCTGGGCAGTGTCAGATGGTGACAGCCTGGGACAGCTTCTTGTGTGCAGGGTGACAGCAGCCCCTGGGGAATGCTGGGTGGGGAAGGGTGGGGGCTGGCTCATCCTCTGTCCCAGCCTGGGGCGGGGGGACTGCAGCCTCTGTCTGTCCCCTGGTGCTGACCCCCCCAGAGAGTCCCTCTGCATCTGCAGCCCCTGTAACTCATCCCTAGTAGGGGCCCAGCCGGCCTGGGCTCTGTCTCCTGGCTCCTGAGCCTCTGGTGTAGCTGTTGCCAGGGATGCCATGTCTGTCCTTGGGGCCAACAGAACCAGGCCCAGAAGTGTCCCCACCCCACATCCCCCCAGAGCGGGTGTGCCCCTGCACAGCCCAGCCCAGCCTGTCAAGAATGGGTCCCAGCGAACAGGGGCCTCTCACCCTCATCTGCCCAGCCTTGGGGAGCCTGGGCTGGGACGGGTGTTGGGGTCCTTAGGCCTGTGGGCAGCAGACACCAGGTCCCCAGTGACCAGACTGTGGCCAGGTTGGCTGAGTGCTCACTGCAGCCTGGGCCAAGAGTGGCCCTGTCCCACTGCCGTACTCACCAGACCCTGTGAGGCCGGTGGGGGGAACCTGGACAGTGCACCTTGTCCAAGGTCCCAGGAAGGGGAGGCGGTTGATGTCCTTGAAGAAGCACAGAACATCCTCACTCTGGCCACCAGGACGGGAGCAGGGAAGCCCCCGTGTCCACAGTGCACGGCCGGGCACATGGTACTCCCTGCCCTTCTTCCTGCCCCGTCATCCAGGCTTGGCCAGGGGCCTGCCCAGTGCTACTCCCCTCCCTCAAGTCCCCGACACCTGCACTGTCCTCACTGACCTGGGAGCCTGTGCCCATTCTCCACTGTGTCCCCCAGTCATGGCCATGAGAGGGACATCTGAACCACGGCAACCACTGGTGAATTTTAGTCAGCCGGGCAGCAGCTGTACCCCCAGGCCAGCTCCCAGTCGCCCACCCTGCACTTGGGGTGCTCCCAATGGGTGTTCAGCCCTGCCTGGGCCAACTCCACTGTGGGGTTTTCCTATTCCCTGGCCATCTGTGGCCACAGCAGAGGGCACCTGCGACTTTAAACTGGGGACCCACCTTGGGGATCCCCTCTGTCTCTTCCCAGGTTCTAGGCACAATGCTGTCCCTCCTGCCTCCTCCTGGCTTCTGGGCCTTGGCACCCACGTCCCCCAACCCTATGCTCCCTGCTGGACCCATCGCCATCCCAGCGCTGCCACCTTCAGCCCACACACATTCCTCTGGCTCTGAAACCCTCCCCTGCCAGCACCAGGCCCCATGCTATGGCCTAGCGCACCCTTTCCAAGGACAGGGAGCAGCTCCTTCCTTGACTGGTCCCAGGCACAGGAGAACCCAGGTCAGAGACTCCCCAAGGAAGTTGCCTGAGCCCCCACTGCACAGAGGTGGAATGTGCCCCCTGGGTCTGCCAGGCCTTGATGTGAGTCAAGCTGGGCTGCCCCAGGAAGCTGCCCCTCCTGAAGTTGGTGTTTGTCCTCAGCTGAAGTGTTTCCCAAATTCACATCTGCTCAGAGCCTCTGAGTGTGATTTTATGTGAAGATGGTGTCTCCATATTGGGGGATGCGATGGAGCTGCCCCTTGGCCCGGCAGTACAGCAGCAGCTGCAGCCTGCCCATGAGAACCCTGACTGCCTTGAACCTCAGGCCTCAGTCACCAAGGGTCACCACGCGGAAGGACCCGGGGGCTGCTGAGCACCAGGGATGGGCTCCTGACTCCTCAGGCCCAGTGCCACTGTGGAAGCTTCTTCTGAACGCCTGAGTCCAGGGCTGGATGCAAGAGCTTAGTGTGCAATGCAGACATTCAGGAAGCGTCACAAGTGTGGGCCCCATCCACACTCAGCCCTTCCCACATCCTACAGACAGTGGGACCCAAGCCTCCACCCTAGCAGCGGCATAAATTCCCAGCCCCTGGGACACCCGCTCTGTGCCCCTGTGGCACTGCCCTTTCCCTCAGCGCCCAGATGTAAGTTCTTAGGCCAAGAGACACGAGAACCACATCAGCCCCCAGCCTCGCCTCCTCTGCCCAGCCATACTTGAGCTGGCCCACTGGCCCACTGTAATTGCAGGCTGCAGCCTCATCTGCTGCTTGGCCCCCGCCTCCCTTCCTCCTACATGTGTGCTTGCAGCTGCAGCCCGGGCTCAGGAGGCAATTGCTTTGCACAGGCCCTGGAACAGCTGGGAGTGAGTGCAGCTGCAGGGCGGGGCTGGGCTGCTCTTCCACCCTGGATGGGGTCTTGTCTGGGAGCATGGTTTCTAAAGGGGGCAGGGCAGGACCCAGCTAGGTAACCTGCAGCCCTGAGATCAGGGACCTGTCCCCATCCACTGAAGGGCCCTGGGTCATGGGGCCTGTGTCACCACCACAGGTGGGGTTCCCACACTGCTATAGTTTTCCCTGAAGGCCACTGATGGAGAAGGGAGATGAGTGAGGAACATGTCCCAACAGCCTGGCCAGGTGGCTCTCATGGGTGCTGTCAAAGGAGAGCACTGGCCCTGCAGGCTCAGGGAGCAAGCGGCATTTCAACTGCCCTCAAAGAATGGACAGATGCAAGTGGTGGGAAGATAAGATGCTGCCCCAAGCATGAGGGAAAATTCCTTGTCCAGTCTCACCAGATCAGACGCTCCCAGTGGAGCAGCAAGGACTGAAATTTAAGGTGAGAGCAGCTCATGGAAAATTTTTTAAATGACAGGCTAGGGAGTTTGGATTCTACTTTTTTGAGCAGAAGTTGAAAACTATGGCTTGTATCCTGATTGACCAGCATGGTGTTTTTGTCTGTGGATGAGTTTCTCTGGGCTGGTGGGGTATGGAATGTGCACCCTTCTATGATTCTGGAGGCCACTGCTGCCTGTGGCTCACTCCTGATTCCTGCCGTTAGGTCATCTTTTCATATCTGGGGATGGATTTGTTTAGAAGGTTTTGGGGAAGAATCTGTAGAATTTGGAATTAGAGAAGTGCAAGGGATCAAAAATCAGTCAGGTTTGAGCCAGGAGTGGGTACCCCAGGAAAGGGTGAGAGAGGGTTCTGGAGTGGAAGACACCTCACAGCTGCCGGCAGGTGGCTGCTAGAGTGGAGCTGGGTTTCAGGGTTGGAGCTGGAAATCAGGGAGCTGCCAACAGGGAAGAGGTAATTATGGGAGACAATGGAGCCTGGAAGGAATGTGCAGGGAAAGGAGGGCAGAGGGCCTGGAACCTTAATGCAAACCCGTGTTACAGACCCAGGAAGAGGAGGTGGTTAGGAAGCAGGAGAGGTGGCTGCCTTGGGGCGCTGGAAAACAACCACATAAGCAAGTCCCAGTGGAGTTCACTGGGGAGGCTGGGCCCTATGCCAGCAGCCATGTGTCAGACACAGGGCAGGGGAGCAGCTGAAAGTCTTCTTCGCAGTTCTAAGAAGTGCCCCAAGCCTGTTTTCACAGCGAGAGGCCCTGCACACCCCTTTCTCCCACTGCCAGGCATACTGTGAACCCTCTCCTGCTCAGGAGGAAGAAGAGCCATCTCCTGGCTTCTCAAGAGCCCTGTGGGGGTGAACTGCCCCTTAGGCTGGGACACAGGCCTGGCTTTCCCGCCCACCCTACAGCCCGGCACAGGTGCTGTGTCTGTCCTGCCTGTTATTTCCAATGTGCATATTCGTGGATGTTTTCCACCCATTTCCATTTATTTTAAAGGAGTTCCTAATGTGTGAGGCTACTTGACATCGAGGCCATTCTGGAAGTGCAGGATTGCCATTTGGGACCCCTCTGCACGTTGCCTGTGCCTGAGAGCATCTGGACTGTATCAAAAGGCTGCTCAGTGCGGCTGCCTGGTTGTTTCCCTGTGCAGCTGTTTTCCTGCACTTTGCTTGGCAGAGAGCTGGGTGGAGGAGTCAGAGAAACCAGGGCCGAAGCTGGCTCTTCTACTTGCCAGGTGAGACTTGGACCTCAGTTTCCATATCTATAAAGCTGAGAGAATCTATTTCTGGAAGGATTAGTGATGTTTCTCCAGTAAGTACCTAGTAGGTACTCAACAAATGCTACTGATGATTTCTGGCGGACGCAGGCTACCATCCATATAGCTGCCTGGTGAGGAGGGAGAAGGGGACAGGATGCCAAGCCGAGTCAGCCGTGTTTAGGAGAATGGAGCACTGGGAAGCCAGGTCACTGTCAGGTGTTTGAAAATGTCTCGGGATAGAGAGATTCCCAACATGGGAGAAAACCCCAAACCAAAAAGACCCAACCAATTGAGAACTAGGTTCACGACCTGTGTACAAAAGTTTTTAAATGTAGCCAAAGTGGCTATTGGCAGGGTTTTTATCATGCACCCAACTGAAATGGTTTGTTGAGGGAAAATTGTAGTTTCATCATTCCATCCATTCTGGGTGTGGTATAGGGTAAAAAACAAAACCGTTCGGGAATAGGAAGATTATGAATTGCCCCCAAATGATGGTCAGAATAGTTTTCTATTATAGAATCTTATTCATTTTAATGTGCCGCTTTTAAGTCTTTTTAGTGGAAAATATTCATTTCGTGTAAGGTTAGTTGTTGGGGTATTTTTTTAATACACTATCTTAAAAATGTCTTGAGGAGAAGCAGTCATAAGGGTTTCCAGCCAAGCCACTCATCTGACAGCTGGATTCATTTCTGTCAACACAGGGCAGTGCGTTACTGTTGAGCTTTATGTGCTAAATACACGTTAGTTCCATATTTTTCTTTAGTTCCTTTTGGCATGGCTGTAGGGAAAAGGATCAACTTTGTGGGTTTGTTCGTTTGTTTGTTTTTGAGATGGAGTCTCGTGGCTGTCGCCCAGGCTGCAGTGCAGTGGCACGATCTCGGCTCACCGCAACCTCTGCATCCCTGGTTCAAGCAAGTCTCCTGCCTCAGCCTCCCAGTAGCTGGGATTATAGGCACCCGCCACCACGCCCAGCTAATTTTTTTGTATTTTTAGTGGAGACGGGGTTTCACTATGTTGGCCAGGTTGGTCTCGAACTCCCGACCTCAAGTGATCCACCCACCTCAGCCTCCCAAAGTGTTGGGATCACAGGCATGAGCCACCATGCCCAGCCTCAACTTTGTGTTTTAACACGAACATCCTTTCTGTTTTAGTTAGGACTTCATATTGTTTGTGACTCCTTTGTGAATGATAGGAAACCGCTTCCACCTGGGTAAACAGTGGAGGACATTTCTGGGTTCAGATAACTTAAAGGATGAGAAGCAGAGCAGGTTTAGGGTCAGTTCGACCAGTGGTTCCACAGTATCACTGAGACCTCAGTTTCTTTGAATTTTGTGATTCTGCTTGCCTTGGTGTTGACTTCATCCTGAGCCTGGCTTCCTGGAGCATGGGCATATGGCTGCAGCAGGTTCAGTCTTACATGCCAAACACTTCCTGTTTCCCATTGTAAAACCCCCTTTCCCATACCCCTCCCCTTAAGTCGCATTGGCCCAAACTGAGCCCCATGTTCAAAGCTAAACCAATCCCTTTGTCCAGGACTTTGCCAACTTTTCATCAGGTTAAGCCTGGATCATTTGAACCAGTGACTATGGGCAGGGGAGACAAATTGAACCCATCAGGGTCCACACCTGGAGCTGAGGTCAGATTTGCTCCATACCACCCCCATGCCCCACATTGTAAGGTGACAGCACAGTGGTCAGGGCTGGAAAGGAAGGGGTCAACCGTGGCATCCACTATAGCCTTGAAGCAGGATTCTGGGCAGCTGTCATTGGGAGTTTGCATATATGGGAGGAGTTAGAGATGAAGGGAGTTCTCCTGGGGAAGCCTCCCTGCTGTGATTGTCAGTGTTGGCCCCACGCTCGTGGACAGCATCCAACTGTCAACTTCACACATGGTCCCTCATTGCTGTCCTAATATCTGGGGGGGTCTCCTTTAACACTCCTTGTTAGAGAATATGGATCATTTTTTTTTCCTTAGAAACCATTTCTTTTTTTTCATCACTGACAATTGCCAACATACAAAGAAGAAAAGAGAAGCAACAACATTCCCGCACATACTCACAAATGGGTGTTTTAAAAAGTAGTGATTCTGAACCTTTGGGGTCAGGTCATAGATCCTTTGGGAAACCTAAGGAAAGCCGTGGGCTGTCTCTAGAAAAACATGCATGCAGGTGCCTTCCTGTGTGATTTCAGAAAGCCAAGCTGCAGAGCGCACGTTGTACCCAGTGGGGGACTTGGAGGAGGTTGTTGTTTTTGTTTTCTTTGTAGGCAGTGAGGCAAGTCCAGGAACTGGATTGCATTCACAAAGGAGGAGGGTTGAGGAGGGTACAAGTCCAGTTATTATAATGAAGTAATTTTTAATCTGATCACTGACAGTGACTGTTTCACTCTGCCAGGAGTGTTCAGAAGTAGCTCCCTGAGGATGGTGGTGTGTCCACCTTCTTTCTCAGCACAGGCCTTGGCACAATTTTTTTTTAACTTTCTTCTTGCAACAAGCATATATTGAGTTCTTTGTGTTTATGTTCCAGGATTGTGGTGGTCTTGGCTTACTAAGGTGTTAGACGGTCCCTTCATGTTTCTGGTCACGAGTTCTCTGAATCCACTTTAATTGTATTTTGCTTTGAAATCAGGATTTGGATAATGAGCCAGCATTGACCCCTTTTCTCTGTAGCATGAAAGTTCTGAGGTCTTAGTGCCCTGTTGTTTTCCTGGAACCCCTTCTTTGTCTGTGTCTGTTTGTTTCTCTCTGTCTCTGTGTCTTTCTGTCTCTCTCTCTCATGCCTCTCAGTTCGGCATGTTACCATCTTGGCTCCACACAAAGCCACTTTCTCTCCCCCTCCCTCCCTCTCTGTCTCTCTTCCTCCTTCCTCTGTATCTGTTCCCCTCACCCTTTCTAATGTGTATCTGTATATGCTCTATCTGTTTGTATTTTTGTAAGATATAATTTCAAGTGACAAAAAGGTAATGCTCAAATCTCATCTGTATCACATAACGGAGGGAAAGTGCCTGCCTGGAATAACATCCTATACCTCCACAACTCAGCATGCCTTCCTTGACCTGGGTTCATATTAAAAGAAATGACAACAGTTTTCTTAAAAATGACTTTAGCCAGTCAAACAGGATTCTGTTCTGAAGGACCTTCCTCTAAAGGCAGACCTGAAGTCTGTGGAGTGGCCTGGTAAGAATTTTCTGTGTCTTCAGTAAAGACAAATGCACTATCTAGTGGGGAATTTAGTGAGATAAATAGCAAAGTTAAGAATAATGGCACAGAATAGGAAGGACTGAAGCAGAAGCTATTAGGCAATGGAATCCATGAATAAATAGGAACCATCCCATGAAGGGTGAGCAAGTAGTCGAAAGAAGTTAGCATGAGTAGAAGAAAAGGAGAATAAGAGTAAGATGGAGCTGGGGCAGCTCCCATTTATTCTTCTCAGTGAAGGAATACTGCCAAGGGCAGCTGCCTGTTAAGTGTTGCTGTGGAAACACTTAACAAATGGAAACTTGACAAGAAGTATGTAACATGTTCCTGAAGTACAAGAAGCTTCTAATACTGAGCAAGAAAATGATACATGTCAACTGTAAGGATGCCAAAACAAAATGAGTGGTTACCAACGAGTAATTTCACTCTCACGTACCATTTGACAATAGTTAGAGACATTTTTGGTGGTCACAAAAGGGTGCTGCTACTGGTGGACTGCTGTGTAGTGAGTGGAGGCTGGAGATGCTGCCACAATTCTACAATGCACTGGATAGCTGCCTAGCGACAGAATCATTCAGCCCCAACATCAAGAGTGCCAAGGTTGAGAAACACTTACCTAAACCACGACACGTTGGTTCAAAACAAATTAACCTTTCTTTCTAATTCTGACATATTTCAAATCAATTCTTAGCCCTTTAAACTATGTGCTTCTACTATGAATATCACTAGTCATTATAATTGAAAACATCTGAAGTTAAGTACATAAACTTCTACAATTTAAAGTTATTATTTTGTTTTGAAAGATTCCACTCCTTATACAAGAAAAGGAATATGTTGAAAGGTTCTCTGAGTTGTATTATTGCAGTGTTGCTGATGTAAGTAAAAGGAATCGGCAGAAATGGATATTTTCAGACAATAGGGAAATAATGAAAGTGATGAAATTGCAGAGTCAAATCTGTTACCTTTATAAAGCAAAATGTCCAAAGCCCATTGCCCTGTAGCCCTAGTCCATCTAAATGTGCGTATTTCGGCCTTCTGCAGACTTAATATACTTATTCAATAGCTGACTCTAGGCAGGTAAGTGCTCAATAATGTGGCCATGTTAGAGTTACACATGGACGGGTAAATGTTTACCTAGTGTGATTTCAACTTCAGAGAGAAAAAAATATATTCTTCACTGACAAAGGGGAAATGATTGCCTTGTCTTTTCAAAGTCATTAGATTCTACCATTAGATACAGAAAAATCCTAGGCAGGGTAACATACAGATTGAGCATCTTAATCCAAAATACTGAAATCTGAAATGCTCCAACATCTGAAACTTTTTGAGTGCTGACATGATGCCATAAGTGGAAAATTCCACACCTGACCTTAGGTGATGGGTCACAGTCAAAATGCAGTCAGATTTGTTTTTATGCGTAAAATTATTTAAAATATTTTATCTAATTAGTTTTAGGCTATTTGTATAAGGTGTATACAAAACATAAATGAACTTTCTGTTTAGACTTGGATTACATCCCCAACATATCTGATTATGTATATGCAAATATTTCAAAGTCTTAAAAAAAAAAAACCCAAATCCACAATACTTCTGGTCCCAAGGTAAGGGGATCCTTAGCCTGTATTAAATTTTAATAGCTGTTACCATTTTAATAGGAATTAATCTTAGAATTTTTAGAGATTTAACAGAGGTTTAAAATTCTTGTTGTTTTTAGGGTGGAGAAGAGAGCAGTTTAGAACAGAGGGCTGAGACTTCAGTAGGGAGCTTTCACAAGGCAGGGGCAAACCATGAACAACATGAAGCTTTGAGGAAAGCATAACACATCGAATGCTTCATAATTGAACTAAGTTTCTCCTAAATAGTTTACATTTATTTATCAATAATGTTATTTTTATTTTCCTTAAAAAATCTAGTAAGGTTGCTATGACAATTTTACATGTGTGGAAACTGAGGCCTGATTAGGAGTTCATCAATGTGCCCAGGGTCACATAGTGAGCAGATGGCAGAATGGGGTTTTGAATTGAGTTGTGACTGACCAGACAGAATGTACTTTAAAAAAATTGTCCCTCAAAATCCTTTCATGAAGATTATGTGAACGAACATTTAATGACTGGCCATAAAGTAAGGAAAACTACCATTACTTGATGATTTCTCTGCTAAATCCTATGCAAATATAGTATAGTAAATACTGTTCTAGTATAGTCTTTACATAAATTACTTTATGAACAATAATAGCTGCACAATTTGTTAGAGATATGCTCAGGAATAAACGAAACCAAAATTCAGTGGCTTGAACAAAAGAGGTTCATTTTACCTGTATCAAGAATCTTGGCTGGGCACAGTGGCTCACACCTGTTAGCCTAGAACTTTGAGAGGCTGAGGCGGGAATATCGCTTGAGCCAGCAGTTGAGACCAACCTGGGAACATGGCGAGACCCCCATCTCTACAAAAAATTTAAAAATTAGTTGGGTATGGTGGTATGCACCTGTAGTCTGAGGTACTCAGGAGGCTGAGGTGGAGGGATCACTTAAGCCTGGGAGATCGAGTCTGCAGAGAGCTATGATCGCACCATGCCACTCCAGCCTGGGCGACAGAGTGAGATCCTGTCTCTAAAGAAAAAAAAAGGAAGAGAAAGAATCTTATCCTATGTAATCAAGCCCTAGTATTTGTTGATTAAGTCCCTGAAAAGTCCACCAAAATCTCTTCATAAACCAAAGGCAAGTTTACTGCTTACTGTTGTATGGGACACCACCACTTGCAGAGCATCTTACTAGCTACTTATAGTAAGGAGGCCACAGGCAGGACGGTTGTGAGATATTTGGTGTCTGGTTTAACATGGCTTTCTTAACGTGAGGCGTGCTTGAAACTGGGTAAACTTCAAGGTACAATAGCTAAGGGTTAGTGAACACAGGGAGGTAAGGATTTGGAAGGGACTCTTGTTGGGTAGATAGCCAGTTGATTAGTTGGTTTGGATAATCTGCTGTCCTGAGAAGAGAGAAATGAGGATTAGTTGAGTGGTCTGTTGTTCAGATAAACAGATTAGGGGATGTTCCTGAAACTAACAATAATGTAAGTTTCAGTGTTATCGGGGCAAGAGTTTCTCCACTGAGTAAAGTCACTTAGATGCAGATGTGTTGGTTCTCACATTGTAGCTCAAAAATTTCATCAATGATTCAGGTTTCTTTATTTTTCCATTCTTACAGTTTGAAGGCAGCTGGAACAGTTTCAAACATCACACCCACATCCCAGATATTAGAAAGACAAGGGAAAAGAGAAGGGGCAAACAGCTAAAATCTAGGTCACCTGAGTCTGTCCGGTTTTTCCAGAAGTCTTGTATGTTGGTATCATTCCATTGGCCACAAGGTCTCATGACTAGCTCTAGCCAGAAGGAAACTGAGAAGGCAAATCTTTAGGCTTTACAGCTTCTCCAGCAGAAGGAGTAAAAAGAGGTTATAAATTGATTTTGTGTTGCTAATACACCGTGATGATTACCCAGATGATTTTATCTAAATAATTTTCTAACTAGACAGTATTAATATTAGCAGGTATCGTGATGAATCATGCTGTATCCCCAGGCACTCTGCCAGGTTATTTACATTCATCACTTCATGAAACTTCACTCTAACCATATTTTGTAGATATTAGTATTATTCCCTTTATGGATCAGGAAAGTGATGGTAATTAACTTGCCTAAGGACACAGAGTTGGTAGATATCAGAGAAGGGATTATAAGAACCCAGAACTATTTTACTCGAAAGTTTCTGCTACACATCCACTGCTTCTTCCAGTGTAAAGATGTAGCACTCAACTGTAATGGACATATTAACTGTGATTCATTAATGATGATTAATTAACTCTCCTGTATCCAAACAATGTCAGTTACAATCAGAAACTCCTATAATCAGATAATAAATCAAATTTACCTACATATCCAGAATGTTTTTTACACGATAAAATCTGACTGTAAGAAAAAATAAATTTCACCTAATGTGGAATAAAGTAGTGTAGCATTTTTTAAAATGTACCAAAGGCAATCAAATGAAACTGGTGTTATGAGCCATATTTTTGTTGGCAACTGTTATCACCCAAACACACATATTCAGAATAATTTCATCTTATTCAAAGATTCAAGATTCAAAAATATTTGTGAAAACTCATCTGAAAAACTCATCTGCAGCATGAACTTTTTCCTATTTTCCTGTAGTATCCCCACATCTAATTATTTTAAATAGCAATCTCAGTAAAATTATAAAATTAATAAAATTATTTTGTCCTAGCATGCTGCAGATTCTTCCATGTTTGCACTGTAAAATCAACTAATCGAAAATTTGAAACACACTGTTGCCTGTTACTTTTTCTGAGTCTATGAAAATATAAATTGTCATCTTTTCTTGCTGTTATTTTGCTATTCAGCGGGTACACAAATGCACATGACAAAATGAGGATCGCCTTATTTGTAAGACTGAAAATAAGGCTTGTGTTTCTCTCAAGTCGTGCTTGTATTTCTCACTGGCTATCAGGTGTCCCATCCCAGCCCCTGCTGTCCGCAGGGACCCCTCTGGGCAGCTGAGTCTTGCTCATTCCAGGACCTGGCAGCTACCCTGGAAAAAAACCATTGGCAAAGCTGTGCAGGCCCTCTTTGGAGACCGGAGGGCTTTCCTGGTGCACTGCCTGGGCCGGCAGCTTCCTCACAAACACAGCACACTGCTGGGGGCAAGCTGCTGGCCTCTCCTGCCTCACACAGGGCCGCTTAGGCGTGGTCCTACCAGTTCATCATTCTCCTGGGCAGCCATCTCCAGAGTGCCTTGCCCAGCCCATGTGGCCCCCATCGCCATAGCCCCAGGTGCCACCATTGTCCTAGGTGGTCAGCTCAGTGCCACCCTCACTGGCAGCCCACCCTCCCGTCCCACAGCCCAGATTTCCTGGCATTAAGCTCAGTCTCTTGCTGCTACAGGGAGCAAGAACTGTGCCAGGAAGCTGGGGGGCGAACAAGGTGTAGGAAGAGGACCCTGCGACAGAGGAGAGGTAAGGTCTGGGCATCCAGGGCCAGACTGGTCTCTGCCAGCTCCAAGGCTGACAGCATCCTGAGGGGACAGCGGGCCCCAGATGGACGGAGAAGGGGTGCTGCAGTGATAAACCCCGGACAAACACAGGAGTGATACAATTGTAAGAATCACGAGGCCGGGCATTGTGGCTCACACCTGTAATCAGCGCTTTGGGAGGTCCAGACAGGCAGATTGCCTGAGCTCAGGAGTTGGAAACCAGCCTGGGCAAGATGGTGAAACCCCGCCTCTACTAAAATACAAAAAATCAGCTGGGCGTGGTGGCCGGCGCCTGTAATCCCAGCTACTCAGGAGGCTTAGTCACGATGATTGCTTGAACCCAGGAGGCGGGGATTGTAGGGAGCCAAGATCGCGCCATTGCACTCCAGCCTGGACAACAAAGCGAAACTCTGTCCAAAAAAAGAAAAATAAAAGAAAAAATCACGGATGATGGGGCAGCGCACATTAAAAAGGGGGATCCTGGGGCCAGAGATCTGCTCTGGGTCCCGAGTGTGGGTAGCAGAGGGAGGCACGGCTCCCCTGCCAGGGCTGCACACTCTGCAGTGGCGCAGAGCGCCCGGGGTGCTCTGAGCGCGGGGCCCCCAGACATCGCGGGGCATCCTGCACAGCTGGGGTGCGGCCCTGAGCCGAGAGCGGGCCAGGGGTGCGGAGGACAGGATCTCCGATGCCCCCGCTCCTCGGGCGCCCGCAGGGCTGAGCTCCAGCTGGGAGCGGGGACCCGGCAGCCTCTAGGCCCGGGCTCCCTCCAGAGGCAGCGTTCCACCCTGACCCTAGCTTCCGCCTGCGGCGTCCAGATGCCGAAAGCAGGGAGCCTGAATCCAAAACTGCGATCAGAGAATCGTGTGTGTGAAGGGTTTCTTGTGTCCTCCGTGTTCCCCTGTGGAAGCGAGTGGAGGTGCCTCGAGCCTGCACACAAGATGCTCTCAGGAGACCCTGAGCTCCCATTGCGCCTGTGAAAGGAAAATATTTTGGGCCCCCCAAAATCATTAAATTAAACTTAAGCTTGGAGCTGCTTAGGGCAAACCTGCCTCCCATTTTATTTAAAGTCTCTCCCCTGCTCACTGAGATAGATGCGTATTTGATTTGCCTCCTTTGGAAAGGTGTTTGTGCTGGGCAGCACCAAGGCGCGGTGCAGGGAATGGTTCAGGACTGCGAGCAGATGCGGGCCAGGACTGTGTGTCCAGGAGCGGCAGGCGCCAAGTGCTGCTGCGTGGTCAGCGGCACCAGGTGCAGTCGGGGCTTGGGCACCTCCAGGTCATGCTTGCGTTTCTCCAGGGCGATCTCAGGCTTCCACAGGGTCTCCAGGGGACACAGCTGGGAGCCGACTGTCAGAGCGTCCAGAAGGCTCGTCTTACCGCAGCCCTTTTGCTGTCTTGGTTCCCGTGGATCCCGTTGCTCAGGCGGCGCAGGGGCTCCCTGTACTTGGGCAGCGGCTTTAGCTTGTCCAGGCACTGCTGCTGCTCGGCCCGGCTGGAGCCCGCTGGGCTCATGACTGAGCCGCGTTTCATAGGGGCGTTTAAAGATCCGGGTCATGGGACTCTGAAGTTCTGGTGCGCCATCCCTGGGCTCTGGGAGGGTTTCGGCGAGGGGCTGGGCAGGAAGCTAGCCACTGGGCGCTGGGGCAGGGCCGGAGCTGATGTTGGAGTTGGGCTGTGAGACCGGGGCTAGTCGGGTTGTGAGGACGGCAGTCGGGGAGGGGACATCGACTGCAGGGTCTGCACCTGTTGGCCCTGCGACGGCGAGGACATCATGGGGAGGCTGCTCTGGCTACCATGGACTCCGGGAGCCACCACCTGGGGAGCCTCAGCGGTCCGCACCACTGTCAGCTACTGCGTCCAGGACTGCACCGGCTGCAGCGGGGCTGCACTTGCAGCTGCTGAACTACCCTTGGAGCTCAGACAAATTGCAGCTGTTGTTGGGCATACATCTGTCCAGGGAATGCTTGCACTTGCCACACCAAAGGCTGGGTCTGTGACTGACTGTGGCGGGAGCTGCAATGGTTGGTTCTGAGCAGCTGGAGGTTGCCGGGACTATGGCAGCTGCTAGTGGTGGTGTGGTTGACGTATCTGCTGCAGCTGCTGGGGCAGGACCTGGGAGGGGGCAGGCTGCAGCAGACATTGCATTGGTGGCTGCTGTATTGGCACTGGGCCTGCAAAGCCTGTTGCTGCTGCTCCTGTAGCTGCAGCTGTGCCCTGTGCTGCTGCGTCTGTTGCTGGTTTTGATGATTCAATATAACTGGAAATTTTATTGGTCTTTTGTATTTTTTTTAGTCTCCATTTCTGTTCTGATTTTGTTTTGTTTTGTTTTGAGACGGATTCTTGCTTTGTCACCCAGACTGGAGTGCAATGGCACGATCTCAGCCCACTGTAACCTCTGCCTCCCCCGTTCAAGCGATTCTCCTGCCTCAGCCTCCCAAGTAGCTGGGATTACAGGCACCAGCCACCATGCCTGGCTAATTTTTGTATTTATAGTAGAGACTCGGTTTTGCTATGTTGGCTAGGCTGGTCTCAAACTCTTGACCTCAGGTGGTCCGCCTGCCTTGGCCTCCCAAAGTGCTGGGATTACGGGCGTGAACCACCACCCTGGCCTCTGCTCTGATCTTTGTTATTTCTTTTCTTCTACTAATTTTGGGTTTGCTTTGCTCTTGCTTTGCTATTTCTTTAAGATGCAACATTAGGTTGTTTATTGGAAGTTTTTCTACTTTTTATGTAGGTGTTTATTGCTATAAACTTCCCCCTTAGTACTGCTTTTGTTGTATCCCATAGATTTGGTTACATTGTGTTTCCATTTTCATTTGTCTCAAGAAATTTTTAAAACATTTTCTTCTTAATTTCTTCATTGACTCAATGGTCATTCAGAAGCATGTAGTTTAATTTCCATGTGTTTGTATGGTTTTCAAAGTTTCTTTAGTTATTTCTCGTTTTATTCCAGTGTGGTCAGAAAAACATATTTAATGTAATTTCATGTTTAAAAAAATTTTTTTGAAACGTGTTTTGTGGTCTACCATACGGCCAATCTTTGAGACTGTTTTATGTGCTGGGGAGAAGGATGTGTATTCTGAAGCTGATGGATGAAATATTCTGTAAATATGTATTAGGTCCATTGAGTCTACAGTACAGATTGTCTGATGATTC
This sequence comes from Homo sapiens, assembly GCF_000001405.40. Taxonomy (NCBI): domain Eukaryota; kingdom Metazoa; phylum Chordata; class Mammalia; order Primates; family Hominidae; genus Homo; species Homo sapiens. The sequence continues at coordinate 130,250,603 of NC_000002.12, read as the reverse complement.
TTTGTTAACTTTCTGTTTAGATGATCTGTTCAATGCTGAAAGTGGGGTGTTAAAGTCCCAGCTATTACTTTATTGGTATTTGTCTCTCTAACTCTAATAATATTTGCTTTATATATCTGAGTGCTCCAATGCTGGGTACATATATATTTATAATAGTTATATTAGCTTGAAGAATTGATGATTATATAATAAACTTTATTGTCTCTTTTTACAGTTTTTGTCTTGAAATCTATTTTGTCTCATCTAAGTGTAGCTAGCTACTCCTGCTCTTTTTTGGTTTTCATTTCATGGAACGTCTTTTTCAACCCCTTCATTTTCAATCTATATGTGTCTTTATAGGTGAAGTGGATTTCTTGTAGGAAGCCTATAGTTGGCTCTTGTCTTCTAATTGATTGAGCTACTCTGTGTTTTTTGATTGGATCATTTAGTCCATTTACCTTCAGTGTTATTATTGATAGGTAAGGGCATAGTATTGCAATTTTGCTACTTGTTTTCTAGTTGATTGTTTGGTCCTCTCTTCCTTTCTTTCGTGCTTCCTGTGTTCCTTTGTATAAAAGTGAGTTGCTCTGGTAGTATGTTTTAACTGCTTGCTTTCTATTTTGTGCATACCTATCATAGGATTTTGGTTTTTGGTTACCATGAAGCTTGTATAGAACATCTTATAACCAATTATTTTAATCTAATGACAACTTCTTTTTACCTTCTTCTTTTGCAGAATTTGAAGGTCAGAGGTGAGAGCTTAGGGTCTTCCTGGGTCATTCCTGATCACGTGCCTGGCCCTGAGCATCCACATTGCCTTCTAGATTTCCAAAACTATTGTCACAGCCCTGAATTCCAGAGGGTGTCCTTTCCAAGTCTTCCTTCCTAGGGTTTTTCAACAAGACTATTTTTGCCCCAACTGATATCCTTTTCTCAGATGAGTGGGGTCAGCCATTTCCATTTAAATGTTTTTAACAGGCATTTAGTTATTGATTTGAGATTTTTCTGCTTTTTCATTGATGGAATTCTGCTGTAAGCTTCCTTCAGAGCATGGTTTTCAATTAATCCTGTAAGTTTTTTTTTTAGGTTTTGTCTACTTTTTCATTTATCTTAAAATACTGTCTTATACTACTTGTGGTTTCTTTTTTGGCCTTTTATTATTTTGGAAAGTTTCTGCTAATGTTCACATTTTTAGGAGTTTCCCAGATTTCTTCCTTTCATTGATCCTTAATGTGCTTTTATCATGATGAGAAAATATTCTTTGTATTATTTTAATCCTTCAATTTAATTGGTGTTTGTTTTATGGCTTTGCATAGTGTCTTAGAAAATGTTCTGTGTGCATTTGGGAAGAATACAGATTGTGCTGTTGAATGGTGTGTTCTATATGTATCTGTTAGGTGTATTTGGTTTCTGATGTTGTTCATATTTTCTATTTCCTTGTTATCTTGTGTCTAGTTGTTATACCCATTAGTGTAAGTGGGGTACTAAAGTCTCCAACTATCATTGCTGAATTATTTCATTTCTGTCAAGTTTTGCTTCTTGTGTTTCTGTACTCTTTCCCTGAGTGCATACATGTCAATAAGTTTTACATTTTCCTGATTAATTTACCCTTTGTCGTTATAAAATATCCTTATTTCTGTTAATATTTTTGTTGTTGTTTTAAAGTAAGTTTGTCTAATTTTAGACAATTCCTTTTGTCCCTCTAAGAAACAGTCTATTCAGAAGGTGCCGTGATTGTCCCTGGCAGGGAGGGTTGGTGCCCTGGACTTGGTGGAGAGAGCAGCAATGCTGTGTCCACAGGGCTGAGTGCAGCTGCCTAACAGCAGGGACTCACAGTAACAGTGGCCAGGACACCTTGGGCACATTGGCCACAGTGATGCCAGTGAGGAATATAACAGAGTCCAGGATGTGATACTGCAGGGACACTGCCATGATGAAGAAAAGGGTGCCGGTGGAGATGGCCATTCCCGCCACAGACCAACACAGTGCCCCCTCTCAGCGGCAATGGCGTCTTCTCATTTCCAACTCCTGAGATCAAGGAGGCAATATGACCAGTGGTGTGCGGTCACCGTGCCGATCGCTATGCCGTGGCGATGCCTACCAGGGAAGTAGACATTTTATTCCAGGGATGTTAGCTATGAGGGGCACACAGCCAGCTTGTAGCCCTCCCTCAGCGCTTGCATGATCCATGAGCGTGTGATGTTATGAAGACCAAACATGTGTCATCTAGGCCCTTCAGTTTCATGCTTCCTCTACGACAAGCTTTGTAACAAGGTGTCACAAAGAACAGACATGAGGCCCCAGAAGGGAGAAGGGGTGTGGGTGGGCATGCAGCCCGAGAGCTAGCAGCCTCACCTCCCAGACAGGTTGGAGAAGAGAAACAGATGTTCTTGTTCCCAAGAGGGTCTCGTGTGCAACTCAGAGGAGCGGGCCTAGGGCTCAGACTCCCCCATGACGGGCGAGTTACCCACCTAGAAGAAATGTGGAAAACAGATCAAAATTAGGCACCTTGTTCCTTGCCTCTTACACTGAGGTAGGGAAAGGTGGAACACCAGCTGCTCTAAGCACAGTCCCCAGGGCTGGTGCCCCTGCCACTTGCCCGACACCCCATAGAAGGCAGCACCTTGATATCTGCAGAGATCTGGTCTTCTCTTCAGCCTCCACAATGCCCACACCCCAGCTGCTCTGCAGCGATGATCTCCTCAGAATCTGAGATGACAAGAGCTTGCTGCAGAAGAAAGCTGTGACAGGTGCCTCATATCCTAGAAGGACCCCAGCCCTCCTCTCCAATCTGTGCTGCAGCAAACCCCAGCATGGAGGCCTTGGAACCTGAAGCTGTCACATTGGCAAGAATACAACTGAAGATGGTTTGACCTAGGAGCTGAAGACTCTAAGAACTATTCTTTCTTAAGCTCAAAGAGATGTTCTTGGAACCAGAAAAGGCTGCTGTCAGGCAGATCTAACAAAGCAAGAGCCCTGGACCTCATAGAAAGGGAAACAAGGGTGAGCTATACTGGCTGGGCATCTGGGAAGAACACTGAAGGTGTTAATAATCTCGTGAGGGTCAGGGAAATTCTAACAAGGTGATCTCCTGCTTTGAGCTCGGCAGGAGGCATCCTTTGCACCTAGAACCTTCACTCCAGCCAGCAGCTCCCTGAGCCAGGGCCAGCATGGCTTTCCTGCCTTGGACACCTGTCAGGGTTCCTGGTGAGAGGGGAGTGCTAGGTCCCCTCGCTGAGTGCATTTTGGGACTCAGACTGTCTCAGAACAGTCACAGATCAACAATCCCAGGTGGATCTCCTCTGCTTTTGGTTAAGAAACTCCCTGACCTTCTACAGGCTCCTTCCAGAAGCCCCCAGATAACTGTCCACAAATGCTGAGAGCAGGCATAGATGTTGGACAGTGATTCACATTTTCCTGGATGGGAACACGCTTGATCATCAAAATCCTGTGAGGAACAGGGTTCAGAGAGATGTAACTTGCCCAAGCTTTCTCAGACAGGGAAGGGCAGGCCGGAGCTTGAGCAGGGACTCTCGGCTCCTGGGGCCCCAAGCTCCTACTCTCCTGAGGCTTCCTCACCTGGGAGTCACCAGAGACCAGAGGAGGGGTGGCTGGCACCCACCTGAGGATCATCTTAAAGAGGTGGACAAGATGTCAGTGCTTTTTATCTCTTGCCAACAAGTAAAGATCCCTATCAAAATGACAACTAGGACAAGTACATAGCCAAGTACACCTGGGTGAGGAGCAGGGGCATCAGCCAGAGAAATAGGCAGCAGCAAGGACCCAAGCCTGGAGGCTGGGGCTCTCCATAGGAGGATGTGATGCTGGCAGCTGTGACCTGGTGTAATTTACAGGCCACAGCATTCACCTATGTTAAGTGCACCATTTGTTGATTTTTTTGTAAGTTTGCAGAGTTGTGCAACCATCCTGCACTTCAGCCTCAGCATCTCAATGCTGCCAGCAGATGCCCCCTGCCCCTCTGCAGTACCCTTTGCTCCATCCGCAGTCCCGGCACCACTGATCTGCTTCCTGCCCTGTGGATGTGCCTATTCTGCACATTTCACGTCAATTTAATCCTGCGACACGTGGCTGGCTGCCTCTGGTTTCTGTCTGTCAGCGTCATGTGGCGGACTCAATTTTGTGATTTGATTTCCCAGGTCTCATCAGGCACACATGCTCTCCATGTTAAAGGGAAAGGCTAGCTTGGAGGAAACAGAGCCCAAAGATACTTCACATGGATGCATATTTTCTTCCTCTTAAAAATGCAGGGTGCTTCATGTCTGTCTCTCTCTTTTGTGAAATTCATGCACAAACTGCCTGTGAGACATTGGAAAGGCAGATACCATTTCTGTTTTACAGCAGAGGAAATGACTGTTTTTCCCACACCCATGCAGTGACAGCCTCTGTTCTCCCTGTTACTGCCTGAGCAAAACCAGGAGGGGACACTCAAGAGACTTATATTGTCCAGGGACTGTTGGTAGTGCTGAATCCCACATGCGATCCAGCACAGGAGGGTGCCGGTCCACAGGAGGAGGGAGAACCTTCCACCATCTGCTTGAGGAACCTGACAATCTCTGGTGTCTGCTTGGGAGGCGTGAGGACACTGGGCCCATGGTGGGCCAGCAGCTTGGCTGCTCTGGTGCCAGAGAGACCCTGAGAAGGCCAAGCAAAGCACACGCGCAAAGACAAATAGGAAGCAGACATTTCTTCTCCTTCGGGGGTTGGGCTGCATATTTTTGCAGCTTAGGGTTAGGCATCCATGTGCCCAAAGAAGATCCTGGGAAAAGGGGGCCATGCCTCATCCCTCCAGCTGCCCACCCTTTTTGAAAGAATATGTAATGCTTAATACCAGTCAGGCAATATGCTGTGTATACTTCCTTACTTATTCTTCAAAATAACCGTCCAAGGAAGGGACCGTTTGAGGTTATCAGAACTCTGCATTTAGAAAATCACTTTTCAAGAGCCTGCATTGCCAAGTCAATCCTAAGCCAAAAGAACAAAGCTGGAGGCATCATGCTACCTGACCTTCAAACTATACTACAAGCCTACAGTAACCAAAACAGCATGGTACTGGTACCAAAACAGAGATATAGATCAATGGAACAGAACAGAGCCCTCAGAAATAACGCCGCATATCTGCGAATATCTGATCTTTGACAAACCTGAGAAAAACAAGCAATGGGGAAAGGATATCCTGTTTAATAAATGGTGCTGGGAAAACTGGCTAGCCATATGTAGAAAGCTGAAACTGGATCCCTTCCTTACACCTTATACAAAAATTAATTCAAGATGGATTAAACACTTAAACGTTAGACCTAAAACCATAAAAACCCTAGAAGAAAACATAGGCATTACCATTCAGGACATAGGCATGGGCAAGGACTTCATGTCTAAAACACCAAAAGCAATGGCAACAAAAGCCAAAATTGACAAATGGGATCTAATTAAACTAAAGAACTTCTGCACAGCAAAAGAAACTACCATCAGAGTGAACAGGCAACCTACAAAATGGGAGAAAATTTTCACAACCTACTCATCTGACAAAGGGCTAATATCCAGAATCTACAATGAACTCAAACAAATTTACAAGAAAAAAACAAACAACCCCATCAAAAAGTGGGCGAAGGACATGAACAGACACTTCTCAAAAGAAGACATTTATGCAGCCAAAAGACACATGAAAAAATGCTCGCCATCACTGGCCATCAGAGAAATGCAAATCAAAACCACAATGAGATACCATCTCACACCAGTTAGAATGGCAATCATTAAAAAGTCAGGAAACAACAGGTGCTGGAGAGGATGTGGAGAAATAGGAACACTTTTACACTGTTGGTGGGACTGTAAGCTAGTTCAACCATTGTGGAAGTCAGTGTGGTGAATACTCAGGGATCTAGAACTAGAAATACCATTTGACCCAGCCATCCCATTACTGGGTATATACCCAAAGGATTATAAATCATGCTGCTATAAAGACACATGCACACGTATGTTTATTGTGGCACTATTCACAATAGCAAAGCCTTGGAAGCAACCTAAATGTCCAACAATGATAGACTGGATTAAGAAAATGTGGTGCATATACACCATGGAATACTATGCAGCCATAAAAAATGATGAGTTCATGTCCTTTGTAGGGACATGGATGAAACTGGAAATCATCATTCTCAGTAAACTATTGCAAGGACAAAAAACCAAACACCGCATGTTCTCACTCATAGGTGGGAATTGAACAATGAGAACACATGGACACAGGAAGGGGAACATCACACTCTGGGGACTGTTGTGGGGTGGGGGGAGAGGGGAGGGATAGCATTAGGAGATACACCTAATGCTAAATGACGAGTTAATGAGTGCAGCACACCAGCATGGCACATGTATGCATATGTAACAAACCTGCACGTTGTGCACATGTACCCTAAAACTTAAAGTATAATAATAATAAAATTTAAAAAAATAGAATTAATAATACTGATTGAGACCAGGAATGGAAGTTGGGAATTGGAAACAGAGATACTTCATGATATTCCCTTATAAATTTTAACCATATGAAAATATTATCTTTTCAAAAAACAATCAATCAATGTAAATTCTACAAATATGGAATGAGCATAAATACGTACTTCTTGCAAATCTTTGGTTTTATAGCTAAAATAATTAACAGTGATTATCAAATTCTTACTACATGACAGAGACTAAGTGCAAAAAGTAGAATGGAGAACAAGATAGTAATTTTCCTGATTCTGTAAAGACAGATGAAATTATAGATGAGCACATAAAAGTTATAAGAACATCCCAGTGTCATTTGCACAGGAGAGCAAAAAATTATCATTACTATACTGATTAAGCTAACCATTATTATTCACTACCAAAGCTTATTTTATATATTATATACATTATATTTATATAAATATGTTTTATATAATAAAATATTCATATATTGTATATAATATAGTTAATACCTATTGATAAGCAACATCTTGGTTATTTTAAGGGATTAATAATGTTTCTAAATATGTTCACTTTATAAGTAAAAATAAAGTCTTGCGTAATCTTTGTCAATCAAAAAAAAAAGAAAATATTTACAGAGAACTAAGCCAACTGGTGGTTTTATCCTCATCATTTTCTTTTCCTTCATCCCTTCCTTTTTTCAAAACCCTATGAAACGGTATATGTACAAAAGAACCATGTCTAACCACAGGTTTTAATTCAAGGAAGACAGAAATTTCCCCTCCCAAATAAACCCCAATATAATGAAGCCAGTAATTCAATAAGGGAAAGAAAAATAACATTTTCTTGGAGGAAAGTTGCCTGCTAATGGGGCACCACAGTTTTCAATCTAAGCTGCCCCCAGGCATTGATAGTGGCCAAAAGGACGGATTTCCCAGAGAGTTTCCAGAAGAGGAGTCGCCAGGCACATTCTCTTTTTTCCCTGCTTTATGATTGTATCTGGTATGGTCACCAGGGAAAGTCAGGCCTTCAGCTAGTTTTGAACTGTGTGAGCTAAGCCCTGTTTCAGCTGAGACTAGCTTAGACAACATAGAGAAACCCTGTGTCTACAAAAAATAAATAAATAAAAAATCAGGCTGGGCACGGTGGCTCATGCCTGTAATCCCAGCACTTTGGGAGGCTGAGGCAGGTGGATCACCTAAGGTCTGGAGTTCGAGACCAGCCTGACCAACAAGGAGAAACCCCGTCTCTACTAAAAATACAAAATTAGCCGGGCGTGGTGGCACATGCCTGTAATCTCAGCTACTTGGGAGGCTGAGGCAGGAGAATGGCTTGAACCCAGGAGGCAGAGGTTGCTGTGAGCCGAGATTGCACCATTGCATTCCAGCCTGGGCAACAAGAGTGAAACTCCATCTCAAAAAAAATGAAAATAAAAATCAGCTGGGTGTGGTGGCACATGCCTGTAGTCCCAGCTACTCAGCGGGTTGAGGTTGGGGGATCACTTGAGCCTGGGAGATTGAGGCTGCAGTGAGCCAAGATCATGCCACTGCACTACAGCCTGGGTAACAGAGCGAGACCTTGTTTCAAAAAAAAAGACAAAAGAAGGGTCAGTGAGTTGTTGTTGATGGTTATACAGCTGATCATGACTAACTTAGATATTACTTATAATGGGTGTGATAGCTATTACTGATTATCACAGCCTGAATTGTGTCCCCTCTCCAAAAAAAAATTATGTTTGATATCCTAACTCTCAGTGTCTAAGAATGACTGCATTTCAAGATTGGGTCTTTAAAAAAATAAATAAGGTTAAATGAGTTTGTTGGAGTGGGCTCTAATCCAGTATAACTGGTGCTCTGGTAAGTAGAGGAGATTAGGACACAGACAGGTACAGAGGAAAGACCATGTGAAGGTGCAAGGAGAAGATGGCCACCTACTAACCAAGAATAAAGGCCTCAAAACAAAACAAAAAAAAGGCCTCAAGGTGTCAACCCTGCTGACACCTTGATCTTGGAGATCTGGCCTCCAGAATTGTGAGAAAATAGATTTCTGTTGCTAAAGCCACCCAGACTGTGGTACTTTGTAATGGCAGCCCTAGCAAAGTATACACTTGAGTAATAAATTAGTAGATTTGATGACATTGATATTTCCATTATTTATTTTATTCAACTAATACCTCTAATAACTATTATTATATTAAACACTCTGGATTAAGTATAGCATGAAACGTTCTACATACATTATCTGTTTTATTCTCTCAAGACAATTCTGTCATGTAGGTACTACTTTTTTCCACATTTTGTATATGAGAAAATGTCATTGATGGCTAGAAGGGTTTGAGAAACTTGCCTAAGTTGACCTGCAGGTGGGGGGCTGTGGTCTGATCCTCGGTCATCTGATTCCAGAACCCGCTTTCTGTCACCACCATCAAGGGACACTAGGATATTTTGTAGTGTTTATTAAAATCAAGAAAGTTAAGAGAACATAAACATGAGAGGTCCATGATGCCTGTCTTGAGGAGTTCACATTCAAGTTGACAAAACAAGAAATAAGTATAATTCTAGAGAAGATAGGGTAACTGCCATGTAAAACTCTCTGTCCAGAACTGATATTTATAACTTGGATGAGGGAATTGATGGCACAATTATAAATGGTGCTGAGGATGCAGCTGGAAGAGGCAACATTATTCCTTGGATAACAGACTCAGAAGGTTTAAAAAATGATTAAAAAAAAAAAACTACCTTGTCAGGCTGGAATGATTGACCAAACATAGAGAAATGATGCACGATGAACAAATAAACTTCCAAGTACAAAAAAAAAGCTGGATCAGAACAATTAACAAAGTACTGTAGCCTGTTGTGTGAACAAAGGTCATTTTAGTTTTATGTTAGTCAGCTGTGTCACTCATTGTGGACTGAGTCATTCAACAAACATGTATAGGGTGGCTCCTAGGAGCAAGTGGAAGGAAGTCACTGCTCTCAAGGAGCTGTCAGTCCAGTAGGGAAAGAGACAAGAGGAAATCATGATCAAAGAATCTGACGGGGCTGGGCGCAGTGACTCACGCTTGTAATCCCAGCACTTAGGGAGGCTGAGGCGGGCGGATCGCAAGGTCAGGAGATCGAGACCATCCTGGCTAACACGATGAAACCCCGTCTCTACTAAAAATGCAAACAATTAGCCGGGCATGGTGGCGGGCACCTGTAGTCCCAGCTACTCGGGAGGCTGAGGCAGGAGAATGGCATGAACCCGGAAGGCGGAGCTTGCAGTGAGCTGGGATCATGCCACTGTACTCCAGCCTGGGCGAGAGAGTGAGACTCCGTCTCAAAAAAAAAAAAAAAAAAAGAATCTGACGGATGCTTTTAGATTAATCTGAATAAAGCACCTCGGTAAATGAGAGAGAAAGCAAGTAACTTTTTATAGGGTCATAATAGTATTTGAGTTGGGAAGGAGTTTGCTGGGCAGAGAACCAAGTTCATGATAATCTAGGAGGAAGAACCAGTGAGTAAATATTCAACCGTATGGAAAAGCTCTGCCCTGTTTGAAATGGCTAACATTTAAGTTTAAACACTGGCAGAGGCATAGGTTGAGGCTAAAATTTTGACTGCGACTGGGTTTTGAAGGGCAGTCCAGTTAATGCTGCTGAGTTTGGCCTTCCTCTTGTATGCAACAACAGGATAATAAAGATTTCTAGAGAGGAAACATGACCACATTTGATTTTTTGGAAGGTAATTGTTGCAAGCAATGTACAGAAAAGACTGGAGGGTGGAGAGAACAGTTTCAGGGAGATCAGTTAAGAGGTGGTTGCACTTTTCCAGTAAGAAAAGTTGCAGCCTGAGGAAAGTAGACTCTGCTAAAAATACTGATACTAATAGAACAGCTGTGGCTCTTTCCACTGTCCTGGCTCAAAGTGAAGTTTTGAACTGTTTTGTTTTTTGTTTTTTGTTTTTCTGAAACCACCCAAGTTGAGCTGCTGGTTCTCTCTGCACTACCCAGTCCTGTCGGGCATCCACGGTTCTACCCTTTCTTTTAGGGGCCTTAAAAAGTGCTGGGTTATTGAAAAATATTTATAGTAGAGTTGAGATGGGCTGACTGAAACATCAGGATGTATACGGGTCACATTTCTCCTGGGTGTCATGGAGTGAGGTGCAAACAGCGATCAAAGGAAGACCTTCACGGGGGGCAATGAAGGCAATGCTAGCAGTTCTCCTGGTGGGACGGGGAACAGCACTCCCCTGAACGGTGGTGGACAGACTTCAGCGTGGCTTGGTTCCATCACCTGCCCGACTGCCCTTGGTTTGGCTGTATTGGTCTTCTTTAGGGCAGAAACTGAGTTCTTTCCAAGTATGATCTCTGCTCTTCTCTGTGTGATCCCTGGAAGCCATGCAGGTCACCCTGACCTCGTTCTTGTCAGGTTCTCTGTCATCCTATTGACTCCCTGGAAAACCGCAACCTTAATTGTTTATTTGTAGGCTAATGTTATACCTTTATCTTTCAAATCTTTGCCTTTTGATTTTCAAAAATTGTTCTTTCAAAAATCTTGGTTCTTGTAAACTAACAGCTTTCCAAACTATCATCTTTTATGTGGACTTCAAAATATTGACTCTCTTTTTCTTTACTTTTTTTTTTTTTTGAGACAGAGTTTTGCTCTCGTTGCCCAGGCTGGAGTGCAATGGCACGATCTCTGCTCACTGCAACCTCTGCCTCCCAGGTTCAAGCAATTCTTCTGCCTCAGCCTCTCAAGTAGCTGGGATTATAGGTGTGAGCCACCATGCCGGCTAATTTTTGTATTTTTAGTAGAGATGGAGTTTCACTACGTTGGTCAGGCTGGTCTCGAACTTCTCACCTAGTGATCCACCCACCTCGGCCTCCCAAAGTGCTAGGATTACAGGCGTGAGCCACCGTACCCAGCCGACTCTCTTTTTCTTTGTGTTTGACTAAATACATTTTAAACCTCTGTTCTCACATTCCCCTTAAAAATATCTTTTAACAGTTTGCATTCTCTTTGTGTTTGAGCTAGATAAATTTTAAACTTCTGTTCTCTCATTTCCCTTAAACTAAAGATATCACTAGCAGTTTGTATCCCTATATAGGGACATGCATGATCAGACAGGTATGGAAAAGAAAAGCATACTAAATTATTTTCTAAATATAATTTATTACAATAATTCTTTTAAAAGCTAACTAAAATTATGATATCCTAGGAGGATAAAAATTACTAAAATGGACTCAAGAAGAAACAGAAAAAAGAAAAGGCTAATTCGAATGATAGAAAAAAAGCTGAAAAGGATGTCAGAGTCCTCAACTATTTCATAATAGAGATGCCCAGTTTTGTGCATGTAACCTTTGAGGATTATATGTAATGCCTATGATTATTTTTTAAATTGCTCTGAAGCATTGGTTTTCAAAATATTGGCTGGGCATGGTGGCTCACTCCTGTAATCCCAGCATTTTGGGGGAGGCCAAGGTAGGCAGATTACTTGAGGTCAGGAGTTCGAGACCAACCTGGCCAACGTGGTGAAAACCCATCTCTACTAAAAATACAAAATTCAGCTGGGTGTGGTGGTGCACGTCTGTAATCTCAGCTACTTGGGACGCTGAGGCACAAGAATTGCTTGAATCTGGAAAGTGGAGGTTGCAGTGAGCTGAGATTGTGCCACTGCACTCCAGCCTGGGCAACAGAGCAAGACTCTGTCTCAAATAAATAAATATATATATGCACAATAATCACTTGGGGAGTTTATTAAACATATGAATTCCTTTCTCCTCTCTCCCCATCTTCTCTTTGGGACTTTGATATAGTAGTTATGGGATGGGATCTGGGAATCTGAATTTTAAACAAACAGATGCTTAGAGAACCATACTGTCCTTAGAGAAACCTGTTCTAAAGCCATAGTCTTTTTAAATATGAAGTTTGCACAAAAAATTCATTAGGATGGATTAAAGAAATAGAACTTTAGTTATTTTTCCTAATAAAATAATAAATTTCAGTTTCACTTTAATAGCATTTAACTACTTGAGCTGGCCCCCTCTCTGAGTTCTTATGTCAAATGGCCAATTCACACGCATGGTCCAACAGATATTCTTTTTTTTTTATTATACTTTAAGTTTTAGGGTACATGTGCACAATGTGCAGGTTAGTTATATATGTATACATGTGCCATGTTGGTGTGCTGCACCCATTAACTCATCATTTAACATTAGATATATCTCCTAATGCTATCCCAACCCCCTCCCCCCACCCCACAACAGGCCCCGGTGTGTGAGTTCCCCTTCCTGTGTCCATGTGTTCTCATTGTTCAATTCCCACCTATGAGTGAGAACATGAGGTGTTTGGTTTTTTGACCTTGCAATAGTTTACTGAGAATGATGGTTTCCAGCTTCATCCCTGTCCCTACAAAGGACATCAACTCATCATTTTTTATGGCTGCATAGTATTCCATGGTGTATATGTGCCACATTTTCTTAATCCAGTCTATCATTGTTGGACATTTGGGTTGGTTCCAAGTCTTTGCTATTGTGAATAGTGCCACAATAAACATATGTGTGCATGTGTCTTTATAGCAGCATGATTTATAATCCTTTGGGTATATACCCAGTAATGGGATGGCTGGGTCAAATGGTATTTCTAGTTCTAGATCCCTGAGGAATCGCCACACTGACTTCCACTAATGGTTGAACTAGTTTACAGTCCCACCAACAGTGTAAAAGTGTTCCTATTTCTCCACATCCTCTCCAGCACCTGTTGTTTCCTGAGTTTTTAACGATCGCCATTCTAACTGGTGTGAGATGGTATCTCATTGTGGTTTTGATTTGCATTTCTCTGATGGCCAGTGATGGTGAGCATTTTTTCATGTGTCTTTTGGCTGCATAAATGTCTTCTTTTGAGAAGTGTCTGTTCATATCCTTCACCCACTTTTTGATGGGGCTGTTTTTTTCTTGTAAATTTGTTTGAGTTCATTGTAGATTCTGGATATTAGCCCTTTGTCAGATGAGTAGATTGCAAAAATTTTCTCCCATTCTGTAGGTTGCCTCCAACAGATATTCTTGAAAGAAAGTGTAGGTGGCACCTGGTCCCCTCACCAGTGTGTTTGCTCTTTAAACACTGCATGGCAATTTCCAATTATGTGGGTTATACCATATAGTTGTCACGAAAGGAATCCTCACAAAATGAACAAGTGGCATGATTATATTCCTGAAGAGAAGCCACAGATTGAAGACAGAGCACTACTAGATGATGCTTTTGCTATTTGTAGTTCAAGGAAAAGATTTCATCAATCACATTATGAGTCAAACACAAGGATGATCTAATCAGATATGAAAAGCATTGGCTCAGTAATTTTAAGTGATCAGAAATGTTACTGGAAAATAGAGATCCATACACAGTATCAGCAATAGCAAATCTTATCTTAATTGGATATTGTACCTGCGAATTAACTGATAAAAGGATGAGGTCGGCCGGGCGCGGTGGCTCAGGCCTGTAATCCCAGCACTTTGGGATGCTGAAGCGGGCGGATCAGAAGGTCAGGAGATCGAGACCATCCTGGCTAACATGGTGAAACCCCGTCTCTACTGAAAATACAAAAAATTAGCCGGGCATGGTGGAAGGCACCTGTAGTCCCAGCTACTTGGGAGGCTGAGGCGGGAGAATGGCATGAACCCGGGAGGCGGAGCTTGCAGTGAGCGGAGATCAGGCCACTGCACTCCAGCCTGGGTGACAGAGCGAGACATGAGACTCCATCTCAAAAAAAAAAAAAAAAAAAGATGAGGTCTTTAGGATGCTGAGCACTTAAAATCTAAGCATCCAGAATATTATTAAAATAATTTTAATTAGAGATATGATTTGTAAATAAATGAAAATTCACATATTGTGGTAATATTTCAACAGCATTTTTTTGCTGATAAATGTGTATCATTAAACATATTAAGCGTCTTCTTTCAAGCAGCACTATTCAAAATGTGGTCCATGGGCTTCTGGTGGTCATGAACTATTTGTTACAAGTTCATGATAAATATGGCAATGACAGTCAGCATTTAGAGACTTTTACAGCAATTTGGTAGAGAAATTTAGTGTCTATTGAATGTAATCATAAAGAAATTAAACTTTTATTTTGATTGTTTGTGGCTTACTATTTTAATTTTCTACTAATTTCTTTTTGTTTTGTTTTAACCATAATAGCAGTACATAATGGATGGGAAACTGCAAAAAAGGATTTCACACAGATAATTTGAAAAACATTGTTTTAAAGCATAGAAAACAATCCTAATTTATGTATAATGTATAATATCCTAATTTATGTATAATGTATAATATCCTAGTTTATTTTATAAATTAGCTTAGCCTTGAAATAAAAACCTGACAAATATCCCACAATAAGAAACCTACAATTACATTATGAGTAAAATATTAGCAAACTCATCCAGTCTCAAATTAAAATACTAATATGCTATGACCAAGTTGAATTTTGTTTTTTTTTCTTTAACTTTTAAACTGCAGTGATGGATTAATTTTTAATAATGTGTTATTTATGTTATAGTATTGGCTTAAAAGAGACAATAATATAATTACACTGTTAAATATTCATGAAAAATTATTTCATGAACAACAAAACAGGATATTAAGCAGTAATGAGTACAACTTTTCATAATCATATATTTACTTAGTAGAAAAAATCTGAAATATTATAAACTAAAACATTTACAGTGGCTGTTTTTGTTTTGATTTATATTTTCTTCTTTTGTTTATTGCTATGTTCTAAACTTTCAATAATGCCTTTTTTTTGTTGTTTTTTTTGAGACGGAGTCTCACTCTGTCGCCAGGCTGGAGTGCAACGGTGTGATCTCGGCTCACTGCAACCTCCACCTCCCAGGTTCAAGCGATTCTCCTGCCTCAGCCTCCCAAGTAGCTGGGACTACAGGTGTGTGTCACCATGCCTAGCTAATTTTTATATTTTTAGTTGAGACGGGGTTTCACCATGTTGAAGAGATCAAGAGATCATGAGGTCTCCCAAAGTGATTGGATTACAGGCTTGAGCCATTGTGCCCTACCAGTACTTTTTTTTTTTTTTTTAAGAGACAGGATCTTGCCCTGTCACCTAGGCTAGAGTACAATGGCACGATTATAGCTAACTGCAACCTTGAAGTCCTGGGCTCAAGTGTTCCTCTTATCTCAGCCTCCCAAGTAGCTGGGACTACAGGTGTGTACCACCACTCCTGGCTAATTTATTTATTTATTTGTTGTAGAGATAGGGTCTTGCTATGTTGCCAAGGCTGATCTCAAACTCACAGCCTTAAGTGATCCTCCTGCCTTGACCTCCTAAAGTGCTGGGACTAGAAGCGTGAGCCACTGTGCCTGGACTATAACATATATAATTTTATGTAATAAGTTAAAAAATGTATAGTCATTATCGGTATAAAACATTGCGTGTGCCTGGAGTCTAAATGCCTATAAAACATGTAAGGATTTAATATTACTCACTTACAGGTTTACACGTTTTCCACCAGCTTGTTTTGGAAGTAATTTACTCAATGGCTCATTTTAGTTTCATCTTCAGGAATGAGCAATTTGTAATTGACAAAGAAAAGCAATAAAAAAACCCATTAGCACCTCTCAAACTACTGTGCATTACATGCATTTGCATTAACAAAGACAGATTTTTTGTTCTCTGAAAAGTATCAAGTCTTTTTTTCTCCCCGTGCTGTGGCCTTACTTAT
Source organism: Homo sapiens (assembly GCF_000001405.40). Classification (NCBI taxonomy): domain Eukaryota; kingdom Metazoa; phylum Chordata; class Mammalia; order Primates; family Hominidae; genus Homo; species Homo sapiens. The sequence continues at coordinate 130,234,466 of NC_000002.12, read as the reverse complement.
TTCCCAGGTAACAGGGTCCAGTCTTCTTCCCTTGAAATTTCCCTCCCCTGATGGGTCTGCCTTCTAGATAGTTCCTTTCTTTGTTTATGTGATTACTCTGAACTTCCCACCCTTCTTTACTGCCTACCTGTCGAATGCTTTTTCTAATAGTTCTAGTCATCGATAATCATCCTTGGGTTTGACTCACGTTGTGATTGATGAAATCTTTTTTTTGAACTACAAATAGGAAAAGCATCCACTTTTTTCTTTGAACACTTAAATCACATGATAGCATTATTTATTATAAAATCACTAATACTCTCTAAATGTCTTGCTGAAATAATTTAGTTCAGTAGTCCCTTTCCTTTCATGTGTATTTAGACTAGATTCCTTAAAGAAATCATAATTTCTTTTAGAAGAATACTTGTCACACACACCAAAAAACAACCCAAAGTGATTGTGTTGAGTGAAAAGAACAAGGTGAGAAATTGTGAATGTATTTAATAGTATTGCATCTTCATTCGTTCTCTCAAAAGAATATTTGCTGAATATTTACTATGTGACAGTTACTGCCGTAGGAGCTGGTGATATGACAAGGAACATACAAGATGGGATCTTTGCCATCAAGTTGCACGCATGTATACGTACATGCATATGTGCATATGCATAGACATAGAGTAAAACATCAGTCTGCAACAAAACAGATTAAGAGGACAGAGAGTGTATACTGGTTATTCTTCATCATCTATCTAGATCTATTCTCTGCCCTTTGCTGCTTGGCTCTTTGTGGCTCCTGTTTTCTATTGCTCATGAAGAGCGAATGCCCTGTTCTTTAGGAAAACATTGTTGGGCTTTTAGACGGTGGACCAGGAAGGCAGATCGCATTCTCTGTTATGGGACATTTCATCAGAAGTGAGTGGAGACTTGGAACTAATGGGACTTTTGCAGATTACTGACAGTTCTGGGGACTCAACAAAGATGGCAGTGGTGTGGCATGGTCCTCGTTCAGGAGAGGGGTGCCACCTTTTAAACAAAGGAAACAGTCAAGGGAAGCTGAGATTTATGTTCAGTACAGAAGGCTTTCTGAGGAGGTGCCCTGTAAATTGAAGTCTGATTGAATTGAGAAAGCGAGTCATTTAAATATCTGAGTGAAGAGTGTTCCAGACAGAGAAAACCACAGTGCAAAGGAAAGTGAGGAGCAGCAAGAAAGCCAATGTGGCTGATGAAGTGACTGAGGGGGTAGTGATAGGAGCTGAGGGTGGAGAGGTAGCCAGAAGCTGGCTACATAGAGTTTTTTAGGCCATATTTTGAAGACTTAACAAAAAATTATGAGTGAGGTTGGAAGGCATTCAAAGGTTTCAACTTTGCGATTTGAAAGTGACAAACTATGACTTACATTTTAAAAAGATAACTGATGGCTGTGTGGCAAATAGACTGTGAAGGGCAGAAGTGAAAGCCAAGAGGCCTATGACACTAGAAGACTAGGTGACTCAGGACAGAAAGTTGTACCGGGGTTGCAAGTGGTGAAGGTCGTGACTGGTCGGATTTAGGAAATATTTTGAAGGTAGAGCTTGCAGGATTTGGTGGATTGAATGTAGAATGTGAGAGAAAAGTGCGAAGTTCAGGATGGCTATAATGATTTTGGCCTGAATAACTGGAAAAATGGAGTTGGTATTTATTGACATGGGGAAAACTATGGGAAGAATTTGGGTGGGAAATGAAAGTTCCATTTTGGACATATTAAGTTTGAGTGCATTTCATATATTCAGTGCACATGGAGAATAGATAGTTGAATATTTGAATCTGAAGTAAAATGGAGAGATTGGTGTTGAAGGTAAGATGTGAAGCTTGTTGCTGAATGTGGCATCTAAAGCCAATTGGGTTGGACAAGATCATTTATAGATGAGCACTGAGCAGGTGCTTTGCTGCATTCTGAGGATGGGAACAGGGCTTCATGGGCACAAGATCTTTGCAATCACGCAAGACCTCTTGCTCAGAAGGGCCCCATGCTTTGTTGAGTGCTCTGCTCTCACTATCTTGAAACTTTTAATAATTTTTGAATAAGAGCCCTGCATTTTCATTCTGCACTGCACCCTGCAAATTATGCAACGGGTTCTAGTTGGGAACATAAAGATCCAGCCAAAGAAAGAGCCAATGAAGTAGACCGAAAACCAAGCAAGTGTGAGGAGGTCATAAAAGCCAAGGGAGTAAATTGTGTGACATGGACAGCATGACCCACAGACTCAAAAAGATGCTGCAAGGTCAAATTACCTCAGGACTGAACATCAACCATTGGATTTAGCAACTTGGGTGTGCTTGTTGCCCATGCTGGAGTGGGTTGAAGAGAGAAGAAAAGAAAAAATGTTGAATGTGAACAACTCTTTTTTTTTTTTTTTTTTTTACAATGGCCCTGCCTCCCACAGCTTTCTTTCTTTCAGTTTTAGACGCAAAACAAAAAAGTTTAAAGGAAAATGTGACTTGAAAGGAAAGGAACAAATTTCCAAAGACTTGGGGGAGTGAATGCAGAGCCTGGTGCGGACGGACAAGGTCTGCAGACGGAGGGCAGAGGTGGTGGAAGGGGCCAGGGACCTGCAGGCCTCCCCCTGGAACTGGGACTGGTCTCCGTCAGCTGACGTCAAGGTCAGCTCCCCCGCGGAGCTGACTTCAACAGCCCACAACTGTGGGGCTTCAGCAGCCACGCCAGCCCAGCCTAGCTCTCGGTAAGTTTGGTCGTTCATGCTGAAAAATAAATATTAAAGCCTGTCCCCTGTCTACTGCCTCCCCCAACTGCACAGACGCCAGCCTCTAGGCCTGAGAGGTGGAAACACTGGCCACCAGCCCGGCAGCCCCTACAGGCCCCCCAGATGGGCTGCCTCAGTCCTCCTCTGAGAGCTGCAGATCCTCCAGCTCATCCTCCGGCCCCTGGGCCAGCCGCTGCAGCTCCCCAGGGGCCAGCCCCGCCTCTGCGTCTGGGTCTCCATCCTCCAAGTTGCTGCTGTCCTCCTCGCCCTCCTCCTTGTCCTCTTTATCCTCTTCCACCCCATGCCGAGTGCTCAGGGGCCCCAGTATCCCTCTTTCCAAGAATCCCTCGGTGTCGTCCTCTTCACAGCTGTTCAGGTCAAAGAGGTCTTTAAATTGCTTCCTGTCCTCATCCTTCCTGTCAGCCACCTTCCTTCGTTTGATCTCAGGGAAGTTCAGGTCTTCCAGCCGCTCTTTGCCACTGATCTCCAGCTGGATCTCCCGGTCATGCAGCTTGCGCCAGTGGCTGTAGTACAAGGTCAGGGGGGTCCCCTCTTCCAGGGTCAGCTTCTGCCAGGCTTCCACTGCCTGCAGAGACACCAAAGGAAACCCTCTGGCGGCGGCTGCAGATGTGTTCCGAGTTCTCCTGAACCTTCCCCAGCAGCTGCTGCACCTGCCGGCAGTAGTTGGCCACCTTGCGCTCCCGGAGGAACAACTTCAGCTGCAGGACCACAGGCAGCGCCAGCTCCGGGAAGCCGATGCAGTGTGCCTGGCTGTGCAGGTACTCCAGGGTGAGGTCGTACAGCTGCTCCACCAGGCCGTCCTGGTACGCCTTCTCCTGCAGGTTGACATTGGACAGCTTCAGGATCACGGAGAAGTTGATGGGCTTGGAGCTCATGCGCCCCGGCTTCCTGCTGAAGTCGACCTGCTGGAACATCTCCAGGATGAAAGGCAGCACTGGGATGAAGGCCCCCGAGCTCCCCGAGAGCAGCGTCAGGGCACGGATGCAGTGCATTCGCAGTGGGTAGAAGCGGGCAGTGGGGATGAGCTTGATACAGCCAATGATGACCTGGGCAAGGGAGTAGACCAAGGGCTGGAGGGCTTCGCTGGGGCCCACAGTGCTCAGGACCCGGCACCACAGGAAGAGGCAGTGCATGTACTGCCAGTTGTACACAGACGTTTCCTTCTTGCGGGTGGTCATGGCGTTGTGCAGGTGTATGGCGAGCTGGCGGATGTAGAGGAAGGCGTGCTGGTAGGCCACACCCGGCTCCAAGGCCAGCAGCTCCGTCAGGGTCCGCTGCATGGAACTGATGAAGGGGAGGGCACCAGGCGAGGTGAACTTGCAGTTCCTCACATACATGATGTACATTTGCTTGAGGATGGGGCCAAGGAAAGTGTCCTTCTTGTGCCGGCAGACTCTGCTGAGGACCAGGAAAGCCAGCACCCGCAGGGACTCCTTCCCTGTGCTCCATACGACCACCATTCTCTTGAGCACTGCTTGGGGAAGGTCAGGAAGCAGGGCACCAGCACGCTGATGTGCCATAGCACGGCCGCCAACACCACTGTCTCTGCCACACAGGACACCAGCTGTATGACCGAGCCCAGGTACGCCTTGATGTCCACACGGAGCTTCCCCCAGAGCAGGCTGCTGGACGGCTGCAGCATCCTGCTGCTGTCCTTTGCCACCTTTCCAATCAGCAGCTTCTGGAGACAGCCAGTAAGGTCTCTGATGCAGAAGGTGACCAGAGCATTGAACACGACCAGAGCATTGAACACAGCACTGTCCGTGACCTGGAATTTGTTGGCCTCAGCACTTTCCTGGTCCCCTTGGGTGGTGGCCACAGCTGCTCGGAACGCCTGTACCACTTCATGGAACAGCTTTGGAGTGAGGCGTTGCTTTGCTGCCTGCTTCCATCTCTCAACCATGGCGAGGGTCACAGGAACACAATTCTTCTTCCCCTTCAGCCCTCTGGGGACTCTGTCCCCATCTTCCCCCTCCTCTGCTCCATCCTCATCCTCACTGGCTTCCTCCAGCACATATGGCAGGGAGTGGAACGGCTCCTCTTCCTCCTCAGAGCTGTCCGAGTCGCTGAAGTTTAGCTGGCTCTGGTCATTCTCCTGCAGGAACTTGTAGAACTCGGCGTCTCTGTCCTTCAGCCGAGAGAGCTGATCTTTGTGCTCAGAGGCACGGCCTTTACGCCGGCTGGCCGAGGGGCTCCCGCCCGGCTCATCCGGACTCCGGGCAGCCTCGCGTGCCTCCCGCGTCTCCGCTTCTGGAGAGTATTCGGACTTAGAGTCAAAGCCCGAAGCTAGGAACTCGTCCACCGTCAGCTCCGCCAGGCGCCTCCTGCGGCGCCGCCCACCTGCCATGACACCAGCCCGCAGCTGGCGCCCCACTTCCGGCCCCAGAATGCCGCGCGGCTACGCACTTCCGTCGCCCAGGTCCCGCCCCGTTACCCGCCCCGCCGCGCCACGCCCAGCCGAGTGGCTCTACGGTTCTCCGACCGCAGCGCCCGCGGCCTCCGGGCGGGAGGGCGCGTTCGCGTGCTCGGTGCGGGCAGCCCCGGTGGGGCCCAGATGCGCCTCCCGCTCGGCGCCCGGCTTCGTAGGACGCGGCGACGCCGGTGTCCGTCCTGGGGAAGAGAGACCAGGAGTCCCGTCGCGCCCGCAGCCCACCCGGCGTTCCGAGGGCATGCGCCTGCGAGAACGCCAGGCTGCGACGGCGGGGCCCCTATGCAAAGAGCTCCCACAAATCAACAATAAAAAGCAGAGGGTCCAGGAGAAAGCGCAAATGGCGGTGGGAACCGCACTGATGTTGCCAGCTCGACAGAAGACGGGCGACCCGAGAGCCAGGCTGGCTTCGCCTCTGATCCGCAGAGACCAGGCCAGCGCCACGAACACCACGCAGGGCGCTCCCCGTCCATGGCCCTTTGGGTGCCGACGGCGCCTCTTCTGCGGCCTTTCCCGGGGACGCCGCATGGGGCGAATGCGGTGGGGAGGCCAGCGCCTTCCTTCCTGCTACCAGCCTGACACCCGGGCCCCCGGGCCTGGACAGCCAGACCCCGCGACAGGGTCGCCCCGGGGCGCAGGCGCGGATCCCCCAGACCTGGCGCTGAAGGGGGCGCGTGAGCCGGACGCGGCCAGAGTGCCCTCAGGGTCCCATTCGGCCTCTTGGTGCACCGGGGCCCCGTGGCTTCCCAGAGGAGAGCAAGTTAGGGGGTCGGGGGAGCGGGGATGGCTTCTGGGGGAGGAGGAGGGCGAGGCCTAGGGGTTTCTCGGAGGAGGAGGAGGGCGAGGCTTAGGGGGCTTCCCGGGAGAGGAGGAGGGCGAGGCCTGGGGGGCTTCTCGGAGGAGGAGGAGGGCGAGGCCTGGGGGGGCTTCCTGGAGGAGGAGGAAGGCGAGGCCTAGGTGGGGCTTCTCAGAGGACGAGGGCAAGGCCTGGGGGGCTTCCCGGAGGAGGAAGGCGAGGCTTAGGGGGGCTTCCCGGAGGAGGAGGAGGGCTAGGCCTGAGGGGGGAGGTTCCCAGAGGAGGAGGAGGGCTAGGCCTGGGGGCGGGGCTTCCCGGAGGAGGAGGATGCAGACCCGGGGCGCAGCGCTGGAAGGATCCGCGTCCAAGGTCTAGTCCCCAAAGCCTCTCGGGAGGCCGGGCGGGCGGCGCCGAGCGAATGTGAACAACTCTTGCAGTCACTTTTCTTGGAAATGGGAAGCTTAAAATTGGGTAGTAGCTGAGAAAGATACAGGTTCAAGAGAGGGCTTTTTTAAGATGGAGGTATGTGTTATAAATGAGGGATTAAGTACCCCTTGTGGAGTCCTTAAGGAACATTCCAATAGGCTGTGGAGATGACTTTGGGAAGGCATATGAATAAAGGATTTACTGTACTCACAGGTTCCAAAGAGGGAGGCACGACATACCTTGTGGGGATCACCTGGGCAGAGCACCAACAAAGCGGGCTCAGCCAAGCAGGTGGGGAGCCAAGGGCAAACAGGTTCCTGTGGACAGTTACCCTTATTGGGCATCAGGGTGGGGTTCACCAGCAAAGGCAGGAGGGGATATCATGGGTGTGCTTAAATGTCACTAGGCCATGGTCAGGGGAGAGTAAGAAGGGGGACTTGTGACAGGGACCAGCCTTGTCACATTGGTGTACCTGGTCATCTGGGAAAGGTGCCCACAGCTTGTTTGTAGAGATACTGAGGAATCAGGAAAATGGGAAGTTTTTAGAAGTTGCAATTCAAGATGTTACGGTACATCATTTTTCTTGGCAATGACTCATTAAAAAAGAAGAAAAAACTAATGAGGCAGGAATGGAAATAATTCCAGGAGCAAAGTCCTTTAGGAGGAGTGGGGAACAGGATCCAGTACAAAGTGGGGGGTTGGCCCTAGAAGCCAGGGAAAGCCGAGTGCATGGAGACAGATGTCTGTGCCTGCTGCATTTTGTAGAATGATCCATTCTGATTTCTCCTGTATCAAAATTGAAGCCTTCAGGTGAGAGTGAGAAGCAGAGAGGAAATGTTGAGGTTTGAATAAGAGAAGAATACGGAACGGTCGTCTAGGAGGATGGGCAAGCAAGGAGACCAGAACTGGCAGGCAGCGCAAGGGCTGCTGAACAGCCCGAGCAGTGAAGTGGCTGAAATAGGAACATCAGGTGTCTCTGGTGATTATTTCTTTTTTGTAGTTTTCTGATTTTCCAGATGTTCCCTAATAGGCATTATCTTACTTCCACAGTTATCCTTTTTTAGACTGTTACAGAGGGGTGAAAAATAGAACATATAATGTATGAGAGAGGACTTAGGATTTGGGGAGGTGTCTGGGGAAACAGAAAGAGATAGAAGACCTCATTCTGTTTGCCTGTAAAAACAATGCCTGCAATAGATGAAAAGTCCAGTTTTCTGCAGACATGTACAAAATGTTTTTGACCTTTTATTCAGGCCAACAGATTTACTCCATTTCTAGGTCTGAGCCACCAATTGGGTTTCTTCATTGAGTCTGAGTGTTTGATAGGCCAAGTGGTGGAAACTGTTCCCAAGTTCTGAAACTAGGGGAGCCTCCATTCTGGGCTCTGCAGTGGTGAGGTGCACTCTCATCCCTGCCACATTTTAGTGGGAAGCCTGGTGAGGCTCATTCAGGGACTATGAAAACATCTCTTACACCAGAACCTCACTAATCTTGTAAAGTTTGCTTATTTGTTAAAATGATTAAAAATAAACATTAGAAGTTGAGGTCCTTGATATCTGTTTTCAGAGTTTCTTAGCCACTCTCTATTTATTATATCTTAATAGATTTGCCTGATTTTTTTAAAATTTCAAATCAAGGTCACTGTTGTGAAAGGGAATTTCAGAGATAATACATTGTTATGAAGGGCCGGGCGTGGTGGCTTACACCTGTAATCCCAACACTTTGGGAGGCTGAGGTGGGTGGATCATGAGGTCAGGAGTTTGAGACCAGCCTGGCCAACATAATGAAACCCCGTCTCTACTAAAAATACAAAATTTAGCTGGGTGTGGTTGTGCACACCTATAATCCCAGCTACTCGGGAGGCTGAGGCAGGAGAATCGCTTGAACCCGGGAGGTGGAGGTTGCAGTGAGCCGGGATCATGCCACAGCACTTCAGCCTGGGCGACAAAGCCAGACTGTGTCTCAAAAATAAATAAATAAATAAATAAGTTCCTCTGAGTTATTTACCATCTTTCTGTTGAAATCTTTATTGAAATTATAAATCTCAGCTTTCAGAACAAGATGTGGTAATTAAATCCTATGACTGTTAAAACACACAGAGCTCAGCTGTGTGGACGCAGAGTAACTGCGTGGGGTGTGAGGTAGGGTGTGTGTTTAGAACTCTGCAAGTTGAAGATTTCAGAGACAAGGGCAGCTGCAGAAGTCCTGAGTTTTACACTAGGACAAAAGAGAATAGATTTTTCTCTTATGGTGGAAAGAATATTTAACCCAGCAATATGTATTTAGATGATGTCATACTTTCTTCTTGAAATATACAAACCCTTTGATGAATTTCTTTCATATTTAAACTCTTTCATAATGAATCTCTTAAATAATAAATCTTTCTAATACATTTTTTCAGTCTTTGTATTCATACACCAATGTAAATTCTTTTTTTTTTTTTTTTTTTGAGACAGAGTCTCGCCCTGTCACCCAGGCTGGAGTGCAGTGGCACGATCTCGGCTCACTGCAAGCTCCGCCTCCCGGGTTCAAGCGATTCTCCTGCCTCAGCTTCCTGAGTAGCTGGGACTACAGGTGCCCACCACCATACCCGGCTAATTTTTAGTAGAGTCGGGGTTTCACCGTGTTGGCCAGGATCGTCTCCATCTTCTGACCTTGTGATCCACAGACCTTGGCCTCCCAAAGTGCTGGGAGTATAGGCTTGAGCCACCACACCCGACCGTAAATTCTTAAAAAGACAGCATATTTATTAAGTTCATGTGTTATTGCTATTGGAAACAAAGACACAGTAGATAAGGAGTATTGCATGAGCACTGGATCTGAGTTGAAAACTATGCTTGGAAGACACTAACAGAACTATCTTCAAGTCCGTTAAAGGGAATTATTTGCAGCCAGGCATTTTTTTCCCTGAAGTAATATCTATGACTTCTTAGTAGATGGTCTGAAGTGGCAAGGTAGGAACTTCAGTTATTGTAGGTGAAAACCTCAAGCTATGGCTGGGCATGGTGGCACATGCCTGTAGCCTGTACTCAGGAGGCTGAGGCGGGAGGATCTCTTGAGTTGAGGAGTTTGACGCTATAGTGCACTATGATCACTCCTGTGAATGGCCGTGGCACTCCAGCCCGGGCAACATAGTGAGACCCCATCTCTAAAAAAAATTGAAAATTAAAAAAACTTTCAGATATGCTTAGAAGCAGATTTTTCAAATCCCATGGGGAAGGGCTTTAAGAAGAGTATGATCAGTAACCAGCTAAACAATGATTAAAGCATCATCTTTAGAAGATGATGAACTAAAGGAATCTAAATCTTATTGCCTGAAACTCTTTGCAGTCAGGCAGCTTAACTGGGTGTCTTTGAGAAAATTATTGTCTCATTTATCATATTTGTGCAATGAAAATAATACCTACATTGTACGCTTGTGGAATTTAAATAACAAAATATTTTATATATCTACATATCTCTTGGATATAGTACAAGTTTAAAACATTGTAGTTTATTATCAGTTTCCTGAGAGATGGCACCAATGGCAAAACGGTCACCAAAGCTATTCCTTTAGAATTAGAGGACAGTCCCCACTTCATGGACAACATGTGAGTCTATGCACCCACAGCATCCGTCAGCCTGTCCTCTCTCCTTTTTTAAAGAGCAAAACAGGAATTCTGTTGTGATTGAAGGACTTTCTGTCCATCCCTGGAATCCTAGATGCTTTGAGATACCTGCATAGAAGTTGCAGACTTTTTTCAAACACTAATGGAATAAAATACTGTCATTGCCTCTCTTTTTTCATAGCTAGCATAGAAGACTGATCTTTTGGGTGGGAATTGGGTGGGTGGCAACCTCATCCAAGGATGGGGGGCTACATAAGTTGTAGAAGACCTTGCCAATCCAGGTAGGTTGTAACTTTAGGCTCTGTGTGGCTGGTCAGGGAGTCAGTCACTGGCTTGACTCTGACCTTCCAGGAGCCTGGCAGTTGAAGAGGATCTCAGGGTGATCTGATAGAGAACTGCAGAAGGTGAGAGTCAAGTTAGCCTCTTCCAGACTTATTACAGTCCCCTAAAGCATTAATGACCTTTTTGCCTAAAGCTGATACATGGACATTTTTAGTTCATTGACCTTCAAATAATTACAGCTGTTTGGAAAGCTCTTGGTCATAGAAACTGGTAGTACTTCCAAACTTTTCAGTGATGTTTATCATCTTTTTTTTTTTTTTTTTTTTTTTTTTTTGAGATGGGGTTTTGCTCTTGTTGTCCAGGCTGGAGTGCAATGGCGCGATCTTGGCTCACCACAACCTCTGCCTCCTTGGTTCAAGCAATTCTCCTGCCTCAGCCTCTGGAGTAGCTGGGATTACAGGCATGTGCCACCACGCCCGGCTAATATTGTATTTTTAGTAGAGACGGGGTTTCTCCATGTTGGTCAGATTGGTCTCGAACTCCCAACATCAGGTGATGCCTCCGCCTCGGCCTCCCAAAGTGCTGGGATTACAGGCGTGAGCCACCGCACCTGGCTGATGTTTATCATCTTAATAGCATCTGTCCTTTAACCCTGCACACACACTCCAAAAAAGTTAACTAAAAGAGACAATGATTAATTTTATATTCTGATGTTTTCTTATGAACACATTTGTGGCCACTTTAGTGTCCAGCAAAGCATTTCTTTGGCGAGTGATTTAAGGAGGGGTGGAAAGTGGAATGGAAGAAGTCTCTGGAAAGTCTTTAACACTGAGACGTATTTTCTCCCTGTTTGACTCCAAGGAATTTCCACTCATGGAATCTGGCCTATTAGAAAGAACTTTTTCCTTTTGTACTTGATTCAACTTAATAAATTATGTTAACCAGCTATGGTGAATGATGAGCATTCCTCAAACCACAGAACAATAGGCTTCATCGTTGAAGCTCTAAAAGAGCAGGGATCTATCTGTTCCAATTCTCTTCTGCTGGGCACCATCTTCTAGCTCTGCTGCAGTCTCTCATTCATAATTCTTCCCCTAGACCAAGTTCTTCTTTTTTACTGACCTCTAGGACACCTGGCATGCATTCCTCTTCTGACTGCCTTTGTTGGCCTGAATGCTGAAATAACATCACTGAACTAACATCTCCTAAAGAAGACATTTGTCATCAGAGGCAAATCCTCAGTGAGGATTAACCTGTCTTTAAAAGATCATGGGTAAATCAGCACAATCTGAAAGATTCAGAGCTTTTTTACCTTTCTCTCTGCTAGGCACAGTGATTACCATCTCCAGCCTTATTCTTCACAGCCACTCAATCGTGGTCCTTGCAGTTTTGCTTCACTCCACATACACCATTTCATTTCCCTTCCCACAGTCACTTCCTAGAACAGATATAGAGGGAGGCCCTGCTTTGCATGCTAATGAGGGACCACAGAAATGACTGCAAACAGAAAATGGAACGCGATCTCGTGCATCAAAGGGGAATGTTCTGACTGTTCTGTGACTTTTAAAAATATGTTGTCAAAACATTAAAAACTATTGTAGGTTATAAATGTACAGGAACATTTTCAAAAATAGTAAAACTAATATTTAGTATAGTGTAATTTAAAACATCAGAAACACGAATCAATATTTTATTTCTTTGTAAAAATCTTATGGAGTATAGTTTGAATGAAGCTGGCCCTCCTCTTCTTGTAGTATACTTACAGTGCAGAGTGAGCTATACCTTGACAAACTGTCATTCTCCTGTCTAAGTTTGAATCAGCTTCCAACTATTTATTCTTTGTGCTTTCAATGTCATGAAATACCTCTGATAATTCCGTTAATGTGAGTTTTGTTTGTTTTGTTTTGTTTTGCCATGTCACTTTCTTGGGACATCTTTATCCTAAAATGAATGAACACATCTATTTTCATTTATGTTGTTAAGTCTGCCTTCCCTAAGTTCCTCTGGAATGCCTCAAACAGTGGCAAATTACCTCCAATAGCTATTTCTTCCATAACTCCATTTACACTCAATTTGAATTTCACTTTCAGAGTATACTAGTCAGTGTTCTCCAGAAAACAGTATACGCACACACAGAGGCATAAATATTTATTTCATCTTATATATATGAAGATTTATAAGATCTATAAAGATTTATATAAGTATATATAAAGATTTATTTTATTATGGAAATTGGCTTACACAATTAGAGAGGCTGAGAAGTTCCACCATCTGCATTCTGGAGAACCAAGAAAACCAGTGGAATAATTCAGTCCAAAGTCCAAGTCCAAGGCTGGAAAACCACAGTGCCAGTGTCCAAGTGCTGGAGAAGATGGATATCCCAGCTCAAACAGGGGGAGTACATTTGCCCTTCCTCCACCTTCTTGTTCTATCAGATGATGCCCACATTGGTGAGGGTGATCTGATCTTTACTCAGTCTACTCATTTACATGGTAATGTCTTCTGCAAACACCCTCACAGACACACCAGAACTAATGTTTTACCAGCTGTCTGGACATCCCTTAGCCAAGTTGATGCATAAAAGTAACTAGCATTCAGAGTTCTCTATTTTTATTTGCTGTGCTTTTATCTTTCTGACACTTCACTGTTGGCCAGTTTTCTCTTTTGATTAGCCATTATTGAAAATGTTATGCAGGTTTATCACTGGAAGAAAAGGAAAAAACACAGCTGCATGGTTTGTTGCCAGTGTGTGAATTGAATAAAAGATGTGGGGCCGGGTGCGGTGGCTCACACCTGTAATGCCAGCACTTTGGGAGGCTGATGTGGGCGGATCACGAGGTTAAGAGATCGAGACCATCCTGGCCAACATGGTGAAACTCTGTCTCTACTAAAAATACAAAAATTAGCTGGGCATGGTGGCACCTGCCTGCAGTCCCAGCTACTTGGGAGGCTGAGGCAGGAGAATCACTTGAACCCAGGAGGCAGAGGTTGCAGTGAGCCGAGATTGCGCCACTGCACTCCAGCCTGGCGACAGAGGGAGACACAAGACTCCGTCTCAAAAAAAAAAAAAAAAAAAAAAAAAAAGATGTGTGGTGACCAATCACCAATAGATATTGAAATAAGTGACATGATTGGTCACTGATCATAATGCGCCTCTGGTATACATGCAGCAATTTATGGGTTGAAGGTCTAGCAGTGAAGTTTCTCCTTTATCCAATTATTCATAGTTAATAGACCATAGCAACTGATATCAGAACTGTGTTGTTGGGGGACTGGTGTCATTGGACTAAACTGTGGTAACTGAAATCTGTGTAATACTGGAGCTGTGCTAAGCAAGGATGGACTGATTATTACTAGGACAACTTTCTGGCTTCTCTTTTTATTTTTAGTGCATCTAATTCATCTGACATTTAATCGATCCAGATTTTCTTCCAGGATGACTAATACCTTAGTCATCTAACCACTCAAGGACCTCACAATATCTTACATGTAGTTTTCACCTAAACTAGGGTATAACAATTATAACCATCTTCCTGGTCATCCTAAGCATGTATACTGCAGTTATATCCTAAGATTTCATCTCTATTAAGCTCCAGGGAGTAATAGGTGTTCTTTAGCCCTCTGCAGGATTAGAGAATTGAGGCTGCTTTGTTACTGTTGTTGTTCACAATAAACTTCCATAGGAAGTGAGTTACAAGACTCTAGACCTTTGTTAATCCTGAACTTTCTGGGCATCTTGTCTGAGTGATATATCTTCAGTAAAGTGTATCCTAAGAGCTGTCCTTTCTGTTTCCTTGGCCTTCTTCACAAGCCTGCTCTCCAAATACCCCCACTCTGGGAGACTGACTAGCTCCCAAGTTGGAACACAGAGTTCTCAAGCTTGTTGCTTTGTAGGTGACACCAACAGAGGAACTTCTGCCTGATGTTCTATCTGCTAACTCCGAAATCAGAGTCTGGAAAGAGTAATCTTGCCTTGCTTATTTAGTCAAGGATACCTCTCTTCTTGGTACTGCTATAGAGGGATGTAAATGCCTCTTCTTCACAGTTGACTTCGGTAGCTGGGAAATACGACAATATCTCTAAATATTTATTTGTATGTAACACAAAACTCCTGCAAAAGAATAAGAGATAAACAGGCAGAGGCTGTTCTGCCTTTTTATACTGAGCCCCCAAAGAAAAACCTGTGGTGTCATGCTGGGCAGAATTTTGTAACTATTTTGACCAATAGAGTATAATGGAAGTAATGCCATGGTGCCCTCCAAGATCGATAGTAAGAACACCTTGCACTTCTGCCTTGCCTACTTAGGACATTTGTTCTTAGAACCCATCTGCTATACATGCTGTGAGGAGGACAGAATAACCCGTGTGCAGAGGCTGTGCAGAGGCAGTTTGGCCTGTAGTCCATCTGAGGTCCCAGCCAATAATCAGCATCAACTACCAGGCATGTGAATGAAGATACACACAGGTGATTCCTGTTCCCAACTGCTGTCACACCTAAACTTTGAGTCTTCCAAGCAAATGCCCCAGATGTGGCATAGCAGACATATAAGCAGTCTGCCCTGTGTCCAGACTAAACTCCTGACCCATAAAATCTGGGAATACAAATGTTGTTATTTTAATACAATTGTATGGCACTGAGATTGGGGTGGTTTGTTATGCAGCAATTATAACTGGAACAAGAACACTTGACCCTGTAAGACACTTGAAATTATATGAGTTATGACATCAGTAAAGTATCTTTTCTTATCTACACTTTCTGTTGTAACCACAATGCATATGGATAATTTGTGAAGTGAATAAGGACATGGTGAAGGACTGATTCCAAGTGGCTGGGAGAGGGAAGGGTGTGCTGCATGAATTTCATGTTCTTAGATACTAGTGAGAAGAGGCTGTAACACATTAATCACTCCCCTTCTCTCACTCATACAATGGTAGCACTAGTAGCACATTATCTTTTCTTGTGAAAGTGTTGCATTAAGAAATTTCTTTTGGAGTAGCCCCCAAACTGTAACAGAATGTGACGTGATAATTTCCCACCGTCTTCAAGTACTGCCAAGATGTAGAAGTCTCCTTACTCCTTGTAGACAAATGGTTGCTCCTTGGAGGGGCCTATTTGAATTTTTTTTGTTTTGTTGGTCTTTTTTTTTTTTTTTTGAGACAGGGTCTCACTCTGTTGCCCAGGCTGTAGAGCAGTGATGCAACCACAGCTCACTGATGCCTCGGCCTTCCAGGCTCAGTTCCTCCCACCTCAGCCTCCTGGGTAGCTGGGAATACAGGCATGCACCACAAAGTCTGGCTAATTTTTTGTAGTTTTTCATAGAGATGAGGTTTCCCCATGTTGCCCAGGCTGGTCTCGAACTCCTGGGCTCAAGCTGTCCACCCACTTCAGCCTCCCAAAGTGAGCCACCTTTCATCTCCTCATCTCATCTTATGACTCTGTGCTTGAACTGGTGTATTTAAAGATTAAGGACCTTTCTGACCAATGTCAAATGAACCATCCAGATTGTTCTGGCTCTCAGAAAGATCAGAGGCAGTCTGAATAGCAAGTAAGGATCAAGTCAACCACCAATTCACCAAACAAAGCCAAAACATTGGCGTCAAGGAATAAGCCAATTGCTGACATAAGTACCTGCTGCCCCAGAAGTTACTTGTTTCAACTATTTGAGTTCAGCACATTATCGCAATTCTAAATACTTAAGGTATCTTCAGCAAGTGAATGCAACTTATAACTTGTTCTTCCATCCTCGGGTAAGTGGGGGAACCATTTGCCATTTTCAGAGTAAATTCATCTGAGTTAGAAGGAAGCCCCTATAACATCAACAGAAAGCAAATTCTATAGTTAAGTCTCTCAACCATTAAATTTTAGGATTATATTCTAGTGGTACTTCTTAGAAAAAAGAAAGAAAGTTTCACCTATGAGATAAATTAGAGGACAAAGTGTTACTTCCTGTCTTCTTGCAATCTTGGCCGGGCACCGTGGCTCACGCCTGTAATCCCAGCACTTTGGGAGGCCGAGGCGGGCGGATCACGAGGTCAGGAGATCGACACCATCCTGGCTAACACGGTGAAACCCCGTTTCTACTAAAAATACAAAAAAATTAGCTGGGCACGGTGGCGGGCGCCTGTAGTCCCAGCTACTCCGGAGGTTGAGGCAGGAGAATGGCGTGAACTCAGGAGGCGGAGCTTGCAGTGAGCCGAGATCGCGCCTCTGCACTCCAGCCTGGGCGACAGCGAGACTCCGTCTCAAAAATAATAATAATAAAATATAAAAATAAAAAATTGTCTTGACCATCTTGGGGTGAAACAGCTGGAGATTAAAGGAAGAAATGGCTGCCGAGCACAGTGGCTCACGCCTGTAATCCCAGCACTTTGCGAGGCCGAGGCGGACAGATCCCGAGGTCGGGAGATTGAGACCATCCTGGCCAACATGGTGAAACCCCGTCTCTACTAAAAATACAAAAATTAGCTGGGCATGGTGGCGTGTGCCTGTAATCCCAGCTACTCGGGAGGCTGAGGCAGGAGAATCGCTTGAACTAGGGAGTCAGAGGTTGCCCTGAGCCGAGATCGCACCACTGCACTCCAGCCTGGTGACAGAGCGACACTCCATCTTAAAAAAAAAAAAAAAAAAAAAAAAAAGAGCGGGGGACGGGGGCGGAGGGGGGTGGGGAAGAAATGGCAAGGCTCTGGGAGGAATAAAAAGAAAAAAAAAAAAAAAAAAAAAAAGAAAGAAAATAACCAGAATTATATCTTTGTTAAACGAGGGGCCAAAACCAGAAAGCTTTGTACAAGGTTTTGTGTCTTGGCAGCAAGCATTGCCCTTACAACATAGAATGTCATTGCAATCATATGGTATCAGTAACCAATGAATTACGGCCAGAACACCTAGGACCTGTTCTTCTAGACTTTAGATGTGAGTTCTCCTTCTCACAAATCTCAAATGCATGTTCATTCTGAACACTGGCTGGTTTTTTTGACCCTTTTTGCTGACCTGAGAGGGTTATATAGCTAGAGTAAGACTGAAACTATTGCCTGGAACATCCCTCAGAGTGGCCAAAATATTTCCTTTATGACCATAAAGCAATTCCAATTCACATTGCTTTCTGTAATAGAGCTTTCCTTTCCTTCCTTCCTTCCTTTCTTTCTTCCTTTCTTTCTTTGTTGACAGAGTCTCCCTCTGTCGACTAGGCTTGAGTACAATGGTGCTATCTCGGCTCATTGCAACCTCCGTCTCCTGGGTTCAAATGATTCTCCTGCCTCAGCCTCTGGAGTAACTGGGATTACAGGTGCACGCCACCATGCCTGGCTTGATTTTGGGGTTTTTAGTAGAGATGGGGTTTCACCATGTTGGCAGGCTGGTCTCAAACTCCTGACCTCAGATGATTCACCTGCCTCAGCCACCCAAAGTGCTGAGATTACAGGCATGAGCCAGGCATAAGCCAGTGCCCAGCCTGTAATAGAGCTTTCTGGACTACTGAGTTCTACAGTATTTTCCTGTATGATTATTTTCAATTTCTGTCTCAACACTTGAGGTAGGCTCTTTCAATAAGGCCCAAACACACTACCAATTAATAGCATTATGCTGTGCTTCTGATTTAAACTTTGGTCCCAGAACCCAGAAATGGGAGCCTGTGTCTATTATCTGTCTCATTTTTAGTGGTCTTTGTGGTCTGCATGGTGAAGATGTAAAAGCTTTAACTAAGATGTAGGAATGGAGAAAAGAAAACCAGGAGAGGACTTGCTTACATTCTAAAAGTGGGTTGTAGGGGAAGAGGAAGCAAAGCTGAGACTTCTGAGTAACTGGACTTATGCTAAGATGCCTAACTGAGGTGGGGGATGATTTAGTTTTGGATGGTTACATGGTAAACTAAAGAAAAATAGTATTGAAGTGAGACAAACATCTAAAAGCTTTATAATACCTTAATTTGATTTTTTAAAAATTATACTTTAAGTTCTGGGGTAAATGTGCAGAATGTGCAGGTTTGTTACATAGGTATACATGTGCCATGGTGGTTTGCTGCATCCATCAACCCATCATCTACATTAGGTATTTCTCCTAATGCTATCCCTCCCCTAGCCCCCCACCCCCAACAGGCCCCAGTGTGTGATGTTCCCCTCCCTGTGTCCATGTGTTCTCATTGTTAACCTCCCACTTATGAGTGAGAACATGCAATATTTGGTTTTCTGTTCCTGTGTTAGTTTGCTGAGAATGATGGTTTCCAGCTTCATCCATGTCCTTGTAAAGGACATGAACTCATCCTTTTTAATGGCTGTGTAGTATTCCATGGTGTATATGTGCCACATTTTCTTTATCCAGTCTATCATTGATGAGCATTTGGGTTGGTTCCAAGTCTTTGCTACTGTGAATAGTGCTGCAATGAACAAACATGTGCATGTGTCTTTATAGTAAAATGATTTATAATCCTTTGGAAATGTAAATCCTTATAATCCCAGTAATGGGATTGCTGGGTCAAATGGTATTTCTTGATCTAGATCCTTGAGGAATCACCACACTGTGTTCTACAATGGTTGAACTAATTTACAGCTTCACCAACAGTGTAAAAGTGTTCCTACTTCTCCACATCCTCTCCAACATCTGTTGTTTTCTGACTCTTTAATGATCACCATTCTAACTGACATGACATGGTATCTCATTGTGGTTTTGATTTTTTAAAGAATTCTACATTAAACATCTTGATGAATTACTAAAGGAATTTCTGTTGGTAAGAGAAAAAGCATGACTACTTTCACTGAGAGTATTCAGTACTGTTCAGGTTTTATTCCCAGTGCAATATGACAGGAAAAATGAAATATACATATTAGAATGAAACATCAATTACACAGCCACTGATATAATTTTCAGAAAATGAAATTAAAAATTAATAAAAACAATGAGTTAAGAGGACAGATAAAAGATAAAATGAAACTCAAAAGAATTCTCATGAATCAAACTGAATCAAATTGAATTTGTACAAGCAAAAAGTTTCTATTCACATTGAAAACTCTAAAATATCTTGATATGCACTTAGAAAAAGTGAGCATTCCCTATGCAGATAAATCTACAGAATGTTACTTGGACTACAAGAGTTAGTTAATGGAGAGACATCATCTGACTAGATGAGAATATCCAGCATTATTTATATCTTGATTATCTCAGCCTCCTCCAAATTAAATATGTTTAATACAATTTTAATCAAATTATTGTTTTTTTTTCTTCGAACGTCAGTGCTTGACTTCAGATTTCTTTTGGAAGAAAAATGTATACGAATACCTTATATTCGATAAGAATGTGAAAAGATTTGCTCTACTATGTATCAAAAAATGTAAAGCTAATCGAAACAAAATTGAGGGAAAAGCTATATTATAAATATTGATTAAAATCATTATAAAAAGCTTCTGCAATGGAATTACTATTCCATGGCAAAGCATTTCAACAGACAAGTCACAAAAAAAGAAAGAAGAGTAGGCTCTTCAAATGAAAAGCTGCTCAACTTTCTTCCCACAACAAAGATGTGAAACAGATAATTAGGGTTTGATCATTGGTTCTTTTGTTTTGTTTTGTTGGTTTCTCTTTTACATATAAGAGGTTTAACAATTTGACACCCAGTGTCTTTAAGACAGAAATGTCACTTATGTCAGTGTTAATGTAATTTTGGAGGAACAAACATTGGGTTGTATCTATAAAGTGTTCTTAGTTTTTTTGTTTGTTTGAGATGGAGTTTCACTCTTGTTGTCCAGGCTGGAGTGCAATGGCACGATCTCGGCTCACTACAACCTCCGCCTCCTGGGTTCAAGCGATCCTCCTGCCTCAGCCTCCCCAGTAGCTGGGATTATAGGCGCACACCCTGACGCCTGGCTAATTTTTGTATTTTTAGTAGAGACGGTTTCACCATGTTTGCCAGGGTGGTCTCGAACTCCTGACCTCAAGGTGATCTGCCTGCCTCGGCCTCCCAAAGTGCTGGGATTACAGGCGTGAGCCACCGTGTCTGGCCAAAAGTGTTCTTAGTTTTTGACCTAGCAATTCCACCTGTAGAATTTTTTTTTCTATAAAACAGACATATATAAAGATAAAAGATAGGCTGGGCACAGTGGCTTATGCCTGTAATCCCAGCACTTTGGGAGGCTGAGGTGGGCGGATCACCTGAGGTCAGGAGTTTGAGACCAGCCTGATCAACATGGAGAAACGCCATCTCTACTAAAAATACAAAATTAGCTGGACGTGGCGGCGCATGCCTGCAATCCCAGCTACTTGGGAGGCTGAGGCAGGAGAATCACTTGAATCCAGGAGGCGGAGGTTGCGGTGAGCCGAGATTGTGCCATTGCACTCCAGCCTGGACAACAAGAGCGAAACTCCACAAAAAAAAAAAAAAAAAAAGATGCTTATGATCCGGCGGATCCTCTCCTGGGGAGACCAGGCCGGGGAGAGGGCGCGGGCGCCCAGTGGCGGGGGCAGCGGGCAGGCGCAGCGACCGGGGCCGGGGCGGGGATCCTGGCGGCGACCGCCGCGGCGGCAGCGCCCCGGGCCCGCCGCCCCCTCCCCTCCGGCGAGGGGAGCCGCTGGATGGGGCCGGTCGGGGGGCGGCCTGCGGCGCAGAGCGGCGGCGACGGCGGCGGACTCCCCAGGCGGGCTGGGGCTGAGCCCGGGGACCGGGGCGGGGGCTCCGGGGGGACCATGCCCGGAGGCCGGCGGGCAGCAGCGTGGCTCACGGGCCTGGCGCGCTGATGCTCAAGTGCGTGGTGGTCGGCGACGGGGCGGTGGGCAAGACGTGCCCACTCATGAGCTATGCCAACGAAGCCTTCCCGGAGGAGTACGTGCCCACCGTCTTCGACCACTAAGCAGTCAGCGTCACTGTGGGGGGCAAGTAGTACCTCCTAGGACTCTATGACACGGCCGGACAGGAAGACTATGACTGTCTGAGGCCTTTATCTTACCCAGTGACCGACGTCTTCCTTATATGCTTCTCGGTGGTAAATCCAGCCTCATTTCAAAATGTGAAAGAGGAGTGGGTACCGGAACTTAAGGAATACGCACCAAATGTACCCTTTTTATTAATAAGAACTCAGATTGATCTCCGAGATGACCCCAAAACTTTAGCAAGACTGAATGATATGAAAGAAAAACCTATATGTGTGGAACAAGGACAGAAACTAGCAAAAGAGATAGGAGCATGCTGCTATGTGGAATGTTCAGCTTTAACCCAGAAGGGATTGAAGACTGTTTTTGATGAGGCTATCATAGCCATTTTAACTCCAAAGAAACACACTGTAAAAAAAAAAAGAATAGGATCAAGATGTATAAACTGTTGTTTAATTACGTGAGAAACATCTTCAGTGGCCAAGGAAACTGGCCATTTCTCTGAGAAAGCAAATGAAATGCTACAGCTATACCCAGACCTTTTATAGGTAATGAAGCAGTTCAAAACTTGAAAGAAAACAAAACCTGTCCCCAGAATTCCATAAAGTTTATTAAGAATGTTCCTTAAAGGTTTAAGAAGCAGTAAGCAGTATCTGAAGCCACAATCTACTATAAATACTTTATTTCAACTAGAAGGTACAATCTCTCAGGGGTTTCATAGTTTAAAAAGCTACAATCACATCATGTAACTACGTAAAAAACAGAGCTGTAAATGGAACTGCTTGGCTTTGACCATACACATTTCTGCACAGCCCTTACAGAATCTGCACAAAGAAATATCTCCCTTTGTTCCAGTTAATTGTTCTTGTATGTAAGTTGCTTTCTATTCCAGTATATCCAGAGTGGTGAAATAACAAGGCCAGCCACATAGCCAAAGGTCGCTCCAAGCGTACAGGAGATGGGCCATACCTGAGGAGAGAATGTATGAGATCAAAAAAGAACAAATGTTTTATTATTACTTGAGCACAAGTGTAACCTAAATATTTCTATATTAAAGCTTAATGTGCTTTCTTAAAGAATGCCTAAAGTGTAATAAGGTCATAACTGCATTTATCATGAACACTAAAAATGTACACATTTTAGTTAATGTGCATTAAACTGTAACAAGGCTTCGGGCAATTGTAGATTTAGTTTGACGCTCCCCAAAGTGCATGAGACACATGCTAAAATTACAAATTAAAATTTTGGGTCAGACTTTGCCATAATGCTGGACTCAATTTAGCTCTCTGAACTAGATGGTAATTTTTTTTTAATTCCCACTTTGGCTGTGTACATCAAATGAAATGAGAAGTGTGTATGCTGACCAAACCACAAGAAACTTTAAGTTGTGTTAAAGAGGAAAGACCTAGAATCCAAGCATGTTACATGAAAATTGTAACAGAGCAGCTGCTTCCACCTTTCAGATATAGATGTTGGGACCACAGCAGAAGTTATAGAGCGAGAACTTATATACACACCTAGAATGTAAGTTAAACAAAATACCGGCTTCCGGAGACCCATTTTCTCCAGCCATATTACATTAGGCTAGAAGTAATTAATGTTGATTTATTTCATCTACAAGCAGTTGGTCCCTAAGTGACAGGCTCTGCTTCAAAAAAAAAAGTTGGAGAAAAATTTTCATGTTCTTCTGTGAAGCTTATTTGGTACACTGGAGCCTTTTCTAATCTTTCTCTCGGGGGAACAGGCTGCAGAACTGTGTTAGAGGTGAACCATCTTAATTACTAGTTCTATTACCTAATTCAGCTTCCTTGTTTGGTCTGCTGTGGATCTGCCTTATTGCATATGCCATGCATCAGATAATGGTGTTAGACAAAGCTTCATTGTGAACAACCTAATGCATTTTAGAGAAACAATCTCATCTACACATTTTTTTCTAGCCTTTCCTACATTTAAACTTGCTGTTGCCTAAATTATAATTTTTTAAATGTCTTTGGTGGGCTTCTGTTAATTCATGTGACTTGAGCTTATAGCTATGTCTACTGCACAGATTGGGTAATGGAACACTAAACTTTTATACTTGAAAATGACAGCCTTAAATGCTCATATCAGTCACAAATCTAGGATGTACTGTCTTGTTGTATGTGAGCTTTGTAGAGATTTGTAAAAATATAAGCATCACCTTCGCACTGAAGAGTGGAGAGAGTCTACTGGATGACTGGCCAGGAACTTTCTCTCTGAATTGGACATTTGGATGTCTTCTTTCTTCCAAGAAATGGTGGTTCACATTAAAGTATCATGGCCTTATGTATGCTCAAATGGAATCTTATGTAAGTTTCTTAATTTAATTTTGGTCTGCTATTTTTAGATAAAATTGAAAGGAATTGTATAAATCAATTAACATATTAGCTAAGTTGTCCAACACATGTTATAAATGAATTACAACAGTAAACTATTATACATTTCCAAAAAAAAGATATATTGCACAATGTTCACTGCTATATAGTGTACAATATCAAAAATTGGAAACTATCTTATATATTATAATTTATTTCAGTTATGAGTGGTAGAAAAACCATTGTAGCTCTTGTCAAAACCTGCATAGGCAGTCTAAGGTAAATATAACACTTGATTTTATCAGGGCCCAGGTTCCTTCTGTCTTGTGGCCACTGTATGAGCCGCAACCCCAAGGTGGAAGATGGCAGTATATGTTTATACACAGCAATGAGGAAGGGAGATAGGAAAGCAAAGTGTGTCCCTTTAGGAAAGATCTTGGAATCTGCCATGCCATATTTCTACTACATCCTGTTACTAAGAACTTAGGAACATGATTGCACCTTTATTGGTAGTCTTTATTCTGGGCAGCCATCTGCCTAGCTTAAAATGTGGAGGGTCCATTACCATAGAGGAAACAGAGAATGAATTTTAGCAAACAACTAGTGGTTTCTGCCACATGACTAAATGACCAACAAGGAAACATATTACAAGACATCATACAATTAACCTCTATTCAGTTGTTACAGACTCAAGCAACTCTACATGAATTGGCATGTGAACTTCTTGCAAAACAGGGTGTTTATTAAACAGTTTTTAAAAAGTGTGTGAAAAGCCTGCATATGTCCACCGAAAGACATGTAAAAATGCTTATTCCTTTATTATTTGTAATATCCCAAATTTTGAAATGCCACAAATATTCACCAGAAGTACAATGGATAAGTAAAGTGTAGCATATTTATCTAGTTAAATACCATAGGTTATGGGAATGAACAAAGTGTTGCCTGATACAATAATGTGGATGACTCCTAATGTTGCAGCAAAAGAAGACAGGCACAGAACATATAATTTACAACCCCACTTACATAAAGTTTAAAAACAAGTAAAATTAACCTACAGTGCTAGAAAGCAGAATAAAGTCAAGGAATGCTAGTGTCAGGAAAGGAGAAAGCAGCCTTCTGAGGGGCTTCTGAGGGGCTGCTAATGTTCTATTTCTAGAACTGGGTGTTGGTTTTTGGGGCATATTCACTTTGTAAAAATTCACCAGGTTACATGCTGTGATTTGTGCAATTTGTTGTATGGATGTTACACTTCAGTATGATTGCAGAAGCCTAGCTTATCTAACTGAGGTACTGACAGTAATTCTCAAAATGGAAGGTGGGCTCTCGTGCCTGGACAGATGTCCTCACTGCAAGCTGGCATGCAGGGACCAGGTGAGTGGCTTCTGGTCACCAAGGGCAGCTGTGTCACTTGGACATGAGGGCAGACCCCAGGTGAGAGCATCAGTAGGACAATGCTGTGTTACTTCCTGCGGTTCTGTGCTGGCAGCCACAGAAATTGATGGGGACGCTTCCAGCTTCAGTGCTTGTGTTTCTTGCTCACTAGCTCAGCTGGTCTGTAATAACAAAGAAATGAATAGTGGGATGAAGACATATTCCACAGGATTCAGACTCTACTTACAAGTTCTTTACTTAAAAAGTGCACTCTTGGCCGGGCGCGGTGGCTCACGCCTGTAATCCCAGCACTTTCGGAGGCTGAGGCAGGGGGATCACGAGGTCAGGAGATCGAGACCATACTGGCTAACACGGTGAAACCCCGTCTCTCTTAAAAATACAAAAAATTAGCCAAGCATGGTGGCACGTGCCTGTGGTCCTAGCTACTCGCGAAGCTGAGGAAGGAAAATCACTTGAACCTGGGAGGTAGAGTGAGCCAAGACAGCGCCTCTGCACTCCAGCCTGGGCAACAGAGTGAGTCTCTGTCTCAAAAAAAAAGAAAAAGAAAAAAAAATGCACTGTGTCTGGCCCAGAGGTTCCCGTGGTTCTTATTCCTGGATCCCATCACCCCTCCTGTCTCTACACAGACCCCCACTCCACTCCCAGCTGGCCGCCTACCCAAGCACCACTGCCCTTGGCATCCTTGGCTAAAGTGGTGACTGCATGGGCAGGTGGAGTCTGACAAGTCACAGTGACCACCAGCAGTGGGAGGTCACTTGGCCTCACCTGTAATTCACAGCCCTGACCACACCCTCTGGCATGTGAGTTTATCCACAAGTAACAAAGCTGAGATGAGACAATTTCACTACATAACTTGCTCACGCGGCATCCTGTGGTATGCTAGCATTATTAACACTGGAAGTTCTTTTGAAGATTTAGAAAGTTTAATTGTCATGAGATTTTTCCAAACTAAGTTCATGATATGGATTTTTAAATTGTATCTAATTTAAGTGACATTTCAATTCAAATCTAAATCTAAAACTGATAGACCTAATGATTTCAGGTGATTAATTCTTTTTTGTTTTTGTTTTTGTTTTGTTTTGTTCAAGATGGAGTCTCGCTCTGTCGCCCAGGCTGGAGTACAGTGGCACAATCTTGGCTCACTGCAACCTCTGCCTCCCAGGTTCAAGTGATTCTCCTGCCTCAGCCTCCCAAGTAGCTGGGACTACAGACACCCACCACCAAGCCTGGCTAATTTTTGTATTTTTAGTAGAGACAAGGTTTCACCATGTTGGCCAGGCTGGTCTCAAACTCCTGACCTCAGGTGATCCACCTGCCTTGGCCTCCCAGAGTGCTGGGATTACAGGGGTGAGCCACCGGGCTGGCCTAATTAGCATCTTTTAACTGAATAAAAACATCCTATTTAAAAGACCAAATATATTACTTCATTTGAAAATTAAAATATAGGGTTGGGCATGGTGGCTCACGCCTGTAATCCCAGCACTATGGGAGGCCGAGCCAGGTGGATCACCCGAGGTCAGGAGTTCTCATGAGATCTGGTTGTTTAAAGGTGTGTAGCATCTCCCCGCTCTCTCTCTTCCTCCTGCTCTGGCCATGTAAGATGTGCCTGCTTCCCCTTCTGCTATGATTGTTAAGTTTCCTGAGGCCTCCCCAGAAACAGAAGCCGGTACAGCCTGCAGAACTGTGAGCCAATTAAACCTGTTGGTTTTTTTTTTTTTTTTAATAAATTACCCAGTCTCATGTAGTTCTTTTTTTTTTCTGTCACCCAGGCTGTAGTGCAGTAGCGCAATCTCGGCTCGCTGCAACCTCCATCTCCCAGGTTCAAGCAATTCTTCTGCTTCAGCCTCCCGAGTAGCTGGGATTACAGGCGCCCACCACCACGCCTGGTTAATTTTTGTATTTTAATAGAGATGGGGTTTCGCCATGTTGGCCAGGCTGGTGTCAAACTCCTGACCTCAGGTGCTCCACCCACCTCGGTCTCCCAAACTGCTGAGATTACAGGCGTCGGCCACCGCGCCGGCCTCAGGTAGTTGTTTATAGCAGTGCGAGAATGGACTAATACACTTGGCTATGAAAATGAAAACAATCACGAAGGCAGGGTCCCTCCCCACCTCTCCATATCCCTGTTTTGTCTGGAGCTGCCTTGGGTAACGCTCAGCCGGGACCAGCACATTACACAAGGCAATGTCCACGTGCCGGGATCAGCAAGGATGAGCTTTCTGTCTGGGGTAAGAGTAAAGACTCTAACCCAGCACCACCTCGAGGGCTTCAGGCTCACTTTCTGTTGCTTGAAGTCCGTGACGTGCTCACGACGTCTGCACTCCTTTGAGGCCTCAGCAACAGTGTCCTTGAGCTGAGCTTCCAGCTACGAAACGAAGACGCACTTGTCATTAACACAAAGGAAGCACGGCCTTACCAGTTAGATCTTCCCCAAAGGACTTGTAAGAGAGCAAGACCTTAAAGGACCTTTGTATTTTTTCACCCTTTATCAATCTTATCACAAATTAAAGTTTCAGAAATACACCGCAGGGCTCAGCTGAAGTGGTTGGTTAGTAATAAAACAAGTTCAAATTCAAATTTAAGTTGATATTTTGAGATAAGATTTCAAGAAAGGGTACTGATTTGTGAAAACAAGTACTTCTGATTTCTGTAGAACACTGATTCATTTTTTAAATGGACAATTTCAGACACACACAGAAGAACAGAAGAAGAGAGAGTAATGAACCTCCTGTGCCTGGCACCTCGGCTTTGACACTAAGGAGAGGACTTTTTTTTTTTGACAAGATTCTTGCTCTGTCGCCCAGGCTGGAATGCAGTGGTGTGATCTCAGCTCACTGCAACCTCTACCTCCTGGGTTCAAGCGATTCTTATGCCTCAGCCTCCAGTTTAGCTGGGATTACAGGCACACACCACCTCGCCCGGCTAGTTTTTGTATTTTTTTTAGTAGAGATGGGGTTTCACCGTGTTGGCCAGGCTAATCTCAAACTCCACCTCAGGTGATCCGCCCACCTCAGCCTCACCAAAGTGCTGGGATTACAGGCAAGCCACCGTAGTCGGCTGACAGTGAGCAGCTTGAGCTGAGCTTGCTTCATCTCTGCCTACGCACAAACCGCTTGAGAACAAATCCCAGGCAACGTATCACTGCATCCGATGTGGAATGGTAATCCTTAGTTAGGGGTTTCATTAACTTGAGTTGTAACTGGCTACAACTACAAATATATTTAGGTTGCAAAATAAACTAAGAAGAAAACAAACAGATATCCTGTGGCTAAACAGCAAAGGGCCCTGAACTTGAGCATGTGCTTTCAGACCTTCTCATTTGTGGGATTCATTAAATAAATTTTAATAGAATTTTTTTGAGACAGATTCTCACTCTGTCGCCCAGGCTGGAGTACAGTGGCACAATCTCGGCTCACTGCAACCTCCACCTCCCAGGCTCAAGTGATCCTCCCACTAAGCCTCCTGAGTACTTCATGCTAGATGTGCATGTCACCACACCCAGCTAACTTTTTGTATTTTTGGTAGAGATGGGGTTTCACTATGTTGCCCAGACTGGTCTTGAACTCCTCAGCTCAATCGATGGGCCCACCTCGGCCTCCCAAAGAGCTAGGATTAGAGGTGTGAGCAACTGCCCCTGGCCTTTAATCAAATTTTAAAGTAAGCATTGCTTAAAACATGTCACTCATCAACAGCAGAACATTCAGAATACCTAGGGCAGCAGTTCTCAAATTGTGGGCTGAGAACCTTGGGATCCTGAGACATTGTCAGAGAATAAATACCCTCTACTTACTGAAAAGGGAATTTTTAAAACCTAGTACCACAGTAATCTCTTTTAATAATTAATTAGCTATCTGTGGGAACCAGGAGTTCTTCATGTACTTCATCCGGAACAGTGTATCCAAACAGATTGAGTGCAGAAACAGACATGAGAACCCGAGCACGTTCTATTAAGCCAGATATTAAAGAAACATTAAAAAATGTAAAAATGCGGCTGGGTGCGGTGGCTCACGCCTGTAATCCCAGGACTTTGGGAGGCTGAGGAGGGCAGATCACCTGAGGCCGGGAGTTCGAGACCAGCCTGGCCAACATGGTGAAACCCCATCTCTACTAAAAATACAAAAATTAGCCGAGAATGGTGGTGCATGTCTGTAATCCCAGCTACTCAAGAGGCCGAGGCACGAGAATCGCTTGAACCCGGGAGGTAGAGGCTGCAGTGAGCGGAGATTGTGCCACTGCACTCCAGCCTGGGTGACAGAGCAAGACTCCATCTTAAAATAAAATAAAAAAAATGTAAAAATGCCATTCTTCTCACTAGATTTTTAAAGAAATAGTTACTTTTCATTACAAACTTTACGTTAACATGTAATGGGTTTTTGTTGTATTGAAAGAATTCTCAGTTTTAATTTCTGCCGTGGTGCATATTGAGAGCTGTAATCTACCTAAGTAGAAGCTCTTTGGGATCCCCAGTAATTTGCAAGAGTGTAAAGGAGTGCTTAGGCCAAGATGCTTCAGAAGCACTGGTCTAAAGCAAGTGGCTTGAAGCGTCCTAGACTATGATTTGCCTTTCTACTGCCATTGGCCCTTTATGGACTGCAGGTGCTCTTATTCAATTAAGCCGGGCCATATCACAGCTCAGCATAAATACCCTCTACTTACTTAAAAGGGAATTTTAAAAACTTAGGACTAGGAACCTCTTTTAATAATTTCACAAATAGATATTGAGGGATGAGCACAAAATAAATGCTTGGCAGATCAACTTACTTGGGTTCACATAAAACTTAAGATGATTTTAAAGTAATTTACATAATGCAGCCCAAGTTTTCAAAGATGTTTTATTAAGGTCATACAAAAGTCCAGTCAATACCATCGCTGAAATATCTAAATAGCTTCCTCCCCACCCCCCCTTTTTTTTTTTTTGAGACAGAGTTTTGCTCTTGATGCCCAGGCTGGAGTGCAGTGGCATGATCTTGGCTCACTGCAACCTCCGCCTCCCAGGTTCAAGCAATTCTCCTGCTTCAGCCTCCCAAGTAGCTAGGATTACAGGCACCCAATACCATGCCTGGTTAGTTTTTGCATTTTTAATAGAGACGGGGTTTCACCATGTTGGCCAGGCTGGTCTCAAACTCCTGACCTCAGGCCATCCACCCGCCTCGACCTCCCAAAGTGCTGGGATTACAGGCGTGAGCCACCACATCTGGCTAAACAGCATCCTCTTTCTGAGCTTCTTGGATCTTCAGATCTCCTGCCACATCATGTCAGCTTTCTGCATGGCTACTTCCATCTCCTCCTCCTTGTCCCACACCTTCTGCTTCTGGGAGTAGAGCTCTGCCATGAGCTCATTGAGCTCCAAGAACTCCTGCAGGGCCAGCTTTTGCTGCTGATGGGCATCTTTCAGTTCTTTGGCTTGGGATTTCAATGTCTCTGAAGCTTCAACCAATTGCTGAAAAAAAAATTACAGATGTTTTATGTTTGCTTAACAAAGGTCTGGAAGGCTGGACATTTAGTCTTACACTATATTAAAGAGTTACAAGTGACAGCCAATGCTGGTTACAGATTAAAGCCACAGATGGGAGAAATCCCCTGCTTGGAAAAAGCCCTGTGCTCACCTCACCCCAGCCAAACATTCAATGGGAAGACCACCTGGGCTCAGGTGCTGAGCAACAACCCCACACCAAGAAAGACCTCGCAACTGCATGGAGTAACTTACAGCAGGACAGCTGGCTCTGTAATGCCAACCTCTGCCCGAGGTCTTCTACACAATTGCAAAGGTGAATAAAGCATTTGGGCACTCAATCTAGTTACTTAAACACAAGAAGAAGCAGAAGCAGAAAAAAATACATAGGCAAAGTGCTGAAGATTTAAATCAGGCCAGGCACTCAAGCCTGTCATCCCAGCACTTTGGGAGGCTGAGGTGGGAGGATCACTTGAGCCCAGGAGTTCAAGACCAGCGCCTGGGCAAAATAGTGAGACCTCATCTCTTAAAAAAACTAAAAAAGAAAGAAAAGAAAATTAAGAAGAAAGAGATTTAAATCAAAGACTCCCTGGGTGGAGGGCCACAAGTAGGACTTACCACAAGTTCAGCTGCACTGACAACCCAACCTTACCACTTGCTGCACTGATGACCCTGACCTCCCTGCAGCTGATCTGGCCAACAGTCTGGCTGTTTAGTCACTGTCACACTTGCTGGACTAAGACTGGAAGTGACGAGACCTGGAGCAAGCTGGCAGGGCGGCTCCCACATGGGGAGGAAAGGCCTCCCCAGGCCTCTCTGGGTCCAGCTCAGAGTCACTGTGACTGTGTCAAGCAATGAGAGGCCGCCCAGCCCACACTGCACTCCCAGACAAGTCATGCAGGGGGATGATACCACAGATGATCTTAAGAAGCAATTTGGTTTTAAAATCTGCCCCATTTTAGAGGACAGATCACAAACTACAGGTCCAAGGACTTCAGTGTATAAATGAATGTATTTTAGAAAACAGAGCCTATGCAGTGAGCTGAGATCGCATGACTGCAGCCTGGTGACAGAGAGAGACTCTGTCTCAAAAAAAAAAAAAAAAAAAGAAAAAAGAAAAGAAAAAAGAACCTAATTGTGTTATTACTATACTTAATGGCATTTGAATATAAAGTTCAGATATCTTACTAAAAACCAAATTTATAAAGGAGTTATGGGGGAATCAGCCACATTTTAACATATGTCCTCTTTTGCAGTTCCCTGTCCTTACTAAGATGCCCCTTCTAAGAGCAGGGGGCATGGTGTAGAGAGAAGGACGAGGTCACTGGTGTCAGGCGCAGCGTGTCACTGCAGATAACACAGTGCCCTCTGGACATCGTTCCTCATTCAGAATGGGCGGGGCTGGGGGAGTTGCTGCTTACTCTGCGGGGTTGAACTGGAGATGGCAGATGATGACTGTGAAGTGGGTGCCTGCTGCAGGCAGCACGCTGAAAGGCACCCATGGCAAGGAGCCAAGCCCAGCTAGCTGACATGGGCTGTGTAGCAACTGGGCACAGCAGGGGCCCTGGAACCAGGCTTGGCCCTGTTGTCCTGCTTGCAGCAGGGACAGTCCATGAGTGGGAGTCCCAAGGAGGTCTGTAAACATCTGTATGAAATGAACCTTACAAAACTCTGCAAAGCCTCTTAAGCCTTTCTCACCCAGAACCAAACTGCCTACCTTGTGCATGTCCTCCTTCTCCTGCCACACCATGCGGTGCTGCTTCTCTGGCCCCCGTAGCTGCTGTGTGAAATCTTGTCGAGGCGCCGCCTTGTCCTCAAGTTGTCACTCAAGCCTGTTTGAATATGAGCAAAAGAGGAAATAATTTGTGTTCCTTTCTGTGTAGCAACTATATGTAAACGTTGTTAGCTGACTTATTGAAATGATTTAATAATTCACAGGACTGTTTTTTTTAGTGCTGTATACTAAATAAAATACACAAGGC
Organism: Homo sapiens; assembly: GCF_000001405.40. Classification (NCBI taxonomy): domain Eukaryota; kingdom Metazoa; phylum Chordata; class Mammalia; order Primates; family Hominidae; genus Homo; species Homo sapiens. The sequence goes on along the minus strand of NC_000002.12, from coordinate 130,202,174 downwards.
AGCAATACTTAGGGGCCAGAAACACTGTTTACTGCAAGTCAATTATGGAATCATAACTTACAGTAAAAATGGGCATGTCCAAGGCTCAATTTTTCTTTTGTCATTTACAGTAGAATAGTTTGTTGCTAATTTTCTACACTGTCTACTGGGAATATGTGTTACTTTTATAATCAGAAAAATAAATATTGCAGTCACGTAGCATATAATGATGTTTCGGTCAACAACAGACAGCATATATATAAGAGTGGTCCCATAAAGTTATAATACCATATTTTTCCCGTAGCTTTTCTGTGTTTAGATACATAAATCCTTGCTGTACAGGTCTGTAGCCAAGGGGCTATATGCTATACCATGTGGCCTAGGTGTGCAGTAGGCTGCACCACCTTGGTTGGTCTAAGAACACTCTGTGATGTTCTCACGTCAACGAAATTACCTGATGATGCATTGTCGAGAACGTATCCCAGCCGCTGAAGGATGCGTGGCTGGACTGAAGAGCACCGTGTGATGTGGGCTACAGCTGAGTTCTGTGCATGATGTGGTTGGAGCCCTGAGGAAGGGGGGCTATGGACTGAATGGTGTCCCCCCCCGCCAATATTAGACGCTGAAGCTCTAATCCCCAATGTGACTGTAGTTGGGGACAGGGCCTATAAGGAGATGATGAAGGTTAAGTGAGGTCATAAGGGTGGGCCCTGATCCAACAGGATTCATGTCCTTATAAGAGACCAGAGCGCTTGGATGCTACCTCCCCGTGGGAGGACATGGTGAGAAGGTGGCTGTGTGCAAACCAGGAAGAGAGGCCTCTGGGGCTTTTAGCCTCCAGAACTGTGAGAAAATAAAACCCTGCTGTTTAAGCCACTCAGTCAGTGGTATTTTTTAGGGTGCCTGGGGCTAATACAGAAGGATTCACCCTCCTGGGGAGAAGGGGCCAGTGGCCTCCTCTGATTTTCCCAGCTGTCGGCAGAACTCCGTCCCTGCCCCTCCTCCTTTTGCCAAAGCATCTTTCTAAGGGAAGACCTGATTGCACTGTTCAGAGGTCCCCAAAGGCCACAGAAAAGTCTCAACTCCTGGACCTCGTGAGTCCCATCCCACTGGGGGAGCTCCCTCTCTCTTCTCTGCTCTCCTCTCAGGAGGGAAAGTTAAGGGCCTGCTTGGCCACCCTCCAGGGAGATGACATGGTGGGATGCTGCATCCTGGTGATGAGCTGGGGGTAAGCCAGCACGTCTCCTCCAGGGCTTTCCCCAGAACTGAATACACACTAAGATGATCTTTAGGGATGGAAGACTCAAACTGGGAAGAATCACACACCTGTAGTCCCAGCCTACAAGGAAGGCTGAGGCTTGGGGATCACTTGAGGCCAGGAATTTGAGTCCAGCCTGGTCAACATAGTGAGAACCAGTGTCAAAAAATAAATAAATAAAAAGGAAGAATCAGGTGACTGTTCCAAAGTCCTCCAAAATGGGTATTGGGTCCTGACTCTGCTCTTCCCGGGACAGGGGTGTGCCTTCCCCTTTCCTGTTGGCCATAAACCCACTCCCTCTCACCAAAGAAATAAGAAAAAGTGTTCACAGCACTTTGAGTTATGTGAGGTGTGCAGAATTTATCAGGCCCAGAGAGACAGGAATATGGACTTCAGTCACACGCCTTGTACTCATGCCCTGGGGTGACTGTTTAAAGGCATTTTGTTCCTGACTAGCTCAACCCATTATCTTCCTGTTCCTGGAATTTGTGATACCAAAGACAATGTAGACAATGTAGAGACAATAAATAGCTTTTTTTTTTTTTTTGAGACAGAGTCTCGCTGTGTTGCCCAGGCTGGAGTGCAGTGGTGTTATCTCGGCTCACTGCAAGCTCCACCTCCCGGGTTCATGCCATCCTCCTGCCTCAGCATCCAGAGTAGCTGGGACTACAGGCACCTGCAGCCATGCCCGGCTAATTTTTTGTATTTTTAGTAGAGACGGGGTTTCACCGTGTTAGCCAGGATGGTCTCGATCTCCTGACCTCGCGATCCGCCTGACTTGGCCTCCCAAAGTGCTGCGATTACAGGCGTGAGCCACCACGCCCTGCCTTCTTTTTTTTTTTGAGATGGAGTTTTACTCTGTTGCCCAGGCTGGAGTGCAATGGCATGATCTTGGCTCACTGCAAACTCTGCCTCCTGGGTTCAAGTGATTATCCTACCTCAGCCTCCCAAGTAGCTGGGACTATAGGTGCTCACCACCATACCTGGCTAATTTTTGTATTTTTAGTAGAAACAGGGTTTCATCATGTTGGCCAGGCTGGTCTCGAACTCCTGACCTCAAGTGATCCTCCTACCTTGGCCTCCCAAAGTGTTGGGATTACAGGTGTGAGCCACCACGCCTGGCCCAATAAATAGCTTACGTTATTTTAATATAAATTCCTCAGGCTAGGCCAGCCGAGGTAGGAGGATCCCTTCAGGTCAGGAGTTCAAGACTAGCCTGGACAACACAGCAAGACTTCTCTAATTTCAAATTCTTGGTAAACAACTTAGGAACTGCCTCTTCTTTTCCTTTAAAAACCCACTTATAACTGCTGCTAATATTTTAAGACAACTTGCATCTCCAGGGTTGCACTTCTCAAACTTGGCCCAAATAAACTATTTTTTTTTTCAAGATGGAGTTTTGCTCTGTCACCCAGGCTTGAGTGCAGTGGCGTGATCTCAGCTCACTGTAACCTCTGCCTCCCGGGTTCAAGGGATTCTCCTGCCTCAGCCTCCTGAGTAGCTGGGATTACAGGCGCATGCCACCATGCCTTGCTAATTTTATTTTTTGTAGAAACGGGCAAGGTGGGACTCACCACGTTGCCCAGGCTGGTCTCGAACTCCTGACCTGAAGCAATCCTCCTGCCGTGGCCTCCCAAAGCACTGGAATTACAGGCATGAGCTGGTGTGCCTGGCCCAACCTCTCCACTTACGTTAATTTTGCCTCCTTTCTTCCTTTTTTTTTTGAGACAGAGTCTGGCTCTGTTGCCCAGGCTGGAGTGTGCTGTGGCCCAATCTCGGCTCACTGCAACAACTGCCTCCCAGTTTCAAGCGATTCTCCTACCTCAGCCTCCCGTGTAGCTGGGATTACAGGTGCCTACCACCAGCCAGGGTAATTTTTGTGTTTTTAGTAGAGATGGGTTTTCACCATATTGGCCAGGCTGGTCTCGGGAACTCTTGACCTCAAGTGATCCACCCGCCTCGGCCTCCCGAAGTGCTGGGATTGCAGGCGTTAGCCATCGCGCCCGGCCCGTTTTCTCCCTTTGGGTCAGAAAAGTGATTGAATCCTGCCACTTCCCGGGTGCTGGGTGGGAACAGGGAAGAGGGGGATAATTGCGGTGCTGCTGTGACTTGGGTAGATGGCGGCAAGGCCTCTCAGAGGTGGCCTTGTTTGCAAAGATCTGAATTAGGCAGGGAGAGGAGCAGGCCTGGGGCAATCAGGGAGGGGCAGTGGCACACTGGGAGCAAGGCAATGTTCCGCGACCCACAGAGGCAGCGCAGTAGCTGTTCCAATCCTGGTCGGAAGACACCCCGGAAATGCCTCAGCAACCGCGCAGCCTTTGATGACCCCGCTGCCTTCCCGCCAATCCTGCATCCAATCAGAGAGCATCCCCACTACACGTGTTGAGCAACGGCCAATCAGAACTGGGATCCGGCCCTCGGCCTGCCTCCCAGGAACTCCGAGCCAATGGCGGCCTGGCACCGGCAGGCCAATCCTGTGCGGCGCGCGTGGGCAGGTCATTGCAGTTGGGCGCTCAGCAGCTGTGGCAGCCGGTTGAGGTCTGGAAGTAGCGTTGGGCTGAAGCAGCGGAGTTCGCCATGGTAAGACCCGGGTCACTCCCGCCCCGCAGATGCCCAGGCAGACGAAGTTGGCCTCGGGTGGACAGAGGGACGTTGTTGCGGGCCTGGGCGCTGAGAGGAGGCCAGAGAAGGACGCAGGGTCTAGTGCGGGACAGGAGGACACGGGATCGTTTCCTGGATCTGCAGGTCCCAGGGCAGGGACGGCGGCTTTTGTTTTAGATGAAGCTGCCGGCCTTTAGTGGACGGGGACCATTGACGGTATCCCGTCCCCCAGAGAGCAAATAGTGGCGTCGCCTCCTGAAGACAGGAGGGCGCTGCTCCCGCTTCACACGTCTTTGTGCTACTGGAAACAGCTGAGGAGCTGCAGGAGCCTTCGGTGACGGGGGTTGGGGCTGTGGACATTGGTCAGATGAGGAATTAAGGCTCAGACGCTGCTGCAACATTGCCTTGTTCACCTAAAGGCAACCGTTAGGCCAGGCGCGGCGGCTCACGCCTGGAATCCCAGCCCTTGGGGAGGTGGAGGCGGGCGGATCCCCTGATGTCTGGAGTTCAAGATCAGCCCGACCAACATGGCGAAACCCAGTCTCTACAAAAAAATACTAAAATTACCCGGGCATGGTGATGCGAGTCTGTGGTTCCAGCTACTCGGGAGGCTGAGGTGGGAGGATCAGCCGAGCCTGGAACTTTGAGGCTGCAGTGAGTCGTGATGGCGCCAGTGCACTCCAGCCTGGGCCACAGAGACCCTGCCTCAAAAAACCAAACAAAAAAAGCAGCCCATTAACATAACAGATTCCCAAGTCCCAAGTCTGAATAGCTGTGATTTGTCAGTTATCCTTTTTTTCCTTTCTTTTTCTTTTTTCTTTTCTTTTCTTTTTTTTTTTTTTTTGAGACAGCACTCAATAAATGCTCTGTTGCCCAGGCTGGAACACAGTTGCAAGATCACGGCTCCCTGCAGCCTTGAACCCCTGGCTTCCAGCAGTCCTCCCGCCTCAGCCTTCCGAGTAGCTGGTACTACAGGTGTGTGCCACCACACCTGGCTAATTTGTAAATTTTTCATAGGGACAGGGACTCACTATGTTACCCAGGCTGGTCTCAAACTGGTCCCAAGTGATCCTCTCACCTCAGCCTTCCAAAGTGCTGGGATTACAGGAATGAGCCACCACACCCAGCTTGGCAGAGTTTAAAGAAACCACCAAAGGACAGTGCAGTGTCCCAGCACTGATGATGTCTGGGAGCCATTACACCCGTAGGCTTCAAGGGGTAGAGAGAGGGCGTGGTTACAAGAAATTAGGAGGGTAGTTTTATGAAGAGGGCAGCCTGCCAAAAGTGTAGCCTTGAGAGGGATTCAGGTCACCCACAGCAGTTGAGCAGGAAGGGGCCAAGGAGGGAGTACCCTGGCACTGCTTTCCTCCAGCCCCCCAGTATCCCACTGCTGCCTGCCATTGACCAAACCAGCAAGAAGCCAGAGGGCGAGGAAGGCCTCTGATGCTGTTCTCAAGGGTCAGCCTTCGAGAGCACAGAGCAGGTGGTGAATGATGGACGGGGTAGAACTGGGGGGCAGAGAGAGGACACACACTGAGCACCTGGGCTTGGACCATGGTGACCTGGGACCTACTCTGTATTTCCTTACCCAACCCGACTACCTTATCCTTTGATCAGGACATAATCAAAAACTGCTACTTATTCTTCAGAGAATTACTGTGACGGGCTATAATGTGGGGTTGATTATTGACATTAAATGGCTTCCAAGTTTTAAAATAACCTAAGTTTTGTGTAGTGGCAAACAGGTTCTAGGGCTACTTCTAGAACTTACTAGCTAGTATGGTTTACAGCAATTAGTTTTCACAGCGATAAAGGGATCAGTCACTAACCCTCCTAGGAAATATCGATTGTGAAAGCGCCAGATACTGAAGCACTATATAAATATTAAATTAGAATATTTTGCATGCCATATAGTTTCAAGTTGCCTTGAAATGAATGGGTTCACATTTATGTTCCGGTTCACAGCGCGAGTGTATCTCTATCCACGTGGGGCAGGCGGGTGTCCAGATCGGCAATGCCTGCTGGGAACTGTACTGCCTTGAACATGGAATTCAGCCCGATGGTCAAATGCCAAGTGATAAAACCATTGGTGGCGGGGACGACTCCTTCAACACGTTCTTCAGTGAGACTGGAGCTGGCAAGCACGTGCCCAGAGCAGTGTTTGTGGACCTGGAGCCCACTGTGGTCGGTAGGTGCCTGGGCACTGGATGGCAGCTTTCCTGAGAGGGTGGGAGAGCATTGGTAAAGCCCCGTGTGGGCTCCTTTGAATCCTCCTGCTGAAAGGATGGGATAGACAGGCATATGCCCATGGCATTGTTAGGAGAGAAACTGAAAGGTTTGTGATGAAAGTGTCTGTGAGACTCGGCTCCTAATTTAGGAAAACCTGACCTACAGGGAAAAGCTGCTTTGCCAGCAGTAAGATGGGCTGTGAAGAGATTCCCTCATGGCTGCCTCAGCCCTGCTCAGGTGGCCCTGCCTGCAGGGTGCAGTGGCATTGGTTCCCTCCCGAATGCTGTGCATTCTCTTATGCTGGTGCACGAGAGTCTTGACCTGCATCTTAGGCATAGAAGGTAAGTACAGAACAGTCATTTGCTTCCTTCAGATTCGCAGCCTGAGGTAGTTTCCAAGGAGAGCTACAAAGAGGCAGCACCTTTCAGTGGCCCCCCAGGAGATGACAGCATCACCTGAAAGCCTGTGGGACCCAGGTCATCCAGGGTGCCCTGATGGGACTGCCCTGCAGAAGTCACACTGACCTGGTGACTGCCCAGGTTGTAAGAGTTTTTAACTTACAGCCTTTGATGTAGCTACACGTAGGAAAGAATTATGTACCTGAGTAGGAGTGCAAGAGCTTATTTCCTTTCACTGGGAACTGGTCGTGCTGACATTTATACCACAAGCTGAGTTTAACGTCGTAGAGTCATAAATTGCATATGCAGTTTGGTTATCACACAGAGACATTTTCTACCAGACACTGCCACTGTTGACCTATGACATGTAGGTCATGTACTTTGAACAGCATGTGCTCTGTAGAAGTGAACACTCCTGGAATGTGTCCATCTTGGTGAGTACAGGCCTTAAAAATTCACAGTACACACTGTCTCTTTTGCAGATGAAGTGCGCACAGGGACCTACAGGCAGCTCTTCCACCCAGAGCAGCTGATCACCGGGAAGGAAGATGCAGCCAGTAATTACGCCAGGGGCCATTACACCATCGGCAAGGAGATTGTTGACCTAGTCCTGGACCGGATCCGCAAACTGGTAAGAAGAGAAGGTTTCATGTGGCCATTGTCTTGCATGGGAGGGGTAGTTCTTGGAATGTGAAAGGGAAGTCATTTTATCAACACTTAGACCAGCATCTTGGCCGGGCGCGGTGGCTCACACGTGTAATCCCAGCACTTTGAGAGGCTAAAGCAGGTGGATTACCTGAGGTCAGGAGTTTGAGACCAGCCTGGCCTACATGGTGAAACTCTATGTCTACTAAAAATACGAAAATTAGCTGGGTGTGGTGGCACACACCTGTACTGCCAGCTACTTGAGAGGCTGAGGCAGAAGAATTGCTTGAACTCGGAAGGTGGAGGTTGCAGTGAGCTGAGATTGCACCACTGCACTCTAACCTGGGCAACAGAGCAAGATTCCGTCTCAAACAAACAAGCAAAAACTTAGACCAGCATCTTGAGTCCTACTGAGTCTGCAATGGTGATTTGTCCGTAGATCTTTGCTTTTCTTTGCTTCAAAGTGTATTGCATGTTTATTATGGATGATTTGAATCCATATCAACTCTTTAGAGGCAAAGAGAAGCGGCCCTGGCTTGTTGGAGGTTGGTGGTGTGGCTTCCACGGGCATTGGCTCACGTTGTCTGGTTTCTCTCAGGCGGATCTGTGCACAGGACTGCAGGGCTTCCTCATCTTCCACAGCTTTGGGGGCGGCACTGGCTCTGGGTTCGCATCTCTGCTCATGGAGCGGCTCTCAGTGGATTACAGCAAGAAGTCCAAGCTAGAGTTTGCCATTTACCCAGCCCCCCAGGTCTCCACAGCCGTGGTGGAGCCCTACAACTCCATCCTAACCACCCACACGACCCTGGAACATTCTGACTGTGCCTTCATGGTCGACAATGAAGCCATCTATGACATATGTCGGCGCAACCTGGACATTGAACGTCCCACGTACACCAACCTCAATCGCCTGATTGGGCAGATCGTGTCCTCCATCACGGCCTCCCTGCGATTTGATGGGGCCCTGAATGTGGACTTGACGGAATTCCAGACCAACCTCGTGCCGTACCCCCGCATCCACTTCCCCCTGGCCACCTACGCCCCAGTCATCTCAGCTGAGAAGGCCTACCACGAGCAGCTGTCTGTGGCCGAGATCACCAATGCCTGCTTCGAGCCAGCCAATCAGATGGTCAAGTGTGACCCTCGCCATGGCAAGTACATGGCCTGCTGCATGTTGTACAGGGGGGACGTGGTCCCCAAAGACGTCAATGCGGCCATCGCCACCATCAAGACCAAGCGCACTATCCAGTTTGTGGATTGGTGCCCGACTGGATTTAAGGTATGACTGGGTGACATGGAGGCCTTTCAGCAAGCAGCAGATGCACAAAATAACACTGGCCTTGAAGGCCCACATCCTTTGGGGAGACTATCCCTGTTCCATGGGCTAGGCATGTGGGCATAAGTTAGTGAACCAGAGTTGATAATTGATTCAGTGATTTTTTTTTTTTTTTTTTTTTTGAGACAGTCTTGCTCTGTCGACCAGGCTGGAGTGCAGTGGTGCGATCTCAGCTAACTGCAACCTCTGCCTCCCGGGTTCAAGCAATTCTCTGGCCTCACCCTCCCAAGTAGCTGGGATTACAGGTACCTGCCACCATGCCCGGCTAATTTTTGTATTTTTAGTAGAGACGGGGTTTCGCCATGTTGGACAGGTTGGTCTTGAACTCCTGACCTCAGGTGATCTGCCTGCCTCAGCCTCCCAAAGTGCTGGGATTACAGTCGTGAGCCACTGCGCCCAGGTCAGTGATGTCTTTTGAACTCTTTCTGAGTCATCACACTATATATCTGTGGTGAGCTTTATTTATTTATTTATTTTTTGAGACAGGGTCTCGCTTTGTCTCTCAGGCTGTAGTAGTGTGATCCTGGCTCACTGCAACCTCTGCCTCCCAGACTCTAGCGATTCTCTCACCTCAGCCTCCCAAGTAGCTGGGAACACAGACATGTACCACCATGCCCGGGTAATTTTTTTTTTTTTTTGAGACAATCTTGCTCTGTCGTCCAGGTTGGAATGCAGTGGCACGATCTTGACTCACTGCAACCTCCACCTCCCGGGTTCAAGCACTTCTCTGCCTCAGCCTCCCAAGTAGCTGGGATTACAGGCACCTGCCACCACGCCTGGCTAATTTTTGTATTTTTAGTAGAGATGGGATTTTGCCATGTTGGCCAGGCTGGTCTCAAACCCCTGGCCTCACGTGATCTGCCCGCCTGTCTCCCAAAGTGCTGGGGTCACAGGCTTGAGCCACCACACCTGGCCTGATGTTGTCATTTATAGAACGAGTTTGCTGATCCCTGCTCTAGTTGACCCTGTGCACTGCTGCCAGGACCTCAGGTCATGTTATTACCGAGTTCTGAAACTTGGAATGCTTCCCCTTTGGTTACCACCTTGGAATGTCACCCCCTACTTAGGCAGGCACATGGACCACTTCGACCACTTCCTGCTGCTGTGGTAGCAGCATTCATATGACTCTTGACCCATGATCTGCTACCTTTGCATATCCACAGTGGCTTGTTTTGTGGGTCAGAAGTGGGTATGATGTTCCTTGTGATAGCATGGGCAAGAGTTGTGTACTCTGAATCTATCTGGGTGGAAGAAGTTTAGCTACAGAATTTAATTGTAATCTACAAAGAAGACAAGCAGCATACATTTTCAGAGGGAAGACTGTCTTCACCTGGGCACCTATCACATGTCACAGGTACTAGGACACAGCCCTTTAGGTAGCTTGGGATCCCACCAGGGTGGCTACCTCCAAGGTTCCTTTCTCTATTCCTCGTCTGGAACTATCACCCTGCCTGGTGCAGAGAAGGGCTTAGTGACGTTTGTGAGGTGAACTGAGCATTCTCCGTGTCACCTACAGGGTGTCTTCTGTTTGAGGAGAAGTAGCTACCATTTCTAGGTTTGATATAAGCTTCACGGACTGCTTTCTTTCCCTTCTCTGGCAGGTGGGCATTAACTACCAGCCCCCCACAGTGGTCCCCGGGGGAGACCTGGCCAAGGTGCAGCGGGCCGTGTGCATGCTGAGCAACACCACGGCCATTGCGGAGGCCTGGGCCCGCCTGGTCCATAAGTTCGATCTCATGTATGCCAAGTGGGCCTTTGTGCACTGGTACGTGGGCGAAGGCATGGAAGAGGGAGAGTTCTCTGAGGCCCGCGAGGACCTGGCAGCTCTAGAGAAGGATTGTGAAGAGGTGGGCGTGGATTCCGTGGAAGCTGAGGCTGAAGAAGGCGAAGCATACTGAGGGGAGGGTGTGGTGGGTTCTCCCCTGCCACCCCTAGGATGGCTGCTTTCAAGTTGTTTGCAATTAAAGATTCTGTATAAAACCAAGACCTCTGAGTGTCATGCAGCTTAGCTCTGCCTACAGGAGCTGGTGGGACCCCAGAGCCTGCATGGACAGCGGTGGGGTGCCAGCCTGCCCTGCTGGCGTGGGGTTGGGTGCAGCAGGACTGTACATAAGCAGCTGCCACAGAAGTAACCTGACCAGGGGAAAATAGTGTTTCTTCAAAGCCAGGCGTTCAATGTATAGATTTCCTAAATTCTAGGAAAGCTGAGTCAGGGTTTTCAACTGAATTTGTGATTTTTCGGGCTTCTTTATTGATGGGTCATGCTGGCTAAAAGGGAGCATGAAGTGTTGGAGGTCTGTGGATGGGGCTTGTCCATGAAGTCTCTAAAGCTGTGGGTCAAATATGTAAGGTCAGGACATTTTAGAGGGGGAAAGAATATTAACCGAGTTCCACACAGCATTCGTGACCCACAGAAGGTCACAACACACCCATGCTGACCCCAGTGCTCCACGGTAACCTGGAAGGCAGCGTTCGCCCTCTGTGCGCACACACAGCCACCCTGTCCCTCAGCACTGTCAACTGCCTTGGTAGAAAACCTCCCATGAGGTGGGAGATCGAGACCAACCTAGCTAACACAGTGAAACCCCGTCTCTACTAAAAATACAACAAAATTAGCCGGGCGTGGTGATGGGCACCTGTAGGCCCAGCTACTTGGGAGGCTGAGGCAGGAGAATGGCGTGAACCCAGGAGGCGGAGCTTGTAGTGAGCCGAGATCGCACCACTGCACTCCAGCTTGGGTGACAGAGCAAGACTCCATTTCAAAAAAACCAAAAAAACCTCCCACATTTCACTTCAAGTGAAGCTTGTTGACGTCTATTTATAAAAGACCTGGCAATCCAGATGCCTTTTCTCAGAACCCAAATCAGGTTCAGGAAGTTGACCCATGGTGAAGGGACCTGGTTAGTTCACTGTGGCACAACCAGGACCGGCACAGAAACTTCATTCTAAGTGTGCCTTAATATAAAAAAAAAAACAAAAAAAAAAAACGGTAGACAACATCTGACCTGGACCCTCTGCATCTCAGAAAGGTTTATTATCAATTGAAGGAGGTAACATGTAGCCTTTGCTGGGGACAAAGATGCAACAAGTCTCTGCCCCATCCTAGGTGCTGCCCCGTGTAGGGCTCTTCCCAGGCCCGCCCCCCTTGGGCAGCCTGGTAGCGCTGGGCTGGCGTGGCATCCTCTGGCTGGATCCTTCGCGGCTGCTGCGTTCCGCCAGGGCCAATGCTCCCCCGAGGGCAGCGCTGCCTTTGTTTCTCCCTGAGGAGACACAAAGCACAATGATTAGGAATGGGCGTGCCCCGTAACTGCAGCACCTGCTGTACTCGTGGTCCTTGGGCAACATTTGTGTCTGCACATTTCCATCAAAGTCCCTTCAGCTAGAGGCCCTGCATCAGCCCCAAGTCCTGAGACTCAGAACCACTAAAGACAGGTCACGCCCCAGAAGCCCTTCGCAGTGTGCAGGGGACCCTTTTGGATGTGTCCTAGGAGCAAAGCCATGCAAGGAGCACACTGCCAAGGGAACATTTTGAAAGGACACATGCCACGGGCCCATTTAGGGAAAGGTAGGTGTGCTGGTCCACACCTAGCCTGGTCAGCAAACCTAGTCTGCCCTGATGGTGCCATCAGCGGCGGCAGCAGCAGGGATGCGCTGCCTCATCCTCAAGGTGTGTTCATGCTGGACTGCACATCTGAGCTGCCCTAGATGGTGACAGGCAGGAAGTACTGCAGTCACCAAGTCCTGGAATTGGGTTTCTGATTTTGATTTTGGAAGCTCTTTCATTGTTTCCTACCTACCCGAGTGTTCTGCAGTGGTCAAGCCTCTTGCTTTCGGGTTTAGCTGCCAGATTCCATGACAGGGTTCCTGCCACAGTCTGAATGCTTGAGACTTTCCTTCTGACCACCAGAGGCTCTCTTGGATGAAGACCACTGGTTCAGAGTTTCTTTGATTTGTAATTTGCTTACTTTACTCTTTAAGATAGCCAAGAAAAATCTGCAACCACACTTGGGCCAGACCTTTATTTTAATGGGATGGATTTCCCTGGGCTCAGGGTGTTGACAGCATCGGCAAGACTGAGAGGACCCTCCAAGGTACAAACGTGCCCGGGTAGCAGGCTTGCCCGTGGGGTCACAGACCCCCATGTGGAGTGCCTTGGCCAGGGCTCTCCCCTGCTCTGGCCTGGCAGGGTCTGGCCTGTGGGCTCTAAACAGGGCATGTGTCCCCTGCCTGACTCAGTGTTGGGTCCCCCATTTCATCCCCCCAGTGTTTCCTTTGTCCTGACTGAGGAAGTGCCTTGACTACTCTGACCTAATCAGCTACATGTTCCCCCTGCAGGCTCAAACCCTGGCTGGGGCTTGCATGTTACCAGACACTGATACACGTTTAGGTTGTTGCCTGGAACACTGAAAGATCTGACATGTTGCTAAGCACGTGGAAACTGGTCCCACCCCAGCCAAATTCCTTGCACCCTCATAGAAACTCCACACCCCACCCCCTCAGTGCGGTGTGCCTAGGCACAACCTCTTTCCTGGCTGTCCCTCGTGAGGGTACACTGCAGCCCCCTCTGTATGTAAGCTCCCTAACAAATGCTTTGGACTGACCACCCTGGCATTAAGTGTTTCTTCCTTTGGAATCCCAACTGGCTCTCATCCTGGAAAGGTTTGGGGCAGTCCCTTGCAGGAACTCCCCTGCCATCACTTTTAGGGTGACTCCAGACAAGGGTTCAGCCAACAGAACACCCAGCCTCAATCCTGGTCCTTCCCTGGCCTCTTATCAAGTGTAGTCAAATACCCTGCAATGGGAAACTGGATTCCTGGAGAAAAGATGCAACCGGGTGTCTAGAGATCCATTAGGTCATTTCTGTTTCACCATCTGTCACCCTGAACAAGCAGAGACTCCTGTGTCTGAGATGCCGTGGACCCCCGCTCTTCCAGAGGTACCTCCAGCTCCCTTTCTATGCTAATACCAGAAAATTCTCCCCATACCCTGCAGGGATAGGACGGCCCTCCTTTTGAGTTTCCGGGGAGTTCTTCCTCAGAGAATGAGATCTTTGCTCATTCTTGCCTGGTGGTGGTGAGGGTTACAGCGGTGTCATGCTTGGAACTCTGTCAGCTTGTCACACTTGACTCAACAAAGATGGAGTCAGGGTTGCCCTGAGCCAAGGAGGAGCGCAGTCAGGAACACGTGGTGGGTGATGATTGGCCACCTCAGCCCAGCAGTGACTCGTGAAAAAGGCACAAAGCAGACAATAGCCACCACGCATCTCTTGTGGTACAAACTGCCATAATTCTAGTCCCCACTGACTGGTCAAGGGGCAAGGATTCTGTCTTCCATGAGCAGACGGGCCCCGCCACCCTGCAGCAGCTCCCACACTGGGCCAGCATCCTCCTCTGAGGCCACAGTCCCTCCGCAGGCCAGGCCAGACAGAGTCAGATCTTCTGTAGCCGCAGCCTAATCTGGGTGCTTAGGTGCCCATGCGCTCTCAGCTCCCCACAGCACGCAGCATGGCAGGCCGCAGACTTGGGCCTGACTCAGAGTCGGCTTCCCTTCAGCTTGCTGCCATCTGAGCTTCCTCTCCTCCCCTCAGCAATGACCCAGTCCCTTCTGGAAACAAGGATGAGAGGGAAGCAGAAAAGAGCAAATAATGCTTTTTTTTTTTTTTGAGTGGTGGGGGAGGGGGGTTTAGAGACTGAGTCTTGCTCTGTCACTTGGTCTAGAGCACAGTGATGCAATCACAGTTCATTGCTGCCCCAAACTCACGGCCTGGAGGGATCTTCCTGCCTCAGCCTCCGATGTAGCTGGGACTACAAGCATGGGGCCACACCTGGCTAATAATGCTTATCTTTAAATCTGACAGGGTTGACAAACCCTGGAAATGTGAAACCAACATAACTTTAAGCCATAACTGATACTAAGAAAATCCTGGAAATCTTCAGGAATTGTGCGCTCTCAGGGTTAGTGGGGAGCCCTGTTCAGGCCTCCTCACTTTATGAAGGATGAGAAGGCCCAGAATAGAATGGCCTGCAGTGCCTTGCAGTGGGGAAACCAGCTTTGCTTAGCCCTGCTCCCTCGGGAGGGGCTACTGAGTCAGACGGGCTAGACAGTGGGATTGAACCAAGTGTGGCTGCAGGTTGGGGTGTGAGGGCGGGGTGACTGATGCCCCTACGCCTGGTCCCTGGAGGGCCCTCCTAAACGCCAAAGATAGTCAATGACCATTGAATGTTGAAAACAGCCTGGCTCAGCAGGGGTCAGTGGCTCATGCCTGTAATTCCACTACTTTGGGAGGCCAAGGCGGGAGGATCCTTTGAGGCCAGAAGCTAGAGACCAGCTGGGACAACACAGTGAGACCTCCATCTCTACAAAAAATTAAAAAATTAGCCACGTGTGGTAGTGTGCACCTGTAGTCCCAGCTACTCAAGAGGAGGTGGGAGGATTGTCTGAGCCCACGAGGTTGAAGCTGCAGTGAGCTATGAGTGTGCCACTGCACTCCAGCCTGGGTGACAGAACAAGACTGTCTCAAAAATAAATAAATAAATAAAAAGTAAAAGAAAATGCAGAATTAGCTCAAATACTTTAATCTAAAATATCCAACGTATTATTTCAATACGTAATCAGTACATAAGTTATTCATAAGATGTTGCATTCACCTCTGTTCTTTTTCTTGTTTCTTTGTAGAAATGGGTGGGGTCTTGCTATTTTGCCCAGGCTGGTCTCAAACTCCGAGCTTCAAGTGATGATCCTGCCTCAGCCTCCCAAAGTGCTGGGATTACAGGTGTGAACCAATGCCCAGCCTCATTCACTTTGGGGTTTTTTGTTTATTTTTGAGACAGGGTCTCACTCTCTCACCCAGGCTGGAGTGCAGTGGTGCAGTCACAGCTCACTGCAACCTCAACCTCCCAGGCTCAAGCAATCCTCCAACCTCAGCCTCCCAAGTAGCTGGAACTACAGATGTGTGCCACCATGCCCTGCTAATTTTTGTGTTTTGTAGAGATTGGGTCTCCCTGTGTTGCCCTGGCTAGTCCTGAACTGCTGAGCTCAAGAGATCCAGTAGCTGTGGACTCCCAAGGTGTGGTGGGTTTTTTGCATTCCCTTTTGTACCGGTCATTTGGCATCTGCTGTGCATACCACACGCAGTGCAATGACCATGCCAGCCATGTGTGGCTCAAGGTTCCTGTATCAGGCAGCACAGCTCAGGTGAGATGGCTTCCACACTCCAAACGTCATCTTACATGCATGCTCTGGACAACTTTTAAAACGTATAGTTTCTCTAAACTTAAATAGAACGCTTGACTGAATTTATTTTTCCCTCAATGACTCCAGACTCTCACCAAGACAAGCATTGCCCCTCTGTGCTTCTGGGGTTTTCTATTTCCCCTTCCCTGTGGGTATGAGTGAATCTGGTGGTGGTTGTCCCCACAGGCTGTCTGGATGGCTGGGGGACAGGCATCCAGAGGACCCAGGGTGCCTGCTGCAGCTCAGAGGCAAGCTTGAGAGGGCCTGGCCCACAGCCTGGAGAACTCCACACCCGAGTCCTGTGGGAAACCTATGGCCTCCATGCCCCCCAGCCGGATCACTCCAACAACCCCCCTTATGTCCTCCACCCCAGATTCTGCCATTACCAGGGCAGCCGGAGCTCTGTGTGGTCAGATGCTGTAACATGTGGGCCTCAGAGAGCTCTCAGCATTCCATCTGTGGCCTCTGCTTCTCACTCAGCAGCACACTCCTGGTGTGGCCCCACATCTGCCCCATTCCCCTCCACCTCCTCCTCAGGTTCCACTCTATCTCCACAGGGCCTCGGTGCCCTCATGTCCTGGCTTTCTGCCACCCAGCCTACAGGACCTGGGCTATGCTTCCAGGACAGAGCCCTCAAGGAACAAATGACCCTGAGGGTCCCAGCACTCCAGGCCACTCCTGTCCTTGGGTAAATTCTCTCGGAGCCCCCATTCGCTCACACAGCACCCCCTAATCCTCCTGGCCCCTCTATGCCTGCATTTCCAGTGCCACAACCCTCACATACATCTTGACCGTGCCCCCCCACCTGCCTCCTCCCGCCCCCGGCCTACCAGCACCTGGACAGCGCTCTGCCTCACCCACGCCCTCCCACTGCCCCAGCTCACACGTGTGGGGCTCTGCCGACCCCCCTCCTGCTGTAACCCTTGTTACCCCCCTGTGTAACCCTTGCTGCTCTCTGGGCTCTGAAGCCTCCTCCCATCTCCATTGCTAGCGGTTTTTCTTTTTTTTTTTTTTTTGAGACAGGGTCTTGCTCTGTTGCCCAGGCTGGAGTCCAGTCACAAGCTCTTGGCTCACGGCAACATCCCCCTCAGGCTCAGGCGATCCTCCCACCTCAGCCTCCCAAGTAGCTGGGACTACAGATGGGCGCCACCACCATGCCCACCTGGCTAGTTTTTTTTTTTTTTTGAGACGGAGTCTCGCTCTGTCCCCCAGGCTGGAGTGCAGTGGTGTGATCTCGGCTCACTGTAAGCTCCACCTCCCAAGTTCACGCCATTCTTCTGCCTCAGCCTCCCGAGTAGCTGGGACTACAGGCACCTGCCACCACGCCCAGCTAATTTTTTTTGTATTTTTAGTAGAGACGGGGTTTCACCGTGTTAGCCGGGATGGTCTCAATCTCCTGACCTCGAGATCCGCCCGCCTCGGCCTCCCAAAGTGCTGGGATTACAGGCGTGAGCCACCGCGCCCAGCCCTGCCTGGCTAGTTTTTGTATTTTTTGTAGAGATGGGGTCTTGCTATGTTGCCCAGGCTGGTCTTGAACTCCTGAGCTCAAGGGATCCACCTGCCTTGACTTCCCAAAGTGCTGGGATTACAGGTGTGAGCCACCACACTGGTCTCGCTGGTGGTTTTCCTCACTGCCTCTCACTGGGCTCTGAGTGTGATCATCTCACTTCCCTGCCACACCCTCTGCCCTGAGAGCTAGGCCTGGCTCCCAGAGCCCTGAGTGAGTGCTGAGTGAGCAGCAACATCCCCTGGAGTGACAAGGACTCTGTTCCCAGTTTCTCCCTCCTGCTGGACACTTGCCCCTCAATTGCTCATCTCAGCCTGCAGTGCATACACCCCTACTCCAGGCCTGTCCCTCAGCCCCTCTCCACCCTCCCTTGGGTCCGAGCTCTGGGTGGCAGTGAGGTGGGCGCTGTCAGGAAGTGCACGCAGGAGGTGCAACCAAAGACCCCTGGGCTCTCACAGGACCCTGGCTCTGAGCCCCTGATCACACCTGCTGACACCTGGAAAGTGTGCTAACTCAGGAGTGAGGTGGGCAAGGGGGCTGAGTGCTGGAGTGTGGCCACGGGGCCAGCATATGGCATCTGTGTGGCACTGCCCAGGAGACTCTGGGAAGGTGGGAGTCTCTGTTTCAGCCTCCAGACTTCCTGTCCAGATAAGGGACAACTTCTAAGAGGCCGAGGTGTTTGTCACGCCTGGGGCTGTGCTCTCCAGCACAGCACACCGCACTCTGGCCGGCTGTCTTCCCTTGGAGAGGGGCTCTTTACACTCACCACAGTTCGCCTCTGGGGTGTGGGGGTGTTGGTCCTGTCCCCAGATGCCAGCCCGACTGTGGGGTCTAGAGACTGCCACACTATGTCTCTAATAAACCGAGTCAGAAATCGTGCCCTGTGGCTAAGCGGCAGGGCAGCGATGGCCTGCATGGTCCTGCCCTTGGAGCTCAAAGCTGCTTGGGCCTCCTGGGGCCAGGCAGTTTCCATGGAAACAAGGGAGAGCACCAACCCCCAGAGATAAGCCAATAAACGCAACCTGCAAAAGGAGAGAACAGGCAGCAAGAGAGGCGGAGGGAACCCGGGGGGCCTGGAGAGAGAGGCGAGTGTGTGGCAGCCGGGCTGTGGAGCAGAACCGGAGAGGCCGCAGGCTGCGGGCTGGAGGAAAAGGAGGGCCTTGCAGGGGGGCTACTGTTCCTGGCAGAGAGAAAGGAGGCCTCTGGAGGTCAGAGAGAGACACAAAGAGAGCAGACAGAGCGAAGGTCAGTGAAGAGGCCAGCACGCAGGTGCCCGGGCCCTCTTGGGTCAGCGGGTGTGGGTGCCCAGGCCCTGGCACTCCCCCCATGAAGGCAGCCTGCTCTCCACGCCTTCTCAGGATGCCTGTGCGGGTCTCCTCGTGCTTCCAGGCAGGGAGCCAGCTCTGGGCCTTCTTCCATTGGCCTAGGAGGTTGTGCTGCATTTCAGAGAGAGCCATCGGGAGCAGAAGCAACATGCGGAGAGGATGAGCAGGGACAGAGGCTCCACCATGACACTCTCAGTCCCAGAATCTCCTCAGCCCAGTCACCACACTGGAGAGGGAGGAGGCCCTTCAGACCCCGCAGGCCTCTGCACCCTGGGAGTTCCGCGTCTGACTCTCTTCCTGCAGTCATCAGAGGGAAAGCTGACCAGGACTGGCCAAGCCCCTGCGCAGGAACTGGGCCCAGGTGGGGTAAAGGCAGGAAGACCTCTGCCTGCCCTGGTCCCTGGGCACTTCCCTGGATGCTGTATACCACAGGACAGAGATCGAGACTGTCTTTTGAAAAACATTTAGAGACAGGATCTCACCCTGTCACCCAGAGTGGTCTAAAACTCATGGCCTCAAACGATCCTCCCGCCCTGGGGTCCCAAAGATTATAGGCGTGAGCCAGGGCGCCCAGCCCCAAACTGTCTTGATTCCCGACGTTGTAGGATGAAGGCCTGAGTGAAGAGGTGGAGGGGAGCTAAGCGGAGGAGCCCTACCCAGCCTGGACCACCCTGGGGTACGCACTCTGCGTCCACCTGACCTGGACGTGCCTCCTAAGGCTGGCAGCGAAGCCCAGGAGCAGAGCCCACGGATGGGCCCTGCAGGTGCTGGGCCTAGACCGACAGACAGGCCTGGCCACTCAGGGCCACGCCGCCGCTGTGCCGCGCCTGCCCCCTCCCCGCCCGCCACCCCCGCCACTGGGGCAGGGACAGCGGGCCCAGCTCTGACCTCGGGTCTCGGGCACGCTCGACGTGGGCAGAGACACGGCCGCAGGGTCCTGGGGCTCGCTCGCTAGCCTCTGCCCGGCACACATGGACTTGAGCATCTGGAAGACGGCGAGGGGGGCCACGTTCAGCTTCAGCAGGTCCACCAGGATCCTGGCGGGGACAGACGCGGGGCCGGTGAGCCCTCTCCGCCCGGCGCGGCCACCTCCCTGAAGACCCGACAAGGACGGGGGCGGGGGCTCCTCCCGACCAGCGGGCCGGGCGTACCCGGAAAGCAGAGGTCGGGGGGTGTCTGGCTAGCATGCGGCCCCCACCCGCCCCGCTCACTTGAACACGTCGGGGTCGATAGCGCCGCCCGCCGCCTGCGCCAGCTCGTACAGCTCCATCTCCTCGGTGCTCAGCACCTTCTTCCGCCGCAGCGCCAGCTTCTGCCGGGCCGCCTCCAGCCCCGGGGGCGCCGCCGACCCCGGCCCAGGCCCTACGCCCTGCGCCGCCATCCCCGCGGCCCGCGGAAAGGTGCGCTCCGCCCCGCCGCGCCCCCTAGCGGCTGCGCCCACCACCCTCTCCCTGCAGCGTCAACGTCTGGCCTCCCGGGCTGCCCTGGCGGGAGGGGCGGGAGCGCGGGGACGGGGCCGCCTCCGCGGCGTCATTGAAGCCCAACAGTTATTGGGCGCTCACGGTGTGCTGAGCGGCGCTCTAGGAGCCGGGAGTGGCATGGCGGACCGCAGGGGTCCGCTGCTTGGCGATCTGGGCCTCCCTGATAGACTGCATTGGTCGTGCTCGCTTAGGTGGCAGCACCCAGCCCAGTGCCAGGCATACATTGGGCGCTCGGTAAATGCCTCTTTCAAGAAAGCGTGCAATTTTCTGGTCCGCACCGGTGCACCACTAGGGGTCGCTTTTCGGGGCGGGCGGGGGGAAGGGGGGGGCACTAATCAACAATACTGCTTACGCGCACGCGGATTCCTTGCTGGGGAGAAAGTACCTTGGGGCGCCGGAGGCCGCCACAACGCAGGCGCATTCAGCTAAGGACCACTCCCTCCCCCGCACTCCTGCCTCGCCATTTCTCTTCCCCGCCCGGCCGGCCTTCGCTTTGCGCACGCGCCTTTTGAGGTAACGGCCCAAAGAGGTGGAAGCGCTTTTCCCGCCCGGCCGCGGGGCGTGGCTCTGCGCGCAGCTTGATGACGACTTTCGGCGCCGTGGCGGAATGGCGGCTTCCATCTCTGAGGCGAGCGACGCTATGGATCCCACAGGTGAGTGGCGCGGGATGCGCGCCTGAGACGGTCCGGCGCCCTGGGGGCTTCCCCGAGCCCCTGCGGAGGCCATCTCCGTTCCTCCGCGAGCCCCAGGACTCGGGCCGGCCAGCCGGCTCTGCCCAGGCAGGGCAGGCTGGGGAGTGGAGGGCCCCGGTTGAGTCTTCTGCCACCCCTCTGGGCCATGCCTTTGTGCCACCTTCCCGCGCGGCTCGTACACTCTGTCCCGGTCCGGTAGGTGTTCGCTGAAGGTTAACCTTCGTTGAAGGAATTGAGGGAAGGAGAGCTTTGTGTTGAAGTTGAGCCTTGGGCTCAACAGGCGGTGTGGGTGTAAGAGCCGGGTGTGGGTCCCAGCTCGACCCTTCCCCTGTGTGCTCCACATCTCCGAGCCTTGGTTTTGGAGGCTCCCGAAGCCCAATTGGCAGGAGAGTTGGGAACAAGTGGGCGCGTGCTGTTAAGGGAGGTCTTGGCATGACAGAATTTGCTTGGAATGATTAGCGTTGCCCAAGGGCTGTCGCTGTCAGAAAAACAAAACAAAACAAAAAACAAACGGGGTCCGAAGCAGCTCCTGGAGAAAATAGGTGTTGGAGAGTCGCCATGAAGTGGACTCTAGGTGCATGGCACGCAGAGACCTGTGACGGGGGAGGGTGGCCATGGCAGAGTCAGATAACAGGGGTGTGGGAGACACCTCTTGGGAATTCTCGGGTTTGAATTTCCTTTCTTGGAAATTTCCTAGAAATTCCTCTGGGCCTCATTCTTTCAGTCGCTGCCCATGAAAGCTTCTTCTGAGCAGAGATGCTCTCCCCTTCATCGTCTCTAGAGCTCCGCACTTACCGAACAGTCCACAGTTTAATGCTGCTTTGATCATTTTGTAGTAGTGCAGCGTTTTCTTGACCAAGTGCCTTAGGACTGAGGCGTTTTTCTTTAACACTGCAGTTGATAGCTAGGTTAAGAATTGAGGCCGGGAGCGGTGACTCACGCCTGTAATCCCAGCACTTTGGGAGGCCCAGGCGGGTGGATCACGAGGTCAGGAGTTCAAGACCAGCCTGGCCAAGATGGTGAAACCTCGTCTCTAGTAAAAAATACAAAAATTAGCCGGGCGTGGTAGCGGGCGCCTGTAATCCCAGCCACTTGGGAGGCTGAGTAAGAGAATTGCTTGCACCCGCGAGGCGGAGGTTGCAGTGAGCTGAGATCGCGCCACTGCACTCCAGCCTGTGCGACAGAGCCCAGAGCGAGACTCCGTCTGAAAAAAGAAAAAGAGAAAGCTGGCCGGGCGCAGTGGCTCACGCTTGTAATCCTAGCACTTTGGGAGGCTGAGGCGGGCGGATCACGAGGTCAGGAGATCGAGACCATCCTGGCTAACACGTGAAACCCTGTCTACTAAAAATACAAAAAACAATTAGCCGGGCGTGGTGGCGGGCGCCTGTAATCCCAGCTACTAGGGAGGCTGAGGCAGGAGAATGGCGTGAACCCGGGAGGCGGAGCTTGCAGTGAGCCCAGATCGCGCCACTGCACTCCACTCTGGGCGACAGAGCGAGACCATCTCAAAAAAAAAAAAAGGAGAAAAAAGAAAAAGCGGCCGGGCATGGTGACTCACGTCTGTAATCTCTGCACTTTGGGAGGCCGAGGAGGGCTGATCACGAGGTCAGGAGTTTGAGACCAGTCTGGCCAACATAGTGAAACCCCATCTCTACTAAAAATACAAAAATTAACTGGATGTGGTGGCATGTGCCTGTAATTCCAGCTACTCGGGAGGCTGAGGCAGGAGAATTGCTTGAACCAGGGAGTCGGAAGTTGCAGTGAGCCGAGATCATGCCATTGGACTCCAGCTTGGCAACGGAGCGAGACTCCATCTCAAAAAAGAATTGAAAAAGTCGGCACTTTGGGAGGCTGAGGCAGCGGATCACTTGAGGCCAGGAATTTGAGACCAGCCTGGCCAGCATAGGGAAACCCGCCTCTACTAAAAATAGAAAAATTAGGCAGCCTGTGGTGGCAGGCCCCTGTAATCCCAGCTACTCGGGAGGCTGAGGCACGAGAACCGTTTGAACTTTGGAGGTGGAGGTTGCAGTGAGATGATGGAGTGAGACTCAGTCAAAAAAAGAAAAAAGAGGCTGGGCGCGGTGGGTCATGCCTGTAAGCCCATCACTTTGGGAGGCCGAGGCAGGCGGATCACGAGGTCAGGAGATCGAGACCATCCTGGCTAATACAGTGAAACCCCGTCTCTACTAAAAATACAAAAAAATTAGCCGGGTGTGGTGGCCAGTGCCTGTGGTCCCAGCTACTCGGGAGGCTGAGGCAGGAGAATGGCGTGAACCCAAGCGGAGCTTGCAGTGAGCCAAGATAGCGCCACAGGACTCTAGCCTGGGCAACAGAGCGAGACTCTGTCTCAAAAAAAAAAAAAAAAAAAGAATTGAAAAAACTTGGGAGATGTTCCTATTGCCGAGAGGCAGAGATTCCTGTCTCCTCTCACTCTACAGCTGCCTACATGGCCTCTTTACACCCAGCCTCTCTTCCTCCACAGACTGCCAGGTGTCACCCCAGTGCCTTTACTTGTGCAGTGGGCAGAGCTGGGCCATGAAAACTGTAACTAGCCCACCAGTGGGACTTGGCAGACTTCCTGTCTGTGAAGTCTAGGTCTGAGCATTTTTCATTTCTGACCTGGGTGAGCTGAGAGGTAGGATTCTGGAAAGCTGATCTTAGTTTTCTTTCTTTTTTTTTCTTTTTTTTTTTCCATTTTTTGAGAGTTTCCCTCTATCACCCCGGCTAGAGTGCAATGGTGTGATCTTGGCTCACTGCAACCTCCGCCTCCTGGGCTCAAGCATTTCTCATGCCTCAGCCTCCCGAGTTGCTGGGACTACAGGTGCCCGCCACCACACCCAGCTAATTTTTATATTTTTAGTAGAGATGGGGTTTTGCCACGTTGGCCAGACTGGTCTCAAACTCCTGGCCTCAAGTGATCTGCCCACCGCGGCCTCCCAAAGTGCTGGGATTACAGGTGTGAGCCATGGTGCCCGGCCTTTGATCCTAGTTTTCTCATGGCTTATTCAAAGGCTCCCTTGGCAGAGCTTGCTCTTCCCCTCCGTTCATTGCATAGTGCACAGGTAATATGGAGGGGATTTGCCCCTGTCTCAGTTTTGTGAGGTGGTGTTTGTATTGGAATCTTGGTTCTGCCACTTACTAGCTGGGTGGGGGTAAGTGAATTATCCCATTTCTGCCTCTCCTTCATCATCTGTACTGACCTGCAGTCATAGTACATCTGTACCCATCGGGTTGTTGTGAGGTTGGTTTTTCTATTCTTGTATGACAAACTTAGCAGCTTAAACCGGCATCCATTTATTATCTCATAGTTATGTATGCAGAAGTCCAGGCATTACAAGATTAAAATCAAGGTGTTGGTAGCTTTGCTCTTATCTGGAGACTCTAGGGAAGAAGCTGCTTCCAGGTTTATTTAGGTTGCTGGCAGAATCCAGTTCCTTGGAGTTGTAGAACTAAGGTCTTTGTTTCCTTGCTGGCTGTCAGCTGGGGACTACTCTGTAACTTAAGGTCCACTAACTTAGGACTCTAATTGGATGTGCAAAATGCCGTCATAGCAGTACCTAGATGAGTATTTGATTGAACAAACAGGGGTCGGGAATCTTGGGCTGCTATCTTTAGAATTCTGCCTACCACTGAGGATTAAATGAGGAGATATATAGAGAGCATTTAGAGCGAGTCCTGGTATATAACAAATGCTGTACAAGCATTACCGAGGATTCAGTACTACAAACTTGGCTCTGAAGCTGGCCACTATGGGCTGCAGGAGAACAGTATTTCTTTTTTTCTTTTTTTTTTTTTTGAGATGGAGTCTTGCTCAGCCTTCTAGGCTGGAGTGCAGTGGTGTGACTCAGCTCACTGCAACCACCTCTCCTGGGTTCAAGTGATTCTCGGGTCTCAGCCTCCTGAGTAGCTGGGATTATAGGCACCCACCATCATGCCCGGCTAATTTTTGTATTTTGGTAGAGACGGGTTTTCACCATGTTAGCCAGGCTGGTCTTGAACTCCTGACCTCAGGTGATCCTCCTGCCTCAGCCTCCCAAAGTACTAGGATTACAGGTGGGAGCCACCATGCCCGGCTGAGAACAGCATTTCTATAAAAGATGGGAATTGCTGGCCAGGCGTGTTGGCTCACACCTGTAATCCCAGCACTTTGGGAGGCTGAGGCGGATAGTTCGCTTGAGTCTGGGAGTTCAAGAGCAGTCTAAGCAACATGATGAAACCCCCATCTTTACAAAAAGTACAAAAATTAGCTGGGCTTGTTGATGTTTGCCTGTAGTTCCCGCTAGTTGGGAGGCTGACGCAGGAGGATCACTTGAGCTCAGGAGTTTGAGGTTGCAATGAGCTATGATCGCACCACTGTACTGCAGCCTGAGTGAGCAAGCAAGAGCCTGTCTCTAATCAATAAGTAAGACATGAGAATTGGCAATGTAATGTGTGTTGCGAATTGGTAATGTAATGTGTGATATTCTCCTGGGCATTGTGAAACTATGTAATATTTTGTTAGGGCCAGGTGCAGTGGCTCACACCTGTAACCCCAACACTTAGGAGGCCAAGGCAGGAGGATCAGTGGAGGCCAGGATCCTGGGCATCACAGCCTGACAAACTAGCCTGGGCAACATAGCGAGACCCTGTCTCAAAAAAGAAGAAAATTAGCCAGGCATAGTGGCACGTGCCTGTACTCAGGAGACTGACGTGGGAGGATTGCTTGAACCCAGGAGTTTGAGGTTGCAGTGAGCTATGATCGTGCTGCTGCATGCCAGCCTGGGCAACAGAACAAGACCCTGTCTCTAAAAAAATAATATAAAAAGATTCTGCTGTGTTACAGATGTTGAGATTTTGTCTTTGTTTTTCCACAGTGGTTTGCTAAGAAGGCCATTTTCAACTCTCCACTGGAGGCTGCTATGGCGTTCCCTCACCTGCAGCAGCCCAGCTTTCTACTGGTAAATATCAACTGCTTGCATGAGTGTCAGTGTGGCCATAGTTCTGTAGATGTGGGACTTGAGTGTTCTTCCCATTGACTTGAAGAACTCTGTAGTGGTTGTTTTTTAGGGGCATGTGATGGAAACAATGGCAGACTCCTTAACTTGACTGTGCCTCCTTATTACTACAGGACCTTGGGGTTACTCAACTTCTGGGCTCTGGGTTTTCTCACACAAGTTCATTCAAATTCTATTTTCTCTACTTCCCAAGGGTGTGAGGAGGAGGAAGAGCAAGTGAGAAGGATGTATATCAGAATGTTCATGACTTGTAAATTCTTAAATAGATATGAAGTATTCTAATAATCAGTCATAACTGTCATCAGTGAAAAATGGAGACACTGTTGTGCGGGGGCCTGCTAGGTTGCACTTTAAGTATTAAACATGATGCTGAGAACTGGGTGCAGTGGCTCATGCCTGGAGTTCCAGCTACTGAGGAGACTGAGGCAGGAGGATTACTTGAGCCCAAGAGTTTGAGACCAGCCTGGGCAACATAGTAAAGACTCAAAAAGGAAAAAAAAATGATACTGAGAAGTGAGAAGTTAGATATGAGGCAAGTATTGGTGATGAAAGTTCCTAATTTTAGTTCTTAGGAGGTGTTTTTGTAAACATTTATGTGGAAGGACATTCTTCCTCAGTGCACCCCACTAGAGTCAACAGGTCTGGCCCATGGCCAGATAGCTCAGGTCTCCATCTCTGTCTCAATCACTGTGAAATCCACCCTTGTTTGGAGGTAGACAAGGCCTTAGATATCCTTTGGCAAAGCTCTCTAGGTTGAAATTCTAGCCGTTTCTCCTGATCTTAATCCATTCGCACAGATGCCCTTTTTCTCCTTGTAGTCAGGGTGCTTTCCTCACATCCCACGACTAGGTAGATTTCATTAGTCCTTGTCCTGAGTCTTTTCTGGCCTCTCCATTGCCTTCATGATTAGTGTCTACTTGGCTGAAGCCATCTATAATTTTTGTCTGCCCTGTGTTTTAAGATCATTGGTTTAGTGGTTCAGTGTCTACCGAATAAAGGACAGCTCATTTAAGAGAGCTTCTGCCATAGCCGTGATGTTGTTGGGCGTTCTTACTGATGATCACAATGGTGTAATCACGGTGGTCCATCAGGCTGGAAATTTCCAGTTGATGCGTACAAACTCAGTTATACTCTGTGGTTTGTGAGGGGTGCCCTTACACAGTCAAGATCCTCTTCTGGCTGTGGGGCTGACTCTGGGACCAACCCCTACTTATGGATTGGTGGAAGTCAATCCTGTTCTGATCATGTGCAGCACTCTGAGGGGGTACTGGGAAACAAGGCTGATAGTTCCTGGTCCAGAGAGCATAGAACTACGGCCTCTCCTAGTAGTACTCTTTGGGCCACTGACACACATGAGGGGCTGGGGAACCAGGCCAGAGGTTATGGGTCTGACTCATAACCTATTGCTTGGATTTCTGTTTGACTCAAGCCAGAGTGCCACTAAAAGCTGCAGAGTGAATGTCCTCGTGACTTTTTCGCTTTGTTCTGTCTTCTAGGCTAGCCTGAAAGCTGACTCTATAAATAAGCCCTTTGCACAGCAGTGCCAAGACTTGGTTAAAGTCATTGAGGACTTTCCAGCAAAGGTATAGCTCTGCTAACGTCTCTCTTTGGAGCATGTCTTATACATTCGTTGAAGAACTTTATTATAATTCCTAATTTCCCTCCCCGCCCCAACCCCGAGCACTGCCTGGCACAGAGGCCTGGCCATTACCATGACCATTATGTTTACGGACACATTTAAACATGTGAACTTGTAGATCAGGGGTTCTCAGCCACAGATGCTCTGTTCCTCAGGGACACTTGGCAATGTCAGAGACATTTTTGGTTGTCACATCTGGAGGTAGATGGGGAGTGTGTGCTACTAGCTTCTAAGAAGTAGAGGCCAGGGTTGCTGGAAACATTCTGCAAAGCACAGGACAGCTCCCTGCGACAAAGAAGTATCTAGCCCAAAATGTCAACAGCACCAAGATTGAGAAACCCTGATGTAAATACTAAAAATATGTATTTAAATCACACCTGGAATTGTCAAGCCCAGGAAGCTGGCCTAGACAAGGAGTTAATACCAAATGGCAATAGGTCAGTTAGGTTTCAGGGGCTTCACTCTGGAAAGGATGTTGCTTTCCTTTCTGATAGAGCATCCTTCAAGTCAGAAGTTTCCATCACTGTTTAAAGAATCTTTTTTTTGTGGTGGCTCATGCCTGTAATCTCAACACTTTGGGAGGCCGAGGTGGGAGGATCACTTAAGCCCAGGAGCTCAAAACCAGCCTAGGCAACATACTGAGAACCTATCTCTACAAGAAATTTAAAAATTAGCTGAGTGTAGTGGTGTGTGCCTATAGTCCCATTTACTCAGGAAGCTGAGGTGGGGGGATTGCTCGAGCCCAGGAAGTCGAGGCTGCAGTGAGCCATAATTGCGCCACTGCACTCCAGCCAGGGCAACAGAGTGAGACCTTGTCTCAATAAATATGTATTTTGTTTATTTTTTTATTTTATATTTTTTTATTTTCATTGTTTGTTTTTTTTTAAATTTATTTATTTTTCTTAATTTAATCTTCTATCACACACAAAAAATGTATTTTGATCGGAGGCTGACTTACTTAACTGGCCCAAGTCTAAAGCAACACTGCTTGGTATGCCATGTACCCCACTGGAAGAACGTAAAGCTGCTCTTGTCGTTGGCACCATGGCACCAGGCTTCCTTTGGGTGCAGGGCTGATCCCATAGGTCTTAGCCAGGGAGTGGCTTCCTCAGAGGGAGCTGGGCAGCAGGTGGTGCAGGACTAGAGCCGGGGCAGGAGTGGGTGCTGGTCCTGCACGCGGCTTCACCACACATTGTTTCAGGAGCTGCACACCATCTTCCCATGGCTGGTAGAAAGCATTTTTGGCAGCCTAGATGGTGTCCTCGTTGGCTGGAACCTCCGCTGCTTACAGGGGCGCGTGAATCCTGTGGAGTACAGCATCGTGATGGAATTTCTCGACCCTGGGTAGGTAGGTTGGTCACCGGAGAGAGGCTGGGTGATTCCTCATGGTGATTCCACCTTTAAAGCACTCTCTGAATTTCTCAAGATTAAGAAACAATCAAAGCAAGATAATTCGCAGTTCATTTGCCCTGTTTTTGTTTGTTTGTTCAATTTCGTGTTCAGTGGCCCAATGATGAAGTTGGTTTATAAGCTTCAAGCTGAAGACTATAAGTTCGACTTTCCTGTCTCCTACTTGCCTGTAAGTAAACCACAGTGGCGAGAGTGGTGCTCGGGGCAGTGGGCCTTGCACAGCCCTGTGGTGATGGGCAATCTCCTCCAGTCCTCTGAGGGCAAATTGAGGAGCGATTCGTTCCAGGGGTGTGAGAGGCAAAGGAAATGGGTATTGCATGACTGCTACCCTTGCTGTCTGCAGCTCTTTATGAGATGATGGTAGGAGAAGTTCTAAGCAAAGACTCTTGTTCAGGCACTGCTCAGAGGCAGGGCACTGTCCCCACAGGTGGGTTCTGTGTGTGGGTCTCTTCCCCAGCAGCCTTCCCAAAGTGCTGCTGTGCATGTGGGGTACTGCGTATCGGGCACTACGCACCAGCACCTGCCCACAAGCCTCACTGCCTCTCTCTGCAGGGTCCTGTGAAGGCGTCCATCCAGGAGTGCATCCTCCCTGACAGTCCTCTGTACCACAACAAGGTCCAGTTCACCCCTACTGGGGGCCTTGGTCTGAACTTGGCCCTGAGTATCCTTTGGTGGCCCTGAGGTAGGGAGGCTGTGGGTGGCCCAGCACTTGACACTGAGCGGGGGGTGGCTCATCAACCCTGCATGTTTGCCCCTGACGCTGCTCTCAGATCCGTTCGAGTATTACATATTCTTCTTTGCCTTGAGCCTCATCACTCAGAAGGTAAGGAAGGGATGCCTTTTGCTGGGAGAGGTGGGGCCACGGCCCAGGGCTTCCCTGCACTTGTTGGTGCTTGGTGGCCTGGCAGTGTCCAGAGCCCATGCTAACAACTAGCTTGGTTTTCCAGCCACTTCCTGTGTCCCTCCACGTCCGTACTTCAGACTGTGCCTATTTCATCCTGGTGGACAGGTACCTGTCATGGTTCCTGCCCACCGAAGGCAGTGTGCCCCCACCACTCTCCTCCAGCCCAGGGGGGACCAGCCCCTCACCACCTCCCAGGTAAGGCTGCCCTTTGTTAAGACCTGGCCCTTCCATAAGGGAGTGGCCTGGTCACTTGCATCGCCCACGGGGACAATGTTGCCACCCTTTGTCCACGGTTCCCCAATTTTTCTTATGCCTCATTCCCCATCCCCAGCTGTCTTAGCACAGACTGGAGGGTGGGGTATGGCGGGCAATCTGTCCTTAGTGTTCAGTGTCTTTGGCCATCACTGAAGCTATCAGGTCCCTGGAGGCCTCCACGGCCTGCATGGGAATGGGCTGTGTTGTGCATGGAGCAGCCGTCCCCACAGGCGGTGTCTGAGTCAGTGAGCAGGGTGGAAAGGTTGTCCTATGAGCAAAAAAAATAGGAATCTCTATGGGCCCCAGGAGCAGATCTTGAAGGGGAGGCCCTGGGCCAAAGAGCCTGTTTTGTCAGTCCAAACAGGCTGAGCCTGATGCGTGCCTGCACAGGTTGGGAGTGTGAACCAGGGGCTCTCATGCCTGGCTGTCCTGGGTCCTCAGTGGGCACTAACGCAGGCCGACTTCCCAGGAGACCCTCTTGCCCCAGCAGCAGCTGCCTGTGCACCTCTGACCCTCTTTAATCTCACTGGCCCATCGCCTTCCCCAGGAAGCTGCATGCAGGCCCCTTCCTGCAGATGCTGGCCCACCCCAGATCTGCTGGCATGTGTAAGGCAGGCCAGGCCTTTACCTACAATTCACGTGTGGACAGATTCCCCAGAGGGTGGAGGGGAGAAAGGGAGTGGCAAGGAGGAGACGCTGCCCAGGTAGCGGCAGTGATCAGTGACCCTGAAATGTTGCTGATCCTGTGGAGGACTCGGAGGTGAGGCAGATTCACACCCTCTTAGATGCAGAATTCAGCTGCCAAGCAGTTTTTGATGCCTGGTTTTTTTGCTTGTTTTAACTTTTTGGGTTGTTTTAATTTTTTCTATTAGAAATTATATACGTAGGCTGGGAGTGGTGACTGATGCCTGTAATCCCAGCACTTTGGGAGGCCAAGGTGGAGGGATCGCCTGAGGTCAGGAATTCGAGACCAGCCTAGCCAACATGGTGAAACCTTGTCTACTAAAAATACAAAAATTAGCTGGGCATGGTGGTGCACACCTGTAATCCCAGCTACTCAGGAGGTTGAGGCGGGAGAATTGCTTGAACCCGGGAGGCGGAGGTTGTGGTGAGCTGAGATTGCACCACTGTACACACACACAAAAAAAAAAAAGAAAAGAAATTATATATATATGGTTTGGGTTTATTTATTTATTTTATTTTATTTTATTTTATTTTGTGTTTGGAGATGGAGTCTCACTCTGTCGCCCATGCTGGAGTGGTGCAGTGGCATGATCTTGGCTCACTGCAACCTCCATCTCCTGGGTTCAAGTGATTCTCCCACCTCAGCCTCGCAAGTAGCTGGGATTACAGGCACAGGTCAGCATGCCCGACTAATTTTTGTATTTTTAGTAGTAACGGGGTTTCACCATGTTGGCCAGGCTGGCCTCAAACTCCTGACCTCAGGCAATCCGTCCACCTTGGCCTCAGACAAAGTGCTGGGATTACAGGTGTGAGCTACTGCACCCAGCATTTTTTTTTTTTTGAGACAGGGCCTGGCTGGGTTGCTCAGCCTGGAGTGCAGTGTTGTGATCACAACTCACTGCAACATTGACCTCCTGAGCTCAAGTGATCCTCCCACTTCAACCTCCCAAGTAGCTAGTACTATAAGCATGCACCCCCACACCTAGCTTTTATTTTATTTTTTTGTAAGATGGGTCTTGCTATGTTGCCCAGGCTGCTCTAGAACTCCTGGGCTCGAGCGATCCTCCTGCCTTAGCCTCCCAAAGTTCAGAGATTACAGGCATGAACCACTACACTGGTCCATTGTGTGCTTTTTTTTTTTTTTTTGACAGGGTCTTACTCTGTTGCCCAGGCTGGAGTGCAGTGGCGCTGTCTCTGCTTCAAGTGATTCTCCTGGCTCAGTCCCAAGTAGCTGGGACTACAGGTGCCTGTCACCACACCCAGCTAATTTTTGTATCTTTAGTAGAGACAGGGTTTCACCATGTTGAGCAGACTGATCTTGAACTCCTTACCACAAGTGATCTGCCTGCCTCGACCCCCTAAAGTGCTGGGATTACAGGTGTGAGCCGCCGCTCCTGGCCTAGCCATTATGTATTTTTAAAGACGGTCTTACTCTGTCACACAGGCTGGAGTGCAGTGTCATAATCATCACTTGGTGGCACAATCATCACTCAAGCCAGCCTGTCACATCAGTGACTATAGGCATGCATCACTACAGCCAGCTAATTTAACTTTTTTTTTTTTTTTTGCGGAGATATGGGGATGCCTCGCTGTGTTGCCCAGGCTGGTCTTGAACTCCTGGCCTCAGCAATCTTCCCGCCTCAGCTTCCCAAGTAGCTGGAATTACAGTTGCAAGTCACCACACCTAACTTTTTATTTTGAAATAACTTCAGATTTACAGATAAGTTTCCACGCATAATAAAAATAACTTGCAGGCTGAGCACAGTGGCTCACGCCTGTAATCCCAACACTTTGGGAGGCCAAGGCGGGAGGATCACTTGAGGCCAGGAATTCGAGACCAGTGTGGGCAACGTCGGGAGACCTCATTTCTACAAAAAAAAAATTAGCCAAGTATGGTGATGTGCAACTATGGTCCCAGCTACTCAGGAGGCTGAGGTGGGAGGATCACTTGTGCCCAGGAGCAATGAGCTGTGAGCGTGCCACTGCACTTTAGCCTGGGGTAACAGAACAAGATCCTGTCTCAGGGAAAAAAAAAAAAAAGAAACTTTCATAGATCTTCACCCAGATTTCCAAACTGTTAATACTTTGCTGCATGTGTTGGTTTCCACCTCTATTGTATGTGTTTTTTTTTCTCTAAGCCAATATGAGTAAGCTACAGGATATGGCATCCCTTGACCTCTTAATATTTCAGTGTATTTCCTAGAAGCGAATGCATTATCCTATATAGTCACAGTGCCTGTAACCACACCAGGAAGTTAGTATTGCCACCAGGCCTCACACTGTGTGCAGTGATGTTTCACAGGCTCACCCACTGTATATAGTGATATTTCTAGTCCCCTTCAGTCAGGAATGGTCCCTTGCCTTTCTGTCTTTCCTGACCTTGACCCCTCCAGAGCATGCGGCCGCCCCTTAGGCTGTGTGGTATTTGCTGGTGACTAGGCCCAGCATGGGCTTTGTTGGGAGGAGCACCGTAGTGGGACACCTGGTCCTTGCCAGGTGCCCTTTTATCACTGGGTTAAAAAGGTGCCGGTCAGGTTTTTC
Organism: Homo sapiens; assembly: GCF_000001405.40. Taxonomy (NCBI): domain Eukaryota; kingdom Metazoa; phylum Chordata; class Mammalia; order Primates; family Hominidae; genus Homo; species Homo sapiens. Next base: position 130,169,063 of record NC_000002.12, on the reverse strand, counting down.
CATTGTAAAATAATTACTTTGTGCCCAGGTTAAATAGTAATGAGGCTGGGCATGGTGGCTCATGCCTGTAATTCCAGGACTTTGAGAGGCTGAGGTGGGCGGATCACTGGAGCTCAGGAGTGTGAGACCAGCTCAGGCAACATAGCAAAATCCCATCTCTACCAAAAATTTAAAAATAACCAGGTGTGGTGGTGTGCGCCTGTAATCCCAGCTACTTGAGAGGCTGAGGTGGGAGGATTGCTTGCACCCAGGAGGCGGAGGTAGCAGTGAGCCAAGATCATGCCCCTGTACTCCAGCCTGGGCTACAGAGTGAGACCGTATCTCAACCAAAAAAAAAAAAAAAAAAATTAATAGTGCCTGGGCAACATAGCATGACCTTGTTTCTACTAAAAAGAAAAACATCAGCCAGGCGTGGTGGTGTTGGTCCCAGCTACTTGGGAGGCCTAAGTCTAGGAGGTTGAGGTTGCAGTGAGCTGTGATTGCATCATTGCACTCCAGCCTAGGCGATAGGGTACGATCCTGTCTCAAAAAAAAATTGATAACGAGAATTTACCGGGAAGATGTATGGAGACTATGTAATTATCAGTAGTATTAACATCCACTTTTGATTCTCCTATTTTTTCAAATTGATTTTATTTGCAGACAGGGTCTTGTTCTCTTACCCCAGGCTGGAGTGCAGTGGTACGATCTCTGCTCACAGCAACCTCAACCTCCTGGGCTCAAGTGATCCTCCTGTCTCAACCCCCCAAGTATCTGGGACTACAGGGAGGCATCACCACACCTGGCTAATTTTTGTATTTTTTTGTGGAGACAGGGTTTTGCCATGTTGCCCAGGCTGGGAATTTCTTAATTTTTTAGAAACAGGGTCTTGCTCTGTCACCCCAGGGTGGAGTGAAGTTGGTACGATCATTTGTCACTATAGCCTCAACTCGTGGGCCCAGGCCATTCTCCCTCCTCAGCCTTCTAAGTAGCTAGGACTACAGGCACATGCCACCAGGCCCAGCTGTTTTATGTTTCAATGTTTTTGTGGAGATAGGTTCTCATTTTGTTGCCCAGGCTGATCTCAAATGCCTGGCCTCAAGAAATCCTCCTGCCTTGGTCTCCCAAGGTGCTGGTGTGAGCCCCCATGCTCACAGGTGTGAACCCCCATGCCCAACCTCACTGTTGATTCTTGACCAAATCAGCTATTAATAGGGCGGTTACTAAATGGTGGTTCTCTAACTTCATCCCTCCTTCATTGATTTGTGGGTCAATGGTCACTCTGTGGTAAGGAAGACTTCTCTCTTTGCTATTTATTTATTCAGGTATATCAGTGTGGATCAGGGGGCTGGGGGGAGGTGTGCATTGTGCTATTGAACAAGTTGTAATCTGTCCCTGCTCTCGTTGATTTTGATATCCAGATTGCCCCTGTTACAGCGGGAGCGAGTTACAGCGGGAGCCTGTAACTCGGGCCTGTTTCTGTGTCTCCCTCAGGACACCAGCCATACCCTTTGCTTCCTATGGCCTCCACCACACTAGCCTCCTAAAGCGACACATCTCTCATCAGACGTCTGTGAATGCAGACCCCGCCTCCCACGAGATCTGGAGGTCAGAAACTCTGCTCCAGGTGAGAGTTGAGCTGGTCAAAAGAAACTGTTCAGCCAGCTGGGCATGGTGGCTCGTGCCTATAATCCCCAGCACTTTGCGAGGCCTAGGTGGGCAGATGACCTGAGGTCAGGAGTTTGGGACCAACCTGGCCAGCATGGTGAAACCACGTCTCTACTAAAAACACAAAAATTAGTTGGGCGTGGTGGCAGGCGCCTGTAATCCCAGCTACTCGGGAGGCTGAGGCGGGAGAATCGCTTGAACCCAGGAGGTGGAGGCTGCAGTAAGCTGAGATCGTGCCATTGCACTCCAGCCTGGGTGACAGAACTAGACTCCATCTCAAAAAAAAAAAAAGAAAAAGAAAAGAAACTGTTGCCACCTTCCACTATGTGGGGCAGAGTCCCAGAGGCGGCCCCTCAGCCCGGGGCTGATTCTAAATTGTTGATATTTTCCTGCTGTGACATTTAGAAAACATGAAAGTAAATCTGCCCACCCTTTTAACTTGAATGTCATTGATGGCGTTTTTCATCCCAGGATCCCCTGTCCATGGAAGTTGTTTCGTTTTGCCTGTGGTGATATAATTGTTGCAGAGTCTTTTGGTTTCCATGACACTGAATGGTGAGGGGTCTGTGCAGCCTCCACAGGCCTTCCATTGATTCAGGGGATCCAAGTAGTAGGTGACAGATTTCCTTGTCTGCCCAGAGGGGCTCCAGCCTGTCAGGATGGTATGGGCTGGCTCACTTCCTGAGTGCTGGCCAACTCCCAGGTCCTGGCTGTGTCTTCTAGGCACACAGAGAGATTCAGCAGGTGCTGCTTCTGACGCTGGATCCTGGGGCTGACTTGGTAGCCACAGCCTTGCTTTACAGCCTGGCATGTAGATAAGATAGGATTCTATCTCCCATCTTATATGTAACTCCTAGTATTTGGGGTGCTGCACTTTTTGAAGCCTCCATACCATTTCACAGCATCCTCGCAGGGTGGAATGGTAAGAACCGTTGCCCCTGTTCACAGAGGGGACCATGATGCCCAGATGGCTCTTGGCTGTGTGGACCGTAGGCTGTGCTGGCCATGAAGAGGGCAGAAGATCATGACACAGCGCTTATAGGGAAGAACTGGAAGGTTCTGCTGTTCCCTGGGCCAAAGCATTTTTTTTTTTTTTTTTTTTTTTTTTGAGATGGAGTCTCCCTCTGTTGTCCAGGCTGGAGTGCAGTGGCTCAATCTTGGCTCTGTGCAACCTTCACCTCTCAGGTTCAGGTGATTCTCCCGCCTCAGCCCCCCGAGTAGCTAGGATTACAGGTGCCCACTGCCATGCTCAGCTAATTTTTGCATTTTTAGTAGAGATGGGGTTTCACCATGTCTCGAACTCCTGACATCAAGTGATCCATTTGCTTTGGCCTCCCAAAGTGTTGGGATTACAGGCGTGAGCCACCGTGCCCGGCCCTTTTTGTTTTTTTAACTAAGAAAAAAATTTAATTATAAGATATATATAACATGAAACTTATTGTCTTAACTATTTCCAAGTGTACAGTCAGTAGTGTTGAATACAGTCATGTTGTTGTGCATGCAATCTCCAGAATGCTTTTCATCTTGCAAAACTGAAACTGAACCAGCCCGGGCGCAGGGGCCTCACACCTCTAATCTTAGTGCGTTGGGAGGCCCAGCAGGAAAGGATTGCTCAAGGCCGGGAGTTCAAGACCAGCCTGGCCAGCATAGTGAGACCCCATCTCTTCTAATGAAAAACAAGGAAATCAAACCATTAAACAATTCCCCACCCAGCACCTGGCAACCACTATTCTGCTCTCTGTTTCTATGGAGTTGACTCCTAGATCTCATACCCAGAGTATGCGTAGCACATAGTACTTATTTGTGTGTGAGTAGCATGCTTCACTTAGCATAATGGACTAAAGATTAATCCATGTTACAGCATGTGTCAGAATTTCCTTGCTTTTTAGGGCTGAATAGTGTTCCATTGTGTGGATGTACCACATTGTGTTTATTCATTCATCTCTCAGTAGACACTTGAGTTGCTGGGTTTTTTTTTTGTTTTTTTTTTGAGACCGAGTTTTGTTCTTGTTGCCCAGGTTGGAGTGGAGTGGCACGATTTTGGCTTACCACAACCTCTGCCTGTTGGGTTCAAGCGATTCTCCTGCCTCAGCCTCCTGAGTAGCTGAGCTGGAATTACAGGCATGCGCCACCACGCCCGGCTAATTTTGTATTTTTAGTAGAGACACTGTTTCTCCATGTTGGGTCAGGCTGGTCTCGAACTCCTGACCTCAGGTGATCCACCTGCCTTGGCCTCCCAAAGTGTTGGGATTACAGGTGTGAGCCACTGTGCCCAGCCCTTTTTTTTTTTTTTTTTTTTTTTTTTTTTAAATCAGAGTCTGTCTTTGTTGCCAGGCTAGAGTGCAGTGGTGCAGTCTTGGCTCACTGCAGTCTCAAACTCCTGGGCACAAGCAATCCTCCCACCTCAGACTCCCAAGTCGCTGGGATTATAGGTGTGATGCCTCACCACACCCAGCTAATTTTTGTATTTTTTGTAGAGACAGATTTTCATTATGTTGGCCAGGCTGGTCTGGAACTCCTGGCCTCAGGTAATCCCACCCACCTCGGCCTCCCAAAGTGCTGGGATGACAGGGTTGAGCCACCATGCCTGTTGGTTGCCTTTTTACTCTATCTATAGTATTTTTTCATGCTCAAGAGTGTTGATTTTGATGAAGTCTAGTTGTCTATTTTTTTTCCTTTTGTTGCCTGTGCTTTGGGCATCATATCTAATTAATCATTGCCAAATCTAGTGTTATGAAGTTTTCTCCCATGTTTTCTTCTAAGAGTGTATGGTTTTAGTGCTTATCCTCAGGTCGCTTACCCATTTTGAGTTATTTTTTGGTGATGGTGTGAAGGAAGGGCCCAGCTTCACTGTTCTGCACATGGGTATTCTGTGTTCCCAGCTCTGCTTGTTGGAGACACTGTCCTTTCCCCACTGGATGGTCTGACACCATTGTCAAGAATGGTTTGACTAGCTAATGCTTTTTTGCAGGTTTTTGTTGAAATGTGGCTTCATCACTATTCCTTGGAGATGTATCAAAAAATGCAGTCCCCTCATGCCAAGGTATGTTTTCAGTTTTTCTTCCCACCTCCTGCTTCTGACCCTGCTCAGCCTGCTGCTTCTTATCCTGCCTCTGAGTGAGTTTTCACAGGCTGGATGGTGGGAAGCAGAAACCCACCACCCACCTGTCACTCAGAAGCCAAATAAGAAGTGGGCATCGTTCTCTAGTTTCCGGTGGCGGGCAGGGGGCATTGCACCCTGATGTGTAGAAACTTGAGGCCTGGAAGTCTGGCCTCTCCGGGGCCCTCCCTGTGCAGCTTCCTGAGCCCCCTCCCTGGCAGCAGGAACAGATGAGGTTGTGGTGCTCTTGCTCTGGGAGTGGGGGAGCTGCGATGCCTCAGGGAGTCACTTTCTTGTCTGTCTCCTCGACCATCAGCAGTGCCTTTGTGCTTTCCCATGAAGGGGTGGCCTGGAGCCTCCTTTGCCTGCTCACCCTACTCCCCCACCTTCTCCAGAGCATGAGCAAGCAGCCCTTCTCGTGGCGAGTGGCACCTGGTGCCCCCCTGCATGCAGCCTGGCTTGCCTCCTCTCCCTCCGCCTCGCCTGTCCCTGCTCTCTCTCTCTGGGCAGCACGCTGCTTTCAGATGCATGGAGGTGGCGGAGGCCCTGGGTCATTCCTGCTGTTGCCGTTCCTGGAGCTAGCACCACCCCTGGACCGGTCAGAGTGAGAAAGCAGCTAGGTGAACCTTAGATCTCCAGTCAGTCATCTCCATGGAGCAGCTTGACTCATGCCCATCCGTGCCCTTGCCTGAAGTGGCATCAGCCACGTAGTCTGGTGCCCATGGCGTCTGTGCATCAGTATGCTTGGGAAACTTTGGCTTTGTCACTGACAGAATTATTGAGGGCTTCCTCCAGAATGTGGGTGATGGAGTTAAACTTCAGAAGAGCATCCTGTCACTTTTCCTCTGGTTCTGGCAAAGAGCTGTGGGTCTGCTTCTGCCACAGTCTGCAGCCAGTTCCATGGCCCCATGCTTTGCCATGTGGAGGCTCTCTCAGAGCATAGGGTCCCCCAAATCCTCACCCTCAGAATCACATGGGCGGAGAATGGGGAAAAGCTGAGGACCCCATCTTGGGCCTCTTGAGTCACAAAGAGCCTGCAGTGCCCTTCCTGCTTCCAGAGCAGACTTGCTGCATGTTCCTGGCCGGTGCCTGGGGGCCTGGTTATTCCCTGAGCCTGCTCCTCCCGTGGGGCTCTGGGACACTCAGCACTCGTGCATGTGGCGTGGCGTGGCGTGGCCTGGCAGGGGCAGAGGCCACTGCACCGCATTGTGTTCCTGTTGCTCCTTCTGCCTTCTGAGGGAGTGGAAGCACACCTACTTTCAAGAGTCAGCCAGAAAGGCTCTTTGAGGCTGTCACCTGTGAGGATTCTGTGTCCTCACGGGCCAGAGGAAGGGCAGGGGGCTGTCCCTGTGGAGGGCAGGAGGTGCAGTTCCCTTCTTCCCCACATTTGCTTCCTCTTGGCCAGACCTTGGGGTGGGTGGACCCTGCTCAGAATACCTTGCAGTGGCCGGACCAAGTACCCAGAGATGCTCCACTCTTCGCCTCTTCCAGTTCAGGCAAAACACAAAACGCAAGAAAACTTGGTGGGTGGGAGTCAGAGAAAGGCAGCTGTGGAGGTCTGTGTCTCCCAAGGCTTCTTGCCGCTTGTCCAGGCCTGTGCTACACGTACTGCCATGCAGAAATCCCTGCCCGTCCCCACTAGCCCTTATTTTCAGATGCAGGAAGTGAGGCTCCTGGGGTCATCCTCCTCACCCTGCTTGAGTCCAGGATGCATGCTTGCTCCCCAGTGGCCCTGTGGGCAGTAAGGATGGCCATGGCGCTGTAGGCCACTGTGTTCCTGCAAGCAAGGGCAGAGCCACACTGGGGAACTATGTGTCTGATTCCTCCCTGAGCCCCAGGTCTGGCACAGAGGAAGGCTGTGGAGGGCAACACCTCCCTGCCCTGCTCCTTCACTCCCTGCTCTGCGTGTCATGGCGACTGGCGTGTGTTCTGATTTCTCCTGTGTGGAGCCCAGTGGGTGTGCTGCTTGGGCAGGAGGCATGCTGCTGGCGGGGCAGGATGTGCACCAGGCCGGCTGTGGCTGCACTGGGCTGAAGGGGTGCTTCGGCAGGCCGTGGTGCTGCAGGGCAGCAGGTCGGAGGGTCCTGGCTAGGAGCCAGCTCAGCCTCAGGTTCCTGCTGCCTCTGGGTGTGTGTGGCTGTGGCCAGATCCTCAGGGGCTCCCGCCCTTGGGAACCCACTGTATCTGGAGGGTGGGAGTTTCTGGTGCGGTAGGAGAGGCTGCCTCCAGGAGTCAGAGCTGATGTGCACACCACCTTAGCTGACGTCCAGACTATGAGGGTGGAGGGCAGGGCCTGGTGGCCTGAGCCTGTGCTCCTCGTCTCTGTGCTACCCTTGGGGACCTGTCCTCGCCCTCAGTTCTCAGAGAGCCAGTCATGGAGGGGACATTGATTTGAGTTTTAGACACATAGGAATCAATCATGTCTTATACCAATTTGGTAAATTTCTTAAGACAACCCAGGGAAATCCAGTCAATTCCACATGTGTTTTCTGGGCAGAGTGCTCCTCCTGGAACATGCTCCGCTGGTTTCTTTTCTGAGCCTCAGGATCTTGAGGTCTTGGTGGCTGGCAGCATGTCCCAGTGAGGGCCCTGGGCTCTTGGAGGGCTCTGGTTTGCATTTGCCACACATAGTGTGACCTCAGTCACTGGGGAGAGTGGGTCCCGTCTTGAAGGGCAGTGAGTTGGGCCCTTCCAAGGAGCTAGAGAGGCCTTTAGGCCCCAGCAATACTGAGGGGCCACCCAGGTGACCTGGAGGCCCCTCTGCCCGGGCCTTCAAAGCGAGGAGAGTGTGGCCACAGCCCTGGCCTGGTTGTGGAGGGGGGTGCTGCGCTGGCCCGCGGCTGCTGGGACTGCAATTGTTTGGATTGTCACTGACCGTGCTTTGTTTTTGTTTTTTTCTCCTCACTCCTGGGCTCGTTCTCATTGCTTTCTTTCTCTCTCCGCTTCCCCCTCCCGTGTCTGGTCCTATCTCTCCCCTTCCCCACCCCATTCTCTTGTCCTCTGCTCTTCGGCCTCTTCCGGCATCTCTCTGTTTCTTATCTCAGCTGGAGGTTCTGCACTACCGACTCAGTGTCTCCAGCGCCCTCTACAGCCCCGCCCAACCCAGCCTCCAGGCCCTCCACGCCTACCAAGTACTGGCTCATTCGTTCCCTTCCTCCTGCCCAGAGTGCATGTCCATGCCTGGCAAAGCAAGGGGCCGCCGGGGCCGGCCGCTGGTGACTCAGAGGCTAGTTCCAAGCAGAACGAAGCCCCTGTGTCGGGGGGAGGCAGGGGTCAGCCTCCAGCCTGGCTTGGCCCCTGGCTTTGTAGACTAGTTTGGTTGGGGGTGGGGGTGGTGGCTTTGTGGCAGAACGAGGCATGTGGGCATGTGGCCCTGGCTGTCCAGGCTCCAGGCCAGTGGAGGTGTCACAAGCTCTCCAGTGTTGGAGGCCTCGTGCTTGGCCCTGGTTTGAAGAGCTGGAGTCCTCAGGCCTCAGCAGTGGCTGGGTTCACTGCACTCTGCAGGGTCTGGCGCTTAGGAAGGAGCTGAAGACGCAGAGGCCTGGGACTTACGGGTGGTGTGGGTTCTGCCTTGTTCAGAACTGTCACCCAGCCTGGAGGTGCTGTGACCCAGAGCTTGCGTGTGAGGCAGGGGGTGGGAAGGACCTGGGGCTTGACCCTATAGCCCACAGAAGCTGTCAGTCCTTGACAGCCCAGCCAGGACCCGGCCTTCACCTGGGGAGCCCTGGCCGCTCATACACACCTCCAGAGGCAGATTAGAGTGGGTGGTGACCTCATAGAGGTTGCAGCTGCCTAGGCAGAAATGACAAGTGTGTGGATGGATTTGAGGTCAGTGAAGCAGAGTTCAGACCTGTAGGGGACTTCAGGGATGACAGAGGAATCTGTGAGAGCCGGGGGAGACGGGCTGTGCTCACAGCCAGTGATCTGTCCCATTCACCTGGGAAAGAGCACACATGATTGAACAGGAATTTGAGCATAAGATGAGAAAATGTGTTGGCTCCTTAGCGCTGGTGGGCTGGGATGGTGGCCACAGCACACAGGGGCACCTCATTCCGCAGGAGCCACTGCAGAGGAGAGGAGGGACCTGAGGGCTTGCGCCAGGGAGGGAGGACAGTGGTCCAGAAAGCATCTGGCAAACCCCATGGTGGGAGGGTGACCAGCGAGACCCAGGTGGGGTGAGCTGAGGTGCTGTGAGTCTCAGCCCAGTGGGAAATGTGCGGCTTTGGGGACACATCCTTAAGAAGCAAGCAGGTGACTGTGGCCAGGGACTCCATGTGGGAACATGGCCCAGGAGGGGTGCAGAGCTGAGGGAGAAGTTTGGCTCAGCAAACCTATGGGAAAATAGCCTGAGAGGGTTCCATGTGACTGCCGGCGGCAGGGGCGGACAGTGGGCCCTCCAGACCCTTCGGAAGGACCAGGTGAGGTGGGTCAAGTGCACCAGCAGGGGAAAGCAGTTTTCCAGTTCACATGTGGAGGTCTTCCCCTCCCCTTAGCTGCAGGAAGGATGTTACGGCTCAGGATCCCAGGCCAGGATTGGAGGGAGGGCCTGGGCTGAGACTGGAGGAGGAGAAAGACCCTGGTCTAACTTCCCACCCCACTGGTGCCCTTCTAGTTGGGCAGTATAGGTACAGGTATTATGTCTCATACTTTTCTCCTTCTGTCTTTTTTTTTTTTTTTTTGAGATGGAGTCTCACTCCGTTGCCCAGGCTGGAATGCATTGACATGGTCTCGGCTCACTGCAATCTCCACCTCCCAGATTGAAGTGATTCTTCTGCCTCAGCCTCTTGAGTAGCTGGGATTACAGGCATGTGCCACCCACCCGGCTAATTTTTGTATTTTTAGTAGAGATGTAGTTTCACCATATTGGCCAGGCTGGTCTCAAACTCCTGACCTCAAGTGATCTGCCTGCCTTGGCCTCCCAAAGTGTTGGGATTATAGGCGTGAGCCACCGCACCTGGCCCTTTCTTCCAAAACAATGCAAATTCATTGCCCAAAGACTTAACAATACAGATAGAGAAAAATAGCCAGCCACGATGGCTCATGCTTGTAATCCCAGCACTTTGGGAGGTTGAGGCAGGCGGATTGCCTGAGCTCAGGAGTTTGAGACCAGCCTGGGCAACATGGCGAAACCCCTGTCTCTACAAATACAAAAATTAGCCTGGTGTGGTGGTGTGTGCGCCTGTGTTCCCAGCTACCCGGGAGGCTGAGATGGGAGGATCCCTTAAGCCCTGGAGGCAGAGGCTGCAGTGAGCCGAGACCACGACACTACAGCGCGGGTGACAGAGTGAGACCCTGTCTCAAAAAAAAGAAAATGCCTCCCACCCCATAGCTCCATCTTCAGACTCAGCCACTTATCTCTGGGGTGTGTCACTTGGACCTGTGGGGACAGTTTCCTGACGGGGAGACTTGAGTGGGTAGCGATATGGGCAGTGGCCCGTGCGGGGTCTACAGCATACCAGGATATACCTGGAGGCTGGGCCCTGCACCAGCCTCAGCAGCACAGATGTGTTACGGCCCAAAGGGCTAGGGGACAAGTGTGGAGAGGCGAGCATGTCCACTCAGACTCAGGGTCCTGCCCTCAGCACCCCTACTTCCCTGCCCTCGTCTACTCTCGATGCGCCCACCTGCCCTCCCAATGCTAAACAACCAGAGGAAGCCCATGGCCACCAAAAAGGCTTTCCTCTCCGGCTAGATCTCCAGGATCCTGCTTGTATGTTACAAATCAAAAGTTTGGCCTAGGCTGGACACAGTGGCTCACGCCTGTATTCCCTCTCTTTGGGAGACCTGAGGTCAGGCCAACATGGTGAAACCCCATCTCTATGAAAAATAAAAATTAGCTGGGCATGGTGGCACACACTTGTCGTCCCAGCTACTCAGGAGGCTGAGTCAGGAGAATTGCTTGAACCTGGAGGCGGAGGTTGCAGTGAGCCGAGATTGCGCCACTGTGCTCCAGCCTGGGCGACAGAGGGAGACGTTGTCTCAAGAAAAAAAAAAAAAGTTTGGCCTAATATGCTTGACTGTGCTTTTGTCTTGGGGTTTTCCTGACCACAGGTCCCTGGGCAACAGAGGAAGTGACGCCCGGGGCTTCTACTGGGCCGAGTTCTCATCTGGCTGTGTCCAGGATGAGGAGCAGGTGGGAGGAATTGGGGAGGAAAGTGAAGCCATGGGGTTCTTATTTTTGAACCAGGTCTTACTCTCACCCACGCTGGAGTGCAGTGGCACGATCCTAGCTCACTGCAGCCTCAAACTCCTGGGCTGAAGTGATCCTCCCACCCTAGCCTCCTGAGTCATTAGGACTATAGGTGTGCACCACCACACCCAGCTAACTTTTAAAAATTTTTTGTAGAGACAGGGTGTCCCTATGTTGTCTAGGCTAATCTCGAACTTCTTCTTAGCGATCTTTCCACCTTGGCCTCCCAAAGTGCTGGAATTACAGGTCTGAGGCACCACACCTGGGTTCCATGTGCTTTCTGCACACACTTGGGAGGCAGGTGGGAGACCCTGGATCCAGAGCTTGTGGGTGATGCTGGCTTTCTCCTGCCCTGGGGATCAAGACAGGCACCAGCGCCCAAGGGCACAGCCTGTGCCACCCGCTGCGGATTTGCAGCCGTGCAGAAGCAGGGCTGGGAGGCCCTCTGCAGATGTGTCTGTCTTAGTGAGGCCTCCCCAGGGCTGTGTGGGCGCTGGGCCAAGCACTTCCATACCACAAGCTGGTCACAGTTCAGACCAAGCAGTGCAAGGCACATCTGGGTGCCAGGCACAGTGGTGCCCCATGGGGTGGCCCCACTCCTGGCCTGGCTCATGCCTCCCGTGGGGGCAGCAGAGCAACTGGCTCAGGGCGGGATGTGGTCAGACCTGGAGGCGGAGTGCTATGGGTGCCACGCTCCTTCCCAGGCCCTCACCCCTCCTTCTCCACCCAGGAGTCGTTCACGCCTACTGAGGAGCATGTGTTGGTGGTGCGCCTGCTGCTGAAGCACCTGCACGCCTTTGCCAACAGCCTGAAGCCAGAGCAGGCCTCACCCTCCGCCCACTCCCACGCCACCAGCCCCCTGGAGGAGTTCAAACGGTGGGTGGCCCTTGCGGCTTCCCACCACTGCCGTCTCCCCCACTTTCCCCTCCTAAGGTGTCGCCCACAGCGACCTCTCCCCAGGGCATGGAGGGCAGGGTGAGGGGAGTCCCTTTCTGTTCACAGAGCACGTGAGGCCTCTCCAGGCCTAGGCAGGTGTCCTCTCACCCCGCCCAGTTGGCTCCCAGAGCCTCTCTCTCCAGACTGGCCAGAGAGGCCCCATTGTGCTGCCATCTCTTGCATCTCATATTCTTCAACCCTGTCAGAAGAGTTGGGGTGGCCCTGACTGCCAGGCCCACCAGGGCCAGCAGAGTGGGCTGTTTGTATGGGACGGAGGGTGAGGTGTGTGCAGGAGTTGTGCTGACTCGGCCGCCTGCGTGCTGTGTGTCCTTGGGATGTTCCCTAACCTCTCTGAACCTTGATTTCTTCCTCTGAAGAATGGGGCTGAACCTCCCGGAGGTGCCCAGTGCTCTCCCCCGGCGGAGCCAACCCTCACTGATGGGAGCCCTGGGGTCATCTGTGAGCAGGGCCTCCTTACTGGGCAAGCAGCAGGTGACCCTCCCCATCCCCTGCAGGGCTGCTGTCCCGAGGTTCGTCCAGCAGAAACTCTACCTCTTCTTGCAGCATTGCTTTGGCCACTGGCCCCTGGACGCATCGTTCAGAGCTGTGAGTGTTGGCCCCGTCACACGTGTGCCTGTGTCCTCTGTGTGCCTTGAGGTGGGAGGTCCTTTGGGGCAGATAAAGGAGGAGAGCAAGTGTTATCACAGAGGCCTTGGCAAGGAGGGGGTCTTGGAGGGCCACATTGTTCTTTCTGTTTGAGTTTCCAAAGCCAGCCCTCAGGAAAGCCCTGCCCTGTCCCACCTGTCTGGTGCAGGGCAGGTTCCTACCCTTACCTGACCAGGGAGTACTCTGCCCCCTGGGCTGGGAAAAGCCCACCCTGGCTTCTGGAGGGCCAGCAAGAGCCAAACCTCACAGGGCTGTGCATGTCTCTCCTGCGCCCTCTGGAGGAAGTGAGAAGAGTCAGTCCCACCCAGCTGCCGCCTGGTATCTGGGCTCCAGGCCACCGAGTATTTGGCCCCCAGCCACGGAGCCCTTAGCACACACCTCCCCCACAGGTCCTGGAGATGTGGCTGAGCTACCTGCAGCCGTGGCGGTACGCGCCTGACAAGCAGGCTCCGGGCAGCGACTCCCAGCCCCGGTGTGTGTCGGAGAAATGGTGAGCCTCAGCTCCTCTCACAGACATGCCACTGGCTCCCCCAGGTGGATATTGTTCCAGTGGGTGGAGGCCAAGCCAGCGGCCTGTGCTGGGGTCAGCCTGGCCCTGGCCCCCGTGGCCTCCTGAAGTCCTCTCCCAGCCCCTGCCGAGCGGAACACAGACCAGCCTTTTCCTAGGCTCAACTTTGCCAGGCCCTAGAATTGGTTTCTTATGGAAGCTGTGGGTGACCCATCCTGCCCTGTCCCCTCTCCCTTCTGTCCCAGATGAGTGTTTAGCCACCCCCAAACTATCCCTTGACCTTCATCAGCACAGAACAGAGCAGCGGTGATCAAGCAGGGGATGAGGGAGGCTGTCTTCCCCTCATCCCCTGCTTGATCCTCACAGCGGACCCCCAGGCTTCCGTGGCACCTGGCATGGCCACTGATCCCTCCCCTCCTTGCCCAAGGCATTCCCCTTTGGACCCTCTGGGGGATCCTCCCTGAGCCCCCTCAGGCTCTGGGCTGGCCTCTGCCATGGTGGCCTCCATCCACTTGGAAAGGGGCCTCAGCCTTGCTAAGGATGTGGCATCCTCAGAGGGCCTGGGTCTTACCTGCCTCTGTCCTGTCCTCCCTGCCTGCCCGTGGCCCCCTGAGCTGTCATCTGTGACAGCTTGTCACCTTGGCTAAGGAGAGTCTGAAAGCCCAAGGGTGAGCAAGGGCATTAGGGGCACGGACCGGGCATTAGGGGCATGCTTCCAGTTGGAAGGCTGGCCCCAACCTGCCACCTCGGTCCCCAGGGCACCCTTTGTCCAGGAGAACCTGCTGATGTACACCAAGTTGTTTGTGGGCTTTCTGAACCGCGCGCTCCGCACAGACCTGGTCAGCCCCAAGCACGCGCTCATGGTGTTCCGAGTGGCCAAAGTCTTTGCCCAGCCCAACCTGGCTGAGATGATTCAGAAAGGTAAGTCCTCAGCCTGGGCCAGCCCGGTATACGTCAACCCAGCCAGACCAGGGCCAGGCCCTTAGCTGGGGGTGGCTGGTCTTTAAGAGGGACCCACACGCCCAGAGTGGGCCCCGGCAAAGGGTGCTGTGGAGACTCCTGGGACACGTCTGTGTGGTGAGGTCTGAAACCGGCTGGATCCTGCCTGCCCTGCAGCCACCAGGCACTGGGTGGGGGATCGCAGGTGTGCCCACAGAGCGGGCCGGCACGGTCCAAGCTGCGGCCCCGTGACCCCGCTGTTTCTCCCTGGCAACTCGTGTTGGCCGCTTCAGGAGGTGAGCCTGGTCTCTGCCTTGCATTCATCCTGGCTGGGTTGGGCGTTGGTTTCTGTCGATCCTCCTGTTGTTTACCTCCTGCAGACACTGCTAGGGGCTCTGTGAGCCAGCAGCTCCCCCATCCGCCCTCCCCATGTCAGCCACCTACTGTGTGGGAGATGCTGCCAGGCAGGGCCTCAGGAGGACACCCCTGGGTCATGGCTCCCCAGACACCTCAGAGACACCCCAGAATCCTAAGGGCAGCAGTCGGGTACTCTGCCTCCGGGAAGTGGGTGCCAGGTTCGTCTCCTGCCTTCTAGGTGAGCAGCTATTCCTGGAGCCAGAGCTGGTCATCCCCCACCGCCAGCACCGACTCTTCACGGCCCCCACATTCACTGGGAGCTTCCTGTCACCCTGGCCACCAGCGGTCACTGATGCCTCCTTCAAGGTGAAGAGCCACGTCTACAGCCTGGAGGGCCAGGACTGCAAGTACACCCCGATGTTTGGGCCCGAGGCCCGCACCCTGGTGAGTGGTTCGGCGGTGCCTGTCCTCAGGGCCCCTGGAGCCATGGGGCTGAGCAGAACCCGGGAAGTGCTGTGATCCAGCAGGAAGGAGGGAGGCTGGGTATAGATTTGACGCCATATCTCCTTCCCCCGTTTTAGTAAAGTCTAATTTTTTCCTGATAACGAAGGCAGTGTTTCTTGGGAAATTTCAAATGTAGAAGATCATCCTTTAGTCTTTAAAAGTCTTCTGGCAGAAGCCACTCCTCCTGACGCTCAGCAGTCTGGCTGTGCATTGCTCTTGGGGCTGCCTGGGTGGCAGCACAGGCCTGTCCTGCTGGTGACCTGCCCGCGCCTCCCTTGCAGGTCCTGCGCCTCGCTCAGCTCATCACACAGGCCAAACACACAGCCAAGTCCATCTCCGACCAGTGTGCGGAGAGCCCGGCTGGCCACTCCTTCCTCTCATGGCTGGGCTTTAGCTCCATGGACACCAATGGCTCCTACACAGCCAACGACCTGGACGAGATGGGGCAAGACAGTGTCCGGAAGACAGATGAATACCTGGAGAAGGCCCTGGAGTACCTGCGCCAGATATTCCGGGTACGAGCTATGGGGCCTGCCCCACCGCCATCAGGGTCCCCTTCCCTGAAGGATCCACTCCACCCAGCCTGTGGTCAGCCACCTACCAGTCCCAGGCCCCACACATATGGACCCAGTGTTGTGGGAGGCAGGCCCACACCCCGAGCGTCATAGCTGGGTCCCCTTGTTGCCACTGTTGTAGGCTGGTGGGGTGAAGACTGGTCCCCTCTCTTCATCTTGATGCTGAGGGCAGTGGCATTTCTCTCTGGCAGCTCAGCGAAGCGCAGCTCAGGCAGTTCACACTCGCCTTGGGCACCACCCAGGATGAGAATGGAAAAAAGCAACTCCCCGACTGCATCGTGGGTGAGGACGGACTCATCCTTACGCCCCTGGGGCGGTACCAGGTGAGAGGCCCGTGTCTCAGAGGCGCACAGGCTGGGCCCTGACCCGTCCCCAGCTCCCTCCTCCCTTGTGAGCAGAGGCCATCAGGCTCCTCTGAGTTGTGTGTGGGGCTGTGTTTTCTGACCCATCCCCATGGCCTGGCTTTCTAGATCATCAATGGGCTGCGAAGGTTTGAAATTGAGTACCAGGGGGACCCGGAGCTGCAGCCCATCCGGAGCTATGAGATCGCCAGCTTGGTCCGCACACTCTTTAGGCTGTCGTCTGCCATCAACCACAGAGTGAGTGGGCAGGAGGGCTGGCCTGGCGTCTTCAGAGAGGGTTCTAGATGCTCCTGCCTGGGGTGCAGTCCTGGGGTGGCCTGTGAGGGTGGGGTACTGCTGTCCTGAGGCCTGTGGTGCCACCACCCCACATCCCCGTGCCTCTGTCTGTGCTTCAGTTTGCAGGACAGATGGCGGCTCTGTGTTCCCGGGATGACTTCCTCGGCAGCTTCTGTCGCTACCACCTCACAGAACCTGGGCTGGCCAGCAGGCACCTGCTGAGCCCTGTGGGGCGGAGGCAGGTGGCCGGCCACACCCGCGGCCCCAGGCTCAGCCTGCGCTTCCTGGGCAGTTACCGGACGCTGGTCTCGCTGCTGCTGGCCTTCTTCGTGGCCTCTCTGTTCTGCGTCGGGCCCCTCCCATGCACGCTGCTGCTCACCCTGGGCTATGTCCTCTACGCCTCTGCCATGACACTGCTGACCGAGCGGGGGAAGCTGCACCAGCCCTGAAGGTGTCAGCTGCCTTCAGAGCAGGCTGGAGGGATTTGCCACACAGCCCCACCCTTGGGCTGAGAGGACCTGGGAAGCCCCTCCAGGAGGGAACACGGTCATCCTCGGGCTTCTGGAGCGGGGTTCCTGCAGCCGCAGAGGCATCTGGAGGAAACGCAACCAAGAAAGGAAGGCAGGTGGGCCCCAGCAAAGGAGTAGCTGCCAGGGCTCAACAGCTACGCTCTGTGACAGCGCAGAGCTCAGCGGCGGCCTTTCCCTCCCTCCGCCAAGGACTCACGGCCAAGCCAGCTCTCGGGGCCTTTTTTCCACTGCCCATTTGGCTACTCTGCTGCACCAAGCTTGGGAGCCAGCCTGCCAACAGCCACCTGGGCCTGGCCTCCCCACTGGCTGGCCTTGAGGTTGGCAGAGTGGGTTGTGGCGCTTCCTCTCTCTGTGTGGGACCAGGACAGTGGCTTAAGTCTCCACTCCAGGAAAGAATCAAAGTTTCTAGAGTTGTGAGAAAACCAGAGAGTGGCTGTCCTGATTCTTCACTGTGAGGGGCGTTCTTCATGTTCTCCCAGCTGTTCCAAGACTGGGCCGTAGAATTCCATGTTTCAGGAGCCTAAGACCCTCCCAGAGCCCAGGGGCTTCACCGCAGACCCCAAGCCATTGAGCACATCACCCAAAGCAGTGGCCAACATCGCGGACCCCTGTGCCTTGTCACAGATGGGTGCTGGTCCTCAGGCGTTGGGGACACTGCTGGGTCGATGGGGTCGGATTCTGCCAGTTTCTGCTCTGCAGCCAAAGATGGTCAGAAGCATTGTCACTTCAGTAACATCAAGTGCTCAAAGACATGGCAACCGTTCAGTGGTACTTAAGTATTCAAAATATACAACTACAGATTCTCTGACAGAAACCAGCACGGGGTCTTCACCTTCATTCACCCCACAGGCGACATGCGAGGGAGAACAGCATCTCAGTGGTGATTTCCAAACCAAGCCTTTGTTTTCGGTGTGGGGTTTTGGGGGTTTGCTTTAATGTTTTTGAAATTGTAAATGTTGGGCTTTGTATTTTGATGTAAACTGAGCATAATGGCATTTTAGGGCCTGTGACCAAAAATGAAGCTTGTAACGACCATGGATCTGAATAAACATGTCCTTGCTTCTGAGTCTTCTGGCACCTGGGCTCAGTCTCTAGGAGGTTCACCTGTACAGAGTCCCTGAGCACACGGGGGCTGCAGAAACAACTGTTGGGCACCCTGTCGGCCCCTCCCGCTAGTGTCCACAGGCCTGGACCTCTGGCTTCCTATGCTTTCCTCTCTCAGAGGCACAGTAGACTTTGCCCTGCCTTTACAAAAGATTCAAAAAGTTAGGCATGGCGGTTCACATGTGTGGTCCCAGCTACTTGGGATGCTGAGTTTGGAGGATCATCAGGGTCCAGGAGGTCAAGGCTGTAGTGAGCCTTCATCACGCCACTATACTCCAGCCTGGGTGACAGAGTGAGACCCTGTTCTCAAAGAAAAGCTGACCACCGGGAACATGTGCTGCCAAGTCTATGGCTTCCAGAAGCTCTGAGGATTGCGGGAGTTGCTGGGGGCTGAACTGTCTGGCCAGGAGCGGAGGGCAGACAAAAATGCATTGAGAACCAAGAACAGCAAAGCTGAGTGAGGGGTCAGGGTCTTGGTGGCTGGGACCTGGACAGCGATGGCCACAAAGCCAGCTGGTGCTCAGTGGCTTCTCCCTGGGGAGCGAGGGCAGCAGTGGGCAGCTGGGTTCCAGCCACTTCCAGGTGGGGGGTAGGGACCTCGCCAATAAAATGGGATTTAAATTTTGCCAAGAACTCTCACTGTAGAGAAAATGGGACTGCTGGGATGAGAGCAGAAGCAAAATGCAGTTGGGGGGGCCCGGCCAGGAGGCACTTGTGAGGGACTTCCGGGGAAGGACGAGTTGGAGCAACTCAGGGGAAGCAGTTCTGTCTGGGGCACAAGGAGGAGGGAGGCCAGGCTGGAGGCAGGAGCTCCTGCAGATTCTTGTCTCCACCCCTGGATGCTTCCAGAGTGGTTTGCCCTAACTGCCACTGCCACCGCCTCCTCAGCTCCTAGGATGCCCTTGACTTTTTGCCATTGGGCCACACTCCCCTGCTAACAGGCCAAATCCGATGCTTTTCTGACCACGTGGCCCAGAGACTCTGGCAGCGCAGCTTCAGCCTGTCCTGACACCACCCCTGCCCCCGCACCTCCGCATCGTCCTCCTTGCCCCGAGACAATCCCGTTCCCTGGATCCCATTCGTGGCCCACTCCCTTCCATGATCTACCGCTAGGATATACCAGCGCCCCCGTGATCCAAGGTAAGTCAGATTCTGATCATCTTGTGCAAGCAACTCACAAGCAGAGGCCCTGTGCAGTCGGGAGAAATCTATACCTTTCCCCTTGGACATCCAAGAGCAAGTTAGATCCCCTAAAGGCCAGCTCTCACCAATAACCCTGACATTTCCAATATAAATGAGAGAGAACTCTCTGTTTTGAGACAAGGTCTTGCTATATTGCCCAGGCTGGAGTGCACTGCACCATGACAGCTCACTGCAGCCTCTTAACTCCTGGGCTTAAGCAATCCTTCCGCCTCAGCATCCCAAGTAGCCAGGACTACAGGCATGCGCCACCGCACCCTGCTAATTTTTAAATTTCTTTGTAGAGACGGGGTCTCACTGTGTTGCCAGGCTGGTCTTGAACTCCTAGGCTCAAGTGATCCGACCGCCTCCGCATCCTGAAGTGCTAGGGTTACAGGTGTGAGCCACCACACTGGAGAGCGGACTCTTATGTAGCCTTCACTGTAAAAATTAAGCTAGCTTCCCTTGACTCCCAAAACCAGAATTCCTAGCATAATTTTCTCAAGTCACAAGGTGCGAAAATATATCAAATTATTTCCCAGTCAAGAATTCCTACTTTTGGCCAGGCGCAGTGGCTCATGCCTGTAATCCCAGCACTTTAGGAGGCTGAGGCAGGAAGATCACTTGACGTCAGGAGTTTGAGACCAGCCTGGCCAACATGCTGAAATCCCATCTCTACTGAAAATACAAAAATTAGCTAGTGTGGTGGCGCATGCCTCTAATCTCAGTTACTTGGGAGGCTGAGGCAAGAAGATCGCTTGAACCTGGGATGTAGAGGTTGCAGTAAGCCGAGATCGTACCACTGTACTCCAGCCTGGGTGACAAGAGACTCCTTCTCAAAAAATAAATAAATAAAAAAAGTGATAAATTGGCAGCTGGCGCCAGGGACAGGCCATTTCCTGATGGGCCACACCTATTTCACTAAAGTGTTAATTGAATGCAGATTCCAGGGAGAATCAACTTCCCAGGCATGTGCATTAAGAGACAAAGTGGTGGAGTATGACCTTCGGGGGGCACCCCACCCAAAAACCTCAGATGGGCATGCATACAGTTTCCTAAACACACTGCATGTGTTTAGGAACTCCCAAGGGTAAGGAGGGTACTGTACATGTGGGCAGCCCACCCTAAGGGAAGGATCATGGGAAAGGGGCCAGTCTAGAAAGTCCTAGGATCAAGGTTAAACACCACACTTGACTTTCATGTGCCCACTTAGGTCTCTTCCAAGCGTACTTTCCTTTCTTTCCTGTTCTAAAGCCTTTTAAAATACACTTCCACTCCTGCTCTGAAACTTGCTTCGGTCTCTTTTTCTGCCTTATGCCCCTCAGTCGAATTCCTTCTTCTGAGGAGCCAAGAATTGTGGTTGCTGAAGACCCATCCGGATTCACTGCCAGTGACTTGGACACCTTCCACTGCTAACACTATTAACTCGGACACCTTCCACTGCTAACACAATAACACTGGGTTATTGTGTTTATTTGGAGAGTGCGTATGGTTTAAGGAGATGTGTATGGGTGCCAGGTTGACAAGGGGTGGACTTGTGATGGTTAATTCTATATGTCAGCTTGTCTGGGCCACCGGATGCACTCATATCTGGTTACACATTATTTCCTGGCAGGTCTGTAAGGGTGTTTTCAGAAGAAAGTGGCATTTAAATTGGTGGTGCAAGCAGCCATGCATGCATTTCTGGAGTAGCTTCCCTATAGCTTGCAGGAACCAGAGCGGGCAATAAGAGCCCCATCCTCCAAATACTGGGGATCTGTGCTCTGATTGATGATGGCTGCTGTTGATTGTGAAAATGCAGACAAAGAGGCAGGCAGCCACTGCTGCAATCTCCACTGCTATGTTTGCAACGTCCCTCCTCAACCCTCACTGCCTCCCTGGGTACACACCTTCCAGGAGGTTTTTATGGATCAGCACCTCCTCCTGCCTTCATTTTTCTTTTCTCCTTCTTGGGAACCAGATGTTTAGGACTAGGACATTCAAAAGCAACCATATACCAGGCACAGTGGCTCATACCTGTAATTTCAACACTTCTGGAGGCTGAGGGAGGAAGATTGCCTCAGCCCAGGGGTTTGAGACCAATCTGGGCAACATAGCAAGACAAAAAAAAAAAAAAAAATTAGCCAGGCGTGGTGTGTGCCTGTAATCCCAGTTACTAGGGAAGCTGAGGCAGGAGGATGGCTTGAGCCCAGGAGTTCCAGGCTGCAAGTGAGCTATAATCGCGCCACTGCACTCCTGCCTGGATGAATTTCTCTCCACTCAGGATATCCTCCCTCCCAGCAATAATATTGCTACCATTCATTCCAGCTATCCATAAACCATAATTACTAAATACATGTTGCCATAATTTTTTTGAACAACCTGTCATCTATTAAAAATAATAATAAAGATTATATTTTATTTTACTTTATTCCTTCTCTAATGCACTTCCCTTTTTTTAGATCCAAATTTCCTATATCTTTTTCCTTCTTTTTTTGAAACAGGGTCTCTCTGTGTTGCCCAAGCTGGAGTGCAGTGGTGCAATCACGGCTCGCTGCATCTCAGCCTTCTCAGTAGCTGGGACTGCAGGTGTGCACCACCATGCAGGCAAACTTTTTAGTTTTTTGTGGAGTCAGGGTCTGGCTATATTGCCCAGGCTGGTCTCTAACTCTTGGGCTCAAGAGATGCTCCTGCTTTGGCCTCTCAAAGTGCTGGGATTACAGGCATCAGCCATGCACCTGAGTTTTCATTTCTGTTGTGTTTTTGACTTCTTACATTTTCTTTTAGTTTTTTGAGATGGAGTCTCACTCTGTTGCTCGGGATGGAGTGCAGTGGCAGGATCTCAGCTTGCTGGAAACTTCACCTCCTGGGTTCAAGCAATTCTTTGGCCTCGGCCTCCTGAGTAGCTGGGATTACAGACATGCACCACCATGCCTGCCTTTCTTTTTTCTTTTTTTTTTTTTGAGATGGAGTCTTGTTCTGTCGCCCAGGCTGGAGTGCAGTGGCATGATCTTGGCTCACTGCAAGCTCCGCCTCCCGGGTTCACGCCATTCTTCTACCTCAGCTTCCCGAGTAGCTGGGACCACAGGCGCCCACCACCATGCCTGGCTAATTTTTTGTATTTTAGTAGAGATGGGGTTTTACCGTGTTAGCCAGGATGGTCTCGATCTCCTGACCTCATGATCCGCCCGCCTCGGCCTCCCAATAATTTTTGTATTTTTAGTAGAGATGGGTTTTCACCATGTTGCCCAGGCTGGTCTTGAACTCCTGACCTCAAGTGATTCACCCACCTCGGCCTCCCAAAGTGTTGGGATTAGCGGTGTAAGCCACTGTGCCTGGCCAACTTCTCACATTTTCTTTTCTTTTCTTCTTCTTTTTTTTTTTTTTGAGATGGAGTCTTACTCTGTTGCCCAGGCTTGAGGGCAGTGGCATGATCTCGGCTCACTGCAACCTCCACCTCCTGGATTCAAGCAATCCTCCCACCTTAGCTTCCCAAGTAGCTGGAATTACAGGTGCATGCCACCACACTAGCTAATTTTTGTATTTTTTAGTAGAGATGGGGTATCACCATGTTGGCCAGGCTGGTCTTGAGCTCCTGACCTCAAATGATCTGCCCAACTCAGCCTCCCAAAGTGCTGGGATTACAGACATGAGCCACCCTGCCTGGCCTTCACATTTTCTTTAGATTATTTCTTAGAACGTCTACCTCTCTGTTCCCATTATCAGTCTGTAATCTCATGTTGTCCACTTTTTCCATTAGAGCCCTTAGCATATTAATCATAGTCGTATTCCATTTCTTGGTCTGATAATTCCAACATCTCTGCCATATTTAAGTGTGGCTCTGATGCTTGCTGTGTCTTCGAACTGTGTTGTTTTTTATTATGCCTTGCAAGTTTTTGTTGAGGGCTGGTCATGCTCAACCAGTAAATGGACTTTCTGTGTGAAGTTTTATGTTGGTCTGGTTAGGGGTTGTGCCATGTGTGCTGTTTGTTAACTGGAGGTGTCAGAGGCTTAAACCTCCTCTAGTGTCTTAGTTTTTGTCTCCCTGTTGTCTTTACGGTTTCCTAGAGATTTCTCGAATAAGCTCTGAGATGAGCAGTTCTTTCACTTGTATCCCCTGTTATTATACAGGAGCCCCGCTGATGTGGCAGTAAGATGTGGGGAAGGAGAGCCAGAGCAGGCTGGGGTTAGCTATGTTCCCTTCCTCCAGGTTTGTTGGTGTCTGGCAAAATTATGATTGGCCTGGCTGTGATTTTTTTTTTTTTTGAGGGCAGGCCTTGTAAAAAAAAAAAAGACTTTTTATTTTTATTATTTTTAAATTTATTTATTTATTTATTATTTTTTTTTTTTTTGAGACAGAATCCCACCCTGTCGCCCAGGCTGGAGTGCAATGGCGCGATCTTGGCTCACTGCAACCTCCACCTCCTGGGTTCAAGTGATTCTCCTGCCTCAGCCTCCGGAGTAGCTGGGATTACAGGTGTGAACCACTGCGCCCGGCCTCTTATTTTTAGGCAGCATCTCACTCTGTCACTTAGGCTGGAGTTCAGTGGTGCCATCATAGCTCACTGCAGCCTCGACCTCCGGGGTTCCAGCAATCCTCCCACCTCAGCCTCCCGAGCAGTTGGGACTACAGGCGCAAGCCACCATGCCCGGGTTTTTTTTCTTTTAATTTTTATAGAGACAGGGGCTCACTTTCCATCCAGGCTGGAAAGGATGCCTTTTATTATTATTATTATTATTATTATTATTATTATTATTATTTTAGATAGAGTCTCTGTCGCCCAGGTTGGAGTGCAGCGGTGCGATCTCGGCTCACTGCAACCTCTGCCTCCCGGTTCAAGCTATTCTCCTGCCTTAGCCTCCGGAGTAGCTGGGATTACTGGCTCCCGCCACTACGCCCGGCTAAATTTTGTATTTTTAGTAGAGTCGGGGTTTCGCCATGTTGGTCAGGCTGGTCAGGAACTCCTGACCTCAAGTGATCCGTCCGCCTCGGCCTCCCAAAGTTCGGGGATTACAGGCGTGAGCCCCGGCGCCCAGCCCTGGATGCCTTGTAAATCACTACTCACCCAGGAAGAGCCAGCGACAGGCCCCGCCCCCGCCAAACGCCTGGCGCCCTCCGTCGCCCGGTTTCCATGGTGACGGGGCGCCAGGCTAGGGCGGCCTGGCCACTGAGCCGGGGTGCAGTGGCAGCGGGAGAGTACCTGGCGATGGCGATATGAGCGGTGCGGGGGTGGCGGCTGGGACGCGGCCCCCCAGCTCGCCGACCCCGGGCTCTCGGCGCCGGCGCCAGCGCCCCTCTGTGGGCGTCCAGTCCTTGAGGCCGCAGAGCCCGCAGCTCAGGCAGAGCGACCCGCAGAAACGGAACCTGGACCTGGAGAAGAGCCTACAGTTCCTGCAGCAGCAGCACTCGGAGATGCTGGCCAAGCTCCATGAGGAGATCGAGCATCTGAAGCGGGAAAACAAGGGTGAGCCGGCGCGGGGCCCTAGGCCGGCCCTGCCTCCCCAGGCACACTCAACACTGCCGCTCCCGCAGCACAGAAACACAGCCATCAACTCCAGCACACGCCTGGGCTCAGGGGGAACACAGGACGGTAAGCCCGCCCTGCCACGCTGAGCTGTCCCCTCCTCCCAGAGGGAGACCCGCGTGGCCCCCGGGCAGTGCCGAACCTGTCTGCCTGTCTCCTAGGGCAGCAGCATTTCAGATGCTGACTCCGCCAGTCCTCTCCTCTCCAAGCAGGGTCAGACACACCTCTGTTAAAAACTTTATAGAGGGGCCCGGGCGCGGCGGCTCACGCCTGTAATTCCAGCACTTTGGGAGACCGAGACGGGCGGATCGCGAGGTCAGGAGATCGAGACCATCCTGGCTAACACGGTGAAACCCCGTCTCTACTAAAAATACAAAAAGTTAGCTGGGTGTGGTGGTGGGCGTCTGTAGTCCCAGCTACTCGGGAGGCTGAGGCAGGAGAATGGCGTGAACCCGGGAGGCGGAGCTTGCAGTGAGCCGAGATCTTGCCACTGCACTCCAGCCTCGGTGACAGAGCGAGACTCCGTCTCAAAAAAAACAAAAACAAACAAACAAAAACTTTATGCAGGGAAACGTGCCCAAGTGCGAGTGCGCAGCTCAGTGAATTTCTTCCAGCTAAACACATCGGATCAGGAGCAGGCATTCCCCCGCCCCCCACCCCGTCCCCGCTTCGCCTGTGCCCATGCTGTCCTCCGGCGGGGCCTTCCCAACTGCACCCTTAGCTGCTCCTCACCCCCACGCCCCCCTTTCTCCCTCCCTCCTCCCCCACCCCTCCTGCCCCGAGCAGGAGGAGGGCCCGCCAGGATGTGGGATGTGGCTCCGCTCCTCGCTCTTGCTTCAGGAGGGCTCCAGCAAGGGCACCAGTGCCCGCGGCCTCCTCTCCCGCCCCGTTCCCTGCTGCTGCCTTACCTGAGTGCCGAGTATCCCATCACCAGGCGTCTGTTTTGTCAGGACCCCGCTTCCCCATGTCTTCTTGAGCCTCAGGACGCCCCGTTCCTCATATCTTCTTGAGCCTCCCCCCAGTCCCTGATGCCCACGGGATCATGACACCGCCATAGCCAGGGATTCCAGAGTTCACCTCTGTACCCCTAAAGCCCAGGTTCTGCCTGGCAGTGTGGACGCCCTCCAGTCATCTCAGATGGATGAGGCTGATATGCCAGGTGGGCTCTGCCTAGGGAACAGGCAGGGGCCACTCCTGGCCTGACACCCACGACAAAGGCATGGTGGAGAGCGGGATCCATGGGGCAGGGCCCAATCAGCCAGTGGGGGGGCAGGACTTTCGGGCTCAGCAGCCAGGAGAGGACAGGCCAGGCTTCTTCTCTCAGAATGGCTGTGGTTTCACAAGTGCTGAGGAGAGCGTGTGCTTGCTTTCAGATCTCCGTTACAAGCTCATAATGAATCAGACATCACAGAAGAAAGGTGAGAACTGGGCCCTTCAGTTCCTGATGGGATGCTCTTGCCACCCAGGGGAGCCCCTCCAGACTGTCCTTGCCCACCTGGCTGCACTGGCCCCTGTATGCCAACCCAGTGGGGACAGGTTCTGGGGGACCTGGACAGATGCCGCTACCTCTAGCCGTGGCTGGATGATGTTACGCAGCCAAGCACAGCACGTGCTGCTCTCAGGAAGCCCAGGGCCTGAGGTCATTGCAGTGGGGAGGTGGGCACAGGGTGCTCCCCAGACCTCCCTCCTCCAAGTAGAGCTGAAATGGGAAGGAACCCCTGGGACAGCCCCTGCCCTGCTAGATCTTTGCCTCAGATTGCTGCTGTGGCCAGGCCCAGGATCTCCAGCCCTATGGCTCTGAGTCCTGACATGCTGGGGGCCCAGGGGCTCTGGACACACTCCATCCAGGGATCCCTTCCTGCCATCTGGGCAGCAACCATGGGGACAAAGGGAGGAAGCAGAGTCCTGTTTCCTTGCCACTTGTCCAAGGCACTTCCCCATCCTGACAGCGGCCCCCACCCAGCCCAGGATTCTGGGTTGTGGTCTCGAGCTCACTTCCCGTTATCTTTGGGGCTGGGGCTGACATCAGGAGGACATCTGACTGGTGGATGGAGCCAGCCTGGGAACATCGTAGCTGGGGCAGTGCCTAGGGCTCTCCCTTCCCAGAGAGACATGGAGAATGGGGTTGAGGGAGGGCCCTTCCCTAGCCGCTGTGGCAACTCCAGTGAGCTGTTCTGGGCAAAGTGTGGCCCAAGTCGGCAGCCCCAGCCCTGCAGTGCTGGGGACGCTGACAGGACACGGGAAGAGGCCATGCTCTCCCTCGGGACCTGCTGTTCCATGTGTCCCAAGCCCTCCTGCTTTCCAGATGGCCCCTCAGGAAACCACCTTTCCAGGGCCTCTGCTCCCTTGGGCGCTCGCTGGGTCTGCATCAACGGAGTGTGGGTAGAGCCGGGAGGACCCAGCCCTGCCAGGCTGAAGGAGGGCTCCTCACGGACACACAGGCCAGGAGGCAAGCATGGGCGTCTTGCGGGCGGTAGCGCCGACACTGTGCGCTCTCCTGCAGACAGCCTCTCCACGTCAAGCTTCCAGTCTGTCAAGTCCATCTCTAATTCAGGTGAGCAGGCTGGCGTCCATGT
The DNA here is from genome assembly GCF_000001405.40 of Homo sapiens. Classification (NCBI taxonomy): domain Eukaryota; kingdom Metazoa; phylum Chordata; class Mammalia; order Primates; family Hominidae; genus Homo; species Homo sapiens. The sequence continues at coordinate 130,142,110 of NC_000002.12, read as the reverse complement.
GCTCACAGGGGTGAGTGCCCCACGGGGACCCCAGCCTGGGTGGCCTCTAGGGGTGCTGACCAGGTACCCTCTGCTGGGCCAAGCTCCAGGATTTGGGGATGAAGGTGCAGCTGAAAAGAGCCCTGCAAGCTGAAGCCACCGGGAGGGGATTAAGGGGGGGTGGGCAGGACCAGGGACCAGTCACAGGGCAGTAAGGCCTCACAGCAGGCACCCCAGGGTGGGGCAGCAAGCAGGCAGGAGGGGCCTCCCCGGGTGGCCGCCTAGGGAGGACGTACCCTGGCTGCCCAGCAGCAGCCCTGCTTGGCCGTGTCCCCGCCACAAGCAGGCAGGACACAGGAGGGATGGCACTGCCCACGGAGCCCTGGGCTCATGGCACCTTCTGCAGAGTGAACTGGGAGCAGAGAGCCTCTTTTCCCCACTCTGTGAGGCCGGGCATTTTCCTCAGCCCAGCCCTAACCCTCACCATTCCTGTGATGGGCCCAGGTGCTGGACGGGCCTTGTCCTTGCCGAGGAAACCCATGCAGGCTGGGTCCCAAGCCTCTCATGCAGTTTCATTTTACCCAAGATGGGGCCAGCTTCCACTATGTTGATTGTTCTAGAGTGTTCACAGGCACCACCCATGGGCTTCACCCTCAGAACCACATTGATTCCCCCCAGAACCCTCCAAGGCAGGCTTCCCTTTACAGAGGAGGAAACTGAGGCAGGGACAGGGGCTTCTTGGGTACACACAGCTGTTCCTGGAAAACTTGGGCGGTGACTGTTGGTGCCTGCAGTGACCGGCCTTGTAGGGTCTGACTTGCAGCCAACTCTCAAGGCAAGGCCAGGCCCCAGCCCGGCTCCTTCAACAAGCAAGATTCAAAAGCTGACGTCCCCCAGAAGGCGGACCTGGAAGAGGAGCCCCTACTTCACAACAGCAAGCTGGACAAGGTTCCTGGGGTACAAGGGCAGGCCAGGTAAGGCTTGGGTGTTCCTGGGGTGCAAGGGCAGGCCAGGTAAGTCTTGCCTGCACCCTAAGGGCCCCATGACTACATTTACTAGGCTCACGCCCTGCAGTCAGCCAACTGCTCTGCCCCTAGCTCCAGGGGCCTGTCTCCAGGGCTCATGATAGCAGATGACGGCCACGCTCTACCCATCGGTGGGCGCTGTCTTCCTCCCTTCCCCTGGGGGTCCTGCAGAGTACCTGTGCTGACCTGAGCCCACGAGGGGGGCCAGTAGCGGCCCCTAAACCACTTCCTCAGAGAAAAGTAAAGTAATATTCTGACCAAGAGAAGGCTTGCTGCCCCTGGCCACAGCCTGCCTTTGGAGGGCACTAGGCCAGCAGGTCAGAGTAGGAACAGGTTCTGGTGATCCCTGAGTTTGCGGGACTGCCCTGAGATGCTACAGAGCGCACACTTTCAGCAGCGCAACCAGCAGGACAGGCTCCTGCATCTGCACATCCCGAGACCAGGCCTGGAGCAAGATGCCCCACTGGGTGTGGGGTCACGATCAAGAGCAGCCTGGCAGCTAGCTGGTCACCCACTGAAGCCCATCTGACCCTTAGGGCACCTTCAGAGGGGAGAAAGGGACAGGCCCCAGTCCCAGAGACCCCCACCTGGTGCCCAGAGCACCCTGCTCAGTGGGAGAGGGGAACCAGGCCCTCTTCCCCACATTGGCCTGGGCGCTGCCTGGGGAGGTATGCTGGGTGGGTGGTTAGACGCACCTGGGCAGGTCACCTCTGGCTGCTGCAATGACTGTTTCAGAAAGGAGAAAGCAGAGGCCTCTAACGCAGGAGCTGCCTGTATGGGGAACAGCCAGCACCAGGGCAGGCAGATGGGGGCGGCGGCACACCCCCCAATGATCCTGCCCCTTCCCCTGCGAAAGCCCACCACACTTAGGCAGTGCGAAGTGCTCATCCGCGAGCTGTGGAATACCAACCTCCTGCAGACCCAAGAGGTGAGGCCCTGGGTGGTGGGGGTGGCCCTGGGCAGTCTGGCACCGCCACAGGCCCCACCACGCCCCTGCCCCTGCCTTTCAGCTGCAGCACCTCAAGTCCCTCCTGGAAGGGAGCCAGAGGCCCCAGGCAGTCCCGGAGGAAGCTAGCTTTCCCAGGTGAGTGCCTGGTGCACCCCTGCCCCATCCCTGGGGGCCTATCCACAGCTCACTGCTGACTCTTCCTTCACCCAGGGACCAAGAAGCCACGCATTTCCCCAAGGTCTCCACCAAGAGCCTCTCCAAGAAATGGTAAGTCCCACAGGCATGGGGACAGTGGGGCAGCCCTGCAGCCTGGGCCCCAGGGAGGGAGTGGGGAAGGGAGCGTGGCAGCGCAGAAGCGGAGCTCGCTGAGGCCTCTCTGTGCCCCCGTGAGGGCCATGCAGGCCGCACTCCCCACACACTCCACTCGCGAGGATGCTCACGGTGACAGTCCCTCTACCCGCCCCCAGCCTGCTTCTGAGCCCACCTGTGGCGGAGCGTGCCATCCTGCCCGCACTGAAGCAGACCCCGAAGAACAACTTTGCCGAGAGGCAGAAGAGGCTGCAGGCAATGCAGAAACGGCGCCTGCATCGCTCGGTGCTTTGAGCTACCCGCATCTGGTCAGTGCCAGGCCCACCAACCTGCAGCTGGAGATTGGCTCTCTATAGCATTTCCTGACACTTCCGCTACTTTTAGGCCTGGCTAAATTCCAAGATAGATAACACTCAAGATAGATAAAGTACTTGATCTCCAAACTGACAAACTGTTTATTTTCTAGCTGTTATTTTGCTATTTGGCATTTACATAAAAGCACACGATGAAGCAGGTATCGCCTTACCTGTTGAAACTGAAAATAAAGCTTGTTTATTTCCAAGTTGTGTGCCTGGCTCCTCACTGGCTATCAGGCGTCGCGTCCCTTCCCAGTCCCAGCCCTTGGCCTCTAGCCCAGGCCCCGCTGTCTGCAGGGACCTGCCTGGGCAGCCCAGTCTTGCGCATCCTGGGACCTGCCAGCGGCCCTGGGAGACAGGCATTGGCAGAGCCATGCACATCCTCCCTGGAAGCGGGAGGGCTTTTCTGGTCCCCTGGCTGGGCTGGAGCTGCGTTCCAAACACATGATCACTCTGTCTCTTGCCCACACTGCACACTCCTGGGGGCAAGAGGCTGTCCTCTGCTGCCCTGACACAGCACCGCAGACAGGGGGTCCAGCCAGGCTCGCCCTCCTCCTCGGAGGGCTGTCTCGAGTGCCGTGGCCATGCCCGCACCACCCCTTCCGCCACAGCACAGCCATGTCCATGTCGGGGGTGGGGTGGCCAGCTTAGTGCCCACCCTCAGCCAGCCACACAGTCTTCCCAGGCCCACGGCCCACTTCGTTGGCATTAATCTCAGCCTCTTCCTGCTTCAGGGAGCAGAACTTTGCCAGGAAGCTGGGGATGAACCAGGCCAAGGAATGGGACAGTGCGTCAGAAAGGACAGCCCAGGCCCGGGGGCTTACAGCATCCTAACAGGACAGCAGGCCCAGTTTCATGGAGTGGGGGACACAGTGACGAGTCCTGACAAACACAGGAATAACAAGATTATAACAATCACAGATGATGGGGTGGTATGCATTAAAAGGGGCGACTCTTGTCACCAAAGGGCTGCTGGCCGGTGCCCAGGGCAGTGGGCAACATAGGGAGGCACTCACTGCATGGCCCCACCCACCGCCAGGCCCGCACTCTCTGGGTGGCAGTGCGTAGTGTTCTGAGGACGCGGGTCCAGAGGGCCTGGCTCTTCATCCTTCACAATGGGGACACGGCCCTCACACGAGTGACACAGGGGTGCCGGCAGCAGGATCCCCCGTGCCCCTGCTCCCTGGGGGCCCCACAGTGCTCAGCAGGAATGCCGTGAGGGCTGAGGCCCAGCTGGTGGTGGGGAGCTGGCAGCAGCCATGGGCCAGCCCTCCCTCCGATAGGCAGCCTGTGCCCTGGACTTAGGGGCTTCTCTGGGGGGTGCCCCACCTGCCCAAAGCAGCACAGCCTGAACCCAAAACTGTGAGCAGAGAATCCGATGTGTGTTTGAAGGGTTTCCTATGTCCTCTGTGTTCTCCTATAGAAAGGAGCAGGGGTGTGTTGAGCACACACAAGATGCTCTAACAACACCCTGAGCGCACCCTCATGCCGCTGAGATGGACCTGGACCCTGGACAGGCCACGGCGAGCAGCCCGCTCCACCACGCCCATCTCAGTCTGTACAAGTGCGGGATTTCATTTGGCAGATCCCCAAGGCAGGAGAGAAAAGGAGGAAAGCTAACCTAACTCCAGGCTCTCCATGGACGCCAACACCTAGAAGTGTCTGACAGGAGGCATGCGTCCTTGGCCCCGATGAGGCTGCGGGCCATCCCTGCAGTCCTGGCTAAGCAGCCGAGGCAGGCCTTGTGGATGTTCCGGGCACAGGTGTTGAGCAAGGTGGTAACCGAGTGCTTTTCCAGGCTGTGGCTGCCTGGAGGTCACGCAGTGGTGCACCGACCTGAGGAAGGGGTTGGTGCCTGCAACAGAACAATGGGCATGAGCCTGAGGCAGCTGGTGCTGCACCCACGGCCTGCACACCCGGCAGTGCTCTGGGAAGTGGCAGCCCCAGGACTGGCTGAAGCACCAGGAGGAGCCCTGCACGCTGCCTGCCTGGCCATCGGGCTCTCCTCCCAGAGCCTCATTGTCAGTGAAGAACTGAATCTGAATGGGGTTTGGAGCCCAGGGCTTTGCCTCTGACAACCTTGGGGACCCAGCCCTGGATCTGCTGTGTGCCAGCTCTGGGCTCAGGGACACTGACTCCTGTCAACATGACCCTCTGGAGCCACATCGCCCAGATGGGGCCTTGTGTGCCCAAGCTACTGGTAGGACCTGTCAGCCCCGCTGAGCTCCCTGGTGGCCTCTGGGAAAAGCAGGGTCTGTCCTTGAGCCGTAGGCTTTCTCACCCCTCAGCCACTGAACACAGCCACCCTGGACAACTGACCTGACACAAGATGAAGGGGCAAAGGGACACAGAAGAAGAGCAGAGACCCCTCTCTCTCAGGTGACCACTGGAAAACCTGCGCCTGCCCGTGCAGGGGGAGTCAGAAGAGGGGAGGGAGGGGCCTGAGCTGGGAGGGGCTGGAGTGCACAGAGGCTGTCCCTGCAGCACTGGAAGCCTGGTGTTCCAGAATGACCCCTGCCTGCCCTGGGCCCCCAGACAGCTCCCTCTGGGTCTGCCCACTGTATAGCCACTGCCGGTCCATCCACAGTGGACTCTGGGTAGGGTAGTGGGTGGGCACATGGTGGCACACTTGGGAGGTCCTTGTCGTTTGCAACACACAAGGCTGTACCTGTGACCCAGACAAGCCCTGGCCTGCCCCGCCTCACAGCCCTGCTCCCGAACAGGACTCTTCACACCCAGGGAGGTTCTGGTGAGGCTTGCGGCAAAGCCTGGATGTCTCTCTCACTCTCGGATTTCCAAACCTGAAGCCAGAGTGACCTGCATCAATGGGTGCCCAGAGGTCCTGCGTGCCACCTCCCTAGGGCCCCAGGCAAGCAGAGCCGCATCTGTGTTGGGGAGGTGAGGGTGCGTGGGCTCCGGGGGTGGGGGCAGAGGCAATGGCCAGTCTGTCCTGGGCCCAGAAGACAGAGCAGACAACCTGCTGGCACGTGAACATAGGATGGGGTCTGGGCACTGTGCCCTCCAGCTTGGACAGCAGAGGCCTGGGGCTGCAGTTGGGGGTTGCTCTCTTGCGCCAGCCTGGCCCTCCTGGACACTCGCCCAGCTTGCAGATCAGGCGGACGGTGCCGTTGTTGCTGCAGTGAGAAGGGTCCAGGTTTATCATGCACTTGGGCTCCAACCTGGCCACCAGGCCCTGGAGCACACTGGGGATGCTCTGCTGCTCATCGTCCTCAAGCCTGTGCTTCTGGGTGCATACCACTGGGGCCTTGGGGAGGCACCATGGTGACCACACTGGGCACACATGGCCCAGGGCCAGGCAGCCACCCTCTGCGAAGCCCAGCCCAGCTGGATGTATGTGATGGGTGGGCTGTGGATGGCAATCATGGTTGGCATGAATATGCGGTACAGGGAATGGTTGAAGAGGGTGAGCGGATGTTGGCCAGGATGGCATCCAGGAGCAGCTGGCATAGGTACTGCTGTTTGGTCAGTGGCACCGGGGGCAGTGGGGCAGTGGGCTGGAGCAGGATGGGCATGGTCAGCAGCCCGGAACCCAAGGGTTCCCCATGTAGGGGGCTTTCCCACCCCAGGCCCGTCCTCACTCACAGCCAGATTCCCGAGGCCTCTCTCTCAGCCTCCACCCTTGTGCAGACAATGTTGGCTGATCCTGGGTATATTCCCTACCCCCACAGCTTTGTCCTCCCCAGAGTCCCTGCCCCCTCTGGGCCAGGTGGCAGAGGCACCGATGGGGGCCACAGACAGAGAGTGACTTCTCCCATGTTCCCACCCAGCACAGCAAACCTGGCCTGGAAGAGGCCTGGTGGGCAGGGTCTCAGGTCAGGCCCAGCCCCTACCCAGCCACCCTAACCTTGAAGGCCCCTCCCAGTGGTGCTCCCAGGAGCTCTTGGGGGAGCCCCAATTCCCCCAGGGATGCCCAGGATCCCACTCACCACTGCCATGTCATTCTTGAGTTTTCTTTTTTTTTTTTGAGATGGAGTCTCACTCTGTCGCCCAGGCTGGAGTCCAGTGGTGCCATCTCAGCTCACTGCAAGCTCCACCTCCCGGGTTCACGCCATTCTCCTACCTCAGCCTCCCAAGTAGCTGGGACTACAGGCGCCCGCCACCACGCCCGGCTCATTTCTTTTTTGTATTTTTAGTAGAGACGGGGTTTCACCATGTTAGCCAGGATGGTCTCGATCTCCTGACCTCATGATCTGCCCGCCTCAGCCTCCCATAATGCTATGATTACAGGCATGAGCCACCGCGCCAGGCCAATATTTTTAAATAAAAAATTACAAAGCTGTTTTTCTTAAAATGTTACAATAAAATTGTATCTGTGTATAAAATGTATCTATTTTATGTGTACGTGTGTGTGAGTGTGTGTGTGAGAGAGAGAGACAGAGAGAGACAGAGAGAGAGAGAGAGAGAGAGAGAGAGAGAGTGAGTTATGAATTAGGAAGCATATGTACCAAAACATTAGGAGTAGTTGAGTAATGAGATTATGAATGATTTTCACTTTCTTCTTTATACCTTATCAATCATCATCTCAAAATTTACAATCAGAATTCATTATAAGCTATTGTTTGTTTATTTATTTATTTATATTCGCAGTGGCGCGATCTCAACTCACTGTAACCTCAGCCTCCCAGGGTCAAGCAATCCTCCCACCTGAGTCTCCGGAGTAGCTGGGACAAATCAAAGTTAAGTTTTCTTCAGTTTAAAATAACTTGATATAATTATGTTGTTTAGCCTCATGGTAACCAGAAAACAAAAATCAATAATAGACACCCTAAAAATGAAAAGCAAGCAATTGAAACACACTACCAGAAAAAATTATCTCACTACAAATAAAGACAGGAAGGAAGGGAAGGAGGAAAGAAAAGAAAGAAAGAGAGAGATCAGAGAGAAGAGAAAGAGGAAGGAAGAGAGAAAGAACAAAAGAAAAAAGAGAGAATAGCAAAACAACCAGAAAACAAGTAAAAAATGGCAGTAGTATGTTTTTACCTGTTAATAATAACCTTGAATATAAATGAATTAAATTCTCCAATTAAGACAGAGTGGCTGAATGAATTAAAAGACAAGACCCAATTATATACTGCCTACAAGAAACTCAGTTCACCTATAGACATACATAGACTGAAAGTGAAGACATGATAAATAATATCGCACACCTGTGGAAACAAAAAAAGCAGGAGTAGCTCTACTTAGATTATATAGACTTTCAGTCAAAAAAAGAAAAAAATGAAGATAATTATATAATGAGAAAAAGTAAACAGCAGCATAACAATTATAAGTGTATATGCAACCAGCACTCAAGCAACTAAACACAGAAGCAAATATTAACAGACCTTAAAGGATAGACTGCAATACAATAACAGAATGCCTCAATGCTTCGCTATAATCAACACCCCACTATCGTCAATGGACAGATCATCCAGACAACAAAACATCATCAGTTAAACTGTACTCTATACCGAATAGACCTAACATTTGCACAGCTTTCCACTCCGCAACTGCATAATGCACATTCCACTGAATAGAATATGGATTATTATCCACAAAAGACTATGCATTAGGCCAAAAAACAAGTCACAACACATTTTTAAAAACTGAAATCATGGCCGGGCACGGTGGCTCATGCCTGTAATCCCAGGACTTTGGGAGGCCGAGGGGGGCGGATCACAAGGTCAGGAGACAGAGACCATCCTGGCTAACACAGTGAAACCCCATCTCTACTAAAAATACAAAAATTAGCTGGGCGTGGCGGCGTGCGCCTGTAGTCCTAGCTGCTGGGGAGGCTGAGGCAGTAGAATGCCGTGAACCCGGGAGGTGGAGCTTGCGTGAGCCAAGATCGCGCCACTGCACTCCAGCCTAGGCGACAGAGCGAGACTCCGTCTCAAAAAAAACAAAACAAAACAAAACTGAAATCATATCGAGTATCTTTTCTGACCACAGTGGAATAGTACTAGAAATCAATAACAGGAGGAAAAACTGTACAAATACATGGAAATTAAAATACATGCTCATGAACAACCAATAAATAAATGAAAAAATAAAAAGAAAATTAAAAATTTATTGAAAAAAGAAACACAACATAACAAATCCTGTGGGATGCAGCAAAAGCAGTTGTAAGAGGAAAAGGGCATAGCTATAAATGCCTACATCAGAGAAAATAGAAAGATCTCAAATAGCCAACCTGACAGTACACCTGAAGTAATGAGAAAAACGAGAAAAATAAAATACTAAAATTAGCACAAAAAATATCATAAAGATTAGAGAAGAAATTTTAAAAATAGAAACAAAAAATACAAAAAGTCAATGGAACAAAGAGCTGGATTTTTTAGAAAAAAATCAAAACTGACAAGCTTTAACTAGACTAAGGAAAAGAAAAACAAAACAAAATGATAGATGAAAAAGGAGACATTACAATGGATAACACAGAAATATGAAGGATTGTAAGAGATTACTAAAAACACCTATATAAAAACAAGTTGGAAAATCTAGGAGAAGTGATAAATTTCTGGACACATAACAAATTCCCAAGATAGAATGATAAACAAAAAACCGGAACAAGATCCATAATGAGTAATGTAATTAAAGCAGTAATAAAAAGTCTTCCATCAAACAAAAACACAAGAATCATGGCTTTATTGCTGAATTCTACCAAACGTTTTTTAAAGAGTTAATACGAATTTTACTCAAAATATTCCCCAAAAAATGAAGAGAAAGGAAGTCTTCGAAACTTGTTCTATGAGGACAGCATGACCCTGGTACATGGTACAAAAACCAGACCAGGAAACAACACAAAAAGAAAACCACAGGCATTTTAAATATCCCTGATGAACACAGATGCAAAAAAATTTTCAGCAAAATACTTGAAAATTGCACTTGACAACACAATAAAAAGATGATCTGCCATGATCAAGTGGGATTCATCCCAGGAATATGAGGATGATTCAATAAAACACAAATAAATGTGCGACATCACATTCAGCGAATCAAGAACAAAAACCATATAATCATTTCAGTAGATGCTGAAAAAAATAAAAATCAACATTCCTTCATGACAAAAACTGGACAACATGAGTACAGAAGGAACATATCTCAGCGCAATAAAGGCCATATATGACAAACCCACAGCTAACATCATAATCAATGGGGAAATGTTTAAACTCTTCCTCTAAGGCCTGGAACAAGTGTGGCTACTTTTACGCCACTTTTATTCATCATAGTACTGGAAGTCCTAAGTGGGGCAATTAGACAAGAGAATGCAATAAAAGGCATCCAAATTGGAAAAAAGGAAGTCAAACTGTTTGTTTGCAGGTGACATGATCATATATATACACAGAGAAAGAGAGAACCCTAAAGATTCCACAAAATCACCTACTAGAAATAATTTAGTCAAGTTGCAAGATACAATATCAACATATAAAAATCAGTAGCACGCCCATGCACCAATAGTGAAATACCTAAGAAAGAAATCAAGAAAGCTATTTCATTACCAAAAAAATTATATCTAGGGATAAACTTAACCAAAAAGACAAAAGATCCCACAATGGAAACTCTAAAACACAGATGAAAGCTATTAAAGCAGACACAAGTAAATGGAAAGATATCCCATGTCCATGCACTAGAAGAATATTGTTAAAATGTCTATATCACCCAATGTGATCTAGAGAGTCAATGCAATCCATGTTAAATTACAAAAGACATTCTTCATAGAAATAGAAAAAAAAAATCCTAAAATTCACATGGAAACGCAAAATACCTCAGATAGACAAAAGAATCTGGAATAAAAAGAAAAGCTGGAGGCATCACACCTGACTTCAAAACATACTACAAATCTGTAGTAAGCATGGTAATACCAAAACAGCATAATACTATCAAAAAAAGGGGCGGGGGAGAAACAGAAACGAAGGAATGACAGACATAGACAAGTGAAACAGAATAGAGAAATCAGAAATAAATTCACCCATTTATGGCGTACTCATTTTTAACAAAGGCACCAAGAACACACATTCGGGAAGGACAATCTCTTCAATAAACTGCTAGGATAACTCAACACCCACATGTACAGGAATACATCTAGGCCGTTATCTTACCATATACAAAAATCTACTCAAAATAAAGATTTAAATGTAGGACCTGAAACTATAAAACTACTAGAGAAGAAAACATAGGATAAATCCTTCATGAAACTGGTTAGGACAAGGAATTTTCAAATAGACATCAAAAGCACAAGCAACAAAAGCAAAGATGTAATTACATTAAACTTGTCAAAAGCACAAGCAACAAAAGCAAAGATGTAATTACATAAAACTTAAAAGCTTCTGCAAAGCACAGGAAGAAATCAGTAGAACGAAGAAACAACCCAGAGAATGGAAGAAAGTATTTGCAAACTATGCATCAGCCAAGGGGCTAATACACAAAATATATAAATAACTACTCAAAAGCAAAAATACAAATAATCTGATTAAAAAAAAATCTACCCCAAATCTTTGTCTCCCACCATTATTTTCCCACCTTCTTTTCCCGACCGCCTTTGGCCTCCTCCCCCTCGCCACCTGTTTTCTTCCTCCATCTACCCCAAAACTTTTTCCCCACCATTTTTCCCCACCGTCATTTCGCAAAGCCTTCTCTGCTCTCTCACTCACCACCCTTTTCCCCATCCACTTACCCACTTTCCCCACTGTTTTTCCCACCGTCTTTTCCCTTTCTCCCTGGCCACCTTCTTTTCCCCCATCCCACTCTCATCACCCTCTTTTGCTCCTTCATCTAAGCAAAAACATTTTCTCCCGTCTTTTCCCAAACCCTTCTCCTCACTCCTGCTGCTCACCACTTTTTCGCCCTTCATCTACCCGAAAACTGTTTTCCTCATCGTCTTTTCCCCCGCTCCTCCTTGCCACCCTCTTTCCCTTCTCTACCCAAAAACATTTCACCATAGTCTTTTCGCAAAGCCTTCTCCCCACTCCTGCTCACCTCCCCTTTTCCCCCTCCATCCACCCCCCAGAATATTCCCTACTGTCTTTTCACAGTCTTCCCCCCTTCCCACTCGTCCTCTTCTTTGCCCTATCCTGCTTGCCACTCTCTTTTTTGCCTTCCATCTACCCCAAACTATTTTCCCATTTTTTTCCCAACTCTCTTTCCCTGCTCCCTCTCGTCACCCTCTTTCCTCCTCCTCGTTACCCTCTTTCCCCCCACCATCTACCCAAACACTTTTTACCCACTGTCTTTTCTTTCTCCACCGTCTTTCTTTCCTGCCCACTATCTTTTTGCAAAACCTTGTCTTCCTCCCGCTGGCTACCCTTTTCCCTTCCCCCACCTGTTACCCTCTTTTCCCCCTCTATCTACCCAAAACCTTTTCTCCCCACTGTCTTTTCACAAAACCTTCTCTCCCTACTGCTCAACGCTGTTTCTCCCCCCCACCACCCTCTCTTTCCTCCTCCCTTGCCACCCTCTTTTCCTCCTCCATCTACCCATAAACATTTTACCCACCATCTTTCTGCAAAACCTTCCCTCCCTCCCGCTCCCCACCCCGTTTTTCTCCCTCCATCTACCCAAAAACTTTTTTTCCCACTATCTTTTCCCCACCGCCTTTTTGCAACGCGCTCTCCTGCTCACTATCCTCTTTTCCCTTTGGCACTAACCACCCTCTTTACCCCCTCCATCTATCCCAAAACTCTTTTCCTCCTCTTACCGCTTCCGCCGCACTGCCGTCTCGGTCGCGGTTACCACCAGTCGCAGCGAGGCGAGCCACGGTGTAGCGGCTCCAGCCTCCAGCGTACGGCTGGTGATTACCCATTCCTGGTCCTCTAAGCCGGGCACTGAGCAGCTCCACAGGAAAATACGGGAACGTGGAAGAGCCTGACTTCCCTTCAGCAGCAGTCATATACCGAGATTATATACAGGAGGATTCCTGACTGCATGTTCTGATTGGATGAGAAAAACCCTCCAGGGTTACTTGGATTGGACTTTATTATCATGTTCTGATTGGATGAGAGCCAGTCTTAAGACAACCAATCACAGCATGAAAATAAAGTCCAATCAGAGTAGGCCTAGAGGTTTTTCTCTCATCCAATCAGAACATGTAGTCTGGGAACCACATGTGCGTAACCTCAGTAGGTAAAGCATGCGGAGGTGGCGTCAGGTCATTTCAGGCTCTTAAGTGTGGGCGTTTGGTATCCGGCATGGCTGCTACCTGTTTCTGGCTGGAGCCTCGGACACTGGCTCACTGCAGTTGGTGGTGTCGACAGTGGTAGGAGGGCAACCAGTAGCGGGAGCTTCTCCTGCCAGGCAGGAAGACGAGTAGAAGGGAGCGGCATGCTGGAGGCTGGAGCCTGAGCCCCTGGGGCTCGCCTTGCTGTGTTTGGTGGTGACGTGGGACACTGCAGCTCGGCCAGAGTGGTAGAAATGTCCTGGTGTAGGTGAGTTATCCGGGGATGTACTGCCCGCCTGTGGGGGCAGGGGTTGGGTGTCCTATTGGGGCTCACTACCCGAGGCTGCACTGCCTGTGTCAGGGGGCTGGTTGGGGGCACTCTCCGAGGTTGCATTGCTGGCGGTGGAGGGGGGCGGTTTTGGCTGGCTGTCCGGGGCTACACTGCCCGTGGTGGCGGGGGTGATGGGGGGGAGGCAGGTTGTGTGCACTAACGTGTACTGCCGGTGGCGGGGGAGGGGTTAGGGGCACTATTTTCTGCTGCACTGCCCGGGGCAGGGAGTGGTTTTGGTGGTTATTTGGAGCTACAATGCTGGCAGCGGGGGGTGGTTTAGGAGTGTTGTCGGGTGCTGCACTGCCCTTACTCAGGGTGCGCTATCAGGAGCTGCGCTACCTGTGGTGGGGTGGGGGCGGCGATTTTGAGGCATTGTCTTGTGCAGCAACACCTGTGGCTGGGTCAGGTTGTGGGCACTATCGGGTGCTACACTGCCTGTGGAGGGGGTGGTTGGGGGGGGTATTGGGGTTACACTGCCTGCAACTGGCACAGGGTGTGGTGGGTGTGCTGTCCGGGGGCTACACTGCCGGCGGCAGGGGTCAGGTTAGGGTTGCTATGGGGGCTATACTGCCAGTGGTGTTGGTCGGCTGCAGAGGTGGTGGGGACAGCAACAGCCATGGTCTCCTTGCTCCTTCGGGTGACTCTTCTCTTTTCCAGACTCCAGAGTTCCTCCTGGTGCAATCTTGAGCAGGGCAGGGCCCCCACACCCACTGCGGTTCTCCGGCCTGCACCTCCCGCCCACACCCCATGCTCTGTGTTGGGGAGACCACCTGGGACTACCGGGTGGGGATTAGTGGGCATCGCGGGGGACTGTGGGAACAGGGCACTGTGGGTGGAGGTGTCAGGAATGGGAACCAGCAGTTGAGTGGGGAGGGCTGGCTGGGTCTGAGTTTCTCCTACTCCTGCTCCCCAAGGAGTGCAGCCCTGGTGGGCCCAGCAATTTCTGGCCAGTTGCACCTGGATGGGGGTGGTTTCAGCATAGGCACTCACACCCGCCCCAGTTCCTGGCCACCTTTTGCCAGAAAGAGAGGCTGGACTTCGGTGGGTGGGTCTGAGTGCCTTAGCTGAAGCTGGTCCCTGCCACCCAGTGGCCAGCATGACAAGGTGAGGCTCTAACGTTACCACTCCCTGCATCCCATTCTAGGCTTTTCTGGCTTTGCCCGTCTAGCTGCTCCAAGCCAGGCTGGAGGAGGAGGAGAAGGAATCACCTGTGGTACGCTGGAGCCTGCATGTGGCGTGACTCTGCAGCTCGCCTCGTGTGACTGATGGCAGCCACGGAGACTGCAGCTCGACAGGAGTGGTAGGAGGGTGCCCGCGGGGGCAAGGTGGTAGGAACCTTGTAGGGTGGGCTGCTGCATTGATGGCGACAGCAATTGTATTGGCATTGGTGCTAGTGGTGGTAGTGGCAGAAAGTCTGGGGACTGGGAAGGGGGAGTAGGAGCACTGCAGGGCCCAGTCCGACCTGGGGTGGGGACGAACCTGCTGGTGCTGTACCATGGGCCTCGGTGGCAGTGGTGGAGGTGCACTTAGGGAAAGGAGTCCTCCCCCTTCTCTTGCAATCTCTGGAGGGTGGCCTCCTTCTGAGCCAGGCATGAGTGGCAGCATTGTCTCATTCTTAACAAAATTTAGGGGGTGACTGTGTGTGTGTGTGTGTGGCTTTTTTTTTTTTTTTTTTTTTTTTTTTGAGACAGAGTCTCGCTCTTTTGCCCAGGCTGGAGTGCCGTGGTGTGATCTCGGCTCACTGCAAGCTCTGCTTCCTGGGTTCACACCATCCTCCTGCCTCAGCCTCCCTAGTAGCTGGGACTACAGGCGCCTGCCACCACGCCCAGCCAATTTTATTTTTGTATTTTTAGTAGAGATGGGGTTTCACAGTGTTAGCCAGGATGGTCTAGATCACCTGACCTCATGATCCACCCACCTTGGCCTCCCAAAGTGCTAGGATTATAGGCGTGAGCCACCACTCCCGGCCATTTTTTCCTTCTTTTTTGTTGTGATGGTCTTGGACTTTTTCAAATTTTGTGAATTGGGGAGGGGATAAAAGGTGTCATAATAGGCCTTCTAATTCCTGCACCTGTTCTTTTTGCTTATTCTAGTCTGTGTATTCTTCTCATCTTCTTGTTCCTCTTCATTTTCTTTTGCTGCTGCTTCTATTTCATGTTTCTATTCTTGTTTCTCCTCCTCTTTTTGTTTTCTTTATGCCAAGCAATGGCCTTAACAAACAACAAGCCAAAATTGTCACTGTGTTGTATTTTTAAAATAACTGGTCCTTTACTATGTTTTAGGGATGAGGAAAAAAATCAGTTGTATAATTAGTTACTTGAATAGCTATGCTTTCACGATTGTGTTAAACCACTTATGCCTAGTGTTCCATTATTGGAATGGTAAGCATGAGGGAGTTAATTACATCCTACTGCTCAAGGTCATTAGAAGGTTTGATTTTTCACTCGTGCAAAAATTCAAAAAATTGCAGCCTCTGGCATAAATGGGCTAATGCGTTGTAAGTAGTTATTCAGAGAATCAAAAAATGAAGCATCACATAAAAATATTGGTGGCAAACAGCCATTTCATCTCTCTCACATATTTGGAGCTATGCAGGAGTCACGGGGTAAGTTCTAATTTATGAGATTATTAAGTGAACTGTATTGCCTTCATTTTCTCTGCCACCATTTCCTTTGTTTTCTTTCTTTTTTTTTTTTTTTTTTTTTGAGATGGAGTTTTGCTCTTGTTGCCCAGGCTGGAGTGCAATGGGGCGATCTCGGCTCACTGCAACCTCCGCTTCCTGGGTTCAAGCAAGTCTCCTGCCTCAGCCTCCTGAGTAACTGGGATTGCAGGCATGTGCCACCATGCCCAGCTAACTTTGTGTTTTTAATAGAGATGGGTTTTCTCTATGTTGGTCAGGCTGGTCTTGAACTCCCGACTTCAAGTGATCCACCTGTCTCAGCTTCCCAAAGTGCTGGGATTGGAGGTGTGAGCCACCACGCCTGGCTCTCTGCCACCATTTTCAAGAGTATTGTCATCTGCCTGAGCAAACCTGGTTCATCACCACCTCTTTGCAAGAGAAAAAGGAAGTCGGGAGAATTGTGTGTAATTTTTTTTTTTTTTGAGATGAAGTCTCGCTCTTGTCCCCCAGGCTGTAGTACGATGGCCCGATCTTGGCTCACTGCAACCCCTGCCTCCTGGGTGAAAGCAGTTCTCCTGCCTTGGCCCCCTGAGTAGCTGGGATTATAGGTGCCTGCCACCACGCCCGGCTACTTTTTGTATTTTTAGTAGAGATGGGGTTTCACCCTGTTGGCCAGGCTGGCCTAGAACACCTGACCTCAGGTGATCCACCCACCTCGGTCAGCTGTGTGTATTTTAAGGCAAAGATTCACAACCAAAAACAAGGCTTTATTAACTTTTGTATCTAAGAACCTGCAGTGTCGAGCCCTCTTTTATTCCTAGTATTACTACTTTAGGTGTGAACTTTTTATCTTTATTTTACTGATTCCTCTAGAAGTTTATGCATTTTCTTGACTGCTTTAAAGACAATCTATATTGTATCATTTTTCAAGCCCGTAGAAATGTGTAAGGCCTATAATTTGAACACTTGTTATTTTTAAGGTTATGAGCATGTAATATACCGTTGATACATGGAAGAATATGTATAAATACCACTAGATAGGTTATATTGAAGAGATAATATCTAAATTTTTGTCCAGAGTTGATGGGGTGCAGTTTTGTAGGTGTGTTTCTCAATACATTGTGTCCATGTTTTAAAGCATATAGAAATTTGAATACTGTTTAACCTCATATAGTCCTTGTTTATAGGTTTAATATTTCTAAAGACTAAAGACGTCACAGCTCCCTTTAAGATTCAGTAATACTAATAAAATTTGAGATATACAGGGTTAGAGTCCAACAAATTCAAAGGAAAATTGTTGAATTATATAGCCGTAGAGCAGGAATGAAACCCAGGTTCTAAGTTCCAAGGGGGCCATGAGCTACCATACAGGTGCATCAGTGACTGGGCATAGAGGTGGCAAAATTATTTAAGAGAGTGAGCTGTGGATCCTAATTATGTGAACATGAATTTTTGAACTGCATGGTGCCTCAGTTTATCCATCATTACAGTGGGGACAGTAGTAAGTTTTTCTTTTTCTGCTCAGTTGTCTGAATTATTACCCCAGTCTCTCTTGTTGCCACTCTTGATGCCCACATGAGAGGATCTAAGGTAATTTCTGACAACCTGGGACTCCTTAAGGAAAAACAGAAGGTTCCACAAACCCCATTTTAGGAGAAACCTCTGTTTTCCTCATGGAACCCCAAGAACTTTAAGCAGACAGGTCCCTCTCAAAAATCTAAGGCTCTGCTCTGTTTTGCCTTGCGTTGTCTGACCTTTTTGGTTTGGATGGGCATCAGAAATTAGTAGGGGAGAGAGATCTAAAGAAAATTGTGGATATGAAGATGTATTTATTGTAAGAAATGTTATGAAGGAAAGAAATGTTATATGAGAGAGGATCTTATATGGCAAATTGTTGTCCTAAAGTAGAATGACTAATTACAAAAGAGGGAAATACAGGACAGGTCAGATAAATTTAATCATGTTGTAGATAGTCTGTGGAAGTTGTGTTATGATTCATAAAGTGGGAAAGAAAAACTGAACAACTGCTAGATCTTTTCTTGTCTAGAAGTGTTGTGTATGTGATGTATATATAATGGCTCGGCTTAAAAGAAAATGAAAGCTCTTAAATATTTTGTAAGAAAAATAGAAGCTCTAATGCCTTTTATTTCATGTGACTTCAGTAATCTTTGGGAAATAAAGATGGTGTTAAAGTCAGTGGTAAAATAAAAATATCTTCAAAATTTATCCATTTGGTCTAACTTAAGTCAGAGGTTAAGTTTTAGAAGTGCTTTAATGTCATAAATTGATGCTTTGACTTTGGAAAATAGTTTTGTTTACCTGGTTTGGAGCCGTTAGATTTCTAGGTAAGGTCTCCGGACAGGTGGAGTTAGCCATGTCTCCTAGCTATGCTGGAAGGAGTCAGATTTTATCTGCAGTTCTGTCTTGTATCCTAGACTCTGCACCTGGTATGCAATTAAAACTTACTGCTGCTGCTAATCTCTGGGTTCCATTTAAAATCCTTCCATCACATGAATACTATCCCCTGTACTAAATTTTTCCACAATTAAATACTTAGAATCATTTTTGCTGACTTGACCCAACCATTAGTGATATATTTTAAAAATGCTTATAATGTGTCACAATATATTTAGCAAATGTAGGGAATGACATTTTTACTTTCTTCAGCATTTACATAGCATTTATGTAGCAATGCTATCTCAAGTATTTTTAATCATTTAAATGTTAGATAATAGATATGTTTTTTATTCCTTTTTTCTATGTAAATAAATATAATTATGAGATATTTAGTAAATAGTATCAATTGCATATGTCACTTACAGAATATACAATGAAATTAGGATTATTTTTATACACTACATCATATTTACTTGTTGGCTTTCCAATAACTTAGAAATAGTATTCTGGATTAACTGTGTGACTCATGAGAGAGGGAGTTTGTGCAATTATAGTCTTTACAAATTTTTACTAGATTTTTCAAGACTTATGCTAGAACTTTGAGAACAAGGTAATAAATAAGCATATCTGTTAATATCACCTTTGGTCAACTCTTGGCTAGACCCAATGATAATGTAGGAATTAACATAATTTTTCTACTAAAGGTGTTGGATTTGTTCCGAGAGACCACAGTTCAAAGTCATTGACAAAGAAAGTTTAAAAATTGTTAGATTAAAACCTTTTAGTGTGTTTGAAATTGTTTTGTAGAAAAATATCCTGGTTTGCATTGATAGGTTTTTTTTTAAATAACAACTAGACCAAGAGAAAGGGAGAGTAGTGATAAATGTCCATGTTTTCGAGTTGAAAAGTAACAATCAGTGTATTACAACAGATGGATTTGATGTCAAATTACAAATGCTGAGAACGTTATATGTAACTGACTTGCCAGAGTAATTATACAAGGCAAAGAAAGGAAAGGCATCTAAATAGGAAGGGAAGGGGTGAGATTGTCTGTGTTTTAGACTCCACAAAAAACCCATTACAGCTGATAAACACTATATTCAATAAAGTTGAGAGTTACAAAATTAACATTGGCTTCTATACACCAATGACAAACTGTTATCTGAAAAATAAGGTAATTCCATTTATAATAGCAACAAAACAAATATATAAGTAAATCAAAGAGCAAGGAGTAATTTTAATGAAGGATGTGAACGATTTGTATACTGAAAATTATAGCACATTGATGAAAGAAATTGAAAGTGACAAATAGAAAAAGTCCTATATCAATTGAAAAAATTAATATTGTCAAAATTTCAATGCTACTCAAAGCATTCTACAGATTAAATGCAACCGCTGTCAAATTCCAATGTCATTCTTCACAGAAATAGAAAAATTAGTCCTAAAATCTGAATGGAACCACAAAAGATGCTGAAAAACGAAAGCAATCTTTAGCAAAAAGAACAAACCTGGAGGCATCAGACTACCTAATCTTTGACAAAGCAAACAAGAAAATGGGAAAGGACACCCTATTCAACATATGCTGCTGGTATAATTGGCAAGCCACATGCAGAAAAATGAAGCCGTTCTTCAAAGGTTAAATACAGAATTACCACATGACTCAGTAAATTCACTCCTATGTATACACCAAAAATAAATTAAAACAAATGCCTTACACATAAAAGTATTTATAGCAACAAAAAGTAGGAAACAACAGAAATGTCCATGAATTTTGGAGTGGATTAATAAAATGTGGTCTGTCCATAAAATAAAATATTACTTGGCAATGAAAAAGAAAAACATATTAATACATGCTCCAAAAAGGATGAACATTGAAAACATGATAAATGAAAGTAGTAAGTCACACGTAACTATATTATTATGATTCCACTTACATGAAATGTCCAGAATAGGCAAATCCTTCCAGAATAGGCAAATTCTTAGGTAATAGATGGATGATTGCCTAGGGCTGGGAGAGGTTTAAAGGAAGAATGGGGAAAATAGGGAAAGATTGCTAATGGGTGCAAAGTTTCTTTTAAGGAGCATAAAAATGTTCTAAAATCATGGTGATTGTTTAACTAGTTAATACACTTAAAAAACTGAATTTTATACTTTAAATGAGTGAATTAAATAATATATAAATTGTATCTCAATGAACCTGTGAAAAAAGTTAAAAAATATGTGGTATGCATAAACAAAAAGTTCTTCATTTTATTTCCTAGGGTTTTGGGGAAAAGGTGGTGTTTGATTATATGAGTAAGTTCTTTAGAGGTGATTCAGGAGATTTTGGTGCACCCAACACCTGTGCAGTATACACTGTATACACTGCACCGGGGCAGGAGCTGGCTGCAATCCTGTGGCCCCAAATGCCCCCTTGCTGATGGCCTCGTGTTCTGGGTGCGGAGCAAAGAGGAGCAGGTGTTGAAGGCACCTCAGGCAGGCCCTGGGCTCGGTGGGCGTCTTGTGCTCCGCGATTTTGAGGCCATTTGCAGCCAGCTCCGTCAGCCCGAGCTCCCAGCTGCAGCTGCTGCCATGCACAACAGCACCGCCAGGAGTGTCCTGGGGGCTTTTTTCAAAGGAGGCTGTCAGCATCCTCAAGTTCCAGACGCTTAGCCCCAGTCCTCCTTTAAGAGGCTTTTTTTTTTTCACCAGAGGCTTCTCAGTGGCTTGAAAGCTCAGCTGACTCCCACGAAGTTTGCCGGAACTCAAGGCTGTCAGTGACATTCGTGGCGCCAAGACTTAAGCAGGCGCGTTGCATGCATCGGCCAGTGTCTGTGCCACGTGCCCTGACGCCACCTGAGATAAGCACGCCGCACGCGCACGCGCACGCCGCGCGCACACGCCCGGCAGCAGCTTGGCTGGCTTGTAACGGCTTGCACGCGCACGCCGCACGCGCATAACGGTTTGGCCGGCCTGTAACGGCTTGCACGCGCACGCCGCACGCGCGTAACGGCTTGGCTGGCCTGTAATGGCTTGCACGCGCATGCTGCACGCGCTTTAACGGCTTGGCTGGCCTGTAGCGGCTTGGCTTGGCTTTGCGTTCTTGGCTTGGCTTGGCGTTGGTAGCTTGGATTGACGTTTCCTGCTTGGATTGACGTTTTCTCTCTCGTGTTCCTTTGCTGGGCTTGACCTTTTCTCTGCTGGGTTTGGCATTCCCTTGGGTGGGCTGGGTGTTTTCTTGGGGGCGGGGGTTGGCCCTTTCTGGGGTGGGCGTGGGGTCGCCCAGGGGGGGCGTGGGCTTTCCTCGGGTGGGTGTGGGTTTTCCCTGGGTGGGGTGGGCTGGGCTGGAATCCCCTGCTGGGGTTGGCAGGTTTTGGCTGGGATTGACTTTTCTCTTCAAACAGATTGGAAACCCGGAGTTACCTGCTAGTTGGTGAAACTGGTTGGTAGACGCGATCTGTTGGCTACTACTGGCTTCTCCTGGCTGTTAAAAGCAGATGGTGGTTGAGGTTGATTCCATGCCGGCTGCCTCTTCTGTGAAGAAGCCATTTGGTCTCAGGAGCAAGATGGGCAAGTGGTGCTGCCGTTGCTTCCCCTGCTGCAGGGAGAGCGGCAAGAGCAACGTGGGCACTTCTGGAGACCACGACGACTCTGCTATGAAGACACTCAGGAGCAAGATGGGCAAGTGGTGCCGCCACTGCTTCCCCTGCTGCAGGGGGAGTGGCAAGAGCAACGTGGGCGCTTCTGGAGACCACGACGACTCTGCTATGAAGACACTCAGGAACAAGATGGGCAAGTGGTGCTGCCACTGCTTCCCCTGCTGCAGGGGGAGCAGCAAGAGCAAGGTGGGCGCTTGGGGAGACTACGATGACAGTGCCTTCATGGAGCCCAGGTACCACGTCCGTGGAGAAGATCTGGACAAGCTCCACAGAGCTGCCTGGTGGGGTAAAGTCCCCAGAAAGGATCTCATCGTCATGCTCAGGGACACTGACGTGAACAAGCAGGACAAGCAAAAGAGGTAACCAGGCCTGGGCTGGGAGGAGGTGGGACGTGGGGGGATGATGGGGACATACCCTCCTGGCGGGGGAGGAGGGGGACCTGGCTTTCTCGCCTCCGCAGGCCTCACACCACCCTGGATGTGGAAACCTCAGAGAGGTCAGGGTACAGGGCCCTTTATGAACAGCAACACAAAAACAAAACTTTAGCTGATTTCCAATCATAATTTCCCTCATAGAACACTAATAGACTGTTTTAAAGTGATTTAACTTGCAAAATTAATTAAGTCAATGCAGCAGATTATTTTTAATCTACAGATTTTAAAACAATGTTCTATACATTATAGAAAAGTGTATATTGAGAACTAAGAACGAAGCCCCATAACACATCAACTTCAGGGCTAAATATTCTTCAAATAAAATCCAGTATGGATTTTATATCAATGTACAGTATGTAAATATGTTCTTTACTGAGGAACCTTAGAAGGAAACTGAAATGGGAAGATGGTTCCTGTGCTTGAACAGGAAGATTGAATTTTCTTAAGATGTGAGCTTTTTGGCTGGGCGCGGTGGCTCACGCCTGTAATCCCAGCACTTTGGGAGGCGGGCGGATCATGAGGTCAGGAGATTGAGACCATCCTGGCTAACACGGTGAAACCCTGTCTCTACTAAAAAATATAAAAAAAATTAGCCGGGTGCGGTGGTAGACGCCTGTAGTCCCGGCTACTCAGGAGGCTGAGGCAGGAGAATGGCGTGAACCCGGGAGGTGGAGCTTGCAGTGAGCCGAGATAGTGCCACTGCACTCCAGCCTGGGCAACAGAGCGAGACTCCGTTTCAAAAAAAAAAAAAAAAGATGGGAGCTTTTTCTATTTATCACTTTTACCTAAGCCAAATAAAAATAGCAAAGTTTTAGCGTTTTTAAATTACACATGCTGTCTTTTATTATTGTGATAAATTAATTTTTTGTAACAGAATGGAAAAAGGCTGCTTTTCCAGATATCAAAATGTGCATGTTATTTATTTCCACAAATTGTTTACTAACAGCTGAAAAGACATCAATGAATACAACAGAATAGGAAATTTAGAAATACCCAAATATATGTTAAGAATTTAGCGCTTGATAATGGTGGTGTTTTTTATTATTTGAAAAAGATGGATTGTTCATAATTCATGTTTGGAGAAAACTAGCTAGATTTTTATGTCACAAAAATAAGAGTATAGATTAAAAAATTTAAATATACAAAAAGAGAAACATACCAGAAGAGAAACATACAAATGCCTATTTATATATGCAGATATATATTTATATATATACTTTTTTTTGGATGGAGTCTGACTCTGCTGCCCCGGCTGGAGTGCAGTAGTGCGATCTCGGCTCACTGCAACCTCTGCCTCCTAGGTTCAAGCAATTCTCTGCTTCAGCCTACTGAGTAGCTGGGATTACAGGCGCCTGCCACCACGCCTGGCTAATTGCTTTGTATTTTTAGTAGAGATGGGGTTTCACCATCTTGGCCAGGCAGGTCTTGAACTCCTGCCCTCGTGATCCACCCACCTTGGCCTCCCCAAGTGCTGGGGTTACAGGCGTGAGCCACTGTGCCTGGCCATATTTGCAGACATAATAAAATAAGCTCATTTTAAAATTGGGCAAAGTACTTTTTTTGCATATCTACCAGTGACCTATGCACATAGGAAAAGATAGCGTTCCTGGTAGAAGAAGGAATGTAAGTTAGAAGAGGAATGAAATACTGTTTTCTATTTAAGTTAGAAGAGGAATGAAAGGCCGGGTACAGTGGCTTACGCCTGTTACCCCAGCACTTTAGGAGGCTGAGGCAGGTGGATCATGAAGTCAGGAGTTTGAGACCAGCCTGGCCAGTGTGGTGAAATCCCATCTCTACTAAAAATACAAAAAATTAGCTGGGCATGGTGGCACGCACCTGTAATCCCAGCTACTTAGAAGGCTGAAGCAAGAGAATTGCTTGAACCAGGGAGGTGGAGGTTGCAGTGAGCCGAGATCGCGCCACTACATTCCAGCCTGGGTGATAGAGTGAGACTCCATCTCAAAAAAAAAAAAGAAAAAAAAAAGGAATGAAATACTGTTTTTTATCCACAAAGTTTGTGAGGATGAAGAACAGTGGTACTTACGTAGTCATTTAAAGTTTAAATTGCTACAGCTTTTCAAACAAACACTTTAGTGGTAAGAACCACATTTTTAAAATGTTATGCTTTTTACTCATCAATTCCATTATACTGAAATATCTTTACCAAATAGAGGTCTGTTTTTCTTAGTATTGATTAAAATAGCAGTGTATTTAGAAGAACCCATATAAAGATTTCATGGACAAATTTCAGTGCATCCATAGGATGGACTAATATGTAACTATTGAGGTTGTCAGTAGATACAGAGATATGTCGACATGCAAAGATGTACTTTGCTATAACAAGTGAGAAAAAAAATCGGTTACACATATACACGAACAGAATCTGCTCGTGTTAGCTGAAAACATGTAGAAAATATAATCAAACTTGTTTCTGGGGATTTGTAAGTGAAGTTTTTCCCTTTCTCTTATCTGTGATTTCTGCAATGAACATCTGAAGTTTTAGTTAAAGTTCATTAGTAATGCAATAATCCTTGGGAAGAGAAGGAATATGCTTCTTGCATAGATGCAAATAATTTGTCACATTCTATTATTTATTTTTCTATCTGTGGTTGGCTATCTTCCGTGAACTTTTACCCTCTTCAGAAGTAGAGGGATTGTGTTTACCTGTTCCTGTAGATTTTATTGTATATACATTTTATTACATAATTATCTTTTCATTAGATATAGATTAACATGTAAAAAGTATGAATTAATCATTTTAGTTGAGTTATATGTTTATGAAAATTAAAATAGCAAATGTAAGTGATTATTACTATTGCAAATGTATTGCATTACTCGACAGGAGTTTTCTTTGAAAATATTGAACTCCCAAGCTGTGTTCATCCATTCTTTCAATCCATTTAGTCATCAGACATAAGCCAGACACCTATTATGTGGCAGGCATATTCTACTATCTCTCAGGATCCTTCCACCTTTGAAAACTTCATGTTTATCTGCTGGGCTTGAGCAAGATGAGAGATTTAAAATTGGTGCATTAGGACTTAATCTCAATTGAAGCTTTTCCTCCCTCCTTTCAAACAGAAGCATTTCTGAAGGTAGAAAATAGTAAAAGACAACCCTTAACTGCCCTTTTGAAAATTTATAAGTCTTGGAGAAAGACTGTTTTAGTTGTTTTAAGAACTAAAATGTGGTACATAAACAGCATGGAATACTATGCAGCCATAAAAGAAGGAACGAGAGCATGTCCTTTGCAGGGACATGGATGGTGTTGAAAGCCATTATCCTTAGCAAACTAACAAAGGAAGAGAAAACCAAATATTGCATGTTCTTACTTATAGGTGGGAGCTAAATGGTGAGAACACACAGATACCTAGAGGGAAGCAACACACACTGGGGCCTATTACAGGGTGAAGGGTGGGAGGAGGGAAGGAAGCAGGAAATAGAATGAATGGGTACTGGGCTTAACACCTGAGTAATGAAATAATCTGTACAACCAACCCCCTTGGTGCACGTGTTTACCTGTGTAACAAACCTGCACATCTGGCACGTGTACCCCTGAATGTAACAGTTGAAAAAAGCTCCACAAATCGTTTCATAAATCCGTTTTAAAAGGAGAAAATTTATAACAGTCTTAAATCCTAATATGAATGATTGGAAATATCTGATGTACATACATTGTATAAATCTAAGTATTGACAAAAATGAGCCCATGCTATTCATTTGAATTCCAGGTTTTCTTTGGCTTAAAGTTTATTGAAAACCAAAGTAAGAATTGGTTTATTTTAGAAATTTGTTTTTGTTTTCACCTCAGCTTTCTTATTCCATAGTTCTTTTAAGAACCAAAATTTATCTAAATGCTGGTCATCTGACTGGAACCGCCCCGGACCTGTTATAACATATTCTACTTCATGTAAGACACCAGGGATTGTGTGATGCCCCATTATTTTATGCCTCAATAAGAGAATTATTTAAATGCCGCCAATTATAGTAAATCATGAATTGTAAGTGGTATTTCAGTGGAGACAACATGGAGACAATGATCATCTCAGAATCACTAAAATACAATGTTAGCTGTAATATTTAAAACACACCTGAAAGTGTAGGTATAATTGTATCATCTCAATTCAAATGTTGTCTTTAGTGGTATTAGTAAAAATTAAAATATCTAACAATTATTGAGCTGTTATTTGTGTTAGGAACTATTCTATATCTTTTGTGCAGAGTCTCATTTAAGCATTAGAGTGGTTTCCTGTGAGAAAGCTACTATTTTCATTCCTATTTTATTGATGAGGAAACTGAGACCCCAAAAGGCTAAGCAACAGCCAGGAAGTGACAGAGCTTCAAGTAGGATTCCAGCCCACGTTGAATGTCATCCAAGGGCTATGCTCTTTATATTCATATAGGCTGCCCTTTCATTAATACAGCGAGCAATGAGAGATAATAAATAGTGTGCTTTTTTCATGGGAAAGTTAAATGTTTGTTTTGAAGGCAGAGTAATAGCAGGCTATTCAGTGTTTGCAGTTACATGAATCATTGCTATGGCTGTAGCTAGTGCACTACAATTTCCTAAAAAGTCTTCTCACTCTCATAGGACTGCTCTACATCTGGCCTCTGCCAATGGGAATTCAGAAGTAGTAAAACTCCTGCTGGACAGACGATGTCAACTTAATGTCCTTGACAACAAAAAGAGGACAGCTCTGATAAAGGTATGCAGTAGCCAACTATATCAGCATGAGGTGGGTTTGATTTCAATACATGGCATAAAAATGAGTTTTCTCCTTTAAATATAACTAGTTGGTGAAAGCTGTGGAATGTTATTTTGAATTCCTAAGATTTGTAATTTGTTTTTGGTCTAATACTGACAGGCCGTACAATGCCAGGAAGATGAATGTGCGTTAATGTTGCTGGAACATGGCACTGATCCAAATATTCCAGATGAGTATGGAAATACCACTCTGCACTACGCTATCTATAATGAAGATAAATTAATGGCCAAAGCACTGCTCTTATATGGTGCTGATATCGAATCAAAAAACAAGGTATAGATCTACCAATTTTATCTTCAAAATACTGAAATGCATTCATTTTAACATTGACCTGTGTAAGGGCCAGTCTTCCATATTTGGAAGCTCAAGCATAACCTGAATGGAAATATTTTGAAATGACCTAATTATCTAAGACTTCATTTTAAATATTGTTACTTTCAAAGAAGCATTAGAGGGTACAGTTTTTTTTTTTAATGCACTTGTGGTAAATACTTTTTTTGAAAACACTGAATTTGTAAAAGATAATACTTACTATTTTTCAATTTTTCCCTCCTAGGATGTTTTTTCCCTATTGAATGTAAAATGGCAAAATTTGCCCTGAAATAGGTTTTACATGAAAACTCCAAGAAAAGTTAAACATGTTTCAGTGAATAGAGATCCTGCTCCTTTGGCAAGTTCCTAAAAAACAGTAATAGATACGAGGTGATGCGCCTCTCACTGGCAAGGCTTAAGATATTTCTGATTGCTCATGAGCCAGAAGTGGAAAGCAAAAAAGAGAGCAATCAGAAATATCAAGGCCAATTTGGAAATTAGATAATGGAGGGAAAAGACCATGAAGAGGTTGTGTGTGTGTGTGTTGTTGTTGTTGTTGACTGATTTGTTTCCTTTGCATGGTGAGACAAGGTTCTCTTCAATTTTAGAGAATGACAGTTTTCAGTTTGGGAGAGGGAGTTAGTGGGTTGTAAACTACCTAGAGATCAATTTTAGGAGGCCTCTGAGGAACCAGATTGGCAGTGAATAGGTGGTAATGTAAGAGGAAACCCTTGAGCAGAGGGAATATCAAGTAATTAACTGACTTAGTATCCTATTCTGGTAGAAATGGCCAATGAGAGTCTCAGCTCTGCTTTCAAATCTAGAGTGTCTGGATGGGAAGGTGGAAGATAAACAAGTAACAAGATCAAGTTGGATTTTGAGTTGACTAGACCCTGTTCTTCTCTTACCGGGGAAAATCATGTGGTGTTTTCAGCAAATGGGTCTCTCTCCTACTCCTTACTCTTTTTGGCCAAATCTTCAAATGAGAAAGGGAATTGGTCATGTGGGTGAGAAATGAGACTGAAGTAATTGTCTGTTGCACTAGCTTTCAGCTAGAATTGTGCATCCTAGTAACCTGAGGAAAATGTTTAAATAACAAGTCTAGGCTTTTTCTGAATATTTTGATACAGTAAGTCTAATAAAGCCTGGATATGTATATTTGAAAATGTTTCCTTGAAGCCAGGCATGGTGGTGCATGGCTGTAGTCCCAGCTGCTAGGGAGGCTGAGGTGGGAGGATTGCTTGAGCTCAGGAGTTCGAGTCTAGCCTGGTCAACATAATGAGACCCTGTCTCTAACAACAACAACAACAACAACGACAACAACAACAATTTTCTCAAAATCTGGATACACTCCTGCTTAAGAACCACTCAATACATAAATGTAATATGTAAATTCTTATGTCTCAGAAACTTAAGGTATCTCTAGAAGAGTTGGGGTTGGATATGTGCTGATTTCTTTAAATCTTTCCAATAACATTAATCTGACTTTTTTTTTTTTTTGAGATGGGGTCTCACTCTGTTTCCCAGGCTGGAATGCAGTGGTGTGATCACAGCTCACTGCAGCCTCGACCTCTCCAAGCTCAGATGGTCCTCCAACCTCAGTTTTTTTTTTTTTTTTTTCAGTAGAGATGAGGTTTTTGCCATGTTTCTCAGGCTGGTCTTGAACTCCTGGGCTCAAGCGATTCACCCACCTCAGCCTCCCCAAATGCTAGGATTACAGGTGTGAGCCACCATTCCTGACCTAGTCTGACTTTTATCTCTGTGGTTGAGACATTAAAATGAATATTATTGGTAGTATGTATCAGCTTACAGAATAATACCTTTTCCTTCCTACCATCAGTTATTCACTGCCGTTCAGAAGGTCTTTAGAAATTTGCTGTGAGTAGTCTTTCAATAAGTAGAGGATGGCCCTCTCAGGATTTTGTGTCTCTTTGTTCAGTCATTCAAGTACTTAGGTCAGTAAGTCGTTAAGAGCAGAGTTTTCTCAATTAGAATAGTAGCAAATTCTAAACCATTTTTTGTCAATTGACGCTGTATTATGGACTATCCAGTGTGTCTCTTAAGTATGTAGAGCTTTGGCATAATCAGCATGGCAGTTTTAAACACTAAAAACCATGGAGTTATTAAGAATACAGATAGGAATTCTGTTAATTTAGTTTCAGTAGTCCTATGAACTGATGGTTTAGTTAACAATCTGGGAAAATTAAATACAAATAGATTTTAAATAAATAAATGTTGGAAAATTTTTTCAAATGGGCAGTATGAGTTTTAATAGCAATTTTTGTTGCATGTTGGAGGTTGAACTTTTGGTAAAACATGAAACTAAAGAAATATTTTACATGCAGATTCTTGCTTTATACACAATTTGTCTTAGGGTTGAGGATATAGAGACAAAAGATACAGCCCCTGCCCTCAAGAAGCTTTTTGTTTAGATGGGAAAAATATTATCATCCAATAACACCAAGCCAAATGCTGGTTTAGAAGCAAAGAGCCTTGGAAGCAGTAAATGTTTAAAGTGAGTTTTTGAGATGATTAGAGTTACTGTGGTGAGGCAGAGAAGGGGTGTTTCCAAGGGAAGGAGCAGCGTGTGGGAAAGCACAGAAGAGTGAGAAGGAAGTGACTACATTTTATTTACTTCTATGCGTGTAAGTCCATAAGATCTTATATAAAGTTTCCACTTCGGTTGAGGAATATGTACTTTTTTGAATTACATAGGTTTTTGCTTTATATTGTTTTACAGCATGGCCTCACACCACTGTTACTTGGTGTACATGAGCAAAAACAGCAAGTCGTGAAATTTTTAATTAAGAAAAAAGCGAATTTAAATGCACTGGATAGATATGGAAGGTATAGTTCTTTCTTTTAATCTGTGTGTTGTAGATGGACAGCAGTCACTCAAGTCATAAATATTAAATTAATAAGATTAATGTATACTTACTGGGATGTAGTGATCAGTATCAACACAAATCAGTTAGGTAGAAAAACAATTACTTGGGCTGGGCAACATAAAGAACAGTTTTAGTAGGATTCATCTTCTCTTATTATATTGACTGATGTTATTTGTTATGTGACATTTTTGGTTACATGATCTTATGTTAGCTTAAAGGATTTCATATTAATTTTATGAAGTTTGAACTTTAACTTTTAGTTTACTTTATGACTCAGTATTGAACTTCTTAACCCTTTCTAATAGTTTTTAACCTGTGTCTTACATGCTTTTCCATTAAATATGCTGTATTAAACATAAATAGGGGTTGAAAATCCTTTTGTCTTTTTAATGACTTTGCTTTAAGTTGCTTTCTTTGAAGAATATTAGTGTTAGCTTATCCCTACATAACAATTAATTGCTGTTCCCACATACTGTGGGTTCAACAGCTTTTTTCCTTTTGTTTTTCCAGTGTATTTTGATGTTTTTATTTTTAATTGGTATGGAGAGAGGGAGTGAAGATAGTTTTAAGTGGATACACTTTTCCTTTAATGAAGACAAGCCGTACGTGGGTGATAAAGAGAAAAGAGCTAGGCTTTGGATTCACACAAGACTGGGTTTAATTAGTAACTTTCTTACTTGCTAGGTGTGTGACCTTGGGGACGTTATTTACCACCAAATATGTTGTCATATATGAAAAGTAGGAGAATATATCCTTCAAAGTTGGCTGTGCATAAGTAAGAAAGATATATGTGGCATTTAATTCAGTGCCTAGCACATGGTTATTGGCACCATTAACTGAAACTCCTATGACTACTATTCTTACCATTATTATTACTGCTTTGAGCATGCAGAGAGCTCTTATTTCTCTTACCCCCTAGCTGATTTTCTATTACAGCATGTCAGTCTAGGGAAGCTGTGACAAAATCTTCACTTAAATCTTTGTCCACCTCAGATAAGTGGCCCTAACATTGTTTCTTGCCCATCAAAGGACTTTAAATTAGTAGCTTCTGCTATGCAATACCCCACTGAGATAAGAGGGTTTTTTTTGGTCCCTTCCTTTTAACCTTGGTGGCATTTTACAAAGATGAACACTTGAGCACTCAGGTTGCTTATGTCTTTTAGTGCATGTAAATGTTTGATTCTGCACAGACAGGCAAGATGTTACATTGGTAAAGTATATCAAATTAGCTTTAAAAATAACTTTATTACAGTTCCTATCTCTGTCATTTTAGAACTGCTCTCATACTTGCTGTATGTTGTGGATCAGCAAGTATAGTCAGCCTTCTACTTGAGCAAAATATTGATGTATCTTCTCAAGATCTATCTGGACAGACGGCCAGAGAGTATGCTGTTTCTAGTCATCATCATGTGTAAGTGTTTACATTAAAAGGCTAGTTAATGCTGAATTGAGGTTTAAAATAATTATAACAGTTGCATCTCACATATCAGGTGAGATGTCATAGTTTGGTTCAGGTAGTTTTCGCGTGGCAGTGAGTTTTAGTCCCCTGCATCAGCCAGAAATCAGACAAAAAGCAAGACAAGTTAGAAGTACCAATGGGTGCGGGATTCTTTATCTCAGGACTTTTAAGATCTTTATCCTTAGAGATCCCAGCATTGTTCATTTGATCCAAGTGTAACACCTATGCAGGGATAAAAAATAGTGTCACATCTTTAATTTTTCTGATTAGTTATTTGGGTCTTGAAATGTCCAGTTTAGCGGAAAGTCTTGTACTGTCTTCTGGGGACTATGTCCTACATACTCCTTGAATTTTTCAAGAACCGAAGGAGTTCACTAAATCCAAGGAAGACAGTCCCTTTTATCAAGTCAGAAGGAGGAGGAAAAAAGACATTGCAATCATTCTGTTGTTTCCGTTGATTCTGTTGCTGCTTTGTGGCCACTCAAACTGGTCCTGCTGCCTTAAGATGAATCAGTAGATTCAGATCCCTCAAGTCTTCATGGCGATTCATACAGTGACTTTGATGTTTTTTAATTCCCATACCTATGCTTATATGCTCAGCCATTGTTCCCAGAGCACCAGCCCCCTGCTCTGGCCGCTGGGCATCCTGACTTTATCCGCACACAAAGTGACCAAATTGACCCTTCCCCGCATATTCAGAACCTAATGTGGAACCCACATCTTAGCCAGGAATTAGCTGAGACCTTCATGGTAAGAGATCCTTTGAGGCTGTTGTTGGTCT
The DNA here is from genome assembly GCF_000001405.40 of Homo sapiens. NCBI lineage: Eukaryota > Metazoa > Chordata > Mammalia > Primates > Hominidae > Homo > Homo sapiens. The sequence goes on along the minus strand of NC_000002.12, from coordinate 130,109,713 downwards.
TTTCTCTGGCAGATGTTAGGTGGGCTTGTTCTAAAGGGTGAGAGGGGTTCAAATAATGTGGCAGAAGGAGGTCAGTGTCTGTTTCCTCTTTGCTACCAGATCTGTACTGTGAGGCACCTTTATATCCTGTATAGAACCTTGGGCAGTAGAAAGTCCCGTATGAACCTTGCCCTGAGCAGTGGCTCCCAGCTGTGGTTGGCCCCTTGAGTGATCTGATTTACATGATAATGAAAATTATCGGAGCTACTTCCATCTCTAGCTCAAGATTTTAAGATATTTTCAAACTCTAGCTCACAGGAAGCCATTGAAGAGAATTCTCAGAATCTCAAGTAGGTTAGTTGGACTTCACAGAGCCAAGCCTTGTCCATGACGCATCACTAATCATATGTAAAAGTAGGGCTTTGTGCTTGCTTCGGCGGCACATATCCTAAAATTGGAACAATACGGGGAAAGTTAGCGTGGCTTCTGCATAAGGAGGCAGGACAGATCTTTGAAGCATTCCATATTTTGTGCAGTCACTGGAAGGTCATTTGACTATTTTTGCTGACTAGCTCTGAGGAAATAGTGTGAATCAAAGCAAAATGGGTGCCACCCAAATATTGAAATTGTGATTTGTGCTGCAAAAATAGTCATGTAAGATGGTCTATGAGATGACTTTGAGCTGAATAACATGTTCCGTGCAAAATATATTGTTAGTATGTATGTCGAAAATTACAGAATGTCAGCTTGCTACTTCTCCGTGGAAACTAAAAAAAAAATAAAAGTAGACTTTTGGTCTCCCATGTCAGCTGGAATTGAACATCAATATAAAGCATTATCCTAACAGACATCTACTGGCTGAGAGTTTGAGTCGGTAGAGAAGGATCGTTGGTCCAAGTCAGGTCTTAACATCCATTGGTTTTTCTGCCCTTGGTGTGATTGATCAACTCCGTAATAGTGGACAATCACATTATCTACTTTAATGAGATATTTATGAATAAATTTAGTTATAAACTATGACATAGTTGAGATGCCCTGAATTATAAGCCATAAAGAGTAGGACAACTAAGAAGCAAAATTAGGACTTAATAACATTTTCTGAAAACTACAACATTTGCATATTAGAACCTATGAACAAAATACGCATTGGGTTTTATTTGGGATTCCAAGATAATTTTAGTCATAAAGTTTAGGAACAGATTATTCCATTGCTTTACTATTTCTCTGAGCATTTAAAAAATGTTATCTCGTTAAATCTTTATAACAACCTAGTGAAATAAGGCAGCAAAGTCCTCACTTTGTTGAAGAAGACATTGAGCCTAAGAGAAGCAAGTTGTCCAAGAACAAATAGCTGTTCATTATGGAGCTAGGACTTATGCAGAGTTGGGACACTTTCTATTATGTCATGCTAATGCTAGCTAATTTACTGGGTCACAGTGCCCTCGATTTATGACTATTTCACCTTACATTTTTTTCTTCTTTAATTAGAAGCTTAAAGAGAAGTTTGTAGAATGTACTCACAAGTGGGTGGGATAATACTATTAAGTTCTGTTATTCTGATATTGTTTGAAATACTCTTAATAATTCTACATTTGGTAAGTTTTTTTATATCAGTATTAAAATAGTAATTTGGTTTATTACATTTTTATACATAGAATTTGCCAGTTACTTTCTGACTACAAAGAAAAACAGATGCTAAAAATCTCTTCTGAAAACAGCAATCCAGGTAAGACTTGTGATAGTGAATTACTTTAGTCAGTTGTCCCCAATCTTTTTGACACCAGGGACCGGTTTTGTGGAAGACAATTTTTCCATGGGCTGGGGGAGGGTGGGGATGGTTTCAGGATTATTCAATCATGTTACATTTATTGTGCTACTTTATATTATTATCACATTGTAATATATAATGAAATAATTATACAACTTACCATAATGTAGAATCCGTGGAAGCTCTGAACTTATTTTTCTGCAACTGGATGGTCTCATCTGGGGGCAAAGTGAGACAGTGACAGATCATCAGGCATTAGATTCTCATACGAAGCACACAACCTAGATCCCTCAGATGGGCAGTTCACAACAGGGTTCATGCTCCAATGAGTATCTAATGCTATCACTGATCTGACTGGAGGCAGAGTAGAGGCTGTAATATGAGCCATAAGGAGTGGCTGTAAATACAGATGAAGCTTCCCTGGCTTGCCTGCTGCTCACCTCCTCCTGTGTGGTGTGGTTCATAATAGTCCATGGACTGGTATGAGTCTGTGGCCTGGGAGTTGAGGACCCCTGCTCTGCGTGGTCCTACCATAGATAAAAAAGTAAAAGTAAGGAATTTTTGATCACAAAAGAACACTGAAGCACAAGTCATGTTACATATGCTTGTCCCAATAAGTTCTCACTATTACTGACTTCATTCCTCCTCATTTGAAGTTGGAAAGAGATATATTTACTTTGTTGGAACAAGATGTGTTCTTCTACCTGCTGGTTAATTGTCATCATAACAGTAATTTTGTTAGAACAAGATGCTCTGCTACCATTTGCCAAAAGATTGTCATAATAAATATACAAATTGCCCAACTCTAGGCTCAGCAGATTATAATAAAAGCAGAAAAACGTTTCACGCTAACAAAAATGCTAGTATGCTACCTGGTTGTGGACACCTAATACATTATATTGTCCAAACTGTGTGAGGACACCTTTAATTTAGTCATCTATTTATCAAAGAGCTTTTGTAAGTTAGGTTTTATAAGTTGCAGGAGACAAAGATGGAATAGATGTAGTTTTGATCTTTAAGGTGCTCATAATAGAGCTGTCTCCATTTCATTTCTGTGCTTTTTCAACAGAATTTACAAAGAAAACATTTCTATTTATGTTTTCACTTGTCCACTTAACATATAACTATCAAATGTCTTTTAGATAGTAACCATTTTTCTAATGCTATAGACCACAAACAATTAAAAATACAGACAGGAGCTTTTTGTTATCATTGTCATTTTCATTATTTTACTACTTTATTCAGTGCTTACTGTGTGCTAGATGCCCACTGGAAGCTTATAATTATGATTTATTATATATTGATTATGTGCCAGACATATGTGATGAGGAATGAAAGTTTTGGGAAAAAGTAGGTATGATTTAAGGTAAGCATGCAGAGAGAGAAGAATTTTTCTAGGTAAAGAAGCAGAAGAAGAATGTTTGGCAGAAGGAACATGCAGCGAGGTCGTGTGTTTGCCAGAAGGAACATCTAATGAGATTGCCTGTTTGGGAGGAAGAGCAGCAAGTGCAAAAGACAAGATGCTTGAGTGAACATGGCAGGGTTTCTGAGCAGTTCACTTTTGCTAGTACCAAAAGTGTGTGATACGAGAGGTTGGGAATGAGGTGAATACTTAGCTAAGGCAAGTTTATGATAGACTTTTTAATACTATAGAAATGAGTAGGTCTTATCCTGTGTGCCATGGGAAATTTACTGGGTAGAATGCTTTGGACTGCAAATACTAGATGAACAGTGGCTAAAACAGTAGGAACCAGAGTTGTTTTGGTTGTTCATTGATATCCTAGGATCCCACTTTTCCCTCTTTCAGCTGTGCTGTTGACAGTGTTTTATTCACGTCTCCTTTCATGGTTGGCTAATCCGCAGCAGCTCCAAACATCTTGTTCTCACAACACAACATCGCAAGGGCTGCTTTTCTTCACATGTGTCTTTTAAACAGGGAGAAAACTTAGAAGCATGCAAAGGGCTTCCTGTAACATTTCACTGGCTGGGTCACACCACATGCTCATTCCCAAACCAGGCACTGGGAAGGTAAATACCTGATTAGCTTAGAATAAACATTTCTGTTTCTGAGGCTGAGGAGGGGGATTGGGATAATAAATATCCCAATAGACTTGGATTTCTTCTTCAAGAAAGAATAAGGAATGGCTATTGATAGGGAGCCAACAATGTGTGCTGCAGGGGCTCATTGGAGAAATTTGAGCAGGGGAGTCACAAGATTAAATTTGAGTATTAAGGCATTCTGGTTATGGTGTAAAACGGGTTAGCAAGCTTTTTCTGTAAATGGCCAGGTGGGCAATATTTTAGACTATGTGGTCTCTGTCATATCTACTTAACCCTGCTGTTGTCTGCTGTTGTAGTGTGAAAGCCACCATGATTATATGTAAGCAAACAGGCATGACTGAGCTCCTATAAAACTTTATTTACAAAGCCATAAGGCAGATTGGATTTGGCCTGTGGCCTATAGTTTGCTGGGATTGATGGAAGGTTCTTTACCATGTAAAGAAACCAGGAGACAAAGGAAGTTTTCGCAGTAGTCAGCTATAGTTTCCTTGTCATACATCCTTGGAGTAGCATCAATGTATTACAAGGTTTTCACCCGTCCTTAGTGAAATACATAAAGTTAGGAATCTCAACTACTTGTTTTAATATGTTGGCCTTTGTTTTTTTGGTGTTATGCTTTTTTCATTTGTTTTGCTTAATTTTTTTTATGTAAGAAATAACATTAATAGTTGGCAGGCTTTTTTTTAAATAAAAGCCATTTTGTAAATGTTTGTGTTCCCAGTGGCAGTGGGAATATAAAGCAGAGGCAGAAGAGAGGTATCGTCAATATGATTTAGTGATAATTGAATGAGAAAGGCTTGGGGGACAGAGAGAAATGTCAGATAATTTCCAGGTTTCCAGGTTGTACAGTAGTATTTAACCTGGATGTGAGGACGAAGGAGGAAATTTTCTGGTGAATACAGAAGAGCAAAGAGCAGCAGGTCAGCAGGAATGACTAATGTTTTTCTATGCACGTTTAATGGAAAATTCATGTAGGATATTTTGAATAGGTAATTGGATAACCAGCATTTATAACTCGCATCCTACTAGTTTGACTCTCACTAATAAGACTTGTCAAAGATCCAAGAATCTGAAAGTTGATGATAAATGTCCATGTGTATCACCATCAATGATCAAAAGTTAGCATCCACAGACATAGAATGGGACAGATGAACTTAATGGATAAAGATGAATATCGGAGTTGTTCCTTTTAGGGAATGATACTCTCCATGACCTGTGTGAGTCACAGCTGCCAGAAAAGAGCGAGCAAGGAGCGTATGAAGGCAGCACAGCAAATTCAGTCCTAGAGTGCCCTGCTTGACTTCATGTCATAGTTCTGACTTCTAAAAAATCATTTTCTGTGAAATACACTTTGATTTTTTCCCCGCTTGCAGCCTGCAACCAAACAGAATCCCTTTAGCAGGGCATTTTTGTGTTCTTCCTTTAAACAAAGCAATATATAAATAACAAAATGAAAAAAGAGAAAGAGTGTTTTTTGTATAGGCTAGTATTTAACATAAACTTGAGAGTGAGTACCAGGATTATAGTTAGAATTTACGGACTGGGTAGGAAGACTGGATAGAAATCTAAAGATTGCTGACTCAAACACAATGTGGTTTCTTTGCTTTATTGTCACAGCTCTGAATTCACAATTATTAGTTAAATTCATAGGCACTATAACTTTAGAAAGCACCTTCCCAAACCAAGTATTAAGTGATTTATTATAATTTCTCTGACTTCTTATAGAATTGACTTTCCAAGTGTTCATGAGAATTATTGAGAAATTGCTACATAGTATCATCTCAGCTCTGTCCACATGAGCTATCTGTCACCTTGTCTTAATGAATAATTGTTCAGTAGGAATATTGGTTTTGGCATTTAAAGTGATCTATATCTAAATGCAGATAGGATCAGGGACCACTCTTGAACATTAATGTCCAGGCATCTTAAAATTACACATAAGGCTTTCATAATCTGACTTCTGCCCCACTCTCCATCTTTAGGCCTTTTCCCTGTGTGCCCTTTCTCTGGCATTACTGAGCTGCTGGCAATGCCCTACTCACTCATCCTCCTATTGTAGGCAAATACTTTCACTCTTTCAGGCCTCGCTCCCGCTCTTGCTGCTGCGTGGCATGCCGTCACCCTTTCCTGCCCTCTACCCCTTTTAATCTGGCTAGTCTCAATATTTAAGTCTCTGCTTGGGCATGTTTTCTAGAAAAGCCATCCCTGACATGCTTTATTTTAATTCTTTTTAAACCCTAATGCCTAACATGTATTTAGCAGGACTCAATAAGAAATTTCTGAGTAAAATGTGAGTAAGATGATGCTCAAGACTGTCCTCTGCAGTCTTGGAGCAGACGGGACAGACATGTGGAGGAATAATGTACAGTTCAGGTGGTAAAGATGCAGTAGAAAAATCAGTGAAGTACTAAGGCAGCCTCAAGGAAGGAGGTACCTGTTTATCTGGGGAAAGACATGCAGAATCAAGGAAGACGTTCTCATAGCATTGTTTTAAAAGATAAATATAAGGACAAGTGTGGTGGCTCACACCTCTAATCCCAGCATTTTGGGAGGCTGGAGCAGGCAGATCACAAGGTCAAAAGATCAGGACCATCATGGCCAATGGTGAAACCCCGTCTCTACTAAAAACACGAAAATTAGCTGGGCATGATGGTACATGCCTGTAATCCCAGCTTCTCCGGAGACTGAGACAGGAGAATCGCTTGAACCAGGGAGTGTCAGAGGTTGCAGTGAGCTGAGATTGCGCCACTGCACTCCAGCCTGGTGACAGAGCAAGACCCTGGCTCAAAAAAAAAAAAAAAAAGAAAGAAAGAAAAATGAAAATAAATGTGTCAGAATAGTGGAGGAAAACATTTTAGATATTGGGAAGACATTGTACACTAATAAAGGTGTCAGTAGTAATTTTTGAAATCATTTGTAAGGTACTATTGTTGCAGAAAGCAGGAGGCAGGAGAGACCAAGTGGGTGAAACAGGAGGATTTCATTTAGGTTCGCAACAGCTCAGCAGATTTGCATCCGAAAGCTGAGCCCTGAACAAAGACAGGGCTTGGCTTATGTAGGCAAGCTTACAGAAGCAGAACAAAGGCAGTTAATCATATAGTGACAGTTTTGCAACCTCAGCAAAGCTTATGACCTTGCAGCTGCATTGAAGGTCAACAGGAACTTGCGAATAGTATGCATTTGTAAAAACAGCTCTGAGTGAATGCTGAGGGGAAGGGGAGACAGTAAAGGATTTTGTTTTCTTAACCTTGCTCTGGGATGTCTGGAGCCCATACCTGTGGGCTCTGGCTTCTCAGGCAGGGTCACCACGACCTTTCCTGGGCCCTGCTTGTTACTATCCTTAGAGTCAGACTAGCTAAGTGCGGGAAAACTTGTTTCTCTTTAAAACTAAATTTCCTTTTCTTTACATTTACTGCTTCACTATTAGGAAGTGGAGAACAACATACTGTGTTACCTTAGATGCTTCTACTGTATTTTAAAGTTGTGTTTCTGGTGGTTTTGTTCATTTATGTTGGGTGGATGAATTTGTGAGTGAATGACATCAGGTGTCTCCCCAAGTGGTTTGTTGAAGTTTGGGAGAATTATTTCCTAAATAACTATTTCATGAAAAACTAAACACTCAATTTATGAAATAAAATGTTGTCTTAAATCTATTTTTATAAAGGCAATAGTTTTTAACTGTTCTAAGTGGTTCATTTTAACTGAATATATGGATTTCTCAACAGAACAAGACTTAAAGCTGACATCAGAGGAAGAGTCACAAAGGTTCAAAGGCAGTGAAAATAGCCAGCCAGAGGCATGGAAAATTTTAAATTTAAATTTTTGATTTAATGTTGTTTTCTTTGCTTTAATAATATTAGATAGTCCAAATGAAATTACCTTTCAGACTAGGTTTTGAGAATCAATAGATTTTTTAAAGAATTTTTTAATAGATTGTTAAAATTTATTTTAATAAATTCAGTAATCTCATTAACAGAAGAATGGATTCTAATTTAACATTTGATATTTAACTTAAAAAACATAACCACTATAAAATTTAAAATACTCTTATAATATTTTTATTTAAAATACTCTCATCTGCCTTTTTGATTAGCTTATAGCTAATCTTTCCTTTTGGAATAGAGGCAAAAACAAATTGCAGAACTTTGTTCTTTTATTTTTACAACACCCGAACATGATGAAGAAGGTACATCAATTATTGGATTATGTTATTAAGCAATAGAATTATGAACAATGTAACTCTGATGGTCCCTGAGCTGGATTCATGGTTAAGGAGTAATCATGGCCAGTGATTGAAAATCTGCAGTTTTATATTGTCAGTCATTGATACCAAGCTTAAAAATATATTCTGCCTTATGGTCTCTCGTTGACCTCAGCGTTTCTGTTCAGGGAGGGAACCAGGTCATAAAAGCAACACAGCTGCCTATTACAAGAATCATATCTTGCAGAATGGAACCTTTGGTGTTAGTGCACAAACACAATAACATTCTAATTTATTTCAGTTGCAGAAAATTAGTACATATTGTTAAAAAATCTTTATCCACTGTAATTAGTACACATTAGAATATATTAGAACTGGACTTAAGCAGATAATCTGGATACATAACACTATCATATGACAGTATATAATCTCAATTAAAATTTGAGAATTTGCATCTCTTTCTGTTTGGTGTTGATTTCGGCTCCTAATAATTTAAATGGTGCCTACAATCCAGTTAGGAATCTTTTAGAAAAGCACTTCAGTGCACTGTAGGGGCTCACTAGTTAGGGTTTCATGAGGTAAACTCTTTTCAAGTGAGGAAGGTTTTGCAACACTACAAATCATCTGCTGATTCATTTTTGGTAGATTTAACACATAACAAATTAAGTTTAGTCCAAACAAATGGTGACCAAATTAAGTTTGCTGGTTCACGTTTTTTTTCTTCATTGGGCTAAGGTGAATTATTTTTCACATGTTAGTCAGAAGCCAGTAATGTGGCAGTAGCTAAACATAGATTAAAAAGTTAATTCTTAATTTTAATTATTATTTATTTAACAGTTAAATTTTAATTTTAATTATTTTCTAATTTTTCATTGTCCATACTTGATTAGTTAAGAATAAAATTTTTTTAAAACATGCGCTCCAAAAGAGGACACATCACAGAAACACAACAAGCAAATTAACCTTCTGTTTTTGCCTCTGCAGAAAATGTCTCAAGAACCAGAAATAAATAAGGATGGTGATAGAGAGGTATACCTTCATATTCAAATGTTTCTGTTGAATTAGATTTTTACATTATGTTGTTTAACAAAATGTAGTAAGTGTAGGCATACATGATCCTATCATGTAAGTAGCATAAATCATCAGTGAAAAAGTTAATATTTAACTCAGAAAGAATTCTGTACATTGAGTTTTCAAGAGATACAAAGCCTAGAGATATTCTTTGATTATTATGGAACAATCCTGAATGGTGCTATAAAATGCTAGGTAATGCCACTTTAGGAGCTTTGGACCAATCATTTTATCTTTCTTGGTTTTAGTCTGATTATCAATAGATAATGTGGCTAAAGAAGATAGCTTTTTATTCTGTGTATCTTCCAGCTAGAAAATTGTATGGCTATTCAATGTGAAATTTGGGGAGCATCTCATTTTCTGGAATTCCATGCTTGCACGTCAGCAGTTTCACTCTGCTTCTTGTGTTGTGGCAAACTTTGGCTCCCATTTTCAGTGAGCACCATCATGTTTTTGATATCCCAGCAACCAAATGAAAAAAGAATGCTCAAAGGCAGTGGGGTAGAAGAATATCTTAGCGCAGAAAAGGGCAAACTTCCTTTCTATTCCTGAAGCCGCACAGTGTGTCATCCTCTAAATCTGACTGTTTAATGTAAAATCTAGGTGGTAAAGACGGAAGAGGACACATTTTGCATCTTTGTCTTTTTATTTGTGTGTTCCCATGAATCAAATGGGGTAAATACATACATAAGATTCTGAAGAGTGATTGAGAATAAAAGCACAAAATGAAGGAGGGCCCTTTTTGAATTTTGGAAAATTCTGTTTCATTCATTGAAACAGAAATGAAGCAAACTTTACAAAAATTTCTGTGATATATTAATGAGATGATAATTACATCTTAAAGTTATATGGTAATATTTCTATATATATGATCAAATTTAAGTGTGAAATATTTTTAATGACTAAAATAATGACAAACTGAGTCAATTGATAGAATCAATTAAAAAGGTTCTTTTTATTCAATAAAGTGATAACTATCCTTAATATCCCACTCAAGGTTGAAGAAGAAATGAAGAAGCATGAAAGTAATAATGTGGGATTACTAGAAAACCTGACTAATGGTGTCACTGCTGGCAATGGTGATAATGGATTAATTCCTCAAAGGAAGAGCAGAACACCTGAAAATCAGCAATTTCCTGACAACGAAAGTGAAGAGTATCACAGGTAAGCCTATGGCAACATTGAATAGAAGATAACTATGTGCTGTCAAACTAACCCTAATTTGGGCTAATATTCATGATGAACAAATTTTATAGTTTTACTAGGATATTCAGCCTTGCCCGTTAATCAGAAAAATGAAAATCAGCGAACAATGAGTTACCATTTTTCCAGGCATTAATTTATTTGAAAAATAACCAGTATTGGCAAATGTGAGGGAAAAGGCATTTTCTTTTCTTTTTAGTGAACTTTTCTTTTAGTTTCAGGGGTACATGTGCAGGGTTATTATATAGGTAAAGTGTATCATGGAGATTTGGACTGCAGATTATTTCATCAGCCACATAATAAGCAAAACACCAAAAGTTAGTTTTTTGGTCGTCTCCCTCCCGCGACGCTCCACCTTCAAGTAGACCCTTGGTGCCTGTTATTCTCCTCTTTGTGTCCATGAGTTCTCATTATTTAGTTCCCAGTAATGAGTAAGAATATGTGGCATTTGATCTTCTGTTCCTGCATTAGTTTGCTTAGGATAATGGCCTCCAGCTCCATCTGTGTTGCTGCAAAAGAAATGGTTTCATTGTAAAAGACATTTCATACACTGCTGGTAAATACATTTTGAACATTAATTTAGTAGCATATTCACAAACACATGTATAACAATAAGGATATATAATATATGTAAAGGATATTTGTGTAGATTTGTTACATATATACTTATGTATAAGGACATTTATTACAGCATTATTATATCAAAAAGATGGATCCTTATCAATAGGAAATTATCATTATCAAAAGTAAATCATTACCAATAGGAAATAGCTCAATTTTCATACCCAGAAATTAATGTAGTATGCAACCATTTTTTACAAGTGAGGTTAGATCTAGAGTATACTGATTATTTCACAATTAAAGTGTATTTAAAGCATCAGTGATGACATCTTAAGAGTTCTTGTTAAAATTCTTGTAATATTTCCTGTGTTGCAAATGGAAGCTACATGCTATATTGATGCTGTACCTTGTTAGCAACAAGATTGCTAGTCATTAAATTTTTATTGTCAGTGCCTGAGTGCTGAAATATTGGACCCTCAATCTGAATATTGCCAAGGGATTGTACATGGGGATCTGTATTTAATATAAACGTTTCAGTATATTGGGTAAAACTTTTATTAAAATATATCAAAGGATCTTTCATCTGCTAAACCAGGAGTTGGCCAGCTTTTTCTGCAAAGAGCCAGTTAGTAAATATTTTAGGCTTTGTGGACTATATAAATTAATTTATTTTTGAGACAGGGTCTCACTCTGTTTCCCAGGCTGGAGTGCAGTTGTGTGATCATGGCTCACTGAAGTCTTGACTTTCTGAGCTCTAGTGATCTTCCCACCTCAGCCTCTCTACTAGTTGGGACCACAGGTGTGCAACATCACACCCAGCTAATTGACACTGTGGACTGTAAAGTGAATAAGCATGGCTGTGTTCCAAAATACTTGACTTACAAAAACAGGCAGTGGGCTGGATTTGGCCCAAGGTGCTAATTTGCTGACCCTTGTGCTAAAAGGAAGGTGCTGCAAGTGAAGTGACTCCTATTTGTAAAAGTGCCCTGCGTGTGTGAAATTATCCTTCCTTTGAGAAAAGGATATATTTCAGTATTCACCTCACCATATTTTTCCACAGTGACTTCATATAATTTTAAAAATTTCATTTATAAAATAAGATTATTTTCTGCATTTCTCCCACTTTATTCCTGTTAATAGAACCCAGTATTTTGCTGTGATCAATTATTTTGTATATTTGATGAGTATCAGTTTTCCTAGAATTGGCTGATTTTATCAAGCAAGAAATACTCTCCTTGAAACTTTTAGTATTTCTTGGTCTTTATGTATAAGCATGAATAAAATGATAATCAGCTTATGTGTAATCTAGAAATGTTCAAGGCGACTTTTAGTTCTATAGTTTTAAGAATTTAACACCTCAGTCTGGCATTTTTAATGCCACATGTGTATAATTTTTATAACCTTTAAAATATATAATTGTTATATAAAATTTGAAAACTACACCTGTTATATAAAACTTGAAACTATTTGTCTATTACTTTTCCATGACTGTGGAAGAAAATTACAACATTCTCAGTCATGACTCCTAAGCATGATGTCCTTAAAAGAACTGTCCACACTCACGAACTCAAATTTTCTTTTCATTCACTCTTAATCTCACACCGGCGTCTTCAATTTCAGCAGTCCTCCAACATTGTTTTTCCTCAAGATTATCACAATTTTTTTCTGTAAATTATGCATTTTTCTTACACCTCATTTTATTTAATCTGTCAGCAATATTTGAGCCAGTGGAGGGCGTCTCCTCCCTAACGGCGTCTTCACTTGGCTTTCAGGTCCTCACTCCCTCAAGCTTTTCCTCCTGCATTTCTAGTCCATTCATCATGGTCTGTTTTGCTTGCTCCTCCTCATCTTTCTCCTTTTGGACATTGTTGTTTCCCAGGGCTCAGTCCTCAATCTTCTTTCTCCTGACTTTTTCTTTTTCTTTTTTTGAGACGGAGTTTGACTCTGTCCCCCAGGCTGGAGTTCAGTGGTGTGATCTCAGCTCACTACAACTTCTGCCTCTTGGGTTTAAGTGATTCTCCTGCCTCAGCCTCCTGAGTAGCTGGCATTACAGGTGTGTGCCACCATGCCTGGCTAATTTTTGTATTTTTAGTAGAGACAGCATTTCCCCATGTTGGCCAGCCTGGTCTCAAACTCCTGACCTCAGGTGATCTGTCTGCCTTGGCCTCACAAAGTGTTGGGATTACAGGTGTGAGCCACTGCACCCGGCCCCTCATGACTTTTTCTATTGTGTATATGCTAGTGATTTCCAAATGTATGTCTCCAGCTCAGATCTCTCTCCTTAATTCCAGATTTTTTATATCAGCCTGCCTACTTGACGTCTCTATTTGGTTAGTTATTGGGTATCACACACTTGTCAGATCCAAAATTGGGCTACTGATGTCCTTCCTGAAATCTACACCTCATGTAGTCTTTCCTACTTTGGTTAAGGGCAACTCTTCCAATTGCTCTGCCAAAAATGTCATTGTCATTCTTGACTCATCTGTCCCTCTGACACCTCATATCTAATCTTTCAGTAAATCTTGTCAGGTCTACCTGAAGAATATGACCAGAAGCCAGTCATATCTTGTACATCTGAGCCACTGTCATCTGCAGTCATGAGTGTCATAGACTGGGAATTGATCGTCCTGGCTTTTAAAAACTTCCCTTTTCATCAATTCTTAACTCAGTGGATGTATTTAAAACATAAGTCAAATTGTGTCATTCCTCTTCCCCAGCACTTCTGATTGCCTCCTTTTCACTCTGAGTATGGGTCAAAGTTCCTCCTGATTATCTCCCTTGCTCTGCTTCAGCCACACTGAATTCTTGCCATCCCGTATCTACCCCTAGTGCTTAAAGACTCCAGACACACCTCTGTGCTTGGCAGTTCCCTGTGTCTGGGATGCTTTTCCCCCAGATATCCTCCTAGCTTAACTCTTTCCATTCCTTCAGTTCTTTATTTAAAACCGCCTTTCTAAGAAGAAGAAGACAAAGGGTAAAAAGAAACACATTAAGGAACATCCACTTTCTGAGGAAGAACCGTGTACTACCCAGACGCATCATGCTTAAGATGCAATTGGCAGCATACAAGGAATGCTCTCTAAGGTAATCAAGGCAAGGTTCAATGAAACAAAGTGATTTATCATCTCTAACTTCAAACCTATTTGTATCTTGACATCAACGCTGTTAACCTTATGTCATCATTTCTTAGAGTCTTTGATATACAAATAAAAGGTTTTTTGTATTAGAAAAAAAAAACCCTTTCTCAGCAGGGACTCTTCTGGCCATCTCAACTTTCCCACCACCCTCCCCATCAAACACATAAACATTTCATTTTCCTGCTTTAGTTTTTCTCCTCTAACATACCGTATATTTTGCCTTATCTGTCTGTTGTTATTGTGTGTTTTTCTCACTGTCATGAATAGGGTTTTTATTTTTCACTACCATATCTTCACTGCTTAGAAAAAGGCTTAGCATATTGGATGTAGCTACCTAATAAATACTTATTAAATAAGTGAATGGAGTTTATCCTGTGTATATTGTTTGATTGATTCTCACTTTGAAAATGTTTGACATGGGTCGGGCATGGTGGCTGACACCTGTAATCAAAGCACTTTGGGAGGCCGAGGCAGGTGGATCATGAGGTCAGGAGGTGGAGACCAGTGAAACCCCGTCTCTACTAAAAATACAAAAAAATTAACCGGGTGTGGCAGCATGCGCCTGTAGTCCCAGCTGCTATGGAGGCTGAGGCAGGAGAATGGCATGAACCCGGGAGGCGGAGCTTGCAGTGAGCCAAGATCGTGCCACTGCACTCCAGCCTGGGTGACAGAGCAAGACTCCATCTCAAAAAAAAAAAAAAAAAAAAGTTTGACATGGTTCTTTCCTAACAGTTTTGCCTGGTAATTGTCTGCATTTTTAAAATCGTTTTGGCTCTTTGTAATAAGCTACATTCTTTATATTAATTTTTTTATTTAGGGAGAAAAGCCCAATATTGTGGTTATTCACTATTTATTCTTTAATAGTAATCATAATTGTCATTATGGTAAACTGAGTCAGAGGAATTGCAAACTTTACTATTTTATTTTATTTTATTTTATTTTTTTGAGATGGAGTCTCGCTGTATCGCCCAGGCTGGAGTGCAGTGGCGCGATCTCAGTTCATTGCAACGTGGGTTCATGCATTTCTCCTGCCTCAGCCTCCCAAGGAGCTGGCCCTTGCATAAGGCGGCCACACAAATTTTTGAAGCATTCTATATTTTGCGCAGTCACTGGAAGGTCATTTGACTGTTTGCTGAGTAGCTTTAAGGAAATGGTGTGAATCAAAGCAGAATGGGTGCCACAAAAACATTGAAATTGTGATTTGCGCAATAAAAATAGTCATGTAAGGTGGTCTGTGAGATGACACCAGAGCCAAATAACGTGTGGGGTGTTGTGTACCAAATATATTGTTAGTATGTATGTTAAAAATTAGAGAATGGCAACTTACAACTTCTTCGTGGAACCTAAAAAAAAATAAAAGTAGGGTTTTCGTCTCCCATGTCAGCTGGAGATGAACATGTATATAAAGCATCATCGTAACAAACATCTGGCTGAGAGTTTGAGTCTGTAGAGAAGGATCATTGGTCCAAGTCAGGTCTTGACATCCATTGGTTTTTCTGCCCTTGGCGTGATTGATCAACTCCGTAATAGTGGACAATCACATTATCTACTTTAATGAGATATTTATGAAAAAATTTAGTTACAAACTATGACATAGTTGAGATGCCCTGAATTAGAAGCCATAAAGAGTAGGACAACTAAGAAGCAAAATTAGGACTTAATAACATTTCCTGAAAACTACAACATTTGCATATTAGAACCTATGAACAAAATTCGCACTGGGTTTTATTTGGGATTCCAAGATAATTTCAGTCATAAAGTTTAGGAACAAATTATTCCATTGTTTTACTATTTCTTTGAGCATTTAAAAAAATGTTATCGTGTTAAATCATTATAACAACCTAGTAAAATAAGGCAGCATAGTCCTCACTTTGTAGAAGACATTGAGCCTAAGAGAAGCAGCTTGTTCAAGAGCAAATAGCTGTTCATTATGGAGCTAGGACTTATTTAGAGTTGGGACACTTTCTATTATGTCAGGCTAATGCAAGTTAATTTACTGGGTCAAAGTGCCCTCGATTTATGAGTATTTCATCTTACTTTTTTTTCTTCTTTAATTAGAAGCTTCATGAGAAGTTTGTAGAACGTACGCATAAGTGGATGGGATAATACTGTTAAGTTCTGATATTCTGATATTGTTTGAAATACTCTAAGAATTTTACATTTGGTAAGTTTCCAGATCAGTATTTTAAAACAGTAATTTTATTTGTTATATTTTTATACATAGAATTTGTGAATTACTTTCTGACTACAAAGAAAAGCAGATGCCAAAATACTCTTCTGAAAACAGCAACCCAGGTAAGACTTGTGATAGTGAATTACTTTAGGTCAGTTGTCCACAATCTTTTTGGCACCAGGGACCGGTTTTGTGGAAGACAATCTTTCCATGGGCTGGGGGAAGGTGGGGATGGTTTCAGGATTGTTCAGTCACATTACACTTATTGTGCTACTTTATATTATTATTACATTGTAATATATAATAAAATAATTATACAACTTACCATAATGTAGAATCAGTGGAAGCTCTGAGCTGATTTTTCTGCAACTAGATGGTCCCTTCTGGGGGCAAAGTGAGACAGTGACAGATCATCAGGCATTAGATTCTCATACGAAGCACACAACCTAGATCCCTCAGATGGGCAGTTCACAACAGGGTTCATGCTCCTATGAGTATCTAATGCTATCACTGATCTGACTGGAGACAGAGTAGAGGCTGTAATATGAACCATAAGGAGTGGCTGTAAATACAGATGAAGCTTCCCTGGCTTGCCTGCTGCGCACCTACTCCTGTGTGGCGTGGTTCCTCACAGACCGTGGACTGGTACCAGTCTGTGGCCGGGGAGTTGTGGAGCCCTGCTCTGGGAGGTCCTACCATAGATTTAAAAAGTAAAAGTAAGGAATTTTTGTTCACAAAAGAACAGTGAAGCACAGGTCATGTTACATATGCTTGTGCCAACAAGGTCTCACTGTTACTGACTTCATTCCTCCTATTTTGAAGTTGAAAGAGATGCATTTACTTTGTTGGAACAAGATGTGTTCTTCCACCGGCTGGTTAATTGTCATGATAACAGTAATTTTGTTAGAAGAAGGTGCTCTGCTACCATTTGCCAAAAGATTGTCATAATGTACAATTTTCCCAATGCAAGGGTCAGCAGATTATAATAAAAATATAAAAATGTTTCACAGTAACAAAAATGCTAGTATGCTACCTGGATGTGGACACCTAATACATGGTACAATCCAAACTGTATGAGGACACCTTTAATTTAGCTACCTATTTATCAAAGAGCTTCTGTAAGTTAGGTTTTATAAGTTGCAGGAGACAAAGATGGAATAGATGTAGTTTTAATCTTTAAGGTGCTCACAACAGAAGTGTTTCTATTTCATTTCTGTGGTTTTTCAACAGAATTTACAAAGAAAACATTTTTATTTATGTTTTCACTTGTCCACTTAACAAATAACTGTCAAATGTCTTTTAGATACTAAGCAGTTTTTCTAAGGCTACAGAACACAAAAACAGACAGGAGCTTGTTATTATTATCATTGTCATTTTTATTATTTTGCTGCTTTATTCAGTGCTTACTGTGTGCTAGATGCCCACTGGAATCTTATAATTATGATTTATTATATGTGATATTGATTGTGTGCCAGACATATGTGATGAGGAGTGAAAGCTTTAGAAAGAAAGGAGGCAGGATTTAATGTAAGCATGCAGAGTGAGAAGAATTTTTCAGGGAAAGAAGCAGAGGAATGACATTTGGCAGAAGGAACATGGAGTGAGATAGTGTGTTTGCCAGAAGGAACATCTAATGAGATTGCCCGTTTGGGAGGAAGAGCAGCAAGTGCAGAAGACAAGATGCTTGAGTGAACATGGCAGGGTTTCTGAGCAGTTCACTTTTGCTAGTACCAAAAGTGTGAGATACCAGAGGTTGGGAGTGAGGTGAATACTTAGCTAAGGCAAGTTTACGATAGACTTTTTAATACTATAGAAATGAGTAGGTCTTTTCCTGTGGGCCATGGGAAATTTACCAGGTAGAATGCTTTGGACTGCAAATACTAGATGAGCAGTGCCTAAAACACTAGGAACCAGAGTTGTTTTTTTGTTCATTGATATCCTAGGGATCCCACTTGTCCCTCTTTCAGCTGTGCTGTTGACAGTGTTTTATTCACGTCTCCTTTTGTGGTTGGCTAATCTGCAGCAGCTCCAAACATCTTGTTCTCACAACACAACATCGAAAGGGCTGCTTTTCTTCACATGTGTCTTTTAAACAGGGAGAAAACTTAGAAGCATGCAAGGGGCTTCCTGTAACATTTCATTGGCTGGGTCATACCACATGCTCATTCCCAAACCAGGCACTGGGAAGGTAAATATCTGATTAGCTTAGAATAAACATTTCTTTCTGAGGCTGAGGAGGGGGATTGGGATATTAAATATCCCAATAGACTTATGTTTTTTCTGCCAGAAAGAATGAGGAATGGCTATTGATAGGGAGCCAACAATGTGTGCTGGAGGGGGCTCATTGGAGAAATTTGAGCAGGGGAGCCACAAGATTAAATTTGAGTATTAAGGCATTCTGGTTATGGTGTAAAATGGGTTAGCAAGCTTTTTCTTTAAAGGACCAGGTGGGAAATATTTTGGACTATGTGGTCTCTGTCATATCTACTTAACCGTGCTGTTGTCTGCTGTTGTAGTGTGAAAGCCACCATGATTATATGTAAGCAAACAGGCATGACTGAGCTCCTATAAAACTTTATTTACAAAACCATAATGCAGATTGGATTTGGCCTGTGGCCTATAGTTTCCTGGGATTGATGGGAGATAATCATGCAAAGAAACCAGGAGACAAAGGAAGCTTTTGCAGTAGTCAGCTATAGTTTCCATGTCACACATCCTTGGAGTAGCATCAATGTATTACAAGGTTTTCACCCGTCCATGGTAAAATAAATAACGTTAGAAATCTCAGTTACTCATTTTACTATGTTGGCCTTCGTTATGCCTTTTTCACTTGTTTTGCTTAATTTTTTTTCCTGTAAGAAATAACATTAATAGTTGGCAGTTTTCTTTTAAATAGAAGTCATTTTGTAAATGTTTGTGTTCCCAGTGGCAGTGGGAATATAAAACAGAGGCAGAAGAGAGGTATAGTCAATATGATTTAGTGATAATTGAATGAGAAAGGCTTGGGGGACAGAGAGAAATCTCAGATGATGTACAGGTTTCCAGATTGCACACTAGTATTTAACCTGGACATGAGGAAGGAGTAGGAAATTTTCTGGTGAATACAGGAGAGCAAAGAGCAGCAGGTCAGCAGGAATGACTAATGTTTTTCGATGCATGTTTAATGGAATATTCGTGTAGGGTATTTTGAGTAGGTAATTGGATAATCAGCATTTATAACTCGCATCCTACTAGTTTGACTCTAAGTAATAAGACTTGTCAAAGATCCAAGAATCTGAAAGTCAGTAATAAATGTCCATGTGCATCATCGTCCGTGACAGAAAGTCAGCATCCACAGAACACAGAATTGGGACAGATGAACTTAATAGATAAAGATGAATATCGGAGTTGTTCCTCTTAGGGAATGATACTCTCCATGACCTGTGTGAGTCACAGCTGCCAGAAAAGAAAGAGCAAGGAGCGTATGAAGGCAGCACAGCAAATTCGGTCCTAGAGTGCCCTGCTTGGCTTCATGTCATAGTTCTGACTTCTAAATAATCATTTTCTGCAAAATGTGCTTTTTGTTTTTCCCTCTTGCCGCCTGCAGCCAATCAGAATCTTTTTAGCAGGACATAATGAAAAGAAGTAAGAGAAAGAGTGTTTTTTTGTAATGGGATAGTATTTAACGTAAACTTGAGAGTGAGTACCAGGATTATACTTAGAATTTATGGACTGGATGGGAAGACTGGATAGAAATCTAAAGATTGCTGACTCAAACACAATGTGGTTTCTTTGATTTATTTTCACAGCTCTGAATTCACGACTGTTAATTGTATTCATATGCATTATAACTTTACAAAGCATCTTCCGAAACCAAATATTTACTGATTTATTATAATTTGTATGACTTTATTATAGAACTGACTTTCCAAGTGTTCATGAGAATTGTTTAGAATTTGCTACATTGTATCATCTCAGCTGTGTCCACATGAGCTATCTGTCACCTTGTCTTAATGAATAATTGTTCACTAGGAATATTGGTTTTGGCATTGAAATGATCTATATCTAAATGCAGATAGGACCCGGGACCACTTTTGAACATTAATGTTCAAGCATCTTAAAATTACACATAATGCTTTCATAATCTGACTTCTGCCCCACTCTCCATCTTTAGCCCTTTTCCCTGTGTGCCCTGTCTCTGGCATTACTGAACTGCTGGCAGTGCCCTACTCACTCATCCTTCTATTGTAGGCAAATACTTTCACTCTTTCAGGAGTCGCTCCCGCTCTTGCTGCTGCGTGGCATGCCGTCACCCTTTCCTGCCCTCTACACCTTTTAATCTGGCTAGTCTCAATATTTAAGTCTCTGCTTGGGCATGTGTTCTAGAAAAGCCATCTCTGACATGCTTTATTTTAATTCTTTTTAAACCCTAATGCCTAGCATGTATTTAGCAGGACTCAATAAAATATTTCTGAGTAAAACAAAGACTGTTTTTACAAAGATGATGTGCAAGACTCTCCCCTGCAGTCTTGGAGCAGAGGGGACAGACGTGGAGGAATAATGTACAGTTTAGGTGGTCAAGATGCAGTAGAAAAATCAGTAAAGTACTAAGGCAGCCTCAAGGAAGGAGGTACCTGTTTATTTGGGGAAAGACATGCAGAATCAAGGAAGACTTCATATAGCATTGTTTCAAAAGATGAAAATAAGGCCAGGTGTGGTGGCTCACACCTGTAATCCCAGCACTTTCAGAGGGAATCACGAGGTCAGGAGATCGAGACCATCCTGTCCAATGGTGAAACCCCATCTCTACTAAAAATACAAAAATCAGCTGGGTGTGGTGGTGCTTGCCTGTAATCACAGTTACTCAGGAGACTGAAGCAGGAGAATCACTTGAACCAGGGTCGCGGAGGTTGCAGTGAGCTGATCACACCACTGCATTCCAGCCTGGTGACAGAGGAAGACTCTAGCTCATAAAAAAAAAAAAAGAAAAAAGAAAAAAAGAAAATAAATTTGTCAGAATAGTGGAGAGAAACATTTTAGATATTAGGAAGATGTTGTACACTAATAAAGGTGTCAGCAGTGATTTTGGAAATCATTTATAAGGTACTATTAGGAAGTGGAGAACAGTACACTGTGTCACCTTATATGTTTCTACTGTATTTTAAAGCTGTGTTTCTGGTGGTTTTGTTCATGGATGTTGGGTGGATGAATTTGTGAGGGAATTTTTGACATGTTTGTTTGTCTTCAATCTGGTGACATCTGCTATCTCCCCAAGTGGGTTTTTGAAGTTTTTGAGAATTATTTCTTAAATGACAATTTCACAAAAGATGAAACACTCAATTTATGAAATAAAATGAAATGTCTCAAATCTGTTTTTAAAAGGCAATAGTTTTTAACTGTTTTAAGTGGTTGATTTTAACTGAATGTATGGATTTTTCAACAGAACAAGACTTAAAGCTGACATCAGAGGAAGAGTCACAAAGGCTTAAAGGCAGTGAAAATGGCCAGCCAGAGGCATGGAAACTTTTAAATTTAAACTTTTGTTTAATGTTGTGTTTTTTTTGCCTTAATAATATTAGATAGTCCAAATGAAATTACCTTTCAGACTAGGCTTTGAGAATCAGTAGATTGTTTTTTTAAGAATCTTTTGGCCAGGCAAGGTGGCTCACGCCTGTAATCCCAGCACTTTGAGAGGCTGAGGCAGGTGGATCACGAGGTCTGGAGATCGAGACCATCCTGGCTAACATGGTGAAACCCCGTCTCTAGTAAAAATACAAAAACTTAGCTGGGCGTGGTGGTGGGTGCCTGTAGTCCCAGCTACTCGGGAGGCTGAGGCAGGAGAATGGCATGAACCCAGGAGAGGGAGCTTGCAGTGAGCCGACATCCACCACTACACTCCAGCCTGGGTGACAGAGCGAGACTCCATGTGAAAAAAAAAAAAAAAAAAATTTTAATAGATTCTTAAAATTTATTGTAATAAAATCAGCAACCTTATTAACAGAAGAATCAATAGATTCTAATTTAATATTTGATATTTAACTTCAACATAACCCACTATAAAATTTAAAATACTCTTATTTTAAAATATTCTTATCTGCCTTCTTGATTAGCTTATAGCTAATCTCTCCTTTTGGAATAGAGGCAAAAACAAATTTCAGAACTTTGTTTGTTCTTTTATTTTTACAACACCCTAACATGATAAAGAAAGTAACATCAATGATTGAATCATATTATTAAGCAATAGGAATTATGAACAATGTAACACTGATTCCCTGAGCTGGATTCATGGTTAAAGAGTAATCATGGCCTGTGATTGAAAATCCACAGTTTTATATTGTCAGTCACTGATACCAAGGTTAAGGACATATCCTGCCTTGTGGTCTCTCGTTGACCTCAGTGTTTCTGTTCAGGGAGGGAACCAGGTCATAAAAGCAACCCAACTGCCTATTACAAGAACCATATCTTGCAGAATGGGACCTTTGGTGTTAGTGCACAAACACAATAACATTCTAATTTATTTCAGTTGCAGAAAATCAGTAGAGATTAAAAAATTTTATCTGCTGTCATTAGTACACATTAGAATATATTAGAACTGGACTTACGCAGATAATCTGGATACATAACACTATCATATGACAGTATATAATTTCAATTAAAATGTGAGAATTTGCATTTCTTTCTGTTTGGTGTTGATTTCGGCTCCTAATAGTTTAAAGGGTGCCTACAATCCAGTTAGGAATCTTTTAAAAAAGCACTTCAGTGCACTGTAGGTGCTCACTAGTTAGGGTTTCATGAGGTAAACTCTTTTCAAGTGAGGAAGATTTTGGAACACTACAAATCATCTGCTGATTCATTTTTGGTAGATTTAACACATAACAAATTAAATTTAGTCCAAACAAATAGTGAGAAAGTTAAGTTTGCTGGTTCATGTTTTTCTTCTCCCTTTGTCTAAGGTGAATTATTTTTCACATGTTAGAAGCCAGTGATGTGGCAGTAGCTAAACATAGATTAAAAAGTTAATTCTTAATTTTAATTATTATTTATTTTAACAGTTTAATTTTAATTACTTTCTAATTTTTATTGTCCATACTTGATTACTTCAGAATAAAATTATTTTAAAAACATGCACTCCAAAAGAGGAAATGTCACAGAAATACAACAAGCAAATTAACCTTCTGTTTTTACATCTGCAGAAAAGATCTCAAGAACCAGAAATAAATAAGGATGGTGATAGAGAGGTATACCTTTATATTCAAACGTTTGTGTTGAATTAGATTTTTACATTATGTTGTTTAACAAAGTGTAGTAAATGTAGGCATACATGATCCTATCATGTAAGTAGCATAAATCATCAGTGAAAAATTAAATAGTTAACTCAGAATTCTGTACATTGAATTTTGAAGAGGTGCAAACCCTAGAGCTATTCTTTCATTATTATGGAATAATCCCGAATGGTGCCATAAAATGCTAGGTAATGCCACTTTAGGAGCTTTAGACCAATTATTTTATCTTTCTTGGTTTTAGTCTGATTATCAATAGATAATGTGCCTAAAGTAGATAATTTCTTATTCTCTGTATTTTCCAGCTAGAAAATTTTATGGCTATCGAAGAAATGAAGAAGCACAGAAGTACTCATGTCGGATTCCCAGAAAACCTGACTAATGGTGCCACTGCTGGCAATGGTGATGATGGATTAATTCCTCCAAGGAAGAGCAGAACACCTGAAAGCCAGCAATTTCCTGACACTGAGAATGAAGAGTATCACAGGTAAGCCTATGGCAACATTGAACAGGAGGTAACTTTGTGCTGCCAAACTAATCCTAATTTGAGCTAATATTCATGATGAACAAATTTTATACTTTTATTAGGATATTGAGCCTTGCCTGTTAATCAGAAAAATGAAAATCAGCAAACAATCAGTTACCGTTTTTTTTCCAGTCATTAATTTATTTGAAAAATAACCAGTATTGGCAAATGTGAGGGAAAAGACATTTTCTTCTCTTTTCAGTGAACTTTTATTTTAGCTTCGGGGTACGTGTGCAGGTTTATTATATAGGTAAACTGTATCATGGAGGCTTGGGGTACAGATTATTTCACCAGCCACATAGTAAACAAAATACTCGAAAGGTAGTTTTTTGGTCGTCTCCCTCCTGCCATGCTCCTCCCTCAAGTAGGCCCCAGTGTATGTTATTCTCCTCTTTGTGTCCATGAGTTCTCATGTTTAGTTCCCACTAATGAGTAAGAATATGTGGCATTTGATTTTCTGTTCCTGCATGAGTTTTCTTAGGATAATGGCCTCCAGCTCCATCCGTGTTGCTGCAGGGGAAATGGTTTCATTGAAAAAGACATTTCATATACTGTTGGTAAATACATTTTGAACATTAATTGAGTAGCATATTCACACACACATATATAACAGTAAGCATATATAATACATGTAAAGGATATTTGTATAGATATGTTATATGTATACTTATGTATAAGGACATTTATTATAGTATTATGTAAAAAATTTGGAGCTAGTCTAATTCCTTATCAATAGGAAATAGCTCAATTTCCATATCCCCAAAATAATGTATTATGCAACCATTTTTAAAAAATGAGGTTAGATGTAGGGTATACTGATTATTTCACAATTAAAATGTATTTAAAGCGTTTAGTTTGATGACACATCTTAAGAGTTCTTGTTAAATTTCTTGTAATATCTGCTGTGTTGCAAATGGAAGCTACATGCTACATTGACACTGTACCTTGTTAGCAACAAGATTGCTAGTTACTAAATTTTTGTTGTCAGTGCCTGAGTGCTGAAATATTGGACCCTCAATCTGAATATTGCCAAGCGATTGTACATGGGGATCTATATTTAATATAAACATTTCAGTATATTTGGTAAAACTTTTATTAAAATACATCAAAGAATCTTTGATCTACTAAACCAGGAGTTGGCCAGCTTTTTCTGCAAAGAGCTAGTTAGTAAATATTTTAGGCTTTGTGGACTACATATATTGATTTTCTTGAGACAGGGTCTCACTCTGTTTCCCAGGCTGGAGTGCAGTTGTGTGATCATGGCTGACTGCAGCCTCGACTTTCTGGGCTCTAGTGATCCTCTGACCTCAGTCTCTACTAGCTGAGACCACGGGTGTGCAACATCACACCCAGCTAACTGACACTATGGACTGTAAAGTGAATAAGCATGGCTGTGTTCCAAGATACTTGACTTACAAAAACGGGCAGTGGGCTGGATTTGGCCCACAGGTGCTTATTTGCTGACCCTTGTGCTAAAAGGAAGGTGCTGCTAATGCAGTGACTTTTATTTGTAAAAGTGCCCTGCATGTGTGACATTATCCTCCCTTTGAGAAAAGGATATATTTCAGTATTTACCTCACCATATTTTTCCAGTGACTTCATATGATTTTGAAAACTACATTTATAAAATAAGATTATTTTCTGCATTTCTCCCACTTTATTCCTGTTAATAGAACTCAGTATTTTACTGTGATCAATTACTTCGTATATTTGATGAGTGTCAACTGTCCTAGAATTGGCTGATTTTTATCAAGCAAGAAATATTCTCCTTGAGAGTTTTAGTATTTCTTGGTCTTTATGTATAAGCGTGAACAAAATGATAATCAGCTTATGTAATCTAGAAATGTTCAAAGGGCCTTTAAAACCTTGGTCTGACATTTCTAAATGCCATATGTGTATAATTTTTATAACCTTTAGAATATATAATGGTTACATAAAATTTGAAAACTCCACCTGGTATGTAAAATTTGGAAGCTACTATTTCTTGTCTATCACTTTTCCATGACTGTGGATGAAAATTACATCATTCTCAGTCATGAGCGTTAAGTATATTGTCCTTAAAGAACTGTCTACACTCATGAACTCAAATTTTCTTTCCATTCACTCTTGATCTCAATGCCGGTAAGTCTTCAATTTCAGCACTCCTCCAGAACTATTTTTCCTCAAGATTATCACTAATTTTTTTCTGTACTAAATCTAGGCATTTTTCTTACACCTCATTTAATCTGTCAGCAATATTTGAGCCAATGGAGGGCATCTCCTCCCTAATGGCGTCTTCACTTGGCTTTCAGGACCTCACTCCCTCAGGCTTTTCCTCCTGCCTTTCTAGTCCGTTTATCATGGTCTGTTTTGCTTGCTGCTCCTCATCTTTCTCCTTTTGGACATTGTTGTTTCTCATGGCTCAGTCCTCAATCTTCTTTCTCATAATTTTTTTTTTTTTAAGACAGAGTCTCACTTTGTCCCCCAGGCTGGAGTTCAGTGGCATGATCTTGGCTCATTGCAACCTCTGCCTCATGAGTTCCAGCACTTCTCCTGCCTCAGCCTCCTGAGTAGCTGGGATTACAGGTGTGCAACACCACGCCTGGCTAATTTTTGTATTTTTAGTAGAGACAGGTTTCCCCATGTTGGCCAGGCTGGTCTCAAACTCCTGACATCAGGTGATCTGCCCGCCTTGGCCTCATGACATGTTGGGATTACAGGCGTGAGCCACCGTGCCTGGCCCCTCGTGACTTTTTCTACTGTGTATATGCTAGTGATTTCCAAATGTATGTCTCCAACTTAGATCTCTTTCCTTAATTCCAGATCTCTATATCATCCCACCTACTTGACATCTCTATTTGATTAGCTGTTGGGTATCACACACTTGTCAGATCCAAAATTGGGCTACTGATGTCCTTCCTGAAATCTACACCTCATGTAGTCTTTCCTACTTTGGTTAACAGCAACTCTTCCAGTTGCTCTGCCAAAAACCTCAGTGTCTGATCTTTCTCTCTCAGTCAAGATCTTCTTGACTGATCTTTCTCTCTGTCCTGACACTTCACATCTAATCTCTCAGTAAATCTTGTCAGGTCTATCTGAAGAATATATCCAGAGGCCAGTCTATCTTGTACATCTGAGCCACCGTCATCTGCAGTTTAGATGAGTGTCATAGACGGGAATTGATAGTCCTGGTTTTTAAAAACTTCCCCTTTCATCAATTCTTATCTCAGTGGATGTATTTAAAACATAAGTCAAATGTTGTCATTCCTCTGCCCCTGCCCTTCTGATTGCCTCCTATTTCACTCTGAGTATGTGGCAGAGTTCCTCCTAATAACTGAAAGGCAGTAAACCATCTGGCATGTTACCTCTCCTGCTGAAACTTCTGTTTCTTATCTCTATTGCTGTGTTTCAGCCACACTGAACTTGTTGCTATTCCTGACCTATCCCTAGTGCTTAAAGACTCCAGGCACACCTCTGCACTTAGCAGTTCCCTGTGTCTGGAATGCTTTTTCCCCAGATATTCTTCTAGCTTACTGTTTCCATTACTTCAGCTCTTTACTTAAAATCCCCTTTCTAAGAAGAAGAAAAAGGGTAAAAAGAAACCCATTAAGGAATAACCACTTCCTGAGGAAGAACCATGTACCAGCACGATTCCTAATCCAGAGAAAATGAAGAAAATGAAAAAAAAGAGAGATAATGAGGACTAACAGAAAGGAATTAGGATTGTATCATCAGGACGCGTCAGGCTTGAGATTCAATTGGGAACATACCAGGGATGCTCTCTTAACGTAATTGAGGGAAGGTTCAATGAAACAAAGTGATTTATCATCTTTAACTTCAAACCTGTTTGTGTCTTGACATCAACTCTGTTAACATCATCATTTTTTAGAGTCTTTGATGTACAAATAAAAGTTTCTTTGTATTAAAGAAAAATCCTCTTTCTCAGCAGGGATTTTTCTGGCCATCCCAACTTTCCCACCACCCTTCCCATCAAACACATAAAGATTTCATTTTCCTGCTTTAGTTTTTCTCCTCTAACGTACTGTGTATTTTGCCGTATCTGTCTGTTGTTATTGTGTGTTTATCTCACTCTCATGAATAGGGTTTTTATTGTTCATTACCATATCCTCACTTCCTAGAAAGAGGCCTAGCCTATCAGACGTAGCTACCTAATAAATAGGTATTAAATGAATGAATGGAGTTTATCCCGGGTATATTGTTTGATTGATTCTCACTTAAAAAATGTTTGACAAGGTTCATTTTAACAATTTTGCCTGGTAATTATATGTATTTTAAAAATTCTTTCGGCTTTTTATAATAAGCTACATTCTTTATATTAATATTTTTTCACTTAGGGAGAAAAGCCCAATATTGTGGTTATTCACTATTCTTTTACTGGTAATCATGATAATTGCAATTATGGTAAAATGAGTTAGAGAAATTACAAACTTTACTGGTATTTTATTTATTTAGAGACAGAGTCTCGCTCTGTCACCCAGGCTGCAGTGCAGTGGTGTGACCTCGGCTCACTGCAACCTCTGCCTCCTGGGTTCAAGCGATTCTCCTACCTCAGCCCCCTGAGGAGCTGGGATTACAGGTGCGTGCCATGACACCCGGCTAATTTTTGTATTTTTAGTAGAGACGGGGTTTCATCCTGTTTGTCAGGCTGGTCTTGAACTCCTGACCTCAGGCAGTCCACCCACCTGGGTGGATTACAGGTGTAAGCCACCACATCCGGCCACTAGTATTTTAGTTTTTTTAGGGTGGTAAATGTAATGGACTCACAAATTCTTTCCAAGGGATTATGGACCTTCGGTATTTGAAATAAAAAGACAGTTGGAATTTTTTGCTTCCGATAGTAAGACTATACTGGTCAGGCACTGTCTATTCTGATGGAGCAGCTGTTGCTGCTTGGCTGTCTTTCAGAAGCAAGCTGCTCACACTGATATTGGTTGGTGAGCACAGCCAGTGGTCGGTCATTGATCGATTGACTAGATTTTGAACTGGCTCTGGCTGGCTTCTTGTTACCATGGCTACAGGTCAATTCTTTCCTAAGTTTGAGTCAACTTTAACCAGAAATTTTCTGTTCAAAAGTTGCCTTCCATTAACTATGTTCAAAAAGAAACTTTTTAATATTCCAGAATTGTGGATTTAAAGTTTTGGTTATGATGACTTGGTTAATAATAGCTCTCACGAAGATTTTTTTTTTTTGATACATCATCTTAACCAGAAGTGTTCTCTGTATAATTTATTTCTTAAAAATAAGTGTTTTGTTTTTGTTTTTGGTATTTTTAGAAGCTTTTGCTCAAGTCCTAACATAATCTCCAGTAGGAGATTTTAGTCTCTTTGTCAGTTCATGTATGTATGTGATAGTCATATTCTGTGTTTTTAAATTCCTTTTCTTGTTCACTTTTTTCTCTGTACAATAATAGTGATATTGTTATACATTTTTATCTCATTAAAAAGTTAACAATTTTCTGCTGGCAAATCTAGCTTTTTCTATATTTTGACTGAATAGGTTAAAAGTGAAGAAAATTTACGAGATCATTTTATTTTCAAACAAAATCATAAGTAATAAAAATTGCTATTTTGAATTATAAATAATGACATTTAGATATTTTAAAAATAAGGATAACCCCCCCCCCCCCCCGCAATAGTTTGGCTTTGTGTTTCTATGCAAATCTCATGTCAAATTGTAATTCCCAGGTGTTGAGGAAAGACCAGCTGGGAGGTGATTGGCTCATGGGGTCGGTTTCCTCCATGCTGTTCTTGTGATAGTGAGTGAGTCCTCACAAGAGCTGATGGTTTCATAAGGGGCTCTTTGCGCTTCACTTCTCTCTTCTCTCTCTCCTGCCGCCTTATGAAGAAGGTGCCTGCTTCCCCTTCCCCTTCTACCATGGTTGTTAAGTTTCCTGAGGCCTCCCCAGCCATGCGTAACTGTGAATCAATTAATCCTCTTTCCTTTATGAATTACCTAGTCTCAGGTATGTATGTGTGTGAATTACCCAGTCTCAGCTATGTACATATGTATATGTGTGAGTGTATATACACACATACATATATATGATACATGTATGTGATGTGAGATATATATATATGTATATACGTCCATTTTCTTTATTCCACGCATCAGTTGATGGACACTGGTTGATTCCATATCTTTGCATATTGTGAATTGTGCTGCAGTAAACATATGTATGCGGGTGTCCTTTTGAGAGTATGATTTCTTTTATTTTATGTAGATATCTGGAAATGAGAATGCTGGATAAAATGGTAGGATCTACTTTTAGTTCTTTGAGAAATCTCCATACTGTTTTCCATAGATTTGTATGAAGTTGCATTCCCACCAGCAGTGTATCACTGTTGTCTTTTCACCGCATCCACACCAACATCTGTTGTTTTTTGATTTCTAATAGTGGCCATTCTGGCTGCAGTGAGGTGATATCTCACTGTGGTTTTATTGTACATTTCCCTGATGATTAGAGATATTTAGCGTGTTTTTATATGCTTGTTTACCGTTTGTACATCTTCTTTTGAGAAATGTCTATTCATGTAATTTGGCCACTTTCCAATGGAATTATTTGCGTTTTTCCTGTTGATTTGTTTGAGTTTCTTGTAGGTTATAGATATTAGTCCTTTGTTAGCATCATAATTTTCAAAATTTTCCCATTGTATAAGTTGTTGTTTTACTCTGATGATTATTTCTTTTGCTGTGCTGAAGCTTTTTAGTTTAATTAGGTCTTATTTATTTATTTTCATTTTTGTTGGATTTGCTTTTAGGGTCTTCCTCATAAATCCTTTGCCTAGGCCAATGTTTTCAGGTCTTAGGTTTAGGCCTTTCATCCATCTTGAATTAATTTTTGTATATGGTGAGAGATAGAGATCCAGTTTCATTCTTCCACATGTGGCTATCTTTTTTTCCCAGCACCATTTATTGAATAACCTGTACTTTCTCCAGTGTATGTTTTTGTATCCTTGCTCAGAGATCACTTGGTTGTAGTGGCTTTATTTCTGAGTTGTCTGTTCTGTTCCATTGATCTATGTATCTGTTTTTATACGAGTACCACGCTGCTTCTGTTACTGTGGTCTTAGAGTATCATTTGAAGTCAGGTAATGTGATGCCAACATATTTGTTCCTTTTGCTTGGTATGTCTGTTGCTGTTCAGGCTCTTTTGTGGTTCTACATGAATGTCAGCATTTTAAAATAATTCTGTGAAGAATGACATTGGTACTTTGGTAGGTATTGTATAGAATGTGTAGACTGCTTTGGGCACTATGGTCATTTTCACTATATCAGTTCTTTCAGTCCATGAACATAGGATGTATTTTCATTTGTTTGTGTCATCTGTTATTTTCTTTGGTGGTGTTTTCCAGTTATCTTTATATAGATCACTCACTTTTTTCATTAAGTATATTCCTAGGTACTTCACACCTTTTTGCAGCCACTGTAAAAGGGATTGGATTGTTGATATGAACTCTCAGCTTGGTTGTAGTTGATGTATAGTGGTGCTACTGATTGGTATTCATTTATTTTGTAACCTCTGAGACTTTACTGAATTCATGTATCAAATCTAGGAGTGTTTTGTAGGAGTCTTTAGGGTTTTCTAGGTATGGGATAATATCATTGGTGAAGAGATAGTTTGACTTCCTCTTTTCCAATTTGGATGCCCTTTATTTCTCTTGCCCAATTGCTCTGCCTAGGACTTCCCAGTTTTATTCTTAATATGCATGAAATAAAAGTAAAATGGAAAGTGCTTAACGATGAGTTTATTTCACATCTCTCTCTCATACACAGATAAAATTATTTCAAAGTCCTATGTTAAAAACATA
The DNA here is from genome assembly GCF_000001405.40 of Homo sapiens. Classification (NCBI taxonomy): domain Eukaryota; kingdom Metazoa; phylum Chordata; class Mammalia; order Primates; family Hominidae; genus Homo; species Homo sapiens. Next base: position 130,077,965 of record NC_000002.12, on the reverse strand, counting down.
ATATTAGACCCTGTCTTGTTCTAAAAGGAATTTCTAAGTTGTTTATAAAATACATAGGAATCAAGAATATAAGTAGAAAGTGTTTCCAAACAATAAACATAAAGAGTATGGGTTACAGGACACAGACCATTAGCAGTCCCTGGCCTGTTAGGACCTGGGCCACACAGCAGGAGGTTCGAGGCAGGTGAGCAAGTGAAGCTCCATCTGTTTACAGCCACTCTCTGTCGCTCGCATTACCGCCCAAGCTCCTCCTCCTGTCAGATCAGCGGTGGCATTAGATTGTCCTGAGTGTGACCTGAACCCTGTTGTAAGTTGCTCATGCAGGGGGATATAGGTTGTTCACTCCTTATGAGAATCGAATGCCTTTCTGATCTGTCACCATCTTCCGTCACCCCCAAATGGGACCATCTAGTTGCAGGAAAACAAGCTCAGGGCTCCCACTGATTCTACATTTTGGTGAGATATAATTATTTCATTATATATTAATAATAATAGAAATAAAGTGCACAATGAATGTAATATACTTGAATCATCCTGGAACCATCCCCCACCTCAGGTTCCTGGAAAAATTATCTTCCACAAAAGCAGTCCCTGGTGCCAGCATGGTTGGGGACACCTGGTTAACAGATGTGAGACCCCTTTGCCTTGTCTTGGAATAATGTGCAGATATGCATTGTGTGAATGACATCTGATGGCGCCATCTTGCCCTGTACATCATTTTAGGGACAGCTCCAGTATTTCATGAAAATTAAAATTTCTTCTAGTGACGAACAAAATGATACTCAGAAGCAATTTTGTGAAGAACAGAACACTGGAATATTACACGATGAGATTCTGATTCATGAAGAAAAGCAGATAGAAGTGGTTGAAAAAATGAATTCTGAGGTATTTTCTTTAGTTATTTTCAAATGTTTTTATATGTGTGTATATTTTAAAGAACTGTATTTTGGAAATATAAAGGATTTTTAAGTCATATATATGTGTGTATATATTCTATATATCCTTTGTCATATATCTATATACGTACGTATAGGATAAAGCCATGTTCTTAATTCACCTTCATTTGCCTGCAACAGTTGAGTAGTGACCTGCACAATGGCCTCAATCCAAAGGAGAAGTATTTGATATTTTTCATAAGAATTGATGATCTTTCCACATCAGAAATAAGTTTTGCTACTGAAAACAGATTTTCTCGTTTTTGGACATTAGTTTTTTAAAAAATGTTAATAGAGAAGTCAATTGATTATTTTTACTGATAAGAAAGTAGGAAATGTATAGCTGGGTCAGAGGCCACATTGTGGATACCATTATCCTTACTTTTGCAGAGAGGAACAGTTTGCTCCAAGTAGTTTCTCATTTCAATGTAAAGAGGTTTGAAAAGAATGACATGCCATGATACACATTTAGTAATAATTTATTGATAAGTATTTTCTTTCTGGAGAAATAGTTCAGTATATTTCCCCTATTTCACCATTACTACTGTTTCAAACATTATAAAGAGGAAATAAAAGTTACCGCAATGGCAAATAATCTCATGATTTCTAAGAAAATCTCTATAAGTTGTATCTTATTTACCATTCATATTTTGAAACAAAAGGTTTCTTTTGTATTTATATATTTACACCACAGAAGTAAGTGTGGTTTTGTGGAGGATCACTAGAAGTAGCATCAGCAGACCTGGGGAAAATCCTGCATCTGTGTATATTTTTTGACCTCTCCTTTTAAGAATCGCGATCTTAAATGAGTTCAGTATTATATGTAGAAGAGCAATGCCTAGATACAGATGTGTACAGTGTAGAAGGGTACAGTGCTTATTTGACAGTTATAAATAAATGTAATTCTTATAACTGAGTATAGAAATATTAGAAATGTAGAATATCGGTAAAACGTTCTTAAGTAAAAGAAACTTAAAGAACTTTGAGAAATTGCTTCTGTCCAAATATATGCATAGCTAAGGCTCTTAGGATGGTGTGGTTGATAGGTTAGATATCAGAGTGTAAACCTAATCTTAAAAATGTAGTCAAATTATTAATCTTATATTTTATGCCTCTGGGTTTTTTGTAACTCAGAAAAAAGGCTTTTTTTAATTCTGGGATTCTTAAAAATCCTCTAGTGATTTATTTTTCATCGTCTTTAAATAAATATTTAAACTTTTAGGAATTTAGGAGCAGATTCCTAAAAGTTTAAATATTTATTTAAAGACGATGAAAAATAAATCACTGGAGGAATTTACACTCTTATTAGGTTTGAAGTTTTGTCCAATTTTTTTCCAGTTAAATATCCACTATGGGGATTCTTTCATTATACAAATACATGTTATTTTTGAATTTCAGAAGAAATCATGATATGTCAATCTATTGAGTGCTAACTAAAAGTTCTCTTTGTTTACTTAGCTTTCTCTTAGTTGTAAGAAAGAAAAAGACATCTTGCATGAAAATAGTACGTTGCGGGAAGAAATTGCCATGCTAAGACTGGAGCTAGACACAATGAAACATCAGAGCCAGCTAAGAGAAAAGAAATATTTGGAGGATATTGAAAGTGTGAAAAAAAGGAATGATAATCTTTTAAAGGCTCTACAATTGAATGAGCTCACCATGGATGATGATACCGCTGTGCTCGTCATTGACAACGGCTCTGGCATGTGCAAGGCCGGCTTTGCGGGCGACGATGCCCCCCGGGCTGTCTTCCCTTCCATCGTGGGGCGCCCCAGGCAGCAGGGCATGATGGGGGGCATGCATCAGAAAGAGTCCTATGTGGGCAAGGAGGCCCAGAGCAAAAGAGGCATCCTGACCCTGAAGTACCCCATGGAACACGGCATCATCACCAACTGGGATGACATGGAGAAGATCTGGCACCACACCTTCTACAACGAGCTGCGTGTGGCTCCCGAGGAGCACCCCGTCCTGCTGACCGAGGCCACCCTGAACCCTAAGGCCAACCGCGAGAAGATGACCCAGATCATGTTTGAGACCTTCAACACCCCAGCCATGTACGTGGCCATCCAGGCTGTGCTGTCCCTGTACACCTCTGGCCGTACTACTGGCATCGTGATGGACTCTGGTGACGGGGTCACCCACACTGTGCCCATCTATGAGGGGAATGCCCTCCCCCATGCCACCCTGCGCCTAGACCTGGCTGGGCGGGAACTGCCTGACTACCTCATGAAGATCCTCACCGAGCATGGCTATAGGTTCACCACCATGGCCGAGCGGGAAATCGTGCGTGACATCAAAGAGAAGCTGTGCTATGTTGCCCTGGACTTCGAGCAGGAGATGGCCACGGTGGCCTCCAGCTCCTCCCTAGAGAAGAGCTACGAGCTGCCCGATGGCCAGGTCATCACCATCGGCAACGAGCGGTTCCGCTGCCCCGAGGCGCTCTTCCAGCCTTGCTTCCTGGGCATGGAATCCTGTGGCATCCATGAAACTACCTTCAACTCCATCATGAAGTCTGATGTGGACATCCGCAAAGACCTGTACACCAACACAGTGCTGTCTGGCGGCACCACCATGTACCCTGGCATGGCCCACAGAATGCAGAAGGAGATCGCTGCCCTGGCGCCTAGCATGATGAAGATCAGGATCATTGCTCCTCCCAAGCGCAAGTACTCCGTGTGGGTCGGTGGCTCCATCCTGGCCTCGCTGTCCACCTTCCAGCAGATGTGGATCAGCAAGCAGGAGTATGATGAGTCAGGCCCCTCCATTGTCCACCGCAAATGCTTGTAGGTGGACTCTGACTTAGTTGCGTTACACCCTTTCTTGACAAAACCAAACTTCTCAGAAAACAACATGAGATTGGCATGGCTTTATTTGTTTTCTTGTTTCATTTTTTGTTTTGTTTTTTATTGGCTTGACTCAGGATTTAAAAACCGGAATGGTGAAGGTGACAGCAGTCGGTTGGAGGAAGCTTCCTCCAAAGTTCTACAATGTGGCCAAGGACTTTGATTGTACCTTGTTCTTCTTTTCAATAGTCATTCCAAATATTGTGAGACGCATTGTTTCAGGAAGCCCCTTGCCCTGCTAAAAGCCACCCCACTTCTCTCTAAGGAGAATGGCCCAGTCCTCTCCCTAGTTCACACAGGGGAGGTGATAGCATTGCTTTTGTGCAAATTACATAATGCAAAATTTTTTGAATCTTCGCCTTAATACTTTTTAATTTTGTTTTATTTTGAATGATCAGCCTTCGTGGCCCCCCTCTTTTGTACCCCAACTTGGGGTGTATGAAGGCTTTTGGTCTCCCTGAGAGTGGCTGGAGGCAGCCAGGGCTTACCTGTACTCTGACTTGAGGAGAGTTGGATAAAAGTGCACACCTTAAAACAAATTGAGGAAGCACAGTATTTCAGTACAGTGGACAGCTTAGCATGTTGACAACTGAGAATAAAATGCTCAGTTCTGAACTGGACAATGTAAGACACAACGAGGAAACACTGGAAATGGAAATTCAATTACGTCATTGTAGACTGGCTGCTGCTCTACATGATTGTGACCAAAGTCAGATAGCTGAAAGAGACTTCTTTCCAGAGAACAAGACATGAACAGGTTTATTTACAGAAGACAATGAATTCTCATTTATCTCACCTAAAAGAGAACAGATTCTTTCTCAACAAGTCTAATGAAGACAGTAAAATCAACAGGCTAAAAATTAAGCTCCACGAAACAAGATAAAACTCTGAGAGAAAAGACGGGGCAGGCCGCCATCTTTCCCGTTCAGGCAACGTAGTCATTCCAGCCTGCGGGCTTTGGAGAGTACAAACCGACGAGGGACAGAAGAGATCCCACAGCACAGCATAGCTGCTTTACCAAATCATGGCCAGACTGCTTCTGTAAGCAGGCCCCTGATCCTGTTCCACCTCACTGGACAGGACCTCCCAACTGGGGCCTCCAGCTACCCCCACCAGCATTCCTTGGCCAATGGAAATGTGAAATGTTCCTGGGACAGAGCTCCCGGAGAGGGGCAGGCCCCCACCTTTGCTCTTTCGGTGACTAGCCATTCTGGCCTGCGGGCTTTGGAGAGCCCAAGCTGACAAGGGGTGGAAGAGGTACCTCAGCACAGCACAGCCACGCTACAAAAACGTGGCCAGACTCTTGTTTACGTCAGTCCCTGATCACATTTCTAGTCAGCGGGTGAAGTCTTTCAACCAGGGTCTCTGGCTACCTTGACTGCTGTTCTCTGGCCGACAGAGGTCTCAGGCCTCCCTGAGTCAGAGCTCCCAGGGGGAGGACCAGATTGTCATCTTTGCTGTTTGGGCGACCCAGCCATTTCAGCCTTAGGGCTTCAGAGTGTCTGAGGCGGACCAGGGGCTGAAGTGAACCCCCAGCACAGCACAGCTGCTCTATAAAAACGTGGCCAGACTTTTTTTTTTGAAGCAAGTCCCTGTTCTCGTTCGTCCTGACTAGGTAAGACTTCTCAACTTGCCTCCAGCCACATCTTATAGGTGTGTTCAGATTGGCAACAGGTTCGTACCTCAGTGGTACAGAGCTTCCAGAGGAAGGGGCAGACTATCATCTTCCGTGGAAAATACAAGGCAATTAGGGACTGGAGGGGACCCCCAGCATACCACAGCAGCCCTACAGAAAAGTGGCCGGGCTCTCTACTTGATGGGCAGATCCTCCTGGCCTGGGTCTCTAGCCAGCCCACCACTGGAGCTATCAAGCCAGTAGCAACTCTGCAGTTCCTGGGACAGAGCTTCCAGGAGCAAATGAAATCCTTTCTGCCACTGCCTCTGCAGTGGAACTGCCCTTGCTACCCTCAGAAGATGCAAGGGTGCAAAGACCCTAAGTGCCCTATCAACACCTCCAATAAGCTGCAGTTGACCCAAAGAACAAGCCAGTCCATCTCCCACGGGTACCACACACCCTCCACTACTCATCACCAGACAGGGAACCCTGGCTTGGGCCCACAGCACAGACCCTCCATCCTGGGCTGATTACACTAAGTGATTGCTAACTCACATGTCTCTGGGATGGAGCACCCAGGAAACAAGCAAAGTGGTGGAGCAGCAAGTCAGGTGATGTGGAGCCCAGAGGTCAGGGATGGCTGTCTCTCTAGGGTCCACTTGCCCTTGTGAGACACTTTATCCCAGCACTTTAGGAATGCTGAGGTCATACCAGCCACATCTTATATGCAAGATTGCCCAGCAGAGATCAGGTCCGAGAGTTCCCTTTTTAAAAAAAGGAGACTTGCTTAATAAAAGAAGTCTAGCCACGTTTGTGTAGAGCAGCTGTGCTGTGCTGGGGGTTCACTTTTGAGAGAGTTCTCCTCTGAGACCTGATCTCTGGAGGCTGGGCAGTCTTGCACTTGAGATGGGGCTGGTCTGATCTCAGCACTCCTTAGTCTGCTCGCCTCTCCCATGGCCCCAGCCTGGCCACACCTGCTTACGGGGCACTCGTAGATGCCCACACCATAGCTTCCATGCTAGTGGACTGTACCATATCAGTGGAGAGCTGCAGCAAGGTGGCCTCTAGAGCCACGCACCAGCCTGCACATTGCCTCTCCATACGGCAGCCCTTTATTTGGAAACTTCCTAAATCACTTTGCTGTGTGTGTTTACACGGGTGGGTTTTGCTTTACTTGCCCTGAGAGCACACGGGAGTGCAGCACACACCCCAACCCACATCAACTGCCATTAAAGAAAAGAAATTTCAGCCCAGAATTTCATGTCCAGCAAAATTAAGCATCATAAGTGAAGGAGAAATAAGATCCTTTTCAGACAAGCAAATGCTGAGGGAATTTGGTATCACCAGATCTACCTTACGAGAGCTCCTGAAGGAAGCACTAAATATGGAAAGAAAAGATCATCACCTGCTACTACAAAAACACACTGAAGTACACAGTCCAATGATGCTAAAAAGCAAGCACATATGTAAGTCTGCAAAATAACCAGCTGACAGCATGACGACAGGATAAATTCCACACATACCATTACTAACCTTAAATGTAAATGGGCTAAATGCTCCCATTGAAAGACACGGGGCAAGCTGGGTAAAGAACCAAGACCCACTGGAGTATGCCGTCTTCAAGCAACCCATCTCATGTGCAGTGCCATACATAGGCTCAAAATAAAGGAATGGAGAAAAATATTTCAAGCAAATGGAAAACAGAAAAAAGGTGTTGCACTCCCAGTTTCTGACAAAACAGACTCTACCAATAAAGATAAAAAAAGAGAAGGACATTACAAAGGTGGTCCTGACCTTTGATAAATCTCATTATTGCTTGATACCAACCTGGGCTATTTGTATTGCCCAAACCAATAGGATAATTTGCTGAGGTTGTGGAGCTTCTCCCTTTCACAGAGTCCCTGATCTCCGAAAATTTGGTTGAGATGTAAGGTTGATTTTGCTGTACAACTCCTTTTTTGAAGTTTTACTCATTTCCAACAAGGAAGGCAAGTTTTCCTGCTTCCATTGACAAAGGAGAGCAGGCACCTCCTTTCCTGAGTTTCAGCTTGCTTCTGACAGGGAAGGTGAGTGTAAGTTTTTCCAGCTTCTAAGATGGCAGAGAATGATCACCCAGTCTGAGCCTTATTTCCAGGTAAGTAGCTGAATTAGAGTTTTGTCTTAAAATTTTTGTTTAATGACTAAAATTTAAGATTACCCACCAGCTGCTTTTAATTCCTCCTTACCATTAGAACACTCAGTTAATCATATGAATTGTGCATTTGTTTGTTTTGCTTAACTCTTTTTGTTTATGTTTGGGGTTTTATTGTTGTTTCACTTTTCTCCCATCTCTTCCTGACTTGGTCAAATCCAAAGGAATGTTCCAAATTGTGGGGAGCAAGGCATCTGAATTGGCTAAAACTCCTGTGGCTGCAAAACAAAAACAAAACAAAAAAAAAACACAAAAAACAAAAAACAAAAAAAAATCCAGTTGGAAATTTTTTAAAACTTTTTTTTAATTTTTAAATTTTATTATTATACTTTAAGTTTTAGGGTACATGTGCACAATGTGCAGGTTTGTTACATATGTATACATGTGCCATGTTGGTGTGCTGCACCCATTAACTCGTCATTTAACATTAGGTATATCTCCTAATGCTATCCCTCCCTCCTCCCCCACCCCACAACAGTTCTCGGTGTGTTATGTTACCCTTCTGTGTCCATGTGTTCTCATTGTTCAGTTCCCACCTACGAGTGAGAACATGAGGTGTTTGGTTTTCTGTTCTTGTGTTAGTTTGCTGAGAGTGATGATTTCCAGCTTCATCGATGTCCCTGCAAAGGACATGAACTCATCCTTTTTTATGGGTGCATAGCATTCCATAGTGTATATATGCCACATTATCCAGTCTATCATTGATGGGCATTTGGATTGGTTCCAAGTGTTTGCTGTTGTGAACTGTGCCGCAGTAAACATACGTGTGCATGTGTCTTTATATTAGAATGATTTATTATTTTTTCAGTATATACCCAGTAATGGGATTGCTGGGTTAAATGTATTTCTAGTTGTAGATCCTTGAGGAATTGTCACACTGTCTTCCACAATGGATGAACTAATTTATACTACCACCAAGAGTGTAAAAGCGTTCCTATTTCTCCACGTCCTCTCCAACATCTGTTGTTTCCTCATCTTTTAATGTTGGCCATTCTAAGTGGTGTGAGATTGTATCTCATTGTGGTTTTGATTTCCATTTCTCTAATGACCAGTGATGATGTGGTTTGCTTCACATGTTCTTTAGCTGCATAAATGTCTTATTTGGGAAGTGTCTGTTCATATGTTTTGCCCATTTTTTGATGGGGTTGTTTTTTTTCTTGTAAATTTGTTTAAGTTCTTTGTAGATTCTGCATATTAGCTGTTTGTCAGATGGATAGATTGCAAAAATTTTCTCCCATTCTGTGGGTTGCCTGTTCATTCTGATGATAGTTTCTTTTGCTCTGCAAACACTCTTTAGCTTAATTAGGTCCCATTTGTCAATTTTGGCTTTTGTTGCCATTGCTTTTGGTGTTGTAGTGATGAAGTCTCTGCCCATGCCTATGTCCTGAATGGTATTGCCTAACACAAGGACATTTCTGTGCCTGAGTGCCATACCACCCAAAGTGATTTATAGATTCAGTGCTATCCCCATCAAGCTACCATTGACTTTCTTCACAAAATTAGAAAAACTACTTTAAATTTCATATGGAACCAAAAAAGAGTCTACATAGCCAAGACAATCCTAAGCAAAAAGAACAAAGCTGGAGGCATCACAGTACCTGACTTCAAACTATTCTACGAGGCCACAGTAACGGAAACAGCATGGTACTGGTACCAAACCAGGTATATAGACCAATGGAATGGAACAGAGGCCACAGAAATGACACCACACATGTAAAACCACCAGATCTTTGACAAAACTGACAAAGGTAAGCACTGGGGAAAGGATTGCCTATTTAATAAATGGTGTTAGGAAAACTGGCTAGCCATATGCAGCAAACTGAAACTGGGCCACTTCCTTACACTTTATACAAAAATTAAGAAGCATAAAAGAGTTAAACGTAAGACCTAAAAGCAAAAAACCTAGAAGAAAATGTAGGCCACCAACCTCAGGGGAATGTACTTGTAGTGAAATGCATGGTACAAACACGCATTCCCTACTTCCTTGAGTGGGTGAGGTTGGTGGCTGGTCCATCTGCTCCAAGTGGACCCTTACAGATGTGGCTGGTTGCTCTTTGAGCCAGCTTGGCCTTGCCCGGCATGCACAAGCATCAGTGAATAACTGTGCTATAAATGGAGCCACATAGAAGAAATGAGCAGCAGGCTCAAGACCATGGTGTGCACTGCCTTTGGCGCTCCAGTCCGTGCCTCAGGGATGGTATGGCACTGCGAGCTTCTTGTTTGCCAAGAGGCAGACCACAGGCCATCTTGAGGAGGACTTTATGTTCAAGGGCAGAAAACAGCCAGGATTACCACCCAGGGGACTTGGCCTTCTGTGGCCGTGGCCAGACTTAGAATTTGTGTCAGGGCAGGGCAAGCTCACTCGGAGCAGCGTGTCGGTACCTGGGGCCTGTGCATGCCAGGGAAGGCCAAGCTGGCTCAAAGAGCAACCAGCCACCTCTGCAAGGGTGCGCCTGGACCAGTTGGACTAGCCACCAACCTCACCCACTGAAGGAAGCAGGGATGACCAGGTTACAGGAGCCTGAGTAGCTGCCACCTGAGGGCTGATGGAGCAGAGGCCTGAGGAAAATCAGATGGCACGTTTAACTGTTTAATGGATCTTGTTAATTTTTCTATAAAGCAGATGTCACCAGTCCATGCCTCAGAGCTCGTATGGCACTGCAGACCACAGAAGGCCGAGTCCCCTGGGTGGCAATCTTGGCTGCTTTCTGCACTTGAACATAAAGTCCTCCTCAAGACGGCCTGTGGTCTGCCTCTTGGCCCTACCTTTAGGGTAGAAGAACCGATGTACCATGTTTGGCAGCAAGTGAGGTTGGTGGCTGGTCCGGTTGCTCCTGGCACACCCTTGCAGAGGTGGCTGGTTCTCTTTGAGCCAGCTTGGCCTTGCTCGGGATGCACAAGCCTCAGTGCAACTACTGTGCTACAAACGGAGCCAAAGAGGAAATGAGCAGCAGGCTCAGCAGCAGGGTGTGCGCTGCCTTTGGGGCTCCAGTCCATGCCTCGGGTCGTATTGCACTGCAGGCTTCTTGGTTGCCAAGAGGCAGACCACAGGCCCTCTTGAGGAGGACTTCATGTTCAAGTGCAGAAAGCAGCCATGATTGCCACGCAGGGGACTCGGCCTTTTGTGGCCGTGGCGAGACTTAGAATTTGTGTCAAGGCAGGAGAAGCTCACTCAGAGCAGCGTGTTAGTACCTGGGGCCTGTGCATGTCCGGGAAGGCCAAGCTGGCTCAAAGAGCAACCAGCCACCTCTACAAGGGTGCGCCTGGACCAGTTGGACCAGCCACCAACCTCACCCACTGAAGGAAGCAGGGATGGCCAGGTTCCCACAGCCTGAGTGGCTGCCACCTGAGGGCTGATGGAGCAGAGGCCTGAGTAAAATCAGATGGCATGTTTAACTCTTTAATAGATCTTAGGTTAATTTTTCTATAAAGCAGATGTCACTAGTCCACGTCTCAGAGCTTGTATGGCAGTGCAGACCACAGAAGGCTGAGTCCCCTTGGTGGCAATCCTGGCTGCTTTCTGCACTTGAACATAAAGTCCTCCTCAAGACGGCCTGTGGTCTGCCTCTTGGCCCTGCCTTTAGGGTAGAAGAACCAATGTACCATGTCCCGCAGCGAGTGAGGTTGGTGGCTGGTCTGGCTGCTCCTGGCACACACTTGCAGAGGTGGCTGGTTGCTGTTTGAGCCAGCTTGGCCTTGCCTGGCATGCACAAGTCTCAGTGCAACAACTGTGCTACAAATGGAGCCACAGAGAGGAAATGAGCGGCAGAGTTAGGAGCAGGATGTGCGCAGCCTTTGAGCCAGCTTGGCCTTGCTCGGGATGCACAAGCCTCAGTGCAACTACTGTGCTACAAACGGAGCCAAAGAGGAAATGAGCAGCAGGCTCAGCAGCAGGGTGTGCGCTGTCTTTGGGGCTCCAGTCCATGCCTCAGGGCTCATATGGCATTGCAGGCTTCTTGGTTGCCAAGAGGCAGACCACAGGCCGTCTTGAGGAGGACTTTATGTTCAAGTGCAGAAAGCAGCCAGGATTACCACCCAGGGGACTTGGCCTTCTGTGGCCCTGTCCAGACTTTGAATTTGTGTCAAGGCAGGAGAAGCTCACTCGGAGCAACGTGTTAGTACCTGGGGCCTGTGCATGCCAGGCAAGGCCAAGCTGGCTCAAAGAGCAACCAGCCACCTCTGCAAGGGTGTGCCAGGACCAGGTGGACCAGCCAGCAACCTCAGCTACTCAAGGAAGCTGGGATGGCCAGTTTCCTACAGCCTGAGTGGCTGCCTCCTGATAACTGATGGAGCAGAGGCCTTAGGAAAAGCAGATGGCCCTGTGGCCCTACCTTTAGGGTAGAAGTACTGATGTGCCATGTGCAGCAGCAAGTGAGGTTGGTGGCTGGTGCAGCGGCTCCTGGCACACCCTCGCAGAGGTGACTGGTTGCTCTTTGAGACAGCTTGGCCTTGCCCGGCATGCACAAGCCTCAGTGCAACAACTGTGCTACAAATGGAGCCACAGAGAGGAAATGAGCAGCAGGCTCAGGAGCAGGGTGTGCGCTGCCTTTGGGGCTCCAGTCCATGCCTCAGGGGTCATATGACACTGTGGGCTTCTTGGTTACCAGGAGGCACACAACAGGCCGTCTCGAGGAGGACTTCATGTTCAAGTGCAGAAAGCAGCCAGGATTACCATCCAGGGGACTCGGCCTTCTGTGGCCCTGGCCAGACTCAGAATTTGTTCCAAGGCAGGACTAGCTCTCTCAGAGCAGCGTGTCAGTAGCTGGGACCTATGCATGCCAGGCAAGGCCAAGCTGGCTCAAAGAGCAACCAGCCACCTCTGCAAGGGTGTGCCAGGACAAGGTGGACCAGCCAGCAACCTCAGCTACTCAAGGAAGCTGGGATGGCCAGTTTCCAACAGCGTGAGTGGCTGCCTCCTGATGGCTGATGGAGCAGAGGCCTTAGGAAAAGCAGATGGCCCTGTGGCCCTACCTTTAGGGTAGAAGTACTGATGTGCCATGTGCAGCAGCAAGTGAGGTTGGTGGCTGGTGCAGCGGCTCCTGGCACACCCTCGCAGAGGTGACTGGTTGCTCTTTGAGACAGCTTGGCCTTGCCCGGCATGAACAAGCCTCAGTGCAACCTCTCTGCTACATATGGAGCCACAGAGAGGAAACGAGCAGCAGGCTCAGGAGCAGGCTGTGCGCTGCCTTTGGGGCTCCAGTCCAAGCCTCGAGTGGTATAGCACTGCGGGCTTCTTGGTTGCCTAGAGGTGGACCACAGGCCGTCTTGCGGAGGACTTTATGTTCAAGTGCAGAAAGCAGCCAGGATTACCATCCAGGGGACTCGGCCTTCTGTAGCCCTGGCCAGACCTTGCAGAGGTGGCTGGTTGCTCTTTGAGCCAGCTTGGCCTCCCTGGCATGCACAGGCCCCAGGTACTAACACGCTGCTCTGAGTGAGCTTGTCCTGCCTTGGCTGCCACCTAATTGCTGATGGAGCAGAGGCATTAGGAAAAGCAGATGGCACTGCGGCCCACCTTTAGGGTAGAAGAACTGATGTACCATGTCCGGCCGCTAGTGGGTGAGTGGTACAACTGCTCCTGGCACACCCTTGCAGAGGTGGCTGGTTGCTCTTTGAGCCAGCTTGGCCTTCCCCGGCATGCACAAGCCTCAGTGCAACAACTGTGCTACAAATGGAGCCACAGAGAGGAAACGAGCAGTAGGCTCAGGAGCCGGGTGTGTGCTGCCTTTGGGGCTCCAGTCCATGCCTCGGGTCGTATGGCACTGTGGGCTTCTTGGTTGCCAAGAGGCAGACCACAGGCTGTCTTGAGGAAGACTTTATGTTCAAGTGCAGAAAGCAGCCATGATTGCCACGCAGGGGACTCGGCCTTTTGTGGCCGTGGCGAGACTTAGAATTTGTGTCAAGGCAGGAGAAGCTCACTCAGAGCAGCGTGTTAGTACCTGGGGCCTGTGCATGTCCGGGAAGGCCAAGCTGGCTCAAAGAGCAACCAGCCACCTCTACAAGGGTGCGCCTGGACCAGTTGGACCAGCCACCAACCTCACCCACTGAAGGAAGCAGGGATGGCCAGGTTCCCACAGCCTGAGTGGCTGCCACCTGAGGGCTGATGGAGCAGAGGCCTGAGTAAAATCAGATGGCATGTTTAACTCTTTAATAGATCTTAGGTTAATTTTTCTATAAAGCAGATGTCACTAGTCCACGTCTCAGAGCTTGTATGGCAGTGCAGACCACAGAAGGCTGAGTCCCCTTGGTGGCAATCCTGGCTGCTTTCTGCACTTGAACATAAAGTCCTCCTCAAGACGGCCTGTGGTCTGCCTCTTGGCCCTGCCTTTAGGGTAGAAGAACCAATGTACCATGTCCCGCAGCGAGTGAGGTTGGTGGCTGGTCTGGCTGCTCCTGGCACACACTCGCAGAGGTGGCTGGTTGCTGTTTGAGCCAGCTTGGCCTTGCCTGGCATGCACAAGCCTCAGTGCAACAACTGTGCTACAAACGGAGCCACAGAGAGGAAACGAGCCGCAGGGTCAGGAGCAGGGTGTGCTCTGCCTTTGGGCCTCCAGTCCATGCCTCAGAACTCGTATGGCACTGCAGGCTTCTTGGTTTCCAAGAGGCAGACCTCAGGCCCTCTTGAGGAGGACTTCATGTTCAAGTGCAGAAAGCAGCCAGGATTACCATCCAAGGGACTCGGCCTTCTGTGGCCCTGGCCAGACTCAGAATTTGTGCCAAGGCAGGACAAGCTCACTCGGAGCAGCGTGTCAGTAGCTGGGGCCTATGCATGCCAGGCAAGGCCAAGCTGGCTCAAAGAGCAACCAGCCAACTCTGCAAGGGTGTGCCAGGAGCAGGTGGACCATCCAGCAACCTCAGCTACTCAAGGAAGCTGGGATGGCCAGGTTCCAACAGCCTGAGTGGCTGCCTCCTGATGGCTGATGGAGCAGAGGCCTTAGGAAAAGCAGATGGCCCTGTGGCCCTACCTTTGGGGTAGAAGTACTGATGTGCCATGTCCGGTAGCAAGTGAGGTTGGTGGCTGGTGCACCGGCTCCTGGCGCACCCTTGCAGAAGTGACTGGTTGCTCTTTGAGTCAGCTTGGCCTTGCCCGGCATGCACAAGCCTCAGTGCAAGAACAGTGCTACAAATGGAGCCATAGAGAGGAAACGAGCAGCAGGCTCAGGAGCAGTGTGTGCGCTGCCTTTGGGGCTCCAGTCCATGCCTCGAGTTGTATAGCACCGCGGGCTTCTTACTTGCCTGGAGGCAGACCACAGGCCGTCTTGAGGAAGACTTTATGTTCAAGTACAGAAAGCAGCCAGGATTACCATCCAGGGGGGCCTTCTGTAGCCCTGGCCAGACCTTGCAGAGGTGGCTGGTTGCTCTTTGAGCCAGCTTGGCCTTCCTGGCATGCACAGGCCCCAGATACTAACACGCTGCTCTGAGTGAGCTTGTCCTGCCTTGGCTGCCACCTAATTGCTGATGGAGCAGAGGCCTTAGGAAAAGCAGATGGCACTGTGGTCCACCTTTAGGGTAGAAGAACTGATGTACCATGTCCGGCCGCTGGTGGGTGAGTGGTGCACCTGCTCCTGGCACACCCTTGCAGAGGTGGCTGGTTGCTCTTTGAGCCAGCTTGGCCCTTCCCTGGCATGCACAAGCCTCAGTGCAACAACTGTGCTACAAATGGAGCCACAGAGAGGAAACGAGCCGCAGGGTCAGGAGCAGGGTGTGCTCTGCCTTTGGGCCTCTAGTCCATGCCTCAGAACTCGTATGGCACTGCAGGCTTCTTGGTTGCCAAGAGGCAGACAACAGGCCATCTTGAGGAGGACTTTATGTTCAAGTGCAGAAAGCAGCCCGGATAACCATCCAGGGGACTTGGCCTTCTGTGACCCTGGCCAGACTCAGAATTTGTGCCAATGCAGGACAAGCTCACTTGGAGCAGTGTGTCAGTAGCTGAGGCCTATGCATGCCAGGCAGGGCCAAGCTGGCTCAAAGAGCAACCAGCCACCTCTGCAAAGGTGTGCCAGGAGCAGGTGGACCAGCCACCAACTTCAGCCACTGAAGGAAGCACGGATGGCCAGGTTCCAACAGCCTGATTGGTGCTTCCTGATGGCTCATGGAGCAGAGGCCTTAGGAAAAGCAGATGGCCCTGTGGCCCACCTTCAGGGTAGAAGAACTGATGTACCATGTCCGGCCACTAGTTGGTGACTGGTGCACCTGCTCCTGGCACACCCTTGCAGAGGTGGCTGGTTGCTCTTTGAGCCAGCTTGGCCTTCCCTGGCATGCACAAGCCTCAGTGCAACAACTGTGCTACAAATGGAGCCACAGAGAGGAAACGAGCAGTAGGCTCAGGAGCCGGGTGTGTGCTGCCTTTGGGGCTCCAGTCCATGCCTCGGGTCGTATGGCACTGTGGGCTTCTTGGTTGCCAAGAGGCAGACCACAGGCTGTCTTGAGGAAGACTTTATGTTCAAGTGCAGAAAGCAGCCCGGATAACCATCCAGGGGACTTGGCCTTCTGTGACCCTGGCCAGACTCAGAATTTGTGCCAATGCAGGACAAGCTCACTTGGAGCAGTGTGTCAGTAGCTGAGGCCTATGCATGCCAGGCAGGGCCAAGCTGGCTCAAAGAGCAACCAGCCACCTCTGCAAAGGTGTGCCAGGAGCAGGTGGACCAGCCACCAACTTCAGCCACTGAAGGAAGCACGGATGGCCAGGTTCCAACAGCCTGATTGGTGCTTCCTGATGGCTGATGGAGCAGAGGCCTTAGGAAAAGCAGATGGCCCTGTGGCCCTACCTTTAGGGTAGAAGTACTGATGTGCCATGTGCAGCAGCAAGTGAGGTTGGTGGCTGGTGCAGCGGCTCCTGGCACACCCTCGCAGAGGTGACTGGTTGCTCTTTGAGACAGCTTGGCCTTGCCCGGCATGAACAAGCCTCAGTGCAACCTCTCTGCTACATATGGAGCCACAGAGAGGAAACGAGCAGCAGGCTCAGGAGCAGGCTGTGCGCTGCCTTTGGGGCTCCAGTCCAAGCCTCGAGTGGTATAGCACTGCGGGCTTCTTGGTTGCCTAGAGGCAGAAAACAGGCCGTCTTGCGGAGGACTTTATGTTCAAGTGCAGAAAGCAGCCAGGATTACCATCCAGGGGACTCGGCCTTCTGTCGCCCCGGCCAGACCTTGCAGAGGTGGCTGGTTGCTCTTTGAGCCAGCTTCACCTCCCTTGCATGCACAGGCCCCAGGTACTAACACGCTGCTCTGAGTGAGCCTGTCCTGCCTTGGCTGCCACCTAATTGCTGATGGAGCAGAGGCCTTAGGAAAAGCAGATGGCCCTGTGGCCCACCTTCAGGGTAGAAGAACTGATGTACCATGTCCGGCCACTAGTTGGTGACTGGTGCACCTGCTCCTGGCACACCCTTGCAGAGGTGGCTGGTTGCTCTTTGAGCCAGCTTGGCCTTGCCCGGCATGCACAAGCCTCAGTGCAACAACTGTGCTACAAATGGAGCCACAGAGAAGAAAGGAGCAGCAGGCTCAGGAGCAGGGTGTGCGCTGCCTTTGGGGCTCCAGTCCATGCCTTGGGTCATATAGCACTGCGGGCTTCTTGGTTGCCTAGAGGTGGACCACAGGCCGTCTGGAGGAGGACTTTATGTTCAAGTGCAGAAAGCAGCCAGGATTACCATCCAGGGGACTCGGCCTTCTGTAGCCCTGGCCAGACCTTGCAGAGGTGGCTGGTTGCTCTTTGAGCCAGCTTGGCCTCCCTGGCATGCACAGGCCCCAGGTACTAACACGCTGTTCTGAGTGAGCTTGTCCTGCCTTGGCTGCCACCTAATTGCTGATGGAGCAGAGGCATTAGGAAAAGCAGATGGCACTGCGGCCCACCTTTAGGGTAGAAGAACTGATGTACCTTGTCCGGCCGCTAGTGGGTGAGTGGTACAACTGCTCCTGGCACACCCTTGCAGAGGTGGCTGGTTGCTCTTTGAGCCAGCTTGGCCTTCCCCGGCATGCACAAGCCTCAGTGCAACAACTGTGCTACAAATGGAGCCACAGAGAGGAAACGAGCAGTAGGCTCAGGAGCCGGGTGTGTGCTGCCTTTGGGGCTCCAGTCCATGCCTCGGGTCGTATGGCACTGTGGGCTTCTTGGTTGCCAAGAGGCAGACCACAGGCTGTCTTGAGGAAGACTTTATGTTCAAGTGCAGAAAGCAGCCATGATTGCCACGCAGGGGACTCGGCCTTTTGTGGCCCTGGCGAGACTTAGAATTTGTGTCAAGGCAGAAGAAGCTCACTCAGAGCAGCGTGTTAGTATCTGGGGCCTGTGCATGTCCGGGAAGGCCAAGCTGGCTCAAAGAGCAACCAGCCACCTCTACAAGGGTGCGCCTGGACCAGTTGGACCAGCCACCAACCTCACCCACTGAAGGAAGCAGGGATGGCCAGGTTCCCACAGCCTGAGTGGCTGCCACCTGAGGGCTGATGGAGCAGAGGCCTGAGTAAAATCAGATGGCATGTTTAACTCTTTAATAGATCTTAGGTTAATTTTTCTATAAAGCAGATGTCACTAGTCCATGTCTCAGAGCTTGTATGGCAGTGCAGACCACAGAAGGCTGAGTCCCCTTGGTGGGAATCCTGGCTGCTTTCTGGACTTGAACATAAAGTGCTCCTCAAGGCGGCCTGTGGTCTGCCTCTTGGCCCTACCTTTAGGGTAGAAGAACCAATGTACCATGTCCCGCAGCGAGTGAGGTTGGTGGCTGGTCTGGCTGCTCCTGGCACACACTCGCAGAGGTGGCTGGTTGCTGTTTGAGCCAGCTTGGCCTTGCCTGGCATGCACAAGTCTCAGTGCAACAACTGTGCTACAAATGGAGCCACAGAGAGGAAATGAGCGGCAGAGTTAGGAGCAGGATGTGCGCTGCCTTTGGGGCTCCAGTCCATGCCTCGGGTCGAATGGCACTGCAGGCTTCTTGGTTGCCAAGAGGCAGACCACAGGCCCTCTTGAGGAGGACTTCATGTTCAAGTGCAGAAAGCAGCCAGGATTACCATCCAAGGGACTCGGCCTTCTGTGGCCCTGGCCAGACTCAGAATTTGTGCCAAGGCAGGACAAGCTCACTCGGAGCAGCGTGTCAGTAGCTGGGGCCTATGTATGCCAGGCAAGGCCAAGCTGGCTCAAAGAGCAACCAGTCACCTCTGCAAGGGTGCACCTGTGGTCTGGAGGTTGGTGGCTCCCTGTGTTAGTCCTCCAAGCCCATATTTTCCTTCTGCAGTGCCCTCGCAGAGGTTTCTGAAGAGGCTCTGCCTCTGCAGCATGCTTCTGCCTGGAAACAGTGGGAGGTAGTTTTGCAGGGTGGAAGCCTTCACCAGTGGTTAAGCACCATCTTCATGATGCTGACCTCGTGATAGTGAGTTCTCATGAGATCTGCTTGTATAACATGATGTGGCACCTCTTTCCTCTCTCTGTCTTGCTCCTTCTCCTGCTGTATGAAACATCTCCTTGCCCCTTGGTCTTCTAGTATGATTGGGAGGCACCTGAGTCCTCCCAGAAGCAGAAGCCACTGTGCTTCCTTTGCAGCCTGCAGAACCGTGAGCCAATGAAACCTCTTTTCTTTTTGATCATACAGAAGGTTAGTACTGTGAAGTGAAGCTATGAAATTCCTTCAGGGCCTTTTCCCTATGAAATGCCTTCAAGGCCTTTTCCCCATTGTCTTGGCAAGCAGCACTCAGCTTCTTTTCATGCAAATATCTGAAGCCTGTGTGAATTTTTTCCCTGAAAATGGACTTTTCTTCTTTTACCACATTGCCAGGCTGTGACACAGAGAGCTGATAATGTAGAAGCAGGTTCAGTAGTGGGTAAAAGACAGAGGTCGGGAGAGTTGGGAAAGCTTAAAAGACAGCAAGATGAGGAAAAGCTTGGACCCCTGTAGAGAATTGTTAAATACTTGTGATCAGAAGGCTGACAGAAGGATGGACAGTGAAGGCCAGACTTAAAAGTTCTCGGATAAAAATCAGGAATTTCCTGTGAATAGGAGCCAAAGCTACATTTGATTTGCCCAACAGAGGCTGCACAGTGACCTTGCCCTGGAGATCTGTGAATCTATGAACTTGGGGGTGATGATTTAGGATGTATCTTGTGGAATGAACATCTAAGCAGCATAGCTCAAGAGGTGTCCTGTCTGCGTCGAACAGCCTGTGTTGTTATGTATGAGCTAAGAAATGACCTCAAGTTGGATCTTCTACTTAAATGAGAAGCGGAGCTCAGAAGTTTGGAAAATTTGCAGCCTAGTCAAGTGGTTAAAAAGAAAAGCTGATTTTCAGGGGGAAAATTCAATAAGGCTTAGAGTATTTGCATAAAAAGGAGGTTAGTGCAAGTGTCCAAGACAAAGGGTAAAAGGCCTTGAAGGCATTTCAGAGACCTTTGCAGTAGCCTTTGCTCTCACAGGCCCTGGGGCCTAGCAGAGAAGAATGGTTTACTGGGCCAGCTCCATGGCCCTGCTGCTGTGTGCATCCTCAGGACACTGCTGCCTGCATCCCTGCAGCCCCAGCTCCAGCCATGGCTGAATGATGCACAGGTACAGCTTGGGTCACTACTTCACATGTGGCTCCAAGCCTTGATGGCTTCCACATAGTGTTAAGGCAGCAGGTGAAGAGAGCAAGAGACTAGAGGCTTTGGAGCCTCTTGTCTGGACTCCAGAGGATGTAGAGAAAAGCCTGGGTGTCCAGGCAGTAGCCTTTCCAAGAGGCTCATGGAAAACCTCTGCTAGGGCAGCAAAGAAGGGCCATGTAGGGTTGAAGCCCCCTCACAGGGAGGCTCCATTCTCCAAACCCCAGATTCATAGACCCACCAACATCTTGCACCCTCAGTGTGGAAAAGCTACAGGCATTCAAAACAGCCCTGTCCATGAGAGGCAGCTGTGGGTGCTGAACGCTGCAAAGCCACAGGTGCAGATCTGCCCAAGGCCTTGGGAGCCCAGCCCTCACAGCCCTGTGCCATGGATGTGGGACAAGGATTCAAAAAGGATGATTTTGGAGCTGTCGGATTGAATGACTGGCCTGCTGGGTTTTGGATGTTCATGTATCCTGTGAGTCCCATCTGTGTTTTGTTTTTCTTTCTGGCATTTTTTTTTTCTACTGGCTGGGAATGCTTACTCATTGCCTGTACAATCATTGTGCCTTGGAATTAGATAACTTGCTTTATAATTCAGAAACCCAGGGGCAGATCGGACTGTAGCCTTGTCTCAGACGAGACTTTGGGCTTTGGACATTTGAGTAAATGCTGGAATTATTTAAGATTTGGGGGCCTGTAGGGCAGGTATCATTGTATTCTGCAATGTAAGAAGCAGGAGATTTCGGGGACCAGGGACAGAATAATATGATTTGGCTCTGTGTCCCTACCAAAGCTCGTGGAATTGTAATGGGCAAAGTTAAAGGTGGGGACTGGTGGAAGGTGATTTAATCATGGTGGAGAGTGGAGTTTGGAAGGTGGGGGTGGTTGGGAGCATTGTGGGGGATTGTGTTGGGGTTGTGGGGAAAGGCAGAGATGGGGGGCAGATTCTTCACAAATGGTTAAACACCATCTTTGTAATGCTGTCCTTCTGACAGTGAGTTTGCTTCATGGTTTAGGAGCTTTGAGATTTGAATACTGGCCTGCTGGGTTTTGGATGTGCATTGGGCCTGTGGTCCCATTTGTGTTATTTTTCTGGGAAATTTCTTCCCTTTGGAGTGAGAAAGCTTACCCAATGCCTGTACCATCATCGTACCTTAAAAGAACTCCATTTTAAGTTCAGGGACTCATTGGCAGAAGAGACCGTAGCCTTGTATCAGATAAGACTTTGAACTTCTTACATTTGAGTTAATGCTGGAATGAGTTAAGGCTTTTGTAAACATTTGAAAAGGCATGACTGTATTTTACTCTGCGAGAATGACATGAGATTCGGCGGAGGGGGTCAAGGTCAGAATAATATGGTTTGGCTGTGTTTCCCTAGAAAAACTCATGTGGAATTGCAGTCCCGAATGTTGGAGGTGGAGCCTGGTGGGAGGTGATTTAATCATGGATGGGAGGTGGGTGGGGTTGGAGGGAAAAAGAGGTGGGTAGCGTGGTGAGGAGTAAGCTCGCTGTAGGGTGGTGGGAGGGTGGGGGTAGTAGGAAGGAGGAGTAGCCTGCTGCAGAGGCAGAGGCTCGTGGAAAACCTCTGCTAGGACTGTGCACCTGTGGCTTTGCAGGGTGTAGCCCCCGTGGCTGCTCTCATGGGCTGGGCTGGTGTTGAGTGCCGGTAGCTTTTCCATACTGAAGGTGCGAGCTGTTGATGGGTCTATGAATCTGGGCTCTGGAGGATGGTGGCCTCCTGCATAGGGGCTCCAAGCCCATATTTTTTTCTGCACTGCCATAGTACAGGTTTTCCAAGAGGCTCAGGCTCTGCCTCAGGCTTCTGTCCGGAAACAGGAGGGGGTGGAGGTGGGTTGGGGACGGATCCTTCACTAATGATTAAGCACCATCTTCTTGATGCTGACCTCGTGATAGTGAGTTCTCATGAACTTCCTCATAGTGTTAAGCCACTGGTTGTATGGAGCATGAGCCTAGGGGCTTGGGAGGCTCTTTATAGATTTTGGAGGATGTATGGAAATGTCTGGGTGTCCAGGCGAAAGCCTTCCTAAAAGGCAGAACCTCATAAGAAACCTCTACTAGGGCAGTACAGAAGGAAAATATGGGGTTGGAGCCCCCACACTGGAGGCCACCATCATGAAGACTGCAGATTAATAGACCCCGCAACAGCTTGTACCGTCAGTGGGTAAAAGCTACAGGTGCTCAACACCAGCCCAGCCCATGAAGACAGCCGTGGGGCATAAACCCTGCAAAGCCACAGGTGCAGAGCTGCCCAAGGCCTTGGGAGCCCAGCCCTTACATCCCTGTGCCCTGGATGTGGGACAAGGTTTCAAAAAGGGTAATTTTGGAGCTGTAGGATTGAATGGCCTTCTGGGTTTGGAGTTTCATGGGGTCTGTAAGTCCTTTCTGTCTTTTGTTCTTTCTGGCAAAATTATTCCTTTTGGCTGGGAATGCTTACCCATTGCCTGTATAAGCATTGTACCTTGGAAGTAGTTAACTTTCTTTATATTTCAGAGGCTCATGAGCCTAAGGGTCTGCAGCCTTGTGTTAGATGAGACTTTAAGCTTTGAACATTTGTATAAATGATGAAATGATATAAGACTTTGGGGGACTGTAGGGAAGCTATCATTGTAGTTTGCAATGTGAGAAGGACATGAGATTTGGGGAGCCAGGGACAGAATAATAAAATTTAGCTCTGTGTCCCTACCAAAATTCGTGTGGAATTGTAATGGGGAATGTTAAAGGTGGGGCCTGGTGGAAAGTGATTTAATCATGGTGGAGTGTGGGGGTTGGGAGGTGGGGGATAGGGAGAATTGGGAGATTATGTTGGGGGTGAGGGGTGAAAAGTGATGGTGGCTCCTTCACAAATGATTAGACACAATCTCTTTATTTCTGTCCTTGTGATGGTGAGTTCTCTTCATGATTTTGGAGCAGTGAGATTGAATGGATACTGGTCTCCTGGGTTTTGGACTTGCATTGGTCCTGTGGTCCCATCTGTGTTATTTTGCTCGGAAATTTCTTCCTGTTGGACTGAGAAAGCTTACCCAATGGGTGTACCATCATTGTGTCTTAAAAGAACACCCTTTTAAATTCAGGGACTTATAGGCAAAAGGGACTGTAGGCTTGTCTCAGATGAGACGTTGAACCTTTTACATTTGAGTTAATGCTGGAATGAGTTAAGACTTTTGGCAACTTTTGAAAAGGTGTGATTGTATTTTGCTCTGTGAGAAGGACATGAGATTCGGAAGGGTCAGGGTAAGAATAACATGGTTTGGCTGTGTTTCCCTACAGAAACTCATGTGAATTGTAATCTTGAATGTTGGAGATGGGGCCTGGTGGAAGGTGATTTAACCATGGATGGGAGGGGGTTGGAGTTGGAAGGAAATAAAGTGGATAGTGTTGGGAGGAGTGGGTTGTCAGTAGGGTGGTGAGAGGATGGTGGGTATTAGGAAGGGGGAGTAGCCTGCTGCAGAGTCACATCCTCATGGAAAACCTCTGCTAGGGCAGTGCTCCTGTGGCTTTGCAGGCTTTAGCCCCCATGGCTGCTCTCATGGGCTGGGCTGGTGTTGAGTGCTTTTGCATACTGAGGGTGCGGGCTGTTGGTGGGCTTATGAATCTGGGGTCTGGAGGATGGTGGCCTCCTGTGTGGGGGCTCCAAGCCCATATTTCCCTTCTGCACTGCCATAGTAGAAGTTTCCCAAGAGGCTCTGCCTCTGCAGGAGGCTTCTGCCTGGAAACAGTAGGCGGTGGTGTGTGTGGTGGATCCTTCACCAGTGGTTAATCTTCTTGATGCTGATCTGATAGTGAGTTCTCATGTGATCTGGTTGTATAATGGGCTGTGGCACCTCTTTTCTCTCTGTGTCTTGCTTCTATTTCTGCCATATGAAACATCTCATTGCCACTTGGCCTTCTGATGTGGTTAGGAGGGGCCTGCCTGATCAGTGTGGGCCTGCTCAGTGGACCTAGTCAGTTGGGACTTGGTCAGTGAGGCCTGTTTAGTGGGAACCTGGCCAGCAGGGGTCTGCTTAGGGAGGGTCTCATTAGGGGGATCCAGTAGTGGGGGTTTTGGCAAGTGGGGACCTACTGGCAGCCAGTTGCTTGGTGTCTGGTCAGTGCAGACCTAGGCTGTGGGGCTTGACCGGTGGCGACCTGGTCAGCTGGGCTTAGTGGTGGCCTGGTCAGCATGGGCTGGGTCACTGGTGACCAGGTCAAGGGGTGCTATTCAGTGGAGGACTGGTCACATGGGACCTAGTCAGCAGGGCCTGGTGGGCGTGTCCTCATCAGTGAGTCCCTTGTCAGTGGGGCCCTGATCAGGGCAGCCTGGTCAGTGGAACCTCATCAGTGGGGGCCTGGTCAGTGATGACTTGGTCAGTGGTGGCTTTTGTACCACTGGTCTACGGGGTGACCCGGTCAGCGGGGACCTGAGTAGTCGGTGCCTGTTCAGTGGGGCCTACTCACTAGGGTCCCAGTCAGGGGCATCTGGTCACCTCAGGCCTGGTTAGTAGGGGCCTGATCAGTGGCAGCCTGTTCCCTGGAGGCCTGGTCAGTGGGGCCTCATCTGTGGGTCCAGGTAGTGGGGTCATGATCAGTGGAATCTGATCAGTGAGGCCTTGTCAGTAATGACCTAGTCAGTGAGGCCTTGTCAGTAAGGACCTGGTCCTTGAGGCCTTGCCAGTGAGGCCTTGTCAGTAAGGTCCTGGTCACTGAGGCCTTGTCAATAAGGACCTTGTCAGTGAGGCCTTGTCAGTGGGGCCTTGTCAGTAAGGACCTGGTCAGTGAGGCCTTGTCAATAAGGTCCTGGTCAGTGAGGTCTTCTCAGTTAGGACCTGGTCCATGAGGCCTTGTCAGTGGGGCCTTGTCAGTAAGGACCTGGTCCGTGAGGCCTTGTCAATAAGGTCCTGGTCCGTGAGGCCTTGTCAATAAGGTCCTGGTCTGTGAGGCCTTGTCAGTAAGGACCTGGTCCGTGAGGCCTTGTCAGTAAGGACCTGGTCCGTGAGGCCTTGTCAGTAAGGACCTGGTCAGTGAGGAATTGTCAGTAAGGAGCTCATCCATGAGGCCTTGTCAGTGAGGCCTTGTCAATAAGGTCCTGGTCAGTGAGGCCTTGTTAGTAAGGACTTTGTCAGTGAGGCCTGGTCAGTAAGGACCTGGTCAGTGAGGCCTTGTCAGGGAGGCCTGGTCAGTAAGGTCCTGTTCAGTGAGGCCTTGTCCGTGAGGCTTTGTCAGTAAGGTCCTGGTCAGTGGAGTCATGGTCATTGTTGGCCTGGCAGCGGGGGTCTTGTTAGTGGGTCCTGGTGATGGGGGTCTAATCAGTGAGGGTGTGGTCAGGGAAGACCTGATGTGTGGGGTCTGGTCAGCAGGAACCTGGTCAGTGGGGACTGCTGAGCGCTGCTTGGAGAAGCCAGGTGCATTGCACGTTATCGAGGGCCCTCTGGACAGCTGGGATGGCCCAGTGATGCCCAATGGCCCGGTCAAAAGTAGACAAAGCAGTTGTTTGGATGGACCTGGGAGATGTTGCTCAGAGATTCTGACAGGACAAAGGTGAAGAAAGGGTCAGAGTGGCTGGAGAGATGGTCACAGTCTATGGGCTGCACAGGATGGAGAAAGCCAGGGAACAGGGAGGGTGGGCAGTGCGGTGCAGGGAGAGGCAGGTGCATGGTGGGACGTCAGACCCTGTGAAGGCTGTGAGGGTGTCAGGTGGGTTGGGCTCCAGGTGCACCCTCAGTGCACTGGGTGGGTATCACCCCAAGCTCCCTGGACCCCAGCCAGGTGATGTGGTCACTCCCTGGGGGACTGCTCTCAGGTCCCGGCTACCTACCCTGGGCAGCGCTGTCCCATCTCAGGACTGGACTTTCTCAGATCCTGTAGAGGGCACAGACTCCACCCAGGAGGGGCAACCGCATGGTGCAGCCTGAGCTCTCCATGGGCCTGGAGCATCCCCTGCCAGCCTTGTGCTCCCCATTCTCCCAGGTCCCACTTTTCCAGTGTCAGCCAGCAGGGATGCCCCATCCTCCCTTCCCCATGTGTCTCCTAGGCTGAAACTTGTGGCAGATTGGGACAGGGATGGTGCTTCCCTCAGGCCCATTTGGGGAGGGGACTGGCTCCCAGACTGGTGCAGGTCCTCAGCTCTGCCTCGACTGGCTTAGAGTGAGATGGATCAGTCAGTTCCCTGAAGGTGAAGATAAGAGACTGTCCCTGCTGTTGGGAGGCTAGTCTAGGGATGGAGGACTTAACAGGTCCTCCCAGGCTGTGAGGCCTGGCAGCACTGTCTTGTCTTAGGACTCAGAAAGTCCAGTCCTGAGATGAGACAGTGCTGCCCAGGGCGGGTGGCTGGGACCTGACAACATTCCCCCAGTGATTGACCACATCACACGTCCAGGGTCCAGTGAGCCTGGCCTCAGACGTGCCCAGTACACTGAAGGTGCACCTGGAGCCCACTCCACCTGATGCCTCCACAGCCCTCGCAGGGTCTGACCTCCCAGCATGCACCTGCCTCTCCCTGCACCCCAGCTGTCCACCATGCCTGTTCCCTGACTTCCTCCATCCTGTCCAGCGGGATGGGATGGACATGGGGACAGCCTGTGTGCACATTTCGTGGCGAGTGGGAATGACACACCATCTCTGGGAGGCACCATGGTTCCTGGCAAACCCGATCCCAAGACTCTGTCCTTGAGGTGGTTTTACCAAATCCCAAACCCAGAACTGCGGTTGTGGCTCAGGGGTCAGCTCCTGCTAGTGCCAGGACACTACTGGGAGGCTGGGACCCGACCAAAGCCCATGGTGTTTCTGGCCTGAGAACAAGGTGTCTTGGGACCATAAGGCCAGGCCACCAATGGCCATTGGGTCATAGGGGCTCAGCCCCAATCTTTGTCTTTCCCTGGCTCCTTCTGATTCAGTCCCATCAGGGCCCTGGATCCCAAGACTCAGCATCCAAGGTCCCCTCCAGGAATCCTGGCAGCTCAGCATACTTTATCCTGTTTCATCTGAGAGCAAAAATGTAAAATTGGATGCACAGAAAAGTGACTCAAAGTGCTTAATGACTAGAAGAAATCTAGGAGCAGCAAGAAGGTAATGTGGAGGGAGGGACCTCCATGACCGGTGTCTGCAGAGCCAGGGGTACAGGCACCCAGTGCTGTGGCCTGGCACCACCTGCCTCTCAGAGGGTGGGTGGCACACTCCTTAACCAGAGGACAGCAGGCCTGGTCACCAGCTTTTCTACCTGTCCCTGTAAGCATCACATTGCTGGAGGAAAATCTCATGCCAGAGCTTGGACCATCCCTAGCTCGGGTTAGGGGTTGTCCCTTGGTGACCTAAATGAAAAAACAGGTCCAGAACAGAGTTCCTGATGCTGGACACTCATTCAGTCTTTGAATCGTGGGAGGGGAGGCCTGGTACTAGGTAGACCTAACCTCTTTGAGGAACCACAGAGCCCAAGGCTGGAAACCTCCAGAATCCTCCACCCCCTGATCCTCCCTGGGGACCCCTGTGGCCTGTCTCACTGAGCACTCTTCCATCTGTAGATGTCTGGGCTGCTGTACAAGGGAGTCCCCTTTCAGGTGTGGTGCTAGACATGGTCACTCCTGCTGGATGTCTAGGTGGTAGAAACCAAGGACCTAGGGAAATACCAGCTACAGCCTTTCCCCGCTCATCCAGAGCAGGACAAACAGGCCAGGCGGTGTCAGGAGCCCAGGTCTCCAGCTGGAGGGAACGTCAACCCTGCGGTGGGAGTAGGGGCCCTTTGCACATCCTAGGCACAGATGGTAATGTAGACACCACAGGTAAGCTGGGCTTGGTACCTACCCCTCCCCGGATTCAGAAAGAAACCAAACAAGGAGCTTTGTGCGGAATGAAACCTCCTTTCCTCCCAGAAGCACTGCTGACTGTTTGGTGGTTGCCATTTGTGGCAGTGAGCCTTTGTTTGTTCTGAGGTTGGGCTGGTTTCTCCTCTTGGTCCTGCCCTACAGATCATAAAGGAGAACAGCAAGAGGTCCCCAGCAAACATCCACAGATGGCCTTGGAAGTAAGTCACCTTGTGAGAAACATGTCATGTTCTGGGAGGGATAAGGCATCAAGTAAGGCCTATGGGGTTGGAGGATCCCTGGGCAGGTGGGGCAATCCTTGGGGTCTTCCCATGGGAATAGGGAGGTCCTGAGGCAGAGGCAGGGGTTCCACAGGAGGAGTCACAGAGCTACCAAGGGCTCTCCTGTGCCAGGAAGCAGTCAACACCATGAACTGAACACCTGCTGGGCTCCAAGCCCTGGTCCAGGCTGGGGCATGTGGGGCCAGGAGGCAGCTCAGAGAGGGAGGCAGAGAGAAGTGTGCTGAGAGGGCACCCATTTCTGGGTGTAATGTGGTCCAGAGATTTTGGCTGGGAAGGGCTTCCAGAGTTTCATATCTGTTACGGAGCTGCTTCCTCTCCCTAGCCTCACCCTGCAGGAATGCCAGTGAACATACTGCTGACATCTTGGAGCTCAGTACCCTCATAGTGTAACGGCGTCAGTAGATCTGCCTGTGCTTGGACTTCCTGTACTACCCATTCCTGAGGGGCGATGCTTCTGCAGGGCCTGTGACTTGGTGCACAACTTCAGACACCATCATCTTGCAGCAGCACCGCACCCTCACTAGCCAGGGTGTTGATGACTTCCTCAAGGCCAAGGCCACATTCAAGGCTTCGGACTTTATTGATGCGCTTGTGCTGAGCAAGGTGGCTTCTCCAGGATCTTAATTCAGGAGGTAGAATGGAGCTTGAGATCAAGTGTCTGATCAAGGTACTTGAACTTGATCTGGAGGGCTCTGGGGAGCCATGGAAGGTGCTGGATAAAGGAGTGACAGTCAGCTATGTTTTCGAGATGACTATAGAAGGCTGCCTGGAAGGAGTGAACAAGAGCCAGGAGACCAGGGAGGGAGCTTGTGGGGCAGGTCTGGAGATGGCAAAGGAGGGATCCTGCTTGGATGAAAGGTCTTCAGGGACTGTCTCAGGTTACACACAGGTGTCCTCAGAGCTAGTGTGTTCAGAGTCTTGCCTCCAGGATGAAAATGGGAAGGAGTTGTCAGACGAGGACATATAAATGGAGGCTGGCATATTCATGAGTGCTGGTGGTGGTCCCGGTGTGGGACTACTGTGGGAACAGGGGTCTCTCCATCCAGGGATATGATGGATGGACCCTACATCACTCCATTCTGCCCTTCCTTTCCCTCCTCCCATTCTCCCCAAAGCCTCAGTGTATGGGCGCTGTTCATCCTCTGGTGCTGAAGCAGCCAAGAGACCCAAGTCTGCCTGGCTGCCTCTTAGGATATGACAGCAGAGCCAGTGGCCTCTACTAGATCCTGTACAACCTCACAAAACACCCAGACATCGGGAGTGCTGCCAGCCTGTGATGCAAGAGTCCTAATCCTGAAGACATTGAATGGTGGGTGCAGGGCCTCATGGCCTGTTCCCCAGCCCCTCTCATTGGCTCTGCTCCAGGTGGTGAAGGGGGAAAATGTTTTTGTCAATTCTGTCATGATTGCCTAGCAAGAAAAGGAGCAGAACCCAGAAGCAGTAAAATCAGTTAGTAAAATCAGTTTTCTTTTCTGAACTACATTTCTACCATCTGTAATTGAGGGGAATTCCTTCGACTCCACGAGATTGCTTGGAGAATGACTGACAGTGTATGTAGAGCAGGTGCCAGCCAGCAGGCGTTTGGTGTCCAGAGCACTCTTCCCCCTTGATTTTCTGCCTATATTTTCATTTTGTTCCCAAGACCCTCACTCCCCTTAATTTTGCTTTTCCCTCTGATTCCCACCTTATCTTCTATCCCATGGATTCACCAGGATGTAAGTGGGTAACAGTCATCTATGCATGTATGTGTATGTGTGTATGTTCTCTGTTGGTGTTGGAGTATGGTGTGTGTGTGTGTGTGTGTGTGTGTGAGAATGTGTGTGTGTGTGTGTGTGTGTTGGGGTCACTGAGGGACTGAAACTCTCCACACCAGGCTGTGGTCCTGCTCACTGCTGGAGGCGCTGTCAGGGCTCTTGCCATTGACCCTCCAGGTCTCATTCTTGCAGTGCAGGCAGGGCATTCTGGAGGAATCATGTCCTTGGACGAAGCCCTGAGGAGTGACTGGTGTGTATTGGTGGATAAATAATCCAACTCCCTTGCTCTGGGTGGGATGACTCTGAGGCACATGTTCTATGCTGTCTCTCAGAGGTACCCGGCAGGGCTGAGTCCTGGCTGCCCACAGTGGAAACTTTCTTGATGAAGGTCCCTTTAACTGCTACATTCCATTCCTGTCTCAGTTCCCCACTCCTCTACTGGTGTTGCCTGCAATTAGTACTCTAAGGAAGAACTGACAGTAGAATTACTGTCCTGGAGTCATCTCCAGATAAAATTTTTATACTTGAATCTTTGCCTCAGGATCTACTTCCAGGAAACTTAAACTAAGACACACATTTTTCTTTCCTCCAATCTTCATAGACCTGTCATTCTGCTGTTTTTACCAAAAAGGATCATGAGGATCAGAGAGGAAAAGTCACTTGCCCAAAGTCACACAGCTGAACAGTGGTGGAGTTCAACTTTGACCATGGGCTGTCTGGCCCCAAGGTGTATGCTTGCTTCTCTCCCAAGAGACTCCTTTCTTATCAGGCTCAAATGAATGAAAGGAGGATGTTAAAGGTAGGATCTCTGAAGCCTGTGCCAGTGGAACCGCAGCTCATGGCTGGCACCTGTGTTCTCATTCTTACCTCATTGAGAGTAAAGTTTATTGAGTTTATTGAATTTAAGTATCTTTAGTGAGATCATATATTATTAGTAAGAACTGGGACCAAACAGATTTTCTGACTCTAAAAGAGAGATTTTCACAGAAACAGATATATACCTATAAGTATACAGACACGCATACACACATTTCTTTACTGCTCATAAAAATTAGTCCTTATTAGAATGTGGGATGTATAAATGTAAGAGAATTTTCATGTTAAAATTGACAGATACATTTTTAAATTGTCCTAAAAGAAATTTAATTATTTTTCTTTTAGAATTTTCCATTATTAATGTTATTTTTATGGAAAACTATATAACTTTATTGATAATACATACGATAACCCTTTGTTTTTCACATTGAAAATACAGTGTATTTTGCAAATAACTAAGTCCTAATTTTGTATTAAAATTTAAAATTTTCAATCTTTTTTTATTATATTTTAAGTTCTGGGATACATGTGGAGAACATGCAGGTTTGTTACATAGGTATACACATGACATGGTAGTTTGCTGCACCCATCAACCTCTCATCTACATTAGGCGCTTATCTACATTTGGTGCTACATTATGATATGGAGAAATAGGAACGCTTTTACATTGCTGGTGGGAGTGTAAATTAGTTCAACCATTGTGGAAGACAGTGTAGTGATTCCTCAAGGATCCAGAACCAGAAATACATTTGACCCAGCAATCCCATTACTGAGTATATACCCAAAGGATTATAAATCATTCTACTATAAAGACACGTGCACACATGTGTTTATTGCGGCACTGTTCCCAATAGCAAAGACTTGAAACCAACCCAAATCCCCATCAGTGATAGACTGGATAAAGAAAATGTGGCACATATATACCATGGAATACTCTGCAGCCATAAAAAAGGATGAGTTCCTGTCCTTTGCAGGAACATAGATGAAGCTGGAAGCCATCATTCTCAGTTAACGAACACAGAAACAGAAAACCAAACACCGCATGTTCACTCATAAGTGGGAGCTGAACAATGAGAACAAATGGACACAGGGAGGGGAACATCACATACCGGAACCTGTCAGTGGGTGGGGGGCTAGAGGAGTGGGGGAGGGATAGCATTAGGGGATTTAATAATTTTAAAATTCAATTCTGTTGAAATGTTTACTCCAAGAAGCAATGTGTTTTTGAGAGCTAATCCTGATATATTCAAATCTTAACGACTTAAGTTGATGGAGTGGACTTCTTTTAAATTAGTGATTCCCTAATTTACCTGACAGTTGGAATTTCCAGGCCATGTTGAAAATACAGATTATCCAGACTCTTACTTCTGCAGATGTATTTAGTGGTTCTAAAATGGCACCCAGGAGTCTGGATTTTTCCCAGGGGCCTTGTGTAATTCACACTGATGACCAGGCAAGTTTGGGAAATTGTGCCTTAAGGAGATTTTTCATTAAGCAGTCTTCATTTGAAAAGAGGATCATTTATCTTCTAATACCCCATGCTTCCTCTTTCTCCTGCTCTCTTTGTCTCCTGTTGTTTTTCAGTTCCTAGAAGCTTTAATTGAATGAAAGTTCCTAGTAGATCTGTACCTACTAAAAACCACACTTCTGAAGCTACGTGGCCACCAGAAGACACAGCTAGTCTGCCATGTAAAAAAGGAAAGGTGGCGTGTGCCCTGAAGGCGCAGGGGTGAGAGGCAGGGAAATGGAGACCCCAACAGCCAGCATCAGTGGCCCTCATCACAGCCCTCCAGGAGATATCAAAGGAGGTCAGACCTTGGACAGTAGTCTTGACTTCCTGCTATAGAACACATTGTTAACACTGAAAAAGATGATCTGTTCTAGGGGAATGGTGAAAGCTGACTCTAGCACTTGTGCTTTTTGTTTGTTTGTTTGAGATTTGAGTCTTGCTCTTGTTTCCCAGGCTGCAGTGCAATGCGTGATCTCAGCTCACTGCAGGCTCTGCCTCCTGGGTTCCAGCTATTGTCCTGCCTCAGCCTCCCGAGTAGCTGGGATTCCAGGTGCCCGCAAGTGTGCCTGGCTAATTTTTATGTTTTTAGTAGAGATGGGATTTCGCCATCTTGGCCAGGCTGTTCTCCACCTCCTGACCTTGGCCAAAGTGTTGGGATTACAGGCATAAGCCATTGTGCCAGGCCTGTGTTTTTAATTTCATCATGGCACAGCTTCAAAATGACATCTAAGTAGCTGACATAAAAATGAAAATTCTGTGTACTTTGATATTAGCAGGCTTCAAATACAAACCAGAATATGAGTAAATTGTTTCTTAGCCAAACTGAATAATTTTCACATTGGCAGGCCATTGGTAGGCTATTCAGCATCTGGCTCATGTTTGGGCCAAGCTGGGTGCCTCATGAAAGTCTGGAGGGAAATACAGAGGGCAATTCTCCATAAGCATTAGGCTCAGAAATATCCTGCTTCCCAGTGAAAAGTTTAAGTTGACTTTCACGCCACCTTCATCAAACCGAGGTTGGTCAACACTTTTCACCACTGCCACTGGACACTTTGACTTCCAATTTTGCTACCTGCTGTACAAAGATACCCCCTTCTTTCCTTTCCTGCATTCTCCCTACAACCTTGTCTTTTTTTGAGTACATCCACTCTGTCTCATCATTGTCCATCTCTGCTTCCCAAAACCTTATATAGTACAGAAATTGGCCAATCAAGATTACCATGTGGAAGAGCATCCATTTACTGAATAAGGTAGCTGGCTCCTGGGGGCAGAAAAGTGATTAGACACAGAGATAAAAATCATAATCCCTGCTCTCCTGGACTCACTGTCTAGTGGGCAGACAGACAGATGAACAAATACAACTTGATAACTACAACAATCAAGTGAATTATATAATTTAGACTGGAGAAAGAGAGCAAACGTTATCATAAGACAGTGTGTCCACTACTTACTCTCTAACAGATTTACTCATAAACCACTAGGCTTGCCAACTTGTTGAATGAGATAAAATTGGAGGGTCAGGGGATGGGAAATGCATATGCTTCTTAGTATTTCATTCCATAAATACATAAATAATGAAACCATTAATGATATCATCATGTTGATTCAATAAGTTTGAAAGCAAAATTGATAGTAATCTTTGGAAGAAATTGTATATGTGTCTATGTATGTACATACATAGACATACATATTGCTTTCTGAAATTTTCAATGACTTTATGCTTCTTCTGAAGCAATTCGAGTTTAGAATTTGAGACCCCTGGGTCAAAACATCTTCTTGAGTATACTGAAGAACATTTGGATTAATTTCAGACACGTATTTTGGTTTATATAGTGTTTTTTATCCATGGTAACTTATTTACTGTTTAAAAACATATTGAGAACAAACAGCAGCAGCAACCCTGAATTGAGTGAAAGTCCTGAGAAGGGCTTTGCCCAATCAGTGCATGTGCATGTTTACACTAATCTCCTGTCTGAACCTAGGAACTGGCTGAATGAGCTAGCAGATGGCCTGTCTGGCTGCATTATAAATGATAATTTATTTTTATTTGTTTTACTCATTCATTCATTTTGAGACAGGGTCTCACTCTGTCATCCAGGCTAGAGTATGGTGACACAATTATGGCTCACTGCAGCCTTCAACTCTCAGGCTCAAGCAATCCTCCTGCCTCAGCCTCCTGAATAGCTGGGACTACAGGTGCACACCACCATGCCCAGCTAATTTTTAAACCTTTTTTTGTAGAGACTGGGTCTTATTATGTTGCCCAGGGTGGTCTCAAACTCATGGACTCAAGCGATCCTCCTTCCTTGGCCTCTCAAAGTGCTGGGATTACAGGCTTGAGCTACCACATATGGCCAGAAATGACATTTTAAAACCAACTATTACGTACACAGATATATGATGCTCTCCGATTGTTTTATCTAAAAATAGGAGTGCCTTAGGTTTATTGGCTCATTTTGTTTTATCAAACAGCTTAAATGCAGTTGTGAATATTTTTGTTTACCCTCATAACCTGAGAATTTAGAATGAATATAATTATTGCCATTTTCACAAGTAAAATTGGAACGAGAATATAAAACAGTGGAATACAGGTGCAGCTAAGAGTAGCAGAGGTAAGCCATCTATAGAATATTAAAATTTCTTCCATGTGTGTTGTTAGAAATCTATAAAACCAAAATTTTTTCATGCCTGGAATCCCAGCACTTTGGGAGGCCAAGGCGGGCAGATTACCTGAGGTGAGGGGTTCGAGACTAGCCTGGCCAACATGGTGAAACCCCGTCTCTACTAAAAGTACAAAAATTAGCCAGGTGTGGTGGGCACCTGAAATCCCAGCTACTCAGGAGGCTGAGGCAGGAGAATTGCTTGAACCCGGGGAGTGGAGATTACAGTGAGCCAAGATTGTGCCACTGCACTCCAGCCTGGGCGACAAGAGTAAGACTTCATTTCAAAACAGCAACAACAACAACAACAAACAACAAGAACAACAACAACAAAACCCAACATTTTCTAATACAAGGAAACTCACTAAGCTTTATAAGGCCCCCATCCCTCCAAGTATTATCCTTTCCGGCTGCCCCAACATTAATGACAGCAACTGGTACTAGCCATCTGACATACAATCCCAGTACATTTTTGGGCTCTGATGTTTTCTAGGAATTTTTTCTTTACAGACTTATTGAAATTAAGCTCTATTCCCTGAAGACCTGGTTTTCATAAACTGTATAGTTTTGCAGTTGAGGGGAAATGGTCTTAGGTCAGTCAATCCACTGTTGACACAGAAATGAAATGAGGTAACGGTAGGATTATTGTTAAGATTGAGAGATGTATGAATCATCCTATGCTCTTTCCCAGCCCCCAGGTGACCATATAATTAAAATATCCTTGATATTTCTATGTAGTTTAAGTTTTTAATTCTAGAACCCCTCAATCTTTCTCTATTCAACTTAAATGAAAAGACATTTAGTATCCAGAAGACACTCAGCACTCAGAAGCAAAGGAAGAAAAATGGAAACATAATGGTCAATGCCCATGTTCTACCCCAGGATCAAATGAGGCATTAATATTGAGAGTTGTGATTCTGAATGAGTCTTAACCTCATGCACATCTTAGTTGTTCAAAAATGTGTCATGTCAGCAAGGTGGTAACAGTGAAGATTTTCTACAATCAAAATAGTATAGTTATGTTCTGTTGTATAAAATAGAAATAAATGGACCACATTGATCAGAAAAATCACCCTAGCATATTCCGACAGCTTAATTTTTAAAAAGCTATGTTATATTAACAATTTAACCACATAGATCTGTCAGCTAGAATACATGTTGCATATTTAATTGACAATAATTTTTTTTGCTCTCTCAGAGAGTTGTAGATAGATTTTGGGGTTATCAAATGGTTCTGACTTTTTTTTTTTTTTTTTTTGAGATGGAGTTTTGCTCTGTCACCAGGCTGGAGTGCAGTGGCAAGATCTCAGCTTACTGCAACCTTTGCTCCCTGGTTTAAGTGATTCTCCTGCCTCAGCCTCCTGAATAGCTGGGATCACAGGCGCACGCCACCATGCCCAGCTAATTTTTGTATTTTTAGTAGAGACGGGGTTTCACCATGTTGGCCAGGATGGTCTCAATCTCCTGACCTCGTGATCTGCCTGCCATGGCCTCACAAAATGCTGGGATTACAGGCATGAGCCACTGTGCCCGGCTGGTTCTGACATATTTTTAAGAAAGTTTAGGCTGATGCTATGGTAACTCAGTTATTGATGATACATGTCATCTTGTAAGTAGGAGTATTCAATATTCATGGTTTTGAAGCAATTTCAGAGTACTATAATCACCACACTTGACAGACTTCAGAATTCATTGAAAATCTCTGGAAATAATTAGCAATTTGTTATCATAGACTCTAAACAGACCTTCAAAATGCATTACATAGATTTGGTAAAACAGATTGTCAGTCTGCCAAAAGTAATCACTCTGGTTTGATTTGCATTGAATGAAAATTTTAAAATGTAAAGCTAAACTCTTCAGGATCACTGCACTGGGTTTCTATAGGACAACACTGAACAGGGCTGCCACTGAAACACCTTGGATGAGAGCCTCAAACTCCCTGAACACAGCTTCCAGCACACTACTGGGAGAATGATTGGGACTCAAAAATATGTGCAATGAATGTACTTACGACCTTGTTGGAAAGGAAGTAAAGAGGTTGTATGTAATTACCTCAAATTAATACTGCTACAGATAAAGTAGTAATTAGCACTGACAAAGTAATAGTAGCGCTAAAGTAGTATTAATAGCCCTACACTAGTAGTAGTAATAAAGTGGCATCGCTATTGATTCTATCCGTCTACCTACCTACCTGTCTGGATAGGAGGGCATAGGATTTGACTGTAAGATTGGGCTTAGCAGTGAAAACAAAAGAGCTCATGCATGCTTTGGACAGGTATGCACTCAAACTTGGTATCATGTGACTGTTCTGAATTCCAGAACCAAGGCTAAAAGGTGGAAGTTTTGTTTGACTGTGTCTCACATTTTCCTTTTGGTCTATTGTCTAACACATGTTGCTAGAATTCTTTTTATTCTGACTACCTTTTATGTATAGACAACGCCATTATTGACGAGATCACTCCCAAGCGGATTGGAGATTGTCCCAATACTTAGACCTATAGCAAGGCCTTGGGAGAAATGGTGGTGCAGCAGGAGAGCAGGAACCTAACCATTGCCATCCTAAGGCCCTCCATTGTGCGGAGCAACGTCGCACCAGCTTTTCCTGGTAAGCCCACTTACCTGGATTCTGTGTTTTGCCTTCAAACTAAGGTTCTTCTAGCCCAATTATTTTCTGATGTCTTTCTTCTTCTTCTTCTCCTCAGGATTTATAGCTAAGTGCAGCCAATCAAATATTAACCCATTATACTAGGGCAAAATTCCACTTTGGGATCATGTGGCTCTTCTGGCAGTTACCCTATCTTAGAGTTGGATGGAGATCTTAAATTAGCTTCTAACTACTCTAGTCTCAAAATTCCCATGGGTGATGTTTTCATATCTTGGCTTTCCCACTGTAGCTTAAACATATCAGAATGTTCTTGATGGCCAAATTGGTAGTATTGCAACTAACTGCCAGGGTTACAAAGCTCACAGAAGGATCTCAGTTTGGGAATACTAATTTTTTTTAACCTCAGTATACTGCTATGTCCTTTTGAAAGTACTTTGAATTATACCATCTTCTTCAAAGCAAGTCCGTGAAGCTTTGGGGGCAGATACATTCCAGCTCCACCACTTACTGGCAATGCAACATTTTTGAGTTGTTCTTTCGGTAGAACAGGACAGATACTACTTTGGAGAGTTGGTTTAATGAGACAATGTATGAGGAGTGCTCAGTCTCTAGTAAAAGGTAGATCCCTACTAAAAGGCTCAACGAATATTAGTCCCTTCATCTTCTCCTCCCGTATATCTGGTCTCCCATTATATGCATTTCGACTTTTATACTGTAAGGTAAAGAGACGGCTTAGGGCTTAGGAAACAAACTCAAAAAGACATTTCCCTCTAACTACTCTTAAGCATAATCTTTCCTGTAACATCTTTAAGCAAGTCAACACACATTATTACCAATCATGTTTTCAATGTTCTCCTAAGGAGGCTAAAATCAGGAATGAGGTGAAGTATGGTTGGTGAATTGCTTAGCAGATCATGATATAAGGACAAGGTCCATTGTAGCCCTTAAGTTGTCATAAAACACCACAAAACCATTCATGACTCCTGCTACAAACAACAATCCTGGCCAAATTTTAATTCTTGCACAAACTGCAGAAAATAGCCAACGCTTTGCCATTGATCTTTGGGATCTTAATAATACTGAATTAGATAGTTCTATCGGCTGGAGTCTCAGTGCCCTTGTTTGAAATTTATTAAGATTAGACGGCAGATGTTCCAAAGATACAACAATTTTCTGAAATGTGTAACCAATGGAAATTTTCTTTCTTTTAGGGTTGGGTTGATAATCTAAATGGATGTAGCTGACTCATTATTGCGGTATGTATAGGGATGAGGAAGTAACTGTAATGTAGTGGAGGAATAGTAAGAAAATTCTTAGTGCTGGCTTAGCTTCATTGATCCAAAAACATAAATGCTACTTTACTATCAATTGAAGCATATTATTTCAATTATTCTGGTTATAATATGGGGGCAGGATGAAATTGTTTTTATTCTTTTAGAATTTTTTTTATCAGGAAAACAGAGGTAAAGTGCTATCAATTACTATTTAAGAGTTCTATTTTGAAAAGTGAGAATTAAGGATTTTTCTTTTCTTTTTAAAAAAAACTTTTTTAAAAATTAAAAATAAAAGAAGCAAAAGTCTTAGGAAAATGAGGCAAGTAGCCCTGCCACTCTATGTACAGTAATAACAATATCTGTCCCAGTTATTATGTACAATATTATAAAAAATGTCGCAGACAGTACAAATTAAGGCCCTTATTTCTCAAAGGACATCAAGTCTTATGCCCCGTGGGAGGGAAGATGCCACTTAATTATTGCACCATTTTGAAAAACAGAACTCGTCAAGGCGGATAGTGGTCTTTTCCCACCTGGTCTTCAGTCACAGATGGGGGCTGGGGCGGTGGCGCCGTCTTCGTCGTCGAGGTAGACCCTATGGAGCCACACCGCCCTGCCGAGTTCTCTGGGTGCAATAAATACCAGTCACAGTTTGGGAGGGGGCCGCGTGCAGGTGGGGAGGCCTCTGGGCTGCATGTGCCGCTTCCTGTGCAGGGCAAGGTGGGCAGAGCGCAAGAAGGCGTGGTGGCACCAATGGCCCTGAAATGGCCGGTGGCCCCTGTGCTTGTGGTGGTGGAGCGTTAGCTTGTCTGAGTGAGCACACTTCCAGCTGCTTCCATCCCAGTGGCAGTGGTCGGGCTTGTCACTTGTGTGCTGCGCAGATGTGCCTGCAGGGGAGAATTCTTGCTGTAGGTCTGGCCGTAGCCACATAGGTATGCCTGGTGTTGCAGTTCCCAGGCCAGGAGCAGCTGCCACGCTTGGGCGTGGCCTCCAGCAGCTCCAGCGGGGACGCCGGTGCCACCACAAGGAGGCCGCGGGCGACTGGGGGTGCCAGGCCCAGGGCTGTGGCGGCGGCGGCCACCGCCTAAGAGACTAAAGACAGGGGCGTGGAGGGGCGGAGCTGGGCGGGGGGCGCCTCATGAAGGCCGGGCTGGGTGTCCCAAACCAGGGCCACGGAAGGGCAGCGGGAAGGAGGCGTGCGGGTCGTAGGGGCTGAGGGGCAGGTGTTGGGGGCGGAATGGGAGGGACCCGGGACCTCGCATGCATGAAGCTGCAGGCCCGGGGCGCCCTAGTGTTTGAGAGGACGCGCGATGCATACCTGAACCTGGGTGCGCAGCCGCAGCTGCCGCCATCTGCTTCAGGGTGCTGGGCTTTGACCAGGTGGCTGGGCAGCGCCAGTTGAAAGCGGTTGAGCAGGCAGGGCGCAGTGGCTCACGCCTGTAATCCCAGCACTTTGGGAGACCAAGGCGGGCCGATCACGGGGTCAGGAGATGGAGACCATCCTGGCTAACAGGGTGAAACCGCGTCTCTACTAAACATACAAAAAAAAAAAAAGTAGCCGGGCGTGGTGGTGGACGCCTGTAGTCCCAGCACTTTGGAAGGCTGAGGCGGGCGGATCACGAGGTCAGGAGATGGAGAACATCCTGGCTAACAGGTGAAACCCCATCTCTACTAAAAGTACAAAAACCAATTAGCCGGGTGCGGTGGCGGGCGCCTGTAGTCCCAGCTACTCCGGAGGCTGAGGCAGGAGAATGGCGTGAACCCAGGAGATGGAGCTTGCAGTGAGCCGAGATCGCGCCACCGCACTCTAGCCTGGGCAACCCAAGGAGACTCCATCTCAAAAGAACAACAACAACAAAAACCAGCTGAGCAGCGCGGGCCATGTGGCAGTGGGTCCAGCTCCAGGGCGCCGTAGGGCAGCGGTGTGCAGTGTTCGGGTAATAGGACGCAGACGGCGGGGTCGCCGGGGGCTTCGGGGTGGCCTCGGCCCCAGGCCATCCAGCCCTGTGGACCGAATGGAGTCCCGCACGCTGTTGAGGTAGTTGTGGGTTCCCCTGGCCTCGGGCTGGGCGCGGGGTCAGCGCACCTGCAGGCGGCGCTTGCGGTACGGGCTGGTGAAAGTGGAGATGGACGGCAGGATGGATTCACTTGGCCACATGGCGCGAAGCTGGGAAGACGGACACCGGTGAGTGGCTGCCCGGGAGGGCTGGTCGGGGCGCGGACAGGCGGGCATGGTTCTGCCAAGGATTTTGCTTTATTTATCGCAAGATGGGGTATTTCCTCCTTTCTTCAGTTTATAATTGCATGAATTAGTGCAGTGAATTGAGGATGCAGTAAAAATATCTTCAAAGATTATTAAATTCGTTATTATAAAACACATAGAAGAGTTTATGTGTGTATATGGAAAGCAGGTATACATCAATAATTCTTAATGAATACAAGAAAGAACTACCAATATTGGGGCAAATTTTTCAAATACAAACATCAGTGAATATAGGCAAGGCCTTTTCTTTTTTATTATTCTATTTTAAGTTCTAGGGTACATGTGCACAACGTGCAGGTTTGTTACATAGGTAGACATGTGCCGGCAACGCCTTTTCAATAATGTCTTACAAGGAGAAACGTGGCTCCTCTAGGTGAGCAGCCCTCAGTGCCCATCTCCCTGAAGTCCACATTGATCCGGCAGAGCTGTGGGGTTCACAGCTCACACTGAGGCATTCAGGGCCTAAACCCCACTTTACTCTTTTGTACAATGAATGGGAAATCAGTGATCTAAATGAGTTTAAATCTTATTAGGGATTCAGACTGCTCTTCAGACTCTGTCTCTATTCCTACCAGAGCTGGGTTCAACATGAATTCAAATAGAAATATGAGACAATGAATTATGGTAGTGACAAAGACCTTCCTTCGAATTCCGGATTTTTCTAGCAGCCCCTTTCTTTCTGCTTCCCACCTGCCTTCAACTCTTTCTCCTAAAAAAGTTCAGTTGGGGTGAAGTTTGGTGACTTAGAACATCATTATTTTAACGTGATCCCAAAGCGGTTTTCATTATATGCAAAGCTGTATATTTATTTACATTTTAAAAAATGTTCTAAATTGGTTTCTTATGTCCAAAAGAAGGGGAGCTAGTTATAAGAAAAGAGAATTGAGTAACATAAGAAAGTGCTAATCATTTCAAATTAAAGTGGGAAACATGCAAAGCAGAAAGAATGAATTTCATAAACTCAACAAATTATTAACATAAATAAGTCCAAACTCTTGTATCTATATAACATCAGTGATCTGTGAGGTGAAATGAGATTCTGAAGAAAAAGTAAATAATAAGGCCATTTTTCTAAGCCAAAAAAGTTTTTGTCATTAATTGTGGAATTTCACAAATTAATTTTTGTTCAAATAAAACTTTCTTAAACTTTTAGTGCTTACTATTGCTTGTAGGTTAGTAAACCCTAGCAGAAAACAAAATCATTAAGGAAATGGAAAACAAACATTAATGGGGAATTTGTGTAACCTTAATTCTTAACGTGTCTTATGAGTTAATTTTTTAAATGTGAAGGTTTATTCTTGGTGTTTGGTAATTAACTAAGTTTATTAATATCTCAAAAATATGAGGAATTTTATTCCCTAAAGGAACGTGAGGAACACGAGTAGTTCAAGAAAATGCTGAAGATGCGCTTGGCTGGGAAGCTAGGATAGGCTGACGAAGTCAGACTTAGTGTGGGAACCTGTTAAGCAGTGGATCGATGTTAGCTGTTTTCACTTATTGCACTAGTATAATCAGTTTGATGATACATACTTTAGCCCCAGCTGTTACTTAAGACCTGGTTTCACATTTTATGTTC
The DNA here is from genome assembly GCF_000001405.40 of Homo sapiens. Taxonomy (NCBI): domain Eukaryota; kingdom Metazoa; phylum Chordata; class Mammalia; order Primates; family Hominidae; genus Homo; species Homo sapiens. The sequence continues at coordinate 130,035,276 of NC_000002.12, read as the reverse complement.
TTTTTCCTGTGCAGGCTGGGAAAGGGTTTCTTCTGTCCATAAAAGCTACTCCAATGGCTGTGGGAGACTTAATTCCAATTCCAGGTGATACAGCCGTCAATCTCCCACTAGCTGTAGGATGGTGTGTGTGCTGCAGTTCACAGGTGTGGATGCTCAAGTGGGCTTTCAAAGATGTCATGAGAGGGAGGGTTATTGTATTAGGCACATTTTCCAAATATAGGCATTTCATTGTACAAGACCCCAAATGTGAGAGGGTGTTTGTTTCAGTATTTTATAGAGTTCCTAATATGCCATCATATATACATTCAGTTGTTTTCAAAATACAGTTTAGTACTTGGCTACTCACAAAGTAATAAAACATTTAAATCACTTAACCATACAATTCTTGATAACCAAAAGGCTTTTCTTTCTACTCAGTAGTTTAACATTCAGCTTTCTTTTTTAGGGCAAAGGAGATAGAAGTGGATGAAATGAGAGAATTTTCTTTAATTGAACTCTGGTTAATGCCAAAAGTGTTCAATCACTATGTGTGGGGAAGTTTCCTGGTACAAAGGAAAAAAAAACAGGTTGTTCATACATTTGGCTGTGTTAGTATGTGGTAAACAGAATTAAATTTTTTTATGTGAACTCGTACATATGTGCTTCATAATATGTCACTCCTATTTAACATCTCTTTCACACACACACATCCCCCCACCTCCGCACACACCCTTTTGCTAGTCTTCTTCCATTTTGCTTATTAACCCAAAGAAAGAAAAAAATACAGAAGCCTTCTTGCATAGGTTGCTTTAATCAGATGAATTATTGAAGCCACTCTGTCTAAATATTATTTTCCCTTATTTTTCTTTCATTAGTTTTTCATTCAGTTGTATTTATTTAATTTTTATTTCATTTTCCAGACCTAAGTCAGTGTTAGTCTACCACTGTACATCTGGTAACCTCAATCCCTGCAACCGGGGCAAAATGGGTAAGTACTTTAGCCATGTAACTGCATAATTACTAGTGTCTGACACAGAGAAGAAATAGACAGTGTGTCATGGAGATTAGAGCCTACATGGGGAGGAGGACAAAAAGTAAGCAAAGAGACAAAATAATGAGAAATTGTAAATGTGTGGTAGTTAACTAGAATGTACTGTGGTTACCAAGGAAAGGAGTCATTGGGAACACATACATGATTGTAAGCAGTAGGGGGTCCATTGGCTATAGAGATTTTAAAAAACAATGATGAAATAAAGCAAAAGTTGGCAGTTATAAAGAATCTCAGTGATAAAATACTGAAATACTCCTCCCTGCTGGGGCAGTGGGTCCTATACACACCCCTTCCCTTGTTGATATGTCACTGAGAATGCGACGTGATCAATGACCAATGAGATTTAGAAAAGTCGGGTGATATTATTCCTTCCTTATTGAGTGTGTAATAGTGATCACTAATTTATGCAACTTGTTTCTCTTGGGTGTGCATTAACTACTCTACTAGTGATTTGTAAAAGTGAATAGGAATCACTATGGGAGAATAAAAACAACAGCCAGATTCCTTGGACCCTGTGACCAAGGTCTTGGGTGATGCTGAGAAAACTATATTTTTAATAAGCATCTAGATGTTTCTTGATGCTTGTGGAAATGGTCTTTGAGAAACCCTGTACTATACAAATGATTAATTTGTCTGAATGTAAGGGATTTAATCTGATCAATGTACAAAAACCATGGAAATCAATTTGAGTACAACTTAAACATCTAATGATGGTAGAAGATAAAAGTAGGGAGTTTTGCTATTCTGTAGAATTTCTTAGTACCTACTAACTAACGCACCCCTTCTATCCCTGTTACATAGGTACCACTAGCTCTTCATATTCCAATGGTAAGCCATGGTACCACACTGAAAGTTCTATTGCAGGGCAGCTGGACACTGTGGCTCATTTATATATTGTGGGTTTGAATTGAAAAATGCTTTTCCACAATGAAAAATACCTGGCCTGCATGTTTCCTCTACCTCTCTCACACCTATAGCAAACACTGCGGGCTGATACGACATTGGTTATCCCTGTGCCAAGGCTCTGTTCTAGATTCCCTTCTAACACAGCATTTCTGGAAGCTATTACTATTAATTTGATGTTGCATTCAAATTAAACTCATTTGTGTTTCCTATTGGGGACTCTTCAGAGGGATAAAAATGCTTCCTACTAGGAGCAGTAGCCATGTTAACAGGAGGTTGAGCATATATAGTCTCAGGTGATATTACAAGGAGTGATAGACAGCTGGGTGGGTGAACATGGGCTATCTCTCCATTGAATTGTCTCCTTTAGTGTCCCTTAAGAAGAGTTTTTAATCTCCTGCATATAGATCTTAAGCATCTTTTATCAGATTTATACCTAGGGCCTAGGTAATTGATGCTTTTTTTTTTTAACTAATTTAAATGTCTTTTGTAAAAATACATTTTCTAATTGTTTGTGGATGATGTCAAATGCAATTGATTTTTGTATATTGACCTTATATTCAGCTATCTTGCTAAACTTATTATTGCTAGCAATTGTATAAAATTTCCTCATAATTTCCTAACATAATCATAATCTGCAAAAATAGCAGTATTATCCCCATTTTTTCAAGCTTTAGGTCTTTATTTTTCTTGTTGATAGCACCATCTCAGCTCACTGCAAGCTCTGTCTCCTGGGTTCACGCCATTCTCCTGCCTCAGCCTCCCGAGTAGCTGGGACTACAGGCACCCACCACCACGCCTGGCTAAATTTTGTATTTTTAGTAGAGACAGGGTTTCACCGTGTTAGCCAGGATGGTCTCGATCTCCTGATCTCATGATCCGCTTGCCTTCGCCTCTCAAAGTGCTGGGATTACAGGAGTGAGCCACTGCACCCAGCCTTCTTGTTGAACTTCTACTATAATGGTGAATAAAAATGGCAATAGTAGGTATTATTGTCTTGCTGCTCATTTTAAGCGGAAGACTTCAAATATTAAACTCACCTGCCATTTTTAGGATAAACCCAACTTGGTCATACCATGTTATCTTTTTTTATATTTTGTTTAATTCAGTTTGCTAATCATATAGTTCCCTTGTTTTTCTATTATCTGAAAGTGCTTTTGTAATAGTGGAGTAATGTATTCCTCGAAAACTTGGGAAAAGCACCTTTAAATTATCTTGATTTATAATTTTTTGTGAGAAGATTTTTTATTGCTTCAGTGTCTTTAATAGTTAAAGAATTTTGCAGGCTTCATTTTCTGTTGGAATCAGTTTTAGTAAATTATATTTGTCTCTTTTTCTAAGATTTTGTTTGTTCTAAAATGTATTTACATTCTTTTTTATATTAATATTTTTGTCCTAAACTGTATCTGTAATTATGCTTCTTTTTTAATTCATAATATTTGTGTGTCTTCTCTTTTCTTCTCAGCTAGTCTCCAAAGGGTTTATTTTATTTCTTTTTTTGAAAGAACCAACTTCTTCAGGCTTTATTGACTTTTTTCTTTGTTCTTTCTTTCTTTTTTTTTTTTTTTTTGAGATGGAGTCTCGCTCTTGTTGCCCAGGCTGGAGTACAATGGCATTTTCTTGGCTCACCACGACCTCGGCCTCCTGGGTTGAAGCAGTTCTCCTGCCTCAGCCTCCTGAGTAGAGTAGCTGGGATTACAGACATGCGCCACCACACCTGGCTAATTTTGTATTTTTAGTAGAGATGGGGTTTCTCCACGTTGGTCAGGCTGGTCTTGAACTCCCGACCTCAGGTGATCCACCCACCTTGGCCTCCAAAAGTGCTGGGATTATAGGCATGAGCCACCGCGCCCAGCCTATTGACTCTTTATTATGCTGCTTTCTTTTCTATTGCATAGATGTATTGCCTTATCTCTTTTTTCCCCTTCCTCCTGCTTTCTTTGATTATGTTTTTCTTCTCTTTAACTTAGAAATATAGCCCATGAATATTTGGCTTGTCTAATACATCATTTATGGCTTCATATTTCCCTCAAGTGCCACTTTGGCTGTATCCCACACATTTTGTTGTATAATGTTTATGTTATCATTACTCTCTAATCCTTCAACATTTTTCATTTGAATTTCTTCTTTGACCTATGAGGATGTAGAGTGCAGTTTCCAATTGCCAAATTACATTTTCTACATGTGCATGAGTTTCTCCTTGTCCCTCACATCAGACAGACATTAGCTTAATGGTTAAAAGTCTTGGGCTTTGAGATCTAATAGACTTGGATTCAAATCATAGCTCATTCACTCACTCCTGTATTTATTAAATAGACATTATTCTTGGTGCTGAGGATATATCACTAAACAGAAATCCATGCTCACATAGATGTTATATGCTGATATGCGTCCCACCATTTAGTAGACTCCACTCTTATTGTATCAGTTGGAAAAAGTCTCTCAGTTTCTCCCTGTAGATGAATTTTTTTATCTGTCAGTGAGAATAATAATTATTCTATTCTAGGGAGCTCTTGGGAGAACGTAGTGAGACAAAGTGCTTAGTACAGTGGTTAGAACAGTGAACATTTTAGTAAATGCTTGCTATTACCATATGGACAGCTTTCTTAGAAAGCCTTTCCAAACCTAGCCCCACCCCTCCCCTTCCTGGCACCCAGACAGAGCTAGATGCTTCTTTTGTATTCCTCCAGAGCATATTGTACTGGCCTCTAGCAGAATACTCAGGCAAAATATTGTAATCATGAATTGTCCACATCTCCCACCAGACTGCCAGTTCTTTAAAGACAAAGAATATATCATATGTAATTTTTTTTTACCTCAGCATCTACCACAGTGCCTGGCAAGTGTTAAATGCTAAATAAATATATTTGAAATGACTAAAGGAAGGATTGATACAGATTTAGGAAAAGGAAAGTAAGTGTATGTTGCTGAGATATCTATTGATTCGTTTAGTCAAAAAATGTTTATTAGGCACTGATTACCTTCAGCCACTTTTCAAGGTACTGTATAGGTTCAAACAAAACAGACAAAATTTTGTTATGATACTTAAATCTTAGAAAGGAGAAATATACATCAGATATGGTTGAGTGATTGCAGAAAAATAAAACAGATTAAAGAAGTAAACAGTATTGTGGGAAGGCTGCTATTTAATATGTGATGGCCAAAGAAAGTCTCTCTGATAAGGTGTCATCTTAGTAGAGACCTGAAAGAAGTGAGAGGGCAAATCAGAGGGACACGTGGATGAAATATTCCAAGTTGAAGAAATAGCAAGTGCTGAAGTTCTTTAATCATATTCAAGGACAGCAAGGAGGCCAGTGTGGCTGCAGCAGAAGCACCGAGAGGGAGAGCGGTAAGAGGTGAAGTCAGAGTGGTGGGCAGAGAGAGTGAGGATGCAGAGAGTGCAAACCCTTGCAGACCATGGCTTTGCCTCTAAATGAGAAGAGATTCCGCTGAAGGGCTCTGAATGGGGACGTTCCTGTAATACACTCTGAGTTACATTTTACAAGAATCCCTCTGGCTGCTACATGGAGGTCCGACTAGGGTTACAGGGGTAGTGGCAGAGACCACTTAGGACAGTATTGCAACATTCCAGGCTACAGTAGTGGTTTGGATCAGAGAGATAGCAGGTGGTAATTATGATTCTGGGTATTTTTCAAACAGAGCTGATAGATTTTGTTCAATTGTGTGTGGGTTGTTAAAGAAAGAGAAGAATCAAGGATAACCCCAAAGTTTTTGGCTGAACTACTAAACAAATTGAATTAGCATTTGGTTAGAGGTAGAAGACTGGTGAAATAGCAAGTTTGTGTATGTATTGGGAGGGGGGTGGTTAGCAGTGGGTGTATCAGGAGGCCCATTTTAGAGCTGTTAAATGTGAATGTCTCTTACACCTCCAGGTGGAAATGTTGAATAAGTATATGGATATATAGATCAGAACATCAGTGTTGAGATCAGAATCTCTTATGCTATCAACCTGTACATAACTTTCTTATTTACCACCATCTTTTTAAAGTATAAATCCCTATGGACCAGATGATTCTTGAGAATCTTCTCTGAAGAGGAGTTATATTTTTCAGATAGATTTTTAGATTTTAAAAAAATGCCAATTTTTTTAAGTAGGGCAATAATCGTATTACTATAATAACTGACATCATAATTGAATAATGAGCTTAGGCATATGCTTTGCAAAAACCTACATACCTTAAATAAAATTGAATTCAAATGAGTATCTTTTCAAAAGAACTGCTGAATTCACAAATGTATGTAAACAGTTCTTAGTTCAGCTTAATCTAAGTATTAATATAAAAACACTACTATGGATAAAACCCTGGATACCAGAGTGGACAGTTGAGTCTTACATATTCCCAGAGAAATATTTAAAGTAAGCTAACACAAGAAAATCTTGCCTTTAGAATTTTTAAGTTAAACTTTTAATAAAGATTCAAATAAAATATTAAGAAACTTTCTAAATGGTTCTGACAGTAATGGTCCAGCCAGGGAAATAAAGTTTCTAGCCTCTTTCTTGGGGCTTTCAGAATAGACTAGATAACCTTAGAATTAAATGTGGATTTATGTTTTTCTGAACAGTACCCCCTTTTATTGACTACATGTTTCCCCAAGAATTTGTTTTAGAGTAGATGTTTCAAATAAAGGGTCCAATTCTTAACCCATTCACATTGTCTCATTTTGCAGATAACCACTTGCCTAGCATAAAAATCTTTACGTTGTTCTCAGAAATTGATTCTTGACTCTACACAGCAAATCCTTCGTCTTTATTGCTGTGACCCATTATAAATACCTTCCACTATGATGGGCTTATATTCTCCTATTCTCCTCTAGCACTTACTCTCTTTTTTCCCCCAGGTTTCCAGGTCTTGGCAACCTTTGAAATTCCAATTCCATTTGAGAGAGCTTTGACGAGGCCATATGCTGATTTCACCACCAGCAACTTCAGAACCCAGTACTGGAATGCCATCAGCCAGCAGGCCCCTGCCATCATCTATGACTTCTATCTGTGGCTCACTGGAAGGAAACCCAGGTGAGAAGCTGAGTCAATGGCTTTGAGAATGTCACTGCATATGGGAGATTGAGGCCCCAAAGTCTTTAGGGCTTCCTTCAGCCAAAGATTAAAGGAGACAACTGAATCTGACCCATATATACAGATTGAACACACCTACTCTGAAAATCCAAAATCTGAAATTCTCCAAAATCCAAAAGTTTTGAGTGCTGACATGATGCCACAAGTGGAAAATTCCGCACATCTTACCTCATGTGATGGGTCACAGTCAAAACACATTCAAAACTTTGTTTCATGCATAAAATTATTTAAAATATTGTATAAGATTACCTTCAGGTTATGTGTATGTGGCTAAGTGTGTATGAAGCATAAGTGAATTTTGTGTTTAGACATGGCTCCCATTCCCAAGATACCTCATTGCATTGAAGCAAATATTCCAAAATCTGAAAACAGTTGAAACCCAACACACTTCTGACCCAAGCATTTCAGATAAAGGATACTCAACCTGTATAAGTTTTGAACAAACAAAGCAGTCATAGTGAGAAGCCACAGAAGCCTCCTACATTAAAAATGCTCCAGCATAATAAAGGAAGGTAAATGTTAAAGCGCCTGCTTGGTGAATTCAGCAAGTGATCATTCACGCAAAAAGAAAAGCAACTGAGACTCTGTCACTAGGGTTTTTCAAATAGGTAAAGAATCTTAAATATCCAGTAATGATGACAGCCTCACTTACTGGGAGCTTACTCGTGGGGCTAAGGAGGATGCATGATGATCCCATTTTTATTGTCACAGCTACCGAAGGAAGATACCCTCATCAACCCAATTTTACAAATGGAGAAATAGAAGTTAAGGGAAGAATCTGAAGTAGTCTCAAAGGCAGTGACAGGAAGGATGTGGAGAAAGCTGAGTGTCAAAGTCAGTATTCAGGACCGGCTTTACTGCTACTTAGAGATGAATGAAGAAATCAGAGGGAACGCAGTGTGCTGATGCTAAAGCAGCTGTCACCACCCAGCTGTGTGACATAGGACATATTCTTTCTCTGTCTCACTTGACTAATATGATATGTCAGAGGAGACATGATTGTAATTGCCTAAAGCAATTCTTGTGATCAAGACTCAGAAGCACGAACAGTATTGCCCTCTGTGTTAGCCCCTTTATAAGGGAGGATATCATCTTCAGCATGCTGAATTGTCATCTTTCTTAGCAGTGCAAATGACTAAAACTTAGCCAATGTAGAGTTTGTCCAAATTTGGAGCTCATAACTCAGTTCTTGAGCAAAGTGAAAAGAAAACATTGTGATTATGGGGAAAATATTTGACGGGACTTATCAAATAAAGATAGGAAAAGAAGAAAACCCAAATATTATAGGCAGAAATGCTAAAGGTTTTAAAATATGTCAGGATTGGAAGAAGGCATGGATAAAGAACAAAGTTCAGTTAGGAAAGAGAAACACAGAAGGAAGAGACACAATAAAAGTCATTATGTATTCTGTGAGAAGTCAGTAAGATTTGTTGGAAGTGGGTTGGTTTGTTGTATGGTATGTATTTTAGCAATAATCTTTATGGCAGAGAAAGCTAAAATCCTTTAGCTTGCGTGAATGATCACTTGCTGAATTCTTCGAGGTAGGCATGATGAAGGAGGGTTTAGAGGAGACACAGACACAATGAACTGACCTAGATAGAAAGCCTTAGTATACTCAGCTAGGAATAGTGATTCTGAGGACACACTGTGACATGATTATGCCATTACATGTATGGTAGTGATGGGGATGATAGAAGGAAGAACTTATGGCATATTTTCACCCCCCCAAAAATCAGTTAAATATTGGGACACTAACCATCCAGGTCTAGAAAAGTCACATGCCATAGCCATGGTATTGCACATCATTCATCTTGCATTCTTTGAGAATAAGAAGATCAGTAAATAGTTCAGAAGTGGGAAGCTTTGTCCAGGCCTGTGTGTGAACCCAATATTTTGTTTAGAAATAGAACAAGTAAGTTCATTGCTATAGCATAACACAAAATTTGCATAAGTGGTGGTCAGCAAATCCTTGAATGCTGCTTAATGTGAGAGGTTGGTAAAATCCTTTGTGCAACACTCTAACTCCCTGAATGTTTTGCTGTGCTGGGACCTGTGCATGCCAGGCAAGGCCAAGATGGCTCAAAGAGCAACCAGCCACCTCTGCAGCCTGCCACCTCCTGCTGGCAAGATTTGTTTTTGCATCCTGTGAAGAGCCAAGGAGGCACCAGGGCATAAGTCTACTCACTTATATCTGTCTGGAACATAACGCTTGTTTGTTTTTACAACAAATAAAATTGATCTTGAATAAAAACTGAGTGGTCATTGTCATTAATCTTTGAAGCCAGATTAACCTTTTGGTCATGCCTAGTCTAAGAGAAAAGAGATACTCTTATCAATAAATACAGAGCCCAGCTATGTCAGTGAAGATCTCAAGTGCATAGAAAGTAGTATAGGGAAGAGTCAGAGGCCAAAAAGACAGTGATGGCAGACATTGAACAGAGGAGAGTGTGGTGTTTGCCTTTGCATCAACTGAGATTATGGAAGAACACCTGAGGCTTGCGGAGAGCACCTACAAGATACCATAAGAACACCTATGAAGTGAGAAAAATTGAATTACTGTTGTTCTTGTGGTTACGATTGTATTTATGGTTGTTACTTCATTCATATTAATCACCTATGTGCCCAAGTGTAATCATGAAGTTAGGTTTTTCCCAGATTTTTTTATTAGACTCAAGAATTCCCATAGACAAAGGCAATATCACTATCCTTTTTATACATTTCTTCTCTCAGTTCTGCAGAGCCAGAATGTAGAGTCCAATCTTTTAGATAGGTTATGCAATAAAGGCTGACTTGGATTATCTAACTGGTACATGAGGCCCCGTGTGGTAGTTTACTCCAGAGGAAATTGGCACCTGTATATAATTGTAGTTAAGTCGATCCCTTGATATCAGAAAAGTTTCTGCTATGCAGTCCTTTTTGATGATTTAATAATATACATCCTCATTTTAGACAGTACCAGTGGCCATAGATGTACTTGGCAGCAGAGTATTACAGATGGTAAAGCTTGAATCTGCGTTTTAGTAGCAAGAGCATTTGGAGTCTTGTGCTTCCCTTGTAGACATCTTCTTCACATCTACAGCCTATCTTTCGTCTACTGTTGTTACTGCTACTAGTTCCATAGACATTCTAATTTTCACTTGGGATATACATTTTTGTTATTTGTAAGCTCCCCCTTTTTCATTTTTTCACCCCCTTTCAGACTGTTCTAAAATCAGAAAGGAAATTCTCCTCCTTGAGCATGTATATGTTTTTGGCTCTTGGAACTTGAGATGATGGTGCAAGTAAGTACCAGCACATTTTCCAGATAAGTCATGTGAAGTGATTTATGTTTCATAATATGATCATTTCTGATTGATCTTATCTATTATGACCACCCATAGAGATGGCTGTAAAGAATTAAGAACATCAAACAATGTCAAGTTGTTCATTGCATGTATTTCAGAACATTGCCAAGATAAAGCCAGGTGGAGTCATTAATTTCACCAGCAAGTTATTTCCTTGCTGCAATACCAAAGACTGTAATTTTTGAATTAAAGCCTCTGGTTTTTCTAACTCATCTTTCATTGTTGATCATGGCAAGTGAATAATTAATGAATGTATATGTTTAGGTTATGAGGAATTTAAAACACAACCTAAGACTTGTAATGTTGATTGCTTTTGAATGTTGTAATGGTTTTGAGAGTGTCTGCTTAATTACATACTTGCTTTTCTTAGAAAATCAACTCATTTCATTATTAGTGATTAATTTTCTCTTAAATATTTAACTTCATATTTTAATCACTGTGCCTGGGATTCCATTAGATATTTGAAAAGATCAAGTTTAATGTTTTTACCCAGGTAACATATACAATGGCTCAAGATTTGTGTTCAAACTTTGATCTCACAATTTAAAAAAACACGCATTAAGCACCATGGAAATCCCAACAACTTCAGCAAGAAAGAGTCTTTGTTCCATAGTTTCTTTGCTTGATAAATATGTGCACTAAAATAAATGGAATATCTTAATTCAGTTTTTGCTTCATGAGACTGGTTGAGTGAACTTAGGCCTAGTGCTTTGAAAATTGGCCTGTTGTAGAAGACTGATATTCTAATTGCCTAAAGAGAGTCCATTTCTTATAAGAACACATATATTTTGGAAGATGTGGTATTTCTCAGAAAACTGCTGAAATGAATTATGTATCTTTTCTATCTTTAATTTTATTTCAAAGATCTAAAGCTTTCACTTGAAAATTAGTCTTTTGGAAAAAAAGACATTGAAACTAGTGTTAAATTATATTTCATTGAGGTAATGAATATAAAGATTCATTTGCTGTAATCTCCTTGTGATCTTTTAAAGTAGTTTCTTGTACTTTTAAAAATAACACTATAATGGTCTATATGTGTATCAGTTTTTACAATAATTTGTCTAAACTTTAGCTTATACCGGTGTGCATGAAAAACCAAGTGCAGTCTGAATTAGCACAATGCAAATAGAAAACCGACCTTTTATTTTCCTCACAAAATTATATCTAATATAAACCTTATGTAAATAAAGAATTTTTAAGTGCTTGTAAATTAGTAAGAAAATCATACAAAATGTCAGTGGAGTAGAATAGTTAAGGATTTTATATCACAGTAAAATGCATTTCTAAATTGACAGTATTGTTATAAAACATATTCTTGAATATTGTATGAATTTATCACCACTATTGAAGTCAAAATAAAGATGGATCTCTAAAGTATACAATTTATTTGGGAATCACAGAATTGTAGTTCTGAACAAAACTGAAAACCATGGTGGTCTTCTATATGTGTGAAGGACAAAGAGAAGATTGGGGGTTTACTAGCAAGGGAAATGCTACATATTGTTTTGAAAGAAAGCTCACGGACACTAGAGAAGATTTTGGGAGCTGGTCAAACAAGCCTAATGGGAGACAAATCTTTTGAGACTTCCCAGGAGCCCAACTAGAAAATCCCTTAGTCAATTTTAGGTGAAAAAGACTTAAACTTGAATTTGATTCTGGGGAAGTTTGTCATTTGTTTGGATGCAAAAAGCCTAAAAATATTTAATTAAAGTGGAATTACATATTCTTGAGAGATAATGGTCACTTATTTAACCAGAGTAATAATGGAAAGACTTCAAAAACAAATTCAAAAGTTACATAGTCAAGACAAAAAAAAATACTTAGACCTGTATTAGAGATGACTTAGTTTTTTCAGCTGCTCAAAACCCGAATGAAGACAGCCCAAACCACAAGAAGCTATCTTAAAACATAAAATATCTGCTTGTTAGGTAGAATACTTAGAGAGAGAGAGAAAAAACCTTTTGTAGTATGACCATTTCTCTTGGTATATGCCCTTTTGAGTAAGCTGGAAATTAAACCCCATGAAAAACTACTTTAATTCAATTAGATGCCGGAAGAGTGTGTGTCTAAGGTTATAAGTAAACCATATTATAGAATAATAATACACACACACACACACACACACACACACACACAAGTAGTACCTCCACCAGGGGGAATGGATGGCTTTTAGAAAAAGTAAGAGCATGTGAAGTTTCCTGGTTACATAGAACAATTTGGATACATCAGAAAAAGCCAAGAGTACAGAATTAATCTATACTGGAAAAACGTTTTTCCGGTTTTTTTTGAGACTAACATTCTCAGTGTCAGGTTATAATACCTGAGTGCGAAATGCGGAAAAATGCAATAGGAACTGACCAAAAAAAAAAAAAAAAAAAAGAGAGTCACCACTTTAGTTAAGCAAAAAGATGTACTGTTTTAAGGAGAGAAGAAGAGCATAAGGCATTGAAGTATTAACTGCAAATTACACGTAGTGAGATGCATAAAAAGCCAAAGCCTTGAGATAAAAATCTGAAAAACTTTAAGAGGAAAACTCTACCTCCTGAAACGAAGCGGTCATTTATTTTTCTTTATTGCTGCTTCTAAAAAGAGGATACATGTACAGAATGTGCAGGTTTGTTGTATAGGTATACGTGTGCCATGGTGGTTTGCTGCACCTATTGACCCGTCCTCTAAGTTCCCTCCCCTCACCCCATCCCCCAACAGACCATGGTTTATGTTGTTCCCCTCTCTGTGTCCATGTGTTCTCAATGTTCAACCCCCCCTGAATGAGAACATGCAGTGTCTGGTTTTCTGTTCTTGTGTTAGTTTGCTGAGGATGATGGCTTCCAGTTTCATCCATGTCCCTGCAAAGGACATGCTGTCATTCATTTTTCATGGCTGCATAGCATTCCATGCTGTATATGTAATACATTTTCTTTATCCAGTCTATCATTGATGGGCACTTGGGTTGGTTCCAGTCTTTGCTATTGTAAATTTTGCTGCAATAAGTAGAATGATTTATATTCCTTTGGGTATATACCGAGTAATGGGATTGCAGGGTCAAATGGTATTTCTGGTTTTAGATACTTGGGGAATCACCATGCTGTCTTCCACAATGATTAAACTAATGTATATCCTCACCAACAGTGTAAAAGCATTCCTATTTCTCCACAGCCTCGCCAGCATGTATTGTATCCTGACTCTTTTAAATAATCACCATTCTGACTGGCATGAGATGGTCTCTCATTGTGGTTTTGATTTGCATTTATCTGATGATAAGTAATGTTGAGCTTTCTTTCATATGTTTGTTGGCCAACTTCTTCTGGGAAGTGTCTGTTCATATCCTTTGCCCACTTTTTAATGATATTATTGCTCATATTAACTTTGAAATGACTGAAAATTCAAAATAAAGACAAAGATAAAATTATATTTTTTAAGTTATAGGTATGAAGTATCTTTGAAAGGAAAGAAATTTCTAGATTATATGTATATGTATGTGTATATATTTATATGTATATGTGTGTATATGTATGTGTGTATATATAATATGTAGATACTGTTTTCAACAAAAAAATTATTAGAGTCAAAATAGTACCATCTCCAGATGTTTTTATTTAGCTTGGTATCTAAAATCATTTTAGGTGACTCATTCCCATGTGTGGAAAATTATTAAAATTTGTTGTCTACATCTGTGGTATTCAGTATAGTAGCTGCTAGCTACTTAACTTTTAATCAGTTATAATTAAACGAAATTTAAAATTCATTTCTTGCATCATACTAGCTACATTTCAAATGCTCAATAGACACACTTGCCTAGTGGCTACTTTATTGGACAGGGCAGGTATAGAATATTTCCATTATCACAGAATATTTAACCAGACAGCATTGATCTAAATGGTTTTTTTTTTTTTTAACTGGAGTGCAGTGGTGCAGTCTCAGCTCATTGCAACCTCTGTCTCCAAGGTTCAAGCAATTTTCTGCCTCAGCCTTCCAAGTAGCTGGGATTATAGGTGCCCACCACCACATCTCGCTAATTTTTTTATTTTTGGTAGAGACAGGGTTTCACCATCTTGGCCAGGCTGGTCTTGAACTCCTGACCTCATGATCCAACAGCCTTGGCCTCCCAAAGTGCTGGGATTACAGGCATGAGCCAGTGCGCCAGGGCAAGTATCTTGTAGAGAAAGTTTATATTATGATTCAGATTTCCATGTTGCCCATCTTTTTTATTAATCTTATAGACACTTATTGGAGCGCTTATTATGTCTTAAGTGCATGAGAAGTGCAAAGAGTGTAAAGACAAAAATGATGTAGCCAAATCAAGTGGTGGAGACAGACATTTAAAACATAATTGCAACCCAACATGAATTCTCCAGGGAGAGGAGAGCAAAGGACAATGAAGGCAGAAAGAATCACGCTTGCAAATCCATGAACGGTGTGGTGTGTTTGGGAAACTCTGGGTAATTTATTTGGCCCTAGACAAGTAAAAACAAGGACTAGAAACGTATGCTGAGGCCAGATCTTGAAAGATTTCAAATAACTGCAGTCAGGTTACACTCCATTGAATGAAAACCCAGTTGAAACTGGTTTAAAACACAAATGTGGTGTATTGATGTACAATGGAAAAAATCCAGCACTAGAGTGGTGAGCAGCTGTGATTCAACTAGAGCTCTGGCTGCCTTGGTCTTTGTGAGTCTCAACTCTGCCACTTTGTTCTGGTTTTATCTTCATGATGAATAAGATGTTTGCTGTAGCTTCAAGCTTTACACACATACATGGCAATGACTGGATGAAGAGAGGCTGGCCCTCTCCAAGATTTTCTCCCAAGATTGATGAAACTTGTTTTCTAAAAACCCTCAGCAAATTTCCCTCCCATCGCATCAGCCTAGTTAAGGTTACCTGTCCATTTCTGGCCAGCCCCTGTGGCCTGAGATTATGCCATGTACTAGTTTGTTGAGAAACCTCAGATGTAAGCCAATCACTGTCTAGAGTGTAAGAGCGCATGGAGATCAATCAGCTTTTCTCTGAAGCTGGGGTGAGATTATGTGTTTCTGAGGCAAGGTGGCTACTGGAGAAGGGCGAATACCTGCGTGATAATTCAGAACTCATCAAGAGATAGAAGACTGGGTGTTAGGGGGTTAGCATTCTGAGTGGAGCATGGTTTCTGGAGTCAGAGAGACCTGAGTTGGTGTCCTTTATCCACCAGTGGGTGGTGTAACTTTATGTAACTGAGCCTCAGTTTCCAAGTGGAGATTATAATGGTCATTGTCTTTCATACCGTTGTGAGATGTAAAGGGGTTAACACAGGAAAGGCACTTAGAATAGTGCCTGAACCACAGTAAGCGCTCAGCAAATATTAGCTTTAAATTCATACTCAAATATGGGAGGCAGTTTGAACTTTATCTTTTAGAGTCTGACACTCCCATTGAAGGTCTTTTGTATCTTGACAGCTGGAAGATTTCCTACTACTTAAATAATAATAAAAAATTAGAACTCAAGTGATGCTGATGAGGATAGGAAATGTGAATTATTTGAGTAGTTGGGACATAAATCACATGGCCCGCAAAGCTGAGAATATTATCTGGCCCTTTACAGAAGTTTGCCAACTCCTGAAATAGAGGACCAGAAAAATGTCTTCTGATACAAAACACCTAAACATGTTAAGCCTGGTGCAGTGGCTCACCCCTGTAATCCCAGCACTTTGGGAGGCCAAGGTAGCTGAATCCTCCCACCTCAGCCTCCCAAGTAGTTCCATATCAGTCTGGACAACATGGTGAAACCCTGTCTATACTAAAAATACAAAAATTAGCTGAGCATGGTGGCAGTTGCCTGTAATCCCAGCTACTTGGGAGGCTGAGGCAGGAGAATGGTTTGAATCCAGGAGGCAGAGGCTGCAGTGAGCCGAGATCACACCACTGCACTCCAGATTGGGCAACAGAGTGAAACTCTTTCTGGAAAAAAAAAAATGTTTTTATGAAACAGTTTTAATGCGCAGCTGAACTTGTGGCAAAATAAGGAAATTCCTAAGTGTCCTGAAATGACAAGAAAGTACACACCTGCACACAGAGCGAGAGAAGTTGAACAAGCACACACACAAATATGACAAATGTGTATTGAGAGCCAAATACACATCAGGTACATATTGCTCTGTGCCTGGGGAGCAGGGGCAATAAGGTAGAAAATAAAACAGACATGGGATTAACCTCATAGATCTTAAAGTCCAGTGAGGTAGGCAACTTTTACAGGAAATAAATGTATATTAAATATTTTGAAAAGTACTGTGAAGAAAAAGAGCAAGACGCTTTGAAAGAGAGTAACAAGTGACACCTGCTTTAGGATTATGTGCCTTGGAAAGGACTCCAGAAATAGTGCCACTGGAACTCAGGAGTTAAAGTATTCATGGAAATGGGAGAGAGCATTTCTTTTAGGTAGATGCCTAGGCTCTGCCAACTTTGCTTGATTCTATCTGACTCTGTAAGACAAGTTATAGAAGTATAATAATGCCTTTGCTACAAAACCAGAAATGGATAAATACTTTAGAAGAAATTTTCACGTCTCATCAAATGGGCATTTTCATGCTATAGTAATTGTTCCAATTTAAAACATTCATTTATACATATTTTCTTCTTCTTTTGTTTCCTTTTTTTTTTTTTTTTTTTTTTTGAGACAGGTTCTCACTCTGGTTCCCAGATTGGAGTACAGTTTGCAATCAGCTCACTGTAACCTCAAATTCTTGGGTTCAAGGGATTCTCTTGTCTCAGCCTCCTGAGTTGCTGGGAATATAGGCACACACAGCCACAGCTGGCTAGTTTTCATATTTTTTGTAGAGATGGGGTATCACTATCTTGCTTATGCTGGTCTCGAACTTGTGGTCTCAAGCAATCCTCCTGCCTCAGCCTCTTAAAAGTGCTAGGATTACAAGTGTGAGCCACCACACCTGGTTTATACATATTTCAATAGTTTTAATATGACAGCAAAGTCCATTTGAGGCAGAGGACAGACTTTTTTTTAAATTATTGAAACATCTGTCTTGCTCTTATCACCATAGCTGGAGGGCAGTGCATGACCATGGTTCACTGCAGCCTCAACCTCCTGGGCTCATGTGATCCTCCCACCTCAGCCTCCCAAGTAGCTGGGACCACAGGTGTGTGACACCATGCCTGGCTAATTTTTTTTTTTTTTTTTTTTTTTTTTGTAGACATGGTGGTCTCACTACATTGTAGAGGCTAGTCTCGAACTCCTGGTTTTAAGCAATTGGTTAGTCTCGAACTCCTGGTTTTAAGCAATTTTCTGGTCTCAGCCTCACAAAGTGCTGGGATTACAGGTATGAGCCACCACACCTGGCTAGAGAACAGATTTTAATAACAAAAGAAAAGTCCTTTTTATTCTCAGGTTGACTTTAGGAGCCTGTCTAAAGTAAAGGTGGGTAGATGAGACTGATTGCTTACAGAAAGCTAGCTTTGTGTGCTGAACTTGATACTATTAGAGGTTTCTTGAAAGATCTGGGAAAAAAGGTTTAAAATTGCAACTGGAAGATGTTTGCTAGACTAGAAATGGAGAGTCCCAAGCACTCAGGAATTCAGCAAATGGCTGCTGGTTAGGTTTTTGTTTTTATTTTTTGGATTTAAGATACCCTCAAACTCTAGTTATTTCTGAATTGAAGAAGACCAATTGATGGGTATGTTTGTATTAGTAAAATCAAAAAGCTTATTAATTTATATTTCACATTAACAAAACCCATAAAGAAATTATACTTTGCCTTTGTAACCCATATGTCACCTTGGATATCCCTGCCCTTTAATAAAATGTAATTAATGAATTCCCCAAGAATTGTTGAGGATTCTCAGGTGGCTAATTGTTCATGGTCATCTCTGCTGTTGCTGGGGATGGAATCAGTTTTGTTTATGAATCATTTTCATTTCACATGGGCTCCATAACAAGTCGATCCAGACCAGGTAAAGGCCTCGTTCTTCATTTGTCGTAAATTGAGAATCAAACAACAAAAAGAGAGAACACGTGCCTAGGCCTGCCTAAGACTCATAGGACCTGCCTTTACATACCACACATGGACACCCAATCTTTCAATGCGTCATCCTCTACCCTGTTAACTGAAGTTTTCTGTGTTTATTTTTCTCATCTTTTAAATCTTCCATTTACTGTAATTTAGGAGAAAATGAGGTCACTGAGTTTGTTAATTCATTTTGCTGAGTTTAGTACACAAATTCTAGGCAACATTTCACAGACCTGGCTCTTTCATGGTGTAATAAATGTGGGCTTTTGCAAACTGTTTTCCTCTTTTTGGTCTCACAGCTATGTTTTGGATAATTAAAGTTGCTAAAGGTCTAAACAGTCAATAGCAGTTTACTAGTAGGTTTTGTTCTTACATCTGCACTGGGCGGTAGCATAGGGCAGTAGAAAGAACACTGAAGCTCTAGATACTACTATCTCCTCAATCAGAGAAGTAGAGCTTGGTGGAGAGACCATAGCCTAGTTAGCTAACCCATATGAGTCTTGTTTTTATTATGCATAAAGTGGATCTGATAATAATAGCTATTTCACAGGGATTTGCAAAAATCAAATGTAATCCTAAGTATAAAATAATGTTTTATATTGTGCAATATAAATATTAGTTTTGTTATCAGTAACCTCTCATTTCTTTTACCCAGGTATGTTCTTTTGTTCATTATCCCTAAGCAAGACTCTCTACATTGCCTGTATCAGTTTCACACTCTTATCAAGGATGTATACATTCCTACATTTTCTTTCCTACAGTTAGTCATCATTTCATTAGAAAGACATTTAAGTACTCACATTTGTATTATAACATTTAATTTGAAAAAAGCTTTTTGCAAGAAAGGAGAGTATAATCAGGAATTCATCTATAAAGTCCTAGGTTTCAGCAGCCTGTGCCACATGTGTTCACAGTCACTCTCCATTCTGCATGAGTTGTACTAATGTGGGAGCTGAAGGAGATAAACCCCCCAAATCAGTAGCTTAATACAAATGAAATGTGATTGTCAATCACAGTAGTTCTAACTGGTAGAAGGCGTTGCACTCCACAGTCACTCAAGGATCCATGCTGATGGAAGGTTGCCATCTTCTGCACGTGGCTTCTAAGTCATCCATCTCTCTGGATGACAATATCCAGCTGCCAATGGGGTAAAAGGGGCACTGACATCATGTGGAAGGATTTTATGGTCCAGGTCCAGCAGTGCCCATCACATCTGTCCATATTCCATCCTCAGAAGTGTTACTGGGCTACATCTATATATGAGGATGGCTGGAAAATACATAGCTGTGTGCCCAGGAGGAAAGGAAAATAGGATTATTGAACAACTAATGAGGTTCTGCCATGGCCTTCTTTTTAGGTCACCAAATACCTGCCTTCCTGTCTTTCCCACACATACAAGACACTCATTCCTACCCAAGGGTCTCATACCATTATTGCATCCAGTTCAAATTCCAAGGTCCAAAGTCCAAAGGGGAATAGACTGTACTCTGTATCAGATTCTGATATGTCAGCTTCTGGTTTGGCATTCTTGAATAAAAAGGCCAATTTTCTGCCTCCCATGTAGAGGTAAAAAATATCTCTGTTCTACCTCTTGTCATGGTAGAACAGTGAAAACACCACCATAATTGAAGAAAAAAATAAAATTAAACAAACCTGCTATGCAAGAAAGAGAAGACAGGCAAGCAGCAGTCCCTAGAGTATAACCATAAGGAAATCATGAGTAGCAAGTAGTGAGAAGCTCCCTACACAGGGCATGGGGAAATTCCTTAAATAGCCTCTGAATCTGCTCTCTGGGAGGAACCCTCTTTTCCATCATTTTTGGTGGTGGCTCCATCCTCTGGAAGGTTCTTTTTTCTTATTCCCTGGCTGTCACCCCTGAACTGGCTGTTAAGGAGTGTGCTTTTCTTGAGGTCTTTGGCTTTATAACTCATTCTGCAAGAGTAAAGGCGAAAACCAATGGGTGTTTTATGCCGATCTGTCCCGCAGACTGGCCAAGTGATGAATGAAAGGAGTTCGCTGACACAGGTATTTTTCCTGACAGTGTGGCTAGGGGACTGCACCACTCAGTGCTGCCGATGAGAGAGTGCAGCAGCCGAAAGGAGTGCAGCTTCCCTAAGCTGGCCCCACTTGCATTTATTTAGTACAGATTTAATGACAAGGGCTTGGAGCAAACACAATTTGTGGGTAATTAACATTGTCAACCCCCCAAGTAGAGAGCAGTCCTGCACATGAATGATCAAAGGTTGGTTTCCAGAGATATGAGTAGAACAATTTATCTAGATAAGTTTCTTTACATTCCCTTGTTATCTAACCCTTGCTCTTAAGAGAATTTAACTGCCTTCAGCTAAATTCTCTTTTGAAGCTTTTGCAAAACCTCCCGTTCTTCCAAGAAGGTTTGTGTCTTTCCCTATAACCTTTTCTTACAACTTTTCCCACCACACTGACCAAACTCCTACAGTTTTAGGTTTAAGGTCAGTCATTTGCTGGCTCTGGGGCTGTGGAAGAAAAAATAAATCTGTCAGTTCATGAACACAGTGTGACAGCTTGGCATAAGTAAAAGACATGAACAAAAGGATTAATGAAGGAGTGAAAGAAGGAAGGCATGTGCATTAGGTACAACATCATCTAAAAACTAAAAAAACTGCAGTGCATTAAACTCATTCATTCAACAAGTATTGGTTGAGTGCCTACTAAGTGTCAAGTGCTGGGCCCAATGTGGGGGATTCAGTGGAGGATACAGTGGCAACACATGGAAAGTAAAGGCAGTGAAAAGGCCGTGGATTTAAAAATTAAAGGAAAAAAAGGGGTAATACATTTGTTACTGGTTTTAGCAAATCGAAAAAATGTGAGAAAATAGTGCAGTGTTTGCCAAATCTACAGCTCTTGCACCCTCACTGAGTCTCAAATTAAGAATGCACAAAAGCAGAATTACTAGGAAATCAAAGTTTTATGGGTGTATTCCCTTAAGTAATAGCACTATACTGCAAAATTGGTGGAGGTCGTCTGCACATTTGAAATAACCAACCTACACCTTTACCCCCTCCCCCAGATTCTAACCAAATAAAGTATGAAATAAGGCAGAACTCACCATACTACACCAACTTACCAGGAATGAAGTTGATGCTGATTGGAGAAGTGTCAAGCAATAAAGAAGAGTTTGGATTTATCTTTAACATTGTCTTCATGTCACTCGAGACTTTAATCTCAGCCAAATCTACTTCCAAAACCAATCTCTTGTGCAATGATCTTGTCTGGGTCCAGGCCAAGACTTACTTCTATTGCATAGATAATCTCACCCTTCTTGATTTTTACTCTGAAGAACTTTCCTGTCTGGGTTAGTGTTTCCTCTGGTAGGCATCAGATTCTGCAAATATTTATTGTCTCATGTTAATCAAGGACCCCTCTAGATTCTGCTATTTAACTTTAAGTATTTTGACATAAACAGAGTGATTTAAATGCAGTTGGAACTTGTTCCTAAGTAGGGCCTGGTATAGTTTTTAAGCAATATACCTCTCCAGTCACACATAATAATGAATGGATTCTAACTTACGCTAAGTACTACCGTGTTTCTGAAGGTAATAAACCATGTCAGCTCTGTGAGGCTTAGAAATTTTTCTTTAAAGCATAGTAATGAAAAATGTTACCAGTTTTCCTTTGATTACTACTATATTGCCCAGGAAGTGTGATCAAAAGACATCTGTTATATGTATCAAAATTCATACATCTGCTTCATTCATTTCCTTTTATGGTATCACCTCTAACTTCCAGTTTCCCTGCTGTCAGAGAGAAACAATTAAATGGGAGATGCTTTGGACAACAGGATTTTTAAAAATACAGTGGCCACAGAGAATTGGAACTGAAGAATCAGAAGAGAGGATTAATTTTCTTTCTTCTTACTAAGTTTCTTAAGTATTTTCAGAACTCTTAAAGAGACATATCAATAGCGGGGAAAGTATCTGAATTAATGGCAGGATTCTTGAGGACTTTCTCACAAAGATAATTAAGGTGGCACTCTAAGAAAACAACCAGAGACATCACAAATAATGTATAGATATTTTTATTGTAGTATTACTTATGGTAAACTTGGATCCAATTTGAATGTTCCACAATAGAGGAGTGATTAAATAAACAACAATACATACAAGTGTTAGAAAAGTATTCAGGCATTAAAAATCATGTTTTATCAAATAGTAAATGACACAAAAAGGCTTGTAATATATTCAATGCAAAACCATATTCAGTATAATCTCAACTCTTAGCCCTAAATGTTGATATGATCTTGGATTAATTTTTTTTTTTACATTTTCAAATTTTCAAATTAGAAGTATGATTATTCTACTTCTATGGTGTGGAAAAAATTACCCTCTGTAAAAGTGAATAAATAAGAACAGTCATCTTCTACTTTCCACGTTTTCCAAATACAATGAACACATTACACTTTTACAGTGGAAGAAAAGAAACACCTATCTTTTAAAATAGTAAATAAATCAGAATAAGAAATTCATCATGAATTTATAAAATTATGTCATCAAGTATAAGTTCAGTTCATGTTTAGTTTTGAAACTTTATCAAAATTAAATAGTTTGACTTATTTTTATTAGAAATACGATTCTAAGTATTCAACATTGCTTTTTAAAAAATTATCTTCTAGTTTTTCTCAAAATCTGAGGAGCTGCTACGGAAAGCACACCAGATCTCATGTGTTGAAACGTGAACATGCTCACCACAGACCAAGGACGTTCAACCTGTCAATCCCCAGGATTTCCAAGCCAGGGGTTTCATCTCTTACTTGTGGAAAATTTGTTCATTTGATTATGAACCAATCAGCTTTTCATTGTGTCAAAATCAAATCTAGATAGTGAAACTGATATTTTATCTTTATTGTTATCTTAAATATATCTTGGCTTAAAGAGACATAAGTGGCTCTTCCCCACTATACCAGATAACAAGTTGCAAATAAATCATTCAGTAGTAAAGTTCAAAGAAAGCTTGAAAGCATTTTGAATTTCCTAGTGTCTTACAGATTTGTTTCTTTTTACAACAACCATGTCCCATGTATATCTGTTTAGGACCTTAAGTTGTTAATAATGTACTCTGAATAGTTCCTTAAGAAAACATTAAAAGGACAATGTCCATACCTGGGAAATAAAACCCAAAGTAGTAGGAATTATATTAAAAATCATGTAGTTAATTAAGAATGATTGTGAGCTTAGACACTGAAAAATATGTCACTGAAAGAATACCAAAAATGTCAGCCTTTTCCTCTTAAGTTATAGAAAGGTATATAATATAAGTACTTAGTACATAAGAGAAGAGTTAGAATGAGATTGTACCAGGTTCAGAATTCCTCATCCGAGAAGACCAGACAAAATTCAAGATTTTTAGAGAGGGACTCCCTGAATGATGTCACCAGTAAGTGGGTTTATAAACAAAGACAGAGCTTGGCAGGTTGCACTGGATACTTCAAACCAGTTTCTCTGGAAAAATTTGAGTTACTCAATAAACCCTCAGTTTTCCTGAGGTAAATCAACTTTGAAATACAGTGGAGAACTCTGGGTGATAAATCACGCCGTGTTACACACTAGGACTGCAGTTCACAGAACATGATTAGATTTAAGGCAATAGAAGATAGGAACATTTTTTGAACTAGTTTATTGAATCCTTTTGAGAATATCACTGTTTGGAAGTTCCTAGAAAGCTTAGACAAATTAATCTTCAAGAGGCCAACAAATTAACTTTGAACTAAAAAACAAAAACACAACCAAAAACTTTGAATTAGAAAACATCTGCTAAGAAAAGCCCAACAATCTGACATGTTGATTATTACTTTTTAACACTGCAGGAATACAAAGATGATTGTACTATTCAGACCTTTACATATCACACAACAGAAAAATCCTTCAGTTGACTAGTTTCCATAAACTTTGTAGCGTTATGGCAAAACAAGAGTCATCTGTGAAATACACAAATGTTTTGTACTGAGGGATATTTTCACATAACACAGGAGATGATAAATTTAGACCCCCTCAATCTCATCGTCATACTGATTATACTGTAAGCAGTGATTGGGGTGCACACATTGCATGTTTTGAAGGTATGGATGTGGCAATTCTAATGTATCAACATTGTTTCTGAAAAGCTAAGGTTTTGTTATTGAACTACTATTAGAAGTCGAATGTGATCCTCTTCCAATGTCTGGCATTGCCTTCCTGTGGAATTAACATTCTGTGTGATTTAGAGTACGTGTCCCGACTTTCTCAATGCTCATAAATACCTTGTCTGTAGGAAACTTTCTTTAAGGGAAAAGCAGCTTTAGCCTGTCTCCAGTACATGGCCCTGACTTGCTTATACATGTAATCTATTATGAAGGAAAAAGAGCCATCCTCACAAATCTACAAGATTAAAACTCCTAGCACAAACACAGCTTGAATCAGTGCTTCTGTAGCTTCTTTCAGCAAAGGGACCATCGCCAGCACTGTGGCTACAACATATGCCTTGCCATCAGATACAAGAGTTAGGCTTCATATCCACGTCCTGTGCAATAAAAAAGCTTTAAATCTGAATGGAACATCCATAGAACTAGCTCACAGACAACTCAGAAGCAGGAACACTTTGGTCTGTGTTCAAGTAAAATGAAGGTTGAGATTTCTTTATGCAGCAGCAGAAGTAGGATTCTGTATCTCTCTTTGGAGTCAAGTTGGTCTTTGAAAGAAAACCAATTTGCTTTTAAGAGGTTCTAATCTAGCAGGATACCAGATGATGGCAAGTGTGTTTAAACCAAGTATAGACTAAGGGATTGGTACATTGAAAGACTACCTTCTGTTTCAGCCGAGGGTAATTAGAGTGTCAGGAATGCTGTTATTACTACTAAGATCTCCAAGGACCTAGACCAAGAAGTTCCATCCAGCAACACCTTATTACAGTGTACAGAGGTCAACAGAAAGAGGTAAAAGAAAAAGATAATCTTTTATCAGACTTTTACATTACATTGCTAATTTTTATTACAGAATATTTTTCATTCTCTTATTTTGATCCCCTGATATTTATTTCTGATTCTGACTCTGCCTACTGTTATTCACCCTACTTGTTAATTCTAATCTATTCTTTTTATTTGTAAAAGCATAACTTTTCTGAGGCATAGTTGTGGTGTATATGTGTATTTAACCTATTCTAGAAACAGTAGAAAAGATAGTAGAAGAGAAATAGTAGAAGAGATCGAGATTACAGATTATAATAGCATGTAAAGAGTTTTATACAGTTAATACCTGAGAGTCTGCACAGTGGGGAACTCTGAAGTAATATGTAAGGTGTCAAGAACAAGCAGGTCAGGACTGTGGCACTCAAAGGGCAGGTAACTAGCTTTTCAGTAACATTTTTAAGTAACAGTTTCACAGATCCTCAGAGAATGCCAGGCAGTAAAGGACGCATCTCAAAATCCATACAGCAGATTTCTGGTTTCCAAATTTCTGGGAGATAGTACTTAATACGGTATTTGAAACTCTACAATTGCTATGGAAGAGACATTCTGGAGAGTTACGTATTATCCAAAAATAAATTTTTCAGAAACAAGAAATTTTAAAATAAACCAACCAAAAAAGAATGGCCAACCTTTTAAACCTTTTTTTTCCATTAATAAGGAGCTACATAGTCTGCTGGTGAAGAACTTGATAGAAATTGACTGTTTTCAGTTAGTGGGCTGATCCCCTTGTATCTGTGTCAGATAAAATCATAGCACTTATTATTTGTTACCATGGATACCATGAAGATACTGCCATCCACTAAATAGTAGTAGAGGAAGACAACATAATTTTCTGGAACTAGTCCCGTTTTGCCTTCATAAGTTGCCTTTAACCATCCTGGTTCCACTGATGGGCCACGCTGGAAAATATCACTCCTTGTGGGAAGGAAAACTCATGCTGTGCTCTGCTTTACAGGAGTACATGGCTTTGGCTTGGTGCCCAGAAGAAACTGGCTTAGGTGAACCAACATTTTCAAACAGTTGAGCTTTTGCTGCCACTACTGAGCCAGGACGCTGATAGCCATTGCTTGAGGCGGTGTCTAGTCTTAACCTCCTGCACATTTTTGGAGGCAGGTCTGGGTTTGAAGCTTTGGGTGTCTCCTTGGAACCTACAGAAGCTAAGCTTTGAATATATCCACTGTAGCTGGTGTTTCCTTCAGCTGCAGAGATGGATCTGAGAGAAGAAGCAGAAGCTCTTTTCAGTCCTGAAAGTCCATAAGGCCCTTTCTTGACTAGGTCTATGGGTGGGGAAACATCCCCTGGGCTAGTGACCGAAACAACACTCTGGCAATCTGATTCTGCATCTGTCTTTGTTGCATCTTCTCTAGAAATTGATTCAGGACTGGTTGTCCAGAGACCAAGGCTTTTCTGTCCATGGGAAGATGACGGGGTTGCAATCCAAGGAATCCCTCCAGATTTCTCCCTGGGCTGGCAGGAAGCTGACTTTGTAGTGCTATTTTGTTCTGAGGAAAGAGAAGAGAGTGACTTGTTGCTCCCCATGGGGGTGCTGTCTGGGCTGCTGCTGTAGGAGTCACTATCAGGTTCAGCCAGGCATGGAGTACCCGTCCCTCTGGACTTCCTAGAGCCTGTAGAGAGGCAGATTGCTTGTGTCTTTTGGGATCCAGATCGAGACTGAGGCTGAGGAAGAGGAGTGCTTGGGTCTGGAGCAGTATGAAAAATCGTTTCATCGTGCTCTGTAAGAATTTCTAACACAATATTCTGAAATTTAATATTCACCATAGCAGCTACAGTTTATTCTTGTGCTCTCATTAGAGTTGGGCCAAATATGACACCAAGATTTGAGACAGTCATGAGATTTTGTTGGCTGTGCAGTGATACTTTGACCAGATGTTTTATTAAGATGTCCAGCATCTCTCTGTTTTTCTCTGGCAATTTGCACACCAATGCATGTACAGCCTCCACCCTGTAGTTTTGGTCATCAGATTTAACAGCAATGATACAAATCTTTGTGTAACTTGTAAGTCATCAGTGGTGCTGCAAAGCACCTGAGGTAGTTTTTCAGCCCACTCATTGTCTTATTGTCCCACAGTTCAATATCAATATCAGGAGGGGATTTAGGAGAAAATATGATATTCACAAGTTTTTGAACTTTGGAGTTCACTCCTCCTATTCAGTAGAGGCCTAAAACGGTGATACTGCTTGTTTCCACAGCTTGAATGCAGTTTCTCACAAAATTGAACCCTGCTTCATTCAAATACCTTTCTTCTTTCTTGCTTATAATGTCAGGCAGAGTATAAATCGTTTCCTTCCCATCCATGGCTTCAAGCCAGAGTTTCCTATTAGCGTCTGAGAAGGCCTGTAATGTGATGATCCCATGCCTTTCAACTACTTGTATGTCGAAGCAGAAGTGGTTGTCAATTGAATCTGTCTTTCGTCGGATACAAGATTTTGAACATTTCCGGTGAGCTAGTAACAAGGCTGTTTAATCCACATAAAACCAAGCGGTCGTTTCTCCTGGACATACGGATAGCCTTCCATCGTCCACTGGCTGGGTGGTCTGTAGTCCTGGTTGGCAGATTTCATCCTCTGCATCAACCCCTCTACGTCTTGTCGAGTACTTTCAAAATTATTCCTTGTATTCTGCAAGTCGAACTGCAGCTGTTGCTTATGCGGTGCAAATCCTGGGCAAGTTCATATCCCTCATGGTAAAAAAGTAAATAAACCCTGAAGAAATGACAAAAGCGGTTCAACAAATTCAAACTTTTTTTCTTGAACCGCTTGAATTTTAAAGACATTCTTTTTTCTTTTATTTATTTTTATTTATTTGTTTATTCATTTATTTTGAGACGGAGTTTTGCTCTTGTTGCCCAGGCTGGAGTGCAATGGCATAGCCTTGGCTCACTGCAACCTCTGCCTCCTGGGTCCAAGCGATTCTCCTGCCTCAGCCTCCCGAGTAGCTGGCTTTACAGGCATGTGCCACCACACCTGGCTAATTTTGTATTTTTAGTAGAGACGGGATTTCTCCATGTTGGTCAGGCTGGTCTCGAACTCCTGACCTCAGGTGATCCACCCGCCTCGGCCTCCCAGAGTGCTGGGATTACAGGCGTGAGCCATTTAAAGACATTCTAATGATGCTTCATAGAAGTTCTGATGTGCTCGATCAATTTGTGTATCTGCCTCTTGCAAATGAGACTCCTTTTTCTTTGCAGATAAATTTAAATGCTTTTCAAGGATAGAGTAATATTTTTCACTCTTTGTCAAACTTCTTTCCACCTTTTGCTGCACCAATCTGTTCTTTTCGAAATTTCTCAAGTGGTGCAATTAATACATCATTAGCGTTTTGGATCAGTCTTCGCCTTTCTTCTTCTACTGCAATGAGTAGCCTTGCAAATTCTTTTAGTGACTGAGTAATACTAATTTCATCATCTGTTTGAGCATTATCAATACATTCAAATTGGAAATCTTGTAATGACTGGGAAAATTTCTGCACTGCCATAGACAGATCCCCAACCTGGGTAGAGGTGTGTTCCTTTGGAAAGGGTGAAAGGGTAAGGGAACTGGGTAGGCAATCAACATTACCTGTCCTCAACGCCCCAGTGAGCGGAGAGCCCTCCTTAATGAGCTCCTTGATGAACTTGTTGGTTCGCTCCAGTTCAATCTCCTGACACTGCAAGCGCTCCCTGAAATCCGGGCTGTCCAAGTAGGAATCGCTGAACTCCAGAGTAGGCAGCCCCATGGCACAGGCGCTGTCAGCGGCGTCCGCGGGCACGTCTGGGCCGGCGGTCAGGGCAGCAGCTGGCAGCCGCGACGTGCGCTGGGGACGCGCGATCGCGGGGAAGGCGCTGCTGGGACGCCAGGGGACTGATCGCTGAAAGGAAACGGGCCCGCGCGCTCCAGCCGCCTGAGCCGGGCTCAGTCTTCCTCTCCCGGGGCGAGGCAGCGCAGGCCTGGCGGAGGGCCTAGGCGCGGGTCCGCTCAGGTTGCTGTCAACCGGAGGCACCGTCGTTCGGAGCGCTGGGACTGCGAGCAACATTGTTGATTATTAAAGAAGCACACAATAGAAGTGCTAATTTTATTTTACGAGTTCCTTGATAATTTTTAGACTCTTTTGTAGGAAAGAAAAGTAATGTGTTTATGCTTGCCCCAGGCTTCCCTGTGTGAAAGCTGCTTTTTCTCAACTTTCAAAAATGAGTTTCTGATTGACATTAATGATTCTGTTAAATCTCTATATAAGGCAAAGGCAATTGGGAACATTTGGAAAGGCATTTGGAAACTTCCAAAATTATAAATATTTGCATTGAAACTTCCAAAGCCAATTGTGTTCATTACTTTTTTTTTTAATTTTTCCTGAGAAATTATCCCACAAAAAGCAAGAGGCCTCTAGTGTAACTAGTTTTCAGTTTTCCTGTTACTCAAGTCAGATCAGCTGAAGCATGTTCAACCTCTCCCCTGTGGGCCAGTTACAGGGGAAGGAAGGAAGGGGGGGAGGGAGGAAGGAAGGAAGGAGAAAGGAAGGAAGAAGGAGGAAAGAAAGAAATGTAGTCCTGGGGATACACTAACAGTTCCAGAAATAGAAGCAATTTATTTTCTCAATTTCTTTCTTACCTTCTTTCACACTATCATTCACTAATTAATTCAATCACCAGCATGGTTTTACATGTCCAGCTTCTTTCCTTTTCTTAAAAATCTCTTCCAATCACACCATCTTTTTCTTAAAAGCTTCAAATTTCCCATAGTTATTTTATTCAAAAGCCACGAGGTTCAACATGATTTTGGCATACACTCTGGATCACAGGATAGAATTGGAAAACTTGGCATGGCCCAACACACACATACACACACACACACACACACACACACACACACACACACGACACAGCTTTCTGATCAGCAGCTTTTGGAAATGGAGTACTGCTGTGAAAGTAGAAAGGGGATTTTCCTGTTATTAGGGACCTACAATGTGGTAGGCACTAAGACAAACATCTGACTTCATTACTCTAATCCTCAGAAATCTCTGTAGTGTGCCCATTCCTATATCACAGATGAGATATTAGTTCATGAAAGCTGTCCTCTATCCAAGGTTATGTAATTTATGCCCAGTTATATACAAAATTGGAATGCCGGTCTCTAATCTCTAAAGCCCATACTTTCTCTACTGTAGTTTATTGCCTCTCCTAGGAAATTTCTTCCTCCATGACAATATCATGAAGAAGGGGAAACTATTGCTTGTCACTTCTTAGTATCAACACTTCTTCCATCATCTAGCATGAATAATGTAGAGACACCACCAATTCTGTTGGAGAGCAGAAATAATCTTAAGGTTGTTCAACTTCCTAGCCACCCTGGTTCCATTCCTGCCCAGCTGCAAGAAAGAATTATTAAAGAACTCTGTGAAATTGACCTTTGGTGTGGGAAGAAAGCATAACAAGATGGTGAATCAAACATTGTGCTGCATTTAGCATTTATTATAGATTATTACGCAAAGTGAAGTAAAATTTTGTTAAATGCAAAATTGTCTATAAGAACAGCATAATATGTGCTTAATCCTACTTCTCTGCGATCACGTGATAAGTTAGTCACATGATTGGCATTTTAGACATGATGGTGCAGAGAGGTAAATAACTTGCCCCAGTCACATAGCAAATAAATGGCAGAATCAGAATTCAAATCCAGTCTTTCATGACTCCAAAGGGCCTGAGTTCTTTCCAATACACCGATGGTTCTCAACTACAGAGTGTATCAGAATTACCAGAGAGTGTGTTCAAAGTAAAGCTAAATGCCCAAGCTTTGACCAATAACTGCTGAATGAGAATCTCCAGGGTCAGGACATATGTTTGTTTGAGCAACTTCCTAGGCAACCCTGCTATATGCCGAAGTTTGACGGCCATACTACTATACCATGCTGCCTTATGGAGTTATAGAAATGATCCTTTGCTAAAACATTAAAAACATGTAGACTAATCTTTACATCTTATGGGAGTTACTAGTGAACTAGCAAAAATTTTAACATTTTGTGAATTTTTGTTAATCTGTACATTGGGTATAATGGTTTTTGCTTAAATTAGAATGTACTTATTTGTGTTTAATTGTTCTCAACTTAGAGCTAATTTGTAGAATTCATTTATTTGCTTTTACTCAGCACTCTACAAATTTTCTATAAAACGTTACAGTGTCTCTTTCACCTTGGGACACCAAATATTCCACAGAGACTGCCCCTTAGTTTAAGGGACCTTACTCTTTTCTTTGACAAATATACATATACATACATATATATATATATATATATATATATATATATATATATATATATATATATATAATTTCTTTTACATATATATGTAAAGCAGGTCTTGGTGGGTTAATGGGACTAAATAATACAGTTATTTTTGAAGAGCAAGACTTAGTAAAATAATTAAAGATCAAAGATTCTTATGACTGGAAAAGATTTGATTACCTTCAGTGAGCCCAAGGAATTACAGGCCAAATCTCCTGTGGATATTTCCAAAATGAGGTCATGTGGCTAACTTGTTGATTGTAAGAGACCACATTAAAGGCCTCTGAATTGTTTCAAAAACATCATATAAATTTAATGCCCCCACCCCAATTCCTGCTTCTAATAAAAATACAGTGTTAGTGT
Organism: Homo sapiens; assembly: GCF_000001405.40. Lineage (NCBI taxonomy): Eukaryota > Metazoa > Chordata > Mammalia > Primates > Hominidae > Homo > Homo sapiens. The sequence continues at coordinate 130,003,298 of NC_000002.12, read as the reverse complement.
CTGACTACAGAAGTCACACATGAGGAGTTCATTTTTTTATTTTTTATTTTATTTATTTAATTTTTTTGAGATGAAGTCTCACTCTGTTGCCCAAGCTGGAGTGCAGTGGCATAATCTTGGCTCACTGCAACCTCCACCTCCTGGGTTTGAGCGATTCTCCTGCCTCAGCCTCCCAAGTAGCTGGAATTACAGGCATGTGCCACCATGCCTGGCTAATTTTTGTATTTTTAGTAGATACTGGGTTTCACTTTGTTGGCCAAGCTGGTCTCAAACTCCTGACCTTGTGATCCTCCCACCTCAGCCTCTCAAAGTGCTGGGATTACAGGCGTGAGCCACCACACCTGGCCCGCAAGGAGTTTATTTAAACCAAAGAATTTCTCTTTCTGTTTTTCTCATCTGCTGAATTTCCTTACTTAGAGTTTGCAGTTTCTCTCTTGCCTCTGGGCTACAAGTAACTGTTCATATAATTTGAATAGTATCTCATGTTTAAAAACAAATTAAGACACAGAATACTTGCCTGTGTAATGGAAAATCAATGGAACACTGTCAGTTTCCAAGAGAAATGTATAGTTTTGTTATAATTTGAAATGCTTAGATCACCTTTCAGCTGTATCTTTCAGTGATCACATAAATGTGTCAAGAACAAGGTTTCCTAAAATGGTTAAAAAACAATCCCTCTGCTTGAGTTTTGATGATGGTTAGCAGTTATTCAACTCTTTACCTTCTCAGTCTTATGCTGTCAAGTAGAGAAAATAAGTTTATGCAATGGGAAGAAACAAGATAAGCTCTTAGATTTTAAACTAATTATATTGTTCTTAATTGATGGGCTTTCAATGAAATTTTTGAAATTATGTTTTTTATTTATTCATTTTGACTTCATATTTTTCTAAATTTAATCTTTCACATTAGCAAAAATAAAAAACCTTTTAGAAGAACTGGCGCTTATCCAGGATCCATTTGCACCATTTCATCTTGTCCCTTCAGTCTTGTCATTATTATAAAAATAGAGGGTCTGCTATAAAGATGGGAGAAATGAAGCTCTCATTGGCAGTTAATACAGAGGATTTAGGGAACGCTTTGTGTCCTCATTTAGCAGTTGCTACCTGCGAACTCTCATCACAGTCATACAAACTTCAAGAATCAGGCTTCCATTCTATTGTAGTAATAGTTCTGTTACTGTTCTTACAAGAATTAATTTTAATTCAATAAGCAAAATTTGAGTCTTTTCAGTGAACAAGAATCAAGGACATTAAAAAGAATTTTTTTTAAAGTAACACCCTTTAAAATAGCCACACATAGAGTTAAATACCTAGGAATTAACTTGACCAAAGAAGTGAAAGATTTCTATAATAAAAACTATAATACACTGATGAAAGAAATTGAATAGGACACCAAAAACTGGAAAAGTATTTCAGGTTCATGGATTGGAAGAATCAATATTGATAAAATGTAGATACTACCACCCAAAGCAATCTACAGATTCAATGCAATCCTTATCAAAATATCAATGACTATTGTGTCTATTTGATTCTTGTCTCTTTTCTTCTTTATTAGTCTTGCTAGCGGTCTGTCAATTTTGTTGATCTTTTAGAAAAACCAGCTCCTGGATTCATTAATTTTTTGAAGGGTTTTTTGTGTCTCTATTTCCTTCAGTTCTGCTCTGATTTTAGTTATTTCTTGCCTTCTGCTAGCTTTTGAATGTGTTTGCTCTTGCTTATCTAGTTCTTTTAATTGTGACTTTAGGGTGTCAATTCTGGATCTTTCCTGCTTTCTCTCGTGGGCATTTAGTGCTATAAATTTCCCTCTACACACTGCTTTGAATGTGTCCCAGAGATTCTGGTATGTTGTGTCTTTGTTCTCCTTGGTTTCAAGAACATCTTTATTTCTGCCTTCATTTCGTTATGTACTCAGTAGTCATTCAGGAGCAGGTTGTTCAGTTTCCATGTAGTTGAGTGGTTTTGAGTGAGTTTCTTAATGCTGAGTTCTAGTTTGATTGCACTGTGGTCTGAGAGACAGTTTGTTATAATTTCTGTTCTTCTACATTTGCTGAGGAGTGCTTTACTTCTAACTATGTGGTCAATTTTGGAATAGGTGTGGTGTGGTGCTGAAAAAAATGTATATTCTGTTGATTTGGGGTATAGAGTTCTGTAGATGTCTATTAGATCCGCTTGGTGCAGAGCTGAGTTCAATTCCTGGGTATCCTTCTTAACTTTCTGTCTCATTGATCTGTCTAATGTTGACAGTGGGGTGTTAAAGTCTCCCATTATTATTGTGTGGGATTCTACATCTCTTTGTAGATCACTAAGGACTTGCTTTATGAATCTGGGTGCTCCTGTATTGAGTGCAGATATATTTAGGATAGTTAGCTCTTCTTGTTGAATTGATCCCTTTACCATTATGTAATGGCCTTCTTTGTCTCTTTTGATCTTTGTTGGTTTAAAGTCTGTTTTATCAAAGACTAGGATTGCAACTCCTGCCCATTTTTGTTTTCCATTTGCTTGGTAGATCTTCCTCCATCCCTTTATTTTGAGCCTATGTGTGTCTCTGCATGTGAGATGGGTTTCCTGAATACAGCACACTGATGGGTCTTGACTCTTTATCCAATTTGCCAGTCTGTGTCTTTTAATTGGAGCATTTAGCCCATTTACATTTAAAGTTAATATTGTTATATGTGTATTTGGTCCTGTCATTATGATGTTAGCTGGTTATTTTGCTCGTTAGTTGATGCAGTTTCTTCCCAGCCTTGATGGTCTTTACATTTTGGAATGTTTTTGCAGTGGCTGGTACCAGTTCTTCCTTTCCATGTTTAGTGCTTCCTTCAGGAGCTCTTTTAGGGCAAGCCTGATAGTGACAAAATCTCTCAGCATTTGCTTGTCTTTAAAGGATTTTATTTCTCCTTCACTTATGAAGCTTAGTTTGGCTGGATATGAAATTCTGGGTCGAAAATTCTTTTCTTTAAGAATGTTGAATATTGGCCTCCACTCTCTTCTGGCTTGTAGAGTTTCTGCCGAGAGACCCACTGTTAGTCTGATGGGCTTCCCTTTGTGGGTAACCCAACCTTTCTCTCTGGGTGCCCTTAACATTTTTTCCTCCATTTCAACTTTGGTGAATCTGACAATTATGTGTCTGGGAGTTGCTCTGCTCGAGGAGTATCTTTGTGGCATTCTCTGTATTTCCTGAATCTGAATGTTGGCCTGCCTTGCTAGATTGGGGAAGTTCTCCTGGATAATATCCTGCAGAGTGTTTTCCAACTTGGTTCCATTCTCCCCGTCACTTTCAGGTACACCAATCAGATGTAGATTTGGTCTTTTCACATAGTCCAATATTTCTTAGAGGTTTTGTTTGTTTTTTTATTCTTTTTTCTCTAAACTTCCCTTCTCGCTTCATTTCATTCATTTTGTCTTCCATCACTGATACCCTTTATTCCAGCTGATCGCATCGGCTCCTGAGGCTTCTGCATTCTTCACGTAGTTCTCGAGCCTTGACTTTCAGCTCCATCAGCTCCTTTAAGGACTTCTCTGCATTGGTTATTCTAGTTATCGATTTGTCTAATTTTTTTTCACAGTTTTTAACTTCTTTGCCATTGGTTTGAATTTCCTCCTGTAGCTTGGAGTAGTTTGATTGTCTGAAGCCTTCTTCTCTCAGCTTGTCAAAGTCATTCTCCATCCAGCTTTGTTCCGTTGCTGGTGAGGAGCTGCATTCCTTTGGAGGAGGAGAGGTGCTCTGCTTTTTAGAGTTTCCAGTTTTTCTGCTGTTTTTTCCCTGTCTTTGTGGTTTTATCTACTTTTGGTCCTTGATGATGGTGATGTACAGAAGGGTTTTTGGTGTGGATGTCCTTTCTGTTTGTTAGTTTTCCTTCTAACAGACAGGACCCTCAGCTGCAGGTCTGTTGGAGTTTGCTAGAAGTCCACTCCAGACCCTGTTTGCCTGGGTATCAGCAGCAGTGACTGCAGAACAGTGGTGGCTGTAGAAGAGCAGTGGCTGTAGAACAGCGGATCTTGGTGAACCGCAAATGCTGCTGCCTGATTGTCCCTCTGGAAGTCTTATCTCAGAGAAGTACCCGGCCGTGTGAGGTGTCAGTCTGCCCCTACTGGGGGGTGCCTCCCAGTTAGGCTGCTTGGGGGTCAAGGACCCACTTGAGGAGGCAGTCTGCCTGTTCTCAGATCTCCAGCTGTGTGCTGGGAGAACCACTACTCTCTTCAAAGCTGTCAGACAGGGACATTTAAGTCTTCAGAGGTTACTGCTGTCTTTTTGTTTGTCTGTACCCCGCCCCCAGAGGTGGAGCCTACAGAGGCAGGCAGGCCTCCTTGAGCTGTGGTGGGCTCCACCCCGTTTGAGCTTCCCTGCCACTTTGTTTACCTAATCAAGCCTGGGCAATGGCAGGCGCCTCTCCCCCAGCCTCGCTGCTGCCTTGCAGTTTGATCTCAGACTACTGTGCTAGCAATCAGCCAGACTCTGTGGGCGTAGGACCCTCCAAGCCATGTGCGGGATATAATCTCCTGGTGTGCAATTTTTGAGCCTGTTGGAAAAGCGCAGTATTAGGGTGGGAGTGACCCAATTTTCCAGGTGCTGTCTGTCACCCCTTTCTTTGACTAGGAAAGGGAACTCCCTGACCCCTTGCGCTTCTTGAGTGAGGCAATCCCTCGCCCTGCTTTGGGTCATGCACAGTGTGCTGCACCCACTGTCCTGCACCCACTGTCTGGCACTCCCTAGTGAGATGAACCCGGTACCTCAGATGGAAATGCAGAAATCACCCATCTTCTGCATCGCTCACGCTGGGAGCTGTAGACCGGAGCTCTTCATATTCGGCCATCTTGGCTCCACCCTCAGGGGATTTAATTCTTTTAAAATTCAATGCTGTTGAAATGTTTACTCAAGAAGCAATGCGTTTTTGAGAGCTAATCCTGATCTATTCAAATCTTAATGACTTAAGTTGATGGAGTGGACTTCTTTAAATTAGGGATTCCCTAATTTGCCTGACTGCTGGAATTTCCAGGGCATACTGAAAATACAGATTATCCAGGCTCTTACCTCTGCAGATGTATTTAGTGGTTCTAAAATGGCACCCAGGAGTCTGGATTTTTCCCAGGGGCCTTGTGTAATTCACATTGGTGAACAGGCAAGTTTGGGAAATAGTGCCTTAAAGAGATTTTTCATTAAGCAGTCTTCATTTGAAATGAGGATCACTTATCTTCTAATACCCCATGCTTCCTCTTTCTCCTGCCTTCCTCACCTCCTGTTGTCTTTCAGTTCTTAGAAACTTTAATTGAATGGAAGTTCCTAGTAGATCTGTACCTACTAAAACCCACACTTCTGAATCTACGTGGCCACCAGAAGACACAGCTAGTCTGCCATGTAAAAAAGGAAAGGTTGTGTGTGCACTGAGGGTGCAGAGGTGACAGGCAGGGGAATGGAGACCCCCACAGCCAGCAGCAGTGGCCCTCATCACAGTCCTCCAGGAGATATGAAAGGAGGTCAGACGTTGGACAGTAGTCTTGCCTTCCTGCTATAGAACACATTGTTAACACCAAAAAAGCTGATCTCTTCTAAGGGAATGGGGAAAGCTGACTCTACAACTTGTGCTTTTAATTTCAGGATGGCACAGCTTCTAAATGGCATCTAAGTTGCTGATATAAAAATGAAAATTCTGTGTGCTTTGATATTAGCAGGCTTTAAATACAAACCAGAGTAAGATTAAATTGTTTCTTAATCAAATCAAATAATTTTCACATTGGCAGTCCATTCGGCATCTGGATCATGTTTGCTCTAGGCTGAGTAGTCCGTGAAAGTCTGGAGGGAAATACAGAGGCCAATTCTCCATAACCATTAGGCTCAGAAATACCCTGCTTCCCCGTGAAAAGTTTAAATTGATTTGACGCCACCTTCACCAAACCGAGGTTGGTCAACACTTTCCACCACTGCAACTGCACACTTTGACTTCCAATTTTGCTTCCTGCTCTGTGAAGATACCCCCTTCCTTCCTTTCTCACATTCTCCCTATAACCTCATCTTCCTTTCATCCACTCTGTCTCATTATTTGTCCATCTTTGTTTCCCAAAACCTTATATAGAACAGAAATTGACCAATTAAGATTACCATGTGGAAGAGCATCCATTTACTGAATAAGGCAGCTGGCTCCTCGGGGCAGAAAAGTGATTGGACACAGAGATAAAAATCATAATCCCTGCTCTCCTGGACTCACTGTCCAGTGGGGAGACAGATAGATGAACAAATACAACTTGATAACTAAAACAATCAAGTGAATTATATAATTTAGACTAGAGAAAGAGATAACAAATGTTATCATAAGACAGTGTGTCCACTACTTACTCTCTAACAGATTTCCTCATAAACCACTAGGCTTGCCAACTTGTTGAATAAGAAAATTGGAGGGTCAGGGGAGGGGAAATACATATGCTTCTTAGTATTTCATTCCATAAATACATAAATAATGAAACTATTAATGATATAATCATGTTGATTCAATAAGTTTGAAACCCCAAAATTGATAGTAATCTTTAGAAGAAATTGTGTATGTGTCTATGCATGTACACACATAGACATATACATATTGCTTTCTGAAATTTTCAATGACTTTATGCTTCTTCTGAAGCAATTCGAGTTTAGAATTTGAGACCCATGGGTCAAAACATCTTCTTGAGTATACTGAAGAACATTTGGATTAATTTCAGACATGTATTTTGGTTTATATAGTGTTTTTTATCCATGGTAACTTATTTACTGTTTAAAAACATACTGAGAACAAACAACAGCAGCAACCCTGAATTGAGTGAAAGTCCTGAGAAAGGCTTTGCCCAATCGGTGCATGTGCGTGTTTACATAATCTCCTGTCTGAACCTAGGAACTGGCTGAATGAGCTAGCAGATGGTCTCTTTGGCTGTATTATAAATAATAATTTATTTTTATTTGTTTTATTAATTAATTAATTCATTCATTCATTCATTCATTTATTTTGAGACAGGGTCTTGCTCTTTCACCCAGGCTAGAGTAGGGTGGCAGAATCACAGCTCACTGCAGCCTTCAACTCCAAGGCTCAAGCAATCCTCCTGCCTCAGCCTCCTGAGTAGGACTACAGGTGCATGCCACCATGCCCAGCTAAGTTTTAAAAACTTTTTTTGTAGAGACAGGGTCTTATTATGTTGCCCAGGCTGGTCTCAAACTCCTGGACTCAAGCGATCCTCCTTCCTTGGCCTCTCAAAGTGCTGGGATTATAGGTTTGAGCCACCACACCTGGCCAGAAATGACATTTTAAAACCAACTATTACCTACACAGATGTATGATGCTCCCTTGTTGTTTTGTTTCAAAATAGGAATGCCTTAGGTTTTTGGCTCATTTTGTTTTATCAAAGATCTTAAATGCAGTTGTGAATATTTTTGTTTACCCTCATAATAGCCTGAGAATTTAGAATGAATATAATTATTGCTATTTTCACAAGTAAAATTGGAATGAGAAGATAAAACAGTGGAACACAGGTGTAAGTAAGAACAGCAGAGGCAAGCCATCTATAGAATATTAAAATTTCTTGCATGCATGTTACCAACATTTTCTCATGCCTGAAATCCCAGCACTTTGGGAGGCTGAGACGGGTGGATCACCTGTGGTCAGTAGTTTGAGACTAGCCTGGCCAACATGGTGAAACCCCGTGTCTACTAAAAGTACAAAGATTAGCCAGGCGTGGTGGCAGGCACCTATAATCCCAGCTACTCAGAAGGCTGAGGCAGGAGAATTGCTTGAACCTGGGAGGCAGAGGTTGCAGTGAGCCGAGATCACACCATTGCACTCCAGCCTGGGGGAAAAGAGCGAGACTCCTTCTCAAAAAAAAAAAAAAAAAAAAAACCAAATAAACCAAACCAAACCAAAACAACAACAACCAAAAACAACATTTTCTAAGACAAGCAAACCTACTAAGCTTTATAAGGCCCCCATCCCCCCAAGTATTGTCCTTTCCAGGTACCCCAACATTAATGACCGCAACTGGTACTAGCCTTGTGACATACAATCCCAGCACATTGTTGGGCTCTGATGTTTTCTAGGAATTTTTTCTTTACAGCCTTATTGATATTAAGCTCTATTTTCTGAAGACCTGGTTTTTATAAACTGTATATTTTTGCAGTTGAGGGAAAATGATCTCAGGTCAGTCAATCCGCTGTTGACCCACAAATGAAATGAGGTAGGATTATTGTTAAGACGGAGAGGTGTCTGCATCATCCTACACTTTTTCCCAGCCTCCAGGTGACCATATAATTAAAGTATCCTTGATATTTCTATGTAGTTTAAGTTTTTAATTCTAGAACCCCTCAATCTTTCTCTATTCAACTTAAATGAAAAGACATTTGAGTATCCAGAAGACACTCAGCACTCAGAAGCAAAGCAAGAAAAACGGAAACATTATAGTCAATGCCCATGTTCTACCCCAGGATGAAATGAGGCATTAATACTGAGAGTTGTGATTCTGAATAAGTCTTAACCTCATGCACATCTTAGTTGTTCAAAAATGTGTCATGTCAGCAAGGTGGTAACAGTGAAGATTTTCTACAATCAAAATAGTATTGTTATGTTCTGTTGTATAAAATAGAAATAAATGTACCACATTGGTCAGAAAAATCACACTAGCATATTCTGGCAGCTTAATTTTTTTATTATTATACTTTAAGTTCTAGGGCACATGTGCACAACGTGCAGGTTTGTTACGTAGGTATATATGTGCCATGTTGGTTTGCTGCACCCATTTACTCGTCATTTACATTAGGTATTTCTCCTAATGCTATCCCTCCCCTAGCCTCCACGCTAGGACAGGCCCCTGTGTGTGATGTTCCCCGCCCTGTGTCCAAGTGTTCTCATTGTTCAATTCCCACCTATGAGTGAGAACATGTGGTGTTTGGTTTTCTGTCCTTATGATAGTTTGCTCAGAATGATGGTTTCCAGCTTCATCCATGTCCCTGCAAAGGACACAAACTCATCCTTTTTTATGGCTGCATAGTATTCCATGGTGTATATGTGCCACATTTTCTTTCTTTCTTTCTTTTTGTTTTATTTTATGGAATAAAAAGTTCAGCCTTTTTATTGCATGAAACTAAAATTGGGAAAGGTGGGAGTGAATGGGGTGGGAGGGTTTGAGGGGAGCAGGAGATGCCCTCCCTACCAGCTCCTGGATAATGACACCTCACTTCTTGCATAATTTCTGGCATCTTCCCGCCTGCAATGCAGGCTCTCTCAGCGTCTTGGAGAAGGGGGGATCACACACTCATCGTCATGCTTGGAGAATAATTGTCATTCTGAAAGGAGTGGAGGAAGTTCCCTCCTAACTCTCCGTCATCTCGAGGGGTGCCTGGAGGATTGCTAATACTATTTACGTTGTTAGGAGAATTTTTTGGAAGCCATCTATGTCGCCTGACCCTAACAATCCGTTCATGTGGTGTGGCTCCATGCCGCCCATGCTGCCCATCCGACCGTCCGAGCCGGGACCCATCGGGAAGTTGGACCGGCTGCCTCCAGGCGGCACCGGATTAATCATTGTGTAGATGTCGCTGGAATTTGTTGAATCTGAGGGACTGGGCATAGTGGGTGTTCCTGGAGGGCCGCCACCACCAGGGGGTCCCACATAGGTACCAGGTGATGAGGAGGAGTATGGAATTGAGTTAGCACTGTTAGGATTGGGCCAGGGTCTGCCGGCTCCCGGGCCCATGTTAATCCCGGGCATGGGGGGCCGAGGGAATTGCGTGGTGGTCTCATGCCGCTGCCGTAATTCTGTGGGCTGGGACCCGTGGGCCCCATGCCTCGGGGAGGGTTCATTCTCTGCATTGATCCTCCCATGTGGGGATGGCCTTGTTGTCGTGCGGGATCCATGGAATTGGGCAGCAATGGCTGTGTCCCAGGAACTCCTCCCGGAGGCTGGTTTCCCATTCTGATCGGGGGGCCTGGGGCCGCCTGCGTATCGCGGTGACATGAAAGGCTGACTGTGGGGTCCCATCATGCTGCTAGGATTGTGAGGTGGAGGCTGTGCGTGCGGCGAGGGCTGTGACCCCGGAGGACCCTGGCGGGACTCGGCCTCCCCGCATCCTATTGTTGGGGGGAATGTTGCCAAGCACGGGGCTCAGGGCAGCTGCTGCACTAGAATCAGGAAAGGCTTTTGCTTCACTTGAATGTTCACAAGTGTCTCTCCTTTTAGTAGCTGCACAGTAAAGGTCCCAAAATACACACCACCACGAGTGCAAAAACCCAGGCGGTTCTCCCAACGCGATGTTTTTTTCCCAGCGAATCTCCGATAAGAAGGTCTGTGCAGATTTCTGTGCTCCTACCTGCAGTAAATATTCGTAGACGTATAAAGCTAACTTTTCCCCAGCCTGCCCGTCCGAGGGCACCAAGGAGCCTTTGCCTTTGGCAAACATGGTTTGCAGGGAAGAGGGCGCCCAGCCTCCCCACAGCCGCCACCGCTCCCGCTCTCCCGAGCTGCCCCTCGCCCCCGGCCCCCTCCCAGGCGCTCCCTCCCTCTCTCGCTGGCTGGCGCTCTCCTAGCAGCGCTCCCCTCCCTCCCGAGCAGGCGCTGGCTCCGCGCTCTTTCCAGCTGTCAAAGCATCAGGCCCGGCCGCGGCCCCATCGCCCTGGAACTCCTCCCGCGCCGGCTTGGCCTGGGGTGCCGCCGCCGCCTCCCGCAAGGCCGCCCGCTCTCCGGTAGCTCGCGTGCTCGCCCGGTTCCGCTTGCGCGGCCCTCTGCGCCCCCAGCACCGCTGCCGCCGCCGCCGGCGCTGGCCTCATGTGTCACATTTTCTTAATCCAGTCTATGGCTGATGGATATTTGCGTTGGTTCCAACTTTTTGCTATTGTGAATAGTGCCGCAATAAACATACCTGTGCATGTGTCTTTATAGTAGCATGATTTATAATCCTTTGGGTATATACCCAGTAATGGAATCGCTGGGTCAAATGGTATTTCTAGTTCTAGATCCTTGAGGAATCGCCACACTGTCTTCCACAATGGTTGAACTAGTTTACACTCCCACCAACAGTGTAAAAGCGTTCCTATGTCAAGCAATGGCAACAAAAGCCAAAATAGACAAATGGGATCTAATTAAACTAAAGAGCTTCTGCACAGCAAAAGAAACTACCGTCAGAGTGAACAGGCAACCTACAGAATGGGAGAACATTTTTGCAATCTACCCATCTGACAAAAGGCTAATATCCAGAATCTACAAATAACTTAAACAAATTTACAAGAAAAAAACAAACAACCCCAACAAAAAGTGGGCAAAGGATATGAACAGACACTTCTCAAAAGAAGACATTTATGCAGCCAACAGACACACGAAAAAATGCTCACCATCACTGGCCATCAGAGAAATGCAAATCAAAACCACAGTGAGATACCATCACACAGCAGCTAGAATGGCAGCTTAATTTTTAAAATGCTATATCAATAATTTAACCACATAGATCTGTCAGTTAGAATAAATGTTACATATTTAATTGACAATAATTTTTTGCTCTCTTAGAGACGTGTAGATACACTTTGGGTTTATCAAATGGTTCTTTTTTTTTTCTTTGAGATGGAGTCTCTCTGTGTCACCAGGCTGGTGAGCAGTGGTGCGATCTTGGCTGATTACAACCTCTGACTCCTGGGTTCAAGCGATTCTCCTGCTTCAGCCTCTCAAGTAGCTGGGATTACAGGCATGTGCCACCACGCCCAGCTAATTTTTATACTTTTAGTAGAGACGGGGTTTCACCATGTTGGCCAGGATGGTCTCAATTTCCTGACCTCAAGATCCACCCGCCTCGGCCTCCCAAAGTGCTGGGATTACAGGTGTGAGCCACTCCGCCAGGCCAGTTCTGACATATTTTTAGAAAGATTAGGCAAATGCTATGGTAACTCAGTTATTCATGATACATGTCATATTATAAGTAGGAGAATTCAATATTCATGATTTTGAAGCAATTTCAGAGTACTATAATCACCCCACTTCACAGACTTCAGAATTCATTGGAAATCTCTGGAAATAATTAGCAAGTTATTAGCCCAGACTCTAAACAGACCTTCAAAATGCATTACATAGATTTGCTAAAAGAGATTGTCAGTCTGCCATAGTCACTTTGGTTTGATTTGCATTGAATGAAATTTTTAAAATGTAAAGCTAAACTCTTCAGGATCACTGCACTGGTTTCTATGGGACAACACTGAACAGGGCTGCCACTGAAACACCTTGGATGAGAGCCTCAAACTCCCTGAACATATAGCATCTAGCACACTACTGAGAGAATGACTGGGACTCAAAAATGCATGCAATGAATTTATTTATGAGCTTCTTGGAGAGGAAGTAAAGAGGTTGTATGTAATTACCTCAAATTAGCACTACTACAGATAAAGTAACAATATTGATAAAGTAATTGATAAAGTAATAGTAGTGCTAAAGTCATACTAATCAAGTAGTACTAATAGCCCTATACTAGTAGTAACAATAAAGTGGTATTGCTATTGATTCTATTGGTCTGTCTACCTACCTATCTCTCTAGATGGGAGGGCGTAGGATTTGGCTGATGAGATTGGGCTTAGCAGTGGAGAGCAAAGAGCTCATGCATGCTTTGAACAGGTACGCACACAAACTTGGTATCGTGTGACTCTTCTGAATTCCAGAACCAAGGCTAAAAGGTGGAAGTTTTGTTTTGACTATTTGTGTGTCACATTTTCCTTTTGGTCTATTGTCTAACATATGCTGCTAGAATTCTTTTTACTCTGACTACTTTTTAGGTGGTTAGATAACGCTGTTATTGACGAGATCACACCCAAGCTGATCAGAGATCTGCCCAATTCTTGCACCTACCGCAAGGCCTTGGGAGAAATGGTGGTGCAGCAGGAGAGCAGAAATGTAACCATCGCCATCATAAGGCCCTCCACTGTGGGAGCGACGTGGCACGACCCTTTCCCAGTAAGCCCACTCACCTGAATTCTGTATTTTGCTTCCAAATTAAAGTTCTTCTAGCCCAATTACTTTCTGATGTCATTTCTCCCCCTCCTCCTCCTTCTCTTCCTTCTTCTTCTTTCTTCCTCTTCTTCTTCCTCTTCCCCTTCCCCTTCTCCTCCTCTTCTTCCTCCTCAGGATGTATAGCTAAGTGCAGCCAATCATATATCAACCCATTGTACTAGGGCAAAATTCCACTTTGGGATCAGGATTTACCCAGCATGCAGCTTCTCTGGCAGTTACCCTGACTGTCCTAGAGTTGAATGGAGATCTTAAATTAGCTTCTAATTACTCTAGCCTCAAAATTCCCATGGGTGATGGTTTCATATCTTGGCTTTCCCACTGTAGTTTAAACATACCGAATGTTCTTAATGGTAAATTGGTAGTATTGCAACTGCCAGGGTAAACAAGGGTTACAAAGTGCACAGAAGGATCTCAGCTTGGGAACACTGTTTTTTCTAACCTCAGTATAGCGCTATGTCCTTTTGAAAGTACTTTGAATTATACTATCTTCTTTTTTTTATTATACTTTAAGTTCTAGGGTACATGTGCACAACGCGCAGGTTTGTTACATATGTATACATGTGCTGTGTTGGTTTGCTGCACCCATTAACTCGTCATTTACATTAGGTATTTCTCGTAATGCTATCCCTCCCCCATCCCCCCACCCCATGACAGGCCCTGGTGTGTGATGTTCCCCGCCTTGTGT